>NC_000008.11:45927265-48427265 GCF_000001405.40 Homo sapiens | reverse complement strand
CCATGGGCTGTTCGTCGTAAGCCACTGATCCCAGTAGCAAACAACGAAGAGCACAAATAGGGCAGGTGCCACCCGCACAGAGGCACGTGTGCAAACACAGAGGAGCCAGCCAGCCAGGGAGGCAGGTTTCGAAAAGAATTCCCAGTTAAAACAAAATCATCAAAATTATGTTCTTACTTCTGAAATTTATCGGAAAGCAAGATTATTACTATCCTGAGCAGCTAACTGTTTGGGCTTCCTTAGAAAATAAGACATCCCTCAACAGAGGATGCCTGTCGACGTCCATGGGTGCCAGCACACATGGCTGAGGCCTGTGGAGGGTCCCATTACCCCGAGGCGAGGGAGGGGAAGGGGGCCATCTGCACGCTCTGTGGGGACAGAGGCTATTATGAGAGCTGAGGAGAGAAAGCTAATCATGCTTGGGAATCAAGGCAAGCCAGACCATGGAAGTAGAATTGAGACAGCTGAGCTACTCAAGCAATGAGAGCAGAACGAGTATCTTTTGGCAAGGGAACAGCATGTGCAGACACCTAGAGAGGAACAGGGTCACTGTCCCCAGCCTGGGATGGGGAGCAGGTGGGAGTTGGAGAGAGGAGGGTGCTATGGAGAGGATCAGGTCTGCAGAGCAAGTGGGCACGGGACCACAGACCATTCTCCAGACCACTATGCCTATCAAGGATGCCATCTTTGCCTCATTTTTCCGTTGTGGTAAAATATACATAACATACAACTTACCCTCTTAACCATTGTTAAGTGTGCAGTCCAGTAGTGCCAAGCATATGCAAAGCGTTGGGCCACCATCACCACCAGCCATCTCCAGAGCTCATTTCATTTTGCAAAACTGAAACTCTGTATCCATTAAACAATAACTCCCCTTTCCCTTTCTTCTCTGCCCTGGGCACCCACCATTCTACTTTCTGCCTCTATGAGTTTGGCTATTCTTGGTACCTCCTGGAAGTGGAATTATGCAGTATTTGTCCTTATGACTGGCTTATTTCACTTAGCATATGTCCTCACAGTTCATCCAAGTTGTAGCACGCGTCAGCATTTCCTTCCTTTTCAAGGCTGAGCCATATTCCCCTGTATGTACATGCCGCATTTTCTTCATCCATTCATCTGTCGATGGACATGTAGGCTGTTTCCACCTTCTGGCTATCATGAGTAGTGATGCTATGCACATGGGTGCGCACATACCTCTTTGAGATCCTGCTTTCATTTCTTTTGGGTCCATATCAGAAATGGACTTGCTGGATCACAGGCTAATTCTATTTTTAATTTCTAAGGAACCTCCCTACTCTTTTCTACAGCAGCTATGCCATTTTACATTTGCACCGTGTGCAGGGTTTCCAATTTCTCCACATCCTCTCCACTACTTGTTATAAGGATTAGACTTTTGAAGAGAAAAGCCCTGCTGGATTTTTAAACATCCGCTGTGGATGAGGGAGTTCCTCATACTCCTTAGTTCTCAGCGCATTGTCATCAACGGCTGATGCAAGGACCCTTTTGCTGAGATTTTTAAATTCCATTGTGTCCCATATACCACTCTCATTCCCTTCCCCTTCAAAGGCAGTGTCTTTATGATGCATTTCTTCTTATTTGAATGCGTTCTTACAAAGTGTGTTTTATGATCTTGTGTGCATGTATTTTTGATTGATGTAAATGATTGTGTATTTCATCTTGTTTGTTGCCTATTTTTTTTAGCCAAGTGCTATGTTTTTAAGACTGTCCCAGTCTCTATGTGCACACCGAGTCCTTCACAGGACACATTTTCCATGGTCTGAGCACACCATTTTCCACTCATCCAGGCCTCAGAGACCAGCATCCAGGATGCCCCAAGTCCACATCCCCAACAGAACACCGTGATGAACATCCTCACACACATCACCTCCAGGACCTGCCTGAGGATGTCCACAGAGCCCACTGCTGAGTCCCAGGTGGTCTTGCATTTGATTTGGTTAATGGACCAGGTCCCTCTGCACAGCCACCAGCAGCACACAATAACTCCCACCAGCGATCCCACAAGGAGGAAGCTGGGTTGGGGGTAAGCCTGATGGAAAGCTGAGCTTGCAAACCAGATTAGAATTTAGACTTTGGCTTCTAAAGAGTAGAGCCATTGAGGATTTTTAACCAACTCCATAAACAAGGTAAATAATAGCACCTTTTATATTCCAAGTAATCCTTAGGCAAGGCCTTTCTTCTTGTCACTCTCCTACACAGGCTACTGCTGATGACTGTGATTCCCACAAAAGGGCAACACTCTGAGATGAGGGGCTCTGCCCCAAACTCCCACTACACCCATTCACACTTGGCCATTCATGCCACCTTTTAAACATGTATGTCAAAAGCAATTTTCTAATAAGAATCAAGAGTAGAGGCAGGGATTAGAGCTAGCCATACTGGGGTGACATTTCAGTTCATGTCGTGTCAACCATGCCCACATAACTGAGTGTACACCTAAAACCATAGGATGAGTGAGAACTTAAGCGAGGATGAAGACAGGGTCAGTGAAGAGGATGAGGGGTGCGTTCCAGAAGTGGTAAAGTCTCCTCAGCTAGACACTAGAGTCAGAGCCACCATAAAACAGGAGGTCAGAGGGCCTGCACAGAACATAAAAGGGGGCCTTGCAGGGCAGGGGACACAGCCACACAATGGAGATGCCCAAGACAGTGGGACCCACCTGGGCCACACAGCATGAGGATTAGAAGCAAAAAAAATTATCAAGTAGGAGTCTGGATCCTTCACTTACTCACCTGGCTCTCTACGCCTCGGGTTCTTTGTCTCTAAAATGAAGACAGCAATCGTCTCTGTTTCTTCTCTTCTGAGGATACGTAAGCTCCTTGTGCTAGGCACGGCTCCAGGTGTGAGGAGGTTCAGTGGTGAGCAACCCAGACCAGGTTTCCATCATAAGGAAGCCTGCACCCAAGACAGGGGAGACAGCAATAACAATTAAAAAGTACGAAAACATCGTTAGGCCCCCACATCTCAGCTATGGCAGTCCAGATGTTCGCTGGGCCTCTCCACGCCTTACGATCTAGGTAATATTGTGTCCTACCTCTATCCTATGTCCTCTGGAAGGAAGCCAGTGGTCTCCCAAGACTTTCTGAAAATACATCCCCTGGAACTTCTCAAGGTCGTTCTGTCTCCTTCCTGCCTGCCCTGAATTCTTCTTCTCTACTTAATACACTGGTCAAATATTTCCTTGATTCATACACACATGCACACATACACACATACACACATGGCAGTGACAGATTTCACTGAGAACCTTGGAGCTATGGTGGGGCTTATAGAGAGTCAAGGCAAAACTTTTCCTTTGCATCATGTTTGCAGTACTTCTTTTGCCACTGGCTATGTTGCTCAGTCCTTTCCATTCTGTGTCCTCTAGTTCTCTCCTTTCTATTTTCCTTCAACCCTTATGGAGGTGATATTGCTACCCCAATGGGTCCAGAAGGTGTGAACCTCCCCCCAACCTGCAGGGGGTGTGGAGGGCAGAGCATGGAGCCAAAACGGATTATTCTCAAGCCTTGCCTGGTTTTGGACTTGCTTGGGACCCTTCACCCCTCTTTCTTCCCTATTTCTTCCTTTTGGAATGGGATTGTCTGTCCTAGGCCTATCCCGCCATTGCACATTGGAAGCACATAATTTGTCTGGTTTCATGGGCTCCCAGCTGGAGGGAAATCAGCCTCAGGAGCCATCGTACCTGTAATCTCACCCATGTCTGATATTTAGATGAGACTTTGGATTTAAACTTCAAAGTCAATGCTGGAATGAGTTAGGATGTTTGAGGTTGTGGGATGGAATTAATGTATTTTGCACTTGAGAACATGAAGATTGGGGGACTAGGAATGAAGTTTCATGGACTGAATATGTCCCCCCAAAATTTATGTGTTGAAATCCTACCCTGCAGTGTGATGGTTCTAGGATGTGGGGCCTGTGGGTCATGAGGTCATGAGGATCAGTGCCCCTGGCTTCTGCCCGTCCCTCTAATGAAACATCCCACTGTTTGAGTAGAAGCCAGGGGCACAGACTCTCATGACCTTAGGGCCCCATTGGCCTCTGCACTGGACTTAACGGATGGCTGTTCTGTCCTCACCTCTCTTGGACCTCCCCACAGCTCTGACACTGTGACCACACCTTCCTTAAAATGCTCAACTCTCTTGCCTTTTATGTCCAAAGCAGACCTTCTTGCCAGTCACTCCCAGGCAGGGCCCCTGGAAGCTCAGGATCCTCCCCTCGCACATTAAACTTGGGGCACTTCTAGGATTGGCCTGGAGTCGCCTTTCTTTCCCCACTCTGGTGTGCCAAGGGTCAGCACGCCTTGTCTATGGGGGTCAGATGGCCAATCTTAAAGGGCCTTCTTGCAGCTGCCCACAATGGCAGCCTCAGACAGCCATCGTGCAAGCAAAGGAGAGTTCCAATAAAACTTTATTGACAAAAGCAGGCAGCATTTGCTGAGCATGGCTCCATACCTTCTTTGAGTACAGATCCATTCCCAAGGCTTCAAAATGACTCAGATTTATAGTTTCCACTCAGGCTTCTCCTCTGAGCTGCGGACCAATCTTTGCCTCCTTGGACACAGCTTTGCCAGGCTAACCTCGCAGCCTCCCACTGCCCACGCGGCTGTGTTGTGTGTTCCATCTCAGTAACGAGGCAGCCATCCTGGCAGGGAAGCCAGACGCCCGGGCTAGCCTGAACCCGTGGCCGGCGCCCCTGTGTTCAACTCCAGTGTGGATGTGCCCATTTACTCGCTAAGAGTTGCAGGAGGTTTGCTCTCCGCACCAGCCTCACAGCACTTCCCACGTGGCGTCACGTGCCCCCGAAGGCAGCGCAGCCCACACAGCTGCAGAACCTAAGGGCATGCGCCAGCTTCCCTGCAGAACGCACGGTCCCTGGGTCTCAGAGCAGACTCCGACCAGCAGGGCAGGTCCCTCCTCCTCCTCCTGGCTCCATCTCAGACCACGCTCCAGCACCCCCGTCTACCTACAGCGCCCTGTTCTCCCTGCTTTACTGAATTTCTTCTCATCTTTCAAATCTCAAGTCAGATTTATTAAATTCCCCTTCATATGCTCTGAATATACCACACATCTCTTCTTCCATTGTATATTTATTGTTTTGATCATGGGTCAACAAACTACAGCCTGCAGTCTAAAGCCACCCTCCATCCCTTTCTGAAAATAAAATTTTGTTGGAGCTCAGCCTCTCCTGCACTTACATGTGGTACAGATGCTTTTGCACCCCCATGCAACGCAGAGCTGGGCGGTTACAACAGGGACCAGGAAGCCCACCAAGTCTCAAGTCTCTACTGCTTGGCCCTCCACAGAAAACATGTGCCAGTCCCTGGTTTTGCTGATTTGATAAGTCTGTCTGCCACACTGGACAGCAACCCAAGGAGGCTGGAGACCGTGCATGTCCTTCACTGCAAGAGCTTCACCACTGGCGGCAGGGCCTGAGCTCAGCACTGGCTGGCTGGATGCAGAATCAGATCCGCCACATCACCAGATCACATGTCCCACGCTTGGCTGTCTCCTAAGCAAAGACAGTCATGATGCCAAGACCCAAAACGATCACTTCACACTCTTTTTCTCCCTAGCCTCTCTAGTAATGCCCATTCACTCTGCTGGCTGTGATAGTTGAGGTTCGTTGACAACCCAGTGCTCTTCTAAAGACGAAGGAGGCAGTAAATAAATTGTCTGAACACAGGGGCTTGTTATCCAAGTGTGAGTACAGCAATCACACATGAATAAAATATCACCTTTGCAGAATGGCCACACACACGGTCACACACACGGTGGCACAGCCTGTGAGGGCATCTGGGCATTTTGCCTCATTTTTCAGTAGAGAGAACTAGGCTCAGAGGGTGCTGCAATTGGAAAGAGTCTACTCTTATCTTCTGGCTGTGAAAGCTCTTTCCTTTTTAGCACAACAACGTTTCCAAAATGTGTGTTTATGAGGAAAAACGGGGCCCTTTGCTCAAATGTGATTGGAATGGGGGGCATACGCCATAGCCTTGGTGGAGGTTCTACAAGAAGGAAGCCTGCCTAACATGTCCAATGTGTTTGGCCTCAGTGCTTTTTCCCACCAAATACCCAGAACCCCTCTGCAGAGACTGGTGTTCTATACACTTGGAGAAACACATACTTTTAATAATCCAAGTCCGTACCTATCGCTGTGTCCCTGAGGAGAAGATTTGTGGGGAGAGGTGTCTCGGGCTTCCTTCCTATACAATGCCTTCATCTCCCAAATCACCCCATTGCCCCATTCTCTCAGCACAATTGAGTTAAACTCTTAAGAAACAAGCAATTTCATTATCTGAGCAAAGTAATTCCCCTATAATAGAAATGACAGAGATAATCCTTTTAAGTGATTTTTGATGTTTAAAAGAAGAGGTTGCCTACTTACATGCAAGTTAATATCAGACTACACCCTGGGTGATGCCCCATGAACACCTCCTTCACCCTCCACGTCCATAAACAGGAATCAGTTTTGCAACATCCTCCTGGGATGCTGCTGACAGCCTCCTCTGGGCTCTGCTGCACCTCAGTGAAACTCAGGTCATGACTCACACATGATATACTTTGTTCCTCACTCATTCATCTCTCATCCATCTTTATATCACCCCTGCCTCCTGCCAGTGTTCAAAGAATGCTCATTGAATGAAACTGAAAGCCTTTGCATTCTTATCTCACAGATCACTGGCCAACAAATATTTCTCAAAAACCTCCTATGTGCTCAACCCCATGCTGGGCCGGAGTCCAGGAGCTCACAACCTAAAGGGGGAAATAGGGGAGACACGATGGTCCAGAGGGCACTATGAGGAATGTCGTCTCATCATCGTTAATGAAAATGATAATTTTCTGGGAAATTGGGAGAGGTCTCACAGAGGAGACTGGAGCCCCTCATGGGGCCGGAGGAGCTCTGCTGGACACACCGAGGGCAGGGTGAGTAGGGCTGAAGGCAGGAGGGGTACTGGGAATAGCTTGTGGAGGGGCAGATAGGCTACCCTGGGATATCTGGACTTTGTCCTATGGGTAATGGAAGTCATGGAAGATTTTTAATCAAAGCAACGTGATTAAGTCTATGTTTAGGACAAAACCCAGTCTGGAGGAAGGATTGCAAGGGAGAAAGCCTCTTTTTATTTGAAAAGGCACTGGAGCGAGGCTGCAGTGTTCCTAAGCAAGGATTCTTGGGTATCCTACGAGACACATGCTGTCTAGGCAAAGCCAGAAGTGGGGGCTAAGGTGCTGCTGAACACGGAGAGGGTGCTATCACCTCTGAGACTGCAACCATTCACAACAGAATGAGGCAGAGAGCTGGGGATCAAAAGGGACCTGCTCTTGCCCAGGCTTCATGTTCATCCTCCACAAGGAGTCAGGGCATGTGCCCGATGGTGGTGACGCTGGCAAGGTTATGGTGGTGACACTAGCAAGGTCATGGTGGTGATGCTGGCAAGGTTGCCGTGGCGCCCACAGCAGCAGGAGGGTGCCCATGGCGGGCGGCGTTGCCCCGCCCTCGTGGCTGGAGACAGGAGCCCTGCAGGATACTGGACAATACTGGGAAGGAAAAGGAGGGAATCCTCGACCTTGGGCCGGAGCCTGGCCACAGACCACTGAACCCGGAGTGTCTCGACAGTTCTCAAGTAGAAAAAATTCTTGGAAGCTGACGAGGCAGTGAGTGAAAACAAAAGATCCTATCTGGTAGGAAATAGGATAAAATGGAGAGAAATTTGTTTTGTTTGGGGAGATAAAATAAGCAACAGACCACTGAACTCAGGTCAGAAGAGCACAGCCGCCTGCCCCAGAACTGATGGCAGACAGAGAAGGAAGTGTGTTGGAGGTAGGTACAAAGAAGAAGCTATTTTGAGGAAAATCATCTTACACCCGGTATGGCTCCTCTCTGCTGGAAGGTGACATCCTTGCAAGTAGACCGACCAGATCCCTCATGATGAAAAACATCCCAGGCAATGCTGGCGCATGTGAGAGCTCTCTAGTTTCTTTGTGCAGATTCCTCCTGGAAAGCAAGCAGGGGCCTGCATGATGCACACTGGCCTCTTCCTGAGTGGATTCTCTCACCGAGTCAGTGCAGTTGCCGAGTTTCCATCTGGCTTTGTGCTGTGTGGACCCAGCTCTGGAGGTGAAAACCGCAATCAGAGGGACCTCAGATAGAAGGGCAGCCTCACCCCGGGACCTGAGCCATTTATAACACAGGTCAGCCTAATGGCTGCAAGGCCCTTGTGTTTGAAAAAAAACAAGCTGTGGGCCTATGGGATTTCCATGTGCTTTGAAGTTGCTGTTTATACAAAACATTTCGCTAGCAGTAATTGACTGATGCTTCTTCAATGTACTTCCCAATTGCCCAGAGAGCTTGGGAACGTGACTTCAAGAAGAGACGTATGGCCCCTGAATCTGGTTTGTGTCTAGGTAGTTTCAGAAGTGGTCTCCTCATTGGCTGTGTCCTTTCTCATTTCATCACACATGACCCTCTCCTGCACATGTCCAGAGGGCTTTCCCAACAGGATCCATTACCATTGGGAGAGCCTTGAAAATTGAATGTTTCATTATTTGCTTCCTGGGTAGATATTGTTTCCAAAATGCAAAGCTGTCTTCACTCTGATAGAGGTGGTCTAGGCATGATCTTGGCCACTTTGAACATGAAGCCCAGTGGAGCATGCACAGTCTGACTTGTCATATAGGGGTGGACTCATGAGGCTGTCACATGAGGAAGTGATTGAGAGGATCAAAGCAATTATTCAAGCCAGTCTTGGCAAAAGACACAGGTATTACAACAAAGGGTCATTTGAGGCCCACAGAGAAAGGTCATTGTCGTGGTAAGAGAGCTGGAAAGCTGCCCTGCCACTAATTAGCCATGTCTGAGCCCAACAGATTTTTTAAAATAATATATAATGGCTCTATTGAGATATAATTCATGTACCATACTATTCACTCATTTAAAATGCAGAATTTAATATATTCATAGAGGTGTCCGATCAGCACCACAATTAATTTTCAAATAGTTTCACCATCCCTAAAGAAAACTCGGCCTGGTTTGGTGGTTCATGCCTGTAACCCCAGCACTTTAGGAGGTCAAGATGCGCAGATCACTTGAGTCTAGGAGTTTGAAACCAGCCTGAGCAACATAGCGAAACTATGTCTTTACAAAAAATACAAAAAATTAGCCAGGCATGGTGATAGGCACCTGTAGTCCCAGCTACTCTGGAGACTGAGGTGAGAGGATCTCTTGAGACCAGGAGGCAGAGGTTGCAGTGAGCTGTGATCACACCACTGCATTCCAGCCTGGGCAACACAGAGAGACCCTGTCTCAAAAAAAAAAAAAAATGTTTTAAGAAAGAAAAACCTGTACCCGTAAGCAGTCACTTCCTATTTACAATCAATCACCCCAACCCTAGGCAACCACTAATCTTCTTTCTGTCTCTGTAGATTCCAGGCATATTTTTAATATGCCTGAGCCTCAGTTTCCCCATATATAAAAGACAGGAAACTGGGATGTGTGGATGCTGGAGAAGCCCTCTGAAGCCTCTATTCCTTTAACACTCCTAAGACCTATTATCATGTAATATCCAATTTTTCATGTGATCTTGCAAAATCAGGCTATGGTGCTGGCCCTGGCTTGGATTATGTTATTCGATTAGTTGAAAGAGTGTAAGATTTGTTTGAGAGACCAAGGAGCACATCACATCCCATTTCACTGATAGTCACAGGCTCCACTCTGCCACACACCTCCCTCTGGAGAGTGGAGCCCCTGCTTGGGAGCCTCAACACAGATCACAGAGCACAGTAACAGGATCATTCACCAAGGCCCCAGGTGAACAGCACTGGTCACGCTCTCTAAAGAAAAACAACAGACTCTCTTAGAGGTAGAACAGCACCTGTTCTGGGACACTTGGTCACCGTCCACTCCCAGCCTAAGGGAAGGCTCCAAGTGGAAGCAGTAGATTGGGAGGGGATTTTGTTAAATCATTTTAAAGTGAACAATTAGGTGGCATTTAGTACACACTGCACAACCACCACCTCTCTCTAGATCCAAAACATTTCCATTACTCCAAGGTAAAACCCCTTACCCATTAAGCAGTTTCTCCTTATTTCCCCCTCCTCTCAGCCTCTGAAAGTCACCAATGTGAGTTCTGTCTCTATGGATTTGTCTATTTCATATAAATGGGATTGTAAATTATCATGTCTGGCTCTTTCCCTTAGCATAATGTTTTCAAGGTGCATCCACATTGTATCATGTAGCTGTATTTTATTACTTTTTGTGGTTGAATAATATTTCATTGTATAACTATGTCACAATTTGTTTGTCCATTCTTCTGTTGGTAGGCGGACTTGGGTGGTTTCCCCCTTTTGGCTTATGTGAATAATGCTACTATGAAAATGCATGTTACAGGTACTTGTTTCTGTACCTGTTTTCAATTCTTTGGGGTATATACTTAGAAGTTAAATTGTGGGGTCATACATTAACTCTATGTTTAACTTTTTAAGAACCACCACACTGTTTTCCACAGAGGTTGAATCATTTTACATCCCCACCAGCAGAGCACAAGGGTTCTAATTTTTCCACATCCTTGTCAACACTTTTATTTTCTATTTTTTAATTATCACCATTGTAATGGGTATGAAATGGTAACTCATTGTAGTTTTGATTTTCATTTCTCTATTGACTAATGACATTGAGCATCTTTTCTGGTGTTTGTTGGCCATTTATGTATCTCCTTTGCAGAAACTCTTTTGCCCATTTTTCAATTGAATTGTCTTCTGTTGTTGAGTTGTAAGAGTTCTTTATGTATCCTGGATACCAGATGCCTGTCAGATGCATGATTTCCAAATATTTCTCCTATTTCATAGGTTGTCTTTTCACATCAAAGGATAATGTCCTTTGATGCACATTTTTTAAATACATATAAAGCCCAGTTTATCTAGTTTTTATTTTTTGTACATGCTTTTTGTGTCATATCTAAAAATCCATTGTCAAATCTAAGATCACGAAGCTATATCCCTATGTATCCTTCTAGGAATTTTATGAGTTTAGTTCTTATATTCAGGCCATTGATCTATTTTGAGTTAATTTTGTATATGATGTGAAGAAGGGGTCCAACTTCATTCTTTTGCATGTGCATAGCCAGTTGACCTAGCACCACTTGTTAAAGAGACTATTCTTTCCCCATTGAAAGTCTTGACACCCTTGTTAAAACTCAATTGACCACAAATGGTTTGTTTCTGGGCTCTCAATTCTATTTCCTTGATTGATAAGTCTATCCTTATGCAAGTACCACATTGTTTTGGTTACTGTTGTATGTAGCACTTTTCAAATGGGGATGTGTGAGTTCTCCAACTTTGCTCTTCTTTTTCAGGATTGCTTTGGCTATTTGGGGCTCACTGAAAATCCATACGAATTTGAGGGTCAACTTCTCCATTTCTTCACAAATGTTATTAAAATCTTAATAGTGATTGCATTTAATCTGTAGTTTTCTTTGGATAGAATTGATGTCTTAACAATATTGTCTTCCAGTCCATGAATATGGATTTCTTTTCCACTTATTTAGACCTTCTCTTTAATTTCTTTCAGCAATGTTTTGTAGTTTTCAGTGTACAAGTCTTTCACTTACTTGGTTAAATTTACTCCTAGGTATTTTACCTTTTGGATGCTATTGTAAATGGATTTTTTAAATTTCCTTTTTGTATTTTTCATTGGGGGTATACAGAAACACAACTGCTTTTTGTGTGTTAATTTTATACCCTGCAAATTTGTTGAATTCACTTATTAGATCTAGTAGCTTTCTTAAGAATTCTTTGGTATTTTCTACATATAGAATGTATATGTAGAAAATACATGTGTATGTATATGTAGAAAATACCTCTCTGTGAAAATAGAGATAGCTTTCCTTTTCCAGTGTGGACATCTTTTTTTCTTGCTTGATTGCTGTGCCTAGAATTGTCAATACAATATTGAATAACAATGGTGAAAATGGGCATCCTTGTGTTGTTCTTGAGTGGGAAAGTTTTCCGTCTTTCACCATTGATGTGATGTTATCTGTGGGTGTTTCATAGATGTTCTTTATATCATTGAGGAAATTTCTTTATATTCCTACTTTAATGAGAATTTTTATTATGAAGGGTATTAAGTTGTGTCACATGCATTTTCTGCATCAGTTGTGACAATATTATGCATTTTCCCCTTTGTTCTAATTATGTGGTATAGTTCATTGATTGATTTTACTATGTTGAACTACTTTTGCATTTTTGGAATAGATCCCACTTGATCATGGTGTATAATCCTTTTAGTATGCTGTTAGATTCAGTTTACTTGTATTTTGTTTAGGATATCTGCATTTCTATTCAAAAGGGACATTGTTCTGTACTTTTCTTGTGATGTTTTTATCTGGGTTTGGTATAAAAAATATGCTAGCATCATAGAATCAGTTAATAAATGTTTCCTCTCTCATATTTTAGAGGAGTTTGAGAAAGATTGGTGTTCTTCTTTAAATGCTTGCTAAAATTTACCGATAAACCCATCTGACCCTGGACTTTTCTTTGGTGGAAAATTTTCCTACTACTGATTCAATTGTTGTACTCGTTTATAGGTATCTCAAGATTTTCTATTTCTTCTTGAATCAGTTTTGATTATTCGTATGTCTTTAGGAATTTGTTCAATTCACTTAGGTCATCTAATTGGTTGGCATACAATTATTCATAGTATGCTCTTATAATCCTTTTTATTTCTGCAAGATCAGTAGTAAAGTCCCCATTTTCATTTCTAATTTTAGTTATTTGTATCTTCTCCTTTCATGTACATCTAGCTATTAGTTTGCCAATTTTGTTGATCTTTTCAAAGAACCAACTCTTGGTGTCATTAAGTCTTTCTGTTGGTTTCTATTGTCTATTTTATTTGGTTTGGATCCAATCTTTACTATATCATTTTTCTGGCTAGCCTTGGGTTTAGTCTGCTCTTCTTTTTCTAGTACCTTTAAGTATAAAGTCAGGTTATTGATTTTCTATCTTTCTTCTTTTTTAATGTATGCGTTCAGGATTATATATTTCCCTCTGATCTTTACTGCGCACTACAAGTTTTTGTATGTTACAGTCTCACTTTTATTCATCTCAAAGTATCTTTTAATTTCCCTTATGATTTGTTCTTTGACCCCCTGGTTGTTTAAGACCGTGCTTAATTTCCACATATTTGTGAATTTTTCAGATTTGGCCTCTGATATTGATTTCTAGTTTTATCCTACTGTGTTTGGAAAGGATACTTTGTATGACTTCATTTTTTTGTTTTGTTTTGTTTTGTTTTGTTTTGTTTTGTTTTGTTTGAGATGGAGTCTCACTCTGTCACCAGGCTGGAGTGCAGTGGTACGATTTTGGCTCACTGCAACCTCGGCCTCCTGGGTTCAAGTGATTCTCCTGCCTCAGCCCCCTGAGTAGCTGGGACTACAGGCACATGCCACCATGCCCAGCTAATTTGTATATTTTTAGTACAGATGGAGTTTCACCATGTTGGCCAGGATGGTCTCGATCTCCTGACCTCATGATCCACCTGCCTTGGACTCCCAAAGTGTTGGGATTACAAGTGTGAGCCACCGTGCCTGGCCAACTTCAATATTTTTAAATTTACTGAGGATGGTTTTATGGCCTAACTTGTGGTCTGTTCAAGAGCATGCTCTGTGCACTTGAGAAGAATGAGTATTCTGCTATGGTTTGACAAAGCATTCCATATATGTCTCTTAGGTCTACTTGGTTTATAGTTATTCAAGCCCTCTACTTTCTTGTTGATCTTCTGTGTAGATATTCCATTCATTACTTAAAGGGGGATACTGAAGTCTTCAACTATTATTGTGAACTGTCTCTTTCTCCCTTCATTTCTATCCATGTAATTTGGGGCTCTAATTTGATACATGTATGTTTATAATTGCTACTTCATGATGAATTGACTATTTATCAATATATAATGTCCCTCTTTGTTTTTGGATGAAAGTCTATTTTGTCTGATATTAATATAGCTACCCTTACTTTCTTTTGGTTACTATTTGCATAGAGTAGCTTTTCCATCTTTTCACTTTCAATTCATTGTGTTTTTGGATCTTTGGATCTGAATTGTCTCATAGACAGCAAATTTTTTTAATCCATTTTGTCAATACCTGCCTTTTGAAATGGAAAGTTTAATCCATCTACCTTTTATGTAATTGAATGTAGGGAAGGAAGGACTTACTAATAAGGAAATACTTACTTCTGACATTTTGCTATTGTTTTCTTTATGCCTTTTTTGTCTCTCATTTCCCCCATTATTATCTTCTTTTATTTGTAATTTTGTGTAGTAAACCATTTTGATACCCTTCTCATTTTCTTTTATGTATATTCTTTAGATTTTTTTGTTACCATAGAAAATATAATTAACATCTAAGTGATATATAATTTAGTTTTAATTTAATTTATAGCAACTTAACTTCAATAGCATGTAAAAATTCTGCTCCTGTACAGCTCAACTGCTGCCCATTTATGTTGTTGTTGTCATCACAAATTAGATTTGTATACATTGTATGCCCACTAATACATATTTATAATTATTCTATGCACTTGTCTGTTAAATCATGTAAGAAATTAAAAGTGGAATTGAAAACCTAAAATATAATTATGCTGGTTTTTATATTTGCCTATGTATTTACCTTTCCTGGAGATATTTATTGCTTCATGTGGTTTCAAGTCACTGACTAGTGTTTTATCATTTCACTCCTTTAGCATTTCTTATAAGACAGGTCTATTGGTGGCAAACTCCCTCAGCTTTTGTTTATCTGGGAATGTCTTAATCTCTCCCTGAATTTTGAAAGATAATTTTGCCAAATATAGAATTCTTGGTTGACAGTCTTTTTCTTTCATTTGACTTTAAATGTCATCTCCCTGCCTTTTGCCCTTCATGGTTTCTGGTTAGCAACTAGAAGTCTACTAGTAATCTTACTGGGGATCTCTTCTATTTGACAAGTCACTCCCTCCTTCTATTTTCAAGATTTTTTTTTTTGGCATTCAACAATTATATACCATGTCTAATGTGGATCTCTTCAAATATATCTTATTTGGAATGTGTTGTGCTTCTTGGATTTGTAGATTCATATCTTTTATCTAATTTGGGATATGTCCAGCCCTTCTGTCTTCAAATATTCTTGCTGCCCTCTTCTTTCTCTGTCTTTTCTTCTTCTTGGATGCCCATAATGCATATGTTGGTTTGCTTAATGGTGTTCTACAAGTCCCTTAGGTTCTATTCACTTTTCTTCATTCTTTTTCTTTCCATTCCATTTATAATCTACATAATCTCAATTGTCCCTTCTTCAAGTTGACTGACTTCCTTATGTCTGGTCAAATATACTGTAGAAATCCTCCAGTAATTTTTTTTTTTTTGAGATGGAGTCTCACTGCAATGCCCAGGCTAGAGTGCAATGGCACAATCTTGGCTCACTGCAACCTCTGCCCCCTGGGTTCAAGTGATTCTCCTGCCCCAGCCTCCCGAGTAGCTGGGACTACAGGTGCACACCACCGTGCCTGGATAATGTTGTATTTTTAGTAGAGAGAGGGTTTCACCATATTGGCCAGGCTGGTCTCGAACTCCTGACCTCAGGTGATCTGCCCACCTTGGCATCCCAAAGTGCTGGGATTACAGGCATGAGCCACCGTGACTGGCCCAATAAATTTTTCATTTCAATTATTATACTTTTCACCTTCAGAATTTCTATTTAGTTCCCTTTTGTAATTCCTATGCCTTTATTGATATTCTCAATTTGTTCATACAGCATTGTTCTGGTTTCCATTAGTTCTTTGTTTATGGTTCCCTTTAGCTCTTTCAGCATTTTTAAGACAGATGACTTAAATCTCTTTCTAATAGCTCCAGTGGTTTGACTTCCTCAGAGATGGTTTCTGTCCATTTATTTTATTCATTTGAATGGGCCACATTTAACTATTTCTTTTTATGTGCAACCTTTTGGTTAAAAACTGGAAATTTTATATAATAATATGGCAACTCTAGAAATCAAATTATTCTTCTCCTTTAGGGTTTGCTATTTATTGATTGAAGGCTGCAATAATCTGTAATCTATTTGTGCATTGAGTTTGTCAAACTATTTTGTTTCAAAGACTGTATTTCTTGTCATGTGTGGTCAATGAAGGCTCTGTTTCTTTAGCTTATTTTCAGCCAGTATTTTGATAGAGATTTCCTTGAATGCCCATAACTGAAAAATTTAAAACAAACAAAAGATCTCTCCTCATCTTTGCAAATTGACTGTGCTGGGTCACTCTTTCAACATTTAACTGATCTGTTTACAACTCTGCCTCAGCCTTCATTTTGTGCTGGAACTGAACCTACAGATCAGCCAGAAGTCAAACCTTTAAATCTCAAGTCTTTTCAGTGCATGTGTCCTGCCCTGGGTGTACATGTTGCTTTCTAAATTCCGCAGTATACGTGGGTACTTTTAAATGCTTTTAATTTCATGAAGAAACTCTATCTTTCCCTCTCAGGGAAACTTAAATATTCAATTACATGTCTTAATTGTAATCTTTTGCCCAGGAGGTTATGGATTATTTGTTTGCCACACAGTGTTTTGGGGCAATGCCCACTGCTTTTCTACCCCAAATCATTTCTGAGTGAGCCAAAACAGAGACAAGCATCTTGTGTCAGTCCTTCAGGTAGCCCTCAGACAGGTGAGAACAGGCAAATACAAAAATTTGTAAATAGGATTCCTAGAGTCAGAGACCAGAATTCCACCCTGGGAATGCAAGCTGACTTCCTCAAAACTGCTGCCAAGCTGGAAAGGGGGTGGAATAAGAGCAAACAAAAATGCCACAAAGTTTTCCTCCCATTTTTTTAAAGTTGTCTTTTCCTTGATTCAGCATTCTTTTGGTTACTGTAAACCTTTGACTGTTTTCCAGAGTTCTCACAGTTTCCGCTTGTTTTTGACATTTCTGTGGCGGGGCAGGAGCTGCCTATGCTTCCTCTGCCATTTTCCTAACCTGCCTTGCTGAGAGGGGATTTTTCAGAAGAGTTTTTGTTTTAATGGGGAGGAAGGGGTTCTATGATATTCGTGCTCAAGACACACGTACCTCAAGCCAAATAAGGGCACTTCACAGGCCCTGTGGCAACATGAAAGGCCTGTCAGAGAGGTCTTGGGGAATTGGACAGTTGTGACTACTTCTTGTTGAAAAAAGTCTAACCATGATAGGTTACCTAATCTGCCCTGACAGCAGAGCAAGGAGAACAGTCTAGAGCAGGACCTGCACTTCTACTGACAGGGCAAGTAATGGCCCATATCTCCATGAGCAACATTCCACAGTGCTGCTATTACAGCAAAAGCTGAGAGTTGGTTGAAGTGGTCAGGTAGACCACGCAAGTGTCTCCTTCTGAAATGGGTAAGGAAAAGGCAGCTTCTGAGCCCCTGGAGAGGTAACAATGTCAAATAATAACTGCACTAGACAAATGAGACCTTCCTGCCACCTACTCTCCTCCTTCCCAGCCCCTAACTCCAGAGTAGAAGGAAAGGGTGAAGAAATGTTCTCCTTTCCAGTGCCAGGTCCCCAGGCTAGATAAGGACTGAGATGGGGTCAGGGAGGGGAGACACTTTCAATTAGATGAGAGATCAAAGTTAGGATTTAATTCAGGCTTGACTTTGAATAGTTAGAAGTAAATAGGAAAACTATGATTTCTGCCTGAGATCTCCTCAAGAGCAATGAAGAAAACATCAATTGATTAATTAAAATTGGATTGTTTCCTGCTTTGCACTTTCCTAAGTCCATTCAATATATGGGTGACACACATAACTGGAATGTGAGTGGGGAAAAGGAGGGCAGAGAGAAGCAGGAAGTAGTCTGTTGTTTCACATTACAAGTCAGAAAAATTGGGGCAAGAATTCAAAGAAAATTTTAGCATGGTGCATTTAAAAACTTAGGGTGGAAATGTGTTCTCATGACACTGACTTCCCTGCTGTGTTATGGTAAGTGGGAAGGATGGATGTGAGCATGGGTCCACAGCTCCTCTCCAGAGAGGGCCCCTCCTCACTCTCAGGCCAGGACTCCTGGGGGTCTGCTGCTGGAATCCTGGTGAGGGCATGCCCCACCAGGAGCCTGTGTGGGAAACCATGTGCTCCTCGGTGGTTTCTTTAAACTTGGTGCCAGGGAAGCTTCAGCAAGTTGAACATCCCAGCTGTGCTCTGAGTGTGTGAGACGTCCCAACTCCAATATCCACCACAAAGTTAAGAAAGGAGAGAAGAGGAAAGGAAGCTGGAAGTTCTCTGAGTACTGGTAACTACCAAGCCCATCTGGACACAGGGGCTGTGGGGTGGCCTCTGCGAGAGCCACTCTTGTCTTCATGACTAAGGGGATGCCCAGCAGCATCTGCTCATCTTCTTCCGAAATGGACCCTGTTTAGGTTAGTCTTGCTGAGCACTTAGGTGCATGTCTTCCTGGTAATAAAATTGAAATAACGTATTTTCTTGGCTGCTCCATAAACTGTTCTATGAATTTATTCTACAGGAGAAAAGGAAGGAGGTGGAATAAATGTGGCATTGGCTTTTTGATTGTGGTTTTTATTTCCATAAAGCTTAGATCACAAGAATGCATGAGATATTTACACAAATCTTTCCACAATTCCTGTGGCCTGTGGGGGCATAGCATTTCTATGACTTCACCACCGTGGCTGGCGTGTGCTCTCTCAGCAACTTTGCTGGCGACAGGGAGCAGGCCCCACCAGGGCCTGTAGTTCTGGGGCAGAGCAGGCAAGGTTTGTGTGTACCTTATTTCTTCTTCCTTCCATGCTTTTTCTGTAGCAAATTCAACTTCGAAAAGCGGTCTGGGCTTTTCTCTATCATAAAACATGGTGAGTTTTCTTATCATTAAGTACTCACTCTTTCCTAGATCATTTCCTTGGGGATGATAAAGTCAGAGGATGATAACTGCGAAAAACCAGGCTTCATTCACCTTTGCCATGAGAAGACTCAAGGGCTGATCCATCCCAGGTGAGAGAAGCACGGGAAAAAGGCAGCTGTGAGGCAACAAGGCCCATCACACAAGCTTCTCAAGTGATTCAGATTTCTGTAGCTGCAACAGGTTCTCCAGCAGATGGGGGATGAAGCAGCCTGGGAGTCTCGGGCTGCGTGAGGCTAGACTCCAAGCTTCACATAGGCACAGGGTGCACAGCAGGGCCAGGTGGGCAGCCGCTGCAGGAAGACTACCTGCAGGAAGTCTTTAGACGCCAGCTGCACACACCAACATAAAGTAGCAGCAGTGTGTGCGGGTGATGGTTTCCAAGCCACCTGATGTGGAGCATAAATGACTCATCCCCTGTCCAGACACCACCCCGGCTTTTCTCACATTAGTCATCTTATTTCTTATTTCTCTGACTTTGCACTACTGCCCACTAAGAATGTTGGTATCATGATCATCACTTTAAATGATGGGGGACAGGGTTGGTAGAGGTTTGGGAACACACAGACCTCCTATGGCCATGGCCATTTGGCCACGTGAGCCCCTTCTGCACCCTCCTCCACCATCTGTGAGAGGCAGTGCACTTTGGGAGGAAAAGTATAACGTTTAGCCAAGGAGACTGGCATTTAGGTCCTGTCTTCACCACTTCTTAAGCGAGACACATGGTCAGCCTGCCTAGCCTCTCTGCCTCCTTTGCCTTGCCTGTGTAGTGGACATAACCACATCTACCTTGCTGAGCTTGCTGAGGATGGAATGCAGCTGCACTAGGGCAATGTCTGGGGCACAAGAGGTGTCTCAGCAAATGAAATCTGAATAAAGCTCCTGGTCTGAGCTGAGAACAAGCATCCTGTAATTCAGGTTTTAATTATCTTGATTCACCTAACATCTGCAGTGGGCAGAAAGCACTGGGGGCAGCTGTACCCGGCAGCCTGGCTGCCCCAGAGAGTGAGTGGGGCTCCTTCCACCCAAGAAACAGAACACTTTATCCACAGTAGGGAAATCTCAAGGCACCCAAGGGAAATTGTCCGGTGATTTACATGTGACCGTGTGGGCTTCACAGGTGGCAGGAAGAAGACCCAGTGTCCACACTGGGAGTAGGGAGCCCCTGAGAGGAGCCCTCAGGGTCCCAGCAGGAACATGAGTATGCCACATGCTCACATCTGCTCATCCATCTCCAAGGTCCCTTCACTACCTCCATCCCTTATGAGGTTTTCTGGGAAATTTAACTTGTTTTCATGCAGGTTTAACAAGAAGCAATATAGCTTTTATTACATACAAATTAAATAGCCTAAAGGAAAAGTTTCAATTCCATTGTGGTGTTTAAACGTGACCCTGTAGGCTCCGTTCCCTCTGGGAATGCTGGACTCCAGATCATGGCCAAGCATGTTCAGAAGCCAGCAGCCCACAGCACCCTCACAGACCCAGGCCATCTTCCCTCGCTGACCTCAGACCGCACAGCTGTCTCCTTGAATGAACAATAAAATGCCTGGCTGCAACACCAGGCACAGCCAGCAGTTTCATTCCATATCATTTAGCACTTTTCACATCAAGACCAGCAGATTTTAAGAGTCAAAACCTTTATAAACTTCAGAGCTCTTCATAGTGGTTTTTAACTTAAGCAGGGAGTAGAAAAGATGAGAAAATTCCCCCAGAGAGATTTTAAAAAAAAGCCAGTTATTCTTTTAGAAGTCAAAGCATCTTAAATATCTTGATAGGAACATAACACCTCATGCAGATCTATGTGAGGAAGCCCTTCTCTGTGGAACTCAACATAGTATCTGGGAACAGACTTTTTACTAATTCTTTATATACTGCAACCAGATCAGACACAACTCCTCATGGACTGTGATTCTAACAGTGTTTGAAGCTAATCTAGAAATGATTTAAGCAATATCATTCCACAAACCAGGTCAAAACACAAATAGCAGCACCTAAAAATCCTCTGAACATTTCCTTGCAATAGCGACTCACTAGGAAATAAGACTCACAGCCACAGCAGGGCATAGGAAGGGGTCCCAGGTGTGAATGCAGACAGAAGGACTTGCCCAGCTTTTCCTGGGAGCAGCTGGGCACCCACAAAGGCAGGGCTGGGAGTCATAGCGGAGACACTGGGGAAGAAGGACACATCTCACGGAAGCCTGTGAGCATAACAATTTGGGAAAACCCAGAGGAGTGACTGGTTTTCCTCTTTTTTAACTACGGCTGTAGCACATGCTGTATTTTTGCCTTAATATCAATATACAATAAGATAGGTCTTCAGAAATAACACCACACATCTACAACCATCTGATCTAACAAAAACAAGCAATGGTGAAAGGATTCCCTATTTAATAAATGATGCTGGGAAAACTGGCTAGCAATATTCAGAAAACTGAAACTGAACTCCTTCCTTACACCTTATACAAAAATTAATTCAAGATGGATTAAAGACTTAAATGTAAAACCCAAAACCATAAAAACCCTAGAAGAAACCCTAGGCAATACCATTCAGTACATAGGCATGGGCAAGGACTCCATGACAAAAATGCCAAAAGCAATTGCAACGAAAGCCAAAATTGACAAATGGGATCAAATTAAACTAAAGAGCTTCTGCACAGCAAAAGAAACTATCATCAGAGTGAACAGGCAACCTACAGAATGAGAGAAAATTTTTCCAATCTACCCATCTGACAAAAGTCTAATATCCAGAATTTACAAGGAACTTAAACATATTTACAAGAAAAAAACAACCCCATCAAAAAGTGGACAAAGGATATGAACAGACACTTCTCAAAAGAAGACATTTACACAGCCAACAAACGTGGAAAAAAAGCTCAATATCAATGATCCTCAGAGAAACACAAATCAAAACCACAATGAGATACCATCTCACACCAGTCAGAATGGTGATTATTAAAAAGTCAGGAAACAATAGATGCTGGTGAGGCTGTAGAGAAATAGGAATGCTTTTACACTGCTGGTGGGAGTGTAAATTAGTTCAACCATTGTGGAAGACAGTATGGTGATTCCTCAAGGATCTAGAACCAGAAATACCATTTGAATCAGCAACCCCTTTACTGGGTATATACCCAAAGGAATAGAAATCATTCTGCCATAAAGACACATGCACATGTATGTTTATTGCAGCACTATTTAAAATAGCAAAGACATGAAACCAACCCAAATGCTCATCAATGATAGACTGATAAAGAAAATGTGGTACATATACACCATGGAATACTATGCAGCCATAAAAAGGAATGAGATCATGTCCTTTGCAGAGACATGGATGGAGCTGGAAGCCACCATCCTCAGCAAACTAACACAGGAACAGAAAACCAAATGCCACATGTTATCACTCATAAGTGGGAGTTGAACTTTGAGAATACATGGACATAGGGAAGGGAACAACGCACACCAGGGCCTGTTGGGGGGTGAGGGGTGAGGGAAGGGAACTTAGAAGATGAGTAATAGGTGCAGCAAACCACCATGGCACACATATACCTATGTAACAAATCTGCATGTTCTACACATGTATCCCATAATTTTAGAATAAATTTTAAAAAATAATAAATAAATCCATAAAAGATAGGTCTTGCTGGAGTGGCTCTGGGCTTGGTTTTCCTTTCTAACGACAGCTTCATCAATGACTACCAATCTTGACCATCGTTTCCTCACCAGAAACTCAACTCTGGCATTCAAATGTAGACAAAATTGGAAAAACCTTTCATTCAAACCAAGAAAGTATAAAATGATATCCAGCAATGCAAAGCCTGCAACTACAGGGGGGAAATCAGCTCAAGGAAACACTCCATTAACTCTAACCACCAAACTTCTTACGATTCTACTTCTAACCTCACACCTATAAATCCAGTTCAATGCACACTCAAGTTATATTTCTTTCTCTATAACCTCCTTCAGTCTGTTTGTGTTCAGATAAGTGCAATGATATACTCTGAACTGACCAAGGCCTCAGACCATTTTTTTTAAATTTCAGGGCAGATTGATGACAGGTGCCTCCAGGAGCTGTGCCTGGTAGGGTCTAGCTAATGTCATGGGAACAGGAGAGACAGCCATCAGTAGGTGCACCTTTCTTTTTGACCAACATGGCCTTTTCTCAACTCTGTATATTTTAGGGTGTGTCATGTATGTCTATCTACCTGCTCAGTGACATTGAGCAGAGTGCCCCATCACAAGGATACACCTCTGGACCATGACCACCATGAGGCCAACACAGCAGGAGGTGCTGCTACGGGCCTGGAGGGCAGAGGGAGCCAGCCGCAGGGGCTGCCTCATCTTTCTGGGCTTCAGGGTCTCCACCTACTGGGTGCAGAGTGGGTGCTGCACAATCTCTGAAGACTCTGACAGCTCTGAAGTAACCCTGTCCCACTTTATAACCAGAGCCGCCATACCGGGAGGTCTTCCCTTGGCCAGCTTGGTGACCTAAGGCCTTAGCATAGACCCCCTGGTTGTCCTAACGTAAAGAAAAGGCCGGGCACAGTGGCTCATGCCTGTAATCCCAGCACTTTGGGAGGCTGAGGCGGGTGGATCACCTGAGGTCAGGAGTTCAAGACCAGCTTGGCCAATATGGTGAAACCCCGTCTCTACTAAAAATACAAAAATTAGCCAGGTGTGGTGATGCACGCCTGTAGTCCCAGCTACTCCGGAGGCTGAGGCAGGAGAATCACTTGAACCAGGGAGGCAGAGGTTGCAGTGAGCCAAAATCGCACCACTGCACTCCAGCCTGGGTGACAGAGCGAGACTTCACCTCAAAAAAAAAAAAAAAAAAAAGAAAGGAATAGAGGAGGAAGGGAATTACAATATCTGCAGATATGCTCTTGAGACACAAATATATTTTTTATGGAATCCCATCCCTGACCCTCATTCAAGAACTATTACCTTTTTCTTTCTTTGCCTGTATTCATAAATACAGCTTTACTCAGATTGTTCAGGCTCCGAGGTAGTTTACAGCAGGTAGGCAGGCAGGTTTCATAGAGCCAGATGGCTCCTGGAGGCACAAATCCTGGTAAGGAAGTAAGAAATGGCCCAATAGGTCATTCTGGATGTGTTATTGCAAGCTGTTTCCACTGGGCCTTTCTCTCAGGGTGAATGATTTAAACAATGTATGCCTGAAATGGCTTTCTAGACCAGATCTCCCAGGTGGCTTCTTCGTAGAGACACAGGCTAGCATGTCAAGTGGGTGTTGTTTATGACAACCAAGTGATGAAACATCATATTTCTGTGCTTTCTGAACCATCATCTACCTATCATTTCATCATGGTATTAGTTCATTCTCTTTGATTGCAAACAACCGAAATCTACTTTGGCCAATATAAAGTAAATAGCAAGTTACTGAAAAGATACAGAGTACTTCATAGAATCTGGGAGAACATGAAGAACAGGGCTCAATCTCAGTGCTTCTTGGTGAATAAAACTAAGTTACTCTTTGTTATCAAAGTCAGGAAGTGGAGTGAAAGCTTTCCCTGGGATACACCTTCATGACCAGTCACAGACACTGGATCCTTCCTCACACACCCGGACATGTCATCTTTTCAAAGGCAAAGCTCTCGGCCGGGCAGTGTCCATGCACAGCATATGCAACGTCAGCATGCGCTACAGTCTTGGTTATAAATCACAGGCCCTGAAAAGGTTCTGCCACTGCCCCAGGCAGTCCTTGTCTGTGTCTTTCCTGTTTTACTCATTAGACATGAAGGCCTTCCCACTGTGAGCCTTCCATGATGGTGGCGTCAGGACATAGGGTGCCCCTTCCTGGAGAAGCTGGCATGTAACCAGGTTATCATATGTCTAACCATGTATAGAAATGTGTTAAAGGGAGAGTTGGCCCCCTGGTCTATCCAAATCTGTGCCAGTGAGGAATGTAGCCAAATCCTCCCACTGTACAGAGTGCACTGTTCCAGGAGAAACTGCAGTAAATGTATGATGGGGCTCAATGAGGAAACACCACGGCCTCTCGGGTGGATTATAAACACTGACCTTCTTTATTCAGCCACCTATGCTGCTGGTGAAAAGCTATGTGATATTAAATTTCCTTTGATGAGACAGACTTTGGCAGAAGGTTATAAAAGATACAAGCGTGAGGTTTGAAGCCAGAACCCTGACAGCTTACGAGCTACAGGATTTTAGGCAGGTCACTTAATGGGCCCTTGGTGGGGCTGTTGCCAGCTGCTGGATGATGTTATGTATGGTGCCTAGCATCAGTGGTTGCTCAGGAAAGGGCAGCTATTACTAAAAAGAATCAGAATGGAAAAGGTTTTCATGCACCTCTCCAATTTTTCTATCTGCTTCAACTCAGAACTGAATGCTATTTCGTGTGCCAGGTACATGTATCTGTGCAAGAGAAAAGGCTGAGGGAAAAAGAGAAAAGCAAACAGAACACCCAGACTGAGAGAGCAGGTACTGAGGCCAGAGATGGGGAATGGCGGGTGGGCAGCAGAAATGACCAGCCAGGCCCACCTAGGACATGAGGACAGCCTAAAAATCCATAGGCGGTGCTTAGAAAGTAAAATACCTGTCTTTAAAGTTCCTAAAACTTGACCAACTTATTTGGTAAATTGTTGAATGCCTGTGACTCCCAAGTGTGATCTGGCTGAGGACCCATGAGGAACCACATTCCACTTTCCGTGCCATTCTCTCGGGCCTCCCAGGAATCCCTCCTCCTTCCTCCTACCCCTTTTGCAGGAAACCCCCCAGGCAGCCCTCATACCTTGAGGAAATCCAGGAGTGAGCCCTATTTGTCTCAGTCAAGTGTGGCATCTTTGTCTCTCTTGTCAGTAATGGTTCTGGAACTCTGCCTGCAGCCATCAGCCTCAACATCCCCTAAGGACTGTGACCAGTCCAAGGATGGGCCTGGACCAGGCAGGTGGACCAGGCTCCACTGGCTGCTGGATCTGCTGCCTGTAGAGCCTGTAGAGGCTGCCACCATCCTGCAGCCTGCCTTCCCTTTGGACTTTCAAAGATGTAACACCTACCTTTACCACTTAAGCCAGTGGGAGGTAGGCTTCCAGCTACTTCCAACCAGAGCATCCTGAAAGGTCCACCTGGCAACTGCTGCTCCTCATTTAGTATAATGAGCAATGAGGACTAGCTGTGCCGCTGCTGAGCTGCTGAGGACTTGTTTTCCTTATCCACAGTGTGAGGCCAGCTCTGCTGCTGCAGGAGCCGTGATCTGCACCCTTTGGAAAGTCAGGCTCCACGACTCTTTCACCAAAAACTGCACCCCTGGGTCCCCGCCTTTCACCACCTAACTCTCTCTCCACGAACATGAGGAAAATTCAGGGTACAAATCACATACAGCAGAGACTGTAAAAGAATTTGCATTATTCAGTGAACTGGTTAAAAGAATCAAGCTAACTTCTAGAAGCTTCTAGTAATTACTTCCCTTTAGTCCCTTTAGTCCCCGGTGATCTGGGATTGTGAAATTGTTTTAGATATAGATTTTTCCAATCAAATTAAGTCTAGTAAGAGTGAAGCCAGATTTTGGCTTATAAGTAGACCTAGGTGGGGGATTGTGCTCAAGTCTTCTCCCATTAATTGGCTTCCTTTTAGCAGCAGCAGGAAAATCAGCCCAACTTGGCCTCCATCCCTGACTTCCCTCCGCTATAGAAGGCCCAACTCCAGGGGTTACTGCTCTTGTGGGCTAGCTTATTCTAGGTTCGCTGTGACACACAGGTGAAACCATTTCTTTTAGCTCACCTCAAATAAACTATTTTTCTTTCTAGGTGTCCCAGATACAATCATATTTGAAATCTTACACTCAGCTGAAGGTTCCAGCCTCTCCAACTCAGAGGCCCTCTATACTGACCATAATGTTGCTGTCTCCTTTCTCAGTGGATTATACCGACAGTCCCCGACCTTTTGGGCACCAGGGACTGTTTTCAAGGAAAACAATTTGACAATTTTTCCACGGACAGTGGGTGGGATGGTTTCACGATGAAACTGTTCCACCTCAGATCATCTTTCTCATAAGAAGTGTGCAACCTAGATCCCTCGCATTCACAGTTTATTTACAATGGGGTTCGCACTCTTATGAGAATCTAATGCCACTGCTGATCTGACAGGAGACAGAGCTCAGGTGGTGAGGCTTGCTGGCCCGCTGCTCACCTCCTGCTGTGTGGCCAGGTTCCTAACAAGTCATGAACCGGCATCAATCTATGGCCTGGGGGTTGGGGACCCCTGGGTTATACCTTTATAATCTCTCTCTCTTTTGAAGAAAGGCCCTTCGCCATCACATCAACAACCCTGGATATAACTCTCCCTGATAAAGCCCCAACAAAGCTGACTTCTTCCATGAGCTCATTTAGCCATTCGCTTGAAAGCATTCACTGCTTGCCTCTGTGTGCTGATGTGCTATGTAGTTACAGCAGAGAATAACAAGATAAAGAAGAAAGGCTCTGCACTTAGGGACCTTATCGTGTAGCACAGAATGCAAATAACTTTAATATTAGTCTCTAGCTGTATCATGGAAGAGATCCAAATGAAATGCTACAAGAGTTTGGGAAACAGATAAGACTTTCAGTTGGGGAAATCTGAGTGAAAGCTGCTTGGAAAACGTGGAATATAAGCTTGGTTTCAGAGGATTCATAGAATTTTAATTGGTAGCGAGGGTAAGGGGAGGGCATTATAGACAAAGAGAAGGGCAGAGGCAACAAGAGAATGGCAGGAAAGGTGGGGCACGCTCGGGAAGAGGTGGCGTGGCCGGTGGACAGGAAGCTGGGTAAAGGAAGACCTGTTAGCAAGCTAAGTCTGGTCCAGGTGGTGGGGAGCCTTGGGTATCAGGTTTTAAAGAATGTTTAATCTCATACATGGCAGGGAATCTTATTTCTATCTCAGCAGAGCTCCTACTGTATTTTACTTTAGCTTTTGGCGCATTTCCTCTCAAGTAAACTGGGACATCTGTCAGGGTCTCTTTTCTTCTCTGTCACCTCAGCACTTAGCCCACTGCCCTGCACATAGGACGTACCCACCCATGTGTGCACAATGAATAAATGAACAGATCAGAGCTTTACTTTTT
This sequence comes from Homo sapiens, assembly GCF_000001405.40. Taxonomy (NCBI): domain Eukaryota; kingdom Metazoa; phylum Chordata; class Mammalia; order Primates; family Hominidae; genus Homo; species Homo sapiens. The sequence goes on along the minus strand of NC_000008.11, from coordinate 48,399,293 downwards.
GAAAAGTAATCTCACAGCTGGGGGGAAATGGATGAAAGTTGTGAGGAAGAGGGAAGGTCTGAAGGAACTAGAACCAGGAATTCAGAAGCCCGATTCCAGCAGTGCGTGTTGAAGGAGAATGAGAAGCAAAGATGGATTGGAAAGAAACTGTACAGGAAGTACCAATACGGCTCGATCAGACATGAGAAATAAAAATGAAGGGGAAATTAAATTGACTTCAAGCGTTTGCTCCCAGGCATCAAGAGGCCTGGTTGTGCTGGGGGTCAGCTGAAACCCTGCCTCCAGAGGACTCCAGCCCTATCAGAGCAGGAACTTCACTGTTCGCTGCTTTTTTCACTGCTGTGTCCCTAACATCAAGAACACAGATGTCTAGGCACTCAACGTTTTTTGAACAAAAAAATAAGTGAACATGTTGCCTTAAGATGACATTCCAAGCCCTCATAAATGTCTGATTTAGTTAGAAATAGGAGCCTGGTATTTAGCACTGAAAGTTTAGCTTTAAGAGTCATCTGCACAAAGGCAGTTGTGGGAGTGCGTGCCTACACCCCTACACAGCTGGGAGGTGTGGGTGGGGAAAGGAGGGGCTTCACAACCGCTGAGGTCAAAGAGTTTCAGAGAGAGCCTAACTGAGCAACTGTGTCCAATAGTCCAGAGAACTTACAGAGATGATGAGGACTTGGACACTGAATTCGGCAGATTGGAGGTCACTGTGACCTTCACAGAAGTAGTTTTAGAATTGTGAATACTGAAGATCACTTTCATTTTCCCTAGTCAGATATCACACATGTACATTTCCATACACAAACACACTCCCCTGTCTCTCTTCAAGAGTTGGGGTCAGCCAAAACACATTCATTTTGAGGGAATTAGGACTTTTTGCCAAAGGGTAGATGACTGTGTACGAATCCTATGGTGAGGCATTCCATTTGAGTGCACCGGTGGAGTAGAGAGAAAGCGTGTCAGCTGGGTTCTGTGCACAGCCAGGCCCAACACAGAGCACAGGTCACCACTGAGGGGCTGTCACAGTGCAGGCAGATCTTCCCTGACAATGGGAGGGGCCCAGCCTCCAGCCATGCAAGAATGAGGTGAGGTTCCAAATGTGTAGGGATTTGGGCCTCATCCAGGGCTGAGACACTCTGCGCTGACAGTGAAGCAGATTGGAGCCCCCAGCTTATGCTAAAATCGGCCCAGGCTCACTGTGATCCTTTAGGCCAGAAAAGACCAGCTGTCCACTGTGTGCCTGCCAGCTAGCACCAGGGCCCCCTGCTTGAGCACTTAGGAAGCCCTTCCTGAGCCCTCTCAAGCAGCGCTGGGCTTGCAAAGTCCCTCCCCACACTAGCTCCATGAGCATAGGGGTGTTTATTGCAAACATGACTAGAGTTCTCTTCATAAGTAAAAGCCTACAGAGTATTATTATTCTGGAATATCACTCATATTAGAAATCTAAGGAGAGGGGAAATCAGGTTATCTGAAAGAGAAAAAGAGCCTGAGCTTAGAAAACTCAGATGAATCTCAAGGACCTCCTCTTTGGAATTATTTGGAGAAGCAACCTAGTTCTCTGAGGTGCGGAATATCTCATCTCAGCTAGGAAGAAGCACTGGGTATGAAGGGATTTAGACCAAAACACAGGCTTGGAGACACCCAGGCAGTGTTAGCACAGAACTCTGCGAGGGAAGAGGCAGAGGAAAGTTAGACCTGGGAGGTGAGTGGGATGTTAACAGAAGAGGTGAAAGGGATCAGAAATATTCTGCAAAATAATCACAATAAAGCCTGCCAAGGGTGCCATAGCAGTCAGCCATCTGCTAGGACCCCAGACTCTGAAATTTTCTGACCCAGGGCCCACGAGGCCTCTGCGCGCAGGAGAGTGCCCTGGGGAGTGCAGGGACCTGCTCGGTAAATCTCCATTAGATCAGGCTGAGTGCCCTGGGTGGAGGGACAGAGTTGCCAGAAATAGCTCCTTTCCTGCAACGGCAGGAAAGATCGCAGCTGCCATAAGGCCTGTGCAGAGGGGGCGCCCCGGTGGAGGGCGGAGGGCAGAGAAATGGAGTCTGCACCGAGAGGCGGGGACCAGGAGGCGGGAGACAGCCTGGGAGCCGCTTTGAAAGGATCTCATAAAAGTGCCGTTTGTTGGGAGCCCGGAGGAAGTGGAGGCAGCTTTGGCACACGTGGCCACGGTGCTAAATTAACTGCTAACACAAATAATCAAAGTGCAAGACCCATCGAGAGGCTGGCGCCAGCGAAGCGCGGGGGCGGCGGTCAGCGGGGCTGGCGGGCGGCCTGCGGCAGGTGAAGGCAGGGCGGGGGCGGGGGTGCGCGGGGACCGGGACTCCAGGCAGAGGGATGTGGGGGCCGCCGGCGGATGTGCTCTGGGACCCAGGGCAGTGGGAGGAAGGGACTTGGGGAGGGCGCACCGCGGGAACCACGGCGGGGGGAGGCCGGTGGAGGTGAGAGCAGGGGGAGCTGCGGGGAGTCACCCGGAGACTCTCACCCAAGAGAGGGGATGGTGTGCCGGGGACGTGCCCCGGGACTCAGGCAGGGAGAGGTGGGAGTGGCAGACTTGTCCTGGGCCTCCGAGTAGTTGAGGGGGAGGGGGAGAGGGGTCACACCCGGGCAGGGGAAGGCAGAGCAGTGCGTGAAGCGGAGGGGGACAGGACGTATATTGTCCGCCGACCTGACCTGTGGCCGGGAAAGGCAGGGCTGGGGATGTGCCCCCGGACTCAAGGCAGGGGAACGGCTGGTGGAGGAGCCCTGATGGGACCGAAGGCAGGGGTGGCCGTCCCCGGCGTGGCGCTGCAGTGAGCTAAGGTTCTTCCTTCTGCACAGGTGTGCATAAGGCGCACAGCTGCTCTCTGATGCCCCTCGCCGCCACCTGGCCGTGATGGTGGCAGGGGGCCTTACTTGGCGATGAGGCAGGCGGTGTAACTGAGGGAGCAAAACAGGTCAAATCTGAGGCCTGGCCGTCGGAGCTTTGTTGCGGGCAGGCCTGGTGGCTTGGCCGACCTCCCACTGACTAGGGCGCCCTGACCTCCCGGACGAGGCTCCCAGGGAGAGTCCCGTGGAGGAACGCCATAGGGAACCTGCTTCCTGGGTATACACTCCTTGTTTCCACCAGCAGCAAGGTTGGAATATTTTTTCACAAACTTTTTTGTTAGCCTTGGCCTCCGAGCTGTGTACCAGAGGCCATCGGCTTCAGTTTGTAGATAGAGAAAAGAGGATGGACATGACTGCTTTCAAAGCTGCCGCATGCAGCTTGGAGCATTCCTTCTCAGCACTGGTGATATCCACTTTGCCATGAAGTAGGATGGAATAAACCCGTTTCTAACAAGGTGGAAGAGGAAGCCCCAGTAATGGCAGGTGTTCTGGGGCGACCTTCTTGGGGTCCTGGAATTAAGAGAAGGTACTTCCTGGAGACAACTGTCTTTCGAGAAAATTCCTAAGCATTGGCTGATACCTATTATTGGGTAAGGGATTCTCATCCAGTTGTTTGTTTGTTTGTTTGTTTTTTGAGAAAGAGTCTCACTTTGTTGCCCACGCTGGAGTGCAGTGGTGCGATCTCAGCTCTTGAAACCTCCGCCTCCCAAGTTAAAAAAAATTCTCCTGCCTCAGACCTCCTGAGTAGCTAGAACTACAGGGGCCCACCACCACACCCAGCTAATTTTTGTATTTTTAGTAGAGATGGAGTTTCACCATGTTGGCCAGGCTGGTCTCGAACTTCTGGCCTCAGGTGATCCATCTGCCTTGGTCTCCCAAAGTACTGGGATTGCAGGTGTGAGACACTGAACCTGGCCCCATTCTTTGTCTCTAAGATTCAAAGCAAGGTGCAATTAGAATTAGTCTAGCAAATAAGTTGCAAAGAAAAAAAATAGAAGCCAGCCAGCAGCAGTGCAGGGGAGCCTCGGGCTCTGTGAGATAGCCACCCTAAAGACACCTTAGTGAGCACACAATCCTGGCTTTACTGAGCCAAAGTATCAGCTTCTGAAGACTGAAATAGAAAGGCAGATTGGGGAACTGGCATAATTTAGTTTTTGTAAGTTTTTAGAAATTGGATTTAACTTTAATTTTAGTGCATTTATGTCCAACACATATGTTTACACAGATGCAGCCAATGAAAAACAAGAATTCCTCTCTTTGGAAAAGGTATTAAAATCATAATAAAATGAATAATGCTAGTTAGATTCCCACTGGGTGTCTTTATAAGAAAGGAAGATTGCTGAAATGCATCCTCCACTTCTTCCCTGGATGGTTAGAACCACCTTGTGAGACAGGTGTGGTCACGAATCCTATACTCACACCTGAGGACACCAGGCCCAAGGGGTCAGTGGCCAGCTCTGAGCCACCAAGGATGGCCAGGGAGCCCATGTGATTTAAACCCAAGGCCACATCTGGAGCTGATGCTCTTTCAACCCTCCCAGGAGGAGATGATACAGAAAGGTCACAAGAATGCATTATCCCTCTACATTCATTTCTTCAACGAGTATTTAGCTCCTACCATGTACCTGCGTCGAGAACCAGGAACCAAGAAAGAAAAGTAAGCAGATGAGGTTCCTGCCTCATGGAGGAGCAGGGAGAGGGACATGGAGCAAAGCACCTCCAAAGTGACTGTCTATTATAGGCCATGCCTGTTTGCGGAGTCCCAGCACTCAGATAGAAAAAGACAGTGACCTCGAATTCTCACAGCACCACCCCTGTGGTGACAAGGACCCGGCCAGAATCCTCAGTGCCTGCTGGTTGGGAGTGCTGGCTGGGCATTGGTTTCCTCCCACCGGGCATCTCATGGGCCAGCCTCTATTGTCATCCCCATTCCACAGGTGAGGGAAACGAAATTGAGAGGGATTGAGGGCATTCCCCAGGTCTCACAGGAATGGCACAGCCTAGCTTCAAACCATGTCAGGTTTCATAGTTTTTCAAAGCTTGTTTTCTTCTTCTGTGTATTGAAAAGAGGATAGGACTTGCGTCCTTGGTTGACTTGTGTGACGGCAGCATTGGGAGCTGGGGGCGTGACCACAGTGGTGTGATGTGTGAATGCAGCACACAGCCCAGGGAACATAGCCCAGAGTCGGAGGGCTGGCCGCTCACCCTGGCATGGAAGGCCCTCGCTCCACCTGGGCTCGCTCTTATCACTCCATGCACAGACAGGCATTAGCTGAGGCAGGCAACAGATGATAGAGAACAGCACCATGTCCCCACGCTGCCACTTCACAGCATCCTTCCAGCAACCTGGAGTACTTCCCTTTCTAGAAAGGAAGAAACTCAGACTTTGAAAGCTTGCATCCCTCGCACAGTTAGGAGCTGAGAATTAGAACCCCAGGACTCCAGGCCTCCAAAGCCTGTGCTTTGGCCACGGCAGCACAGAGCTCCTCTGCAAAATGAAGCAAGTAAGAACTAGAAGTGACCAGGCACAGTGGCTCCCGCCTATAATCCCAGCATGTTGGGAGGCCGACGCAGGAGGACCACTTGAGCCCAGGAGTTTGAGACCAGCCTGGTAACATGGCAAAACCCCATCTCTACAAAAAATAAGAAAAATTAGCCAAGTGTGATGGTGCACACCCATCAGCTACTTTGGAGGCTGAGGTAGGAGGATCACTTGAGTCCAGGGTGATTGGGGCAATCATACTGCTACACTCCAACCTGGGCAACAGAGTGAGACCCTGCCTCCAAAAAAAAAAAAAGAACCAGAAGTCTCTCTTCCAGCTCAGCTCAATGTGCAATCATTTTAGGGTGAAAAGAGCTACAAATTCAGTTTCTTATTTAAAAAAAAAAAAAAACCATTAAACTAGGTCAGGAAAACAAAATGATACTTGGTGTAGCCTGGTCCAACTCTAAAGACTCATAATGGAACATCCAAATTGGTTGGAAAGGGGCAGAATTATCTGTAATTGTGCCCCGGTCATTGTGCAGGCCAGTTCTGGGCACACGGGAAGCCCAACACAGCCCCTCTTTGGCTGCCCAGAGATTCCCAGGGGCAGCAGAAACAGGGCCATGCTCCTCAGTACCCCCACCATGCCCACTTCTCACAGCACCCTGAGCCATGTTATAGGATTCGAGAGCTGACCCACTTGTGCAGGAAGGGTGCGCCTGTCTTACTCAGGGTGCCTTCCAGTTTGCAGCCAGTTCTCATGCTGGGCAATGAGGAGGATCCCACTGAAATCATCCGAAGTACTCATGGCCTGAGGCCCAGGCCACAGTAAGGAGATCAGGAAGCCCTCACTCATTGGTGCTGCCATGCTGATGATGTGAGTTCCAGCAACTCCTGGGTTGTTCTGAGCAGTCGTTGATGTGTGTCACCCATAGGAGCATGCGATGGGCACACTGGGTCCTGGGTACCCAGTGCCTCTCCTCCCCACCCTCAGAGCCCTTCCCAGTCACAGCCACTCTGACATCAGCCTCTGATTCTCTCTCCTCTGACAAGACTTGCAGAGACTTTTCTATGTTCGCCCTACTCGTAAGAGGAAGAAGTTTCTAGAGATGGGATTTCCGATGCTGCGAGAAGCAAAAGGTCCTATCTGCTGCCTGAAAGGCAGTTTTATATTCTGCATAATCATAAGAATGCCTCTGTCTTAAAGAGCAAATTTCTACTAAAATCAGACCTGTGTAGGGCAATGGATGAAGAGTCCCAAGCTCTGGCTGTGAGCTGATAAGCTGCCTGCCGCAGGCAACACTGAGCCCAGCCCAGTGCCTGACTTCCCAGGCTAGCACAGCTACAGGGACTTTCTTATTTGGGGTTTTCTTGGCCTCTGCGCAGATGCAGTGAAGCATGCTCAGGTCAGCAGGGAGATAGATGCTCTTAAAAACAAAAGCAAGAGTTGTTTCTTCCTTCTGGGTACAGGGGCATGTGTCAGATTCCAAGGGCAATTTTCCTAGCATCTCAGAGGTACCTCTAAGGGACTGGCTGTCTTCCCACTATTAGACTCACTTAGACCACCTCACAGCCGCAGCCATTCTTTGAGACTGGCTTTAGGGCAGCTCCAGAGGCAGCTCTGGTACAGAGGACGGAACCCTAGCCCAGAGCCCCAGAGAGCCACTGCTTTCCTGGCTGCACCTGCCTATCACAAAGCCCTGCCCTCCTGGGTCCTGCACGAACTCCCACTCCTCTCCACTGGGCCTCTGGGAAGACCTGCTGGCATGGAACGGCCATGTGTTCTGCACTGTCTCTGGCACTGCACTTCCCCAGCCCACCTAGGACCCAGAGCCTCACTAACCGCCTCTGAGGCCAGGTGGCTTCCTTGTGAATGCATAGCCTCTGGTAGGTTTGTGCACCAGCTCCTCCAGTGTGCCGGAGCTTTTGTGGCATGGACAATGGTTTCCTGCATTTACGTGCAGGCTCCCAGCCCACAAGGTAGACTCTGAGGAAAAGCAGCATGCCTTCTATGGCTCTGGTGACAACAAGAAATGCCAGACCCAGTAGTGGAAACAGCAAAGGGCCTTCCTGAGCAAACTCTTAAGACCAGCAAGAGTGCAATGAACAAAACTGTACATAGCGAAAGCCCCTGCAAAAGGCAGCTTATATTTACCACACCATAGCAATCTGCATGTGCAGAATGGGTCCAGGGATAGCATACAAATAATGTCTCATCACCTCATTGGAATTAGAAGTCAGAAGCATAATATCTGAACTTTCAAGTGACTACATTAAGGATAAATTCCTTGAAGATAGGAATTATATCTCATTGACCTTCTTAATCCCAATAGTCACAGGATAGAACACATTAAGAACTGAATGAATAAATGACAGCTGGTAAGAGAGGGGATGAGGAAAAGGAAAAAATAATATAGGTTAAAGCATTCAGTCACTAAATAAAAAGTTCATTTCGGGTTGTATTATTATTACGAAATGAGACAAGCATATCTACACAAAGCTCTTTCTACTCCACTCTTGAGACAAAGCATGACTCTGAGGAGCACGGGGCTTTGCAGCAGATCCTTGAAGCTGTCCTGCTCTGGTCCTTCCTGTGGGAGGGGACCCCCAGCATGCAGCACCTCAGTTCCCCTCTAGGCTTCTATTTCTAGGTTTTTGTTTTTGGGACAAGATATCTCTCTGTTGCCCAGGCTGGAGTGCAGTGGTGCAATCATGGCTCCCTGCAGCCTCGACCTTCCAGGCTCCAGCGATTACCCCACCTCAGCCTTTTAAGTAGCTGGGACTACAGGTGCACACCATCGTGTCTGGCTAGTTTTTTTATTTCTCTTTTTTATAGATGGGGCCTTGCTATGTTGCCCAGGCTGGATTCTATCTCCTGAGCTCAAGCGATCCTCCTGCCTCAGCCTCGCAAAGGTTTCTATTTCTATTCAGATGAAGAGCTTGAGTCAGCTAAATTTGACACCTCTTGTGAGATTCCAAAGGTTCAAAAACTACTGGAACATAAGGCAAAAGGATCTTTTTTTTTTAACCATACTCAGGAGGTCGGTCGCCATAGCAGCCTTTTTATAAGAGAAAGAGAGAAGTGGTGGGAGGTGGAAGGTAAAATACCAGCCCTCAGAGCATCTCCTGCTTTTTTTAAAGTTCTTATAATAAACATGACTTCTTTGTGCTTTATATTCCCAACACCCTAGCTATTTGCTTGCAGCACTTGAGAAAATACATAGCCTTTTACTTGTTTAAAAAGAGGGGTTTTTTCAATACAAAAAAGTTTTAATATAAGAACCAGCATAGCAGCCAGAAGACTATCTGTTTTAAAGGGGATGTTTTGCTGATTCCAAGTCTGTGACAACATGTAAAACAGACCAATTAGAGAACATCCCAGGAACCCTCACCCAACGCAGCTGTTCTAGATGCAGCTGGGGTTTGCTGCCTGCTCTTTTCTGAATGTGTCCAAAAGTCTTCTCCAGAACATCCAAATTTAATCCCAGTGTCAAGATTCCAAGGCTTAATCACTCAGCTACAAGGAGATTCCTTTGAAGCTTGCACAGTTTGCGGAAGTGTGGGGAGAGAGGAGGAGGTGGTAGAGAAGGGAAGAGTGTGAAGCCAGAGGATGTACCCTGCTGGAACCTGTGGCCGGGGTGCCCACAGTCTGTAGTCACCACAATGAGCCAACAGCACTTCAGCCTTATGCTGCTGGCCCTTCTTTCCTGTCTAGAAACTGAGGGTTTTCCATTTTATTTTCCAAAGAAGCCAGAAGTATTGTACATTTACCGTAATAAGCCCAAGGAAAATGGTATTACAAACCAAATAAAAATGGAAAATAAAACGAAATTTTAAAAAGTAAAACAAGGCAGTTGGTCACCAAACTTTTGTAATTGAGAAGAAAGATGTCTTTTACCTTATCTGCTCTACATATTTTTCTCTCCAACTTCATGGGCAGCAGAGCTGTTGCCTTTACCAGGAAGCTGTTCCGAACATTGTAATGAAACCCCTCAGATATTCCAGGCCAGTACTGTTTTAAAAAGAGATGTCTAAAAATTCCATTGTACTTGAGATTTCTCCAAATTAGCCATGCTTTGTGCATTTTTTGCCAGAATTCCACTACTAAAATCACTCAAACCAGACCTGCCTTACAAGAACTCCTGAAGGAAACACTAAATATGGAAAGGAAAAATTGGTACCAACCACTGCAAAAACATACCCAATTGTAAAGAATGTCAACACTATGAAGAAAACTGCATCAATTAATGGGCAAAATAACCAGCTAGCATCATAATGACAGGATCAGATTCACATATAACAATTTTAACCTTAAATGTAAACAGGCTAAATGCCCAATTAAAAGACACAGACTGGCAAATTGGATAAAGAGTCAGGATCCATCAGTGTGCTGTATTCAGGAGACCCATCTCACGTGCGAAGACATACATAGGCTCAAAATAAAGGGATGAAGGAATATTTACCAAGCAAATGGAAAGCAAAAAAAAGCAGGGTTGCAATCCTAGTCTCTGATAAAACAAACTTAAAAAGTTGGTTTAAAAAACCAACAAAGATAAAAAAAAATAAAAAAGAAGAAGGGCACTACATAATGGTAAAGGGATCAATGCAACAAGAAGAGCTAACTATCTTAAATATATATGCACCCAATACGGGAGCACCCAGATTCATAAAGCAAGTTCTTAGAGACTTACAAAGAGATTTAGAGTCCCACACAATAATAGTGAGAGACTTTAACACCCCACTGTCAATATTAGACAGATCAATGAGACAGAAAATTAACAAGGATATTCAGGACTTGAACTCAGCTCTGGACCAAGCTGACCTAATAGACATCTACAGAACTCTCCACCCCAAATAAACAGAATACACATTCTTCTCAGCAACACATAGCACTTATTCTAAAATTGACCACATAATTAGAAGTAAAACACTCCTTAGCAAATGCAAAAGAATGGAAATCATAACAAACAGTCTCTCACACCACAGTGCAATCAAATTGGGACTCAGGATTAAGAAAATCACTCAAAACCGCACAACTACTACATGGAAACTGAACAACCTGCTCCTGAATGACTACAGGGTAAATAATGAAATTAAGGCAAAAATAAATAAGTTATTTGAAACCAGTGAGAACAAAGATACAATGTACCAGAATCTCTGGGACACAGCTAAAGCAGTGTTTAGAGGGAAATTTATAGCACTAAATGCTCACATCAGAAAGCAGGAAAGATATAAAATCAACACTCTAACATCACAATTAAAGAACCAGAGAAGAGGTTGGGTGTGGTGGTTCAGGCCTGTAATCCCAGCACTTTGGGAGGCCGAGGCAGGCGGATCCTGAGGTCAGGAGATCAAGACCATTCTGGCTAACATGGTGAAACCCCATGTCTACTAAAAATACAAAAAAATTAGCTGGGCATGGTGGCATGCACCTATAGTCCCAGCTCCTTGAGAGGCTGAGGCAGGAGAATTGCTTGAACCCAGGAGGCAGAGGTTGCAGTGAGCCCAGGTCGTGCCACAGCACTCCAGCCTGGGTGACAGGGCAAGACTCCATCTCAAAAAAAAAAAAAAGAACTAGGGAAGCAAGAACAAACAAATTCAAAAGCTAGCAGGAGACAAGAAATAACTAAGATCAGAGCACAACTAAAGGAGATAGAGACATAAAAAACCCTTCAAAAAATCAATGAATCCAGGAACTGGGTTTTTGAAAAGATTGACAAAATAGACCACTAGCCAGACTAATGAAGAAGAAAAGAGAGAAGAATTAGACACAATAAAAAATGATAAAGGGGATATCACACTGATCCCACAGAAATACAAACTACTATCAGAGAATACAATGCACACCTCTTCACAAATAAACTAGAAAATCTAGAAGAAATGGATAAATTCCTGAACACATACACCCTCCCAAGACTAAGCCAGGAAGAAGTCAAATCCCTGAATAAACCAATAATAAGTTCTGAAATTGAAGCAGTAATTAATAGCCTACCAACTAAAAAACGCCCAGGACCGGAAGGATTCACAGCGAAATTTTACCAGGGGTACAAAAAGGAGCTGGTACCATTCCTTCTAAAACTATTCTAAACAATAGAAAAAGAGGGAATCCTCCCTAACTCATTTTATGAGGCCAACTTCATCCTAACACCGAAACCTGGCAGAGACACAACAAAAAAAGAAAATTTCAGGCCAATATCCCTGATGAACATCGTTGCAAAAATCCTCAATAAAATACTGACAAACTGAATCCAGCAGCACATCAAAAAGCTTATCAACCATGATCAAGTCGGCTTCATCCCTGGGATGCAAGGCTGGTTCAACATATGCAAATCAATAAACATAATCCATCACATAAACAGAGCCAATGACAAAAAACCACATGATTATCTCAGTAGATGCAGAAAAGGCCTTTGATAAAACTCAACACCCATTCATACTAAAAACTCTCAATAAACTGGGTATTGATGGAAAGTATCTCAAAATACTAAGAGCTATTTATGACAAACCCACAGCCAATATCATACTGAATGGACAAAAACTGGAAGCATTCCCTTTGAAAACTGGCACAAGACAAGGATGCCCTCTCTCACCACTCCTATTCAACATAATATTGCCAGGGTAATCAGGGAAGAGAAAAAAAATAAAGGGTATTAAAATAGGAAGAGAGGAAGTCAAATTGTCTCTGTTTGAAGATGATATGATTATATATTCAGAAAACCCCATTGTCTCAGCCCAATGTCTCCTTAAGCTGATAAGCAACTTCAGCAGTCTCAGGATAAAAAATCAATGTGCAAAAATCACAAGCATTTCTATACACCAATAATAGAGAGCCAAATCATGAGTGCACTCCTATTCACAACTGCTACAAATAGAATAAAATACCTAGGAATATAACTTACAAGGGATTTGAAGGACCTCTTCAAGGAGGACTACAAACCACTGCTGAAGGAAATAAGAGAGGTCACAAACAAATGGAAAAAACATTCCATGCTCATCGATGGGAAGAATCAATATCGTGAAAATGGCCATACTGCCCAAAGTAATTTGTAGATTCAATGCTATTCCTATCAAGCTACCATTGACTTTCTTCACAGAATTAGAAAAACTATTTTAAATTTCATATGGAACCAAAAACGAGCCCAAATGGCCAAGACAATCCTAAGCAAAAAGAACAAAGCTGGCGGCATCATGCTGCCTGACTTCAAACTATACTATAAGGCTACAGTAACCAAAACAGCATGGTACTGGTACCAAAACAGATATATAAACCAATGGAACAGAACAGAGGCCTCAGAAATAATGCCACACATCTACAATCTCAGAATGTGAGAAAATTTCTACAATCTATCCATCTGACAAAGAGCTAGTATCCAGAAACTACAAGAAACTTAAACACATTTCCAAGAGAAAAACAAACAATCCCATCAAAAAGTGGGTGAAGCATATGAACAGACACTTCTCAAAAGAAGACATTTATGCAGCCAATAAACATATGAAAAAAAAGCTCATCATCACTGGTCATTAAAGAAATGTAAATCAAAACCACAATGAGATACCATCTCACGCCAGTTAGAATGGCCATCATTAAAAACAACAGGAAACAACATCAGGAAACAACAGATGCTGGAGAGGATGTGGAGAAACAGGAAAGCTTTTACACTGTTGGTGAGAGTGTAAATTAGTTCAACCATTGTGGAAGACAGTGTGACAATTCCTTAAAGATCTAGAACCAAAATGCCATTTGACTCAGCAGTCCCATTATTGGGTATATGTCCAAAGGGTTATAAATCATTCTACTATAAAGACACATGCACACGTATGTTTATTGCGGCACTATTCACAATAGCAAGGACTTAGAACCAACCCAAATGCCCATCAATGATAGACTGGATAAAGAAAATGTGGCACATATACACCATGGAATACTATGCAGCCATAAAAAGGAATGCGATCACGTCCTTTGCAGGGACATGGATGAAGCTGGAAACCATCATTCTCAGCAAACTAACACAGGAACAGAAAACCAAACACTGCATGTTCTCATTCATAAGTGGGAGTTGAACAATGATAACGCATGGACAAAAGGAGGGGAACATCACACACTGGGGCCTGTCGGGGTGGAGGGCTAGGGGAGAGATAGCATTAGGGGAAATACCTAATGTAGATGATTTGATGGGTGCAGCAAACCACCATGGCACGTGTATACCTATGTAACAAACCTGCACGTTCTGCACATGTATCCCAGAAGTATAATTAAAAAAGAAAACTGAGGAAATAGAGATAAACAAAAGGAAAAAAATTACAAAATACAAAAAAAAAATCACTCAAGACGTTAAAAGAGCTCAGGAAACTAATTTACGTGAAATTAATGTAACTTATTTCAACTTTGTTCTACACAATTGATAAGAATGAAATTCTTCAAACTACAGACTTACACCCCCACCTTTGTTACCGTTTGTAGAAGGACAACAATCCACTTCTTTCCATTTGTTGTCGAACTTAAAGGAAAACTCAGAGGAATTTCTGGAAGATTGTATGTTTTCCAAGAGATTTCAACAAGGGTTTTTTAAAGTTTTGCACTTTTGTAGATTTGACAACCACAAGCAACTAAACAGGAATGAAACATATTGTTCAAAACCAATGACTTATTTTTTTTTACAATTTTTTCTCTCACTTTTAACAATCATTATGCAAACCTCGACTTATTGTATGTACAAATAAAATAAGCATACAACGCATTTTGTCTTTTTTTTTTCCTGCCTCCGGTTTATTTGCACAAGTAGCACAAGAGGACCCCAGTCCCATGCAGATGGCAGCCCGGGTCGGGGCAGGGGTCGCACCAGTCCTTCTATCCTCACATTGGCAGACAGAGATACCTACTCTGAAGCCTTTGTAGGGGCCTGGGCACCTTTGGGAGCCTGAGCTGGAACTGAAGCTGGAGCTGCAGCGTCGGCCTTGGTTTGATCCTTGGGCTTGGCCTTGGCCTTTGGCCGGCACAGCCTGAGCCTCTTGGCCATGCAGGCATGACCATGCTTCCCAAGCTTGGAGTGGGCAACGTAGGCAATCGATCGAGCTTGCGGCTGACACCCTTTGAGATCTTGGGCTTAACCTCCTTGGGCTTTACGAGGGCCTTGATAGCCTTGGCACCTATGCTCATGGCCTTGGCATTGTTGGCCTGCATCTTCTTTAGGCCCTTCTTGTGCCTCTTGGCAAAGCGTATGTTCCTCGGGAACTTGGGGTCCACCTCCTTAAGAGATTTGTATCTTTGTCATCGGGGTTTCTTCATACCATTTCTGTGCCATTTTCGGGACTGGTTGTGTGTGGCATGGGTCTTAGACTTGGCCATGTCTGCACCTTAAGCCGCGGCTCCTGAAGCGCCTAGAACCGAAAGAGAAAGGGGCCACCCATACATTGCATTTTGATAACAATCTTCTCAACATATTGTGTGTGTCTCCTGACCCCACTAGTTCGGGTTTCGTCAGGGCTGCCTGCGTGATCTCAAGGCCAATCAGGAAGGAGCAGTGAGGGTTTTTGTCCTGAATGAATTGATATCAGCAAATGAAGGTTTTCAGGGCTTTATTGCAGATCACACCCTACTGCTGTTGATAGTTTTTCTTGTTGTTGTTCTTTCTTTTACCCTTTATTTGGTGGTAGAAGTGGAAGTTAAGAGTGTGGTGAAAAGATAAATATGATGCTTGAAGATTAGAATCTGACCTTTGTTCTGATCAGCCCCTGGCCCTGTGCAGTTCATGGCATCCACACCACATATGGAAGTCCACTTAATGAGACAAGCAGATATTCTGCAGTGGAGATGGTGAAGCTGGATTTTCATCTCCTAAGGAGAGAGCTGATTTCATTCCTCAGCTTCAGAGAGAAGTGAATCAAAAGATGAAATATAGCCATCACGCCTTCCTCCCTTCCCTACATGTGCTATCTGCACTACAACTGTCTTGACTCACCTTTCTCCATTGTTCTCCGTTTCCCCTTCTCTTATAGAAAGCCCTTTGCATCCTAATCCTACAAGCAATGTCCCACCTGCCACACTCAAGAGCCCTATGAGGGTCTGCAGACCGTCTGTTTCCTCGCTTCCTGTCCTAACCTCACACCACATTGTTTATTGGGAATGTGGGGAATACCAAAAATAAGACATAATCAAGCTCACCGCTTTGATGGTTAATCAGGAAACCTCACTTGCCGCCTATTGGGAACACATCGTTAGCCAATGGAGAGGAACAAATATTTTGAAAGAAAGGTGGAAATTTAAGTGGGGGGCTGCAAAAGAAGCCTAATATTACTCCTCAAAAGACATTGCTACCAGAGCCACATGCATTTCTTTTTTCCTTGCCAAAATATTCAAACCAAGGTTTGTAGAAGAACTTTGAACCCCACACTTTATATCTGCACATGGGAGCTGAGTTGAATCTGTGCTTTGTTTTTTTAATTTATTGAGGAGGAAAAAAGCCTTATCTGTATGCATTTGTAAAACCTAATGCATGACCTACTTTTTATATTACCTAATTTTGAGATTTTGGTTAACCCCCCCATTCTCTTTAAGTCTCAGTTTCTTATTCAATAAAATATGTGGCTTGGACCATTTGTTGCTATGGTTCACTCTAGTTCTAAAATGCCATTCTCACCAAATTTAAATCAACTTCACCATGGGGACAAAGCACGAGAAATTTATGGAAAATGACAAGTCCTGAGCATAGAACCACATCCCTGAGCTGTGCCCTGGAGGAGAGTTGAGAATGAACACCCATTGAGATTTAAATGAATGAGAAATAAACCTTTGTGGGTTTTTTTTTTTTTTTTTTTTTTTTTTTGAGACTGAGTCTCGCTCTGTCGCCAGGCTGGAGTGCAGTGGCGCAATCTCGGCTCACTGCAACCTCTGCCTCCCGAGTTCAAGTGATTTTTCAGCTTCCAGAGTAGCTGGGACTATAGGCGTGCACCACCACACCCAGCTATTTTTTTGTATTTTTAGTAGAGACGGAGTTTCACCATGTTGGCCAGGATGGTCTCCGATCTCTTGACCTCGTGATTCACCTGCCTCAGCTTCCCAAAGTGCTGGGATTACAGGCATGAGCCACTGTGCCATGCCTGTCATTTTTAAATCTGTATACATTTGGGGGTTTATTTTTTACAACAGCTACTGTTAACTAATGTATTTCTGGACTTCCATTTCCTCATTTAAAAAAATGAGAGGCCGGGCATGGTGGCTCACGCCTGTAATCTCAGCACTTTAGGAGGCTGAGGCGGGCAGATCACCTGAGGTCAGGAGTTCGAGACCAGCCTGGCTAACATGGTGAAACCCCGTTTCTACTACAAATACAAAAAATTAGCTGGGCGTGGTGGCGTGTGCCTGTAATCCCAGTTAGTCGGGAGGCTGAGGCAGGATAATTGCTTGAACCTGGGAGGCACAGGTTGCAGTGAGCTGAGATGGCGCCATTGCACTCCAGCTTGGGCAACAAGAGTGAAACTCCATCTCAGAAAAAAAGAATGAGAGTAATAATTAGCATCTGGGAATGTTTCTGTGAGGCTGCAATCAAATGACACTTGGGATCAGCCCGGATGTGTCTGCAAGAGTGGGCTTGACTTCTCTGTTTCTTCCCTCCACCCAGCTGCAGAGGGAGGAGCAGTAAGCCCTTGTCACCAGGTGGACAGTGATGAGGTCGAGGCCCACAGAGCCCCCCAGTGGATGCTGTTCTTCTGAAGAGCAGCCTACAAACCTGCTTCTCCCAGAGGAAGCTGTGTGGAAAGTTGCTTCCCCATGCCACACAATGGTCTGGGCAGAGGCCATTGGGGTGGATGATTCACTCCTCCAAGGGCTCGGGAAACCGAATTCCTTCTGCACCCTACTGTCCACTTGCCTTCCCTGCTTCTCTACCTCCCATTGGCTTCTTCTTGCCCTGAAGACCCGCTGCTGTTCTCACGGTAGACCACGGGGTGCTGAGGCAAGAAGAATCAGGAGGTGAGGAGACTGGAATCACCGGCTGTGGCTCAGGCAGGTGTGCCTGAGACAGGGTCACAGATCCCCCGCCTAAAAGCAATGCATATAAATGTCCTGTCAGGGAAGACACTGTGAGCTCCGTCCCTGGTGTGAGTGTGAGGGATGAGCGGGTCTCCGAATTCAGCTCACCCTCAGTCACCCGTTCTGTAAACCAGGAACCAGAAAACCCAGCACTGGCCAAGGAGAGGTGCTTCACACCTGTAATCCCAGCACTTTCGTAGGGCAACGTGGGAGGATCGCTTGAGTTCAGGAGTTTGAGACCAGCCTGGGAAACATGGCAACAAAAATTTACAAATTAGCAGGGCTTGGTGGCATGTGCCTGTAGGCCCAGCTACTGGGGAGGGGGAGGACAGAGGATCACTTGACCCTGGGAGTTCAAGGCTGCAGTGAGAGCCCTGTTTACGCCACTGCACTCCAGCCTGAGCCACAGAGTGAGGGCCTATCTCAAAAAAGAAAAAAGAAGGAGGAGGAGGAGAGAGAAAGGAAGAAAGGAGGAAAGAAGAGAAAGAAAAAGGAAGGAAGGAAGGAAGAAGGAAAGAAAGAGAAAGAAAGGAAAGAAAGGAAAGAAAGAAAGAAACAAAGAAAGAAAGAAAGAAAGAAAAGAAAAAAGAAAAGAAAAAGACTCACCCAGCACCTCTTCATTGGTACTGAGGATAACGTGACAGCTTAAACACGGACCTGCTTTATTTTGCTTACATATTAAAATGGACGGCCTCCAAAACTTCCTTGACTTCACACCATGTCGTCCATATTCTCACCGTCTTCCTATCACTCTTCTGAGAATTTTATTGAAAATTGTAACTTACTGAATTTTTCCCATCCTAAGTAGAAAGGAACATACTCAGCTCTCAGAGTCACTTTGGAAAGTTTCATGATCTCCATCACCCGGCGGGCAAAGCTCTTTTTGGCGCCTGCTCCTTTTGGAAGCCTGAGCCATTCCAGGCGGCTTGGCGACCCTGGCTGCGCAGGCCACAGACGGAGGCCCAGCTCGGCGGGACGGGGCGGGCGGATCGGCGCTGCCCTAGGGGGCTCCGGGCTCCTGCCCTCAGCGCGGCTCCCGCCAGCCTTCGCCCCCGCGCCTCCCTCTCCGTTCTGCTGGTTGCCCTGCGACGATGCTTGGCTCCTGCCTCAGGTCCCCGGCTCGAGTCCCGTACTCCCCGGCCGGCCCTTGCGCTGCCTCCCCCGCCCGGCCAGGTGTCCTGCCCGGCGTGAATGGGAGAGGTGCTTCCCACTGCGGGGGAGTCTGGGGACTCCCGGCGCCAGCCCTGCCCGCACGGCGCCGGGCCCCGCCCACTTGCCCATCCTTTCTCAGTCCCTGGAAGCCGTCCTCTCCCGGGAAAGTCCCTCTTGGTGTTATCATCCTTCTGTTTTCCCTATCAGTGCTTGTAAACTTTTTGTTTTTGAAGACTCCTTTGAGACTGTGTTAAAGGACAGGAGCCTGCCCCCAGGAATGTCTGTGCACAGAGACGCGTGGTTCCGGGAGGCGCGGGGTCTGGGTGTTTCTGCAGCTCCGGGCCTGGGGCTGTCCCCGCAAGGCCCCGCAGCCCCGGGGGGTCCCGAGAACTCCTCCGCACTGGTGTTTTTGCGCCCATGCCGGAGCCCAGCCCCGCTCTTGTCAACCTTTCCCCTCTCAGTCCTCGAAGCTGGGGACAAAACCGCCAGGAGAAATAAGGCACAGGACTAGGGGAGGGGAGGGATTAGAAACTGTAATTCAACCTAATATTTGAGGCTTGGCAAGTGTGCCTATGGGATTTCACGAAAACCCCGAATCTTTTTCATTTCAGAGCAATTAAGCCGACCCCAGCGTCCTGGCTCCAGTAAGCCGCTCAGCTCTCCGTTTTATTGCCTGTTTCCTTCTCCCTTGCCAGCACGAGCGAGCTCCCATCCTTGCGCTCAACATAAAAAACCCACACGGCGTCGGTGCCACGGAGGGGCCCCACGATCAAGTGTGGGGCTGGGGCAGGCGGCCGGGCACATGTGGCCCCCGGGGCCGCGCACAGGCACGGCTTTCGCTCTAATCAGAAACATCCCGCCGTAATTTAATAGTTCCCACCAAGCACAGACACCAAGTCTAGCGATTCTTCCTCCACATTCTTAACCCTTAGAGGAGGTGGGAAGGCTAAAAGAGAGGGGAAATTAATCCCTTAGAGTTGCTACCCTGGGATTTTTCACTTGCAGTTTTTTCGCTCTGATGTGAAAGAAAACGATGTGAGCTTTGGAGGCTTGCAGGGAGCAGGAATTTATATTAAAATGCCCTTCCTCGGTTCTGGCAAGGGGCATAGGTGGGGGAGAGCGGTGGAGTCCCTCACTCCCTGGGGAGGGCCAGTCCTGCTAAGAGGCCAGACAGAGCACCTACCGGGGCCACCAGCAAAGCGGTGCACCGATTAAAAGTGTTTGAATCCTGATTTGACACAGCAGTGAGGCAGTTGACCTGCCGGTTCTGAGGCCTCCCTCTCCAGCCTCTGGGGCTCGGCCAGCCAAGCGCCTCTGGGTTGTGGATGTCAGTGTCTTCCCCAGGACCGTGGTCGTGGGGGTGGGAGTCCCCCTCAGCCTGTCACATTCTCACCTGCAGGTGGAATACCATAACTAAGAAAGCCACAAGATTGGAAGCATGAGCTTTGGAAGAAATTTGTCTTCTACTTAGATGTTTTGATTAGTTAGTTTTGATTTAAATTAAGTTTTCCTAAAATTCAGGAGTAGGAACCCACCATGTCAACTTTTCCATATCGTTAAGACCAGCCAGTGACAGCTGTCAACCCTCTGTGGCTTGTCTTCCATACCCACAGACTCGTATCCATCTGAGGCCACTGGTGGTCAGGCTTCCTCTGCTGAGTGAGCCACAGGCCCACATGCATGTATGTGTACACACACTGCACGCATACAGCACCCGTGTGTATACACAGCACGTGCATACACAAATGGCATGCATACACACACCACACATGTACACACACAGCACGTGCATACACAAATGGCATGCATACACACACCACACATGTACACACACAGCACACATACACATAGCACAAGTGTATACACACAGCACAAGCATACACAGACAGCACAGGTGCACACACACCACATGCGTACACACACACTTGTATACATACACTGTGCATTTCTCTCAGTGAACATTCACCACATGCCTTGGGTGCATGCAGTATTATGCTGCATGAGATAGGGTCCCCAAACCTGGCTTCACCTTCAAAGCACTGAAGGAATTTTGAAGAGACTCCCTAATCTACCAAATCGAGTGAGGACTTGAGACATTTTTATTTATAAAGGCTCCGAGATTGCTCTGAGGTGTAGCTGGGGCCCGCAGGTGGAGAGCATTCATGTTTGCACCACCTGTTAAGAAGCTCACCCCCAACGCAGTGCCGGTGGAGAGTGGCTGGCGTCTGGCACCCAGGTATGCAGCTTTGCTCTGTGACTCTGATGAGTGGTGGGACCTACGGAAAACGGTAGAGCTCTCAGAGTTCCCCTTCGCTTATCTGCAAAAAGAAGATGATAATGGCATCCGCATTATAGAGTTTTTGTGCACATGGAATGAGTGAATATTTGAGAAGCATTTGGAACAGCAAGTGGTTTAAGTTGTGAGTGCTAAATAGAAGTGTTACCATTTCCCTTGAGATGTGAGTTGATGGTGTAGACTGGTGGAGGGCCGAGGAAGCCTGCAGCACTGGGAGAGAGGGTCCCGCTTGTGGCAGCATGACTGGGAAGAAACACCATGGCAATGGTTTGCAGGTGGGACTGATGGGGAGATGTGCAAGCTGATGGAAAGTGTAGAGACGTGTTCATTTATGAATCATCTACAGGCCCAGCTAATCAAATTCATGTCAAGCAATGTTGTTCTCCTTCCCAACAGGCCTGACTCTGGGAACAGGTAAGTAAATGGGGTGTGCACACTTGAGGTGAGATGGAGGCTTTCTCAGACCACACAGGCCCACTCCCCCTGCAGATCCTAAATCTACATATGGCCTAACTCAAGAGCCGCATGAAGGAATATGCACAAGATGACTCTGCAGGCCCCTACCACTGGACACATGACTGCTGCTCCCTCCACCGATGGAGAAAGGGGCCTAGAAGAGGCCAGCCAGTAGCCTGCAGTCAGGATCTAGGCCACGAATGGAATTCTCAACTACAGACTGAAAGCCCTGGTGTGTAGACCAGCCTCCACCCTCTTTCTAATGGAGAAAACTCCTTATCAGATATAAAATATTTGATGTATGTATTCATATGTTACATAAATGAATGTGATATTTATTTGTTCATTTATAAGCTTGATAATAGGCACAATTTTATAAGAAGCACATGCCGTTCTACACGGTGGGAGAAGCTGGGTTCAACGGCTCCGAGAACTTCAGCTTGTTAGAGAGACCAGTGTTTTTCTTTGTGCTTAGGAACAGCATTTTGTAGTGAAATGTGTCTTCAATGACAGCATTTAGCGTCCTGTCCCAAATAAGAACAGCCTCCCAGTGAAATCCAGGAAACCGAAACAATCATGACAAGAGAATGTGCAATGCCAGATGAATCTGGATCCTACATTTTTTTTGTCTCTACTTTCTTTGACATTAAATATTGTGTGAGAAAAAACTCTGACTCCCAGTGAGCCATCTGTCTTTTGTTTCTTTTTGGGTGTGTAGCCACCCGCAGTAATCAGCCTAATCCTGAAGTCAGTAACTCTGTTACACAGATAGGGCCCTGATTAGAGGAAAGCGAACCAGGGGCCTCTGGGTTTGCTTCTCCAGGTTCCTTAGAAACTTACAGTTTGGCTCTCATCACTCTCACATTCCTAGCAAATCCAAGGGCAGGTTGTCCCGGGTGACCCTGGCCAGGGTGCCAGCTTCCCTCAGGCCCCACAGGGATGTGGATGGCCCAGGCTGGCGCCCTGGTGTCCTGGGCTTGCAGAGCCACCACCAGGGAAGCTGCCCCAACCCACTCCTATCCATCAGGTTGGAGGGCTGGGGTCGGGGGGGGTCTATCTCTGGCAAGGATTGTTTTATATGGGTGGCTTGAAGTCATTCAACCTTTAGCCTTATGCCTGTAACTCCACCCCCAGCATCCAAGAATTGCCCTGAAATGCAATGCCTGACCAAGCTAGCCTCACTTTAATGATGCGTGTCATCTTTTTCCCTGAAGAATCCTTTTTCGCAGTGATCTCAGGCTGGAGGTGACCGCCATCACAGGACCCAAAGAACAGACATTTCCCCAACTCCCGTCGTCCTAGAACACAAATCCAGAAAGGCAGGCACCTGAGGCAGAGCCAAGACATTCACCTCAGGGCCTCCAAGTTGCATCCTCCTCCCTCCCTCCTCAGAAGCACGTCCCCTGCCCTCTCCTGTCTCCCGGGGCCTTCTGCTTCCTAACTCCTCTCTAAATCAAAGCAACATATTTATCCTGGAACTCAACCCCTTTCCAGCCAGTGTGGTAATTCTCCAGGCATTTGCATCTTCAGATTTTTATCTCCAATCATTAAATGGAAGCTTTGTGTCTTGTTAAAGGAATGTCTGGTTTGAGGGGAGGATTTTTGGATAAATCCTCCTTACACCTAAAATCACTTCAAGATTTCTGTGTGCCTGGATCTGAGAGCCGAGGATGCTGGAGCAGCACTCCTCTCACCCCAGCCCCTGCCCAGGACTCTCCCAAAGATGGAGAGGGTGGCACTAGGTCAACAGTCCCAGATGCCTCTCCTTCCTGCAGCATCGACCTTGGGATGAGGCCTTGAAGGCTATCTAGATGGTCGGGGGAAGAACATGGGGAATCATGGGGTACAGGGGGAGGTGGAGCAGGGCCCAGAGTAGGTTCACCAGGCTCTGTCTGGCCAGCTGACAGAGCAGAGATTAAGGGCTGGGCCTTTTCATACCGCATGTCCATGTGTGAGCCACACACTGTACCAGCAAAGCTAGGGTGACACCAGATCTGAGTGCTAGAAACCTAATGAGGTAAAGAAAAACATTTGGAAGATGATTGTAAAAGCCATACTGATTATAGTGATTCTGGTTAACTGCTGATCACTCAGGCCTGGTTACCATGCTGTACAATAATGACTATGTACATCCTGAAATGTGTGTCAGATTAGCTACATTTTTTTGATTACAGCAGCAAATTCTGCAAATGTATGACCACTCAGTCTTTATAATTAGCTTCTTCTGTGGCACTATCTACTCAAGCAGCCTGGTTTTGGGCATTTGTTCTAAAATATATGAAATGAATAAGATAAAATTTTAAAAAATAGGGAAAATAGCCACACTGGGCCTGCTCCAAAGGCTCACGTGACCAGGCCCCTGCCATGCCTGCCTCCTGGAAGGAAATCACACCAGAAATCAGGTGACAGCACTGTTCTACTCACTCCCTTATCTCCGGTGCCCAGAACGGCACCATACACCATAGGTGCTTCATACACGCTTAATGAGGGAAGTAAACAAATGACTAAAAGTAAAGGCAGAATCAGTGTGGGTGATGTTTTGACAGCTGCACTCTGACACCCTTGATGCTCTGAGAGGCTAGAGAATAACACAGCACAGGTAAGCGCCTTCCAGTTGGTGACCTGTGTTGGCACCCTGGCTCCATCACTAGTTCTTATGACTGTTCATGTCATTCACCTGGGGGAGCCTCTGCTTTCTCTCAGGAAAGTGGAGATATTAATCACCTCTCAGAATTCATGAGAGGATTATATGTTTTTAGAAAATAATTCCAGGCTGGGTGTGGTGGCTCACACCTGTCAATCCCAGCACTTTGGGAGGCCAAGGCAGGAGGATCACTTGAGGCCAGGAGTTCTAGATAAGCCTGGGCAACATAGTGAGGCTATGCCTCTACAAAAAAAATTTTTTTAATTAGCCGAGTGTATACACACTTGTGGTCCCAGATACTTGGGAGGATCACTTGAGCCCAGGAATTTGTGGCTGCAGTGAGCAGTGATCATACCACTGCAATCCAGCCTGGGCTACAGAGAAAAACCCTGTCTCAAAAATTAAAAATATAAATAAAATAACTCCATAAATGCTAATGCTAAAGCAACTGCATGCTTTCCTTTGAAGTCATTTACATTCATTTAAGTGGGAATTTCTTATTGTGCAGTGTTAGGGTTTGAATGTGTGTCCCCTCAAAAATTCATGTTGAATCTTATCCCCCATGATGGTAGTATTAGGAGGTGGGGGCTTTGGGGAGGTGATTCAGTCATGAGGGCTGCATTGTCATGAATGGAACTCGTATCCTTATAAAAGAGGCTTCAGAGAGAGGTCACCTCCTACTCTTCCACCCCTTCCATGTTGTGAGGACACAGCAGCAAGAGGCCATCCTGGAAGCAGAGAGCTGCTCTCACCAAACACCAAAGCTCATACTTTGCTCATGGACTTCCCAGTCTCTAGAATTAGGATGTGAAATAAATTTCTCGTCTTTATATGTTACCCAGTCTCAGGCACTTTATAATAGCTGCACAAGGGGACTAAGACATGGGGTATGTGGTGAGCATCTTGGCATCTCTCCTTCTAAGGACCCACCTTAGTAATGGATGGAACGCATAATTGGGCCTTGTTTTTCAAAGAGAACTACTAGTGTTTTCAGAATTTTGCCTTTCGACTCACCAAACTCCATTGAGGAGAAGAAAATTGTGCCTGCCCTCTATTAAGTGTAGGGGCATTCATGCTTTCAGGCTGGTTCCAGCTTTTGTTAGAGCAAAGTGAGTGGCACCCTGAAGGCAGCCCTCACCATGCCCATCCTTCGGAAGCAGCCCCATGTCTGGGCACAGCAGGGTACCCTGAAAGAATGTGCTCTGGCCAGAGCCAGCCCAGCCACCACTTTGTGATGGGAGGCTGAGCACACTGCTTCATCTCTCTGGGCCCTGGTTTCCTCTTCTGCAACTTTTTTTAATATAGTTTACCTCCAAGGTGAGAGCTAGAGACTGAATTGTATTCCCCAAAATTCATATATTGAAGCCTTGACCCCCTGTCTGCAACTATATTTGAAGACAGGGCTTTTAGGAAGTAATGAAGGTTAAATGAGGTCATCGTGGAGGAGTCCTGATAGGGAGAGGCTGGTGGCCTCATACCAAGAGAGACCAGAGCTCACTTGCTTTCTGCCATAGGAGGACCCAGCAAGAAGGTGGCCACGAGGCAGGAAGGGGCCCCCGCCAGACACCACATCTGTCAGCATCTTGATCTTGGTTGGACTTCTGAGCCTCCAGAACTCTGAGAAATAAATGTCTGTTGTGTAAGCCACGCAGTTCATGGTATTTTGTTATGGCAGCCTGAGCTGACTGAGATAGTGAAGATTAAATGAGAACTTCAAGCAAAGCTCCCACCTCAAAGGAGCCTCTCATGAAAGTCAGCTCTCTTTCCCAAGCACAGTACTCTGAGTATGATTCAGCTTTCCCTTGATAAATTAGGATCCTGCAATGCCTCAGAATCATTGCTCTGAATAAGAAATCTCCACACACAGTTATATGAAAGAAACCATAGAAGGTGCTGAAAATACCAGTGATTGCACGCCTCTCAGAAAACAAATTTCTCTTTCTTTTACCGTTAAATCTCATTCTACCTTTCTGCTATTTGATACTTTAGTGTAGTAAATGCTAGAGAAAGAAGCTGTGATTCTACTGAGTCAAGGATCTGTTTCAATTAAATGAAAGCTGCATCCTTTGAAACAAGGGTCCCCTGGGTGGATGTACAGCTACCATCCTCCTAGTGAATGTGCTCTCCATCCAGTAGTCCTCTAGTGAAGTTATTGCTAAAATAGCTTTTTGCTCCTCCAGGGGCTTGCCGGAAGCAATGGGATCAGCCAACCAGAGCTTTCCTGTCTGTCCTCTGCCAGCTCTGAGCGGCACTTGACTCAGGCATCCCATCGCCTCTGTGCCCCTCTTCCCCTTCCCTCTGCCCCATAGTCTTCTGAAAAGAATGGGATGAACTAACATCATTAGGAACTAGATCGCGGATCCTTCCCAAGGAGTGTGGCACTTCTTTCTGGGAAGATTCTCTCTGGGCAATACACCCTCAAGAACAATAAAGGACCCTCCAATTACACATGTCAATCGCCAGTCCCCCAGGGAGGTAGCCATAGCTCAGGGTGGGATGGTGCATCACTGGCAGCCACCTGCATGAGGACTCCCAGGCCCCCCTGCCATGCCCACCACCCTCTCCCCATCGACACCAAAGAGAGCCCCTCAGCATTCTGAAGAGGGGATAACAAAGGGGTTGAGTAGACAGCTTGTAAATCCCTGTCCCACAGATGGGGCTCTGCCCCATTCCCCAAAATAAAAAGATGACACAGAAGAGCTGGCAGCATTCTGGGTGAGCGGCAGCCTATGGGTGAGAGACAACTTCCTTGTTTCCAGGACCAAGCTCTGTTTTGGTCCCATGAGGCAGGCGGTTCCTCAGCGAGGTGAAGGAAGACACCCTCACTTTCCTGAATTGTTTGCACCAAGCTTCAGATGAGCCTTGTGGGCAACCGAAGTCCCAGTTGCTTTGAGAACCCTGATGGAAGGAGCTGTGTCACTAACCTGTCAAGTCCCAGACATTCTGCCACTCTAAGATAAACCACCAAGATCGGAGGTTCTCTTTTAAATCATACAGTTACCTTGGAGGCAGAGACCTCTTTGTCCTTGGCCCTTGGTCCTAGATCCTTTCTCTGCCATGGAGGCCTCAGTGGCCTGAGACACCAGAGAGGTAAGTTTGATTTGGGCAGGAAGGCACGGGAAGTGTCCAATACCCCACTTGGCCTATCCTCTGGGGTATTGGACACAGTGGCCAGTACCATAGAGGGGTGCAGGTGATGGGCCACAGGGCAGAGGCAGGAGAGTTCAGGAATGGGGAAGTATTTGGAGAGAGCCAGTTATAGCAAACATGTTCCACGAGAGAATGCCCCAGCTGGCCATGTGGCAGTACAGTGTCTATTCACGGGCAAGGAAGCAAACAGCTGACTACACAGCTTTAACTTGGAAAGGAGCGGATTTCTTTATCACTGATATATTAAAAAATGCCACCACAAAGATATTTAAAACAAGAATCAGAAACCCAAGCCAGGCTAATGCCTCTGTAAATAACATAAAGAAACATCATTTAATGAATGGTATTAACTACTACACAGGGTGCAGGGCTTGTCATTCCAAAAATAAACATTTGCTTATAAAGAAAAGAGTGGGATTGGTTGAACCAGTTTTTCAGGCCAGTGCAGAAAAGTAAAAATCTGATTTATTTTTTCCCCTGTTCTGTTCCATTAAAATGAAATCGTGCAGAAAGCAACGTTTCCGTATGTATGCATGTTTTTAAAAGGTGGGGGAGCTCTAGGTGAACAATTATCCAAATATGATGCCCACTGCAGCAATTCAATGTGTGTGGCATAGAAGCTGAAGTTTCCTTACAGGGTCTCCTAAGGTCTTCACAGGCCATGGTGTCCTAAAGCCTGCCCACAGCTGCTTGAGAGAGCCAATGGTGCACAACCTCTCACAATCCCTCATTCAGTGACATTGCGTCGGCAGCTTAAGATCAGCCATGGTGGAAGTATTTCCACCACAGAAACCAGTAAGCCCTACCCACCAGGGCTTCTGTTCCCCAGAGACCTAACTGTTAAACATTTACCAGCATAGCACTGGAAAAAGTTGTTGCAGACCAGAAATAGGCAGACGAAGGCCTCTGCCTGTTGGAGTATGGCCCGAGCTAGGAATGGTTTTTGTGTTTTCAGTGATTGGTAGAAACACCCTTGACCACTATCATCAAACACTGAATGGTTTTGGAAATTAGCTTTTGCTACAGATTTGATCATGTTTCTTAACAAATTCAACTTAAAGTGACAAAACAGCACTTATATATAACACTTACAATGTGATAAACTCATTTTGTCAACAACTAATCTTGTTGAATCAAAAGTAATGTCAATATACTTTATACACTTCCTGTATTGTTAATGTTTAACATAAGAAATTAGCTCTCCATTCCCATACAAGTACACAGTGGATATATATATTTTTTAGCTCAAACCATGGTAGTGGCAGCAATACTTGCACTTCATTGCAAGTGTGAAAAATTGGTCTATATTTCAAAATCCATTTAAGCTTTTGGGATCTGGAACAAGATGGTATATACCACTTTTCCCTACTGATCTCCTCTAAATGCAACTAAATAAGCCCACAAATTATAAAACAGACTATGATTCTAGAAAGAATAACTCTAAACCCTGAAAAGGAGAAAGTGAACTAACTAGGGATTTTAAGACTTAAGGAAAAACCAGGAGGTTCCCTAGGTGTCCTAAGGGATCAGCCATGACAGGCCTGCAATTCGGACCCCCAACAGGCATAGATTAAAAAGCTTTTATAGCCTGCTCTCGCTAGCAAAAAAAAAAAAAAAAAAAATTAAAAAAAAAAAACTGGGAAAGGGGAAGCCTAAGAGAGTCCTGATGGGAAGCCTCGACTTCTGCTCGGAACCAGGGAACCAGTAGGCCACTTAACCTGCCAGGCCAGCATCAGTAGCACCCTGCATTGCCCTGCCCTCTGCCCAGTTGCATAAGGAGACCAAGGCCCAGCAGCTCCTGAGCTTCTATCCCCCAGTAACAGAAGGTGAGCCAGCAATACAAGGCAACCCAGAGAGGCGCTTTCCATCTCTCCAGGGCAGCACCAACAGAGATTGAAAGGGGCCCCCAGAAGTGCCAGAAGAATGAGTCAGACCAGAAAAGCATTGCAAGCATTTTGAAAACTAAACTGATATGAAACTAGAGCCAATAGCAGGCCACAGTGTACATACCAATCTTAAGCAGGGTGACTGCCTGCTAAAACAGATTTCAATCAGATGACAGTCTCCTAACATAATAAACAAAATGTTCAAGATGCAATCAAAAATCACATATCATACCAAAAACCAATAGAACACAACTTCAATGAGAAAAGACAATTAACTGATGCAAATACAGAGATGAATTAGAAGTTGGAGTTATTGGACAAGGATTTTAAACTAGCCATCACAGAAATGTTTTAACAATCAATTATAAATTATCTCAAAACAAATACAAAAACTTCAGCAAAGAAAAGAAGTTATAAAAAAGAACCAAATAAAAATTACAAACTGAAAAATATAATAACCAAAATGTTTTTAAAGTACTCGAATTTAATAGTAGAGTAGTGATGATGGATGCTACACTCAGTGAACTTGAAGACAAACCAATAGAATTTACTCAGTCTGAACAACAGAGAGAAAACAGACTTTAAAACCAAAGATCTACCATTCATATTATTGAACTCCCCAAGGATAGGACTAAGGAGTATGAGACCAAAAACTTCCCAAATTTAATAAAATACATAAGCCTAAAGATTTTAAAAGCTGAGAAAAACATAAATATGATAAACCAGAACTACACAAAGACACATTATAATCAATTTCTAAAAATCAAAGAGTTAAAAACAAACAAGGAGAAATAATACATAACTTATAAAAGAACAGAAATTCATATGACATCAGATTTCTCATCTGAAACTACGGAGGCCAGAAAAAAGTAATACAACAGTCTTCACATGCTGAAAGAAAAGAGCTCTCAACTGCAAATTCTATACGTGGACAAACTATCCTTAATGAGTGAACTGGAAATTCTCACACAGAGAAAAACTAAGAAAATTTGTTACAGGCTAAATGAAACTCCCAAACAGAAAGAAAATTATAGCAAAAGAGGGCTGAAAATTTTAGAAAAGAAAGAGAACAATGGAAAGGGTAAAAAATAGAAATAAAGACAATAGACTATCATTTAATGAGTTACTTTAATGATATTTTATGGTTGAAGCAAAACTTATAAAACAATCTGATGTGGTATTCATTCTATGTGCAGGGAATACTTAAGACAATTTATATTTATTTATTTTTTATTTATTTATTTATTTTTGAGACAAAGTTTCACTCTGTCACCAGGCTGGAGGGCACTGGCACCATCTTGGCTCACTGCAACCTCTGCCTCCCAGGTTCAAGCAATTCTCCTGCCTCAGCCTCCCGAGTAGCTGGGATTATAGGTACATGCCACCATGCCCAGCTAATTTTTGTATTTTTAGTAGAGATGGGGTTTCACCATGTTGGCCAGGATGGTCTCAAGTTGATCTGCCCGCCTCGGCCTCCCAAAGTGCTGGGATTACAGGCGTGAGCCACCACACCCAGCAACAATTTATATTTAAAAACTAGGGAGGGTAAAGGACCTATGTGGAAGTAAGGTCTACACATTATTCAAAATGATCAAACGTCAACACCAGTAAGCTGTGATAAGTTATGTATGTATATGGTAATATAGAACAAGAAAAAAGCTATACAAAGTAATATACTCAAAAACACTATGAAGAAATCAAAATGGAATTCTAACAAAAGGTTCAAGTACCACACAGAAAAGCAAGAAATAAAAAAGAGAAAATGAGAAAAAAAAGAACAAACAGAAAAGAAAAAATAAAAAGTCAGACCTAAGCCCTACTGTATCAATAATTACTTCAAATCCGAATGCCTTAAATACACCAATAAAAGCACACAGGTTGGCACAGTGGATTTAAAAAAGATGCAACCCAAATATACGCTGTCTACATATAAACTCCCTTAATGCAAACAACATAGGTAGGTTTATAGTAAAAAAGATGAAAAAGTTATATCATACAGACATATTTTTTAAAAGCAAAAGTGGATACGTTAAAGTAGATGTCAGAGAAAAGAACGTTAAAAAGATGGACATTACATCAACCTACCAAGAATATACAGCAATTCTAAATCTACATGCATCAAATGCCAGAGCTTCAACTAACAGAACTGAAAGGAGAAATAAACGAATTGTAGTTGAGAGCCTAAACACCCCACTCTCAGGAACTCAACATCACCATCAACTGAAAGGATTTAATTGACATTTATAGGACATCATCTAGGAACAGCAAAATGCACATTCTTTTTGTTTGTTTGTTTTGGGTTTTTTTGTTTGCTTGTTTTTGAGACAGTGTCCCACTCCATCACCCAGGCTGGAGTGCAGTGGTGCGATCTCGTGCAGTGCACCACGCCCAGCTAATTTTTGTATTTTTAATAGAAACAGGTTTCACCATGTTGGCCAGGCTGGTCTTGAACTCCTGACCTCAAATGATCTGCCTCGGCCTCTCAAAGTGCTGGGACTACAGGTGTAAACCACCATGTCCAGTCAAAATGCACATTCTTTTAAAGTGCCCATATAATGTTATTAAGAATGTTGGGTCATAAAACAAATCTTACTAAATGTAAAATAATTGAGTCATACAGAGTGCATTCTGTTACCATGATAAAATAAGACTAGAAACAAATAACGGAAAGATAAAAGGGAAATTCCCAGACACTTGGAAATTAAATAACACACTTTTACATAATCCATGAATCAAAGAAGCGGTCCATAAGAAATTTTTAAAAACAATTACAACTGAATGAAAATTAAAAGACAACATATTAAAATGTTGGGGATTGAGCTAGAGTAGTATTGAGAGGGAAATTTATAGCCCCAAGTCCTTCTAACGAATGGAGAGATCTCAAATCAGAAATCTAAGCTGAACTTAGATTGAAATCTCATGAAATAGGAAAAAGCAAGGCAAAATATATCAAAAGCAAGCAAAAGTAAAGAAATAATAAAGATAAAACAGAAGTCAATGAAATTGAAAGCAGAAGAACAATAGAGGAAATTAATGGAGAAGAATGATTCTTTGGGGAAAAAATAGTGAAAATGGCAAACCTAAGCATTTTGACAAAGATAAAAAGAGAAGACACAAATCACCAATATCAGGAATCAAACAAATGAAATTACAAATGATTCTGCAGTATAACAAGGAAATACTGCTAACAACTTTATACTTACAAATTAAACAACTTAGAAGAAATCACCAATTCCTGGGAAACTCTAACTACCAAAACTCAGCCAAGATGAACAGATAGCTTAAATAGTACTATAATTACTAAATTGAAGGTGTAATTTAAAAGTTTCCCAAAGAGACATCTCTGGGCCCATATTATTAGGAAAACTTAACAACAATTTTACACAAACTCTTCCAGAAAATAGAAGAGAAGGAAACACTTCTGAAATCATGCTATGAAAAACTCTACATATATAAATTTAACAACAGAGATGCAATGTACAATTTTCTTAAACAGTACAAACTACTACAGTTCACCCAGTAAGAAACAGATAATTTTATTACCTCTATATTTAGGAACTTGAATTTGTAATTTTTAAAACTTTCCAGAAATAGGCATTTCTCAGTAGATAGTTTCCCTGAAGAATTCTATCAAATGTTCGAAGAACACAAGTATGCATAATCCCCTCCAGAAAATAAGAGGGTGTACTTCCCAACTCACTTATAACAATACTATTGTGCTGATACTAAAACCAGACATAGTACAAAAAAGAAAACCATTGACCAATATCACTCATGAATATAGATGGAAACATTCTTAATCAGATATTAGTAAATAAAATTCAATAATAAATATAAAATATGTGCACAATGACTAAGTGGGGTTTATTCCAGGAATGCAAGACTGGTTCATTATTCAAAAACCAATCAATGTAATCTACCATATTAATAGGAAAAAAATTATATGCTCATATCAGTTGATGCAGAATGACAAAACTCAACACCATTTCATAATCTTTAAAACTTTTAGTACATTAGGAAAAGAAGGGACATTCCTCAACCTTATAATGAGCATCTACAAAAATACTATGGCTAACATTATTTTTAATAGTGGAAACTGAATGTTTTTCCTCTAAGATCAGGAGCAATGCAAGGATGTCTCAGCATTCTTCTTTAACACAGTTCTAGAAGTACTAAGCAGATGCAATAAGGTGAGCCAAAGGGGGAAAAATAAAAAAAACATGTACAGAGTAGAAATAAATAAAACCATCTCTACTTGCAGATGACATGATTGTCTATGTAGATATCTTAAGAAATGTTTTTAAAAACTCATAGAACCAATAAATGAGTTCAGTAAGATTGCAGGATACAAAATCAACACACAAAAATCAATTGCACTTCTATCTACTGAAAACAAATGGAAACCAAAATTAAAAGTTCACTACCAATTATAATCTCTTCAAAGAAAATTAAATTATTGTCTATAACTCTAACAAAACATGTATAAGCCATATGATAAAAATTATAAAATGCTAATGAAGGAAATCAAAGTCATAAATTTTTTGAATAGACATACCATGTACATGGATTAGAAGACAACATAGCAAACATATCAATTCTCCCTAAATTTATAGACAGAGCTAATGAAATTCCTATCAAAACCTTGAAAAGATTTGTTGTCAACATAGAAAAATGTATATGGACAGAAAGAGGTCCAAGAAGAGCCAAATCAATTTTGAAAAATTAGGATAAAGTGGGAGAAATTATTAGGCTTACTATATAGCTAAAGTAATCAAGACTACATGATATTGATGGAGGGATAGACAGATAGATCAGTACAACAGACTAAAAAATCCAGAAGGAGGTTTACATACATATATGCCCAGTTAACTTCTGACGAAGGAGCAAAACAGTTC
This sequence comes from Homo sapiens, assembly GCF_000001405.40. Lineage (NCBI taxonomy): Eukaryota > Metazoa > Chordata > Mammalia > Primates > Hominidae > Homo > Homo sapiens. The sequence continues at coordinate 48,365,430 of NC_000008.11, read as the reverse complement.
AACAGAGGAGGGAAAGCCTTGTCGAAAATAGTGCTGGAGCAATTTGACATCCATAGGCAAACAAAATGTGAACCTCAACCTAAACAGAATACCTTAGAAAAAAAAAATCAACTCAAAATGGATCATAGATTTAAATGTAAACTGTAAAACCATAAAACCTCTAGGAGGAAGTCTTTGGGACCAGGCACTAGGCAAAGATATCTTATACTTAAACACGGTAAAATCCATAAAAGGAGAATATAATAAATTGGACCTCAGCAAAATTATTAAATTGAATGCATAATTTAAAAGTTTCCCAAAGAGACATCTCTGGGCCCAGATTATTAAGAAAACTTAAGAACAATTTTACACAAACTCTTCCAGAAAATAGAAGAGAAGGAAACACTTCTGAAATCATGCTATGAACATGCAAATGTTTATAGCAAAATTTCAATTTTTGCTCTGCAAAAGACCCTGTTAAGAAGAACGTAAAGACAAGCTACGGGATAGGATAAAATTTTTATAAACCATGTATCCCACAAAGGACTTGTAGCTAGGCTATCTAAAGAACTTTCAAATCTCAACTTAAAAAAATATATCTATATTAGTAAAGGAGCAAAAGACACTAAGAGATATCTCTCTGAAAAGGACATAGAGATGACAAAGAAGCACATGAAAAAAATTTCATCATCATTACCCACTAAGGAAATGCACGTGAAAACCACAAGGAGCTATCACCACATATCTATTAGAATAGCTAAAATTCAAATGATGCAATATCAAATGTGAGAGAATACATATGGAGAAACTGGAATGTTTGTGGGAATGTAAAATGGTATAGCCACTCTGGGAAATACTTTGGCAATTTCTTCTAAACCTAAAAGTGAACTTACCTTATGACCAAGAATTGTACTCGGGCATTTCAGAACAATGAAAATTGATTTTCTCACAGAAATTTGACTATGAATATTCATAGCAGCTTTATTCATAAAAGTGCAAAACTCATAACTACCAAATATCCTTCAATGGGTGAATAGTTCAATAAGCTCTGGGACATCCAGACAGTGGAATACTACTACTCAACAATTTTAAAAAGCTATTGATCCACACAATTTTTATGACCCTCAAGGAAAGCCAATCTCAAAAGTATAAATACTGCATGATTCCATTTATATAATGTTTGTGAAATAACATAATTACAGAGATGGATAATAGGTTAGTGGTTGCTAAGGGTTATGGATACAGATGGAAGCACAGGTGTGGCCATAAACAGGAAGCATGAGAGAACCTTGTAGTGATGGTACCACGATTGTAGTCATGGTTACATGAAGTTACACATGTGATAAAATTGCATAGAACTACACACACATATCCACCAATACTATAGCTAGTGAAATCTCAATAAGCTCCACGGATGGAACCAACATCAATTTCCTGGCTGATATTGTAGCATATTTACACAAAATAATAACATGGGGGGAAGCTGGGTGAAGGGTACTCTGGACCTCTCTTACATTTCCATGCAACTTCCTGTGAACCTATAATTATTTCATAATGAAAAGCTATTTTTTAACAAGACATATAAAGGTAATGGGATGGATCATTTCCACACTCAGATGTGCAAAGAAAAGATTGCCATATTATTTTTTTGTAACTAATTTGATCTTGCTCTCAAGTCCTACACTGCTGGATATCAAGAGAGAAACATTAAATTTTCTAAATAAAGTATTTAGATTTTTTCTGGTTTATAAGAATAGTCATACAAAGTCCATATTTTTTAGAGATGAACACTGAATTATGTAGGAATTAAAGTGATGTAATGTCTGAGATTTGTTCCAAAATGTTTTTTTGTTTGTTTTTATGTTTGTTTGTTTGTTTGTTTTGAGACAGAGCCTCCCTCTGTCACCCAGAATGGAGTTCTGTGGCATGATCTCGGCTCACTGCAACCTCCACCTCCCAGGTTCAAGCAGTTCTCCTGCCTCAGCCTCCCAAGTAGCTGAGATTACAGGCCACCACACCCAGCTAATTTTTGTATTTTTAGTAGAGAGGGGGTTTCGCCATGTTGACCAGGCTGGTCTCGAACTCCTGACCTGAAGTGATCCTCCCACCTCAGCCTCCCACAGTGCTGGGATTACAGGCATGAGCCACCACACCCAGCCTCCCAAATGTTTTTAACAGAAAAGGAAAAAGAAATAGAAGAGGAAATGACTGATGAAGTGAACATGACAAAATCTAGATAATTCTAGAATGTAGGTACATGTGGATTATTAGACTATTATCTTAATTTTTTTGTATGATGTTTGAAAATATTCATTCCATAATTTTCTTTTTGAAAAATCAATTAAACGTGTAGTTGAAGAGTCTCCACTTAACCTTCAATAGGAACTATTAAATCTGGAGTATCATGACATACTAAAAGCACCTATTAAGAGAAGAATCTTATCAAATTCTAGATGTGCCTTCCAAGTGATGATATCCTCAGTTAAAATCACATGCTCATGAGTTAATGTCATTATCTGGCAGCAGCTTGTTGTGTAAAATGGCATTTTCAAAGGTGAAATATGTAAGATCTCCTTCCTATTAGATCAGCATTAAGAGATGAACATTTGTCTTTGATTTTGATGACAGAGAAAACAAACTTTGAATTCTGAGTGAAATATTATTTCTCCCATAAAGAATTCCATTCTTCTCATCAGGAGAACTATATTACAAAACACTGTACACAATTATTATGTTTTGAATTTTGTCATTAAAAAATTTGTAGGGATTTGTTTTCTCTCTTGTTACCTAAGTACCTACATAATGTCTTCAATATTGCCCCTTGGCTCACAAAGCCTAAAATATTTACCATCTGACCTTTTACAGAAACAGTTTGCTGCCCCTGTTGTGAGGACGGCTTGCATGTGTGATGATGTAGCAGCTCTAGACACCTCTCCGCACGTAGAGAGGTCCTATGTCCAAAGCAAAGCAAAACAAACCTTTAGAAATAAGCTGCTCAGCCCTGTCTCCATCCTCTGCCACTCTCAATACAGCATGAGAAGTGGAACACTCTTCTAGTTCTCTCCTCTCCTGCACACACCACATAGTTGGCCCCCCAGATTAAGAGACCTGAAGTGACACAGGACATTAGAAGTGTGAAGAAGACCAGAAAGAGGTGCCCACTGCAAGTACAGGAGTAGATGGCCCTGCACGGAGCTGTCCCTCTAGACTTACCCTCACCTCCCTGCCACATCCCCACCCAATCTCATTCATTCTTCTTGAACGATCACAGCCCCCCTCTGAGTGGTTTCCCTGTTTTCAGCCTTAGACCTTAGGCCCTGTTAGGGACTGCATGTTGTATCCCCCAGAATTCACATGTTGAAGTCCTAACCCCCAGTGTGGCTGCATTTGGAGTGGGGCCACTACGGAAGTCATTAAGGTAAAATGAGGTCATAAGAGTGGGGTCCTAATCTCATAAGAGTAGTGTCTTTACAGGAAGACATGCCTGAGGGCTCACTCCCTCTCTGCTCTCTGTATGGAGGAAAGGTCATGGGACATATAGCAAGAAAGGACACAAAGGGAGCTCTCACCAGACACCAACCTGCTAGCACCTTGCTCTTGGACATCCAGGCTCTAGAACTGTGACAAAGTACATGTCTGCCTTTAAGCATCCAGCCTGTGGTATTTTGTTACACAGCCTGAGCAGACCAACACAGGCCCCTTCCATTCATGGAGCACCACGGCTGTAACAGTTACCTTGAATATTTCCAGGCCCAACACTTTTGTATGCAAAAAGTTGCTGTTGTTCCTCATGGTTTGACAAATAGACTCTAAATTCCTTAGCCTGAAAGCCAAACTTGCTATTGCCAGCAAAACCCTCTCATTCACTTTTCCTGCCTGCCCTCCAGCCAAATGGACGGCTCTTCACTCCCAGACTGTGCCACGTCCCTCCCCGTTGCTGCCACGCAACTTACCTTTTTCTGTCGTCCAGATCCTCAAGGGCAAGCTCAAATCCAATGTGTGCTCCATGAAATGTTCCTTGCTGCCATCCTGAAAAAGCCATCTCTCTGCCCCTGAAATGTCATGCATGTGTTTGTGTTCTTTCTCTTCTGCACTGAATTGAAATATACACTTTCTTGTGTATATTTCTTAAATGTCTTCATGTGTGTATTTCTTAAAATGTCTTCAACTCATGCACCTCACCCTTAAGGAGACTGTACAGTTCTTGAAGTCCAAACAATGTCTAATTAGTGCCTTTAATTTTCACTCAGTAGCACTCAGTAAATATCTGACAAAAGAATCTCACATTATTTGTTTAAATATTTTCTAATTATTTATTCATGATAAGTAGACTGAAACAAACTGATCAATTTGAATATGCCCAAATGATCAATGTTTGGAATCTCAAAAATTCTGAGTATTCATTCTGACCCTAAACTGATCCAAGGAGCAGAGCACAAGGCCAGCCCATGTGAGTGTGGATTTCACTCTGCTTCCCCTGCAGTCTCTAGAGACAGGGGGAATCTACAGAAAGGGATCCTTCAGGGCCATAGTCCTTTTCTGTTTGTAAATAATGAATGATATGAGATTTCCTTCAACATTTTGCTTCAAGAGTCAGAGTATAAACACACATAGGCCTATCATTCAATAACTGATAAATCAGTGGTTTCTTGTTCCTTTTCCCCTTTCCAGAACTGAAACGAGCTTTGGTCTTTTAACTTGATATTGTTTAAAGAGTGATACTGAAACCCCATACACTTAAACATAATGCTCCAAGAACTTCCAAAGTGTCCCTGTTATCAGATTCTGACAAATCATCACACACTATTCTCTAAGAAGGAACAGAGAAAATCTCTTTACCTGAGGCCGTGGCCCACGTCTAATTAGGAACATAACATTGTCCCATTTTTCAGACTCTTCTTGAGATCTACCTGGGTCTGACACTATCCTCACTTACCATCCATGCAATTTTTTCTTAGGAAATAACATATGGCATCCTGAGCTCCCCTTTGCTTGGGGTCAATCTTTAGAACAGCTCCCATTTGTTGAGGGTGTGCTCACACCCGATGCGCTATACGGGTTACATCCCTCAATCCTCACAGGACCCCGTGAGAGGCAGTGCTATTACATGACCAGATGGTTGAGAAAGGCTACTACATGATCAGATGGTTGAGAAAGCCAACCTTAGGAGTCACTCGGTTATAGTCACAGACCAAAGGCTGCAGACTACACTTTAAAAATAACTTTTATACTTATACATTCACAGTAAGTTACCAAGACAGCAGAGGAGCAGAGAGGTCTCCTGTTCCCTTCACCCAGTTATCCCCAGTGGTTACAATACAAAATTAAAACCAGAAAAGTGACATTGGTACAATGTGTGCTAGGTTTGAGTCATTTTATTAAATGTGTAGATTTGTGTAACCACCACCTAAATCAAAAATCACAACTATCCCATCACCCCAAGGCTTCCTTTGTGTTACCCCCTTTATAATCATGCCTCCCCCACCCCTACCACCCCCAGTCCCCGGCAACCACTCATCTCTTTTCTATCTCTATAATTTTGTCATTTGAAAATGTTATATAAAAGGAATTACAGAGCATGTAAACTTTTGATATTGGCTTTTTTCACTCCATAAAATCCTCTGGAGATTGATCCAGGATGCTGCATGGATCATTCATTCATTCCTTTTTTATGGCTGAGTATTCTCTGGTATGGATGTATCCATTTATTCAACCATCACCTATTAGGGACATTTTGGTTGCTTTCAGCTTTGGGCTATTGCGGATAAAGATGCTGTGAAGAGTTGTGTACAGGTTTTTGTGTTGACATAAGTTGTCGTGTCTCAGATAAATGCACAGAAGTACCACTGATGGGTTACACGGTAATTGTATGTTTAGATTTTTCTAAGAAACCACCTATTTCCCAGATTGTCTGTGCTATTTTACATTCCCACCAGCACCACATGCAGGATCCAGTTTCTCTGCATCCATGATAGTATTCAGTGTTGTCAGTACTTGCTTTTGGTTTTGGTTGTTCCAATAGGTGTGTCCTGATATCTCACCATAGCCTTAGTTTTGATATCCCTAATATCTAGTAATGTTGGATATCTTTTTGTGTGTTTATTTGACATCTGTATGTTCTCTTTGGTGAAATATCTCTTCATATCTTTTGTCCATTTTCTAATTGGATTGTTTGGTTTTTACTGTTGAGGTTTGAAAATGCTTCATGAATTCTAGATGTAAGACGTTTTTCACATATGTGGTTTTCAAATATTTTCCCTCAATCTGCAGCTCATCTTTTCATATTCTTAACAAGTTCTTTCCCACAGCAGAAGGTTTAAATCTTGATGAAGTCCAATTTATCGATACCAATTTTTTTCTTTTATGATTCATAATTTTGATGTCATGTCTAAGATTTCTTCACCAAGCCCACAGCCTAAAAATTTTCTGCTATATTATCTGCTAAAAATTCTACAGGTTTATTTATTTATCTATTTTTGGAGATAAGGTCTCACTTTTGTCACCCAGGCTGGAGTGCAGTGGCACAATCACAGCTCACTGCAGCCTCAACTTCACAATTTGATATAAATTTTAGATTTATAAAGTCTATGGTATTATATGTTTGGATATAAATTTTAGAATAATCATGGCTATATCTACAAAAAGATTGTGAAAATTTTGATAAGAATTGCATTAAACCTGTGTTTGAATTTAGGGAGAACTGGCAATGTTGAGTTTTGCAATCCACAAACATGGCATGCCTTTCTGTTTATGTAGATCTTCTTTGATTTTTCCATCACCATTTTGTAGTTTTCAGTGTGCAAGTCCTATAAAATGTTTTGTTAAATGTGTACACAAATATTTCATTTTCTTTGGAAAATCGATAAATTGTATTTTTTATTTTGGGTATCGATTTATCTCGTGTCCTGTGACTTTACTGAACCACTTGTTAGTTGTAGGAGTTTTTTTGAAAAGTCATCGTACATATTCTATGTAAACAACCATGCTGTCAGCAGTTTTATTTCAGGCAGTTTTATATCTTTTTTCATATCTCTGTGTCTTTTATATCCTTTTTTTTTTTTTTTTTTTTTTTTTTTGCCTTACTGCTTTGGCTAGAACTTCCAGGATTATGCTTACTAACTGTGGCTAGAGTAAATATCTTGCCTTATTTCTGATCTTAAGGGGAAAACAAATACTCTTTCACTATTAAGTATGATGTTAGCTGTGGGTTTTGTGGGTATACTCTGTTTTCTTTCTGATATTGGTAACTTATGTCTTTTTGTGTCTTTGTCTTGCTAGATGAATTTTATATATCTTTTCAGAAAACCAGCTTTTTGTCTCATGGATTTTCCCTATTGTCTTTCTGTTTTCAACTTTATTGACTTCTGCCCACGTCTTTATTATTTATTTCTACCTGCTTTGGGATTATTTTGCTCTTATTCTCTTAGGTTTTTGAGGTAGGAGCTTAAATTACTTATTTGGGATTTTCTTCTTTTTCTATTGTAAGCATTTATTGCCATAAATTTCCCTCCCGGTACCATATTGGCTGCATACTACCAACTTTGTTTTTTGTTTTTGTTTTCTCTTTTTTTTAAATTATACTTTAAGTTCTAGGGTATATGTGCACAACATGCAGGTTTGCTACATAGGTATACAAGTGCCATGTTGGTTTGCTGCACCCATTAACTCGTCATTTACATTATACATTTCTGCTAATGCTATCCCTGCCACTGACCCCCATCCCACGACAGGCCCCAGGGTGTGATGTTTCCCGCCCTGTGTCCAAGGCAGGAAATTGTTCAATTCCCACCTATGAGTGAGAACATGCAGTGTTTGGTTTTCTGTCCTTGTGATGATTTGCTTAGAATGATGGTTTCCAGCTTCATCCATGTCCCTTCAAAGGACATGAACTCATCCTTTTTATGGCTGCATAGTATTCCATGGTGTATATGTGCCACATTTTCTTTATCCAGTCTATCATTGATGGACATTTGGATTGGCTCCAAGTCTTTGCTATTGTGAATAGTGCTGCAATAAACATACATGTGCATGTGTCTTTACAGTAGCATGATTTATAATCCTTTGGGTATATAGCCAGTAATGAGATTGCTGGGTCAAATGGTATTTCTAGTTCTAGATCCTTGAGGAATCACCACACTGTCTTCCACAATGGTTGAACCAGTTTACACTCCCACCAACAGTGTAAAAGCATTCCTATTACTCCACATCCTCTCCAGCATATGTTGTTTCCTGACTTTTTAATGATCGCCATTCTAACTGGTGTGAGATGTTATCTCATTGTGGTTTTGATTTGCATTTCTCTGATGACCAGTGATGAGGAGCATTTTTTTCATGTGTCTGTTGGCAGCATAAATGTCTTCTTTTGAGAAGTGTCTGTTCATACCCTTTGCCCGCATTTGATGGGGTTGCTTGTTTTTTTCTTGTAAATGTGTTTAAGATCTTTGTAGATTCTGGATATTAGCCCTTTGTCAGACCAGTAGATGGCAAAAATTTTCTCCCATTCCGTAGGTTGCTTGTTCACTCTGATGGTAGTTTCTTTTGCTATGAAGAAGCTCTTTAGTTTAATTAGATCCCATTTGTCTATTTTGTCTTTTGTGGCCATTGCTTTTGGTGTTTTAGTCATGAACTCCTTGACTTTGCCTACATCCCGAATGGTGTTGTCTAGGTTTTTTTCTAGGGTTTTTATGGTTTTAGGTCTAAAATTTAAGTCTTTAATCCATCTGGAATTAATTTTTGTATAAAGTGTAAGGAAGGGATCCAGTTTCAGCTTTCTACATATGGATAGCCAGCTTTCCCAGCACCATTTATTAAACACGGAATCCTTTCCCCATTTCTTGTTTTTGTCAGTTTGTCAAAGATCCGATGGTTGTAGATATGTGGTGTTATTTCTGAGGCCTCTGTTCTGTTGCATTGGTCTATATCTTTGTTTTGGTACCAGTACCATACTGTTTGGGTTACTGTAGCCTTGTAATTTAGTTAGAAGTCAGGTAGTGTGATGCCTCCACATTTGTTCTTTTGGCTTACGATTGTTTTGGCTATGTGGGCTCTTTTTTGGTTCCATATGAACTTTGAAGTAGTTTTTTCCAATTCTGTGAAGAAAGTCATTGGCAGCTTGATGGGGATGGCTTTGAATCTATAAATTACCTTGGGCAGTATGGCCATTTTCACGATATTGATTCTTCCTGTCCATGAGCATGGAATATTCTTCCATTTGTTTGTGTCTGCTTTGATTTCATTGAGCAGTGGTTTGTAGTTTTCCTTGAAGAGGTCCTTCACATCCCTTGTAAGTTGGATTCCTAGGTATTTTATTCTCTTTGTAGCAATTGTGAATGGGAGTTCACTCATGATTTGGCTCTCTGTTTGTCTGTTATTGGCGTATAGGAATGCTTGTGATTTTTGCACATTGATTTTGTACCCTGAGACTTTGCTGAAGTTGCTTATCAACTTAAGGAGATTTTGGGCTGAGACAATGGGGTTTTCTAAATATACAATCATGTCATCTGCAAACAGGGACAATTTGACTTCCTCTTTTCCTAATTGAATACCCTTTATTTCCTTCTCCTGCCTGATTACCCTGGCCAGAACTTTCAACACTATGTTGAATAGGAGTGGTGAGAGAGGGCATCCCTGTCTTGTGCCAGTTTTCAAAGGGAATGCTTCCAGTTTTTGCCCATTCAGTATGATATTGGTTGTGGGTTTGTCATAAATACCTCTTACTATTTTAAGATACGTTCCATCAATACCTAGTTTATTGAGAGTTTTTAGCATGAAGGGCTGTTGAATTTTGTCGAAGGCCTTTTCTGCATCTATTGAGATAATCATGTGGTTTTTGTCATTGGTTCTGTTTATCTGATGGATTATGTTTATTGATTTTCATATGTTGAACCAGCCTTGCATCCCAGGGATGAAGCCCACCTGATCATGGTGGATAAGCTTTTTGATGTGTTGCTGGATTCGGTTTGCCAGTATTTTACTGAGGATTTTCACATCAATGTTCATCAGGGATATTGGTCTAAAATTCTCTTTTTTTGTTGTGTCTCTGCCAGGCTTTGGTATCAGGATGACGCTGGCCTCATAAAATGAGTTAGGGAGGATTTCCTCTTTTTTTATTGATCAGAATAGTATCAGAAGGAATGGTACCAGCTCCTCTTTGTACCTCTGGTTGAATTCGGCTGTGAATCTGTCTGGTCCTGGACTCTTTTTGGCTAGTAGACTATTAATTATTGCCTCAATTTCAGAGCCTGTTATTAGTCTATTCAGAGATTGAACTACTTCCTTGTTTAGTCTTGGGAGGGTGTATATGTCAAGGAATTTATCCATTTCTTCTAGATTTTCTAGTTTATTTGCATAGATGTGTGTATAGTATTCTCTGATGGTAGTTTGTATTTCTGTGGGATCAGTGGTGATATCCCCTTTATCATTTTTTATTGCATCTGTTTGATTCTTCTCTCTTTTCTTCTTTATTAGTCTTGCTAGTGGTCTATCAATTTTGTTGCTCTTTTTCAAAAAGCCAGCTCTTGGATTCATTGATTTTTTTAAGGTTTTTTTGTGTCTCTATTTCCTTCAGTTCTGCTCTGATATTAGTTATTTCTTGCCTTCTATTAACTTTTGAATGTGTTTGCTCTTGCTTCTCTAGTTCTTTTAATTGCGGTGTTAGGGGGTCGATTTTAGATCTTTCTTGCTTTCTCTTGTGGGCATTTAGTGCTATAAATTTTCCTCTACATACTGCTTTAAATGTGTCCCAGAGATTCTGGTACGTTGTGTCTTTGTTCTCATTGGTTTCAAAGAACATCTTTATTTCTGCCTTCATGTCATTATGTACCCAGTAGTCATTCAAGAGCAGGTTGTTCCGTTTCCATGTAGTTGTGTGGTTTTGAGTGAGTTTCTTAATCCTGAGTTCTAATTTGATTACACTGTGGTCTGAGAGACAGTTTGTTGTGATTTCTGTTCTTTTACATTTGCTGAGGAGTGCTTTACTTCCAACTATGTGGACAATTTTGGAATAAGTGCAATGTGGTGCTGAGAAGAATATATATTCTGCTGATTTGAGGTGGAGAGTTCTGCAGATGTCTATTAGGTCTGCTTAGTGCAGAGCTGAGTTCAATTCCTGGATATCCTTATTAAATTTCTGTCTCATTGATCTGTCTAATATTGACAGTGGGGTGTAAAAATCTCCCATTATTATTGTGTGGGAGTCTAAGTCTCTTTGTAGGTCTCTAAGGACTTGCTTTATTAATCTGGGTGCTCATGTATTGGGTGCATATATATTTAGGATGGTTAGCTCTTCTTGTTGAATTGATCCCGTCACTATTATGTAATGGCCTTCTTTGTCTCTTTTAATCTTTGTTTGTTTAAAGTCTGTTTTATCAGAGGCTAGGATCGCAACACCTGCTTTTTTTTTCTTTTTTTTTTTTTTTTTTTGGCTTTCCATTTGCTTGGTAGATCTTCCTTCATCCCTTTATTTTGAGCCTACATGTGTCTCTGCACATGAGATGGATCTCCTGAATACTGCACACTGATGGGTTTGACTCTTTATCCAATTTGCCAGTCTGTGTCTTTTAATTGGGGCATTTAACCCATTTACATTTAAGGTTAATATTGTTATGTGTGAATTTGATCTTGTCATTGTGATGTTAGCTGGTTATTTTGCCCATTAGTTGATGCAGTTTCTTCCTAGCATTGACGGTTTTTACAATTTGGCATGTTTTTGCAGTGGCTGGTACTGGTTGTTCCTTTCCATGTTTAGTCCTTCCTTCAGGAACTCTTGTAAGGCAGGCCTGGAGGTGACAAAATCTCTCAGCATTTGCTTCTCTGTAAAGGATTTTATTTCTCCTTCACTTATGAAGCTTAGTTTGGCAGGATATGAAATTCTGGATTGAAAATTCTTTTCTTTAAGAATGTCGAATATTGGCCTCCCACTCTCTTCTGGCTTGTAGAGTTTTTGCCAAGAGATCTGCTGTTAGTCTGATGGGCTTCCCTTTTTTGGGTAACCTGACCTTTCTCTCTGCCTACTCTTAACATTTTTTCCTTCATTTCAACCTTGGTGAATCTGACAATTATGTGTCTTGGGGTTGCTCTTCTCAAGGAGTATCTTTGGGGTGTTCTCTGTATTTCTTGAATTTGAATGTTGGCCTGCCTTGCTAGGTTGGGGAAGTTCTCCTGGATAATATCCTGAAGAGTGTTTTCCAACTTGGTTCCATTCTCCCTGTCACTTTCAGGTACACCAGTCCAATGTAGATTTGGTCTTTTCACATAGTCCCATATTTCTTGGAGGCTTTGTTTGTTTCTTTTTACTCTTTTTTCTCTAAACTTTTCTTCTCACTTTATTTCATTAATTTGATCTTCAATCACTGATACCCTTTCTTCCACTTGGTCAAATCAGCTATTGAAGCTTGTGCATGCATCATGTAGTTCTCGTACCATGGTTTTCTGCTCCATCAGGTCATTTAAGGTCTTCTCTACACTGTTTATTCTAGTTAGCCATTCATCTAATCTGTTTTCAAGGTTTTTAGCTTCCCTGCGATGGGTTCGAGCATCCTCCTTTAGCTCAGAGAAGTTTGTTATTACCGACTTTCTGAAGCCTACCTCTGTCAGCTCGTCAAAGTCATTCTCTGTCCAGCTTTGTTCCATTGCTGGCGAGAAGCTGCAATCCTTTGGAGGAGAAGAGGTGCTCTGGTTTTTAGAATGAGATGAACCAGGCACCTAGGTTGGAAATGCAGAAATCACCCATCTTCTGTGTTGATCACACTGGGAGCTGCAGACCAGAGCTGTTCCTATTTGGCCATCTTGGAATGGAATCCCTGCATACTATCAACTTTGATATGTTGCATTTTCATTTTATTTAGTTCAATATATCGTTTGCCCTTGAGCCACCTTCTTTGATCCATGTATTATCATATAGCATGTGTTGTTTAGTTTACAAGTATTTTACACTTTCCTATTATCTTTCCTTTGTATCCAGATTTATTATATTGTGGACAATGTACTCTGTACAATTTCAATTCTTTTAAGTTTTTTAAGGTTTGTTTTATGACCCAGAATATTGTCTGTCTGATGAATCCTCCATGGGTATATGAATAAAATGTGTATTCTACTATTGTTGGATAAAGTGTTCTTTTTCTTTCTTTTTGAGATGATGTCTTGCTCTGTCACCCAGGCTGGAGTGCAGTGGCACAATCTTGGCTCATGGAAACCTCCACATCCCAGGTTCAAGCAATTCTTGGGCTCTTTTTGGGTTCCATATGAATTTTAAAATAGTTTTTACTAGTTCTTGAAGAATGTCATTGGTATTTTAATAGGAATAACATTGAATGTATAAATTGCTTTGGGCAGTATGGTCATTTTAATATAGGCCATTTTAATATAGGAAGATTGATTCTTCCTATCCATGAGGATGGAATGTTTTTCCATTTGTTTGTATCATCTCTGATTCGTTTGAGCAATATTTTGTAGCTCTCCTTGTAAATATATTTTGCCTCCCCGGATAGCTGTATTCATAGGTATTTCATTATTTTATGGCAGTTGTGAATGGGATTGTGTTCCTGATTTAGCTCTTGGTTTGATTGTTATTGATGTATAGGAATATTAGTGATTTTTCACACTGATTTTGTATCCTGAAACTTTGCTAAAGTTGTTTATCAGCTTAAGGAGCTTTAGGACTGAGAATATGATGTTTTCTAGATATAGGATCATGTCATCTGCACACAGGAATAGTTTGACTTCCTCTCTTCCTATTTGGATGCTGTTTATTTCTTTCTCTTGCATGAATGCCCTGGCCAGGACTTCCAATACTATCTTGAATACAAATGGTGACAGAGGAGTGGTGATAGAAGGCATCCTTCTCTTGCACTGATTTTCAAGAGGAATGCCCCATGATTTCTAATGGGAATGCCATTGTGGTGACAATTAGGAATGGTGACAGAGGGCATCCATCTGTCCCCATGATTTTCAAGGGGAATGCTTCCAGCTTTTGCCCATCCAGTATAATGTTGTCTGGGGGTGCGTCATAGATGGCTCCAGTTATTTTGAAGAAAGTTCCTTCAATACCTACTTTATTGAGAGATTTTAACATGAAGGGATGTTGAATTTTATTGAAAGCCTTTTCTGCATCTATTGAGAGATTATGTGGTCTTTGTCTTTAGTTCCACTTATGTGATGAATCACATTTATTGATTTGTGTATGTTGAAGCAACCTTGCATCCTGGGGATTAAGCTTACTTGATCATGGTAGATAAGCTTTTTTATGTGCTTCTGAAGTCAGTTTGTCAGTATTTTGCTGATGATTTTTGCATCAGTGTTCATCAAAGACATTCACCTGAAGTTTTGTTTTTTGTTGTGTTTCTGCCAAGTTTTTGTATCAGGATGATGCTACCCTCATAGAATGATTTAGGGAGGAGTCCCTCCTCCTCAATTTTTTAGAATAGTTTCAGCAGGAATGGTACCAGCTTTTGTTTGTACATTTGGTAGAATTCAACTGTGAATCTATCCGGTCCTGGGCTTTTTTTCATTGGTAGGCTATTTATTGCTGACTCAATTTCAGAGCTCATTATCGGTCTATTCAGGGATTCAGTTTCTTCTTCTTTCAGTCTTGTGAGGGTATGTGTGACCAAAAATTTATCTGTTTCTTCTGTGTTTTCTAGTTTATATTCATAGAGGTGTTCATTATATTCTTCAACTGTTATTTGTATTTCTGTGGGGCCAGTGGTAATATCCCCTTTATCATTTCTAATTGTGTCTCTTTGAATCTTCTCTCTTTTCTTCTTTATCCTATTTTATTGATTTTTTTCAAAAAACAGTTCCTGGATGCGTTGATCTTTTCCATGGTTTTTTGTGTCTTAATCTCCTTCAGTTCAAACTGGTTTTGGTTATTTGTTGTCTTCTGCTAACTTTGGTATTTGTTTGCTCTTGATTCTCTAGTTCTTTTAGTTGTGACATTAGGTTGTTAATTTGAGATCTTTCTAACTTTTTGATGTGGGCATTTAGTGGTATAAGCTCCCCTCTTAACACTACCTTAGCTGTGTCCCAGAAATTCTGTTATGTTGTATCTTTGTTCTCATTACTTTCAAAGAACTTCTTGACATCTGTCTTAATTTCATTATTTACTCAAAAGCCATTCAGGAGCAGCTTATTCAATTTCCATGTAATTGTATGGCTTTGAGTGAATTTCTTAGTCTTAATTTCTAATTTGATTATGCTGTGGTCTGAGACATTGTTCGCTATGACTTCAGGTATCTTGCATTTGCTGAGGAGTGTTTTGCTTCCAAATATCTGATCAGTTTTAGAGTATGTGCCATGTGGCAATGAGAAGAATGTATATTCTGTTGTTTTGGAGTAGAGGGTTCTGTAGAT
Source organism: Homo sapiens (assembly GCF_000001405.40). Classification (NCBI taxonomy): domain Eukaryota; kingdom Metazoa; phylum Chordata; class Mammalia; order Primates; family Hominidae; genus Homo; species Homo sapiens. The sequence continues at coordinate 48,350,103 of NC_000008.11, read as the reverse complement.
GTCGTCAGGTCTTTTTAATCTAGTGCTGAGCTCAGGTCCTGAATATCTTTGTTAACTTTTTGTATCAATGATCTGTCTAATATTGTTAGTGCAGTGTTAAAATCTCCCACTATTATTGTGTGGGAGTGTAAGACTCTTTGAAGGTCTCTAAGAACTTGCTTTATGAACCTGGGTGGTTTGTGTTTAATGCATATATATTTAGGATAATTCGATCTTCTAGTTGAACTGAACTTTTTATCATTATGTAATGCCTTTCTTTGTCTTTTTTGATCTTCGTGGTTTAAAGTCTATTTTGTCTGAAACTAAGATCGCAACCTCTGCTTTTTTCTATTTTCTATTAGCTTGGTAGATTTTTCTTCATCCCTTTATTTTGAGCCTATGTGTGTCATTGCATGTGAGATGGATCTCTTGAAGACAGCATACCATTGGGTCTTTATCCAGCTTGCCACTCTGTGCCCTTTAATTGGGGCATTTAGCCCATTTACATTCAAAGTTAGTATTGATGTGTGTGGATTTGTTCCTGTCATCATGATTTTAACTGGTTATTTTGCAGACTTGTTTATGTGGTTGCTTAATAGTGCCACTGGTCTGTGTACTTTGGTGTGTTTTTGTAGCAGCTGGTAATGGTCTTTTCTTTCCATATTTAGTGCTTCCTTCTAGAGCTCTTGTAATGCAGGTCTGCTGGTAACAAATTCCCTCAGCATTTCCTTGTCTGAAAAGGATCTTATTTCTCCTTCACTTATGAAGCTTGGTTTGGCTGGATATGAAATTCCAGGTTGGAATTTCTTTTCTTTAAGAAGTTTGAATATTGGCCCCAGATATATTCTGGTTTGCAGGGTTTCTGCTGAGAGGTCCAGTGTTAGTCTGAAGGGCTTCCCTTTGTAGGTTACCTGACCTTTCTCACTAGCTGCCATTAACATTTTTTTCTTTTATTTTGACGTTGGAGAATCTGATTATGTGTCTTGGGGATGATCTTCTTGTGAAGTATCTTAGTGGGGTTCTCTGCATTTGTTGAATTTGAATGTTGGCCTCTCTAGCTAGGTTGGGGAAGTTCTTATGAATGATATCCCCAAGTATGTTTTCCAAGTTGGTTTCATTCTCCCCATCACTTTCAGGGACACCAGTGAGTCATAGATTTACTCTCTTTAAATAATCTCACATTTATTGGAGGTTTTATTAATTCCTTTCCATTCTTTTTTCTCTATTCTTGTCTGACTGTCTTATTTCAGAAAGCCAATCATCAAGTTCTGAGATTCTTCCCTTTTCTTGGACTATTCTGTTATTAATACTTGTGATTGCATTATGAAATTCTTGTAATGTGTTTTTCAGCTCTATCAGGTTGGTTAAATTCTTTTTTCTATACTGGCTATTTTGTCTGTCAGCTCCTGTTTTGTTTTATCATGATTTCTAGGTTTTTTGAATTGGGTTTCAATGTACTCCTCTAGCTCAATGATCTTCCTTCCTATCCATATTCTGAATTCGATTTCTGTCATTTCAGCCATCTCAGCCCAGTTCAAAATACTTGCTGCAGAGGTGATGTGGTCATTTGAAGGAAAGAGGGCATTCCAGCTTTTAGAGTTTTCAGGGTTCTTGCACTGATTCTTTCTCATCTTTGTAGGCTTATCTCCCTTCAATCTTTGAGGCTTCTGACCTTTGGCAGAGTGTTTTTTTTTTCTTCTTTTATACTACCTGATGACATTGAGGGTTTGATTGTGGTATAAGGTGAATTCAGATGGCTGGCTCTATTTCTGGAAGATTTTAGGTAGACAGTGCTCATCTCCCATCTCATGGACTCTGTGCTCTGAACTGGTATTGGGCCCCAGCTTTGTTCTCTGGCTCCTCAAGGTTAAGAATCCACTTGTGCCAGGGGGTGGGGGGCCTGAGGTGTGGCAGCTATGACAGAGTGTTTGCAGGTGCCAGGGTGCCTGTCTCCCTGCAGGCATTTACTACGGTGACAGAGGCAACACAGCTGGTGGGGTGGTGTCAGGGGGGCCCTTGCTGGGGACTATGTGCACAGTCATGCTAAAGGTGGTGTTGGCTCAGGGGTAAGGTGCTGGTGGACACAGATCTAGGTGCCTTATCTGTGCCCCACAAGCAGGAGTGATTGCTAAGGGCAGGGGAGAATCCACTGTTCTCTACACAGTGTTAGTGCAAGGGCAGGGTGTTGGTGGGGGTGGGGGTGGGACTGGTTGACTCTCTGCCCACCAAGGCTTCATCTGCAATGGCAGTCAGTTGAGGGAGGAGGGCCAGACTGCACTCCCTTGCACTGGTGGAGCAAGGAAAGCAAAACCCATCCATGCAGATGGGCAACAGCAAGCAACATGGGGAGTTGCCATGGACTTGGGGGAAGCTGCAGTATGGGGAGGGAGCATGCAAGCTGCTGTATGGCCATAGTGGCTGCCCCATTAGACCTCTCCACTGGTCAGGCACAGTCCACCAGCACAGAAGCTATGGTGCAGGCCCCCAGGGCACCTGAGACTGCTCTGCAAGCAGGTGTGGCCAGGCTGAGGCCCTAAGAGAGGCCAGCAGACCAACGGGTGCTCAGATGAGACGAGCACCATTGGATGAGCAAGATTGCCCTGCAAAGTTCAGGCCTGACAGTTCCCCTAGTGAATGTCCTTTATTTCTTTCCCTTGCATGATTGCCCTGGCCAGAACTCCCAATACTATGTTGAATAGGAGGGTTAAGAGAGGACATCCTTGTCTTGTGCCAGTTTTCAAGGGGAATGCTTCCAGCTTTTGTGCATTCAGTATGATGTTGGCTGTCAGTTTGTCATAGGTGACTCTTATTACTTTGACGTATGTTCTTTCAAAACATAGTTTATTGATTACTATGTTAGTTCATTCTCATGTTGTAATAAAGACATACCCAAGACTGGGTAATTTACAAAGAAAAAGAGGTTCAATGGACTCATAGTTCCACATGACTGGGGAGGCCTCACAATCATGGTGGAAGGCAAAGAAGTAACAGAGACACATCTCACATGGCAGCAGGCAAAAAAGCTTGTGTAGGAGAACTCCCCTTTAAAAAACCATCAGATCTCATGAGCCTTATTCACTATCATGAGAACACATGGGAAAGACCCGCTCCCATGATTCAATTACATCCCACTGAGTTCTTCCCACAACATGTGGGAATTATGGGAGCTACAATTCAAGATGAGATTTGGGTGGGGACACAACTAAACCATATCATTCCACCTCTGGCCCCTCCAAAATCTCATGTTCTCATATTTCAAAACCAATCATGCCTTCCCAACAGTCCCCCAAAGTCTTACCTCATTTCAGCATTAACTCAGAGGTCCACAGTTCAAAGTCTCATCTGAGACAAGGCAAGTCCCTTCTGCCTATGAGCCTGTAAAATTAAAAGCAAGTTAGTTACTTCCTCGATACAATGAGGGTACAGGCATTGAGTAAATACACCCATTCCCAATGGGAGAAACTGACCAAAACAAAAGCACTACAGGCCCCATCCAAGTGCAAAATCCAATAGGGCAGTCATTAAACCTTAAAGTTCTAAAATGATCTCCTTTGACTCTATGTCTTACATCCAGGTCATGCTGATTCAAGAGGTAGTTTCCCACAGCCTTGGGCAGCTCCACCCTTGTGGCTTTGCAATGTATAGCCCACTCCTGGCTGCTTTCATGTGCTGGCACTGAGTGTCTGAGGCTTCTCCAGGCACAGAGTGCAAGCTGTCAGATCTCCATCTGAGACCACCTCAACCTGGACTTCATTGCCCCTATCACCATCAGCATTTTGGTCAAAGCCATTCAACAGGTCTGTAGGAAGTTCCAAATTTTTCCATATCTTCCTGTCCACTTCTAAACCCTACAAATTGTTCCAACCTCTGCCTCTTACCAAGTTCCAAAGACACTTCCACATTTTTGGGTATCTTTACATCAGCATCCCATTACCCAGTACCAATTTACTGTATTAGTCCATTCTCATGCTGCTAATGAACTAATAAAACCATTTATAAAAGGATCAGATCTCATGAGACTTATTCACCATCTTGAGAAAGACCTAGCCCCATGATTCAGTTACCTCCCTCCAGGTCCCTCCCACAACACTTGAGAATTATGGGAGCCACAATTCAAGATGAAATTCGGGTGGGGACACAGCCAAACCATATCAGAGGGCATCCTTGTCTTGTGCCAGTTTCCAAGGGGAATGCTTCCAGCTTTTGCACATTCAATACGATGTTGGCTGTCAGTTTGTCATAGGTGGCTCTTATTATTTTGAAGTATATTCCTTCAATATCTAGTTTATTGAGATTTTTTAACAGGAAGGGATGTTGAATTTTGTCAAAAGCCTTTTCTGCATCTACTGAGAAAATCACGTGACTTTAGTCTTTAGTTCCATTTATGTGATGAGTCACATTTATTGATTGGCATATGTTGAAGCAACCCTGTGTCCCAGGGATAAATCCTATTTGATCATGGTGGATTAGCTTTTTTATTTGCCACTGGATTCACTTTGCTAGTAGTTTGTTGACAATTTTTGCATCAATGTTCATCAAAGATATTGGCCTGAAGTTTTCTTTTTTTGTTGTGTTTCTGCCAGATTTTGGTGTTAGGATGATGCTGACCTCATAGAATGATTTAAGGAAGAGTCCCTTCTCCTCAATTTTTTGGAATAGCTTCATCAGAAATGGTAGCATCTCTTCTTCGTACATGAGGCAGAATTCAGATATCTGGTGAATCTATCTGGTGCTGTGCCTTTTTTTTTTGTGGTTGATAGTCTATTTATTACTAATTCAATTTTGGAGCTCATTATTGGTCTCTTCAGGGATTCAATTTCTTCATGTTTCAATCTTTGGAGGATGTGTGTGTCTAATAATTTATCCATCTCTTCTAGGTTTTCTAGTCTGTGTGCATAAGTGTTTGTAGTAATCTCTGATGGTTATTTGTATCTCTGTAGGGTCAGTGATAACATTCCATTCATCATTTCTGATTGTGACTATTTGTATATTTTCTTTATTAGTCTATCTGTCTTACTAATTTTTTTTCAAACAACCAAATTCTGGATTCGTTGGTCTTTTGAATGGTGTTTTGTGTCCTACTCAGCTTCAGTTCTGCTCAGATTTTGGTTATTTCTTGCCTCCTGATAGCTTTGAGGCTGGTTTGCTGTTACTTGTCTAGTTCTATTAGTTGTGACATTAGGTTGTTAATTGGAGATCATTCTAACTTTTTGTTGTGGGTATTTAATCCTAAAAATTTCCTTCTTAACACTGCCTTAGCTGTGTCCCAGCGATTCTGGTGTGTTCTATCTTTGTTTTCATTAGTTTCAAATAATTTCTTGATTTCTGCCTTAATTTCATTACTAGCCCAAAAGTCATTCAGGAGTAAGTTGTTTAATTTCCACATAATTCCATGGTTTTCAGTGACTTTTTAAAGTATTGATTTCTATTTTTACTATGGACATTTTCAGTTTCTTTCATCAATGTTTTATAGTTTTGAGGGTAAAAATCTTTCACCTCCTTAAATTTATTCCTATGTATTTTATTCTTTTTGAGGTTATTGTAAATGAGATTGTTTTCTAAATTCTTTTTCAGATAGTTCATTGTTAGTATATAAAGCTACAACTGATTTTTACTTGTTTAACAGCTTTTGGTAGAGTCTTTTGGGTTTTCTGTATATAAAATCATCTTATCTACAACAAAGGGAGTCTTATTTCCTCCTTCCTGATTTGAATATTTTTTATTTCTTTTCTTGCCTAATGGCCTTGGCTAGAACTTCCAGTACTATTTTGAATAAAATTAGTGAGAGTGGACATCTTTGTTTTGTTTTTGATCTTAGCAGAAAAGCTTTCAGCTTTTTGCCACAAAGTATAAGGTTAGCTGTGGGCTTGTTATATATGGCCCATATTAGGTTAAGGTGAATTCCTTCTAAACCTAATTTGTTGAGAGTTGTTATCATGAAAGGATGCTAAATTTTGTCAAATGCTTTTTCTGCATCTATTGATGTGATCATATGACTTTTATCCTTCATTCTGTTAATATAGTATATTATGTGGATTTGCATACGTTTAACCATCCTTGCATCCCAGGAATAAATTCCTTATATTGTGTGATCATTTAATGTGCTGTTCACTTTAGTTTGCTAATATTTTGTTCAAGATTTTTGCATCAATGTCCATCAGAAATATTGGCCTATAATTTTCTCTTATGTGATGTCCTTTTCTGGCTTTAGTACCAGAGTAATTCTGGCCTGGTAAAATAAGCTTAGAATTGTTTCCTCCTCTTCAATTTTTTTGGAAGAATTTGAGAATAATTAGCATTAATTCTTTATATTTTTGGTAAAATTTACCAGTGAAGCCATTCAGTCCCTGGCTTTTCTTGGTTGGGAAGTTTTTGATTACTGGTTCAATCTCTTACTTGTTAATGATGTATTCAGATTTTCTATTTCTTCATAACTTGATTTCAGTATGTTGTGTGTTTACAGGAATTTATTTATTTCTTCTAGGCTATACAATTTTTTGGCATGTAATTGTTCACAGTAGTCTTTTATGATCAGACATATTACTGTGGTATCAGTTTTAATGTCTTCTCTTTTGTTTATAACTTTAAGTCTTTTCTTAGCCTAGGTTAAGGTATTTAAAATTTTGTTTATCTTTTCAAAAGACCAGTTCAGTTTCCTTGACATTTTTATTGTCCTTCTAGTCTCTATCCATTTGTTTCTGCTCTAATCTTTATTATTAATCTTTACTAATCCTCTGCTAACTTTAGGGTTAGTTTGCTCTTCTTTTTAAATTTCCTTGAGGTGTAAAGTTAGATTGCTCATTTAATATCTAACTTCAGTTCAGTCACTGTCTTCTTCAGCTCCCAAATTTCTGTTTGGTTCTTTTTTATAGTTTCTAACTCTTTATTAGATTTCTCATTTTGTTCACGCATTGTTTTTCTTATTTTATTTAGTTATCTATCCATATTCTCTTGCAGCTCACTGAGCTTCTTTAAGAAAATTAATTTGAATTCTTTGTCAGGCAGTTTATACATCTTTATTTATTTGGGGTCAACCACTGGAGATTTATTTCATTTCTTTAGTAGTGTCATATTTTCTTACTTTTCATGCCCCTTGAAGCCTTGCACTGTTATCTTTGCATTTGAAGAAGCAGTCACTTCCTCCTGCCTTAACTGACTAGCTTCAGGAGAGAAAGATCTTCACCAGTCAGCCTGGCTAGAGATTCTCAGATTTCTTTATGACTACATTCACTCCACTCCTCTATTTTCCCCCTGGGGAGCGGTCGGGGGGGGTCTTAGGATTGTGTGCTTTCTCTCAAATCCTCTTAATCTTGTAAAACCAGACCAAGTACTGACAGCCTCCCATTTGTTTTCCCTAGAGTAGCACCCTGAAGTGTTTAAGGTTGTGTATCTTCTACCAATTCAGCAGAGTTAAGACAGCTGCTGATATCCATGTGCTGTCTGTGTGGGAATGCGCATTCCATCTGCAGGGGAGCATGAGAAGCTATCTGAGAGGGATCACATGTGATGGCCATTGTGGTGAGGAAACTCATAAGCTAGTTGGGGGTCTCTTATCTAACAGACACCCCACAGGGCTCATGGGGTGAACCTGGTGGGGCTCCTGGTGAAGTCTCTGAGCTGACCAGTAGGATCTGCAGCTGTATGAGAGTGTCATGCACAGGCTGCTGTGAAACCCTGTCCCTTCTCTCTGCTCATGCTGCTCCCAGGCAATTCATCTGTGCCAATCCCTGTAGTGTTCTGGATGGGTGAGACAAAAGTAGGTTTCCTGGGCAGTATCCCACAAGGTTTCTTTCTGAGTTTGTTTGGGTTGCTATAACAAGATATCATAACCTGGGTGGCTTATAAATAACTGTGAGAAGTAAATGTTTATCTCAGGCTGGGTAGTCCAAGATTAAGTATCAGACAGACTCAGTTTCTGGTGAGGGCCCATTACTCACAGACAGTGACTTCCAGTGGTGTCCTCACTTGGTAGAAGGGGAAAGGCAGCTCTCGGGGGCCTTTTTTTTATTAGGGCACTAATCCCATTCATGAGAGCTAAACCCTCATGATATAATCATCTTCCAAAGGCACCATTTCTTACTACCATCACATTAGAGATTAGATTTCACATACGAATTTGAGGGGGACATTCATTCAGATCACAGCAGCCAAGGAAGCCAGGAACTCACTTTGCTCTTACTTCCCCCATGGAAGAAACCTCAGGCTGAGGGTTTCTCTTGGCACTGATCTGTGCTGCCTTCATGGAGGAATGACACACATGAAATGAAACTGTTCTTCTCACCCTCTTCAATGCTTCTATTCTTGGATTTTTTTGCTTCCCCATTTTGCTGGAACCTCTAAACTAGTCTTCTGGGTTTCCATAAAGGTATTGTCATTATAAGTGGTTGTTAAAACCAGTGTTTCTGTGGGTACCAGAGGGTTGAGGGATGGAACCTCCTATTCTGCCATCTTGTTGATGTTTCCTAGAGTGTTCAGGTGTATATATGTTTATAATTGTTATATCTTTTTCATGGATTGACCTTTTTATTATTATAAAATGTCCTTCTTTATCTCTAGCAACATTTTTATCCTAAAGTTGATTTTGTCTGATAGTATAGCAACTCCAACTCCAGATTTATTAATGGTTGCTGTTTGCATAATATGCCTTTACCATCTTTTTACTTTCAATCTATTTGTATTTTTCACTCTAAATTGTGTCCCTGTATAGAGCATATACTTAATCTTATATTTTTATCCAGTATTACAAGCTGTACCTTTCAGATTGTTATTTTATTATTGTTTTATTCATTCACACTTAATGTTATTATCGATGAAGGTACATTTATGTCTGTCATTTTGCATTTTGTTTTCTCTTTGTCTATTACTCCTTTACTACTTAACTAAATATTTTCTAGTGTAACATTTTATTCCTTTAATGATTTTTTCAGGTTTTTGCTTTTGGTGTTCCTCTAGGGCTTACATATACCTGGTAACTTATCAAAATCTACTTCAGATGTGTACTGACTTAAAGTAGTTATAGTAATTAGACATAATGAGATATAGTAAGTTCTGCTCCATTATTGAGCCAGTTGTGACTAAGAGAGGCAATGCACTCACAGCCACATTGTAGCAGTGAGAAGAGCTGGGATTAACAGGACCATTTAGTAACTGGTGTAACTCACCCTTGGCTGTGCATTAGAGTCATCACTGCAGCTTCTAAAAATGCCAAAATATCACCTTCACCCCAGAGTTTCTGCTCAAGCACTCAGCAGGTGAGGCTGGCCATCAGTATTAAGTTCTTCCACTGATTCCAATGTACAGACCTCAGAACCAGGCACAGCACAGTATATCTACTGAGGTTGCAACTGCTGAGGATCTGAGGCCTCAAGCTAAGATCCTTCAGTTTTCAAGTTGTCCAACCAACTATTTGACAGTCCCACCAGACCCTGCTAATTATCCAGTTTCCCCCTAAAGTTAGACTGCTGAGCAGAAGCTTAGTCCTTGCCAGAACCCTCCCATTTAGACACCAAAGAACATACTTCCAGCTGCTAGCCAAGGTCCCCCTCCATAGAGACCATGCTGAACTAAGGTGTTGCCACTCTTCAGGCCTCAAGTATTGTCACTACCAAAGGTTCCTGCCATTACGCATCCCCTGCCCATCAGATAGGGTCCTTATGGGTATTAGAGTTGGCCTTCCTCATGGCTGCTGCTTTTTCCTTTTAATATCCTATCCCCAGACACTTCTGACTATGCCCTATAGAAGCAGAAAGTCCCATTTCTGGAAAGTCAAGAGGCCAAAGAAGGGTAATCAAATAAACTTAGTTTGCAGCCCTGTGGTCAATCATAATGGGAGCATCACTGATGATGACTAAAAATCAGCAGTGTCCAGATTCCAAGAACCAAATCAGATTCTTATACACATGGTTCCACCCCTGCCCGTAAACTGGAGCTGGAGGCCATAATCCTTAGCAAACTAGCACAGGAACAGGAAACCAAATACCACATCTTCTCACTTATAAGTGGGAGCTAAATGATGAGAACACATGGACACATAGAGGGGAGCAAGACACCTGGGGCTTTTCAGAGGGTGACAGGTGGGAGGAGGGGGATGACCAGGAAAAATAACTAATGAGGGGGTGGAGGCTAGATGGCCAAATAGGAAGAGCTCCAGTCTACAGCTCCCAGCATGAGCGATGCAGAAGACAGGTGATGTCTGTATTTCCAACTGAGGTACCATGTTCATCTCACTGGGGAGTGTCGGACAGTGGCCGCAGGACAGTGGGTGCAGTGCACTGAGCATGAGCCGAAGCAGGGTGAGGCATCATCTCACCTGGGAAGTGCAGGGGGTCAGGGAATTCCCTTTCCTAGTCAAAGAAAGGGGTGACAGATGGCACCTGGAAAATCGGGTCACTCCCACCTAATACTGTGCTTTTCCAACGGTCTTAGGAAACAGCACACCAGGAGATTATATCCCACACATGCCTATGAGGGTCCTACGCCCACAGAGCCTCGCTTATTGCTAGCACAGCAGTCTGAGATCAAACTGCAAGGTGGGCAGCTAGGCGGGGGGAGGAGCACCCGCCATTGCTGAGGCTTGAGTAGGTAAACAAAGCAGCTGGGAAGCTCGAACTGGGTGGAGCCCACTGCAGCTCAAGGAGGCCTGACTGCCTCTGTAGACTCCACCTCTGGGGGCAGAGCATTGCCAAACAAAAGGCAGCAGAATCCTCTGCAGACTTAAATGTCCCTGTCTCCTCAAGAGGGTCCCTGATGCCCAAGTAGCCTAGCTGGGAGACACCCCCCAGTAGGGGCAGACTGACACCTCACATGGCTGGGTACTCCTCTGAGACAAAACTTCCACAGGAATGATCAGGCAGCAACATGTTCTGCTCACCAATATCCGCTGTTCTGCAGCCTCCGCTGCTGACAACCAGCAAAACAGGGTCTGGAGTGGACCTCCAGCAAACTCCAACAGACCTGCAGCTGAGGGTCCTGACTGTTAGAAGGAAAACTAACAAACTGAAAGGACATCCACACCAAAACCCCATCTGTACGTCACCATCATCAAAGACCAAAGGTAGATAAAACCACAAAGATGGGGAAAAAACAGAGCAGAAAAACTGGAAACTCTAAAAATCAGAGTGCCTCTCCTCCTCCAAAGGAATGCAGTTCCTCACCAGAAATGGAACAAAGCTGGATGGAGAATGACTTTGACGAGTTGAGAGAAGAAGGCTTCAGAGGATCAAACTACTCTGAGCTAAAGGAGGAAGTTCAAACCCTTAAACCCAAAGAAGTTAAAAACTTTAAAAAAAAAATAGATGAATGGCTAACTAGAATAACCAATGCAGAGAAGTCCTTAAAGGACCTGAAGGAGCTGAAAACCAAGGCAAGAGAACTACATGACGAATGCACAAACCTCAATAGCCGATTCGATCAACTGGAAGAAAGGGTATCAGTGATGGAAGATCAAATGAATGAAATGAAGTGAGAAGCAAAGTTTAGAGAAAAAAGAATAAAAAGAAATGAACAAAGCCTCCAAGAAATATGGGACTATGTGAAAAGACTAAATCTATGTCTGATTGGTGTACCTCAAAGTGACGGGGAGAATGGAACCGAGTTGGAAAACACTCTGCAGGATATTATACAGGAAAACTTCCCCAATCTAGCAAGGCAGGCCAACATTCACATTCAGGAAATACAGAGAATGCCACAAAGACACTCCTCTAGAAGAGCAACTCCAAGACACATAATTGTCAGATTCACCAAAGTTGAAATGAAGGAAAAAATGTTAAGGGCAGCCAGAGAGAAAGGTCAGGTTACCCACAAAGGGAAGCCCATCAGACTAACAGCTCATCTCTCGGCAGAAATTCTACAAGCCAGAACAGAGTGGGGGCCAATATTCAACATTCTTAAAGAAAAGAATTTTCAACCCAGAATTTCATATCCAGCCAAACTAAGCTTCATAAGTGAAGGAGGAATAAAATACTTTACAGAAAAGCAAATGCTGAGAGATTTTGTCACCACCAGGCCTGCCCTAAAAGAGCTCCTGAAGGAAGCACTAAACATGGAAAGGAACAACTGGTACCAGCCATGGCAAAACCATGCCAAATTGTAGGTTTTGCATCGAGGCTAGGAAGAAACTGCATCAACTAACGAGAAAAATAACCAGCTAATATCATAATGACAGGATCAAATTCACGCATAACAATATTAACCTTAAATGTAAATGGGCTAAATGCTCCAATTAAAAGACACAGACTGGCAAATTGGATAAAAAGTCAAGACCCATCAGTGTGCTGTATTCAGGAAACCATCTCATGTGCAGAGACACATATAGCCTCAAAATAAAGGGATAGAGGAAGATCTACCAAGCAAATGGAAAACAAAAAAAGGCAGGGGTTGCAATCCTAGTCTCTGATAAAACAGACTTTAAACCAACAAAGATCAAAAGAGAAAAAGAAGGCCATTACATAATGGTAAAGGGATCAATTCAACAAGAAGAGCTAACTATCCTAAATATATATGCACCCAATACAAAAGCAAGTCCTTAGATACCTACAAAGAGACTTAGACTCCCACACAATAATAATGGGAGACTTTAACACCCCACTGTCAACATTAGACAGATCAACGAGACAGAAAGTTAACAGGGATATCCAGGAATTGAACTCAGCTCTGCACCAAGGGGACCTAATAGACATCTACAGAACTCCCCACCCCAAATCAACAGAATACACATTCTTTTCAACACCACACCACCCCTATTCCAAAACTGACCACATAGTTGGAAGTAAAGCACTCCTCAGCAAATGTAAAAGAACAGAAATTATAACAAACTGTCTCTCAGACCACAATGCAATCAAACTAGAACTCAGGATTAAGAAACTCATTCAAAACCGCTCAACTACATGGAAACTGAACAACCTGCTCCTGAATGACTACAGGGGACATAACGAAATGAAGGCAGAAATAAAGATGTTCTTTGAAACCAACGAGAACAAAGACACAACATACCAGAATCTCTGGGACATATTCAAAGCAGTGTGCAGAGGGAAATTTATAGCACTAAATGCCTACAAGAGAAAGTAGGAAAGATCTAAAATTGACTCCCTAACATCACAATTAAAAGAACTAGAGAAGCAAGAGAAAACACATTCAAAAGCTAGCAGAAGGCAAGAAATAACTAAGATCAGAGCAGAACTGAAGGAAATAGAGACACAAAAAACCCATAAAAAAATTAATGAATCCAGGAGCTGGTTTTTTGAAAAGATCAACAAAATTGATAGACTGCTAGCAAGACTAATAAAGAAGAAAAGAGAGAAGAATCAAATAGACACAATAAAAAATGATAAAGAAGATATCACCACCGATCCTGCAGAAATACAAACCACCATCAGAGAATAGTATAAACACCTCTATGCAAATAAACTAGAAAATCTAGAAGAAATGGATAAATTCCTCGACACATACACCCTCCCCAGACTAAACCAGGAAGGAGTTGAATCTCTGAATAGACCAATAACAGGCTCTGAAATTGAGGCAATAATTAATAGCTTACCAATCAAAAAAAGTCCAGGACCAGATGGATTAACAGCCGAATTCTACCAGAGGTACAAGGAGGAGCTGGTACCATTCCTTCTGAAACTATTCCAATCAACAGAAAAAGAGGGAATCCTCCCTAACTCATTTCATAAGGCCAGCATCATCCTGATACCAAAGCCTGTCAGAGACACAACAATAAAAGAGAATTTTAGACCAATATCCCTAATGAACATTGATGCAAAAATCCTCAATAAAATACTGGCAAACCAAATCCAGCAACACATCAAAAAGCTTATCCACCATGATCAAGTGGGCTTCATCCCTGGGATGCAAGGCTTGTTCAACATACACAAATCAATAAACATAATCCAGCATATAAACAGAACCAATGACAATAACCACATGATTATCTCAATAGATGCAGAAAAGGCCTTTGACAAAATTCAACAATGCTTCATGCTAAAAACTCTCAATAAATTAGGTATTGATGGGAGGTATCTCAAAATAATAAGAGCTATCTATGAAAAACCCACAGCCAATATCATACTGAACGGGCAAAAACTGGAAGCATTCCCTTTGAAAACTGGCACAAGACAGGGTTGCCCTCTCTCACCACTCCTATTCAACATAGTGTTGGAAGTTCTGGCCAGGGCAATCAGACAGGAGAAGGAAATAAAGAGTATTCAATTAAGAAAAAAGGAAGTCAAATTGTCCCTGTTTGCAGATGACATGATTGTATTTCTAGAAAACCCCATCATCTCAGCCCAAAATCTCCTTAAGCTGATAGGCAACTTCAGCAAAGTTTCAGGATACAAAATCAATGTGCAAAAATCACAAGCATTCTTATACACCAATAAGAGACAAACAGAGAGCCAAATCATGAGTGAACTCCCATTCACAATTGCTTCAAAGACAATAAAATACCTAGGAATACAACTTACATGGCATGTAAAGGACCTCCTCAAGGAGAACTACAAACCACTGCTCAACTAAATAAAAGAGGATGCAAACAAATGGAAGAACATTCCATGCTCATGGATAGGAAGAATCAATATCGTGAAAATGGCCATACTGCCCAAGGTAATTTATAGATTCAATGTCATCCCCATCAAGCTACCAATGACTTTCTTCACAGAATTGGAAAAAACTACTTGAAAGTTCACATGGAACCAAAAAAGAGCCCGCATTGCCAAATCAATCCTAAGCCAAAAGAACAAAGCTGGAGGCATCACATCACCTGACTTCAAACTATTCCACAAGGCTACAGTAACTAAAACAGCATGGTACTGGTACCAAAACAGAGATATAGACCAATGGAACAGAACAGAGCCCTCAGAATTAATGCCGCATATCTACAACTATCTGATCTTTGACAAACCTGAGAAAAACAAGCAATGGGGAAAGGATTCCAAATTTAATAAATGGTGCTGGGAGAACTGGCCTGCCATATGTAGAAAGCTGAAACTGCATCCCTTCCTTACACCTTATACAAAAATTAATTCATGATGGATTAAAGACTTAAATGTTAGACCTAAAACCATAAAAACCCTAGAAGAAAACCTAGGCAATACCATTCAGGACATAGGCATGGGCAAGGACTTCATGTCTAAAACACCAAAAGCAATGACAACAAAAGCCAAAATTGACAAATGGGATCTAATTAAACTAAAGAGCTTCTGCACAGCAAAAGAAACTACCATCGGAGTGAACAGGCAGCCTACAGAATGGGAGAAAATTTTTGCAATCTACTCATCTGACAAAGGGTTAATATCCAGAATCTACAATGAACTCAAATTTACAAGAAAAAAAACAAAAAAAAACATCAAAAAGTGGTCAAAGGATATGAACAGACACTTCTCAAAAGAAGACATTTATGCAGCCAAAAGACACATGAAAAAATGCTCATCATCACTGGCCATCAGAGAAATGCAAATCAAAACCACAATGAGATACCATCTCACACCAGTTAGAATGGCGATCATTAAAAAGTCAGGAAACAGTAGGTGCTGGAGAGGATGTGGAGAAATAGGAACACTTTTACACTGTTGATGGGACTGTAAACTAGTTCAACCATTGTGGAAGTCAGTGTGACGATTCCTCAGGGATTTAGAACTAGAAATACCATTTGACCCAGACATCCCATTACTGGGTATATACCCAAAGGATTATAAATCATGCTGCTGTAAAGACACATGCACACATATGCTTATTGCGGCACTACTCACAACAGCAAAGACTTGGAACCAACCCAAATGTCCAACAATGATAGACTGGATTAAGAAAATGTGGCACATATACACCATGGAATACTATGCAGCCATAAAAAAGGATGAGTTCATGTCCTTTGTAGGGACATGGATGAAGCTGGAAACCATCATTCTCAGCAAACTATCACAAGGACAGAAAACCAAACACCACATGTTCTCTCTCATAGGTGGGAATTGAACAATGAGAACACTTGGACACAGGAAGGGGAACATCACACACCAGGGCCTGTTGTAGGGTCGGGGGAGCGGGGAGGGATAGCATTAGGAGATATACCTAATACTAAATGACGAATTAATGGGTGCAGCACACCAACATGGTGTTGCGGGAAGTCAGGGACCCCAAACGGAGGGACCAGATGAAGCCATGGCAGAAGAATGTGGATTGTGAAGATTTTATGGACATTTATTAGTTCCCCAAATTAATACTTTTATAATTTCTTATGCTTGTCTTTACTTCAATCTCTAAACATAAATTGTAAAGATTTCATGGACACTTATCACTTCCCCAATCAATACCCTTGTGATTTCCTATGCCTGTCTTTACTTTAATTTCTTAATCCTGTCAGCCAAGGAGGATGTATGTCACCTCAGGACCATGTGATAATTGCATTAACTGCACAAATTGTATAGCATGTGTGTTTGAGCAATACGAAATGTGGGCATCTTGAAAAAAGAACAGGATAACAGCAATTGTTCAGGGAATAAGAGAGATAACCTTAAACTGTGACCGCTGGTGAGCCAGGTGGAACAGAGCCATATTTCTCTTCTTTAAAAAGCAAACGGGAGAAATATTGCTGAATTCTTTTTCTCAGCATGGAACACCCCTGAGAAAGAGAATGTGTGCCTGCAAGTAGGTCTCTGAACTGGCCCCCCTAGGCGTAAGCCATCTTTTATGGTCAAGGCTGCAGAGATGAAATAGACTCCAGTCTCCCATAGTGCTCCCAGGCTTATTAGGAAGAGGAAACTCCCACCTAATAAATTTTGGTCAGACCAGTTGATCTCAAAACCCTGTCTCCTGATAAAATGTTATCAATGACAATGGTGCCGAAACTTCATTAGCAATTTTAATTTCGCCTCGGTCCTGTGGTCCTGTGATCCCACCCTGCCTCCACTTGCCTTGTGATATTCTATTACCCTGTTAAGTACTTGATGTCTGTCACCTACACCTATTCGCACACTCCCTCCCCTTTTGAAAATCTCTAATAAAAACTTGCTGGTTTTTGTGGCCTGTGGGGCATCACAGATCCTACCAATGTGTGAAGTCTCCCCCGGACACCCAGCTTTAAAATTTCTCTCTTTTGTACTCTGTCCCTTTATTTCTCAAGCCGACCGACGCTTAGGGAAAATAGAAAAGAACCTACGTGATTATCAGGGCAGGTCCCCCGATAACATGGCACATGTATACATATGTAACAAACCTGCATGTTGTGCACATGTACCCTAAAACTTAAAGTATAATAAAAAAAATAACTAATGAGTACTAGGCTTAACACCTAGGGAATGAAATAATTGATACAACAAACCCCCATGATACAAGTTTACCTATGTAACAAAAATAAAAGTTAAAAAAAAATCTTTCCCATCTGACCTGCCGCTCTGTCACTCCAACCCTGTCTGGGCTCATTCTCAGGTCCTGCTTTAATTGCCATCTCATTATCTCACTGGAGGGAGATATTTCCACAGAGCACATCTGCCCGGAGCTTGACAACTCTTGACAATGGGTTCATAACCCATTTTGTGTAGCCAGTTAGAAGTGTGGAGCTGGGCTCGCCTGTGGGAGTGAGCGAGTCCACACAGGGTTCCAGGGTGCTGTCGGCTGCTCACTTGTGCTCAGTCTGGGAAGGACTGCTGGAGATGAGCAACTCGGAGCAGGGATTGGGGAGGACCATTCCCACGCCCACAATGTGAACATCTTTTTTACTCTTCTAAGCAGACTATCTGTTTGCCTGGATCTGACAGCTGAATCCCTAGGACATAGAGAAGGGTTTTTTGTTGTATGAAAAAAAATAAATCAATTACCCTTATAACCACAATGGCACAGTTAACTACTGAAGTCCAATTCTCACAGATCACAGGTTTTTCGAGAAAGTGAGCCTCATTATTCTTGGACAGAGGAGCACTTTGAGTGTTTTCTCATTCTGTCTCCAGGCGCCACCAACACTGGAAAACATGGCTAAGTGGGTTGTTTGGCAAACAGACACCTCACACCTTATGCCTTTCCCAGGCACACACTCTTCCCACGCCTGCATTTCTGGGGCTGATTCCTGTTCCCTTTGCAGACGCAGAACTTGCTCCAGAGCTGGCACTATGGGCTTCTGGCTGTCTGGGCCCTGGCCGGGTCCAGAAGCAGAGGTGTGGTTTGATGAGTTGCACTTCTGGGATTATTTGGAGAGGGGAGAAAAAGGAGAGGGAAAAGAGCTCAAACTGTCTCTATGATGGCCCAGGTTGTGTTCAAAGACAGAAACAGGACCTGGGCTCAGAGGATGAGCTGGTCAGGAAATGAGCTCTCTACATGATGAAGCAGACAGCCCTGGATACTTTGGAGGGCAGTGGCCAGGGGCTACTTTTACACTCAAAGAAACACATGTAACCATCTGGGAGAGGCAGTGTGTATTGCACCTGCCTGGTTAGAAGACTGAAGGTGTCTCACTGCTTTTCTTCCTCTCGGGCTTCTTGTGCCCCATCCTCTTGCAGTCCTCATTCTTACTCGGTAAGGTGCCATTCTCCTGCCAACAAGATGACAATCTCTGCAGGAACACTTCTGTTTAAAATTATACATTTCAGTGAGTCAAAGTTGTCCTGCAAGGTAACTGAAGACAGCTGCACTCATCAGAATCTCGCACCCCATACATTGTGCTTTGGGGTTAGTGATTCAAGCACTATTTGAAGTAGTATACTGTAGAACTTAACTCTCCTCCCACCCACCTCCCATCACACTTTAAAATCTGTCTGAATTCTTAAAGCAGATGGGTGGGAGCACCATGATTACCCAGGACCATCGTACTCTCTGCACAGCAGAATTTCCTTTTGAGGCCCTCTCATTATTCTTGACTCATATTACCTTTTTGAGTAGGTGGCCTCTGAATTACACTTGTCCCCTCTCATTGTGATAGACAAGATAAAATATGAGAAACAGACCTGCAGAGAATAACGTCCTTGAAACTCTTGCAGCATTTCTCTGAAAGGTCCACCTACTGCATGGTCAAATCCTGCTGTATAGAGACACACCCGCGATTTTGCTGAGAATTGAGGATCAAACACCTATGTCAAGGTTCAAACTGGTCTACTTTTATTCATGATGTAAGGGAAACCACGGTGCTTTATTTAGTTTCATGGTGCTTTATTTAGTTTCAATCATGGTGCTTTATTTAGTTTCAATCTCTATCTACCTATCTACCTCGGTTGCTAGCCATTTCAAAGATGAACTAGGACTAAAAGAAGAAGTGTCTCTAGACTACGATTACATCTTCCCTTCCAGCCTCTGATTTTTATTCTTTATCCTTTTTTAAATGGTCTTATTGCATGTGACTTTTAGTCTAAGCAATTTCAAACTTTTATTTTTAAGTAAGCACTGTGTAGTAATCAAGCTATTGTGTACATTTGCAAAAGATGAACCCACAGAATGTAGATCTGGAGAGGAATTACAAATCAGGAGAAAGCCAGCACTAACTCTACTCCCAGCACCCCTGGCTCAGGAGAAACCTCCAGAGCCCTGGAAGAAGGCCACTCCGCAGATCCCTAGGGCCTCAGGCACAGCCCGCAAGGGCAGAAGGGTGCTGCATGGAAGCTCTAGCCCTCAAAAGGTGCAGGGACCTGGCAGCATAGAGAAAGGGGATGGCACAGTGCCCTCCATGGAGCCCATGCCAGTGCCCCGGTGATGACGGAATCATTGAAAGGCCATCAGAAGATTTTACAGACTACATTGCATTTCTCAACTGTATTCAGACCAGGGAATAAATTATCACAGACACATTTAGGACTGTGAAGTCAACTGGGGTCACCCTAAAACAGAACCTTTTTAAAACCTTAAGAAAAAGTAACTATATAAACAGTAAAATCCTGAAAATACATAATATGCCCTTTTAAAAAAATGTCAGTGCCTTTTTCAAAAGCCATGTAAATTGCAGAGCCAAAAGGAAAAAAAAAGGTAGCTTTTCAAAGTGTTAGGGCAGTCATGGTTCTTTCACAGAGGTCCCTAGACAGAGATCCATAAAAGTGGGCAACACTTACTGCTGCTTCACCAGCTTGTGAAAGCCAAGACTAAAATGTCACTCCTACCTTCACTTCCTTCCACTCCCAAACTCAGATTGATATTGAACTAAGGGAAGAATCACTCCAAGCCGCAGATACCCAGGGCATGGCGTACCAAAACTCATCATTAGTGAAAGTGGCAAGCCTTCAGCATCCCCTCCCTGGGCCGGTCTTCTGGCTGCTTTAGGCATCCAAACAGCCCTGGGAACTGGGGTCCCCGTATTATAGGAAATGGAAGCACAGAGAGGCTGGGAAATGCACCCAAAGTCATACAGAGAGAAGGCAGAGAACAGAGATCCAAATCCACTACAGTCCGTGCGGTTTATTTCTGACAGCTTTAAATTCCTTTTTTCTGTATTAGTTTCTGCTCGGCTTTCAACGCTCTTGTCTTTTATCAAGTCTGATCTCAGGAAAGGATCTGGCATCAGCCATCTGTATCCCAGCATGATTTTTAGTCAGTATTATCACCTGAACCCATATACATGCATGGTTTTTCTAATTATGAAAATACAGAACCATGGAATTTTGAGACTGGAATAGCTCTGAGCAGTCGTCTAGTACAACTGCTTCCTTTTAAAGAAGCTCAGTTTTGGGTTCAAAAAGATAACGACTTGCTCAAGATCACACAGCTAAGTAGGTCTCTGAAGGACTCCTCATCCCTAAAAATCATACATTTCCTGAAAAATAATTGGCAATTTTTTTATCATTTTAAGGTTGACAATAAATCTTTCCATTAACGGTCAAAACCCTGAGGAGGCAAGATTCAATAAGAAATTTCTCAACTGCCAAAAGAAGTACGAGGACGTGAAATCGACCCTCGGAAGGATTCCTTCTCCATTAAAGGCCCGTCAAGTCATGTTGAGCCAGTGCAAGGAAGAGCTCAGGGAAGGAGCCCGTCCCTGCAGGGCTGCGAATCCCCAGCCTCGGTGTCCCGAGGGGGCTGAGTGGCTGCACTCCCAGGCCGTCCAGTAAGCCCCTCAGACATTTACGCCCGGGCCAGGCCCTCCACCACCGGAGAAGCCCGTGAGTCCAGTCACTGAGCAAGGACCTCAGGCTTTCCCGGCTGGGTGGGGCCCAGGAACTGGTAATCTGCACCCGGCCGGGATAGAGAGAGGCCCCCTTCTTTGCAGCTGGGCTTCTGGTCGTCGTTGGTAGACATCAGACTCAGGCGCTGGCTTTGGCCCTGGTTGAGACGATGCTCCTGTAGGAGAGGCCACGCACAGATGGCGGCATGATCTACAGCTGTTCAGAAGACGGTGTTGACAAAGCAAGCTTGACTGGGCTCATTGGGAGCCCGTAGGATGGCTCACTCTAATCCCAGATAGCCCACCTGGATCGCAACCTCCTGAGCCTCAGCAGCCACCCCCACCACACCCCCACTTGCTGAAAAAGAGCCAAGGTGCCCCCCAGATAAACTTTCCTTGGAGAGTCAGTTTTCACCCAGTTAAAATGGGATATAAACTTGGTTCTGAGCAGGATGTGAAAATGCCTGTGTGCTGGTCAGAACTTCGTGTGTATGAGGGACAAGCAGAGTCTGCCACCTCCAAAGCCAACGTGAAACACTGCTAAAGAAATCAACTTCTAAACACTGAATGAAACATTTTACTAAATTACCATTAATTGCGTTCATTCCCTACGTCCTTAGAAAAGATTTTGTAAGAGAAAAGAAACAAGGTTTTTCTTTTCTCTTTTCTCAACTTTTATTTTAGGTTCAGGGAGTGCGTGTGCAGCTTTGTTGCATGGATAGATTAGGTGTCACTGGGGTTTGGTGTAGAAATGATTCCATCACCCAGGTAGTGAGCATAATATCTGATGGTAGTTTTTCGATCCTCTCCTTCCTCCCACCCTCCAGCCTCCAATGGCCCCAGTGTGTGTTGTTCCCATCTTTACATCCATGTGTTCTCATCACTTAGCTCCTACTTATAAGTAAGAACATGTGATATTTGGTTTTCTGTTCCTCCACTAATTTGCTTTGGATAATTGCCTCTAGCTGCATCCATGTTGCTGCAAAGGACATGATTTTGAGGTTTTTTTATGGCTGCATGATATTCCATAGTGTATATGTACCACATTTTCTTTATCCAGTCTATCATTGAGGGGCATTTAGGTTGATTCCATGTCTTTGCTATTGTGAATAGTGCTGCAGTGAACATACGTGTGCATGGTAGAACAACATCTATTCCTTTGAGTATATACGCAGTAATGGGATTACTGGGTCAAATGGTAGTCCTGTTTTAAGTTCTTTCAGAAATCTCCAGACTGCTTTCCACAGTGGCAGAACTAATTTACATTCCCACCAGCAGTATATAAGCATTCCTTTTTCTACACAAGCTCACCAGGATCTGTTATAATATTTTTTGACTTTTTAATAATAGCCATTCTGATTGGTGTGAGATGGTACCTCATTGTGGTTTTAATTTGCATTTCTCTAATGATTAGCGATGCTGAGCATGTTTCATATTCCTGTTGGCCATGAACATGTATATCTTCCTTTGAGAAGTGTCTGTTAATGTTCTTTGCCCATTTTTTAGTGGGGTTGTTTTTCTTTTGTAAATTTGTTTAATTTCCTTATAGATAGTGGATATTAGACCTTTGTCAGATACACAGTTTGCAAACATTTTCTCCCATTTCATAGGTTATCTGTTTACTCTGTTGATAGTTTCTTTTGCTGTGCAGAAGCTGTTTAGATTAATTAGGTCCCACTTGTCTATTTTTGTTTGTGTTGCAGTTGCTTTAGGGGACTTCATCATGAAATCATTGCCAATGCTTATGTCCAGAATGGTATTTCCTAGGTTTTATTTCACGGTTTCTATAGTTTTAGGTCTTACATTTAAGGCTGTAATCCATCTTGAGTTGATTTTTGTATATGGTGGAAGGAAGAGGCCGCCCTCTTTCCAGGGCCTGCCCTGGTCCAGCTCTTCCTACAAGTCTTCCTTCCCAGCCCTTGCAGGCCTCTCAGGCCTGGGTGCAGCCTTCTCCCTGACCTCTGAGTCTGCTCCTTCCTCTGAATTGGTAGAGAGAGTGACCAGCTTCTGTGACCTGGGGACACAGAGGTTGCCTGGGCTGCACAACCACCCCACCCCACTTCATGCTGAGCCCTCCCCCGGGTCCTGGGCCCAGTGCATCTCTCCGTCTTCCCTGCTCATTGCTCTTGCCATTTCTCTGAAGCTGCATCTCAGTCTACCTCCTGTACTTTGTTTCAAGGCTCCTGCCTTCTCATTCCTCTTTACAAGCCACAATTTCACTTGGGCAAAAATAAACTTAACTCCGTAAAATACTGCCATCCACACCACGCAGCTTCCCCCCATCACCAATGCCTTCATTGTTGCCAGAATCACCAACTGCTTTTCTTCAGGAGTCATTTGCATGACCTATAAACACATTTCCATGTCCAGGACACCACCGTCTTGTTCACTTAACACCTGGTGTTATCATGTCATTCCTACCTCTCCTCCTGCTCAGAATCACCCTCTCAACTAGCACTCACTTTTGGGAGGAGTGCTTTTAAACATAATTTTAACGATTAACTTCACTTTTATTCAAAATTTGATTCTTCATCTAAATAAAGAGTTGTTGGGCAACTCTAAATGTAAAAATCTCCATTTACCTGGGAAAGTGTTGAATGTGACCAAGTGTTGAATGCACTCAAGAAATATTTGTTCAAAGGATAAATTGATTAATAGATGGATGGCTCGATGGATCAATGAGTCCCATACTACACTTTCTGCAGAGGCCAGCATCCATTTCACTTTGAGTTACAGCTCCAGAGCTGGGGGATAAGTAATGCGGTCATTAGGACTGCTCCTGAGCCGCCACCACCCCACACATACGGTCATCGGTCATTTCTAGAGGGTCTGTGCTGTAGAGCTTCACACAACGCAGCCATGAAACACAGGGGACCCAGTAAATGTAAGCTGATTGAAATTAAAGTAATCACAATAAAATAGTATTGCAGTCATAACCAGCTACATGTCAGGTGCTCACAGCCGTATGTGACTAGTGCTACCATATTGGATAGTGCATGTTATAGAACATTTTCATCAACATAGAAATTCTATTGAACAGTGCTTATATGGAGGGTATCTGAAAGCCATTTCAGATTCCCCAGAACCCCTTCCATGAGAGGTGACAACTCATAGCAGTACCCTGCTTCATGCCAACATGACCCATACTGGTCATATGAGATACCCTGTCATTTGCATGACATAACAGAAAATACATGTTTGGGTTTTGTCCCCAGTTCCTGGAGACAAAGTTCCTATCACTCACAATACTGAGTGACGGGGTGAGAGGAATGTGTTTCGTTATTCACAGCAAGCCCCTTTCCACCACACCTGAGTTTATGCCATTGAGGTGAGTCTTGGTGGACCCTAGACAGTTTCAGGATAGGGCTGGCTGCCCAGGAACCAACCATGTGATTAGAGAGTTGGAACTCTCAACTCCACACCCTGGGTCAGGGTCTGGAAATTGAGTTCAATCACCAATGGCCAGTGATTTAACCAAGCATGCCTACAACATGGAACCCCCATTAAAAACCCTTAAATGAAAGGCTTAGAGTGCTTCCCAGTTGTTGAACGCATTGAGGGGCTGGGTGGGTGATACACCCAGAGAGGGCACTCCTTTCCCCACACCTTGCCCTGTGCATCACTGCCATTTGGCTGTTTCTAAATTGTATCCTTCCCAATAAACTGGAAATCGTTTAAGTAAAATGTTTCCCAAGTTCTGTAAACCATTATAGTAAACTACCGAACCTCAGGGGGATTCGTGGGCATCCCCAGTTTGTAGCCCAATGGGACAATAGTGTGGGTAACCTGGGCACCCACTACTTGCAACTGGCATCTGAAATGACAGGTATTCTTGCAGGACAGAGCCCTTAATTTGTGGGGTCTGGGTTACTCTGGAGAATTGATGTCAGAATTGAATTGAATCACTGGACACCCAGCTGGTATCAGAGAATCAGAAAATCAAACCATGCAAGGAAAAAACTCACTCAGTTTGAAATGGAGAAAATGGTCTGCAATGTTTCCCTTCAACAAAAAGACTGTGGGGTGATGTTTTGGTCGCATTGTGCCTGCAAGAAGGCTGCCTTTAGAGGTGGGGGAGGCATTTCTATTTATACACTGTCTGCAGAGCACTTTGCAATCCTTCAGCATGAAAAGCTCTATATAAGTGCAAGGTGTTATTGCAAGGTGTTAACAGTTCCAAATGAACCCTTTCATTTAACTGTGTCAACCTCTGGATTAGCCAGTCTTAACTCAATAGATGGTGGAATGGGTAGAACTAACAAGCTTTTGTTTAGAATATTTATATGTCTGACCTGAGAATTATGAAAGATTTTTTTCAATTCATGCCAGGGGGAAATTTTAAACATTTTTGCCAAAAACACATAGGTCATAGAACCTTATTCTTCATTTTCTTTAAATATAGGTAGAATTAAATCCAGAAATAATAATGGTAATAATTCTAAATATTTCTCCAGCATCTTTCTTTCAAAACTTTTGAGAATGTATCCATGGATTACTTTACTTACTCCAGACCTATTTGCTCTGAACAGTCAATGTCAGTAATAAGGAAAGGAGAAGCCATGGGCATCGGCCTGTGCTCTTTCTCTCCTAATCTCTGTGGAGGAGGAGAAGGCTTTTGATGTACGCTCCCAGCATCTCTGTGGTGCAATCCAAACTCCTAGGTATGACTCAGGCACTTACTTCTGGAAGCTCATTTCCTGGGTGGAAGCCTGAAGGCTCAGGGAGTAAGCCTTCCAGACACACTGCTTCACAGACACAACCGATTGGCCTCCCCCTCATAACCGTGACAACCCCAGCATGGAAGATCATCAAATACTTTGTGTTAGGGCTTTCCAGAGAAAAAGAACCGATATGATACACACACACATACACACACACACACACACACACACACACACACACACACACAGAATGGGAGGTGGGGAGGGATTTAGTATAAGGAACTGCTTCATGTGATGTGGGCCTGGCCCTCTGCAATGCCAACATTCCATTTGAGCCTGAAAGCTAGAATCTGCTGTGGAACCAGGAAGAGGTGATATCCCAGGATGAAGGCCTCCAGGCAGGAGGATTCTCTCACGCGTTGGGGAGGTCAGCCTTTTGTTCTATTCAGGCCTTCAACTGGTTATATGAGGCCCTGAACACTGGGAGAGGCGCTTGGCTTTACTCCATCTACTGACTTAGATGTTAATCTCACCCAGAAACATCTTCACAGAAACACCAAAAATAATGTTTGATAAATCTCTGGGCAGTCCATGGCCCAGTCAAGTGGACACGTAAAATTAAACAGCACCTGTGGTACACGTAGAACAGAAGGGCTGCTCTAAGAGGAACTCAGCACAGTCCACATGCATCCCTCTTACCTTTGGTGGAATTGGTTTTCTCAGCCCTTCCACCAACCATCAGGGGAGCCACCAGCCATGGTGGAGCCCAGGCCAAGGCCCAGCAGCAAGTTTCCCTGTAGCCCAAATCTCCACTCGGATGAGCTGGGAATCACAGTGTGCAAACGCGGGTGCTGTCAGCACCATCTGAGGCCCAGTCCCCGCATGCCCAACCGCAGGCTGGGCCATCGCAACCCCCGGGGGTTCCTGTAGCCCAGCATCGAGTCTCCTCTGCAGCCAGCCCCACCTGGAATGCACTCTCCCTCAGGACTCACTCACAGTCAGCCCCACAGGAAATGCATCCACCCACCTGTCCCCTGAAAGTGGCCCTCCACCCTCTGCCCTGTCTCCACTCAGAATCCACAATGGCTGGGGCTTCCAGAGTATTGTTGTCGACCTCCTGGTTTTACAGAAGTCACAGAGGCCTGGAGGGGAAGCACCTTGGCCAAGATCACTCAGAGAGCTCCTGAGACCTGGTCTGATCTACAGCACCACTTCTGCTGACATCGCGTGTGGCTTCTCACCCCGCCCAGCCTTTCCTTCTGTGTGTGGGGACAGCCACGTTCGGTGCCAGAACTGGGGATCTCATTTTCTTTGCGCATTCCCGCTGTGGCCCTGACTCCCACTGAAGCAAGAGCCAGTGTTGCCTGCATCTCCCCACGGCTCGGTAGCAAGTTTTCTGCAGCCTCACCCCTTAATGACAGGAGCACTCCTCAGGCTTCAGGAAGATCATGGATGCTCCCTGCACACTCCCAAACATGCCACCTCACTGAGATCTGGCAAGTGACCACATGCCAGCCAAGAGTCTAAATGTTCTTGCTGAAATCCATATTAATCGGCACTGGCCACAGGGAGACAGACACCAGGCAGAGTGAGTCGTGTGCCCAGGGCTGCAGAGTGGGCACACAGAGTGGAATGCAAACCCAGGTTGGTCCACACCCAAAGCCCTGCCGCCAGGGACCCCCGCCATGGCCCTGTGCAGGCCTAGCAGGCCTGGGCAGCAGAGCACAGGCCGCAGGGCACTCCCCCTCCTGGGGGAGGACAAACAGCCACAGCTGCACCCCAGGTAGCACAAGACCCACAGTAGCCAATCCTTGCAAAGTCCTCACTGAGGCTGCGAGGCCACCTTGGCTTTTTCCATCCAAAAGAGTGAGTCAGGGCCAGACGTGGACGGTACCTGGACTTCCTGGCTCCAGGGCCTAGACGCCTGGCCCACCCAGCCCTCACAGCAGATCCACACCTCTGAGCTCCCAGCTGGAATGCCCCATGCTGATGGATATGGGCTGTTGGTCAGTCCATGTAGTAGGTGAAAGTTCTGGAAACTTCACAGAAAAGTCAGTTCTTTTAAAATTTCCAGTGTTTTTGTTAGTCCCAAAAGGAAGAGCTGTGCATTCTAATCACTTCTGCTCTGCCAGTTCTAAACAGCAGCAGGACTTTCCCTGGGCACTAAAGAATGCCCACCATACAAAGCCTCGGCCAGGGCTAAATTCTTATTAAAATTTAACCCCAAGGGCCAGGCATGATGGCTTATGCCTGTAATCCCAGCACTTTAGGAGGTTAGGGTGGGAGAATTGCTTGAGGCCAGGAGTTTGAGACCAGCCTGGGCAACATAGTGAGACCTCATCTCCACAAAAAAAGCAAAAAATTAGCCGGGCATGGTGGTAGCGCATGCATGTAGTCCTAGCTACTCGGGAGGCTGAGGTGGGAGGATCACTTAAGCCTGGGAGGTTGAGACTGCAGTGAGCCGTGATCACACTGCTGCCCTCCAGCCTCGACAACTGGGCAACAGAGCAATACCCTATCTCAAAAAAAAAAAAAAAATTAACCCCAGATGTTCATGACAACAGAGTAATTTGATATAACCAAATATATCCAAGTCAAAATCATACGGTGACAAAAATCAATCCCATTGAACTTTGGGGTGCACCCCATGATATGTTTCAAAATGCTGCGGAGCACTGCATTTAATTCATTAACATCCTTAAAAGGTACAGATTAGGATAGAGTGAGAGGCAGTTTGAGAGTGCAGCAGAAGAAGGTTGGTTCACAGGCCATGTTTTTGTTCAAAACAGCTCACAGAAATACCCCCAAGTGGGACAAAATGGGCTCAGTGTCATCTGACTTAACTGTAAAGAACACGGTCCAGCCATCACCTATCATTTTGAGAAGAAAAAATGTAGACCTGAAATACATGATTATTGTTAATCATATGGTACTTTTCATACCTATTTTCTTCTGGAGAGATGTGAAATACATATAATCAACCTGAATTGAAAGGTTGATAACTCAGTGTAGAACTACCTTCAAATACAGATAGCAGAATAGTTCAACTAGCAGGGATTCTGCAGCAGCCCATGCCAGTGAGCTAGCACAACCTCATCTCAGCAATAAGGCAGCCCTGCCCCAGAGTCACCCTTTCCTCTTCTCTTACATCCCGTGCTTTGCTGAGAAACCCGCTTCACAAAAGACAAGAGCCCTAATCTGTAGTGTTTGCTCATTTCCATGATGTAAATACTCCCACCACGGCTGATTTCAAGTCACCAATGGTTTAACCACCAGGTGGCAGAGTTCTTGAATATTTAACCTCCCCAGCACCCTTTCCGCCTTGAGCTGTTCTGGTCAGTCCAGCACAGGGCTATGTCTCATGCCACATTCAACCCAAACGTATCCAGAAACTGACCACTTCTCAGTACTGCCTATTACTGCTCAGATTTGACCACCGCAATCTCTCACCTGGATCGTCACAACCTTCTCCTCCTCAGCCTCTGTACAGCCTTTGCCCCTTTAACCTTTCAAAACAGGTGTCAGAGCCTGGCACTCCTTTGCAGAAACCCACCCACCTCCCATGGGTGGCAGGTGAAGTGCTTGCATGACCTCCAAGCTCACCAAGATCTGGGCTGGACCCTCTGACCTAGCTCAGCACTGTCCCTGGTCACTTCTCCAGCCATACACCTCCTCACTGTCCTCTCCATGCATGAGCACACATGTCACCTTCTCAGTGGGACTCCCTGACCATCACACCTGACACTCTTCATCCCCCTTCCTCCTTTATTTTCCCCTTAGCCCGTCTCATCTAATCCACAGCTATATGATTCACTACGTTCATTCACTTTGTGTCTCTTCCTACTAGAAGGCATACTCCAGCCGATTACTTTTGTCTGTTTTGTTCACTGTTAATCTCCTCAGCCTACAGCAATGTCTGGCTTATAGTCAGTGTCCCATGTTTACTGAAGGAATAAACTCCAGGTTTACTTTGAGGATCTGGTTGACAATACTTCTCTTTTTGCCTGCCTTTTCCCATATTGAGACCTCCCCAATTTTCTGAACCTCACCAGTGCACAGTACTCCAGCAGCTTGCGCCAGGCCGAGGCCCTAGCTCACATCTGCCTTCGCACTGTGAGATCCTCCCTGCACTGGTTCACTTAGTACCATCTTAGCTGCAGCCCAAACACTCGCTATAGAGAAAACCTTTGAATCCTGTCATCCAGGGAATTCTTTCAAGTAGAAACAGAAAAGATGAAATCTGTCCAAATGTGCCCATAGTGGAAGGAATTCTCATTCACCCAGGGGCATTCTATTTCTAGCTAGGCCAGTATAAGAAAAAGACCACTTTCCCCTTAGCAAAGAGGCTTACTCACAAGGGAAATAGCCATACTGTCCTCTATATGATGCTGACAGGCTTTTCCCCATCAGAAAAGCCTGAGCTCAGAAACAGGAAATCGACAGGCCTCCAAGCCCAGCCACAGGAGAGTCTCCCTCAGTAACAAGTGCTCTTGAACTCACTGGTACAAACAAAAAGTAGAACCTGCTATTTTATTGTTACCCTCTTTCTTCTAGGCATCCTAGAGTGTTCTGCCCCTTCTAACTACAGCTGGATTATAGAAAATGGGCTATTTTGGGCTGTCATCCCTCCTACACAAATTATCATTTCTGTTGTGAACTGAACTGCAGATGAGTATGTCCAGCTACAATGGGAATGAATATTAAAACTGCGGAACAGTGCAAAAAGAAAATGCACAATTTAATCAAGAACTATAAAACCATTATAAGAAACATAAATTCAGGCCCTGGCTGATGCCAATCACGCATCAACCTAGGAGGTGTCATCTTTGCCCCAAAGGAACACGTTTCCAAATACTCAGTCCTTTTAGATGTTACTCCATCTGAGGCTTTTCTGTTGGGCCATGTGCCTCTGGAAGTTGTGTAGCATTCGTTATGGATTCAAAGGTTTCCCTGCTCCTTTAGCTCCAGTCTTGCCCTAGTTTCCCCCATTTGGAACTAGTGTGGTGCCCCAACTAGGAGGCAGGGTGAATACAGCTCCTCTGCGGCCACCACCTGGGGCCTCCCTGATCCCACGTCAAAAAGGAGCTCTTGTGCCTGTTGCTGGCCTCCTCACTCTGTCTCCTTTCCTGCAAAGTGGAAACAGGCAGGTCAACGTCGTGGTCATCTGTGGGGTTGCGGCTGGCTGGGCACTCAGCGCAGAGCACAGGCGGGCAGATGGTACCCTAGGCGTGGGCGGGGACGGAGGGCGCGGTGAGTCTGTAGGCCATAGGTCCCGTTCCGTGCGCCCTTCCCGGCCCAGCATAGTCCGAATAACAGGAACCTGAACGCGAGCTCCCTTTGACTGGTCTGTTCACTTTCACTTTGAACCTTGCAAAGAATCACTGGAAGTGCTTCTAGCCCCACGCACTCGCGGGAAGTCCTCTTCGCGGTTGTCGCCGCGAGGGCTCTTCCTGCACTGAAATGTCTGGCCGGCTTCTCAGCTCCCAGCAAGTGGCAGTTTGTGGAACAGATTGAAGGCAGTGACATCTAGTGGCCCTAGATGGTATTTAACTTAATAAATACACATTTTTAATGTGTTGGAAGCAGGGTAAGAAATTCAGAGCATGCTACATGTAGCCTCAACAAACTAGAGGTTTCCGACAAGTATTAAGAAAAAGGATCGGATAGGCCCCACCTGCACCTTGCTTTTCTTGCTTTTGTCTTTCATGCTGGAGGAGCTGGTTTGGTCTGGTATTTTTCTTCAACTCTTGGCCTGCTCAAATAGCTTTGCCCGGGGCAGAGAACCTTCCGCTGGAGCAGGTCGGAGAGGTGAGAGTCAGCGCGCAGGCATGGGCAGGTCGAAGATAACCACACAGGAAGGAATCGGCTGCTCATAAAGCTAGTGTAGGGGATGATTAGCAATCAGTCAGCGGACTGGGGGTGCTTCATTCTTCTCAGATGACAAGCACTGCGTTTTGTAATTTAGGGGACTCCTCCCTGTACTGGCCAGCTTGCCTAAGTGCAGCTGCCAGGAATCTGGCAGAGATAACAAGGGAGGGTGTACCTTCAGCCTCCACAAAGTCACAATATTGAATAAAAGTGCAGAAATAGAATTGGATCCTTAAGTACAAGGCTTCATGTAGTCTACATTTCCAAAGAGATTTATGACTTCGGTGTGCCAGAAAGTTTAGATACATTTGCTCAGTTAACACATGGAGAATTCTTGATATTTCTCCATATGGGTAAGAATATTCATCACATCATTTATAATCCAAACATAGAAAGTCAAGAAATGTAGAAAACTCATTTTTTTAACTACCAACTCACTTATGTGACTTATGCATAGTTGGCATATTAAAATCAGAGTGAAAATTATGCAGTGAATTGTAGAATTCCTGCACCTATCCACAACAAAGTAATGTCCCAGGGAAACCTTTTATGTGTGTCAGTGAACTGACCTATTTATGATTGGATATGAATGTGTTCTGATGCTGAGTTTTCTCCATTTCTGTTTTGAGGGCTGATTATCTTAAAGAAGAAAAGAGTCACTGTGGAATGCCAAGCAAATTCCCATACTCCTTAACGACCGGCAGCATCCTACAACCAGTAACCGAGAATTATTTTTTAAATCATTCTAAAACTTACTGTGAGTCTATGAGTCTTAGTTACAAGCCTACCAGCAATGAGCACATCAAACTATTTCATAATAAAATAGTAAGAACCTGTCTCTATGTAAGAGAGAAAAAACAAACAAACAAAAAAAACTCAGAAAAGCCTGCCTGACTAAAGACAGGACCAATTGAGTTTGCCTCTGGATCCCTCTCCGGAGGTTATGGTTGCCTAGAGAGAACAAAGTCTGTAAGGCCTTCGAGACCAATGTCTCTTGGATCTCGCCTCTTCCCACCCCACCCCCCACAGTCACCCTGGTGCTGAGAACAAACCCGGGGTCAGGCTCATGGCCCAGGCGGGGTGGGTGCCTGTGCACTGCCACCCAATGAGCGGCGGGGCATGCGGCACACATGCTGTGCCAGCCCTAGGAGCCACGTGTCCAGGATGAGAAGCATGGCAGCCAGGCCCGAGGACAGAGCAGCCCGACGAAGAGGCACACAGAGCTTTCCTCATGAAGCCGTTACCACATTGACTAAAGTAATTAAGAAATACCTTTATTTAACACAGAAAGTGTGCTCTGACCCTGTGCTGAGCTCAGTTCTGGGGTTAGCAGAGACAAGAATAGTACAGGTTACAGAGGGATGCTTTGGCCGGGGAGTCACACTGGGGTCACAGTGACTGTCAGCAGGGCACTCCCCACTGCCTGTGTCCTCTGAGTGAGCCTCAGCTCCCTGGTCCAGCACACCCTTTGCCCGTGGACAGCTGCTAGCACAGACCCACACTGTCCTGAGGAGAACTGGACACCCTTACTTTGCTTAGAAGAGTTTTATTTGTACAGAGCATCCCACTGCACTCAGCCCTTGGCCTCTGAAAGACCTCCCAGGGCTGGGACATATCTGCGTGTTCAATTCCCCTTGATGCAAAAAGAGTCTGAGCTATTCTCCTTGACACACACAAGCACACATTTACAGACACAGTCCTGGAACATCAATTCGGAAATGACTCTAAAGAAAGATTTGCCACTCAATGAATCACCAGCATCAATCCCTGCCATACCCTGGTTTTCCTGGGAGGTCTTCCTTATAAATGCTGGCCCAGGCCTGGTCCTGCTTAGCTAATGAGATCATCTCCCAGGGCAGAGCTGGATCCTCCCCCAGGCTCCAACTCCAGACATTGAGAGCTCCTCCCTGCTCCCCACCCACATCCTCTTTGAATCCAGTTCTGCTCTTGCTGTTCCCTCAGCCTGGAACATCCCTTCCCTTTCCCTCCACCAGTGAACTCCAGCCAACTGGGGACCTTCCACACACTGCACCATTTCACACCTCACACCTGTGCTTGTCCTGTGGCCTCTGGCCGCTGTATCTGTTGTCCAAATGTTGTAGGGTTCCTGAAGGCAGGGATGGACACTGTTCGGTAGAGTTCTGCCTTCATTTAGAGTTGACCCAAGGAGCTACTCAATCCCATCAACTCCACTGTCTTCTTTTGGAAAAAGCCAGAGAGACTAAGCTGTTTCAATCCACCCTAGCACACGCCAAACCCCCTTTTGAACAGGAAGAGGGAAAGAAAAACTTCCACCTTCCTAGCATCCAATGTATCAGAAATGTGCTGACCTAAGCAGAGGCCTTTCTGAATGACAAATTTCATGTAATTCCACAAAATGTCCACTCTGCACAAGCCACTGGACGGAGTGTCATGTGGTCTGGATCTGGACACACACTGGGTGCTGTCTACCCAAAGCAAGCAGGGACTTTGCACACCATGCCAAGCCCCCGCCTGCAGGGGAGTGATGCAAGGTTGCGGGCGCTGCACACTTTCCTGCAGCCTGAGGTGTGATAGTGTGCCTGCTGGGTCTCAGGCCCTGCCTTAGCCTTGAAGGATACAGCAGAGAATGGAACAACAGCCCCAACTCATGTTGCTTATATTCTTGTTGGGGAGACTGACAATAAGCAGTGCACAGATTAAAAACAGACTATAGGCTGGGTGCGGTGGCTCATGCCTGTAATCCCAGCACTTTGGGAGGCTGAGGCGAGTGGATCGCCTGGGGTTAAGAGTTCAAGACCAGCCTGGCCAACATGGTGAAACCCCGTCTCTACTAAAAATACAAAAAATTAGTCGGGCGTGGTGGCGCAGGCTTGTAATCCCAGCCACTCAGGAGACTGAGAGAGGACAATTGCTTGGACCTGGGAGATGGAGGTTGCAGTGAGCTGAGTGAGATCGCGCCACAGCACTCTAGCCTGGGGGATAGAGTGAGACTTCATCTCAAAAAAAAAAAAAAGACTATAATTTCAGATAGGCACACACTCTGATGAGAAAGAGTGCAGGGAAGGGCACTGGCTGTGCCTGGAGGCAGAGGCTGTGGCTAGGGGTCAGGGGCATGCTCCCTGCCCACCTGACATCTGGCAAGTCACCTGAGTGAAATGCAGGAGTGAGCCTGCAGCAAGGGCAATTCCAAGCACAGGAGACAGCCATGCAACGTCCCAACTCTGTGAGTTGGGGAAACAGCAAAAAGGCATGTGCCTGAAGCAGAGGAGCCAGGGAGGGGGCATGCAGTGGGGTTCCCTGCCAGTCCCTCCTCCCTGCCCCAAGACTTCATCGCTCAGCTGGCCACACCCTTCCTTTCACTGAGCCTAGTCTGGGACGTCTCCTGCTTTGGAACTCTAGGGGTCTCATCACTTTGAGCTTCCAATCCTTTTCTGCAAAACTGATGTAAAACCATTTCTTCTAAGTGGCTGAGCTGAGTGTTGCAAAAGCTTAACATCCACACAAAAGTCTGTCAAGCATTTTGTTCTTCCTGACCATTCAGCCTGAAGTTGCACTACCACAGCTAGCATCGTTAGGAAACAGAAGCTGAACTGCCTTCCTGCTCCACCTGCCCGGCTCTGTGAGGTTGCAGAGGAAACCTGTTGCATCTCAGCCCTTCTAGGAGGTTTACACGGCACTTTGGGATCCTTCTGGACTTGACGTGTTATGTAAATTTAAGTGCATTATCATTAATCTCCACAGAGAGTTATCCTTCTTTTCAGGCGCCAGATTAGTTTAATGATGCAGCTGCTGCCAGACTGGGAAAGAAACCATGAATGTAAGGAAAACCACAGCCCAAGGAGAAAGGAAAATTCTCCTTAGCAGACCCCAGGCTGGCTGATGGAGCCCCAGGGAGTTGTGTTTCTGGGGCATCCCCAAGCCAAGGTCACCTTTCACTCAATAGGAAAGAAACAGAGACTTCTTAAGTGCCCAGATCCCTCGGAATTTTTTCATATCTAAAATGCAACATGGGGGCTGGGCACGGTAGCTCATGCCTGTAATCCCAGCACTTTGGGAGGCTGAGGTGGGTGAATCACTTGAGTCAGGAGTTCGAGACCAACATGGTGAAACAACCTCTCTACTGAAAAAAAAAATTAGCCAGGTGTGGTGGCGCACACCTGTAGTCCCAGCTACTCAGGAGGCTGAGGCAGGAGAATCACTTGAACCTGGCAGGCAGAGGTTACAGTAAGCTGAGATTGCGCCACTACACTCCAGCCTCGGCAACAGAGAGAGACTCCATCTCAAAAATAAAATAAAATAAAATGCAACTTGGGTAATTAGGTTATCACTAAGATTACACTAAGATCACTAAGATTATCTTAAGAGCCAGCTTAAGATAGCTCTTAAGCACTATCTTACTTTCTGGATTTTGTTTAGAAGTCCACTTAGGTTGGGATGAATGTATATATATGCATGTATATATTTAATTCCTCAAGTCCTAATATCCATCTAGATGATTTTGTAGCCTGGTACTACTTCTATCTCCCATCCACTCCCACCTCATCTACTCTGTACATACACATATACACACACACATATGCATACACGTGCATGTGTGCACACACATACATGCACACGTGTGCAGCACATACAGGTACATGTGCATATGTGCACTTGCATGCATGTGCATAGCACACATATGCATCCACACACATTCACAGATGCACACACGTATGCTCATGCACACGTGCACACACATCTCCACCAGTAGGCACACTAAACATTGCCTAGGCAGAGTCCTGTATTCACTGGCTCTTTTTCATCCCTTTCCTTCCCCACCTAAATTTATCAGTCTCGTTCTCCCGGGCCTTTCTAGGCTAGGGTAATAGGATAAATTAATCCATGATAAAATGCTAATAATCTTATTTGTTTTGTATTCCAAATAAATTGAAAATCTGTGTTAATAGGGTCCTTGAAAGCCTGAACTTAAAGGTTTAAGTAAAATGGGAATTTCAGGCCCAAAAAGAGGCATTTGGGAGCAGGGTGTCCTGAGACGGTCTGCAGGTCCCACTCACGCAGTGGAGGTGGCAAGAGGAGGGCCTGTGTCTGAGCCTTGCCCAGTCTGTGCCCCATAAAAATTAATCTACTCAACTTCTAGGGTGGGGAATGTGTGGAAATAAAATGAAGCGGGAATCTTTTGGGCCTTTACTCCACCCAGGCTGGCACCCCGAGGGAGCGTGCGTGCTCAGCCTCCCAGTAATCCAGCTTTAGAGGGAAAAAGAAGGCTTTTCTCAGTGGAAAAACCTACCTGTGGCCGTAATGATTTAGTAGATGCCAGTCTAACCTGAAATAATAAATACCATTATGATGTCACTGTCTCACTGCTCATTTTTAGAGACTCTGGACCTTTCTTCCAAAAACACGAGCTTATGAATAGGACTCTGTGGTGCCTGACGTGTCGTTCATGGGTCAGCACAGGCGTGGTAGCTGGGCTGCAGGACAGGCTTAGGAGACCCTCCCAGCATGGATGGCGGTAGCTCGTGGGCAATCTTGCCCCTGAACTAACCCAGCTCAGACTTCAAGTGCCAGATTGATCTGAAACTCAGTCTCGCCTCAGCTAGCTGCAGAACAGCCTCCAGAGCCTGCCTGGACACAGTCTAGAAGGAAAAGTTCCCTCTGTCCCTGACTGCCTGGCACACCTTAAAATCATTTCATTTTGCTTTCACCTCTCTTTTTCTGAAAGTCAAAACGTTACATTCATGTGTTTCATGGAAAACAGCTAAGGATAAAATACAAAAGCCACACTTCTGTTACACAATTTCCACTTTCAAAGAAACATATATTTTGGATCACAAGAACAGGAGGAGTGAAAAATGCTGGAGAGAGAGGTGAAGAGAAAACATCTAATCGCAAATAACATTACCTAAGTGTATGTCCTTTGGGTACTACTAATAAGCTAATAGAGTACTACTGCTAGTATTGGATCTACTACTTAGATCATTAGTATTTCTTTTTCTGTGTCCAGTTTATCTTACTTAACATAATGTCCTCCAGGATCATCCATGAGGATTTTCCTTTGCTACAGCTGAGTAATATTCCACTGTGTATATATACCACATTTTCTTTATCCATGCATCCACTGACAAACATTTAGGTTGTTTCCATATCTTTGCTATTGTGAATAGTGCTGTAATGAACATGGGAGTAAAGATATCTCTTCCACATACAGATTTCATTTCCTTTGGATATAAACCCAAAAGTGGGATTGCCAGGTCATTTGGTAGTTCCATGTTTAATCTTTGAGGAAACTCCATATCATTTTCCATAATGGATGTAACAATTAACATTTCGCCAGCACTTATTATCTCTTGTCTTTATCTCATTGTGGGTTTGATTTGCATTTTCCTCACCATTAGTGTTGCCAAGCACCTTTTCATATATCTGTTGGACATTTGTATGTTTCTTTGGAGAGATGTCTATTCAGGTCTTTTGCCTATTTTTAATCAAATTATCTGGTTTTCAGCTATTGAGTAGTATGAGTTTCTTATATATTTTAGATGTTAACTGTTTATCAAATACATGGTTGCAAACAACATTTTCTTCTATTTTGTAAGTTATCTTTTCATTTTGTTGGTTGTTTGCTATGCAGAAGCGTTTATTTTGATGTAATTCCATTTGCCGATTTTTGTTCTTTGTAATCTGTGCTTTTGTTGTCACATTCAAAAAACTCATTGCCAAGACCAATGTCAAGGACATTTTTCCTATGTTTTCTTCTAGGAGTTTTATGTTTCAGGTCTTATGTTTAAGTCTTTTAATCCACTTTGAGTTATTTTTACGTGTGATGCAGGATAAGGGTCTAATTTCATTCTTCTGCATATGGATATCCAGTTTTCCCAACACCATTTATTGAAGAGAATATCCTTTCCCCATTGTGTCTTCATGGTGCCCTTGTCAAAGCCATGTAATGGCTGTAGATTTATTTCTGGACTCTATTCTGTTCCGTTGTTCTATGTGTCTGTTTTTATGCCAGTACCATACTGTTTTGATTACTATAGCTTTGTAATATAGTTTGACCGTAGGACGTGTGATGCTCCCAGCCTTGTTCTTCTTACTCAAAATTGCTTTGGCTATTCAGAGTCTTTTGAGGTTTCAGAAAAATTTTAGAATGTTTTTTCCTATTTCTGTGAAATATGTTATTGAAATTTTGATAGGAATTTCATTAAATCTATAGATTATTGTGGGTAGTATGGACATTTCAACATTAATGCTTCTTTTCCATGAATATATGCTATCTTTTCATTTATTTGTGACTTCTTCAATTTATTTCATTAATGTCTTATAGTTTTTCAGTGTACAGATCTTTCATCTCCTTGGTTAAATGTATTTCTAAGTACTTTCTTCTTTTTGATGTTATTGTAAATAAGATTGTTTTCTAAATGTCTTTTTGATTAGTCACTTTTAGTGTATAGAAATGCAACTGATTTTTGGACATTGCTTTGTATTGTATAACTTTACTGAATCTGCTTATTAGTTCTAACAGTTTTTTGATAGAGACTTTAGGATGTTTCTATGGGTGAGATCATGTCATCTGCAAACAGAGACAGTGTAGCTTACTCCTTTTCAGTTTGGATGTCTTTTATTTCTTTTTCTTAGCTAATTGCTCTAGCTAGAATTTCTGGTACTATCTTAAAAACAAGTGGTGAGGGTGGGTATCCTTGCTCCTGATCTTACAGGAAAAGCTTCAGGAAATGGTATTGCATATGTTGAACCATTCTTGCATCCCAGGGATAAATCCCACTTCTTCATGGTGTATGATTCCGGTAATGTGCTATTGAATTCTGTTAGCTAGTATTTTGTGGAGAATTTTTGCATCTATGTTCACCAGGAATATTGGCCTGTAGTTTTCTTTTCTCATTGTGTCCTTATCTGTCTTTGGTATCAGGGAAATACCGGCTTCATTAAATGAGTCTAAAGATG
Source organism: Homo sapiens (assembly GCF_000001405.40). Classification (NCBI taxonomy): domain Eukaryota; kingdom Metazoa; phylum Chordata; class Mammalia; order Primates; family Hominidae; genus Homo; species Homo sapiens. The sequence goes on along the minus strand of NC_000008.11, from coordinate 48,310,596 downwards.
TTCCCTCCTCTTCCATTTTTTGGGAGATTTTGGGAATTGGTATTAGTTCTTCTTTAAATGTTTGGTAGAATTCACCAGTGGTGCCACCTAGTCCTGAGCTTTTCTTGGTTGAAAGGTTTTTGATTACTAATTCAGTCTCCTTACTAGTTATAGGTTTGTTCAGATTCTCTATTTCTTCCTGGTTCAGTCTTGGTAGCTTGTCTGTTTCTAGGAATTTATCCATTTCTTTTGGGCTTCTCCATTTGCTGGAGTATAATTATTTATCGTAGTGTCTCATAGTCCTTTGTATTTCTTTCTATAGTATCAACTGTAATGTCTTCTCTTTAATTTATTATTTTATTTGAGCCCTCTCTCTTTTTTTATTTGAGTCATCTCTCTTTTTTCTCTTAGTCTAGCTAAAGGTCTGTCAATTTAGTTGATCCTTTCAAGAAACATTAACTCTTAGTTTTGTTGATCTTTTCTTTTTTTAACTTTTAAGTTCAGGGGTACATGTGCAGGATGTGCAGGTTTGTTACACTGGTTTTCAGTTGTCTTTCTTGTCTCTCTTTCATTTACTTCTGCTTTAGTCTTTATTACTACCCTCCTTCTAAGTTTGGGTTTAGTTAATCCTTCTTTTTCTAATTTCTTGAGGTGTAAAGTTAAGTTGTTTAATTGAGATCTTTCTCTTTTATTCGTGCAGGCATTTATCACTATAAACTTCCCTCTTAGAACTGCTTCTGCTGTATCCCGCGAGTTTTGGTGCGTTGTATTTCCATTGTTCAAGTGAATGTGTCTCCCACCACGTCCCTTGGTAGACAGTGCTGCTCCCAGACCCCAGCTGAGAGGAGATGGAACTGCGTCACTGGCTGCTTCACCATCCACAGCCTGGACTGAGCTGGGTGGGCCTGCTACTGGAAGTACAGGTGGGCATGGCTCTTCCCACATCCCTGGCTTGGCAGATGGTGCCAGTTGCAGGATCAAGGTAAGTTTACAGGGAGACAGGACTGTTCCCAAGTGTGTGGCTGGGACCACCATCAGCAAGCTGCCACCTGGTTCTGTCTTCCTAAAATGGCTTTGCTCAGTCTTGGACTCCACTGGGGTTTTGCAATTCCCATCTAGATCCCAAAGTTCCCACAGAGGCACTTTTGACTGTGGGCGGCTGCTGTGGGGGGATACACATGGGGAGCACTGGTCCTCCATCCTGCTGATGTCACTCCTCTCCAATGGTTCATTCTCAGCTCTGCCCACCATTGAGCAGCCCAGGCATCATGGAGCCTCAGTACTCTTCCTTCGGGCCACATGGCGCACTCCTTGGCTAGACCATTCGTCAACCGCACCCGAGGTTTTCTAAAGTTCCTAGATTGAGACCAGACCTTCTCAAGGATCTTCCAATCTTATCTGCCCCCATTTCAGGGGCTCTCTTGCATAAATCAAGTAATAAATAATGTGCAACCAGCTGCCCTCCTTCACCAATTTGCATGTGCCTCAGAAGTGCCACACCATACACTTGCAGTTGAATCAAAGGGGTATTTAAAGTATTCCTTTAAAAACTAGGCATGGCCAGGCACAGTGGCTTACGCCTGTAATCCCAGCACTTTGGGAGGCCGAGGCAGGCAGATCACGAGGTCAGGAGATTGACACCATCCTGGCTAACACGGTGAAACCCCATCTCTACTAAAACACAAAAAATTAGCCTAGCATGGTGGCAGGCGCCTGTCGTCCCAACTACTCGGGAGGCTGAGTCAGGAGAATGGCGTGAACCCGGGAGGCAGAGCTTGCAGTGAGCCGAGATCACGCCACTGCACTCCAGCCTGGGTGACAAAGCGAGACACTGTCTCAAAAAAAAAAAAAAACTAGGCATTAAGTCTTTGTTTAGTAAAATAACCCTATAGTCATAGCATTGTTTGGACGGGAAAATTAGATTTGACTTACATCACTTCCTCTTACAAAACTTCTTCCAAGAGCACAGACTGCCTTAAAGCCCGACTGTATTTGAAAAACAGCCTTTTTCTTTTCCTCACCACTCTTATTCTTCTACCATTTAAGTTCTCTGATATGTTTCTAAGCAAGATACCTATTCCAAGAAACTTTTTTAAAAATTAAAAATTAAAGCTAGTGATGAAATGAAAAACACTCCAGTACAGGGATCACTTTTTCAAATCCACCAAGTCATGTCACTGTGAAATAGAAGTAAAAAAAAATCAGGGCCAGGAGCAGTGGCTCACACTTATAATCCCAGCACTTTCGGAGGCCAAGGCAGGCAGATCACTTGAGGTCAGGAGTTTGAGATCAGCCTGGTCAACATGATGAAACCCCATCTCTACTAAAAATACAAAAAGTTAGCCAGGCATGGTGATGCACACCTGTAATCCTGGCTACTCGGGAGGCTGAGGCACAAGAATCGCTTGAACCTGGGAGGTGGAGGTTGCAGTGAGCCAAGATCACACCACTGCACTCCAGCCTAGGTGACAGAGTGAGACTCTGTCTCCAAAAAAAAAAAAAAAAGAAGTAAAAACCCATTTGAAGGTGGAACAACATGACTGTCAATACATGCAACTCCAAAGTTTGAAAATAAACTTCAAGTTACATGCTTGCTTCAGCAGCACATACACTAAAACTGGAATGCTGGAGAGATCAGCATGGCTTCTGTGCAAGGATGACACGCAAATTCATGAAGAGCTCCATATTAAAATAAAATAATAATAATAAAACAACATTCAAATTACAACAGACATTATTAAATATTTTTCATTATTGCCATCTTATCACTAATAGTTTTCTATTTGGTTTTCTACCATGTGACAATCCTTAAAATGCAATTTTGAATTATTCTTAAATTTCTTTCCTTTATTTTAAAGAATGTTTTGTGCTTCCACCCAAAGGCAAAATGAGCAAGAGGAGCTTTATTTTATAAACAAACAGGAGGCTTGGAGCTCATCAAGTACTGATGCTAAGACTTGTTCAGGGAAATTGGCCCAGCTGCAGGCAGGTGGTCAGCTCTGGACTTGTCTGTGTGCACCTAAAATTGTGGTGGGTGAAAGTACAAACATGAGGATGTTAAAGTAAAGTCACATGACCTGCGTGTGCACTTCCTCAGGCACTTGACGGACACACAGTTTTTAAGCATAGTAAACATCAGATCATTTCCAAGGTAAGACTTCCTTTCCATTTTTATTTTTATTTTTTTGCAATGACAGGGCCTCACCATGTTGCCCAGGCTGGACTCGAACTCCTGGGCTCAAGCAATCCTCCCACCTAGGCCTCCTGAGTAACAGACTACAGGCACACACCACCACAACCAGCTGAGGACCTTATTCCCTAATAACATACATGATGTAAACGAAAGAGAAAGTTCTAGAGTTCCAAAGACAAATATGTTATATTCAGGAGCTCTCCTTTCACAAGATCCAGTGCTAGCAACTTCAGAGTAATTCTTTATTTAGAAAATATTCCTTTCAAGTGCTTTTAGAGTGGTAATGCACATTCCCGAACTTCCTCCTACCTGGGAGGTCCCCTCGGAAAACGTAATATTTTTACCTTCTATGCTCTGAAGCCCAAGTAAAGGATGCTACTATCATGTCCTACATTTTTTCTGTGTACTAACAGCATTGTGATAACTGTAAGTGGATTTTTCTGTGAGGTGTCTGGCATGTGTAAAACAAAGAAAGCTTGCCTGCATCTAATTAATCAGCACAGGCTCCGTCTGCTGGTTAATGAAGATGCCAGGTGCCCACAAAGAATACCATAGGTGTGAATTCTTAACACGGAAATGTTTACGAAAATAAATCAAATATTATACAAAATCACCAAAAATCTCAATACCAATGTAAAGTCTAGGATCTGCCTTTACCCTCCTTGTAAGCTAATAGGTTAGCCTATTTCAGTTTCATGGATGCTGGCAGCAGACATGAGACCCCTGGATCGGAGACATGGGACTTTATTACTCAGGACATGGCATGCATATGACAGTTCTCCTTTTCTTGAATGTGTATGGGGCTGGCATGGAGGGGCCCAGATGGATGTTTTACGTGCAGTGGGTTTGTGCCACATCTGACGAGCACTAAGCTTGGGGAACACACCACTGTCACATCAAACAGTAAGTCCGTCCACTCTTTGTCTTGGAGGGAGACCTTACTCAGTTCCTCAAGGTTACTCACTGCAAACACAACCTGAGAAATGGCCAGGCTAAAGGTCAGCCAGGGCTTTGCATTCTTGAAATACCCAGCAAGACTTGTAGACGTGCAAGAAACCCATGGAAAACTGTCCTTCTCAATAATGGTTACTATTGGTAATAATTTAAAGTTTCAACTTCATTAAAGTAATTGCAGAATTTATTTCTTCTTACTTTTTGTAGACGATTTCTTTTACTAACTTTCCACCATACTATACTGTTGGTTAAAACTTTCTAAAACTAGAAGTGAAAATTTCACTACCTTTTATCAAATAGTAGTTGGTCCATTTAGTTGAATTGTAAATAAGGATAAGTGACAACTAAAATTTCACGGAGTTTAAAATTTAAAAAAAAGTTTAATTACCATAATGTGAGACTCGTCAGTTATACGTGAATACTTTCCAGAGTCCCTTTTGAAGTATTCACAGCGATAGAATTTTAAATGGGATAGAGTATTATAGAATGGCAGAAATCCATAGATAAGCCCTTAAACTTATAGCATCACAGAATTTAAAGCCTTCGGGTTTGACAGAAACCAATTATAATATTTTGACAGCTGGCTTTTATGTTCTTATTTTGGCATTAGCCAAAAATCTTGTACCACCACAGTGTAACAGCTTTAAATCAAGAAGTGGTTGAGTTTCCACAATTGCTATAAACATTTCTGCTTTGCCTTTATAGAACACTTGACTGTCTCCAAAGTGTTTTCCCACACCTTCTCTCCTTTGCACCTCACCTTTACCATAATGTTTAGGTAGAAGATTTTGATATCTCCCTTTGAGGAAACTAAGAAGCAGAGCAGTCACATGAGAGCTGGGAGCTGGTGCAGTCCATTCCGAAGAGCTGGGCTGTATTTGCACCCCGTAGCTGCTCCCCCACTTTGCCACCAGCTCCCCCACTCTATCAGCTGAGAAGCTGCAGACAGCTGGTCACAGAAAACCTTACTCATACTTACTTCAGCTGCAAGGAATTTACAGGCTCTCCTGACTGAGCAAGTCCAGGGGAGGGGCACACTTCCAGGGAGGTTTGCTGAGGGCACATCTGTGGTCTGCCGTCCTCAGGGTGTGTGCTCCCTCCCAGGCTGACTAGTCTCATTAGAGTGAATTGCCCACAGCAATTCCAGGTCCAATGCCCACCCACCATCACTCAGATGCAAAGGGATGTCCTCCTCTCAACCATCAAAGAACATTCTTGACCAGCCTTCTAATTAGGCCAACCTAAACCAATCATTTTGGCCAGGGTGTGTGTCATAGATGCTAAGCGGCCACCCTAATGTCCACTACACTGATAATTTTGAAAAGTGTTCACGATGCAGCACTCAGTTTGCAAGGTGCTTTCTATGGATAACTTGCTAAGCTTTAACGGTCTCTGAGGTCATGGGATAAATGCAGTGCTTCATATGAATTAACTAATTTATTTTCCACACCCTTATGAAAACCTTATAAGGCAGGTGCTACTGTTATACTCGTTTTAGAGATGAGGAAACCAAAGCTGAGAGAGGTTAAGTGACTTGTCCAATGCCGCACAGCTCAGAGGCAGGAGATCCTAGATTCAAGCCGACAGGCTGATCCCAGAGCCCACATGCTTACACATGGCACCAAGCCGCTGCCTGTGGGAGAAGGAAAAACAGGAGTCCTGTGGCTACATGAATTTGGGAAGTCCTGCATAACATATTCCCCTCTTGGAGACTCACAGCGCACATTAGGATAAGAATATTCTGAGAAATCCTGCAAGAAAGAAATTTATTTAATTTGTTTAACTCAACATTTCCCAACCTCACATTGTTACAGAGCTTTTCTTGTCTAACACCTCCAGGGAATAGCTTTCCACCCATTTATCTGTCTTTAGTGAGGTACTCTGTCATATGACTAAAATAAAATTCATGATAAATCAGCTCCTTTTCCATGGAGAGCCTTTGTTTTCCTCGTTTTGCTTTGCATTGGCGAGTTCAACCAAGGCTCAGGGTCCCACGGTGCTGCTGTCTCTTCCCTGTTATACTGCCCTGATTGAGAGAGCAGTGATGGTCAGTGGGGGTTCTGTGTGGAGCGGAGGCTGCCTCCTAGGCTGGCATCTCATCTGTTTCTAGTACTTTTCTAAGTGAGAGTGTTTGGACACTGAACTAAATGAGTATTGGTAAGACAAAAATAGAGCAGCACTAACACTTCTGATCCCAACATTTTAAAGAGTTATACAGGAATGCTCACTTAGCTTTTAGTAAATAGAGAACAGTTTGTCCTTGCAGACATTCCTCAGGAAGAGAGAGGAAGAGGCACTACTAATAATTAGGTGGGTCTGAGCTGTTTTAGTCCATTCTCGCATTGCTATAAAGAAACACCTGAGACTGGGTTTAAAAAAAAAAAAAAAAGAGGGTGAGTTGGCTCACAGTTCCGCAGGCTGTACAGGAAGCACAATGCTGGCATCTGCTGGGCTTCTGTGGAGGCCTCAGGAAACTTTCAATCATGGCAGAAGGGGAAGTGGGAGCAGGCGTCTCACATGGCAGGAGCAGGAGCAAGAGAGAAAGGAGGAAGTGCTACACACTTTTAGAAGACCAGATCTCATGAGCACTCACTCAGTATCACAGGGACAGCATCAAGGCAATGGATGGTGCTAACCCATTCATGAGAAATCCATCCCCATGATCCAATTGCCTCCCGCCAGGTCCCACCTCCAACACTGGCGATTACAATTCAAATGAGATTTGAGTAGGGCAACATCCAAACTCTGTCATGGGCCCTTCAGATGGGAATGTGTGCAGAGTGCTCCCCACTGTTACAAAGTTATTTCACTTCTGTGACCCTGTGTGGCACACACAAAGCCCTCTCCCTCCAGGCTCCTGACTTGATGTCTGAGCATCTGACTTGGGCAGGGTCTGTCTTCATTTCCTCATGTTTTTGTAATGTGTCTCTTGTTCACAAAGTCAACCGTCAGGTCTATTGCCATTTGCTGCTCTGGTACAGTTCCCTCAGGCCACTTGTTTTTCAAAGCACACAACTGGGAAGAGATTGTTTTTATTTGAGTCAATAAAAAAGTCACTCACTCCAAAGCTACTTCAGGCTGAGAGCAGGTACGTGTGCACGGCACCTCCAACCTGGGAGCCCGCCTTTGGCTTCACAGCCATCTTCATGTTCAGGCTCCCTACTGGCTCTACATTTGCCTGTCTGCTCTCCAGGAGATGCATTTGAAATCTCAGCGTTTTTGTCATCGACTGAGTGCAGAAAGTCAGCCTTGGCATTATTGCCCATCAGCAACTTGTGGTCACTGGCCAGGAAGTTCTCAATCTCACGGTGATGCAGAAACTTGTACTGGAGGATTAGGGCTCTCCATTAGTCACTGTCCTGAGAAAGTGATTATTTATTCTACAGAAAACCTATTCTTTTCAGGATGTGCCAGCTTACATGGCTCAACCCAGACAGGGTGCCAAGAGCTGGGAGCACCAGTGCATGACTGCTGCTCTTCTAACTTCTCCAGCAGAGCACAAATAAAGCTCTCCATGCTGCTGAGGCCTCATCACTCTCACCTCAGCACTTCCAGATATCACAAATCCATCCTCATCCTGGGATATAGGCCTGGAGTCAGGGAGGAGAAGTCTAGGGACAGAGAACTCAACACCTCTTCTTTAACACTCCAGGACCAATGTGGAGCTGGGATTCTGGGCAAACACATCCTTCCACTCTGCTGCACAGCCCTGGCTGAGATCTGTTGGCCTCCCAGGCATTTGAAAGCCAGATCCATCTTTTTGCTTGTTTTCCCTGGAGACATCAGCAGATTTTGTGTCCTCATATTTGTCAAAGTATCAAGACCCTGGGGTTGGTGATATTTGCAAAACAAGGGAGGGGTCCACGAGCCTCAGCAACCTTGACTGGACACATCTGATGGCAACTGGCTCACTTCCTATAACACGGCCACCCTCATCCATGGCCTTGTCCTCAAAGTGCCCACTCTGCTCTCTGGGAGTCTCAGCCTGGCTGCAATTGAGAATCTGTCCACGGCCTTTGCCATGATCAGACCACCAACATCTGGGAAAATCTGGAAGTATATTTTCTAGGGACAGGCACAGAGACAGATCCAGGACACCTGAGAGTTTAAATAGTGGCTGTTTGGACACTCAGGACATTCAGAAATGTTTGGTGCTGCCTCTGAAGAAGGCATGGAGGAGAGAGGTGCAGTCATGAATCTACATTGACTGCATTTCTCTAAGTGAGCCATGCACAATTTATGAACCTTCCTCAAAACCCTTTTAGATGGCTGTTGCTTTCTGGAATTTCTCTATATGGTGGTGCAATTAACATGAGTTGACTTTGATGTCTAGTTTTGATATCTAGTCCAAAGTGAGGGAATAGGTAAGAGAACAGATTCTAGAGAAAAAATGCTTGAGTCCTAGTTCTGAATGCTGTTCCTTAGCCCTGCTAAGCCTCAGTTTCCTCATGTATAAAATAGGTATAAGAGTATATCATATGGCCTCACAAGACTGCTGGATTAACAGCATTAACACATGTGAGGGAGATTAAAAATGGCCACATCTCCATCCCTCCCTATATCATCCATGTCTTTGCAATGTGGTTCTGCAGCTCCTCCCATCGAGAGGCAGAGTCTCTTCCTTGAGTCTGAGCTGGCCCTGTGACATTCTGGCTGACAGAACTGGGTGGAAGTAGCATCCTGCCATTTCTGAGTCAGCCTCAGGAGGCCATGCATTCTTTCACCTCCCCTCTTAGGACCCCATTGCCACCCTGTGAACACAATGAAGCCAGGCTGCTGGGTGATGAGAGACAAGTGGCCCAGTTGCCCTGTGACCCCTGCCATCCGATGGTTAACCACGAGAGATCTGAGTGAAGCTCTCTGAGACCAGCCAGCTTCAGCCACGCCACCCTCCAGCTGACCACAGATAAAAGTACAAGCCCAGCCAAGATCAGCCAAGTGGAACCCCATCCACCCAGAGATTCATGAGGAATAATAAATAGTTCTTGGTTTAAGCCAAGCTCAGGCTACTATACGAAATGCCGTAGACTGAGTGGATTCATCAACACACAGTTATTTTCCATAGCTACAAAGGCTAGGAAGTCCAAGTTCATGGTGCCAGCAGGTTCTGTCCTTGGTGATGGTGCACTTCCTAGCTTGCAGGTGGGTGCCTTCTCACTGTGTCCTCACACAGCATAGAGGCTGCACTTTCTTCCTCTTCTTATAAGGGCACTAATTCTATCATCAGTGCTCCACCCTCATAACCTCATTTAAACCTAATCACCTCCCAGAGGCCCCCACATCCTAATACCATTGCATTGGGAAGGAGGGCTTCAGCATGTGAATTTGGTGGTGGGGTGCACAATCATTTCGTTCATAAAAGGCACTAAGTTCTGTAGTCATTTGCTAACTGACAAACAAACCCTAACTGATATCACATGTAAAGCCTTCAATGGGCATATATTAAGTGCTCAAAAAATATGAGCCATTATTATTGTCCAACATAGCAAGTTAAAAAGATAGATTCTCATCCAATGTACAAACCTGAAATCTGTAGAACAAAGAATGGCCTTGTCTTCCCACACCTTATAGTTATAAAGAAGAGGTCACATTATTTTTAAAAATAAGCAGCTTTAACAAATGTCTTCAATTCATTAATTATAAAGAGTTTCAACTGTGGCAAGTCTCTTGTGCCATCTCCTTTCATATGGAAGATACAGTGGCTGAAAATGGACTGATGGGGCAGAGAGAGTTAGTGAACAATAGCAAATGGTTGTAATTTTTCACAATGGAAGAACACGGGCCTAAAGTTCAATGATAACAGTGAAACTCTCACAGAGCTTTCTGAGATGGGGAATGGGACCACTTTCCTGATCATTTCTACTATGGGTTTGAATGCTTATACAGTAGGATGGTCTTTACGAGGTCAGAAACCATGGAAAATGGGAAAAGAAGCTAAATTAAGGAATAAGAGTGGGGTGAGAATACGGAAAATCAAGAAAACATCAAGGGCTGCTGAATAAATCATTTTCGTAGGTAGGAACTCCAGCTCCTGAGCTCACCCCAGGTGAGTGATTAGAGATGGCTTATTTTTAAATGCATTTCCACAGTAGGGGGGTCATAGAATCCCAGAATTCTGTAGACAACAGGGACTCCAGAGCCCCTGCCCTAGCAGAGCAGTTTACTGACATCTGCCATTTCTTCCTAGGTAGGTTCACTGTTAGCTGCTGTGAGCAGGAATGCCGTGTTTAACTTAGCATTCCCTATTTCTCTAAGAATATATATTACTATAATTCTGTTTTCAGCTTGATGTTGATACACAACTGTTCCAACAAATTAATGTTCCCATCTTTGGTTGACTCATTTGGCCAGAAAGCAAGTTCACAGATTTTCCACGCCATCCCTCCAAAGAAAAAACATAAGTGTGTCATTGTGTTTTCATGCTAACGAGCATTAAAAAATTAATGCTTGGAGGCTCTCCAGCTCAGGGTAAATGAGTGGATATAAATACACACTTCAGTAGTGTGTCAGAAAATACAGATTGTCAACTAAATAGCCATTCCCTTTTTACCTTCTTTTTTTAATCAACATAACCCAATTTTGTCTGGGGCAGCAACATTCCTATTACAAAAAAAAAAACTCTCTCAGGCTCTTTTGCAGCCAGGTGTATTCTATGACACTGTTCACAACAAGTCTGGTAAAACCACTGAGGTTGAGTGACTCTCTTGAATGCAATAGAACCCAACTGTAACTGTCATGAACAAGGGGGCCACTTGTCTGTATGTAGACAACTCAACTAAACTGTAAGACAGTGTGACACAAGGAAATGCCAAAGTATTACATAAAGCACTGTAATGTGCCACCACAAACAATGAAACACATCTAGAAGTTGAGAGGGAAATGTGTGTGTGTGTGTGTGTGTGTGTGTGTGTGTGTGTGTGTGTTGGGGAGGCGGGGGTAACATTGTTAACAGTATTGTGTTCCTTGAAGACCAAGCCATAGTGTCCATACTAATTCATGGTTGTTTCTAAAGCTCAAGTCTTATGAGAAAAGTACACCCAGAACCCTGAACTTAAATAAATGTCTTTACTCATCGGAAAGCCAACTCAATTTTATGGGCCAAATTGAAATTGACTCCAATCTTCCTTTTGCTTTGGGGCCATGGAGTCTCCATGTCTCCCATAGCCCATTCGTTCATTAAACATTTGTTGAGCACTTACTCTGGGCCTGGCCCTGGAATACCAGAGTAAATTACATTCAGAAAACTAAATTCCATGTCACAAATGAGTAGGGCTAGCTTGGACTGGGGCATTTGGAATATTCATGTGCCAAGCATAAGATTTTTGGTTTGTGACATGCAGTGGTGACGGTGATGGGAATCAACTGCTGTGTAGGAGCAGCTGTAATTTGAACCAGAGTATTTTGTTCTGGGTCAGGTGCATCAATAACTTATAAAATAATCTACATTTCCAAAGTCACTTTAATCCATTCTTAGTCTTCGCTTTTATGAATTCTGAACTCCTAAATGTGTCTAGGGTTTGGATCCAAAGATAAATAGTTTCCATTTCTATCCCTGGTTAGAAACAACATACAAATGGAAAAGTTAGGTTCAAAGGCACATTAATCACTCATTACAAGAGATGCCAATAGATGGCCTAGTCTTCACACCACTTCTCCATTTCACAGGAAATCTGGCAACACTTCATCATCAGTGGGCACTTATTAATCACTTTCCTCTGTATGTTTTACAACAGTATTTGTCACTATAGTGATTCCCTGAAAACCGAGCTGGTAAGCCAGCAGGGACGCCTTCCTCCTTTGAGCAGGCTAAAATTAACTGCTCATTATGAAGTGCCACAGGAAAGCTACTAATGTGTCTTGTCCAGGAACAGTCACTTAAATCTATCACTGCTTAATGATGTGAGCTATGAAGTCTCTGTGTTCAACACTCATACCCTACCCTTCCCTAAGAGACTGGATGATCTGAGCTCCCCACTCCAGAAACTTAGCCATTGTTTGCAGCAGCATTTAGGTTCACTTTTAAGTAATTGCTGCTAAGCAAATTTATACTTGTCTGCCTTGGCTGTTCTTAGGTAATTCAATGCAAGGGTCCTAGAATAACCCAGTATAAAATAAGCTAGTCGAAAGTAAGTGATTCCTACTTCAAGGGAACATTAACACCCACAGCACTGTAAGCAACCAAAAAGGAATTCAAAGTCCTCTCTGGAAGTGGACATTATTGGATCATGATTATGAATTTGCATACAAAGTCTCAGACTTTCTGCTTTCCACTTGCTGTTTATGCTACTTGGCAGACATTTGAAAACTAAGACGGGACTTCTGGGAAGATGAAGTAGGTGTGTTCTTCCTGTCTCCTCCCACCAAGTACAACTAAGAACGCTGGACATTACGTATAAAACACTGAAAGGTGCAGAGAAGAAGCCAGGCTGGCTGGAGACCTGAGGAACATGATATGGGTTTCCTGTGTTTTCTTTTTGCCTCATATATCCCAGACTTGAAGCTGAAGAAGCTGGCAACCGGGAAGCACCAACAGGAAGAGGCATTAAAAAGCCCAAAAGCTGATCCTCCCTAGGCAAGTTACCAGGAAAGAGGTAGCCTATCAGGACAGAAAACTTTCACAAGATAACCTCCCTGCCCCAGCCAAACACCACAGAAATAACGATGATTCCTCTCTCATACCATGTCAACAAAGGCCAGGTTGGGAGCCTAGATTCCCACTCTCTCTGGGCTATAAGGGGGTGCCCCTCCATTCCGTCCCGTACCCCACCAGGGTGGTGTCAGTGGACACCACATGGGGAGGCTGGACTTGCACTCCCACTCAGCACTAATGAAGTGCCCCTCCCTTTGCCAGCTGTGGTGGTGTCAGAGAGGCCTAGAGGAGAGTCAGAAATGTCACTGTAGCCCACTGCAATGAGACCATCCCTGCCATGGTATCAGGGGAGGCCTCCTGAGGAACGGTCCTCTTCTTCATAACCAGGGACATATCGATGGAAATCCCAACACCCCCACCTAGAGCAGTTTGAGGAGACACCCCCACTGTCAATGGAGACTCAGTGGAAAACCTAGGCTTCTATCCAACTTCGAGGTAATGAGGCAGCACCCTCCCCAACCCCCATCCCCAGCAGTGTCAGAGGAAGCTCACTAAAATCAAAGGTTAAAATAAGATCTTGAGTCTCATGACATAATACTTAAGTGTTTGGGTTTCTATCTAAAATCACACATTATAACAAGGAAAAGGAAGATCTTAAATTGAATGATGAAAGAAAATCACTGCATGCCTACACTGAGATGACACAGATGTTAGAATTATCTGACAAAAATTTTTAAGCAGCCAAGATAAAAATACTTTGATCAACAGATACAAACATGCTTGAAACCAATGAAAACATAGTCTTAGCAAAGAAACAGGAAGTCTTCATAAGAAATAGAAGAGAAAACTAAATAAAAATTTTAGAACTGAAAAATATAACCAAAATAAAAAACTCAATGGATAGTCTCAACAGCAGAATGGAAGTGACAGAGGAAAGAATCAGTGAAGAGGAGGACAAAATAGTAGAATGTACCCAATCTGAATAACCTAGAAACCAGACTGAAAGAAATAGAAAGCAGATTCTCAGAAACCTGTGGGACTGCAACAGAACCTCTCACATTTGTGTCAACAGAGTCTCAGAAGGAGACCAGGCAGAAACATAGGTTTGGCAGTGTGCGGTGGCTCAAGCCTGTAATCCCAGCACTTTGGGAGGCCGAGGCAGGCGGATCACGAGGTCAGGAGATCGAGACCATCCTGGTTAACACAGTGAAACCGCGTCTCTACTAAAAACACAAAAAATTAGCCAGGCATGGTGGCAGGCACCCGTAGTCCCAGCTACTCAGGAGGCTGAGGCAGGAGAATGGCATGGACCCAGGAGGCGGAGCTTGCAGTGAGCCGAGATCGAGATTGCGCCACTGCACTCCAGCCTGGGTGACAGAGCGAGACTCCGTCTCAAAAAAAAAAAAAAAAAAAAAGAAAGTGGACACGCCTGAAAAGTGCCCAAAGGAATGATGGCTGAAAACTTTGTAAATTTAACAAAAGACAAGCCTTCAGATTAAAGAAGCAAAGTGAATCCAAAATAGAAGAAACCCAAAGGAATCAAGTCATAATTTAAAACATCATAATTAAACTTCCAAAAACTAAGACAAAGCAAAGCAAATTTCTCAAAAAATTCAAAATCCAAAGAAAAACAATACCTCATTTATAAGGGGAAAACAATTCAAGGGACAGACTTCTCGTTGGTAGCCATGGAGGCCAGAGGAATGGCACAATGATTCAAGTGCTGAAAGAAGAGGATTGTTAAACTAAAAATCTATATCCAGTGAAAATATCCTTGAGGAATAAAAGGAAATTCAAAAGATCCTCAAATGAAGGAAAACCAAGAGGATTTGTTACCAACAGGACTACCCTAAAAGAACGGCTACAAGTTTTCTAAACAGAAAGGAAAGAATAAAAGAAGAAATCTTGGTACATCAGGAAGGAAGAAAAAACACAGTAAGTGAGAATATGGGTAAACACAACAGACTTTCCTTCTCTTAGGTCTTCTAAGTTCTTTCGAAGGTCCTTCTAAGAAAGAAAAACAGAGAACAGAAACTGAAATATAAAACATACTTAACTCCTAACTTATAAATACACTAACCACAAATAGTCTAAACATATCCTAACTATATGTTGTTTATAAGGAACTCATTTCAAACATAATGCTATAGCCAGGTGGAAGGTAAAAAGATGGAAGAACATATATTATGCAAATATTAATCAAAGGAATGGAGGAGTGGCTACATTAATATCTGATAAAGCAGGCTAAAGAGTAAAAAGAAAAAGAAAAAATACGAGCGATTGAGAGGGACATTAAATAATAATAAAAAGTCAATCCATCAGAAGGCATAGTAATCCTAAATGTGTACGCACCAAACAACAAAGCCACAAAATATGTGAAGCAAAAACTGACAGAACTGAAAAAAATGGACTAATCCATAATTACAGTTGAAGACTTCAATGTCTGTCCTTCAACAATTGTTAGGACAACTAGGCAGAAGATCAGCAAGGATACGGAATAAATCAACAATACTACAGGTTCTAATCAACATCTATGGAATACTTCCCCTAATGAGCAGAATGTACTTTTTTTTTTCAGAGATCCAGAGAAAATACACCAAGATAGAACACATTCTGTGCCATTTTTAAAAATCTCAACAAATTTAAATGAATTGAAGTCATTCTCTGACCACACTGAAGTCAGTGAAAATGAAAATACAGCATATTAAAATTTGTGGGAAATAGCTAAAATCGTGCTGGAAGGGAAATGTATACCACTAAGTGTACACATTAGAAAAGAGGAAAGTTTCAAATTAATAATTTAATTTCCCACCCCAAGAACCTAGAAAAAGAACAAAATTAACTAAAGCAAGCAGAAGGAAGGAAATAACAATAAGAGCAGGAATAAATGATACTGAAAAGAGAAAAATAAGAAAGAATGTCAGGTTTTTTAAAAGTTAGTACTTTGAAAAGATTGATAAACTTGGCAAACCTCTAGCAAAACTGACAAACGATTAAGGGAGAAAACCCAAATCATCAATATCAGGAAGGAAACTGGAGATATCACTCTCCTTGCAGACATCCAAAGGATAAGAGGCCGACGCATGCAGAGGACAGAACCCAAAAAGGCACACACCTGGGCTGCCTGGTGTTCAAGCTGGAGGCTGCTCAGTGTTCTAGGACAAATCTGACACTTTGTAACAATGCTTGAAATAAACACCAGCCATCTCTATGAGCAACAGGTTCAGCTCTTGGCAGACACATGTAACCCTATTGATGAAAATGACAATAAAATTGGGGCTGAGACCGAGAAGAATTGTCACCTGAATGAGAACACTGAAAGAGGATTATTGCATTGGACTTTTAGTGTCTTCTTATTCAACACCAAAAATAAGCTCCTGCTAGAGGAAAGCTCAGATGCTAAGATTTCCTTTCCGGGTTGCTTTACCAATACTTGTTGTGGTCATCCATTAGGTAATTCAGGCAAGCTTGAGGAAAGTGATGACCTTGAAGTAAGGCAAGCAGTGCAGAAGCATCTGAAAGCTGAGTTAGGAATCCCCATAGAAGCAGTTCCTCCAGAAGAAATTAATTGTTTAACATGAATTCACTATGAAGCTCAGTCTGATGGTATCTGGGGTGAACACGAAATTGATTACATTTTATTTGTGAGGAAGAATGTCACTTTGAGTCTAGATCCCAATGAGATTAAAAGCTATCTCAAAGGAAGAACTAGAAGAACTTCTGAAAACAGCAGCTACTTGTAAAATAAGAGAACACCATGGTTTCAAATTATTGTAGAGGCTTTTCTTATTAAATGGTGGGATAACTTAAGTCATTTGAATCAGTTTGTTTACCACAAGAAAATACATAGAATGTGAATGTAGAGATGAGTGATTACTGAAAAAATTCTCTACTTGGTAAATTTAAAATGATTCTTTTGTTTTAAATTTGGTTCCCTATTAGGGGAACTCTCATATAATACACTGATACTTTACAACTTGTGTGGAAAAAAGAATTAACTTATAACTTTGTATTACACAACCAGGATATATGCTCTGTTTGTAGAAGATGTTTATGAGGGAGGTTATTGTAAAATGAGAGAGAGCAAATAAAACTTAATTTAACCTGTTCAAAAAAAAAGGATAATAAGGGAATACAGTGAACAATTCTATACACATAAATCTGACAAATTAGATGATATGAAGCAATTCCTTGAAAAACTCAAACTACTACAATACTAAATAATTACTTCAAAGATCATTGTGTTAACCCTAAAACTATTAAGACAATTGAATTCATAATTAACAATCTCCCAGAAAGGAAATCTGCAGGTCCAGGTGGTGTCACTGGAGAATTCTACCAAACATATAAAAAAGAATAGATGCCAACTATACAGAATCATTTCAGAAAATAGAAGAGGAATGAACACGTCCCAGTTCGGAACTAGAAAAACACAGTACAACAGAAGCAACAAAGCCTGGTGTCCCTCATGAATATAGTATAAAAATCTTTAGCAAAATATTAACAAATAGAATCCTACAATATGTAAAAAGAATTACACTCAGTACCAATAGGGTTTTATTTCAAAGATGCAATGCTGGCTTAGTATTTGAAAAGCAATCGTTGCAATCCACTATAATGCAGACTAAAAAAGAAAAATCACATGATTGTGTAGTCAAGTCAGACGCTCTACCCCGAGCTATACCCCTGAGAAAAATCACATGATTGTACCGAACAATGCAGAAAAAGCAGTTAACAAAATTCAGTATTCATTCATGATTTTTACAAACTCTCAAAAAATTAAGAATAGAGAGAAACTTCCTCTACTTGATAAAGAACGTCTACAAACACCCTGAGGCTAACATTATACTTAATATTACAAGTGAATGACTGAATGTTTTCTCTCTAAGGTTGAGAACAAAGTAAAGATGTCTACTCTAACATTCTTATTCAACATAGTGCTGGAAGTTCTATCGAGCCATTGCAAAAAGGCAAGAAAAGGAAACGAAGGGCCACAGATCAGAGAAGAAACTCATGAACCAGCTCCTGTTTGCAGATGACACGTGGTCTACATATAAAACCACAAAGAACCTGAAGAGAAAAAACTCCTAGAACTAATAAGTGAGCTCAGCAAGGTCATAGATACAAAATAAACATAAAGAAACCGATTGTATTTCTATGTACCAGCAATAAACACATGGACACATGGCCTTTCAATGGAAGGTAAAAATGCAATACCATTAAAATTGATCAAAAAAAAAAAAAGAAACAGTACGAATGAAACAAATCATACATAGGACTTGTGAGGCAGAAATTACACAATGTTGATGAAAAAAGAGATAATTTAAATAAACAGGGAAACATATGGTGTTGATGGATTGGAAGACTCAAATAGGAAAGATGCCAATTCTCCCCAAAACTGATAAACAGGTTTAACAAAATTTCTATCATAATCTCAGCAGAAGTTTTTGTAGATATAAACAAGACTATTCCAAAAGATATATGAAGAGGCAAAGGAATGAGAATAGCTATAATTTTAAAAAAGAAGAATAATATGGGTAGAATCAGTGCCCAATTTCAAGACTTATATAACTACATTAATCAAGACTGTGTAGTATTGGCAGAGGGATAAACATGTATATCATGGGACCAACTAAAGAACCCAGAAGTCAACCCATGCAAATATGTCCCACAGACTTTTGACAAAGTTGCAAAAGCCATTTAATGGTGTAAAGATAGCTTATGAGCAAATGGTGCTGGAGCAATTGGACATCCAAAGGCAAAATAAAATGAGCCTCAACCTAAGTCTCAAACATTGTACAAAAATTAACCCAAAATGTGTCATGGGCTTAAAATTAAAAAGTAAAACTATAAAACTTTTAGGAAATGCATAGGAGAAAATATACGTGATATAGCTTTTGTCAAAGAGTGCTTAAATAGATATCAAAAGCACAATTAATAACAGAAAAGAATTGATACATTGGACTGCATCAAAATTCAAAACTTTTCCTCTGTGAAAGATCCTATTAAGATCCTATTAAGACAAGTTACAGATTAGGAGAAAATACTTGTAAGACACACATCTGACTAAGAACCTATCTAGAATATATAAAGAACTGTCAAAACTCAACAGTAAAAAAGAAAAAAAAATCCTTTAAAAAACAGGCAAAAGCGACGAAGAGACATTTCATTGAAGAAGATATATAGGTGCAAATGAGCACATAAAAATATGCTCAACATCATTAGCCATAGAAATGCAAATTAAATAAGATGCATAGCCATGAGATACCACTGCATACTTATCACAATGGCTAAAATTTAATAATAGTGATAACACCACATGCTAACAAGGATGTTGAGAAACTGAATCACTCATACATTGCTGGTAAGAATGCAAAATGACATAGTCACTCTGGAGCTCTGGAAAACAGTTTGAAAATAAAACAGTTTGAAATAAAACAATTTGAAAATAAAAGTTTGAAAATAAAAAACTAAACATACAACAACAATACAACTTAGCAGTTGCTCTCTCAAGCATTTATTCTAGAGAAATGAAGATTTATGTTCACACAAAAATCTGTACAGAATGTTCAACTTTATTTGTAATAACCAAAACCTGAGAAGAACCCAGGTGTCCTTCACTGAGTGAATGGTTAAATGAATGTGTTACATACATAACAATATAAAGAAATGAACTATTGGTACACAAAACATATATGGATGTCCAGAAAATTATTCTGAGTGAAAAAATGTCACACACCATAGGATTCATTTATATAACATTTTTAAAATTACGAAATCACTGAAATGTTGGCAAGTGGCACTGCAGAAAATTTGTAAAATAAATAAAAAGTCCTAGAAATGGAGAACAGATTAGTGGTTGCCACATTTCAGGTGGGTGCACAGGGGAAGGAGGAGGGTGTGGCTACAAAAGGGCAAACGGAGGTGTCCTCATGGTGATGAAAAGTTCTGTGCCTTGACTGTGTCAATGTCCGTGCCCTAGGCATGGTATTGTTCTATAGATTTGCAAGATGTTACCATGGGGGGAAACTGCATAAAGTAACATGTGATCCCTCTGTATTGATCAGTATCAATCACTCTGTATTTGCTTTTACAACTGCATATCAACCTACAATTATTTCAAAATTAAAAGTTCAATTTTTTAAAAAGTTAATGACAACTCTTTGGTGTCCAAAGCCGAATAGGAATTTAAAAAAAAAAAAAAGATTTTTGTCACTTTTACTGCTTCCCGTCTACAATCTCCTGCAGCTGGAAGGTGTTTGTCTTTCATGAACATTTTGCAAAGACTCTGAACAAATTACTATACTTACTTGGGCATTAAACACCAGTCTTTCCTCTCAGCAGTATAATGGGTTCCTTGGTTTAGAGATCATAGAAAGCTTGACTAAAAAGGGCAGTATAGACAAGGGCCAAACACTAGCCTACGTTTAGAGATGCCTCCAGAATCTGTGTTGCAAAACTCACTTAACCTCTTTGGTCTCAATTTCTCCACCTACAAAATGGACCTGAATGTTGCCATTGCATTATAAACCAAATTCTATGGAATTAACATTATGCCATGATGAAGATATATCATCCTGTTTCATGCCTGCTCTTTAATGAGCCTTTAGTCAAAGAAGCACTTGGTTATGTTTTTTTTTTCTTTTCCTTGTGTCAAAGGCCCCATATGTAGGTGAGCACCTCTGTCCCTCCACTGAGCCCCACTCCCTTGCCAACTGGAAGGACTCCCCCACATCCTCCACACAGCTCCCCACATGACACAAGCAGGGGTAAATGGCCTTCGGTGAGCAGGAATGTGCATGATCTAAGAACAAACCCAATAATCTCAATAATAATAATAATAGTTTCCATTTATGGGGTGTTTATTACATAAGTTCTATTTTAAGAACTTTATAGGGTTTAATTTTATTATCTTATTTCATTTTTTTTTTTTGAGACAGAGTCTAACTCTGTTGCCCAGGCTAGAGTGCAGTGGCATGATCCTGGTTCACTGCAGCCTCCACCTCCTGGGTTCAAGCAATTCTCCTGCCTTGGCCTCCCAAGTAGCTGGGATTACAGACACGTGCCACCATCCCAGCTAATTTTTTTTTTGGATTTTTTTTTTTTTTTTTTTTTTTTAGTAGAGACAGGGCTTCACCATGTTGGCCAGGCTGGTCTCCAACTCCTGACCTCAGGTGATCTGCCCGCCTTGGCCTCCCAAAGTGCTGGGATTACAGGCGTGAGCTACCATGCCTGTCCCAGAGTTTAGTTTTTTAAAGCAGCTGAAGGCAATGAGCTTTACTCTAGGCATATAATACAGAGCAGCAGCCCCATGCCCAGCAGCAGGCCGTGCACACACAGATGCAGCAGCTCCAGAGAGCAGGGCACTCTCCAGGCCTCCCCAAGCCCACTGAAGGCTGCCTGCCACGGACTGCGCTCCAACAGAGCCTGAGAAAGGTCAGCTCTTGGGCCAGAACTGCACCGGGAAAGTTCTCCCACCACCAGGTCACCAGCCAGAGCAACTGTGGGTCCCAGGACAACTGCAGCTGATTTCAAAGACTCTTAGAATCCAAATTCTCATTTAAAGGCAAAGATACAATATTACATTTTATCTCTTTCTCTGACTCATTGTAATAAGCAAAAGCTCACTGTCCATATTCAAAGTCGATATGTCACCCCGTACTATGGAAGATTCTGGCCCTACTGCTCACTCTAGCCTAATGTTCAGTGACTCAGTGCCAGGAGGTTGCCAGTGCCCTTTGGGAGTTATTCCCTGGTAGCCAATAGAAAGCGTGACGAATCGTCAAACTCCTCGTCTGCTGGTGTCTCCTTATTTGCAATCATACCTCCTTGGATTAGGAACACCTGGTTGCCCAGATCACATTAAGGGAGATGAAGAGGTTCTCCGTGCCCCATGCTGGGCCCTGGAAATACCACCCATGGGTTAACATGGTCCATGGAAGAGCAGGGGCATCCTCTGGGAGAGTTCCACCTCTCAGTGTGTCCAGGACTGAGGCTGCAACTCAGCAGCAGCAGCACACGTGCAAAAATAAACAACCAAATCAGCGATGGAGGAGTGAGACCACAGAAACTGGGCGGGCAGCAGATGCAGACACAGCCATCCTATGCATTTAGAGTCTGGGAGCTGCAAAAGCTTAAGGCAAGCTTGTTTTATGGTTCTATAGGAGCCAAATATGACATTTAAATGATCCATTCCATTAATAGTGTATCATTGTGTCAACCTGGAATGCATTTGAATCAAAAGCCCCCCTCAAAATGGTCTCCTTTGTTGTATTTTCTTGTTGGCTCATTTTATCAACATCTGCTATGTTTAGACAATATGAATTAAAACTAAGAAATGCTGTTTGTACTCAACTACTTTTGTTGAGAGTGTAACATCCCAAGATTGGCAGTGTTTATGTAAATCAGTGTGGCTGACACAGCCATCATAAACAAATGAGGAAAATATAACAAACACATTGTTCGCGCAGGAAATGTTTGTTTTGAGAGTTGGCTTTGGTCTCACCAGATTGATGAAGAGGTGCTGATACCACAGATCTGTGCTGTGCTGTGCACCAGGCCACTTCCACTTGCAGGCCAGGCAAGGCTTCCCTGCCCCAGAGCCTGCAGAGGCAGAACAGGGCCCCAAATCTCACCCTTGACCCACCGAGGCAGCTGTTGAGGTTCTCCAGCTGAAGCTTGAGTAGTTAGATGGATTTTGCACTGTGTGGTGCCACAGATAACTGGTGTACACACTGCAGCCGCACTCGGGAGTCCCCCACAGCCAACTGCACACCATCACACAGCACTAGGAATGGGAAAGGCTTCAGCAAGGCCCTTCTGACTCTAGGTCTTCATTCTCATTCAGAAAGAAGAGGTGATGGAGAAATAATCACGAGTGCACAAAGACACGTATATTCAATGATACTCACAGCAGCATTGTTTATATAGACAAAAGGCCAGAAACAGCCTCCACATCCACCACGAGGGCATTGACTAAGCAGATGGTGGTGCAGCCAAATCTTAGCATGCCACGCAGCTGTGAAGGAGTGTGAGGTGTGAGCTATGTGCCAAGAGTCTCCAGCTGTCATAGATGAGTGCACAAACATGCAAGATGGCAGAAAACTCACTCCCATTTGCATTCGTTAAAAGAGGGTTTGTATTTGCCTATATAGGTTTAGGATATTATTTCCAGAAGGATCTCAAGCAACTGGTGGATACCTGGAGGGAGTGGTACTGGAGGACCACAAGTTTAAAATCTAAGGAAGCCTTGCTTGTTATTTTTATGCTGCTTTATACTGTTAAATTTTTTTATTATGTGTATGCATTACATAAAATATTCCTTAGAAAAATAAAGGAAGGATTCACTACAATGTCTGTAATCAAAAAGACGGGTAATAACAAAGCCATGGATGTAGAAAAATTGGAATCCACATATATTCCTGGTGGGAGTGGAAACTGCTGCAGCCACTTTGGAAAACAGTCTGGCAGTTCCTCAAAAGCTTCAACATAGAATGACCATCTGACCTAGCAATTCCACTCCTATGTATATAACCGCCAGAAATGAAAACACATGTCCACAGAGATGCTTATGTGCGAATGTTCACAGCAGCACTGCTTATGACTGCCAAGAAGTAAAAACAGCCCAAATGCCCCTCAACGGATGAATGGATAAACAAAATATGTTATATTCATGCAATATATTCATGAATAAAAGAGTGAAGTACTGACAAGTCCACAGGGATGAACCTAGAAAACATTATGCCAAGTGAAAGAAGACAGTCACAAAAGGCCATGTATTATAGGATTCCATGTATACGAAATGTCCAGGACAGGTGAATCCATGGAGATAGGAAACAGAATAGTACTTGCAAGGGGCTAGGAGGAATATGGAAAGGGGAGTGATTGTTTAATAGGTAGACAGTTTCCCTCCGGGGTGATGAAAATGCTCCAAAATTGACAATGGTGATGGTGGTGCAGTTATGTGAATATACTAAAAATCAACGAACTGCACACCTTAAATAAGTGAGTTTCATGGTATGTTGATCACATCTTGATAAAGCTCTTTTTAGTTTTTTTGTTTGTCTTTAAATTTTCATTTATTTATTTTTTAATTTTTTAACTTTTATTTTAGGTTCAGAGGTACATGTGCAGGTTTGTTATATGGGTAAGTTTGTGTCATGGGGGTTAGTTGTACAGATTATTTTGTCACTGGCATACTAACCATGGTGGCTGACAGTTTTTTACTTTTTTCTGAACCTCTCCCTCCTCCTATCCTCCTCCCTCAAGTAGGCCCTAGTGTGTGTTGTTCCCCTCTATGTGTCCATGTGTTCTGATTATTTAGCTCCCATTTATAAGTGAGAACATGTGGTATGTGGTTTTCCGTTCCTGCATTAGTTTGCTAAGGGTAATGGTCTCCAGCTCCATCCATGCTCCTGCAAAAGACATAATCTCATTCTTTTTTATGGCTGCATAGTATTCCATGGTGAGTCTATCATTGATGGGCATTTAGGTTGATTCCATATCTTTGCTATTGTGAACAGGGCTGCAGTGAACATACACATGCATGTGTCTTTATGGTAGAATGATTTATATTCCTTTGGGTATATACCTAATAATGGGACTGCTAGGTCAAGTGGTAGTTCTGTTTTTAGGTCTTTGAGGAATCACCACACTGCTTTCCACAGTGGCTGAACTAATTTACATTCCCACCAGCGGTGTATAGCATTTCCTTTTCTCTACAACCTCACCAGCATCTGTTATTTTTTGACTTTTTAACAATAGCCATTCTGACTAGTGCTAGATTGTATCTCATTGTGGTTTTGATTTGCATTTCTCTGGTGATTAGTAATTCCAAGCATTTTTTCACATGCTTGCTGACCTCATGTATGTCTTCTTTTGAAAAGTGTCTGCTCACATCCTTTGCCCATTTTAATAGGGTTGATTGCTTTTTGCTTGTACCTTTAAGTTCCTTATAGATTCTTATAGACCTTTATCAGATGGATAGTTTGCAAAAATTTTCTCCCCTTCTGTAGGTTGCCTATTTACTCTGTTGATAGTTTCTTTTGCTGTGCAGAAGCTTTTTAGTTTAATTAGATCCCATTTGTCAATTTTTGCTTTTGTTGCAATTGCTTTTGGCATTTCCGTCATGAAATCTTTGGCAGTTCCTATGCCCAAATGGTATTCCCTAAGTTATCTTTCAGAATTTTTAGAGTGTTAGGTTTTACATTTAGGTCTTTAATCCATCTTGAGTTGATTTTTGTATGTGGTATAGGGAAGGGGTCCCGTTTCAGCATTCTGCATGTAGCTAGCCGGTTATCCCAGCACCATTTATTGAACAGGGAATCTTTTTCCCCATTGATTGTTTTTGTCAGCTTTGTCAAAGATCAGATGGTTGTAGGTGTGCGGCCTTATTTCTGGACTCTCTATTCTGTTACATTGGTCTATGTGTCTATTTTTGTACAAGTGTCATGCTGTTTTGGTTATTGTAGCCTTAAAGTACAGTTTGAAGTCAGGCAACATGACTTCTCCAGGTTTGTTCTTTTTGCTTAAGATTGCCTTGGCTATTCGGGCTCCTTCTTTGGTTCCATATGAATTTTAAAATGGTTTTTTCTGTTCTATGAAGAATGTCTTTGGCAGTTTGATAGGAATACCATTGAATGTAAATTGCTGTGGGCAGTATGGCCATTTTCACAATACTGATTCTCCCTGCCCATGACCATGGAGTGTTTTTCCATTTGTTTGTGCCATCTCTGATTTCTTTGAGCAGTGTTTTATAATTCCCATTGTAGAGATCTCTCCCCTCCCTGGATACCTGTATTCCTAGGTGTTTTGTTCTTTTTGTGGCAATTGTGAATGGGATTGCATGCCTGATTTGGCTCTCAGCATGACTGTTGTTGGTGTATAGAAATGTTAGTGATTTTTGAACATTGATTTTGTATCCTGAAACTTTGTTGAAGTTGGTTATCAGCTCAAGGAGCTTTTAGGCAGAGACTATGGGGTTTTCTGGATATAGAATCATGTTGTCTGCAACAAGGGATAGTTTGACTACCTCTCTTCCTATGTGGATGCTGTTTATTTCTTTCTCTTGCCTGATTGCTCTGGCAAGGACTTCCATTACTATGCTGAATAGAAGTGGTAAGAGAGGGCATTCTTGTCTCATTCTGATTTTCAAGGGGAATGCTTCCAAAATAAAGCTGTTTTTTGAAAGCAAGCATTAAAATATCCTAAAAATGAAAAAAAGAAGAAATGAAGAATGAAAGAAAGAAAAAGAAAGAAAGAAAGAAAGAAAGAAAGAGGGAGGGAGGGAGAGAGGGAAGGAAGGAAGGAAGGAAGAAAGAAAGGAAGGAAAGAAAGAAAGTCAAACAAGTGTTTCCTCCCTCTCTATTCAAAGGCACAGCCACCCTACACCTAGCTATACTGCACTGTACTGTACTGTACTGTACCACACTGTACTATGCTGGACTACATTGTACTATACTACACTTACTATACTGTACTATGCCACACGAGACTGTGCTATACTATGCTGACCTGCACTGTACCATACTAACCCTGCCATACAGTACTGTGCTATGCTGTAGCATACTGTGTTGTCCTGCACTGTGTCATACAGTGCTGACTGTGTCATACAGCACTCTGTCATACGGCACTGTGTCATACAGCACTGTGCCATACATCACTCTGTCATACAGCACTGTGTCACACTGCACTGTGCCATACAGCACTGAGTCACACTGTACTGTGGCATACTGCACTGTGCTATTCAACAGTAGACTATGCTGTCTGCATTAGGCCATACTGCACCATGCCATACTCTATTCTACTCCACTATCGACAGCAAAGCTTACCACAGCACAGTGGAGACTAAGCAGAACATGCCACACTTTGCATTCATCATTTACTTCATGAACTTAGCACTTGCTTGACACCTTGTGCTCTGCTGGCACTGGGATGTCTAGGAGAACCCGTGTGGCCCACTCACTCCATGAGCTCACAGGTTCAGCTGCTAACTGGCCCACCCCTACCTTACGACTGAGTCAAAACCACAAATCAGACTCTGCCAACCCTACAACGTGGAACTAAGTCTTTGACCTAAACTTATATTGTAGTAAATTTCTGTATCTCCACAATAGGCTTCCATCCTTCTCCCTCAAACCCATTCCCTCCTGCTTCTTCTTCCAGCAGGGCAAGGAAGAGGCAGTGGCGCTGCGGAAGGTGTGCAGAGCGCCTTTCAGCCCCAGCACGGCGACCTTGCCTGTTGTCTGTGGAGTAGGATGTGGGGAATCCAGAGGGCTTGGTGAAAGGAACTCAGGGCAGGAGCGCTGCTCCCTCACTGTGAGCTCCTGGACCAGAAGACAGGAGCGTTGCATTACCATCTCTCCCCGAATTTAGGAAATGCCCCTTTCCCCGCAACGGCATCTCCAATTTATTATCCAAACAATAAATGAGATGGATTCGGTGGTTTCTGAGGCTCATAGCAGCCCCTGAGTGGCCATCTCCTTGCACAGCCCTTTCAGAGGACAATGCTGTCCTTCCCCTACACCACCCCAGTCACCAGGCCTCTCTAGCTTTGCACCAATAAATAATTAAGAGGAAACAATTCGCCCTGCAAGCTTGTCATGTGAACTTCTCCACAGACTCCAGGCAATGTGGGAGCAGACAGTGCATGTGAGGGGCCCGGGCCCGGGCCTGTCCCTATACCACAGCAGGCAACACTGCCAAAGGCCTGTGAAGGCAGCTAGATGGTCAGCCTCTGCTAGAAGCTGCCCTCCTCCCCTAGTCAGCACAGGCTTACTCCCTCCACTCTCTCCACCCACCCCTCCTCCAAACATCTTTCTTAAACAGCAATGTGACACCTACACCCCAGGATTAATGAGCTGAAGATTAAGGTGGCTCCACTCTAAATAAATGTTTATTTTAACCAAGGAGTGAA
The DNA here is from genome assembly GCF_000001405.40 of Homo sapiens. Taxonomy (NCBI): domain Eukaryota; kingdom Metazoa; phylum Chordata; class Mammalia; order Primates; family Hominidae; genus Homo; species Homo sapiens. The sequence continues at coordinate 48,282,966 of NC_000008.11, read as the reverse complement.
CCAAAAGAATGATGTCTAAGAAATGAATGTCTAATGGCAAAATTTCAGATATCTACTCTCTGGCTGGAGGAGGACACACAGTCATCCTGAAACACCTAAAATCCCATCAGGTAGCTGCGAGCTGATCTGAATCTTCAGCCAGAGCTGTATGAGACTGGACCTGGAACTGCAGTCTGTCTCTGGGAATCCTGACTCTCAGTGTAATGAGCGCTACTCCAGTGCCATGATCAATCAGGCTGTGCCCATCAACACCTCCGAACATGTTCCCGCAGTGTCACACCGCACCGCACAGTGACCATTGTTTACCCCTCCCTCCTCACTGTCTCTGTCCCTCTACCTTTGCCTCTGGGGAGCCCAGTGCAGGATGGGGCTCAAAGCAGACACCCCATGAGCGTCTGGTCCACAGAGAACTGGGGGTATGGGTGGGTATGGAAGAGAAGTCCAGGAGTGGGAAGCATGAGTGGTAGCCAAGCAAAAGTGGGTGTGAGTCACGTGCTGGTTCTCAGCTGCTCACATCGGGAGGCACCTGAGGTCAAGTCACCTGGAGCACAAAGGCAGGAGAGCCAGAGCACATGTCGCAGTCATAACCAAAGCTCCAGGCCCGGATGTTCAGGACGCCGTCAAAGGACACAGCCTTCACCGCGTTTAGAGTGAGGAGAGAGCACACCCCTCACCCTCTTCGCCCGCCTTCCCAGGCATCCGCCCACTGCTGTTCACTTACTCTACTTACATAGGAAGTCCCTGCCTTCGACCCAGAGCTCTGGGATCAAATCCAAGAGAGGGTGGCCTTTTCTCATAGGTGGTAGAAGGGGAAGGTGGCGGTGAACTTCCTCTGGGTGCTCACAGGCGAGAACGATGCACAGCGGGTGCTTTGCTAGCAGGCAAGGCCACCCAGGACCGGTCTGTGCAGGAAGGATTGTGCCCTCATGGACTTGGGTGCTGCTGGGGGTGGTAAGGGGGGAAATGATGCAGGGGAAAATGATGTCAGGGGAATTCCTGAGATTATTATAACCCCAGGTTGTAAAATATCTGCTAAGGTCAATAACATGTCACATCCACTCCTTGATATTCCTGTAGAGATCCTGCACAGAAAAGTGGTCCCAGTTTCATAAACGAGACGCTATTTATACACAAAGCTATTGTGTCAGCTCCATTCTCTTCCTACTCCTTCTGGGGAGAGAAAGAACTTTCTGCTGTGATTTCCAAAGGATGCTGTGTTGCACTCCACAGATCTTTTGTGTAGCAATCCAGGAAATTAGAGCAAGGAAGTGGCTGAGCTCATCATAGTGTGTCATGATGAAAGAGATGACCATTTGCTATTGCCCTGTTTGACAGAAGGAAATAATTAGCCCCAGAACTCACTCTGATTTGTAGAAGAAATAACATCCACCCAGAGTGTGGAATTGTTCTCAGCACTGTGGAGGAAGACTGTGACATTACATTTCTGGAATACAGCATCTTTCTTCCCAGAAAACACTGTCTACTGGGACCAAGGGGGCACTAAGGAAATAAACAAGTCCCATTGCACCCAAAACCCATTTGAAGTAACAGTATTCTGGCATTTATAAGACACAAACTTTTCTGTACCAAGCCATAAAAGAATAACAAAATAGTATCATGTTATTAAAGTTATAACATTATGATGGTGCAATGGTGTCTACTGAGCCATTTCACCTTGAATCCAAAAGTCTATTCACATTTATCATTTCATGTGCAGACTTCTTCACCAATCAGTTTTATCATTCAATCAACCGATCAAATATTTATTGAGAATCCAGTATTCAAGCTATAGGGCTAGGCATTGATCATCGTCAATAAATTATTATAGACACTTGATCATTGTTAACATGATGAGACCTCAATAAAGAGACTGTCCCCAAACCTCCCTAAAAATAGTAACCAAGTCCATTTTTAATGCTCACACTGTTTCTTGGCCCAGACGTATCTTTTAAAACAAATTATACCATAAAACCCTCCTTATCTAGAACACTGATGACCAGGCAGCACAGAAGAGTATTATTAGACTATCTTATTTATATCAGGACTTTTTGTACCTACAGAAGATTCAGCATTTTCTGTGTGGAATGGGTGGGTGGATGGATAGGCGAATGGAACGGTGAGTGGATGGGTAGATGGGGCCTTTAAATCTGTAATTTAAAAATAAAAGAGAAAGGTAAGGGAGGGGGTGTGTGACTCTTAATGAGAAAAACAGTGACATCTTAGAACCTCGAAGCTGGCACAGGAAAGGGAGAAAACAAGCTCTATTTTCTTAGGCAAAAAAATTCTAAACTGTACTAGCTGAAGGACACACAGGCTAGTGTTACTACAATAAAAAAGACGTACTAACAATTCCCATGTTCAAAGACACCTCACTAAAAAGAACAGCTGACTTCACCATTTCACCTTCAGTCTTGGCTCCTCCAGCCAGAGGAAAAGGATGGACATGTCGACAAGTATTTCTCAGAGCCTCAAGTGTTTGTGAAGCTAGGAGGATATACGTCTCCCATCCTCACTGATGTGTCCTTATTTTTAAGCCACTCAAAATGAAGGTAAGTGGCACAGCTGTCTTAGCACGCAAGTTGATACAGTCTTTGAAAATCAAATCTATTGAGCATACTGTCACAGGAAATATGACACATCTGAATGTTCTAGTGTTAAAAAATGGAAAGCACACCCCTTATGTGTCACAGGGGTGCTATGAATACATGTCAGTGATAGCATCTTATAGGGTTACAGCAACAGAGCAAAGCAAAACAACACACAACAGGAGCCTTACTCACTTCTGTCACCCCAGCCCTGAAGGGGAGAAAGTGCTTAAAACACCATGATGTCACTAACCTGGAAATGCAGTTTGATGGTTTTTATGCCTTTATCTTCTTAGGGTTGCAATGATAAAATTCACTTACAACAATGTAAATCAAATTATCAAATCTCTTCCTAGAAAAGCAGACTTGGCATAGGAAGTGGGTGAACAGGTAGATGCTGATTGATTGATAGAAAGGAGAATGTCTACAGAGGGACAGGAAAAGGAACACAGAAGCCCAAAGACACCATCACCTCCTTTGAGGTTTGCATGGGACCAGCCCTGAAACTGAGCAAATACATCATTATTTGCTCTGTCCAACAAGGCTGCAGACCCAGCCTGTTTTGTTTTTTTTTTTGCCACCTGCACCCAGGCTCTGAGCTCCCCATCACTGCAGCCACTCTAACCCATTGGGATATCAAGTAGAGGGGTGAGCTTTAAACTCCTGGGGTTGGATTTGCAGGATGAACCTCCATCTTTGAGAAATGATGCAATGGGCAAGATAATGCCAGGCAGAGAAAGAGAATCAGTGAGATTGCTTTTCACAAAGGTGAACACTTGGGAACCACAAGGGACTCAGTGTCAGTCACAGAGGCCTGCCTCCTCTGTGCTTTCGGGGTGAGGAAATGTGCCTTCAGGTTGGTAACAGGGACCAGAGCCCTCAGCCAGGCCCAGGCAATGCTGAGACACTGATTCAGACCTCTAGAGTCTCTGCTTACTAGATCCCCTTAATTACAGAAAAATCCCCTGGCCTGATGACAGCATCGAAAGAACATGTATTCCTTTTCTGCGGAAATTTTTCCTTTTCTGCAGATTACAAAAGCAAACTGTAACTTTGCAAAAAGTTCCCAGAAAAGAGAGGGCACTTAATCAAACTCAGAGACTTAGAGCTGGACTTGAACTCAGAAGATCTGCTTCAGGCCCCTCATTTTACAAAAGAAGGAACATCCCCAACACACGGTCACAGTCACTAAATGGCAGATTAAGGACATGACCAAGTCCCCAGGGCCCTTCCACACCAATGCTTCCTTCTCTGTGACCAGGAAATAGCAACTTTTCAACATGATAGATATTTACACCTTGTGCTATCGAACCACAGAAGACAAGCCCAAGACCACTGCTTTGCATAAGACTCCCTCCCATTCAGAGGTTGGAAACTCAGGTCTTGATCAAGAAGATTAAACTCGATGGCTTCTCAATTGAGACTAGCCACAGTTCCAAATGATGAATAACTCAACAGATTAAAACCTTGGAAATTTCTAATAAGTCTCTATCTTTTCTTCTGGGAGAAGTTCCAGCTGTCCCAGTGCCATAACAGGGATGCAGGAGATTGGGGATGGCCAGTTACCATGGGGATGACACTAATCTGGAAAGGCCACCCTGGGAATGAGTTTTGTGGCAAGCAACATGAGCTGCAATATCTCACCTTCCCACCAAGGAGAGCTCCCATCTTCCCACAGGGTACCAACATTTATTTGACCATACGATGGTTGACCCATAGTGAAGAAAAGCTCCCAGAAAGGTTTCAATTATCCTCTGTCTGGATTATCCACCCAAAACACCAGGCTGGAGGTCTAAGAGAACATAGCAGAGTCTGGAGGATTCCAGACCACATGAGTTCAGACTGTGGGACATGGCATCCTTCCCACTCTAGGTCACTGCCATACCCGAGAGAGGCCACTGGCTGTTTAAGCATGAGCCAAGGACTATGCTTGTGCACAAGGAATCATCATCTCTACTGAGCAACATGCCATCTTATGCAAAGGAACTGGTCACCAATCAAACCCAACAGCTAATACCCTACACACAACTACTTCACAAGAAAAGATGAAATATTGAGTCCCAGAATTTCACTTCTAGATATCTATGCTAGAAAAGTACTCAAATTTGGGCACAAAGGGACACATGTAAGGATGTTCATAGCAGCGATATTTGTATTGTGACCAATCAGAAAATCCTAAATATTTGTCAATAGAGAAAATGGCTAAATTAACTGTAGTGCAATGCAGCTGCTAAACAGACAAACACAGAAAGTTCTTTAAGATAAAATATGCCAAGTGTAAAAGCCAGTTTGTGAAACATGTATAGTATACGACACTATGCATGCTTTTATATCTATACATTTTTATATGTACACATAAGTGTATGCAGATAACATCAAAAAAAAAAAAAGATAGTGCATGTCACACCAAACTGATAAGAGCGTGTTTCTGGGAAGAGGACAGGATTATAAAAGAGGGTGATAGGGATCTTTTGCTTTATTTTATATATATATATACTACAAATATATGCATCGCCAGTGAGATATCTGCATCTATCTCGCCAGTGTAATTAAAAGAAAGAATAGAATGGTAGAATGAAAATAAACAAAGAACTGGATGGTAAAACCAAGGCCTGGGGCACTAGAAGCCCCCTTGGGGAGGGGCAAAGGTGTCCACTCAGGAAGGGCCCAGCCCCAGACCTGGTCTTGCTGTACACTGGGAGAGAGCCAGGCCTCAGGGGTGTCTGCTGCCCTGATGCCAGTCCCTCACCGTGCCTGGCCAGCTTCTCCCGGTCCTGTCCTCCTGGGCTCTGCACCTCTGCTACTGGTATTTACCCATGCTCTGACCACACACTACAGACATGTTTCTCTAGCTTGACCTCAGCACATTCACTTGATTCCAAGAAGGCGCCTGCCCTCTGGCCCAGGACATTCACACCATGGCCAAGGGGCACCCCCCTTCCTTTTTCACCCTGGCCCAACAGAACCCTTCCAGACTTATTGAACAGAACCCGTAGACTGGCTTCAGAAGCCAGGGGAAAGTCAGACAGCTAAAAATGGTGCTCACCACAAATTCCTTTCCAAGTCAGGAAGGTAGGAGTGAGATACTCATTCCTGACCCCAAAATGCACACAGGACTACAAGGGCCAAGAGGCAAAAATCTGTATCATTTTATCTTCTTTTTGTCTCTTCCATCCCAGTTTCATGCATAACCTTCTTCAGTGTCCAAAAGGCAATTTGCAAACCAAGTCAAACATGCCCAACCTCATCTTGTTTGTGTATTGCTTCTCTCTCCATCTAGGTCTTCTGCCTTTCTGGTTCCAGGTTTCATTTTCTTCACTGCAACCTCCGCCTCCTGGGTTTAAGCAATTCTCCTGCCTCAGCCTCCCGAGTAGCTGAGACTACAGGCCCACATCACCACATCCAGCTAATTTTTGTATTTTTTGTTAGTAGAGATGGGGTTTCACCATACTGGCCAGGCTGGTATCAAACTCCTGACCTTAAGAGATCCACCTGCCTCGGCCTCCCAAAGTGCTGGGATTACAGGCATGAGCCAACATGCCTGGCCAAGGTGGCATTCTTTCTAAAAAACAAATACAGCATCACCCCGACCCTGTTCAGAACCAGCCAAGTACACTCACACACACAGCTTAGGCACCAGGTACACCTCACAATCCAGCTTAGGCTCCATGCACACCCCACAACCCAGCTTAGGCGCCAGGCACGCCCCACAACCCAGCTTAGGCTCCAGGTATACCCCACAACCTTCCTTAGGCACGAGGTACACCCCACAACCCAGCTTAGGCACCAGGTACACCCCAAAACCCAGCTTAGGCTCCACATATACCCCACAACCCAGCTTAGGTGCCAGGTACACCACACAACCCAGCTTAGGTGCATTCCCTGTATGCACTTCTCCCGGGGGAGAGCTGCTGCCCACAGCCCCTCTGGCCTCTAACTCAGTCTCTGGGCCTCACAGAGCAGGACAACATAGCCATAGAGGGAGAAACCCGCGAGGGAAGGCATAAAGACCAGCTCGAAGAGGCCACTGTTGACTTTTCTTCCATCTGCCTTAGGCGGTGGTCTATCGATACATATTATTTTAAAGGGCAGTTTTCATGGTTTCTTTACATCAAATCTTGAATGTTGTATGATGGGGTTCCTGGGGCTCTCCTACAACCTATGTTTGAGGAAGCAGAGGATTAGGAACCTGGAGAACTTGGAGCCTCCACCAAATCCTCACCCGCAGCCCTGCAGAGCCCAGACAGCATGCAGCCCTGATGGTGCAGGGCACAGATGGTGCCAGGCCCAGCAGGCAAGGCCCTCAAGGGGCACAACCCCACGGTGCAGAGCTGGGGTCAGCCTCTCCTGCCCAGATGCACAGGGCACCAGGCCACATGCTTCAGCCATCTTCAGAAGCCTGCATGAAGACAGCTGCCTGCAATAGATAAGAAGGTAAACCTTTAACTACAACTAAACTTGTCTCTTGGTCTTGAGTAAAAACTCAGAAAATGTCTGTTTAACATTTTTTAAATAGAAAATGAAACATTTCCTTGGAACACTAAAAACACTTTTGTGCCCCAACCCTCCCCAACCAGTTCTTGCAAAGGAGATGCCTGGATAGTTATAATAGACTATTTGAAATAATTTATTTTATTATATATTTCTGATTACAACAGCCCCTCTACCCCAGTCCAAATTGGCCAGACCTCTCATTGGAGGACGATGCTTCCCAGAGGCAGTCATGGAAAGGTTCTCTCTACACCGATTTCTCTCCTAACAGAACTCAACAATAATAATACTAGTCTCAGCAGAGGGGATGCTCGCGGGGGCTGCTGTAATGCTGTGAGAACTGGAGTTGGGAATACAAGTGGATTTGGTGTCCAGCCTTGTCACTTCAGCAAGCCCCTAGGGCTTTGAGACTCAGTGTCCCCATTCCAAAATAGAGCTGATGATAACACATCTCCAAGGGACACCGGGAGAGCTGGGTTGAGTAAGATGTGCACACGCTTGGCCGTTGCCTACATACGGGACAGATCCATGCTGAATCCAGCCACGGCCCAGCCGCCACCACACAGGCCTGCCCTCCTGGCTGGCCAGTCTGCTCCGTGGGAAAGGCTCCTCCCTGTCTCCACACCTTTCTTTGCACACCTGTCCTGGGTGTGCACCCCCTCCTGAAGGCACCCATTAATTAGACCCCATGTATGGGGACAGGCATGGTCTAAGCCCCCTAGGTACTCCTCCGAGTCCCAGCCTAAGCACACCCCTCCTCTCCCCTATTCCACACTCACACCCTCACACACCCACTCACACACATGTGCACTCTCAGACTCATACCCACACACTCATGCACATATATTCACACACACTCCAGGACTTACCAAACTACTCTAGATGCAGTGCTTTGAATGGTGCCTGTTCACTCTCTGCTCCTGGTCTACAGCACAATAAGGACAGAAATTGGGATTCAAGGTTCAAAAACCATCACTGCAATTCATCAGAATAATCTGATGGCTGTCAAATCTGAAAATAAACTATTGAACTTGTACTTTGTATGTCTTCTTTCTTATTTCATTTTTAGTTATTTATCATAACATAAAAATATAAATCTGTTATACATTAAAAATTAGAGATTAAAAAAAGTTTCTCCTTCATACCAGAGAGTTCAAGGGGTGTGGAGCATTGTCTCTTGTCCACCTATATCACCAACTCTGGCTTACTGCACACCCCTAGTGCCAAGCCAGGGAGCTTTCCCAGGATTTGGAGAGGACTCTTTTTCTGTCCCTTGCAAGATCATTCCGCTTCAGGCTGCCCCTGAGACCCCTGCCTCCAGGAATCAGACCTCAGAGACTGTACAGGGGTGACCCAGGTCTTTTCCAGGGCTTCAGGGAGGGCGAGGGTGAAGCACAGGCCAGATTTCTCGAAAACAGGGAAAAGGAAGCCTGCAACCCCACTCCCAAGCATGTGAGCCCCCTTGCCCAGGCATCTGGAGCCTGGATTTGGCAGCTGGGAATTGATGGCCTGCACTCTGAGCTCCAGCCAGCGGAGTCGCTCGGGGAGGATTTGAAAGTGTGGGGAAAATCTGGCATGTCGGAAAAGAGACCAGCACACAGCAGGAAGGAGGTGCTGGCCTGCAGCTGATAAAGATCCAGATTGGTACAACCTCGTGTCACGGAGCAAAAAGCCGAGCATCTGTCTGGGGACGTCGGAGCGCCAAGAAGCTCTGCCCAGCACCCTTTGATGTTGCTGCTTCCTCCAGCCCCTCCACCACGCTCCCTTAGGCAGACCCCAGGGGCTCCCTGCCCTCCTCCAGGCCCGACAGGAAGTGCTGGGCTGTGATTGCAGAAGCTGGAATTGCTCACCCACTTTGTATTTACATCTGGAAGGACAGAACCCCTAATTAGAACCCTTAAGTCATGAATTGCACTTGAGGGCTGCCCAGCAAGGACAGCCCTGACTCGGGCCCATCCTGACAAGCAACTCCAAGACACTTGTACTCAGATAACGCAACCTCAGCTCAGACACCTCTGCCACAGTGTGTTCACCAGGAATGACAAGGACCCAACTGCATTTTTTTTTTCAGTCAGAAAAATACATCAGTTTGGGGAAATGAAAAGTCCACATGCTGGGGGCCTGATTAAGGAGTGGAGGAAGAGGGTTAGAAATATTGGCCTTTTTAAACTTTTTTAAACTTTTCCAAACTTAAGCAAATTCACTTAGGACATGAGTCATTCTTGGAGCATGATAGGGCCTGTGGTGAGCATCATTTTTGTTTTAAAGGAGAAATGTATTTCTTATCTTTTAAAAAACACAATTTTTGCATCTTAAGCTCATGGTTGAAACATGTTTGAGGCAAAAAATGCAACTCATTGTGGTTTTGATTTGCATTTCTCTAATGACCAGTAATGATGAGCTTTTTTTCATATGTTTGTTGGCCGCATAAATATCTTCTTTTGAGAAGTGTCTGTTCATATACTTCGCCCACTTTTTGATGTGATTGTTGGTTTTTTCTTGTAAATTTGTTTAAGTTCTTTGTAGATTCTGGATATTGGCCCTTTGTCAGGTGGATAGATTGCAAAAATTTTCTCCCATTCTGTAGGTTGCCTGTTCACTCTGATGATAGTTTCTTTTGCTGTGCAGAAGCTCTTTAGTTTAATAAGATCCCATTTGTCAATTTTGGCATTTGTTGCCATTGCTTTTGGTGTTCTAGTCATGAAGTCTTAGCCCATGCCTATGTCCTGAATGGTATTGCCTAGGTTTTCTTCTAGGGTTTTTATGGTTTTAGGTCTTACATGTAAGTCTTTAATCCATCTTGAGTTAATTTTTGTATAAGGCATAAGGAAGGGGTCCAGTTTCAGTTTTTTGCATATGCCTAGCAGTTTTCCCAGCACCATTTATTAAATAGAGAATCCTTTCCCCATTTCTTGTTTTTGTCAGGTTTATCAAAGAGCAGATGGTTGTAGATGTGTGGTGTTATTTCTGAGGCTTCTGTTCTGTTCCATTGGCCTATATATCTGTTTTGGTACCAGTACAATGCTGTTTTGGTTACTGTAGCCTTGTAGTATAGTTTGAAGTCAGGCAGCATGATGCCTCCAGCTTTGTTCTTTTTGCTTAGGATTGTCTTGGCTATACAGCCTCTTTTTTGATTCAGCTGGTTTTTTGTTGTTGTTGTTTTATTCTAAATTAGTCATTAAACCATTTCCCAGCACAACAGGAGTGTGTGTTTCCTTGGTTCCTGCTTCTTGCAGAACAGGTGCCTTAAGACAGGTGCAAGCAGGGTCAACAAGATGCATGTGTGACCTGCTCCAGGCCACCTGCAGGGCACCCAGCTGCTCCTGGGCTGCTTCACATTTCTAGTCACCTTCCTGAAGGCAACTGCCTGACTTGCTTGAGACCTTAACTTGGGTTCTGAGCATTTGCCCAACAACTTTTTGAAGAACCCAGTGATTTGGGGAGACACTAAACTCTTTTCTACTCCACTCTGCTAATGGCGTCAAAAGGTCCTCACACCGCCTGATGGGGTGGCACACCTCACAGTGGGTCCCGCTTGTACAGGAACTTGGTGCTCCACGTGGCTCATGGTGCCGTTGTTTCCAGAGAGGAAGAGGCAGTGCACCAAACTCTTGTTTTTCTTCTTCCAAGTCTAGCAGCAGATTCAGTGGGGTTGGTGACGTCCCTGAATGGTTCCACTGCAGCACCAGTTGAGAATCATGAACCCAATGTAAGGCAGTGACCTGGTCTGCAGCAGTTATTCCCAGTCCTCACACCCCTAAAACTGCTGGTTGTTAAGACCCATCCAAACCTGCTAAGTCATACCCTCTGTAGGTGGAGCCCAGCACCCTGACTTTAATGTGTCCCAGTGATTCTCTTGCACGGCCAGGCTTGAGAACCTGTGTGGCCAGCCTGGGACATAGTAGACTGGTGTTCTTGCAATCCAAAAGCTAAAGCCCACAAGGCACCCCAGGCCCAGGCCTGAATGGGCCCCTGCAGGTAAGTGCCCCATGGTGGTGACAAAGGCAGCTCCAGGGTCTGAGCACGACACCCCAGTCCCTTGCCGGCCCCATCCTAAGGCATCACTCTGCTGTCAGCACCACTCTTTGAAACATGCACAGGGTGATGGTCTCTCAGGCCATGTCTAGTGTGGATTCTTATCTCCTTACACAGCTGCAGCATGAAACGGTGCTTGTTTTGGAGCATCAGAGCTGCTGGAGCAGAGGCCCCATACAGCAGGGCCTCACTGCCCTATGGGGCCAGCTGGTCAATGACCTTGGCTGCCTGAGGTGCCAGCCTACAGACAACCACCACCTCAGAAAGCACCTGGGAGGGTCTGCAGGGAAACAGCCACTGTCCTGGCCACTCTAGCAGAGCCACCGCTTCTCCACCAGGCTGCATATCTTGCTAAGACTGAACAGGGAAAAAGGGTTGTGAAATAAAACAAAAGCATACATGTCATCTTTCTGGGAGAGCTGTGTTTCATGCTGTTTGGCACCACTCAAGAGCCAGGCTGCAGGGTTTTTTAATTGACTAATGGCTCGAGTGGAAAAGTGTGATCTGGTGCAGCCGAATCTGGGTCTGTTCAAATGGGTCCTGCTGAGCTTCCCAGGCCAAACTCTGGCAGGACCACATCCTGCTCTTGCGCTTCCTGCCTACGTCTGCCAGTGGCCAGCACCAGGCATAGGGAAGGCAGCCCAGGAGGTAACACTCAGGCCCTCTGGGCACTCCAGTGGCAGAAATGGGTAAAGACCTGAGGCAGGCGTGCCCACAGGGCACCTCTAGGGGCGTCCTCATGCCCTCTGACAGTGCACAAGGCACACAGCTCTCCTATAGCAGACACCTGCAGCACGTGAGGTTTCCACGCTCTCGAAAGTTGTTACAACATAATGGAAAAAGTTATCACATCCTCTGGATGCCAGATAAATCCGTAACATGTGGCACACTGGCTTGCTTTCCTACGTGCTGCATCCTTGAAGGAACAGGCCTCATGGACCAACACTGAACTTCATGGGACCTGCCCAGCCTGGGCCTCCACTGGGCTTCCTCTCCGACCTGTGCCCCGAGCCTACCATCAAGGCGCATCCTGCCTGCAGCTCGGGTCAGCTGCAGACCTCTCCTGACCTGTTTTCTGATCTGTAAGATGAGAGATTAAATTAGATGGCATCTCAGGTTTCTGCAAATTCCAACAGCTGGTGCCTGTAGTGCTGCATAGTGTTTCTCCACAGTCCTGACCACATAAGATACCACGTGGAGAACACCTGGCTTCTTCATTCACAAGCTTTCACTGCCCTTGGCCAACAGCAGTGCCAGAGGTAGTTCCTGCACGTGAAGTCCAGGCCTCACTGAAACTTTCCCGTGCCCCAGCTGCATGCTCCCAGCAGCGGCTGCCCAGAGCTGGAGTGCTGGACGCGGACGCTCGCCACAGCAAGGGCTGTGGTGGCCGCTCTGCCTCCACATCCTCCAGACTTGCTTCCTAACACAGGAAGCACCTTGCATAGCTTAGGAATCAATTCTGGAAGTCTATCTTCCAGTGCTACAGACATTGGCGCGTGTCCACTGTGTGTGGCCACCCACTGGATGACTTGCTCTGCCAAGGAACAGGGGACAAAACCATGTTGGGGTTTGCAGAGGGCTCCTTGGGACCATCTCTCCTGAGTATACAGATTTCAAGGACAGCATGGGCCAAAATTTATAGTGTTGGCCCCAGGTCCTACGAGATCAAAATCTTACCAAGTTATGGTCCCTCTTGAGTACACAATTACAAATATAAAATTACATACGAAATCAACATTTTGCCAGAATGAAAAAAGAAATTGCAACACATCGATTGAGCTTTGGGAATTCAGACCCGTTTTTCTGAAAACTTTTTAATTTACCAGAAGTGCTTGCATTGAAAAGCTTGCTGACAGCAACCTGGCTTCCTCTCCTCACCAGGAACACTCTGTACCTCCCCACGTCTCCCATCAAGCTTGTGCAAGGGAGGGCCCTGAAGCTTGAGAAGTATTCACTGCACAGTAAACCTACCTCTGCTCCTTGTCAGGGCTGAGAGAGGCACCTTCACCCTGCACTTCTGCTGGGCTCTTTTTGCACGACCCTGGTCCTTCCCCCAGCGCCTGCCCTGGCCTCTGTGAAATCTAACACTGTTGCACAGTGTTTACAGACTCCTAGTGATTTTTCAATCCACAAGAAAAACAGGGAACTAGAGCATGTAAATATCAGGGTCGCACAGTTCCATGTATGGCATTCAATGTCAGCCTGAAACAAACACAGAACAGAAGCCGGCCGTGAAGACGGTTCTCACGGTCCACCGCATTCCTCCGGTCTGTCCACATGTGTCCCTCCCAACCGTGACTGCGGGAGTTCCCGCCTTTTTAGCTGCCTGCCCGAGGCACCCCTGACTCACAGCCACTGCTGCCCTGGAAATGCAGAGACACTGGCTCCTACCCATTGTTTTCGCCTCCAAAAGATGTTACTATGCAATACAGCTTTAAGTTTTCAACTCTGTCATATTTTCTAAACTCTGATCTCTTCCATTTACTTTAGGGGATGTGGCATTCCCCTCTGCTGGAGTGAAAGCTAAACAATGTGGTTTGGATTTAGTGTTCTCATGCATCACCATGAAAATGTTTGTCTCAGCAATCGTGTCGTTACTGTTACTGGTAACAGCTGCTCTGTCCCCTCCATCAGTGAGCCCTGACCCGCCACTGCACAGTTTACAAGTAGAAAGGGGGCTCTGTGCCACTAAGAAGAGACCAGCAATAGGACATCCCAAGATCTGGGGTGACCTACTCTCAAGTGATCCAGGGACCCAGCCGAAGAAAAACTCATGCCAAGCCACTCACAGGGCTCACTTGCCAGTGGGGCCAAAGATTGGAATGAATCCTGAAGGAGTAGGATAGGGCAGTGCCTCACCGGGACGCTGCAGGGACTCTGCAAGCACGAGGGAAGCGGTGTGCTTTCTTCGCACAAGGACCACGTCCTCAGCAGGGAAGAATTGCCTGCCCGAGAGCAGCTCATGATGCACCCATGGTTTCTGGTCACAGGCAGGAGAACAACCTGCCCAGTGCATCACTTGTTCTCACGGAAACAGATTCCAGCTGCCTGCCCCCTCAGTGCTCTCCACCCTGCTCCTATCAGCATTGGCTACAGCCAAAGCCTTGCACAGCATGCCAGGCCCTGTCCCAGCACCTTCCCAGGGGACCCCAGCGTGTCACCCACCACCCAAGATGCTGGGCCGGCCCGGGTCACGGAGACCTGGCCCACCTCTCTTTGCTTTGCTTTTTTTTTAAAGAAAAAAATAGAAACTATTGTATGTGTCAATTAACAAGAGGCTGGTTACCTAAATTATGGTTCACATGTACAGTGGACTTCTACCAGCCATTCAAAATAAGGATGCAGTTAGTTTTGTTGGCATGAATACGAGCCTATGACATATTGTTGCATGAAGACTTAGGTAACAGGACCACATATAAACCATCATCCTACTTATGTAAAATGATAAATACTTATCTAGCTATATGTGCATATTTACATATACAAAGGAAGATTCTAGAGTGGTGTAAAACCAACAAATTAACAGAATCACTACTTCTAAATGCTGGGATCTTGTCTAACTTTCATTTCTTTATTTGTTCTTCTTTCTAGGTAGATAGGCATAATAATGTATATAATGCATATAACAATGTATAAAATTTATAATGAGCAGCTACCATTTTTTAAACCAGCAATGTTTTTTCAAAAGGAATGAAGCAGGTACCGACAAAGGCAGTAGGGGAATGAGGAGAGGCCAGAAGGGCTCAAAGGCGGTGCCCGGGGCAGGTCCAGCTTGGTGAGAAAAACACCCAGAAAGCATGGGGCCAGGCCACGCAGAGAGGGCCCGCCTCCTGCCAGGCACTGCTCCTCCGGGCAAATGGCAAGGAGCAAAGAAATGCTATTCTTTTTGCCACTTTCTTTCTCAACAAATAAAAGAAAATGTTCAAGAACATTTTCTAGAACAAATGTTCTAGATATCAAGAAATGTTTGGATTCTTGATCCTAAAGGATTAAACAGAGATAAAGGGCAAGGAGCAGTTCAGTAAAAATGGGCGTCAACTGTCATGAATGTGGGGCATGAACTCAAGAGCCCAAAGACCTGGATTTGAAACCTGGCTGTTATGAGACCTGGGAATGGCAAAAACACTGGAACTCGCAGACCTCGGTCTTCACATCCATCTAATAGACGTGTTCATGCAGCCTTGCCTGGCAAATTATGAGATCAGACAAGATCATCATCTAAAATGATATTAACGATCATCTAAATGTTTGTGTTAAAAGAAAAACCCATTATATAGCTATGTTTTGTATTTTTCAGAGCCTCAAAAATAATTCACCAGTCTCATATAGCCATGCCCACCTCCATCTCTCTGTAACCCCGGGCCACCCTCCCGTCTGTCTGTGCGCACCTTCACACCCATGCACTGAGGGTGCATGGTGCTCTTCCTTCCTTCCTCCCTAGGCAGAGGCTTCCCGTGTGGCCCACCAAGGTCCAGCGATGGTTCCTGTCTCCAGCCCTTAACAGAATAGCCTCCCTGGCTTATTCAATAAGCACTTGGATAGCACTTCCTAAATAAACTTCCTCATTTAACATGAGAATGTTAAATGTTAATTCTGCATCCCACTGGAATCCATCACAATATCTTCTCCCTTTCTTCCTTACTAACAGAAACAATTTGTGCAGCTGAGACAGCCATGACCTGGCCAATGAGATGAAGTAGAATCTATTTGGTAGTGCCTCCAAGTCATTGTTTTCTTAATAAAAAGGAAGCCTCAGCATGTGGACACCTTTGGCCCTTTGCTCTTGCTCTTTCTTCCTGCCTGGAATGCGGAAATGATGTCTAGCTATGGAGCAGGCATCTTTGAGATCAGAGGGACAAAAGCTATCAACTTAGGAGGGTAGAGCAGGAAGCCGGAAGAAGCAAAGGACCCTGAGGCATCTGCACCAGCCCCAGGCTGCCTCCCTCTGGCTGTTCTGAGAAAGGAAAAAAAAATAAGAGATGCTATTCCAACAGGATGGATTGAATTTCTATTCATCACTTCAGTCAAATACAATTCCAACTGATTGAGATAACTTGCCCTGTTTTGACACCTCCTTAGTCAGACCCTGAAACCTACTTCAGTTCTTGAGGATCAATCATAAGTGTCAAGTGCTCAAGTTAAAATTTCACAATCTGTATTCACGGTTGGTCTCCAGGGATTCTATAATCATGGTAGGAGAACAGCAATCTCTGCAACGTGGTCATTCTGCTTGGGAATAGTCTTCATTCATTCCTAGGGGTCTCCAATAAGCCCAGGTACCAGCTCAGCTTGCTTGGAAAGGCTGCCCCTAAACACCCAGGGTGAGTCCCATGTGAAAACCAAGTTACTTAACTCACCCAGTCCTTACTGCGCACCCATCACCTTGCCAGAAAGATCACATGCTTTGGTGAGATCAACATTAGACTTTGAAGTGCACGGCCTGGATATCCATGAGTGGGTGTCTGAAGTAGTCTGTGCCGAGCCGGCTCTGAACCCAGGGACCATGTCACCTGCCAACCAAGTCCAGTCCCTTAGTTCCAAGCTGAAGTTTAGTCATAAGGTGCCCTCGTGGCCACATGTGTTTGTGGGAACATGTACCTAGGAAAGCTCTGCACACTTGTGGACACACAGTTGTACATGTATGTGCACACAAGTGTGTGTTATCCATATTTCCCCTCACAAAAGCAGACTAAAGAGGCAAACAACAAAAGAAAACTCATGATTGTAGAGTAAAAGCTGCTCAGAAGGCGCTGAGTTCAAATGTGTGGCTCATGGCTCCCTTGACTGCTCCAGGCCCTGGGCTTGTGATCTGTCACCTCCCATGACCATAATATGCTGGTATCAGCCCAGCGTAGTGTCCCCCCGAAACCAGGCTGGAGTGGCCAGGAAGGAGATCAGAAAGGCCAGAGGATGAATGCCGAGTCTCATCAGGCCCACTCTGTGTACGTCAAGAATATGCAGAAGGGGCTGGGGATCTACAGAGTGGACAGCGATCCTGCAGTGCTAACAGAATCACCTGCTGCAGCCGCACCCCCATGACCATGTCTCACTGCTTCTCACCAGGGGGAGTCCAGACAACAGGCGAGTGACCACGAGCTTCCTAAATAAGAGGACTGGGTGCCTCGGTCTGGCTCCCACCATCCTGCCTTCTGAAGCACAAGTGGCCAGAGCTGTGCAATGGAGGCCAGGGACAAAAACAAGACCAGTAAGCCTGGAAGCAGCCATGAGTTTCCAGCCATGGGGAAGCCAGGCAGGACACAGGGGTGGCTGGTGTATTCCATGCCATCCGCCGGAGCTGGTGGCACAGCCTGCCCGGCACCCTGCAGTGGCTCCAGCTCTCCTCCTCCTGTTGTCTGTGAGGGCTGGCATGCTCCTGATGGCTCCCTCCCAGCCTGTCTGGGGGCTGGGTCAGGACACATGCACCAGCTGGGGACCTGCAGCCAAGTGCCTCCCTGTGGCCTCTCCAGGGCCAGCTGAGGCTTCCTCGGACTGTGGGTATCTTGGCTTCCATGGCAGTGTTCCTTTTTTTTTTTTTTTTTTTTAAGATGGAGTCTCCCTCTCTTGCCCAGGCTGAAGTGCAGTGATGCGATCTCGGCTCACTGCAGCCTCTTCCTCCCAGGTCCAAGCGATTATCCTGCCTCGGTCTCCTGAGTACCTGGGATTACAGGTGCGCGCCATCAGGCCCAGCTAATTTTTTTCTATTTTTAGTAGAGACGGGGTTTTGCCATGTTGGCCAGACTGATCTCAAACTCTCAACCTCAAGTGATCCACTTGCCTCAGCCTCTCAAAGTACTGGGATTACAGGCGTAAGCCACCGTGCCTGGCCCCATGGCAGTGTTCTGAGAGAAGATGATGCTGTCCGCCTTAAAGGCTGGGTTCAGAGCTTGCCCAGTTCCCCTTCTGTCCATGCTAGGAGTCAAAGGAGTCACACAGGTCAGCCCAGATTCCAAGGGGTGGAGAAGGGGCCCTTTGGGAAGAGAAAGAGCACCAGGGGGAAAGCACTGAAGGTGCCGTCCTGAGACAAGCTGCTGCACATGGAGACCCAGGTTTCAGCAGCCCGAGCCACCAGGTGGCCTTTAGATGACTCGGCTGCATGACTCTGATGTTCAGAGCTCATCTTGCCAGCAACACTTGAAGACTCAAATTGGTGAATCACTGTTTTTCTCTAATTCCAAACAGTCGCTGATGTTTTCTAAACCATAGATAGTTGAAGCAAACCATATTAATTATGGTGCTTTTGCAGATGTGAGCAACGTAACATTTAAAGAAATCACAAGCTGCTGGCTCAGCAGTGTTTTAGGCTCTGGAACAAGCTACTTCATTGTCACTTTCCTTGCTAGCAGCTGATCCCTAAGTCAGATTCTCTGTGCTGACTTCCACATCAGGCAAAATACCAGTTTTATTTATGCAGCTTGTTAATCAATAAAACATCAGCAGTCAATTGATAAGTATTCCCTCCTATGTTCTCATTTAATCATCATAGCATCCTTTAATGGCAGGTCACTATCTCTGTTTTACAGATGATGAAGCAGAAGCTCATGGCAGTAGAGACACTTGCCCAAAGTTCTACGGCTCCTCCGTGTGAGAGCCAGGGTTCCGGTCCACATGTCTGACCCCCATGTGGGCGGCTCCCAGTGCTTGGGGTAGGACAGCCCTGTTTGTGTCCACAGGGGGACTAGGAAAGCCAAGGTAGACAGAGCCTACCCCTGGATGTCGGTGTATCACCGTCGCTGGCTCATGGCCATAGCTGCAACCTCCACCAACCTCCACAGCCTTCTCTGGGCCTCTGTCCACCTGACCTGGGAGTGGGAGACTGAAGCCATGTTCTTTGGCAGCAAAACACAGGGTTTGGTTGAAGATCGGTGCGCAGTGTGCATCACGTAGGTCATGAGGCTTTTATGCCAGGTAATTTTCAAAAAGACAGCTTCATTTTTAGACAAACTCGTTGAACCTTCTGGGGCCTCTACCAGAGGCAACATGCAAGCCCAAACTAATACCAAAGGTGAGAAATGTTTTCCCTGTGGGTGGGCTCTCCAACAATTTAAGGCATTTTCATCAGTGTCAACAATTACACATAGAAGTCATGTAACATACATCCCAAACATGCTCTGTACTCAAGGGTGCTCCGTACTCAAGGGTATGTTCACCACCCTTGCACACTGCGTCGCTGCAGCTCCCCCACCCGCCCCCACCAGGGAGAGGCCTCCTGCTGACGAAAGTGCTTGACAATCCCTCGCACAGGGATCAGCATGGGCTCCAGGACTCAGCCCCAGCAGCACGGTGGGAATCCGTGCACTGGGTGGCGGGCACCCACATACGAAGCTCCTGGGGCACAGGACACCCCAGGTTTAACCCCAGAGACACACAGCAGGGAGCCAAAGGCCATTCAGCAACATGAAAAAGTGCAGACTCTCCAAGTTGGCATGTGATGAGTTTATAAAGTGTCAGTAAATTACTTCAAGCTGAAAACCAATCAGTTTTCTTCATAAATTTTTTAAAACATTGACTAACAAAATTGCTTACCAACCTCTGTGTATGTGGGTATGCAGTATGTTCTCTCACAAACTTAGGCTAACAAGATACAAGATAAATTCCACCAGGTGTGTGGCTCGGCCTCCCTATGTGGGTGTCACAAGAGCTGGTAGTCAGCCCTCCTGCACTCCCCTCTTCCCAGCCACCTTCCTGCGGATTGGCCTGGGTTGCACATTAGCTTTCATAGGGGAAAAGCCAAACACAAAATGATTCTCAAACACAAAAATCTCCCAGGAAGGTTGAAAGATTACCTATTTGAGTGATGGGTACACTAAAACAGCGCAGACCTCACCACTCCGAAATATGGCCACACAACAAAACTACGCTTGTACCCCTTCCATCTATAAAAATAAAAAATCAATAAATCTCCCATGTTCTACTGCTCTCAACCCCTTCACCTTCAAGGAATAGGGAAGTTATTGGGTTTTTTCATATTATTTTATGGGAATCTGTAATTTCACTTATGTATATCTTTAAAAACATTTAAATTTCTTATTCATTTTAAACAAATCACATTTAATCATTTGAAATTCATTAGGTAAAACTCCTGGAGGACAGCAGTCATGCTGAATCATCTTTGTCACCTCCACCAGTGGGTTTCAAACTAGATTCTTAACACACGCCTCTGAAGTCTAAAGCAATGCTTCTGAGGCAAGGAAGAAGCAGTGACCAAAGATGGAAAGTGAGGAAGGCTTGGAGACTGAGTCAAAAGGCCTCACTTATGGAAAGGAAAGCCACTTAGCCCCTGGAAAGTTGTGCACAAATCGCACAGCCAATCCTCATTTCCAGCTCCATGCTCTCTCCCCCGTGCTACAATGTTGGGCTGACACCGCGTGATAAATGCTGTTGCTTCTTCAACACAAGTTCAAAGCAAGCCCCGTGTCCATGGCAAGATTGACTACTTCTGCTTCAGATGTGTCAACTAAAAATAGAGTACTCAGGTCCAATTGTTTACTTTCCATTTTGCTAAAAATTCTTATCATGGAGTCAGAAAAAAATATCACATAAGACACCGTAGGAGGCAAAGCCCATGTGCACATAACCTGCGGGCAACTGCACAGCTGCTAATTGAAAGCCCAGAATGAGATGAAAATCAGAAACCTACAAAACTTTCAAAAAAAAAACTGCAACTCAGCGTTAACATTTAACTCTTACTGCAGCAACTTTTGAGAGTGTTTTACCAGAAGATGTTTGTGTCAGCCTCTGAGCCCAAGCTAAGCCATCATATCCCCTGTGACCTGCATGTACACATCCAGATGGCTGGTTCCTGCCTTAACTGATGACATTCCACCACAAAAGAAGTGAAAATGGCGTGTTCCTGCCTTAACTGATGACATTGTCTTGTGAAATTCCTTCTCCTGGCTCATCCTGGCTCAAAAGCTCCCCCACTGAGTACCTTGTGACCCCCACTCTGCCCACCAGAGAACAACTCCCCTTTGACTGTAATTTTCCTTTATCTACCCAAATCCTATAAAACGGCCCCACCCTTATCTCCCTTCACTGACTCTCTTTTCGGACTCAGCCTGCCTGTGCCCAGGCAATTAAAAGCTTTTATTGCTCACACAAAGCCTGTTTGGTGATCTCTTCACACGGACATGCATGAAAGTTTGTGTCCACAGCTGCTATTTGTCCACCTGACTGCAAGGCTCTGTGACAGCCGTTCCTCCCCTGGCACTGTCCATTCCCATGGGTAGAAGAACTGGCCTCTGCTCTGCATTCAGGGTGCCTGGCTCTCTGTGAAGGCCAAGTGCTTAAACAGACCCTGAATGACAAAAGCGAGGTTGTTACAGGTCACATTTTTCAAATTCTAAAAGCCTCAGGCCCATATGAGTAGGGGAGCTGGGACTGGATACCCCACTGTTCTCCAATGCCATCCCACACTGGGGCTTCTGGGGTGCACATTTCTGTTCTGCCCCTCAAATGAGCCCTCTCCAGGGAAGCTTCCTTGGCTTTCTTTTCCCCCATCTGCTGGCTTGCTGTGAGCCTGTCCCACACCCCCTGACTGGAATGGAACTCCATGGGGACAGAGCTTCCTGGGTTTCCCTCACTGCTGTCCCCAGAGCCTGAGCAATCTCTGGCATGGTGCTCAACAGATA
Source organism: Homo sapiens (assembly GCF_000001405.40). Lineage (NCBI taxonomy): Eukaryota > Metazoa > Chordata > Mammalia > Primates > Hominidae > Homo > Homo sapiens. The sequence continues at coordinate 48,261,227 of NC_000008.11, read as the reverse complement.
TTTGTTGAATGAATGAATGAAGCAAGGTCTTCTATGAAAATAATAAGAATCGTGGCACTTTTGCCAAGGTCTCCAGGCATGTTTAGATATATATATGAGCAAATCAGACAAATTATTTTATGATTACAATAACTAAAATGTCAGTGTGCCCACCTGTGCCAGGCTCAGCTCCCAGCGCTGCACATGTGATTTCACTGAATTGCCACAGCAATACTGTGAGATGGGCACCACTGTTAATTTCCCTCTACAAATGAAAAACCGCCCAGGGAAACCCAGCCAATGATCTCAAACCTAGGCAGTGCTGCCAGACCCCGCAGTACAGGAAACATGGGCTATGGAGTGGCCTTGTGCAGTAGGTTCTCGGCGACGTTGCTAGGGGGTTGGGGACCTTTCCTGTTGCGCTTTTTCTGAAGCTCCCAGCGCAAGGCGCTGCCGCAGGTGTTGTGGGCTTGGTAGGTGTGGGTGCTGCCCCTTGGGTGCAGCTCGGACGCCCAGTACTGGGCCAGGCCTACCGTATGCCTGCAGGCGGTGGAGCGCCCGCTCCCATTCCAGACGCCCTTCCCCTAGGCCGGAATGCCCTGGGGAAGGAAGGTGGGTGCGGGTGCTCTCAGACCCTCGGAGAGGAGACAGGCCGCTCCCACCCAGAAGCGGGGGCGGCACAGTCCCTGCCCGGCCCAGCCCCCTGCCCACCGCGCCTGCCTTAGCTGCGCGCGTCCACGTTTGCCCGTTTCCCTGCCCGAAAGCCGCCAACCAACAAGAGTAGGTAAGAGCTCGCGGCACAAAACGGATAAAAGTGGCAATGGTTTAGCTGAAGTAGGAATGGAAAAAAAGAGCACCACACCCCTGCCCTTCTCTCTACCTCCCACGGCAGCACCCCTCGCCTCTTCCAAGGACGGGCTGAACACAGCGGTCCCCACCACCCAAGGAACACCACACACAGGGGGCGCTCGGGAACGGTCTGATTCCCAGGTCACAGTCCTATTTACCGTTGGCTGGGCTCTGGGGGGTGGCTTCACACACCTCTGGATGTGGGTCCAGAACTGGAGAGTTCACGCCAATTGGTGCCTGGGCTCCTGCGCAGTCCGCCCAGCTCAGCTACTCCGTAAGTACTTCAGTTTAGTTTCACTAAAAAAGCGTTTCCAACGCATAAAAAGGCCCCTCCACCCAGTTTAAGAAAGAAAATTTTTACACATACGGCAGAAGTTCATGCGTGCCTCCTCCAAGATCCTCTCCTGAGGTCCCCTCTCCTTCTTCAGGTGTTGACCGTTCCCAAGCACGTTCTTTCACTTCGTAGATGATGTGTAGACAGACAGACTGTTGGGTGGATGCAGAGATGACAGACAGATTAGATAGATGATAGATAGATAGATAGATAGATAGATAGATAGATAGATGATAGATATGACAGATGATAGAAAGGTAGAAAGAGTTGGTATATAGAATATGAATATATATATGACCCAAAGACATTTATATCACTGTTTAATATGGTTGAAACTTATATAAATGACACTGTGCTGTAAATACCCTGCACCTTTCTATTTATGTGTCCAACATGTTTTTGAAAAATTTTCCATGTCATTGTGTACTCTTATTTAATTCATTTTCTCTACTCTATTTCATTCAATGTTCTGAATATATCACGATTTATTTAAAAATAAACAAAATATATATCTTTTACAGTCTTTTTGTATCTTAAAAATATTACCCTACCCAGAAGTCATAAAGCTATTTTCCCATATCTTCTTCTAAAATTTTTAAATGAGTTTTTGAGACTGGTGTGGAGTAGGAATTTAAATTTTTCGTTTTTATAACCAATTGTTCCAGTACCACTCAATTTATAATGCCCCTATTTCATATATCAAGTTGTCTTATTTTTATACATCTCTTTCTAGACTCGCTAGTCTTAGCCATCAGTCTGGTTTTTGATATCTATCTATAGTGTCCTAATTATTAAAGCCCATTACAAATCTTAATATCTGATAGATGAGTCCCTCCATTTTGCTCTATTTTTTAAAAAATTATCTTGGCTATTGTATTAGTAAGCTATTACTTCCTAACAAACCATTTCAAAACTTAAACAGTTAAAGTCTTAGGTTATTTATTTTCTTCTCCAAGCCTGAGGTCAGCTGTTTGGGCTGAGCTCAGCTGGATGGTTCTGATCTCACCTGAGCTGGCTCACACATCTGCAGCTAGCTGGCCCTGGGGCAAAGGGGAGAATTAGGCCACCTGTCTTTCATCACCCAGCTGGCTTAGCCACAGCAAAGGCAAGTAGCAAGAGACTGAACAAAACACACAAAGCCTCTTGAGCCACTCTCTACTGGCCAAGGCATGTCATGAGGCCAGCCCAGACCCCAAGGATAGGGAAGGGGCTTCCTTGGTGCAGGGAGCGGCCAGTTCACATTCTCAAGGGCACAGAGGCAGGGAGCGTGAAGACTGAGCTCATGTGGGAAACCAACCTTTACTACTCCATGTAAATTTTAGAAGCAGACTTTTAAGATCACAAAAATAACCTCTGTTGGAATTTATTGCCAGATGCTTAAATATTTTTGTAATTTTTTGCAAAGTGCCTTTTAAAAATTCATTCTTAAGTGTTTATAACTGAGGTATGGGAGTATAATGGAGTACTGTACATTGATCTGACCTTCATTAACCTTGCTTAGCTATTATTACTTCTAATAATTTATCCACAGATTTTCTTGGACTTCTTATAGGACTTTTCTTGTAGGAAAATACTTCCATTTAATGGCACTCTTGGGAGGATGCCTTTAAAATTGCATGCTCACATCAGAGCTGCTACAAAATGACTGGTTTTATTGGGACCTTTTGTTTGCTTAAAGACACTTAGTAACCATCTTCAGCTCACGTGATGATTCTGCCTCCAGGAGTATGAGGAGGCAGTGGTCAGTATGAAAGACTGCACTGCAGGCCATTTTCAATTTGGGAGAAAAATAGGTACAGATAATTCAGGAAAACCATGACCATAAAATACTTTACATTTGGCATAAAACTTAATCCCACACATGTAGGGAAAGGGCCTCTTCTTGGTGTAAGGAGTGGTAGCTCACAGCTCTGCAGATCTTGGAAGTGGGCAAGATTTGGCTTGAGTCCCCACCTGCCTCACTTTCCCCCAGCATGTTCTCTCCCCACGATTTCTTCTTCAGGCAGCTGCCCTTGCCACGCATCTCCACGCCCAACCCTGCACCTGCTCCAGGCTGCCCCAATCTTCAGTGCTCTCCCTCACAATCCACCATTGATGAAAATGACCCAGGTCTCTGCACCTCTCCCCTGAGGTACTTAGTGAACTTTAGTGATGTACATCACACTGATATAGTCTGACAATGCTCCTTCAAAGATGTTGCACTCATGATGGTTGAAACAGATTGTAAGTTTATCCCCTCCAAATCTCATGCTGACATTTGATCCCCAATATTGGAGGTGGGCCTAATGGGAGGTGTTTGGGTCTTGGGGGTAGATCCCTCATGAATGGTTTGGTACCATCCCATCCCACGGTAATGAGTAAGGTCTCACTCTATGAGTTCACAGGAGAGCTGCTTGCTTAAAAGAGCCTGGCACTTCCTCCCCTCTCTCCCATTTGACACACCTGTTCCCGTCCCCCTTGCACCATGATTGAAAGCTTCCATGGCTGAGCACAGTGGCTCACATCTGTAATCCCAGCACTTTGGGAGGCCGAGGTGGGTAGATCACGAGGTCAGGAGATTGAGACCATCCCAGCTAACAAGGTGAAACCTGTCTCTACTATAGAAAAATTAGCCGGGCGTGGTGGCAGGTGCTTGTAATCCCAGCTACTTGGAGGCTGAGGTAGGAGAAGTGCTTGAACCTGGGAGGCAGAGGTTGCAGTGAGCCAAGATCGCACCACTGCACTCCAGCCTGGGTGACAGAGCAAGACTCTATCTCAAAAAAAAAAAAAGAAAGCTTCCTGAGTTCCCTTGCTAGGAGCAGATGCCAGCACCATGTTTCTTGTACAGGCTGCAGAATTGTAAGCCAAATAAACTTATTTTCTTTGTAAATTATTCAACCTCAGATATTCCTTTATAGCAACACAAAATGGACTAACACAAATGGCTTCCTCACTCCCTAGAATATTGCTGTGCTTAGGAGTGAGTTAAGACAGGTGTCAGGGAGGAGGATTTGCATTTTTAAATCTCCCCAGGTTGTTCTATTGCAGTAACTCTCTCTATAGAACCTGGTTTGGGAATTATGGATGTAGATTGGTTTCCCAAAGTAAGTTCTGCAGAACACTTGTACCACAATATTTTGTAAAAATAAAGTTTCTTAATCAAATGAGTTTGGAGTGATAAATAGTATATGCCCTTCCTTTTTTTTTTTTTTTTTTAGATGGAGTTTTGCTCCTGTTGCCCAGGCTAGAGTGCAATGGTGTGATCTCAGATCAGCTCACCACAACCTCCATCTCCGTTCAAGTGATTCTCCTGCCTCAGCCTCCCGAGTAGCTGGGATTACAGACATGTGCCACCATGCCCAGTTAATTTTGTATTTTTAGTAGAGACAGGGTTTCTCCATGTTGGTCAGGCTGGTCTTGAACTCCTGACCTCAGGTGATCCACCCGCCTCAGCTTCCCAAAGTTATGCAATTACAGGCATGAGCCACCGTGCCTTGCTGTCTATGCCCTTCTTGAAGTTCACAGCAATTTACATACTGCCAAGACCAGCTTGGTCGGGGAGACCCTAACCCAGTGGCGCTAGAGGAATTAAAGACACACACACAGAAATATAGAGGTGTGAAGTGGGAAATCAGGAGTCTCACAGCCTTCAGAGCTGAGAGCTCCGAACAGAGATTTACCCACATATTTATTAACAGCAAACCAGTCATTAGCATTGTTTCTATAAATATTAAATTAACTAAAAGTATCCCTTATGGGAAATGAAGGATGGGCTGAATTAAAGGAATAAGTTGGGCTAGTTAACTACAGCAGGAGCATGTCCTTAAGGCACAGATCACTCATGCTATTGTTTGTGGCTTAAGAATGCCTTTAAGCGGTTTTTCGCCCTGGGCAGGCCAGGTGTTCGTTGCCCTTATTCCCCTAAACCCACAACCTTCCAGCGTGCGCATTAGGGCCATTATGAACATGTTACAGTGCTGCAGAGATTTTGTTTATGGCCAGTTTTGGGGCCAGCTTATGGCCAGATTTTGGGGGGCTTACTCCCAACAACATACGAAGGCTCTGACATAGCCTTCAGTGAGGAAACCTGCTTAACCTTCTACCTGGAGCACTTTTTCCCTCTAATTAACACCTGGTGATTTCTCACTGTCTCGAGTCCCACAGGAACACCCATGGAGAAAAGCATCCCTTGGTACATAGATTCTGCAATTTGCAAGACCCCTAGGTCACCTTAGACTAAGCTCTTTGACATTATTCTTGACAGTTGACCAACTGGCCTCTACTGGAACGGGGACCTGTCTGCCTACCCTTGTATTTCTCAAAAGTTCTAATTTTTAGAAAGTTCTTTGTGTTGAAGTAAAATTAAATCAACTCATGTAACTTCCATCTGTTAATCTTACAACTTCTTGCTGGACAAACACAGAATAAATCTGTAATCATTCCCACATCTCAGGTTTTTGTATGTGCAAAGACAACAGTCATATCATTCACTCATTCATTCATTTATTCCAATACATCCACTTTAAGCAGGCTCAGTGTTAAAGGATGGGTTTACAGCAGAGAGCTAGATGAGTGCCTTTTCATGGGCCAGTGTAAGATAAACAAGTGAATGGGCCTGTGAGATAAATCCTATCAATAGGATGACATCGAGTTAAGGAGGTGTATAGAAGTGTCACCTAATCCTCTCTTACAGTGTCACAGAAGCATTCCTGGAGGAGAAGATAGCTAGGCTGATGCATGGTAAGAGTTAGTCAAAGAGGAGGGGATCAATTGCACAGAGGAAGCAGAGTTTCCAAACATCCAGAGATGAGATAGAGCATAATAAATCTTCTTCCCTCCTCATGTAACATTCCCAGTTCCTTCAGCCATCCCCCAAATGCCATGATTTCAGTATCCCTCACCATCTTGATCCAAATTCTCAGGACATTATCTCTAGTCTGATATTGTCCTTCATAAAACAGACAACCATAATGGTACAGCTGGGCTTGTCCAAAATGGACCTCAGTGGAGCACAGCCTGGCACGAACATGGCTAACCAGGACTTGTTTAGCCTGTTTTATTTAGGGATTTTTTAGTGTTTAACACAAGACATGTGTTAGAGAGCAAGAAGCAGAACAAGGCTCCATTCAGTTTTCTAATTCCCACACCTAAGGCAGCCAAAGTATTCATGATCAAATCCTTGAGAAACTTAGCACTACCTACTGATTTTGCTTTATGAATTACAGTGTTCAAAATAAACTACATGTGAAATAAAAATATACATTCTATACAGGTATTTCCTATGCCTTCTATTGCAATTCTATAAACACTTTTTAAAAATTTTTTTAAAAAGAAGACCTGGCGTGAAAACATAATGAAACTAACATTTTAATATGGCACAGTCTATGCATTTAACTCTCCTAATTTCAGGGCATAGGAGCTGTTTAAGTGAAGAAAAAAAATCCATAGATCATTGCACATTAGAAATACCCATTAAGAAGCGCCCCCCTCCCCCCAGTTTGTTCCCACTTCCCCAGGAGCACTTGCTAACTCCCATGATGACTGATAACCCCACTGTCAAGCAGAGAAAAATAAAAAAGTAGAAGAAACAGCGAGAAGAGCCCTATAGGCACTCCTTGTCCCCAGGGAAGCCATTTCTGATTTTATCTCAGAGGGGTCCTTAGGGACAGCAGTCAGTGGATTTGGGGAAGGGCCACAGGGAGAAGGAGACCTCCAGCTGAACTTTGTAGTAATTTTGATCAAGGGCAAATTTTCCTGGGCAGAATCTGAGGGAGTAAACAGGAAATGCAGATACGAGCAAAAAAGCCTTGGCAGGCAGGGAGGGGTAAGGCCTGAAAGCCCTATTTGCTTTCTCAGCAGGGAGGCTGAGGCTTGCCTCGGGCAAGATCTCAGCCCTGCATGGAAGCCTGGATGTGAATTTGGCTCTGTTGGCAATTGTTGTGGAAGCAATGCGGGCTGGAGTGAGATTGGCCTTGCTGGCTGCCTGGGAACTGGGTGAGGCCTGTCACTGCCAGCTTTCCCCCACTTCCCTGGCGACCTGTAAGAAGCAACAGGGGTAACCATAATCCCCCTTGGAACATAACTCCATTGGCCTGAGAACCACTCCCCCATCCCCCACAATGACTGCAGTAAGCCCTCCCCAAGAAGACTCTGAGCCCAGACACACCTAAGGCTGCACCCACCTGGTCGTCTTTCTCTACCTCCCCTGGTAGCCAAAGACAAAAGGCATAAACTCATGAGAGCTCTATGGCCCTGCCCATCACCTGAGAAACCTGAATACTTATTCAGATGACCTTAGGGCAAGCTTGTATCCCCTATACTACCATAGCTGATGCTCTCTTGAAAGTGCCACCTCCTTGCTGGACCAACCCACTCAAGCCATTGCAGTAACTCATAACAACCAATCCTGCTTCAAGGAAGGAAAAAACAACAGCTAATTCTACTGCCTGTAACATCCTGGCTAACCAGAGGTCCTGAGTCTGTCCATATGACAACTTCATTGCTAGCATAACCAGCATTTGAGAAAACCAGCACACTAAACAAAACTACAAGCAAGGACTCACACAGAGTCCACCTCACTCGCCTGCTACCTCCACTGGAGCAAGTGCTGGTACCCGTGGCTGAGAGACCTGAAGATGGATCACATCACAGGACTCTTTGCAGGCACCCCCCAGTACCAGCCTGGAGCCCAGTAGCTTTACTGCATGGCTAGACCCAGAAGAGCAAAAACAATCACTGTAGTTTGGCTCTCAGGAAGCCCTACCCTTAGGGTAAGGGGGAGAACACCACATCAAGGGAGTACCCTTTGGGACAAAAGAATCTGAACAGTAGCCCTTGAGTTCCAGAGCTTCCCTCTGACATAGTCTACCCAAATGAGAAGGAAGCAAAAAAGGAATTCTGGTAATATGACAAAACAAGGTTCTACAACACCACAAAAAGATTGCCCTAGCTCACCAGCAATGGGTCCAAACCAAAATGAAATCTCTGAATTGCCAGAAAAAGAATTCAGAAGGCCAATTATTAAGCTAATCAAGGAGGCACCAGAGAAAGGTGAAAAACAAATAAATCAAACAAAAATGCAGGATATGGATGAAAAAATCTCCAGGGAAATAGATATCATAAATAAAAAACAATCACAACTTCTGGAAATGAAAGACACACTTATAGAAATGCAAAATACACCGGAAAGTTTGAACAATTGAACAAGTAGAAGAAAGAATTTCAGAGCTCAATGACAAGGCTTTCAAATTAACCAAATTTAGACAAAGACAAAGAAAAAGCATCAAAAAAATGAACAAAGCCTCCGAGAAGTTTAGGAGTATGTTAAACAACCGGTTCTAAGAGTAATTGGTGCTCCTGAGGAAGAAGAGAAATCTAAAAGTTTGGAAAATTTATGTGAGGGAATAATAAAGGAAAACTTTGCTGACCTTACTAGAGATCTAGGCATCCAAATACAAGAAGCTCAAAGAACACCCAGGGAATTCCTCACAGAAAGATAATCACCTAGGCACATAGTCATCAGGTTATCTAAAATCAAGCAAAGAAAGCTGTGAGGCAAAAGCATCAAGTAACGTATAAAGGAAAACCTATCAGATTAACAGCAAATTTCTCAGCAGAAACCCTACAAGCTAGAAAGGATTGGGGTCCTACCTTTAGCCTACTTAAGCAAAACAATTATCATCCAAGAACTTTGTATCCAGTAAAACTAAACTTCATAAATGAAGGAAAGATAAAGTTTTTTTCAGACAAACAAATGCTGAGAGAACTCACCACTACAAAACCAGCATTACAAGAACGGCTAAAAGTGCTAAATCTTGAAACAAAACCTTGAAATACACAAATAGAACCTCCTTAAAATGTAAATCTCATGGGGCCTATAAAACAATAACACAATGAAAAAAACAAGGTATTCAGGTAGCAACTAGCACAATTAATAGAATAGTACCTCAGATCTCAATGCTAATGTTCAATGTAAATGGTCTAAATGCTCCATTTAAAAGATACAGAATGGCAGAATGAATAACAATTCACCCAAATATCTGCTGTCTTCAAGAGACTCACCCAAAGCATAAGGACTCATGTAAACTTAAGGTAAAGGGGTGGAAAAAATATTCCATGCAAATGAAAACCAAAAGCAAGAAGAAGTAGCTATTCTTATATCAGACAAAACAGACTTTAAAAAAACAAGTGTTAAAAAAGACAAAGAGGAATATTAATATAATGATAAAAGTACTACTCCAACAGGAAAATATCACAATCTTAAATATACATGCACCTAACACTGGAGCTCCCAAATTTATAAAACAATTACTACTAGACATCAGAAATGAGATAGACAGCAACACAGTAATAGTGAGGGGGTTAAATACTCCACTGACAGCACTAGACAGGTCATGAAGACAGAAAGTCAAAAAAGACACAGGCCAGGCACAGTGGCCCATGCCTGTAATCCCACCACTTTGGGAGGCCAAAGTGGGTGGATCACTTGAGGTCAGGAATTTGAGACCAGTCTGGTCAACATGGTGAAACCCTGCCTCTACTAAAAACACAAAAATTAGTTGGGTGTGATGGCACATGCCTGTAATCCTAACTATTTGGGAGGCTGAAGCAGGAGAACTGCTTGAACCCAGGAGGCAGAGGCTGCAGTGAGCCAAGAGTGTGATATTGCACTCCAGTCTGGGTGACACAATGAGACCTTGTCTCAAAAAAAAAGAAAAGAAAAGAAAGAAAGAAACAATGGACTTAAACTATACCTCAGAACAAATATACTTAACAGATATTTACAGAACATTCTGCCCAATAACTGCAGAATATACACTCTATTCATCAGCACATGGAACATTCTCCTAGATAGACCATATGATAGGCCACAGAACAAGTGTCAATAAATTTAAGAAAATCAAAATTATATCAAGTACTCTCTCAGACCACAGTGAAATAAAACTGGAAATCAACTCCAAAATAAACCATCAAAACTATGCAAATATATGGAAATTAAATAATCTGCTCCTGAATGATCGTTGAGTCAACAATGAAATTGCAATGGAAATTTAAAAGTTCTTTGAACTGAATGATAATAGTGACACAACCTATCAAAACCTCTGGGATACAGCAAAAGCTGAGCTAAGAAGAAAGTTCATAGCATTAAATACCTATATCAAAAAATCTGAAAGAGCACAATCTAAGGCCATACCTCAAGGAGCTACAGAAACAAGAACAAACCAAACCCAAACCCAGCAGAAGAATAGAAATAAATATTGGAACAGAACTAAATGAAATTGAAACAAACAGACAAAAATAAATAATATACTGAAACAATCAGGTGGTTATTTGAAAAGGTAAACAAAAGTGACAGAACATTAGTGAGATTAACCAAGAATAGAAGAGAGAAGATCCAAATAAGCTCAATTGAAATGAAATGGGAAATATTACAACTGATACCACAGAAATACAAAAGATCATTCAAGGCTACTATGAACACCTTTACATCCACAAACTAGAAAACCTAGAGAACAGGAATACATATTTGGAAATATACAACCATCTTAGATTAAACCAGGATGAAATAGTGTTAAGAACAAGCCCCCCAAAACCTGGCCATAAACTGGCCCCAAAACTGGCCATAAATAAAATCTCTGCAGCACTGTGACATGTTCATGATGGCCATAATGCCCATGCTGGAAGGTTGTGGGTTTACAGGAATGAGGGCAAGGAACACCTGGCCCGCCCAGGGCAGAAAACTGCTTAAAGCCATTCTTAAGCCACAAACAATAGCATGAGCAATCTGTGCCTTAAGGACATGCTCCTGCTGCAGTTAACTAGCCCAACCTATTCCTTTATTTCAGCCCATCCCTTCATTTCCCATAAGGGATAATTTAGTTAATTTAATATTTATAGAAACAATGCTAATGACTGGTTTGCTGTTAATAAATATGTGGGTAAATCTCTGTTTGGGGCTCTCAGCTCTGAAGGCTGTGAGACCCCTGATTTCCCACTTCACACCTCTATATTTCTGTGTGTGTGTCTTTAATTCCTCTGGAGCCACTGGGTTAGGGTCTCCCCAGCTGAGCTGGTCTCAGCAAGTGGCATCCACCGTGGGGGCTTGAATCCAGGTTGAAGGGTCACTGGAGCAACAGTTGGAGAACGTGGAACTAAGCTGGAGGACACCCGAGTACTCTTAAAGCAATCCCCGTAGTGAGTAAGCAGGGGAGCTCAGAAGCATCAGGGTAACATTGGGACAAGTGTGGGCTGTGGTTCATTCCACCTTGGAACTTTTTCACACTGATGATGAGGAGGAAGGAGAGTATAGCGAAGTATATAGAAGAGGTTACAGAGCATGTTTATTTGCCAGATAAAGCTAAAGTGGCAAAGGAAGGAGAGGATACAGAGCATGTTTATTTGCCAGCTAAAGCTAAAGCAGCAAAGGAAGGAGAGGTTCATCCCTACCCTCTGCACCCCCTCATTATTATTTTGAGAAAAAGAGTGACCTGACCCTACAGATCTTTTTTTTCCAGAGGACAGTGGGCAAAAAGTAGTTGCCCCAGTGACTGTTCGGGCAGCGCCTCAAGCAACCGCTCTTAGTTCTATTCAGGCAGGAATTCAGCAAGCTAGACCAGAGGGTGATTTAGAGACTTGGCACTTCCCTGGTAGAATACACCCCCCAGATCAACAGGGAAATATTATAGCTACTTTTGAGCCCTTTCCTTTTAAATTACTCAAAGAATTTAAACAAGCTATAAATCAGTATGGACCAGGTTCTCCTTTTGTAATGGGACTGTTAAAGAATGTTGCTGTTTCCAGTCAGATGATTCCTACTGACTGGGATGCTCTTACTCAAGCTTGTCTAACTCCTGCTCAGTTCCTACAATTTAAAACTTGGTGGGCAGATGAAGCTGCCATTCAGGCTGCTCACAATGCCCAGGACCAACCTCAAATTAATATAACTGCAGACCAACTTTTGGAGGTTGGTGCCTGGGCTGGTTTAGATGCACAACTGGTCACGCAGGATGATGCCACAGAACAGCTTAGCAGAGTGTGCATTAGAGCTTGGGAAAAAATCACTTCAAGTGGAGAACAATACACTTCCTTTAGTGCTGTAAAACAGGGACCCAAAGAACCATACATTGATTTTATAGCATGGTTACAGGAGTCTCTTAAAAAGATGACTGCAGATTCGGCTGCTCAGGATATAGTGTTGCAGTTATTAGCTTTCGACAATGCTAATCCCAATTGCCAGGCTGCTCTGTGACCTATCAGAGGGAAAGCACATTTAGTTGATTATATCAAGGCCTGTGATGTTATCAGAGGTAATCTGCATAAAACTAATTTGTTGGCACAGGCAATGGCAGGACTGAGAGTGGATAAAGGAAATACTCCATTTTGTGGAGTTTGCCTTAACTGCGGGAAGCATGGTCATACTAAAAAAGAATGTAGAAAAAATCAGCGAGTCAGGCCGCCAGATAGGGGAAAAAAGAAAAGTGCTGAGCCTGAAATATGTCCAAAATGTAAAGAAGGAAAACATTGGGCTAATCAGTGTCACTCTAAGTTTGATAAAGAAGAGAACCCGATTTCAGGAAACACCATGAGGGGCCCATCCCTGGCCCCATTCTAAACCGGGGCATTTCCAGCTCAGGCCATTCCCTCACGCCTGTACAATGTCTGTCCCCCGCTACAGCCAGTAGTGCCACAGTAGATTTATGCTGCATGAAAGCTGTAAGCTTCCTGCCTGGGGAACCCCCGCAAAAGGTCCCAACAGGAGTCTGTGGACCCTTGCCAGTGGGCACAATAGGATTACTTTTAGGAAGGTCTAGTTTAAGTTTAAAAGGGGTACAAATACATACAGGAGTCATTGATTCAGATTATAAAGGGGAAATTCAAATTGTTATATCTACTTCTGTTCCCTGGAAAGCGGAGCCAAGAGAGTGCATAGCACAGCTCCTGATTGTGCCGTATGTGGGAACGGGAAAAAGTGAAATTAAACAAACAGGAGGATTTGGAAGCACAAATAAACAAGGCAAAGCAGCTTATTGGGTAAATCAAATTACTGATAAACGTCCTACCTGTGAAATAACTATTCAGGGAAAGAAATTTAAAGGTTTGGTAGATACAGGAGTGGACATTTCAATCATTTCTCTACAGCACTGGCCATCCAGGTGGCCAATTCAACCCGCTCAATATAACATAGTTGGAGTTGGTAAAGCCCCTGAAGTATTTCAAAGTAATTATATTTTGCATTGTGAAGGGCCCGATGGACAACCTGGGATTATTCAAGCAATTATAACTTCTGTACCTATAAATTTATGGGGAAGAGATTTATTACAACAAGGGGGAGCAAAAGTTCTAATTCCAGAACCATTATATAGCCCTCAAAGTCAACATATGATGCATGAAATGGGGCATGTCCCTGGTATGGGACTAGAAAAAAATTTGCAAGGTTTGAAAGAACCGCTTCAAGTGGAAAGACAAAATTCCCGCCAAAGATTAAGATACCATTTTTGATGGCAGCCATTGTTAAGCCTCCAGAACCTATACCTTTAAAATGGTTAACAGATAAGCCAATTTGGATAGAACAATGGCTGCTAATTAGAGAAATTAGTTATGGAACAATTAGAAAATGGGCACATAGCTCCAACATTTTCCCCCTTGGATTTCTCCAGTTTTCCTAATTAAGAAAAAATCAGGTAAATGGAGAATGTTAACTGACTTAAGAGCCATAAATTCAGTTATACAACCTATGGAAGCATTACAGCCAGGATTGCCTTCTCCTGCTATAATTCCAAAAAATTGGTCTTTAATAGTCATAGATTTAAAAGACTGTTTCTTTACTATCCCCTTAGCTGAGGAAGACTGTGAACAGTTTGCATTTACAATTCCTGCAGTAAACAACCTGCAACCTGCTAAGCATTTTCATTGTTTTACAGATGGGTCTAGTAATGGTAAAGCTTATTCTGGATCAAAAGGTAAAGTTTTCCAGATGCCCTATACTTCAGCTCAAAAAGCGGAGCTTGTAGCTGTAATTGAGGTAGTGACTGCTTTTGATATGCCTATCAATGTGATTTCTGATTCTTCATACATGGTTCATTCCACACAGTTAATTGAAAATGCTGTTACAATTTCATACAGATGAACAACTGATGACTTTATTTACCCAGTTGCAAATAGCAGTTATAAGTAGAATGCACCTTTTTTCCATCACTCACATTAGGGCTCATACAACTCTTCCAGGACCTTTGACTGAAGGAAATCAAATGGCTGATCACCTAGTTGCTAATGCAATATCTAATGCTAGACATTTTCACAATTTAACCCATGTTAATGCCTCTGGTCTCAAACGCAGACACAGCATTACCTGGAAAGAAGCTAAAGCTATTATCCAATGATGTTCAACTTGCCAAATGGTACATTCCTCATCTTTTACAGGAGGAGTTAATCCTCGAGGACAGGAACCTAACTCTCTTTGGCAAATGGATGTCACACATGTTCCCTCGTTTGGGAGGCTAGCTTATGTACATGTATGTGTGGACACCTTTTCTCACTTTGGGCTACATGCCAATAAGGAGAGTCTTCTGCCTGTGTTAAATGTCACCTTTTGCAGTGTTTTGCAGTGATAGGCATTCCAGCTTCTATTAAAACAGATAATGCCCCAGGCTATACTAGCCAAGCTCTAGCTACATTTTTCTCTATGTGGAATATTAAACACATTACTACTATCCCATACAATTCTCAAGGACAAGCCATAGCAGAAAGAATGAATCTCTCCCTAAAACAGCAGTTGCAAAAGCAGAAAGGGGGAGACAGAGAATATGGAACACTGAAGATACAACTGAATCTAGCATCATTAACTTTAAATTTTTTGAGCCTGCCCAAAGGCCAGACGTTATCAGCAGCTGAAGAGCATCTACAGAAACCAGCTGCAAGGACAGAAGAAGAACAACTGATTTTGTGGAGAGATCCAATAATAAAAAGTTAGGAAATAGCTAAAATAATAACTTGGGGTAGAGGTTATGCTTGTGTTTCTCCAGGCCAAAATCAACAGCCGATTTGGATACCATCAAGATACCTGAAACCTTATCATGAGCCAGATGCTGAGGAAGAGACTCCAGGAGGATCCCATGACAGCAACACCCATAGAACACAGCCACCCACCTGGGGACAGATCAAGAAGCTGTAACAGATGGTGGAAGAAAACCTGAGGAAAGCAGGACAACCAGTCACAATGAGTAATTTAATGGTAGCTATGATAGCAGAGATCACCATTGCCATGAGTATTCCTTCAACAAGGGCTGACACAGAGCATAATTATACTTATTGGGCATATTTTTCAATCTTGGCTGGCAATAATGCCTGGATATAATCACTCTATGACACAATTAAGTATGCTTTCTGATCTCAGTATTTACCATAACAAATCTCCTCCTATAATTGAGGCATACCACCCTCAAAAACCTATTTGTAAACAAAATTGAACCTGACCAGAAAAAATGAATGTACTTGTTTAGGAAGATTGCATAGCAGAACAGACAGAGGTGCTGCATAATAATGGAATCATTATTAATTGGTCCCCTAAGGGGATGTTTAGCTTAAATTGCACCTCTCAGTCTGCATGCCATGGCCACACTATGTTCAGATGATCTGAACAAAACGGTCAGATGGCAGATATAATAAGAAGTATGGCAAGAGTCCTTTGTGGAAACTATTAATAGGCCTTAATAAGATCAAAATTTGGGAAAGATAAAAAAGCATCGAGAAGGACACTAGAAACTTGTTTTTGGATATGCAAAATTAAAAGAACAAATATTTAAAGCATCCCAGGCACACCTGACCTTAATGCCAGGAACTGGAGTGCTTAAAGGAGCTGCAGACAAATTAGCAGCTAGTAACCCATTAAAATGGATAAAAACACTTGGAAGCTCTGTGATTTCAATGATGATTGTGCTTTTAATCTGTGTTGTTTGTCTTTGTATAGTCTGCAGATGTGGATCCTGACTCCTGTGAGAAGTAGTTCACTGTGACAAAGTTGCCCTTGCTTTTATTGATTTGCAAATCAAAGAAGGGGGACATGTTGGGAAAAAGCCTCCCAAAATCTGGCCATAAACTGGCCCCAAAACTGGTCATAAACAAAATTTCTGCAGCACTGTGACATGTTCGTGATGGCCATAACGCCCATGCTGGAAGGTTGTGGGTTTACGGGAATGAGGGCAAGGAACACCTGGCCCACCCAGGGCAGAAAACTGCTTAAAGCCATTCTTAAGCCACAAACAATAGCATGAGCAATCTGTGCCTTAAGGACATGCTCCTGCTGCAGTTAACTAGCCCAACCTATTCCTTTATTTTGGCGCATCCCTTCATTTCCCATAAGGGATACTATTAGTTAATTTAATATCTATAGAAACAATGCTAATGACTGGTTTGCTGTTAATAAATATGTGGGTAAATCTCTGTTCAGAGCTCTCAGCTCTGAAGGCTGTGAGACCCCTGATTTCCCACTTCACATCTCTATATTTCTGTGTGTGTGCCTTTAATTCTTCTAGTGCCACTGGGTTTGGGTCTCCCCGACTGAGCTGGTCTCAGCAAAATAGAAACTCTGAACAGACCAATAACAAGCAGTGTGATTAAAATGGTAATTAAAAAAAAAAAAGTCCAGGACAGATGGATTTGTTGTTGCATGCCAAGACAGAATTGAGGACACAGACACATGTAGGTGGGTTGAGGAGTGGAATGTTTAATAGAAGAAAGGAGAGAGAAGAGCAGCTCTTCACAAAAGAGAGACAGACATCCAAAAAAAGGGGGAGGCAACAGACTGCAGCAGATTTTATAGGCAGGCTGGAAAAGGCAGTGTCTGATTTACATAGGGCTTACAGATTGGTTCAATCAGGTATGACGTCTACATAGTGCGTGGGGAAGGCTTGTTGCCCCACCCTAATTTTCTTATGCAAATAGGCTTTCCAGTTGATCAGTGCCATCTTGTCTGCTCCTTTACAGTACAAGTGGCTGGCAGAGAAGGGAAGATGGAGCCGCCATTTTCAAAATGCCCAGTCCTTAGTTCCTGCTGGCATTCACCTGCACAAGCTCCCAGTTTGCAGGCTGCTCTTTCTTAGAAAATGACTTGGGGCTGTTTTTCATTTAAAAGAAAAGCCTTACCAAGGACTCCCATGCCTTTGCTATCTGCCTAAGTAATTCCTTCTTAGCTCCTATACCATTCTCCCCTCTGGAGTGGTAACCCTAACTGCAGTTAGCGGGTATTTGGTGATGACTCTTTCTGGCTACTTCCTGCTGAAAAGGGGCATTGTGTGGGGAATAGCAGCTAGGGCTCCTTCTGGAGTTGATGTAAGGGTCCTTGGAAGAAAGGTGTGTCCATGTGTGGCTCAGTCTGCAGCACCATTTAGTGTCATTGCTTCTAGGCAAGAGGAAACAATTCAAGTTATAGTATTGAGTAGACAAGGTCCAAACATTAATATAAAATTTATGAGCAAGAGGGGGCTTAACAATGGAGCTAACCAGTTCCACAATGAAGACTGGGATTTATTAAAGAGGGACTGTAGCCATCCAGGACTGGAGCCTGCATTTTCTCTTAATCTGTCAATGATTTTCACTTGATCTTTAAGCACCTGTAGGTTTTCTTCAACTTGACTAGAGGTGTTGATCCAGAAGCAGCATGTTTCATGTAAGACTCCACATGTACCACCTACCTCAGCTGTAAGGACATCCAGGGCCCATCTATTCTGTGCTACTACTGAGCCTAAAGAGTCTATGGATTGATTTTGTGCTTCTATGACTCCTACTGTTGTCTTCCACCCAGATTGCATCATAATAGAAAAGTACTGACCTTTCAAGGAGAGGTATACCAGCAAACCAAAAGAGGCCTCTGGTTATAGAATTCCCCATCCATAGTCTTTCTAAGATGGGACTGTCATGTGGATGCCCTCCCCAATCTTCTCTTTCAGTTAAATTTCCATATAAGAGTATGGAAATGATAGATCTCTTTGTTCAGCATGTCTGAGATGGTGCACTTCCTAAAAAGGAACCTAGGTTAGGAATGTCCCCAGATGATGCAGCCATGTCAGTGGAATTTAAAAATAATAGTTTGGGGAATATTGCTGCTATAGTGCAGGTTCCTTAGTGTTACTGAACTGAGGAAACCACTCGGTACAGACCCAGCAATTAGTCTTGTTGTACAAATGGGCCATGGCTGATACTGTAGGAGCTAAAGGGTGTGATGTAATCATTAAATCCAATAAAAAGTCCTTGCAGACTAAGTGATAGTAAAACTTTCATGCTTCCTCTTTGTTGGTAACTATTATCACAGTTATAAGAATAATAATTAAGCAAAATACTGTGTCTGGAGTTGGTTCCTTCTGCAGTTGGGCTCTTGGACTCACTGACTTCAAGAATGAAGCCACAGACCTTTGCAGTGACTGTTACAGCTCTTAAAGATGGTGTGTCTAGAGTTTGTTCCTTCAGATGTGTCCAGAGTTTCTTCCTTCTGGTGGGTTCGTGATCTTGCTGACTTCAAAAATGAAGCTGCACACCTTTGTGGTGAGTGTTACAGCTCTTAAAGGTGGTGTGGACCCAAAGAGTGAGCAGCAGCAAGATTTATTGTGAAGACTGAAAGAACAAAGCTTCCGCAGCATGGAAGGGGACCTGAGCATGTTGCCACTGCTGGCTGGGGTGGCCAGCTTTTATCCCTTATTTGTTCCCACCCATGTCCTGCTGATTGGTCCATTTTACAGATTGCTGATTGGTCCATTTTACAGAGTGCTGATTGGTGTGTTTACAATCCTTTAGCTAGACACAGAGTGCTGATTGGTGCATTTACAATCCTTTAGCTAGACAGAAAAGTTCTCCAAGTCCCCACTCGACCCAGGAAGTCTTGCTGGCTTCAACTATCAATCACCCCTCTAAACAGGACATGCCAACTGCTGTTGGGAATTGGGCAATGACCACTCTAGCAACTTCCTGCTGGATAGGGGCAAAGAAGGGTCCCTGCAGTGGTAGAGTCCTCCAGAGGGGAAGTCTCTAGGCCAGCCAAAGGGCTAGTGGGTCAATCCAGGGGTCCTCAGAAGTTGTTAGTTGAGCTCATTTGGGGTTCCATTGTAAGACCATCTGTAGCTTGATGGCCTCGATCCTAGAGGAAACAAATTTGACAAGGAGGTTAAAAATACAGGGCCCAAAGGCGAGTAATAGTAAGATGGCTGTCACAGGACCTAGAAAGGGGAGAAGTCATTTCACCCAACTCCAGAGGTTGGTATAAGAGTTTGAAAGGTGTTGTCTGATTTCAGAAGCCTTTTCCTGTAAATGCAGGGTGGCATCTCTTACTATCCCTGACTGGTTAGCGTAAAAACAACACTCTTCCCCTAAGAAGGTGCAGAGTCCTCCTTTCTCAGCAGTAAGGAGGTCTAGGCCTCAGTGGTTTTGGAGAGTCACTGCTGCCAAAGAGTCTATTTGGGATGGTAGAGTAAGGACAGATTTCGTTATTTCTTGCAAACGGTCTGAGAGGTAGATATAGGTTGAAGTTCCATATAAGAAGAATATGCCTTGGCTTTGTAGACAGAAATTTACCCTGGCTTTTAAAGGAATAGGGTATACTGTTTTTTCTTTACTACTTCTATCTCTCTCTTTCTCTCTCTTTGACTCCTTCTTTTTCTCTGTCTCCCTCTCTCTCTCTCTTTCTGTCTCTTTCTTTTCTTTCTGCTGGTCTTTCCCTGTCTTTGCCAGCCACTTATGCTGCTGTTCTCCCCATTCCTTCCCCTTTTTGATGGCTTCAGCAGTGTAAGACTGCCACCTCCTTGGGTTTTTGCACTGCATGCAATAACTCCATGATTTCCTTGTGGTATATAATTGAGGTTCCTCCAGAGGTTAGGAACTCCCTCTCTTTCCATATTGCAGCATGGGCATGTAGGATTAGATAAGCATACTTGCTGCCTGTATAGACATTTATTCTTTTTCCCTTTCCCAGTTCTAAGGCTGGGGTAAGTGCCACTAGTTCTGCTAACTGGGCCCTGGTCCCTGGGGGAAGAGGCTTACTTT
Organism: Homo sapiens; assembly: GCF_000001405.40. Classification (NCBI taxonomy): domain Eukaryota; kingdom Metazoa; phylum Chordata; class Mammalia; order Primates; family Hominidae; genus Homo; species Homo sapiens. Next base: position 48,241,060 of record NC_000008.11, on the reverse strand, counting down.
CAAGTACTGTTATATCACTAACTATGGCATAACCTGCCCTTCATATCCCATTCTCCACAAATGAACTTCCATCAGTATATAGGTTAAGGTCAGGATTAGCTAAGGGGTCTTCTAAGAGATCCTCTCAGGTGGCATAAGTCTGGGCTATAATTTGTTGGCAGTCATGCTTGAGTGGTTCTCCATCCTCTGGGAGAAAAATGGCAGGGTTGAGGGCTGCACATGTGCACATTTGAAGCATCAGTCCCTCAAGGAGTAGCACCTGGTATCTAAGCAGGTGGTTTTCTGATAGCCATAACTTCCTTTTTTTTATTTTTTTTTTATTTTTTTTTTTTTGAGACGGAGTTTCACTCTGTCACCCAGGCTGGAGTGCAATGGCTCAATCTCGGCTCACTGCAAGCTCCACCTCCCAGGTTCATGCCATTCTCCTGCCTCAGCCTCCTGAGTAGCTGGGACTACAGGCGCCCACCACCACACAAGGCTAATTTTTTTTTACCTTTAGTAGAGACGAGGTTTCACCATGTTAGCCAGGATGGTCTCAATCTCCTGACCTCGTGATCCACCCGCCTCGGCCTCCCAAAGTGTTGGGACTACAGGCCTTGAGCCACCGTGCCCGGCTGCCATAAACTTCCTTTGGCACCCAGTATTCCATTTACATCATGAGTAGTCCAGACAGTGAGATCCTTTCCTTGTATTATTTTGGTAGCCTCTGACACTAAGATGGCCACAATCACAACTTCCCATAAACAGTGAGACCAGCCTTTTGCTACTATATCAATTTCCTAACTTAGGTATGCCACTGGTTGTGGGGTTGTCCCTCGAGTCTGAGTAAGGATCCCAAGAGCTATTACTGCTCTCTCTGTGATGTATAAAGAGAAGTTTTCTCCCATGGGAAGGCTTAAGGCTGGAGCTTGAGTTTGTTCCTTCCAATGCCCAGACTTCAGGGTTGATTCCCTCCTCAAGCAAGGGACAACAAATGGGTAACTTTTTCCCCATATTCATGTAGATAATAGCTCCAGCTTTGGCTTATATGTCCCTCCCTAATAAGGGTATGGGACTTTCAGGCATAGCAAGAAATATATGTGAAAAGAGCAAAGTCTCCCAATTACAACTGAGGAGGGGAGAAATACCTGGTTACAGGCTGTCCCAGTATTCCTCGGTTGGTAACGGACCCTGAGGACAGCTGTCTGGGACAGGAGATTAACACTGAGAAAGCCACACCAGTATCCAGGAGGAAGTCAATTTCCTGGCCTTCAGTGGTTAAATGTATCTGGGGCTCAGTAAGGGTGATGACATGAGCTGGCTCTTGCCCCAGACACCCTCAGTCTTGTTGTTGGATCATCTGGTTAGGGTCTTCTGGCACAGAGAACCTTTGTCCTCTGGGGCAGTGTGCCTTCCAGTGATTGCTTTGGCATAGTGGACATGGGTGAAGGGGGCAGCTTGTTTCTTGTTGAACAATCATTTTTTAAGGTGTCCTTACAAACCACACTGGTAACAAGCCCTGCCGGGTGATTGGCCTGCTCCATTTTCTGTCCTCTCTGAACCACCAAGGTTTGTTTGTTTGAGAGCCATGACTAAGGCTGTGGCCTTTCTCTGATCTCACTTTTCCTTTTCAGCCTGTTCCTCTTGGTCCCTATTATAGAACATTGAGGTTGCCAGGTTTAATGATGCCTCCAGAGGCTCTGGAAAAAGAAAAAGCTGGGCAAATCGAATGCCTAATAGGGCTTGCTTCCAGTATGGTCTACAAGGACACTTTTAAAAAGATTGTCCAAGTAGAAATAAGCTGCTCCCTCGTCCATGCCCCTTATGTCAAGGGAATCACTGAAAGGCCCATTGCCCCAGGGGATGAAGGTCCTCTGAGTCAGAAGCCACTAACCAGATGATCCAGCAGCAGGACTGAGGGTGCCTGGGGCAAGCGCCAGCCCATGCCATCACCCTCACAGAGCCCCAGGTATGCTTGACCATTGAGGGCCAGGAGGTTAACTGTCTCCTGGACACTGGCCTTCTCAATCTTATTCTTCTGTCCCAGACAACTGTCCTCCAGATCTGTCACTATCCAAGGGGTCCTAGGACAGCCAGTCACTAGATACTTCTCCCAGCCACTAAGTTGTGACTGGGGAACTTTACTCTTTTCACATGCTTTTCTAATTATGCCCAAAAGCCCCCCTCCCTTGTTAGGGAGAGACATTCTAGCAAAAGCAGGGGCCATTATACATCTGAACATAGGAGAAGGAGTACCTGTTTGTTGTCCCCTGCTTGACGAAGGAATTAATCCTGAAGTCTGGGCAACAGAGGGACAATATGGACTAGCAAAAAATGCCCATCCTGTTCAAGTTAAACTAAAGGACTCCACCTCCTTTCCCTACCAAAGGCAGTACCCCCTCAGACCCGAGGCCCAAAAAGGACTCCAAAAGATTTTTAAGGACCTAAAAGCCCAAGCATGCAATAGCCCCTGCAATACTCCAATTTTAGGAGTACAGAAACCCAATGGATAGTAGAGATTAGTGCAAGATCTCAGGATTATCAATGAGGCTGTTGTTCCTCTATACCCAGCTGTACCTAGCCCTTATACTCTGCTTTCCCAAATACCAGAGGAAGCAGAGTTGTTTACAGTCCTGGACCTTAAGGATGCCTTTTTCTGCATCCTGACCTCCTGACTCTCAATTCTTGTTTGCCTTTAAAGATCCTTCAAACCCAATGTCTCAACTCACCTGGGCTGTTTTACCCCAAGGGTTCAAGGATAGGCCCCATCTATTTGGCCAGGCATTAGCCCAAGACTTGAGCCAATTCTCATACCTGGACATTCTGGTTCTTCGGTACAGGGATGATTTAATTTTAGCCACCTGTTCAGAAACCTTGTGCCATCAAGCCACCCAAGCGCTCTTAAATTTCCTCGCTACCTGTGGCTACAGGTTTCCTAACCAAAGGCTCAGCTCTGCTCACAGCAGGTTAAATACTTAGGGCTAAAATTATCCAAAGGCACCAGGGCCCTCAGTGAGGAATGTATCCAACCTATACTGGCTTATCCTTATCCCAAAATCCTAAAGCAACTAAGAAGTTTCCTTGGCATAACAGGTTTCTGCCAAATATGGATTCCCAGGTAGGACAAAATAGCCAGACCATTATATACACTAATTAAAGAAATTCAGAAAGCCAATACCCATTTAGTAAGATGGACACCTGAAGCAGAAGCAGCTTTCCAGGCCCTAAAGAAAGCCCTAACCCAAGCCCCAGTGTTAAGCTTGCCAACGGGGCAAGACTTTTCTTTATATGTCACAGAAAAAACAGGAATAGCTCTAGGAGTCCTTACACAGGTCCAAAGGATGAGCTTGCAATCTGTGGCATAACTGAGTAAGAAAATAGATGTAGTGACAAAGGGTTGGCCTCATTGTTTATGGGTAGTGGTGGCAGTAGCAGTCTTAGTATCTGAAGCAGTTAAAATAATACGGGGAAGAGATCTTACTGTGTGGACATCTAATGATGTGAATGGCATACTCACTGCTAATGGAGACTTGTGGCTGTCAGACAACAGTTTACTTAAATATCAGGCTCTATTACTTGAAGGGCCAGTGCTGTGACTGTGCACTTTTGCAACTCTTAACCCAGCCACATTTCTTCCAGACAATGAAGAAAAGATAGAACGTAACTGTCAACAAGTAATTGCTCAAACCTACGCCACTTGAAGGGACCTTTTAGAGGTTCCCTTGACTGATCACGACCTCAACTTGTGTACTGATGGAAGTTCCTTTGTAGAAGAAGGACTTCAAAAAGCGGGGTATGCAGTGGTCAGTGATAATGGAATACTTGAAAGTAATCCCCTCGCTCCAGGAACTAGTGTTCAGCTGGCAAAACTAATAGCCCTCACTTGGGCACTAGAATTAGGAGAATGAAAATGGTAAATATATATACAGACTCTAAGTATGCTTACCTAGTCCTCCATGCCCACGCAGCAATGTGGAGAGAAAGGGAATTCCTAACTTCCAAGGGAACACCTATCAAACATCAGGAAGCCATTAGGAAATTATTATTGGCTGCACAGAAACCTAAAGAGGTGGCAGTCTTACACTGTCGGGGTCATCAGAAAGGAAAGGAAAGGGAAATAGAAGGGAACAGCCAAGCGGATATTGAAGCCAAAAGAGCCGCAAGGCAAGATCCTCCATTAGAAATGTTTATAGAAGGACCCCTAGTATGGGGTAATCCCCTCTGGGAAACCAAGCCCCAGTACTCAGCTGGAAAAATAGAATAGGGAACCTCATGAGAACATACTTCCCTCCCCTCCAGATGGCTAGCCACCAAAGAGGGAAAAATATTTTTGCCTGCAGCTAACCAATAAAAATTACTTAAAACTCTTCACTAAACCTTCCATTTAGGCATTGATAGTACCCATCAGATGGCTAAATTATTATTTACTGGACCAGGCCTTTTCAAAACTATCAAGCAGATAGTCAGGGCCTGTGAAGTGTGCCAAAGAAGTAATCCCCTACACTGCAGGCCACACATTTCAATCCCTGTATCTTTAACCTCTTTGGTAAGTCTGTCTCTTCCAGAATTGAAACTGTAAAACTACAAATTGTTCTTCAAATGGAGCCCCAGATGCAGTCCATGACTAAGATCCACTGTGGACTCTTGGACTGGCCTGCTAGCCCATGCTCTGATGTTAATGACATCGAAAGCACCCCTCCTGAGGAAATCTCAACTGCACAACCCCTACTATGCCCCAATTCCGCAGGAAGCAGTTAGAGTGGTCTTGGCCAACCTCCCCAACAGCACTTGGATTTTCCTGTTGAGGGGGGGACTGAGAGACAGAACTAGCTGGATTTCCTAGGCCAACTAAGAATCCCTAAGCCTAGCTGGGAAGGTGACTGCATCCCCCTTTAAACATGGGGCTTGCAACTTAGCTCCCACCCAACCAATCAGAGAGCTCACTAAAATGCTAATTAGGCAAAAACAGGAGGTAAAGAAATAGCCAATCATCTATTGCCTGAGAGCACAGCAGGAGGGACAAGGATTGGATATAAACCCAGGCATTTGAGCCGGCAACGGCAACCCCCTTTGAGTCCCCTCCCTTTGTATGGGAGCTCTGTTTTCACTCTATTTCACTCTATTAAATCTTGCAACTGCAAAATAATAATAAAAATAATAATAATAATAATAATAACAATAATAATAATAATGCCTCCAGATTTTGTTCAGGGCTCAGGGTTCACTTTTGGAGCTTTCTCCTGATATCTGTGGCTGATTTGGTAATAAACTTATCTTTTAGGATCAAATGACCCTCGAGTGAGTTGAGTGACAGGGGAGTATATTTTCTTAAGGCCTCCAGTAGCCACTCAAGGAAGGCAGAAGGATATTCTTCCTTTCCCTGAGTTATGGTGGACATGATTGAATAATTCATGGGCTTTTTCCTAATTCTCCTTAGTCCTTCTAGAACACAGGCCAGCAGATGTTTGCCATTCCAGTCCCCATGATCTGAGTCGAGGTCCCAGTGGGGATCCATACCAGGGACGACTTGCTGACTGCTAGGGAATTTGTCCCTTTCTTCAGCTGTCATTCTATCATTTACTTGACTAAGATACCAGGCATCTCCAAACTCTCAGGCTGCAGCTAAAGCCACATTCTTTTCACTAAAGGCTAGGGTTTGATCTAACAATAGCATGACATGTCTCCAAGTGAGATCGGAGGTTTGCCCTACACCCTGCAGGACATCTATGTACTTATCAGGATCATCTGAAAACTTCCCCAGGTCTGCCTTGATCTGCTTTAAATCAGAGTGGGAGAAGGGGACATGTACCCAGGTTGGGCCAAATTCCCCTCCCCTGCAGCTTGAAGGGGACATAACAGATAGCCAGGGGGGTTTTGTGGTCCCTTGGAGATTTCTTTGCTTGTTTCCTTCTGGGTGGGGAAGATTAGAGGAGGCTTATCATTAATAGGAAGGGGAACTATAGGGAGGCTAGGATATGAGGGTAAGCTAAGAAGTCCTCTTGTGGGATGTAAATTGCAAGCTTTGCATAGTTATGGATACTCCTTCAATGAAAAGAAAGCTTGGACATAAGGTATTTCACTCCATTTGCCTTCCCTCTTACAGAAAAGGTCAAGCTGCAGGATAGTACTGTAATTTGTACTTCCCACAGGTGGCCATTTTTCCCCATCAGAGAGAATATTGGGGCCAGGCCACAGTGCAGAAAAAAATGAGCTGCTTCTTTTTCAGGGTTTGTGGATCAAATTGGTCCCAATGGCTTAGGATGCATTTCAAGGGTGAGCCTGTTGATGCCTCAGTGTTTCCCATCTGAAAGAAAAAACTGCCCCCAGTTTTGGTTTGTTTGTCCGCCCCCCTCCCCCCCCCCAATAACCTACAATGGTCCCTGGACCCTGCTGATTGGAATAGTTGTGCTCACCAATGCAGCAGCAGAAGCCCTGCTTGCCCAAGAACCCACAACAATCCCTGGACCCTGCTGATCAGAATAGTTGCACTCACCGATGCAGCAGCAGAAACCCCTCTTGCCCAAGAACCTGCAATGGTCCCTGGAGCCTGCTGATCACAATAATTGCGCTCACTGATGCAGCAGCAGAAACCCTAGTTTTCCTCTTAGACCACAGAGGACTGAGGAAGGTCAGATTTAGTGGCCCTTACCAACACATTCTTGAAAACCTGCACCCTTGCCTGTCCTCCTAGACCACAAAGAGGACCAAAAAAAATCAGATTTAGTTTCTCTTACCAAAACATTATCAAAAACCTGTTAGAGTCCTAAGCATTCTCCTGTTAGTATTGGGAACTTAGCCCATCCTATAAAGATGTTATGCCCCAAAAGTGAAGTGGAGGGCCATACCCTGAGGGAGGGAAGGGATTTCCAGGGTTGGAAGAGTGACGCCTTTTGTCTTCACTTACATGAATAGGAAGGATATAATTTCTGAGGCTCCCCATAGCCTAGCTTCAGGAATAGCTTTTGTTAGGCCTGCTTGTCTGAGGAGGGATCCTAAGAAGACAGTTGGTCTCCCCACCCAATGGGGCTTTGGGCAAAAATTATGTCTTTCTGATTGGTGAGCCCAGGTGCCTAAAGAAGGGAACAGAGTCCTGAAGTTTATACCAGAAATCATTCTTATAGGAGAAACTAGAAAAGCACCAGAGACAAGGAGTGGTTTTTAGAAGTGGGACTAGCCTCAGAGAAGAGAGGTGAGAGGAAGTTTGTCTCACAGGCATTAGGACCCAGAAGGCAAGGGTCAGGATAGATAGGATAGATAAGCGAATCTCGCTTGGGCGACGTGACTTGGAGAGTTCTGCTCATGGCTACAGGGTCAACCAACTTTTTGTTGGGACCCCAGAGCTGAATGGCTTTCCTCTCTGTCGACCCTCAGCTCAGCCCAGAAATGCAGGAAAAGCAGAAGCTGGTTCCAGGCAAACCAGCCCTCCCAACTCCAAAGAGTTGGGGGTTGTTAGAAAGCCCTTTCCCAGAAAGCCTGACACCCGTATCTTTAGTCCAGTGGCCATGCTAGTTGCTTTTAACTGGTGACAAGTGCCCGGTATTTAGCCCCCGAATTCTAAGGACTAAATACCAAAAGGAAAATAGGACAAAATAGCAAGCAAAAGGGGTCCAATGGTACTCACCACTTGGCAATTGTCCCTTCATGGTCACCAAGATGTGTCCCATCTGGGTCACCAAGATGTGTCTGGAGTTGGTTCTTTCAGGTGGGTTCTTGGTCTCGCTGACTTCAAGAATGAAGCTGCAGACCTTCGCGGTGAGTGTTACAGCTCTTAAAGATGGTATGTCCAGAGTTTTTTCCTTCAGATGTGTCCGGAGTTTCTTCATTCTCATGGGTTCGTGGTCTTGCTGATTTCAAGAATGAAGCCACGGACCTTTGTGGTGAGTGTTACAGCTCTTAAAGGTGTTGCAAACCCAAAGAGTGAGCAGCAGCAAGATTTATTGTGAAGAGAAAAAGAACAAAGCTTCCACAGCATGGAAGGGGACCCAAGCAGGTTGCCGCCACTGGCTGGGGTGGCCAGCATTTTTTCCTTTATTTGTCCCCACCCACATCCTGCTGAGTGGTCCATTTTACAGAGTGCTGATTGGCCCATTTTACAGAGTGCTGATTGGTGTGTTTACAATCCTTTAGCTGGACACAGAGGGCTGATTGGTGTGTTTTTACAGAGTGCTGATTGGGGCATTTACAATCCTTTAGCTAGACAGAAATGTTCTCCAAGTCCCCACTCGACCTAGGAAGTCCAGCTGGCTTCAACTCTCAATACTACAGCAATGGAAACTCTCCGTCCAATATTTCAGTTAGAAGATGCTACCATGTATAGCTCTACTGCAAATAGTAGAATGAGTACAGCAATTCCTTTAAGGGTGATGTAGTAGATTATTTACATCTAAAATTTATCTGCCAACATACAGAATTTCCCTTTGTGGTTCTATGAAGTTCCTTGGCTTTATTTTCCCCAAGAAACCTCTAGGTTATGTGAATCCTACTCACTTTTATTACCTGGCAGAATTTGCAGGATAATTGCCCAGAAGTAGCATATTGATTCAGATTTTTACATTACCCATTCCTTTTTGTTTCTTTCAAGCTGCAGAAGATCACCACTTGATTCACAGGAATAAGCAGGGTTAGTCTAAAATGTAGGCCAAAATCTTAAAAACAATTAATAAGACTAGGATTTCATGACAAATGTATAATAAGCTTTGGAACATAATTTCTCTCTCCAGTCCTACCTTTTGGTTAAAACAAGTTATGATAGGACCATGTTATTTGTAGAATAAACTTTAGCCTTATAATTGGCCTGATTATTTGCATAAAGTGCAGCAAGAATGTTTATTTTAACATAGGCCTTGTTGATTGGCTTTGATGGAGCTCCTTTCCACAAGGAATCTCAAATAAGACCTTTTAAAGCTGAGCTCAGCCATGGGTTTGTATCCTCAAATACCTGTGAGTTGGGTGATCCTTTTCTCTTAAGGTCCCAAGATAAATTGGGAGCTCCTGGACCTGTTAGAAAGTGACATTCTTGGCCGGGCATTGTGGCTCACGCCTGTAATCCCAGCACTTTGGGAGGCCAAAGTGGGAGGACCACGAGGTCAAGAGATCAAGACCATCCTGCCCAACATGGTGAAACCCTGTCTCTACTAAATATACAAAAAAAATTAGCTGGGTGTCGTGGTGCACACCTGTAATCCCAGCCACTTGGGAGGCTGAGGCAGGAGAATTGCTTGAACCCAGGAGGTGGAGGTTGCAATGAGCTGAGATCATGCCACTGCACTCCAGCCTGGTGACAGAGCAAGACTCCGTCTCAAAAACAACAACAACAACAACAAAAGAAAGTGACATTCTTTACTGACCACAGGTTAGAAACCCTGTGCAGGGACTGTGTAGGCAAGGTATGAGGCCAGTTCTCTCTATAGGGCTTTTATTGGCTCTGCAAGTTGAGATTGACTCCTTAAAGGGAAGCATACACTTCCAGTCAAAGCCTTGATGAAATAACCAGTTTTTACAATTGTGTCCTCTTGGGGAAAAAAAATGGATTCCTATTACATTGCTGCAAACAACTATATTGCCATAAGTTAAGCATATTTACATATAGTTTCAAAATTCTAGAGGAACCAGGCAGAGAGAAACAAACATGCTCCAAATTTTGTTCACAGGAGTATGCCTTACTCAGTTATTAAAGGCCATAAATAGTTCAAAATAAGTTTTCTCAACTCAAAAATGAAACAAGGATCAGCAATATTTCAAGCAAAAGTCAAAAAGGTTGCTTTAACTTTCTGAGTGCAGTCCATTTAGTTAACTCTTGTTTTGCTTGACATACATGAACATTTCAGTTCTTCATGAGTCCCATACATTCTTTATCTATTTCAATGTTACAATCTTCAAAGCTATTAAAAACTCGCAGTTGAGAATACCTAGTAAAGTCCTTAATATAGCTTGATTATAACCCATCTTTTGAGAAGGAACCAAGCAAGACAACAATTATCTGTAAACAAAATTTCCAGGATAGATACAGTTAAAAACATGACAGACAAAGGAGTTCATTTATCTCTGCGGCTTACAATAACTTTACCCTTAATTATGATTGATAGCATATATTCAGACATTAGAATTTTACAAACCCCATACAATTTTAGAAAATATATCAGTATTATTCACCAAAATATAACCTAAAGAAGATTTTTAGCAATCATTTTAGCAATCCCATGTAACTAAACATGTCAAATAATCCTGTTCACCTCTTCTCTAGATGTTTCAGAGGCCCTCTGAGCCATCCAGAAAGCCAGGAATCAGGAAAAACAATTTTGAAACTTGGAGTTTGATTTTGGGATGATGAAATCGAATTCCAAACTGCCATAAATTATTCGTTTTGCCAAAATGATGACTCAAAAGGCAAAAACCTTTCATTAGCCTTTACTATTACATGAAAATCCTGTTCAAAGCCAAATTTTACCCTTGCATTAATTTCATTAATTTAGTAATGTTAACTTCAAACTGCTTAAAAGAAACCTTATAGACAATACCATCTAATCTTTTTTTTTTTTTTTTTTTTTTTGAGATGGAGTCTTGCTCTGTCACCCAGTCTGGAGTGCAGTGGTGCAATCTCAGCTCACTGCAACCTCTGCCTTTCAGGTTCAAGTGATTCTCCTGCCTCAGCCTCCCGAGTAGCTGGGATTATAGGCACCTGCCACTACAGCCAGCTGATTTTTGTATTTTTAGTAGAGATGGAATTTCACCATGTTGGCCAGGCTGGTCTCGAACTCCTGACCTCAAGTGATCCTCCCACCTTGGCCTCCCAAAGTGCTGGGATTACAGCCAAGCCACCACACCCGGCCTAGTAAGCAATTTTAATTATGTACCAGGTGTGGAGCCTAGGACCCAGACAGAGTGCAGATAAAGTTTGACTCTTTCCAGCATCTAGCTCCATGTGTTCCAGGCCTTACCTTTCCTGAAGCAGGCAGTATACAACCTTAGAACATGTAGCAAACCTAGTATCTAAGTTGTATAATTTAGACCACCTATTTGCATTTTGATGATACTTGCATTTTACCAATAATCCTTAAGACTATTCTTTATTTCTTAAAGATTAAAGTCACATGAAATAAAAAAGTATTTGATTTAAGTACTTATTTTTCTTTTTTTTTTTTTTCTTTTTTGAGACAGAGTCTCGCTCTGTCACCCAGGCTGGAGTGCAGTGGCGTGATCTCAGCTCATTGCAAGCTCCGTCTGCTGAGTTCATGCCATTCTCCTGCCTCAGCCTCCCGAGTGGCTGGGATTACAGGCACCCACCACCACGCCCAGCTAATTTTTTGTATTTTTAGTAGAGACAGGGTTTCACCGTGTTAGCCAGGATGATCTCGATCTCCTGACCTCGTGATCCACCTGCCTTGGCCTCCCAAAGTGCTGGGATTACAGGCGTGAGCCACTGCGCCCAGCCAAAGTGCTTATTTTTCTTTAAGCCAATCAATTAGAGCTCTTTTTATAGACATTACACACAACACATATATAGTGACACAAACAGACAGAAGGTTCAGCATTTGTAGGATTTTTCATTTGGCAGTTTCTTAACTGGATTACTGGCTTCAGGGTGGAGCCCTTGGAGAAACAGGGCCAGGCAGGCAGGCATTTCTAGGGTGTAATAAACAAGCACAGCTGAAGGCAAAGACAGATCCCCCAAATTAAGGGTGCCATTTTATACTGGATTTTGGATCCCCTAAAGGAGGGAGATACTATGGGAGAAGACAGTGCAGTGCTTCTACCATGCATTTCATTGCAAGGCAACTCAAAGCCAATCAGCTTATTTCATAATCAGCCCATCCCCCATGGGATTCTCATCTCTCAGTGGGGAGTGGGAATGTTTCCATATCTTTCAGGTGGCCAAGAGCATGCTTCTCTGATTTACAATTATTGTTAGCCATCTCTTAAAGTGTATTTCTTACCTAGTTATTACACAAAGCCCTCTCCTAAAGTGAACTAATTTGATACCCCCAAAACTCCAAACGGACAGATAACACAATGCAAAACAGAACAGAACCTTCGATTTTTTTTTTAAGTATTATTATTATACTTTAAGTTTTAGGGTACATGTGCACAATGTGCAGGTTAGTTACATATGTATACATGTGCCATGCTGGTGTGCTGCACCCATTAACTCGTCATTTAGCATTAGGTATATCTCCTAATGCTATCCCTCCCCCCTCCCCCGACCCTTTGATTTTGAGGGGGAACTATCCACTTTTAATTTCTGGGGTTTTATGAGGAAAACAGAGAGGTTTTTTTTTCCCAAAATGGAGTCTGTGGTGCCTCCTCTGTTTTTCCCAAGGAGTCCCATGCTACCAGAAGTTATCTTAGAGCCTTTCATGCATGCATTAAGAGTGGCAAGAAAAAAAATGGAGAAAAATAATTCGGTCAACTGAGAAGAAAAAAGCCTTTTTCCAGAAAAACAAAATCCAAGAAGAAAAACACAAAAAGGCATTTTAAATATACCTATAACTTGAATATCCACTTTTAATTAAACTGAGAAAACCCTTTTAAATCCCTTGTTACTCGACTGTAGCCACACCAAGCAGTTAAGATTTTTGGCTTTTGAAATTTATAAAAAGTAACCTACAGGTGAAACCAACAAGCCTTAATTAAGTTATGACTTAACTATGAGTGTACAAGAGACTTTCAAAGGGGTGATAAGCATTTTTGAAACTGTCATTGCAAAATTGTGACTGAGATAGTGAATGAGATCTGATCCAACCAACTCCATTTTGTTTCTAGCCCCCAGGCTGTCCTTGCACATCCCTGGGTGTAGGCCAAACCAACTTTGGGAGGAGCCTGGTTTACTGTGTAGTCTAAAACAAAGATAATAACAGCCCCTTCTTAAGATATACTTCCCTCTCGCCTGGGGACCAGACCAAGAAACTAGCCACAAGATTAGAAACCATGGCCTAGGAGTCACACAGCTGAAGGCTATAAGATTTTGACCCTCTCTAAACTGCTCTCAAGATGAGTGCTTAAGATATTTTGTAAACCCTGCCCTTGATGGATCAGCTGACACAACTCAGATTGATAAACTGGCTTATCTGATTTTATGGCCCTCACCCAGGAACTCACTTAGCATGAGAAAACAGCCACCACTGTAAAGTGGCAGAGACTAAAACAAAGTATTCCCATGTGGCTACAGGTCATGTTCACAAAGACATGAAACAAGGTGGAGGCCTGTAGCATGTTCATTACTGACCATTTTGTTGGGCTGGCTTGAACGGCTGGCTTATGGGGTCCTTGGTCTGCATCCTAACCTAAAGTATCCCTTCTTTTGACAAAACCATATAGAAACACACAAAGCACACAAGATTGGCTACAGCTTAAGACCAACTTCACTGATCCTTTTTCATTAATTAAAATTTTACAGAGTATATACACAATAATCCTTATTATCCTTTTTACCACTTTGCACAGGGAGACAGAAGCCAAAAGCTTCACTAGTTTAAAAAAAAAAAAAACTTTTACCCTTTTGCTGGCATGTCAGGCTTCTGAGATTCCCTTCCCCCTAGCTCAATTCTAAGCCAAGTATTTTAAGGTTTGGGGAAATTAACTTTTCCTAGTTTGGAGGAACATTATAAAAGAAGAGATGGGAGCCATTTTAAACTACCAAAGAAAGAAAAACACCATAGAAAAGTCTGGGTGTTCCAATTATGGTTATCAAGAGGTACTGACTCTTTTCCTATTGAGAATGGTGTTTCCCCTATTTATTCCCCTTCCCGATATTCTCTTTTCCCTTTTTGCCTATTATAGGAGGCATATTGCTCATCTCCAAATTTCTCTGCTGCCTGCAGAGCTGCCTGCTTCTTAGCTGTGGTCAGGGTTTGGCTTAAGAGCAGCATAACATCCCTGCATGAGAAGTCAAATACCTGAGTTAAATTTTGGAAGGCTTCTATATACCTAACAGGGTCATCAGAAAATCAGTCTAAGTTTCCCTTTACTTGCCTAAGATCCTGCAATGAAAAATGGAACTTGAAGGGGCCCCAACTAAGGGAGATCCTCGGATGATTCCCCTCTCATTTTCTCTCATTTTGCGGAATTATTCTCTTTGGGCCTTCCCAATATGATTGCTAAAAGGGCTGGGTTGATTTTGTAATGCTTGCAAAAGGTCTAGTAAGAAGGCCATGCCTTTGTGCAAAATAAAATGAGCCACTTTTTCTTTAAACTCTCAGGGTCAAAGGAGTCCTTGTTCTTCAGAATGCACTCCAGAGGAGTGCAGACTGAGGATGGTACTCATCTAGAAAGGGAAGCAAGAAAAAGGCATCCCTTTAGTCTCCTTTCTTTTGGTGTGACACAGAGTGGAGAGGAAGACAGTGGGAGTGTTCCCATGCTGTTTTCCCTCCATGGTTCCTGGGTCCTGGCACCTTGTTGAATGTGCCACCCATAGTTGCAGGCATGACCCTTAACCATGGAGCCAGAGGAACTAATCGATTGGGGCTAGCCACACCCACCCAAGTGGCTCAGTCTTCTGCCTGTGATTTCCCTTTCACTTCTAGATTTATGTGACCTGCCTGGCTCCCGAAAAAATGGATCTCAAGAAAAACCATGTAATAGTTGGGCAAGGCCCCTTTAATGGAGGGGGCATCCTAAATTGAACTCTGTATCCTTCTATTATGGCCCCGATGAAGCATTTACCCTTAGATAACAGTTCCGGTTAACTTCTGAACTGAAAATCACCTTACTAATTACCACTCCAATTGGAGGCAGAACAGGTGCCTTCAAAGAATATAGGGCCTGAATGACCATTTTCCTGCTGATGGGGCAGTGTCAATACTAAAATTTGGCTTTGGAGGATATTTTACCCCTAATTGTTGAAGGCAGAATTTTCCTGTTTATAGAAGCAGCATGAAGCCTGTTTTCTAGTAGAGAAGAGCAAACCGGGGAGAGAATTGGGAAACTAGGGTATTTCAGTGAAGGATCAACCATGTGCCTCATGGAGAGGATCCCTATTCCACTAGGTAGCACTGTTGACCTTGAAACACCATGTGCTCTCTAGACCAAGGGCAGAGTGACTTTGACATGCCATGTGCTCTCCAGATCAAGGGTAGAGGGAGAGGCTCACCATGGGGAGAAGGAAACTCTCTGTTCCTAGAAAATCACAGACACCTTCCCTTGAGTCATATACCCATTCCCTGATCTTGTCAAACAAGACTACTTCCCTGAACTGTAAAACTTCCCACACATTGCATACACAAAAAGGATAAGAGATATGATGGTCATGGACAGGAAAGGAGGAAGTTATTATAGGAAAGTTGGAGATCTTGTTGCCAACACCCCATCGGGGCAGTTGGAGGCTGGGGTCAGTCTAGAAACCTTTGGATAACACCAGAAGGTAGCCCTAGCCAGAAATCCTCAGTTGCCCCAGGACTTCTTCCAGCCCCATGTGATGGCTAAGCCCTCTGTGAAAGGTCTAAAATGGAGGCTGAGAGCCCCAGAATGAAAGGACAGAGTTGGAGTCTGCTACTCTACTCACCATTTTGATGAATGTTGTACCTTGGTATCCCAGCCAAGCTTCCATTATGAAGCAGCTACACTGTCTGGAGTATATTCCCTGGGGTTTATTGTTATGCACTGAGAAAGAATTCAGGACACAGACACATGTGGGTAAGTTAAGGAGTGGAAAGTTTAATAGACAGAAGAAAGGAGAGAGGAGGGCAGCTCCTTGCAAAAGGGAGACAGGCATCTGAAAAATGGGGAAGGTGGTGGACTGTAGCAGATTTTATAGGTAGGCTGGAGAAGACAGTGTCTGGTTTACATAGGGCTCACAGATTGGTTTGATTAGGTATGATATCTACATAGTGTGTGGGGAAGGCTGGCCACCCACCCTAATCTTATGCAAATGGGCTTTCCAGTTGATTGGTACCACCTTCTCTGCTCCTTTACAGTACACAGGCCTTACAGAGAAGGGAAGACTGAGCTGTCATTTTGAAAATGTCTAGTCCTTAGTTCCTGCCAGCATTCACCCATGCAAGCTCCCAGCTTGCAGGCTGCTCTTTGTTGGAAAATGATTTGGGGCTGTTTTTCATTAAAAAGAAAAACCTTAATGAGGACTCCCATGCCCTTGCTATCTGCCTAGGTAATTCCTTCTTAACTCCTATATCAGTATCACCCTAATACCAAAACAAGGAAAAGACATAAAAAAAAGAAAACTACAGACTAACATCACTGATTAATATAGATGCAAAAATCATCAACAAAATGATAGCTAACCAAATCCAACAGCATATCAAAAATATAATCCACCATGATCAAGTGGGTTTCATACCAGGAATGCAGGGATGGTTCAACACACCCAAGTCAATAAATGTGACATACCACATAAACAGAATTAAAAACAAAAATCACATGACCATCTCAATAGATGTAGAAAAAGCATTTGACAAAATCCAGCATCCCTTTATGATTAAAATCCTCAGCAAAATCAGCATAGAAGGAACATACCTTAAGGTAATAAAAGCCATCTATGTCAAACTCATAGCCAACATTATACCAAATGGAGAAAAGTTAAAAGCATTCCCCCTGAGAACTGGAAGAAAACAAGGATGCCCACTTTCACCACTTCTATTCAACACAGTACTGGAAGTCCTAGCCAGAGCAATCAGACAAGAGAAAGAAATAAAGGGCATCCAAACTGGTAAAGAGAAAGTCAAACAGTCACTGTTCACCAATGATATGATCATATACCTAGAAAACCCTAAAGACTCATCCAAGAAACTCCTACATCTGATAAATGAAATCAGTAAAGTTTCAGGATACAAAATCAGTGTACACAAATCAGTAGCCTTGTTATACACCAACAATGACCAAGCAGAAAATCAAATCAAGAACTCAACCCCTTTTACAATAGCTGCAAAAAAAAATAATAAGAATAAGAATATACCTAACCAAGGAGGTGAAAGACCTCTACAAGAAGAACTACAAAACACTGCTGAAAGAAATCATAGATGACACAAACAAATGAAAACACATCCCATGCTCATGATGGGTAGAATCAATAATGTGAAAATGACCATACTGCCAAAAGCAATATAAAAATTCTACGCAACTGCTATCAAAACACCATCACTATTCTTCACAGAACTAGAGAAAACAATCCTAAAATTCATACGGAACTAAAATAGATCCCACATAGCCAAAGCAAGACTAAGCAAAAAGAACAAATCTGGAGGCATCACATTACCTGACTTCAAACTATACAAGGCTATAGTCACCAAAACAGCATGGTACTGGTATAAAAATAGGCACACAGACTAATGGAACAGAACAGAAAATGCAGAAATAAACCCAGGTACTTACAGCCAATGGATTTTTGACAAAGCAAACAAAAACATAAAGTGGGGAAAGGATGCCCTATTCAACAAATGGTGCTGGGATCATTGGCTAGCCACATGTAGAAGAATAAAACTGGATCCTGATTTCTCACCTTACACAAAAATCAACTCCAGATGGATAAAGGACTTAAGTCTAAGACCTGAAACTTTCAACAAGATAACATTGGAAAAACTCTTCTGGACTGGCTTAGGGAAATACTTTATGACTAAGAACCCAAAAGTAAATGCAACAAAAACAAAAATAAATAAATGAGACCTAATCAAACTAAAAAGCTTCTGCACAGCAAAAGAAATAGTCAGCAGAGTGAACAGGCAACCCACAGGATAGGAGAAAATTTTTGCAAACTATGCATCTGACAAAGGACTAATATCCAGAATCTACAAGGAAATCAAACAAATCAGCAAAAGAAAAACAAATAATCCCATCAAAAAGTGGGCCAAGGACATGAATAGACAATTCTCAAAAGAATATACAAATGGCCAATAAACATATGAAACACTTGTTCAACCTCACTAATTATCAGGGAAATGCAAATCAAAACCACAATGCACTATCACCTTACTCCAACAAGAATAGCCATAATTTAAAAATCAAAAAAATAATAGATGTTGGCAGGGATGTGGTGAAAAGGGAACACTTTTACACGGCAGGTGGGAATGTAAACTAGTACAACCACTATGGAAAACAGTATAAAGATTCCTTAAAGAACTAAAAGTAGTAGAACTACCATTTGATCCAACAATCCCACTACTGGGTATCTACCCAGAGGAAGAGAAGTCATTACACAAAACAGATACATACACAAGCATGTTTATAGCAGCACAATTTGCTATTGCAAAAATATGGAACCAGACCAAATGCCTGTCAACCAACGAGTGGATAAAGAAATTGTGATTTTATATATATACATACACACACACACACACACACACACACACACACACACACACACCATGGAATACTACTCAGGCATAAAAAGAAATGAAATAATGGCATTCACAGTGACCTGGATGGAATGGAGACTATTATTCTAAGTGAAGTAACTCAGGAATGGAAAACCAAACATCATATGCTCTCACTCATAAGTGGGAGCTAAGCTATGAGTATCCATAAGAATCATACAATGGACTCTGGGGACTTAGGGGAAAGTGTAGGATGGGGATAAGAGATAAAAGACTACACCTCAGGTACAGTGTACACTGCTTGGGAGATGGGTACACCAAAATCTCAGAAATCACCACTAAAGAACTTATCTATGTAACCAAACACCACCTGTTCCCCAAAAACTATTGAAATAAAATATAATTTTAAAAGAACATATGTTGTAGAAATGTGAGGAATATAGAACATATCAAAAATGACCAAGACAAAGTAAAACAAACAAAAAAAAGTCTGGTACCTCCCTCCCCTCCCTCATGCCTCCTCTCCCCTCAACATCATCTGCACATGCTAGCTCCCCTTCCCCTTCCACCATGAGTGGAAGCTTCCTGAGGCCCTTACAGAAGCAGATGATGGTGCCGTGCTTCCTGTGCAGCCTGCAGAACCATGAGCCAAATAAATCTCTTTTCTTTACAAATTTCTCAGCCACAAGTATTCCTTTATAGCAACACAAATGGACTGAGACAGGCACCAAGCCACAGATCCATGAATCTCAGTGAACTCCAAGCAGGATAAAGAACAAAACATCTATATCTAGGCATATCATACTCAAACTGCAAAAAATTAAAGGTAGATAATCTTGAAAGAAGCCAAAGGAAAATATACCCTTCTATACAGAAGCAAGAATAAGAGTTATATTGGATTTCTATTCAAAAACCATGCAAGCAAGAAGAGAGTGGAGTGAAATATTTAGCATTGAAAGAAAAAAAAACACCAACCTAAAATTTTGTATTCAGGAAAATTATACTTCAAAACTGAAGGAGAAATAAAGCTTTCTCCAACAAGAATTGAAGGAATTTGTCACCAGTAGAAATGCCATTCAAGAAATGTTGAAAGAAATTCTTCAGAAAGAAAAAAAGTGCTGTATGTCAGACACCTGCATCTATGTAAAGAAAGGGAAAGTATCATGAAAGGATCAAATAAACATTATTTTTAAAAAACAAAGTTGTTATGAACATTTGTATAGAAGTCTTTGTATGAACATATGCTTTTATTTTTCTTGGGTAAATTTCTAGGAGTGGAATGGCTAGGTGTATCTTTAACTTTTTAAGAAACTGCCGAACTTTCTTCAAAATGGTTATGCCATTTTACATCCAACCAGCAGTGTATCAGGAATCCAGTTGCTCCATCTCATCACCAACCCTTGGTTTAGTCATTTTCATGTTAGTCATTCAAGTAGGTAAGTAGTGGCATCTCACTGTAGTTTTAATTTCTATTTCCCTAATGACTAATGATGTTAAGCATCTTTTCATGTCCTTGTTATCCATATGCCTTCTCCAGAGAAGTGTCTGTTCATGTTTTGCCTATTTTTACTGGGTTGTTTGTTTTCTTATAAGATTCTGTCCCAGTCTGTGCCTTATCATTTCATTCTCCTAATAGTGTCTTTCAGAAGGCAACATTCTTAATTTCAATGAAGTTAAATTTAATAATTTTGTTTTATTTTATGAACCACGCTTTTGGTGTTGTGTATTTCTGTATATCCTCACCTGATCCAAGGTCAGATAGGAATAGCAAATTGTTTCAGGACCATTTGTTGGGAGAAAAAAACGTATGCTGTGTCCACTAAATTGCCTCTGTGCCTTTCTCAAAAATCAGTTGGCCATCTATATATATGGCTTTTTCTGGATTCTTTGTCGTGTTTCATCAAACAATATGTCTATCTTGACGCCAGTACCACTCTGTTTTGATTACTGTAGCTTTATAAGTTTTAGGTCAGATGGTATAAGTCCTCCAATGTTCTTTTTTAAAGACATTTTAGCTATTCTAAGTGCTTTGCATTTCCTTATGGCTTTTAGAATCAGTATATCAATTTCTTTTTTAAAAAAATGGAGATGGGGGTCTCACTATGTTGCCCAGGCTGGTCTTGAACTCCTGGGCTCAAACGATCCTCCTGCCTTGGCCTCCCAAAGTGCTAGGATGACAGATGTGAGCCACCATGCCTGGTAATGTGTCCATTTCTACAAAAAAAAAAAAGAAGTTTGCAGGAATTTTGACAGGGGTTGCATTTGAATCTACAGGTCAATTTCGGGAGAAGTGACATCTTAACAATTTCGAGTCTTCCAATTCATGTTTCTCTTATTTATGTACTCCTTAATTTTTCTCAGCAATACTTTGTAGTTTTCAGTAATATTCTTATACAACTTTTCTCATGCTAATATCTAAATATTTTCTATTTTATGCTATTTTAAGTGGCATTTTAATAACCATTTTTGCTAACTTTTATACAACTGGATTTCTGTATATTGATCTTGTATCCTGCAGTTATTAAACTCACTCTTTAACATTTTTTGTCAATTTCCTAAGCTTTTCTATGTAGATGACCATGTTGTCTGTGAATAAAGAGTTTTTCTTCCTTCCCTATCCAATGATGGCTTTTTTTTTCTTGTCTGACTGTACTGGTTCCAGTTCAATGTTGAATAGAAATGGTAAAGTGAAAATCCTTACCTTATTCTTTATTTTAGGGGACAAGTATTCACTTTCAGAATTAAGTGAAATAAGTGTGGTGCTAGCTGTTAGTTTTTTGCAGACCTTAATCTAGTTAAGGAAGTTTCCTTCTATTCCAGTTTACTAAGAGTTTTTTTCCCTGCATCCACTGAGATTAAAATACACGTGGGTTTTTTTCACTGTTGATATGATGAACTGATATTGATTAATTTTCCAACATTAACACAAACTTGCAGTTCAAGAAAAAACTGCTCTTTTTATTGTCATTTTAATTTATTACTGGATTCAATTTGTTAACATGTTCTTAAGGATTTTTGCATCTATGTTCATGAGAAATATTGGCATAATGTTTTCTTGTAATATTTTTCTCTAGTTTTAGTATCAGAGCCATTCTGAATAATACAAAGTAGTACATAGAGTAGTACATAGAATGAGTTAGAAATTTTCTGAAGGATTTTTATGAAATTAATATGGTTTTTTTTTGTGTGTGTGACAGAGTCTCACTCTGTCACCCAGGCTGCAGTGAAGTGGTGTGATCTCAGCTCACTGCAACCTCTGCCTCCTGGGTTCAAGTGATTCTCCTACCTCAGCCTCCTGAGTAGCTGGGATTACAGGCACGCACCATCACACCTGGCTAATTTTTGTATTTTTAGTAGAAACAGGGTTTTACCATGTTGGCCAGGCTGGTCTCAAACTCCTGACCTCAGGTGATCCACCCACCTCAGCCTCCCAAAGTGCTGGGATTACAGGAGTTAGCCCTGGTGCCCAGCAGGTTTCTTCTTTAAATATTTTGAAGGATTCACCATTGTAGCCATCTGGACCTAAAGTTTTCTTTGTAGGAAGTTCTTTATTTAATAGATACAGGACTATTCATGTTATATTTTACATAAAAATTAGCTATTTTTCACTAACTTTTCAAATTCTTTGGCATAATCATCTTCAGAGAATTTGTGTCTGATTTTTGCACTTGTGCTGTATTTATAGTAATAGCCTTTAGTTCATTCCTAATATTATTCACTTAATTTTTCTCTCTTCCTTTTCCTGATCAATCAAGGCAAAAGTTTGTCAATGTTTTAGTCTTCTAAATTATCAGATTATGATTTTGTCAATCACCTATTTTTATTGCTTCATAATGCATTAGTCTATAATTTTGTCCCTATTTCTTTTTCTCTGATTTGAGTTTACAGTGCTGCTCTCTTGTAGCTGCTTCAGCTAAAGACTTAGCTAATTTATCTTTACCTTGATTTTGTCTAATAAATGCACTCAAGGATGTAAATTTTCTTTAAGTACTCCTTTAGTTTTAAAATGTAATGCTTTTGTTGTTGCTGATTTCTAAATATTTTTATAATTTCCATTGTTATTTTCTCTTGAACACATGAATTATTTAGATTTATCACAATTTTCTAAACCTAAAAAGGGTGGCTATATTTTAATTATTAATTTCTAAGTTGACTGCATTCCTATCTAACATCACTGTCAAAATGGTTATATAACCTAAATTCTCTCCTTGATCAAATGCAGTATCTTCCACCCTCTTCTCAGGACCACTATTTTCATCTTGAAATGCAAGCTGTATTTCATATCTCTTTTTATCTAGAAGCAGTTCAATTTGTACTATCATGTCAAGTAAGATGAGCATCATTAAAGCCATTGTGGGTGCTAATATAATAATAGTCTAACACTAAATTCGCTTTCATATTTTGGTCTAGTTTTAGTACTGGAGTAGTTCTGGGTAGTACAGAGTAGTATCTGTAGTGAGCTGGGAGGTATTCCTCCTCTTTAATTTTCTGGAAGTTTGTTTTTTTAATCTACTCTAACTATGTTCACTCACTAAACAGCAGTGAAGAAAATGTCTCCTTTTTGAGTATTGTTGATATTCTTCTCAAAAGCTATTATCCTACTTCCTTATCCTTACTAGCAGTGCCTACCTGCAAGATAGAGGCTGGATATGCTGGATGTCTACTTTCCCAACTTTGCAGTAGGGCGTGGTCCATAGGTCCTGGGGGAACTCGGCTGTGAGAATCTTGGAGTGATTTCCCTGCTAATAAATAATCTAGTGAGGCATGGGAAGAGGTACCACCTCCTTGACCAAACCTTGTTGTAACTACATATGACACCCAAACTGCAGCAGACACACTGCCTCGATAAGAGGCAGACCTAAGGACCAGACCAGAGAGGGCAGAGCAGAAGGGGACCTTTGTGGCAATGTGCACCACAGGCTCCCCTGCAACAGCCTACTTCCAGGCTTCCTGTGTAAGAAAGGCATCCTGTGAATACTCCTCCCCTCCTATGTTTACTAAAGATTACAGTAAACACCTAGGGCAATGCTGGCAAACTATGGTTATAAAACCATGTCTAGAGAACTGTGACAAAATCGTGATCTCAGACCTCAGGATGGGATGCATCTGAAGCTTCAAGGAGAGCGGGAGGAAACCCAGTCTGCAGGGATGCCTTAATTTCAGTAGTTCAACTTTGTTAGTGCTATTCCTCTAGTCCAACACAGACATCAATAGGATGAGCACCATTAAGTTTTATCCTTGTCAGCATGGAGCAGTAAATGCAAAAACTGCCTCCCCTGAATGCTAAGGGGAGGGCATCCTATCAAGGAGAGGGGGCCGAGGAGTGCAGGCCCCCAGTGGTGGCCACCGTGAGATGGCATGAGAGGCACCAGATGGACCTCACAGGAACAGGAGTCTGCCAGATTCCTACTTTTCCAAAACCAGTAAAGGAAATTGACTCCAAAAGAGAACATGGCTGATAAAAAATAGTCCTTCGAGTAAATAAAGTAGCAATGAAGGCTTTCTCCACACCAAACATACTCAGTTGTTTCAACCATTCCTGATACACATCCATTTCTAGACCCTTCATTCCTGGTACCTCTCCCTGAGTGCAGTGTGAGGTGCTTCTCCTCCCTAACTCCTGAATGGACACGGCATAGCCCCTGCTAACACACTGTCCTGCTGCTCAATGTTTACTTGTCTCTCTTGCCCTCCGGTTCTTTCTCATTTGTAGATCACTGATTATCTTTGAGAATGGAGTGAAAGAGAGACCTCTAAAGAAAAAAAAAAAAAAAACAGCTTTCACATACAGCTATAGGAGATAAGCAAACTCCCTGATGTCTATCTGTGGACTCTAAATTAAAAACCATACTCTGGACTGTAGCCTTCTTTTAGGAATTTTTTTTCTTCTTATCCCACCACCTATGACTACAGCTAGGGCAGTTGCATGGTTAGGCAAAATGGGTTAATTCATTAATAAATGAGTTAAATAATGAATTGTGGTGTGGCCAGACCAGTGCATCATAGGTTGAAAATGCAGTCTAAGCCTTGTTTTGACAGTATTATCACATTGTCTCATCCCAAGGCTTTTTTTAATTCTGATAAAATATATATAATAAAATGTACCATTTTAATCATTTTTAAGTATAAAATTCAATGGCACCGAATACATTTACAATGTTATGCAACACCACAACCTGTAGAACTTGTTCAACATCCCAAACTGACTCTCTGTGCCCATTAAGCAATAAATCCCTATCCATCCCCTCCCACCAGCCCTTGGCAACCACCATTTTACTTTCTGTCTCTTAGGATGTTCACTACTCTAAGAACACCATATAAGAGGAGTCATACAGTATTTGTTCTGTGTCTGGCTTATTTCGCTTAGCATAATTTCTTCAAGGTTCATCCATATAATGGCGTGTATTTGAATCTCATACTGAATAGTATTTTACTGTGTGTACACTCCACATTTTGTTTATCCATTCATCTGTTGATGTCCATGTTTGGATTGTTTGTACCTTTCAGATATATTGTGTGAATAATGCTGCTATGAACATGGACGCACAAATATTTCTTTAAATCCCTACTTTCAGTTCTTTTGGGTATACATATCCAGAGGTGGAACTGCTGGACCGTATAGTAATTCTAGATTTAATTCTTTTTAAGAATCACCATACATTGTTTTCCACAGAGGTGGCACATCCCTGCCAACAATGCAGAAATGTGCCAATTTCTCCATATCCTTGCCAATAATTTTCTCGGTTGTCTTTTTCATAGCAATCCTAATGGGTATGAAGTGGTATCTCATGCTTTCAATTTGCATATTTTAATTAGTAATGTTGAGCACCTTTTCATGTACTTATTGGCCATCTGTATATCTTCTTGGGGAAAATATCTATTCAAGTCCTTTGCTCATTTCTGAATTAGGTTTTTTGTTTTTTCTGTCGCTGAGTTTTAGGATTTCTTTATGCATACCAAATATTAATCCCTTACCAGATCAATGATATGCAAATGTTTCTCACATTCTGTATGATGCCTTTTCACTCTGTTGACAGTGTCCTTTGATACACAAAGTTCTTGATTTTGATAAAGTCCAATTTATTTATTTTTTCTTTTGTCAGTAGTAAAACGCTTGTGTCATATCCAAGAAATCATTCCCACATCCTGTGTCATGAAGCTTTTTCTCTATGTTTTCACCTAGGAATTTTATAAGTTTAGGTTTTACATTTAGGTATTTGATCCATTTTTGTAATATAGTATAGAGTAAGAATCAAAATTCATTCATTTGTATGTGGATATTCAGTTTCCGAATGTCATTTATTGAAAAGACTATCCTTTCTCCATTGAATGGTCACTCTTTTCAAAAATCAATTGACCATGTATGCAAAGGTTTATTTCTGGGCACTCTATTCTATTCCATTGGCCTATGTCTGTCTTTATGCTAGAATCAACTGGTTGTTTTTTTGTTTGTTTGTTTTTTGTTTTGGAGATGAAGTCTCATTCTGTCACCCAGGCTGGAGTACAGTCTTGATCTCGACTCATTGTGACCTCCGCCTCCTGGGTTCAAGCGATCCTCCCACCTCAGCATCTCAAGTAGCTGGGATTACAGGCACGTGCCATCACGCCCAGCTAATTTTTGTATTTTTGGTAAAGATAGCATTTTATCATGTTGGCCAGGCTAATCTCAAACTCCTGGCCTCAAGCAATCCACCCAACTTTGCCTCCCAAAGTGCTGGGATTACAGGTGTGAGCCACCGCACCTGGCCAGAACCACTGTTTTGATTACTGAAACTTTACAGCAAGTTTTGAAATCAGGAAGTTAGTGTCCTCCAACTTTGTTCTTTTTCAATACTGTTTCCACTATTTGGGACCCTTAATATTACACATGAATTTTGGGATGAATTTTTACATTTTGGCAAAAAACTCATTGGAACTTTGATAGGAATTGCATTGATTCTGTGGATTGCTTTGAGTAGAACTGACATCTTAACAATATTAAGTCTTCCTATCAATGAACCTGGGATGTCTTTCCATTTTTTATACTTTATTTAATTTCATTCAGCGATGCTTCGTAGTTTTCCATGTACAATTATTTAGCCTCCTGTTTTCTAAATTCCCACTTCAGATT
The DNA here is from genome assembly GCF_000001405.40 of Homo sapiens. Lineage (NCBI taxonomy): Eukaryota > Metazoa > Chordata > Mammalia > Primates > Hominidae > Homo > Homo sapiens. The sequence goes on along the minus strand of NC_000008.11, from coordinate 48,214,714 downwards.
TTTCATTGTCACTATAGAGAAATGCAACTGCTTTTTGCATGTTGAGTTTGTATCCAGCCTCTGAATTCATTTATTAGTTCTAACAGTTTGCTTTGGTTTATCTTTGTTTGTTGTTGTGGGGCCAGGGGGGAGTTGGTGCAGAATTGCTACAATTTTCTAAATATAGGATTGTGTCATCTGCAAACAGAAATAATTTTACTTATTCCTTTCTAATTTGTATGCCTCTTATTTCTTTTTCTTGCCTAATTGCTTCAGCTAGAATTTCCAATATTATGTTGAACACAAGTAACAAAAGCAGGCACCCTTGTCTTATTTCTGATCTTAGGGGAATTGCTTTTAGTCTTTTGAGTATAGTATAGCTATTGAGTATAGTGATAGCTGTGGATTTCTCATATAAGAGCTTTATTATATTGAGGTAGTTTCTATTCCCAGTTTGCTGGGCGTTCTTATCATGAAAAGGTATTGGATTTTCTCAAATACTTTTTCTGCATCAGTTGAGATGATCATGGATTTTCCCTTTATTGTGTTAATGTGGTATATTGCATTGATTTTTATGTGTAGAACCATCCTTGTATTCCAAGAATCAATCTCATTTGGTCATGATGTATAATCCTTTCAATATGTTGCTGAATCCAGTTTGCTAATTTTTTTGAGGATTTTTGTATTGGTATTCATAAAGGATATTGGTCTATGGTTTTCTTGTACTGTCTTTGTCTGGCTTTGGTGTCAATATAGTGCTGGCCTCATAGAATGAGTCAGGAAGTGTTCCCTTCTCTTCATTTTTTTTGGAAGCATTTGATAAATATTGGTGCTAGTTCTTTAAGTGTTTGGTAGAACTCATCAATTAAGATATCTGTATTCATCCATTTGTGCTGCTATAGCAAAATATCTGAAACTGGGTCATTTATACAGAAGATAAATTTATTTCTCACAGTTTTGGAGACTAGGAAGTTCAAATTCAAGGTGCCAGCAAGTCTGGTGTCTGGTGAGGGTCCAGTCTCTGCTTCCAAGATGGTGTTTTGAATGCTGCATCCTCAAGAAGGGAGGAAACTTGTGTATCTTTATATGACAGAAGGCAAAAGGGCCAAAAGAGATTAACTCCCTCCATCAAGGCCCTTTATAATAGCATTAATCTATTCATGAGGGCAGAACCATCATGACTGAAACATATCACAAAAGGCCCCACCTCCCAACACTGTGGCACTGGGAATTAAGTTTCCAATACATGAATTTGGGGGGGGATACATTTATACCATACCAACATCTGATCCTGGACTTTTATTTGTTGGAAGATTTTTGATTACTGATTAAATCTTCTTGCTAATTATAGGTCTACTCAAATTTTCTGTTTATTAGTGATTCAGTCTTAGTAAGCTTTGTGTATCTAGAAATTTGTCTATTTCATTTAGGTTACCAAATTTGTTGTCATACAATTGTTTATAATACTTCTTAATAATCCTTCTTATTTCTGTAAATCAGTTGTAATGTCCTCTCTTTCATTTCTAGTTTTGGTTATTTAAGTCTTCTTTTTTTCTTAGTCAGTATTGCTAAAGGTTTATCAATTTTCTTGATCTTTTTAAGAACTAAATTACTTTGGTTTCATTAATTTTCTCTATTGTTTTTCTATTCTTTGTTTTATTTCTCTCTGCTCTAATCTTTCTTTTTCCCTAGTTATGCTAGTTTTAGACTTAGTTTGTTCTTCTTTTTCTAGTTCCTTAAGGTATAAATGTAAGTTGTTAATTTGATCATTTTTTAAAATTATTTTTTCTTTGTCTTTGAAGGATTGGGTTAATTTGAAAGCCTTGTCTTTGAGCTCTGTAATTCTTTCTTCTGCTTGTTTGATTCTATTGCTGAAACTCTCCAGTGCGTTTTGCATTTCTCTAAGTGTGTCCTTGATTTCCAGAAGTTATGATTGTTTTTATCTATGCTATCCATTTCTCTGAAGATTTTTCCTTTCATATCCTGTATCATGTTTTTTATTTCTTTAAGTTGGAGTTCACCTTTCTCTGGTCCTCCCTGATTAGCCTTAATAATCGGCCTTCTGAATTTGTTTTCTGGTAATTCAGAGATTTCATCTTGGTTCGGATCCACTGCTGGTAAGCTGATGTGACCTTTTGAGGGTACTAAAGAACTTTGTTTTGTCATATTACCAGAATTGTTTTTCTGGTTCCTTCTCATTCTGGTAGACTATGTCAGAGGGAAGATCTGGGACTCAAGGACTGCTGTTCGGATTCTTTTGTCCCACAGGGTGCTCCCATAATGTGTTCTCCCTCTTCCCCTAAGGATAGGGCTTCCTGAGAGCTGGAATGCAGTGATGGTTTTTGCTCTTCTGGGTCTAGCCAGCCAGCAGAGCTACTGGGCTCCAGGCTGGTACTGGGGAGTGTCTGCAAAGAGTCCTGTGATGTGATCTGTGTTCAGATCTCTCAGCTGTGTATACCAGCATCTGCTCCATTGGAGGTAGCAGAGGAGTGAAGCAGACTCTGTCAGAGTTCTTGCTTGTAGTTTTGTTTAGTGTGCTGGTTTTCTCGAATGCTGGTTATGCTAGCAGTAAATCTGTCACATGGACAGACTCACAACCTCTGGTTGGCCAGGATGTTACAGGCATTCTAAACACAGAACATAGAATTGTTCTATGTGCACTTGAGAAAAACGTGTACTTTGCTGTTGTTGGGTGGAATGACCTCTATATGTCTGTTAGGTCTAATTGGTATCTTTAAGTTCTAGGGTATGTATGCACAACATGCAGGTTTGTTACATATGTATACACGTGCCAAGTTGGTGTGGTGCACCCATTAACTGGTCATTTACATTAGGTATATCTCCTAATGCTATCCCTCTCGCCTTCCCCCACCCCACAACAGGCCCCAGTGTGTGATGTTCCCCTTCCTGTGTCCAAGTGTTCTCATTGTTCAATACCCACCTATGAGTGAGAACATGCAGTGTTTGGTTTTTTGTCCTTGCAATAGTTTGCTGAGAATGATGGTTTCCAGCTTCATCCACGTCTCTACAAAGGACATGAACTCATCATTTTTTTTGGCTGCATAGTACTCCATGGTGTATATGTGCTACATTTTCTTAATCCAGTCTATCATTGTTGAACATTTGGGTTGGTTCCAAGTCTTTGCTATCGTGAACAGTGCTGCAATTAACATACATGTGCATGTGTCTTTATAGCAACATGATTTATAATCCTTTGGGTATATACCCAGTAATGGGATGGCTGGGTCAAATGGTATCTCCAGTTCTAGTTCCTGAGGAATCGCCACACTGTCTTCCACAAGGGTTGAACTAGTTTACAGTCCCATCAACAGTGTAAAAGTGTTCCTATTTCTCCACATCCTCTCCAGCACCTGTTGTTTCCTGACATTTTAATGATCACCATTCTAACTGGTGTGAGATGATATCTCATTGTGGTTTTGATTTGCATTTCTGTGATGGCCAGTGATGATGAGCATTTTCTCATGTGTCTGTTGGCTACATAAATGTCTTCTTTTGAGAAGTGTCTGTTCATATCCTTCACCCACTTGTTGATGGGTTTTATTTTCTTGTAAATTTGTTTGAGCTCTTTGTAGATTCTGGATATTAGCCCTTTGTCAGATGAGTAGATTGCAAAAATTTTCTCCCATTCTATAGGTTGCCTGTTCACTCTGATGGTAGTTTCTTTTGCTGTGCAGAAGCTCTTTAGTTTAATTAGACCCCATTTGTCAATTTTGGCTTTTGTTGCCATTGCTTTTGGTGTTTTAGACATGAAGTCCTTCCCCATGCCTATGTCCTGAATGGTATTGCCTAGGTTTTCTTCTAGGGTTTTTATAGTTTTAGGTCTAACATTTAAGTCTATAATCCATCTTGAATTAATTTTTGTATAAGGTGTAAGGAAGGGATCCAGTTTCAGCTTTCTACATATGGCTAGCCAGTTTTCCCAGCACCATTTGTTAAATAGGGAATCCTTTCCCCATTTCTTGTTTTTCTCAGGTTTGTCAAAGATCAGATAGTTGTAGATGTGTGGTATTATTTCTGAGGGCTCTGTTCTGTTCCATTGGTCTATATCTCTGTTTTGGCACCAGTACCTTGCTGTTTTGGTTACTGTGGCCTTGTAGTATAGTTTGAAGTCAGGTAGCGTGATGTCTCCAGCTTTGTTCTTTTGGCTTAGGATTGACTTGGCAATGCTCTGATCTTACTTATTTCTTGCCTTCTGCTAGATTTTGAATGTGTTTGCTCTTGCTTCTCTAGTTCTTTTATTTGTGGTGTTAGGGTGTCAATTTTAGATCTTTTCTGCTTTCTCTTGTGGGCATTTAGTGCTATAAATTTCCCTCTACACACGGCTTTGAATGTGTCCCACAGATTCTGGTATGTTGTGTCTTTGTTCTCGTTGGTTTCAAAGAACATCTTTATTTTTTTTGTTCCATATGAACTTCAAAGTAGTTTTTTCCAATTCTGTGAAGAAAGTCATTGGTAGCTTGGTAGGGATGGCATTGAATCTATAAATTACTTTGGGCAGTACGGCCATTTTCACAATATTGATTCTTCCTATCCATGAGCATGGAATGTTTTTCCATTCGTTTGTATCCTCTTTTGTTTTGTTGAGCAGTGGTTTGTAGTTCTCCTTGAAGAGGTCCTTCACATCCTTTGTAGATTGGATTCCTAGGTATTTTATTTTCTTTGAAGCAATTATGAATGGGAGTTCACTCATGATTTGGCTCTCTGTTTGTCTGTTATTGGTGTATAAGAATGCTTGTGATTTTTGCACATTGATTTTGTATCCTGAGACTTTGCTGAATTTGCTTATCAGCTTAAGGAGACTTTGGACGGAGACAATGGGGTCTTCTAGATATACAATCATGTCATCTGCAAACAGGGACAATTTGACTTCCTCTTTTCCTAATTGAGTGCCCTTTATTTCTTTCTCCTGCCTGATTGCCCTGGCCAGAAATTCCAACACTGTGTTGAATAGGAGTGGTGAGAGAGGGCATCCCTGTCTTGTGCTAGTTTTCAAAGGGAATGCTTCCAGTTTTTGCCCATTCAGTATGATATTGGCTGTGGGTTTGTCATAAATAGTTCTTATTGTTTTGAGATACGTCCCATCAATACCTAATTTATTGAGAGTTTTTAGCATGAAGTGCTTTTGAATTTTTTCAAAGGCCTTTTCTGCATCTATTGAGATAATCATGTGGTTTTTGTCTTTGGGTCTGTTTATATGCTGGATTACGTTGATTGGTTTGCATATGTTGAACCAGCCTTGCATCCCTGGGATGAAGCCCACTTGATCATGGTGGATAAGCTTTTTGATGTGCTGCTGGATTCAGTTTGCCAGTATTTTATTGAGGATTTTTGCATCAATGTTCATTAGGGATATTGGTCTAAAATTCTCTTTTTTGGTTGTGTCTCTGCCAGGCTTTGGTATCAGGATGATGCTGGCCTCATAAAATGAGTTAGGGAGGATTCCCTCTTTTTCTATTGATTGGAATAGTTTCAGAAGGAATGGTACCAGCTCCTCCTTGTACGTGTGGTAGAATTTGGCTGTGAATCCATCTGGTCCTGGACTTTTTTTGGTTGGTAAGCTATTAATGATTGGCCTCAATTTCAGAGCCTGTTATTGGTCTATTCAGAGATTCAACTTCTTCCTGGTTTAGTCTTGGGAGGGTGTATGTGTGGAGGAATTTATCCATTTCTTCTAGATTTTCTAGTTTATTTGCGTAGAGGTGTTTATAGTATTCTCTGATGGTAGTTTGTATTTCTGTGGGATCGGTGGTGATACCCACTTTATCATTTTTTATTGCATCTATTTTATTCTTCTCTGTTTTCTTCTTTATTAGTCTTGCTAGCAGTCTATCAATTTTGTTGATCTTTTCAAAAAACCAGCTCCTGGATTCATTGATTTTTTGAAGGGCTTTTTTGTGTCTCTGTGTCTCTATCTCCTTCAGTTCTGCTCTGATCTTAGTTATTTCTTGCCTTCTGCTAGCTTTTGAATGTGTTTGCTCTTGCTTCTCTAGTTTTTTTAATTGTGATGTTAGGGTGTCAATTTTAGATCTTTCCTGCTTTCTCTTGTGGACATTTAGTGCTATAAATTTCCCTCTACACACTGCTTTAAATGTGTCCCAGAGATTCTGGTATGTTGTGTCTTTGTTCTCGTTGTTTTCAAAGAACATCTTTATTTCTGCCTTCATTTTGTTATTTACCCGGTAGTCATTCAGGAGCAGGTTGTTCAGTTTCCATGTAGTTGAGTGGTTTTGAGTGAGTTTCTTAATCCTGAGTTCTAGTTTGATTGCACTATGATCTGAGAGACAGTTTCTTATAATTTCTATTCTTTTACATTTGCTGAGGAGTGCTTTACTTCCAGCTAGGTGGTCAATTTTGGAATAGGTGTGGTGTGGTGCTGAGAAGAATGTATATTCTGTTGACGTGGGGTGGAGAGTTCTGTAGATGTCTATTACGTCTGCTTGGTCCAGAGCTGAGTTCAATTCCTGGATATCCTTTTTAACTTTCTGTCTCGTTGATCTGTCTAATGTTGACAGTAGGGTGTTAAAGTCTCCCATTATTATTGTGTGGGAGTCTAAGTCTCTTTGTAGGTCTCTAAGGACTTCCTTTATGAATCTGGGTGCTCCTGTGTTGGGTGCATATATATTTAAGATAGTTAGCTCAGTCTAATTGGTTTATTGTCCTGTTCAAGTCTATGTCCTTATTTGCCTTATGTCTTTTGGTTCCGTTTACAATTAAAAGTAGAGTATGAAAGTCTGCAATCATTATTGTAAATCTGTTTAGTATTCCCTTCAGTTTTGCTCTGTAGGGCTCTGATGTTTGCATAAAAATGTTCCTAATTTTATATCTTCTTGATAATTGAGTCTCTTATCAATACTAATGTCCTTCTTTGTCCCTCGTAACAGTTTTTTACTTAGAGTTTATTTGATCTCCTATTAGTATAACTACCCAGCTTCTTGTTGCTTTCAATTTACATGGAATATCTTTTTCCAATCTTTCACTTTCAACCGTTTGTGTCTTTAGATCTAAAATGAGTCTCATGTATGTAACATGTGATTGGATCATGTTTCTAAATCTAGTCTGCTGATTTCTGCCTTTTGATTAGAGACTTTAATGCATTTAAAGTAATTATTTTTAAAAAAGCAGGCTAATTCTGCCATTTTCCTGTTTGTTTTCTCCATGTCTTATACCATATTTTGGCTCTCATTTCCTTCATTACTGCTTTCTTTTGTGTTTAGTTGGTTGTTTGTTTGTTTTGTTGTTGTTGTTGTTTTTGGAGTGACACATTTTGATTACCATCTCACTGCCTTTTGTGTATATACTATAGATAATTTCTTTGTGGTTACTATGCAGATTACATTAATAATATGACAATCACATCTGAATTGACATCAACTTAACTTCAATCACGTATGCAATCTCTACTTCCATACAGTTCTATCTCCCACTTGATGTTATTGATGTCACTAATTACATCTTTATACGTTGTGTGCCAAAAAACACAGATTGTTAACTATTTTTATGTATTTATCTTTTAAATCCTATAGACAATAAGAGGTGGAGCTACAAATGAAAATTCTAATAATACTGGCTTTTATATATTCTTATGCATTTACCTTTAATGGAAACCTTTATATCTTTATATGACTATTAGTTACTGTCTAACATCTTTTCATTGCAACCTGGGAGATTTCCTTTAGCATTTTGGGCTCGGCGGTGGGGGGCAAGTCTGGTAGTAATAAACTTCTTTTGTTTAACTTCCCATTTCTGTTAATAAATTTCCCATTTCTGGGAATGTCTTAATTTCACTTTCAACTCTTGAAGGACAGTTTTGTGAGATATAGAATCCTTGCCTGACAGTTCTATTTTTGGCACTTTAATATACCATTCCACTGCCTTCTGGATGCCAGTATTTCTGCTAAGAAACAGGCTGATAATCTTACTAAGGATACCTTACACCTAATAAGTTGCTTTTCTTTTACAGCTTTCAAGATTCTCTCTTTGTCTTCAGCTTTTGACAGTTTGGTTATAAGGGGTTCACACGTGGGTCTCTGAGTTATTCTACTTGGATTTTGTTGTGCTTCTTTTATTTTTATACTCATGGCTTTCCTTTTCAGCCATTATTTCTTCAAATAATTTTTCTGCACCATTATCACGTCTCCTTCTTGAATTCCCATAATGCATATGTTGCTTGGCTTTATGGTTTCCCACAAATCTCTTCAGTTCTCTTTGCTTTTCTTTATTATTTTTTCTGTTTCTCAGACTCAATAATTTTAACTGTCTTGTCTTCAAGTTTACTGATTCTTTCTTCCACCTGATCAAATCTCCTACTGAACCCTTCTGGTAAACTTTTCATTTTAGTTATTGTACTTTTCACCTCCAGTATTTCTGCTTGGTCCTTTTTATAATTTCGATCTCTTTGTTGATATTCTCATTTTGTTGACATTTCATATTCTTGATTTCCCTTAGTTCTTTGTCTATGTTTTCCTTTAGGTCTCTCTTTTTTTTTTTTTTTTTGGAAATGGAGTCTTGCTCTGTAGCTAGACTGGAGTGAAGCGGCACCATCTCAGCTCACTGCAACCTCCCCCTGGTTTAAGTGATTCTCCTGCCTCAGCCTCCCGAGCAGCTGGGACTACAGGCATGTACCACCACGCCCAGCTAATTTTTGTATTTTTAATAGAAACGGGGTTTCATCATGTTGGCCAGGATGGTCTCAATCTCCTGACCTCATGATCCACCCACCTCGGCCTCCCAGAGTGCTGGGATTATAGGCGTGAGCCACTGCACCCAGCCTCCTTTAGGTCTTTGAGTATGTTTAGGACAGTTGTTTTAAAGTCTTTGTCTAGTAAGTCAAATGTTTTAGATTCCTCAGGGGCAGTTTCTGTCCACTTATTTTGATCCTTTGATGTGCCATATTTTCCTGTTTCTTTGCATGCTTTGTGATTTTTTTTTTCTGAAAATTGGGTTTTTAAGTATTGTAGTGTGGATTATAGTGTGAAATCTTTGAAAATCAGATTGTCCTCCTTCTCTAGGGGTTGTTCATTTGTTGGTTGGTTGGTTTATTGTTGAAGGCTATAATCATCCAGTAGTTTTGAGACTTGCCTAAACTATTTTTGCAAAGACTAGTCTTTTTCACATGTGATCACTGACGTTTGTCCTTCTAGCTTGTGTTCAGCTAATGTTTTCGCAGAGATTTCCCTGAATACTAAGATTTCTCCCCACCTTTGCAGGTTGGCTCTGTGCTGGGGAGCCTTCAACACTTATTTAGGTTTTCTCTCAGCCTAGGAATCAGCCCAAAGTGAAAGCTTAATGTCTTCTCAGGTCTTTTCTGAGCATGTGCCTTGCCTGCATGTGTGTGGCTTGCTAAACTCCCCCATATACAGGGTTGCTTTTGAATGCCTTAATTTCCAGTCTTGCCCCAGCTTCTCCCCCAGGCTTTAAATTGCCTGCTATATGTCTGCCTCCATAATCTCTTGCCCCAGGAATCTGTGGCTCAGTAGTTGCCTTACAGTGGTTATGAGCAGTGTCCATAGCTTTTCCCACCTGACTTCTGAGTTAGGAAAAACAGAGATGAATGCTTCATGCTAGTCCTTCAGGTATTTCCCCAGGTGGTTTGGAACAGCCACAAGCAATAATTTACCAATAAAGTCTGCTCTGCTTCCTCCAGTTTAAAGGACAAAACGGAACTGGGCTGCTGCTGTTTCAAGAACAAGACTGCTACCACACCAGGGAAAGAGTGAGGCAAGAATGAGAAAAACATCACAAAACTCTCTGACCATTTTGAAGATGGCCTTTTCTTGACTGGGCATCTGTTTGGTTGATGTAAACCTTTGACTCTTTCCCAAAGCTCTGACAAAGCTAGTTGCGGCAGTTTTGGCTTTTAATGGTTTCTGTAGGGGAATGAGCAGTTGGAGCTTCCTAGTCTATCACTTTGCTAACATCACCCTACCCCTAGTTCTTTTATGTTATTTCACTGTTTTTATTAGCAATTTTGGATCTTCTTCTAATGTAGTGGTCTTTTGAACCTAAGTGCAGAAATCTACAAATTAACTCATATTAATTAGTCTATTGGATTTTCCTCACTGTAGCTTTCGGATGATCTCATCCAACATGTTCTATATCTCCACAAGCTTCCTATCAGCTACATCCAGTAAGCAAACCTTCCACTGTTCTCTAATTCTCTAAGTTTTAAAAGAATAGCATAATCAAGTGTTATGTCAGTCTTCTGTCCTGTCTTCTTAATGTTCTTAATAATATCTATTCCATAATCAAAACTCTGCATCACAGCTATTTTTGTTTTTAATGAATCATAAACTAAGGCTCCCAGCTATGAAGCCTCCTCAGAGGGCACAGCCAACAGATGTCTAGCAGACTTCCAGATGCCAGAATCACTAAGAGTCAAAGAAGATCATTATTGATGGCTTTTAAGTATCACAGGTTCATTCATTCCTCCAAATTTAAATACAAGAAAGAATGTGTCTCCCACTTGAACTTTTTTAAGTAAACTTTTACTTGTGGTGGTAAAAACCAGGGAATGGCTTATCAGAAAGAGCAAAGGCTTTGAAATCAAGCAGTATTCAAATATTGATGTTAGCACTTACTAATTAGGCAAGTTACTTAATCTATAAAACTCCATTTTCTCATCTGAAAAAAAAATGGAGAAAACAGCCATTTCCTTGCAGGGATACTGTGAAAATTAAATTAGATAACACACACAAAGTCCTAATACCAAATAAAAAGTTCCCTTCACTAGACAAAAAAGGAACATAACCTAAATTATGAAACTTTTTCCCAAAGCTCTTAATTTTAGCAATTTAATTAAAGTATTACATGGATGCCAAGCTGGTAGGTTCATCTGCTTTCCCATTTCCATACTCTGTAACATCATATAAATGTGATGGGACCAAACCAGGCAGGTTTAGGGGATGAATGTCTAGGGTATTTTTGGAAGACAGATGGGGGATCCCACCTGGGGAATATGTGCATGAGAGTACAAGAAGCTTCCAAAGAAAGATGTCTTTGTAAGGGAAGACAGTCAAGGGCCACAGATGTAGCCGAATCCAGAGAGTACAAGTCAAAGCGGAAGGGTTTCTTTGGGCACACCACAATGGCATATGTTGCTCCAGTGATCCTCCACCCAGCTTCCTGGATTGGTGCCTGAATCCTACTGAGAGAGGCATGCAATAAAGAGCAAGTAAAAATAAAACCATGGCACCTGATTCCCTCAGGACATGGAGAGCACAAGTCTGTTTCTTTTATACTCAAGACAGCAATGACATAATTAAGTGAGAGTCAAGGAAAGAAATTCCTGTAGGATCCACAGCTTAGGACCTAGACTAGGCAAGAGGGGTTGCTGCACTAGAGCCCCCCATCGCAAACAACAAGCCAAAAAACTATGCCATCCCAGAAGACACTTCTTTCACCTGAGGTCTGGTACCAGGCATAGCCTGACCCAGCCTTAGGACACAGCAACCCCGTCCCAGGCACCAGAATGCATTCTTGCCCAACATCCTCAACACACAGGTGGCTGTGTCCAAACACCATAAAAGTTTGCGTGTTGTACCACCACTTACCCACAAAGCTGGGGCCAACACTGCTTGTGCATGCAGGGAGGAATTGATAGGAGAATGCATGGATGTGAGAAAGGACCAAAACGCACACACATACTTTGAAAAGTTAATTTACCTTTTCAATCTTTCCTCAGCATAAATGCAACAAATTCTTGCATAACCACATATCAGTTCTCAGCAGCGCTCCATATTGCCAAGACTTCATTTTCTTGCTTTTCTTGATTTGCCGATTCATGGTTCCTGAGGGAGCCACATATCAATGCAATATTCACCACAGTTGCTGAGAAACCACATGGTGACTGAGAAATATTTTGCAACATTAAACAATTTCTATTACTCTTAAATCTATATACGTTGATCTAGACATCAAATGTAGAAAACATAATATCAATTATTTACATTGGCATCTAGATAAATATTAAATGCTAGAACTGTAAATTGTTTTATGTTCATTAAAAAAATAAAAATTATATAAAATATATAGTCATGCACCACATAACATTTTGGTCAACAACAGATTGGTCCCATACGATTATAATAGTATATATTTACTGTTCCTTTTCTATGTTTAGATACACAAACACTTACCATCATGTTACAAATTGCCCACATTACAATTGCCTACGGTATTCAGTACAGTCACATGCTGTGTAGGAGCCTAGGTGTGTAGTAGACTATACCGCCCAGGTCTGTGGAAGTGCACTCTGTGATGTTCACACAATGACGAAATCACCTAACAACACTTTCCTCAGTATATAGCCCCATCATTAAGCAAAACATACCGGTAATTAGTTTTTTTAAAAAACAAATTTAAATTTTCAGCTTTATTTAAATAATTTTCTTTCTTTTTTTTTTTTATTTTTTTTTGAGACAGAGTTTCACTCATTGCCCAGGCTGGAATTCAGTGGCGCAATCTCAGCTCACTGCAGCCTCCACCTCCCAGGTACAAACAATTCTCCTGCCTCAGCCTCCCAAATAGCTGGGATTACAGGCGTGCACCATCACACCCGCCTAATTTTTGTATTTTTAGTAGAGACAGGGTTTTACCATGTTGGCCAGGCTAGTCTCAAACTCCTGACCTCAGGTGATCCACCCGCCTCGACCTCCCAAAGTGCTGGGATTACAGGCGTGAGCCACTGCGCCCAGCCTATTTAAATAATTTTCATTTAAAAGTGAATATTCATTTTTGACATTTGTGTTTTTCATTTTAATTTTAATTTTTAGTATTTTAAAAGATAACTTTTCAAAAATATATGGAAATAATGTTAACTTTAAAATTGTATACTTATTTTAATGTATACTTTTAGAAATATATTTCCATTTTAATCATTTAGATTATTACTGTCAACTGAATACAAATTATGTAAAAATCTTTATTACACCCATATAATTAGTGATGCAGCTGAAATTAATGCAAGAAAAATAAATTTTATCTGATAAATATACCTGAGTTGTGTATATCTTATTTTATTATCCATCCAAGCATCTATAAAATACACATGTGAAATAATAAATTCATCTTTGATATTTTGCTTTCAGTCATATAAAAATCATGGTTTTACATATATTTTTGTCATTATGAAGACATTTATCAAGATAGAAAGATTTATTATGTACATTTCTTAACTGTTTGTTAGTTTGATTTGTAACTTTAACTATCACGCAGGTGGTACGTGGGCCACGCGTGTTAGGGGAGGCCTGGATGAAGGTCCCAGAGACTCCCAAGCCTAGCACATTGGGGTTCACACAGCTCTGGCAGCCTGGGGAGAAATCACCCAAAAAGCCAGAGCAGAAAACCAGGAAATGACAGACATCAGGTGGTTCAGAGAGTCAGTCCCCAAGGACACGTGAGACAGCCTCTAGAGACTCCCAGAAACAGCTGGGAGACATTTAAGGACAAACTAGAATTCCTAAATTATGTGTGGAGATATACGCTGAGCAATATTGAGCTTCTCTCTTTGTGGCCTTGTTCCTACCCAAAGACCATGCAGTCTGAAAAAAAAACTTGGATTGCATAAAGAAACAGAAAAGTCCCCCATCTGAAACTTCCAAAATAATATGCTTTGCAAACATTTAAACATATCTTAATTCTGCTGTAATAAGCAACTTAGTTTTTAGATAACCACAAACTGAAACCCACTAGAAAACCAACTTAGCTGAGCTACACAAACTACAAGAAAAGAAGCTGTAAGAATAAACCATGAAAAGCAAGAGATGACTAAAGTTCTTGGGATCTTTGCAGCAAAAGTAACCAAATATATGGTATCTATGTGAGTGAATTACCTGTAAATCTTCTCCATCTACAGGTAATCAGTCATTTCAAATACAAAGAAAACCCAGAATGAACTCCTGGGAATTATTTATGTAAGACCCAATAGCTGCTAGGGGTCATAAAATGACAGTTTACAGGGAGCCCAAATAAAACTCAATACCATCCAAAGCAAGACATCCTGTGGGTAGCGGGTAGGCAAACATTCCCACCGCGAGAACTCTGGCTTCAATGGCTGCTACAAGACAAGGGCAAGCCCAGAGCTGAAGGCAAGCACAGGACCCCCCTGTGCCCATGCAGCTCACGATTTTTAAGAGCCCACAGCATCTGGAGGGTGAGCAAACACCCGTATCATTAATCACAGAACAGGCAGCCCCTCTTTGTGCCATGCGCATGCCTATTAGTCTGAACTGTTTGGGAAGCCAGTGCTCTAGATGACCTAGACTGACCTTGGAATGTTCTGTTCAGGACAAAATGTCACCTAGGAATCGACTCTTTGTGAATAAGACCTAACTGAGCTGAAAGTGCTCTAAAACGATCAATAGGCAAGCCCGATAATACACACAGCATGGCTTTCTCAGTTATCTGATTCCTACAGAGATGAATCCCCATGAACATTCCCTGCTGGGCCTTTTCTGCTCATGTGTGTTCATTCCGCCTAGGGTCTAAGAAACATGGGTAACTGCAAATTATTAGGGGATTGTAATTCTATGGGAAATAATTTTGTCTAACATTGGAGGATTAGTGCTCCCAGTGAATTCGGGAAGTTGCTTCTTTAGTAATAATCTCTGACTTCAGAACTCAGAGTGATTTTGAAATGATATCTTTGAAGCTAAGCAACCATAGAAACCACTCATGGAGCGTTTTCATAGGGAAGTAGCTCAAATCTTAAGGTTAAAAGGATGTCAAATTTATATGCAAAACTATGTAACCAGAAAGAAGGGAGAGAGGGAGGAGGGAGGAGAGGAGGGGACAGTGCTAGGGACTTGAGGAGGAAGGATTATGATGTACAATGTGGGATAAAGCAAATTTTTCACAAGAATAAAAATTCCATTAAAATGGCATATAAAGTTACAGATGACAGAATCTGGCAGGTTTGGGGGGTTTTTAAAGGCATTCTGAATAATAAAGACTTGAAAAGGATGAAGACACAGGGCTAAAGTAAATTAAAATGGAGTCCAGGCCTGAACAATCCCTGAACAAAGTCAATCAGTTCTCATGAGTGACCCCAACCTGGCTTCGTTTGCAAACATAAGCAAAACTTAACTTGAGCTGTTTCTTGTAAATGGATGTCCCCACTCCCGCCTGCCTGCGTGGCTGCTCCCAAGTCAGCGGGAACACGAGGGAGCTGCAGGAGGTGCATTTCCCAGGGAGCAAAGCTATGACTGCGACAACCCTGGCGGCCCTTCGCTGCAGCCGAGGCTGACCGGGCCCCCAGACATTCGCTGGCAGGCAGCCAGTCACAGCCCCACGCCATGTTTTCAGCGACTGGATTTCTGTCTAATAAAAACAGAATTGGCGCCAAACCAATTGGTTAAACGTTACAGAGATTGTCCAGCATTTTGTTTAAAGTTTCCTAGTCTGTTTTCTTAAAGAAGTATGCACTTTAGCCATTGACTTGGGTCTACCTTTTATGACTTTTTCGTATATTATATTTTTAATCACTGCATTGCTAAGTGGGAATTATTCTCTTTGCAGGGTGAATGCGGGGTTGAGATAATTTCTCGAAGCTGGCTGTGAAAATTCCCGTGCTATGCAACTGAAGAGGAATTATTACTTTACCTGGAATCCTTGACACTCTCAGCCCTCAGTTTGAACTCTATTTTAAAGTTGCATATTTATGTGCCATTTACAGTAAATGCTCCAGGTTTGATCACCCAATATTCCAAATTTTGAACACCTACTGCATGCCCTCTCAGCCCACAGGAATTTCAAATGCCTTCTGTCTTTTGGTGCTGCCTTAATTAAAAAGAAAGGAAAAGAAAACTGGCCTAGTTTTGAGGTAAACATAAATATACAAGGCATTTCTTAAAGGGATTAAAGGATGAGGATTAGTGAAGAAAAGTTTTTCCCTTATATGTTCTGGTACTGGAAAGCAGAGAGAAGTCTGGGAATCAGAGAAGCGCACTGAGGATCAAGACCCCCCAAGCCCCACACAGGGCTGCCCTCCTTCTCATCTGCAGAGCAAGGACCCCTGAGGAAGGTCACTGCTGGGACCCCCCTGCTTGCTGCCCAGCTCAGAGACTCTTCTGTTTGCCTGAAATCCCACACAGGGGTAATCACAGGATTCTAGAATTTCTCAACCCAACTCCTTGGCCTCCAAGGCAGGGAATCTGAGGGCAGCAAGTGGAGAAGGTGCCCTGGGGCAGAGCTGGGTGGGCGTGCTCCCCTTTGGTGCTCTGCTCCCACACAGTCTCCTCTCTGCCTTGTATTCTTCTGCCCCTAGGTGAGTTCATTTTCTATGACAAGTGAGAGAAGTCTCTCTGAGATGGAGGAGGGAGACTGATGATGAATTGACAGTCTTGATATACTGGCTTAGCTCGTCGCCCTGGGCACACTTTAAAGGCCCCTGCTTTCTACACTGCACACACAGGTGTTCAACCCCAGGCCAGGGAGGCCCGGGTTTGGGATGCCTTCCTCGGGAGTGTGGCTGTCTCTTGCCCATTCTATTAGTTGACCTTGGTTTTATTCCCTACAAAGGGCTGGTCAAGGTTCTTTGTCACGAGACATTTTCAAGGTCCCTCACAACATCGTCCTTCAAACAGTTTTCTAAAAGATCCAAAACCCTACCGCTGAGAACTGCAACTTCCTAGAAAACTCCTAACATCCTGCTAAACTTTCAAGGTAATTGCTAGCAGATTATAGTCTCTAGCCATCTTCAAGTAATTTCACACACACAGCCCTCAAACATACCCAGGTGTACAACTACTTTTGCATTCCCATGCAATAGGACAGTCCCGGCAAAAGTGACAAAACTGAGTTCTCTGGCTGCAGCCTCAGCTGCTCTGTGGGAATTCCCTCACTCAACCGTATCTCTAACGGAATTGTAAGAGACTCCGGGGGTGTTGTACATGGATTCCAAGAGCCAGTGGATTTGACTAAGGAGCCGCAGCTTACTTACTTAGGTTTTCAGCTTGTCTCATTGTGTTGCAATCACCTGCTGCTGATGTCAGAAGGGGTCCCTGTGCCAGGGTTTCAATATTTATGCACGTGACATGTCTGTCCCCTCCCGCGGCCATCTACGCTGCTTCCCTTCCCATGTCCCAGCACAGCCCACGGCTCTGCACAGGCCTTGCTCTCTCTGCTTTGCACATTTGCCTGGGCAATGTCCTCCCTCACCACCTCTTCCAGCGGCTCTCCACCCAGTCTTCAATGTTCATCTCAAGTAAAAACTCTTCCATAAAGCTTTCTTGATTCCCTTACCAGATTGTATTTTTCCCTCTTATAAATCTCAGAAATGCTTTCTCTATCCTCTTAGGTATAATCGTAGTCTGCACTGTATTGCAATATTTATGTATTTGTCTCTAGAGACTATGAACTCTTTGAGGGCAGAGACTGTATGTTACTCACCTCTGAATCCCAAAATGCCTCTAACTCAACATCTTTATACAGAGAAAGCAATCATTAAGTGTCATTGATTGATTAACAAGTAATCTTTAATTGCCCTTCATCTCTGAACAACTGAAAAATTTGCAGACCATACGGTAGGCCTTTTCAAAATGTCCAGTTGCATTTTTTAGGGTTTTATGGTTGTCAATTGCAGTTAAAAGGGTTGTCAATCATTAGGATTTCTAGAAAACTATCAACCATAATAACATAAACAGTCTTTTTCCTTATGTGCAGGAGATACGTTCGAAGACCCCCAGTAGATGCCTGAGACGGGAGATAGTACCAAATCCAAAGTCCCATGCCTCTTATGTTTTTTCTTTCTTTTCTTTTCTTCTTCTTTTTTTTTTAATCAAAGCCCACTGCAGCATTAAACTCCCAGGCTCAAGCAATCCTCCCACCTCAGCCTACCGAGTAGCTGGGACTACAAGTGCGTGCCACCATGCCCAGCTTATTTTTATAATTTTTGTATCGATGGGGTCTCGCCATGTTGTCCAGGCTGGTCTTTACCTCCTGAGCTCAAGTGGTCCTCCCACCACGGCCTCCCAAAGTGCTGGGATTACAGGCATGAGCCACTGTGCCTGGTTCTTTTTTCTTATATATACATATATATATACATACATACATATGATAAAGTTTGAGGTGCAACACTAAATCTAACACAGTATTTTTCCTTCTTCACAATTTCACAGATAGAAGATTAGTTCTGTGAACCGTGAACATTTGAGACAGGTCTCAGTTAATTTAGAAAGTTTATTTTGCCAAGGTTGAGGACGCACGCTTGTGACACAGCCTCAGGAGGTCCTGAGGACATGTGCTTAAGGTGGTCAGAGCACAGCTTGGTTTTATACATTTTAGGGAGACATGAGACATCAATCGATATATGTAAAATGAACACCAGTTTGGTCCAGAAAGGTGGGACAACTGGAAGCAACTCAAAGCTGGGAGGGGGCTTCCAGGTCACAGGTAGGTGAGAGACAAATGGTTGCATTCTTTTGAGTTTCTGATTACTCTTTCCAAAGGAGGCAATCAGATATGCATCTATCTCAGTGAGCAGGAGGATGACTGAATAGAATGGAAGGCAGGTTTACACTAAGCAGTTCCCAGCTTGAATTTTCCCTTTAGCTTAGTGATTTTGGGGGCCCAAGATATTTTCCTTTCACAGTTCTTACCATAGATCTTAGCAATCTCAGCATTCAATTTTTTTTTCTTTTCTTATTAAGTGGAGAACTTTCACCTTTCCACTTAAAGGAAGCATTTGGCAGCTTTTTTTTTCTTTTGGCATATCTGAATTGCCAGCATCAACACTATTGCACTTTGGGGCTGTTACTAAGTAAAATAAGGGTGGCACCTATAATCCCAGCACTTTGGGAGGCCGAGGTGGGTAGATCACTTGAGGCCAGGAGTTCAAGACCAGCCTGGCCAACCTGGTGAAACCTCGTCTCTACTAAAAGTACGAAAATTAGCCAGGCGTGGTGGCACACACCTGTAGTCCCAGCTACTCAGGAGGCTGAGGCACGAGAATAGCTTGAGCCCGGGAGGCAGAGGATGCAGTGAGCCAAGATCGCACCACTGCACTCCAGCCTGAGCAACAGAGCAACATCCTGTCTCAAAAAAAAAATAAAAATAAATAAATAAATAAATAAATAAGGGTGGCTTGAACACAATCACTGTGATACCATGATAGTTGATCTGACAACCAAGTGGCTATTAAGTGACCAAGGTATATAGCGTGGATTCGCAGGACAAATGGAGCAGCCACGTTCCAGGGTAGACAGAATGGGGATGATGCAAGAGTTCATCACACTACCCATAAATTGTTTATTCATCACACTACCTATAAATTGTTTATTTCTGGAATTTTCCATTTAATATTTTTGGACCACAGTTGGCTGCAGGTAACTGATAACTCAGAAAACATAACTGTGGATGAGGGGGCACTACTGTATTCTAATCTTACTCTCTCCACTCATATTTATTTATTAGGAAATCCATGGAAATTCAAACAAATGAATGAATTTGGTGTGGTGGCTCATGCCTGTAATCCCAGCACTTTGGGAGGCCAAAGCAGGAGGATCCCTTGAGCCCAGGAGGTTGAGGCTGCAGTGAGCTATTTATGATTGGGCCACTGCACTCCAACCTGAGTGGCATAGTGAGATCTGTCTCTAAAAATAAATAAATAAATAAATAAATAAATAAATAAATAAACAAACAAAGAATCCATAAGGCAAAAACCCTGTGCCCTAAACAACTTTACCCTCCAGAGAGCTGGGCTTGCATGAGGGTTCTGCCCCTGCTACTGATTCCTAGTCCCAGAAAAATTTCTGTAATGTGGAACAAGTGGTTTTAATATGAACTTTTTACTAGAAACAGATTATTATTTCTGTTACAATTGCTGGCCTCTCTTCAAAAATACCATTTTCATCACTATAACAGCATCATCCTGTCAGCCATTAAATAAAGGCTCTCTGGGAGAGCCTTCCCTATGCAATGCTCTGGGCCACACTGAGACTATCAGAGGTCTGCAATGGAAAGAATATGATAGCCCTTGTAACACATCACTATGGTGTGAAGGTGTCCACCAGAATTAACAGCGAATGTGACAGCACTGAGTAAAGAATAATTATTTTTGTATCCTTTGGTGCTGGTCAAAGGATATAGGAGGAATACATTTTGAGACTGTAGTCAACTCCTTCAAGTCCTTTCTTAATGACTTCAGCCATGGAGGACGGCACAATTTAAGCTAACTCAGTGAGACAGGAAGAACTCTTCACAGAGAGCGAGAACCTGCACAACCATGGCGTCCTCAGCTCCCCACAGTGCTGCAGGAGATGCCCTGGCTCAACTACTTTGTCCTTGGAAGAAACAAACAGTGCCTGGACCAAGAGGTGGTGGCAGCTGACCTGGATGGCACAGAAATACACACACTCACAGCCAGAGCTTTGCAGACAGCCCTGAAACCTGCCACAGCACAGAAAGCAATACAAGTGGATGAAACCACGGTGGAAGAAGAGAAAATATACAGAAGAATCTTCAAACTGCAAGAGTCGAAAGGGATCCTCCATGGAAGAAGAGAACCCAGTTTATACTAGGAAAAGGAAAGGCAAGATGTCAAAGCCGTTGTGGCACTGTGGCCCCAGTGGAGGCTGGCTGGAGCTGCCTATGGTGAAGTCAACACTGGGCCTGACACCCAGGCTTGGCTTGACGGTTCTTCAAGCCCCCTGGCCTGTGCACCAGCAGCCACAGCATGGATTCCTGCGATCTCAGTGCATGGCAGCCCTCTCTCCAGCAGCAGAGAGCTCTCCCTGGCTGAGGCCCATCAGAGCAAGGCTGCTGTTATGGGCCAGTGACTTGCCAGGGGCCACACTGCAAAACTAGATCCAGGGTCTTGGAAAGCACAAAGAAGCTCTCCAGTGGTCTTGCCCAAATCTGCAGCAGCCTACAGACCCACCTACGAGAAGCCAGCCTTCACAGATGGGCCTTCAGTGGGCTATCTGGGACCAGAAGAGACCTCTTCACTTCAGGCTCCTTGATGGTTTGAGTGTGAAGTTCCAGAATTAGAAGCAATGTTCCTCTGGGGAATTCAGGAGGGGGAGATACACTGTCCCTGTATCACTTAGATACAGTTGTGCTGTCCATGCCTCCCTGTCCAGGTGACCCTGGCCACTCCCTGCTGCCTCCATGCACTGAAGCTTCCTGTCACCCTTCCAGCTGAATTATCTTGCTCTCAGGGCAGCTGCCTTCTGCCTCCTGTAACTCAGTCTCTTGTTTGCCCAACCCTACCTGCAATGGGGGTGATGTGGAAGAATGCCATGTTCTCAGGAAAACTGCCGTTCACCCTCCTCAGAGGACCCCCAGCATCCGGCATTTCTACTCTGTGTATGCCTGAGGCTGGGAGGTTAGGCTCAGAGAAGTGAGAGTTCTGGGCTCTGAAAGGGCACATCCAGAAAGTGGGGGGCAATGGACACATAGGCCCAGGCAGCAGAGCAAGACAAGTCCAGTGTCTACAGTAGCAAAACAGGCGTCTGCCCTCCAATCCCAGCTCCTGCTCCTCCTCCTCCTCCTCCTTCTTCTCTTCCTCCTCCTCCTTCCTCTCTTCCTCCTCCTTTTCCTCCTCCTCCTTCTCCTCCCTGTCCTCCTCCTCCTCCCTCTCCTCCTCCTCCCTCTCCTCCTCCTCACTCTCCTCCTCCTCCCTCTCCTCCTCCTCCCTCTCCTCCTCCTTCTTCTCCTCCTCTCCTCCTACTTCTCCTCCTCTCCTCCTCCTCTTTCCTCTCCTCCTCTCCTCCTCCCCTTTCCTCACCTCCTCCTCCTCCCCTTTCCTCACCTCCTCCTCCTCCTCCCTCTCCTCATCCTCCTTCTCCTCCTCCTCCCCTTTCCTCACCTCCTCCTCCTCCCTCTCCTCATCCTCCTTCTCCTCCTCCTCCCTCTCCTCATCCTCCTTCTCCTCCTCCTCCTCTCCTCCTCCTTCTTCTCCTCCTCTCCTCCTCCTCCTTCCTCTCCTCCTCTCCTCCTCTTCCTTCCTCTCCTCCTCTCCTCCTCCTCCTTCCTCTCCTCCTCCACCTCCTCCTTCCTCTCCTCCTCCTCCTCTTCCTCCTTATCTTCCCTCTCCTGCTAGGAAGAGCATTAAATAGAACTTGAGATCTTCCCCCTGCTGTACCCAGCAGTTCTTTTCTAACTGCCTGTGGAACAGTGTTTTGTGTTCGCCCTATTTACCAAAGACCAAAAATTGGTTTGGAGGCAGCTTCTACCTTCTCTTCTACCTTTCTAGTTAGTGGTAATTTGGATAAGGGAATTGTAGGGCTTAGATTAGTCTAGGGTTTTCAGTGACAGGCACAGAGTAATCATCTCTATGCCATCGTGGTCCAGCGGTCCCTGCTAGGTCTGTACACTCTGCAGAGAGCACTCCTCTCTTCCAGGATTCATGGGGGTGACTCATCTGGTGGCCTCCTTCCACATGTTTAGCCTGTACACAGGGCGTGGGTTAGTTCCGCGCAGTTGGCAGTGAGACCATCATGCTCCAGCCAGCCTCTCTGCCCCAGAGAATCATGGGCTGTTCTCCAAGAAACTGGAAACTAGAGTGCTCACTCCCAGGCCTGAAGCACACAGTTTTCTCATGAATGCCTCTCTGTTGTGTTTTGTATGATTTTGCCGCATGACATTTGTAGTAATTCAGGCCTGTTCAAGTTGAATTCTTTGCAAGTTGCCTTATTCTCCCTTTCCTGAGATTTTGTACATATTGTTTTCCTGAGTAATGGTATTTCTAAGTTAATTTCTTCTAATCAGAGCTACCAAAATGTACGTGCTTTCAGTAAACTCCTATTTGGTTTTGTTTTTTGATAAATTTTTTAAAAAGAGGTGATTAAGTCATGAGAGTGAAGTCCTCATGAATAGAATTAGTGCTCTTATAAAAAAGGCTTGGGAGGCTGGGCGCAGTGGCTCACGTCTGTAATCCCAGCACTTTGGGAGGCCAAGGTCGGCGGATCACTTGAGGCCAGGAGTTCAAAATCAGCCTGGCCAACGTGGTGAAACCCCGTCTCTACTAAAAATACAAATATTAGTCAGGCATGGTGGTGCGTGGCTGTAGTCCCAGCTACTCAGGAGGCTGAGGCAGGAGAATTGCTTGAACGTGGGAGGCAGAGGTTGCAGTGAGCCGAGATCATACCACATCACTCCAACCTGAGCGACACAGCAAGACTCTGTCTCGAAAAAAAAATACAATATTATTCAGTGATTTTTTTTTTTTTTGAGACAGTCTCATTCTGCCACCTAGGCTGGAGTACAGTGGCACTGCACGATCTCGGCTCATTGCCACCTCTGCCTCCCAGATTCAAATGATCCTCCTGCCTCAGCCTCCCAAGTAGCTGGGATTACAGGTGTGTGCCACTATGCCCAGCTAATTTTTGTGTGTTTTCAGTGGAGACAGGGTTTCACCATGTTGGCCAGGCTGGTCTTGAACTCCTGGCCTCAAGTGATCCGCCCACCTCCGGCTCCCAAAGTGTTGGGGTCACAGGCACAAGCCATTGTGCCTGGCCAGGTGATTTTTAAAAATGAAGTACTGATGCATACCACACTGTGGATGACCCTCAAACACACCGTGCTCCATTAAAGAAGCCAGCCACAAAAGATGTCATAGTATATGATTCTATCTATATGAAATGCCCATTCATAGGCAATTCCACAGAGACAGAAAGTAGACCTACTAATCACCTGCATTATAGTTGAGCTGCTTCCTCCTCTGTGAAACCTTTCCTGACAGAAGCAGGCAGCCTGGCAGGGTCTGGTGGCATCAAATTGTCATTATTGACTAGAAAATAAGTTTCATAAAGGCAAGAATAAGAATTGCCTATTTTGTTCTCTGCTGTACCCTCAACACACCTAGAACAGTGCTTGGTATATAACAGGCAACAGCAAATATGTATTGCATGATTGAAGGACTAAAACTGTTTGCATGCCTCTGCCTTCCCCATCAATAGGCAGTGTCTTTAGGGAAAGAGAAGATTTCGTTCCATTCATATTCACGGCCCAGTACCCAAAGAAATAGCATGCCTGGCACAGAGTACTCAAGTACACAGCCAATAAATATTGGCTGAATGAATGAATGAAAAGGAAATAGGGCTAAAACTAGTTTTGACCCACTACCCTGGAAGAGCGTAGTTCTTCTCCGATCCAGATATTCAGCACTTGCTCCTTGCAGACATCTTCAGACCCAGGCAAGCCTCCTTGAGCTTCTGAGCCCCTGCTTCTGAGAGTGGCTCTTGGACTTTCCTTTCACTCACATGTGGTCTGTCTCAGACATGTTTCCATGTTGAAACGTCACCTAGTATCTCAACAGACCTGAACAATACTACAGATCATGTCATTAGCATATACACTCAGATCCAGTCATACAGATGATAAACGGAAAACAAACCAAGACCAGTTGAAGACCTGGGTGAAGTGGTAGGTCCCAGGGCCCAAACTAGGAGGAATCACTGCATTCATCATGCTTCCAGAGAGCCAGTGCGGGTCCTCAGCCAGAGAGAAGCAAACCTATGTAGCCTTTTATAAAGAGTGCTCAAAAAGTTAGACCCCTGCATAACCTCCCAGCACCTTTCAGGAATTCGTGGAAGAGATGGCCAGCTGATAGGCATTCATTTAAAAGACATAGTTCCTTCCAAAATGTACCATGAGAAAAATAATTTTTAACCCAGTTCAAACGTATATTACCCACTCTAACTAAAAGGCATGTATTAATTTTAATTAAAATAGTATTGAGTGTAACATGTGTTTCGTTGTTCTATTAATGCAAATCTAACAGGACATCCAGACTTTAGCAAGAGACTGCACTTCCATCAGCAAGGAGGTTGATGAATTTCATCAACAGTAAGAAGGAAATAGCAAGAACTTCATCATTATTGCATTGCCTTTTTATAGGGCTACCTCTAAAACTCAAAAACAAACACACTTGCACACACGCCCATATTATGAGCCCTCTATATATACTACAGCCAAAATTCTTGGCTCCCCAAGAGAGCTTTACATGGAATGTAATAAAGAAATACCCAGGAAACTCTATAAGACTTTTGACAAGGCTAATATTGGACAGGAACAAAACAAGACTACTGGCACCATCTCCTCTCAGCTCTTAAGTAAACTTGTCCCATTAAAAAGTAGCCTATGGAAGACTTTTGTCTCCAATGCATATGGTAGCTTATAAGAAGTAGAAGGGCTGCCAAGTTGTAGATGTGTTCAAGCACTCTTTACCCTCATTAAATAGCATTGCCTGGCAACCAAAGACTCCAACTGAACTTTACATGGGAGGATGGTGTTTATGGTGGTGTGAAGTATCGCTTAGAGCCACAGAGCACCCCAGCACCCTGCAGTAGAGCCCACTGTGTGCTGAGCGTCATTTCAGGCAGGACAAACAAGCCAAGCTGAGCTGCTCTAAGGACCCACTATTAAATCAGGAATAGTCCACACCCTGGGGAAGAGTTGAGCCACACTTGGCCACAGAACACAGACACCAAGCTCCATAGGTTAAGGGGAAATGGGGGAAGGGACAGAGCCACAGAGATGCACAGCATTGCATGGTCAGGAGCCAGTCCAGAGGGCCAGGGGTTTCCTGTGCCAAGACATGGTGCTGGGACTCCAAAGGGAAAGAAAAGCAATGCATTCCTGGGACATCCCCCTAGGGTTGCAGTTGAGAAGATTTCACCATGCCTTAGACCTAAGTAGATTTAGTCATTGGAAACTGGTCTTGCTGTATCTAAAATGTGCTTTCAAACCATGTATGGCAGGAGAAATCTGGTAATGTACCTTTATTTCTTGTAATCAAAAATGCCAATCCCTGATCTCTTCACATTCTTCCCGCAGTATTTCATGTCTGATTCCTAAGCCCACTTAGGTCTCATTTAAAGCAATGTTTCCAAAGAGTTTAACTACATGTTGATCTTTTTTATTTTTTCTTTGCAGATAACTATGTGACTTCTTGGTTGTTTTTAAGACTACTGCGCCACTCATTCCTACATTATTGACCTTGTTATCTTCTTTCTTGTTTAAAATATGTATATTACTATGCGTATGGAAGCATTTTCCCCCAGAAAGACAAGGAAAAGAGTGGGAGTAAAATAACTGGACTCTCACATTTCCTGTTGCTACTCAAAATGTGTGCATAGGTCACTTGAACTGGGAAATGGGAAAATCTGCTCACAAGTCCATAAAAAAAAGGGGGCTATAAATTTAGTTCTAGGACCTAAATTCCTTCTTTAAAGGAGTAGCTCATTCTATTATCATCATCTACAATTAACCCAACAGCACAGGTCATTCTATTTCCATTGCCACTAACCCTGCCTGCCACTTTTTTATGCCTCCAGGGCACTGGCCTGGCCACCTCCCAGCCCTGTTGGCAAAATGCCAGAGATTAGGAGCCAGGAAAGAAAAGTTCTGAGTGCAAAGGCCAAGGCTCTGGGTGATGGAATCAGAAAATTACAAGGCTTACAGCTTAAATGGGCTTCTCTTGTGGAAAAATGTGAAACATACAGCTAAAAATTTAACAACAATATAAAACTTTCCATGTTTTTCTTTTTTTTTCTTTTCTTTTTGAGGCAGAGTCTCACTCTTGCCCAGGCTGGAGTGCAGTGATGCCCTCTCGGCTCACTGCAACCTCTGCCCCCCAGATTCAAGCACTTCTCCTGCCTCAGCCTCCTGAGTAGCTGGGATTACAGGCACCTGCCACCACACCCGGCTAATTTTTGTATCTTTAGTAGAGATGGGGTTTCAGGTGATCTGTCCACCTCGGCCTCCCAAAGTGCCGGGATTATAGGCATGAGCCACCGAGCCTGGCCACCTTCTATGTTTCACAATGGTTAGAACGAGTCCAGAGACAGTGAGAGCAACAACATTCACAGAAACTTAGGTTGAGTTGATGTCCCTGACTACAGTGATGCAAAGAGATAGGAAAGGAAAGGAAAGTTGTGATTTATTTCAAAGACTAAAGCAACAGATTCACCTGTTGAAGGATGAAAGACTGGAATGAATAGCACAATTTCTAGGTTTTGACCAGGAATTCCTGGATAATCAACAGTATCACTGACAATAATAGGGAAATGGGAAGGAGAACTCTTGTGTGAGGTCTAGCATAGAGGAACATGTGCTGGACTGAGTTTTGAAGACTTCATCTTAGTCATCTTAGTAGCCACTTTCACTATGTGGCCTTGGGCAGGTCAATTAATTAAGCTGAATTCATTTCTCTCATCTGTGAAATCCAAAGTTTGAACTAAATGATATTCAAGGATGAGCTATGAAGTTCATGTGCTGTCATTCCACCTTCCTATACCTTTAGAGGACAATGCTCGTTAATCATGGTCTATTTCCACTAAGTCTGGACATGGCCTTAGAATTCTTTTCAACCAGCATTACAGGAAGCCAAGGCCCATCTATTGGAGTTTCCATGAAAGATAAATTCTATGCAACATGAGAAATCTCTAAGTTCCTTCCTTTTGATTTTGATAAAGAGGATGTGCTCAATTCCATCCTTTAAGTTTTATTGGTAAGTGGAAATTCTATTCAGAAAAATTTAAAACCCAAGAATGAAAACAGAGTAGGCCTCCATTTCTGGTCTCATGAGTAGCTAGGCATGCTGGGGAAACTTCCTAGCCACAACTAGTCCACAGAAACAGATATGACACTCTTTGAGGTGTTTCTACTCTTCCAAAATGTAGGAGAGTTCTTTAGGGACAACTCCAAAAAACAACAACAAACAACAAATAAGAGCTAGAGCTTGTTGTGGGGGAGAGTGGAAAGGGTAGGGCTGGAGTAGGCAAGAGTTAAGGATTTGGCAGGTAGAATTGTCAGGGCAAGAACACCAGGAAGCATGGGCAGAACAGCAGAAAGCCAGAGGGTAGAGTCAATGTGGGAATTAAGCAACATGGACCCACAGTGGAGGTTGGCTACCCTGAGTCCTTGGTTATATGGCTAGACAGTTGTAGGAATGTTGACCTACAGAAGATCATTGAGGAGGAAGCCAAGTTTGAGATATCCATTCTAACACAAAACCTTCAGGAAAGGCTGAAGTAGACCCTAAGTAGGGATGCCCCCAAGCTATTCATAGAAGAATAAATTCTCCTGGGAAGAAAGCTTCCCCCAGGTCAGGCGTGTTGCTTCCCTGGCAACCCACTGGTGTGTTTGGTGTGTTGCCAAACACACCAGAAGTTTAGCTATTCAGCAAGAGATACAACATACTAAAGAACTTTATATGAAATGTTTAAGGAAATGAAGGATGAAATTACAAAAATGAGTATATAAAAATAAACAATTAATAATGAACAGACAGAATTTTTAAATACTAACCTCCAAGAATAAAATGTATAATTATTGGATTCAAAATCTCAAATAATTGGGCTAAATTTTACAGAGATTAGATACAGTTGACAAGAGAATTAGTGAACTGGAAGGCATATTCAAAGAATTTAGAATATAGCAAAGAGAGAAAAAAATGAAAAATATGAAGAGCTGAAGACATATAGAAGGTGAGAAGATATAATACCTACTAAGTGACATCCAAAAGAGGAAATTGAGAGAATTTTGAAGATACAATGTCTGGCTGCAGATTTTCCAGAAATTATATTAACTATGAATCCATGGACCCAACAATCACTACATATCCTGAGAAAACTTGATAAAGAGATCACTCACAGTGAAACTAGAGAGCACCAAAATTGAGAACATCATGAATATACAGAGCAAGAAGGGCTATATCACTTGGAAGGGCAGCTGAAATAAACAAAGGCAAACTTTTCAACAATAATGGAGACCAGAAGATAAGTGGAATAACTACAACATGTTAAAAGAAAATAATAGTTGACCAAGAATTATGTATAAAGCCAAAAGTGAGAAAAAATAGGAAAAACAGGACTGGGAATGGTGGCTAACACCTGTACTCCCAACACTTTGGGAGGCCAAGGCAGGAGGATCACTTGAGCCCAGGAATTTGAGACCAGCCTGGACAATGCAGTGAAATCCCATCTCACTTGAGCTCAGCCAAAAGGCCAAGAAGTGATCTGAAATCCTATCTATACAGCAAAATTTTTAAATTAGCCAGGTGTGGTGACATGTGCCTACAGTCCTAGCTACTCAGGAGGCTGAGGCAAGAGAATTACTGAGCCCAGGAGTTTGAAGTTACAGTGAGCTATGATCATATCACTGCACTCCAGCCTGGGTGACAGAGCAAAACCCTGCCACTAGAAAATAATTTTTAATTTTTTAAAAAATAGGAAAAACAGAATGAACCCAAAGGAGTTAAAAGAAAGGAGCAGAAAGCAACAAAATAAAAAACAAAGTTAAAATAGAGAGAATCAACAAATCCATAAGTTTGTTTAAAAAAATTACAAATATATTGACTTTAAGAAAAAAGACACAAATATATAACATAAATGCAGATAATTACAGTTTGAGCAAATATTTAAAACATAAACGTAATTTTTTTCTACTGCTGGTGAACAAATTAAGATAAACATAATTCTAACAATAACTATACCAATAAATTTTAAAATAATAAAATGGAGAAATTTCTGGAAGAATATAACCTAGTGTTATGTTTCCCCATAAATTTCAGCCGATTTTAATTACTGCATGTAATCATATAATTCCTGGGAACTGATGTTGTGCAACTTCCAAAGATAAATCATAGAAGGCAGTGAAGTTTCTATTTTGTCCACTGGGACACTTGCTTTTGGAAACCTGAACTACATATATATGTATATATATAATTATACTTTAAGTTCTAGGGTACACGTGCACAACGTGCAGGTTTGTTACATATGTATACATGTGCCATGTTGGTGTGATGCACCCATTAACTCATCATTTACATTAGGTATATCTCCTAATGCTATCCCTCTGCTCTCCCCCAACCCCACAACAGGTCCCAGTGTGTGATGTTCCCCTTCCTGTGTCCAAGTGTTCTCATTGTTCAATTCCCACCTATGAGTGAGAACATGCGGTGTTTGGTTTTTTGTCCTTGCAATAGTTTGCTGAGAATGATGGTTTCCAGCTTCATCCACGTCTCTACAAAGGACATGAACTCATCATTTTTTATGGCTGCATAGTATTCCATGGTGTATATGTGCTACATTTTCTTAATACAGTCTATCATTGTTGAACATTTGGGTTGGTTCCAAGTCTTTGCTGTTGTGAGTAGTGCCGCAATAAACATACGTGTGCATGTGTCTTTATAGCAGCATGATTTATAATCCTCTGGGTATATACCCAATAATGGGATGGCTGGGTCAAATGGTATTTCTAGTTCTAGATCCTTGAGGAATCACCACAACTGTCTTCCACAAGGGTTGAACTAGTTTACAGTCCCAACAACAGTGTAAAAGTGTTCCTATTTCTCTACATCCTCTCCAGCACCTGTTGTTTCCTGACTTTTTAATGATCACTATTTTGACTGGTGTGAGATGATATCTCATTGTGGTTTTGATTTGCATTTCTCTGATGGCCAGTGATGATGAGCATTTTTTCATGTGTCTGCTGGCTACATAAATGTCTTCTTTTGAGAAGCGTCTGTTCATATCCTTTGCCCACTTTTTGATGGGGTTGTTTATTTTTTTCTTGTAAATTTATTTGAGTTCTTTGTAGATTCTGGATATTAGCCCTTTGTCAGTGAGTAGATTGCAAAAATTTTGTCCCATTCTGTAGGTTGCCTCTTCACTCTGATGGTAGTTTCTTTTGCTGTGCAGAAGTTCTTTAGTTTAATTAGATCCCATTTGTCAATTTTGGCTTTTGTTGCCATTGCTTTTGGTGTTTTAGACATGAAGTCCTTGCCCATGACTATGTCCTGAATGAATGGTATTGCCTAGGTTTTCTTCTAGGGTTTTTATGGTTTTAGGTCTAATATTTAAGTCTTTAATCCATCTTGAATTAATTTTTGTATAATGTATAAGGAAGGGATCCAGTTTCAGCTTTCTACATGTGGCTAGCCAGTTTTCCCAGAACCATTTGTTAAATAGGGAATCCTTTCCCCATTTCTTGTTTTTCTCAGGTTGGTCAAAGATCAGATAGTTGTAGATGTGTGGTATTATTTCTGAGGGCTCTGTTCTGTTCCATTGGTCTATATCTCTGTTTTGGTACCAGTACCATGTTGTTTTGGTTACTGTAGCCTTGTAGTATAGTTTGAGGTCAGGTAGCGTGGTGCTTCCAGTATTGTTCTTTTGGCTTAGGATTGACTTGGCAATGCGGGTTCTTTTTTGGTTCCATATGAACTTTAAAGTAGTTTTTTCCAATTCTGTGAAGAAAGTCATTGGTAGCTTGTTGGGGATGGTATTGAATCTATAAATTACCTTGAGCAGTATGGCCATTTTCACCATATTGATTTTTCCTATGCATGAGCATGGAATGTTCTTCCATTTGTTTGTGTCCTCTTTTATTTAGTTGAGCAGTGGTTTGTAGTTCTCCTTGAAGAGGTCCTTCACATCCCTTGTAAGTTGGATTCCTAGATATTTGAAGCAATTGTGAATGGGAGTTCACTCATGATTTGGCTCTCTGTCTGTTATTGGTGTATAAGAATGCTTGTGATTTTTGCACATTGATTTTGTATCCTCAACCTGCTTCTGAATGACTACTGGGTACATAATGAAATGAAGGCAGAAATAAAGATGTTCTTTGAAACCAATGAGAACAAAGACACAACATACCAGAATCTCTGGGACACATTCAAAGCAATGTGTAGAGGGAAATTTATAGCACTAAATGCCCACAAGAGAAAGCAGGAAAGATCTAAAATTGACACCCTAACAGCACAATTAAAAGAACTAGAGAAGCAAGAGCAAACACATTCAAAAGCTAGCAGAAGGCAAGAAATAACTAAGATCAGAGCAGAATTGAAGGAGATAGAGACATAAAAAACCCTTCAAAAAATCAAAGAATCCAAAATTGATAGACAGCTAGCAAGACTAATAAAGAAGAGAGAAGAATCAAATAGATGCAATAAAAAATGACAAAGGGGATATCACCACCGATCCCACAGAAATACAAACTACCATCAGAGTATACTATAAACACTTCTACACAAATAAACTAGAAATCTAGAAGAAATGGATAAATTCCTCCACACATACACCCTCCCAAGACTAAACCAGGAAGAAGTTGAATCTCTGAATAGACCGATAACAGGTTCTGAAATTGAGGCAATCATTAATAGCTTACCAACCAAAAAAAGTCCAGGACCAGATGGATTCACAGCCGAATTCTACCACACGTACAAGGAGGAGCTGGTACCATTCCTTCTGAAACTATTCCAATCAATAGAAAAAAAGGGAATCCTCCCTAACTCATTTTATGAGGCCAGCATCATCCTGATACCAAAGCCTGGCAGAGACACAACCAAAAAAGAGAATTTTAGACCAATATCCCTAATGAACATTGATGCAAAAATCCTCAATAAAATACTGGCAAACTGAATCCAGCAGCACATCAAAAAGCTTATCCACCATGATCAAGTGGGCTTCACCCCTGGGATGCAAAGCAGGTTCAACATATGCAAATCAATCAATGTAATCCAGCATATAAACAGAACCAAAGACAAAAACCACATGATTATCTCAATAGATGCAGAAAAGGCCTTTGACAAAATTCAAAAGCCCTTCATGCTAAAAACTCTCAATAAATTAGGTATTGATGGGATGTATCTCAAAATAATAAGAACTATTTATGACAAACCCACAGCCAATATCATACTGAATGGGCAAAAACTGGAAGCATTCCCTTTGAAAACTGGCACAAGACAGGGATGCCCTCTCTCACCACTCCTATTCAACACAGTGTTGGAAGTTCTGGCCAGGGCAATCAGGCAGGAGAAAGAAATAAAGGTATTCAATTAGGAAAAGAGGAAGTCAAATTGTCCCTGTTTGCAGATGACATGATTGTATATCTAGAAAACCCCATCGTCTCAGCCCAAAATCTCCTTAAGCTGGTAATGAAACACTTTTTAAGAAGTCTACTGTAAGCCACCATGCTCTATAGAAGCCAAGGCTGAAATCTCAGCTGACAGCCGGTGTCAATCCTCAGGTAAGTGCGTAAAGATGCCTTTGGATGACTCCAACCTCTGGCTATGGAGTCTGTCAAGAGAAAGCTCCAGACATCATGAAACAGAAACAAGCTATTTCCATGGTGACTTGACAGGATTCTGATCTACAGAATCAAAAATATAATAAAAATGACGATTGAAAGCTACTAAGTTTGAGGGTAATTTATTATGTAGAAAATGAAACACTTGCCAAAGCTGACTTAAGATAAAATAGAAATCCTGAACAGTCTTATGACTATCAATGAAATTATTTCATAGATCATGGTTTTAGTGTTGCATTTAAAAGGTCATTGCCAAACCTAAGGTCATCTAAATTTTCTCCTGTGTTCCTTGGCCATACCACATCTACTTGATTACTATAGCTTTATAGTAAATTTTGAAATGGAGTAGCATCGGTCCTCTGACTCTGCTCTTTTTCAATATTGTGTTAACTATCCTAGGTCTTTTACCTTTTTATATAAACTTTAGAGTGACTTTCTTGATGTCCATAAAATAACTTGTTAGTTGAGGCATGTTTCTGGCTTGCCTAGAGTCCAGCTCTCATCTGCCTCATGCCCCTGGAGAGGAGCCTTCAGTCCCGGTATGAGTTTCTCTAAGGCATCTGATTACGTCTAACTCTCTAATCAAAGGGAACGAGAAATAATGTTCACCTTATTCTGTAAACCTAACAAGATAGAATGGCTATTCTGTTTCAGAGGTGAGAAACCTATGAAATAACATATTTCTATCAAAACATCATAAACACTTATGTCACGTAAAATCCTGAGAAAGGAATAAATACCTAAAGGCTTTGGGTAAACATCTTTTACCTTTTGCATTTCCATTCTCAACTACAGACTACATTGAAAGCCTAAGCAATAACACAGGAGGGAGGCAGAATAATGGTCCCCAAAGATGGCCAGCACCCTGATTCCCAGAACCCGTGAATATGTGACGTCACATGGCCATAGGGAATGGAGGTGGCAGATGGAATTAAGGGTGCTAATCAGCTGGCCTTAAGAAGGGAGATTATATTGTATTATCAGGAGGTCCAATGTGATCACAGATCCTTAAATGTGGAAAAGGAGACCAGAAGAGCCCATCTAGGTGATGTGATGTGAGGAGGAACTGTCACTGCAGGCTCAGGTAGAGGAAGGGGCCATGAGTCAAAGAATTCGGACAACCACTTGAAGCTGGAAGAACCGTGGGCTTTCCCCTCAAACCTGCAGAGAGGAACACAGTCTGGGCTACATCTCCATTTTAGCCAAGTAAGACCCATGTTGGACTTCTGGTGCATAGAAATGCAAGCTAACAAACTTGTGCTGCTTTAAGCCACTAGGTCTGTGGTAATTTGTTACAATAGCAACAGGAAACTGATATGCCATGATCATTAAATCTATAAAGTAAAGCATATTCTGAGAAATATTAAAAAATAATTTTTCAAATCTTACTTGATATTTCAGACTATTAGTAAAACTGTTTTTGATAGCATGAATTTCAAGAATATAGTGGTTGTTATTCTTAATTTATCCCCTTCTCCTTCTCCTCACTCTCCCCCACTTTAGTTTCCATGTTATTGTGAATTGTAACTTAAGGTTGAGTTGAAAGACCACAAAATGGAAAGCTGTTATAAGTGGTTCCCTCAAATTTCCTGGACCTTGGGAAGCAGAGCCATGTGACTGCTTTT
Organism: Homo sapiens; assembly: GCF_000001405.40. Taxonomy (NCBI): domain Eukaryota; kingdom Metazoa; phylum Chordata; class Mammalia; order Primates; family Hominidae; genus Homo; species Homo sapiens. The sequence goes on along the minus strand of NC_000008.11, from coordinate 48,180,062 downwards.
CTGGTTTGACCTAGCTAATTCTCTGTTCATTGGTAGCCTTGGAATCCTTTATTATGAACATACAACATAATAACCACTTTCTATTTTTAAAAAATGGTTAGTAGTTTCTTTGGATCAAAGCAAAACACAAACTATTCCACATTAAAACTTCTCTTTTAATGAAAAAGGTTTTTTCAAGCCCAGTTAAGAAAAAAATAGTTTTCTTAGTCCTCTCCATCTTTGCAGTGAGTTGTTTTTCAGTTTCACTTTGGCTAAGGACCCAAATGTATGTAAGTCAAATGTAAATAAAATAAGTCAAGGCTAAAAAGATCTCATTAAACACATGTCACCAAAAGCAATTAGCAGATTTATTAATTTTTTTGCATAGTTTTTTATTCCTAGCATTAATCGTGCATGTAACTAAAGTCTTCTTGATTACATCCTTGAAAAATGTGTGTCTATTTCTCAAGTCTCACATGGCAAAGACCCAAACTGCCAGCTCTGGTTAAGGCCTTTACTTAAAAGTATAGTATAAAAGAGAAAAGTTAATTTGCCTGCTTAGTCAAAATAAGAGATGCCAAGGCCTTCCTGAAAAAAAAAAAATGTATATTTTTCGATGGCCAAGAAATGAACAATGGGTCAATAATCCCTTCCCAAGTACAGAGTGCGGTGCAGTGTGGGCCTGCAGTCTTGTGACAGTGTCTCCCGAGCTGCACTGCAGGGTGGCAGGTCCTCCAGGGGAGTCCCAGGACCGTTGGCAACCTGGTCCACTGCCCCTCCCACGGGCGGCACCTGGAGGTGAACACTTGCCGAGGGAGGATGAATGCCGGAGTGAGTCTGAACCGGGAGCCTACCCAGCCACTGCACGCAGAGCCCAGGGGGAGCCACAGGAAGATCCTTCACACCTTCCAGCCCTAAAAGCTTGCAGGAACGATGAGGTTAGAACTCAGACATGTCCAAGGCAGAGGCAGGCGAAAGAATTCAAGTAGAAGTGTTCACTAGGCTCTTGTACAATAGGCACTGTGATATCAATATGGAAATTGATGTTTACCAATGAGAATGAAGCTGTGGCAAAACAGCCCTCCACAAGGAGAAGAAGGTGGGGTCTGGCTTGGCTAGGGGAGCTCAGTCCCACCTACAAGGAGGCTGTCGGAAGGAGCAAAGGCAGAGCAACAGGGAGGGCAGGACACAGGGCGAGGGTAGTTCTGGGAGAACAGCACACTTTGCTGTGGTAGTCTCAGGAATTCACCCTGGTTTTCAGGCTTTGGAGGGTCCTAACCAGAAGTTGAAGCCTAATTATAGTCTCTTCCTTGAGGTTTCTGAGATAGCACAAGACTTGCATTTGCAAAATAAGACTATAGATGTCATAAATTACAAGCAGGAAAGTTGAAAGTGCCCACTGCCTCTCCTTTCATCCAAACTTGTCTTGTTCAGACGAATTTTTTGCTTTCAGATGAAAGATTCTACATTCATAGAAGTCAGTCTCATATAGTGCCAGGGGATCACTTTGTATAGAAAAAAGGAACAGAAAGATTAATAACCCAAAGGTGTTGTGCTGAACAGAGGTAATGCAGAGACATGAGAAGGTTTGGGATGGGACCAGGAGCACCACAGTGTTTTTCAAAATTGCTTCTCCCACATTCTTTCAAAAGGTTATTCTTCTCCTGAGTGCCTGTTTGGTAATTTTGAACTCTAGCTATTTTCTTTCTTATTGACTGTTTATCTGTCCCAGACTTCCACTATATTACAACGCTTCAGTTTCCTGCATTTGGGTTCAGCTTTATTACATGACAAATATTTAGACATTTTATTAACAACCTCAGTAAACATGACCTATCAAAGGGACATGGCAACAACTCAAACATTAAATCACACACACACACACACACACACATACACACACATGGAAGTGACTGAGAATTCAGTTCAATTCCTCATATATATTACAGGTCTTGGGTAATCTCAGTGGAACCTGCTAGGAGAAAATCTTTGCCTTTAGGCATTTTCTATTTTCATTTTCAACAGCAGAGAAAGAGGAAAAGAAAGAAAACCGAGTTTTATATGTAATAAATGTCCAACAATGCTTATTTATCCAACAATGCTTATTTATACAATTTAAATATGAAATCAGCCCTCCTCACAGACACCCCGTAAGAACACCAAGATTGAGAAGCTAAATCCAGGCCTCATACATAGTAAGAGCGAGTGCTTCTGCCTGCCCTACTCCTAACGGCTTCTACTAGAAGGCTCTGGCCACCTGGCAATGGCGTTTCAGAGCCAGGGCTTTGGGCAAGGCATACCTGGAGTTGGCTTCACCAGCTGTCCGCTGTGCAGACCTGGGCTGACCCCATCATCTCTGCCCTTTCCACTGCTTCAGTCCTCCTTACTAGAAAATGGGGCTTGAAATGTCTTCCTCATGGGATTCAATTAGACTATACACATGCATGTCAACATACACATATATGGTAGTTAGCACACTGCCCACAACATAGTCAGTGCCTGCGGAAGGTTAGCCCGTCCCAGCTCTGGTGGTAGCAAGAGTCATAACTCTCTGAAATACCTTCTCAGCAATAGTTAAACACTCCGCGTGTGAGGAGCAGACGGGTGTGCTTCGGTCACTACGCCTGGCCTTCGAATCTCTGCCCCTCCCGGGAGCCCAAGCTCAGCAGCATGGAAGGCTCTGAGCATTCCTCCTCTGAGAACTGCAGCCCTCATGCAAACACAGAGGCCAGAACACTCGTGCAGCCCCGACAGAGTTCTATGGTCACACCAGCCCAGGGTCAGAGGCGAGCCTGGGTCCCGGCTTTCTGCAAAGACTGGGTATTCTCCTGTCACCCCAACCCCGACTCCCCAGTCCCCAGGCCCCCCTCCAGAAGGCACATATCACTGTGTCCCTCACTACTGGGCCTCAGAGGTCTCCCTAGCACAGCAGGACCTGGCTCTGTGGGGCTCCAGTTCCTCCGCATTTGGTGAGAATCTCTCAGAAGTTTTCCTTCTTGTGTCCCTGGGGCTGGACGTAGGAAAACACAGAGCCACCCCGCAGGGGCGATTCCAGGATCATGACTTACTCTCACACAGCCCCAAACCCCAGACAGGATGAATGTGACAGATGCTGCAGGTGGGCACAGATGGAGAAAAGGAGTTCCTTTCAGTCACGGAAGAAGCCAGCAGTAGCATTAAAACTCCAAAGGACTAGCTTCCTTGTCTTCTGCATACAATGCCTTCAAGAAATAAATATGCCAGCCTGGCCTCAAGGATGTCTAATACCCCAAAATTTTAAAACTAAATAATGTATAATCACACTGAATTATATGTGCTGGGTGCTATCCTTAGAGCCTTACAAACATTTTCTTTTTCACAGCAATCCTAGGAGGCAGGGGTTACGATTATTACCTTTTACAGAAGAGAAAACAAAGGCTCAGAGTAGCTGCCCCAAGTCACACAGCCGGGAAGCCACAGAGTTAGAATTCAAAGCCAGGAGCATCGGATGCTCAAACCCATGTTCTCACTCTACCAGAATGTGGCATGACACCCTCTTCCCTGAAGTTTGCATGGAGAGATTGACAAGGCTGCAGATTTCACGGGTAAAAACAACATTACACGGCAGGAAGGGTAAGGAAGGGAAGACAGCACACACCGGCGAATTCCCGCAGCCCATTCACACTTGCAAACTCACCCAGCACCCAACTACATCAAAATGGGGCTGCTTACTCCTTGGTTCTGATCACAGTTTTGTCCTGGAAATTTTCTGGTACAGACTGAAATAAAAGCCACTCCAGGACATGAAGAGAGAGGACGTCCCTGTGATCTTCTTCCAGCACCAGGGCGTCCAGGGGTGACCTGTGCTGGCCACACTGGGTGAAACCAGGGAGACCTGGCCTGTGACCTAACATAGCAAGAATCTGAAATTGGGTAAATGCATGAGGACAGGCCAAAGGTCAATGCCCACTTCCACTCAGCCATAACAAAAGCAAAGTTTTGAGTTGTTTAAAAATATACACACACCTACTTTGCTAACTCTACAGCCAACTAGAACTAAATCCATCTACATTCAAAACATAGCAAAACTTTTCAAAAACTTATCAAACTACTGCTTTATACAGACAGCATGCAGCCATGGAAGGGCGGGAGCCCTACGGCTGGGCAGGCCAAGTCTGAGTCCCGGCACTGCTGCTGACCAAAGCTGCGACACCCCAGGCAGGTGACTTGCCCCTCAGCCTGTGGGACCTCATGGTCCAACAAGGAGAGAATACTGGTACCTGCCAATTAAATCAGATTAAAGGAGATAGCATGTCTAGAACACAAGGCTTGGGACATATGCCCCTTTTCCTCCACTCAACCAGATCTGAAATCAGATTGATCATTTCTTTGGCTCAAGTTCCCATATCCAAGGTCAACCCGAAGCCACATAATCTCGCATCGGAAAGCTTATCTCAGGCTCTGACCCAGCGGGCTCAGCCCTGCCCCCGCCTAATTGCTCACAGTGTGGTAATGCCTCCTGGTTTCATGTGCTTGACTAAATCTACTCAGCCTATAACTACGTCCTTCATTATAATTTAAGAACCTAGCATTTAATAAGCAATGACACCAGCCAAACTGTTATTAAGAGTGAATCACTAGAAACCTTTGTTTTCCACTATTTGGGTTCAGATGGGAATGGTCCAGCATTAAGATGCTCAGCACACAAGGCTTTAGCCCAGAAGGAATTTTTTTCCTCTGAAAATTGAGGGCAAACTATTTGGCTGTTTCAAAAGCTAAAAATAAATATAGCTTACTGGTTGCAAACACTGTTTGTGGCAGTACAGCTCCAAGACCATTTCAGTTTGGAAGCAAGTTATATTTGGCAAGCAATTAGGCCCCAAAACGTTCTAATTGCTTCATCTATTTTCAATAACAAAATAAAAAATAGACAAAGTATTTTGATTAAAAAATTAACAACTCATAGGAAATTCTCATACGTTTTCATAAGGATATTAGTAACCTAGGTGGGGCCTAAAAGATGATCTTTTCGGCCACAGAAAATTACCCAACCAACCACAGTATTTTACCAAACATTTCAGAAATCAACTGCATTTACCCAAATGAGTGCTCAAGTCAGGATAAAAAGGAGGCTATGATCCTACACAGGGCCCTCTATTCAAAGCTGCACGAAACCACCGGACAAATGGTTTCTGTCTACTGGAAGCTTACCAGTGAAGAACCAAGAGATTTAGAACATGGATTAAACAAATATAAATTAAATAGTAAAGCAATGGAGTAATTTAAATGTGTTTTGATAACACATCATTCTAAGCTGGGATATAACGTTTGCTTAACCCCAGAGTCAGCAAGACCCTGTCCCCACGGCCTCGACCATCCCACGTGTTCTAAATCATCAAGTCGGCGGCTGCCAACCCCTTCTCCACTACACCCAGCCTCAGTGACCCCAAACCACTCTTCACCTTCCCAGTCCATCAGGCCCCTATGTCTTCTGACACACTTCTCAGCAGCTCACCACTACCTTCGAGAGCACTGGCCTCCAGTAGGACTCACCTCAGTCATGCAGAAACAGGCTTGCTCATGCTCTGCACACTGTCTGCACTGTTCCACACTCCCTTCCACCCGAGGAGCAGCCCCACCCACACTTCCGTCTACGGCCTAGCTCCTTCCTGGGGCCACCCTTGTGCTTACGGGACACCTGACACTGAATTGTGTTTAGTATACAACCAGTGTTGCCAAAGCATTGTGCTTACACCAGTGGCCACAAAGGGCCATGCAGCCATAGCTGGGGTGACAGGGCCTGGGCGTTATCAGAGCCCCTTCTGGTGGTGGAATCCAGGAACTCAAGCCTTGAGGCCCCAGTCCCCAAGAAACATAGGATCATTTCCACTGACACCACACCACAGGACACCACACCACACACACACCGCACACATCGCACTGCACCACACACACCACACACCACCATACCACATCACACACACCACCCAGACCACATCACACACACACAACACACATACATCACACACCACACACATATCACATCACACACACACCACACCATACCACATCACACACACACCACACACATACCACACCACACACACTACACTACATCACACACACACAGACACACAGACACACACACACACACCACTTGGGCCACATTCAGCCCAAGGCAATTCTCACCATATGTCTTCACATCTTCCCTGTTCCTTAAAACAAAAAGATAATTCGTGTGAAAGGTCAAAAAAATTCCAAAATAGTTCCAGAGGCCAATGTCCTGATTTACATACAATTCATGGTGAAAGTGGATTTCTCCTTCACATCAAAAAGTGATTGTTTGAATGAAAATTTGCCTAATTAATTCAATCATTAATCTTATTCAATAAGCTACTGTCAAAAGCTTGATGCAAAGGGCTTTTAGTATGAGTAAAGGCAGGTGGATGGCCCCCACTGTAAGTACTAAGCCCCCTTATTCATTGCCCATGGGCTACCCAAAACACTTTCAAGACTTGGTGGAGGACGAGAGGAGCCCTAGCAACTCCAACACCATGTGCTTGCCTTATGCAAGTGAATACTGGCTATGCTATGGTATGGTCTGCCTATTTATCCTCCAACAAAACTCATATGCTGAAACCCTAAACCCCAGTGTGATGGTATTTGGAGCGGGTCTTTGGGAGGTGAGGAGGTCGTGAGGGTGGAGTCCTCATGATGGCATTCGTGCCTTACAAGAAGCGACGCAGAGCTTGTTGTCTCTGCTCCCCGCTGTGTGCGGATAGACACGTCTGGAATCTGCCATCTGGAGGGGCCTTCACCAGATTTTTTTACAGCAGCCCAAAATGCGTAAGATAAGCTCTGTCACCCCAGCGTCCCTGGACTGACTTCATACACACACACACACACACACACACACACACACACACACACACTTCTGTGACTGCTTGACGTGGGGGCATTGCAGGTGGGAGCAGAAAGGCCACTCGTTCCCCTGGGCTGTTGTGTGGCCCTCCCCGACAAAGAAGAGGGATGAGTCCAGCCCCGCGGACCTTGCACACAATCCCCTTACCCAACAAGCATTTACGGTGGAGAAGACAAGGCGCTCCATGAGGGTGCTTCTGGAGGGTGGACAGGAGGAAGAGGGTGGCGCAGCCGGACCCTCACAGAAACCCCCATGGGGAGGCAGCTCCAGGAGCAATCAGTTGCTAGTTGGGGCCAGAGCCTGAAACAGCCACTCTGATTTAAATGCACCCAGTGAGGCATCTAATGAGTGAGCTGGGACCAGAACGGGGCTTCAGGAATTGGGTGTCCCCTCCCCAACTATGGTCCTCCAGGTAACTTCTAGGAGAGAGGACGTTGTGCCAGGCCGTGGCCCCCACCACTAAGGAAGGAGCGAGGATTATGGAGCTTAATGGGGTCAGGGGTGGAAAAGGGCAGCCCAAGGTGAAGAAGCAGGTAGACATTTTGTGAGGGGGCCACAAAGAGAAGAGAAAGGATTTTACCAACCTATTCACAGTCACGAGTGTTTCCAAATGGAAGGTGCCCTGAAATGCCAAGACAAAAGTTCTGAATTCTTTGTGAGTCTTACCCGGCGATATAGGAAAAGTCTTTGCAGTTTGTGAGCTAGGGGACAAACTTTTAACTGTGTTTGTGTGTTATCATATCCAAGACCTTTTGTTTCTTCTCAAAAAGTAATATTCTCTTGAGCAGCGCGCTGTTGACTTTGGATGGGAGTAAATGGAAGCCTGTCTCCTCGCAGAACTCAGGCAGCAGAGTTCTGCCCTGACACCTAGCGGATTCCGGGCTTACTGCAGCGCCGGCTTAGCAGTTCTCCGAGGCTTTCTCATTTCTTCTGATTTTTGTCGTACAGCTGCTCAGAACTCATTTGCTCCTCCCTAACAGCCTCAAGCTCCTTTAGAAAAGAGTGAAATAAACAATATGCACAATGTCTACTGTTTCTATATAGTCCTATTTTGCACCCAATTCTTGTTTCGCAGACCCTTCCTTCGCCCCCTCCTTGAATAGCAGCCACATGGGAGCCCAAGAGAGAGGGCCTCTGTCAGCCAGTCCTGGGGCCACGCTGAAGATGCTGCCAGATGTGGGCCTGACTCTAAAAGAGAACCAAGCCCTGTGTTTGACATTACAGGTAAAAAACAGAGGCAAATAACTATCAGAATATGGAGGCCAGAGTTCGTATAAGAAGAGAATTCCAAATGAAAGAGAAACAAGCCAAGCATGGTGGCTCATGCCTATAATCCCAGCACTTTGGGATGCTGAGGCGGGCGGATCACTTGAGGTCAGGAGTTCCAAACCAGCCAGGCCAATATAGTGAAACACATCTCTATTAAAAATACAAAAGCTAGCAGGATAAGGTGGCAGGTACCTGTAATCCCAGCTACTTGGAAGGCTGAAGCAGGAGGATCATTTGAACCCAGTAGGCGGAGGTTGCAATGAGCCAAGATCACACCATTGCACGACAGAGAGAGACTCTGTCTCAAAAAAAAAAAAAAAAGAAAGAAACAATAAACATGTAGGTCAATAACCTTCACATATAAAGCCTCATATAAATAAACCAAAAAAATCCTTGGAACTCTATTTTTTTTTAGTTCCCTGCTGCCCAGACTAGAGTGCAGTGGCAGTGGCACAGTCATAGCTCACTGCAGCCTTGTACTTCTGGGCTCAAGCGATCCTTTTGTATCAGTCTCCCAGGTAGCTGAGACCACAAACAGATGCCCGGCTAATTTTTTTATATTTTTTTTTTGTAGAGATGGGGGGTCTCACTGTGTTTCTCCGAATGGTCTCGAACTCCTGGGCCTAAAGCAGTCCTCCCACCTTGGCCTCCCAAAGTGTTTGGATTACAGGTGTGAGCCACCGCACCAGGACAAACTCAATTTTTCTAAGGTGGACAAAGCACAGCAGCTGACAATTAGCAAAAGGGTAAACACAAAGTATTAGTGAACATTTGGAAAATGTTTCAATTAATGAAATAGTTAAAATAAGAGGGTACTATATTTTATGCATCCAATTTGCAAAAAGTATTTTTAACTCAAGTCCCCAACTCGAATGCTGTCCGGGAAGCAGGAAACAGAAGCAGCAGCAGGAGGATGTGCTGGGAGGCTGCTGGAGAGAGGAGGCATCAGGACCAACTACAGGGATGCACCAAAAGCCTTTAAAATATGTGAATCCCTCACCCGAGGAGTCTCACTTTTGGGAATGCATTCTAAAAAAGTAATCTAGGTCGGGCATGGTGGCTCATGCCTGTAATTCCAGCACTTTGGGAGGCCAAAGTAGGTGGATCATCTGAGGTCAGCAGTTCGAGACCAGCCTGGCCAACATGGTGAAACCTGTCTCTACTAAAAATACAAAAATTAGCCGGGCATTGTGGCATACACCTGTAATCCCAACTACTCAGGAGGCTGAGGCAGAAGAATCGCTTGAACCCGAGAGGCGAAGGTTGCAGTGAACCGAGATCGCACCACTGCACCCCAACCCGGGAGATAGAGCGAGACTCCATCTCAAAAAAAAAAGAAAAAGAAGTAATCTAAAATGTGGAAAGAGCAGCCAGCCAACATCATACTGAATAGGCAAAAGATGGAAGCATTCCCCTTGAAAACTGGCACAAGACAAGGATGCCCCCTCTCACCAATCCTATTCAACATAGTATGGAAGTCCTGGCCAGGGCAATCAGGCAAGGGGAAGAAAGAAAGAAAAGGCATCCAAATATCCAAATAAGATGAGAGGAAGTCATCATTGTTTTCAGACGACAAGATCCTATATCTAGAAAACCCCATCATCTCAGCCCAAAAGCTTCTTGTGCTGATAAGCAACTTCAGCAAAATCTCAGCATATAAAATCAATATGCAAAAATCTCTAGCATTCCTATACACCATTAACAGGCAAGCAGAGAACCAAATCATGAATGAACTCCCATTCATAATTGCTACAAAAAGAATAGAATACCTAGGAATACAACTTATGAGGGATGTGAAGGACCTCTTCAAGGAGAACTACAAACCACTGCTCAGAGAAATCAGAGAGGACACAAACAAATAGAGAAACATTCCATGCTCATGGATAGGAAGAATCAGAATCATGAAAATGGCCATACTGACCAAAGTAATGTATAGATTTGATGCTATTCCCATTAAACTACCATTGACATTTTTCACAGAATTATGAAAAACTGTTTTAAAATTCATATGGAACCAAAAAAGAGCCCAAATAGCCAAGTCAATCCTAAGCAAAAAGAACAAAGCTGGGTGGTGGCTGGCAAGATGGCCAAATAGGAACAGCTCTGGTCCTATTTGCAGCTCCCAGTGAGATCAATGAAGAAGGCAGGCGATTTCTGCATTTCCAACTGAGGTAGCTGGCTCATCTTATTGGGACCAGTTACACAGTGGGTGCAGCCCACAGAGGGCAGGGTGCGGTGTCACCTAACCCAGGAAGTGCAAAGGGTCAGGGAACTCCCTCCCCTAGCCAAGGGAAACCATGAGGGACTGTGCCTTGAGGAACAGCGCACTCCAGCCCAGATACTACGCTTTTCCCAAGGTCTTTACAACCCGCAGACCAGCAGATTCCCTTGGGTGCCTACACCACCAGGGCCCTGGGTTTCAAGCACAAAACTGGGCAGCTGTTTGGGCAGACACCGAGCTAGCTGCAGGAGTTTTTTTTGTTGCTTTTTTTTTTTTCATACCTCAGTGGCAACTGGAATGCCAGCAAGACAGAACCATTCACTGCCCTGGAAAGGGGGCTGAAGCCAGGGAGCCCAGTGGTCTACCTCAGTGGATCTCACCCCCACAGAGCCCAGCAAGCTAAGATCCACTGGCTTGAAATTCTCACTGCCAGCACAGTAGTCTGAAGTCAACCTGGGATACTCGACCTTGGTGGGGGGAGGGACATCTGCCATTAGTGAGGCTTGAGTGGGTGGATTTCCCCTCACAGTATAAACAAAGCCACCAAGAAGTCCAAAGTGGGCTGAGCCCACTGCAGCTCAGCAAAGCTGCTGTAGCCACACTGCCTCTCTAGATTCCTCCTCTCTGGGCAGGGCATCTCTGAAAGAAAGGCAGCAGTCCCAGGCAGGGGCTTATAGATAACACTCCCATCTCCCTGGGACAGAGCACCTGGGGGAAAGGGCAGCTGTGAAGACAGCCGCAGCTGACTTAAACGTTTCTGCCTGCCAGCTCTGAAGACAGCAGCAGATCTCCCAGCACAGTGCTCAAGCTCTGCTAAGGGACAGACTGTGTCCTCAAGTGGGTCCCTGATCCCTGTGCCTCCTGACTGGGAGACACCTCCCAGCAGGGGTTGACAAACACCTCATAGAGCATAGCTCCAGCTGGCATCTGATGGGTGCCCCTCTGGAATGAAGCTTCCAGAGAAAGGAACAAGCAGCAATCTTTGCTGTTCTGCAGCCTCCGCTGATGATACCCAGGCAAACAGGGTCTGGAGTGGACCTCCAGCAAACTCCAGCAAACCTGCAGCAGAGGGGCCTGACTGTTAGAAGGAAAAACTAACAAATATAAAGGAATAACATCAACATCAGCAAAAAGGAAGTCCACACAGAAACCCAATCCAAAGGTCACCAACATCAAAGACCAAAGATAGATAAATCCACAAAGATGAGGAAAAATCAGCGCAAAATGGCTGAAAATTCCGAAAACCAAAACGATTCTTCTCCTCCAAAGGATCACAACTCCTTGCCAGCAAGGGAACAAAACTGAACGGAAAGTGAGTTTGATGAATTGACAGAAGTAGGCTTCAGAAGGTGGGTAATAACAAACTCCTCCGAGCTAAAGGAGTATGTTCTAACCCAATGCAAGGAAACTAAGAACTTTGGAAAAAAGTTAGAGAAATTGCTAACTAGAATAACCCGTTTAGAGAAGAACATAAATGACCTGATGGAGCTGAAAAACACAGCACGAGAACTTCGTGAAGCATACACAAGTATCTATAGCTGAATTGATCAAGCAGAAGAAAGGATATCAGAGATTGAAAATCAACATAATGAAGTAAGGCATGAAGACAAGATTAGAGAAAAAAGAATGAAAAGGAATGAACAAAGCCTCCAGGAAATATGGGACTAAGTAAGAGACCAAACCTATGTTTGACTGGTGTACCTGAAAGTGATGAGGAGAATGGAACCAAATTGGAAAACACTCTTCAGGATATTATCCAGGAGAATTTCCCCAACCTAGCAAGACAAGCCAACATTCAAATTCAGGAAATACAGAGAACACCACAAAGATACTCCTACAGGAGAGCACCCCCAAGACACATAATCATCAAAATCACCAAGGCTGAAATGAAGGAAAAAATGATAAGGGCAGCCAGAGAGAATGGTCGAATGGTCAGGTTACCCACAAAGGGAAGCCCATCGGACTAACAGTGGCTCTCTCGGCAGAAACCCTACAAGCCAAAAGAGAGTGGGGGCCAATATTCAACATTCTTAAAGAATTTTCAACCCAGGATTTCATATCGAGCCAAACTAAGCTTCATAAGCAAAGGAGAAATAAAATCCTTTACAGACAAGCAAATGCTGAGAGATTTTTGTCACCACCAGGACTGCTTTACAAGAGCTCCTGAAGGAAGCACTAAATATGGAAAGGAAAAACCAGTATCAGCCACTGCAAAAACAAACCAAATTGTAAAGACCACTGACATTATGAATAAACTGCATTAACTAATGGGCAAAATAACCAAATAGCATCATAATGACAGGATCAAATTCACACATAACAATATTAACCTTACATATAAATGGGCTAAATGCCCCAGTTAAAAGACGCAGACTGGCAAGTTGGATCAAGAGTCAAGACCCATCAATGTGCTATATTCAGGAGACCCATCTCACATGCAAAGACACACATAGGCTCAAAATAAAGGGATGGAGGAATATTTACCAAGCAAATGGAAAGCCAAAAAAAGCAGGGGTTGCAATCCTAGTCTCTGATAAAATAGACTTTAAACCAACAAAGATAAAAAAAGACAAAGAAGGGCATTGCATAATGGTAAAGGGATCAATTCAACAAGAAGAGCTAACTATCCTAAATATATATGCACCCAATACAGGAGCACCCAGATCCATAAAGCAAGTTCTTAGAGACCTACAAAGAGATTTAGACTCCTACACAACAATAGTGGGAGATTTTAACACCCAACTGTCAATATTAGACAGATCAATGAGACAGAAAATTAACAAGGATATTCAGGACTTGAACTCAGCTCTGGACCAAGCAGACCTAATAGACATCTACAGAACTTTCCACCACAAATCAACAGAATATACATTCTTCTTAGCACCACATCGCACTTATTCTAAAACTGACCACATAATTGGAAGTAAAACACTCCTCAGCAAATGCAAAAGAACGGAAATCATAACAGTCTCTCAGACCAAAGTGCAATCAAATTAGAACTCAGGATTCAGAAACTCACTCAAAACCATACAACTACATGGAAACTAAACAACCTGCTCCTGAATGACTACTGGGTAAACAACAAAATTAACGCAGAAATAAATAAGTTATTTGAAACCAGTGAGAGCAAAGATACCATACCAGAATCTCTGGGACACACAGCTAAAGCAGTGTTTACAGGGAAATCTATAGCACTAAATGTTCACATCAGAAAGCAGAAAAGATCTAAAATCAACACCTTAACATCACAATTAAAAGAACTAGAGAAGCAAGAGCAAACAAATTCAAAAACTAGCAGAAGACAAGAAATAACTAATATCTGAGCAGAACTGAAGGAGATAGAGACACGTAAAAACCTTCAAAACAATCAATGAATCCAGGAGCTGGTTTTTTTTAAAAGATTAACAAAATAGACCACTAGCCAGACTAATAAAGAAGAAAAGAGAGAAGAATCAAATAGACACAATAAAAAATGATAAAGGGGATATCACCACTGATCCCACAGAAATACAAACTATCATCAGAGAATACTATAAACACCTCTACACAAATAAGAAAATCTAGAAGAAATGGATAAACTCCTGGACACATAAACCCTCCCAAGACTTAACCAGGAAGAAGTTGAATCCCTGAATAGACTAATAATAAGTTCTGGAATTAAGGCAGTAATTAATAGCCTACCAACCAAAAAAAAGCCCAGGACCAGACAGATTCACAGCCGAATTCTACCAGAGGTACAGAGAGGAGCTGGTACCATTCCTTCTGAAACTATTCCAAACAATAGAAAAAGAGAGACTCCTCCCTAACTCATTTTATGAAGCCAGCATCATCCTGATACCAAAACCTGGCAGAAACACAACAAAAAAAGAAAATTTCAGGCCAATATCCCTGATGAACATAGATGCAAAAATCCTGGCAAACCGAATCCAGCAGCACAACAAAAGCTCATCCTACAATCAAGTCGGCTTCATCCCTGGGATGCAAGGATGCTTCAACATATGCAAATCAATAAATGTAATCCATCACATAAACAGAACCAATAACGAAAACCACATGATTATCTCGATAGATGCAGAAAAGGCCTTAGATAAAATTCAACACCCCTTCCTGCTAAAAACTCTCAATAAACTAGGTATTGATGGAACATATCTCAAAATAATAAGACTATTTATGACAAACTTACAGCTAATATCATACTGAATAAGCAAAAGCTAGAAGCATTCTCTTTGAAACTGGCACAAGACAAGGATGCCCTGTATCACCACTCCTATTCAACACAGTATTGGAAGTTCTGGCCAGGGTAATCAGGAAAGAGAAAGAACTAAAGGGTATTCAAATAGGAAGAGAGGAAGTCATATTTTCTCTGTTTGCAGATGACATGATTGTATATTTAGAAAACCCCATCGTCTCAGCCCAGAATCTCCTTAAGCTGATAAGCAACTTCAGCAAAGTCTCAGGATACAAAACCAATGTGCAAAAATCACAAGCATTCCTATACACCAACAATAAACAAACAGAGATCCAAATCATGAGTGAACTCCTATTCACAATTGCTACAAAGAGAATAAAATCCCTAGGAATACAACTTACATGGGATGTGAAGGACCTCTTCAAGGAGAACTACAAGCCACTGCTCAATGAAATGAGAGAGAACACAAACAAATGGAAAAACATTCCATGCTCATGGATAGGAAGAATCAATATTGTGAAAATGACCATACTGCCCAAAGTAATTTATAGATTCAATGCTATCCCCATCAAGCTACCATTGACTTTTGTCACAGAAATAGAAAAAACTACTTTAAATTTCATATGGAGCCAAAAAAGAGCCTGTATAGCCAAGACAATCCTAAGCAAAAAGAACAAAGCTGGCGGCATCATGCTACCTGACTTCAAACTGTCCTACAAGGCTACAGTAACCAAAACAGCACGGTACTAGTATCAAAACGGACATACAGACCAATGGAACAGAACAGAGGCCTTAGAAATAACACCACACATCTACAACCATCTGATCTTTGACAAACCTGACAAAAACAAGAAATGGGGAAAGGATTCCCTATTTAAAAATGGTATTGGGAAAACTGGCTAGCCATATGCAGAAAACTAAAACTGGATCCCTTCCTTACACCTTATACAAAAATTAACTCAAGATGGATTAAAGACTTAAAAGTAAGACCTAAAACCATAAAAACCCTAGAAGAAAACCTAGGCAATACCATTCAGGACATAGGCATGGGCAAAGACTTCAAGACTAAAACACCAAAAGTAATGGCAACAAAAGCCAAAATTGACAAATGGGATCTAACTAAACTAAAGAGCTTCTGCATAGCAAAAGAAACTATCATCAGAGTGAACAGGAAACCTACAGAATGGAAGAAAAATCTTGCAATCTATCCATCTGACAAAGGGCTAATATCCAGAATCTACAAAGAACTTGTACAAATTTACAAGAAAAAACAAACAACCCCATCAAAAAGTGGGGAAAGGGTATGAACAGACACTTCTCAAAAGAAGACATTTACATGGCCAACAAACATATGAAAAAAAGCTCATCATCACTGGTCATTAGGGAAATGCAAATCAAAACCACAATGAGATACCATCTCACACCAGTTAGAATGGCGATCATTAAAAAGTCAGGAAACAACAGATGCTGGGGTGGATATGGAGAAAGAGGAACACTTTTACACTGTTGGGAGTGTAAATTAGTTCCACCATTGTGGAAGACAGTGTGGCGATTCCTCAAGGATCTAGAACCAGAAATACCATTTGACCCAGCAATCCTATTACTGGGTATATACCCAAAGAATTATGAATCATTCTACTATAAAGACACATGCACACGTATGTTTATTGCAGCACTGGTCACAGTAGCAAAGACTTGGAACCAACCCAAATGCCCATCAATGATAAACTAGATAAAGAAAATATGGCACATATACACCATGGAATAGTATACAGCCATTAAAAAGGATGAGTTCATGTCCTTTGCAGGGACATGGATGAAGCTGGAAACCATCATTCTCAGCAAACTAACACAGGAACAGAAAATCAAACACCATATACTCTCACTTGTAAGTGGGAGTTGAATAATGAGAACACATGGACACAGGAAGGGGAACATAACAGACCAGGGCCTGTTAGTGGGTGGAGGGCTAGGGGAGGGACAGCATTAGGAGAAATACTTAAGGTAAATGACGGGTTGATGGGTGCAGCAAACCACCATGGCACGTGTATACCTATGTAACAAACCTGCACATTCTGCACATGTATCCCAGAACTTAAAGTATAATTTAAAAAAAAGAACAAAGCTGGAGGCATCACACTACCCAACTTCAAACTATACTACAAGGCTACAGTAACCAAAACAGCATGGTACTGGTACAAAAACAGACACATAGACCAATGGAATAGAATAAAGAACTCAGAAATAAGACTGCACACCTACAGCCATCTGATCTTTGACAAACCTGACAAAAACAAGCAATGGGGAAAGGATTCCCTGTTTAATAAATGGCACTGGGAGAACTGGCTAGCCATATGCAGAAAATTGAAACTGGACCCCTTCCTTACACCATATACAAAAATTAACTCAAGATGGATTAAAAAGATTTAAATGTACATCCTGAAACTATAAAAACCCTAGAAGAAAATCTAGGCAATACTATTCAGGACATATGCATGGGCAAAGATTTTATGATTAAAATGCCAAAAGCAATTGCAAGGAAAGCAAAAATTGATAAATGGGATCTGATTAAAAAGCTTCTGAACAGCAAGAGGAACTACCATCAGAGTGAACAGAAAACCTAGAGAATGGGAGAAAATTTTTGTAATCTAGCCATCTGACAAAGGCCTAACATCCAGAATCTACAATAAACTTAAACAAATTTACAAGAAAAAAAACAACCCCATTAAAAGTAGGCAAAGGGGCTGGGCACAGTGGCTTACACCTCTAATCCCAGCACTTTGGGAGGCAGAGGCAGGCAGATCACCTGAGGTCAGGAGTTCAAGACCAGCCTGGCCAACATAGTGACACCCTGTCTCTACTAAAAATACAAAAATTAGCCAGAGGTGCTGGCGCATGCCTGTAATATCAGCTACTCGGGAGACTGGGGCTGGAAAATCACTTGAACCCAGCAGGCACAGGTTTCAGTGAGCTGAGATCATGCCATTGCACTCCAGCCTGGGTAACAAGAGCAAAACTCCATCTCAAAAAAAAAAAAAAGTGGGCAAAGAACATAAACAGACATACATGTAGCCAACAAACATATGAAAAAAGCTCAACATCACTGATCATTAGAGAAATGAAAATCAAAACCACAATGAGATAGCTCATGCCAGTCAGAATGGCTATTACTAAAAAATCAAAAGATAACAGTTGCTGGCAAGGTTGTGGAGAAAAAGGAACACTTTTACACTGTTGGTGGGAGTGTAAATTAGTTCAATCATTGTAGAAGACAGTGTGATGATTCCTAGAGGCCTAGAAATACCTAGAAAGCCTAGAGGCTGAAATACCATTTGACCCAGCAACCCCATTACTGGGTATATACCTAAAGGAACATAATTCATTCTATTATAAAGATACATGCACAAGTATGTTCACTGCAGCACTATCCACAATAGCAAAGACATGGAATCACCCCAAATGCCTATCAGTGAGATAGACTGTATAAAGCAAATGCAGTATATATACACTATGGAATACTATGCAGCCATAAAAAGGAACAAAATCATCTCCTTTGCAGGGACATGGATGGAGTTGGAAGCCATTATCCTCAACAAACTAACACACATGGACACATGGGGGTGAACAACACACACTGTTGTTCAACAACACAGGCCCTGTCAAGGGGAGGGAGAGGATCAGGAAGAATAGCTACTGGATGCTGGGCTTAATACCTGGGTGATGGAGTGATCTGTTCAGCAAACCACCATGGCACACATTTACCTATTTAACAAACCTGCATATCCTGCACATGTACCCCTGAACTTAAAATAAAAGTTGAAAAAAAAATTTTTAAATTAAATAAAACATGGGAAGAGGTTGTTATTTATTTAATAAACACATAACTTCTACTGTATCTCAGGCTAAGTGCTCTAAAATATTAATTCATTTGATTTCATCATCACAACATAACTACTATCACTACCTATTTTGCCCAAAAGTGAGGCACAAAGAGTTTAATAGTTTGCCCAAAGTCCCAAAGACTTGAGCAGGATTTGAGGCCAGGCCACCTAAATGGAGATGTGTGCTCTCCCCACCTGGGCTGTCTCCCAGGGCCTTTCTCACTGGGAAGAACCAGAAAGAACTACATGGTTGGCCTTGGACACCTGGTGACATCAATACAGAATCTTCACCGAAAGACTGCTAAGGAATCATTAAAATGTCTGCCCACAAGCATTCTTAAGGCCATGAGAATGTGTTTCAATTAAATGAGTAAAAACGCAAGACACAAAAGCCATGTGTAAATATACCTCAGCTTTGCTTAACTGTTTAAAGAAAACAGAACTAAAAGAAATTATGCCAAGATGTTTACATTCGTTGCTTTGTGGGGATGGGAAAATTAGTGATTTTTTTCCTGCATCTTTACACTTGTTTTTTCTTCTATTGTGTATTTGTTATCTTTGAAATCAGAAATAATTATCCTTACTGTGTGCACAGGCCATATATACAGCTGTGGTAGAGGCATAGTCGTTGATCCATTTGGGCCCATCTCTGTATCCAGGAAGATTGTCTTAACTGGATTACCATATACTCCCCAGCACGTGCAAGTGACTGTGTTCTAACAGTTGTCTTCACTAAAGGGCCATCTTTGCTGCCTGGTTTCCACGCAGCCATCCTGAGGACTTTGCCTGCATGCTGGGCAGCGAGAGCCGGTCGGTGCCTTGGTGAGGAGAGCTACACATGTGCACACACACACAGGCTCGCAGAAGCCTAGGTCCAGCAGCCAGGCGACTGCATCCCTTGGTGCCCTTGGGAGCCTCAGCCAACCTGGCTCACTGGCCAGCTGCCTGGGACCCTGTTTGTTCCCAGTCCTGCCCCTGGAGATCTGTTGTGCCCACCTTAGCCCATGCAGTTGATCCTGGGCTGTGTCTCCTGTTCCCACAGCCTCCACAGGCCAGCACCACACACCTGGATGTCTGCCCTGCACCAGGAGCTCTCTGAAGCATGGGGGACAAGTTCCATGGGCCTCCCCAGACCACTGACCCAGCTATCCTCCATGTTCCCCTCTCCTGCTGTGGCCCCTAGGGCCCAGGGCTGTTCCCTGCCCAACCTCCCCTCCCCACTCACCACCTCCTTCAAAGGGTTCCAGGCTGAACCCCTCGGCTGGCTCCCATGGGGTCCCACCCAGACCAAGATCTTGTCCTACACATCCCATCCCAAGCTCTGTCACTCGGTAGACATGTATGGAGACACTCTAATAGGATGGACGTTGTGCTGGGGTTTGCAAAAAGCCTTTCAGTTTATAATCCAGAAACCCATGGTTTGAAGCCTCGTCCCCAAGGCTAAGGAATAACAGGCTGAGAATTATTGTGGATCTGATCAGAAGACGGGAGTGCAGACAAGTATAAGGTTCTAAGTGTGCAGCACTGGGGGCCAGGCACGGTCACTCACTTGATGTGATGTCAATCCCACAACCAGCTCTGGGGAGAGAACTCCAGGGTCTGCCGGTAAAGCTGTGATGCATAGAGGGAGCACAACTTGAACGTCACAGAAAGGTCAGGATTCAGATCCAGAGCTGCTTTCAAAGCCATGCTCCAAACCACGCCATGGCCTTTCCCTTATCCATGGTCCTGTCGACTTATCAATGAGAAACTACAGACTGAATTTCCTCCAGGGGAGAAAACCATTATCACTTTCCGACCTGCCACACACTCCAAATCAGATCGCAAACAACAGATAAGAACAAAAATGTATAGGTCGGCTGGGTGCAGTGGCTCACGCCTGTAATCCCAGCACTTTGGTAGGCCGAGGCGGACAGATCACGAGGTCAAGAGTTCGAGGCCAGCCTGGTCAACATGGTGAAAACCCATCTCTATTAAAGATACAAAAAATTAGGGGCCAGGCACGGTGGCTCATGCCTGTAATCACAGCACTTTGGGAGGCCGAGGCATGCGGATCACAAGGTCAGGAGTTTGAGACCAGCCTGACCAACGTGGTGAAACCCCATCTCTACTGAAAATACAAAAATTAGCCACGGGCTCTGTAATCCCAGCTACTCAGGAGGCTGAAGTAGGAGAATCTCTTGAACCCGGAAGGCAGAGGTTGCAGTGAGCCGAGATCGTACCATTGCACTCCAGCCTGTGCGACGGAATGAGACTCCATCTCAAAAAAAATAAATAAAATGTACAAGTCACTGAAGAGACTGAATGATTCCAGGTTAGCAAGACTTGATCGTAATCAGGTTCAAACTATCTACAAATTAACAATAGTTCATCCACTCCAAGGGGCTGGACAGTCTCACAGGCCCAAATGGTGGCAGGGTCTCCAGGTGAGGGGCGGGCAGCCAACTAAGCCTGCAGAGAGCCCACAGTTTTCTCTCTCCAAGGTGATCAATTGCTAGGCTTCCAGAGAGAAGCAAATCCTCCATGTGTCATGAAGTGGGCCCAAAAGGAAGGCGACAAGAGCTCAGCGACCACATAGCCTGGGAAATACTGCATATTATAGCCTTCTGTGGAGATTCCACCTGCAGGTAAGAAATGAAGGCTCTGTGAATTCCTGCCACAAAGAAACTTGGGGGACGGGGGTATTGTTTTGTTACTAATAGAAGTAATACAGCCAGCCTGGCCAACATGGTGAAACCCCATATCTACCAAAAATAAAAAATAAAAAATACAGGCCAGGCGTGGTGGCTCACGCCTGTAACCCCAGCACTTTGGGAGGCCAAGGCGGGTGGATCATGAGGTCAAGAGATCGAGACCATCCTGGCTAACATGGTGAAACCCCATCTCTGCAAAAAAATTAGCCAGGCATGGTGGTGGGCCCCTATAGTCCCAATTACTCGGGAGGCTGAGGCAGGAGAATGGCGTGAACCCAGGAGGTGGAGCTTGCAGTGAGCCGAGATTGCGCCACTGCACTCCAGCCTGGGTGACAGAGTGAGACTCTGTCTCAAAAAAAAAAAAAAAAAAAAAAAATTAGCCAGGCATTGTGGCCCACACCTGTACTCCCAGCTACTCAGGAGGCTGAGGCAGGAGGATTGCTTAAACCCGGGAGGTGGAGGCTGCAGTGAGCCAAGATCGCACCACTGCACTCCAGCCTGAACAACAGAGTGAGACTCTGTCTCAACAAAAAAGAGTGTAAGTGGTTTTTATACATTGATTTTGTATCCTGCAACTTTGCTGAATTAATATATTAGTTCTAACAGTTCTTCAGTGTAGTCTTTAGGGTTTCTACATGTAAGATCCTGTCATGTGCAGAGATAATTTTACTTCTTTGTTTCCAATTTGAATATCTTTTATTTTTCTCTTGCCTAACTGCTCTGGCTTGGACTTCCAGTACTGTGTTGAATAAAAGTGGTGAGAGTAGGCATCTTTGCCTTGTCCCAGACATCAGAGGAAAGGCTCTTGGTTTTTCAGTGTTAAGTATGATGATAGCTGTGGACTATTCCTTTATGGCCTTTATTATATTGAGGTAATTTTCTCCTACTTCTACTTTGTTGACAGTTTTTATCAGGAAAGTATGTTGAATTTTGTGAAATGTGATTTTGTCTTTCTTTCCGTTAAAGTAGTATATCACATTAATTGATTTTTGTATGTTGAAACATCCTGGCATCCCCACGGATAAATCCAACTTGTTCATAGGGTATGATCCTTTAATGTGCTGTTGAATTGAGTTTGCTAGCATTTTGTTGAGAGCTTTTGCATCTAAGTTCACTAGAACCTATAGTTTTCTTATAGTGTCTTTGTCTGGCTTTAGTATCGGGATAATCTTCGTAAAAGAGTTTGGAAATATTTCCTCCTCTGCAATTTTTTGGAAGTTTAGGAAGGGTGGAGCTAATTATTCTTTAAATGTTTGGTAGAATTCACCCATGAAGGCCTCAGGTCCTGGGCTTTTCTTTTTGAGAGGTTTCCTACTAGTTATAGGTCCGTTCAGATTTCCTTTTTCTTCATGATTCAGTCTTGTAGGTTGTATGTTTCCAGAAATTTATCCATTTCTTCTAAGTTATCTAATTTGTTGGCATATAATTGTCATAGTAGTCTCTTCTAACCCTTGTTGTTTTGGTGGCATCAGTTGTAACGATTCCTCTTTAATTTCTGATTTTATTTATTTGAGTTTTCTCTCTTTTTTTTCTTGGTCTACCAAGAGGTTTGTTAAGTTTGTTTACCTCTTTTAAAAACCAAGTCTTAGTTTTGCTAATCTTTTCTATTGCTTTTCTAGTCTCTATTTCATTATTTCTGTTCCAGTGTTTATTATTTCCTTCCTTCTGCTAGCTTCAGGCTTATTTTTTTCTTCTTTTTTTTTTAGTTTCTTGAGGTATAAAGTAAGATGTTTGTTTGAGATTTCTTGTTATTTAAAGCAGCCATTTACTGCTATGAAGTTCCCCGTTAGTGCTACTTTTGCTACATGCTGTGTGATTTGGTATGTTGTGTTTTTGTTATTTGTCTCAGGATATTTTCTAATTTCCTTTGCAATTTCTTCTTTGACCCATTGGTTTTTCAGGAATGTATTGCTTAATTTACACATATCTGTGAATGTTCTAGTTTTCTTTCTGCTATTAATTTCTAATTCCATTCCATTGTGGTTAGGAAAGATATTTGGTATTATTTCAGTCTTCTTAACTTTATTAAGATGTGTTTTGTGAACTCACATGAGATTTATATGGAGAATATTTGATGTGCATTTGAGAAGAATGTGTATTCTGCTGCTGTTGAATGGAATGTCCTATATAAACATATGTGTTAGACTCATTTCATCTAAAGTGTTGTTCATGTCCACTGTTTCCTTATTAATTATCAGTCTGGATGTTCCATCCCTTACTGAAAGTAGTACTGAAGTCTCCTACTATTATTGTAGTGCTGTCAATTTCTCTGTTCAGTCCTGTCAATGTTCACTTTATATATTTAGGTGCTGTGACATTGAGTGCATATATATTTATAATTTTTAAATCTTCCTGTTGAATTGACCCTTTTAACATATACTATGACCTTCTTTGTCTCTTGTGAGTGTTTTGACTAAAGTCTATTTTGTCTGATATACGTATAGCCACCCCTGCTCCCTTTTAGTTACCATTGTGTAAAACATCTTTTTCCATCTCTTCACTTTCAGTCTATGTGTGTCCTTAAGGCAAAAGTGAGTCTCTTGTAGACAGAATATAGTTGAATCTTTTTTAAAACTCTGTTCAGCCACTCTATGTCTTTCTATTGGGGAGTTTAATCTATTTACCTTTTTTTTTTTTAATGTTTTGAGATGGAGTCTGTCACCCAGGCTAGAGTGCAGTAGTGTGATCTTGGCTCACTGCAACCTCTGCCTCCGGGTTCAAGGGATCCTCCTGCCTCAGACTTCCAAGTAGTTGGGATTACAGTCATGCACCACCATGCCCAGCTAATTGTTTTGTGTTTTTAGTGGAGACAGGGTTTCACCATGTTGACCAGGCTGGTCTCCAGTGGCACAATCTCAGCTCACTGCAACCTCCGCTTCCCAGGTTCAAGTGATTCTCCTACCTCAGCCTCCCAAGTAGCTGGGATTACAGGCGTGTGCCATGATGCCTGGCTAATTTTGGTATTTTTAGTAAAGACAAGGTTTTGCCATGTTGGCTAGGCTGACCTCAAGTAATCCACCTGCCTCGGCCTCCCAAATTGCTGGGATTACAGGCATGATCCACCATGCCCAGCCTTATTTACTCTTAATTATTGATAGGGAAAGTCTTATCATTGCCAATTTTTGTATGGTTTTCTGTCTGTCTTGTAGTTCTTTTGTCCCTCTTTCCTTTCTGCTATCTTTCTTTGTGTTTCATTAATTTATTGTAGTTTTATTCTTTTCTGTTTTCTTTTGTATATCTTCTACAGGCATTTTCTTTGTGGTTTAATAAAACATCTTACAGTTACAATAATCTATTTTAAGCTGATACAACTTACCTTCAATCACATACAAAAATCCTATAATTTTACTTCACACATGCATATACACACAAACACACACACTTTATGTTATTGATGTCACATTAAAATATTTTATAGTTTAGTTACTTTTAATAATCTTGTCTTTTACCTTTTATACTCAAATTTTAAATGATTTACAGGATAATTTTCAATGACCTTTCTCCAAGTTCACCAGTCCTTTCTTCTGATTGATCTAGTCTGCTATCAAACCCCTCTAGTGAATTCTTCAGTTATCGTTGTATTCTCAGCTCCAAGGTTTCTGTTTGGTACTTTTTAATATGTTCTATCACTTTGTTGAAATTCTCACTTTATTCATACATTTTTCTCCTGACCTCATTGAGCATCTTTATGATGGCTAATTGAATTCTCTGTCAAATAAATCATGTATCACCATTTCATTTGGTCAGCTTCTGGAGATGTATCTTGTTCCTTTGTTTGGGACATATTTCCTGTCTCTTCATTTTCCTAACTCCTTGTGTTTCTGTTTGGGAGGTTTTCGATTACTGACTCAATCTCCCTACTAGTTATAGGTCTGTTTCTGTAATAGAGAAAACAACCATCTGTGCATTACTGAAAACAACCATCTCTCCCAGACTTTGCAGATAGCCTCATACAAGAGAAGATCCTCGCCAATCAGCCTGCCCAGAGATTTCGGTGGCCTCTCAAACCTTCGTGCTAGTCTGAACTTCATCTTTGTTCTCACTGGCACCCAGGCTTCTAGAGCATGCTGGGTCCTAGCAACACTCCAAGGCCAACCAGGCAGAAGCCAATCCCTTGGGCAGCCCCCAGAAAAGTTGGAACATTGGACACATGATCCAACTCCCCTTTTTTCAGGAAGAAGCTGGTTTCTGGGGTTTGGGGGGTTTTCTTCACTCTGTACTGAGGAGAGAGGCTATGGCAACAGCTTGTATACTAGTTCAAATCTCAAATCACCATCTATGTTCTCACCAGCTGCCAGTCATCTAGAGCATGCTGGCTCCCATCAGTGCCTTGAGACAAGCAAGACAGAAACCAGTCCCTTGGGCAGCCCCCAGAGAAGGTGTAATACTTGATGTACAGTCCAAATCTTTCCCTTCCCAGGGAGAGGCTGAGAGCTGGGGATTTTCATTTAAATATATGGTGCTGGGCCAGGGGTTGAGATTTGGTTGAAAGGATGTTTCAAATTTTCCTACTGACTTAGATGTGGCTGGTTTCATGCTTGCCCGAGGTGCAGAAACTTCTGAAAAGTTACTGGATTTCTCACAAGGGAAATTTGTCTGTGTATTGTTGAACTGATGTGTTTGTAGGGGACAGGCAAGTCCAGGGCTTCCTCCTCCACCATCTTGTTGATGCCACCCCTTTGTCAGAAAATCTAACATCTCTAGCGTCTTTGTTTTGCCATGTATTGATGATCTTCATTTATTTGAGAACATCTGGTTCTTGGTATGATCAATGATTTTTTTACTGAAGCCTGAACCATTTTTATATTATAAGATTCTGAATATTATATAAACCTCTATTTTAGCTAGATGTCTCTGAAACCACTCCAGCAGAGGAAGGGAAGTAAAAAGCTACCTCATTAACGTCAGGTAGAGTTAGAAATCCACATCCGTACTCGGCCACTATTAACATCCAGGGTGGGAAGGGGCTCCTCATTACTGCTGGAGGGGGTGGGAGTCCCAACTCATTGTCTCCAATGACACCACAAGGGGATGGACTTATTGCCACTGGGTGACAGTAAAAGTCCTGACTCTTCATTAGGCCCCTTTGTCAAGACCCTGCTGGGAAAGGAACAGGCACCTAGTTACTGCCAGGTGGAGGTGGAAGTCCAGGATCTCTACGTGGTCTCCATGGACACCACAGTGTGGGAGGAGCACCTTACCAGCTGGGAGGAATAATAGACCTCGCCCACGACGTGGCCTTCTCTGACGTCACCCAGACAGCACTGGTAGAGGGCCTCCTTAGAGCCTCATGAGGGTGGAAGTCCAGGCTCCCTACTCAGCCTTTGCTGGCATGCATGGAGACGGGTCATAGCTTTTCGGCGGTGTTTGCCTAGAGTAGAACAGTTACCGTCTGAAAGTTTTCTGCCTTGCTGAGCTGCCCCTTCCCTGGTACCTTGGTTGGAGAGAGCAGGCTTTGCGGGGACTTTGTCTGTGCTCATTGCTGTTTCCAGGTTGCTGCGTTCTTCAGCTCCAAGTCTGGAATAGATGAGACAGAAAGAAAACCCAGGACACTCGCCAGCCCGTTGTTCCTTTGGTTCCAAGGTCCCCTCCAGTCTTTCTTTGCTCCACCTTTTGGAGCCTTCTTATGTTTGTTACATATGCAATGTCCTAGATTTTTAGTTGCAATTAGCAAGAGGAAGCAGGGAAAGTACATCTACTCCATCTTCCTGGAAACAGAAGTCCGTGGGAAGCATTTTTTTAAATATCTCTGCCTAGACCCCACTTCTAAAGACTGATTTAATTGGTCTGGAGTGGTGCCTGGACATCAGGAATTTAAAAAAATTAAAACTCCTGGGTGACTCCACTGTGCACCCAGGGCTGAGAACCTGCCATAGTTATCCTTGTCTCTTGTAGTTATTGTCTGTTGGCCAATTCATAACTCCCAATCAAACTTTTAACTTATACTTTTTCTCTGACCTCCGTAACCATTTATGCAACTGCCTGATTTTGACAACTCTTCTTTGAGAAATTACAACTATCAGACAGTTGAAGCTTAAAGGTACCTCAAACTTCAACATATTCAAAAAAATCATTATCTGCACTCCCCCGAAAACACCTCCAGCTTTCCCCACCAGAGAATGGCACCATCAGCCACCTCGTTATACAATGGAGACATCAGAGAGTCACTCTTGATGAGTTTCTCCCTTTTCCAATCTTCTCCTAATTCATTCAGAGAAACTCTCGCAAAAGTCGTGTCTGATCCATCAACTCCTTGTCCAGCAACATGCTGAGCAACACTGGAGCCTGAGGCCAAAGGAAAAATGGGTGCCTTACATGCATGTTTTTCAGTTTGCATTTTGGTTTTTTTGAGGCAGGTTCTCAGTCTGTCACCCAGGCTTGAATGCAGTGGCATGATCATGGCTCATTGCAGCCTCAATCACCTGGGCTCAAGCAATCGTCCCACCTCAGTCTCCCAAGTAGCTGAGACTATAGGCATGCCCCACCACACCCAGCTAATAAATTTTTTAATGGTCAACTTTTTGGCAGAAAATTAAAGTGGTGAAAGAAATAAAAATTTTAACACCAGTTATTAAAACTCACAACAGTACGTTTAAATTTAAATTTTTTATTACACAAAACCAGAAGTGAATTTTACGTTTCTAGCTTTAATGGATGCTAACTCATTAATAATGTCTTCAAAATCTACATCTTCTACTTTAGTATTCTGCAGAAAGGTAACTATCAAAAAGGTATGCAGTAGCCCCCTTATCCATGAGGATACATTCCAAGACCCCCAGTGGATACCTGAAAACATGGATAGTACCAACTTCTGTATATTCTGCTTTTATCCATACATACATACCTATGATAAAGTTTAATGTATAAATTAGGCATGGTAACTGATAATGAAATAGAACAACTCAAACAAGCTGGGCGCAGTGGCTCATGTCTGTAATCCTAACACTTTGGGAGGCTGAGGCGGGCGGATCATCTGAGGTCAGGAGTTCGAGACCAACTTGGCCAACATGGTGAAACCCCATCTCTACTAAAAATACAAAAATTAGCTGGGCATGTTGGTACATGCCTGTAGTCCCAGCTACATGGGAGGCTGAGGCAGGAGAATCGCTTGAACCCAGGAGGCAGAGGTTGCAGTAAGCCGAGATCATGCCACTGCACTCCAGCCTGGACAACACAGCAAGATTCCATCTCAAGAAAAAAAAAAAGAAAGAGAACACTAACAATATACTGTAATAAAAGTAAAGTGAATGTGTTCTCTCTCTAATTATCTTCTTGTAGTGTGTTCCTCTCTTTTCTTGTGATGATAAAATGCCTACATGGTGAGATGAAGCTAGGGGAATGGTGTGGGTATTAGGACCTAGCATTAGGCTACCTCTGACCTTCTGGCCATCCTTGAGGAGACTCACCTGCTCCAGGCGATCCTGGGTCATCAAGCCATAATGATTGGCTGTCAAGGAGCAGATGAGCTCAATGACTAATGAGTAGATAGCGTGTACAGCGGTGCATACTCTGGGTAAAGAGATGATTCACATCCCAACACAGGACAGTCTGAGATTTCATCATGCTACTCAGAATGACATGCAAATTAAAACATGTAAGTTGCTTATTTCTGGAATTTTCCATTTAATATTTTCAGACTGTGGTTGACTGCAGGTAACTGAAACAGCAGAAGGCAAAAAGCCACAGATAAGGGGGAACGTACTTGGGGCTACATCTTCCCTTTTGCCACAGGCCTGTCACGGTACTGTGGGATCCTCTCTTTGCCTAGAAGTTTGATATTTTGTTCATCCTGGATTTTTTGGCACTAATACTGATTTTTTTAATATTGTATTGCTTATCTTGATTATTGAGTTTTGAGGGGGATCCTTAAATTTGTGCCTCAGGCAAGTCTGTCACTCACCCCACCATAATCCCAGCCCTGACCAGTTCATTGGCTTCCCATGGTTCTTAACCACACAAATGAGGGTCCACTGCGGGAACTGGTCCCACCTGTCTGTCACTCACCCAGGATACTGCCATCCCTGTCGTCTGTGTGCCTGTCACATTGGCCTCCACTCCCC
Source organism: Homo sapiens (assembly GCF_000001405.40). Classification (NCBI taxonomy): domain Eukaryota; kingdom Metazoa; phylum Chordata; class Mammalia; order Primates; family Hominidae; genus Homo; species Homo sapiens. Next base: position 48,150,869 of record NC_000008.11, on the reverse strand, counting down.
TCTTCAGTGGCCCTCCCGGTCCCCTGCCTCTGCACCTGTTCCTCTCTCCCTGCAGCAGGCTCTCTCCCCGCCGCTCCTCCCCCTCACTTCCCCGGACACATCCATCTCTTTCACTGAGGGATACTACAGAATAGTTTTCTAAATAGTTCTCTCTTGGTTTCTAATTGTATATTTATTTTATTAGATTACTTGATGAATGCCTGCAGAGCCCATGAGGGTGCAGCTGCCCTAGTGCTAGACCATGTGACTGCAGGGCTCACCACAGAATTCCCCGTGCCCAGCACAAAGCCTGGCGCAAGGTGGGGATTCCATGACTATCTACAGAATGAGCAGACAGATGAGGGAATCTGCACATCTAGGTTCTAGCACAGGAGATAAATCAGCTTCACCGTGTTTCCCAGAGTGTCCTCCTCTCAGCACTAGTTTGGTGGAATAATAACAGATGTAATGTGGACTTTGTCTTGTGGACAAATAACTAAGAGAGGCCCTGGGTTCAACAAAGTTCTACATGACTTTTTAACCTCTGATATACCAATATGCATCGTGAATTTCTAAACAGAAATCTTGTAGCTCTATCTCCCAAACTGATTTGACCACAATACCATTTATTTTCATGGAATAACTTAGGGAACTAGTTTCATAACTGAGTCTGGTGGAAAAAGACAAATTGATGAGCAGAAAGTGTATGTAGCCTGGGAGAAACCAGACCTCTCCACAGGATTCACAGCCCAGGAATGGTGTGGTCAGGCATTCGTGGTAGAGGAGGAAATGCAACCCTCACCCTTTGGGTTTAATTTTACCTTTGTGGGGTTACGCACCAACTATTTCCTGTCTTTAGAGATATTAAACACCAAAATATGTGAGGCACTAAAATGGGGCTCAGGAGACTGTGATCCTCTTTTTTAGCTCCGTGACCTTGAGCAAGTCATATGGCCATGGCCACCGACAACACGAGAGCAACACCACCTACCCTGCCTATCTGGCTGTACAGAGTAAGGATCCAAAGAAATAATGAATATAATAACAACAATGGCTAGCGTTAATGATTTCCTTATTCTGTGCTAGTCGACACTTCTAGGAACTTTCCAAGTGTTATCTCATCCCATCCCTTGAAATAGACACTATTTTTACCCTTGTACAAATGACCTAATGGAGCTTCGGGAGTTCAGTAACTTTCCCAACACCACACAGCGAGGAAGCGGCCGAGTCAGGACTCAAGCTCAGAAAATCTGATTCTGGAGTCTGTGTTCTTAACTTCCACGCTCAATATGAGAGTTCTTGGCAATCCCCAAAGTGTGCAGTGAGGATATTACTCATCACCACTTCTGAACTTCGTTTTCCCACATGGTCTTAGCACACCAGGAAGATGGCATTGTGTGGAGCCAGCATCAGGTGCCTGGCGCCAGCCTGTCTTGCACCAATAGCTTGTGCCCCTGTGGAAGGCACTCAAAAATAACCACTCCACTCACTGAGCATCGGCCACCATCAGGCCCTATACTATGACTGTACTGGTTTATTAAGCAACGTGGTCAGTGGTTTACTCCCTAATCTGCCTTCCCCCACGAACAACGAAGGGAAAGGGACAGTGACTTTCCTCCTTTGTTCCCAGCCCAAGCTTCAGAAAATTGCACAGAGCAACCCTGGAGAAGGTTTCCACAAGGACAGTGTCCCCACAACATCAGAACCTGGGCACACTGGCCACTACCTCCTGCTTGCACACAGACACTCACCATGAAATCTCTCATTTCCACACTAATATTATTTTGAAGTTGAAAAAGGTAACCATGCAAAACTTCTTTTTTTTGAGACAGGGTCTCACTCTGTCACCCAGGGTAGAATGCAGTGGTGCAAACACAGCTCACTGCAGCCTCCACCTACTGGACTTAGGTGATCCTCCAACCTCAGCCCCGAGTAGCTGGGATTACAGGTGTGTACCACCATGCCCAACTATTTCTTTTTTTTGTATTCTTTGTAGAGATGGGGTTTCACCATGTTGCCCGGGCTATGAAAAACTTTTTTTGTTGTTTGTTTGTTTTTTATATTCTCCAATTTAAAACTTTTAATTAAAAAGTAAACTTAATGTCAAAAATGCAAACTTGGGGAAGACAGAAAAGATCACACACAAGGCTGGCCGGGCAGAGGCGCTCCTCACTTCCCAGACGGGGCGGCGGCCGGGCAGAGGCGCGCCTCACTTGCCAGATGGTGGGGTGGCTGGGCAGAGGGGCTTCTCATTTCCCAGACAGTGGCCGGCCAGGCAGAGGTGCTCCTCACTTCCCAGACGGTGGGCAGCCAGGCAGAGGTGCTCCTCACTTCCCAGATGGTGGGCAGCTGGGCAGAGGCACTCCTCACTTCCCAGACGGGGTGGCCAGGCAGAGGTGCTCCTTACTTGCCAGATGGAATGGCCGGGCATAGGTGCTCCTCACTTGCTAGACGGGGTGGTGGCTGGGCAGAGGCGCTCCTCATTTCCCAGACGGGGTGGTCAGGCATAGGCACTCCTCACTTGCCAGACGGGGTGACCAGGCATAGGCGCTCCTCACTTGCCAGACAGGGTGGCCGGGCAGAGGCGCTCCTCACTTCCCAGATGGTTGGCGGCCAGTCAGAGGCGCTCCTCACTTCCCAGACAGTGGGCAGCTGTATGAAAAATTTTAATTAAAACATTTCCGTTTACTCTTTTATGAGGATGTAACCAAAAGATTTGAATTGCAGCAGGTGAAATGGGAAAGGGTCAGGAGAGATGGTCTGTTCCTGAGCTCTGCCACTGAAAGCTGTGTGCTGTTGGGCAAATCTCCTAAGCTTATCTAGGCTTTGCTGTGTTCAGCTTTCAAATAAAAGGACTGTATAGATGATGACGCATGCACTTACTGTGGCCACCTGCTACTTGTTAGGCCTTGCTCAGCATACAATCCCATTATTTCCTCGCTATAGCCACATTTCGCAGACAGCAGAACAGAGACTGCGGAGACTCGGAGGCTAAATGTCCTTATCCTCTGGTAGTGGTAGGACAGTACTCAGGAAGGCAGCCCCAGGGGCTGCTCTTTTCTAAACATCCCTAAACTTCCATTTGAAAATTGCTGCATTACTGATATCCCCGAGGAGTATGAAGCTGGAGTATGAAGATGCTCCCAAGGCAGTGTCTTAGGTCGGCACACACCGCCTGAACTGCCCCATCTCTGTCAGTCAGCCTCCATGTCAGTCGGCCTCCATCACTTCCGTCCCTCTACTCCACAACTCTGTCTAAAAGCAACGTGCAGCTCTGACATTCTAGGGTTCCTATAGCCCCTGAGTAATCCTTTCCAATCCTTCACCACGCCCCTTCCCTGTCTATCTCCAAACCCTGGGATGCGGCAGAAGAGATACAACACTGGGGTGTTGCAATCTCTAGTTCCCGGAAATAGCACCTCTAAAACCAGCCTGAGCCAAGCTTGCCCAGGCGCCACCCAACAGGAGGAAAGCCTCCCCCACTGGCACAAAAGGCAGCATAACCCCAGGGCGGGTGGTGCAAAGGAGTCTACAGAACAGTTCTCTTATATCTGGATTACAATCAGCAATGAAAAGTGAAGGTACTGAGCCCGGTAGCCGGCTTTTGGGCAAGCAAGGGCAAGTGTCTGAATGGGACCCTCCAAGCCTGCACACTGGCAATCCCGTGCCAACCCCAGTGCAAGGAAACAGAAGCCATGGCCAGGGAAATGAGTGTCTTGGCAGCCCCTACTGCTGGTTTCTCAGAATTGCTCCGTCTTTTTCCAAATGAACCTCAGGAGAACCACAATTTTAAAACTTACTTCATCTGGGACAGTCGAAATTATTTTGGCAGTTCTCTGGAAGGGGGAAAAAGACAACTAATCCCTTTTCTACTCCCTCCCCATGACAAAAAGAAAAGTTACAACATAAGGCATATTGGAGCCAGTTCCCAGTCACAGAAATACATTTGAAGATCTACAATGTTGCACAATGTGCAAATTTGGAGAAGTAATTTTGAGGCTAAGTAAATGTCTGGAGACTTTATTAAAATGTCCCTTTGTCTTTGCTGGCCAAACTGGCACCTCAGGATCACAGAAGGAGCTTTTGTTTCCTCCATGACATCAAGAAGCTCTGGGTGCAAAGGGCAGTCTTCAGAGAATCCTGGAAGCAGAGTTGCTCCTGCTTCAGGGAGGATGTGCCCTTGCCACCTGCAGGGTTAGAGGGCTTTGGGATGTGCCCTTATTAGCCTTGTTTGGTTTTGTGGGGGCGGGGTTTTGGTTTCTGGGTTGTTGTTTTTTTTTGTTTGTTTGTTTTTTGTTTTTGAGACAGAGTTTCACTCTTGTTGCCCAGGCTGGAGTGCAATGGCGTGATCTCGGCTCACTGCAACCTCCGCCTCCTGGGTTCAAGTGATTCTCCTGTCTCAGCCTCCTGAGTAGCTGGGATTACAGGCGCCCGCCACTACGCCTGGCTAATTTTTGGTATTTTTAGTAGAGACGGGGTTTCACCATGTTGGCCAGGCTGGTCTGGAACTCCTGACCCCAGGTGATCCACCCACCTCGGCCTCCCGAAGTATTAGCCTTGTTTAAATATATACATGAGGCATAACTAATTTACATGCTACTGCTCTGACAGGTCTCTCCATAGTTTACCCAGAGCACAAATCTCGAAGCTGCATGAGAGCATTACACATTGGCAGTTTTGATGCCACAACCTGTGCTGATGCTTCACACCGAGAAGGACAGATCAAAGAAGAAACATGCCGGCCGGGTGCGGTGGCTCACGCCTGTAATCCCAGCACTTTGGGAGGACGAGGTGGGTGGATCACGAGGTCAGGAGATCGAGACCTTCCTGGTTAACACGGTGAAACCCCGTCTCTACTAAAAATATAAAAAATTAGCCGGGCGTGGTGGCGGGCGCCTGTAGTCCCAGCTACTCGGGAGGCTGAGGCAGGAGAATGGCGTGAACCAGGGAGGCAGAGCTTGCAGTGAGCCGAGATCGTGCCTCTGCACTCCAGCCTGGGCGACAGAGTGAGACTCCGTCTCAAATAAAAAAAAAAAAGAAAGAAAGAAACATGCCAAGGACATCAATTAAAGTGTTGGTAGGGACTTTCCACGAAAATAATTCAGAAAGATGATGAAGGACCCAAAACATACTAGCAAAAGGATTTACAGAAACCAAGTGTGAATGTGCTCGCTGAGTCCCAGAATTTCTGATTCCTGGGAAGTAGGACCCATGAACATTAAGGGGTCATTTTAGCACAAGTGAAAGGAGCAGTGGGTGAGAACGCATGACCGGAGGTCCCGGCCTTATGCGACTGACTGTCCCTCCTGGCTCCCCGCATCTGAGTGGGTTCAGGCCCGTATTAATGGAGCTGTACAGTACCCGCCCTCCAGGAGCTTGGGAGGTCTGCACCAATCCTACAAACATTTGGGGCGCCTTCTAATCACCGGGAGCTGCACCAATAGCGGTGGGGGCTGCCAAGCAAGACGCACAGGGCACCCAGATCACACACAGGACCCTTCAGCCAGGCAGAAGGAAGCACAGGAAAGTTCCAGAAAGGCTTCAGGGAGGTACAGCTCGAGTGGAATTTTAAAGGACGATTAGAAAATGGGGTTGAGCGCAGTGGCTCATGCCTGTAATCCTAGCACTTTGGGAGGCTGAGGCGGGCGGATCACCTGAGGTGAGGAGCTCCAGACCAGCCTGGCCAACATGGCGAAACCCCGTCCCTACTAAAAATACAAAAAAAATTAGCCAGGTGTGGTGGCGTGCTAGCCCCAGCTACTCGGGAGGTCGAAGCAGGAGAATCGCTTGAACCCGGGAGGCAGAGGTTGCAGTGAGCCGAGCTCGCACCACTGCACTCCAGCCAGGGTGACAGAGTGAGACTCCCTCTCAAAAAATAAAGGAAGAAAGAGGGCCGGGCGCGGTGGCTCACGCCTGTAATCCCAGCAACTTGGGAGGCCAAGGTGGACGGATCACGAGGTCAGGGGATGGAGACCATCCTGGCTAACACGGTGAAACCCCATCACTACTAAAAATACAAAAAAAAAATTAGCCAGGCATGCGCCTGTAGTCCCAGCTACTCGGGAGGCTGAGGCAGAAGAATTACTTGAACCTGGGAGGCAGAGGTTGCAGTGAGCCGAGATCACACCATTGCACTCCAGCCTAAGTGACAGAGCGAGACTCCATCTCAAAAAAAAAAAAAAAGAAAGAAAAGAAAAAGGAAGAAAGAAAGAAAACAGCCCAGTGGATGGGCAGGGGAAGTGGAAATGTCACTGGTTGGAATATTTCTCCTGAGGCAGAGAAAACAGCACCTAGACGCCTCCATAGCCCACCCCGGCCCTGTGGCCTTGGTGAGAGACCTTGCTCATTTTCTGCCCACTCTCCCACGGGCCCTCCTCTCCTTACCCTCCAACTACCCTACCTTCCCCACCCTCCATCCACCCACCCTCCTGCGGGCCCTCCCCTCCGCTCTTCACCCTGCAGCTTCCCTCCTGTGGACCCTCACCTCCCAAGCCTCTCCACAGCTTTGCAAGACACTCCCTGCACCCACGATCTCACTCCACTCCATGCACAGTGGTGCTGCTTCCTTGATTGAACCCCAACAAATTGTAGCTAATCCCTCACCTCCCACTTTCTCCTCATTGCACTCCAACCTCCCACTTTCTCCTCATTACACTCCAGTAAGAATTCTGTCTTCATCTCTTCATGAAAAAGCTTTTTCAGGCCACCCATAGCCTCCAAATTCCTAACTCAGTGACCTATCATTTGCTTTCTGGGCACTTGCTCTCTCAGCAGCATTTGAAACCACCAATGACTGCACCTTTCCTGGGAGACTGGGTTTTCCTCACTCACCTGACTGCTTCTCTTGCTTCTCTTGCGTGTATTTGCTGGCCCCTCTTCCTTTTCCTGGCCTTCAGATTCTTGTGTCCCAGGGCTTGGTTGTTCTTTGTTTCTTTTTTTGAGACAGGGTCTGGCTCTTCCACCCAGGCTGGAGTGCAGTGGTGAGTGCAATGGCCTGATCACCGCCTGCTGCAGCCTCAACCTCCTGGGCTCAAGTGATCCTCCTTCTTCAGCCTCCTGAATTGCTGGGACCACAGGCACACAGCATTGGGCCCGGCTAATTTTTGTTTCTGTTTTTTGTTATTGTTTGTTTGTTTGTTTGTTTGTTTAGAGGCAGGGTGTATTAGGCTGCTCTTGCATTGCTATAAAGAAATACCTGAGACTGAGTACTTCAAAAGAAAACCTGGCTCACGGTTCTGCAGGCTGTACAGGAGGCATAGCAGGGGATCTGCTTCTGGGGAGGCCTGGGGAAGCTTCCAATAGCTGGCGGAAGGCGAAGGGGGAGCAGGCGTCCCACATGGCGGGAGCAGGAGCAAGCGGGGGAGGTGTCACACTTTACAACAACCAGATCTGGGCAAAATCCCTCACCATCTGGAGCACAGCACCGAGCTCCGAGGGATTCTCCTGCCCTCCACCCCAACCCCATGACCAGAACGCCTCCCACCAGGCCCCACCTCCAACACTGGGGGTTACAATTCCACAGGAGATTCAGCAGCCTGGAGCTGAGTTACATGTTCAAACTTTCAGAGGCTTCCCATGGCCCATCTCCGCTTCCAGCACATTCGCCCTCCTACACATGCCGCCTCGCTGTGCACAGCAAGCCCTGCGGGAAAGGCCGCCGGGCCTAAGAAGGGCTTTCCTCGCGAGAAGGCCCAGGCAGAGAAGTCCCCCTTTTATCCCCGATGTGGCCGTGGGAGAATTTGACCGTGGGGGCTCTGTCGTTCACCTAGCTTCTGGTCCCATAACTAAGCAATAGCGGAAGAGTAAAGCAAAGCCAGAGACGGATAGTCCTGGGGCCTTGGCGACATGGTGGTGTCTCAGACAAACAAACCCTGCTCACCTATTTCTAGAATGTCGGCAATAGATCACCAGTTTCCCTACAGTTTAAGTCAACCTGAGTTGGGGTTTATTTTACCCGCATCCAAAAGCATCATGAGGTTGCGCTTCCTTCTCCCACGCCGCATGGCTGGCCTCCTTTCTGTCTGGAGCACGCGCCAAGCCTGCTCCTGCCACAGGGCCTTCGCACTGCTTGTTCCTGCGTGGAGTGCACTGTCCAGAATCTTAGCCAAACTGCTCTTAGTTCAAGCATCACCTGGTCACAGGGACCTCCCTGACCTCCTAGCTAGAGGACCACACTCCCACACCGCTTTTATGCCACACTTTCTGTCTTATTGCCGTCTTTACGCCACAGCATCTATCATTACATTACAAGGTCCTATTTATCTGCATGCTTTTTTTTTTTCTTGAGATGGAATCTCACTCTGTCGCCCAGGATGTAGTGCAATGGCATGATCTTGGCTCACTGCAACCTCCGCCTCCTGGGTTCAAGCGATTCTTCTGCTTCAGCCTCCCGAGTAGCTGGGTTTACAGGCCAGAGCCACCACAGCCAGCTACTTTTTGTATTTTTGGTAGAGACAGGGTTTCACCATGTTGGCCAGGCTGGTCTCAAACTCCTGACCTCAGGTAATCCGCCCGCCTCGGCTTCCTAAAGTGCTGGGATTATAGGCATGAGCCACTGCACCTGGCCTGCACATTTATTTTCTGCCTCCCCTGCTAGAATGTATGCCCGCACGAGGGCAGGGACAAGGGGGCATGTAGATTACAACCTGGTACTTAGTAAGTGTTCAGTAAATATCCTTTAAATAAAATGTGGCAAGAGAACACAGCACATTAGAAGGACTGCAAGTATTTCTGTGTGCAAGGCTAGCAGAGAAGGCAGGAGGGAATGAGAGGTAAATGCCAGATCCTTAAGAACCTTACATTGTATCCTAAGATTAATGGACAGCCACAGATGAACTGTGAGAAGGAGCACTATACACTGCAGCACAGCAGACAGGAGGGGAGAGACCATTCAGAAAACTGTTCCACTCATCTAGGCCAAGAAATGTGACTCAAACCAAAGACAGTGGCTTTGGGATGGAGAATACAGAATGGATTGGGTTCATGAGGCATTAGTAAAGGATTGGCGGCTTGGCCTCCCACTGAGGGCAGTGAGCTAATGAAAGGGAAGCATCAAGAACAACATCCAGGCTTCTGTTTGGACAGTGTGGTGCCAGTCATGGAGCCAGGGCCTGGCGAGGCAGCTGATTCGCATTTGGAGGAAATTAGTCTGACTCTGAATATGTTGATTTTGAGACACTCAGGACATTCCCAGGTAGAGATGCATAGTTACCATCAGAGACACAGGTCTGGAGCATAGAGGAAGGGTCTGTCCTAGAAACAGGGCCTGGAGATTGCAGTTCAGCCTTGAGAGTGTGGGGGTCATGCAGGAAGACCACAGAGAACCTAGAAAAGGAAGAGAAGACACCTGGAGACAAACCCTAAAGAGCACTAACATCTGAGAAGCATGGAGAGAGAAACTGCTAAGAGACTGAGAAAAAGTAGCCCAGATGAAGAAAACACCAGAAGTGCATGATTTTATGAAAGTTAAGAGAATATTGCAAAGAGGAGTGGTCAAGTGATATGAGAACTAAAACATGCTCATTTGACTTGGTAGCCAAGAAGTTTTTGGTAATCTGAGCAAAACCATTTTGGGGACGGTGGGCGCAAAAGCCAGATTGTTGTTGTTTGTGGAGTGAAGAGATGAGTGAGTAGGTATGACTCAGGGAGACCGCATCCTTCCTGGGTGTTCAGCTGTAGCCAGCATTCCCCATCCTTCCAGCTCCGAGGCTTCTTTCCAAAACACCAGGAAGGGAAATAACATTTGCTCTAAAATCGCTGGCACCATGACCATCTTTACTGTATAAATGACAGTGAAGTCACCTACTTTTGGAAGGGCACAACTTCCTTAAAACTGTCACAAAATTAAAATGCAAACAATACAGAAACGCATGATGTACAAGTCCTCTTCCCTCTCTCCCAAATCCTGTCCCTTCCCTCTGGGTAACTGCTGAGGACACTTGGCTGCATGCCCTTCCAGAACTTTTTCTATGTGTTTACATAGATTTCATTCAACAAGCACATTTTGAGTGCCTGTTGTCTGCTAGATCCCTTGTGCATAGAGATTTTTTTCTTGCTGCTTTTGAGATAAACAAGAATTTCACCAAATATATATTGGAGAATAAGTGTATGTATCTATATATCTAACTCGTGTTTTGTAATACCCCATAATATTTCACAAGATCTATATATGTACCAAAAATGTTTACTATTCCCCCCTTAATGGGCACGAAGGTTGCATCCAATTTTCACTATGTAATAATGCAAGATATATGTTATTGTTTATTCATTTTGTGTTTATAGGCAAGTATTCATATAAGACATATTCCAAAAATAGAAATACTGGGTCAAAAATGTGCATTTTTAACTTTTCCAGATCCTGCCAAATTTTGATGGCCATTGCTAAAATGGCACCGAAACAGCTGCACTCGAATGCACTGGGGGGTGAGAGGGCATCTTTTCCTGGGCCCCACCTCCTCAGATACAGTCTCAGCCTCCTGAACGTTGTCCAATCTCACCAATGAACCATGACATCTCACTGATGTTTGTATGTACATTCCCCTCATTTTTAGTGAGGATGAACATCTTTGCAGTATTGATTGGTCATTAGTAGGGTTTTTTTTCTTTTTTCCCTCTTGGGCTTGACTTTACTGCCTCTTCTATCATTTATCTTCTTCTTTCATTGACTGGTGTGCACTCTTCAACTATTACAGCTATGGCCTTTTTTCTGTTACATGTGTGGCAGATATTTTCTCTGGCTCTTTAGCTTGTGTTTAAACTTTGCTTATGGTGTCATTCACTAATCAGAAGTGGTTTGGTTCAAGGAGGGAAAGAGAAGGGAAACTGACATTTACACCAACAATATGCATATGTTGTCTCTTACATATATTTCATTAATACCTATAGCATCTCTATGACATAGGTATTATTATTTCTAATTTTTTTAAAGTAAAAATCTTAGGCATTAAAAGAGGTTACCTGCTCAAGATCACCCAGTGAGTAACTGAAACCTCACCTGGAATTCACATCTATTGGTACAATTCCAAAATCAAGTTTTCCCCCAAAGCATCTTTTCTAGTTTCATTATCTATTTCTGGGTAGATGTTTGAGGGGAATGATTAAATATAGGTTCTTGTAGATTATACCTTTATATAAAAGTGACAGATCCTTACTAAAAATTTAAAAATTAAAAAAAAGAAGTGGCTGGGGTTTCTATTTTGTTTTGGTTTTGTTGGTCAAATCTGTCTATCATTTACTCTATGGTTATTGGATTTTGAGTCTTGCCTAGTAAACCCTTTGTAACCCCAAAGTCATGAAAATATCCCCTTATATTTTCTTATAGCACTTTTTCAAGGTTTAGGTTTTCCATTTTCGGAATGTATTTCCTCTAGAATTTTCTTGTGTATTTGGTGAAAGACAGGACTCTTTTTCCCTCCACTGGGGAGGCAACTTCCCAAAGGCATTTACTAGATAGTTCATCCTTTTTCTACTACTCATTACACACTCTCCCAGGCCCCAACTTCTCTATATCCAAGGACAGGTGATGTGATGTGGTAGCCTTTAGGCCACATCAATTTGAAAATATTTTGGTCAATAGAAAAGTGATCAAAAATATATTTCAGAGTCTTACTGAAAGTCCACCAATGGTTTCCAGTCTTTGTCAACTTCCTTGCAGCCTCAAATCTCTGTCTCCCCACCAGGAAAGGCCACTGCTGGAGGCAGTTGCATTGCCACTGAGGCTGTGCCCTCCACATGGGAGGGGCTGGATGACTGCTGGCATGTCACCAGGAAAGCCCCCATGAAATGACTGCGTCTCCATTGATTTTCCTCCATGGCAGCTTCTCTGCAAAAGGCCTTTGTTCTTTCACTGACATTTGCAAGTTGTTAGGGCTTAAAGTAAGAAAGGGAATATTTCAAGAGGAAAAGCTTTTCTTCCCAAGAATAGTCAAGAAAGTTGGGAGAGATTAGTGAAACAATAGATTCTAGAGGCAACACGGTTTTCATGACTTTTTCAAAAGGAAAGAAAATACTTTATTACCACAAACTGATTTATTTGAGTGGATCAAACCAGCGTGCTGCAGCTCACTTCTGTTGTGCAATTGTCCTTTAATGCATGACCACCACCTGGCAGAACTTCCTTCTCACAGTGAACAAGAGCAAATGGTCTTTCACTAACTATGCAGATAACTTTGTTTCAAACCTCATGGAAGTAGTTGATACAGTTATACTTCTGTTTATTTTTTATTGTATTTTTTTAATTCCTCAAATGCATGGTCCATGCTGTCCAAGGTCTCTGGGTGTGTATAAGCAACTTTTAATTATACCATCTTTTTTTTATTTTTTGAGACAGGGTCTCACTCTGTCACCCAGGCTGAAGTGCAGTGGCTCGATCTCATCTCACTGCAGCCTCGACCTCCCAGGCTCAGGCGATCCTCCCACCTCAGCCTCCCAAGTAGCTGCTGGGACTATAGGTGTACACCACCACACCCAGCTAATTTTTTTTTTTTTTTTTTTTTTTTTGTAGAGATAGGATTTTGCCATGTTGCCCAGGCTGGTCTCGAACTCCTGGGCTCAAGCAATCTGCCCACCTCAGCCTCCCAAAGTGCTGGGATTTACAGGCGTGAGCCCCTGTGCCTGGCCTAATTATATTATCTTTTGAAAACCTCTACCACAGGCTGGGTGCAGTGGTTCACGCCTGTAATCTCAGCACTTTGGGAGGCTGAGGCAGATGGATCATGAGGTCAGGAGTTCGAGACCAGCCTGGCCAACATGGTGAAACCCCATCTTGACTAAAAATACAAAAATTAGCCAGGCATGGTGGTGCGTGCCTATAGTCCCAGCCACTTGGGAGGCTGAGGCAGGAGAATCACTTGAACCTGGGAAGTGTTGGTTGCAGCGAGCCAAGATCATGCCACTGCTCTCCAGCCTGGGCAACAGAGCAAGATTCCGTCTCAAAAAAAAAAAAAATTATACCACCAATCAGGCAATACACATAATTTGAATAAATGGTTCAAAATGAGCACCTGCATTGCAGACCTTTGAGAGACCACAGATTGCTAAACGGCCACACGCACGAATAGCATAAACCCATATTGAGCCAAAAAAAAATTAGAAATGCTAAGTTCCAGATTCTAACATACCCACCGACTGTCTGCGGAACACGCACTTTTGAATTATTTTGTAGTATAAATGTGGATCCCTCATTATCCATTGTGACCATGTGACACAATCAGCTGAAATTGGAATTTGGCTCTTCCTGTGTGCAGGTGATGTGGCCCAACTTTCCATGAATAAAGGAGCTTTCTCTATTACACTGAGTCAAGTAGCTCAGAGCTTGGTTTACACCGGAGCTCATGGAGAGACTAGTGTCAGTCCAACTTAAAGACTCAGGAGAAGTTACCGCCATGCTGTGGCATGGCGTGGCAACCCCACATGGCCGTGTCTGGGAGACTGAGGGCTGCGAATACACTCCAGGTGCCTAGTTCACAGCAGAGATACCCCAATTTAAACCAACGACAGCCACCATCTCCTTCAGGTTGCTGCCAGCAATAGCCTCCACCTTCCTAGATTTGCCCTACATTTGTTTGCGCAGATTTTCTGGTCACCATATCAGGGAGGCACATATGATGAAATGGCAAACCTTCTCAGCTTACTGAAGCGGCAGCAGTGCATGGAATCCTCATGCTTTGAATCTCTCTCACTTCTGCCGCAGCTCTTTCTTGAGCTCCCTGCTGTTACGGGCTCCTGTGATAACAGTAGCCCCGCCCAGGTAACTCAGGCTGATCTCCTTACCGCCTGTGCCACAGAACGTGAGATAAGCAAGGAAAACTATTTCCTCCTGCTGAAGGGTTGCCGGGGGCAGAGTGGGGCATCTTTGAGGGCAATTTTAGAAACTCTGCTTACCACAGCTATGAACACGGCTGCATGCCTCCTTGTAGGTGGCCTGTAGTATGTCATGAAGTTCCCAAATTGGCAGTTTTCTTTCCTATAATTTTGGGATAACAACCCTTTTTCAGGATTCAGCACATCATGAGAGTGATTGCAAATTCGGGTCAAACATTTGTTTGCAAATATGTGATTGCTGCAGCACAAATCCTCAGCAAGTAGAACATGCTGTGTTGACCCTAATTCCCTCAGACAACGCTCTCTAGCGCCTGCCCTGCCCACTGAAAGGGACTGCATTCTGAAGATCCCTCCAGGAGCGGCAATTGCACAATGGGCTCATTCTCACTTGTTTCATCTGCCCTGCGACAATGCCCAGGGACTCAGGGAGTAATTGAGGGGTTTAGTGAAGTGGTGAAGTTAAGGGAGATGACAGGTTTGACCTGATGAAGCGACAGCAAAAGGCCATTACCTCCATGTCTGAGGGGCAAGGGGAGGGGTGCTTACCAGCTCACTGAGACCTCAGGTAAAGGAACATAGCCATCCCTAACCCACTGCCTGGCAGGGAAAAGCCAGGGGATAAACACCTTGGCACTCTCTTCTCCCCTCTCCACTGTCTCACTGGGGCCTTCCATTGGCTGAGCCCAACCAGAAGCCAGAAGGAAAGGGAGCCTGGCAGATGCAGGCAACAGAGACCAGCTTTCCATCACATGGAGCAGGATGAGCAAGGTGGAAATATAGTGACCTGAGTATCAAGGAGGAAGAGGGTATTGGTCATGACCAACAACCCACGATCTCCACAGCTTTCTATAGCAGTCACGCTCTCCAGGGCCAAGTGCAGCACTGCTCCATGTCATCTTCCTCCAGAACGGGGTCAACAGAGTATCTCCTTTCAAAGCACATCCAGTCTTATGGCCAAGAATAAAGAGGCCATCCCCATACCAGCTGCAAAAGCATCTGCCTGGAAACAGCTCACATTCACTCTGCACACACTTCATTGGCCTAGGGTATATCACGTAGCTGCTCCGGAGTTTTAAAATGTGGTGATGCATAACTTCCCACTGTGAGAGGTATCATAAGGAGGAAAACCAGAAAATCTGACAAACAGGCATGCAACATTACGTAAAAGGGAAGAGTGGGCGTCATCTTCAAAGCCAGCACCTATGCATCTCACCACTCCTGCTTCCTGTCTCTCTTGACTCTTCTTCCATCTTGTCCACACGATTACACTGGGTTCACCTAAGAAAAGGCATAAAAATGCATACAAGGCCAGGCACAGTGGCTCACGCCTGTAATCCCAACACTTTGGGAGGCCAAGGCAGGTGGATCACGAGGTCAAGAGATTGAGAACATCCTGGCCAACATGGTGAAACCCTGTCTCTACTAAAAATACAAAAAGTAGCTGGATGTGGTGGCACACGCCTGTAATCCCTGCTACTAGGGAGGCTGAGGCACAAGAATCACTTGAACCTGGTAAGTGGAGGTTGCAGTGAGCCGAGATCGTGCCACTGCACTCCAGCCTGGTGACAGAGCAAGACTCTGTCTCAAACAACTCCGTCTCAAACAAACAAACAAAAAAAAGTACAGCCAAAGGATAGTAACTCAGTAGAGGAAGAATGGTTATTTCAACAAATTGGAGATCCACAAATTATTAGGAAAATGAATGTCAACCTCAACCTCACACTTCATATAAAAGTTACCTTAAAATGGGATGGGCACGATGGCTCATGCCTGTAATCCCAGCACTTTGGGAGGCCAAAGCAGGTGTATCACCTGAGGTCAGGAGTTCGAGACCAGCCTGGCCAACATGGTGAAACATCATCTCTACTAAAAATATAAAGATTAGCCAGGCATGGTGGCGGGTGCCTGTAATCCCAGTTACTCAGGAGGCTGAGGCAGGAGAATCACTTGAAACCGGAAGGCGGAGGTTGCAGTGAGCCGAGATCATGCCACTGCACTCCAGCCTGGGCAAGAAGATCGAAACTGCATCTCAAAATAAATAAATAAATAAATAAAGTTACCTCAAAATGGATCTCAGGTTTAAACATAACACTACAAAACTTTTAGATAAAAAAAATGGAGAAAATCTTCAGGAACTAGGTAGGGCTTAGGAAGATTTCTTAGATCTGACACCAAAAGCACAATCCATAAAAGAAAAACATATCAGTAAATTGGACTTCACCAAAAGTAAAATCTATTGCTCTGCAAAAGACTCTGTTAAGAGGATGAGAAGGCAAACTACAAACTGGGAGACAATATCTGCATATCGTCCACCTGACAAAGGTCTCCTATCTAGAACACATAAAGAACTCTGAAAGCTCAACAGTAATTTTTGAAAATCCAATTAAAAACTGAGCAAACACATAAAGAGACATTTCACTGAAGAGGACATATGGATGGCAAGCACATGAAAAGATGCTCCACATCATTAGCTATTAGAGAAATGAACATTAAGAACACAATGAGGCCGGGTGCAGTGGCTCACGCCTGTAATCCCAAAACTTTGGGAGGCCAAGGCAGGTGAATCGCTTGAGCTCAGGAGTTTGAGACCAGCCTGGGCAACATGGCAAAACCCCGTCTCTACCAAAAATACAAAAATTAGCCAGGCGTGGTAGCATGCATCTGTGGTTCCAGCTACTCAGGAGGCTAAGGCAGGAGAATCACTTGAGCCCAGGAGGTCGAGGCTGTACTGAGCCATGTTCATGCCACTGCACTCCAGCCTTGGTGACAAAGTGAGGCTGTCTCAAAAAAAAAAAAAAAAAAAAGAAAAGGAAAAGAACACAATGAGAATCACCACACAACTATTACAATAGCTAAAATTAGAAATAGTGACAATACCACACACTGGTGAGGATACATAAAAACTGGTTCTCTTATACATTGTTAGTGGAAATGTAAAAGGGTAGAGTCACTCAGAAAACCAATCAGCAGTTTCTTCACAAATGAAAGATATACCTGGCTGGGCACGGCAGCTCACACTTGTAATCCCAGCACTTTGGGAGGCTGAGGCAGGCAGATCACCTAAGGTCAGGAGTTCGAGACCAGCCTGGCCAACATGGTAAAACCTTTTCTCTACTAAAAATACAAAATTAGCCAGGCATGGTGGCATGTGCCTGTAATCCCAGCTACTCGGGAGGCTGAGGCAGGAGAATCGCTTAAACCTGGGAGGCGGAGGTTGCAGTGAGCAGAGATCACGCCATTGCACTCCAACCTGGGCAACAAGAGTGACACTCTGTCTCAAAAAAAAAAAAAAAAATTAAGAAAGATATACCTATCATACCACCAATCCTGAGCATTCGTACCAGAAAAATGAAGATGTATACCCACACAAAAGATTCTACACAATTGTTCATGGTAGCCTTATTTGTGATAGCCAAAAACTAGAAACAACTCAAATGTCCTACGGCAGGTGAATGTTTAGACAAACTGTGATGCACTTGTACCATGGCCCCCTACTCAGCAGAAAAAAGAACTAACACTTGACACATGCAACAATTTGGGTGTGTCTCAAGGGCATTAGGCTGAGGGGAAAATGTCAATATCAAAAGTCACATGCTGTATGATTCCATTATATAAAGTCCTTGAAATGACAAAATTAGAGAAATGGAAAAAAGACGAGCGCCCAGGTGAGTGATGATGGGGGGCCGGGGTGGAAGGAGAACGGTGAAGGGGTGGCACAGTGGGATTGTCGTGGGGCTGGAGGAGCTCCAGCCTGGCTCTGGTGCTGCTTATCCTAACCCGCCCACATGATAAACAGAACCGCACACACCTCGAACCAGTGTCAGGTCCTGGCTTTGATTCTGCGCTATGTTTACAAAACTTGTACCCACTGGGGGAAACTGGGGGAAGCACTGAATCTACCCATACATTTTCACAGCTTCCTGTGAACCTATAATTATTTCAAATAAGAAGTTTTTAAAAATCTGAGCAGAATCTAGAAAATGTGAAGAATGCATATACTCTAGAACTCAGCAAAAATATCCCAGTAACAAACAGTTTGAAAATGTATTCTTTAAAAGATACACATGAAAAAAATACAAAACAACTAACACTAAATCTAACAAAAGATAAATAAGATTTTTGTGAGGAAAATTATAAAACTTTATTAAAATATCTTTCTAAAGAATTTAAACAGAGAAATAAGCCATCATGTTTGTGGATTAAAATACTAAATATAATAGAGATATTAGTTCTTCCCCAGTGGATCTATAGATTCAATGCAATTTCATTTGAAACCCAACAAGTTTTTTTGTGAAACTTGATAAACTGATTGAAAAATGCATAGGAGTAAAAAGCAGAGAATAGCCAAGACACTCCTAAAATAAGAATAAGGTGTAAGGAATTGACTCACAGATATCAAAAATCATTGTGAAACTACAGAAAGTAGGATAATGTGGTACTTATTTAGAGACAGACAAATTGACAAAGAGAACAGAATGGAGGCTAGACCTAGACCAGCACACGAATGGAAGTTTTCTGTATGCCCAAGCTGGTATTGCAGATTAGCAGAGAAAAGATGATTATTCAATAAATGGTGGTGGGACATTGATTATACCTATGGAAAAAAATGAAATTAGATTCTTAGCACACACCATATACAAAAATCAATTCTAGTATATTGAAGACAAAGGAGAAAAGCAAAAACCACAAAATTTAAAAGGCAAAATATGAACACATCAAGACAGTGAGGAATTTCTTAAAATACCGCAGCAAAAACATAAAGGGAAAGATTGATGATTTCTACTAAACTAAAATGTTTAAATTCTGTTCTAAAAAGACCTTATAAAGGGAATGAAAAAAAATTCTCTGGGAGAAAATATTTGCCACATCTGTAACTGACAAAGGATTATTGTCTATAACATATATATAAAGAACTGTATCAGTAAACAACTCTGAGATGAAATGGGGAAAGGCTTGAAAACACTTCACAGAGAGAAATAAAAAACGGCTCTAAGTACATGAAAACGCACAAGCTCATTAGCAGCCACAACAAGAAACCATTTCATACCCAGCAGACTGGCAAAGATTTTAACGTTGACAATACCAGCGCTTGGGAAGGGGAAGGATGTGGAACTCTGTGCACATGCCCAGTGGAAAGTAATTGTTACAACCCATTTGGAAAAAAAAAAAAAAAAACCATTTGGAAACCAACCGAGCAGAATCTAGAAAATGTGAAGAAGGCATGTGCTCTATGACCCCTCAACTCAACCTCTGGGGAAAAAAGGGCCTTGGAGACCTGCTGTGTCTGTGCAGGAAGAGATGGAAGAGAGTGGGCACAGTGGCTCTTTCTGCAGTAGCAGAAAGCCAGACGCCAATCCAATGTCCATAACAAAAGGATGGTATACTCCTTCAACTAAAATCCAGATGGCAGGGAAAGTAGATAAATCACAGTTACACAAAAAACATGGATAAATCTCAGAGACACACAGAACTGAATGAAACTAGAAATCACAGAATAATATATAAAGTATGATTCTGTTTATTTTAAACTCAAAAATCAGAAAAACCAAACTAGCTGTTGTTTAAAATAACAAACGTGTGGAAGAACTGTGAAGAAAATCAAGGGAGGGATAAACACAAAATTTAGGATACAGTACTTGGAGGGGACAGAAGAAAGGGATGGCTCCGGAGGGACCTAGAGACCTCAAACAGGATGGTGGCCTTTTACTTAAACTGGAAATTGAGTCTACGGGCATTACACACATAGTTAAGTGCATGTTATGCATATTTTCAAAATTACAAAAATAAAAGGAAACCGAGAGGCTCCGTGGGAACCACTTGATTCTCACTGAAACTGATGGAGGGGAAGGAGGGTGCCACCTCCCTGCCATTCCCAAGGCCCGCGCTCAGGCAGCTGCTTCCGACCCCCGGGGACGCCCGCCCCGTGGACCAAACACACACTATCATTTCCTAAGTGTGGGAGCACGGGAGTAAAGGAGCACGACTGGGCCGCTCATCACTGGGAGAGGCGGGCAGGGAAGGAGCAGTAGGGGGAGAAGCGGGACAACCCCTGGCCGCCACCCTCCACCACGGTCCGCATTCTGCCGTTGGCCTCGGCCCAGCGTGCTTTCCTCTGCTAGCCAGCCAGGTCCTACTGTGTGTTGGGGGTAAGGGGGAAGCAAGGCTATTCTGAATCTCCACTCCACGGCCTCTCTCCCTCTCCTCCCAAATGCTCCTCCTTCAGGCCACATCCTGACGCAGCTGCTGACACCCTCATATTCAGCATCCACCGTAAGCTTTTTCATTTGCTCCCAGTGAACATTTTCAGGGATGTCAAGGAGGAGGAGGAAAGGGGGTGCCATCGGGAAGGGCTGGCAATGACAAGGCCAGGGATGGTGAAGAGACCCTGCAATTAGTTCCTGACCTCCATCTCACCTCAAGCCCAAGTCCTGCCATTTCAACTCAGGGAACTTGTTTCTGGCCACTGCTGGGGCCGCCTCCTCCACTGTGGGCGCTCAGCTGCCCGGTGTCCTGCCAGTCCCCTCCCTAAACCAGGATCACTGCGCGGAGGTCACCTGGAATCACCCGTACTTGTGGGTCCTAGACACCCTGTGACTCATTAATGTCCCTGGTGCCAAGAAGCTACAGCAGGAAAATTCACTACAGCAGGAAAATTTCTCTGTTATCTCAGAGAAGCCCACCTGAAGAGGCAGTCCTCGCCAGATCTCCGCTTATCGCCTCTGTGTGAGCACAAGAATTATGGTGTCTTATCAAGCAGCATTTTCCCGCCGAATTAAGGGGAACGGTCCATTTGCCCTCTGACCTTTTGGAAAAGTAACCACTGGGCGCCTTTCTGGTGTGGTGGAAAATCACAGCATAGGCGCTTCTAAAGCACAGGCTATAAAACATTCTTCATGTCTTGTTCAAATCTTCAAAGCTCCCCAGTTGAAGCTCTCAGCTTGACAGCGTCCAGCTAACTCCTCCGCCTTGAGCTCTCTGTGCCTTTGGGGCCTGGGCCGCTGCTGCTTCCTTGCAACTCCAAGGAGCCTAATCAGACTTCAGATGCCCACAAGCGCTTCTTCTTTCTTCTCTACCTCTCCCTAAAAAGAAAAAACAATCATGTTGGCAAAAGGGAAATGGAACAAGGCAAATCCAGTTTATACAAATGCATCAGAGAGGTTTAGTGCTTTTCTCCTAAAAATATTCACCCATAGGCAGGGCAGGGTGGCTCACACCTGTAATCCCAGCACTTTGGGACGCCGAGATGGGTGAATCACAAGGTCAAGCGACAGAGACTATCCTGGCCAACATGGTGAAACCCCGTCTCTACTAAAAATACAAAAATTAGCTGGGTGTGGTGGCATGCACCTGTAGTCCCAGCTACTCGAGAGGCTGAGGCAGGAGAATCGCTTGAACCTTGGAGGTGGAGGTTGCAGTGAGCCGAGATCGCGCCATTGCACTCCAGCCTGGCGACAGAGCGAGACTCCATCTCAAATATATATATATATATATTCACCCATAAATCTGTAAAAGGAAAGGCTTGTAACAAACAGCTGCATCTGTTTCTACCCCGTGTCCTCAAAGCTGATACCACACAAGATACCAAGGAGGCTTCCAAAGACTTGAGGCAGAAGTCTTCAGTGTTCAAACATCCATTACGTTTTTGAGCCACTTTTTTCATTATTTAGGTCAATAAAGTCCAGTAACCAAAAGAAAGCAGGAAGGAGGGGTCAAAAGCCAGAAAGGAGCTGTGATCTATGAGTGGTTATAACACCCTGGCCAAAGCAAGGACATCCAACTAAACTTAGACAACATCATAGTGATTAAACAGTCCCAAAAATGATCAGAAATGTGTGACATTTGGTCCAGGCGTGGTGGATCATGCCTGTAATCCCAGCACTTTGGGAGGCTGAGGTGAGTGGATGACCTGAGGTCAGGAGTTAGGGACCAGCCTGACCAACATAGTGAAATCCCATCTCTACTAAAACTACAAAACAATTAGCGGGCCATGGTGGTGAACACCTGTAATCCCAGCTACTCAGGAGGCTGAGGCAGGAGAATCGCTTAAACATGGGAGGCAGAGGCTGCAGTGAGCCGAGATTGCACCACTGCACTCCAGCCTGGGTGACAGAGCAAGACTCCATCTCCAAAAAAAGAAAGAAAGAGAGAGAGAGGGAAAGAAAGAAAGAAAGAAAGAAAGAAAGAAAGAAAGAAAGAAAGAAAGAAAGAAAGAAAGAAAGAAGGAAGAGGGAGGGAGGGAGGGAATGAAGGAAGGAAGGAAGGAAGGAAAAAAGAAGAAAGAAAGAAAGAAAGAAGGAAAGCAGTGTGGCATTTAGGGAAAATACATCAATCAAGATTATCACTTCTATAAGAAGGCAAATCTTGGTAACCAGAAATATAAGAGGATCCTTCCAAGAAGGAGCCAGTGAAGCAATGAGATTGAGGTGGAGACAGATAGAAGGGCGGGGAAAAGGTGTGCACCACGCAAGCCACTGGGAGCACTGGAGTTTAATTCCATGGGCAATCCAAATAAGCACACTTCGCAACTCCTTCCTTTAAGGAACTTACTTTACAATTGCAACTCTAATACCCAGAAGAAGTGAAAACAGGCACTGAGAGAAAGACTTGTGCACACGTTTACAACAGCATTATTCACAACAGCCAAAAGGTGGAAATGGCCCGAATGTTAGTCAACAGATGACTGGATAAACACAATGTGTGGATGCATCACGCATGCGGGGGTGCAGGACAGAGCTGGCAGTGGGGCGGGGGCCACTGAGGATGGGACCTGACAGCCGGGTCCTAGGCCAAGAGAGCGCTGCAGGCATTCCGGGAGAAATACCTGCACACAAAGACCTCATTGCGAATTACTATTATGTATAAGTACAATAAATAGCTTAAGCAGGTGAAGATTAAATTAATACAAGATAGGGCTGGAAAGGTATTTGCAGGAGACAGTGGGAAATAGCCAAGTTTGTAAAATGGTAATAAAAGGTTTTGACATATTTTGGCTTCAGATAAAAGACATAAATGCCCTCTCGGGGGAAAAAAACATATCCTTGTCAATAATTATGTAACATGATTAACTCTATCCCTCTGGCCTTGCAGCTCACCCAACAGAACAGCCCAGGCCTCTCCTCTCCTCAGCTCCTGCAGAGGAACACAGAGTGGTGAATGCCCACCAAGCACCTTCCCACAGACTCAGCCTGGAGTTTGTTTCAGACCCTGTCTAGGTTGTCCACAGAGAAGGCATGTGTCCTCTTCCACTATTTCCTCCTAATGGTTGTTAGGGCAAAAAGTGAATATTCCAGATTGCCATACTCATGAAAGCTACTAAACTATACAAGGGGGCTGGGCACAGTGGCTCACACCTATAATCCTAGCACTTTGGGAGGCCAAGGCCAGTGGATCATCTGAGGTCAGGAGTTTGAGACCAGCCTGGCCAACATGGCGAAACCACGTCTCTACTAAAAATACAAAAAAATGTTAGCCAGGCATGGTGGCACACACCCATAGTCCCAGCTACTCGGGAGGCTGAGGTAGGAGAATCGCTTGAACCCGGAGGCAGAGGTTGCAGTGAGCCAAGATCACATCACTGCACTCCAGCCTGGGCGACAGACCAAGACTCCATCTCAAAAAATCATAAATAAATAAACCATACAAGGGGAGATTCTGAACTTACCAGAAACAGCTCTTATTTTCCAAAGAATGAGTATCATTCAAATGTATAAAACAAAGAAATGACGAGCCAAGTGGAGCACATAATCAGAACAGAGGTGCATTTCAAAGCCAGCAGATTTCTAGCATGGATGCAGTGGGGCCACGTCAGTGCTCATGAACTCTAGGGACAACATACACCTGGGGCCATGCTCCGTCTCTCTCCCTGCGGATGTCAGCACCTTGCCAAGAGACAGGCACTAGGAGAGGAGGTTGTGCTCTGGACCCAAAACATGGATGAAGGAAGAAAGTGACAAAATGCAGAACATGCCCAAGCTGCTGGCATGGCTCATGCCTCAGGCCTCCCAGTCCAGCACCTGTGCCCCCCCAGGTCCCACTTTGATTCTAGAATGGACCCTCGACTCTCAGCAGGGCCCAGGCAGGAAGCAGTCAGCCAGCTGCGCAGCTCTTTGCATGCCTGATTCACCCTTATCAATCATGTGCTCTTCCCTAACCAAGGAAATAAGGTTCTGTGCCGCCAGAAACATACAGCTTCCCGAACCCTGCCTATTTTCCTTCAAGACTGTCTTCAGAAACACATGAATATGCTTCCTCTGCGCTTTATTAATGTTCATATTGAGAGAAATAGCAACGACCTGCCAGAGATGCTAAATGGGTGAGCAGAGGAAAGTCTACCATGCACACGTGTGTGAGTGATAAGTTCTCCACCAGAGAATAGGTTTTGAGGAGAACAGGGGAAAGATACAACCCCAGCTCCATCCAGATGTATCTATGCTCACATGGAATGGGCTTCCTTTCGCAGAGCACAGGGGCCTTTCTTCCTTTATGAGAACAGGCACTCCCTTCTGTTGATCACTAGGAAATGGGGGGAGAAAAGTTATTTGATAAAAGGGTAGGGATCTCTCTCCCTCCCAACCAATTCCAGAGGGAGGCTGAACAGGAGGCGGCGCCCTTTCTCTCTGGCCCTGGTCATCTCACAGCCCTACCCCACGCCACCTGACTCAGACCTTGTTCTGTGGATGCCCAGACCAGGTTGTTCTCCATCAGCCCTGGATTCCAGCAAAGTTCAGAGAACAAAAGGGACACCTGCACACAGAGGAGGAGGAGCCCCTGGCTACTCGTGGGAGCGCAGACCTCAGTGGGCAAACCCTCCCTTCTGAGGGTCACCTCATCACAGAGGCCTCAGCCTGAGTCTCCGCCAACCAGTGAGAAGCGGGCAGGGTCGGGGGGATACAGAAGCGTAGCTGCCCTGCAAGGAAGAGCCAGACTGTGTTTACTGCTGGGGGTGGATGGCACCAGCTCCACACACAAAGAATGAAATGCACACAGAGCTCATCTGACATAGTACATGTGCTCCTCAAGTTGGCCCTGGTCAGGCACCAGGGACACTGAAAATGAGTGCAGCACAGCCCTCCTGCTCAGCACGGCAGCCGGGCCAGCACCACAGGGGGTGCCTGAGCCCAAAGCCCATCAGTAGGGTGACCATGGCGAACAGTAACCCACTTTGTCTTTCAAAATAGCTAGAACAGTCCCAATGTTTCCAGGGTAAAGAAATGACAAGCATTTGATTTGAGCGTGGCAGCTCACGCCTGTAATCCCAGCACTTCGGGAGGCCAAGATGGGCGTATCACCTGAGGTTAGGAGTTCGAGACTAGCCTAGCCAACATGGTGAAACCCCGCCTCTATTAAAAACACAAAAATTGGTGGGGCATGGTGGCATGTGCCTGTGGTCCCAGCTCTTCAGATATGAGGCAGGAGAATCGCTTGAACCCAGGAGGTTGAGGTTGCAGTGAGCTGAAATCGCACCACTGCACTTCAGCCTGGGCGACAGAGCAAGACTCTGTCTCAAAAAAAAAAAAAAAAAAAAATTTAAAAACAACAAAAGCTGTCATGAACATGAACCAAGGTTAAATCCAACAGCTACTCTTTAGTGAAAATAGCATGATAAACTTTATCTATTGACTTCAACAAAGCAGAGAAGCAGTCCCTGATTTCATTTGAAGGAAGCACCTTGAAGCTTTGTTAAAAAAAAAAAAACATTGAAATGAGAGCATCCGAATGCTAAAATCAGCCAATTGCTTAAACCAACAAAATAAACTCAATCTACTTCTAAGCACCTGGTTTTGTTTCAACTCGTTCTTTAAGAGAACTGAAGGTGCCCAGCGCCAGGCAGGGCAGAGAATTCCTCTAGTAACCTTAGACTCAATAGAGCAAAACTGAAAACAACAAATTATTCTCCCCCTTCCAGCTTTCTATATGCATTTATTTAATGTAAGCATGCTTGATGAATGCCACAAAACAGGTAAGGCCTGGTGTTCCCGGAGTCTGATAGTCACTTCTGGTGACTGGGGCAGCTGGATCTTGGACTCAGAGGGGCCCTGGACCCTAAGCTTGTTCATGGCACCTCTGTCTTGTGTCTCTGGAGCTGTTTGGTAAAACAAGCATTTGAATGTCCAGACTCATGCGGTGCCTTTCACCAGGGAGTGTTAGAACCCTTTGCAAATCTGAGCTCGCTCATCTGCAGCACATGGTATGTTCAGCTGGGGAGGGCTCGGGCCATTTCTGCCAGAAGGGCAGGGCTGAGTGTGTCTCCAGGAGCCCCCACCTCAGACCAGATGCCCAGACCCCAAATAAATCGCCCAAGTAATCTAAGCTAACGAGTGTCTTGGGGGTTGGCTCCATTATCCACATAGCAGCCTAAATCTCCTCCTCTCCTTCTCTTGGGGCCACAGTCCATAAATCTGAATGGCTTAAGAAGAGAAGGGGCCTCAGCTCTCCACAATTCCATCCAGCAAAAACTGGACCTCAGGCTCGTGGTTTCACAGCCGGAGCCCCCTCAGCTACCATGCCAGGCAGCAGAAGCCATGGCAGGCCACCAAGCCTGCCACCAGCAATGGACCAAAGGGATGAATTTGTCAGACAAGGGAAAATATTTCAAAGGAATATTCACTGCAACAAGAAACAGATGCCTCAAAATCTAGGTAAACACTCAAGGCATCTTCCGAAGCCCTCCAGTTTGGATTGGACTTGGTCAAGGAGGGGCCCAGATCACAAGAACCCACTTCCTGGGGACTAAAACTTGGCATTTATAGATGCACCAAGACTCCTCTAACACGGCTACTGATTGTTGCACAGTCGAGATCTAGGGCAGACCACTGTGGCT
This sequence comes from Homo sapiens, assembly GCF_000001405.40. Lineage (NCBI taxonomy): Eukaryota > Metazoa > Chordata > Mammalia > Primates > Hominidae > Homo > Homo sapiens. The sequence goes on along the minus strand of NC_000008.11, from coordinate 48,124,249 downwards.
AAAATGGGACTGCCAGGGGTCTGCAGGCACTTCCCAGCAGCACCTGTGGCTCTGGGGACCAAACCCACAGACCGGAAACTCTCTCAGGACACTCTGGGTCTGGAACGCACTTGCTCTTTGAGAATTCGACTTTTTAATATCTTACTCTTCTAAAAAAGCTGTCTCTCTTCTAGACTGCTGGGGTTCACAGTGAACATCTGAGTGATCATAATGCATCAGTAGATGGAAAATCAGATTATGGGATGCAGAGGTCTTAGAGATGAGAGGCAACAGAATGGAAGGAGTATTTATGGAAGCAAAGATTTTGCTCAAGACAGATGCAGCCGAGCAGGCCTTGGGAGCAGAGAGATCACGGCAGGGGCACATAGCTTCATTTAATGACAAAAGAAACCACCTTAAGAAAAACATAACCTTTGTATCACAGATGACATTTCACTACAGGGAACGAGTAATGTAAAACATGTTATCTGCTCATCACAGAAACTTCTTTCCTCACCTAAGAGCTGAGAGCATTGTTTGTGGTCTCTAAAACGCTTCTGATCAAGTCAAGGCCCCCCAGTGAATAAACAGGATCTAGGCACCTACTTGGTTGCTGCTGCCTGCCTCTGACATGTGAACGAGACTTTCTGTGAACAGGACTTTTGCCTTGAACAGCCTCAGTGATCTCCACCTGAAAATTCAACACTTAACTTCAGAAGAAGATTCGCCTTTATTCCATTCCACTTATGCTGCAGTTGGGAGAGCCTCCACCCCAGCCCAGGGCCTAGGGGGAGAAAGGGGCTCCCAAAGGGCTGGTGGCTGCGGCCAGGTTCCCAAGAAATGACAGCAAACAGTCAAATCACAGCCTGAACTCACTTTGCAAAGGACTCGCCACCTTCTCTGCTTCTGCCCAGGTTGGGGGGAACGGGGGAGCTGTTCTACAGAGTCTGTCTCTACCACCCCTTCCTCCAGGTGGAAGAAAGCCCCCCACTCCCGTTTGCTGTGAAACACTGATTTGAATACCCCATTTCCTTCTCTAGGCCAGTGCAGGCAAATGGAGCAAACCAGGCTGAATTCCCCGTCCCAGGCAACAGGGTTCTATCCTGCTCTGAGATAGAAAAGTTTCCTGTCGTGGGGTCAGGCCTACTGTCATGAAGAAAAGCTATTACTTTCAAGAATAAAACATTCTTAAAAACCACTCATCTGATATAAAAGATTCTCTGCTCTTCCCCTTCCCACACATACTTAGCCACTGGGAATGGAAACATTTTAGTAAAAGCCTTTGGGAAAATCTGGATGACTGCAGAGGATGAAGAACTTTAAAATGTCTGAGTTTGTCAGACACAGTAACATATTTCAAAGGAGCACTCACTTCAACAGAAAATAATACCTGTCACCCAGCACGTACACAGTGTTACTATTTTCATGGTAATTTGGAAAATAATGAGTTTGATTTTTGAAAGCAGATATAAGATACTTTAAAACCATATCGTGAATATCAAAAATGAATCTGTAAGTTAATGCAATGTCATACAAGACTTGAAAACATGTTTAAATACGTAGTTCAAAATTATATCTACTCTATTGATTACAATTGCAATACAACACAACCTCATATTAAAAAACAAATAGGGCCTGGCACAGTAGCTCACACCTGTAATCCCAGCACTTTGGGAGGCCAAGGCAGGCAGATCTTGTGCCTAGGAGAACAGCCTGGGCAATATGGTGAAACCCAGTCTCCACCAAAAAATACAAAAATTAGCCAGGTGCGGTGGTGCACTCCCGTAGTCCCAGCTACTTGGGAGGCTGAGGTGGAAAGATTGCTTGAGCCTGAGAGTCAAGGTGGCAATGAGCTGTGTTTGTGCCACTGCACTACAGCATGGGTGACAGAGCGAGACCCTGTCTCAAAAAAAAAGAAAAAAAATGAAAGAAAAGAAAAAGCTGCAGGTTCCCCATGCAATGAAAGTGATATTCTTGTGTTTAGATATATTTTTGCTACTTATTAAATACAAATGTTACAGGCGATGTGGAGAAGCGGGTGGGGGGATGATTCTCCCCAGGGCACACCCGGGAGAGGAGGCTGTATGGCCCTGCCTCCAGGAGAAATTTCTCCAGCAACCAGTTCATCCTGCAGCTGCACGACAGTGATGCGAACCCTCTCATAACACACAACCAAAAGTAAAATCCACGTGCTGTACAAATTCATCCCTACCTGACACAGCCAAGAAAAAGCACTTGATTTTAAAATTGAAGAAAAAAAAAATCTCTCAAGCCATTAGTATTGTTAGTATTGCCCTAATAAAACCATTCCAACATTAATGAAAGTAACTTGTAGTACACTTACGATCCCACCACCTTAAAAAATCACTTTTATCTTCCACATTTTCAAAACATTTCAACCTTATGATAACTCCATAAGCTGCGCACAGAAAAAAAATCACTTCCAGCTTTGATAAAACTCAGTTGAGAGAAAACAATCCCCCCCCCAGATATTTATAAGAACTAGGAAAGTGACTGATCAAAACAAGGCATGCTTCCTACATAGAGTATTTTGAAACCCGACACACCTACATTTCTTTCTCTCAGTTCCAAACATGCCCAGGAGAAGTTGCACAGATTTCCTGGGTATAGGGAACAGATGTGTAAAGCACCTGACACTGACCCAAATTATAATTGACTTTCAGTCAATTCCATCACTAAAGTAGGGCTGGCCCGTGGAGCAAGTGCAAAACTTAGAGGCTTCTCTATGGTTTCTGCACCCTCTTTATCATAATCTCATTTAGTTCTTACAGCAAATGAAACTGTTTCCAAACAAAACAGTCACCCATGGATGGGGAATCGCGCTCAGAACTTATTCAACTTAATCTTAAAAGTGTAATTCCGGAAATTCATCAGGATTTGCAAAGCAACACGGACTTGCTATGTGCATGCTCCTCCTAGTGACTAAACTGGGGAAATGAAAAAGATTTTTCAAAGTTGCATCCACTCCATGTCTAACTCTCGGTACTGGGAAGCATGGGCTCCCCTAATCCTGCGCGGAGACCACCCACCAGACAGTCTCGCCTGTGCGTTCTCCATGTTGTGTAGTGAACTCTGTCCTGCCGTGGGTCTTCAGCTTATAAAAACTTCCCGGGAGAAAGGCCTGTTCTGTTCTTGGTTTAGCAGATGACATTTCAGAAGGCCAGTGCTCATGTCCAGCACTTCACAAATAACAACTCACGCAGACCTCAGCACGTTTACCTTCAATGTCCAGCGTCTGAGAGGGTCTCGGCATCTACAGGCACTGCTATTTCTGTGTCAAATATCACCTTGTTTCACCTTATTTTTAAGCCAGATTTCTTGTGACTCCCATTAAAAATGTAAAAAAAGAGACCAACATGGTGTTTATGAGTTCTAAAAAATACGCTAATATTTTTATTAAAATACACAGTATCTGGGGAGACTTGAGGGCTCCCCAGGCAACATCAGCACTGTGCAGGTGGGGAGGGGCTGGGGCTGGAGGCCAGGCCTCCAGGGAAGTGCTCCAGCAGCAAGTTCATCCTACAGCTGCATGACGTTGACAGGGACCCTTTCACAAAGCAGTCAAAAGTAAAATCCAAGTGCTGTACAAATTCATCTTAAGCTCAAAATGCTGCAGAGAACCTTTTTGTCACAGCATAAGGAAAAGTCACTTGTGAGTTTCCTGAGCCCTCTGGTGTTCCAGAGCCCTGTTCTGTTTATACCATCCTAGGGATCCTAGCCTTCAAGGAGATGAAACCCCACGCCAGACAGAAAGGTGTAAGGCACAGGCGGGCCAATGTCTGAAATGCAAGAGGCACTTGTCTGAGCGTCTCTCGCTCCCCATGCCCCAGCACCTCTCCCTCCTCCACGCACTGACCCTGCAGTCCTCCAGGGCCCTTTCTCGCCCCTCAATGCTGCAGCCAGTGGGACAGTGCTAAATGTGTGTCCATACATATCCCTTCTCAGCTCAAGACCCCGAAGTGGCTGCCCATGTCCCTCAGGGGGAAAACAGTGTCTTCACTGACTGGCCCACGGGCTCTGACCCCTCTCACCATCCTGACTGCTCCCTCTCCTCCTGGGCCTCCCTTCTCATCTCCACCAAAGCCGGCCTGGCCTCCTATTAGAAGGTGAAACCTGAGCTGGGAGCAGTGGCTCACACCTGTAATCCCAGCACTTCAGGAGGCCAAAGTGGGAGGATCATTTGAGGCCAAGGAGTTTGAGACCAGCCTTATCTCCAAAAAAGAACTTTTTAAAAAAAAATTAGCCAGGCACAGTGACATGGCTGTAGTCCCAGCGAGTCAGGAGGCGGAAGTGGGAGGATCACCTGAGTCCAGGATTTCGAGGCTGCAGTGAGTCACGATTGCGCCACAGCACTCCAGCCTGAGTGAGAGTGAGACCCCGTCTCAAAAAAAAAAGGAAAAAAAGAAGTGAGACCTCCCACCCCACCCCCACATCCTCGTGGTCGTTCGCCGGCTGAGCACTCAACAAGATGTTCTAGGTACTTGTTTACTGAGCTATTTCAAGCACAAAGAACATGGATAATAAGATAAATATTATTTTGTCACATTTTCTTCTCTTTTTTTGAAATAAGGTCTGTCACCCAGGCTGGAGTGCAGTGGCATGATCTTGGCTCTCTGCAGCCTCAGCCTCCCAGGCTCAAGTGTTCCTCCCACCTCAGCCTCCTGAGTAGCTGGGACTACAGGTGCTCGTCACCACACCCAACTCATTTTGTACTTTTCATAGAAACAGAGATTTGCCATGTTGCCCAAGCTGGTCTCAACCTCCTGGGCTCAAGCAATCCACCTGCCTCAGCCTCCCAAAATGCTGGGATTACAGGCGTAAGCCACAGCACCCAGCCTTTACTTCCTTTTCTAATGAACATAACTTCACGGATCACTTTGAAGCCCATGCGCCACCCTTCCTCCCCAGAGGAAAGCATTTCCATCATCCCCATGTGTACTCAGATGCTCTCACTACCATGGGCATAGAGGCTCCCTGTACGTCTTCACACTGTCTTCCCTCTGTCGGGTCTGCGTCCAGATTTCCTCATTTCATAAGGACACCAGTCCATATTGGATTAGGGCCCACCCTAATGACCTCATCTTAACTTGGTTTTCTCTGTAAAGACCCTATTCCCCAATAAGGTCCCATTCTGAGATACTGGGAGTTAGGACTTCAGGAGATCTTCTTGGAGGGACACAAATCAACCCAGAAGAGTCTGCTATATTTTTTCTCTCAAAGTTTTAGAGTTTTGCTTTTCACATGTAGGCCTGCATTTATCTGGAACTGGTTTTTGAGTATGACAGGGAATCTCATTCATTTCCTGTCTGCATAACCTCTCCTCCTGGCGCCTCATATGGAAGAGTCCATTCTTCCCCAGGAGTTCCCAAAGATCCCTCTGCCTTGGATCTAGTTTCTATACACATGTGAGTCTATCTCTGGGCTTTTTCTCCTCTGCTTAATTGAGCTATTTCTTATTTCTGTCTCTTAATTACATAATTGTATAAAGGGACTTGCTATCTGGTAGGAATAACACTCTCTCTTGGTACTTCCTCTCCAGATTGGGTTTTTACTGTTTATAGCTGTTAGAGTTTCCAAGAGAATCTTGGGATCAACATCTCAGGCTTTAACAAAAGTCAGTTGATATTTGATTGGTATTGTACTAATTAATCAGGGAGAAGTGACATTTCTTATATTAATACTTCCCAACAGTGCACACAATCTCACTTCTTACTCGCTCATACATTCGACGAAGTCTTACTGTTTAGTCCAGACATATCTGCACAAGTTCATTTCATTTGTTATAACCTACAAGTTGTTAAGTTCTGTTTCTCTGGAGAACCCAGATTAATACAATGCCAAACAGTTTTTTTAACTACTTCAAATTACTCTGTGACTACCTCCCTTCCCCTCCTCATATTAATAAAGACAAGAAAATTCTGGTGTCAAACAAGGTGTTGGAGGTAAGGGCTGTGAAAGCTCCTAACATCAAAAGCCAGTGCTGGCCAGGCATGGTAGCTCACGCCTGTAACCCCAGCACTTTGGGAGGCCAAGTGGGGAAGATCACTTGAGCCCAGGAGTTCAAGACCAGCCTGGCCAACATGGTGAAACCCTGTCTCTACAAAAATTACAAAAATTAGCCAGGCATGATGTCGTGCTCCTGTAGTCCCAGCTACTCGGGAGGCTGAGGCAGGAGGATGGCTTGACCCTGGAAGGTCAAGGCTGCAGTGAGCTGTGCTTGCACCACTGCATTCCAGCCTGGGCAACAAACCGAGACCCTGCCTAAAAAAATAAAATAAAATAAAAAAGCCAATTAGCCTGGCATGATGGCTCATGCTTCTAATCCCAGCACTTTGGGAGGCCAAGGTGGGTGGATCACAAGGTCAGGAGATCGAGAAGAGCCCCACCTCTACTAAAAATACAAAAAAATTAGCCAAGCATGGTGGTGGGTGCCTGTAGTCTCAGCTACTCCGGAGGCTGAGACAGGAGAATGGCGTGAACCCGGGAAGTGGAGCTTGCAGTGAGCCAAGATCGCACCACTGCACTCCAGCCTGGGCGACAGAGCGAGACTCTGTCTCAAAAAAAAAAAAAAAAGAAAAAGAAAAAGGCCAATAGTGGCATCTACCATTCTAGTGCAACGCCAAAGATGTCATTCCTCAACTCTTCATGTTACATCTCTCACCCACTAAGATTATAGAAAACACAGCCAATGTAGTCCCAGGGTTTGTAGTAGGGAAAAAAAAAAAAACAATGGTGGCAAAGCTTTACACTCTTGCCTTGCCCTTTTGATTTCCTCAGCTGTGATTCACACAGCTGCATGATGCTCCCTGCTCTCGAGGGAGGACCGCACAGGCAGGAGGGCCCATTCCACACACTGCTCGACAGACCCAGGGCTGTTGGGCCCCGAGAGCCATGGAAGAATAGGGCAGGCAGCCTCAACACACACTGGGACATTCTCTAAGGAGCAGTGGGGCTGGGATCATAGACATGCTTGTGAGCATATGTAAGGTGCCTCTCTGGGGACTTGCAGAAATAACAGAAAGGGGATGCTCTGCAGGAGGGGAGGAGAAGTACTCTATGGGCCTGGGAGACCAGGAGCCTAGGTTGTCAACATGGTTGTCAATAGGAAGGAGACTATCATGAATGCCTGTGTGGTTGCCTGCCCTACACAGCAGTGTCCTTGGAAAGACCCCTATACCCCACCTCAGTCCCTATGGTCTGAGTGTGGCCCATCCCATCCTCTAGCTAGAAAGTTTTTGCTGGAGGCCAGAGGGCTTCCATTCACCCAGGCCAGACGGCCTGGCAAATGAGGACTATGAGCTCCTGGATGGAAAGGAAAGGCCAGGTAGCGCAGGCAGCAACCCCAGGATTCCACAGGAGCAACTGAGGGGTGGCAATCTGGGTTTCCAGGCAGAAGAGATCCCGCCTAGGGTTGCCTCCACCTCATGGGTGGAAAGTGGGGTGTGAGAGTGCAGGAGTCCCCCTGCGAAAAAGCCCACACAGAGGCCAAAGGCATGAAGCAACCAATTCCTTGGCAGCCAACTGCATTTTTACTGGCCTGTGATGCATGTGACACACCCAATGCAGGTCACTCCATGAAGGACATGGATAAAAAGTCATCTGTGCCTAATCAAAACCATTATGAAACTAACCGTGCAAGAGCAGAAACTTCCTTAAGTGAGAGTCAACCTTTGATGGAGGGTTTCAGCAAACACAACCACTAACAACATCTTCTTGTTCAAGCAGGAACAAGACAAGACATTCGGGCCTGGCTGGCTGGGCCTCAGGTCTGTAATCCCAGCACTTTGGGAGGCCAAGGCGGGCAGATCACAAGGTAACAAATTCTAGACCAACCTGGCCAACATGGTGAAACTACATCTCTACTAAAATTACAAAAAGTAGCCAGGTGTGGTGGCTGGTGCCTGTAATCCCACCTACTTGGGAGTCCGAGGCAGGAGAATTGCTTGAACCCTGGAGGCGTAGGTTGCAGTGAGTCAAGATCATGCCACTGAACTCCAGCCTGGGCGACAGAGCCAGACTCCATCTCAAAACAAACAAACAAAAAAGACAAGACGTTCACCACCAACACTCTGTCTAACAAAGCTGAGGTTCAAACCAATGCTACAAAGAAAAGGAAGAGTACTAGAATGGAAGAGAAAAGGCTTACTATGTGTGGACGACTAGAACTTTTGAATGATGAAATAGAATATAAGCAGTGTGAAAAGTGACAGGCTGGGAGAAACTGTTTTCAACGCACGTAAAAACCAATGGATTAATAGCCAACATTTATCAACAGTTTCTATAAAACCAACAGGGGGCCGGGCATGGTGGCTCATGCTTATAATTCCAGCACTTTGGGAGGCCACAATGGATGGGTCACTTGAGGTCAGGAGTTTGAGATCAGCCTGGCCAACATGGTGAAACCCTGTCTCTACTAAAAATACAAAAATTAGCCAGGTGTGATGGTGCACGCCTGTAATCCCAGCTACTTGGGAGACTGAGACAGGAGAATTGTACCTGGGAGGTGGAGGCTGCAGTGAGCCGAGATGGCGCCACTGAATTCCAGCCTGGGCGATGAGTGAAACTCCGTCTCAAAAAAAAAAAAAAAAAAGAAACAAAATTATTTAAATAAAGCTGAAAATTTAAATTTGTAATTTGTTTTTTAAAAAAACTAATTACAGGTGTGTGTTGGAGTCAAAATGTGAAACTTGTGTTCAACATTTGCTGAGGTTATTTAAGTCTTTACCTTTGTAGAAATAAAGATTTCCAAAATAGTTACACAGGGCCAATTAGCTGGGCATGGTGACAGGAGCCTGCAATCCCAGCTACTTGGGAGGCTGAGGGAAGAGAATCTCTTGAACCCGGAAAGTAGAGGTTACAGTGAGCCGAGATCGCACCACCACTGCACTCCAGCCTGGGTGACAGAGCGAGACTCTGTCTCAAAAAAAAAAAAAAAAAAAAAAAAGGGAAGAAAAGATACTTCCCCCCTCAAAAAAGTAATTCCCAGAAGAGATGCAAATGGGTGATAAATATCTGAAAACGAGCACAATATCATCAGTCATTATGGAGATAAAGATTGAATCTTAATGAGATACAAAATTTTACACACAGGATCTCTCCTCTAGAAATATTCACACATGTGCACAAAGAGGTTCATACAAATTTATTCTTTGCAGCATCATCAGTAATGACGAAAACTAAAAATTGACCTGAATGTTGGACCAACTGTGTGCAGGAGTCAAAGTGACTAACATGCAGCCACTTAAAGCATGGGGTGGACCCACATATACTGCCAGGGAAAGGCTGATAAAACACATTGTTAGATTCAAAAAAAAAAAAAAAGGAGGCGGGGGTGCGGGCACAGTGGCTCACACCTGTAATCCTAGCACTTTGGGAGGCCAAGGGGGGCAGATCGCAAGGTAGGAGTTTGAGACCAGCCTGGCCAACATGATGAAACCCTGTCTCTACTAAAAATACAAAAATTAGCTGGTGTGGTGGCCTGTGCCTATAATCCCAGCTACTCGGGAGGCTGAGACACAAGAATCACTTGAACCCAGGAGGCGGAGGTTACAGTGAGGCAAGACCGTGCATCTGCACTCCAGCCTGGCGACAGAGCGAGACTCAGTCTCAAAGAAAAAAAAAAAAAAAACCAAGCCATGGAGCATTACACGTAGAATAAATCCATTTATGCTGTTTTAAAAATATGTAAACACAAGAATAATGGACCCTCTCCAAGGCTGTAAGAAATGCGCATTTTATTTTTGTTTTTTAAGTGTGCAATGGTATTGAGAAACCAACTATTAATATTTTATAAATGGATTTGTTGGGCTGGGCGTGGTAGCTCACACCTGTAATCCCAGCACTTTGGGAGGCCGAGGCGGGTGGATCACGAGGTCAGGAGATCAGACCATCCTGGCTAACACGGTGAAACCCCTTCTCTACTGAAAATACAAAAAAAATTAGCCGGGTGTGGTGGCGGGCGCCTGTAGTCCCAGCTACTCGGGAGGCTGAGGCAGGAGAATGGCATGAACCGGGGAGGCAGAGCTTCCAATGAGCCGAGATCTCGCCACTGCACTCCAGCCGGGGGCGAAGGAGCGAGACTCCGTATCAAAAAAAAAAAAAAAAGTTGGTGTGAATTCTGTAAATGTTTGGTAGAGTTCAGCAGCAAAGCATTTGGGCCTGAGCTTTTCTTTGTGGTTAGTTTTTTTTTTTAATTACTAATTTGATCTCTTTTCTTTTTGTAGTTCTATTCAGATTTTCTGTTTCTTCTTGAGTTAGTTTTTTAGTTTGTGTCTTTCTAGGAACTTGTCTTTGTTATCTAGCGTGTTGGCATAATCCTTTTTATTTCTCTAAGGTCAGTAATAATACCCCTGATTGGAGTCATTTCAGTCTTCACTCTTTTTATTTTCTTGGTCAGTCTAGTTAAAGGCTTGTCAATTTTGCCCATGTACAGACTCAGCAGAACTCAAGGTGTCAAGAGACACCTGATGCCATCTGAGTCCCACTCTCATGTGTAGTGGTGGTTCAGCAAGCGCTTATCCCTCCATGCATGCTCCAGAATCTCACTCTCTTCCCTTCCCCTCAATGACATTCAAATAGCATTGAAATTTCCTATTTTGGAAAACTTTATTTCTACAAAGGTAAAGGCTTAAATAACCTCAGCAAATGTTGAGCACAAGTTTCACATTTTGACTCCATCTAAAAAATTAAAACCAGCAGAATGATCAAACAATGACACATAATATCATTAGAAAATATATGTAGCATCGGCCAGGTGCGGTGGCTCACACCTGTAATCCCCAGCACTTTGGGAGGCTGAGGTGGGCGGATCATCTGAGGTCAGGAGTTCGAGACCAGCCTGGTCAACATGGTGAAACCCCATCTCTACTACAAATACAAAAATTAGCCAGGCATGGTGGCAGGCACCTGTAATCCCAGCTACTTGGGAGGCTGAGGCAAGAGAATTGCTTGAACCCAAGAGGCAGAGGTTGTAGTGAGCTGAGATCCATACCATTGCACTCCAGCCTGGGGGACAAGAGCGAGACTTTGTCTCGAAAAAAAAAAAAAATATGTAGCATCCTGGCCAGGTGCGGTGGCTCATGCTTGTATTCCCAACACTTTGGGAGGCCAAGGCAGGTGGATCACTTGAGGTCAGGAGTTCGAGACCAGCCTGGCCAACATGGTGAAACCCCGTCTCTACTAAAAATACAAAAATTAGCGGGGCGTGGTGGCATCTGCCTGTAGTCCCAGCTACTCTGGAGGCTGAGGCAGGAGAATCACTTGAACCTGGGAGGCAGAGGTTGCAGTGAGCTGAGATCACACCACTGCACTCCAGCCTGGGCAACAGAACAAGACTCTGTCTCAAAAAAAAAAAAAGAAAGAAAGAAAATATATGTAGCATCCATGATCAACTTACTTTGAAGTCATTTTCCCTCTGTTAACTAAGATTATTTAACCAGCCTCCAAAGTGGATGACCTAAGTACTAAAATGTTAGAACCTGAAACCCGGACAGTCTCATAATTTTCAGAAGGACAACAGGGTCCTTGTACCTGCCTTACTGCTATGGCTTCCTGAAGTCACTGCCTGGGCAAGGAAAGGACGTCTCATGTGCTGTGCACTTAAAGGATATGGGCCAGTGGCCGTTCATTTCTTCTCTGTAATAAAGAAGTGATAAGAGTTGGACTTAAGTCCTAATATCGGTGGTGGCCTGGACAAGGACAAGATAATAACATGAAAGAAGCAGCCTTCACAGCCACCTTTTCTTGAAACTCACATCTGTGCCCCTGCACACAGTGTGCAAGTGTACACACACACACACACCTGAACTAACCCCAAAATAGAGAGATGCAGAGAGAGATCTGAGCAGAACTAAAAGTTTGATGCACAGCTCCAGCTGCAGCATGACCTGGAATCAGGCTCATCCAAGTCATAACAGTTTGTTCCAGAAAAGAACAAGGTTTGACTGTAGGTATTCATGTTCTCTGCAGTCTTTCCCTCAGATCCCGAGCTCATTTTGTCCAATAATTTGTGCATCAATTTTGGTGGTAAGAACGCTGAGAAGCAGGATGGCACTACACATGCACTCTCGGGACAGCCATGATCCTGTAGGGAGGGAGGGAAAGACATAGAAGAGCAGTGAACATTATCTATACCATGTGGAGGACTGAGGCTTGCTCTACTAATTACAGATGAGGAATCTAGCAGGTTGACTCTCAGATTTAAACACTAAACAAAGGGTCAAAAACTTAAATACAAGAGTAACTGTGGCTGGATCAAGGTGACATCAGCCTTGCTAGGCTGATGACAGTGAGAAGCTCCTCCCTACCCATCAGAGATGAACAAATGAGTGAAGCAGGGTGCTATGGACTGAACTGTATCTCCCCCAAATTCATATGGTGAAGCCCTAACCCCAAATATCATTGTATCATTGGCAATGGGCCTTTGGGAGGGGTTAGGGTTAGATGAGGCCATGAGGGTAGGCTCCTCATGATGGGGTTGGTAGCCTTATAAGGAGGGAAAGAGGGCTGTCTCTCTCTCCTCCATGTGAGGACACAATGTGGTGGCTGGCTGCAAGCTAGGAAGGGGTCCTCACCAGATAGCAAATCAGCCAGCACCTTGATCTTGGATTCCCAGCTTCCGGAACTGTGAGAAATAAATTTCCATTTTTTAAGTCACCCAAACTGTGCTGTTTTGTTATAGAGACTCAAGAGAATTGATACAAGAAGCAATCACAGAGCTGGGTCTTAACTGAGCCCTAGGTGTCCGTTCCTACAGATTCACAGAGGAATGATTGGGAACATTGTCACTTTCACGGGACTACACCGTGTGTGTGTGTGTGTGTGTGTGTGTGTGTGTGTGTGTGTAAATATATATAATGGCTCTGACCTTAAAAAGGTCAGGACTCCAGCCTAAACAACATAAGAAGACTCCAGTTCTACAAAAAATTTAAAAATTAGCACAATGGTGCACAGCTGTAGTCCCAGCTCTTCAGGAGGCTGAGGCAGGAGGATCACTTGAGTCCGGGAGGTCGAGGCTGTGGTGAGCTATGATTGTGTCACTACACTCCAGCCTGGATGACAGAGTGAGACCCTGTCTCAAAAAAGAAAAAAAAAATAGAGGTTAGGACATGGCAAAGAAGGATGTCAATATAAAATAAGAGTATTACCCTACATTCAATTTTCTGTCATTGCAGACGCTGAGACACATATGATAATCACACAATCCAGCAAGAAATACTTGCAAACTTATAATTATCTTACTAATAAGACATGCTAACCTCACAAAAATTTCCCAGATGCATTTTTATAGCACATATATTTTCATAGCAGCATTTCCCAGTGGATAACACTATTGTATAATCAATCTTATTGATATTTTGGAAGATAAATGTAACATGGACCATGGGAGTCTACAAATTACTTTCTCGTTGGGAGCACATCAATCTAGTGAAGGAAAGAGTGTCCCAAGATGTCTGATTGTTTTAGACCAACAATTTTCAAATCAATTGGTGCAGAATTCCTCACTGCTTCAGGGAAATGGAGCACTGGGATGGGAGGTCAGGGGAAGGGCTCCACGCTCCTCCAGCACCGCCCCTCACCCACAGCTGAGCCACTTTTATCTAGTTCACATACTGTACATAAAAATCGTGGGGTTTATGTGTATCTTATATTGTATACAGTTTATGATTTCATGTTACATGTTTATATACTTCTATCTCTGCTAGAACTCATAAATTGACAAAAAATACTATTTATAATAGGATAAAAAACTAAAAGATTGGGGGTACACTGAAACTACTAAATATTATTGAGAGAAATCAAATAAAACAAAAATAAATGGAAGACCGGGAGTAGTGGCTCATGCCTGTAACCCTAACACTTTGGGAAGCCGAGGCACGCAGATCACTTGAGGCCAGGAGTTCGAGACCAGCCTGGCCAATATGGTGAAACCCAGTATCTACTAAAAATACAAAAAAAAATTAGCCAGGCATGGTGGTGCACACCTGTAATCCCAGCTACTCGGGAGGCTGAGGTGGGAGGATTGCTTGAACCCAAGAGGCAGAGGTTGCTGTGAGTCGAGATTGCACCACTGCACACTCCAGCCTGGATGACAGAGCAAGACTCCATCTCAAATAAATAAATAAATGGAGAGATACTGTATTAGTCAGGGTTCTCCAGAGAAACAGAATATACATATTCTAAAAACACATATATTCTGAGAAAGGGAGAGAGAGAGATTTATTATAAGGAATTTACTGGGCTGGGCATGGTGACTCTTACTTGTAATCTCAGCCCTTTGCCCACAAAAAAGAAAAAAAAAAAAAAAAGCTATAGTCCTGTGTGATTCTGGAGGCCGGCCAGCCAGTCTGAATATCTGCAGGGTGAGCCAGCAGTAAGGAGAGCTGGAGACTGAAGGCTTCAGGCTGAGGCGGGGAGGCTTAAGACCCAGGAAGAACCAGTGTTTCCGTTTGAGTCTGAAGGAAGGAAAATGCCAATGTCCCAGCTCGAAGGCAGGCAGGAGGAACCTTCTCTTACTCGAGGAGCCCTTTTGTGACTCTTTTTTCTCTTGGTGTTTCATTGTGGATGCTTTCTATTGCTATGTAGTTAACTTCACTACTACGTATTATTCTTCAGTGTCTAATCCCATTCAGTTAGGATGAATTCCTAATCCTATCAATTCTGCTTTTCATCTCAGACATTGTGGTTTTTACTTCTAGAAGTTCAACTTGAGTCTTTTTTATATTTTCTGTGTCACTACTTAACATGTTCAATCTTTCCTGTAGCTTCTTGAATGTATCAAATGCAGTTATAACTGTTTTAACGTTCTTGTTTGCTCATTCTATACCTACGTTATTTCTGGGTCAGTTTTGATGATTTTTCTCCTCATTGTGGATCTTATTTTCCTATTCCTTTGCATGCTAGGCAATTTTTTTTATTACCAATGTGATTGTCAGGTGCTAGACTTTTTTGTATTCCTAAAATAATCTTGAGTTTTGGACATAGTTCATTTCTTTTTTTTTTTTTTTTTTTTTTTTTTTTTTTTTTTTTTTTTTTGAGACGGAGTCTAGCTCTGTCGCCCAGGCTGGAGTGAAGTGGCGCAATTTTGGCTCACTGCAACCTCTGCCTCCTGGGTTCAAGTGATTCTCCTGCCTCAGCCGCCCGAATAGCTGGGATTACAGGCGCCCACCACCACGCCCAGCTAATTTTTGTATTTTTAGTAGCAACGTGGTTTCACTGTGTTGGCCAGGCTGGTCTTGAACTCCTGACCTCGTGATCCGCCCACCTCAGCCTCCCAAAGGGCTGGGATTACAGGCGTGAGCCACCGTGCCCAGCCATAGTACATTTCTTTAAAACAGTTTGATCCTTTTAGATCTTGCCTTTAAACTTTGCAAAGCAGGACCAGGTCAGCATTTAGTCTCTGGTCAATGTATCCTCATAACAAACTGGCTTTTCCCCATTTATCCAGCTGTCTTTGAATATTAAAAGTTGGACTTTTCAAGGGAAAAATTATCTTCACGACTGAGGCAAAACCCTTCTGGGTGTTCTGCCTGACTGCTGGGGGAGCAGGCTCTGTCTCAGGTCCCAGGTGAGCTCTGAGGAGTGGGCTTCGGATCATCCCAGGTGTCTCTTTCCCCAGCCTCAGGTGCTTTTTTCACACTCGTACTAATCTGTACTGAGCTGGATACTCAATGGGGACCTCTGGAGACCTCCAGAGTTCTTTCTTACTGTGCAGCTCTCTCCTCGCCAGCACTCTGCCCTGCAAAATCCAGCCATCCTGGCCTCCCAGATTCCCAGCTATGCCTCCCAAGTCAGGGAGGCTGTGGGCTTTTCCTGGGTTCTCCCTCCCATGCCACAACCTGGAAACTCCCTGCACGCGGCAAGCTGGGGCGGCTGCGGGACTCATCTCCCTTGTTTCCCATCTTCATTGCTTGATATCCATGGTTTTATATCTTCTGTGTGGATTTTTGGTTGCTTCGGGTAAGAGAATATATTTGGTCCCTGTTAAAGAAATGTCTATCCTTATCTGTGCAAGTACCCTATAGCAAAACAAGTGAAAATTATGAACAAGTATTTCATCATGGACTTTTTCATGATGTTGAAGCAACTGCCAATATGATGCAGGAGATTCAAACCACTACAAAGAGGAAAGACGAGGACACAAAAAATATTTCATAAGGAAATAGAGTATTTTTTTAATGACTAGCAGACCTTGGAAAAGAAGTGGAAGGAAAGAAAATCACAAAAATGAAAGAAAAACTGGAAGTAACACAAGGGAGACTAAGCATTGCCAAAAACCCAGGAAGAGCTGGAGAAGAGAGAATTAGAAAAGCAGGAAAAAGGAAATGGAAGCAAATAATTAAAAAAAAAAATCAGAGAGAAACTAACTGCTATGGATGAATGGCAATGGCGGCCCAATTTATGTATAAGATGAAAACAAAAATAATGAGACAAACTAAATATTTAAAAATATAACTCAAGAAAGTGTCCCAGAACTAGGAGAAGACATAAATCTACCATGTCCGAGAAAAAATTGACACAAAGCATTCAGCACTGAGGCATATTCCAAAAAGCCTGTATAGGCTGGGCACGGTAGCTCACGCCTGTAATCCCAGCACTTTGGGAGGCTATGGCAGATGGATCACCTGAGGTCAGGAGTTCAAGACCAGCCTGGCCAAAATGGCGAAACCCCATCTCTACTGAAAATACAACAATTAGCCAGGCGTGGTGGTGTGTGCCTGTAATCCCAGCTAATCAGGAGGCTGAGGCAGGAGAATAGCTTGAACCCTAGCTAGGAGGCGGAGGTTGCAGTGAGCCAAGATCGCACCATTGCACTCGAGCTGGGGCAACAAAGCAAGATTCTGTCTCAAAAAAAGAAAAGAAGAAGAAAACAAAAAGCCTGTGTACATCAAGGTAAAAAGTTCAAGTCACCCATAAGTAGAGGCAGCAGGGAGTGGATGAGGCTGACCCCAAGGCTCTGCCCATCAATGTTCAATGCTAGAAGACAGTGGAGCAATGTATAAATGTGCTCAAGGAAAGAACAAATAGCCTGAGAACTTTATATACAGCCAAGCTGTCATTCAAGAATTAAGCTAAAAGATTAAAAAGCCTCAACCTCCTGTTTTCCATAAGTTTGTCTTTAGAAACTACCAAAGAATGAATGTCAGCCAACCAAACATAACAGGAAAAACTACTGCAAAAAAGAAGCTAGTGGTGGTGGCTCACACCTGTAATCCTAGCACTTTGGGAGACTGAGGGCAGGAGGATCACTTGAGCCCAGGAGTTCAAGACCAGCCTGGGCAACATAGTGAGACCCCATCTCTACAAAATAATACAAAAATTAGCCAGGTGTGGTGGCACACACCAAGTAGTCCCAGCTACTTGGGAGGCTGAGGTGGGAGGATCAATTGAACCCAGGAGGTTGAAGCTGCAGTGAGCCATGATCAAGCCACTGCACTTCAGCCTGGGCAACATAGCAAGACCCTATGTCAAAAAAAAGCAGGGGTAGGCCAGGTGTGGTGGCTCATGCCTGTAATGCCAACACTTTGGGAGGCCGAGGCAGGTGGATCACAAGGTCAAGAGATCGAAACCATCCTGGCCAATATGGTGAAAACCCATCTCTACTAAAAATACAAAAATTAGCCAGGCATGGTGGTGTGCACCTGTAGTCCCAGCTACTCAGGAGGCTGAGGCAGGAGAATCACTTGAACCCAGGAGGCAGAGGTTGCAGTGAGCCAAGTTTGTGCCACTGCATTCCAGCTTGGCCACAGATCAAGACTCAGTCTCAAAAAAAAAAAAAAAGTGGGGCTGGCAAGAATAGTACTAACATTAAAACAAATATGATTACAGAATAATACAAATATTATAAATACTGGCAACTAAATATAATAATCAAAAATTGGAAAGGGAAGGGAGAGAAGTTGGCAGCTGACAGCTTTCACATGAGATCCCCCCGCCTGAGGTTAAGTCTTTTCTGGGGGCAGTGCACATGCAACGCTGGTCCATGCACGCGTCTGAGGGCCCAGTGCCCTCCCTGGATCCGCAGCACTCTAAAGGGCCTCCCCAGCTTCAGAGCACCTCAGGGACTGGCTGCAGCTTCTACTGTGACCATCTCACATCTCAACCCTCTTCTGGGGTACAGAGGCCCTGCCACTTGGGCCACACAACTCAGGAAAGCCTATGATATTAGAGGTATCTGCAGTGAGGAAAGACAGCAGGTGGAGCAGTGTCTTAAGGCAGGTCCCTCCAGGACCGCCAGGCCTTAAGCAATGCCCTGTTGGCTGGAGCAGACAATTACACCTTTCGAGAATGGCTCTTGGTGCACTACTGGCCCTGGGAGAGAGAGTGTGCATGATCATAGCCAACCAGGTGGCCGAGCAGCCAGGGCTGCCACGATGGCAGGCTCTGTCGGACCTACTAAGCCACAGGTCCAGTGAGCCCATCACCTCACCTTGCAGGGAGCAAGCCACTGGGAAGGGAAGGGGTGCCCGGGGTCAGGCACAATCCAGACCAGAACGGGCAGCGAGCCCACAAGCCAGCGCTCTGAACATCACGCCACCCCCATCATCACCTCAGTGTCCTCCCCCGGCGCACACCTGTGGCCACACTGGGAGGCAGCAAGTCTGGACCAGCTCATCCAGGAAGAGCAAGGCCCACATAGCTCCAGTGCTGGTCCCTGGCATGCACCACAGCCCCACCGAGGGCAGCCCCGCGAGGCGGCAGCCCCTGGCCCACACCCACCATCCCTGTGGCCTGAGGTTGGAACACACAGGGACTTGTGGAAGAGGCAGCAGGCTCGGCTGGCAGGGAGGGGCCTGAAGGAAAACAACGGGAAGCCAGAGACATGGAGGACAAAGGAAGGGGCCGCGGCGGCCCTGTGGGAGTGGCACAGAGCACCATGCCCACCACAGAAGAGACATCCAACACCCAGGCAAGCAGAGTGGCTCAGCAGTCGACATCAGCGCGTCTGTCATCAGCCACCTTGGGGCCGGCACGGCAGGCACATGCAGAGAGTGTCAACGGTAGAAGGAAAGGTGGAGGCCAAAGGGCCACAGGGCCATTCTTCCAACCACCGCTGTTCAGTGTGCCACCCACTTGTGACAGCAACCGACACAGGGCCCTGTACACCACCACGCCAGAGATGGTCAACCAGATCCCTGGGGCACAGAAGGTCTGCTGGAGCCCTTTCCCTGGGAAGGGTGGCTTCACCCTGCCTGGAACAGATATCCTCTCAGGATGGGTCAGCCCTTCCTGCCTCACACCCTGTTCCTAGGGGCAGCCAGGACCAGGACTGTCTGATGGACATAAAGGCCCAGCTCCCTAAATTCTGACGGTTCTGAAGGGCCGTCACTCTGTTGTGACTGCATCACAGCTCACATTCTCCCTCTGCCCAATCCTGATCTTTTTACTCCCAGGAGTGTTGCTCCCAGGAGGAATTCTCAACAACCTCCCTGCATGAAAAGCTCCACCTCACAGCCTGCGTCCTGGAGACCTACTTGCAACAGGGGGCCAGGCTAGAGACAGAAAGACCAGCCCAGGACAGTGTGTGTGGACACCTCTCCACACAACTCACTGTTGGTCCGGACCAGAAGGCTAGGCACAGTCTAGTGTTAGGTTCCCAAAAACAAAGCAGTTGATTCTGATCTCTGAGTTTCCATCAAGGGACCCAGGCAGCGGCTCACAGACCTGAAGGTGCATCCAGGGTCTGGGCCTCTGGATTAGAGAATCAGGATTCCAAGAGAGAACAAGAAGAAAGCTGTTAAACTGGCGAATACACTTAACAACAACAAGGACCCCATTTGCAGCCACAGGCTGTGATGCAACTTGCATTAAGTAAATAAAAATCATAAAATAAAATATGCCCTGTGTGAATTTTAAAACAACCAGAACAGAGGCTGGGCATGGTGGCTCATGCCTGTAATCCCAGCACTTTAGGAGGCTGAGGAGGGCAGATCACCTGAGGTCAGGAGTTTGAGACCAGCCTGGCTAACATGGTGAAACCCCATCTCTACTAAAAATACAAAAAATTAGCTGGGCATGGTGGTGCACGCCTGTAGTCCCAGCTACTGGGGAGACAGGAGAATCACTTGAACCCAGGCGACAGAGGTTCCAGTAAGCTGAGATCGCATCACTGCATTCCAGCCTGGGCGACAGAGCAAGACTTTGTCACAAAAATAAAAACACACACAGAACTGCTTGGCTTGAATATGACAGCAAGGATGAGAACATCAGTTTTCTGACTCGGAAAATGGGTTGTGTCTGGAGGAGAGCTTATTATTAAGCTGGATTAAACCACACTAAAATAATGTCTCTGCAGTCAGCTAGATGATCCCTATCAACGGCCTTCAGTGAGTTGATCCATAGTGACACAAAGCAAGGTGCTGTTCTTAAGGTGCTGTTCTTAAGGTGCTATTCGCAAGGTGCTATTCTTAATCCCCGCAAAACATGAAAATAGGCAAAGTCATACAAATCCTGAAATGATTGAAATATGGCTAATATGGCTCCCTAAGAAAACTGCCAACTCTGATAAGTCAAGGAGAAATAGAGATTTAGTTACTGTATCCCCCTTTCCATTCTGCTTTCTCTTTCTTTCCTTTTTTTTTTTTTTTTTTTATTTTGGATGGACTCTTGCTCTGTTGCCCAGGCTGGAGTGCAATGGCACAATCTCGGCTCACTGCAACCTCCATCTCACAGGTTCAAGCAATTCTTCTGCCTCAGCCTCCCGAATAGCTGGGATTACAGGCACCTGCCATTATGCCCGGCTGATTTTTGTATTTTTGTAGAGACAGGGTTTCACCATGTTGGCCAGGCTGGTCTTGAACTCCTGACCTCAGGTGATCTGCCCGCCTCTGCCTCCCAAAGTGCTGGGATTACAGGCATGAGCCACTGTGCCCAGCCTCTTTCCTCTTTTCTCGGAGGTCTCTTTTCCTGCCACAAAAGCCAGAAATTACCAAATAAAAACAAGCCCTTGAAATCATATAAGGCTATTTGCAGGGACTGACTCAAAAAGATGATTCTGATATCTGTCTTCCTAGAACTTTAATTTTTATAGATGCCATATTTATAAACTTCATATTAATCCTAATATCTCTATTCAATTTATCAAATGAATATAGCAAGATATCTAAGCAATTCAATATTTCAAATTTTCTTATAATTTTATCATAGTTCATTAAATGATCTTCGATATATTAAAACAAGATAAACCCTGTAGATATAAAGACTATAGTCAAATCCCTGTTGAGACATAACCAAATAAGGTGGCAAAAGTGATAAAATAATAATTTAGGGCCCTAGAGAAAATATGGGTTCTAATTCAATACTGGAAATACTAGAAATTCAATCAGAAAGCAAACAACAGCCCTCCTGGCATTTGGTTTTCTCAACCAATATTCTGATGTTAACCAACAGTTTTATGTCCCTGGTAACTCTGGTACATTCTCTGTTTGCTTATCTAAGATCAGTCTCTGTTTACAATGGGTTTCCTTTTTTTAAAACTGCCAGGGGCCAGGCACGGTGGCTCATGCCTGTAATCCCAGAACTTTGGGAGGCTGAGGCAGGCAGATCACTTGAGGTCAGGAGTTCTAGACCAGCCTGGACAACACAGTGAAACCCCGTCTCTACTAAAAATATAAAAATTAGCCAGGTGTGGTGGTACGTGCCTGTAATCCCAGCTACTCGGGAGACTGAGGCAGGAGAATCACTTGAAACCAGAAGGTGGAGGTTGCAGTGAGCCAAATGGTGCCACTGCACTCCAGCCTGGGCGGCAGAGCAAGCTTCCATCTCAGTCAATCAATCAATCAGTCAATCAATAAAAATAAAACTGCCAGGATCATTTGAGGAAACTCTATCCATAGTTTCTCTGAACATGGTTGCCACATATTGAAATGGCACATAGCATTTCATAAAAGGAAGTGTGGGCGTGCTCCCCTCGCAGGTTTCTGAACCCTCATCCCTGCCTCCCACAGCCAGGCTGGCTCCACCTCGCCGCATGTCTTCCGCCAACAGACTCAGAACTACAAGGGAAGGGAGTCGTACTCAAGGTAACCTACTTTTTTAAGAGCAACAGAGGAAGACAAAGGGCTTCAGAACTACCTAGGTTTCACTTATGTGTTCACAGCATGATATAAAAAATGAATCTTCAGGAGAATCAAAAGGAAAAGCACCTTCATGCTCTGAGGACATGCATTTGGTTTCTGATGAGTCTCTCTAGAAACCTGTGTTTTTATGCACACACTCCTCTCACCCAAGCTGGACTCCCTCCATGTACACAGCGCTGAATGCTATGGTCGGCTCTGATTTCTGTTGTGTCACATGAAAGGCAATTGCAATAAAACATGTATGCACATTTTTACGTTTATAAAGTGCCTGATACTAAACAAGTCTGGTATTTGCAAAATTTCAGCTTTTATTTAGCAAAACCAAAAGTAAAACAAACAAATGCCCTGTTTCTCTTAGGAACTGCCTACTGGCAAAAACAGCTCTGGTCAAACACAGGAATTTTTGCTCCCAGAAGGCCAAGATAACACATGTGCCTATAAATAGCAAAGAAGCTGTTCTGGAAAGTAATACATGAAAATGGGCTATGTCAAGCTTCTTTCTCTCTGAGTCTTGCATCAGCCCCAGTGAATTTCCTCAAATGGCTGCCTTGCTGAGCCTGCTTATTTTCAAGTCAGTCTGGTCACCTCCAGCTATTGCCTTCACTACCAGGTCAGAAGAAACAGATGGGCTTTTTGCAGGTACTACTTTATCCAGAGCACTGCCAAGTGACACCATTACTCACCCAGATTAGTACTGTTTTTCTCTGAATCATCAAGGCTGTTAACTGTAACAACAGAATAGAAAGCACTATGTTATTCAGGTGTTCTTTATTTAGCTTAAGTTTTAGGTGTCTCCACTACTTCCCAATTCAGCTGGATGGGAATTGACAACTTACTTGATGAGCTGGTATTTCAGAATTCAGTCAGCTCCAGTTTTAGCAATATTCCACTCCTTTCTTTGCATATTGCCAACCAGGAACGTCTGTCCTGGAAAAACCAAGGAGGCAGAGTAAGATGGTAGAACAGATGGCTCCACCAATCTTCCTTCCCCTGCAAGGACACCAGTTTAACAACCATCTACACACACAAAAAAAAAAAAAACCTTCATGAGAACCAAAAATCAGGTGGACACTCACAGTACCGGGTTGTAACTTCATATCACTGAAAGAGGCACTGAGGAGTTAGGAAAAACAGTCCTGAATCACCAATGCCACCCCTCCCCAACCCCTGGCAGTGGCTGCATGGTGCCCAGAGCATCTCTGTGCACTGGGGAGAGGGAGAGCATAGCAATCGTGAGGCCTAAAACTCAATGCTGCCCTGTTATAGCAGAAAAGAAAGCCAGACCAAACTCAGCTGATGCTCACCCAGGAAGGGAGCATTTAAATCAGCCCTGGCCAGAGTGGAGATGCCCATCCCAGCGATCTGAATCTGAGCTGCTACAAGCCTTGCCACCATAAGCTGAAGTGCTCTGGCACCCTACATCAACTAGAAAGGCACTCTAGGTCACAAGGACTGCAACTTCTAGGACAATCCTAGTGCTCAACTGTGCCCAGAGCCAGAGGATTGGGGGGGCACATGACATACTGAGACACCAGCCAGGGCAGCTAAGGGAGTGCTGGCATCACTCCTCCCTTAACCCCAGGCTGCACGGCTCATGGCTCCAAACAAGACCCCTTTCGTTTGCTTGAGGAGAGAAGACAGATGAGTGGGGTGGACTTTGTCTTGTATCTTGGATGTCGGCTCAGCCCTAGCAGGATAGGGCAATGGGCAGAGTCACAAGGCCCCCTTTCCAGGCCCTAGTGCCTAGATGATATTTCTAGACACACCCTGGGCCAAAAGGAAACCTGCTGCCTTGAAGGGAAGGACCCAGTCCTGGCGGATTCATTACCTGCTAACTGAAGAGCCCTTGAGCCCTGAATAACCAGCACCAACACCTAGGTACCACATCAGGGCCTTGGCTGAGACTCTGAGGCTCAGCACATTCCCAGCTGTGGTGGCTATGGGGCAAGACTCCTCCCACTTGAGGAAAGGAGAGGAAAAAGTAAAGGCGATTTTGTCTTGCACCTTAGGTACCAGCTAGGCCACAGGGGAGTAAAGCACCAAGTGGGCTGTTGGGTCCCTGATTCCAGGACTTGGCCAGAGGGGTGCCTGCTGCCCTGATGGGTGAGTCCTCGGCCAGATAGCATTCACCACAAGCTGAATGAAGAGCACTTGGGACTCAACGGAACATTGGCAATAGTCTGGCAGTACTCCCCATGGGTGGTCATGGGGTGAGGCTCTGCTGCCTTAGAAAGGGAAGGGAAGAGTGGGAAAGACTGCATCTTGTGGGTTCAGTGCCAGTTCAGCCACACTACAATAGAACACAAAGTAGACTTCTAAGGCTTTTTACTCTAGTTCCTGGCTCCCAGACAGCACCTTTAGACCTGTCCAGGGCCTAGGAGAACTTGCCAGCTTGAAAGGAAGGTCACAGGCCTGGCTGGCGTTGCTACCAGCTAATTGTAGAGTCCCAGGGCCTTGAGAAAGCATGGGTAGTAGCCAGGGAGTGGCTACAGCAGGCCTTGAGCAAGACCCAGTTCTGTGCTGGCTTCAGGTCTGACCCAGCACGGTCCTAGTGCTGGTGGCCACAGGGGTACTTGTGTCTCTCATCCCCAGGTCCATGTAGCTCAGAACCGAGAGAGAATTTTCATTTGTCTGGGAGAAAGTAAGGGAAAAGAACAACAGTCTGCCTGGTAATCCAGGGAATTCTTCCAGATCTTGTCCAAGACCATCAAGGCCATACCTCTACAAGTCTACAAGAACCACAGGGGCTTGGGATGACCCCTAATGCAGATACATCCTAGATAAAAACATTTAAGTCCTTTTGAATATCTGGAAAGCATTCCCAAGATGGACAGATTCAAACAAGCCCAGACTGAGAAAACTACAATAAATACCTAACTCTTGAATGCCCAGACACAAACAGACATCTACAAGTATCAAGACCATCCAGGAAAACATAACCTCCCCAAATGAATTGAATAAGTCACCAGGGATGAATCCTGGAGAAACAGAGATATGTGACCTTTCAGACAGAGAATTCAAAATAGCTGTCTTGAGAAAACTCGAAGAAATTCAAGATAACACAGAGAAGGAATTCAGAATTCTATCAGATAAAGAGATTGAAATAATTTAAAAGAATCAAGCAGAAATTCTGGAGCTGAAAAATGCAATTGGCATACTAAAGAATGCATCAGAGTCTTTTAAAAGCAAAACTGATCAAGCAAAAGAATTAGTGAGCTTGAAGACAGGCTATTTGAAAATACACAGAGAAGGCTGGGCATCGTGGCTCATGCCTATAATCCCAGCACTTTGGGAGGCTGAGGCAGGTGGATCAACTGAGGTCAGGAGTTCAAGACCAGCCTGGCCACCACGGTGAAACCCATCTCTACTAAAAATACAAAAATTAACTGGGTGTAGTGATGGGTGCCTGTAATCCCAGCTATTCAGGAGCCTGAGGCAGGAGAATTGCTTGAAACTGGGAAGCAAAGTTTGCAGTGAGCTGAGATCACACCACTGCACTCCAGCCTGGGCAACAGAGCGAGACTTCATCTCAAAAAAAAATAAAAAGAAAAAAAGAAAATACACAGAGGAGACCAAAAAGAAGAATTTTTTTTAAAAATGAAGCACACCTAAAGGATTTAGAAAATAACCTCAAAAGGTCAAATCTAAGACTTACTGGCCTTAAATAGGAGGTAGAGAAAAAAATAGGGGTAGAAAGTTTATTCAAAGGAATAAAAACAGAATTTCCCAAACCTAGAGAAAGACATAAATATCCAAGTACAAGAAAGTTAAAGAACACAAAGCAGATTTAACTGAAAGAAGACTACCTCAGGACATTTAATAAACAAACTCCCAAAGGTCAAGGATAAAGAAAGGATCCTAAAAGCAGGAGAAAAAAAAAAAAAACATACAATGGAGCTCCATTACGTCTGAGAGCAGACTTTTCAGTGGAAACCTTACAGGCCAGGAGAGAGTGGCATAGCATATTTAAAGTGCTGAAGGAAAAAAAACTTTTACCCTAGAATGGTATATCTGGTGAAAATATCCTTCAAACATGAAGGAATAATAAAGATTTTCCCAGACAGACAAAAGCTGAGAGATTTCATCAATGCCAGACCTGTCCTACAGGAAATGCTAAAGGGAGGACTTTGACCAGAAAAAATAAAGGACATTTTGAGCAATAAGAAATCATCTGAAGGTTCAAAACTTGCTGGTAATAATAAGTACTCAGAAAAACACAGAATATTATAATACTGTAACTGTGGTGTTTAAAGTACTCTGAAGTAGAATGACTAAATAATGAACAATTAAAAATAATAACCACAAGAAGAAAAATAATAATAATAACTACAACTTTTGAGACAGAGACAGTACAATAAAATATAAATAGAAACAACAAAAAGTTTAAAAGTGAGGAGATAAAGTTAAGGCATAGAGTCTTCATTAGTTTTCTTTTTGCTTGTTTGTTTCTTTATGCAAACAGTGTTATCAGTTTAAAATAATAAGTTATAAGATAGTATTTGTAAGCTTCGTAGTAACCTCAAATAAAAAAATTCAATGAATACACAAAAAATAAAAAGCAAGAAACTAAATCGTATCAACTGGGAAAATCATCTCCTCTAAAAGGAAGACAGAAAAGAAAGAAAGAGAAGACCACAAAACGACCAGAAAACAAATAACAAAATGGCAGGAGTAACTTCTTACATATCAGTAATAACATTGAAAGCAAAGGGACTAAACTCTTCAATCAAAAGATATAGAGTGAATGAATGGGTAAAAAAATAAAATAAATTTTAAAAAATGATCTGTTGCCTACAAGAAACACACTTTACCTGTAAAGACACACATAGACTGAAGGGATGGAAAAAGATAAAATTCCATGCCAAAGGAAACCAAAAAAGAACAGGAGTAGCTGTATTTATATCAGAAAAAAATAGATTTAAAGACAACTATAAGAAGAGACAAAGAAGGTCACTATATGATAAAGAGATCAATTCAACAAGAGGATATAACAATTTTAAATATATATGCACCCAACACTGGAACACCCACATATATAAAGCAAATATTATTAGAGCTAAAGGGTGTCATAGGCCCCAATACAATAATAACTAGAGACTTTAACACCCCACTTTTAGCACTGGACAAATGTTTCAGACCAAAAATCAACAAAGAAACATTGGACTTAATCTGCACTATAAACCAAATGGACCTAATAGATTAACAGATATTTACAGAACATTTCATCCAATGGCTGCAGAATACACATTCCTCTTTTTTTTTTTTTTTTTTTTTTTAGATGGAGTCTAACTCTATTGCCCAGGCTGGAATGTGGTGACATGATCTCGGTTCACTGCAACCTTCGCCTCCCAGGTTCAAGCAATTGTCGTTATTCCCAAGCAGCTGGAATTACAGAAGTGCACCACCATACCCGGCCAAATTTTGTATTTTTAGTAGAGACTAGGTTTCACCATGTTGCCCAGGCTGGTTTCAAACTCCTAAGCTCAGGTGTTCTGCCAGCCTTGGCCTCCCAAAGTGCTGGGATTACAGGCATGAGCCACCACACCTGGGCCAGAATATACATTGTTTTCTTCAGCACGTACATCATTCTCAAAAATAGACCATATGTTAGGTCACAAAACAAGTCTAAAAACATTCAAAAAAATGAAATAATATCAAGCATCTTCTCTGACCACAATGGAATAAAATTAGAAACTAATGACAAGAAGAATTTTGGAAACTATACAAATACATGGAAATTAAACAATACGCTCCTGAATGACCAGTAAGTCAATGAAGAAATTAACAAAGAAATTGAAAAATTTCTGGCAACAAATCATAACCAAAACACAGCATACCAAAATCTTAGTACTATAAAAGCAGGACTAACAGGAAAGTTGATAGCTATAAGCGCCTATATCAAAAAAGAAGAAAAACTTCAAAGAAACAATCAAATGATACATCCTAAAAAATTAGAAAAGCAAGAGCAAACTGAACCCAAAATTAGTAGAAGAAAAGAAATAATAAAAATCAGAGAATAAATAAATGAAATTGAAATGAAGAAAACAATACAAAGATCAATGAAACAAAAAGTTGGCTTTTTGGGAAGTTAAACAAAATTGGCAAACCTTTAGCCAGACTAAGAAAAAAAGAGAGAAGATCCAAATAAATAAAATCATAGTTGAAAAAGGATACATTAACAGCTGATACCACAGAAATTCAAAGGATCATTAGTAGCTACTATGAGCAACTATATCCCAATAAATTGGAAAATCTAGAAGAAATGGACAAATTCGTAGACACATACAACCTACCAAGACTGAACCACGAAGGAAACCACAATCTGAACAGACCAGTAACAAATAACAAGATCAAAGCCATAAAAAAAGTCTCCCACCAAAGAAAAGTCTGGCACTTTGGGAGGCTGAGGCAGGCAGATCACCTGAGATCAGGAGTTCAAGACCAGCCTGGTCAACATAGTGAAACCCCATCTCCACTAAAAATACAAAAATTAGCTGGGAGTGGTGGCACACACCTGCAGTCCCAGCTACTTAGGAGGCTAAAGCAGGAGAATTGCTTGAACCCAAGAGATGGAGGTTGCAGTGAGCTGAGATTGCACCACTGCACTCCAGCCTAGGTGACAGAGTGAGACTCTGTCTCAAAAAAAAAAAAACAAAAAAAAAAAAAAGAAAAGAAAAGAAAAAGAAAAGCCCAGAACCCAATGGCTTCACTGCTGAATTCTACCAAACATTTAAAGAACTAATACCAACCCTACTCAAACTATTCGGAAAAATAGAGGAGGAAGGAATCCTTCCAAACTCACTCTACAAGGCCAGTATTACCCTGATACCAAAACCAGATAAAGACACATAAAGAAAGAAAGAAAGAAAGAAAGAAAGAAAGAAAGAAAGAAAGAAAGAAAGAAAGAAAGAAAGAAAGGAAGAAAGAAAAAGAAAACTACAGGCCAATATCTCTGATGAATATTGACGCAAAAATCCTCAACAAAATACAAGCAAACTGAATTCAACAATACATTAGAAAGATCATTTATCATGACCAATGGGATTTATCTCTGGGATGCAAGGATGGTTCAACATACACAAATCAATCAATATGATACATCATATCAACAGACTGCAAAATGAAAACCATATGATTAAAAAAAAAAGAAAACTGGCCGGGCGTGGTGGCTCACGCCTGTAATCCCAGCACTTTGGGAGGCCAAGGCAGGCAGATCACAAGGTCAGGAGATCAAGACCTTCCTGGCTAACACGGTGAAACCCCGTCTCTACTAAAAATACAAAAAATTAGCCAGGCATGGTGGCGGGTGCCTGTAGTCCCAGCTACTCGGGAGGCTGAGGCAGGAGAATGGTATGAACCTGGGAGGTGGAGTTTGCAGTGAGCCGAGATCATGCCACTGCACTCCCGCCTGGGTGACAGAGCAAGACTCTGTCTCAAAAAAAAAAGAAAGAAAAAGAAAAAAAAAAAGAAAACCATATGATCATTTCAATTGATGAGAAACAGACCCACAGCTAGTATCGTATTGCATGGGGAAAAACTAAAAGCCTTTCCTCTAAGACCTGGAACATGACAAGGATGTCACTTTTACCATTGTTATTCAAGATAGTACTGGAAGTCCTAGCTAGAACAATCAGAAAAGAGAAAGAAATAAAGGGCATCCAAATCAGAAAGGAAAAAGTCAAATTATCTTTGTTTGCAGATGATATGATCTTATATTTGGAAAAACCTAAAGACTCCACAAAAAAACTATTAGAACTGATAAATTTAGTAAATTTGCAGGATACGAAATCAGTATACAAAATCAGTAGCATTTCTACCTGCCAACAGTGAACAATCTAAAAAAGAAATTTTAAAAGTAATCAACTTAAAATAGTCACAAATAAAATTAAATACCTAGGAATTAACCAAAGTAATAAAAGATCGCTATAATGAAAACTATAAAATGATGAAAGAAATTGAAGAGGATACCAAAAAAAATGAAAAAATATTCCATGTTCATGAATTGGAAGGATCAATATTGTTAAAATATCCATACTGCCCAAAGCAATCCACAGATTCAATGCAATCCCTATCAAAATACCAATGACATTCTTCAAAGAAATAGAAAAAAAGAACCCTACAGTTTATATGGAACCACAAAAGACTCAGAATAGCCAAGGCTATCCTAAGCAAAAAGAACAAAACTGGAGGAATCACATTACCTGACTTCAAATGATACTACAGAGCTATAATAACCAAAACAACATGGTACTAGCATAAAAACATTCACATAGGCCAACGGAATTGAATACAAAACCCAGAAACAAATTCACACATGTACAGTGAACTTATTTTTAACAAAGGAGCCAAGAACATACACTGAGGAAAAGACAGCTTCTTCAATAAATGGTGCTGGGAAAACAAGTATCCATATGCAGAAGAATGAAAGTAGACCTCTATCTCTCACCATATTTAAAAAAAAACAAATAAAAATGGATTCAAGACTTAAATCTAAAAACTCAAACTATGAAACTACTACAAGAAGACAGAAGAGAAACTCTCCAGGACTTTGGTCTGGGCAAAAATTTCTCCACAAGCACAGGCAACCAAAGCAAAAATGGAAAAATAGGATCACATCAAGTTAAAAAGCTTCTGCACAGCAAAGGAAACTATCAACAAAGTGAAGAGACAACCCCACAGTATGGGAGAAAATATTTGCAGACTGCCCATCTGACAGGAGATTAATAACCAGAATATATAAGGAGCTCAAACAACTCTATAGGAAAAAAATCTAATAATCCAATTTAAAATGGCCCAAATATTTGAAATAGCCATTTCTCAAAAGAAGACATACAAGTTCTGGCGCAGTGGCTCATGCCTGTAATCCCAACACTTTGGGAGGCCGAGGTGGGAGGATCACTTGAGCCCAGGAGTTCAAGGCCAGCCTGGGCAACATGGAGAAACCCTGTCTCTACAAAAAATACAAAAATTTGCCAGGCATGATGGCATGTGCCTATAGTCCCAGCTACTCAGGGAGCTGAGGTGGGAGGACTGCTTGAGCCTGAGAAGTGGAGATTGCAGTGAGCCAAGATTATGCTAGTGTACTCCAGCCTGGGTAACAGAGTGAGACTCTGTCTTTAAAAAAAAAAAAAAAAAAAAAAAAAAAAAAACCTACAAACAAATGGCAAACAGGCATATCAAAAGGTGCTCAACATCACTGATCATCAGAGAACAGAGACATGCAAATCAAAACCACAATGAGATATCATTTCACCCTATTTAAAATGGCTTTTATCCAAAAGACAGGCAATAACAAATACTGGTGAGTATGTGGAGAAAAGGGAACCTTCATACACTGTTGGTGGGAATGTAAATTAGTAAAACTACTATGGAGAACAGTTTGGAGGTCCCTCAAAAAGCTAAAGAGAGAGCTACCATATGATCCAGCAATCTCACTGCTGGGTATATACCCAAAAGAAAGGAAATCAGTATATCAAAGAGATTTCTGCACTCCCATGTTTGTTGCAGCACTGTTCACAATAGCCAAGATTTGGAAGCATCCTAAGTGTCCATCAACAAATGAATGGATAAAGAAAATGTGGTACATGTACACATGGAGTACTACTCAGCTGTAAAAAAAAGAAAAAAAATGAGATCCTGTCATTTGCAACAACATGAATGGAAATGGAGGTCATTATGCTATTGAAATAAGCCAGGCACTGAAAGACAAACATCTCATATTCTCACTTATTTGTGGGAATCTAAAAATCAAAACAATTGCCTGAGGTCAGGAGTCCGAGACTAGCCTGGCCAACATGGTGAAACCCCATCCCTACTAAAAATACAAAAATTAGTTGGGCATGGTGGTGTGCGCCTGTAATCCCAGCTACTGGGGAGGCTGAGGCAGAAGAATCGCTTGAACCCAGGAGGTGGAGGCTGCAGTGAGCTGAGATTGCACCACTGCACTCCAGCCTGGGCGACAGAGCAAGACTTTGTCTCAGAAAAAATAATAATAATAATAATAATCACATACTACTTGAAAATAAACAAAGGCAGTACATATTCAAGACAGTAGGAAATAGTTTAAAGTCATACTCAAAGGAAAACTTGTAACATTGATTTCATGAAAAACAAGAGTGAAAATAAATTAACTCATCTTCCACTACAAGAAAGTGGTAATAACAATGGTAGCTAACATGCATTGAGGGTTCGTATGTTCTCAGTGTTTCATGTGTATTACTTCATTTAATTCTCATGCCACACTACAATACAGGCATGATTATATTGTCATTTTACTGATGAGGGCACTGAGGCTCAGTGTCTACTAAACACACTGGTACAACAAACTGAGAGGAAGCTTCCACAGCCCATGCTGTTAACACTGAACTGTCTATGACTCAGATAAAAACAGCAAAAAAAGCCAGAGCAAGCAGAGAGCAGATACTACAGAAAAAAAACAGAAGTGAATGAAATGGAAAATATAATTTTCAAGAAATATAGAAAGAACAAAATATATTTGACAAGTAGTATAAATACTAAAGAAAACAATAACCTCAGAAGTTTAAGGTTAATCCCCAAATAGGTGATATGTTCTGAATGCTCTAAGGGAGAATTATACCAAAGCTTTAATGAGCCTATTATTATTATAAACTGTTCCACAGAGCAGAACATGTTGGGAAGCTTCTAAATTCATTATCTTACTACCACAAATCCTAGTATAACCCTGATAATCAAATTATACTGTAACAGAACAATTAAGAAAAGCTCAAAAATGCAAAAAAATCAATAAGTAAATGTCCCTATGAATAAAACTGCAAATATTTGTAAAAAGTAGCATACAAAAGCCATCAATATATTAAAATTATTATAGTACAACAGTAACACATGGAAAATTTATCATTACCACATTTAGCAATATAACTCGCCTTATTAATAAATATTACTTTCTAGGCTGAGCCCAGTGGCTCATGCCTATAATCCCAGCACTTTAGGAGGCTGAGGCAGGCAGATCACCAGAGGTCAGAAGTTCAAGACCAACTTAGCCAACATGGTGAAACCCCGTCTCTACTAAAAATACAAAAGTTAGTCGGGCGTGGTGGCGGGTGCTTGTAATCCCAGCTACTTGGGAGGCTGAGGCAGGAGAATCACTTGAACCCAAGACACAGAGGTTGCAGTGAACAGAGATCACACTACCACACTCCAGGCTGGGCAAAGTGAGACTGTCTCAAAAAAAAAAAAAAAAACTTTCTAAAACAAATGACCGTGAAAGTTAAAAGTTGATCAACAGGTTGGAAGTAACTTTGTTGTTAATACATATAACAGAAGAAAAATATTAAACTTCGAAAAATATACAAAAAGAGTTCATACATAAGATGAATACCTAAACACAAAAAAACAAACAAGGAGTAAATAGCAAGGGAAATACAAAGGAATAAGCTTATTAGAAGATGACCAGGCAGGGCGTGGTGGCTCCTACCTGTAATCCCAGAATTTTGGAAGGCCATGGCAGGAGGATCACCTGAGCCCAGGAGTTTGAGACCAGACTGGGCAACATAGCAAGTCCCCATGTATAAAAAAAAGAAATGAGCCAGGCACAGGGGTGCATTCCCAGCTACCCGGGAGGCTGAGGTAGGAGGATGACTTGAGACCAGGAGTTCCAGGCTGCAGTGAGCTCTGATTATACCACTGCACTACAGCCTGGATAACAGATTGAGACTCTGTCTCAATCTGTATGCTTGAGGAAATGGATTATGTTGTCTACTCTTGGTTAGAACATAAATTGGTTCAGCCTTTGAAAAGAAAATCTGGCAGCTTTCTCTTAAATTTTTGAGTTTGCCATTTCTAGGGAATGATCCTACAGAAATACGCATTTATAAGAGTACGTACAAAAGCTGTTCACTGCAGAATTATTAAGAGAAAAAAGTAGATGTTCACCAATAGCAGTTTATTAACCTGATACACCCATAGCATGGAATGCTGTGAGCAATGAAAAAGAAAAAGGTAATTTATATGTATAAACATGGAAAGATCTCCAAGACAATGTAAAAAACAACAAAAATATGTGCAGGATATATAGTCAATATGGTACCACTTAAGTAAAAACAAACACACGAACTCCCAAACTCTTTTTCTAACCTTACATAAATATGTATGTAAATATATAGAAACCAATATGAAATAACAAAGGCAAAATTGTTAAAGGTGGTTATTTTGGGAGAGAAATGGAATTAACAAGGGAGAGGAGGTTGCTGTAGGAATAGGGGCTTGCATTTTAACATTTTCCTTAAAAATAAGCAAATATTATCTTAAATATATATATATATATATAAAATTTACATTAGCAAAATGAGAAAGTCCTAGAAATATGCAGACATTATAAAACACTATTGGCAAAATAAAGGCTCAAACCAAAAAAGTGACAGACCAATTTTTGGTTCAAATAATGGTTCTCAACCCAGGTGCCATAAAGTGAAGACTATGAATTTGATAGCATATTAAAATTAAGACATATGGCAAATGACTGGGGGAAATTATCCTCAATACATATGACAGATAGTAGCTAATTTCCTTAAGAAGGGATGGTCACAAAACAATGAAGGGGGACAAATGAACGACTGAAAAATGGGTGAACAGCCAGGCGTGGTGATGTGCACCTGTGGTCCCAACTACTCAAGAGGCCAATGCAGGAGGATTGCTTGAGCCCAGAAATTGGAGGCTTCGGTAACCTATGACTGTGCCACTGCACTTCAGCCTGGGTGGCACAGAGACCTTGTCTCTAAAAAAACGTTTTTAATTAAAAATTTAGGCCAGGTGAGGTGGCTCTTGCCTGTAATCCCAGCACTTTGGGAGGCCGAGGCGGGCGGATCACCTGAGGTCAGGAGTTCAAGGCCATCCTGACCAGCATGGAGAAACCCTGTCTCTACTAAAAATACAAAATTAGCCGGGTGTAGTGGTGCATGCCTGTAATCCCAGCTACTCCGGAAGCTGAGGCAGGAGAATTGCTTGACCCAGGACGCAGAGGTTGCAGTGAGCCGAGATCACGCCATTGCACTCCAGCCTGGGCAACAAGAGCAAAACTCTGTCTCAAAAAAAAAAAAAATTTAGAAATCGAAAAATGAGTGAAATATTTGAGAAGGCTGTGAACAGAGAAATGACAAAAAGTTATCAACTATGACCACCTTTATTGTTAGCAATGAAATTACAACCGGGTGGGCGCAATGGCTCATGCCTGTAATCCCAGAAGTTTGGGAGATCGAGGCGAGTGGATCACCTGAGGTCAAGAGTTCAAAACCAGCCTGGCCAACATGGCGAAACCCCATCTCTACTAAAAATACAAAAATTAGCCAGGCGTGGTGGCATGCGCCTGTAATCCCAGCTACTCGGGAAACTGAGGCAGGAGAATCGCTCGAACCCAGGAGGCAGAGGTTGCAGTGAGCTGAGATCGTGCCACTGCACTCCAGCCTGGGGAATAGAGCGCGACTCTGTCTCAAAAAAAAAAAAAAAAAAGCAAGAAAGGAAAAAAAAATAAAAGAAATTAAAACCAACATCCTTTTTACATATCAAGTTGACAAAGATGATACATTTTTATTATAAGTCCAGTGATCCTCAATATGTGAGAAAATAGACCCTTTTACATTATAGGCTGGGTGGAAAAAAAACAAAAACTTTTTCCTCTGCTCTCACAACACAGTAATCAACACAGAAGACTCTATGACCACACATGTGGGGATTTCTCTCCATCAAACAAGCATACAATCAATTCTGCTGTGGACACCATCTGGGTGTCCTCCAATTCAACTGGAACGCTATCTACCTGGACATAGCATCAGATCCCACAGGCCCACAGGACTGGCCTCCAATTCTAATGACAATGGCAAGCCCCAGTTTGTTTTATCTGTGCTTCTGACAGACTGGCTATAAATCAGGTTTCCACCACCCCCTCTTTGAATTCAATTAATCTGCCTAGAGCAGCTCACAGCACTCAGAAAAACACTTATATTTATCAGTTTATTATGAAGGATATTGCAAAAAGTACAGATAAAGAGATGCATAGGGCCAGGTATGGAGGGAGCCAAGCACTACCTTCCAGGAAGTTCTAACCAGAAGGTCTCTAAATCCAGTCCTTTTGGGGTTTTTATGAAGGCTTCATTACATAGGCATGATGGATTAAACTACAGGCTATTGGTGATCAACTCAAGCTTCAGCTTCTCTCCCCTCCATGGAAATTGGGTTTGGAGCTGAAAATCTCACCCCTCTAATGTTGCCTTCTTCTTTCCTATGAGCAGCCCCAACCTGGAGCTACCTAGGGGCCTCCAGCCACCAGTCAGCTCATTAGCATGCATCCAAAAAAAGACATCACTTTGAAGATTCCTAGGATTTAGGCCATGTTGCCCAGCCTGGTCTCAAACTTCTGGGCTGAAGAGATCCTCCCATCTCCAACTCTCAAAGTGCTGAAATTACAGGTGTGAGCCACCATGCCCCGCCACAGGACTGCTTTTTCATAAGTCATGGATATACTCCATGATTTTAATCCCATTAAGTCCAAGCATTTAAATGACCACTCCTCCTTTGAAAGTTACAATAAAATATTCAAAGTAATGAATGATAAAAACATTGTTACCAGTACTGGAAAATACAAGAGTCATGAGCTTTGAGACATTTCTCTTGCACTGTAGAGATGTGCATGGTTCTCAATCCCAAGGGAGCAGCACAAGGTGTAGTAATTACCAATCCCAGAGGACGACTCTAAATGCATCTATCCATTGCATCTTGGTATAGCATTCACCCAAGTGAACATAATGCAGACAAGCACTGGATGGAACAAGGCTTTACCTACCTGCAGAGAGAGGAGACAGTGGAAGTGGAATATTAGTTTCAGTGGTGTCCGTCAGTCCCCCATGGCTAGCAGCCAACCCTAACACCATTCCAGGACAGAGGGCAATTTGGCTGCTCATACCCCTCTCCTGCAGCAGCTCCAGAAGGACCCTGACTTCTGTCAGTATAGTGTGAAATACTGAACACTGGGGGTACACCTGGGAGTAGTTGATGCGCACTCTGAAGCTAAATAAAGGAACAATGAGTCTGAAACAGGGAAAGTGTCACTTGGAACGGAAGTATTCCGGGCTCCAGGTCCAGTCTTATGTAGCCCAGTGGGGTCAAAGACTGCACACACGAGACTTTTTCCCAGGCAGTTCAACGAAGTTCTGAATGCGTCAGACTTGTTTTGCACCACTAAAGAGTAAAATATGCTCAAATTTAAGCTGACATCTTACTTATACAAGTCATGTAAAGGAAGAAATGACATGGTTGAATGTTAGATTTGCTGGTTTAATGACAATTTCAGTGTTGTACAAAAGCCATGAATGTCCCTCATAAATGCCTATTGATGTAATGTAAAATTAATCATCTACTAATCAGCAAAGAATATTACCAACATTGGCCAGACACAGTGGCTCGCACCTGTAATCCCAGCACTTTGGGAGGCCAAGGGAGGTGGATCACTAGAGGTCAGGAGTTTGAGACCAGCCTGGCCAACATGGTGAAACCCCATCTCTACTAAAAATGCAAAACAATTAGCCAGGTATGGTGGCGGGTGCCTATAGTCCCAGCTACTTGGGAGGCTGAGGCAGGAGAATCACTTGAACCCGGGAGGCAGAGGTTGCAGTGAGCCGAGATTGTGCCACTGCACTTCAGCCTGGGCAACAGAGTGAGACTCTGTCTTTAAAAAAAAAAAAAAAAAAAAGGAATATTACCAACATCTGAACAAAATATTCATGATTCATCAGCAGCTGGACTTGAAACATAAGTAAAGTTCTTAAAATAGCTAGTGGGTCCATTGAAGGAAATGAGAATATCCTTCAAATTTAGAATAGAGTGAGAGTGGTATAATACGTCACCAAAATTTATTTCAGATGTAAATCATTTAGAAAAAGAGAAGATGAATTAAAGTCATAAGTTATCTCAGAAGGCTTGGAAAAAAGGAAGAATAGTAATGAAAGGAGAATGTAACATACGTATAAAACAAATGTTCTTTTCTTCACAAAGCAACAAAGAATGAAACAGTGTCAGAAATCCCTCCCCTCACCCTCCTTGTCTCTTAAAGTCCTTGGAATGAGACATCAAGTCTGGGAAAAGAAAGCTGTTGACCCTTAATGAGGCCACCAGGCAAACGAGGGTAGAAAAGATTAAGTTCTGATGTAAATATTTACGTAAAATCTGGTATTTGTCACACCTGAGCATTGCCAGTCTCAGTCTGATTAATAAAATTATTCAGAATCACCCTCCTCCAATCAATGCTCTCCCCACCTGACCCTGATTTCTCCAGATGACTCCAGAGTAGAATAATATTTAAACAAAAGACATCCCCACTTTTTCTTAAAGGTCTTTTGGCGAACACACGTGGTTCTTAAACTGCCATGCATCAGGGGCAGGGGCAAGGCTTCTTACAACACAGATCTGCAGATCTCCGGGTTTGAGGGTTACAAGGATGCTGCTGGTCTCAGGGCCACAATGTGAGAACCACACAGCTAGACGGTTTTCAGAGTTAAGTGCTATTGATTCATCATATATTTGGCCAACAAAAGTTCTAAGTTTTTAGACTGTCCCAAATGTTTCACATGAAAGCAAATCAGGAGAGCATCTTCCTATGCAGTGGAGCCTGGGAAAGCTGGGTGAGACTCAGGGAAAAATGCATAAAGCTCCACCCTTTCCGCTGTCAGGCCCTGCCCACGGCTACTTAAGCCCACCCTGGCCTGCTGGTGCTCAGATCCTTGCAGGGGACAGCAGTGGTTAGAGCGTGCTGCTGGTTCTGGGTGCACCCGGGAGCTCACCGCATCCTATGACCTGGGAGCGGATTCAGAGGACAGGACAGAACACTTGGGTAAGTGAATCTCTGTCTGTCTCATTTGTTTATTCCCACTTTCTTAAGGAGCACATACTTCTCACCACACACACACACTCACTCTACCCTTCATATTAGGGGTCAAAAAAGGAGTAAGGGACCCTGGGAGTGCAGGTTTCTAATCATGTCTGCATCTAAGAACAGTGGGGTCTCACCTGGCTCCTCCTGTGAGCAGTACCCCAGCCTGGCCTCAAGATCCATGCCAGCCTCACCCAGCTTCTCCTTCTCCCCTCTCAGAAACTCAGACCCAGGAGGGGGCTCCTCACCAGGACCCCGGGGTACTTTTCATCATCACCTAAGGCTTCACCACACTCACTTCCGTCTTTACCAAAATCCCACAATATCCCATTTCCCTTTCCTAACCATGAGGGACAATCACAGAAGCCACTGGGCTCTGCCCTTCCCTGGAGCTTCTTCAGAGTCACCATGTGCATCAGTAATATACCACGTGTTCTTACTGCCATTGCCCCACAGCTCACCCCCAGCCCTCAGGGACTCTCCTGTCTCTCCCAGCTACTCCCCAAACCACTGTGAATTTCTGACACAGTCAGCCCGTCACACCCAGGAATTACGTAGAAACTAACAGACCTCACTGGGATCCTCCCCTATGACTCCCACCCCTTCAGCTCCAGCCCTCAGGGACTCTCCCATGTCTCCTAGTTACTTTCTAATCATCCCCAGATGTCTCCAACTGACTGTTGCCCCCCAACACTCAAGAATCACCTACAGACGCAAATCTGAGTGCCCTCCTCCACGCTGTCTCTCATCTCTTCTCCTGCAGCCCTTTGGGACTCTCCAGTGCCTCCCAGCTCCTCTCCAGCCATCCCCATATTTCTCCTGGGGGCAGCCCCTAACACCCAGGAGACCCCTAGAAACTCACAGGCCTTCCTGGAATCCTCCCCCCTGTCTCCACTCCCAGCCCTCAGGGACTCTCCCATGTCTCCCAGCTCCTCTCCAACCATCCCCAGATTCCGAACCCCCCCACACCCAGGAATCACCTAAAAACCCACAGACCTCCCTGAGATCCTCCCCCATCTCTCTCACCTCTTCACCCCCATTCCTTAGGGACTCCTGTGTCTCCCAGCTCTGGTCCAACCATCTTCAGTTTTCTGCAGGAGCCAGCCCCAGGCACCTAGGAGACCCCTAGAAACTCACAGACCTCACCAGTTTATTCTCCCACAACCTCCGTCTACACTGCAGTGGCCCCCACATATTCCCCAGTGGCCCGCACCCATCTCCGTTCACACTCAGACACTCCCAGGGCCTC
Source organism: Homo sapiens (assembly GCF_000001405.40). Lineage (NCBI taxonomy): Eukaryota > Metazoa > Chordata > Mammalia > Primates > Hominidae > Homo > Homo sapiens. Next base: position 48,084,027 of record NC_000008.11, on the reverse strand, counting down.
ACAGCCACTCCCCATTATTGTCCTTCAGCTTATAGTGCTGGCCAATCTACTGGCCAGCATGATCCGCTTACCTGTCCATTTCCCCACATTCCTGGTCAGGGTCCCACATCCAGCCACAGAAGAGCCCCTCCTGCGTTCCACGCAGGCCTGTCCTTCTTGCTACTGTCACACACTTGCCAGCAGAAGAGGCCCCTCTAATGGCCGACATCACCACCCAGGTTATCATTACCCCTCAGCTGGGCATCTGGACCCTCCTGCCTGCCGATGTGGCTGCCAGCGCCCATGGCAGTGTGAACCCCAGTCTGTCTGCAGCCCTGCGGGTGACCCTCCTGTCTGTCAGTGACACTATTGGTGTGAGCCTCCATTTTCAGATCTCTGATTTGTAAATATGACCATGTTCCCTTCTCTCTGTTTCTTCCATTCACAGGACGTCTCATTCTCTTTGTTTCTGTCTCCATTTCAAACATTTACTCATTTTTTTCCCTTTTTCACTACATCTGCCCCAGTCTCAAAATGGATGCCCTAGATAAGATTCACCCATTTAAGGTGATGGATTGAATGGCTTTTAGTATATTCATAATTGCGCACAGCCGATTTTAATCAGTTTTATAACATTATATCACCCCTCCCCCAAGGAACCCTATAAACATTAGTCATTCCTCACACTGTCTCCAAGCCCCACCCCCAACAACAACCTCTGCCCTAGGTAACGGCTCCATAGAGAGCTCTCCCCTATCTCTATAGATTTGCCTATTCTGGGTATTTCCTATGAACAGAATAACACAATATGTGAGCCTGTGCAACTGTCTTTTTACTTAGCATAATGTTTTCAAGGTTCATCCACATTGTAGAATTACCCACAGTTTCATTCATTTTATGGCCAAGTGATACTCGATTGCATGAATATGCTCCTGGGGATGCTAATGAGTTGATGGGCATTAGGTTGTTTCTACTTTTTTGCTTTTGTGAATAATGCTGCTATGAACACTGCTGTACACTATTTGGTGTGGACATCTTTATACCCAGGAGTGGAACTCCTGGGTCATATGAAGACTTATGTGACAAAAACATGTTGAGGAACTCCCAGATTATTTTCCAACATGGCTGTAGCATTTGACAGTCCCACCAGCAATGCAGGAATGTTTCAGCTTCTTTGCATCCTCATCAGCATTTGTCATTATCTGCTTTTCCGTTCTGGCCATTCTGGTGAGTGTGAAGTGTCACCATTGTTGTTTTGACTTGCATTTCCCTAAGGACTGAGGATGCAGAGAATCATTTCATGTGTTTCTTGTCTATTTGTGTATCTTCTTTGGAGAAATATCTACTGCAATCCTTTGCCTATTTAAAAATTGGATTATTTTTCTTCTTTTTATTGAGTAGTGAGAATTCTTTTTGTAATCTAAATGCAAGTTCCCTATCAGGTATATGATTGCAAATATTTTATCCCATTTTGTGGTTGTCTTTTCACATTTGAATCACAAAAGGTTTTGCTTTTTATGAAGTACAATTATTGTATTTTCTTTTGTCGCTTGTGGTTTTGATGCCACATCTTAAAAGCCTTCATCTCACCTGCAGTGATATTTTCTTCTAAGATTTTATCTTTTTTTGTTTTATTATTTTTTATTTTTTAAGATTTTATCTTTATTTTTTTATTTTTCTTTTGAGACAGAGTTTCGCTCTGTTGCCCAGGCTGGAGTGCAATGGCACAATCTCGGCTCACTGCAGCCTCTGCCTCCAGGGTTTAAGCAGTTCTCCTGCCTCAGCCTTCTGAGTAGATGAGATTACAGGCACGTGCCACCACGCCCGGCTAATGTTTGTATTTTTTTTTAATAGAGACAGGATTTCACCATGTTGGCCAGGCCTGGTCTGGAACTCCTGACCTCAGGTAATCCGCCTGCCTCAGTCTCTCAAAGTGCTGGGGTTACAGGCGTGAGCCACTGCACCCGGCCAGATTTTATCTTTTTAGCTCTTAAATTTAGATCCATAGTCACCTTGGAGTTAATTTTTGTGTGTGGTCTGAGAAAGGTATCCAACATTATTCTTTTGTATGAGGGTATCCTATTGTGCCAGCACCATTTGATAAGAAGAGGATTCCTGGCCAGCCACGGTGGCTCATGCCTGTAATCCCAGCATTTTGGGAGGCCAAGGCGGGTGGATCACCTGAGAGGTCAGGAGTTTGAGATCAGCCTGGCCAACATGGTCAAACCCCGTCTCTACCAAAAATACAAAAATCAGCCAGGCATGGTGGTGCCCACCTGTAATCCCAGCTACTCGGGAGGCTGAGGCAGGAGAATCACTTGAACTCGGGAGGCAGAGGTTGTAGTGAGCTGAGATCACACCACTGCACTCCATCCTGGGCAAGAGAGTGAGACTGCATCTCAAAAAAAAAAAAAAAAAGGGTTCCTACCCACAATTAGTTTTCTCAGCACACTCTGAAAATCAATGGACTGCAAATGTAATGGCTTACTTCTGGGCTCTGTTTATTCCCTTCATCTATATCTCTATGTCTGTATCCCAGTACCATATGGTCATGATTATTGTTATCTTGCAGGATGCTTTAACATAGGGAAGAGTCTTCTAATTCTGTTTATTTCTTTGAAGATTGTTTTAGTTATTCTGGGTCCTTGGCATTTTCTGTATGAATTTTAGGATCAGCTTACCAATTTCTGCGAACTCGCCAACTAGGCTTTTGATGGGAAGTATGTGGAATTGACACAGGAATTATCTCAGTTACTTTGCCAGTCGGGACCTCTGGCCGGCGACACCCCCCCAACCCCGGACCTTGCTCAGCCCCGGGACTGCCACTGGTGGTGCCCCAGCCCACCTGTGTTACAGCTTGGTGGCTCCTGAGTTTTTGTCCTGTGTCCAAGAAGAATGAGGATACACTGACAGTTGAAGGGTAAGGATAGGCGGAGAATTTTATCGAGCAGTGGAATAGCTCTCAGTGGAGAGGCGATGCGGAAGGGTGGGTAAGGGGGTCCCCCACCTCCGCAGTCGGGTGGTTTTCTTCTCTCAGCGTGGCTGGGCCCTGGGCTTTTTATGAATTCAGAATGGGAAATGTTTGCTGATTGGTTTGTGAGTATGCGAAAAAGGTTAAAGCAAAGACACCACTCAAAGGTGGACATGACAGTGTAGAAAATCAATTAGGAAAGATTAGGTATACGTAAAATAGATGAAGGGTGGGGATCAATCAGAGGAGAAAGCATGACAAATGGGAAGACAGGTTCTCAATCCAGTCCGAAGATTTAACTTGTAGCTTGGCTTTCAAGCTTTAAACTGCCTTCAGCTTGGGGGTGGGGTTTCACCGGGGACTCGCCCCTATCTGCCTGGGCATTTGGCTGCCTCCTGTCACTATCAGAATGTGTAGAACACTTTGGGAATTATTACCATCCCAGCAATATGAAGTCTTTCCATCCACGAACGTTTTTTGTCTTTCCATTTATTTATGCCATCTATAATTTCAACAATATTTTGTAGTTTTCAAGGTATACGTTTTGTATTTTTTGGTCAGGCTTATTGCAAGTATTTTATTCTTTTTGATGCTATTGTAAATGGAATTGTTAAATTTCATTTTCAGACTGTTCATTGTTATTGTGTGGAAATTTAATTCATATTTGTATATTGATCTTGTATCCTGAAACCTTGCTGGACGCATTTCTTAGTTCTAATAGTTGTTTTAATGGTTTCCTTAAGATATTCTATATGTAGGATAATGTCTGCAGGGAATAGAGATTGTTTTTCTTCTTCCTTTCTAATCTAGATGCCTTTTATTGCCTAATTTCCCTGGCTAGAAACTCTGGTACAATCTTGAATAGAAGTAGCAAAAGTGGACATCTTTGTCTTTCTTATTCATGACGTGAAGGGGACATTCAGTATTTTGCCATTAAACATTGGTCTTTTGTAGGTTTTTTTTTGTGTGTGTGTAGCTGTTCTTTATCAGGTTAAGGAAGCTCCCCTCTGTTTACAGTTTTTTAAGCATTCGTATTATGAAGTGGGCTGTATTTTTTCAAATGCACTTTTCGTGTCGATTGAGATTGTCATGTGGTTTTTGTTTTTATTGATATTGATATTGATAATTGATATTTATGTTTCACATTTAGTTCTCCAAGAACTCTCCTTCAGGACTCATATTCCTAGTCATGATCTTTGCGTTTTTGCTCTGTTTTGAGATATTTCTTCTATTCGACATTCAAGTCCACACTATAGTTGAAATATGCCAAAATTTCCCTTTTTATCTCCTATTTCAAATGTTTAAATTTCAGAAACTGATTAAGTTTCTGCTTTTAGTACCACCAAGCGTCTTCCCCTTCCTCCCTTCCTTACTCCTCCCCCTTTCCTTCTTTTACTTTCTTCCCTCCTTCCCTTTCTTACTTCTTGTATGTTTCCTATGTTTCCATGTCAAATCCTTCAGAGTTCTCAGTACGATTTCACTGTTGTTATGTACCAGAGTCTCTCTCCCATGGTTCCCCGTCAATTGTAAACATCTACTGGTTTCTTTCAAGTCATTCAGTATCCTTTCATTAGTTACACCTTTTTTGCCTTATATAGCTACTCCTGGATTTTCGATGGTGTTATGTGCTGATCAACCCATCATAACTCAAAAATGCATTTAATATCCCAATGAACCAATTGTAAAGTTAGGGGAAAAAGATAATGGAAGAGCGATTAGACAAAAAAAGAAATCAAAAGTATTTAGATTGGAAAAGGAGAAAAACTATTTGCAAATAATAGGATCTTAGATATAGAAAAGCCTAAATAGTTTATGCAGAAAAGCTATTAGAGTTAATAAACTACTTCAGCAAAATTGCAGGATACAAGACCAATATACAAAAACCAGTTGTAGCAATAATCCAAAATTCAAATTAGGAGAACAGTTCCAGGTATGATAGCATCAAAAAGAGTAACATATGTAGGGATAAACTAAAATGGAAGTGCAAACTTATATGCTGAAAACCACAAAATATTGTTAAAAGAAACTAAAGAAGATATAAGTAAATGAAAAGTCATCTCATGTTCATGTGTTGGAAGATGTAATATTAAGATGGCAATACTCCCCAAAGCAATCTACAGCTTCATTGCAATCTCTACCAAAACTTCAACAGCCCTTTTTTTTTTTTTTGGCATAAATGGACAAGCTGATCCTAAAATTTATACAAAAATGCAAGGAACCCAGAATAGCCAAAACAGTCTTGAAAAATAAAACTGGGCCTGAACAGAACAAAAAGTGGAGGATGGGAGAACTTGTCCCTTCTACCTGATGTTTCAGCTGGGACATCAGTCTTCACCTGCCCTTGGACTAAGACTTACGTCGTCAGCTCTCCCAGTTCTCAGGTCTTTGAACTCAGACTTTCCTGCATCTCCAGCTTACAGACAGCACATGGTGATACTTCTCTACCTCCATAATCACGTGAGCCAGGTCCTCATAATAAATCTCTATCTATCAATTCATCTGTTGGTTCTGTTTCTCTGGAGAACCCTCTACAGTGACCTTGGACTAGGCAACAGTTTCTTAGATAAGATCCCAAAAATACAAGTCACCAAAAAAAAAAAAATAGAAAAATTGGGCTGCATCAGAATTAAAAACATTTTTTTGCATCAAAGGATAATATTAAGAAAGTAAAGAGACAATCCAAAGAATGGGAAAAATATTCACAAGCTATATATTTGATAAGATCCAGATAAGCTATATATTTGATAAGTATCCAGAATACATATAGAAAAACTCTTACAAGTCAACAAAAAATGGGCCAGGCATGGTGGCTCATGCCTGTAATCCCAGCACTTTGGGAGGCCATGGCGGGTGGATCACCTGAGGTCAGGAGTTTGAGACCAGACTGGACAATACAGCAAAACCCCGTCTCTACTAAAAATACAAAAATTAGCCAGGCGTGGTGGCACATGCCCGTAGCCCCAGCTACTCAGGAGGCTGAGGCAGGAGAATTGCTTGAACCCAGAAGCAGAGTTTGCAGGGAGCCGAGATCGTGCCACTGAACTCCAGCCTGGGCAATAGAGCAAGACTCCATCTCAAAAAAAAAAAAAAAAAAAGACAACCTAAATTTCAAAATGAACAAAACAGCTGGGCACAGTGGCTCACACCTGTAATCCCAGCACTTTGGGAGCCTGAGGCAAGTGGATCATTTGAGGTCAGGAGTTTGAGACCAGCCTGGCCAACATGGTGAAACCCTATCTCTACAAAAATTAGCCGGGTGTGGTAGCACGTGCCTGTAATCCCAGCTACTTGGGAGGCTGAGGCAGGAGAATCACTTGAACCCGGGAGGCGGAGGTTGCAGTGAGCCAACCGAGATCATACCACTGCACTCCAGTCTGGATGACAGAGCGAGACTCCATCTAAAAAAAAAAAAAAAAGGCCAGGCGCACGGTGGCTCACACCTATAATCCCAGCACTTTGGGAGGCCGAAGCGGGCAGATCACCTGAGGTCAGGAGTTCAAGACCAGCCTGACCAACATGGAGAAACCCCATCTCTACTAAAAAGACAAAATTAGCCAGGCATGGTGGCACATGCCTGTAATCCCAGCTACTTGGAGGCTAAGGCAGGAGAATCACTTGAACCCAGGAGGCGGAGGTTGCGGTGAGCCGACATCGTGCCATTGCACTCCAGCCTGGGTGACAAGACAGAAACTCCATCTCAAAAAATAAAATAAAAAGGCCAGGCATGGTGGCTCATGCCTGTGATCCCAGCACTTTGGGAGGCTGAGGCGGGTGGATCACTTGAGGTCAGGAGTTTGAGACCAGCCTGGCTAACATGGTGAAACCCTGTCTCTATTAAAATACAAAAATTGTCTAGGTGTGGTGGTGCACGCCTGTAACCCCAGCTACTCGGGAGGCTGAGGCAGGAGAATCACTTGAACCCGGGAGGCAGAGTTTGCAGTAAATCGAGATTGCACCACTGAGTGACAGAGCCTGAGTGACAGAGCGAGAGACTCCATCTTAAAAAATAAAAAATAAAATAAAAATTTAAAAAATCAAATGAGCAAAAGAGTTGGACAGGATTTCTCCAAAGATACACAAATAACCAGTAAGCACATGAAAAGATGTTCAGCAGCACTAGTAATTTAAAAAAAACTGTGAAACCCCGTCTCTACTAAAAATACAAAAAAAAAAATAGCTGGACATGGTGACAGGCACATGTAGTCCCAGCTACTCAGGAGGCTGAGGCAGGAGAATGGCACAAACCCAGGAGGTGGAGCTGGCAGTGAGCTGAGATCGTGCCACTGCACTCCACCCTGGGCAACAGAGCGAGACTCCATCTCAAAAAAAAAAAAAAAAAAAAAAAACACACACACAATGAAATACCACTTCACACCCACCAGGAAGGCTAGAATTTAAAAGATGAGCAATAACAAGTGTTGGTGAGGACAGGGAGAAATTGAAACTCTCATCCACTGCTGGTGAGGATGTGAAATGGTACAGCCACTTTGGAAAACATGCTAACAGTTCCTCAAATGGTGAAGCATAGCTTCTGTATGACTCAGCAATTCCACCCCTACCCAACAGAAATGAAAACGTCCACACAAAAACTTGTACACAAACGTGTATAGCAATATTATTTATAATAGCCAAAAGGTGCAAACAGCCCAAATGTTCATTATTCTGGAATGTTCTGGAATTAGTGGTAATGGTTACACAATCTTGTGGCTATAACAAAAAACACTGAATTGTACACTTTAAAATGGTGCATTTTATGGTATGTAGTTTATATTTCAGATAAAAAATAAATAGAAATGAAAAGCCCATGGAAATAGAGGCATGCCAGAACCTCACCTCCCAGCCATTCCTGTCCTCCGAGCTCAGCACCACCAAGGTTAGAACTGAGTGGGCCTCATAGAATGGCAGGGCCACATTCCAGCACTGGTCAACATGATTTCAAGTCTAGTGACCACCCTGGGCACACGAGTCATTCATGCTTAGAAGAGTAGGTCTGATGTGGATGTTGGTCACCCCCCTCTAATAAAGAGCCCACTGGGGCTGGGTGCAGTGGCTCACACCTGTAATCCCAACACTTTGGGAGGCCGAGGCAGGCAGATCACGTGAGGTTGGGAGTTCAAGACCAGCCTGACCAACATGGAGAAACCCTGTCTCTACTAAAACTACAAAATTAGCCAGGCGTGGTGATGCATGCCTATAAGCCCAGCTACTCAGGAGGCTGAGGCAGGAGAATTGCTTGAACCCGGGAGGCGGAGGTTGCAGTGAGCCAAAATCGCACCATTGCACTCCAGCCTGGGCAACAAGAGCCAAACTCTGTCTCAGAAAAAAATAAAAATAAAAATAAAAAAAGCCCACTGGGCAGCGTTTCATATGAAGTTAACTTAAAGGTGGACTGGCTTCCCCTATATGCTCTACCTCCACATGTCCAGGGTGCATCTGACACATCCAAAGAGGACCTGTCTAGCCCCTACATGGTTACCCTGGAGACTGAAAGGTCTATATTTCTGGTGGGCCGCACCAACCAGCAGGGCATGTGCCAATACCTGGGCCCCAGTAAGCACTTGATAAAGACTGACTGAAGCATGAATAAACTACACCATGAACAACACTTCCAGATTCCATCTACAGCTTGTATTAGGACAGAAAAGCAAGGCAATCATAAACCTACTCATAGCTCACGTGACCATGGAAAGGGCATGCATGGAGCTGGGCTTCAGAAACCACAGGAGCCAGCCCTGAGTCACAGCACCTTCCCCTCTGTCCAACCCCACGTCTGTCTCTGTGGGCCAGCTTGTCCTCTCAGACTGCTTTCACCCTCACTTGGGGAATTATGGCCCACAGCATCCCCTCTCTCCCATATCACACACATCTGCCCTCAGGGGCCACTAATCAATGTCCACCTCTCAGATGAAAGCAAAGAGGCCAACAGTGGGTGTCTCCCACACTGCTTTGCAAAATGTTTTTCAAATTATACAGAACTCATGAAAATTTCATTCCAGGCTACAACATAAATATTTAGAACCTGAGCTGACAAAAAATGTTCTGAGTCATCGTGGGGGATTATTTGTACCTTTACTGTTTGCCTAGAGAAAACAGTTCCAAAAAGCAGTACATCTGTTGACAAAAACATACTTCTCAGTGATGAAATTATTTTCAACACAAAGGCTGCTCGTAATGAAACTATTCCCATCTTTGGTTCTAGCAGGATCCACCCATAACATAGCTGATCCTTGACAAGTAGCTGACTTCTTCGTGGCCCAGGGAACACATCTTGAAACTCAGTGGTAACCAAATAGTTAGAGCCACCATTCAATGAGAAATATTCTCAAAAGAAAGTATTTCGGCCAGGCGCGGTGGCTCACACCTGTAAGCACTTTGGGAGGCTGAGGCAGGCAGAGCACCTGAGGTCAGGAGTTTGAGACCAGCCTGACTAACATGGAGAAACCCCGTCTCTACTAAAGATAGAAAATTAGCCAGGCATGGCTGGGCACAGTGTGGGCTTTTGTGTGTTCATATACATACAAAAGCTCTGAAGTTTGAAGTAGTTGAAACTCAGCTTGAGAATATGTTTCTTTACATCCTAAAGGAAAAAAAAAAGTGATTTCCAAGGTAGCATCTTGGAAAGCTCCCTACCTAGCCCTAGGGTAGATCACTAGGAGGTAGATATGCAGAGGCAGAGCCCAGCAGGGATTCAGCCTGGGTTTGGGTGAGCTGACTCAGGTTTCTCTAATGCTGGTGGGAGGGATGGCATTTGAACTCAGACCGTCTAACAGGCTTCCCCCCATCCCTCACAAGCCAGGCCAGAGGATGAGCCCTGGTGTGATGCCGTAATTCTTACTCATGTCTAAAAGAAGGTATGCATTTTATCACTGTGGCCTTTTAAATCAAGAATACAGTGCTTTATGTGTGGTAGACATCTGGCTATCTGTCGCTGGGTTCTAGGGTGTGGTTTCCATGGGCAGAAGGATGTTCCTAGTAAAACTGTGGCCAGTGTAGTTTTGTTGTTTCCATTATCCTCTCCCAGCCCATGGTTGGAAGAGAACCATGAGTTTTTTAAAATACTGATATCCTTGTGTTAAACTATGCTTCAACCCTCCTCCACTAGCACAAGTCTTCAGCAAAATTGGCCAAACCCAAAAAGCTGATATCACTTACAGGATATCAGCTTTCATTAGTGGAGTAAGGGATCAGAGTCCTGTCCAGTTGGGCGGGGAGGGAAAGGAGTGAGCAGCAGTCATAGGAGGCAAGATTCAGAACAGAGATCCAAGGTTTCAACAGATGCAGGATCCTGGAAACAAGAATGACCCTGTGAGTGGTCACTGCTCCGTGATTTGAAGGATAGATTAGGGGAAGTGTGCCATCCACAGTACACAGGCTACAGGATCAGTTGCTCTGTTCAATATTAAAACATGGAAGAACCCAAGTAGACTGCAGAATTAAGAGCTATCCAAGGAGCTTACACTTGGCTCACAGGATTTTCTTGTTGTTGTTGTTGTTGTTGTTGTTGTTGTTGTTGTTGTTAATTCTTTAAAATAAGAAATAGCTGGTGAAGTTAGGGGGAGGGAGAGTATAGGGATAGATTTGCTCATGGATATAAAATTACAGCTAGATAGGAGGCATGAGTTCCAGTGCTCTATATGACTGTAGGATGACTATATAATAACAATGATATATCATATAGGCCAGGCACAGTGGCTCACGCCTGTAATCCCAGCACTTTGGGAGGCCAAGGCAGGCAGATCACCTGAGGTCAGGAGTTGGAGACCAGCCTGGCCAACGTGGTGAAACCCCATCTCTACTAAAAATACAAAAATTAGCTGGGTGTGGTGGCAGGCGCCTGTAATCCCAGCTACTCTGGAGGCTGAGGCAGGAGAATCGCTTGAAGCTGAGAGGCGGAGATTGCAGTGAGCCAAGATCGCACCGTTGCACTCCAGCCTGAGGGACAAGAGCAAGACTTTGTCTAAAAAAAAAGAAAGAAAGAAAGGAGAGAGAGAGAGAGAGAGAGAAAAGAAAGGAAAGAAAATTAGCCAGGCGTGGTGGTACATGCCTATAATCCCAGCTACTCGGGAGGCTGAGGCAGGAGAATTGCTTGAACCAGGGAGGCGGAGGTTGCAGTGAGCCGAGATCACGCCATTGCACTCCAGCCTGGGCAATAAGAGTGAAACTCTGTCTCAGAAAAAAAAAAGAAATTATCTCAAAATTAGAGAAGAGTCATATTCAACCAAAAGTGCTAACAGAGGCCTTAGATAAATAACAACGTAATCTCAGAAAAATGTTTGTAGTGCTTGGAACACATTACAAGGCTTTCTACCTCACAAATTGACAAATATCTACTATGTATCTATTTGTATCTATCTGTCATATATCTATTGACCCTGGTCATTTAAAAATGTTTCAGGAGTGTATACTGAGTTAAAGCCCCTCCACAGTTCTGCCGCGCTGAGATGAGACCTGAGTAAGAGGCCGCGCTCTTCCGCTATACACTGGCGTTTCTACCTCACCCCACAGCTTGTTTCTACCCGCCCTGACCCTCACACCCAGGTGCTCTGCCAGCAGCAGGCAGGGTGGCTGGCGCTGGCGAGCATGGCACACACACCACGACAAGCACTTTGTGACTTCCATCTCATTATTTCCCTTTATCAATACAGCTTGAGGGAGAGAGAAATAAGCATGACCTGCAATTTTTAGTGGAAAAGGTAACATTTAAACTTGGCCTTAACAGATGGAAGGACACTTTTGGGATATAAAACCTACCTACTATGTTTTTCCCTGAAATAAATTTCATTCATTCTGCAAAAGGAAGCAGTCATGTGCCTGGAACAGGGATGAGGAGGAGGAGCTTCCCAGGCCTGGGGAAAGGGCAAGTGTGCCCGGAGATGAAGGTTAGAATCTGCGAGGTGGCATCAGGTGAAGGGCCCTGCAAACACAGCCTAGAAGACTCAGTGCTGCAGGTGCACACCCACAGATCATCTACAAGGTGCCCAACCTCAGCAAGGGGATGTGCCAGAGACATCATAAAGATTATTGTACACACAGCCCAGATGGGAACATCTAAAAGGAAACTGATTTTCGTGATGTGGCAATGTTAAAATTTAAATATTTGTGGTGAAATTGCCCTCTATGCCCATCCCTGCCCACACACAAATATACCAAATACACAGGCTCTGAGAGTCAGAAGGTCTCAAGTCAAAAGTCTGGAGCTGGAGAACACCAGAGGAAGTTCCAGCAGAGGGCCATGAAAAGTGAGTGGGGAGAGTGTTAGGGAGACAAAACCAAAATAGCCAAGGACACCGTGGTGAGATCGTGCCTGCTCCTCTGTAAAGAGAATTTGAGTATATGCACCCCAAACATGGTCTACATTTCCTACTCCACGGTGCCCGCCAGACACACTTCCATTAAGCCTCCTCCCAAACCACTGTTTATTAGGCCCTTTGCTCCTCAAAGTGTGGTCTGCCAACCAGTGGCCATCATGGGAAGCCTGTAAGAAACAGAACCTCAGGTCCCACCATAGACCTACTGAATTAGCATCTGCACTTTAACAAACCCTCAGGAATGCCATTAAAATCTGAGAAGCACTGGTGTATACCAAAATGATGTCCTTTCAAAAGACAGACTGTACACTACATATGAATAAAACTATCATTCTGTGTGCCTCCCACAGGACCAGCAAGGTTCCATACACCATAAAGCATTCTATGCTTTTAGAATACACGGTGTAGGCCAGGCACAGTGGCTCATGCCTTATACCCAGCACTTTGGGAGGCCAAGAAAGGAGGATCACTTGAGCTCAGGAGTCCAAGACCAAACTGGGCAACATGGCAAGACCCCATCTCCACAAAAACTGCAAAACTTAGCTGGGCATAGTGGCTCATGCCAGTAATCCCAGCACTTTGGGAGGCCAAGAAAGGCAGATCACTTGAGCTCAGGAGTTCAAGACCAACCTGAGCAACATGGCAAGACCCCATCTCTACAAGAAATGCAAAAATTATCCGGGCACAGTGGCTCATGCCTGTTATCCCAGCACTTTAGGAGGCCAAGGCAGGTGATGATTTGAGCTCAGGAGTTCGAGACCAGCCTGGGCAACATGCCGAAACCCTGTCTCTACAAAAATTGCAAAAATTAGCTGGTCATGGTGGCCCATGCCAATATTCACAGCTATTCAGGAAGCTGAGGTGGGAGGATCACTTGAGCCCAGGTGACAGAGGTTGCAGTGAGTTGAGATACCACCACTGCACTCCAGCCTGAGTGACACAGCGAGACCCTGTCTCAGAACACACACACACACACCACACACGTAGATTAAATGACTGAGAAGTTAGCACCAAGAAATTGACTACTCCAGTTTCCATTTTGTCAAGACTAAACTATTCCCGAGAATGTGTGGGCTGTCCAGAGTCTAAGAGGTAAAGCTCAATATCACTGATCATTAGAGAAATGCAAATCAAAACCACAATGAGATACCATTTCACACCAGTCAGAATGGCTATTAGTAAAAAGCCAAAAAAACAACAGATGCTGGCGAGGTTGTGGAGAAAGGGTAATACTTATACACTGTTGGTGTGAGTGTGAATTAGTTCAACCATTGTAAAAAGCACTATGGCGATTCCTCAAAGAGGTAAAAGCAAAACTGCCATTTGACCCAGCAATCCCATTACTGGGTATATACCCAGAGGAATATAAAACATTCTACCATAAAGACGCATGCAAATGTTCATTGCAGCACTGTTCACAATAGCAAAGACATGGAATCAACCTAAATGTCCATCAATGACAGACTGGATAAAAGAAAATGTGGTACGTATATACCGTAGAATACTACGCAGCCATAAAAAAAGACAAGATCATGTCTTTTGCGGGAACATAAATGGAGCTGGAGGCTATCATTCTTAGCAAACTAACAGGAATAGAATACCAAATACCACATGTTCTCACTTATAAATTGGGGCTAAATAAGAACTTGTGAACACAAAGAAGGAAACAACAGACACCGGGGTCTAGAGGTGGGAGGAGGGAGAGGAGCAGAAAAGATAACTATTGGGTGCCAGGCTTAATACCTGGGTGATGAAATAATATGTACAACAAAACCCCGTAACATGTTTACCTATGTAACAAACCATCACATGTACCCCCAAACCTAAAAGTTAAAAAAAAAATTTTTTTTTTGAGACAGGGTCTTTGTCACCCAGTCTGGAGTCCAGTTGTGCGATCACAGCTCACTGCAGCCTCGTTGACCTCCTGGGTTCAAGTGATCCTCCCACCCCAGCTTCCCAAGTAGCTGAAACATGCCCAGCTATTTTTGTATTTTGTGTAAAGACAGGGTTTCACCATGTTGCCCAGGCTGGTCTCAAACTCCTGGGCTCAAGTGACCCACCCACCTCGGCCTCTCAAAGTTCTGGGATTGTACGGGGGTGAGCCACTGTGCCCAGCCAACAATATAACTCTTTTTTTTTTTTTTTTTTTTTTTTTTTTTGAGATGGAGTCTTGCTCTGTCGCCAGTGGCGTGATCTTGGCTCACTGCAACCTCCGCCTCCCAGACTCAAGCGATTCTCCTGTTTCAGCCTCCCAAGTAGCTGGGATTACAGGCACACGCCGCCATGCCCGGCTAATTTTTTGTATTTCAGTAGAGATGCGGTTGCACCATGTTGCCTAGACTGGTCTCAAACTCCTGAGCTCAGGCAATCCACCTGCCTTGGCCTCCCAAAGTGCTAGGATTACAGGCGTGAGCCACCGCGCCCGGCTTAACTCTTTTTTTTTTTTTCTTTTTTTTTTTCCGAGACGGAGTGCCACTCTCGCCCGGGCTGGAGTGCAGTGGCGCAATCTCGGCTCACCGAAAGCTCCGCCTCCCAGGTTCACGCCATTCTCCTGCTTCAGCCTCCTGAGTAGCTGAGACTACAGGCGCCCATCACTACGCCTGGCTAATTTTTTTGTATTTTTTTAGTAGAGACGGGGTTTCATCGTGTTAGCCAGGATGGTCTCGATCTCCTGACCTCGTGATCTGCCCGCCTCGGCCTCCCAAAGTGCTGAGATTACAGGCGTGAGCCACGGCGCCCGGCCCCGGCTTATCTCTTTAATGAATACAGTTACCAAACACCAGGATGAGGAGCAAACTCTTTATATTTAGGTATAGTTTATATTATCCTTAAAAGGCAAGCTATTAATAACACTTGTAGCGCTTTTCAACAACCTCAGAAATTTAGTCCTGGCTGGGCATGGTGGTTCACACCTGTAATCCCAGCTCTTTGGGAGACCGAGAAGAGAGGTTGACTTGAGCCCAGCAGTTCCAGACCAGCTTGGGCAACAAGGCAAAACTCCATCTCTATTAAAAATACACAAAATTAGCTGGGCGTGGTGGGGCACGCCTGTAGTCTCAGCTACTCAGGAGGCTGAGACACGAGAATTGCTCGAAACCAGGAGGGAGAGGTTACAGTGAGCTGAGATGGTGCCACTGCACTCTAGTCTTGAGTGACACAGCAATACTCCATCTTAAATAAATAAATAAATAAATAAATAAACAGCCTATCTCTAAGTTCCACCACATTGTACATGTGAGAAAAGAGGCTGTATATCTTCAGCATCTAACAGTGCCTGCCCAAAGGCAAGGATTAATAAGACAGAAGCCCTAGTCTCAAGATTTGCTGGAAGCACCACCCACTGATGCTTATTAAAAGTAGAAATCGACTTTCTTTCACAATTCATATGACTTCACTGTGATTACATTCACAAGTGACTAGTGGAAAAGATAAGCTTAAAATGTAATCTCCTTTTTCTAATTAATCATGTTACTTTACATAGGTTGCATATATGAAGAATTGAGTTTCCTATTATAATGTAGTTAAACCATGGACTTTTCAACCCAAGCTTTGTGAACCTGGCTTTCCATTACCAGTAAGTTACCTCTTTCCAATGGACCTCATCTTAATGGCCTGCTGCTGGTACCAAAGCAATTGTGCCCAACCTGAGATGCATCCATCAGGGCCCCTGCGGCAAGACGTGCAGGGGCGTCCTCTCAGCAGTGTGGGGGCATCAAGAATCACAAACATCCAGAAGCATATCTGTTCACCTTTGACCACGGGCAGAAATTAACTTAATTCAGAATGCACAAATGCCTTAATGGCATCCCATATGACCTCTTTTAAAAAACCAACCCATTCTTTACACAGAAGTACAGGCTTGATGCAAATGTATATATTATTATTATTATTATTATTATTATTATTAGAGACGGAGTCTCACTCTGTTGCCAAGCTGGAGTACAGTGGCATGATCTCGGCTCACTGCAACCTCAGCCTCCCGAGTAGCTGGGACTACAAGCACATGCCACCACGCCCAGCTAATTTTTGTATTTTTAGTAGAGATGGGATTTTACCATGTTGTCCAGGATGGTCTCAATCTCTATACCTTGTGATCCACCTGCCTCAGCCTCCCAAAGTGCTGGGATTACAGGCGTGAGCCACCATGCCCGGCCACAAATGCAAATCTTAACATAGACTAAGCATTCTTAGATTAATAACATTAAGAAATGCTACCATTTATTGATCAATCACTCTGCATCAGACCGTGATTAAACCTATTCATGTTATTTCATTAAATGACAACTCAGAGGCAAGCACAACCTTTACAGAATAAACTGAAGGTTACAGGGCTAACTGCCCACAGTCGCAGGGCAAAGGGCAAAATAGGTGTTTTCCCTAGGATTTGCAGTAGATTCCTCTGGACTGCTCTTCATTTATCAATAGTACTATCCAGTTCGGCTTAGAACATCATGCTAATGGCTTCATTTATCCATATTACTGTCCAGTACAGCTTAGAACATTGTGATAATTGCTTCATTTATCCATATTACTGTCCAGTTAAGCTTAGAACATTATGCTAATGGCTTCATTTCACAATATTACTATCCAGTTCGGTTTAGAATATCATGCCAATGGCTTCACTTATCCATATTACTATCCAGTTCCGCTTACAACATTATGCTAATGGGTAGTTACACTCTACCAGATAGGAGGTGCCAGATGAGGGACCGGCAGACTTGATCATCATCTCTGTAACCAGGAGTTGACAATAATGTACATATATTTACCTATGAACTCAATATTATCATCTACATACAAGTACCAAGTAAGCAGCCTTTTATAAGGACTTAACATGGGGAGGGTTTAATAACAAGCATGCCAACATGTTTGATAAACACAACTTAATAAAGTTCACATTTCATTAAAAATTACCTAGTTTTTAGCAATGAAGCTTTTTTTGTTTTTTTTGAGGCGGAGTCTTGCTCTGTCACCCAGGCTGGAATGCAGTGGCACGATCTCAGCTCACTGCAACCTCCGCCTCCCAAGTTCAAGCGATTCTCATGCCTCAGCCTCCCAAGTAGCTGGGACCACAGGCACGCACCTCCATGCCCGGCTAATTTTTGTATTTTTAGTAGAGACGGGATTTCACCATGTTGGCCAGACTGGTTTCGAACTCCTGACCTCAGGTGATCTGGCTGCCTCAGCCTTCCAAAGTGCTGGGGTTACAGGCGTGAGCCACTCTGCCGGGCCCACTTTATAATTTTAAAAGATCTTGCAGTTTTGTTACAGGTCTAAAGAAGAAGAAAAAAAAAGATCTAAGAGCCTAAGTTCAATGTATGCACTAAACAATAGTTTAACAAAAATAATTCAAGACAATACTAAGTCCACAAGAACTTTCCTTCTCAAAGGGATCCATATGTTACTAAAATTTAAAAACCGATGCAATTAATTTACTCTTCTTGTGAACTCAATTATTTTCACTTGAGTATTAGGATAACTGAAAACGTACCCAATACCCACTTTAAATTTGTCTGAATAATCATTGCAATTATCCAGATTTTTTTACATTATAGCAACAAAAAGGTAATTTATAATAATGGATGTAATCGGAACATTTGACCACCATTACTTAAGTGGCTAATGTGGCGTGATAAAGAATGAAACAATATATTTATCAATTATCAACTGTGGAAAAAATCTGTTCTTCAAGTTAAAGGCTGATAAACTACAAGGGCTATCAAATGTAATAAAGCATTAGCAAGTATCAAGTATCATGTTTATTAATTATAAATGGATGAAAGTCTTTAAATAAAAAACAGGACATTCAGTATTAAAACTAATTTTACTACATTTTAATATGAGGATGTCCTGTTAAAATCTCATTTCATGATGTGATTTTTCAGTATTACCCTGTAATCTATTATTAAAAGGAAAAAAAAAACTGAGCTGGGCAAGGTGACTCATGCCTGTAATCCCAGCACTTTGGGGGGCCAAGGCAGGAGGATTGCTTGAGGCCAGGAGTTTGACACCTGCCTGGACAACATAGCGAGACCGTCTCTACAAAAAAATTTTTAAAAATTAGCCGAGTGTGGTGGTGTGTGCCTGTGGTTTAGCTGCTCGGGAGGCTGAGGCAGGAGGACTGCTTGTTTAAAAAAAAAAAAAAAAAAAGCCTCCTTGTAATCCTTGAACAATATTTTTCTTTCATTACTCAACTACTGTACTGAACAAGCAATGCAAAGTATTCACTATGGATAAGATCAACAATTTGCTTTTCTATTGACCACAGGTTTCTTTTGACTATTGGTTTCTTAGTGCCAACTAAGAATAACAACTCTGCTTTGGTATAATCTTTTAACTGCCAAAATTTCTGGATAAAGTAGCTGCTCACTATTGACAATGACAAGATAGAAGAATTCACACATTGAGTCTATCTATTTGGCAGCAAATGGATCACTGCACAACACTTAACATGGTATTTGGTCAGTTAAACACTGGAGAAAGGATAATCCCTGGAATCTCTATAAGAAAACAACATCTATCAGCCTTTATCATTTACTTCACAAATTAACCTGAAGCAAAAACTTTTCAGATGGTCTTATAGACTACACAGAAATATGAGATGCCAGCCAGGGGTGGTGGCTCATGCCTGTTATCCCAGCATTTGGAAGGCTAAGGCAGGAAGATCACTTGAGGCCAAGAGTTTCAGACCAGCCTATACAACAGAGACCCAGTCTCTACCAAAAACAAAAAACAAAACAACAACAACAACAGCAAAAACAGACATGGTGGCGTGCACCGGTAGTCCCAGCTACTCAGGAAGCTGAGGCGGGACGATCACTGGAGCCCAGGATAGCCAAGGGTAAAGTAAATCGTGATCGCACCAATGCACTCCAGCCTGGGTGATAGTGCAAGACCCTGTCTCTAAAAAAAAAAAAAAAAAAAAAAAAAAAATTTAATTTTAAACATGAGATGGAGCAGATTCTTAGGAATTTTTTAGATGAAAAGATCCTATTAAGGATATAAACACCATAGCAACCTCCTCATATCCAATGGTTTTTTTCAATCATGTAACTCACTCCTTGAGTTTGCACAACTCCTTTATTGAAACAAAATGGACTTTAACTTGTCACTTATTTCCTATATCATTAAATACCTTCATTAATTTTCTCTTCAGAAAATACTTATTGTGTATCTTTATTTTCAACACTCCACAATACTTTTAAATAAACAACATTTTCAGTATGAACTATGGTAAGATTTCATCATTCTATAAGGCATATTATTTAGGAGGTATTCCTTCCTATGCATTTCCTATTTTACAGTAAACTCAGTATCAGGTAAAAATTAACTGCTAATGTTCCTATCAACAATTCATCCATTCCTTTTTATGACACTTTTATCTTGTATACAAAAAAATACACAATTTTCCCAAACCTTGAGGAGTTGAATTTTGTGTGTGTGTGACAATAATTAAAAGCCAGTCAAGTTGGTACTGGAAAATCATTTTGATACTTATCAGAAAAGTAAAAGCAGTGCTTTTCGATCCATCCCAGCAATAAATGATACTATGATATTACACATACAGATGCCTAAAAAGCATACTATAAAAGGAAAATTCCTGAAATGCCTCCAAAATCCTATTATGCATACTAGACTTTATCATCAGTACTTATATTCTTCAAAATGTACCTAATACAGTCACATGCTCATTAAAAGAGTTGATACAGTTTTGATGGCAGGCTACAGTTCCCTGCTGTCTTTCCATGATGCATCAGCAGAACCATTCAAAGCCACACACACCAAACCTATTAAGAAAAAAGCATTCATAATTCCCAGCTGTGTCCTCTACATTTTCCAAACAATATTAATTTCACATGTATTTATCAATATTATATATTTAGTGGGAATTAACATTAAAATCAACATATTGTTCTTAAGTAATCCAGACTAATAAACCATGAGTCAAACAAATCTACTCTGCGAAAACCTCAAATCACTCTGTGTGATAAATTATTTTAATAACATAAAGCTATAAATTTTCTCTATTTTTATATCCAAGACTAAATACCATTGACTATCCTTCAAAATGTTTATGTTCCAAAATCCTGTAGTTACACATAAACCCACAACAAAAGACATTACTTTAGAATGGTAGAAAAAAATATTTTTAAAAATTGTCAATTCTTAAAATTGGTTAAGTAATTAAAACCATTAAATCATAACACTGACCTAACAGGACAAGAAGTTTCTTTTGGTAATCTTTATTAGTATATGATCATCCTCAAGGGTCTCACTTGCTAGCCTTTTAAACAAATTTCTAAGGCAAATTTACAGTTCATTTAAAAGGTAATAAATACCACACACTCCTACAACCTTAGCCACTTTACAAAACAAAGGAAAAATTTCTTCCAAATGTTATTATAATTAAGAGCTTTTCTATATTAATTCCTCTTACAGTCTCCCAGTGTGTCTTAGATTGCCAAGTACATCTTGATTGTGACATGCAAAATGGATTCTGCTTTAGAAATGGGTTAATTGGCATGCAGATTTCTGCAGAGATCCATAATCCCACAAACAAGAGGGGAAATGAACATTATAGGGCTGACTCTGACAACATGTACTTGGCAGGGGAAGGCGGCAGGGGGTTGGCAACTTCACAATGGTGGATTTGGGGGAAGGAAACAGGACAAGAGACTGAGGTACCCAGACCCTCATCCTGCCAACAGCATTCACGTAGTTACTAGCTTCCATGTATAATAAGACACATTTTCAAAATGGAAAGGAGGTTATCAGAGAGACGGATTCAGATCATCAGTTACCATTAGACTACAGTTTCATTCAATTTAATCTTTAACCATTAAAAATTTTTAAAGACTATATTTCAAGGTAATAGTTCATTTCAAATTTAACAAATTACAAATGCACTAATTTGTATGTATGTGTATGTTCTCTATGTGTCATCTTAAAGCATTTTAAACATTTTTGATAATTAAAATGCAACAGCCATGTTGAAATTAATGTTTACATAAACTGTCAGTGACTTTATTGGCCAAGAAAAGGTAGCTCAAAGCTTTAACTTTATATGAGCTTGATAAAAGCCTTTCAGGGCATGTTTGAGAAATGTGCTCTACTATAAAAGTAACTATTTTAATATACAGCCAAGGTCAATTATTAATATTTTTCTTTTTTTTTTTTTTTTTGAGATGGAGTCTTGCTCTGTTGCCCAGGCTGGAGCAGTGGTGCGCTCTCGGCACTGCAACCTCTGTCTGCCAGTTTCAAGTAGTTCTCCTGCCCAGCCTCCCGAGTAGCTGGGACTACAAGTACCCACCACCACACCTGGCTAATTTTTTGTATTTTTAGTAGAGACAGGGTTTCATCATGTTGGCCAGGCTGGTCTCAAGCTCCTGACCTCAAGTGATCTGCCCGTCTCAGCCTCCCAAAGTGCTGGGATTAGCGGCATGAGCCACCACATGGCCAATACTTTATAAGCAAAGTTTAAACAACTAATTTAATATTTGATAAGGTTTTGGTTTGCCTATATATACTGGGGTAAAGTATGACACAAATTATTAAGCTTGACAAAATAAAAGTAGACTTTACCTGACCACCTTTCTATATTCTTCAGTGAATTCATCAAACAGCATTTTCAACAAAGCTTTGGATCCAGTACTTTGAAGTGAAACAGTGACCTAAAGCCTCACGTCACTTTGGTGAAAGCGGAACATAAATGACTTTTCAACTTCAGAGTTCATATTTGTTAGAGTAGAGAATACGAGGAATGAATAAAGTTATCCTTGTTAGTATTAAAAGCCCTAATTGGAAGAGAAAAGTCTCCAATTAGTTGACCCTATTTATTAACCAAAAGCTTCACAGAAAAACAACTAAAAAAGATATTATGCTTTAAAAAATGGGATATATATTTGGATAATTTGCAACCTATAATCCTAAAAGAACTGCCAGAATGCAAAGATCTTTTTAATATTATTATTTCTGGTGAAATCAAACTCAAAATATAATACCTAGGACTCCTTGTCCAAAGAAGAAATTAAACTAGATAATTTCTTTTCTGAAATAGTCTGCAAATTATAATTCACAAGAAGTACACAAAATAGGGTAAATAAAAGTGTGTATACATGAAAAGCTACAATAATTCCAATTTTTGCTTCCCTGGCAAGGTACTGTACATATACATCAACATAATAGAAATGGCACAGTCTCTGAGGACACGTTTCACATTTTATTTACATTTTAAGACTAACTTTAATCTCAAAATCACATATCCATACACCTATTTCCTTTTTGTTGACTTCACTTAAACTTAAATGCATGGTTTGTTAAACAAAGACTGTAAACAAATATTTACCATGTCTGTTACATGTAACACACAAGAACAGCTTTTAACAGGAATTCATCAACTCCCCCCAACATTTTTTATTATAAATACAGGTATCAAAACAATCCTGAACATATTTTTGATACTACTAGTAGTCAGCACCCACATTGCTTCAAAAATTAACACATCTGTGACAATATTCATTGTACCTGCTACTTTTTAAACAATTTCAACTGCAGCTCTCTTTCACTAAGTAAGATGGGTAAAGCATGCCATTTCTGTTTTCTTGAGATTTTTACTTTTTAGAAACACACATGCTTCCACTGCCATCTGACACTTCTCCACACGCTTTCATCTTGTAAACCTGAATTCTATTTCGAGTACTCCAGGTTTATGTTTAAATGACAGTGCCTTTCAAGAGAAAAAAAATTGTGCTGCATTTTTCCTCCTGTTACCTGAAAACATAATGGGTGTACATATATTAAATATATTCTTACAAATGTCCAGGTCATGTTTACCAGCTGGAATTCTTTTACTTAATGTGTATTTTGCATTGTGATATTTAATCAAGACATTAACATGAGTAGAAGGTTGTTGATTTAAGACAAGTTTGAGATCCACTAAAATTAATTGTTGTATGTTTGTCCTTCTGGTGGCTGTGGAAGCTTCATATTTTCTTTGGACATCATTAGACGTCTTAGCTCTTGAAGTACAACTTTAATGCTATATGAATTTTGCCATTTTGCTAACACTGGTATGCTCCGGGCATCCACCTGAAAGGGGAGGAAAGAGTACAGTTAACTAGCAAGTTTAAAGTACTATGGCACCAATTTGTTAAGCATATTTTAATAAGAATGATTTTGAAAATTCATAGCTTGCCTCTATTTTCACAAAACATACACTATGGAATTACTAATACCATAATTAGTATATTTTATCATAATTAGTTTAATATTTTGGGAAAATATAAAGACATAAAACATACAGTGAACTTTGGTCATCAGAAATAAATGTTATATTAAATAACTACTTTGTCAATAAATTTACCAATTCTTTCTTAATGGAGTAAGGTCAAAAGGTTCCTCTCCATTTCCAATGCCACCGCCCAAAATCTGGGGAATTATCTCACACTGAGATTTAGACAAAAGCTACTAACCTGATCTCTTCTTTCAGATTTTTCTTTCCAATGTATTCTACGCACTATTCCTAATTATTCTTTCCTTTTTTTTTTTTTTTTTTTTTTTTGAGACAGAGTCTCACTCTGTCACCCAGGCTGGAGTACAGTGGTGCGATCCTGGCTCACTGCAACTTCCGCCTCCCAGGTTCAAGAAATTCTCCTGCCTCATGAGGCCTCCCAAGTAGCTGGGATTACAGGCACCTGCCACCACGCCAGGCTAATTTTTCTATTTTTCGTAGAGACAGGGTTTCACCATGTTGCCCAGACTGGTCTTGAACTCCTGAGCTCAAGTGATCTACCTGCCTCAGCCTCCCAAAGTGCTGGGATTACAGGCATGAACCACGGCACCCGACCCAAATTAATCTTCTGTGAAAGAGCAACAGAATGGGGATGGAGCTCCTTGCAAGCCCATTCCCAGTTAACTGTCAGCATTTGACCTGTCCTGCAGTTCCCTGGAAAACTCCACTCACACAGAGCTTTCCTTTATCTGACCTCAGAGCTCACATATCTTCACTCACCTCCTACCTTGGGCATTTGTCAAAAAAAGTTGAGTCAAACAGGAAGGTGGGCCGGATGCGGTGGCTCACGCCTGTAATCCCAACGTTTTGGGAGGCCAAGGCGGGCGGATCACAAGGTCAGGAGTTTGAGACCAGCATGGCCAACATAGATAGTGAAACCCCGCCTCTACTAAAAATACAAAAATTAGCCAGGTGTGGTGGCACGTGCCTGTACTCCCAGCTACTTGGGAGGCTGAGGCAGGAGAATCACTTGAACCTGGGAGGTGGAGGCTGCAGTGAGCCGAGACCACGCCATTGCACTCCAGCCTGGGCGACAGACTGAGACTCTGTCTCCAAAAAAAAAAAGCAGGAAGGTAACCAAAATACTTAAGCAGACAAGCTGGGAAACGAAGTGTCTCCAAACAGGCCTGGGAATCTAGAAGACCACACACATGTGTAGGGCTGCGCACAGGCTTATGAAAGAGCTGAGAAGGCCATAAGCTGTCATCTACAGCTGACCTCAAGCAACATATAAGACTATATACAGGCTGGGAATGGTGGCTCACGCCTGTAATCCTAGCACTTTGGGAGGCCGAGGCGGGCGGATTGCCTGAGTTCAGGAGTTCGAGAACAGCCTGGGCAACACAGTGAAACCCCGTCTCTACTAAAATACAATAATATTTGTATTTATAAATATATAATAATATAATATTTAGCATGGTGGTGTGCACCTGCAGTCCCACCCACTCAGGAGGTTGAGGCAGGATAATTGTTTGCATCTGGGAGGCGGAGGTTGCAGTGAGCTGAGATCGTGACACTGCACTCCACCCTGGGCGACAGAGCAAGACTCCATCTCCAAACAAAAAAGATTATATACAAGTAGGACCTATCCCAGAAACACAAGATAGATTCAATATTTTAAAAATCAGAGTAATATATCATATTAACAGAACAGAGAACAAAAACCATGATCATCTCAATGGATGCAAAAAAGCATCTGACAAAATCCAAAAACCTTTCATGATATAAATACTCAATAAATTAGGAATAGAAGGAAACTACCCTCCAACCTAACAGGAATCTACAAAAAACTTAGAGCTAACATCATATTTAATAAAGACCAAATACTTTCCTCCTAAGATGAAGAATAAGATAAGGATGTCCATTCTCATCACTTTTTATATTTTCTTTTTTTTTTTTTTTTTGAGACAGGGTCTCACTCGTTGCCCAGGCTAGAGTGCAGTGCAGTGGCACAATTGTGGCTTACTGCAGCTTCGACCTCCCTGGGCTCAGGTGATCCTCCCACCTCAGCCTCCCAAGTTGCTGGGACTACAGGCGCACACCACCACAGGCCCGGCTACTTTCACTCACTGCAACCCATGCCTCCCCAGTTCAAGCGATTCTCCTGCCTCAGCCTCCCAAGTAGCTAGGATTACAGGTGCTCACCACCATACCCGGCTAATTTTTTGTATTTTTAGTAGACACAGGGTTTCACTATGTTGGCCAGGCTGGTCTCGAACTCCTGACCTCATGATCCACCCGCCTCAGCCTCCCAAAGTGCTGGGATTACAGGCATGAGCCACCACGCCCGGCCAATTTTTGTATTTTTTATAGAGACAGGGTTTCGTCATCTTGGCCAGGCTGGTCTCAAACTCCTGGGCTCAAGGGATCTGCACACCTCGGCCTCACAAACCACTGGGATTACAGGCATGAGCCGCCACCACCACCTGGCCCCGTTCTCATCACTTCCATTCAACATTGTACTGGAGAGGTTCTAGCCAGGACAATTAACAAAGAAGCGAAATAAAAGGCACCCTGATTAGAAAGAAAAGAAGTAAAACTACCTCTATTTGCAGAAGAAATACAAGAAATGATCTGGTATATAGACAATTCAAAGGAATCCACTAAAGAAATTATTAGAGCTAATAAACAAGTTCATCAAGGCAACAAGATACAGGTTCCATATACAATAATTAGTTTTTCTTTACACTTGCAACAATCTGAAATAAAAATTAATAAAATACCTAAGTATAAATTTAACAAAAGTGTAAAACTTGTGCACTGAAAACTGTAAAATATCTCCCCTCCCTCCTTCCTACCACCCTCCTCTCCTACCTCCCCCTTTCCCTCCCTCCCCAGAAAAAAGAGAAAAAAAAAATTAAATAGAAATAATTTAAAGGTCGGGTGCAGTGGCTCATGCCTGTAATCCCAGCACTTTGGGAGGGCGAGGTGGGCAGATCACCTAAGTTCGGAAGTTCGAGACCAGCCTGGCCAACATGGCAAAACCCCCGTCTCTACTAAAAATACAAAAATTAGCCGGGCGTGGTGGTACATGCCTGTGATCCCAGATACTTGGGAGGCCGAGACACAGGAATTGCTTGAGCCCAGGAGGCAGAGGTTGCAGTGAACTGAGATCACGCCACTGCACTCCAGCCTGGGCAACAGAGCTAGACTCCATCTCAAAAAAATAAATAAATAAAAATAATTTTTAAAAACTGTAAAATATAGTTGATAGAAATTAAAGAGCTAAATAAATATACATGGGTCAGAAGACTTATTACTGTGAAGATGACAATATTCATCAAGTTAATTTAGAGATTCAATACAACTCCTATTAAAATTTCAACTGCTTTTTTCTTGCTTGCAGAAATGAACAGGCTTATCTTAAAATTCATAAGCAAATGCAAGAAACCCAGAATAGCCAAAACAATATTAAAAAAAGAAGAACAAAGTTATGATTTCAAAACTTATTACAGGCCAGGCGTGGTGGCTCACTCCTGTAACCCCAGCACTTTGGGAGGCCAAGGCAGGCAGATCAACTTGAGGCTGGGAGTTCAAGACCAGCCTGGCCAACATGGTAAAACCCCATCTCTACTAAAAATACAAAAAATTAGCCAGGCGTGGTGGCGCATGCCTGTGATCCCAGCTACTTGGGAGGCTGAGGCACGAGAACTGCTTGAGTCCAGGAGGTGGAGGTTCCAGTGAGCCAAGATCGCACCACCGCAATCCAGCCTGGGCGGCACAGCAAGACTCTGTCTCAAAAACAAACAAAAAAACTTACTACAAAGCTACGGTAGTCCAGAAAGGCAGGCCAGGTGCAGTGGCTCACACCTGTAATCCCAATACTTTGGGAGAGATAGGCGGGTGGATCTCTTGAGCCCAGGAGTTCGAGACCAGCCTGGCCAAGATGACGAAACCCTGTCTCCTTTTCCTTTTTTTGAAGGTGATTGTTTATGTTGTTATGTTTTAATTTCTTGCTTTTTATTTGGGGTTAGCAAGGATGTGGAGAAGCTGGGAACCTGCATACACTAGTGGTAGCAATGTAAGATGGCCTATTCACTTTAGAAAACTGTCTTGACAGTTCCTCAAAAACTAAAACATAGATACCGTATGACCCAACAATTCCACTCCTAAATATATATCCAAAAGAAATGAAAATATTTGCCCACTCAAAAACTTGTATACAAATATTCATAGCAACAGTATTCATGATAGCCAAAAGTAGAAAAATAGAAATATCTACTAGGTGATAAATGGATAAATAAAATGGGATCTCCATACAATGGAATATTGTCCAACAATAAAAAGGAATAAAGTACCAATACACAATACAAACATGGGTAAATCTTGAAAACATTACGTTAAGTCGCCAAAGAACACATACTCTATGATTCTATTTATATGAAACATCCAGAATGGGCAAATCTATAAAGACAGAAAGTGGGCTGGGCACCGTGGCTCACGCCTGTAATCCCAGCACTTTGGGAGGCTGAGGAGGGCAGATCACAAGGTCAGGAGATACAGACCATCCTGGCTAACACAGTGAAACCCCGTCTCTACTAAAAATACAAAAAATTAGCCCCGTGTGGTGGCGGGCGCCTGTAGTCCCAGCTACTTGGGAGGCTGAGGCAGGAGAATGGCATGAACCCAGGAGGCAGAGCTTGCAGTGAGCCAAGCCATTGCACTCCAGCCTGGGCGACAGAGTGAGACTCTGCCTCAAAAAAAAAAAAAAAAGACAGAAAGTGGATTAATGGTTGTTTAGGTCTAAGGGAGATGGGATGGGAAATGACAACTGATGGGCACAGATTTGCTTTGGGAAGAACAAAAATGTTCCAAACCTGGGTCATGGCAGTGATTCCACAATGTTGTGAATACTAAAAACCCTTGAATTTTACCCTTTAAATGGGTGAATTGTATGGTATGTGAATTATATCACCATAAAAGTGTTTGAAAGTAGAAAAGAAAAATAATTTTAGAGTGATATTTATTTTAGAAACTAACAGCAGGCGCAATGGCTCACACTTGTAATCCCAGCACTTTGGTAGGCTGAGGTGGGTGGATCGCCTGAAATCAGGAGTTCAAGACCAGCCTGGCCAACATAGTGAAACCCCGTCTCTACTAAAAATACAAAAAATTAGCTGGTCATGTTGGCGGGCGCCTGTAATCCCAGCTACTAGGGAGGCTGAGGCAGGAGAGTCACTTGAACCCAGGAGGCGGAGGTTGCAGTGAGCCAAGATCGCACCATTGCACTCTACCCTGGGCAATAAGAGCGAAACTCCGTCTCAAAAAAAAAAAAAAAAGGAAAAGAAACTAACTAAAAGAGTAAGAAAAATGTTACAATGGTAAGGTACATTTAAAATGCTTCCTCTAACACTTTCACTTTAAAGAGTGGCAACCTCCTTAGCCTATTTTAAATAGATTCCATAACTGAACAGTTTATAAAAATAAGTAGAGAGAATACCAAGCTATTTCTAAATCAGAAACAAACACTTCCAGCTGTAAATGGTAGTTAAATAAACATAAGTGATTGCAAATCCTGTGAAATACCAACAGGGTGCAGAAAAAAAAAAAGAAACATTGGAGGAAAAGAAAAAAAAGATGAAGAGAGAGGACGCAGTAAAGAGCATGAGAAAATAAATATCATGTCAGAATAAAATCTGCATCTTATCAGTCTACAACATACAATGACCTCCAAAATGTGAGATCTCACTGCATAAGACAATAAAATTTACACTTCAGAGTGCTAACCACCCACAGGGAATAACTTTGCCTCGTCGTATTAAATACGTATAAACTAAAATTACTAAAGCAACACCCACCATCAATGCCTATGAACTACAATTCATGAGACACTTAAACAGCCTCAAAATATAAAAACTATCCTGGCACAATCACCAATGTGAAATTCTGTACCATTTACTAGTTATAAAAGTAATAATCCAAACTCTTAGATGTAAATGAAGAGAAAAACAGATGTCCAATATATTCACCCTACCCACAACCCTCTATACACACATCTACACTCCAATAATGATTAAAATCAGTATTTATTTTTCTATTTCCCAGTCCCCATTCCAGATTGACAGTAAGAAGGGTTGGTGGGAATATACATTCAGAGGGTCCTGTTATACACCACTGGTGGGGCTGACATTGACCCAGCCGGGAGGAAAGCAGCTTGGCAATATTCAAGCTGAAGAAAGCCCCACGCCACGGCACACTTCTAGATGTATTCCCGAGAGCAGCACTACTCAAGGTGTGTCCATGGAAAGGGGCAGGCCACGAACTGAATTCTATTGCTCCTTGACAAGATACACATTGCAATTGAGAGTAAGAACTTAGAAAGTTTTATAGCAATCTGACGGAGAACATTTTAATTTAAAAATTTTAAACTTGGCCAGACGTGGTGGCTCAAGCCTGTAATCCCACCCAGCACTCTGGGAGGCCGAGGCAGGCAGATCACCTGAGGTCAGGAGTTGAACACCAGCCTGGCCAACGTGGTGAAACCCCATCTCTACTAAAAATACAAAAATTAGCCAGGCATGGTGGCAGGCACCTGTAATCCCAGCTACTCGGGAGGCTAAGGCAGGAGAATCGCTTGAACCCAGGAGGAAGAGGTTGCAGTGAGCTGAGATCATGCCATTGCACTCCAGCCTGGACAACAAGAGCAAAACCTCATCTCAAAAAAAAAAAAAACAGGAAGGGGAAACAAGAGAAAGCCACACACAGAATTAACTCTATTTATAATGTAGTCTTTGTACTAATAAGAAAAAAATCTAGCTGGGCAGGGTGGCTCACGCCTGTAATCTCAGCACTTTGGGAGGCCGAGGCGGGCGGATCATTTGAGGTCAGGAGTTTGAGACCAGCCTAACCAACATGGTGAAACCCTGTCTCTATTAAAAATACAAAAAAATTAGCTGGACGTGGTGGCACATGCCTGTGGTCCCAGCTACTTGGGAGGCTGAGGCAAGAGAATTGCTTGAACCTGGGAGACAGAGGTTGCAGTGAGCCAAGATCGCGTGACTGCACTCCAGCCTGGGAGACAGAGTGAGACTCCATCTCAAAAAAAAAAAAAAAAAAATTAAAAGATCTGTTACAAATAAGACAAATGTTAACATTTGACAAAGCTAGGTGAAGGACACATAGATGCTGGTTCTATCATTCTCTAAAACTTCTATTATGTTAGAAACATTTCTTTTAAAAACAAAAAAATAAATTTATAGTTAAGTGCAACAAAAGAATAAGAGTGACTCTAACAGAGCAATAGAAGGGACATAATTCAAGTTGGAACATCAATAAAGATACTAAAAAGTGGAATTTAGGCTGGGTGCGGTGGCTCATGCCTGTAATCCCAGCACTTTGGGAGGCCAACGCGGGTCAGGAGTCTGAGACCAGCCTGGCCAACATGGCAAACCCCCATCTGTATTAAATTAG
This sequence comes from Homo sapiens, assembly GCF_000001405.40. Lineage (NCBI taxonomy): Eukaryota > Metazoa > Chordata > Mammalia > Primates > Hominidae > Homo > Homo sapiens. Next base: position 48,053,069 of record NC_000008.11, on the reverse strand, counting down.
CCAGGTGTTGTGGCACACACTTGTAGTCCCAGCTACTTGGGAGGCTAAGGCAGCAGAATCACTTAAACCCAGGAGATGGAGGTTGCAGTGAGCGAGATCATGCCACTGCACTCCAGCCTGAGTGACAGAGTGAGACTCTGTCTCAATAAAAAAGAAAGTGGAATTTACAGTGAGAAATGAAGGACCCATAGGAGTTAGCCAGACTGGGGAGGAAGGAGGAAGAACAGAAGTGCAAAGGTCTTGAGACCAAACGAAAGGCATGCAGGCCAGTGTGCACCTTGAGCACTCCCAGTGAGCCATGGCAAGAAGCATGCATGCTGAGGCTGATGCCCCTAAAGGAATCTGAAGTGCAGAAATGACACGACGCAATTTGTCTCTTAGGAGGATCCCTCTGGCTGCTAACTTTGGAAAGACTGGAAGGGATTTTAAAAAGTAGAATCAGAGACGTTGTTGCAAGAGTCCAGGAAATAAATGATGGCCAATATTCACTTGGTGGCAATGTAAATAGAAAAATAAGACCTAAATCCAGTCACATTTGGAACATAAAACTGACAAGGCTTAATGATAAATGGGTTGGGGGAAGGGAGGTAGAGAGGGAGGCAAAATATCAACTACTGGACCAAAAGCCCAAGAGATCAGATAAGCTTATTAGAGGTAGGTCTGAAATTTAATCTAAATTTCCTAGCTTCCATGACAATGTAGAACACACCATTAGTTACTTAATTTACAGAAGCTATAATGTAAAAACAAAACAGTAGTGGAGAAAACCAGATATGTCTAGTAGCAAAATCTAACAAAGGTCTTCTTCATAAAGGCAATGCTGTGTGTCACACAGGACATTCCCTAAATAATATCTTTTCTGTGTACTCATATGCTTTATAATCCTGCTCCTATCAAATTTCTTAAAAATAGATAAGTGTGCATAATTTCTAGAATAATCACTGAAAGAACACAAACAGAATGAAAGAAGTTGAGAACAACCATTCCAAAAGTAGGCAAGAAACATGTAGAAAAATAGAAACCACCAAATAAGATGATCTGTTTAAACCTGAACATGTCAGTAATTAAGAATATTAAATGTAAATGGACTAAATGCTCCCAGTAAATCACAAAGACTGACCAACTGAGGACTGTGAGGGCTGGAGAGACTCTCAGGTCCCAGCTCTGAGTTGGCACAGGGGTGGGGGGGTGTTAATGGCCCAGCAGGTGCAGGGCTAAGGTTTCCAATGACCTTTCCCAGCTTCTTCCTTTCTCAGGGTCATGCTTTATTTGGCCTGGTGCCTCCCTGCTGGATGCACCAGCCAATCTGGGGCCCCGCCTCAGACCTGCGTATTAGGTTGGGGTTGAGGGGCAGGGAGCTGGCTGTGAATCCAAGATTCAACTTGTTGCCAGAAGTACAGTTATATGAAGGGGAAATTGAGCAAATAAGTAAATGCACTGGGAAGCATGGGAGCCAGGTTTCTCAACTGGAAAGGAAGAATCATAGAACAAACCCTATAGTTTTAGAATAAAATTAGTGGGAGTTGTTAGTATAAACTCGTGATTTTTAACAGATGGTAAACAGATGAGAAGGAAAGAGAGAAGGAGAGAAGAAAGGAGGATGAATTTGTGTACATATGTGATACATTTGTAGTACAAAATACACTGGTAGAGAGAGGGAACGCAGGGATGGGATGAGAAATCAAGGATACTGAGGCCCTATTTCCTAAGATGGATGATACTCATTTTATGATGATGATATGTTATTTTGCTTCCTAAAATGTATTTTGTATGTGGCGTGCTCTCAACATGGCACCAAGAGAGCCTAGGCTTCAAAGACTTATCATGAACTTAACAATCTACTCATACTGGAAATTCAGCTGTTTCTACTAACTAACTTGTGTGGGTCAAGCAGGGCATGTCATTTTGTTTAAAGAGACAATGGGCTGGACACAGTGGCTCACGCCTGTAATCCCAGCACTTTGGGAGGCCAAGGTGGGCAGATCACTTGAGGTCAGGAGTTGAGTCCAGCCTGGCCAACATGACGAAACCCCATCTCTACCAAAAAATACAAAAATTAGATGGGCTTGGTGGCATGTGCCTTGTAGTCTCACATACTTGGGAGGCTGAAGTGGGAGAATCACTTGAGGCCACAGGAAGTGGGGGAGTACCACTGCACTACAGCCTGGGGGACAGAGTGAAACCCAAAAATAAATAGACAATGATGCTCAGCCATGACTGTTTCAACACAGACATATTTGCTCTTTAAAGAAAAAAACCCTTCATGAATATTCATCCTTTTCATGAACAGTCATCCTTTTAATCCCACCAAATGTACCTTAACCCTCAGAAAAGTAACATTCAAAGAGAAATAATGATCATCTCTTTTTTTTTTTTTTTTTGAGACGGAGTTTCGCTCTTTCACCCAGGCTGGAGTGCAGTGGCACAATCTCTACAAGCGTGAGCCACCATGCCCCGCCCAATAATGGTCATCTTTTTACCAAATAAAGATCAACTGAAATATGACTATTAAGGCAATTAAAACCCTAAGAAAACTTTTGGCCAGGCACAGTGGCTCATACCTGTAATCCCAGCACTTTGGGAGGCCGAGCCGGGCGGATCAACTAAGGTCAGGAGTTCGAGACCAGCCTGGCCATTGTGAAACCCCGTCTCTACAAAAATACAAAAATTAACTGGGCATGATGGCAGGTGCCTGTAATCCCAGCTACTCGGGAGGTTGAGGCAGGAGAATCACTTGAAGCCGGGAGGCAGAGGTTGCAGTGAGCCAAGATCGCACAATTGTACTCCAGCCTGGGTGACAGAGTGAGACTCTGTTTCAAAAAAAAAAGAAAAGAAAAAAAAAGTTTTAACCACCACATGCATCTATTCTAGGCAAGTACATTAAGGTTTTTAAGGATGGCCTAATTTATATTAATAAAAGAAAAACAACATAATGCAACCTTCTTTAGACTTTTGGCTTAACAAAGGTCCTCTTTTAAAAACTTTCTCCTAACTACATATTAATATCTTACATATATTATGGTGTGTGTACGTATAATATATAACTCTATACATTATGTTATATAAAACCAAAATGACTATATTAACTTACCATCCCACTGGAATTATTTATTCCGTTCATATTAATTTTTGTTACAAATCTAACTGACGGAGGAGCTTCTGGGTATTTAGGTCCACATTCTACTTTCAGGCTATATATTCTGTTTTCATAATTTGTCTGGAAGGCAAAAAACAAAAAGATAATCAAAATAACAATACCTAAAATATTAATGTCTAAGTGCTAAAAAAAAAAAAGGGAAAGTACAATATGAATGTACGTAAGACAGTGTTTATGATTAAGAATTTATTTTTCTACATTCAAATTTATTTCACCTATATGGTGAGAAAAAATGCAATAAGCATACTTAAAAATTGAGATTTTACAAAATTAATTCCATGAGATTTTACAAAATTAATTCTACAAAGTATTATCAATATGATCCCAAGTTGCTTTTGTGATAAAAATGATGCCTGTAACAAATTAGAACGAAGAAGGAAAAACGAAAAAGCAAACCACTTAAATTTAGATTTTGCTAAAAAGTTTACATTGTAGAGGGAGGGGCTACTTGAGACTTGTGTTAAACATATATGAAGGTTTCTGTTTTACAGAACAGTTCTGCTTATTCCTATTGTCCCAGAATTGACTATTAACAGTGCCTCCTTTCATTCTCAAAAGGGTCTTGTTGGATAACAAATTATATGATTATCCTACTAAATATGGCAATCAATAACTTCTAGCAAAAGAGAAAACCCCATATTATACTATTTTGCAGCAATAAAACATAATTATTTTATGTCCCCTGTTAGTTATACTTACGTTGCCACTTCATTAATTTTGAGGTTCATTAAATCCCATTATCTGAATTCAGAGATACAATGGCAAACTTTATGTTTACACATCATTTTCAAATAGGTATCAAACTTAAAGCTTCTAGATTATCCAGGGCTTATTTTCATGCCTATAAATTAACTCTTCTTTCTGCTATGGCTTTTGTTCACTCTGTTAACTTATTAGTGTACCATTAAAACAGCAAAGTAAAAAATAAATGAATCCTCACCTTGACTCAAGAGATTAAAAAGAAAAAAAAATTGTTTTAAAGAGAATTATAATTATTGAAACTTTAAATTTTCTAAATTATAATTAAAATAACATAAAAATATATACATAAATAAATGAAAGTGAAAAATTTAATATCTGCTGGCTGCTGTATAAGACCAGAGAGGGAGGAAGCTAACCAACCATCTACAGATCTCACCTACTCAAACTGATCCCATCCCCATAAACAAGAGCTATCCAAATGGAGGTCAGATTTGCAGTATTAAACTACTCTAATGTAAAACCTATGCAACAATGTTATATGTATGTTATTAAATATTTCAATACTTTAAGAAAAAAAGAGCTATATAAAACTCATCTGAGATTAATAGCAAGCAAATATTAATAATATCCCCAGCACTTTCAATATATAAAAATGACTAAAATCAGATAGATCTCATGATTATCTTGGCTGTGATTCTCCAATCTGGATGCATATCAGACTCCCCTATGATACAGCAATTCTATTCCTAGGCATTTACCCAAGCGAAATGGAAACAAACACATGTTCACAAAAAGACTTCTACAAGAATGCCCATAGCAGCTTTATTTGTAAAAGCAAGAAAGTAGATTAAATCCAAATGTCCATAAAAAGAAGTGATAAACACATTGTGGTATATCCATACAGTAAAATACTATTCAACAATAAAAAGAAACACACTCCTACTACATGAGATAACACAACTGAATTGCTCAGACTTCATGCTGAGTAAAGAACCGTAAGTGTACACACTACATGACCCTACTTACCAAAGCTCTACAACACGCAAATCTCTCAGGTGTGGGAAAGCGCAAAGGGAGCTTTCTGGAATGACAGGAATGTTCTGTATCTCAGTAGGGGTAACAAGCTACATTTGTCAAACTCATGGCACATCTGTGCATTTCACTACATGTAAATTCTACCTCAATTCCTTTTGTTTAAAAAAAAAAAAAAAAAAACCCAAAGCTCTTTTCTGAAAGATTTTATGTAAACAAAAAAAAATTTAATCCCAAAGCTAGCCTATTAATCTAATCCAATTCTTACAGTAAATATCACCCTAACTTCTGACACCTTTGATTTTATCCCCTCTAAATTTTAAATTAACAGGCTGGGTGTGGTGGCTCATGCCTGTAATCCCAGCCCTTTGGGAGGCCAAAGGCGGGCAGACTGCCTGAGGTCAGGAGTTCGAGACCAGCCTGGCCAACATGGTGAAACCCCGTCTCTATTAAAAATACAAAAATTGGTAGCACACGCCTGTAATCCCAGCTAGTCGGGAGGCTGAGGCAGGAGAATCACCTGAACTCGGGAGGTGGCAACTGCAGTGAGCTGAGATCACGCCACTGCACTCCAGCCTGGGTGGCAAAGCAAGACTGTCTCAAAAAAAAAAAAAATTTTAATTAACAGTCAAGTTTTTCTGTTATCTAATAAAAAGCAAGAGCAAAAAAAAGAGGAGAAAAACAAACTAATATTTACTAAGTCAAGTACTCAGGTATTCTCCTATTATCTAATCATTATTTCACTTAATTCTCACACTGTTTCTATTTTAAAGATGGGGACAGTACCTTCATTAAATATGAGAAAACTTGAAAAAGTACTAAACTCTAGTGACAACAAATATTGCTTCAGAAAACTGAACACAAAAACATAGAAAAACAAAACTGCTAATCATATAAATCCAAATAAATACTAGAACAACATAAAAAATGAGGGATCTGGCTGGACATGGTGGCTCACACCTGTAATCCTAACACTTTGGGAGGCCGAAGGGAGTGGATCACCTGAGGTTGGGAGTTCGAGACCAGCTTGACCAACATGGAGAAACCCCATCTCTACTAAAAATACAAAATTAGCCGGGCATGGTGTCGCATGCCTGTAATCCCAGCTACTCAGGAGCCTGAGGCAGGAGAATCACTTGAACCTGGGAGGCAGAGGTTGCGGTGAGCCCGAGATAGTGTCACTGAACTCCAGCCTGGGCAACAAGAGCAAAGCTCCATCTCAAAAAAAAAAAAAAAGAGGGACCTTAGTCAATAAAGTACAAAAAATAAAAAACAACTGGCCAGGCACAGTGGTTCACGCCTATAATCCTAGCACTTTGGGAGGCCACGGCAGGTGGGCCATTTGAGCCCAGGAGTTTGAGACCCGTCTGGGCAACACAGTGAGACCCCCATCTCTACACACACACACACACAAATTAGCCAGGTATGGTGGTGTACCCCTATAGTCCCAGCTACTCAGAAGGCTAAGGTGGGAGGATTGTTTGAGCCCAGGGGGTCCAGGCTGTGAGGTGTGATCGGGCCACTACACTCCAGCCTGGTTGACAGAGTGAGACTATCTCAAAATAAAATAAAATAAAAATAAAAAACAACGAACCATGTAACATGTTAAAAGTCTTCCTCCTCTCAACCGGGCACGGCGGCTCACGCCTGTAATCCTAGCACTTTGCGAAGGCCGAGGTGGGCGGATCATCTGAGGTCGGGAGTCTGAGACCAGCCTGAGCAACATGGAGAAACCCTGTCCCCACTAAAAATACAAAATTAGGCCAGACGCGGTGGCTCACGCCTGTAATCCCAGCACTTTGGGAGGCCGAGGCGGGTGGATCACAAGGTCAGGAGATCGAGACCATCCCGGCTAACATGGTGAAACCCCATCTCTACTAAAAATACAAAAAATCAGCAGGGCGTGGTGACAGGCCCCTGTAGTCCCACTACTCGGGAGGCTAAGGCAGGAGAATGGTATGAACGCGGGAGGCAGAGCTTGCAGTGAGCCGAGATGGCGCCACTGCACTCCAGCCTGAGCGACTGAGCAAGACTCCGTCTCAAAAAAAAAAATAAAAATACAAAATTAGCTGGGAGTGGTGGCACATGCCTGTAATCCCAGCTACTAGGGAGGCTGAGGCAGGAAAACCGCTTGAACCTGGGAGGCGGAGGTTGCGGTGATCTGAGATTACACCATTGCACTTTAGCCTGGGCAACAAGAGCCAAACTCTGTCTCAAAAACAAACAAACAAAAAAGTCTTCCTCCTCTCCTGGCTAGATGTAGATACTCTACCCTGGGGACAAAATTGTTCTCAACATTGCACCTTCTAAGGAGAAAACAACTGTGGTAAGATACCAACTCCTGCCTGTTTTATGAAAAGGCAACTGAATATGCCTGCTGTGACCTGCCTTCAAGAGAACTGAGAAGGTGATGCAGAGAAGATCATCAGGTGGTGAGCAGAGGCCAGTTCCAGAAGAAGCCTGTGCCTTTGCAGGGCACACCCTCCTACCTCTGCCTGGCACTCAAAGGAAGTGAGGGGGTCTCTGATGAGGTTCAGGACATACTATCCCAAAATACGGCACCTTGGCACTTAAGAAAACAGCAGAAGCAAGGTTACTCTTACCTTACCTTCGCCCCCTTCTCCCCTGAAGCAGACCCTAAAATCTAGCTGACCTCCCCACGAAGTAGGTAGGTCATGAGAACCACTCCAAAGGGGTCTTGTCTTATGCCAAGAAAGGAATGAAATCCAAAGACACAGGAATAATGTGAACAAACAGGCCCTGGTAAGTTCCCCCAGTTTATTACCTAGTGTGTTACCATCAGATCCAATCACGCTGTTGCATCACTGTCCACTCTTCATCAAATTTAGCATAAAAATACACGGTTTCCCTGTTTCTTTGGGTCTTCCTTTCTGAATGTTCCCATGTCATGTAAAACTTAAATAAATTTGTATGCTTTTCTCTGCTTTTTATTATAAGTGCCTCAGCGTGAAGCTTGAGACAAGTGAGGAAAGGCTATTATGACCTTTTCTCTCCTGCAGCTCCAAAACCACCACCCACAGGGAATGGAGGACCACAGTAGCATTTTGTCTGTGTGCCCTGAGAGGGGAGAGAGTTGCAGAGAAGCAGCCTTCACCCCCATCCCAGTGGATAGAGTTTCCTGAGGTTCGGTGACACCAGGAATGGCAACTAGTTGGGGCATCCTGCAGGGGACCCCAACCGGGTGAAAGACCAAGCAGGAACCGGTCCACGACAGCTAGGAACTGTGCTGTGGGTCAGCCCACAAGACCACTGATGAACTCATCACAAGTTCCAAAACATTCTTAAAGTCTGCTGCAGGCAGTGGCTAGAGAAAAACGAAATCTAAATAATTTCAAATTTATATTCTACCAAGTTCTGACTGTTAAATCTTCAAATCAGTAAGTCAGAATGTTCATCAATTATAAGCGCTTTTTTTAAACCAAACAGACCACAGTAATGATGTTCACAGGCAGTGAAAATCAAGGCTTCCATTATATATACCAAGTCATATGGAACTCTATCCATCAACATATCAACATTATATTTCCTTCCTAAAATGTCTTCAGGAAAAAATAGAGCAAGGGAGTAAACAGGGAGCCTATCAGTGTAGGAGTGTGCATGAATTTTGCAAAGGAACACCAGAAAACAACATAAAACACACACTAATTCATTCTCTATAATTAATGTTGCTAATTACCTGATACATTTTTCTTTTGTAATAATCAGGAGGGGCTGGGTGCAGTGGCTCACACCTGTAATCCCAGCATTTTGGGAGGCCAAGGCAGGTGGATCACTTGAGGCCAGGAGTTCGAGACCAGCCTGGCCGACATGGTGAAACCCCATCTCTACAAAAACTACAAATATTAGCCAGCAGTGGTGGTGCACACCACCTCAGGAGGCTGAGGTGGAAGGATCGCTTGAGCCCAGGAGGCTGAGATTGCAGTATGCTGAGATCACACCACTGCACTCCAGCCTGGGTGGCTGAACAAGATGTTGTCTCAATAATCATCATCATCATCATCATCATCATCATCAGGAGGAACTCTAAACTCTACCCAAGAGCAAAACAGTTAAAATGCTCTCATCATAAGGTAGCAACCAGTATACAAAACCAAAGACTTAAAAAACCCTTCAAATGTGTGCTCTTTCCAACAAGCCAAAAACATTAGAGAGACAAATTTCAAAGATTCACTGCAGGGAGTGCAGTGGATGGGACCATTAAGTAAGGAATGCAATGTAAAAAAAAAAAAAAATCCCAAGCTAGAAAAAAAGACTAAAAGACTTTGAGTAAAAATAAAACTTCATAAACCCAAGAAAGACAAAGTACAATGGGCCAGTTGCCAACCATACTAGAAAAAAATGTAAGAATCATAGACTTTTTATAGATGAAGAAGCTGAGACCTACAGCATTTCTATGGCATGTGAAGTGTCAGAGGGCAAATAGCAACATGCACTCAATGCAAACCAATTTAGAAACCCTCAGGTTCACACAAGAGGTAACATGTTACGTCAAAATGACTGCTCTCCCCACATACCCCCTCCATTTCCTCACCTTTTCTCCTCTCTATCTGGAATGTTCTCCATCCCCATCACCACCTTCTGAAATCCTACCAGTCAGTCCTTTAGGGATCATTCCAAAGGCAACTTCCTCCACTGTTCAGCCTTCCTCAATTATTCCAGCTAGAAGAAACATATTCTAAAGTCCCGTAGTGAACTTGCTCTGTCATATTTAGAATCTGTCATTTGTACTGATTTTTTCTCCCTTACTAAACTGCAAAACTTTGATGGCAATGACCATATCAACCTTCCTCCCCCCAATCCTCTACGTAATCGAGCATTATATCCTGCACGTGGGAAGCATCAATAAATGTAAACAAAATAAAAAGGAACTATTTTAGAAGTTATCATAATTGCTTATTTTAATATCAATAGTATAAAATTAAATGCTAACTTTAACAATAAGTATTAATAGAAAAAATATAATTTATAACACTGACCCTTGGTGGCCCAATAATCATGCCTGTCCACCTTGTAAGTGTCATATCTTCATCATCTTCAAGGCCCCAGCTAACTGTACCGTCGCCTACTCCTTTTTGTCCTTCTTCAAGTTCTTCCAACAAGCGAAAATTACGAGGAACTTTAACTCCTATACAAAAGAACGTCAGTGTAAATGTAAAAAGCTCATAATTATAAGAGCTACACGTATTTAAATTCAGCTTTTTCCAAATTAACCTTTATAAATTATTTCCCAAAAAGACCAAATCCCCTTTAAAAAGCATTCTGCTCCAGAAAATGCTGAATCTAATAACCCCTCAAAATGAAAACACTAAAGAAAGCACTGTACCAAACATTAACAGCAGTATACAACGTGTATATAAATTCCTCATCAATTTTATACTGATGTAAGTCAATCAACCATAAGGAAATCGTTTTCCCTATTTGATGTTTCTGTTACAGCCAAGGACTCTGCACCAATCAAACAGGCATGCCCAGAAAGTTCATAGAAGCCAAAGTTCATTAATATATACTCTCTAATGATTTTCAAAGAGTAGAATTATGTTCCATCTTAGAAAGTGCACCAGAAGGTACTGTCTTTTAGAATCCTGAAGCAGTCCCACCCAACCTGTCTCAAAAAAAAAAAAAAAAGAATGAGGAGTGAACCTTCATGTGAGGGGCATGTGAAAACAGAATCTGTCAGAGAGTAAACAGACCATGGACTTCTAAAGCAAATTCACACATCAAAGTTCAAATAATGGTGCAAAACCACCTCCTGTGAACAACTGACTTGGCTTTCAGTATGTCTCTTTAAAGAAAACATTATCATTTTATATGAGTTTCTTAAATGCTATTGGTAATATGGAGTTTAATTTTATGCACCTTAGATAATACATTTTTTAATGTGTTTGTGAGATTTTCATGGATGGTTTTTCAAAATTCCTAATTTTAGTTAGTAAGGATTTGACTTTGGGAAGACAGAAAACCTTTCAAGTAAAATGAATAGGCTTATATACATAAAGAAACTTCTTAATGAATTTAAAAGTGATCCTGTGAAAAACATAATTCCAGTGACATGGATGCCTAAATTTAAAAGAGTGGATACGGCTGGGCCTGTAATCCCAGCACTTTGGGAGGCCGAGGCAGGCAGATCACCTGAGATTGGGAGTTCGTGACCAGCCTGACCAACATGGAGGAACCCCATCTCTATTAGAAATACGAAATTAGCCGGGCATGGTGGCACATGCCTGGAATCCCAGCTACTCGGGAGGCTGAGGCAGGAGAATCGCTTGAACCCGGGAGGTGGAGGTTGCGGTGAGCCAAGATCACACCATTGCACACCAGCCTGGGCAACAAGAGAGAAATTCCATTTAAAAAAAAAAAAAAGAAGAGTGTTTACACAAGTAAAGTGTGTCTGCTTTTTAAGAGTTTATTCAGTTTAGGAAGGGGAGTCAAAATTTGTACTTGATTTCAATTTATTGTTATCTGAAATTGAAAGTATTCCTACCTTTTTTTGCTTTCGTGTATATGCAAAGGTAAATATTTATTAATCAAACCTTATAAATTTGAGGTGATTTTAGCCTGATTTCTCAGAACTTTTAATTTGTCTGTGTAGAAATGGGTTTACTAAATATTTTTAGACAATTTCTTAAGTATCTACTTTTATTTGCATACAGTAAGTTAGGAAAGACATTTAATGTTCCTCATACACCTGCTGTGTTATTTTGTGTGTGTGAGACAGAGTCTCGCTCTGTAGCCGAGCCAACCTCCACCTCCCAGGTTCAAGCTATTCTCCTGCCTCAGCCTCTCAAATAGCTGGGATTACAGGCGTGCAACACCATGCCCGGCTAATTTTTGTATTTTTAGTAAAGATGGAGTTTCACCGTGTTGGCCAGACTGGTCTGGAACATTTAATGTTCCAGAGGCGGAGGCTGCAGTGAGCCGAGATCGCACCACTGCACTCCAGCCTAGACGACAGAGCGAGACTCTGTCTTAAAAAAAAAAAAAAAACAACAAAAAAGGCCGGGCACAGTGGCTCACGCCTGTAATCCCAGCACTTTGGGAGGCCGAGGTGGGCAGATCACGAGGTCAGGAGATCGAGACCATCCTGGCTAACACGGTGAAACCCTGTCTCTAGTAAAAATACAAAAAATTAGCCAGGCGTGGTGGCGGGCGCCTGTAGTCCCAGCTACTCGGGAGGCTGAGGCAGGAGAATGGTGTGAACCCAGGAGGCAGAGCTTGCAGTGAGCCGAGATCGCACCACTGCACTCCAGCCTGGGTGACAGAGTGAGACTCTGTCTCACACACACACACACACAAAAAAAAAAAAAAAAAAAAAACCCAGCCTGGCCAACATGATGAAACCCCATCTCTACTAAAAATACAAAAATAAGCCAGGCATGCTGGTGCACACCTGTAATCCCAACCAGCTACTTGGAAGGCTGCTGCAGAATCGCTTGAACCCAGGAGGTGGAGGCTGAAGTGAGCCGAGATCAAGCCCCTGCCCGGGAGACAGAGCGAGACTGTCTCAAAAACAAAAACAAAACAAAAAAAGAAAAAACAGAGGGGACACTTTCCTAGATTTTAAGACTTCCTCATCAGCTAAAGAAATCATTAAGAAAATATGGAATCAGTACAGAAATGGACAGACTAATGAAAAAGAAAAGCCCCAAAGCAGACATATCATATATGAAAATGTGCTTCTTAGTAGAGGCAACACTAAAAGTCAGTAAAGAGAATAGAGGCATGACAACCAAATGCAATCTTGGTATCAGGAAAAATATTATTATCATTATTTTGCTTTAAAGAACAGTAGTGGTGAAATCTGAATAGGGCTGGTAGATAATAGTCCTCTATCAACATTAATTTCCTGATTTTGATAATTCTATTGTAAGAAAATGTCCTAGTTGAAGAATGTAGGGGTGAAGAGACAGTATCTGTTAACTTACCCTTGAATGGTTCCCCCAAAAAACAAAATCGAATGTGAAGGGAGGGGGGAAGAGAGAGTACACACAAGAGCAAGCAAAAATGTTAAACATCAACATTTGATGGATCTGCATGAAGGTATATGGGAATCCTTCGTACTACTTATGTTAACTTTTCTGCAAATCTGAAGTTATTTCAAAAGAAAAAAAAAAAAAAAAGTAGAAAAGGCTGGGCATGGTGGCGGCTCACACTTGTAAACCCAGCATTTTGGGAGGCAAAGGTAGGCCAATCAACTGAGCCCAGGAGTTGGAAACCAGCCTGGGCAACATGGCAAGACCCCATCTCTACAAAAAATACAAAAATTAGCCAGGTGTGGTAGCTGGCACATGCCTGTGGTCCCAGCTATTCAGAAGGTGGGGATCACCTGAGCCCAGGGAGGTCAAGACTGCAGTGATCTGTGATCACACCACTGCACTCCAGCCTGGGCCACAGAGTGAAACCCTGTCTCAAAAGAGAAGGAAAAAAAAAGTAGGAAAAGTTAATGGTGTTGGAACACTTTACCAATATGAAAAAATAAAATTAGAACCCAATCTGATCTCATAGTATACATAAAAATCAATTATAGGCAGATTAAATGAAAAGATAAGCCACAGACTGAAAAAGGATGTGAATAACATATAGAAGACAAGAACGTTATTCAAAATACAGAAATAATTCCTCCTAGAAATCAACAAGGAAAAGAAAACCCTAGAGAACAATGAGAACATATTAGGAATAAGGTTTACAGAAAACAGTAATGACCAACAAACATAAAAATATGTTCAACCTCATCAGTAATCAGGGAATCATAACGGCTTATTCTAGCCACCAAACTGACAAATACTAAGTCTGATAATTCTTGATCTGGGCAAACGTGTAGATATTGGAAGTTCATTCACTGCTGAGATTAGAATAAACTGGTATAGAAGCTATAAATAAACATAGTTTTTATACATATATACATATGTAGCAAAAAGTATAAAGGTGTTAGTGGAAAAGATATTTAAAAATCAGGGGTCGGGCGAGGCACGGTGGCTCACGCCAGTAATCCCAACACTTTACGAGGCCAAGGCAGGTGGATCACCTGAGGGCAGGAGTTCGAGACCAGCCTGGCCAGCATGGTCAAACCCGTCTCTACTAAAAATACAAACCCATCTCTACTAAAAATTCTCCTAAGGCAGGAGAATCGCATGAACCCAAGAGGCAGAGGTTGCGGTGAGCTGGGATCACGCCACTGCACTTCAGCCTGGGTGACAGAGCAAGACTCTGTCTCAAAAAAAAAAAAAAAAAATCAGGATTATTGGGCCAGGTGTGGTGGCTCATGCCTGTAATCCCAACACTTTGGGAGACTGAGATGGGCAAATCACTTGAGTTCAACACCAGCCTGGTCAACACAGTGAAACCCTGTCTCTACTAAAAATACAAAAAACTCGCTGGGTGGCTGGACATGGTAGCTCACGCCTGTAATCCCAGCACTTTGAGAGGCTGAGGCAGGCGGATCATTTGAGGTCAGGAGTTCGAGACCAGCCTGGCCAACATGGTGAAACCCCATCTCTACTAAAAACACAAAAGAATTAGCCAAGCATGGTGGCGTGCGCCTGTAGTCCCAGCTACCTGGGAGGCTGAGGCAGGAGAATCACCTGAACCTGGGAGGCAGAGGTTGTAGTGAGCCAAGATTGTGCCACTGCACTCCAGCCTGGGAGACAGAGCGAAACTCTGTCTCAAAAAAAAAAAAAATTAGCTGGGCATGGTGGTGCGCACCTGTAGTCCCAGCTACTCAGGAGACTAAGGCGGGAGGATCACTTGCACAGGAAGCAGAGGTTGTAGTAAGCCAAGATCACGCCACTACACTCCATTTTGGGTGACGGAGTCCGACTCTGTCTCAAAATAAATAAATAAATACAAATAATAAAAATCAGGATATTGATGACCTCTGGGCAAAGAGAAAGTGGCCTAGGACTAAGAAGTGAAAATAGGACTTTAAATGTACTAGAAATGTTCTGTTTCCAAAAAACAATCTGAAGCAAGAATTTATTAGAATGTGAATAGCCAGGGTGGGTATATGTGTATTCACGTATTTTCCTGGTGTTTGAAATATTTTATTTAAAAAGAAAAGGGAGGATTGGACGGGTGGAGCCAAAAAAGGCGTGGGGAGGACATTACAAAAGAGAGAGAGAATGCTGGGCAATGTTTGGGGACTGCAACTGAGTATGAGAGCAAAGAGTCAGAAATGGCCTGGAAGGGCACCCTTAGCAATTCAGCCTTTATCTGCAGCAATGAGGATTCAGGGAGGGGTTTTAAGCATAAACTTCACTTTGCTGCAACGTGGGAATGGATTGGGAGGTAAGAGGAGGAGAAAAGTATCAGCTGTTATAAAAGACCAAGAAACAGGATGATCAGGGAAGAAGTGTTAAGCACTCAGTTAACTGAGACAAAGTTGTGGTTCATTTTACTGTTGTAATTCTTTGGTTTTATTTATTTATTTCCATTTTAACAGCACCAAATGTCTACTGTGAGCCAAAGAATTGTGGCTAGGCCCATGATCTAGCCATGATAGTCAAAGTCCTGCTCTTGTGGAGCTTAAAGTTCAGCAGGGCATCAAGACACAGAAACCACAATTAGAGAAGGAGAAGCGTAAGAAGGAGGAGGTAACATCATAAAGCGAGAGTTTTGCTCTACTAAGAACCTAACCAGATGACTGAGCAAAGTGCTTTCTTTTTATACTTTGCATACTTCTACTAAACTGTATCAGTGGTATACATACAACTTTTTGTCTACCCCAATATATCTCAATGACCAACACACAAGAGCCTAGTACAGGAAGGCAACCCACTGCCCTGGGGAGAAGAGGCAAAAGAAAGGAGAAATCCTATCACTTTGCTTCCTTCCCCCACCTCTATCCCTAGTCAGAATCCCTGCTGAAACACATTATTTCTAAAGCCTTATCCTTTCATAGACTGATTCTAAAAGAAACAACCAATCCCTGTGATGCCCAAAATGTCACTTCCTAAAACTTCATAACCTATATACGTATTTTTCTGAGACAGAGTCTTGCTCTTGTCGCCCAGGACAGAGTGCAATGGCACGATCTCGGCTCACTGCAACCTTTGCTTCCAGGGTTCAAGTGATTCTCCTGCCTCAGCCTTCCAAGTAGCTGGGATTACAGGTGCCTGCCACGATGCATGGCTAATATTTGTATTTTTAGTAGAGACGGGGTTTCGCCATGTTGGCCAGGCTTGGTCTCAAACTCCTGACCTTGTGATCCGCCCACCTTGGCCTCCCAA
Source organism: Homo sapiens (assembly GCF_000001405.40). NCBI lineage: Eukaryota > Metazoa > Chordata > Mammalia > Primates > Hominidae > Homo > Homo sapiens. The sequence goes on along the minus strand of NC_000008.11, from coordinate 48,036,935 downwards.
AGTGCTGGCATTACAGGCGTGAGCCACCGCGCCTGGCCAGCTCATATATATTAACTATCTGTCATGAGTCAAGAATCTGGATACCACAAATACCCTGAGATTTGATCTATACATTCTATGCACACAATGAAAGATCACATGTACCCCCACAAAATATGTAAAATATTATGTATCAACATCAATTGAAAAAATATTTTTGAGTCGGCCAGGCAGTGGCTCATGCCTGTAATCCCAGCACTTTGGGAGGCCAAGGCGGGTGGATCACAAGGTCAGGAGTTTAAGACCAGCCTGGACAAGATGATGAAACCCCGTCTCTAGCCTAAAGATACAAAAAATTAGCCCGGCGTGGTGGTGCGTGCCTGTAATCCCAGCTACTCAGGAGGCTGAGGAAGGAGAATTTCTTGAACCCAGGTGGCAGAGGTTGCAGTGAGCCAAGATCGCACCACTGCACTCCTGCCTCAGTGACAGAGTGAGACTCTGTCTCAAAAAATATATATTTTTTTGAGTCAAGAATCATTATACTCTATACCAAATTAAAGATGGCCACAAATTCTTTGCTATTCCTCCCACTAGTAAGTGAAGTCTGATTTTCCTCCTCCTTTAATATTCCTTCATTTCATTTGGAGCACTACTTAAGAACATCAGACATGACCCTATCCTAAGAAATTTTTTTTTTTAATTGGCCAGGTGTGGTGGCTCACACCTGTAATCTTAACACTTTGGGAGGCCAAGGTGGGAGGATCGCTTGAGCCCAGGAGTTCAAGACAAGCCTGAGCAACATGCAAAACCCCATCTCTACAAAAAAATGCAAAAATTAGCCAGGCATGGTGGTGCACAGCTGTAGTCTGAGCTGCTCCGGAGGCTAACATGGAAGGATCACTTGAGCCTGGGAGGTAGAGGCTGCAGTGAGCCATGTTTGTTCACGCCACCACACTCTAGCCTGGGTGACAGAGTGAGATTCGGTCTCAAAAAAAAAAAAAAAAAAAAGAAAGGCAAGGGGAGAAAAGTAATAATTACAAGGTATACAACTTCCAATTTTTTTTTTGAGACGGAGTGTCACTCTGTCACCCAGGCTACAGTGCAGCGGCATGATCTCAGCTCACTGCAACCTCCGCCTCATGAGTTTAAGTGATTCTCCTGCCTCAGCCTCCTGAGTAGCTCTGGCATAGTGGCATGTACCTGTAATTCCAGCTCCTGCGAGGCTGAGGCAGGAGAATCACTTGAACCCGGGCCCAGTCTCAAAAAAAAAAAAAAAAAAAAAGCATACATACATATACACACACACACACACACACACACACACAAAAAAAAAAAAACAATAATTTTTAAATATGTATTGTGATTTGACTTAAATGCTACTTTGTGAAATTTCCCCTCAGGACAAAAAAACAGGGCGCAGAATGCCTGCAGAGTGCTGTGAGCCATCCTCCACCCTCCAGGCCCAGGCACACCCCTCCTCCCCTTGAAGCTGCGCAAACCTTCCTACCTGTTTTATCAGTAGAAGAGGGGAGCAGTGGCAGGGCGCGGTGGCTCATGCCTGTAATCCCAGCACTTTGGGAGGCCAAGGTGGGTATATCACCTGAGGTTAGGAGTTTGTGACCAGCCTGTCCAATATGGTGAAACCCCGTCTCTACTAAAAATACCAAAAAAAAATTAGCTGGGCATGGTGGTGCACACCTGTAGTCCCAGCTACTCTGGAGGCTGAGACATGAGAATTGCTTGAACCCGGGAGGCAGAAGTAGCAGTGAGCTGAGATTGTGCCACTGCACTACAGCCTCGGCGACAGAGTGAGACTCCACCTCCAAAAAAAAAAAAAAAAAAAAAAAAAGAATAAATAGGGAAGCAGCAATGCTAAGGCCAGTTCTGGCACTCACCTTGTAAGAGGAATGCTAACTTCTGCTTTCGTTCTTTTGGAAGCCAACCATCATGTAAGAATTCTGAACACCCTGACACCACCGGGATGTGAGGAAGTCCTAACTGGCCACCTGGAGAGGCTGCAGGGAGGGGGAGCAAGGCGTCCCGGGCAACAAGCCTATCCCTTCACCAGCTGATGCAACCACATGAGTGACTCTAAGTGAAACCAGCAGAAGAACCACCCAGTCAACTCCCATATTATAAGAAAAAAATCAATCATCGTTTGAAGCCACAAAGTTTTGATGTAATTTGTTACACAGCAATAAATAAATGAAGGGAGGGGGGTTGGAAAAGCAATCTGAACAAAAATGTTTATTTGGCAGTGCAAAAACTTAAGAAGCCAATTGGTATACATTCAGGCAAACTATGTCACATAATTTAAAATATTATATAAAGTCATTTTAAACTACATGAATTATATTAATTGTGTATAAGTTAAAAAAAAAGGGGGGGTGGGGGAGACCTAATAGCAGCACATATATTTTGATCATAATTCTAAAAAAAACTCTCATGTATACATCAGTATGGATCCAAAGACAAACTACAATTGACTTTTAAAATTCATTGGGAGTGAGGAATCTTTAAAAAAAGAAAACAGGGCAAGTGCGGTGGCTCACGCCTGTAATCCCAGCACTTTGGGAGGCCAAGGCAGGGGGATCACAAGGTCAGGAGTTCGAGACCAGCCTGGCCAACATAGTGAAACCCCATCTCTACTAAAAATACAAAAAAATTAGCCTGGCTTCATGGTGGCGGGAATCTGTAATCCCAGCTACTTGGGAGGCTGAGGCAGGAGAATCGCTTTAACCCAGGAGGTGGAGGATGCAGTGAGCCAAGATGGCACCACTGCACTCCAGCCCGGTGACAGTGCGAGACTCCATCTCAAAAAAAAAAAAGGAAAAGAAAACAGAGGTCAAATATTAAGACAGAATAAAAACAGTGGTTACCAAGGTTGGAGCTGGAAAGGAAATAGGGAGCTATAGACCAAGGGATACAAAGTAGCAGGTATGTAGGATGAACAAGTCTGCAGATCTAATGAACAGCATGAGGACTTTCTTCTTTTTTTTAGCAACAGGGTCTCCCTCTATTGCCCAGGCTAGAGCACAGTGGCTTAATCAAAACTCACTGCAGCCTCATCCACCTAGGCTCAAGCGATCCTCCCACCTTAGCCTCCCAAGTTGCTGGGACTACAGTCGCATGCCAACATGCAAGGTAATTTTTGTATTTTTTGTAGAGACGGGGTTTTGCCATGTTGCCCAGGCTAGTCTCGAACTCCTGGGCTCAAGTGATCAGCCTGCCTCGGCCTCCCAAAGTGCTAGGATTATAGATATGAGCCCGCACCCAGCCATGAGGACTTTTAATAAGAGTTTGCTATAGTCAGGATTTTTGCTCTTGCCACAGGGAGGAAAACAGGTAACTGTAAGATGATGAATATGTTAATTTGACTCACTATAGTAACCATTTTCCTATATATCTCATAACATGATATATATGCCTTAAATACACACAATAAATTTTATTTTAAAAAAACAAGGAATGAGCCAGGTGTGGTGGCTCATGCCTGTAGTCCCAGCACTTTGGGAGGCCAAGGCAGGAGGATTACTTGAGTCCAGGAGTTCGAGACCAGCCTGGCCAACACGGTGAAACCCCATCTCTACTAAAAATACAAAAATTAGCCAGCGTGGTGGTGAAAGCCCATAATCCCAGTTACTCAGGTGGCAGAGGCAGGAGAATCGCTTGAACCTGGGAGGCAGAGGTTGCAGTGAGCTGACATCACACCACTGCACTCCAGCCTGGGCAACAGAGAAAGACACCGTCTCAGGAAAAAAAAAATGGAAAAAGAATAAAAAAAATCACTGAGTCTTTTTGCCTTGTAAAGTTGTTAGAATATCTGAGGACACTAAGAAAAGTCAAGTCTTTTCAAGCAAATGAGTCCTTCATGTGATAACTTTACTCTGTCTTGTACTCTGGATGGTATGCCCCTGCTCCTTTCAAGGCATCCTCAGTGGAATTCCTTGCTGAGTGGGTCTGCCATCCTATCCGCTTTTAACACTCATCCAGCAAAGAAATGAGTATGAATCATAAGCCCCACCACAGTTCTACACTCAGGAAAACTGTTCCAGAATCCTAACTGGGCCCATAACCCCCACTGGCTGTTTCAAAAACATCAGTTACAACCCCACTCTCAAGAACACTATTTGTTGACATTAATAATGTCAATAATGTCAATAATACACAATTATTGACATCAAAGCATATGCTGGGGTGTGTGTGCATGTGTGTCTGCGTGTTTGTTTTGAGACAGGGACTCTGTCGCCATGGCTCACTACAGCCTCAAATTCCTAGGCTCAAGAGATCCTTCCACGTCAGCCTCCAGAGTAGCTGGGACTGCAGGCATGCACCGCCACACGCAGCTAATTTTTAAAATATTTTTAGTAGAGACAAGGTCTTGCTAGGCTGCCCAGGCTGGTCTCAAACTCCCAGGCTCAAGGGGTCCTCCTGCCTCAGCCTCCCAAAGTACTGAGATTATAGGTGTGAGCCCCATGCCCAGCTACACTTTTTCTGAACTTTAAATTTGAAATACATCCATCATTCAGACACTGTGAATTTATACAAATAGATTTAATACTAAAAACTATATTTATATAATTCACCAAAAAAAATCAGAAGGTAATATTCTTTTGCTGAAATGAAGGTTTACCAGATAAACCAATTTTCAACTTTAGCCTCTAAAATATTTCAAAAAATTGTATGAGATTAAAAATATATTTCAATAGAATACATTTAAGTTTAAATTGATCACAATTGCTTAGTATTCAGTTAACAAATGAGAACACGTCAGTATGTTTGTAGAATCCAGTATTTGAAATCTATTATATATTCACCTCAATGTGGGCATCTTAACAGTTTTTTTAAATACTGTCTTTGATCAAATCTAAGATGGCATAACCAACTACATGATACCATAATTTTAAAAAATTTAAACACTCTACCAATTAAACTACAACACATATATCCACTTCGGATATTTCAATGTGTTTTAGAATTGATGAAATATAGCAGAAAAAAATGTAATTTATAAAAACAAAATTTACTCACACCTGCAATCCCAGCACTTTGGGAGGCCAAGGCGGGTGGATCATGAGGTCAGGAGATTGAGACCATCCTGGATAACATGGTGAAACCCCCGTCTCTACTAAAAATACAAAAAATTAGCCGAGAGTGGTGGCACACACCTCTACTCGGGAGGCTGAGGCAGGAGAATCGCTTGAATTTGGGAGGCGGAGGTTGCAGTGAGCCAAGATCACATCACTGCACTCCAGCCTGGGTGACAGAGCAAGACTCCGTCTCAAAAAAGAAAAAAACAAATTCAAGTCAAACTTCGTACATCTGAAGCATCTGTACTACACTTTCAAACACAAGTGGAAAAACCTCTGGATTAGAGGATTTGCAAAGTATCTCAATTCTGTGGTGTGGAGAATACATTACATACAGGAGAAATTAATCATACTACTGTTACTCTTTAGGTTGTAACCAAAACCACCCTACCCCCAGCCACTGCCAAAAAATCACCACCTATATGGAGAGTTCATTTAGAATCTATTTGTTAGATATTAACTCAGCTAGATAAGGGGAAAATAAGCGGCTTCATGATTTTAGATTTAATGAATATATATGAACTAAAATATTCTTTTAGTAGTTTTACTTCAGAAAAGCAAACTAAAAATAAAACAGTGAAATATTACAATCTACAAAAAGGAAAGGCTAAGTTGTTTTTTTGTTGTTGTTGTTGGGGGGGGTTTGTTTGTTTGTTTTGAGACAGAGTCTTGCTCTGTCACCCAGGCTGGAGTGCAGTGGCACCATCTCAGCTCACTGCAACCTCTGCCTCCCAGGTTCAAGTGCTTCTCCTGGCTCAGCCTCCGAAGTAGCTGGGATTACAGGTGCCTGCCACCACACCTGGCTAATTTTTGTTTTTGTGTTTTGGTTTTTTATTTTTGAGACAGAGTCTCGCTCTGTGGCCCAGAGCCACAATGAAGGGCAATGGTGCAATCTCAGCTCACTGCAACCTCCACTTCCCAGGTTCAAGAGATTCTCCCGCCTCAGCCTCCCAAATAGCTGGGACTACAGGCATGTACCACTACTCCTGGCTAATTTTTGTATTTTTAGTAGAGACGGGGTTTCACCGTGTTGGCCAAGCTGGTCTCAAACTCCTGACTTCAAGTGATCCGCCCACCTCAGCCTCCCAAAGTGCTGGGATTACAGGAGTGAGCCACCATGCCTAGCCAGTTTTTGTTTTGTTTTTTGTTTTTGAGACAGGGTCTCACTCTGTCACCCAGGCTGGAGTACACGATCTCAACTCACTGCAACCTCCACCTCCCAGGCTTAAGCAATTCTCCCACCTCAGCCCCACAAGTAGCTGGCACCACTGGCGCATGCCACTACATCCAGCTAATTTTTGTATTTTTAGTAGAGACAGGGTTTCGCCATGTTGCCCAGGCTGGTCTCGAACTCCTGGGCTCAAGTGATCTGCCTGCCTGGGCCTCCCAACATGCTGGGATTAGAAGCGTGAGCCACTGCGCCCAGCCTGAAAAGCTAGGTTTTACTTGAGTCCTTTATTTTCTCATTATTAAATCTCTGACATAGAAAGAAACTGTACCATAGAAAATGATGACACAACAGGCACTTGATAAACACCTGGTGAATTTATGGCAAATGTTTGTTTTTAATCTTTCTCTCAATATGTATAAACTGACAGCAGATGTTGCTGATACTGAACACAGAATCCTTTCCCCAGGACATTACTATCTCGTGGGGAAGACAACCATGTAAGTGAATACATCCAAATATAATGCAGTAAGTTATTGCAGAAGATTTCACCTGGATACACTACAGATATCCCAATGAGATAAGCCAATGAATGTAGCAGTTACTTCACATTCTCCAGTGAGGTAGCTAAGAATGTTTATTGCAGAACTATCAAGGGAGACTTCCCTTAGAATACACTAGGGAGTGGAAGAAAGTTAAGTAAGCTAATATATTCTGGTTCCTCTCTAGTTTTAATTTCTAAGTAAAATTAGGATGGCATGCACTTTAAAAGATGTGAGGTCTTCTAACGGAGACTATTAAATGGGCATAACTGCTCACCTGTGAGTCCAGGAAGCTGTAGCTGGCTTCCACAGTCAGAAAGCCATATTAAGCAAAATAAACAGATATCTCTCCAAATCACTGTTTATGAGGTAAAAACTTGAGAAAATTAAAGACTTCTCAATAACATAAGTATTTCCTCTGAGGACATAACCATTTACATCAGTACTGTTTAGTAAACAACAATCAATAATTTAGGTAGCAGATGACAATGGCATGAAGAGCAGTACACCAAGCAATGCACTGTCTGTACTTTTCAAGAACATTCCAATCCATAAATTGAAAAACCTCTGGCATAATTATACTACTTCCAAAGAATAAAACTGTTTACAGTATGCATGGTATCTGGCTATCGAACTTTTTTTAGTGAGATTAAACCTCACCTGGCAAGAAGAGCTCAGACTCCTGCCCTTCTGTCATACAGTAATCACAACCAGAGCATCAACTAGAATTCACAGTACTTCATCAGGTTGTTTTTATTCATTTATATTTTAGTTTCTGACCATATCCTGCATGAAACATGGTTCTCTGATGTTTGTGTGTTCATTTTAGAGACAGGGTCTTACTCTGTTGCCCAGGCTGGTGGGCAGTGGTACAATCATGTCTCACTGCAACCTCGAACTTCTGGGCACAAGTGATCCTCCTGCCTTAGCCTCCTGAGGAGCTGGAACTATAGGCACACAGCATTGTGCCCAGCTAATTTTTTTATTTTTTTGTAGAGACAGGATCTCGGTACGTTGCCCAGGCTGCTCTCAAACTCCTGACCTCAAGTGATCTGCCTACCTTGGCCTCCTACTGCACCTGGCCTGAACATTATTGTTTTTAAAACAAAGTACCAGCTAGATGATGAGCTACATACAAAAAGCCAGAATCTGCATTTAAATGAAGTAGAAAAAAAATTAATTGGTCTTCATCAAAATTTTAAACTTTTGGGTTCCAAAGGACAACATCAAGAAAGTGAAGACAATCTACAGAATGAAAGAAAATACTTGCAAACCATACATCTGATAAAGGACTTGTATCCAGAATACATAAAGAACTCCGATAACTCAACAATAAAAAGACAAACAGCCCAATTTAAAAATGGGTAAAGGGGTCGGGTGCAGTAGCTCACACCTGTAATCCCAACACTTTGGGAGGCCGAGGTAGGCAGATCACTTGAGGTCAGGAGTTTGAGACAAGCCTGGCCAACATGGTGAAACTCCGTCTCTACTAAAACTACAAAAAAAATTAGCTGTGTTGGTCTGGACACAGTGGCTCACGCCTGTAATTCCAGCACTTTGGGAGGCCGAGGTGGGCAGATCACCTGAGGTCAGGAGTTCGAGATTAGCCTGACCAACATGGTGAAACCCCATCTCTAATAAAAATACAAAATTCGCCAGGTGTGGTGGCACATGCCTGTAATCCCAGCTACTTGAGAGGCTGAGGCAGGAGAATTGCTTGAACTCAGGAGGCAGAGGTTGCAGTGAGCCAAGATTGCGCCATTGCACTCCAGCCTGGGCAACGAGAACGAAACTCTGTCTCAAAAAAAAAAAAAAAAAGAAAACAGCCGGGTGTGGTGGCACACACCTGTAATCCTAACTACTCTGGAGGCTAACGTGGGAGGATCACTTGAACCTGGGAGATGGAGGTTGCAGTGAGCTGAGATCATGACACTGCACTCCGGCCTGGATGACAATGCAAGACTCCAGCTCAAAAATAAATAAATAAATAAAAATGAGTAAAGGGGCCAGGCACAGTGGCTCATGCCTGTAAATCCCAGCACTTTGGGAGGCCAAGGCAGGCAGATCACGAGGTCAGCAGTTCAAGACCAGCCTGGCCAACATGGTGAAATCCCATTTCTACTAAAAATACAAAAATTAGCCAGGCGTGGTGGTGGGCACCTGTAATCCCAGCTACTTGGGAGGTTGAGGCAGGAGAATCGCTTGAACCCAGGAGGCAGAGGTTGCAGTGAGCCAAGACCGCGCCATTGCACTCCAGCCTGGGCGAGAGCGAGACTCCGTCTCAAAAACAAAAAAAAAATGAATAAAGAATCTGAATAGACATTTCTCCAAAGAAGATATATAAATAGCCAGTAAAGGGCCAGGTGCAGTGGCTTACGCCTGTAATGCCACAATTCTGGGAGGCTGAGGCAGGTGGATCACTTGAGCCAAGCAATTCAAGACCACCCTGGGCAACATGGTGAAACACCATCTCTACTAAAAATACAAAAATTACCCAGGCATAAAGGCGCGTGCCTGCAGTCCCAGCTACTCAGGAGGCTGAGGCAGGAGAATCACTTGGGTATAGGAGGTGGAGACTGCAGTAAGCCAAGACTGCACCACTACATTCCAGCCTGGACAACAGAACAAGAACCTGTCTCAAAAAATTAAATAAATAAATAAAAACTAGTAAGCACATGAAAAGATACTCAATAACACTAGTTATCAGGGAAATGCAAATCAAAACCACAATGAGATACCACTTAACACCCACTAGAATGGCTACAATCAAAGTCAGATAATAAGTGTTGGTAAGGATGTGGAGAAACTGGGACCTTCATATACTGCTGGTAGGAATATAAAATGGTCTCCTTTTGGGCCCGGGCAGAGTGGCTCATGCCTGTAATCCCAGCACTTTGGGAGTTCAAGGCAGGGAGATCACTTGAGGTCAAGAGATCAAGACCAGCCCGGCCAACTTGGCAAAATCCAGTCTCTACTAAAAACACAAAAATTAGACAGGCATGGTAGCGCAGGCTTGTCATCCAAGCTACGTGGCATCCAAGCTACGTGGGAGGCTGAGGCAGGAGGATCACTTGAGCCCAAGAGGCTGAGGTTGCAGTGGACTGAGATCACACCACTGCACTCCAGCCTGGGCAACAGAGCGAGACTCCGTCTCGAAAAAAAAGAAGTCTCCCTTTGGAAAACAGCCTAGCAGTTCCTCAAACAGCTAAACATAGTTAACATGACCCAGCAGTTCCACTCCTAGGTATCTACTCAAGCGGGGCGGGGGTGGAACGTGTACATAAATGTTTACAGCAGCCTTATTCCCAATAGCCAGATGGTGGAAAACACCACCAACATGATGAATGAATAAACAAAAATGTGGTGTATCCAATGCACTGGAATATTCTTCAGCCATAAAAACATGTAAATACTGATACATGCTACAACATGGATGACCCTTAAAAACATTACGCTAAGTGAAAGAAGCCAGTCACAAAAGACCACATAATATATAAATCTACACATATGAAAGTACAGAATGGGTAAATCTATTGAGACAGATTATAGTAGTCAGGGGCTGAGGTTTGGAGGTATAGAACAGTGAGAGCTAAAGGGTACAGAGTTTCTTTCTGAGGTGATAAAATGTTCTAAAATGACCACAGTTACATATATCTGTGAACATGCCAGAAATCAGTGAATTGTACACTTTAAATAGACAACTGTATGGTATGTGAATTATATCTCAGTAAAGTTGTCTTGAAACAACAGCTCCCTGAAACCAAACTCAATATTCATTTACATCTCCATCCACCAGAAGTTCAGCTTTCTTATGAAGCATCCCTCAAAGGTGTGGTCAAATCCTAGAGGAAACTGGCCCTTTTCCATAGAACTTTAGATTTTAGTAACCACTTCATAAGCCCTAGAGAGAATAAGAAGCCCGGGTTACATAGCTGTTGTCCAATCTTCCCAGTCCCAAAACTCCTGGAACCAAGTTCTTCCTACCCGATAATATACAGTTTTATCTAGAGGCAGCCTACTTGGGGAAGTAGGTAAAAGGAAGAATAAAATGAAAAAAAAAAAGAAAGGAACAGTACTAAATATTCTAAAGGGTCACTTTAGGAATAACAGCTGCAATACTGAAATGTTTAGGATAACTCATCAGGTTGTAAATTCTACCTCTGATACAGAGATACGTTTCTATCAAACACTTAAAACACTCCCAATAACCTCCCTTTCCCTCGCCTCCCTTAGATAAACCTCAGATAGAAAATCCAGAGCCCGGTGCGGTGGCTCACGCCTGTAATCCCAGCACTTTGGGAGACCAAGGCAGGCGGATCACGAGGTCAGGAGATTGAGACCATCCTGGCTAACACGGAGAAACCCCGACTCTACAAAAAATACAAAAAAATTAGCCGGTCGTGGTGGCGGGTGCCTATAGTCCCAGCTACTCGGAAGGCTGAGGCAAGAGAATGGCGTGAACCCAGGAGGCGGAGCTTGCAGTGAGCCGAGATCACGCCACTGCACTCCAGCCTGGGCAACAGAGCAAGACTCCATCTCAAAAAAAAAAGAAAGAAAAAAAAAAGAAAATCCAGATTTAGGCCAGGCACGGTGGCTCACGCCTATAATCCCAACACTTTGGGAGGCCAAGGCGGGCAGATTACTTGATGTCAGGAGTTCAAGACCAGCCTGGTCAATATGGTGAAACCCTTTTCTCTACTAAAATACAAAAAAAAAATAATAATAATCAGCTAAGTGTGGTGGTGCACACCTGTAATCCCAGCTACTCAGGAGGCTGAGGCAGGAGAATTGCTTGAACCCTGCACAAGTTGCAGTGAGCCGAGATCGCACCACTACACTCCAGCCTGGATGACAGAGTGAGACTCCATCTCAAAAAAAAAAAAGAAAAGAAAAGAAAATCACAGATTTATAAGAATCACTGGCCAGGCATGGTGGCTCACGCCTGTAATCCCAGCACTTTGGGAGGCCGAGGCAGGCAGATCATGAGGGTCAGGAGATCGAGACCATCTCCTGGCTAACACGGTGAAACCCCGTTTCTACTAAAAATACAACAAGCTAGCCGGGCGTGGTGGCACACGCCTGTAGTTCCAGCTACTCGGGAGGCTGAAGCTGGAGAATCACTTGAACCCAGGAAGCGGAGGTTGCAGTGAGCTGAGATTGCACCACTGCACTCCAGCCCGGGCAACAGAACAAGACTCGTTCTAAAAAAAAAAAAAAAAATCAGTAAGGGAACAAATAATATATATGTATTTACCTGCAATACCAAATATGTGCTTACAAAAAAGATTTATGTGAATATTGACCAGCATTTAGCCACTGAAATCGCTTTTTCTAAATTTTTGTTACTCATTTCAATAAAATCCTTCACACCTTAAAAGAACATGGAGTTTTAATATTCTATTAATGCCTTTAGACTCTATCAAGTATTTTGTCTTGATCCTTAACAGCATTTATCTGTAAAATAACATCACTGGGTTTCCAGGAAATAAAAGCAACCAAGGCATACGTAGGATACAGTGTGATACAGAAGCAGTATTTAAGAATCTCTTTTTTTTTTTTTTGAGACGGAGTTTAGCTCTTGTTGCCCAGGCTGGTGTGCAATGGCGCGATCTCGGCTCACCACAACCTCCATCTCCCAGGTTCAAGCGATTCTCCTACCTCAGTCTCCTGAGTAGCTGGGATTACAGGCATGTGCCACCATGCCCAGCTAATTTTGTATTTTCAGTAGAGACGGGGTTTCTCCATGTTGGTCAGGCTGGTCTCCAACTCCTGACCTCAGGTGATCCACCTACCCTGGCCTCCCAAAGTGCTGGGATTACAGGCATGAGCTACCATACCCAGCCAAGAGTCTTAAATCAAGATACCAGCTCTGGACTCAACATCTAGCTAAAAAATCCTGCAAAAGCCATTTCATATCTGTATTTCTACTGCTCATCTATAAAATGAACTTGGTCTAGAGTCCAGGCAATCCATAACATATATTCTATTAAACTGTTTTTTCTATTTCTATTTAAAAGTACCTATACACAGCCACAAGGATTTATCTCCTTCTAAGGTTTGAAACAGCTGCTGAGTTCCAGCTTACTGAAAATACCATCTGCTCTCACACAAATCAGCTAAGACTTTATAAACAAGAATAAAGCACTCCCAAACCCAGTCCTGAAGTCCCATCTTACATATGTCAAACTTATTTTAATCAGCTCTTTGAAAAAGAGCCTTTGAAAAAGTGAACTACGTTTGAAACAAACTTTCAAACATTGATTTTTTTTGTTTGTTTTTTTGAGACAGGGTCTCATTCTGCCACCCAAGCTGGAGTACAGTGGCGCAATCTTGGCTCAATGCAACCTCTGCCTCCTGGGTTCAAGTGATTCTCCCACCTCAGCCTCCCAAGTAGCTGGAGCTATAAGCAAGCACCATCATGCCTGGCTAATTTTTTTTTGCATTTTTAATAGAGATAGGGTATCACCATGTTGGCCAGGCTGGTCTCAAACTCCTGACCTCAAGTGATCCTCCTGCCTTGGCCTTCCAAAGTGCTGGGATTACAGGCGTAAGCCACTACTGCGCGCCCAGCCTGAACACTGAATGTTACTGTTTATTCTAGTTTGAATGCCTCATATCCACTTCTATCAAGTTTCATGTTAGGCTGGGCATGGTGGCTCACACCTGTGATCCCAGCACTTTGGGAGGCCGAGGCAGGTGGATCACCTGATGTCAGGAATTCAAGACCAGCCTGGCAAACATGGTGAAACCCCGTCTCTACTAAAAATACAAAAATCAGCTGAGCGTGGTGGTGCGTGCGTGTAGTCACAGCTACTCAGGAGGCTGAGGCAGGAGAATCACTTGAACCCAGGAGGCGGAGGTCGCAGTGAGCCAAGATCGCGCCACCGCACTACAGCCTGGCGATAGAGCAATACTCTGTCTCAAAAAAAAAAAAAAGTATATCTAAAGAAAAAGTAGCAAAAAAACTGTACAAATATGGAGAAAGTTATAAGTATATGGCTACAGGTTGAAGGGTCTCCAACCAGATTCAACCCAAATAAGACTACTCCAAGACATGTTATAACCAAACTGTCAAAGATCAAAGACAAAGAGAGAATCCTCAAGGCAGCAAGAGAAAAGAAGCAAATAACATATAAGAGACTTCCAATATACCTAGCAGCAGACTTCTCAACAGAAAACTTAGAGGCCAGGGGAGAGTGAGATGATACATTTAAAGCGCTCGCAGGGGCTGGGCTCACACCTGTAACCCCAGCACTTTGGGAGGCTGAGGCAGGCAGATCACTTAAGCCCAAGAGTTCAAGACCAGTCTGGGCAACAGACCTTGTCTCTCTTTAAAAAAAAAAAAAAATGCGACCAGGAAAAAATCTGTCCTTTAGACAAAGCTGTCTGTCCCAGGACAAAGCTGTTCTTCAGAAACAAAGGATAAAGACTTTCTCAGGCAAGCAAAAGCTGAAGGAGTTTATCACCACAAGACCTGCCTTACAAGAAATGCTATGGGAAGTTCTTCAAGCTGAAAGAAAAGGATACTGATGAGTAACACAAAAACATCTGAAAGTATAAAACTCACTGGGAAAAGTAAACACAAGGTCAACTTCAGAATACACTAATACTGTAATGGTGGAGTGTAAATTACTTGTATCTTTAGTAGGAAGGTTAAAAGACAAAACTATTGAAAGTAACTACAATAATTTGTAAAGGAATATGCAATATAAAAAGATGCAGGCTGGGCGTGGTGGTTCATGCCTGTAATCCCAGCACTTTGAGAGGCCAAGGCAGGTGGATTACCTGAGGTCAGGAGTTCGAGAGCAGCCTAGCCAACATGGTGAAACCCCATCTCCACTAAAAATACAAAAATTAGTGGGGTGTGGTGGCAGCCGCCTGTAATCAGCTACTCAGGAGGCTGAGGCAGGAGAATCACATGAACCCGGGAGGCGAAGGTTGCAGTAAGCCAAGATCAGATCATTGCACTCCAGCCTGGGTGACAAGAACGACACTGTCTCCAAAAAAAAAAAAAGATCCAAACTGTGACATCAAAAATTCAAAATGGGAGAGTAGGGTAAAAGTATAAAGGATTTTTTAGGCCATCAAGGCTAAGTTGTTATTAGTTTAAAATAACCTTTTGTAACTGTAAGATCTTTTCTGTAAGCCTCATGGTAACCACAAAGCAAAAACCTATATGCCAGGCGTGGTGGCTCACCCCTGCAATCCCAGCACTTTGGGAGGCTGAGGCAGGTGGATCATCTGAGGTAAGGAGTTCCAGACCAGCCTGACCAACATGGTAAAACCCGGTCTCTACTAAAAATTAGCCAGACATGGTGGCGCATACCTGTAATGGCAGCTACTCAGGAGGCTGAGGCAGGAGAATTGCTCGAACCCAGGAGGCAGAGGTTGCACTGAGCCAAGATCACACCACTGCACTCCAGCCTGGGTGACAGAGCAAAACTCCATCTCAAAAAAAAAAAGAGAGCCAGGCGCATTGGCTCATACCTGTAATCCCAGCACTTTGGGAAGATGAGGTGGGTGGATCACCTGAGGTCAAGAGTTCAAGACCGGCCGGGCGCAGTGGCTCACGCTTGTAATCCCAGCACTTTGGGAGGCCAAGGCGGGCAGATCACGAGGTCAGGAGATTGAGACCATCCTCACTAACACGGTGAAACCCCATCTCTACTAAAAATACAAAATATTAGCCGGGCGTGGTGGTGGGCACCTGTAGTCCCAGCTACTCAGGAGGATGAGGCAGGAGAATGGCATGAACCTGGGAGGCAGAGCTTACAGTGAGCCAAGATTGCACCACTGCACTCCAGCGTGGGCGACAGAGCGAGACTCCGTCTCAAAAAAAAAAAAAAAAAAAAGGGTTCGAGACCAGCCTAGCCAACACAGTGAAACCCTGTCTCTACTAAAAATACAAAAAATTAGCTGGGCGTGGTGGCGGCCACCTGTAAGCCCAACTACTAAGGAGGCTGAGACAGGAGAATTGCTTGAACCCAGGAGGCAGAGGTTGCAGTGAGCCGGGATCACGCCATTGCACTCCAGCCTGGGAAACAAGAGTGAAAATCCATCTTAAAAAAAAAAAAAAAAACCTATAATAGATAAAACATAAAAAGCAATAACAAGCCAGCAGAGTGGATCATGCCTGAAACCCCAGTGCTCTGGAGCCCAAGGTGGGAGAAGCACTTGAGGCCAGGAGTTCAAAGCTAGCCTGGGCAATATAGCAAGACGTTGTCTCTACAAAAATTAAAAAAAAAAAAAAAATTAGCTGGGCATCGTGGCACATGCCTGCATTCCTAGCTACTCAGGAGGCTGAGGCAGGAGGATCACTCCAGCCCAGGAGTTCAAACCCGCTTGCGCAACATGGCAAGACCCCGTATCTACAAGAAAATAAAATTAGCCAGGTTTGGTGGCACACACCTATAGTCCTAGCTACTCCAAAGGCTGAGGCAAGAAGACGGCTTGAGCCCATGAGTTGGAGGTTATAGTGAGCTATGACCAGGTCAGAGCAACACACTGTCTCAAAAAATAAAAAGGCGAGGAATCAAAAACATACTACTAGAGAAAATCAACCACCAAAGAAGACCATAGGAGAGGAAGAAAGGAGCTACAAAACAAATAGGAAACAATTAACAGGATGGCAGTATTAACTCATCTATCAATAATTACTCTAAATGTAAATGAATTAAATTATTTAATCAAGACATAGAGTGACTGAATGGTTAAAAAAAACAAGACCCAACTATATGCTGCCAATAAAAGACTCACCTCACCTGTACGGACACATGTAGACTGAAGGTGAAGGAATGGAAAAAGATATGCCATGCAAATGGAAATCAAGAGAGAACAAGACCCTATAATCCCAGCATTCTGAAAGGCCAAGGAGGGAAAATTGTTTGAGCCCAGGAGTTTGAAAGCATCCTGAGCAACATGTTGAGACCCCATCTCTACAAAAAATATAAAAAATTAGCAAGGCATAGTGGCATGCATCTGTGGTCAGCTACACAGGAGGCTGAGGTAGGAAAATCACTGATCTCAATAGTTCAAGGCTGCAGTGAGCCATGTTCACGCCACTGCACTCTAGCCTAGATAGGGAGACCTTGTCTCAAAAAAAAAAAAAAAGAGAGACAGAGAGAGAGAAAGCCCAAGAATTGCTTCACTTATATCAGATAAAATTATTTTTGTTTTTCTTTTTAGACAGAGTCTCACTCACTCTGTTGCCCAGGTTGGAGTACAGTCGCAGGATCTTGGCTCACTGTAACCTCCACCTCCTGAGTTCAAGCAATTATCCTGCCTCAGCCTCCCAAGTGGAATTATAGGCATATGGCACCATGCCTGGCTAATTTTTTTTTTTGAAACGGAGTCTAGCTCTGTCACCCAGGCTGAAGTGCAGTGGCGCAATCTCGGCTCACTGCAGCCTCCACCTCCCAGGTTCACGTGATTCTCCTGCCTCAGCCTCCTGAGTAGCTGGGATTACAGGCATGTGCCACCACGCCTGGCTAATTTTTGTATTTTTAGTAGAGACGGGGTTTCACCATGTTGGTCAGGCTGTTCTCAAACTCCTAACCTCATGATCCGCCAGCCTCAGCCTCCCAAAGTGCTGGGATTACAGGCATGAGCCACCATGCCCTGCCGTTTTTTTGAGACAGTCTCGCTCTGTTGCCCAGGCTGGAGGGCAGTGGCGCAATCAAGGCTCACTGCAATCTCCCGACTCCCAGGTTCACACGATTCTCCTGCCTCAGCCTCCCGAGTAGCTGGTACTACAGGAGCCCACCACCACGCCCAATTTTTGTTTGTTTTGTTTTGAGCAGGAGTCTTGTTCTGTCACCCAGGCTGGAGTGCAGTGCCGTGATCTCGGCTTACTGCAACCTCTGCCTCCCAGGTTCAAGCAATTCTCTGCCTCAGCCTCCCAAGTAGCTGGGGTCACAGGCGCCCGCCACCACACCTGGCTAATTTTTGTATTTTTAGTAGAGATGGGGTTTCACCATTTTGGCCAGGCTGGTCTTGAACTCCCAACCTCGTGCTCCACCTGCCTTGGCCTCTCAAAGTGCTGGGATTACAGGTGTGAGCCACCGCTCCTGGTCCAATTTTTGTATTTTTAATAGAGATGGGATTTCGCCATGTTGGCCAGGTTGGTCTTGAACTCCTGATCTCAAGTGATCCGCCCGCCTCGGCCTCCCAAAGTGCTGGGATTACAGGCATGAGCCACTATGCCTGGCCCCCAATAAAATAGATTTTTAAATCAAAAACTGTAAAAAAAAGATAGAGAAGGTCATTATGTAATAACAAAGGGGTCAATTTAGCAAGAGAATAATTGTAAATATATATGCACCCAACATCAAAGCACCTAAATATATAAAGCAAATATTAATAGATCTGAAAGATAGGTTGTACTACAGTAACAGTAGGAGATTTTCACACCTCACAATTAGCAATGCACAGATCATGCAGACAGAAAGCCAACAAGGAAACATGAGACTTAAGCTACACTATAGAACAAATGGACCTAAAAGACATACACAGAACATACCATTCAACAGTGGCATAATACATTATTTTAAGCTGCACATGGAACATTCTCAAGGATAGATCATATGTCAAGCCACAAAATAAGTCTTAACAAATTTAAGAAGATGGAAATCATATCAAATATCTTTTCTGACCACAATGGTATAAAACTAGAAATCATTAACAGGAGGATCTTCAGAAAATTCACAAAAACATGGAAGTTAAACACATGCTCTTGAACAACCAATAGGTCAATGAAGATATTAAAAAACAAATTAGGAAGTTTATTGAAAAAAATGAAAACTGAAACACACAGCATACAAAGCCTATGGAATACAGCAAAAGCAGTTTTAAGACAGAAGTTTTTATAACAATAAACACTGACATCATATGTCTTCTGCAAACAGGAACAGTTTAACTTCTTTTCCAATTAAGATGCCTTGTATTTCTTTCTCTTGTCTTATTGCTCTTTCTAGGACTTCCAGTATTATGTTGAACAGAAGTGGCAAAATTGGGCATTGTGCAGCTGGGCATGGTGGCTCACACCTGTAATCCCAGCACTTTGGGAGGCCGAGGCGTGTGGATCACCTGAGGTCAGGAGTTCGAGACCAGCCTGGCCAACATGGCGAAACCCCATCTCTACTAAAAATACAAAACATTAGCCAGGTATGGTGGCGTGCACCTGTAGTCCCAGCTACTCGGGAGGCTGAGGTGAGAGCCTGGGAAGTTGAGGCTGCAGCGAGCCGTGACTATGCCACTGCACTCCAGCCTGGGTGACAGGTTGAGACTGTCTCAGGAAAAAAAAAAAAAAAAAGGCAATCTATGAAACTACTAGAAAACAGGAAGAAAAGTCAATGGCATTGGTCTGGGCAATGATTTTTGGAGGATATGACCTCAAAAGCACACTCAACAAAAGCAAAAACAGACAATTTGGATCACATAAAACTAAAAATCTCCTGCACTGCAAAGGAAACAATAAAGAGAGAACTGGCAGGCGCGGTGGCTCTCGCCTGTAATCCTAGCACTTTGGGAGGCTGAGGCAGGCAGACCACCTGAGGTCGGGAGTTTATTACCAGCCTGACCAACATGGAGAAATCCCGTCTCTACTAAAAATACAAAATTAGCAGTGCATGGTGGCACATGCCTGTAATCCCAGCTACTTAGGAGGCTGAAGCAGGAGAATCCCTTGAACCCAGGAGGCAGAGCTTGCAGTGAGCTGAGATCGTGCCATTGCACTCCAGCCTGGGCAACAAGAGCGAAACTCCACCAAAAAAAAAAAAAAGAGAGAGAGAACATACAGAATGGTTCACTATACTCGTAAACTATATATCTGATAAGGGGTTAATAACCAAAATATATAAGGAACTCCATTCAATACCAAGAAAATAACCTCATGTAAAAATGGGTAAAAGATCTGAATAGACATTTCTCAAAAGACATACAAATGGCCAAGAGGTATATGAAAAAAATTCTCAACATCACTAATCATCAAAGAAATGCAAAAAAAAACCCACATGAGGTATCACCTCACTCCCATTAAAATGGCTATAATCAAAAGGATGAAAGATGAGGCCAAGCGCAGTGGCTCACGCCTGTAATCCCAGCACTTTGGGAGGCCAAGGCAGGTGGATCACCTGAGGTCGGGCGTTTGAGACCAGCCTAGCCTGGCCAACATGGTGAAATCATGTCTCTACTAACAATATGAAAATTAGCCAGGCATGGTGGCGGGTGCCTGTAATCCCAGCTACTCGGGAGGCTAAGACAGGAGAATCGCTTGAACCTGGAGGTGGAGGTTGCAGTCAACTGACATCTCGCCACTGCACTCCAGCCTAGGCGACAGAGCGAGACTCTGTCTCAATTAAAAAAAAAAAAAAAAAAAGGCTGGGCACGGCGGCTCACGCCTGTAATCCCAGTACCTTGGGAGGCCAAGGTGGGAAGATCACCTGAGGTTGGGAGTTCGAGAGCAGCCTCACCAACATGGAGAAACCCCGTCTCTAATAAAAATACAAAATTAGCCAGGCATGGTGGTGCGTGGCTGTAATCCCAGCTACTCGGGAGGCTGAGGCAGGAGAATTGCTTGAACCCAGGAGGTGGAGGTTGCAATGAGCCGAGATCATGCCATTGCACTCCAGCCTGGGCAACAAGAGCCAAACTCCGTCTCAAAAAAAAAAAGATGACAGATAACAAGTGTTGGTGAGTATGTGGTGATAAAGGATAATCTAAGCATGCTGTTGGTGGGAATGTGAATTAGTACAACCATATGGAGAAAGAAGAGTATGGAGTTCCTCAAAAACCTAAAAACAGAGCTACCGTATGATCCAGTAATCCTGCTACTGCATATATAGCCAAAGAAAATAAAATCAGTATGTCAAAGAGAGGCCTGCACTCCCATTTTATTGCAGCACTACTCAAAATATGCAAGATATAGAATCAACCTAAGTATCCATCAACCAACAAATGGATAGGCTGAGCGCGGTGGCTCACGCCTGTAATCCCCATACTTTGGGAGGCCGAGGCAGATGGATTGCTTGAGGTCAGGAGTTTGAGACCAACCTGGCCAATATGGTGAAACCCCATCTCTACTAAAATACAAAAATTAGCCGGGCTTGGCGGCGGGTGCCAGTAATCCCAGCTACTAGGGAGCCTGAGGCAGGAGAATTGCTTGAACCCAGGAGGTGGAGGTTGCAGTGAGCTGAGAACGCGCCACTGCACTCCAGCCTGGGTGACAGAGTGAGACTCCGTCTCAAAAAAAAAAAAAAAAAAAACCACACAGACAAATGGATAAAGAACATGTGGTATACGTATACAGTGGGACACTGTTCCAATCATAAAAAAGAAGGAAATTCTCTCATTTCCAACAACATGGATGAACCTGGAGAACATTATGTTAACTGAAATAACACAGGCACAGAAAGACAAATACATATTATCTCACTCATATATGGAGTCAAAATTGATCTCACAGAAGTAGACAGGAGATGGTGGTTACCAGAGGTTAGGATGGTTGGGGTTACGGGGGTGGGGATTGGGAAGATGTTAGACAAAGGATACGTAATTACAGTCAGGAGGAACAAGTTTAAGAGCACTACTGTATAGCATGGTGATTAGTTAACAACATACTGTATTCTTGAAAAATACTCAGTAGCTATTAAGTATTCTCACCACAAAAATGATAACTATGTGAGATAATGTATTTGGTAATTAGCTAGATTTAACCATTCCACAATGTACAGATAATGTACTTCAAAACATTAGCAAGCATTGTTCAAATTAATTTTTTTTTTGACACAGTGTCTTGCTCTGTCGCCCAGGCAGGAGTGCAGTGACACGATCACAGCTCACTGCAGCCTCAACCTCCCAGGCTCAACCCATACTCTACCTCAGCCTCCCAAGTAGCTGGGACTGCAGGTGCACATCACCACACCCAGCTAATTTTTGCATTTTTTGTAGAGATGGGATTTTCTTGTATTGCCCAGGCTGGTCTTGAACTCCTAGGCTCTAGTAATCCACCCACCTCGACCTCCCAAAGTGCTGGGACTACAGGTGGAAGCCACTGCACCCAGCCTCAAGCTACTCTTGACAAGCCTTATTTTTTTTTTTTTTTTTTTTTGGAGATGGAGTCTCGCTCTGTCACTCGGGCTGGAGTGCAGTGGCACAATCTCAGCTCACTGCAAGCTCCGCCTCCCGGGTTCATGCCATTCTACTGCTTCAGTCTCCCCAGTAGCCAGGACTACAGGTGCCTGTCACCACGCCCGGCTAGTTTTTTGTATTTTTGGTAGAGACGGGGTTTCACCATGTTAGCCAGGATGGTCTTGATCTCTTGACTTCGTGAACCACCCACCTCGGCCTCCCAAAGTGCTAGGATTACGGGCGTGAGCCACCACGCCCAGCCAACAAGCTTTTTTTAATGAAATAAAACATTTTAATTCTTAATATCTGATACTTTAAATTATGACATACTAAATATTAATTTTACTGGTTTCATTTTCCTGCACATTTTTTTTTTTTTTTTTTTTGAGGCAGAGTCTCTCTCTGTTGCCCAGACTGGAGTGCAGTGGAGCAATCTCAGCTCACTGCAAGCTTCGACTCCCAGGTTCACACCATTCTCCTGCCTCAGCCTCCCGAGTAGCTGGGACTACAGGCGCCCATCACCACACTCGGCTAATTTTTTGTATTTTTAGTAGAGATAGGGTTTCACTGTGTTAGCCAGGATGGTCTCCCATCTCCTGACCTCGTGATCCGCCCCCCTCAGCCTCCCAAAGTGCTGGGATTACAGGCGTGAGCCACCATGCCCGGCCCTTTCCTGCATATTTCTAAACAGGGAGAGTTCTTAATGTGTTGACATTTTTGAAGGTCTCAGAATAACCATAATTTTCCCAATTATTAAGACTGCTTTGGGTAGTTTTTTGCATGGCCATTTTTACCTCTGCCAACTGCCGTTCAAAGGACTGCCTGTACAGTGAGGTTGTACCATATTATCAAAAGCATGTTTATCAAGAGAATTCAGGCTCCCAAATGACCTAGAAAAATCAACCAGGCCAGTTATGGAAGCCTCAAGAGGGAAATACACTAGACTACCATAGTTCAGCTCTTCTATCGTTTAGTTCCCAAGTTCTAGGTTATGATTTAAACTATGTAATTCTCTTCTATCACCACACCCGAGTTCTGTCCATATCCAAGTATCTTCATCTAAAGAGGAAAACAAGATGATGTTGTCCAATCTTTTCACAGATGGGATGGGAAAAGCAATGTTTAGTGATTAACTGACATGCCCATGGTGGCACAGTAGTCTGTCAGGGGCAGCAGGGAACTCAGAACACTGCTAAACTAGTTCTTCCAGTATATACAATGCTACCCACTTCTGAAGAAGGCAATTAGTAGGTTATATTTTGGTTTTGTTTTCTGCCTACATAGCAGAAAACATATTCTTTCATCAATTTTTTCTGAGTTTCTCATAACTCAAAGACATTTTCCAGGCATCTACAGTCAGAGACTAGAGCTTCACTGTACCATTAATATTACCTAAGTGATAAATGTAAAACGTTTCATGTGGGCCGGGCGCGGTGGCTCACGCCTGTAATCCCAGCACTTTGGGAGGCCGAGGCGGATGGATCACGAGGTCAGGAGATCGAGACCATCCCGGCTAACACGGTGAAACCCCACTTCTACTAAAAATACAAAAAAAATTAACCGGGCATGGTGGCAGGCGCCTATAGTCCCAGCTACTTCGGAGGCTGAGGCCACAGAATGGCATGAACCCAGGAGGCAGTGCTTGCAGTGAGCCAAGATCACGCCACTGCACTCCAGCCTGGGCCACAGAGCGAGACTTCATCTCAAAAAAAAAAAAAAAGTTTCACGTTACAATGTAATGTGGTATCCTGGATGAAGTCCTAGGACAGCAAAAGTACATTAAAGAAAAACTAAGGAAATCTGAACTTTAGTTAATAATAAATGTGTCAATATTGGTTCCTTAATTGTGACAAGTGTACCATACCAATATAAGAAATTAACAGCGAAGCCAGATGCAGTGGCTCACACCAGTGATCCCAGCACTTTGGGAGGCCAAGGCGGGCGGATCATGAGGCCAGGAGTTTGAAACCAGCCTGGCCAACATGGTGAAACCCTGTCTCTACTAAAAATACAAAAAATTATCCGGGTGTGACAGCACACACCTGTAATCCCAGCTACTCGGGAGGCTGAGGCAGGAGAATCACTTGAACCCAGGAGGCAGAGGTTGCAGTGAGCCCAGATCACGCCACTGCTCTCTAGCCTGGGCGACAGAGCAAGACTCCATCCCGAAAGAAAAAAAAAGGAAATTGACAGGGAAAACTGAATGTGAGGTGCATGGAAACTTTCTGTACTATCTTCACAACTTTTCTGTAAAACTAAAACTATTGTATTTTTTTAAAACTATTGCACACGCTTTTTTTCTTTTTTTTTCTGAGATGGAGTCTCACTCTTCTTACCCAGGCTGGAATGCAATGGCGTGCTCTCGGCTCACCACAACCTCTGCCTCCCGGGTTCAAGAGATTCTCCTGCCTCAGCCTTCCGAGTAGCTGGAATTACAGGCATGTGCCACCACGCCCGGATAATTTTGTATTTTTAGTAGAGACATGGTTTCTCCATGTTGGTCCAGCTGGTCTCAACCTCCCGACCTCAGGTAATCCGCCCACCTCGGCCTCCCAAAGTGCTGGGATTACAGGTGTGAGCCACCCCACCCGGCCTGCACATACTTTTCTATCTAAACTAATTGTTATTATTAATGCTGGAATCTAATAAAATTTTGAATCATGAGTACTAAACAGTATCAAATTTCTATTCCCGAGAGTAGCTTCTTAACCTCTGTCCTGTGAAATACTCTTGAATTGCATGGGTAACTCTGTCTCTTGGAAAAGGAGAACCTAGCTGGTGAGGGCTACGTTCCCCTTTCATCCATAAGAAGGATCTAAGAGTCTGAAACAAGGATTGTGCTAAGAAGGGAAGTGTGAAAGGGAGTAATTAAGATTCATGTTCTGAGAAATATTCCAAATTCAGAGTTCTTCATAATGGAGAGCGCATCAGACTAAGGGTAAAAGACCTGGATTCTAGTCTTGCCTGTACTAGTAACCACCTATGTATAGCCTTTTACTTGTTTGAGCCTCAGTTTTCTCATCTGCAAAATAAGAAGACCAGATGGGATGGCCAAAAATGTTTCTGCTTAGAAGTCTCCGTCTGGCCAGGCACAGTGGCTCAAACCTGTAATCCTAACCTCAGGCCAGGGCAGGAGGGTCACTTGAGTCCAGGAGTTCAGACTACACTGGATAACATACGGAGACCCTGTCTCTACAAATAATTTAAAAATTAGCCAGGTGTGGCAATGCGTGCCTGTGTTCGCAGCTACTCGGGAGGCTGAGGTAGGAGGATCACCTGACCCCAGCAGGTCGAGGCTGCAGTGAGCCATGATCGCATGCCACTGCATTCCAACCTGGGCAACACAGCAAGACTCCGTCTCAAAAAGTCTCAGTCTAATTAAAAGTTTTTTCCTTCCAAAATTCTCTTCCAGTAGAAGGAAGGGTTAAAGGGGCTAAGGTATATGATGCACACTGAACTAAAGATCAAAACATATTTGTCAGGGTTTTTCTTTTTGGCCTCTTAAACAACTGTTATCGAGATACTTTGGCTTAAATAAAAAACACGTGTATTAGACCAAGCTCAGTGGTTTATGCCTGTAATCCCAGAACTTTGGGAGGCCGGAGCAGATGGATTACCTGAGGTTAGCAGTTTGAGACCAGCCTGGCCAACATGGTGAAACCCCATCTCTACTAGAAAAAATATATATACAATAAATTAGCTGGGCGTGGTGGTGCATGCCTGTAAACCCAGCTACTCAGAATGCTGAGGCAGGAGAATTGCTTAAACCCAGGAGGAAGAGGCTGCAGTCAGCCGAGATCGCACCATTGCACTCCAGCCTGAGCAACAAGGCGAGACTCCGTTTCAAACAAACACGTGCATTACATCGATGTAGCTCATCTAATTTTAAATTTTAAGCTGTATCATGCTGCTTTCACAAATACACAGGTACTATTTACTTCCCATGTTACCAAAAAGCAAACAAAAGTATAGCTAATAGTAAAATTAAAACTAATTAATAGGCTGGGCACTGTGGCTCACACCTGTAATCCCAGCACTTTGGGAGGCCAAGGTGGGCGGATTGCCTGGGGTCAGGAGTTTGAGACCAGTCTGGACAACATGATGAAAACCTGTCCCTACTAAAAAAAAAAAAAAAAATACAAAAAAAATATATATATACAAAAAAATTTGCTGGGCGTGGTGGCATGCACCTGTAATCCCAGCTACTCAAGAGGCTGAGGCAGAGGAATTGCTTGAACCAGGGAGGTGGAAGTTGCAGTGAGCCGAGATCATGCCCTTGCACTCCAGCCTGGGCAAAGAAGCGAGAGACTCAGTCTCAAAAAAAAAAAAAAACAAACAAACCCAGGCGCAGTGGCTCACACCTGTAATCCCAGCAATTTGGGAGGCCGGATCACGAGGTCAAGAGATCAAGACCATCCTGGCCAATATGGTGAAACCCCGTCTCTACTAAATATACAAAAAATTAGCTGGGCATGGTGGCACGCGCCTGTTGTCCCAGCTACTCAGGAGACTGAGGCAGGAGAATCGCTTGAGCCCGGGAGGCGGAGGTTGCAGTGAGCCGAGATCGCGCCACTGCACTCCAGCCTGGGTGACAGAGCAAGACTGCGTCTCAAAAAAAAAAAAAAAAAAAACTAGTAGATGGGAACGGTGGCTCACCCCTGTAATCCAGCACTTTGGGAGGCTGAGGCGGGTGGATCACCTGAGGTGAGGAGGGTGCAGTGAGCCAAGATCATGCCACTGCACTCCAGCCTGGGCAATGCAGCGAGACTCCATCTCAAAAAAAAAAAAAAAATACAGACTCCCTATGTACAATATGCTAATAATTTATCAGTAATCTTTATAATTTATATTCAACTTCCAAAACAACTAAAAGTGATTAACAAAAAGTATTTGCCATTAATATCATCTAACCTTTGGTCTTTTCAAAATATTAACATACACTCATGTATAGTGTTATGAAAAAATTGTGTTTAATAATGCAACCCACAAAAGGAAAATGAAAAGTATTAAATTAAAATGCATTATTTTATTACTAAATTTTCAAAAATCTATAAGAGGTCCTAAGCACAACTGTTATAAAGATATGGCCCCGTTAACGAGCACAGATTAGATTTCAGCAAGCACAGTAAAGTCATAACACTAAAATTCCACTTTTAAAACAATCCTTGCCTTACTAGCTAGCTGACCCAAGTATGTATACTACCCCAACACTAGAACTGCTAAAGATCTTAAAACCTATGACACCTATATGTAATAAAGATGTAAAAGACACCACTTAATTAAAATGTATGCAGAATGTATCCTGAGGTATTACTCTAAAGCAACAATTACAACATATATTCAAAGCCTTCCATTTCAGTACATATAGATTTGAAAATTCATTTTATTATGCAATGATGGCATAAACTATTAAATCACACTGCTCTATACTCTTGTTTCAACGAAGACTAGGAAAAGGCAGATCAGGCCGAGCGCGGTGGCTCACACCTGTAATTCCAGCACTCTGGGAGGCCGAAGTGGGCGGATCACCTGAGGTCAGGAGTTCGAGACCAGTCTGGCCAACATGACAAAACCCCGTCTCTACTAAAAATACAAAAATTAGCCGGGCCTGGTGGCACGCGCCTGTAATCCCAGCTACTTGGGAGGCTGAGGCAGGAGAATCACTTGAACCTGGGAGGTGGAGGTTGCAGTGAGCCGAGATCACACCACTGCATTCCAACTGGGCAACAGGGTGAGCCTCTGACTCAAAAAAAAAAAAAAAAAGAAAAGAAAAGAAAAAGGCAGATCACACGGGTTAACATTTTTAAATGTAAACTAAAGCTTAACGTTTTTAACATTTCTGAAATGGTCTAATGTCTAAAACCTCAACGTTAATACTTGTGTGCTCACAGGAAACCAAACATTGTATTCAGTAGGAAAGAGGAGTTGAACAGCTTATCTAAGAAACCACTTGTTCTTCAATTAGCTTTCATCTTGCTCTGGTCTTTTATTTTGTTTGCACTGCAGTTTTCCTCATAAATAATAAAAAGATCACACGTATTCAGTCAGGTAAGAAAGATCCTCTCGCTCTTATTTTAAGGAGCAATCGTCCTCTACTCCCCAACCCATGTCAAGGAGAGTCCAAAGGAATGGGACCCCTACTCTGATCCAGGACACCTCTTGGCCTGACCCATCTTCGGTGCCGGTTGGCCTGACCCATCTTCGGTGCCGGAGGTTGACACCCGCCCACCTTGGGCCTCCTCGCCTCCCTCCCGTAGAGCCTTCAGCCTACAACTCGGACCCGCGCCCGCCGGAACCTACGGGGGCGCCCGCGCGGGAGCCACCCCGCCCCCAGCCCGCCGGCGCGCGGCCGACGCGCGAGCACGACCCGCCAACCCGACGGCCGCCGGGGCCTCGGCGCCGGTCCCACCCGGTCCCAGGCTACGCTCTGCGGAGAGCGCGGCATTCGAGACAGCGCACTCGGGCTTCTCCCGCACGGTCAGCGCTCGGGCGCCAGCAGCAGACGGAGGGGCAGAGCCGGGTCGGAGCGGAAAATCACGCAGCCCGGCCCGGGAACCGACCTGTGGAGACCGCCATCTTCTCCTGCAGCCCGACGCAGCCGCCCGCACGCACGCACGAACCGTCGCGCGTCACTTCCGGGAGCGCGCCGCCCTGCACGCGTCACAGCGGACTCCGCCCCCGGCGGGCGCGGGGCGACCCGAGGGACAGCGCGCACGTGGGCCGAGGGGTCGCGGGGCCTCGCTGCTGTTTCCGCAATTCCCTTGTGAATCCCGCTCTCAAAATGAAACGCTAAAGAATAAGTTCATGAGGGCCGGGCGCGGTGGCTCACGTCTGTAATCCCAGCACTTTGGGAGGCCGAGGCGATCGGATCACCCGAGGTCAGGAGTTCGAAACCAGCCTGGCCAACATGGCGAAACCCCGTCTCTACTAAAAATACAAAAATTAGCCGGACGTGGTGGCGCGCGCCTGTAATCCCAGCTATTTGGGAGGCTGAGGCACGAGAATCGTTTGAACCGGGGAGGCGGAGGGGCAATGAGCCGCGATTGCGCCACTGCACTCCAGCCTGGACAACAGAGCGAGACTCCGCCTCAAAAAAATAAATAAAAATAAGTGGGCATTGACAGATTTGCGTTGATAAACGATTCAAAAGAGTTGGACAATAAATTTGAACAGCTAGGGATGCTGAGGTGGGAGGGTCACGTGAGCCCAAGAGGTGAGGCTGCAGTGAGCAGAAATCGCTGCACTCCAGCCTGGGCAACAGAGGGAGACTCCATTTCAAAAAAAAAAAAGAAAGAAAGAAAAAGGAAAGTAATACAGGCTGGGCGCCGAAGCTCACTTCTGTAATCCTAACACTTTGGGAGGCTGAGGCAGGAGGATGGCTTGAACCCAAGACTTTGAGACCAGCTTGGACAACATAGTGATACCTAGTCTCTACATAAAACTGAAAAAAAAAAAAAAAAAAGATTTTTCACATCCCTTGTAGGTTGTATTCCTAGGTATTTTTATTCTCTTTGTAGCAATTGTGAATGGGAGTTCACTCATGATTTGGCTCTCTGTTTGTCTGTTATTAGTGTATAGGAATGCTTGTGATTTTTGCACATTGATTTTGTATCCTGAGACTTTGCTGAAGTTGCTTGTCAGCTTAAGAAGATTTGGGGCTGAGACTATGGGGTTTTCTAAATATACAATCATGTCATCTGCAAACAGAGACAATTTGACTTCCTCTTTTCCTAATTGAATACCCTTTATTTCTTTCTCTTGCCTGATTGCCCTGGCCAGAACTTCCAATACTATGTTGAATAGGAGTGGTGAGAGAGGGCATCTTTGTCTTGTGCCGGCTTTCAAAGGGAATGCTTTTGGCCGGGCATGGATCCCAGCACTTTGGGAGGCGGAGGCGGGCGGATCACGAGGTCAGAAGATCAAGACCATCTTGGCTAACACAGTGAAACCCTGTCTCTACTAAAAAAAAAAAAATACAAAAAATTAGCCAGGCATGGTGGCAGGCCCCTGTAGTCCCAGCTACTCGGGAGGCTGAGGCAGGAGAATGGCGTGAACCCGGGAGTTGGAGCTTGCAGTGAACCGAGATGGCGACACTGCACTCCACCCCAGCCTAGGGGACAGAGCGAGACTCCATCTCAAAATAAAAAAAAATAAAAAATAAAAAGAATCCTTCATTCCAGTTTTCGCCCATTCAGTATGATATTGGCTGTGGGTTTGTCGTAAATAGCTCTTATTATTTTGAGATACATTCCATCAATGCCTAGTTTATTGAGAGTTTTTAGCATGAAGGGCTGTTGAATTTTGTCGAAGCCTTTTCTGCATCTATTGAGATAATCATGTGGTTTTTGTCATTGGTTCTGTTTATGTGATGGATTACATTTATTGATTTGCATATGTTGAAGCAGCCTTGCATCCCAGGGATGAAGCCGACTTGATCTTGGTGGATAAGCTTTTTTGATGTGCTGCTGGATTCGGTTTGCCAGTATTTTATTGAGTATTTTCGCATCAATGTTCATCAGGGGTATTGAGCCCACGTAGCCAAGGCAATCGTAAGCAAAAGGAACAAAGCTGGAGGCATCACACTACCTACCTGACTTCAAACTATACTGCGAGGCTACAGTAAAAAAAATTGCCTAGTACTGGTACCAAAACAGATATATAGATCAATGGAACAGAACAGAGGCCTCAGAAATAACTCCACATATCTACAACCATCTGATCTTTGACAAACCTGACAAAAACAAGCAATGGGGAAAGGATTCCTTATTTAATAAATGGTGTTGGGAAAACTGGGTAGCCATATGCAGAAAGCTGGAACTGGATCCCTTCCTTACACCTTATACAAAAATTAACTCAAGATGGATTAAAGACTTAAACGTAAGACCTAAAACCATAAAAACCCTAGAAGAAAACCTAGGCAATACCATTCAGGATGTAGGCATGGGCAAAGACTTCATGACTAAAACACCAAAAGCAATGGCAACAAAAGCCAAAATTGACAAATGGAATCTGATTAAACTAAAGAGCTTCTGCACAGCAAAAGAAACTACCATGAGAGTGAACAGGCAACCTATAGAATGGGAGAAAATTTTTGCAATCTATCCATCTGACAAAGGGCCAATATATAGAATCTACAAAGAACTTAAACAGATTTACAAGAAAAAAATAAGTCCATCAAAAAGTGGGCAAAGGATATGAACAGACACTTCTCAAATGAAGACATTTATGCAGCCAACAAACATGAAAAAAAGCTCATCATCACTGGTCATTAGGGAAATGCAAATCAAAACCACAATGAGCTACCATCTCACACCAGGTAGAATGGTGATCATTAAAAAGTCAGGAAACAACAGATGCTGGAGAGGATGTGGAGAAATAGGAATGCTTTTACACTGTTGGTGGGAGTATAAATTAGTTCAACCATTGTGGAAGACAGTGTGGCGATTCCTCAAGGATCTAGAACTAGAAATACCATTTGACCCAGCAATCCCATTACTGGGTATATACCCAAAGCATTATAAATCATTCTACTATAAAGACACATGCACATGTATATTTATTGTGGCACTGTTCACAATAGCAAAGACTTGGAACCAACCCAAATGGCCATCAGTGATAGACTGCATAAAGAAAATGTGGCAAATATACACCATGGAATACTATGCAGCCATAAATTAGGATGAGTTCATGTCCTTTGCAGGAACATGGATGATGCTGGAAACCGTCATTCTCAGCAAACTATCACAAGAACAGAAAACCAAACACCTCATGTTCTCACTTATAAGTGGGAGTTGAACAGTGAGAACACATGGACACAGGGAGGGGAACATCACACACTGGGGCCTGTCAGGGGTTGGGGGCTAGGGGAGGGATAGCATTAGGAGAAATACGTAATGTAGATGACAGGTTGATGGGTGTAGCAAACCACCATGGCACGTGTATACCTCTGTAACAAACCTGCATGTTCTGCCCCTGTTCCCCAGAATTTAAATTAAAAAAAAAAAAAAAGGAGAAAAAGTAGTTAAGAGAAAAAAAAAAAAGCTGGCATTCTGGTTCGTGCCTGTAGCCTCAACTACTCAGGAGGATGAGATGGGAGGATCACTTGAGCCAGGAGGTTAAGGCTTCAGTGAGTTATGATGGCACCACTGTAATACAGCCTGGGCAACAGAATGAGACACTGTCTTAAAAAAAAAAATGCAGGGGGCCAGGTGCGGTGGCTCACGCCTGTAATCCCAACACTTCAGGAGGCCAAGGCAGGTGGATCACAAGGTCGGGAATTCAATACCAGCCTGGCCAAAATGGTGAAACCCTCCCTCTACTAAAAATAGAAAAATTAGCCAGGTATGGTGGCGGCCACCTGTAATCCCAGCTACTTGGGAGGCTGAGGCAGAGAATTGCTTGAACCCAAGAGGCGGAGGTTGCAGTGAGCTGAGATCACACCACTGCACTCCAGCCTGGATGACAAGAGCGAGACTCTGCCTCAAAAAAAAAACAAAAAAACAAAACAAAAAAAAAAAACAGAAGAGGAAATAAAGAAGAATCATAATATACTATCCTTATCTACTCTCAAGCCACTGTAACTTGACAAGCCAAAATGAGACTGTTTTTCTCACAAAGGGACCTGACACAATAACCTAACTGAAATTTCTTACCAGTGCAGAGAAAAACTCTAATATTATCATCAAATTATTAAACTTTCCCCAAGTTTGTCTGCTGAGTTCTAGTGACCTCAGCATTATATACTTAGCAACAGCCTCTAGCTGACCTATCCTAAATATCAATATTTCTTAAACACCACATTTATTATGTCCTTACTGATTGAGAAAACCTGCATTTGCTTCCTTTTGCCTACCACCAGATTGGTAGTAAGTTTCATATTGATTGCCAGTAATGATTATCTGAAGAGCCATTTCTAAGACCATATCCAAGTTCAGCAGAAAAAAAGTCTTGTCATCCCATGTTGGTGTAACTACCATAGGTAGTTATAGCAGAAAATGGTCCATTTACCACCCTGGCCAAGGATGCCAAGCCCAAACACCACGGCCTGATTTTCACAACCTACCAGAACCCAGCCTCCACTGATACCTCCTGAATGATTTCCCATCTCTCTCCAGTGGATGCCCACACTCAGCCAAGCCGCCTCTCAGGTGCACTATTGCCACTGCCCTGGTTGTTTCTCCACCTGAGATACCACATCTCTCCTCCACCTTTCAACATCCTGTCCTCCCTTAAGGCCAAATTGAAATCCCACTTCTCTGAATCCTTTCCTGATTTATTTTTCTTGTCTTTTCATTAAACTGATCTGCTCTTTTAGTCTGTACTAAGAAGTTAGTACAGCAAAAAAACTAATATGTTCTCTCTGTAACATGAAAATCAGATCCATTTTAATCCACTTGACTTTTTAACCCTCAGAGTTGTGGGGCCTCAATAGCCAAGACATTCATGGACCCTCCCACTAGCAGGAAGCTCAGTACCTGCGATCAAAGCACACTCACACACATGCACACACAGAAAAACCCATTATGCGCCCTGGGAACATTGTTGCCTTGACATTTTCATGCTATCTCCCCTGTAATTTAAATTTGGAA
Organism: Homo sapiens; assembly: GCF_000001405.40. NCBI lineage: Eukaryota > Metazoa > Chordata > Mammalia > Primates > Hominidae > Homo > Homo sapiens. Next base: position 48,003,442 of record NC_000008.11, on the reverse strand, counting down.
CTGGGCTTCTTTCTCCTGTTGAGGACAAAGTTCAACCACTTAAAGTGTTTGGTCTAAAGCTTACTCTTCTCCACTTTCATTATGTTTTCCCTGTTTACGGTGCCATCCAATTATGGAATCTGATGGTTAATTCCCAGTGCTCATCCCACTTGACCTGCCAGCAGCTTCTAGAGCAATCAACAATTCTGTTATCTGAGAACTAAATTCTCTCTTTTTTTTTTTTTTTTTTGTTTGAGACAGAGTCTTGCTCTGTCGCCCAGGCTGTAGTGCAGTGGCGCAATCTTGGCTCACTGCAACCTCCACCTCCCGAGTTCAAGCGATTCTCCTGCCTCAGCCTCCCAAGTAGCTGGGACTACAGGCATGCGCCACCATGCCCAGCTAATTTTTGTATTTTTAGCAGAGACGGGGTTTCACCATGTTGGCCAGGATGGTCTCAATCTCTTGACCTCATGATTCGCCTTCTTCGGCCTCCCAAAGTGCTGGGATTACAGGTGTCAGCCACTGCGCCTGGCCAATTCTCTCTTTCTTTTTTAACGACATGATATTTTGAAATACGTATACATTACGGAATGGCTAAATCAACTTAATTAACATATGCATTACCATACGTATCATATTCTGGTAAGGACACTTAAAATCTATTCTCAGCCATTTGCAAGAATACAGTACGTTGTTATTAACTATAGATCTGAATTTATTCCTCCTATCTAACTGACATTTTGTATCCTTTGACCAACATCTCCCCAATCCCCCCACACCCTGGTAACCACTGTTTTTCCTTTCCTTTCCTTTTTCCTTTCCCCTCCCCTCCCCTTCTCCTCTCCTCTCAGTTTCACCATATTGCCCAGGCTAGTCTCCAACTCCTGAGGTCAAGCAATCTGCCCACCTCGGCTTCCCAAAGTGCTGGGATTACAGGTGTGAGCCACCATGCCTGGCCTCCATTCCTTACTTTTGAGTTGAAATTATTTTATATTCCACAAGTAAGTGAGATAATGTAATATTTATCTTTCTGTGCCTGGCTTATTTCACTTTAATATAAGGTCCTCCAGGTTCACCCACATTGTAACAAATGACTGTTTCTTTCTTTTTAAGACTGAGTAGTATTCTACTGTGTACATATATGCCACATTATCTTTATCCATTCATCCACTGATGGACACAAGTCAATTCTGTATCTTGAGGCTATTGTGAATAATATTTGCAGTGGTTTGAATGTGTCCCCCAAAGATCAAGTGTGGGAAACAATCCCCAATGCAACAATGTTAAGAGGTACGACCTTTAATTAATTATTAGATCATAAGCCTCTGCTTCTTTTTGGAATGTCTTTTTGGATCTGTTGCCCTTTTTTTTTTTCTGAGTCGGAGTTTCACTCGTTTCCCAGGCTGGCATGCAATAGCGCAATCTCAGCTCACTGCAACCTCCACCTCCTGGGTTCAAGCGATTCTCCTGCCTCAGCCTTCCAAGCAGCTGGGATTACAGGCATGCGCCACCACGTCCGGCTCATTTTGTATTTTTAGTAGAGATGGGGTTTCACTATGTTGGTCAGGCTGGTCTCAAACTCCTGACCTCAAGTGATCCACCCGCCTTGGACTCCCACAGTGCTGGGATTACAGGCATGAGCCACTGTGCTGAGCCTGTTGCCCATTTTTAAATCAGGTTATTTGCTTTCTTGCTTTTGAGTTGTTTGAGTTCCTTATATATTTTTGATATTAAGCTCTTTTCAGATGTATGGTTTGCAAATATTTTCTCCCATTCTGTGGGTTGTTTTTTCTGGAGGACCAATTTTTCACTTGGCTTCAAAGCTACCACACTTTCATAGTGTTTTTTTGTTTTGTTTTGTTTTTGAGACAGGGTCTTACTCTGTTGCCCAGCCTGGAGTGCAGTGGCACCATCACAGCTCACTGCAGCCCTAACCTCCCAGGCTCAAGTGATCCTTCACTTCAGCCTCTTGAGTAGCTGGGACTACAGATACATGCCACAATGTCTGGCTAATCTGTTGTATTTTTTGTAGAGACAGGTTTCACCATGTTGCCCAGGCTCACCTCAAACTCTTGAGCTCAAGTGATCCGCCCACCTCGGTCTCCCAAAGTGCTAGGATTACAGGCATGTCCTAGTGTTTTAAAGGTAGTAGGTTTGGTCAGGAGGCAGGAGCAAGAGGAAAATGTGGGTAACAGCCTTAATTGTATTTTCCATGGGAAGGAACAGGAAAGGAATGACAAGCAGGCTTAGCATTGGCTGCTAAGCCAATGCTAAGCGGGCTCTGAGGCATAAGGGCTGTCCCTAATTGTCGGTTACTTTGTCCTTGAATGATTAAGTTGGGAAAATAGTGTCCAGAGTGTGAGAGCTCAATAATGAAGGTGGTGAGGGAGCGCACTCGGTTGGTTTGTATTTGAAAGGCTCAATCCACAAAGTGCTGTTTACTATCTCTAGGAATTAGCTAACACTGAGAGGGGCCATCCTTCAAGGGTCCACAAGGCCTCAAGTCGTCAATGCATCAAAATACAGAGAAACACCTGGTCCTTCTGCTACTTCACTTGCCATTTATTCTGAGTCTTCCTCTTCTACATGAATTCATAGTATTGAGGACTAGTTCTTTTTTTTTTTTTTTTTTTTTTTTTTTTGAGGCAAAGTCTCCCTCTGTTGCCCAGGCTGGAGTGCAGTGACGTGATCTCCACTCACTGCAGGCTCCGCCTCCTGGGTTCATGCCATTCTCCTGCCTCAGCCTCCCAAGTAGCTGGGACTACAGGTGCCCGCCTCCATACCCAGCTAATTTTTTTGTATTTTTAGTAGAGACAGGGTTTCACCATGTTAGCCAGGATGGTCTCTATCTCCTGACCTCGTGATCTGCCCACCTCGGCCTCCCAAAGTGCTGGGATTACAGGCATGAGCCACTGCACCCAGCCATTGAGGACTAGTTCTTAGTGGCCTTATCAGAGCCCCAGCAGCAGAGAGTGGTTGGCTTGCAGGTGGTAAAATAATTTACCAACAACAGTTTAGGTTTGAAAAGGAAAGTTATATTAGATAACACATTGCAGCAGACTGCAACAGGGCGCTTCGGCAAGAGAGGACTGAGCTGCACAGTGGATTTTACTTAGGAGTATTTATGGACCTTAAAGTGGGAGACTAAGGATAATTTGGACCATCTTAGCCACACATGTCATGATAAGTGATTACATCTGTAGACATTTTGGTGCCATGATGTCAGCAAGGGTTGCACAATGAGTTTCAACATGCATACATTCCAGAGACGTATAGAAATTCTAGTTAAGGGAGGAGACCACCCCTCATATTGTCTTATGCCCAATTTCTGCCTCCAAAGAAAGAAGATGTAAAAACTAAAAGGCAGAAATGAAATCCACAGGCAGACAGCCTGGTGCCATGGCCTGGGCCTGGTAGTTAAAGATCAACCCCTGACCTAACCGGTTATGTTATCTATAGATTCCAAACATTGTATGGAAAAGCATTGTGAAAATCCCTGTCCTGTTCTGTTCCATTCTGATTACTGGTGCATGCAAGCCCCCTGCTTGCTCAATCGATCACAACCCTTTCATGTGGACCCCCTTAGAGTTGTCAGCCCTTAAAAGGGACAGGAATTGCTCAATCGGGGAGCTCGGTTTTTGAGACGTGAGTCTGCCGATGCTCCCGACCGTATAAAGCTCCTTCCTTCTTTAACCCAGTGTCTGAGGAGTTTTGTCTGTGGCTCATCCTGCTACATACTTACTTATAAGTTTTTTGTAAAGAAGCTTGGTACCAGATGCTGGCTTTAGATAATAGGGAAGTCTGGGCTGGGCGCAGTGGCTCATGCCTGTAATCACAGCACTTTGGGAGGCCGAGGCATGCAGATCACAAGGTCAGGAGATCAAGACCATCCTGGCTAACATGGTGAAACCCCGTCTCTACTAAAAATACAAAAAAAAAATTAGCTGGGCATGGTGGAACATGCCTGTAATCCCAGCTACTCGGGAGGCTGAGGCAGGAGAATCACTTGAACCTGGGAGGCAGAGGTTGCAGTGAGCCAATATTGTGCCACTGCACTCCAGCCTGGCGACAGAGCAAGACTCCATCTCAAAAAAAAAAAAAGGGGAAGTCTAATTACTTATGAATTCCTCAGATAAGGAGTATTGCCTCTGGATGGTCCACTTGATAGCCACCAGGTGATCTTTGCTCTCCTCAGTTCTCAGTCCTTGGATATTGTTAGGGACAAACTGCCCAAAGAAAGCTTCTTTGGTGCTGCCCACCCCTCCCCCTAATGCTCTGCAACTCTTCTCTGTGCCACCCACCCTTCCCCAAGTCTCTTTACATTTCTAAGCCCTTATCAAGGGCCATGGTGAAGCCAGCCGACTTTCACTTATCAGACCTTGCTGCGATAAGCAAACCCCAATTACAAACCACTCAGACCGCATAGGGGAAGGTTGTGGGAAGCATAAACAAACTTTACCTACACCCTCCTGTAATAAACGTCACAAGGTGATATGTGGCAAAATTAACCAGCAAACAACCCCAGGATGCGGCCATACCAAAGAACTCCCTCAAGCTACTTTCCCCAATATAAACCCCTCATTCTGTAAGCTTGGTGCTGCTTCCCTTGACTGTTAAGGGGTCAGCCGGCAGGTTAATAAAAACTTGCTCGCCTGACTTTGGGTCTATTTTTCCTTTCTCTTGGCTGACCTTACATTCTGGTGCCGAAACCGGGAAGGGGATAGACTCTGGCCGGCTCTCGCTCTCTGTCTCTCTCTCTCTCACTCTCTCTTTCTCTCTCTCTCTCCCCCTCCCTCCCCTATCACCTATCTCCTGGCCAGTCTCTCCCCTTCCCTGAACCTGCCGAAGTCCCAGAGAATCTCCTAGACTCTCCCACTGCTGACGACTTCATCCACCATCAAAGCCTCCGCCAGGGTGAGTAAAAAGAGACTGTTGCTGTTCTCCGAAACCCTTGACCGCCTGTCTCTCAGTTTCCAAAAGACCCAGCCCTGGGTCAAGGGCTTCCTCCGGCCTCCAGGCTTCTGGTTCCTCTGTGTCAGGGACACCTGACACGGCGGTTACCTTCTCTATTCCAGACAAGTTCCCCAGGAAAGGGAACGCCCTCTTCCACGTCCTTGTCACCGGCAGTCTCTTCTTCTTCTACGTGCGCCCCTACTTCCATTCATAATAGGAGCCTTTCAGTCTGCTCCTTCTAAAACTACCTGCCTTGGGTGCCTCCTATGCAATCTCAATACTCTTGGCCTCCGTTCAGAAATCTGCCCTAAAAGGCTTATCTTTTACTGTAATACCGCGTGACCTCAATACAAATTAGACCATGACTCCCAATGGTCCGAAAATGGCACTTTCGATTCCAACGTGCTCAGAGACTTAAGACAACTTTTGTCACCGCAATGGGAAGTGGTCTGAGATTCCTTATGTTCTGGCTTTCTTTACTCTCTGTAGTCATCCTTCCCTCTGCCAGTCTTGCTCTACTTTTCAAATTATCCTCGCCCGCTCCAAACTCCACTCGCCTCCTGCTCCCCTCACCCCAATAGCCCCAGCCGATGACTTCGCCTCCTTTGATCCCACTGATTTTTCCCCTCCTTGACAACATCCTAATCCTCCACCAGAACAGCATGACCCCCCCACCGTATGCCTCCACTCCGGCTCTACCTCCGTCTCTCCAACCATCCCGCCTCCTACTCTGAGTCCTCCCCGTCTCCACCCCTTACTCGTCCTCGAGCCCAGCATGCCCAGCAGCCCGCTCCCTTGCTTCCTCTCCGGGAAGTGGCAGGGGCCAAAGGGATTGTCTGTGTCCACGTCCCCTTTTCCCTCTCTGATTTCTCCCAAACTGAGGAACGTCTGGGGTCCTTGTCCTCCCATCCCGACACTTATATGAAAGAATTTAAATATCTCACCCAGACTTATGAACTTACTTGGCATGATCTCTATATTATTCTGTATTCTACCCTCCTTCTGGATGAGAAGGAAACAATGTGACTTGCAGCCCAGGCCCATGCGGATGACTTCCATTGGCAAGATTTTACTGGCCAGTAGGGGCCGCTGCAGTCCCCCTGGGAAGAGCCTACCTGGGAATATTAACCCCCAGACACCAGCCGGGCCTCCCGTAATCATATGATTACTTGCCTCATTGCAGGCCTTAACAAAACTGCCCATAAGGGTGTACATTTCGAAAAACTCAAAGAAACCTCCCAAAAGGCCGATGAAAACCCTGCCCAATTCCTTTCTCGCCTTATAGAGGCTCTCCAAAAATATACCCATGTCAATCCTGCCTCCCAGGAAGGAACTATTGTTCTTAACACCCATTTTTTCCCCAATCTGCCCCCGACATCCAGCGCATATTTAAAAAGGCTGAAGATGGCCCTCAAACCCCACAACAAGACCTCCTTAACCTGGCTTTCAAAGTCTTTAATAGCAGGGATGAGCAAAATAAATTAGAGAAAGCCCAAAGAGATCGTGCTAAATACCAACTTCTAGCAGCGGCTATCCATCAACCCAGCCATATTACCCAAGGGCACAAAGACCTGATAGCAGCAAACCTCCTGGGCCTTGTTTTAAGTGTGGCAAAGAAGGCCACTGGGCATGGGCATGTCCTAACCCTCGAGTACCAAAGAGCCCTTGCCCAGTCTGCCAGCAGACAGGCCACTGGAAGTCCCTCTGTCCTCTCAGCAAACGGACAGACAAGCCTGCTCCTCAGAGCCACCACCCCTTCAGCAAGACAAAAAGTGAAGAATTGCTTGCACTCCCACAGCTCCTCGGCCTAGCCACTGAAGACTGACAAGGCCCAGGGCCCCTGGCCCCCACTGCCATCACTGCATGGAGCCCAGTGTAACTCTACTGGTAGCAGGTAAGCCGATCTCTTTTTTAATCGATAGCGGGGCCACCTACTGGGCTTTGCCTGAATTTTCAGGACCCACTCATGCCTCCCAGATCTCAGTTGTGGGGCTTGACGGACTCATCTCATGTTAGTCCACGCGCCACCAGACCCCTTACTTGCTCTCTGTTTGATACTGTTTTCTCACACTCTTTCCTTATCATGCCTCATTGCCCTACCCCCCATCCTAGGCCAAGACCTTTTAGCCAAATTCAAAGATTCTATCACCTTTTTCTGCCTTCCTCAACCAGAGTCCCTCCTACTCCTTTGCGCTAGTCTGGCCCCTGAGCCCTCTCCCCAGTACCCACTTCCCACCTCTCTTGTAAACCCAATAGTATGGGACACCACCACCCCTTCCCTAGCTGCTCACCGTGACCCCATCAAAATCCAGTTAAAAGACCCCTCTAAATTTCTCAATGTCCCCCCAATATCCCATCTCCCTAACCCACCAAAAAGGCTCACAGCCAGTCACAAGCTCTGCTCACGCAGTCTTCTTAGGCCAACACATTTTCCATATAACACCCCCATCCTCTTGGTTAAAATATCAGATGGCTCATACCAACTCATCCAAGACCTCCAAGCCATCAATCAGGCCATCCTTCCTATTCATCCCATAGTCCCTAACCCCTATACACTTCTCTCTTTCATTCCCTCCAACACTACCCACTACACTGCTATTGACCTGAAAGATGCCTTTTTAACTATTCCCCTTCACCCTGATTCCCAAAACCTCTTTGCTTTTACCTGGACTGACCCTGACACCCTCCAGTCACAACAACTCACCTGGACTGTCCTCCCTCAAGTCTTCAGAGATAGCCCTCATTTCTTTAGACAAGTTTTAGCTTGAAATCTCACCTCCTTAAACCTTTCCCCCAGCTGTCTTCTTCATTACGTGGACGAACTTCTCCTTTGCAGCCCCTCTCTAGAAGACTCTCAAACCCACACAGTCTCTCTCTTAAACTTTCTTGCCACCAAAGGGTATAGAGTCTCCCCCTCCAAAGCTCAATTTTCCAGCTCCGTAGTAACTTACCTAAGAGTTCAACTTTCCTCTGGGGACCAGGCTATGACCCTGCCCAAGAGGCACTAATAGATAATCTGCCCCCGCCCCACCAAAAGGAAACTCCTTTCCTTCCTAGGACTAGCGGGCTTTTTTAGAATATGGATTCCCAACTTTGCCCTCCTAGCTCACCCCCTGTATGAAGCAGCCAAAGGCCCCCTCAATGAGCCCCTAAATCCCTCACATAACATATTCCCCATCTTCCGCAAACTTCAAACTGCTCTTGTCACTGCACCAGCTCTGTCCTTACCTGATATCTCCCAACCTTTCACTCTCTCCTTTTTTTTTTTTTTTTTTTCAGAAGGAGTCTTGCTCTGTCGCCCAGGCTGGAGTGCGGTGGCGCGATCTTGGCTCACTGCAAGCTCTGCCTCCCAGGTTCAAGCCATTCTCCTGCCTCAGCCTCCCAAATGGCTGGGACTACAGGCACCCGCCACCATGCCCGGCTAATTTTTTGTATTTTTAGTAGAGATGGGGTTTCACTGTGTTAGCCAGGATGGTCTCGATCTCCTGACCTCATGATCCACCCGCCTTGGCCTCCCAAAGTGCTGGGATTACAGGTGTGAGCTGCCGCACCCAGCCCAACCTTTCACTCTCTATACTGCTGAAAGCTGAGGAATAGCCCTTGGTGTCTTAGGGCAACAGAAAGGAGACCCTCCTTCCTTTGCCCCTGTAGCCTACCTCTCTAAACAATTAGGCAACACAGTCGGAGGATGGCCAACCTGTCTTAGAGCGCTAGCAGCAGCAGCCGCTTTAGCTCTAGAAAGCAGGAAACTAACATTTAGTCAAAATACCACCATCTATAGTCCTCATAATCTACAGGATCTCCTCTCCTCCCGAGAATTAGGCTCCCTTCCTCCTTCCCAGATTCAGTTACTTCATGCCCTCTTTTGTTACGGGAAGTCAGGGACCCTGAATGGAGGGACTGACTGGAGCCAAGGCAGAAGAACATAAATTGTAAAGATTTCGTGGACATTTATCAGTTCCTAAAATTAATACTTTTATAATTTCTTATGCCTGTCTTTACTGCAGTCTCTGAACATAAATTGTGAAGATTTCATGGACATTTATCAGTTCTCAAAATTAATACTTTTATAATTTCTTATGCCTGTCTTTACTGCAGTCTCTGAACATAAATTGTGAAGATTTCATGGACATTTATCACTTCCCCAATCAATACTCATAATTTCTTATGCCTGTCTTTACTTTAATCTCTTATTCCTGTTATCTTCATAAGCTGAGAATGTATGTCACCTCAGGACCACTATTGTACAAATTGATTGTAAAATATGTGTGTTGAATAATATGAAATCAGCACACCCTGAAAAAGAACAGAATAACAGTGATTTTCAGGGAACAAGGAAAGATAACCATAAGGTCTAACTGCCTGTGGGGTCGGGCAGAACAGAGCCATATTTTTCTTCTTGCAGAGAGCCTCTAGACGGACATATGAGTAGGAGAATTATTGCCGAATTCTTTTCCCAGCAAGAAATATTAATAATTGAGACCCTGGGGAAGGAATGCATTCCTGGGGGTAGGTCTATAGATGGCTGCTCTGGGAGTGTCTGTCTTATGCGATTGAGATAAGGACTGAAATACACCCTGGTCTCCTGCAGTACCCTCAGGCTTACTAGGATTGGGAAATTCCAGCCTGGTAAATTCTAGTCAGACCGGTTGTCTGCTCTCGAACCCTGTTTCCTGTTAAGATGTTTATCAAGACAATGTATGAACAGCGGGACATAGGCCCTCATCAGTAATTCTAATTTTGCCTTGCCTTGTGACCTTTATTGCCCTCTGAAGCACGTGATCTTTGTGACTTACTCCCTGTTCATACACCCCTTCCCCTTTTAAAATCCCTAATAAAAACTTGCTGGTTTTGTGGCTCGGGGTTGCCATCACTGTGTTCTACCAATATGTGATGACACCCCCGGAGGCCCAGCTGTAAAATTTCTCTCTTTGTACTCTTTCACTTTATTTCTCAGACCAGCCGACACTTAGGGAAAATAGAAAGAACCTACATTGAAATATCGGGGGCTGGTTCCCCCGATACTCTTTATCAAAAATCCCAAATTCAGTCTCGCCAAAAGTGCTCACCTCACCCAGCATCCTTACTCCCTGTATCTTCTTCCCCTCCTACTCATTCTTGCACTGACATCCAAGATCACCTGCAGCCATACTTTCCCAACATTTCCTCCAAGCCTCTCACCAACCCTGACGACCAGCTATTTATAGATGGCTCCTCTTCCTGTCCCACTTGCTCCCCCAAAATTGCTGGGTATGCAGTTGTTTCCCTTGACCAAGTAACTGAAGCTAAGCCCCTACCTCCAGGAACCTCCTCTCAAAAAGCTGAACTCATAGCTCTCAACAGAGCCCTAACCGTTTCCAAAGGCAGACGAGTCAATATTTACACAGACTCCAAATATGCCTATCACATTCTTCATTCCCACGCCACCATCTGGCAAGAGACGGGATTTCTCACTGCCAAAGGGACCCCTATCACTAACGGCTCCCTTATTTACCAACTCCTTCAGGCCACTAGGATTACTCAGACTTACTAGGCTTACATCTCCCAACTGAGGCAGGAGTTATACACTGTCAGGGACATCAAATGGGACAGATAAAATCTCAGGAGGGAACATAGAGGCTGATGAGGCAGCAAAAGAAGCCTCCCTTTCTTCCGCTCCTGCCTCCCTCCTCCTCATTACCCCTGCAATCCAACCTCAATACTCCCCTACTGAGAAGGCCTTATTACTGCAACAAGGAACCTTCCTCCAGGGGGACTGCCTAGTTAAGGACCAGAAGCTAGTTCTTCCCCAGGGACAAACCGACAAAATCCTGACATCCCTCCACCAATCCTTCCATACTGGTGCATGTCCCCTGTATCTCCTCCTCCACCCATATTTCTTCTTCCCTCACCTATTCACCTCACTAAAAAACATAACTTCAAATTGTCATATATGCTCTGTCACCTCCTCTCAAGGAGCCCTCCATTCCCCATCTATTCCTGCACACCAGCTAAGAGGAATACTCCCAGGGGAACACTGGCAAATAGACTTCACCCACATGCCTCCTGTCAAAAACACAAGATTCCTTCTCACTCTTATAGACACCTTCTCTGGGTGGGTGGAGGCATTTCCTACCTCTTCAGAAAAAGCCGCAGTAGTCTCCCAGATCCTCATCACAGAAATCATCCCTAGGTTTAGTCTCCCTTGCTCCATTCAATCAGACAATGGCCCTGCCTTCATTTCCCAAATCACCCAACAGGTCTCCCAGCCCCTTGGCGTCCACTGGTGCCTCCATATCCCATATTGACCCCAGTCATTAGGAAAAGTCAAAAGGGCAAATGGAATCCTTAAAACTCAGTTGACCAAACTCACTCTAGAAGTCCAGAGGCCCTGGACTTCCCTCCTACCCATAGCTCTAGCCCGCATCAGAGCCAACCCAAAAGCACCCTCCTTCCTCAGCCCATTTGAATTAATGTATGGATGCCCTTTCCTCTTACAAAACAGGCCTCCTTCTGATTTTCAATTAGGAGAATACCTCCCAACACTCTCCCTCATCTGCCATCTCCTCCGCAAACAGGCAGACCAGGCCCTCCCAAAACTGAATAAACTCCCCACTGACCACAGCCTCCTACCAGGAGAACATGTTTTCCTAAAAGCCCTTAACCCAACCAGCCTTTAACCAAAAGGGGAAGGCACTTTCCAGGTCATCCTTACAACCCCTACTGCAGCCAAACTCTCAGGACATACCTCCTGGTATCACCTTTCCAGGTTAAAGAGAGCTCCCACCTCCAATCTACTGACCTGCACTTCACCAACTTCTAATCGGTATTCCAGCACATTCCTCGGGCCAAACTGAGTCTGCCTCACATCCATCCCAGAAGAAACTTCACATCAGTAAATCCATCCATCTCAAACAGGTTTAAACTACTATTACAACTAGCCTCCTTTAATGGAAACACTCTATTACACCTTAATTGCAGGCATTATAGTACTTACCCTGTATAGTGCAATTCCTTTCGATTGGAATACCAGCCAAAAACCCTCCCTCACTTTAGCCTTCTGCCTAATTGTTATCCGTATAGCAGGAATCACAATCACTAACAAACAAACATTCCCACATCCTCCCTAGATGCCCTGCTTTTGTCTATCCTGCTGCTTCACTCTCTTCCTCACTCCCTCTCACAAGATATTTCCTAGTTCCGCCCATGGAACAACACCCTGGAAGCCTTTTTTGAGTGGATAACCGACCTTTTCTTCCAAGGCTCTCTATGGCTTCACTCTGGTGAAACCGAACTATTTACTTTTCTGCTCACTCTCTTCCTTTCTAACCCATCTCAGAATCAATACCCCAACCCTTCTTTCAGCCCAACCAATACCTATAACCCCTGAACACCTATACAGAACACTTAGTCTCACACACTCCTTACTAAAAAACTCCAATTCCTCCCTGGCAAGAGACTGCTGGCTCTGCGTATCCCTCTTCTCCACAACATACAATGCAATCCCTGCCTCAGCCTATAACTGGACTTCCACCCAAGTAACCTACCATCCCGAAATCCTCATTAACAGCCGCCTCGAACTCGACATGCCGGCATTAACAGAAATCTCCCCCAACTTAGCTAGCGAGTTCTGGCTCTTACAACCTTACATCCCTACTTACGCAACGTATCCCCCTACCACAGCCATGATAAACCCATATTAGGAGCCATAACAACCCACACAATCTTATCCTATGCAGCACCACTGGGCGTCCAATGACATCTACCCTCTGGCATTCCCCTCGGCAACCTGAATTCCAAACTGTGCAACTATACCCTACGACTCAAACCTTCCACTGAACATACTACTCTCAAAGCTGCCAACAATAAAGACAGGCTTCATTTCTCTAGCCCCCCCTGGCCCTTGACACCTCCCACCTCCTTAATAAAAATTCAGAGTACTGTAATGGCTGACACTTCCCCTGTTTATCCCTCTTCCCTTGGCTGCCCTCTCCATGCACCATCCCTGCACCCATCACCTGCGACTGTCTCCTTATCCCAACATTCAGCAACACTCCCACATGGATCTTAGTGGACACAAAATGCTTCCTTTTACACAAGGAAAAAGAACCCAAAAGCCTCCCGGACTAAACCAAACACCCCTTTACAACCACTTACACCAGCAGCCCTAGCCAGGACCCTAGGAGTATGGATGCATGAGAATAACAAAATAATACATCTTTTTAGCACACACAATCAGTTCTGTCTACCAAGCTAAGGTATACTTTTCCTATGTGGTACCTCAACTTATATTTGCCTCCCTTCTAACTGGACGGGCACCTGCACCCTGGTTTTCCTCAGTCCAAAAATCAATGTTGCCCAGGAGACCAACCCCTACCAATACCCCTATCCGACACTGCCGTGCTATACAATTCATACCTCTATTAGTAGCCCTTGGAATAACTACAGGAGTTGGAACTGGGATTATGGGATTAACCATCTCCATTTCCTATTACCAATCCCTCTCCAAAGACCTCACAGATAGCTTGGAAGAGATAGCCAAATACTCTCCAATCACAAATAGATTCTTTAGCGGTGGTGGTTCTTCAAAACCGCAGAGGCTTACACCTACTCACAGCCGAAAAAGAAGGACTATGCCTTTTTCTAGATGAACAGTGTTGCTTTTATCTTAACCAATCTGGCTTAGTATAAGATGCTGTAAAAATATAAAGGACCGAGCACAAAAAATTAAAGAAAACATCCTGCGATGGCCAGCGTGGCCCTCCCAGTCCTTTAGTAGCTGGTTTCCATGGCTAATGCCCGTCCTAGGCCCAGCCATAACCATTCATCTTTTTCTAGCATTCAGCCCTTGTCTCCTATGCCTTCTCACCCAGTTTTTACAGGACCCTATCAGCGCTTTCACCCACGGGACAATACAAAATATGATGCTGCTCCAGGAATACCAGAGGCTCCAAGAACAGCAGTCCCTACCGTCCAGCCTTCCCCGACAACTGTCGCCCTCTCCCAGTAAGAAGCAGCCAGATGATAACAGCACCCCTCTTCCATTACCTATTAAAAGTCTGGCATGAGAGGGACAACTGCCCCGAGAAAGCTTCTTTGTGCTGCCCACCCCTCCCCCAATGCTCTGCAATTCTTCTCCATGCCGCCCACCCTTCCCCAAGCCTCTTTACGTTTCTAAGCCCTTATGTAGTCGCTACGGTGAAGCCAACAGACTTCACTTATCAGACCTTGCTGCGATAAGCAAACCCCAATAACAAACCATCCAGACCGCACAGGGGGAGGTTGTGGGAAGCACAAACAAACTTTACTACACCCTCCTGTAATAAATGTCACAAGGTGATATGTGGCAAAATTAACCAGCAAACAACCCTGGGATGCAACCATACCAAAAAACTCCCTCAAACTTCCCTCCCCAATATAAACCCCTCATTCTGTAAGCTTGGTGCTGCTTCCCTTGACTATTAAGGGGGCAGCCGACAGGTTAATAAAAACTTGCTCACCTGACTTTGGGTCTATTTTTCCTTTCTCTCGGCTGATCTTACAGATATCTTTTTATCTCTCTCTACATTCACTTGGTGATCACACAATTAGGCTCATCACTTTAAGTGGCATCCATTTTTTTTTTTTTATTGTTTGTTTGGTTTGAGATGGAGTTTCGCTCGTCGCCCAAGCTGGAGTGCAGTGGCACGATCTCGGCTCACTGCAGCCTCTGCCTCCCAGGTTCAAGCGATTCTCCCGCCTCAGCCTCCCAAGTAGCTGGGATTACAGGCATGCACCACTATGCCCCGCTAATTTTTGTATTTTTAGTACAGATGGGTTTTCACCATGTTGGCCAGGCTGGTCTCGAACCCCAGAACTCAGGTGATCTGCCCGCTTCGGCCTCCCAAAGTGCAGGGATTACAGGCGTGAGCCACTGCGCCTGGGCAGCATCCGTATATTTCCACTCCCAATTTCTTATCTGAAGCCCGAAACCCTCCCATAAATTCTATGCTCTAATATCTAACTGCCTACTCAGGTTAGCATCTAAAAGGCTGTGTATTAGATGTCTCAAATTTAATTCAACTCCTATATTCTTCCCCAACAGAGTTCTACTGGAAGCCTTTTCTTTTTCTTTTTCTTTTTCTTTTTTTTTTTTTTTTTGAGACAGAGTCTTGCACCGTCGCCCCGGCTGAGTGCAGTGGTGCGATCTCAGCTCCCTGCAACCTCCGCCTCTCGGGTTCAAGCGATTCTCCTGCCTCAGCCTCCCAAGTAATTGGTATTACAGGTCCCGCCACCACACCCAGCTAATTTTTTGTATTTTTAGTAGAGATGGGGTTTCACTATGTTGGTCAGGCTGATCTCAAACTCCTGACCTCGTGATCCGCCTGCCTCAGCCTCCTAAAGTCCTGGAATTACAGGTGTGAGCCGCTGTGCCCGGCCAGAAACCTTTTCTTTCTTAGTAAACAACAAATCCATTCTTGCTGAGGCCAAAATCCTTGGAGTCATCTGATTTTAATTGCTTTCCCATATACCAGCAATCATCAAGTAGAATCTGAAATTTAAAACAAAATACTGAAACTGCCTTTGCAAAAATCATAACTGAGAAATATTACAATGAAAGAGATCCATCTTGCTTCTAACCCCCAGGCTGTCATTGTTCATTCCTGGGCCTAGGTTGAACTAACTTTGGGAGGAACTTAGTTTATAGTTTAGCTTTGAAACAAAGACAACAACCCTTTCCCAAAACAAGCCTTCCTGGAGACTAGACTGCCTTTGCAGGACTAACAAATTAGCCACAGGATTAGAAATTACAGTTTAGGAGCCATACTGCTGGAGGCTGCAAGATTCTAAACCTCTCCAAATTGCTCCTAGGGATAACATCACTATTGCAAAACCTAAGATCAGTGCTTGAGATATTTTGCAGACACTGCACTTGATTCATCAGCTGGCACCAATCAGATCGATAAACTGGCTCATCTGGTCTTGTGGCCCCCACCCAGGAACTGACTTAGCAGTGACAAGAGGACAGCTTTGACTCCCATCTCTGACCCGACCAATCAGAACTCCCAACTCACTGGCCCCCTACTCAGCAAATTTTTTTTTTTTTTTTTTGGAGACAGAGTTTTACTCTGTCGCCCACGGTGGAGTGCAGTGGCATGATGTCGGCTCACTACAACCTCTACCCCCCGGGTTCAAGCAATTCTCCTGCCTCAGCCTCCCGAGTAGCTGGGACTACAGGCGCACGCTGCCATGCCCAGCTAATTTTTTGTATTTTAGTAGAGACGTGGTTTCACGTGTTGCGCAGGCTGTTCTCAAACTCCTGAACTCAGGCAATCCGCCCGCCTCGGCCTCCCAAAGTGCTAGGATTACAGGCATGAGCCACCGCACCAGGCAGCAAATTATTCTTAAAAACTCCAATTCTCGAATTCTCGGGGAGACCGATTGGAGTAATAATAAAACTCTGGGCCAGACACGGTGGCTCACACCTGTAGTCCCAGCACTTTGGGAGGCTGAAGCAGGTGGATCACCTGAGGTCAGGAGTTCAAGAACCAGACTGGCCAACATGGTGAAGCCCCATCTCTACTAAAAATACAAAAATTAGCTGGTGTGGTGGCGTGTGCCTGTAATCCCAGCTACTCTGGAGGCTGAGGCAGGAGAATCGCTTGAACCCGGGAGGTGGAGGTTACAGTGAGCCAAGATCACGCCACTGCACTCCAGCCTGGGTGACAGAGGGAGACTCCGTCTCAAAAAAAAAAAAAAAAAAAAAAGTGGGACGTTTGAGAGGTGATGAGGTCATTAGGGTTCTGCTGTAATGAATGGATGATAGCCCTTATAAAATGGCTCAGGGGAACTAGCTAGCTCCCTTTCCACCTCTTACACCATGTGAGGACACATGTGTTCCTGCCCTCCAGAGGATGCAGCATTCCGGTAGCCATCTGGGAAGCAGAGACTGAGCCCTTACCAGACATCACACCTATTGGCACTTTGCTCTTGGACTTCCCAGCCTCCAGAACTGGGAGGAATAAATTCTGTTCTTTATAAACTACCCAGTCTCAGATATTTTATTATAGCAGCACAAATAATTAATAAAAAATTAATTAATTATTTTTTTTAAATGCCTCTCCATCCTAGGAAGCCTAGCCAAGGTCCTGCTATCCTATAGGTTTCAGTGACTTTCTCTCTTCTTGCGATCCCCAAAATGTCCTGAGGTTCCTGGGCCTGTGCGAAGTGACCGTCCCTTACACATCGCAAGGGAAACATGTGAGGGAATCTTGTGTACAAGATACAAAGCCAGCTTTTTCCTTCAAGGGGCCGTATTGGCT
Organism: Homo sapiens; assembly: GCF_000001405.40. Classification (NCBI taxonomy): domain Eukaryota; kingdom Metazoa; phylum Chordata; class Mammalia; order Primates; family Hominidae; genus Homo; species Homo sapiens. The sequence continues at coordinate 47,986,229 of NC_000008.11, read as the reverse complement.
CCATGGAGTCAATCTTAGTTCCTAAAAGTTGTGTGATTATATCTGAAAATATGACATTTCAGTCAAAGCTTTGGTAACATGACTAATGTTTCCAATTGTGTCTTGGTACAAAGAGAGCAGATTCTTACTGAACTTATGCAAATAATTATATTGCCATGAAAATAAAAATACTAATAGTTTCTGAATTCTGCAGGGATAAAGTAGGAAGAAAAGATAAATGTTTACATTCTTTGTACAAAATTATAACTTACCAAATTGCTGTAAGCAATAGATAGCTTAGGAGAAAAGAAAATGGTATTCATATTATAATGATACTGATAAGGAAATTTTGTTATTTCAAGACATACAATATTTTAAGATAATAACTAGAATTAAGACTAATACTATGGTATCAGGACTATCAGATTTCTAGGAACTTTATGTAATTTCTTGAACACTAGTACTAACTATACCCAAAAATGTATGACTTAAAGAAGGTAAAACATCACTTTTCATTTGATAATACTTCCTATGCAAATTTAACATATCAAATAAGCTTAATTATTTTAATATCTTCCCTAAGGAGGGAAAAAAATTCTTTTGAGATAATGTAGGGGCCCTTGGAACATTCCAAAGTAATTTCAAGGTCAAAAGAACTTAATTTAGAAGTTGATTTTGGGAAGTTGTAAAAAATGTCAAAAGGTTTAAAATACTCAAATAGTACCACAGGTCACTGTGAAATATTTAGTTACACAAAGAGACTGGGTGCGGTGGCTCACACCTGTAATCTCCGCACTTTGGGAGGCCGAGGTGGGAGGATCCCCTGAAGTCAGGAGTTCAAGACCAGCCTGACCAACATGGTGAAAACCCTGTCTCTACGAAAAATACAAAAATTAGCCGGGCATGGGGGCACGAGCCTGTAATCCCAGCTACTCAGGAGGCTGAGGCAGAACAATCACTTGAACCCAGGAGGCGAAGGTTTCAGTGAGCTGAGATCGCGCCACTGAACTCCAGCCTGGGCAACAGAATGAGACTCAGTCATACAGTCAAAAGATTTTAAAGACAAAGACAGAAAGTTACAGAGTTGTAGGGAAAACATCCACTCTTTTAATAGAGAGGACTCAGTTTTCTTAAGTAATGAAAGACCTGATAAAACACAAGATCAAGTACAGGAAATTATTTTGATAAAACACAAAATCTTTCTTTGGCAGATTACTTAAAAGGTGAAGAAAAACCTCTTATAATTTTTTCCTTCCGTCCTTCCTTCCCTCCTCCTCCTTCCTGCTCCCTCCCTCTCTTCCTTTCCTTTTCTTTTTCCTTTCCTTTCCCTCTCTTTCTCTTTCTTTCTTTCTTTCCTTTTTTTTTTTTTTTTGACAGAGTCTCACTCTATCGCTCAGGCTACAGTGCAGTGGCACAATCTTGGCTCACTGCAACCTCTGCCTCCGGATTCAAGCGATTCTTCTGCCTCAGCCTCCCTAATAGCTGGGACTACAGGTGTGTGCCACCACACCCGGCTAATTTTTGTACTTTTAGTAGAGATGGGGTTTCACCATATTGGCCAGGCTGGTCTCGAACTCCTGACCTCAAGTGATCTGCCCGCCTGGGCCTCCCAAAGTGCTGGGATTATAAGCATGATCCACTGCACTCAGCCACAATTTCTTCTTACTTCAGAATTCTAAACGTTAGGCATGGTGGCTCACAACATGTTAACCAGCCTGGGAATCATAGCAAGACCCTGTATCTACAAAAAATAAATTGGCTGGGTGTGGTGGCTCACGCCTGTAATCCCAGCACTTCGGGAGGCTGAGGCTGGCGGATCACGAGGTCAGGAGATCAAGAACATCCTGGCTAACACGGTGAAACCCCGTCTCTACTAAAAATACAAAAAATTATCCGGGCGTGGTGGCGGGCGCCTGTAGTCCCAGCTACTCGGGAGGCTGAGGCAGGAGAATGGCGTGAACCCAGGAGGCGGAGGTTGCAGTGAGCCGAGATCACGCCATTGCACTCCAGCCTGGGCGACAGGGTGAGACTCCATCTCAAAAAATAAAAAAATAAAAAAAAATTATTCGAGAATGGTGGCATATGCCTATAGTCATAATTACTTGGGAGACTAAGACAGTAGGATTGCTTGAACCAGAAGTTTGAGGTTACAGTGGCCTATGATTGCACCACTGCACTCCAGCCTGGGTGACAGAACAACACTCCATCATTGATTGATTGATTGATTCTGTTGCCCAGGTTGGAGTGCAATGATGCCACCTTGGCTCACTGTAAACTCCGCCTCCCAAATTCCAGTGATTCTCCTGCTTTAGCCTCCAAAGTAGCTGGAATTACCAACGTGCACCACCAGGCCCGGATAATTTTTGTTTTTAGTACTCCTGACCTCGTGATCCGCCCGCCTTGGCTCCCGAAGTGCTGGGATTACAGGCGTGAGCCACTGTGCCCAGCCAATATTTATTTATTTTATTTTATTTTATTATTACTATTATTATTATTATTATTATTATTTTGAGACAGAGTCTCTCACGCCCAGGCTGGAGTGCAGTGGCGTGATCTCGGCTCACTGCAAGCTCTGCCTCCCAGGTTCACGCCATTCTCCTGCCTCAGCATCCCGATTAGCTAGGACTACAGGAGCCTGCCACCACGTCCAGCTAATTTTTTGTATTTTTAGTAGAGACAGGGTTTCACCATGTTAGCCAGGATGGTCTCGATCTCCTGACCTTGTCATCTGCCCACCTTGGTCTCCCAAAGTGCTGGGATTATAGGCGTGAGCCACTGCGCCTGGCCAATATTTTTTTAAAGATGGGGTGTTGGCTGGGCTCGGTGGCTCACATCTCTAATCCCAGCACTCTGGGAAGCTGAGGTGGTGTATCACCTGAGGTCAGGAGTTCGAGACCAGCCTGGCCAACATGGTGAAACCCCATCTCTACTAAAGATATAAAAAATTAGCCTGGCGTGGTGGCGCATGCCTGTAATCCCAGCTACTCGGGAGGCTGAGGCAGGAGAACAGCTTGAACCCGGGATGTGGAGGTTGCAGTGAGCTGAGATCATGCCACCGCACTCCAGCCTGGGCAACAGAGTGAGACTCTGTCTCAAAAAAAAAAAAAATTAGCTTGGCACAGTGGCACACGCCTGTAGTCCCAGCCAGCTAGCCGGGAGACTGAGGTGGGAGGATCAATTGGGTCCTGGAGGTCAAGGCTGCAGTGAGCTGTGATTGCACCACTGCACTCCAGTCTGGGTGAGATAGGTTAAGATCCTATCTCAAACAAAACAAAACAAAACACCTCCCCTAAACCCACAAACTTTCCAACTGGGGCCACCATAATTCTAATTTTTTTTTTTTTTGAGACTGCATATCACTCTTGTTGCCCAGGCTGGAGTGCAACAGCACGATCTTGGCTCACTGCAACCTCGCCTCCCAGGTTCAAGCGATTCTCCTGCCTCAGCCTCCTGAGTAGCTGAGATTACAGGCATGTACCACCATGCCCAGCTAATTTTGTATTTTTAGTAGAGATGGAGTTTCAACATTTTGGTCAGGCTGGTCTCGAACTCCTGACCAGAGGTGGTCTACCTGCCTCGGCCTCCCAAAGTGCTGGGATTACAGGTGTGAGCCACCGCAACTAGGCATTATTTTTTTACCATATGTACCCATATCTCTAGAAATGCACAGGTTCTGAGCAGGAGTCCCAGACTCCTTGGATTCAGATGAACCTATTATTTTCTGACTTCTTGAAACATTACCTACCTGAGACTTCCCGCAGAACCCAGGTTGAATCCAATCTGATGTCTGGCCCTAGTCTGAATGAAAAATGCTCAAATAAACTCCTAAGTTGCCACAAGTTGTGAAAACTTGTATCTATCAAGGGGGCTTATCGATGCAGGTAGAAAAACAAGCACAATGGCTTCACCAGTGCCCCTACAGGTGGCTCATTGCTGCAGGTGCCACCCTCAGTGCCCTCCTTCAGATCCTCACTTCTGACAGGGCTACTATGAGATAAACTTAGGCATATATATTCAAATTTTAAAGTTTATTTGAGCAGACAAGGCAGCACCAGACCATAAGAAAACCTTCGTAAGGTGTTCATGGAAGCAAGACAAGTTTAAAAAAAAAATATATATATATATGTATTTATTTATTTATATATTTATATTTAATCCCTGAATAGCTGGGATTACAGGTGTAAGCCACCAAGCCCGGCTATAAAATATATTGAATGCAGGGGCTGGGCACGGTGGCTCACACCTGTAATCCCAGCACTTGGGGAGGCCGAGGTGGGCAGATCACCTGGAGTTCGAGACCAGCCTGGCCAACATGGTGAAACCCTGTCGCTACTAAAAATACAAAAATCAGCCAGGTGTGGTGGCACACGCCTGTTGTACCAGCTACTCGGGAGGCTGAGGCAGAAGAATTGCTTGAACCTGGGAGTTGGAGGCTGCAGTGAGCTGAGACCACACCATTGCACTCCAGTCTGGGTAACAGAGTGAGACTGTCTCAAAAACAACAACAACAACAACAACAACAACTACAAAAAAAAAAAAAAGGAAATCGAGGGAACATATGAACAAAAATGAGAATATCAACAAAGAGATAGAAATTACTAAAACGAGGCCAGGAACAGTTGTTCATGCCTGTAATCCCAGGCATGATTACAAAAAAAAAAAAAAATTAGCCAGGCATGGTGGCACACGTTTGTAATCCCAGCTACTCAGGAGACTGAGACAGGAGAACCACTTGAACCCATGAGGTGGAGGTTGCAGTGAGCCAAGATTGGTTCTGTTCAGCCTGGGCGACAGGAAAAAAAAAAAAAAAAAAAAAAAAAAAGCATCCATTAAAGGCTGGGTGCAGGGGCACATACTTGTAATCTTAGTATTTTGGGAGGCAGACGCAGGATGATTGCTGAGGCCAGGAGTTTGAAAAAAGCCTGGGCAAGGTAGCAAGACCCCATCTCTAAAAATTAGCTAGGCATCATGGTGTGTGCCTGTAGTCCCAGCTATTCAGGAGGCTGAGGTAGGAGGATCACTTGACCCCAGGAGTTTGAGGCTGCAGTGAGCTACGATCACACCACTGCACTCCAGCCTGGGTGACAGAGGGATACCCTCTGTCTTTAAAAAAAAAAAAAAAAAAAAAAGGCCGGGCACGATGGCTCACACCTATAATCCCAGCACTTTGGGAGGCCGAGGTGGGCGGATCATCTGAGTCCAGGAGTTCAAGACCAGCCTGGCCAACATGGTGCAACCCCGTCTCTACTAAAAATAAAAAAAATTAGCTAGGCCTGGTGGTGGGCGCCTGTAATCCCAGCTACTAGGGAGGCTGAGGCAGGAGAATCGCTTGAACCCGGGAGGTGGGGGTTGCAGTGAGCTGAGATCGCACCACTGCACTGCAGCCTGGGTGACAGAGACAGGCTCTGTTTCAAAAAAACAAAACAAAACAAAACAAAACAAAACAAAAAAGCAAACTTGATAAAATAATATCATTAAAGGAATGTCAGAGTGAAGGGTATATGGAAACTATACTGTTCTTGCAACTTTTGTGTAAGTTTGAAATTATTTCTATTTTTTTTTTTTTTTGAGATGGGAGTCTTGCTCTGTTGCCCAGGCTGGGATGCAGTGGTATGATCTTGGCTCACCACAACCTCTGCCTCCCGGGTTCAAGCGATTCTACTGCCTCAGCCTCCTGAATAGCTGGGACTACAGGCACGCACTACCATGCCCGGCTAATTTTTTTTTTGTATTTTTAGTAGAGACGGGGTTTCACTATGTCAGCCAGGCTGGTCTTGAACTCCTGACCTCGGGTGATCCATCCGCCTCAGCCTCCCAAAGTGCTGGGATTACAGGTGTGAGCCACAGTGCCTGGTCATGAAATTAGTTCAAAATAATAGTTTAAAAAACTGAATTACAGAAGAATTTTAAGAGTTTCTTAGATTTAGTAAGCAACAGCAGTTTTTAAAAGTATTTCCTAACTGATGTGCTGAGTCATTAAATTCTGGGTTTCCTCATTCCTCTTATTAGTTGTGTACTCCTTTAGATGGAGTTGGTTTTATCTATGATGGATGCTGAAGGAGAATGGCACATGCATTCTCCAATCAAATAAAGCAAGTCGTTTTAATTAGCAATACTAGATATCTCCTGGGTTCCATGAGATTATGAGGCATACCCTCTAAGGGAATACTTATAAGAATTTATGGGGCAGGACTGTAATTCCTCTTATTCCTCCACTCTACAGCCTAATACTTCGCTGTTTTCAAGAATGCCTTCTGACTTTTACACCTTCACCCTCCTTTCATAGGAGTTATCTCTACTAACATGTAACAAGCATCTAGCGCCAAGCACCAGGTACTGCACTGAAGGATACGACCATTCCTTCTCTCAAGAAACTTATGACCAGTAGGCAGGTTACAGACATAAACAAGTTTGCTAAATAACTACAATTTTTTTTTTCTTTTGAGATGGAGTCTCACTCTGTCACCCAGGCGAGTGCAAGGGCATGATCTCGTCTCACTGCAACCTCCGCCTCCTGGGTTCAAGTGATTCAGCCTCCTGAGTAGCTGGGATTACAGGCACCTGCCACCATGCCCAGCTAATTTCTGTATTTTTAGTAGAGATGGAGTCTCACCATGTTGGTCAGGCTGGTCTCGAACTCCTGACCTCTTGATCCGCCTGCCTCGGCATCCCAAAGTGTTGGGATTATAGGCGTGAGCCATTGTGCCTGGCCAAATTTTAGTTTTTATTGAAAGTATAGAATGCTTCATGGATTTGTGTGTCAAACTTTGTGCAGGGGCCATGATAATCTTTTGTGTATCATTCCAATTCTCACATATGTGTGGCTGAAGCAAGCACTGAATTATTTTAGACTCTGGAGAAAACAAAGTTTACTGAATTAAACTGAGATTCACTATGATGGAACCTGACAGCAACAGGACAACCCCATTATTTTCATTCTACTAAAATCCCCTTAAAATGAAACTATACACACACTTCATCTACAGTTGAATATACCTTCAACTTGGTATTCAAATACTAGGTTTAGAAAAATATTACTAGTACATAAACTTCAGGGGGAAATCATCTTAGTCAATAAGTACAGATTATTTAATTATTGTTCGACTTATGATTTTTCAACTTTACATGGTATAAAGCTGTTACAATTTCAATGTTCTTCAAATTTTGAATTTTGACTGACCTTTTCTTGTGTTACCAATGTGGTACACAAGACATTTAACACTTTATTTGAGACAGTATCACACCATCGCCAGGCTGGAGTGCAGTGGCATGATTTCCGCTCACTGTAACCTCCACCTCCGGGGTTCAAGCAATTCTCCTGCCTCAGCCTCCTGAGTAGCTGAGATTATAGGCACTCACCACCACACTGAGCTAATTTTTTTTTTATTTTTAGTAGAGACAGGGTTTGGCCATGTTGGCCAGACTGGTCTTGAACTCCTCACTTCAGGATCCACCTGCCTTGGCCTCCCAAAGTGTTGGGATTACAGGCGTGAGCCACTGCACCCAACCGTAACACTTTATTGTAAAATAGGCTTTGTTTTGCACTATTTTACTCAACCATAGGCTGATTTAAGTATGCTCAGCCTTTTTAAGGTAGGCTAGGCTAAGGTATGTTTGGTAGATTAGGTGTATTAAAAACATTTTCGACTTAGGATATTTAATACAGCATTCTACTGCTAACATTTTAATGCTATTTAAATATTCAATTAGATCTTTTTTTTTTTCTTTTTTTGAGATGGAGTCTCACTCTGTTGCCCAGCCTGGAGTGCAGTGGCATGATCTCGGCTCACTGCAAGCTCCGCCTCCTAGGTTCATGTCATTCTCCTGCCTCAGCCTCCAGAGTAGCTGGGACTACAGGTGCCCGCCACCAGGCCCGGCTAATTTTTTTTGTATTTTTAGTAGAGACGGGGTTTCACAGTGTTAGCCAGGATGGTCTCGATCTCCTGACCTCATGATCCAGCCATCTCGGCCTCCCAAAGTGCTGGGATTACAGGTGTGAGCCACCGCGCCCGGCCAGATCTATCATTTTCTATGGATACTTTATTAAAAAATGTTGATTCCAAGTTATAAAAAAGGCCCAACTCATATGATTTAAAGGTTTCAGAAATTATTTATTGTAGTAGTACTTACACGTAAGATTTTAGCCTATGGTCATTTTATAAAGATGACTGTTAGGATTTAATTCACATTTAAAGAAAATGAGATTCGTTATATTATGGTGTTTTTTATGACCTATAAAATACTTACCCCTACAAATTTCCATAAATGTAGTGGTTAGTAAAGCTTTTTTCTTACTGAAAAATAATGCCAGGTAACCAAGTATTATTCCTTCCATCATTTATTTAGGAAAAAGTTTTATGTATTAGGGTAAAGTGGTAGAAGTTAACCTAGAATCTAATAATCTCCAATCACCCATTCCTGATCTAATAGTAGCCATGAGAAAAAATCTCTAGAAAGAATCATACCTCTCAAAAAATAAAAAATAAAACAAAGGCTGGGTGCAGTGGCTCACACCTGTAATCTCAGCACTTCCGGAAGTTGAGGTGGGCAGATCGCTTGAGCCTAGGCATATCGCTTGCAGCCTGGGCAACGTGGCGAAGCCGTCTCTACCAAAAAATACAAAAAGTAGCCGGGCATAGTGACATACACCTGAGCCCAGGAGGTTAAGCCTACATTGAGCCGTGATTGTACCAGTGTACTCTAGCCAGGGTGACAGAGTAAGACCCTATCTCAAAAAAAGAAGTGCCATAAAAAAGAAAGGCTCTAGCCCTTTACCAATGAGGTGATATGCCCAGGCTATGCCTGTCATCAAATCCATAAGCATACTGATGATGGCCATGAGAAAGTCCAGCACACAAACCATGCCCCAGACTGCATCTGTGCATACACAGAGTAAAAGCCCTGCTGCTATACTATAAAATGGCACCTGAAAATAATCTCTACGGTATGTTTGAAAATTGGCAGGTTTTTTTTTTTTTTTTTTTTTTGAGACAGTCTCACTCTATTGCTGAGGCTGGAGTGCAGTGGCGCGATCTTGGCTCACTGCAACCTCTGCCGCCTGGGTTTAAGCGATTCTCCTGCCTCAACCTCCCGAGTAGCTGGGATTACAGGCGCATGCCATCAAGCCCAGCTAATTTTTTGTTATCTTTACTAGAGACGGGGTTTCACCATCTTGGCTAGGCTGGTCTTGAACTCCTGACCTCATGATCCACCCACATTGGCCTCCCAAAGTGCTGGGATTACAGGTGTGAGCCACCGCGCCCGGCCAGCATAGTATTTTTATTTATAACGTGAAAAAAATGAAAACAGATACTTCACTACAAATATTGAACCCAAGTTAGAAAATTTTTATGCAGCCAAACCATGACTTTAAGCTCTATTTACACTGATGGCGGCCAACTGAGATGCAGACCACACCCATGTGGCGTGCAGCAAGCAGGACATGCAGGGAGCCTTCCTTGCTCACAAGGCTTCAGAGCAAGCGCACGGTCTTCCCAGTCACTGTCAGGAAATCATCATCTGCCAGGGCACGCAGTGCTTCTTCAAACATATCTTTAGTAATTGCCTGTGGGGAAGAGAAAGAAAATAAATATTGTACACGTCAAGTCCCTCCTTTACCTGTTAGAAACACAATAATTATAATGTTAAAGTACCACCCAGAATCTTTCTCTTTTTGGTGGCTGTACACATGCCTTATGCTCTAAATCAGGAGTGGAGTAGCCAGATGGTCCATGTGGTAGACTTGGCATCTGTATAGTCCACGTTGTAACTATCAACTCTGCCCTCTCAGTCACAACACAGCGATGGAAAGTGGACCAGCACTGAAAGACTGCATAGTTCTTTTCACTAAACAACTACCTTACTTATTTACAAAAGGACACCCAAATATTTCATACCTAAAGCAAACTTATAACAACTATGAAAGGGGCATAACAATTTTTTCTTTTTTTTTTTTTTTGAGATGGAGTTCCGCTCTGGTGCCCAGGCTGGAGAGCAATGGTGGGATCTCAGCTTACTGCAACCTCCGCCTCCCAGGTTCAAGCAATTCTCCTGCCTAAGCCTCCTGAGTAGCTAGGATTTCAGGTGCTTATCACCACATCCAGCTAATTTTTGTATTTTTAATAGAGACAGGGTTTCACCATATTGGTCAGGCTGGTTTCAAACTCCTGGCTGCAAGTGATCTGCCCACCTCAGCGTCCCAAATGAGATTACAGGCGTGAGCTACTGCACCCAGCCAAAAATTTTAATTGTGATTATTTCTTGATGATGGCTTATGGTTCATCTTCCTTTTCTTCATTCTTCTCTATATTTATTATTTAATAAATAAAGGAAAAAAACCCAAAAGCAATATTAAGGAAAAAGAGAAAGCTCTATCAAACAAAAAATACATATAAACACTTACTATGTCAGATTGTCCCCGAATATCTTCAAAAAGTTGCTGGTATTTTAGAGCTGGTGTTTTGCCCTTAGATAAAATAAGCTTTTTCAATGCTTCAGCTAATTCTTCTTTCCGTTTACGAGAGGTGGCACTCATCCCTGATTTAAAAAGAAATCAATGAAAACATTTTTGCTATTATGAAATGAAATGCTTCAAATTCTCAAAAATATTCCTTTAGTAGTATCACCTAGAAAGATAAGGCGACAGGGGCTGAGTACATTTGAAGGGAATGAGTTTTTAATTATTTGGAAATTTCTGTAAGCCACTAGCTGCTGCTTTCCTTAACAGTCTACACATCTGTGCAGCAAGCAGCTGCTGCTAAGAAACAAACAACTTCTCTAAAATGGGTTAACAAAACTTCCCAGACAGTCAAGGAGACAGAATCTCCTTAAAACTATACACAAAACTGGAATTGAACAATGAGAACACACGGACACAGGAAGGGGAACATCACACACCAGGGCCTGTTGTGGGGTGGGGGGAGGGGGGAGGGATAGCATTTGGAGATACACGTAATGTTAAATGACGAGTTACTGGGTACAGCACACCAACATGGCACATGCGTACATATGTAACTAAACTGCACGTTGTGCACATGTACCCTAAAACTTAAAGTATAAAAAAAAAAAACAAAAAAAAACTATACACAAAACTGTGTGTGTTAATCAATATTTTTATCAAGATAAGATTAAAGGGCAACTTTCATCAGATTCTCAAAGGGGTCCTAATCCAAAAAAGGTTAAGAACTTCTGTTTCAAATGATTTAACTGTTAGCTTAAATCTGACATATAAACTACATGCATATTGAAATAATTTTCAAAAGCTTTTCTGTTCACTGAAAATAACGAACCCGTAGTAAGAATAGATATGTCCACGATGCCAGTCCGGGGATCAGTTGCAGACTGCTTCAGAGCTTCCCGATGGAGGCGTTTGGCCTCTTCCACATCAATGGCTTCAACTTTGTTAGACAATCTTACTTTAGCATGGGCTTCTGCTAAGCGGATTAATGACTCTAGCTGTCGAGGGTATGCAGAAACCATTCCCCGGCTACTGCCAATCTTCCTCATGTCTACATAAGCCTATTGTAGGTAGAAAAACAAAAGCAAAAGCAAACCTCCTTGGTGACAACTTTAGTTTTGTGGGTGAATTTTGAACACTTAGGCTTCCATTAAGTAAACGGAACTCAGATATGGTCCTGGGCCCCGGAGCTCATCAAGTGGTAGAGACTACACAGACAGACCACAGAAATCGCAGGTGAAGACATCAACGTGCAGCGTGCAGTGGTGGGTGAACATATTCCAACTGGGAGATGCTTGGGAAGAATTCTTGGAGAGGGTGGCATCTAACGTAGCTCTGAAGAACAGAGACGGGCATGGCGTGGCAGAGGGAAGGAATGTGGCATGTGGGGAGAGGAGAAGGCTGTGAGCACTCATAGGGAGAATCAGGCCTGTCTGGGAAAAGTGCTCACATGGGGCACAATGGGGCTCATAAGGATTGCTGGGAGAATGCTGCAAAGGTAAGTTGTATCAATTTCACATACAGATGACACAGTCTTATTTCTTCATTAACAACCCCCAAGACTATGACACACAAAAAAATTACATAATGTCTGTAACTTTCATCTTAGAATTTTTAGGAGCTCAGTTAGGATGCAAAGCTCATCAAAGCACCAGGAACCTTCTTAATATCACAATGCTTGAATAACCTAAATGTGCCATCATGCACTTCAGCTCATGTACCAGGATGCTGAAAAGTGAACCTAAAAGACAGCTCATTCTGTTTTTTACAAGCAAAAGGAAGCTTACAGAAACTGGATGACTTTTTCAGTTTCCAAATTACTGTGTAGTGTTGCCTCTATTTGAAACCAGGTCTTTGATCTTAAATTCACTATGCTTGTAAGTACTTAAACATATAAAGTGTGTGTACTACCTACATAAATGAACTATTTCCCCCTTTTGCAACATTTGGAAAGATCAATTTTGCAATATGGGAGGAAGTAATAAACAGTTATAAAAAATAGTATATTGCTAGGCGCGGTGGCTCACGCCTGTAATCCCAGCACTTTGGGAGGCCGAGGCAGGCGGATCACGAGGTCAGGAGATCGAGACCATCCTAACACAGTGAAACCCCGTCTCTACTAAAAATACAAAAAATTAGCCAGGCGTGGTGGTGGGTGCCTGTAATCCCAGCTACTCAGGAGGCTGAGGCAGGAGAATGGCGTGAATCCGGGAGGTGGAGCTTGCAGTGAGCCGAGATCGCGCCACTGCAGTCCAGCCTGGGGGACACAGCGAGACTCCGTCTCACAAAAAAAAAAAAAAGAAAAGTTTATTATTCTTAGGCCCAGCATGGTGGCTTGCGCCTGCAATCCTAACACTTTGGGAGGCAGAGGCTGGCGCATCACTTGAGGTCAGGATTTCAAGACCAGCCTGGCCAACACGGTGAAACTCTGTCTCTACTAAAAATACAAAAATTAGCCGGAGTGGTTGTGGGCACCTGTAATCCCAGCTAATAGGGAGGCTGAAGCAGGAGAATCGCTTGAACCCAGAAGCACAGGCCACAGGCTGCAGTAAGCCGAGATCAAGCCACTGCACTCCAGCCTGGGCAAGAGAGCCAGGCTCTGTCTCAAAACAAGGAAGAGAACAGTATGTTATTCGTAACAAAATAATTAATATTTTAAAGGAGATGATTGGTCAGTTACATTAATGCTGTGGGCTACAGGCACAGTAAGCCTTTTTTCAGCAGGGTTACCTCGATGAGAGCCTGGCTGGCTTCCTCACTTAGCCGCGGCATGATGGTGCTGTGCGCGTAGGCAATGTAGTCCTTTAGCACCGCCATGTCCAGGAGCTCCTCCTCTGCCTGCTCCTCGCTCTGGTAGTACAGTGCGACCAGGTGGTGAGCCAGACGCCTGTCATAGGCTTCGTCCTGAGGGTCCAGCAAGAGGAAGATCAAATCAAACCTAAGAAAACAAAGTAAAAATACTGTTTTTCCAGCACCTTGTGAGGCCGAGGCAGGTGGATCACCTGAGGTTGGTAGTTTGAGACCAGCCTGGCCAACACGGTGAAACCTTGTCTCTACTAAAAATGCAACAATTAGCCAGGAGTGGTGGTGCCTGCCTGTAATCCCAGCTACTTGGGAGGCTGAAGCAGGAGAATCGCTTGAACCTGGAAGGCGAAGGTTGCGGTGAGCCAAGTTCGCGTCACTGCACTCCAGCCTGGCCGACAGAGGGAGACTCTGTCTCAAAAAAACAAACAAAAAAACCCAAAACAACAACAAAAAAACTGTTTTCCTAGTTGAGACACCAATACACCTACAAACGACGTACTAAAGACTGCTTGAGCACCACAGATGTGCAGTCAATGTGCACCCTGTGAGCGCCATCAGGGAGAAGCATCTTTGCCTGGTGTGGAAAGGGCCTTCGTGTCCATCCACTCACCCCACTCACCCTGTGCTGTCCCTAGTCCTTAGGTCGGCCCAGGGAACGGCTGGGGACCAATCAGCTGAGTCAAAGGAAGTCTTCCCTTAGGGAAACGTTACTATAATTTTGACGATGGAAAGTTTTTTTTTTTTTTTTTTTTTTGAGACAGAGTCTCACTCTGTAGCCCAAGCTAGAGTGAAGTGGTATGATCTCAGCTCACTGCAATCTCCACTCCCCCAGGCTCAAGCAATTCTTGTGCCTCCTCAGCCTCCCGAGTAGCTGGGATTACAGGCATGCGCCGCCACGCCGGGCTAATTTTTTGTATTTTAGTAGAGATGGGGTTTCATCAAGTTGCCCAGGGTGGCCTCAAACTCCTGAGCTCAGGCGATCCACCCACCTCAGCCTCCCAAAGTGCTGGAATTACAGGTGTGAGTCACTGTACCTGGCTGACAATGGAAAGATTTGAATGAAAACACATTCAACTGTTTTTTTGGGAAAAAAAACTTCTGTCAAAAAAAAAGAAAAAAAAGCAAGTAATTAAAACCTAAAATCCATTTATGAAAAATGTCCAATATTTGTAGTGGGGCCAAGAGTGAAGATTATGTGATTGCACTTTAATAAATCTAACTTTTCAGAGCCTCATCTACTGTACGGAATTGTTCTCTGTTGACTCTCAGCAGTGGCTTTAGGACTAAGAGTAGTGAGTGACAGCCATGTGTAAACGGCGTGGGAGGTAAACATCCCAACTGCTTAAAAAACAAATGAGAACACACATCATCCTTGTCGTGAAAACTCTTGACCAACCAAATTTGAAACATCTTGATAAGAGTGAAGAGTTTCCATTAGCAGTTGCTGAAATCTTAGTAGCTCCTTTTCAATCTCACCCTGAATATTCTACAAATGAACAAAATAAAAATCTGTTTTAATACCTTGATAATAAAGTATGAGGCAGCTGGATGTTTTCAATGGTTGTTTTTTTAGGATTCCACTGAGACTCAATGGGATTTGCTGCTGCCAGGACAGAGGTGCGCGCATTGAGCTGACAGATGATCCCAGCCTATCAGAGCAAAGAGTGCAGTTAGAAGCCTCTCCCTGACGCTGGCAATTAACAAGCACCGTCTTCGCCCGGCCACCTACTAAACCCATATTCCCTCCACTGAGTTTCTATTGCCTGAGCCATGTTGCCTTTACTGACTTCAGCAGTTCACCTGGATAAGCCCTGTCCTCAGATTCATGCCAAGGACTGAGTTTAGATGAATGTGTGCTATAACCACATCTTTCTCAGGAAGCAGGCACCTTGCAAGAGCTTTAGGACAAATTCAAGGCTAGTACAGCAATAAAGACAAAACGTGACACCCTGTAGAAGACATGTTGAGATTTAGCTGAAATATGATGTGGAAAGCACTTATCAATCTCCCCAAGTTAGAACCAAGGTAGCACAGCACAGTTCCACAGACCCTGTCTTTCAAGGGTCCACATATTTTAAACACGTCCATGTTCACGGTGGAGAAGGCGACTCACCTTTGCAATGGACAGAGTCTGCTGTTCCATGACTTCATGCAATACCGATCTTGTACTTTCATTCATCTTGTCGAACTCATCGATACAGCAGATGCCGTTGTCACTCAGGACAAGAGCACCTGTCTGCAGGACCAGCTGCCTTGTCTCAGGGTCTTTCATTACGTACGCAGTGAGGCCAACTGCACTGGAGCCCTTCCCAGACGTGTACTGGCCCCTGGGGACGAGGTTGTACACGTACTGCAGCAGCTGGGACTTGCTGGTACCAGGGTCGCCACACAGCAAGATGTTGATCTCAGCCCGAAATTTGCCCCTTCCAGTGTGACTAAAATCCTTCCTTGTCCCGCCAAAGAGCTGAAGCAAAATTCCCTAAATAATCAGAGACATGTCTAAACATTCATTTTCTGCACAGTTAACTGAGATGTAGTTTAAACTTTAGAGGTACTTTTCTCTCTTATAAAGAACTACAATTAAGAAATCACAGGAAGGTATAAAAAGGCTCGTGAAAGTGCTTGATATGCTTTAAGTTATCACTGACCAGTTCATCAGCACCTATCATTACACCAGAATGGTGGCCATGCAAGTCCCTATTCTGACACTGTGTGGCCTCTTCTGTTTAGAAACCTAAGTTTAGACCAGAGATGAGGATAGACAATGCTATGATTCTTCTCAACCAATGGCAAGTCAGGTTGCCAGCACTTGCTCTAACAGGCCACAACTCTGTCCTTTATGGCGGATGGCTCGAGTGGCGGAGTGGATGTTTATACTATTTGATCCCAAAGAATTGTAAATCCCAACCCCTAGTTTAAAATCCACTGTTACCTTCTTTATATCTTCATGTTCATAAATGCTTGGAGCCAAGGCTGAAGCAAGCCTCTCATAAATGTCTGGTTTCCTGGAAAGTTCCTTAAGCAATTCCACACGTTTCTCTGAAAAAAGTTTCTGTTCTGCTTCTTCATCAAGGCCATGCAGACGTTTTGCATCCGTTTTCCGATAATGAATGACATCAATGTGGGTTTTGTAGACAGACTTCACATTACTCACTCTTGGATTGACTCGAATAGGCACAGCTCGATAGATGCCTGAGGGCACAACCAGGAGATGCACTTTTACCTTCCCATATCTTCCTCCGAGTGGCTCAGCAACCAGCGTAGGCAACAGGTGCACTTCAGAGCGAGGCACCACGTCGGGCTGGCCCTGGAAAGGGTGAGCTCCACCGTCTCTTAAATGACCCTCCCAAGCCCAGGACTCAGGCCCACATTGCAAAGCTCCCGCTTGCTATGAGCAAGCAGGGAAATAGCAGCAGGAAACGGACAAGCTCGAAAGAACCAAGGTGGCTCATGTCTGTAATCCTAGCACTTTGGGAGGCTGAGGCAGGCGGATCACCTGAGGTTGGGAGTTCGAGACCACCCTAATCAACAAGGAGAACCCTGTCTCTACTAAAAATACAAAAATTAGCCGGGCGTGGTGGCACATGCCTGTAATCCCAGCTACTCGGGAGGCTGAGGCAGGAGAATGGCTTGAACCTGGGAGGCGGAGGTTGCGGTGAGCCAAGATGGTGCCATTGGACTCCAGCCTGGGTGACGAGAGCAAAACTCCGTCTCAAAAACAAAACAAAACAAAATGAAACAAAACAAAACAAAACAAAACAAAAGAGAAAGAACCCAGGTTTCTGCAAATGATAGACCCGAGGACGTGTTCACCTGGGCCCACTAGTCAGCAGTGCTCCAGGGCAACTGTAGCTACGTGAGCATGCCCACGGGCACAGTCACCCTGAGGGTGAAATGGAGCTGCTGTGCTTCTAGCTCAATGCTGGGTTCGTGGTTGTTTTTAATAAGCAGTATTTTTACTTCCCTAAGTTGAGTGTACAGAATCTGCCTAGCACTTACTTGACTGCAACAAAATGCTAAAATCCTCCAGTCATTAAAACTAGACTAGGTCCCCCCAACCTACCCACCACCCCCGACAAAAGCATGCAAATCATGCATTCTTCTGGAAGCCAGGCTCCTCACATACAGAGGTCTGATCTGATGTTCGTCTTTTCTGGATTTCAAACCAGAAGGCTTTAACTCCAGGCTGATTCCTGCAGCTTTTGGAGAAAGCCTGGCCTTTCCCCGTTACAGCTATCTCAACGCAATGGCACAGAGCACTGTCCTTGTTTATTCAGTGGGTCAGTGTAATTCTTGTTTAACACAACAAACCAGTTTACACACATTCTTAGAATACACACTATTCTTCACTCCAATATAGGCTAGGGATGGAAGATTATGTTTAAAGTGGCCCGGAATGATTTATCTCACAGAGCAGCATTGATACTTATTTCACATCTACACAGCACTTTCCACAGCCCCTTGGCCCCAAACACTCTCACACATGTATCATCACATTAACTCCACTTTGTAGGTGAGGAAACAAAAATATTGGACTAAATACTTTATCAAAGGTTTCAGGGTAGCAGGACTGGAAATGCGCACGTCACTCACTAAAAACTACGCATTCTTTCAAATTCTCCATGACTTCAAGTACTTTTACGACGGAAGATTGCCAGTGATAACTGCGGGACTTCACACTGGGGAAGAAACAGGGTGAGCACTGCCTCACTGAAGACAAGAGCCGATGCGTGGTGTGCCCCAGGCCCTCCGCTCAGGAGCAGATTCAGGCACTCCGCGACCGTCGCCACCTTGCCCATCAATGAAGAACCGTGCTGCCATCAACACTCCCTTGCCCCCAACCAAAATCCATTGTGACTCTACAGCATCAAAAGGAGGACTGCCACACTCATATGGTGCTGTGCAAAGAGCACTCTTGTGGCAGCAAGAGAAGGAGACCTGGGTCCTGGGTTCTGATTTACCGTGGCATCTGAGCTACTGCTGTCTATGCATCCCTGAACCTCAGCTTCTACACATGGAAACAAGTCACTGACTCATTTTTCTCTGTAACAAACAAATGTTAACCCTTGGCTATACATTTGGGAAATTAAGTAAAAATTACTTAAAACTCCAGCATTGGTGAGTAATACTTCTCTGAGCTGATGGCATAACTCAAAACTTTACCCATACAAGCCTGTCTGAGGCTGCTCTCTCATGATGCCAACAGTACTGACTTGAGACACACACAGCTCCAGGATACTGAGGTATCAAGAGGCGAGTGACCACACGAACCATGAGCTCCAACATTCAAGTTTGGGAAGAACTGAACAATTTCATACTGCTGGGCCATGGTACTCAGTTAAAAAGGTGGCAGATAAAGCAGGGATATACCCCACAGTCTCAAAGACAAGCAGTGACAACTGGAGGTAGAACTGGACCTGTGACCAAGTCCAATGACTCACTAAAGCACAGCATTGAAAGCAAGCCAGACATGCTCAAGTGCTGGTGCAAACCTACACTCTTACCTGTAACATTCACTCTGTCCCCAGGCTGGACCTTGTCAACGAGATCATTGTGAGCAAACAGGATAACTGTGTGTGGTGTCTGCCCTGCAGGCATGTCTTCCGGAGACTCCTGAAGCTTGATCTGAAGGTCAGCAAACAGAGAACATGTGGGCCACAAAGAGAGGGCAGGGGGACAAAATCTGCATGTCTTTGTACTGCTTTTGCCATATAAGGCTGCAGTGCATATCCCCACATAAATGATTGTCCATGTTTCTCATTATTTCCTTAGAAATTACTTCTTCTAAAGAAGTTGCTGCAACAGACAGCAACAAAACAGGGGAAGGAATGTAGGGAGCTGCGGTGGGGGAAGCTGAGATGCTTTTCATAAAGCAGGGTCGAGGAAGGCCTTTCCAAACCAGGTACCCTCTGAGAGGCCTAAGGATGCTGGGCTTTTCTCTAAGCCACTTTGGGGGCCTGCATGATTCTGAGAATAGGAGGCCATGTGCTCCTGCGGAGCAGGGTGCCTGCCTTTCTGTCTCCAGCTCTCCATCCCATGCAACATTAAAGAAACCATGCACACGCAGTCACAGAAAAACTCAAATCCTGTCCTCCCACATCTTTACAGTCACAATCACGGTAAATAAGCAATTTTCTACCTTCCCCTCACTTTTTTCTGTCATTTTAATAACTTCATCTTAAAATTTCATGAATATAGAGAAAAAAGACCAAACTTCTTAGACAGTAAAATTTGTGAAAAAATTTCAGAAAAATTCCTCAATCCTTTACCAATGGAAAAAGCAGAATGACATTTAACCAAGTATTCTCATCTCAAACGTTTGAAGCATTTTAGGCCATGAAAATACAGTGTCTCTAACAACAGACAGTGCCACTGGCAACAGCACAGGGACAGTGCCCTGAAGCAGGGGCTTTGCGTGCTCTGCATATTTAGCCCATAGGCCACTAACGAAACCCACAAGACCAGAGAGGGATGGATGCCATTCGGGAAGTGAGGCTCAGGGTCCGAGGGACAAGTTATAGTTGGCCTTTTGAGGATACAGACAGGCAAAGCATAGCCTGGGGGGCCAGGGTGGCTGCGCACCATCTGCTTGTCAGAGAAGAGGGAGCGGTTGTGGATGAGTGCCATGCTGTGGGTGGTGTGGCAGCGCCCGCACACACTGGGCTCTGCAATGCGGCCGCGGTCCATCTCCACCCGGGTCGTGTGGGCACACACTTGGCACTGGAAGAAGGCCTCCTGCATCTCGGGAATCAGCTGGGATGTCCTGATCACCATGCCGCTGATGGTGATGAGCTGGTCAATGTCTGTGAGGGGAGAAGAGAGGTCAGCACACCTGACCTGAGGTGTGGAGGTCCAGGAATAGCTGGGATCACAGACAGGAGCTAGGTGCCCAAGACTCTGCCTAGGGCGACCTTTCTGTGTCCAGTCATCTGCAGGCTATGTCTTCAGGAGACTCTCAAGCCCAGCGAACCTCTGGCCCTTCTTCCTCAGGGCCCCTGTCCAGCAGGCATCCCTCGTTCCCTTCTTGTCTGCCTACCCTGCTCCCTGCCTCCTGCCTCACTCACCTGGCCTCCTGTATGACACCCTGCTGTGTCAGGAAAAAAGCCAGACAGCCTGGACTGAGTCCTGACCCTAGCCTTTCTGTGTACATTTTGTGTCCCCTATAGAATGGGGTGGTATCAGCACCTATCCCAGAGCCAAGGACTGAACGTGCCAATGTACTTCAAGCCTAGTAAGAGCACCTGGTAGAGAAAAAGTCCTCTATACTTTAAAGTCATTATTATCCACACAGGAGAACCCCTTAGATGCTCTGATCTTTCACTCTTGCTCGTTTCCTCTATTATTTGAACCTTTCCTGACAGACAACTTTTTCCCTTTGAAGGTCCCACTGCCCGCAACTAATTTCCCCTGCTGGTTTCAGACAAGCTACCCTGTTCTGGCCTGTATTTAGCCACTGCTAGCCGTGAAGATCACCCTATCCTGCCACTGATTCATGAGACCTCTACAATTTTGTTGTTGTTGAGATGGGGTCTTAACCTGTTGCCCAGACTGGAGTACAGTGGTGCAATCACTGCTCACTGAAGCCTCAACCTGCCAGGCTCAAGTAAGCCCGTCACCTCAGCCTCCCAGAGTGCTAGGATTACATGTGTGAGCCACTGTGCCTTGCTAATTTCTTCTTAAAAAGAGATGGAGTCTCTTATGTCACTCAAGCTGGTCTCAAACTCCTGGCCTCAAGTGATCCTCAAATCTTTAAAATCTAATTTTTTTTTTTTTTTGAGACAGGGTCTCATTCTGTCACCCAGGCTGGAGTGCAATGGCACAGCCTCTGCTCAGTGCAACCTCCGCCTCCCGGGTTCAAGCGTTTCTCCTGCCTCAGCCTCCCGAGAGTAGCCGGGACTACAGGCGTGTGCCACCATGCCCTGGTAATTTTTCTATTTTTAGTAAAGGAGTTTTGCCATGTTGGCCAGGCTGGTCTCAAACTCCTGACCTCAGGTGATCCGCCTGCCTCGGCCTCCTGAAGTGCTGGGATTATAGGCGTGAGCCACTGTGCCCGGCCAATAGTCACATCTCTTATATCAGAAACTTCAATTAAATTTAAAAAGTATAGGGGGTTCATAAGTATATAGGATAACTGAATCTATATTATTGTCAATTTATAATCCGTCACCTTGACTACCACCGCCAATTACTTCTTTCATAATTTCTCAATGAAAACAAGGCTATTTTCATGTAAGGCATTTTCCTTCAACAAAAGTAATCCTATGAAAAATACATTACCTTCTGGATTCAGGTTTCTCATATTCTTAGTCTTCAATGCGTTGAATGGTCTTACTTGAATCTGATGTTCTAAGATTGAGTCAGGGTAACGGTCAAAGAAGATTTCATTGACAGCCATGTCAAAAGTTGGAATAACTTCCTGTAAAAACAAATATGAAGATGTATTTGTATTCATATCTCAGTGTTAAATATAATAAAGGCATGTCAGATTAGCAAAGTATAAAAAGACAACATGTCATGTCCCCAAAGTATTACCCTACAGAATCATGCACGTGCTGTTTTCAAATTTAGGTATGCTGAACTATCTATTTCTGCATATTTTCAATTGGGTTAAATTTCATAATTTATACGAAAGTGCCTTCTTGATGTATACTGGCATATTCTTTGCTTTCTATTAGAAGGGAAAAAGATTTTGACCTCACACTTTATTTTCCTTCTATAATGAAGTGATACCAAAGTAAGTTTTTTATTTATTTATTTTTAATTTTTGAGGCAGAGTTTCACTCTTGTTGCCCAGGCTGGAGTGCAACAGCATGATCTTGGCTCACTGCAACCTCTGCCTCTGGGATTCAAGTAATTCTCCTGCCTCAGCCTCCCGAGTAGCTGGGATTACAGGCATTTGCCACCACGCCTGACTAATTTTGTATTTTTAATAGAGACGGGGTTTCTCCACGTTGGTCAGGCTGGTCTTGAACTCCCAACCTCAGGTGATCTGCCTGCCTCGGCCTCCCAAAGTGCTGGGATCACAGGCATGAGCCACCGTGCCTGGCGATACCAAAGTAAGTTAAATCATATTTATTCAAATTTCTTAACATATGGTTCCCATTTTACAGATGAGGAAACAGCTTTTGGTTGGCTAAGGAACTTGACCAAGGTTATGCAGCCAGTAATCAGCAAAACCAAGATTCAAAAACCAAGTCTGCTTGCCTCCAAAGACTACACCCAGAGTCAACAGAGCTGATACTTCATTAATAGAAACTGACCTGAGGCTTAGAAGTAAAAGTCTACAGTACAATATATTCTTTCAAAGCAGCAGGAAGTATGTAATTCATTTAAAGTATTTCCATTTAAGATAACTTACTTCATGAAACCCAAGAAGCTATCAGTTTTAAGATTCATCATTTTTCTACATGAAAAACACTGCCAAGTAAACCATAACCTGTCATTGATAGTAATACAAGTCCCACTTTCAGGAACATTAAAATGTGAAAAAAAAATGTTCATCTTAAAGGAGATGATACATAGTTTTTTTTTGTTTGTTTGAGATGGAATCTCACTGTTGCCCAGGCTGGAGAGCAGTGGTGCCATCTCGGCTCACTGCACCTCTGCCTCCGGGGTTCAAGTGATTCTATCGCTTCAGACTCCCGAGTAGCTGGGACTACAGGCATGCACCACCATGTCTGGCTAATTTTTGTATTTTTTAGTACAGATGGGGTTTCACTTTGTTGCCCAGGCTGGTCTCAAACTTCCGACCTCAAGTGATCCATTTGCCTCGGCGTCCTAAAGTGCTGGGATTATAGGTGTGAGCCACCACACCGGGCCAAAGGAGATGATACTCAGTTTCTTAAAGTGTTTGCGCATACTATCTTCATTACTGAAGAATTTCTGTTATCTGGAAACATTCTTTCTAGACTGTTACTAAAATTCATCAAGGTCAAAGCTAAATTCTTACCTGTGGGTAAGAGATGAGTTGTCTGTACAAATTTTTGTCAAATGATTTGATGTGTTCACAGTTCACATTTAAAAATGGCTCACCAATAACATTAATCTAGAAAATAAAAATGAACAAGTTATATTTTGCTAATTTAACTATTTTAAAACACGTAACTTGAATTTAAAGAGTATTTGATTACCTCCCCAAGTCGTTGCATGTATAGAGGTTCAGTAATATCTATGCCAACATTTTCTTCTTCTTTAGCCAGAGGGTCAATAAAACGCTGAAGAAATCTCTTTAAGTGGAGAGAAAACTGTATTAGGCATATAGCATTTGGGAACAGGCAACTACTAAAAACACACAAAGTTATGAGTATGTCACTATCAGGAGACAGAAATAAATAATATTTTTCTTCCTTTTTCTTTTCTAAAATTTAATTTGGAGATGGAGTCTCACTATATTGGTCAGGCTGCTATCAAACTCCTGGCCTCAAGTGATCCTCCCACCTTGGCCTCCCAAAGTACTGGGATTATAGGTGTGAGCCACCACAGGTGGCCCTTCTAGTCATTATGGCTACTTAGATATAGATTATAAACACGGTCTCCCAACATTTTCAGAGCCCAAAGTAAGAATTTTAATACATGTAGCTCACCTGAAAGTTTTCTTTGCATGCTGCCACATTTACATCTGTTCCCCAGATCACAAGTTTTTGGCCTAGAGACTGCTCACTTGCCACTATATCTTCTGCTGCTGCCTACACAGAAAAACATGACAGAATCATGAAAACAGAGTTACCCACATGATACCCGCCATAAGATGGTTTCAGGAGACTGCATACTCACCCCGTCAGACTGCAGATCCACTTGCAGGCCCTTCTGTGCAGAGCCCAGGTCAGGCCTCTGTCTCACAGGTGTGCCCCTAACACCACTTCTTGGGGTTCCCTCTACCCGAGAGCTGGGAGTGCCGTATGTCAGTGGTGAACTAACATCAAAGTCAAGAGGGATAGCTATAAAAACAAAATTAGGAAATTCTGGTGGCATATCAAACCTGAAATTACAGCATGTTGTCTGTTGATCTATACCATCTAATCGCAACAGCAAACTGAATATTTATTGCAACCTGCGGTGGCTGAGATTCTGAGCACTCTTAAATGTTCTATTAAAAAAAAGCACCAGAGAAGCTGCTTCCTCTGCTCACTAAGCCCTAAAACTACTATTTTCTGCACTCCGTTCAGCTCCTCTGGTTAAGAACATGCTCAGTCACGTGCAGAGGGGATGCTTTAGGCGTTATGCCAACTGTTATAAAGCCAGTAAACCTGAGCAGATAAAGCATCAGCTGTGTATCAAGCACAGCAAAACCAAGATCTTCAGACACGCACCTGAAGAATGCATTTGGGGAGGGCTGGAAAACAGCACGTCCTGCGCAGCAGGGCTCTGCAGGTCCACTCCAGGCGAGGTTGGCATCGGCTGCAACTCCCCCGTGGAGGTGGAATCCTCGCCTCTACGTCTCTGAGAGGGAGATGACCTGGCATCCTCACTCCGAGCTTGTGTCACACAAAACAGAAAAGACAGCCATTAACTTTCAGGGCCGGCCTTCCTGGATTTGTCTTTTCCTTGGGGCATTATGACTCACCACTGAACCAAACCAAACAGAGGCAAATGGCAATCGAATTAAGCAGCACCCAGGCCACAGCCTGCTGTGGGTGTCTGTGCGCACCAAGCGGCAGCGCCCAGCCCGAGGCTGAGCGCCCGGGTCCCGCGCACCCACCCAGCGCTGCCAGCTGCGGCGAGAGGGCAGACGGGGCGGCGCCGGGGGCTGTAGTGGGCCCGGCTCGGGGGACTCACGCGTCTGGGCGGGGGTGGCCCTTCCACGCCGGCTGCCGCGGCGGCTCGGGGTCGACGCCGGGGACGACATAGTGCTCGGAGTACCTGCGCGACAAGGACAAGCTCGGGCCGGGCCCGCCTCCCGGCTTCCCTGCCCTGCTCCGCAGCGCGGACGTTCCCGTCGGCTCCGCGCCACGCCCTCCCCGCCGGCGCGCGGTTACCGTGGAAAGGCGGCCGCTTGCCGACGACGCTCGCGGACTCCGAGTCCACCTGGCGAGTAGCGCTCCCAAACCGCGAGACCCAGAGTTCCCGCCGGCGGCAAGGTCGTCTCCGCCCCTGGCGGGGCCTCACCAATCACAGCGGCGCTCGTACGTGGCTCCGCCTCCGGGAGGCGCCACTGCGCATCGGCAGGGGGGGACAGTGCCGCTTCTTTCAGCGCCCGTGCGTAAACCAGAAGTAGGCCTCGCTCGGCCCCCCTTGGTCCAGATGGTCTGACCCCCTGCGCGGCAGCGTTTTCGCGGGAAAACTGGGTCCTACAGCACCAGCTCTCGGGGTGTGTTCCTCTAGCGTTGGCTAGGGAGCGTGTGCTTCTTTATCCCTTAGGCGTTTTTGGTTAATAAGGACATTACAGATGCATTTCTCACTTAAAGATTTTTTTTATTAAAAAAAATTAAGGACGGGAGGTGGTGGGGATGGTCTCATTATGTTGCCCAGACTGGTCTCGAACTCCTGCGATCCCCCCGCCTCAGCTTCCTAAAGTGTTGGGACTGCAGGCGGGCATCACCGCCCCCGACCGCGTTTGTCGTTTTTTATCGAGGAACAAACTTGGAACTCTTGACCTAGGCCCCTCGCTTGTTTTATCTGCCTCTGGTATTTATTTAGCCAAGTCCAACACCAAGTAGCCACCCAAACTACCTCCGCAGGTCAGACGTTTTTCCTTAGGTTTCCATGTTGATTCGGGCCAAAGAGGCGCGCTTACTGGCCAGGCCTTCCCGCAGGGGTCCCCGGGAAAGTTCCTGCCGCCGCGCCCCGCAGCCCCGCCTCCGCGCGTAGGGGCATTTCCGGGTCCGGGCCGAGCGGGCGCACGCGCGGGAGCGGGACTCGGCGGCATGGCGGGCTCCGGAGCCGGTGTGCGTTGCTCCCTGCTGCGGCTGCAGGAGACCTTGTCCGCTGCGGACCGCTGCGGTGCTGCCCTGGCCGGTCATCAACTGATCCGCGGCCTGGGGCAGGAATGCGTCCTGAGCAGCAGCCCCGCGGTGCTGGGTGGGTACCGGCCCGAGCTGGGCCGCGGGTGGGTCCTGGCTTCCCGAGTCGTTCTGGAGCCGGGCAGCCCGGCGCTTCTCTGTGTTTAGATGACGGTATTTTGAAGTACAGCAATTAGATTCTTGGGGGAATTTCTGTGTATGTGTATAAAGGGATTTGTCATACTGCTTTTTACCCCCTAGTATTAGAGGAAAGATATTTTAAAGCCAAAGTTGGTGAAAACGACCCCTAATATGGCAATCATTGCTATGCAGAGTGGGGGGCAGGGCAAGAGAAATAATTTTTTTTTTTTTTGAGACGGAGTCTCGCTCTGTCGCCCAGGCTGGAGTGAAGTGGCGCGATCTCGGCTCACTGCAACCTCCGCCTCCCGGGTTCAAGCTATTCTCCTGCCTCAGCCCCCCGAGTAGCTGGGATTACAGGCGCGCGCCACCACGCCCGGCTAATTTTTTTGTATTTTTAGTAGAGATGGGGTTTCACCATGTTGGTCAGGCTGGTCTCGAACTCCTGACCTCGTGATCCCCCCGCCTCGGCCTCCCAAAGTGCTGGGATTACAGACGTGAGCCACCGGGCCCGGCCAAGAGAAAGTATTTTCTTTCACCTGAATCTCGCCTAATCCCACCAGTACCTTTTCCAAACCCCTCTATTTGCCGTTCCTACTTTGAGAAAAATTGAAGAAATGTAATTGAAGTCATGTTCTTTTAACTCTTTAGCAATGCCTGGGTGGGAACTTTTTCCCCTTTGTAGTAAAAGTGCCTCTTTTTAGCATTTTAAATATTCAAATACTTAATTATGTGGATCTCCTGTATTCCTTCTTTAAAACACGAGTATGCAGACCTTGATGTTGTGCCCTATTAAAAGGTGAGATTTTCTTCCGGAGGGTCTAGTAGTGAATATGGTGTAGGAATAACTTAAACAGTTTAAACTAGATGCTATATGTGGCACGGTGCGGTGGCTCATGCCTGTAATCCCAGCACTTTGGGAGGCTGTGGCAGCTGGATCACCTGAGGTCAGGAGATGGAGACCAACCTGACCAGTATGGTGAAACCTTGTCTCTACTAAAAATACAAAAATTAACTGGGCATGGTGGCGAGCGCCTGTAGTCCCAGCTATTCGGGAGGCTGAGACAGGAGAATGTCTTGAACCCAGGAGAAGGAGATTGCAGTGAGCCGAGATTGTGCCACTGCACTCCAGCCTGGGCAACAGAGCACGACTCCGTCCCAAAAAAAAAAAAAAAAAGATGCTATATACATGTATCCTATATGTACTCTATCTGTTGTCAAGAATATATTAACAATGGGGAAATATCAAACAAAAAACTAACATTGCGTGATTACTTTCTCTTCTCAGGGTTTCAAATTTAGAATTCATTTTTGTTCGTTTAGTAACTTGTTTCTAAAGCACTTCCAAGTTTACCTTCCATTTATGCCATATCTCCTTTCACTTGAGAGATTCCAGGGGAAGTGTATTAGTTCCTTATTGCTGCTGTAACAATTACCACAAGCTTAGTGGTTTAAAACAGCACAGGTCTGTTACTCTTACAGTTCCCACTGTAAGGGGGATTCTGTGAGTCAGAATCCCACACAGGTCTCACCAAGCTAGAACCAAAGTACCAGACAGGGCTGCTTTCTTTCTGAAGGCTCTTGGGGAGGATCCATTGCCTTATTCATTCAGGTTATATAGGATTGAGGTCCCTGACATTCCATACTTCTTGAAGCTGTCCCCTTTCCTTGGATCACAGCTCCCTTCCCTTGGTCTTCAAGGCCAGCAACAGCATGTCAAGTCCCCCTAACTAGAGGTTTGGAATCTCCCGCTTTCCCAACTTCCTGTCTCTCTGACCCACTCTTCTTCATCTCCTTACTTTAAGGGCCTGTGTGATTACATTGGGCTCTCTGGATAATCCAGTATGATCTTCCCATTTTAAGGTCAGCTGATTAGCTACCTTAATTCCATCTGCAAGCTCAATTTCCTTTTGCTATATACATTTAACATATTCACAAGATGTGACCCCAGGGATTGGGATGCAGGCATCTTTGGGGCCATTATTTTGCGTACTGCATCCCTGTGGAACATTGTCTAGAATTTTCTGCTTTGTTTTAATACAGCAACCTTGGGTTAGTGTTTTATATTTATAAGGCTGCCTTGAAAACCGTTGCAACCTTGGCCAGGCGCGGTGGCTCACGCCTGTAATCCCAGCACTTTGGGAGGCCGAGGCGGGCTGATCGTGAGGTCAGGAGATCGAGACCATCCTGGCTAACACGGTGAAACCCCGTCTCTACTAAAAATACAAAAAAAAAATTAGCCGGGCATGGTGGTGGGCACCTTTAGTCCCAGCTACTTGGGAGGCTGAGATAGGAGAATGGCGTGAACCCGGGAGGCGGAGGTTGCAGTGAGCCGAGATCGCGCCGCTGCACTCCAGCCTGGGCGACAGAGCGAGACTCCATCTCAAAAAAAATAATAAGAAAATCATTGCAACCCCTTTAGGAGTGGTTTACATGATGCTCTTGGCACTCTCTTAACTTGTTTACTTATTTTTTTGAACAGCATTACAGACATCTTTAGTTTTTTCCAGAGATTTCGGTTTGCTTGTATTTGTCCGGAAGTCACTCAACAGTATTGAAGTAAGTTGACAATTTTGGTTTTGCTTTTCTTGTATATTCCTGGAGTGACTCCTCTTACCCATATTTACAATATGTATCTCTTTCATTACAGTTTCGTGAATGTAGAGAAGAAATCCTAAAGTTTTTATGTATTTTCTTAGAAAAAATGGGCCAGAAGATCGCACCTTACTCTGTTGAAATTAAGGTAAGAATTAAAAAACATACCTTATTACATTATATATCAACATCTGTTTTAACTTATGGTGTGAGGAACTTGGATTTTTATTTTAAAGATAAAACATTTTCCTTTCTCATTGGGGAATTTGCTTATTTCTGCTTCATTGTGTTACAAATGAAGTGGGCTCTTCATTAGGTTTTTTTTTTTTTTTTTTTTTTTGGAGAAGGAGTTTTGCTCTTGTTGCCCATTAGTTATTTAGATTTAGTAAGCTAAGGCCTTTGTGAGAGAAACTACTTTGATAATTTTTTTTAATAACTATCTTAATACTTTTTTTTCCTGAGGAGGTGGCAGTGGCACCCTGGGCTCCCTGGGGCCCTGATGGCCTCTTGATAACTTCACTGCAGCCTGGGCGACAAGAGCAAAACTCCATCTCAAAAAATAATAATTTTTATTTTGTATTTTTTTATTTTTATTGTTTATTTGTTTTTATTTTGTGAGACAGGGTTTTGCTCTGTCATCCAGGCTGGAGTGCAGTGGTGCAATCATGGCTCACTGCAGCCTCCATCTCGTGGGCTCAGGTGATTCTCACACCTCAGCCTCCCAAGTTGCTGGGACCACAGGATGTGCCACTATGTCCAGCTAATTTTTGTATTTTTTTTTTTTTTTGTAGAGACAGGGTTTCGCCTTGTTGCCTAGGCTGGTCTTGAACTCCTGGGCTTAAGTGATCTTCCCGTCTCCGCCTCCCAAATTGCTTACAGGCACGAACCACACTGTAATCCTCAAAGGGATTACAGGCATGAACCACACTGTAATCCTCAAAGGGATTATAGGCGTGAACCACAGAGTCCCGTGAATACTTTCAGGCTGGAGTGCAGTGGCACAGTCTTGGCTCACTGCAACCTCCGTCTCCCGGGTTCAAGCGATTCTCCTCCCTCAGCCTCCTGAGTAGCTGGGATTACAGGCGTGCACCACCGTACCTGGCTAATTTTTATATTTTTAGTAGAGATAGGGTTTCACCATGCTGGCCAGGCTGGTCTCGAACTCCTGACCTCAGGTGATCGCCTACCTCCGCCTCCCAAAGTGTTGGGATTATAGGCATGAGCCACTATGCCCGGCCTAATGTTATATTTTCCACAGCTAAATACTGAATTTTGGTATTGCTCCTCTTGGAGAAGTAGTTTCAGGTATTGCTGAGTCTTAGTTTTTATATCTTATTGATGATTTTGGTTATTTTTTTTTTAAAACCTAGAACACTTGTACCAGTGTTTATACAAAAGATAGAGCTGCTAAATGTAAAATTCCAGCCCTGGACCTTCTTATTAAGGTAATTATGTTTCTAAGTACACGTATTTTACATTAAACATGTAACTTTTAAAAGAAAATCAGAGTTTTGAGTTGTGTTTTGGGTGATGTGTTTGGGGAAGGATAGGATCTAATCACATTGATGTGTGGGTAAGATGCACATTCTCCAACCATCACCTGACAATACCCTGGCTTTTTGTTTTCAGACTCTTCTGGGTAGTAAAAGAAGAATTCTGAGTTGTGAGGAGAATGAAGGAGGAAAATGACTAAGGAATTTATTGCTCTTTCATTTATCACCCTTACTGGCTTTGGCAAAACCTAATGCTATTAGGAATTGCTGAAAGATCACCTTATATCTCTGAGGTTTTTCCTAAAACCTTAGCAATGGGAAAGAGTTCATATGTTTTCTTTTTTTTTTTTTTTTTTTTTTTTTTGAGACGGAGTCTCGCTCTGTCGCCCAGGCTGGAGTGCAGTGGCGGGATCTCGGCTCACTGCAAGCTCCGCCTCCCGGGTTCACGCCATTCTCCTGCCTCAGCCTCCCAAGTAGCTGGGACTACAGGCGCCCGCCACTACGCCCGGCTAATTTTTTGTATTTTTAGTAGAGACGAGGTTTCACCGTTTTAGCCGGGATGGTCTCGATCTCCTGACCTCGTGATCCGCCCGCCTCGGCCTCCCAAAGTGCTGGGATTACAGGTGTGAGCCACCGCGCCCGGCCCATATGTTTTCTTTTCTTTCTTTTTTTGAGACAGAGTCTTGTTCTGTCATTCAGGCTGGAGTGCAGTGGCGCAATCTCGGCTCACTGCAACTTCTGTCTCCCAGGTTCAAGCGATTCTCCTGCCTCAGCCTCCTGAGTAGCTGGGATTACAGGCATGTGCCACCATGCCTGGCTAATTTTTGTATTTTTAGTAGAGACGGGGTTTTACTGTGTTGGTCACACTGGTCTCGAACTCCTGACCTCGTAATCCGCCTGCTTGGGCCTCCCAAAGTGCTAGGATTACAGGCGTGAGCCACTGTCTGGCGGGAATCAGTTGATACGTTGCAGTTAAGTGGTTGTTGGGGTCACTGTGACCTGTTTCTGTTTTTTTTGTATTTGTATTTTAGAATTCCTTTGTTTCTGGTTGCTCCTTGGTTTTGTAGGCTTCTGGGAGAAAGGTTCTAGTCATGTTGTTGGTTTCTTGGGAACGTAACACACCTAGAGCATTCTTCCCCTGATGTTCTTCCACCATACCCATCTCAACCTCTAATTCCCAGATAAGCTGGGTGGATGTGAATCCTGTGAGACCAAGTGTAAATCCTTGAGACACACCTAATTCTGAACCTTTGCTGTGGACAGATGCACTGAGATAGAGGAATCCCGTTATTTCCCTCTTTAGAGAGAATGCTAATTTGTATTGTGTTTTTTTTCTTGATTCCCGCACTACATTGATGTACTAATTTGTATTCTTTTAGTTACTTCAGACTTTTAGAAGTTCTAGACTCATGGATGAATTTAAAATTGGAGAATTATTTAGTAAATTCTATGGAGAACTTGCATTGAAAAAAAAAATACCAGATACAGGTGAGATGCATTTACATGTTATTTTCAAATAGTTTAGCAAATTAATATTAACAAATTATTAGCATAAGACTTAGGTTTTCTCTACCAAGGTCTTATTTTACAGTCGAATACTTTTTGCTGAAAATAAACCAAAATGGAACCAAACAAAAACAACATGTGAAGACTTCCCTTCACAAAAATGTTAATTTTTACAAAATTATTCCTGTAAATAGAAAACTCACAAGATATGACAAATATGATTAATACATTTGCATAAAACTTAGGAAAGAATGCAGTCCTAAAAGCTTTATATTTTATATCTCTTACTGTAAAATCAATTTTGAACTTTATTTTATTTTATTTTCTTCATACATTTTGGTTAGTTTAACTTATTTAAATGTAGTTTGAGGCCTTCACTTGTCTAAAATTTTCTTTTCAGTTTTAGAAAAAGTATATGAGCTCCTAGGATTATTGGGTGAAGTTCATCCTAGTGAGATGATAAATAATGCAGAAAACCTGTTCCGCGCTTTTCTGGGTGAACTTAAGACCCAGGTATGATGAACTTTATGACATTCTGCTTCCATAGATGTGGTTGTGTTTTTCTCTTGTAATGACATCTTCTTAAATCTTTTCTTTTAGATGACATCAGCAGTAAGAGAGCCCAAACTACCTGTTCTGGCAGGATGTCTGAAGGGGTTGTCCTCACTTCTGTGCAACTTCACTAAGTCCATGGAAGAAGGTATTGCTTGGCTTCACTTGATTTTCTTTATTCAAAAACTGTAAGTCTAACCAGCAATGCCTGATTATTTCTTTGAACTCTTAACCAATCCTGAATTTACATACAGTAGTGAGAAATAATCTAGAGGGACCTGTGGGCCCTCCCGAGTTCCCCTGATGATGACATCTTTCCCAACTACAGCACAACAGCAAGGTGGGCATTAACATTGATGTTGTCCACTGAGCTTTGTCAGATCTCACCAGTTTAACGTGCACACATTTGTGTATGTGTATTTAGTTCTGTGCAGTTGTTTAAAATTTTATTTATTTTTTTTGAGACAGAATCTTGCTCTGTCGCTCAGGCTGGAGTGCAGTGGTACTTTCT
This sequence comes from Homo sapiens, assembly GCF_000001405.40. Taxonomy (NCBI): domain Eukaryota; kingdom Metazoa; phylum Chordata; class Mammalia; order Primates; family Hominidae; genus Homo; species Homo sapiens. Next base: position 47,953,256 of record NC_000008.11, on the reverse strand, counting down.
TGGCTCACTGCAACCTCTGCTTCCCAGGTTCAAGCAGTTCTTCACTTCAGCCTCCTGAATAGCTGGGACTATAGGCACGCACCACCACACCTGGCAAATTACTTTCTTTTTTTTTTTAAACAGAGTCTCGCTCCGTAGCCCAGGGTGGAGTGCAGTGGCTCGATCTCAGGTCACTGCAGCCTCTGCCTCCCTGGTTCAAGTGATTCTCCTGCCTCAGCCTCCCGAGTACCTGGGATTACAGGCACTCGCCACTAAATGGCAAATTTTTTTTGTATTTTTAGTAGAGATGGGGTTTCACCATGTTGGCCAGGCTGGTTTCGAACTCCTGACCTCAAATGATCTGCCTGCCTTGGCCTCCCAAAGTGCTGGGATTACAGGCATGAGCCACCGCACCCGGCCTAATTTTTGTATTTTTAGTAGAGATGGGGTTTCACCATGTTGGCCAGGCTGTTCTCAAACTCATGGGCTCTGGTGATCCGCCTGCCTCAACTTCCTAAAGTTCTGGGATTACAGGCATGAGCCATTGCACCTGGCCCTTTTTAATTCTTTTTTTTTCTTTTTATAATTGAGACAGGGTATCATTATGTTGCCCAGGCTGGTCTTGAACTCCTGGGCTCAAGTAATCTGTCCACCTTGATCTCCCAAAGTGCTGGGATTATAGGCATGAGCCACCACACCTAGCGAGTTTTGTGTAATTCTGTCACGTGTATGTACCATTGTAATCAAGGTATTGAACAGATTGATTAGCACAAGGGTCCCAATGTGCTACTGACTTAGAGCCATAGTTAATCTCTTCCCCCATCTTGGCCACCTGATAACCCTTCATCTGTCTCCATCTGTGGTTTCGTCATTTCAAAAAGTTACACAGATGAACTCATGGTATGTAGCTTTTCCTGTGTGGCTTATTTCACTTAGCATAGTGTCTTTCAGGTTTGTCCATATCCTGATATGTCAGCATTGTCTTTTTTTTTGAAGGCTGAATCATATTCCTGTGTGTATTTACTGCATTTTGTTGATTCATTCATCCGTATATGGGCACTTGGTTTGCCTCTACTTACTGGTTATTCTCAGTAGTATTGCCATGATCATTGTTGTACAGAAATCTGTTGGCAGTCCCTGCTGTTGATTCTTTTGGATATATACTTAGAATTGTGATTGTTGGGTTGTATGGTAACCTTAGTTTTAATTTTCTGAGAAATCGTCATACTGTTTTTCACAGTAGCTGCAGCATTTTACATTCCCACCAACAGTGCACAAGGGTTGCAGCTTCTCCACATCCTTACTAACTTGTCATTTTCTGTGTTTTTGGTAGCAGACATCCTAATGCCTAATGGTTGCGAAGGGATATCTCGTGGTTTTGATTTCCGTTTCCCTGATGATGAGTGACGTTGGTTGTGCATCTTTTCATGTACTCACCATTTGTGTGCCTTTAGAGAAATGTCTGTTCAGATCTTTTGCCCATTTTTTAGGTTAATTGGTTTGTTTGACTTTTTGTTGAGTTGTAGATATCATTTTCTTTCTTTCTTTCTTTCCTTTTTTTTTGGAGACAGGGTCTTGCTCTGTCACCCAGGCTGGAGAGCAGTGGCTCAAACATGGCTCACTGCACCCTCAACTTCTTGGGCTCAAGGGAACCTCCCACATTAGCCTCCCAAGTAGCTAGGACCACAGGTGTATACCTGATATTAAAAAATGTTTTGTAGAGACACGGTCTTGCCTTATTGCCCAGGCTGGTTTCAAGCTCTTGGGCTCAAGTGATCCTCCTGCCTTGGCTCCCCAGAGTACTAGGGTTGCAGGTGTGAGCCACTGTGCCTAGCCAGATACCAGTTTCTTAACAGATACATGATACATGAGTTGCAAATATTTTCTGTCTCCCTTTTTCTTTTCTTTTTTTTTTCTGAGACAGGGTCTCACTCTGTTGCCCAGGCTGGAGTGCAGTGATGCTAGCATGGCTCTCTGCCTGCCTCCACCTCCTGGGCTCAAGTGATCCTCCTACCTCCGCCTCCCAAGTAGCTGGGACCACAGGCATGTGCCACCACAGATGGGTAATTTTTGTACTTTTTGAAGAGACATGGTTTCCCCATGTTGCCCAGGCTGGTCTCCAACCAAGAGATCTGCCCACCTTGGCCTCCCAAAGTGCTGGGATTACAGGTGTGAGCCGCTGCACCTGGCCCTTCTCTCATTTTTTGAGTTGCCTTTTCACTGTGTTGATTATGTCCTTTGGTACACAAAAATCCCTTGTTTTGCTAAAGTTCAGTTTTTTTATTTTTTTTATTTTTTTAAGAGATGGGGTCTCCCCAGGCAAAAGTACAGTGGCTACTCACAGATGCAATCATGGCTCACTGCAGTCTTGAACTCCTGACTCAAGCAGTTCTCCCACCTCAGCATCAAAAATAGCTGAGACTATAGGCACCACCATGCCTGGCTCCTTTTATATTTTGCAGAGATGGAGTCTCGCTGTGTTGCCCAGGCTGGTATTGAACTCCTCCCATCAAGTGACCCTCCCACCTCAGTCTCCAAAGCATTGGGATTATAGGCATGACCTGCCACGCCTGGCCAATGAAATTCTTTTCTTTTTTTGAAAGGACAAATATAACTTTTTATCCTGAAATAATCTTTTTTTTTTTTTTTTTTCCGGAGTCTTGCTCTGTCGCCCAGGCTGGAGTGCAGTGGCATGATCTTGGCTCACTGCAAGCTCCCCCTTCCGGGTTCACGCCATTCTCCCGCCTAAGCCTCCCGAGTAGCTGGGACTACAGGCACCCGCCACCACGCCCAGCTAATTTTGTTTTTGTATTTTTAGCAGAGACGGGGTTTCACCGTGTTAGCCAGGATGGTCTCATTCTCCTCACCTCGTGATCTGCCCGGCTCGGCCTCCCAAAGTGCTGGGATTACAGGTGTGAACCACTGTGCCTGGCCGATCCTAAAATAATCTTAAGGGGAGGGAAAAAGCTCCTTTGCTCTTCCTTATCACTTTTTTTTTTTTTTTTGAGACAGAGTTTCACTCTTGTCACCCAGCCTGGAGTGCAATGGCGCGATCTTGGCTCACTGCAACCTCTGCCTCCTGGGTTCAAGCCTTTCTCTTGCCTCAGCCTCCCGAGTAGCTGGGATTACAGGCGTGTGCCACCATGCTCAGCGGATTTTTGTATTTTTAGTAAAGATGGGGTTTCACCATGTTGGCCAGGCTGGTCTCCAACTCCTGACCTCAGGTGATCCACCTGCCTCGGCCTCCCAAAGTGCTGGGATTACAAGGCATGAGCCACCACCCCTGGCCTCCTTATCACTTTATCTTCAAGTAATTACCAAATGTTTGGACCTACTTTGTTTTTCTTCCATTAGGTTGAAACTTACAAAATTACTTATATCCAATGATTTTTTTTTAACCTATGTAGGCAGCAGTTTCATTTTAAGCTAATGTTTCTACCCATGCCTTCTTCCTTGCTTATCAAGATTGTTAGAGTAGCCCTGTGTAATTTTCCTTCGTGTCTTCTCTCTCCTCTCTCCTGTATCCTATGGCTCCCACTTCCTCAGCTTCTTTTCAACTGTCACCCCTCTTAGGAAGCATTTATGATTCCCCTGAGGTGAGCACTTCCTCTGGCCTCTGTACTCCCCTCTGTGACAGCACTTACGGTCATATTTTAAGTTTGTTAGGTCATATGTTTAATTCTCTCCTTTGACCCTGTTGGCAGGTGATGTTGCTTATTTGTCTTTATGTTTACTTGGCTTATAAATCAGCACTCAGTGAACATATATAGTGGAAGGAAAATAGTAGCACTTAGTGCTCATTTATTGTGTGTTAAGGACTATTCTAGACGTGTTGCAAGGCAAGTTCCTGTAATGACTCTTCATGGCAGGTAAAATGTCTCTGTTGTATAGATTAGTAAACTGCCACTCAGACAGGTTAAGTAACTTGCCCCAAGTTACACAGTGACTTGCGTGGTTAGGAGAATAATGGCCACCAGGGTGTCCCATCCTAATCCCTGTTATGCTTCATGGCATAGCGGAATTAAGGTTGCTAATCAGCTGACCTTGAACTGAAGAGATGATCCTGGATCATCCCCATGGGCTTGGTGTGATCACAGGGTCCTTAAATGTGGAAGAGGGAGGCACAGAGGAGGTCAGAGGAAGGGGATCTGGAAGGCGGCAGGAGCCAAGGCATGGGGGTGCCTCTGGAGGCTGGAGAAGTGAGAAAAGGGTTCTCCCCTAGAGCCTCTTGGAAGGAGCACAGCCCTGCTGATGCCTTAAATTTAGCTCAATATGAGAATCATTTCAGACTTCTCACCTTTAGAATTATAGGTAATAAATCTGTATTGTTTTAAACTATTAAGTTTGTGGTAAGTTGTTATGGCAACACTAGGAAACTAATATAGCTAACAAATGGCAAGTCTGGGATTTAAGCCTTGGTCTGAGGCTAAAATTTATACTTTTTTTGTGATGCCATGATCATGTGACTTCAAGCACTAAATACTAATTCATGGGTACATATATATAAGGCACCCAGGGCCGGGCGCGGTGGCTCACGCCTGTAATCCCAGCACTTTGGGAGGCTGAGGTGGGCGGATCACCTGAGGCTGGGAGTTCGAGACCAGCCTGACCAACATGGAGAAACCCCGTCTCTACTAAAAAATACAAAAAATTAGCTGGGCGTGGTGGCGCATGCCTGTAATCCCAGCTACTCAGGAGGCTGAGGCAGGAGAATCACTTGAACCTGGGAGGCGGAGGTTGCAGTGAGCTGAGATCGCGCCATTGCACTCCAGCCTGGGCGACAAGAACAAAACTCTGTCTCAAAAAAAAAAAAAAAACAAGGCACCCAGGAAATACAGACTGTATGAATGACTTATAAAAATAATTGTAAGGCCAGGCAAGGTGGCTCCCGCCTGTAATCCCAGCACTTTGGGAGGCTGAGGTGGGCAGATCACAAGGTCAAGAGATCGAGACCATCCTGGCCAACGTGGTGAAATCCCGTCTCTACTAAAAATACAAAAATTAGCTGGGCATGGTGGCACATGCCTGTAATCTTGAACCTGGGAGGCAGAGGCTGCAGTGACCCGAGATCGCGCCACTGCCCTCCAGCCTGGCAACAGAGCAAGACTCCATCTCAAAAAAAATTTTTATATATATACATATATATAAACGCGTGTGTGTGTGTGTGTGTGTGTGTGTGCAAATATATTTTTTTTGAGACAGGGTCTCACTTTGTTATCCAGGCTGTAGTGCAGTGCTGTGATATGGGCTCACTGCATCCTCAACCTCCTGGGCTCAAATGATGCTCCCACCGTGGTCCTCCCCAAGTAGCTGGGGACTATAGGTGCATGCCACCATGTCCTGCTAATTTTTATTTTATTTTTCTTTTTGAGACTTGAGTCTTGCCCTGTCACCTAGACTGGAGTGCAGTGGCGCGATCTTGGCTCACTGTAACCTCTGCCTCCCACGTTCAAGTGATTCTTGTGCCTGAGCCTCCCAAGTAGCTGGGATTATAGGTGCGCAATGCCATGTCCAGCTAATTTTTGTGTTTTTAGTAGAGACGGGGTTTCACCATGTTGCCCAGGCTGGTCTTGAACTCCTGGGCTCAAGCAATCCACCTGCCTTGGCCTCCAAAGTGCCGGGATTACAGGCATAAGCCACTGTACCCGGCCCCAACTAATTTTTGTATTTTTTGTAGAGATGGGGTTTCACCATGTCGGTCAGGCTTGTCTTGAACTCCTGAGCTGAAGCAATCCACCCGCCTTACCCTCCCAAAGGTGCTCAGATTACAGGCTTGAGGCACTGTGCCTGGCCATGGGTGCCATCTATCTAAAGAGTGATGAACTTGGTGTTAAACCAGTAATTGAAATCACCAAGTTCCTACCATCATGAGCTCAGTCTAGTGGAGGAGACAGATGAACAAATAAAGCAGCTCTGCTGATTTTGGGGTTCAGCAGTGCCCAGAGGTGGGGTGTAGTGAAGAGGAATGCCAGAATTTGGAGAGGTGGAGCACACGACCCACGGGTACTTTCTGAGGATGTAACGCAGAAGTCGTGATCAGAAGGAGGAGAGGGAGACAGCTGGGGAAGTGCTGGGAAGAGCAGTCATTCCAGGCAGCAGCTGCTCAGCACCTGGCCCCATGCTCGGCCAGTCTCTAGCCCTGTGCTTAGCCTGCGTGCAGTGGTCCGAGGGTCCACAAGAGCTGGTGTGTCAAGAGTGTGGAGGTACACAAAGTGGGCCAGGGTGAGATGGGAAGGACGCAGGGTTGGTGTTTGACAGTTTTCTGAGCTGGGATCTCATTCCAGATGGAATGGGAGCCAGAGCTTTTCAAAAAGGAGTGGATGTGGGCCAAGAGATGTTTCACAGGGGTCTGCCTGACTGCTGTTGGGTGTGGGATGTGAGTTAGTGTAGGATTGAGAGACTGTGAGTGAGGGACTGAGGGCTGTGCAGTGACTCCTAAGCTGAATGGGATGGGAGAGACCGGGTTTTTTGTAGAAACCTGGCCTTTTGTGTTGGATATATTTAACTAGAGACACTTAGGAAGCATCCAGGCTTAGATATCAGGTGTGCAGTTGTGCGTGTAACAGGGGATCTTGCAGCAGAAATCAGACTTCAGGCTATACATTTGGAGGTCTTCATCACGTAGGTAGTATTTAAAGTTAGGAGTGTGAGCAAGATGAGGAGGGGGTGAGAGTGCAGAGACCAGGCGGAGGGTCTCAAGAGAGTGCTGAGGAGGCAGTGCAGGGCTGCCTCGCATCCGGTGGAGTTTGGGGAGGAGGAGGAACTGGCAGTAAGTGGTGGGTTCAGCTCCACGAGAACCACATCCATTGAACATTGGAGAAATGGGACCTCTAGAGTGAAGAGCGGGAGGAAGTGGAGGCCATTTGTAGAAAACATGCTAGACAAATCTTGTAATGGAAGAGAGTAAAGAAATGGGCTGTGGCTGATGGGAGATGTGGGGGTAAGAGAGGGGTTTTTTTTTGAGGCAGAGTCTTGTTGGAGTGCAGTGGCACGATCTTGGCTCACTGCAGCCTCTGCCTCCCGAGTTCAAGCAATTCTCATGCCTCAGCCTACCAAGTAGCTGGGATTACCGGTATGCGCCACCACACCCAGCTAATTTTTCCTATTTTTAGTAGAGACGGGGTTTCACTGTGTTGGCCAGGCTGGTCTCAAACTCCTGACCTCAGGTGATCTGCCCACCTTGGCCTCCCAAAGTGCTGGGATTACAGGTGTGAGCCACTGCACCTGGCCAAGAGGGGGTTTAAAAAGTAGAAGTAGGCCGGGCGTGGTGGCTCACACCTGTAATCCCGGCACTTTGGGAGGCTGAGGCAGGTGTATCATGAGGTCAGGAGTTCAAGACCAGCTTGGCCAAGATAGTGAAACCCCATCTCTACTAAAAATACAAAACAATTAGCCGGGCGTGGTGGCAGGCGCCTGTAATCCCAGCTACTCGGGAGGCTGAGACAGGAGAATAGCTTGAACCCAGGAAGTGGAGGTTGTGGTGAGCTGAGATCGTGCCACTGCACTCCAGCCTGGGTGATAGAGTGAAACTCGGTGTCAAAAAAAAAGGATAGAATTTTCACACCTATGTTCCTAGCAGCAAGTCCATAGTGAGCCAAAGGGCCAGAACCACCCAAGTGTTCATCCAGGGATGAATGGATAAGCAAAATATGGCACGTAGACACAATGGAACATTACTTAGACTTAAAAAGGCAGGAAAGTCTGACACATGCTGCAGCATGGATGAACCTTGCAGACAGGATGCTAAGTGGAATAAGCCAGCCACGAAAGGCAAACAATGTGTGGTTTCACTCACACGAGGTACTTAGAGTAGTCAGATTCACAGAGACAAAGTAAAATAGAGGTTACTGGGGCTGGGGGAGGGGAAATGGGAGTTAGTGTTTGATGGGCACCCTTCTGTTATTGATGGTGAAAACATTTTGGGTATAGACAATAGTGATGGTTACACAACAGTGTGAATATGTTTAGTGCCAACGAATTGTATCTGTACACATTGTTTAAATGATAAATATGTCTGTTTTACCACATTGAAAAAAACAGATACAAGACCATGCTTCTACAGGGAGTGGGCCACTAGAGGGAGGGGCTGCAGGAGAGTGGACTGTGGAGGGCAGAGCCTGGAGAAGTCTGTCCTTGCTAAGTCCCCACCCTAAACCCACTGTGTACTGTGGGTGTCCTTGTGTCTGCACACTTGCGTTTATTAACATGACTATTTTCTATCTGAATGACCTTTTCCCCAACTAGTACCTATTCTTTCAGTCTTAGAACAAATGCTACCATATCTGGAAAGCCTTTATAGAATACTCATAGTCAGAAGAAATCTGCTTGTCATGAATTCCAAAGTAGCTTTTTTTGTATCTCATTTATGCCACCATTCTGCAACCATACAGATGTTTCTCTGCTTTAAGGCCTCTCTGACCACATTCTCTCTCCACCTCCTATCACATCATCATCAGGGCTCTGTCTCAAATATGTCAGTCCTTGCAATGAAAAGCAAACAGTTCTTGAGTCTCTGCTGATTACAAGTCACTGTTAGAAGGGTAGAGAAATTAGTGATGAATAAAGCATGACTCTATAGCTACAATGAATAATGTGGTGGGAGACAGTTATGCAAATAATTGTGATGTCAGTCAGGCCAGGATTAGAGCCTCATGTTATAGTTATGTGCCTGTTTTATCTTCCCTTTTAGTTAATAAGTATGCTGAGGTCAAAGATCATAATTTATTTGTATTTGTAATTGTCATAATATCTTGGCATGTACTATGTTTTTTTTTCTGTTTTTTTTTTTTTTTTAATTTTTTTCTTACATGTACTAGGTGTTGAATAAATGCCTGGGTGTATTGGGGAGAATGGTATGTTTGGCCATGAGTAAGTTACTTTATTTAATCCTCCAGACTATCCTAAAAGGTATATACGGTCCCTATTGCAAATAAGAAAATTGAGGCTCTGAGAGATTATCTAACAGAGCTTTTAAGTGATGAGTTGGTGTTTAAATCTCTTAGAGCTTGTAAGTGATAGGTTGGTGCTTAAACCATGTCTTTGTTATTCCAGATTTTCTTTCTGTTTTCTCGCAGTCATAACCGTGCAGCAGTAATAACTTGCAACTTTAGCTGGATGGAATGATGAAAGATGTTTCTCCTGAATTCACAAGAGATTAATGGGGTTAATATAGGTGTCAAGCTGTCTGTAAAGTGTGTTATGTGATACTGTTATTACGATTTGTAACAGGCTTCTTGGTATTTCCCTAGATCCCCAGACTTCAAGGGAGATTTTTAATTTTGTACTAAAGGCAATTCGTCCTCAGGTAGGATTAATATTACTATTAATATTATTCTAATGCCTTTACAGTGCAGACTTTCAAATACTGATGGTGAATTTTTCTTTTCTAAAATAGATTGATCTGAAGAGATATGCTGTGCCCTCAGGTAGGATTCTGTTTATAATGAGGTATAATATTTTAGATTACTAAATTAACATCTCAAGTAAGCTTTTGCTTAAACTTTGAATGAAAGCAAATGTGATAACATCTGTGATGTTTCACACACAGTTATTTACAGGGAGGCTTTCGGTGACTTAGTAAGCTCTGGTTGAAATGCTGATACTCAGGTTACATGGTTGAAAGCACTTTATTTTAGGGTATCTTTCAGGGGATCCAGGCTGTTTGATTCTGACTTTGCCTCAATGAATCCTGATTCCACTTCTGACCCTTGTTTTGGGATTTGTCAGCCAAGTTATGGGCCTGTTAATTGGTAGTGTTAGAGCTCTGACAGGAATCCCTGGGTTACTGTAGTGTAATGGTACTAGATCTTCCTGAGCACAGTGTTGACTTTGACATATCCCTGCAGGTTTGTTGGTTTTCTGTTCTGTGTTATGTCGTCTGATTTTAAATATAATGGCATTTGCATTTGCAGCTGGCTTGCGCCTATTTGCCCTGCATGCATCTCAGTTTAGCACCTGCCTTCTGGACAACTACGTGTCTCTATTTGAAGTCTTGTTAAAGTGGTGTGCCCACACAAATGTAGAATTGAAAAAAGCTGCACTTTCAGCCCTGGAATCCTTTCTGAAACAGGTACCACAAATTCAACTGTCATTTAACAATATTTCTTTCACACACAGAATTAAATTCCCTTTGCATGCATGCATGTTTGAAAATAAATACAAGTTGATCTGTAGCTTCTGTAGTATTTAAAGCAGAAAGATGTTGATCAGCCAGCCATATGGGAGGCAGCCAGACTGAAAGAGAGCTAGGGAGATGCCAGATTTGATTAGGGCCTCAGAGCCTAGATTGAGACAAGTGTAATGGAGCAAAGACGTGGTGAGGTGATGGCCGGAAGGGCTGGGAGGTCAGGGCTGGAGAGTGGGTGGAGGGCTGAGGGGAGCCCCATCTCTCCTGGAAGAGGAGGGCTAGCTGTCTCCAGGGGATAGATGCTTGTGTGTCAACTTGAAAACAAGGGGTGCCTCTTTGCCATTGTGGATTTTCCACCTGGATAGGAGGTGGTTACAGAATCTGTACCTGCGTATGTGGAAGCTTGTCTGGTCGGCTGAGGAGACCGTGCTTGTCATTCTGAGCACTGGTCTCCAGGATGTCCTGGGTGTCCAGAGGTGGCTGCAGGGGCCTGGCCATTAAGGAAGTGGACTTCTGGGGTTGCTCTGAGGGAAAGGACTGGAGATTCACAACAAATGTTTTCTTAGGGGCCCTGCTGTACATGGGTAAACAGTAGCTGCATTCACAGGGTATCCATGCAAACCTGTGTGAACAGTGTGGCAGTTGTGTTAGCCTGAGAGTCACAGCCGGGATGTGTGGAAGGAGAAGAGAGAGCACTGGCATCCTTTTTTCATGTCTGGGCCTGCCTTCCAAAAAACTGAGCCGATGGGCCTCATCTTTGGCCTCTGCCTCTGCCGCCTGTCCCTCTCGCCTCCTTAGTCTCCCTGCTGTACTTGGCCTTCCCGTCAGACTTGTGTTCCCCCTGAAGTCACTCTTGGCTTTGAGGTTACCTTGGTCCTTCTCATAAAACTCCTGTTACGCTGAACTTGGCTGGCCTTACTTGCTAAGGGAAATAAAAATCAGAGGAATTATTTTTTACTGATTCATATGAATATGTTTGGATCTCAGTAAACATTTACTGCGATAAACATCTTGACAGAGAGAATTTCATGCCTTGTTAGCAAGGAGGAGTGTCCGGAATGTGTGCAGAGGGATCATCCCTGGTGGCACCCTGGGGGCCTTGTTCCCTAGCGATGCCTGCCTTTCCTAGCACAGGGCTGGGTGGGGCGTGGGCCTGCAGGGAAGCCGGCCAGCCCTCCCTCCACTGCGCTGGTTGTCTTTAATGAGCCACGCAGACATCTCTGTTTCACATCCTTGCCAGAGACTTTTCAGTCCCCCACTCCAATTCTTAATGAAAACTACATTGAATAGATTTTAGAGTTTCATTGAGGAAATATATTCTACCTGCTAATCTCTACCTCGTGAGAAAGTTATTTGAGCTTAGTCAGGGGAGAAGTTCAAGAGAACTATCCTCAATGCTGCCCTCAGGGCTGATGCCTGTTGCAAGTTTGGGAGTTTGCAATATACCCTCAAATTTGATACTCACATCTATGGTTTATTACAGCTAAAGGGCCCAGATAAAAATCAACCGAAGGAAGCGGCACACAGTGCAGAGATGAAGAAAGTACCAAATGTGGATCTTCCCTGGTCCTCTCCCCGCAGAGTCAGGGCAGCATTCCTTTCCCAGCATCCATGTGTGGAGCATTGACTGGGTGCTCCCCCAAACCTCTGTGTTTGGGGTTTCCCTTGGGGCCCCACCCTGTAGGCATAGTGGGTTGTTGGGTCTCGGCTTCCAGGGATGCTGTGTGACCCAAAGCTCCCATTCCGAGTCACATTGTTACCAGGTGTGGTCAGCTCCACCCTGAGTCCCATTATTAGATCATCCCTTGTGACCTGAGGCCCCAGGCAAGGAGAGGCACCCTCTTTCCCTCCTTCTTCAGAATAGGGAGTGAGGAGAGAGGAAGAAAGAGGGAAAGAGGACTTTACATAAAGGATACATAATTTTTTGGCCTTTTTTCCACTATGTTGAATATATTTTCCTCACAGTGACATCTATATGATGTGTTTTTTTTGTTGCTGTTTTTTTGGTTTTTTTTTTTTTTTGAGATGGAGTTTTGCTCTGTCACCCAGGCTGGAGTGCAGTAGCGCAAGCTTGGGTTACTGCAACCTCTGCCTCCTGCGTTTAAGCAATTCTCGTGCCTCAGCCTCCCAAATAGTTGGGATTATAGGCACCTGCCACCGTGCCTGGATAATTTTTGTATTTTTGTTAGAGACAGGGTTTCACCATGTTGGCCAGGCTGACCTCAGGTCATCCACCCTTCTTGGCCTCCCAAAGGGCTGGGATGACAGGCGTGAGCTACTGCGCCCGGCCAACATCTGTGTGATTAATTTTCAGTGGCAGTGTAATATATGATATTTATGAGCCATAGTGTTTTAATCTGTCCTCTGTCTGCTACTGTTGAATAATTATTTTCAAGTCTTTAATACTATATCCAGGAAATAGTTGAATAAAGATGCGTTAAAAACATGCTTACTGGGAATACAATAATAGAAAATTAGCATTATAGTATATAATATTTGCTATTCTGTAATTAAGTAAAATGCTGTTGTTTACTTCTTGAGAAACATTTATGATATGTTTTGTGAAGAAGGAAATTATGAAACAGTATATACAATGTTTCATTCTTCTAAAACAAATAAGGAGCAAAGTTCCCCGAAGGTCAGGCGCTAAGACCTAGTGGCTTTAGGGGGATTGGGAAGTGTATGGATAAGTTGGCAGTGGAAGGTGGATTTTTTTTTCTGCCTTTGATAATTGTCTAGATAGATTTCTTCCATTCTTATTCTGGGCAGTCTTTGTGCTGAAATGGGGAATGCTCTTTGAATACCTGTATTAGTTCTTGCATTTAGGCTCTTGTCTCTTGGTTTGGTAAATAATGATCTATTTGCTTCTCAGACGACATTTTCCCCTTGCATCACTTAATTTAAGCTTTATAGTTTGTAGCTTATTTTTTTGAAAACTGAGATGCTTTGTCTTTCTGATTGTTCTGAACTCTATTTATTGATGACGTCTGAAGTCACTGGTCCCCTGACAGCTCTCTTTCACCCTGTGGGTGACAGGTGAGATTGTTCTGAACTCTGTTTATTGACGATGTCTGAAGTCACTGGTCCCCTGACAGCTCTCTTTCACCCTGTGGGTGACAGGTGAGCTCTAAAGACTGCTCTTTGCTTCCTCAGAGAGCCTTAATTCAAAACCTGTTTTTGGTTTTTTTTTTTTTTTTTTTTCAGACTTATGTGTATCCTTGGTCTCTTAGTCCCTTCTCTAGGAAAAATGTATCACATAGCCTTATTTAAGACACTTTTCTGAACCTGATAGAGACTAAGCAAAATGGAAGCAAAGGGTCTTTATGATTAAAAGCAATTGCGTGTAACTATAACAGTACATTAGTAGCATCTAAACAGTTCTAGTTTTTCCATGTTTGTATAGATTCCATTGCTATTAAATATTTCCAAAAAAATAAATATTATGTATTTGCAGGTTTCTAATATGGTGGCGAAAAATGCAGAAATGCATAAAAATAAACTGCAGTACTTTATGGAGCAGTTTTATGGAATCATCAGAAATGTGGATTCGAACAACAAGGAGTTATCTATTGCTATCCGTGGATATGGACTTTTTGCAGGAGTATGTCTCATTAACTTACTCTATTTTGTCTTGGTTTCACGTGATTGTTTAAAGGAATCTAATTCATTGCATTTTGAATAGTGTCTAATACTTGTAACAATACAGTAGACCCTTGAATAACATGGGCGTGAACTGCACAGGCTCACTTACATGCAGATGTTTTTCTACCATACGGATCAAAAATACAGTGTGTGCTGGATGTGAAACTTATATAGAGGGCTGACCTTTTGTATATGAGGCTTCCACAGGGTGACTGTGGGACTTGAGTATGCATGGATTTAGGTATACTGAGGAGGCCTGGAACCAATCCCTCCCGCATGTACTGAGGGTCACTGTATTAGTATTGTTTATTAACAGTTAAGATTTCTTCAGTGTCTGCTGTGTACTAGAATTCTTTACATGTGGTATCTCAAAATCTCCTAACCCTTAGGAGCTCAGTATTACTCTGTTTTGCAGATTAGCAAACTGAGATGCAGAGAAATTAGGAAACTTGTCAAGAGACTCAGAATTGACAGAACCAAGGCATAAGTCCAAGTGTGAAGAATAGAAACACCATGTTTCCCCTCTGTGCTATGCTGCTCCTTATTCCTAAAGTAAAATTGTAGTTGATTTCACAACGTTTTAGGAAGAGAAGTTAAAAAAAAAGTTTATATGACAGAAAGAGATATATTTAAGAATATTAGCTAGGTGTGGCGGCCCACACCTGTAATCTCACCATCTCACCGCTTTGGGAGGCCGAGGCGGGCAGATTGCCTGAGGTCAGGGGTTTGAGACCAGCCTGGCCAAGGTGGTAAAACCCTGTCTGTACTAAAAATACAAAAATTAGCCGGGCATGGTAGCACATACCTGTAATCCCAACTGCTTGGGAGGCTGAGGCAGGAGAATCTCTTAAACTCAGGAGGCAGAGGTGGCAGTGAGCTGTGATCGAGCCACTGCACTCCAATCTGGGCAACAGAGACACTATCTCTTAAAAATTTTTTTTTAAAGAAAAAATATTGAGAATAACCCTAGTTATTTCCTCTTAGTGGAATTCTGTGACTTCTGCTTTGTAGAAAAAACAACTGATTTCTTTTTTCTTCCTACAATCTCTCCCTTTTTTTCTTCTTTCTTTTTTTCTTTCTTTTTTTTTTTTAATTTTTGAGTTGGAGTTTCGCTTTTGTTGCCCAGGCTGGAGTGCGATGGCATGACCTCGGCTCACCACAACCTCCACCTCCCGGGTTCAAGCAATTCTCCTGCCTCAGCCTCCCAAGTGCTGGGATTACAGGCATGCTCCACCACACCTGGGTATTTTTTTTTTTGTATTTTTAGTAGAGACAGGGTTTCTCCATGTTGGTCAGGCTGGTCCCGAACTCCCGACCTCAGGTGATCCGCCCACCTTGGCCTCCCAAAGTGCTGGGATTACAGGCATGAGCCACCGCTCCTGGCCTCTCCCTTTTTCCTTTCTTTTTCTTTTTTGCCTCTCAGGCTGGAGTGTAGTGGTACAATCATAACTCACTGTAGCCCTGACCTCTAGGGCTAAGCAATCCTGCTGCCTTAACTTCCCGAGTAACTGGGACCACAGACATGAGCCACCATGCCCAGCAAATTTTTTAATCTTTCGTAGAGACGATATCTCACTTCGTTACACAGACTGTTCATGAACTCCTGGCTTCAAGCAAACCTCCCGCCTCAGTCCCCAAAGCACTGGACTTACAGCTGTAAGCCACAGTGCCCAGCCTTTCCCTTTTTCTTAATCTTCATCTCCATTTGTCTCTGTTGGCGACTTTAAATATGCTTAGGGCAGAAGAAACAGAATGGCAGAAGGCTCTGAGCTAAAAGATTGCATGAGATTTTCCCTTTACACAGTGATCTATCCCCACTTGAGCTTGTCCCTGTGGCTAGAGCATGATAGGCAGGAGAGGGGAAATGGATCTGAAGAGGTGCACCATCAGATCCTCGGGGAGCCTGGACTAGATTCAGAAGTCCTAGAAAAGAAGCCTTGGAAAAGTCTGAAATTGAGCAATTACATTAGCGCATTTGTGAGTCTGAAAAAATGGCTCTGGTGTGGTAGGGTGTGTGACATGGAGCATCTTCCAGTCATGTATGGACTCCTGGCCTCTCCTGTAGGTGGACAGCCTTGGGGCAGGGACTGCCTCTCATTTGTCCTCAGTACCCACTGTCTAAACAGTGCCTAGAACATAGCTGACAACCAATAAATGCTTCCTGTGTGAATAAATATTTAAAATGTGGTTACAGATTATTATACAAAGCATCTTTATAATGAGATATATTTTATTTATTTATTTATTTTTTGAGGTGGAACCTCACTGTTGCCCAGGCTGGAGTGCAGTGGCGCGATCTCAGCTCACCGCAACCTCCGCTTCCTGGGTTCAAGTGATTCTCCTGCCTCAGCCTCTTGAGTAGCTGGGATTACAGTTGTGCGCCACCATGCCTGGCCAATTTTTTTTTTTTTTTTTTTAAGTAGAGACGGGGTTTCACCATGGTGGTCAGGCTGGTCTCAAACTCGTGACCTCAAGTGATCTGCCCGCCTCGGCCTCCCAAAGTGCTGGGATTACAGGCATGGGCCGCCGCACCCGGCCAGATACTGTATTTTATATCTGTATTTCTTCTTAATTAAAAAGCTTGTGGCTGGGCACAGTGGCTCCCGCCTGTAATCCCAGCACTTTGGGAGGCTGAGGTGGGCAGATCACCTGAGGTCGGGAGTTTGAGACCAGCCTGACCAACACGGAGAAACCCTGTCTCTACTTAATACAAAAAAAAAAAAAAAATAGCCAGGCGTGGTGGCACATGCCTGTAATCCCAGCTACTCGGGAGGCTGAAGCGGGAGAATCACTTGAACCTGGGAGTTGGAGGTTGTGGTGAGCTGAGATCACGCCATTGCACTCCAGCCTGGACAAGAGCGAAACTTCGTCTCAAAAAAAAAAGAAGCCTTGTTAAACTTGTGTTTATAATCACATGGCTTAACATGACACCTTAAATATTATTTTGATCTTGATAAGATTGATGAAGACTTCTGTTTTACCTTTTCTAAAGCCGTGCAAGGTTATAAACGCAAAAGATGTTGACTTCATGTACGTTGAGCTCATTCAGCGCTGCAAGCAGATGTTCCTCACCCAGACAGACACTGGTGACGACCGTGTTTATCAGATGCCAAGCTTCCTCCAGTCTGTTGCAAGCGTCTTGCTGTACCTTGACACAGTAAGTGAACTAAACTGAGCACAATTTTAAGTATTTAATCTTCATTTCTTCAAATAATTTGATGGAGTCATACAATACATTTAGTGTAGGCACTGTTGGGAACAACATGACAGTTTTAGTTAGTACTTTGTGGCAATAGAATTATTGTCATGAAACTCGATTTTTTGTTATCCAGAACAGGAAAAAAATATTTGTTTCTCCTTCCATCTTTCTGAAAGATTTGGAATTGTTGCTTGGGATAGAATTGCACCTCAAGACAATTTTTACTCTGAGTGTGTGTTTTTTTTTTAAGGCAATCACAGTAATACATGTTAAGCAGCAGGTTAGATGACAAACCATGTTTTTCTTTTAATAAGTATCTAATTCAGTTGTAATTACTTTGAATATTTGTATTATTCCTGTATTCATTGATTACCTCCTCTAACTCACGGTTTGCTGATTATTTCCGGTAGGTTCCTGAGGTGTATACTCCAGTTCTGGAGCACCTCGTGGTGATGCAGATAGACAGTTTCCCACAGTACAGTCCAAAAATGCAGCTGGTGTGTTGCAGAGCCATAGTGAAGGTGTTCCTAGCTTTGGCAGCAAAAGGGCCAGTTCTCAGGAATTGCATTAGTACTGTGGGTAAGTTTGCAATTTATTGTATTTATGAGTAATGATGGATAATTAACACATTATTTGATATAGGTAAAGAGAATCTGGTTACCAAATTCTTTTGTATCTTTGACACAACTTTTGAACTCCTAAATTTTGGTAGACCAAAATCTTTTCCTTTTTTTCATCCTATTACCTCTGAATTTTAATAGTTCTATTAATAGAACTATTAATTTTAATAGTTTTTTTTCATTTTTTTTGGTGACAAGAGTCTCGCTCTGTCCCCCAGGCTGGAGTGCAGTGGCATGATCTTGGCTCACTGCAACCACTGCCTCCTGGGTTCAAGCGATTCTCTTGCCTCAGCTTCCAGAGTAGCTGGGACTACAGGCGCCCGCCACCATGCCCGGCTAATTTTTGTAGTTTTAGTAGAGACAGGGTTTCACCATATTGGCTAGGCTGGTCTCGAACTCCTGACCTTTTGATCCACCTGCCTCAGCCTCCCAAAGTGCTGGGATTACAGGCATGAGCCACCGCGCCTGGCCAATAGTTTTAAGTTTTAAAATTAAAGCCGTGAATGAACTTAGAAAATAAATTGAGAGGTAAAGTTGGGTTCCAAAATATAATGACTGTTTGTTTTTTTTTGTGAGTTTTGATTCTGTTTTTCAGTGTTTCCTTCATTTTTGTTTTCTTTTTCTTTTTTCAGTGCATCAGGGTTTAATCAGAATATGTTCTAAACCAGTGGTCCTTCCAAAGGTAAATTCTGAATTTAATGTTTAGAAAATTAATCTGTTATCACTGAAAGCTAGGAATGTTGCTGAGGTTTTCGAATATAATTTTGCAAAAGTGGCCGTTCTTTTCTTAGTTATTAGCAATGCCTTACATTTTGAAAAGTGTAGGACATAATACCTCTATATTTTGTTAGGTGAATACACTTCTAAGGTATGAAACATCTTTAAGCATAACTTTAGGTTTTATACATTTTTGTAAATCAGAAATGTTTTCTCTCTTGAAACTCTAGGACAAATTGCTAAGGGAGGCATATCTTAGTTCCCAGAAATTATAGGACATATGATGAGATGAAAGATTGAACTATGTACGAAAGCAAGATAAATGATGATAGCACATTCAGTGGATATTGTATTGAAGTACTTGTTGGTGTATCACAGTTTTAGTCACAGAAGAATCACATATTTTTCCGTTATCTATTTATTTATTTATTTATTTTTTGAGACAGAGTCTCGCTCTGTCACCCAGGCTGGAGTGCAGTGGCACGATCTTGGCTCACTGCAACCTTCCCCTCCAAGGTTCAAGCGATTCTCCTGTCTTAGCCTCCCAAGTAGCTGGTATTACAGGCGACCGCCACCTTGCCCAGCCAATTTTTGTGTTTAGAGTAGAGACATTTTGCCATGTTGGCCAGGCTGGTTTCAAACTCTTGACCTCAGGTGATCCGCCCACCTTGGCCTCCCAGAGTGCTGGGATTACAGGTGTGAGCCACCGCACCTGGCCTTAGCTTTTTAAATTATGCTTTTTTAATACGATGTCTTCCTTAATCATATGGTCTCCTATGGGTGGCAGTTTAATTTAGAAAATTCTGAAAACCAGCATGTTCTGGCAGCAGTGCTGCTTCTGAGAATCCATCACTACATATTGTCATGCTGTCTTTCTGGCCAGGGCCCTGAGTCTGAATCTGAAGACCACCGTGCTTCAGGGGAAGTCAGAACTGGCAAATGGAAGGTGCCCACATACAAAGACTACGTGGATCTCTTCAGACATCTCCTGAGCTCTGACCAGATGATGGTAACATTTACCATTGAAAGCCATAAATGTACCTTACTTCCTTTATTAGTCTCCATAGTTTAGACATAAGACTTATTTCAGAATTATATTTTACTAACTTTCAAAAGTTTAAAACAGTGTACTTCAAAAATAAAAAATTAAAACCGTATGAATCAGGAAGTTAGAATGAGAGTGGAAATAAATGAATTGAAAGAAACACAGACATAGAACTCCTTTAACATTAGTTACTGTAGCTGAGTCCTCATTTTAGCTTTAAATAGCAGGATGGTATAGCTCATGCTAAGCTGTTCTTCCTAACAGGTCCAGCCTGAGGATGGATATATATGTATTTGTACGTATGTATGTATGTGTACGTTTATATATGTGTGCATATTTAGTTATGTATGCACATAAGTATATGTGCATGTACTTACATGTACACAGACATAAAAGATATAGTGTCTATATATGCATATTACACATATTTGTGTTTATACATACACATCCACAGATTAATTGGGGTAAATGCTTTGACAAGGATTGGCCTAAATCTTCTCACTTACTGCTGTATACAGAGTAAGTATTTGTTACATGACTGGATAAATGACATCTGACTGAAATGATGCTGTTATAATAATTTAGGAAGGTATCTTGCAACTTGAAAACTTCCAGGTAAATCTGCTGCAGTTTATCATCACTGTTTCCATAATACCCAAACCGGCACATACATCTGTGTATGTGTCTTAATGCTTATAAAATACTAATACATTTTTGCACAAGATTTTGAAGTTTATTGTTTTTCTTTATTTAAAGGATTCTATTTTAGCAGATGAAGCATTTTTCTCTGTGAATTCCTCCAGTGAAAGTCTGAATCATTTACTTTATGATGAATTTGTAAAATCCGTTTTGAAGATTGTTGAGAAATTGGATCTTACACTTGAAATACAGACTGTTGGGGAACAAGAGGTTAGAAATTTTTATCAGTAGTAATTTTTCATCATTTTTGTATCAGCTGTCTTTGCATATAAATATTTAGGGGACAATAGCACATTTGTAGAGGAGAACTGGAGAAAATTTGGTTCTTCAGGATTATTATGTGCCACTGATGCATTTCTGTTGGATGTAACCTATTGTATAGAAAATGTTGTTACTAGATGGTTCAAAAAGTAATTTATATATGTTAATTTTTTTTTTGAAAAAATTATTTACTAGGTTCATTTGTTTCTTATTCCTTAGCAATAGTAAAGAGTGACAGAAATCTTATTTTATGTAGAAATGACTTTGTATGGGATAGGGAAACCTGGGGTTGCTCTTGTTTATAGTTAAGGAAACTCCAAATTGTGGTACAAGGTGTTAAATGTGTTCCTGATATAGGAAAATATAGATAATAGGAAGAGAAATAAGAAAATGCCCTCCCTTTTTTTCACACCCAATTTTCCTAGCCTGAGTTAAAGATAAGTCATGGCTTAGGCCTGGCGCGGTAGCTGAAACCTGTAATCCCAGGACTTTGGGAGGCCGAGGCAGGCAGATCACGAGGTCAGGAGATTGAGACCATCCTGGCTAACACGATGAAACCCCGTCTCTACTAAAAAATACAAAAAAAGGCCAGGCGCGGTGGCTCATGCCTGTAATCCCAGCACTTTGGGAGGCCGAGGCAGGCGGATCACAAGGTCAGGAGATCGAGACCATCCTGGCTAACACGGTGAAACCTCGTCTCTACTAAAAATACAAAAAATTAGCCAGGCATGGTGGCGGGCGCCTGTAGTCCCAGCTGCTCGGGAGGCTGAGGCAGGAGAATGGCATGAACCTGGGAGGTGGAGGTTGCAGTGAGCCGAGATTGCACCACTGCACTCCAGCCTGGGCGACAGAGCGAGACTCTGTCTCAAAACAAACAAACAAACAAACAAACAAACAAAATACAAAAAAAATGAGCCGGGCGTGGTGGCGGGCACCTGTAATCCCAGGTACTCAGGAGGCAGAGGCAGGAGAATGGCGTGAACCCGGGAGGCGGAGCTTGCAG
Organism: Homo sapiens; assembly: GCF_000001405.40. NCBI lineage: Eukaryota > Metazoa > Chordata > Mammalia > Primates > Hominidae > Homo > Homo sapiens. The sequence goes on along the minus strand of NC_000008.11, from coordinate 47,931,965 downwards.
TGAGCTGAGATTGCGCCACTGCACTCCAGCCTGGGTGACAGAGTGAGACTCCATCTCAAAAAAACAAAAGGATAAGTCATGGCTTAAGTCTGGAGCTGCCCTGCTCTGGTCCGAGGCATTGGTGGTAACTGGACTCCATGGTAATTTGGCTGGTGAGAAAGAACTAAGATCCTGGGAAGGTGTCTTGCTTGCTTTCGACTGCAGTGATTGTTTCAGACCAGATGGTGCTGATTCGAGTTCATGCGTCAGTACCTCCACTGCAGTCCTGAGAAGTTAGACAAGAGGCAATGGGGAGGATGTGCAGAGGAAACATGAAGGGACACAGTACAAGCCGGTGGTCACATCAGCTTTATTGCACTTGGAGTATTCTGTTTTTCATGCGGGATGATAGGTAGCAACACTGATGTGTGGTTTATTGCTCTCTGTGCTTTGCAAATGTCTAAAATAATTTTATTAAAAAAAAAAAAAACTTGCCCAAAGGGACTTCCTGGAACTGTGTCAGCTGACAGACCTGCATTTTAGAACATGTGTGTTCATTGCTGTCTTCAGTGGCTTCCCTTTCTCCTCTGTTCCCTGCCCTTCCAGCTTCATTCCAACAGATCAATGACCACCTGTTAGCACTTCCCAGATATATTTGGTCTCCAGCCTCCTCCTCCCTTGTTGGTTCCTGCTCTGTATTTCTAACTACTTGTGCAACATTTTAATTTGAATACACAGTTGTGTTTGGTAACACAAATTTGGTGACACAAACTTAGCGTGTTTAAAACTGATCTTCATGCACTTCCAAAATACCACATTTTTCATTTATCTTTCTTACTACTGTTAATAATTTCTCTATTTCTCTTTTTCTTCACTTGAAATCTCTAGGTCACCTATTAAAATTCTATCTCTGTCAAGGCATTATTGCTAGCTCCCTCAAGAAGTGCTGCCCACCTCTGGCATTTTCCTATTTGTCCCATTCTCTCATCACTTCCTGTGAGTCCTTTTGGTTAACGCTTTCTGCAAGTCCTGCCCTTCTTATCAGACCATAGGTCTTGAGCACCCATCTTGGTCTTTCTCGCTGTTGCAATCTTTCTTCGTAGCATCAGGCCTTGACCATGAAGTCAGTTGGAAAGTTATTTGTTGAGTGATTCGTGATTGAATGGTACAATGTTTCTTTGCTACAATTACTCTTTAAGAATGGAGATGAGGCGCCTGGTGTTTGGATGATCCCAACTTCAGATCCAGCGGCTAACTTGCATCCAGCTAAACCTAAAGATTTTTCGGCTTTCATTAACCTGGTGGAATTTTGCAGGTATTTGGTAAAATTCTAATTATTTAAGAATGAAAATGATTGTTAGTTATTGGCTGTAATATAGGAAATTCCTTATATAGATGTAAGAAATGAAATAATAGGCCGGGTTCGGTGGCTCACGCCTGTAATCCCAGCACTTTGGGAGGCCGAGGCAGGTGGATCACGAGGTCAGGAGATCAAGACTATCCTGGCTAACATGGTGAAACCCCATCTCTACTAAAGATACAAAAAATTCGCCGGGCATAGTGTCAGGCGCCTGTAGTCCCAGCTACTCGGGAGGCTGAGGCAGGAGAATGGCATGAACCCGGGAGGTGGAGCTTGCAGTGAGCCGAGACTGCGCCACTGCACTCCAGCCTGAGCAACGGAGCGAGACTCCGTCTCAAAAAATAAATAAATAACAAATAATAAAAGACAAAATCTGTAATCGATTATATAGATCTTTAAAATATATCTAAGTGTACTAGGTTACAGTTTTCATTTTTTATATTTAAAAGATCCTCAGGTAGAGAAAAATGGATTATAGATATAACTAAACATTTTAGGATACCTCAAAATGTTACGTGATGGGTTTGTAGCTTAGTTGTTCGATTATGTCCCTTACAATTTTAAGATCAGAATGATACAAATTTCTACCTTCAATTTCTAATTTGTTTTTACAGAGAGATTCTCCCTGAGAAACAAGCAGAATTTTTTGAACCATGGGTGTACTCATTTTCATATGAATTAATTTTGCAATCTACAAGGTTGCCCCTCATCAGTGGTTTCTACAAATTGCTTTCTATTACAGTAAGAAATGCCAAGAAAATAAAATATTTCGAGGTGAGTCTTTCTTGCAGGATGTTGAATCTTGCGTTTTTTTAGGTCATGAGTATATATAAATGTATCATAAAATATGTGATTGTGGCCTATGCAGTTTTAAAGTCTACTAATTTTATTCTATGTGTTTAAAAAAATTGATATGTGAATGGCAGTTGGATAGCACTCTAAAAAGCTAGCAGCATTTTTTGCCCTGATGCTCAAACACCTGGCTAATTATGTAAGATTAACAAGGCCTCTCAAAGTATGGTCCCAGGACCGGCAGCCTTGAGCATTGCTTTCTGCATCACAAACCTTGGGGGCAGGTCTCTGCTGCCCTGCTAAGCACCACCAGGTGATTCTGGCACCCAGTGAAGTTTGAGAACAACTGGATTAGCATTCTCGACGCTCCAGTCAGTCACATGAGGAGCCCACCTGGGTAATTACAGGGTGAGATGAGGAAGAGGGAATGGACTTAGCTGTGTGCTTGGCTTCTCACTAGCTGCCACCTTCCCTCCTCTTGTTCTGACTAGCCTGTGCCTTGAAATGTCTGCAGAGCTGATTCTGCCTCCTGTCTTCATTAGATGTTGGTAACTTGAAATGGATTCACCCCTCTGAAGACAGGCTAGGAACTACTGGATTGGGATACAGTCTCCCGATTCTTGTTCAGTGTACTAACTTGCTGTTTTATTTGACAGGGAGTTAGTCCAAAGAGTCTGAAACACTCTCCTGAAGACCCAGAAAAGTATTCTTGCTTTGCTTTATTTGTGAAATTTGGCAAAGAGGTAATTTTTAAATGATTTATCTTAGTGTTATCATGAACTGTTTTTAAATGAATATCTATTGAAAAAATCCTAGTGATCATAAATAATTATTTTAAGAATTGGGGCTGGGTGCGGTGGCTCATGCCCTTAATCCCAGCACTTTGGGAGGCCGAGGTGGGAGGATCACAAGGTCAGTAGTTCGAGACCAGCCTGACCAATGTAGTGAAACCGTGTCTCTACTAAAAATACAAAAATTAGCCAGGCGTGGTGGTGCACGCCTGTAATCCCAGCTCCTCAGTAGGCTGTGAGGCTGAGGCAGGAGAACTGATTGAACCCTGGAGGCAGAAGTTGCAGTGAGCTGAGATTGCACTACTGTACTCCAGGCTGGGTGACACAGCGAGACTCTGTCTCAAAAAAAAACAATTGTGTCAGGTTAGGAGGCTGGGGGAGGAGAATCGCTTGAACCCGGGAGATGGAGGTTGCAGTGAGCCGAGATAGTGCCACTGCACTCCAGCCTGGGGAACAGAGCAAGACTGTGTCTCAAAAAAAAAAATAAATAAATAAATAAATAAAAATAAAAATGTGTTTGCTAAATCTGGAGCGGGACTAAGGTCCTAAAAAAACTAATTAGAGGAAGTTATTGTGCTTCAAAAGTCCCTCAGCCAGGCACTTTGGTTCGTGCCTGTAATCCTAGCACTTTGGGAGGCCAAGGTGGGTGGATCACTTGAGGGCAGGAGTTCAAGACCAGCCTGGCCAACATGGCGAAATCCCATCTGTACTAAAAATACAAAAAATTAGCCAGGTGTGGTTGTACATGCCTGTAATCCCACCTACTTGGGATGCCGAGGCAGGAGAATCGCTTGAAGGATGGCAGAGGTTGCAGTGAGCCGAGATTGCACCATGCACTCCAGCCTGGCTGACAGCACGACTCTATCTTACAAAAAAAAAAAAAAAAAAAGTCCCTCAAGCTCTCTTAACATAATTCAGTTGAGTGATGACAACTCAAGATGAAATAGATTCTTGTTTTTCCATGTAGTAGGTATTAAGCATTTCGACAAATTAACTTTCCTGGAGGTTAGTGTGTAATTTGTAAGTGAATGTGGTCATGTCAATAAAGGCTACGTGCCAATTTTTGTATTTGAGAATAGGGCAAATACTTTTTAGTTGATTTTCAAATGTAGGCTCTATTCAGATATACATTACTGTCTTCTTTCTTGTTAAGGTGGCAGTTAAAATGAAGCAGTACAAAGATGAACTTTTGGCCTCTTGTTTGACCTTTCTTCTGTCCTTGCCACACAACATCATTGAACTCGATGTTAGAGCCTACGTTCCTGCACTGCAGGTAGGCGTTGTCTTGAACAGAGCCATCTCTTCATCGCTGTTGTGAGTCCCAGAGCACATAGAAACACCATCCTCTTGCCCTGGCAGTCCCAGCAGGCGTTTCCTCACAGGCGTGCCCGGGTCAGGGTCTGCTTCTGCCACTTACTGGCTTTGGGACTTAGACCCTTGGTGACTCTGAACTGCACTTGGAGGTCGATGTGAGAGTTAAACCTGTGTGCCTTGAAAGGCTGCGGTATACCACAGCCACAGAGACAGCTGCTTGCTTTCCTCCTAATTACCTGGACTGAACTCTCCAGCGGTGTCGGGCATCCAGTAATAAAAAGGAGTATTAATTAGAAATCACAATTACTTGGTGTTTTTTTCCTCTAAATCTTATATTTCCTGCGTTTCAGTTTAACTTGTTTGTATTAACATACAGATGGCTTTCAAACTGGGCCTGAGCTATACCCCCTTGGCAGAAGTAGGCCTGAATGCTCTAGAAGAATGGTCAATTTATATTGACAGACATGTAATGCAGCCTTATTACAAAGACATTCTCCCCTGCCTGGATGGATACCTGAAGACTTCAGCCTTGTCAGGTAATGTTTAGAAGAATTGTGATGTGTATTGTAATTAAAATGGAAATGGAGTAACTATAATAGGTAGGACTGTATTTTTGTAACTTCTGAAATTTAAGCCCAGTGTGTTCAAAATATGTTTGATTGCTATTTTTGTAATTTCCCTAATTTATCTGACTCTAATTGTGATAAAGAAATATAGTTGAGGTATTAAAAAATTTTTCATTTACTCACTTATAGCTTACTAAGATTTATAAAATCTTCAAAGACAAGTACTGTCTTCAATACCTTGAAATTTTTATGACTCCTAATACACTGCTTTGCAAAAAAAACTTGTTGAATAAATCAGTCAGGAATTAAACACTTCAGAAAATTCAACAGTAATTTTGTATTTTTACTTTCACTAGATTTTTATTGCTTTTTAAAACATAACTGGTGAAGCACACTAATGGTAGCTAAGAATTGCGAAAAAAATGTCATCATAGAAAAAACAGGTTTGGGAAAAGAGTCAAAGAAAAAAATTATCTGCCCAGGTCAAAATATTACTAGTCAAGAAAAGAAAAAGTAGGACTTCAGAGTTGGGGTGGGGCACAGACTTAAACTGGAATGAAAAGAGACATTGTCATCCGATGCAAGCAAAAAGATTCTGTTGGGAGAAAGACTGAAGTATTTGTAAGAATTTAAGCTTTACTATCTTCACAGTAGAAGTCAAGTATTAATTTATAAGGTTTTTTTCTTCATGAGGCCAAAAAAAGAAATACAGAAAAAAAATTGTGAGGTTTTACCTGTGTAAATCATTATTTTATTGTTAAATCTTATTGGCTTGGAAACATTAAGTGAAAGTTGTGTGACAGATTTCATGCACTGTGTCTCCTTTTTCTGACATCCTCAGTGCATATGCAGAGTTCATGAAGAAAGAGTCACGATTTTTTTACAGATTGTAATAACAAGCATATTTTAGAGACCAAAATTACAAACTAGTTAACCTTTATAGCTTTTAAAATTCACATTTATATAAGGAGTGCCATTATTTGAGTATTCATGACAAATACATCACTTAGTAAAATGAATATATCTGATAGCATATATCTTTATAGTATTTAATTTTCTTTTTTGAGTTCTGTTAACTCATTGAAAAGTTTTAGATTAGTAAAGGAAGTTACTGTGATTGTTTTAAAGGATTTGCCTGTTAAACATGTACCCTATCTAGATGATTCGATAATTGAGAAAAGCAGAAAGTAAGCAAAATTAGGTGACAAAACAAAATCTATCATGTTAGAGACAGAAGTTAGTGTTTTAATAACTTTTTTTGATGTATCAAACTTCCAGAACAATTGCAGGAACAGTAAAAAGAACTCCATGTGTTCTATCTAGATTCACCAGTTATTAAGATTTTGTACCATTTATGTTGTTGCATGTACTTTCTCTATTGTGTGTTTGTGCATGTTTTTATATTTACATGGGACATTTTTTTTGGAACCGTTTGTGAATAAGCCGAAGGTGTCATAGATCTTGAAGACTTCATTGTATATTTCTTAAGAGTGAGGACATTCTTTTACGTAACTACAGTATTATTATCAAAATCCAGAAAAATAACATGGATACATATTCTTCCAAGTAACAGTCAATAGGCACATTTTTCACTTGCCCTATTAATTTCTTTTTTTAGCTGCATTTTTCCTGGTTTAGAATTCAGTGTAGGATCATGTGTTACTTTTAGTTGTAACTCTTTAGCTTTCTTTAATGTGGGATAGTTCTTCAACCTTTCTTAGTTCTCATGACTTGACATTTTGAAGGCTGCAGGCCAGTTATTTTGTACAGTGTCCTTCTATGTGGGTTTGTCTGATGTTTCCTCTTGATGAGTTTTGGGCTGTGCCTTTTTGACAGACGCTGGGTTCTCTTCAGGACACTTGGTGCCTTTGCTGGTTGTTTCCACTGTAACCATTTGGTCAGTGTTTGCATCATCTTTTTGTGGTTGTCAGGTTACTGTTTTTCTCTCTGTGTGAGTTAGTAATTTGAGGCATTCCATGCTCCACTTTCTGGAGTGATCAGTCCTGAGGCCTTTAGGTGGTACAGAGGAAGGTAGATGCTGGGCAGGGGGAGGTCCCAGGTGCTCCCAAGGGTGTGAGGAGGTCATCCCCCATGGGGTGGCCTGGCATGGGGTTTACCCAAGCCAGATGAGGCACCCACGTGTTGGGACAGCTGTCTGGGATGTTGGGGTGCAGGCAGGGTGAGAAGGGCGATGGAGGTAGTAGTTTGGTTACATACAGGAGATTGAACAAATACATAAATTCATTGAGAATAAGGGAAACTAGGTTTCTCATGTTGAAGTGAGCTACAAATACAGAAAGACAGGAAACTGGAATGGACACTGTGGAGTTGCATTGGAAGTGGGTATATCAGTGTGAACCCATGGTCCTCCGTCTCCCTCTGCCTCTCCCCAGTTATATATGTGCATTCACTTATGGATGCATCTAAATAAATGTGAAAATAGAACTGAGAGAGAGAGAGTGTGTGTTTGTGTGTTACATGTACTCTGGCCACTGAAGGGACCTCTAGGAGTGTGGTATCTGAATAGTAACAAGCAAACCTGGCACCCAGGTCATGGCCTCCAAATCTCATTTTCCTTTTTTTTATTATTATTATTATTATTTTGAGACAGAGTCTCACTCTGTTTCCCAGGCGGGAGAGCAGTGGTGCAATCTTGGCTCACTGAAACCTCTGCCTGCTGGGCTCAAGTGGTCCTTCCACCTCAGCCTCCCAAGTAGTTGAGACTACAGGCATGCACCACCACGCCCAGCTAATTTTTGTATTTTTAGTAGAGATGGGGGTCTCACTATGTTGACCAGACTGGTCTCGAACTCCTGACCTCAAGTCATCTGCCCACCTCGGCCTCCCAAAGTGCTGGGGTTACAGGCATGAGCTACCATGCCCAGACCCACACCTCATTTTCCATTAATGGAACCAGGACTCCTTGGTTCCAACCTGGGGCCGGGAAAATATATTATGAACTTAGAATACTGTATTTTATAGAACATCCGGAAAGTAAGGACCTATTCAAAGCATGATGGGGGAAATGTCACAGGCAAAAGTAGTGATGACTTGAGCATCAAAATAAATAACTTTAGAAACGTTATAACCCAGGTAATCAAATAGGAAGCAGTGAGCATGTGCAGATATAAATAAGTAAAATGAGTAAGTTAAAGTTTCCTAGTGGTTTTTTTTGTTTGATTGTTTGGTGTGTAATAAGTTCTTATAAACTTAGCTTAAATTAGCACCCATTGATTATTTCGTAGATTTGTAGGACACAAGTCCAAATGGGCTCAGCTGGGTTCTCTGTTAAGTCATGTGACTGAATTCAAGGTGTTGGCTAGTCCAGGCTTGTTCACTCCCCATCTAGGTTGTTGGCAGGATTCAGTTCCATGTGATTGGAGGACCAAGGTTCCTGTCTCCTTGCTGACTGACGGCTGGAGCATGATTCTCAATTCCTGGAGGCCTCTGAGTGTCCTCCTAGGTGGCCCCTACACCTTCACAGCCAGCATGGCACTTTTTGAAGTACCATGGTTTTAAAGTACCTCAGCCAAACACGTACTAATGATTGAGAGTGAAAATGGTGATTTTACAGCATAGACACCTGGTAGAGCCCTTCTTTGCCCACTGACTAGCAGTAGGACTTGTGGGCCACACGTGCATCCTGATGTGACTTGCTGAGGGGAACTCAGTGCCACTCTGGGCCTCTTCTGTCAAAGACACATGGCCTGAATCTCCTTTTTCAGACAGTGAAGTCAGTGTAAAGCTCAGAAAATTTTTCTGGTAAGACAGTGAATCTTTGCTGTCTTGGCAGATTACATAGAATGATTTCTTGGCTGCACACAGTGGCTCACGCCTGTAATCCCATAACTTGGGTGGATCACCTGAGGTCAGGAGTTTGAGACCAGCCTGGCAAACATGGTGAAACCGTGTCTCTACTAAAAAGAAAAAAAATTAGCCTGGCATGATGGCGCACACCTGTAATCCCAGCTACTTGGGAGGCTGAGACCAGAGAACCACTTGAACCCGGGAGGCAGAGGTTGCAGTGAGCCGAGATCACGCCGTTGCACTCCAGCCTGGGCGACAGAGTGAGACTTCATCTCAAAAAAAAAAAAAAAGAATGACTTCTCATGGTACAGGCAAAGTCCTTGATCAGTAAACCAAAGAAGCAAACTTTTCAAGATTAAGTGACCTTTGCTAAAAATTTAACTCATCTCATACTATCTTTTTAGGCTCAGATAGTCGCTTTCCGAGATTTGTCCTGTGTTAATGTCCTTTCATATTCTGAAACCAATTGACACAACTTTCAAACACCAGTTCCCAGGGTGTCTGGGAGATCAGAACTCTTCTCATTGAAATACAGAGATGTTATGCATGTTAACATGACCTCCAAATCAATCAATAAGTCTTTAAAACATTATTTCTGTTTCCAATATAGTAACTGCTACTAGTTCTAACCCACAAAACAAAGATTTATGGGGTCAGTCCTAATTCTGGAAAGAGATCCAGACATGAAAATGTCTGAGATTCACTGTTTTATGAGGAACTACCCTCCTTACTTAAAAATGAAAAGCAGGCTGGGTGCAGTGGCTCACACCTGTAATCCCACGTACCATTTTGATTGACCGAGGGATGAGGATCACTTAAGGCCAGGAGTTCGAGACCAGTCTGGGCAACATAAGGAGACCTTATCTTTACAATTTTTTTTTTTTTGAGACGAAATATCGCTCTGTTACCCAGGCTGGAGTGCAGTTGCGTGATCTTGGCTCACTGCAACCTCCGCCTCCCGGGTTCAAGCAGTTCTCCTGCCTCAGCTTCCCAAGTGGCTGGGATTACAGGTGCGCACCACTGCACCTGGCTAATTTCGTTACAAAAATTTTAAAAATTAGCTGGATGTGGTGGTATACGCCTGTGGTTTCAGCTACTTGGGAGGCTGAGGTGGGAGGATTGCTCAAGCCTGGGAGGTCAAGGCTGCAATAAGTCATGATTGCACCACTGCACCATAGCCTGGGTGACAGAGTGAGACCCTTCTGAAGAAAGAAAAAAGAAAAATCAGGCTGGGTGCTGTGGCTCACACCTGTAATCCAAGAAAAATGAAAAATCAGGCTGGGTGCAGTGGCTCACGCCTGTAATCCCAGCACTTAGGGAGGCCGAGGTAGGCAGATCACGTGAAGTCATGAGTTCGAGACCAACCTGGCCAACATGGCAAAACCCTGGCTCTACTAAAAATACAAAAATTATCTGGGTGTGGTGGCACACACCTGTAATCCCGGCTACTCGGGAGGCTGAGGCAGAATTGTTTGAACCCAGGAGGTGGAGGTTGCAGTGAGTGGAGATTGTGCCACTGCACTCCAGCCTGGGTGACAGAGCAAGACTCTGTCTCAAAAAGAAAATCAAAAGCATGCATGCAATTGTATTTCTGTACTATTCTTCTAATATAGCCACACAACCACTTGTTAATTATATAATTACTAAACTCATGTTTCACGTAGAAAACTGGAGTGGGAAATTGAGAATTGCCTTACACACCAGCAGTATGTCAGACTCATGGAGCTCACAGATACCACTGTCTGCAGCCCCCCAAGAGACAGCATGCACGTGCCTGTTAGCATGACCCAAGGCTCCTACCTTCAACGGCCTATAAAAGCAAAAAGGAAAAGCACATAAACACAAAAATTGTGCCTTTTCATCAGTATTTCAGTATTCTATTAATATTTTCCTTAGAAATTATCAAAGTACCCAACCATCCAAAGTATCCATTAACTCAGTCAGTCCAAGGTTGCAAATTGCCTAAAGATAATAGAGATTATCTTCCAGTTGGCATGCTGCACAACGTAATTACTTGGGAAATAAAAAGTTTACCCAGATAATGATTCAATTTAGTTGGACATAAACTTATTACATTTTTCATTTTTTTTTCTTTTTTTTTTGAGATGGAGTCTCGCTCTGTCGCCCAGGCTGGAGCGCAGTGGCGTGATCTTGGCTCACTGCAAGCTCCACCTCCTGGGTTCACGCCATTCTCCTGCCGCAGCCTCCCGAGTAGCTGGGAATACAGGTGCCCGCCACCACGCCTGGCTAATTTTTTTGTATTTTTAGTAGAGATGGGGGTTTCACCATGTTATCCAGGATAGTCTAGATCTCCTGACCTCGTGATCCGCCCCCCTCGGCCTCCCAAAGTGCTGGGATTACAGGCGTGAGCCACCCGTGCCCAGCCACATTTTTCATAATCTTAAAAGTTGTATGGGACTGTTTCAGATGTTGAAAAATTTCTGGAGATGGATGTGGTGATGGTTGGACAACATTGTGAATGTAATTAATGCCACTCAATTATATACCTAAAAATGGTTAAAAGAGTACATTTCATGTTATGTATATTACACCACAGTTTTAAAAAACGTTATGAGAAGTAATGTTAGCTTATTAGCCGGAATAACTATAGGGAAAACAAACACAAGTAGAATAAAGTGCATGTTCGTGTTATATTTAATACTGATAGATAAAATACATTTATTTAAACCAAAATATTAAACTTGTCTCTTTACCACAGATGTGCCTTAATTATGTGAATATTCCTAAATGATCCCAAATTGTTTTCTGTACGATTTTTAAAATCTAGCACATTTAAAACACTGTTAGTTCAACTTCCTTATTTTTGGAGAATTTTAGGAATACTCAATTTACATATCTGTATAAATCAGGACAGAGCTCCTTTAAGAGACTTTATAATCTAATTTATCAATACCCCCCAAATACAGGAGAACATTATACACAAAATTAGATATAGGCCTTTGTTAATTATAGACACATACTTGCAAAGACACATAGAGAGCTTAGTAAATAGTTTCAGTTCTGCAATTTGAGCCAAAAACCAGGAGATACAGACATAGCCGACACCAGCTCGGTCATGGAGTCCCTAACCCAGGAGCGCTAGAGGAATTAAAGACACACACACAGAAATATAGAGTGTGGAGTGGTGAATCAGGGGGCTGACAGCCTTCAGAGCTGAGAGCCAGGAACAGAGATTTACCCACATATTTATTGACAGCAAGCCAGTGATAAGCATCGTTTCTATAGATTATAGATTAACTAAAATGGGAAACAAAGGGATGGGCTGAAACAAAGGGATGGGCTCTGGCTAGTTATCTGTAGCAGGAGCATGTCCTTAAGGCACAGATGCCTCATGCTATTGTTTGTGGTTCAGGAACGCCTTAAGTTATTTTCTGCCCTGGGTGGGTCAGGTGTTCCTTGCCCTCATTCTAATAAACCCACAACTTTCAGTGTGGACATCATGGCCATCACGAACATGTCGCAGTGCTGCAGAGATTTTGTTTATGGCCAGATTTGGGGGCCTGTTCCCCAACAGACATAGAAAATGCTGAATAGTCCAGATATCAAAGATCTGTTTTTTCCAGTGAACTAAAAATTCTTAACTTATTGGAGCTCAAAAAAAAAAAAAAAAAACCACTAAAAACTGGATTCTCTTATCATCTCTGGCCCATCAGAGAGTAGAACTCTTTAACATCTTATAGAAAGGAAAAGAACTAGCTAGAGAGAGCAGAGCTAAGATCCCACTGCCAGGGATTCATTCTGGAACCAAGAGAAGACTTGCTGGAGTTAAACCACCGGCAGGTGCCCTCCCGCGGCGCAGCTCACCTGGCTGTGTCAGTGAATGCACTGGACATCTCAGAACTTTTGGAAATGACTTTATAGTTGTAGAACTATGACTCTGCAGAGAAAAAATGAACATGTGTCAAAGTTTAATTCAGCAGTTAATAAAGGAAATAGTAAAATGTTACAACTGGTTCCCATAACCTGAGTCTAATCATGAGAAAACATTAGACAAATGCATATGGAGAGACCACGTATGAAATTACTGGCATATGATTTTTTAAATGTCCAAATTATGAAATGCAAGGTAATACTGAAGAACAGCTTCAGTCTAAAAGAGACTAAAGAGATAGGTCAACTAAGTGCAATATGCTGTCCTGAATTAAAAACATTCTTAGGTGAATGCTGAACTCGGAGTGGTGCTGAGGAGTGAATGTTGATAATCTGGTTTGGATGGTTGTGTGGCAGTTGTGTGGGAGACTGTCCTTGTGGAAAACACACATTGAAGCATTCGGGGCAGTGGGGTGTTGAGTCGGTCACTTACCCTCAGTGCTTCAGGAAAGAAGTTATATACTCTCCATCCTCTGTAAGTTTATGATTGCTTAAAAAAAAAAAGGAATTTATTCGGGGTACTTCAACACTGTAAATAGTCTTGTTCCTCATCAAGCTCACCATAATAGTTTTAGTATCCACTGACTATTCTTCTGAATCAGGTATTACTTTGATGGTTGCAAAATGGTGATTTTCTACCCCCATCATTTCTTTCATCCTAGTTGATGTTCTACTGCAAGAAACAATTTTCCCCGTTATTTATTTATCTGTATTAGTAAGATTTGTGGATTCTTATTTTTTCAGTGGGTCTAATCTTTTGCCATCATGATTGGTTTTGAAGCCCACATTGTCCCAGATTTGGCCCGAGTGTGATGCGTGGGAGCCACTCCTGCTCCATGAGATGATTCATGCTCTTCTCGACCCTGGAGTCAGACACTTCCCAAGGAGCCATGTTCCTTTTGGCAGACAGTGATGTTTAAAAGCAACCACCATTTATATTTTTTGTTTTAGAAACTTAATTTTTTTAAATCATAATTTAGGATTTTAATGTTTCTATTTGACAATATAGTTTGTTGCCTCTAATGTACATTAAATGAATGAATGAGTGCTATTTTAAATTTATTTTCGTTTACTATTGATAGATGAGACCAAGAATAACTGGGAAGTGTCAGCTCTTTCTCGGGCTGCCCAGAAAGGATTTAATAAAGTGGTGTTAAAGCATCTGAAGAAGACAAAGAACCTTTCATCAGTAAGAAGTCCTTTGTATTTTCTGTACCTTACATAATGCAGAGATCAGATTCTAACACTTGTGAAAAGTAAAAATCTTCATTTAAAATGTTAGTTGTTTTTGTATACAAAGTAGAGTACAATATAAAAATAATTTTAATATATTGACCAGGCATGGTGGCGCACACCTGTAATCCCAGCACTTTAGGAGGGTGAGGTGGGTGGATCGCTTGAGCTCAGCCTGGGCAACATAGGAAGACCCTGTCTCTATTAAAAAATACAAAAAATTAGCTGGGTGTGGTGGCGCATGCCTGTGGCCCCAGCTACTTGGGAGGCTGAGGTGGGAGAATCACCTGTGCCCAGGAAGTTGAGGCTGTAGTGAGCAAGATCACACCACTGCACTCCAGCCTGGGCAATGGGAGTGGCCTGACAAAAAAAATTAATATATTTTTAGCTATGAAAATATAAACTATATTAACTGTTTTGTTTATTTTTTTGGTCTTGTTTTTCTGTTCATTCCTGCCCTCAAATGTATTTAGTGGATAATAAAAGGTAAACTGGTTCATATTAAATAAGCAAGTCAGAATACTGATACCAGGGATATGTAAGACTTTCATTTATGCTTAGATCTTAAATATGTCATATTATCAGGTTCAGTTTGTTCCAGTTTTCTTTTTTGTTCTTTTATGGCTTTTTGGTGATAATTCCTTGGGGCAAGTTTTCTCGAGATGAGCCATACGATGTGATAGTAAAATATGACGTAAATAGAGAAAATTGAGTTAGAATAGGGAAAATAGCTATTTTTGGAATGAAGTAAGAATTAAAATTTGAAAAACTTTTAACATCTAAAACTGATAATGCAAACTCTAGGGTCAGTTCTTCTCACCTCATTATTTTGGGCATCTTTTGATTGAGAGACTAGAATGAAACTAGAAATGGCGGCATAAAAGTTTTTATAATTTTATGGCACAGCAGGATAAAATAAATATATCTCTAGTTTTACAAATAAAATTTCTTTTTTTCTTATCGATTTAATTTTTTTTTGAGGCAGGATCTCATGTTGTCACCCAGGGTGGAGTGCATTGGTGTGATCTCAGCTCACTGCAGCTTCAACCTCCCAGGCTCAAGTGATCCTCCCGCCTCAGCCACCCGAGTAGCTGGGACCACAGGCATGTGCCACTATGCCCAGCTAATTTTTGTATTTTTCGTAGAGATGGGTTTTGCATTGTTGCCCAGGCTGGTCTTGAACTCCTGGGGTTAAGCAATCCGCCCACCTCAGCCTCTCAAATGCTGGGATTACAGACGTGTGCCACTGTGCTTTGCCAAAATTTTTGTACAGATACACAATGCCTGTTCCTTAGCACTATGGTTCTCTAACTGTGACCCCTGGGGGATCCAGGGTGCAAGGCCAAAGCTATTTTTACTCCGTTAATTTGCACCACGGTATTATGATGGAGAACACTGTTGATTCTCTAGCGTTGACTCTGAGCACAGATTTTTAAAAATACTCCGTGTGTGAGGCAGGAGGTGCACCTGAAGCAGGCCTGCGTAGAAAAGTGTGACAGCTATCTGGAGAAAAAGCACTGTGTGGTGCTTTGAACTGGGAGCTGAAGTAGCCACTGCTTTGTGGACACAATTTTTATTGAAATGACAACTGAAAGGCACACTGAGGTTATTCATAGGTGGATATATGCAGACATTTTCTCTAAAATGAACCGAGCCTGCCACTTTGAGGAAAACTTCTGAAAATCTGTTGCCAATGATAAAATTTAAGCTTTTAAGTGAACTGTAAAGTTTTGGAGAACTTGTAACTATTGCAGTAAGTTTGATAGCTTCTCATTACTTAAAGATTTTTTTTTTTTTATTTTGAGATGGAGTCTCGCTACGTTGCCCAGGCTGGAGTGCTCACTGCAACCTCCACCTCCTGGGTTCAAGCGATTCTCCTGCCTCAGCCTTCTGAGGAGCTGGGATTACAGGTGCGTGCCACCACGCCTGGCTAATTGTTTTATTTTTAGTAGAGACGGGCTTTCACCATGTTGGTGAAAGGCTGGTCTCGAACTCCTGACCTCGTGATCTGCCCACCTTGGCCTCCCAAAATGCTGGGATACAGGTGTGAGCCACTGCGCCCAGCCTAAGATTTTTTTCTAATAAGATTGGTGGTGATATTTGCTTATGTGATTTTTTGCATATATAATGAAATGTGTCAACATTTGGAATATCTGCACAATCCAGTGAACCAGTATTTTCAGATGAGGAATACATGATGTTTCCAAATTATACATGGATGAAAAATCCACTCAAAGTGCAAGATCAGCCACTGGATTTTAACATAGTAGAGTACGTAGAGTTCATGATAAGAATTCAGATTCGACATTGTAACTAACCTTTAAGAAACTACGCTGGTTCAGTTTTGGTGTGATATCAAAGAAGAATAACTACAGTTAGCTAAAAAGACTATTTAAAATTTCTTGCCTGGTTTTCCAACTGCAATATCGGTGTGAGGACCAAACTGTCTCCCAGTGAGCTACACTGTAAACGGATCTGCACTACTGTGGAATGGCCACTTTGCCCAGAGTTTCATTTGTTTGAAAAATATAGTTACTTTTTATAACATGTAATGGGTTTAGTAGTTTAACTATTTACATAGTTTCTGTGTTTCAATTTCTAATGTCATTAATACTGATAAACAGGACCTACATAAAACAGCTCTTTGGGGGTCCTTGATATTTCTTAAGAGTGGAAAGGATCCTGCCAAAAAGTTTGGAACTGCGGTTCTAGGAAATGGACATCCAAGTGGGTGGCAAAGAGTTTTTTCCTATGTCTTCTATTTAATCTTTAACCCATTTGTAATCACATATATACAATTGTTCAAATTTACAGAACGAAGCAATATCCTTAGAAGAAATAAGAATTAGAGTAGTACAAATGCTTGGATCTCTAGGAGGACAAATAAACAAAAATCTTCTGACAGGTAAACTTCTTTTAAAATAAATAACCTCTGTAGATATATTTGTGCTTTTATTTGGATGTATCCAGGTCATAATATATTCTGAATATTTGCTCCTATATGTGATTTATATATTTCTAAATAAGATTATAAAGAATAATATCTTGCCTAATGGTTTGACTGTATCCGTAAAATTGGAATAATTCAGTATACTGGTAGAACATATGTTCTAGCTTGACTTGTTAAGCATGTTATCCAGTTTGAAACAATGTAATTTGATACTCTTTTCCATATTAGTGTCGGGAATTCCAAGTTAATCTCTTTGAGATCCAATATTGTTAATATTATGATATTTTTAGAAATTTTTCCAAATGAGAATTACCATTTTTGATTAGTAGGCTGCGTGTGGTGGCTCACGCCTGTAATTCCAGCACTTTGGGAGGCTGAGGTGGGAAGATTGCCTGCGCTCAGGAGTTTGAGACTAGCTTGGGCAACAACATGGCAAGAAGCTGTCTCTATTATTTTAATTTAAAAGAATCAGCTTTTTTTTTTTTTTTTCCCCTCGCTCTGTTGCCCAAGCTGGAATGCAGTGGCACAATCTTGGCTCACTGCAACCTCCGCCTCCCAGGTTCAAGCGATTCTCCTGCCTCAGGCTCCTGAATAGCTGGGATTACAGACAGACGCCACCATGCCTGGCTAATTTTTTGTATTTTTAGTAGAGATGGGGTTTCACCATGTTGGCCAGGCTGGTCTTCAACTCCTGACCTCAGGTGATCCACCAGCCTCGGCCTCCCAAAGTGCTGGGATCACTGGTGTGAGCTACCATGCCCCACTGTGCCTGGCCAAAAGTCTACATTTTTGATTAGTAAAAATTCCTCTGTATTTTTACTTTTGAAATTTGGTGTTAAATATACCAGTGACTTTTGGTTATTTAGGGAGTTAGAGCCTGTATTTGGAAAGTGTTTCAAAGAGATTTTTTTTTTAAGTAAAAATTTTGTTCATTGACTTTCTTCTACAAAATACTTTAAGTAACTCTTACTGAATTTGGATATTAAACATTTGAGACTATTAGGCTTGTTTAAAAGTAATTTTACTTTAAATTAAATCGAGTGATTTCTGATGTTGTAATTACATATCTGAGGCAAAAGAAAAGGGAAAGATGAATGAAGTGCTTCACTTTAATAGAATGTAGAACAGCTGGCATTAGAAATGTTTTGATTTGTGAATAATTCTGACACTAATAAAAAGAAAAAAAGTGTTTCATTCTTCTTAAATCTTTTCTAACAGTCACGTCCTCAGATGAGATGATGAAGAGCTATGTGGCCTGGGACAGAGAGAAGCGGCTGAGCTTTGCAGTGCCCTTTAGAGAGATGAAACCTGTCATTTTCCTGGATGTGTTCCTGCCTCGAGTCACAGAATTAGCGCTCACAGCCAGTGACAGACAAACTAAAGTACTTCTATTTTTCATTTCACCCATTATTTAGATCCTATTGCTTTAAAAATACATATTGCTTAGGATATAGAGAACATGTTTCAGCCATTCCAATATTAGTAATTTTGTATTTTCTGTAATATAGTAATTAGAAAACTACTTACTTATTAGAAGTCAGTGTCATTGATAAATGTAAGTTAAGTATAAATCATCTTAATAGGTAATTGGGCTGGGCATGGTGGCTCATGCCTGTAATCCCAGCACTTTGGGAGGCCGAGGCAGGCAGATCACTTGAGGTCAGGAGTTTGAGACCAGCCTGGCCAACATGGTAAAACCTGATCTTTACTAAAAATACAAAAATTAGGTGTGCTGGCATGCGAGTGTAGTCTCAGCTACTCGGTAGGCTGAGGCAGGAGAATCGTTTGAACCTGGGAGGCAGTGGTTGCAGCAAGCCGAGATTACGCCACTGGATTCCAGCCTGGGAGACAGAGCGAGACTCCGTCTCAAAAAAAAAAAATTGCCTTTCAAAACGTTAATATACCAAAAGCTCTTCATTATATAAAATGGAACATAAAGGGCATTTGAGAGTGATATTCGGGCTATGCTTGGTTATCCCCTTAACTCTGGGAGATTAGAAACAGATAATCTCAAATTTTCATACAGGCATAGCATACCTTGGTGATACTGCAGGTTCAGCTCCAGACCAAAGCAATAAAGTTAATATCTCAGTGTAGCAAATCACACTAGTTTTTTGGTTTTTCAGTACATGTAAAAGTTATGTTTACACTATACTCTGGTCTATTTAGTGTGCAATAGCATTAGAACTTTATATACATACTTTAAAATGCTTTATTGCTTAAAAATGCTAACAAAGTGAGCACATGCTGTTGGAAGAATTGAGCCAATAGAATTTCTCAATGCAGGGTTGCCACAGACCTTCAATTTGTTAAAAAACACATTGTGTCCAAAGCTCCATAAAATGAGGTATGCGTGTATTAATTTGTAAATTTTCTATAGTGCTTCAAAAAATATTTTTACTTAAAGTGATAGTTGAAAATGTGCTAACAGATGAAGCAAAGTTATATAGTTCTTTAATATGGCAACAGTGAAATATACTTCCCAGTTTCTAAAGCTTTTACATTTTAATTCTTTGTTCTTGGATAAAAAAACAAAGTGAACAGAATCATTAGTTTTATAGAACAAGAAATGTTAATTCCAGTTAATTTATATTTGGGTTACATGATAGTTATGTGCAATGAAATTTTTCTTCTTAAAGGCTAAATTGAGTGACATTTCAAATATTCTCTTGTCATCAACGTGATAACTTAAACATTGCTGACCTCCTGGTCTGTTTTAGGTTGCAGCCTGTGAACTTTTACATAGCATGGTTATGTTTATGTTGGGCAAAGCCACGCAGATGCCAGAAGGGGGACAGGGAGCCCCACCCATGTACCAGCTCTATAAGCGGACGTTTCCTGTGCTGCTTCGACTTGCGTGTGATGTTGATCAGGTAAGGGCTTTGAATCTGAAATAGTTGTAAAATTTCTAAAAGTTTGGTTTGTCTAATTCAGTGGTCAGCAGAGCAGTGGAATTACCTGGAGATGGTTAGGAACGATACTGCTCCCTGACTGCTACCCCAGGTGCTCTGGTTTAATTGGTCATGGGCATGACCTGGGCACCAGGACTTCTAAAAGCTCTCCCCTCCACTTTCAGTGTGTCTCGGAGTTTGGGAATCGCTGTTGTAGTTAAAAGTTACTGAGAGTCCAGGCATCTAAAGGTGAATTAGCTGTCACCCCTCTCATGGACAAACGTAGTCTTTCACAAAGGGAAGAAGAGAGAAATAACCATGGGCCGCGCGCGGTGGCTCACATCTGTAATCCCAGCACTTTGGGAGGCTGAGGTAGGCGGATCACCTGAGGTCAGGAGTTGAAGACCAGCCTGGCCAACATGATAAAACCCCCGTCTCTACTAAAAATACAAAATTTATCTAGGCGTGGTGGTGCGCATCTGTAATCCCAGCTACTTGAGAGGCTGAGGCATGAGAATCACTTGAACCCAGGAGGTGGAGATTGCAGTGCTCTGAGATCACGCCACTGCACTCTAGTTTGGGAGACAGAGTGAGACTCATTCTCAAAAAAAAAAATAAATAAATAAATAAAAAATAGCTATGGCTGGCAAGTGGCCTATACTATGACTTTATGGACAAATCCTTCACTGCTGCCATGAAGCAGAAAAAGGTAAGAAATCTTCTCAGTTCATTTTATGAATCTAGCATGACCTGGATATCAGGGTACACACTTAAAAAAGAAAATGAAATGCAAAACTCATTCAAAATGCAGCTGGAAAATTCTGCAGTATACATGAGTGGATATAGTCCAGCAGTATGTTCAGATGCACTGTGATTAAATAGAGCTCATAGTGAAAACTGGAAACTTACCACAGAAATAGATTTAACGTAGCAATGAACCTCTCCATGGAAGCCTGGAAGGCATTTGGCAGCTCCTGATAAACTAGGAGTAGTTTCACATGATGTTTAATGTGATAGAATGTCTGCCTGAATCTTGCAGCCAGGTCATCCTCTGTGTGAAGCACTGACACTCCCTTGTGCTTCCACCCAGCATGGGAGCATGGCCTGTTTCTGGGAGTGGTCAGTGCTTTACTTGGAGTTAGTTAAACTCTGCATGGACAGAGCCTGGTGTTCCTTGCTTCCTCTCCAGCATCTACCCCAGCACTTGGCACTTGGCAATCAAAAGACACTTGTCAGCGGGCCAGTAAGGCTAGGATATCAGCCCCACTAACTATTTGGGAGATTCTATTCAATACTGTAAGATAAGAAAATCATAGAAGGACTATTAAGAAGGAGAAAAGATTATTATAATTGTTTTCAAAATCTGGAAGGCCCAAGAGTAAGCATATCAGCTGATAAACTCTAAGAATTAATAAAGGAAAAAGCTGATGAATTATAAACACATAATTCTCATATATCTTTTTTCATATATTATTCTCATATATTTCATATATTAGTATTGACCACTTGGAAAATATGTCTATAAACATCTTATTCATAACAGCATCAAAAAAAAAATGTCTAGGAATAAACTTCAATGTGCCAGGCAAACATATTTTATGACTATAGAAGATGAATAGCTTATGTACCTGAGGTAGAAGTCATTATTGAAAAAAACGTCGTTTCCCCAAATCAATTGATAACTCTGGTGTAATTCCAGTAAAAAATCCAGAATTAATTTTATTTTTGAACTTAAAAGAATAATCTGAAGGAGTAATTGCTTGAGCCTAATAAGCAAGACACATTTTGAAAGGGTTGCACGCTGGAGGGAGTCTTGTGTAGTAGATGTTGAAAAGTGGCCTTATGGAGTATAAGAGGCTGAACCAGCGCACAGATGGCTCAGTGGGAGAGCTAGGTGCTGGGAAATGGCCCCTTGTGTGTATATGAAAATTGTGTCTATGGTAGGGGGTTATTTAAGTGGGAAATGGGTCATTTAATAAATGGTATTAGGTCAAATGACTAACATGTTAAAGAAAAAGTTATTCATGACATTCGTTAAGATGTTAAGGAAAACTATTAAAGGGGAGGCTACTCCAGTGGGCCTTTACACTGCTGTAGAGGGATTGGGCTCTACTCCAAATACTTATTGACCAGGGGGATTGATAGCCAAGGAGCAGGGTCAGGGTCAGTGGATGGAAAATAACTAAGAGGAATATTGGGGGAACCAGCCCCCAGTATTTCAACGTAGGTTCTTTTCTATTTTCCCTAAGTGTCGGCCGGTCTGAGAAATAAAGAGAAAGAGTACAAAGAGAGAAATGTTACACCCGGGACCGTGATGACAACCCCGAGCCGCAAAACCAGCAGATTTTTATTAGGGATTTTAAAAGAGGAGCGGGTATATGAACTGGGAGTAGGTCACAAAGATCACGTGCTTCAGAGGGCAATAAAGGTCACAAGGCAAGGCAAAATTAGAATTACTGATGAGGGCCTATGTCCCACTGTGGATTGTCTTGATAAACATCTTAACAGGAAACAGGGTTCGAGGGCAGACAACCAATCTGACTAGAATTTACCAGGCTGGAATTTCCCAATCCTGGTAAGCCTGAGGGTACTGCAGGAGACAAGGCCATATTTCAGTCCTTATCTCAACTGCATAAGACAGACACTCCCAGAGCAGCTGTCTATAGACCTACCCCTAGGAATGCATTCCTTCCCCAGGGTCATTCCTTGCTGGGAAAAGAATTCAGCGATATTTCTCCTACTTGCACATCCGTCTATAGGCTTTCTATGAGAAGAAAACTGTGGCTGTGTTCTGCCTGACCCTGTAGGCAGTCAGACCTTATGGTTATCTTCCCTTGCTTGTTACCTGAAAATCGCTGTTATTCTGTTCTTTTTCAGTGTGCACTGATTTCATATTGTTCAAGCACACATATTTTACAATCAATTTGTACGGTAGTGGTCCTGAGGTGATGTACATTCTCAGCTTACGAAGATAACAGGATTAAGAGATTAAAGACAGGCATAAGAAATTATAAGAGTATTGATTGGGGAAGTGATGAATGTCCATGAAATCTTCACAATTTATGTTCAGAGACTGCAGTAAAGAGAGGTGTAAGAAATTATAAAAGTATTAATTTTGGGAACTGATAAATGTCCATGAAATCTTCACAATTTACGTTCTTCTGCCTCGGCTCCAACCGGTCCCTCCGTGTGGGGTCCCTGACTTCCCACAACAGAAGAAACATCAGGCATAAAGAGGATTGTGGCTAAACCAATCCTAAGAGTGTTATGGCTGAAGATGGGCCAGGGTGACCAGACACTGCCTGGGGGCTGGGGGGAGATGAGGAATTAGATTATATATCAAGGGGAGGAGTTTTCACTGAACTGACTCAGCGGAGTTCTTGGTGAAACTGGACTAATAGAGATGAACATGGAAGCCCAGAAATCAAGGCCTAGTTGAGAAGAGTTCAGAGGAGCCTGACTAGAGTTAGGGTAAGGAAGAGGGGCTTTGTCACAAGTGAAGAAACTAACTGTAAATCAATAAGATTTAGAAGGAAAAACGAACTATAAATAAATTACAGAAAAATGTAATGACCACATAGCATATCTGTCTGTGTATATCTTTAGGTCTTTTTTGTTGATAACACATCAGTTTATAATATTAAAATGTTCAAAGATAAAAATGAACGTTCACGTCACCCCTTTCACCTGCTTGTTCCCTGGGAAAAGATGTTAGATCCTCTGTAAAGTCTGGAGAATGTCTTTATAATAACACATCTTGACATGTGCATAGATGTTTTGTTAACAAAAAGTAGACTCGTAGCATTTCAAAACGTTTTCTTCTGTGTGCAGTGTGATTTCTGCTCCTTGGATGGATTTCATTACTTTTCTATAATCAGCATCCTTCTGTGTCTTTCTATAAAGTTTGTACAGATAGGGAGACACATAAAAGTGTTAATGTATTGATAGTTTTGACCTTATAAATGTTTAAGACTACTGAATGGCACAAAACCAACATTGTAACATGTATAATGTGCAACATACTACTGAAGAGATCAGATTTTAAAATGGACAAATGTATAAAGAAAAAAATAGGCAGCTCATAAAAGAAGAAATGTAAATGGCCGATGGAATGTATCTTAAAATAGTCAACCGTTTTGTAAACAAGGAACTTCAAATTAAAATGATATTGGCTACTGTCAAATATTTAAAAGATGAACAATGTTTGGTGTTGCCAAGGGCACAAGGAAAGGACCCTGCGTGTCATGGTTGGTGGGGCGACACAGGCACAGTGCTCTGCAGCTGGGCTCGGATTGAGTGACCACAGTCCTGGCCTAGCAGCTTCCTTACAAGAGAGCTGCTTAAACAGTGTGCTCAGGACTCTCCACTCTGTATGGTAGTCATAATTTAGAAATACTTGCATTTCTAGCTGTAGGGTTCTGGTAGCTTGGTTGTGGTCCATAGTTGAGGTACTGGGTGGCTACTGAAAACATTGGTAGAGTGCATATGTTTACGTGGAAAGTACTCTAAGAAGAAACCAGTTACTGGTTTCTTCCAGGAAGACAGGAGCTCTGCCTCCTTGGCAGATTTATTTTTATTTTTACACGTGTATATACACATATTTAAATGTATATAAATTGGCCGGGGGTCAGGAGTTTGAGACCAGCCCGGCCAACATGGTGAAACCCTGTTGCTACTAAAAATACAAAAATTAGCCGGGCGTGGTGGTGGACGCCTGTAATCCCAGCTACTTGGGAGGCTGAGACAGGAGAATCACTTGAACCCGGGAGTCAGAGGTCGCAGTGAGCCCAGATTTCACCACTGCGCTCTAGCCTGGGTGACAGAGTAAGACTCTGTCTCAAAAAAAAAAAAAAAAAAAGGTATATAAATAAAATATTTTGAAAGTCGACAGTGGTTACCTTTGGGATGTAGGATTGTAGAGGGATGATTTTCTATAAAGGGGTATGTCTGTATTGTGTGTGTGTGTGTGTGTGTGTGTGTATATATATATATATAGCTATGTATACATGTATTAAAAAACTTATGTACTAAGAATAAAACAGTATGATTCTTGGCCAGGCGCGGTGGCTCACGCCTGTAATCCCAGCACTTTGGGAGGCCGAGGTGGGTGGATCACAAGGTCAGGAGATCAAGACCATCCTGGCTAACACGGTGAAACCCTGTCTCTACTAAAGGTACAGAAAATTAGCCGGGCGTGGTGGCGGGTGCCTGTAGTCCCAGCTACTCGGGAGGCTGAGGCAGGAGAATGGCGTGGACCCGGGAGGCGGAGCTTGCAGTGAGCAGAGACTGCGCGCCACTGCACTCCAGCCTGGGCGACAGAGCGAGACTCCGTCTCAAAAAAAAAACACCAGTATGATTCTTTTGTGGAAAAAAAAGTGATGCTTTAAGACCAGGTTAAACTTTCAAACTGAAAGTTAAGACCCTTTTATATTGATTAATTTTAAAAATTGCTTCATAGAGGCCAGTGAAGGTATTAGGGGAAAAAAATAGCTTCAAAGACTAGAAAGACTGTTTGGAAGAGTCTCTGTGTTGTTTAGTCTGAGCCCTGGGACATTTTGCATCATTTTTGAGGTGATATTAACTACAGTATGGACCTCTAATATCAAAGTACTTAATTGTTGAGCTCAATAACCGTGGGGAATAAAGGTCTCCTGGATGGCTCAGTACTCCTATAAAAGCCCTGGCCTCTGAGGCAGAAATGTACAGGATATCAGTGTAGGGAGTGTTCACCTTAACTTCCACCACAAGCATTTTACTTTTTTTTTTTTTGACGGAATCTCACTGTGTCTGGAGTGCAGTGGGACGATCTCGGCTCACTGCAACCTCCACCTCCCAGTTCAAGCGATTTTCCTGCTTTAGCCTCCCAAGTAGCTGGGGTTACAGGTGACCACCACCACACCCGGCTAATTTTTGGATTTTTATTAGTGAAGAGGTTTCACTGTTTTGGCCAGAGTGGTCACAAACTCCTGACCTCAAGTGATCCGCCCTCCTCAGCCTCCCAAAGTGCTGGGATTACATCGTGCCTGGCCATTTTAATTTTTTTTTTAGACACGGTGTCCCTCTGTCACTCATGCTGGAGTGCAGTAGTGCAGTCATAGTTCCCTAAAGCCTCCACCTCCTGGGCCCAAGCCATCCACCCATCTCAGCCTCCTGAGTAGCTGGGACTACAGGCACGCACCACCGTGCCTAGCTAGTTAAAAAATAATTTTTTGAGAGACAAGGTCTTCCTATGTTGCCCAGGATGGTCTTGAAGTGGCTTCAAAAGACCCTCCCGACTTGGCCTCTCAAAATGCTGGGATTATGGGCATGAACCACTGCGCCTGGCCAGCATTTTACTCTCATGTATAATGAGGGTTAGATCTGTAGCAGTTTATCTAGCTAATTGCTCTGATCCACTTCTCTTTTTGCTCCAAGATGGCCACATGGTCACACCTCCACCAGGCCACTAGGTTACACTTCCAAGCCTCCAGGAAGACAGGAGCTCTGCCTTCTTGGGTATGGATTTACTTGTCATAAGGGAGGAGCCCAGACCTGGAGACATCTTGGATTTTACAAAGCCAGGGAGCACGGGGCTACCTGGCCCCTGGAGAGGCTTTATTTATGTTCCAGAAGATTAGACCTAGGATCCTTTTCATCCTATCTCCATAGAGGTTTTCCTCCCTCCTTTTGGCAGCAGTGGGAGAGGCAGCTTCCTCTTTGTCCTGTATATAAACAGATTAAATCTGTTTTTCTATGTTCCTCCCCTGTGGTACTGGCTTTGAATTTGTGTATATAGGACATTGATTGGGTTTCATTTTGTCACCACAAGGGGAGACAGTTAGGCTGTGGGGAACCACAGGGTTGTTATTTGCTTTGTACAATAGTTGAATAGCGACTAGATTGTCTGTAATCCAGGATATCTTGTGTGCACGTTCAAGATCAAATGAATAAAGATGAGTATTACAAAGCCAACAATATGTATCCTAAATTGCCCTCCCAATCAGAGGAACAATGAGCTTTTGTTGCATATTTTTCTTTGCTGGACTCTTCATCATGGAATTTAACTGGAAAAGGAAACTAATGGGGCTGGGGATGGTGGCTCATACCTGTAATCCCTGCACGTTGGGAGGCTGAGGCAGGAGGATCACTTGAGGCCAGGAGTTCAAGGCCAACCTAGGCAACATAGTGGAACCCTGTCTCTACAAAAAAAAAATTTTAAGTTAACTGGGTGTGGTGGTACATGCCTGTAGTCCAGCTATTCTGGAGGTTGAGGTGGGAGGGGACCACTTGAGCCTGAACTAAAAAAGGAAACTAATACAACCATGGTAGTAGTATTACTTAATTTTATACTGCAAATGGCATTTAAATGGAACCCTTTACAGCGTAACATTTCTTTAACATGAAGGGAATTAACTTTAATGGTATTGTTTCTTCAGGTGACAAGGCAACTGTATGAGCCACTAGTTATGCAGCTGATTCACTGGTTCACTAACAACAAGAAATTTGAAAGTCAGGATACTGTTGCCTTACTAGAAGCTATATTGGTAAGTAATAGTTGATTCTTTTCCTCTTACTCCCATCGATTAGTTGTATTTGATGTTTGTTTATTTATTTATGTTTTTGAGACAGTCTTGCTCCGTCGCCCAGGCTGGAATGCAGTGGCACGATCTTGGCTCACTGCAACCTGCGCCTCCCAGGATCAAGCAATTCTCCTGTCTCAGCCTCCTGAATAGCTGGGACTACAGGTGCACACCACCATGCCTGCCTAATTTTTTGTATTTCAATCAGAGACAGCGTTTCACTTTGTTGGCCAGGCTGGTCTTAGTCCTGACCTCAAGTGATCCGCCCACCTTGGCAGTGAGCCAGGCACAGTGGCTCACGCCTGTAATCCAACACTTTGGGAGGCCGAGGCATGCAGATTGCATGAGCCCAGGAGTTGGAAACCAACCAGGCCAACATGGAGAAACCCTGTCTCTACTAAAAATAGAAAAATTAGCTGGCATGGTGTTACACACCTGTAGTGCCAGCTCGCCAGGTGGCTTAGGCATGAGAATTGCTTCAACCTGGGAGACAAAGGTTGCAGTGAGCTGAGATTGCGCTACTGCACTCCAGTCTGGGCGACAGAGTGAGACTCTGTCTCAAAAACAAAGAATAAGAAGAATTTCTGAGTATATCCAATTTTCTCCTATACTCAGATTCAATAACTAAAGGGCCCTGGAAACAGCAGTTCACCTTTTACACAGAACTCTCCTGACACGGAGAAGCATTGTCTTAGAATTTGGTCGCCAGCTCACTGAGGGCAGAGGCAGTGAGGCCAGCTAAATTGTAGTTTTTTTTTGATGCTTATTTTACTATAAATTTTGAACCTGTGCAAATAAGTTTATGTCTCCTGCACAGCCCTGGTTATGCTGCTGGCAGTGTACTCTGAGTGTGATCTTTCTTAGTCATGTTACGGGTAGGGGAGAGTGACTGAACATTCGTTAGGGTGGTGACATAATTAAACCTGTAGTTTAATTCCCTGCAGTGTCTACCAGTGAATCCTACCTATAATAAATACAGTTAGCTAAAGTTAATTTATGGCTTATTTACATTCAGATGTTTTCATTATAATGTTTCTGTTAAAAAGTTTTTATTTTAGTTGTTTTCTGTTTCTTTTCTCCCTTTTGATCCTTGAAGGTAGATTAAGTAAGAGATTAAGAAAGAAATCTGATAAGTAAAACGAGATAGTTGAGGAAAGAAAAGGTAAAGAAGCAGCATGAACTCGGTAGCACGGCACTCAAGTGAAGGAGGGCCGTGGGTTTCCTGGTGAGAGCTGCTCTTCCCTGCATCACCACTTGGCGCTGGTGACCTCTGCTCTGAAAAGCAGGAAGCACCCTCTCCTCCCATTACCATGGCTTGTGTTACCTTTTTGGATTCTAATTACCTCTGCAAGAAAGGATTTTATATGTAGCAGATAACTGGAAGTGTTAGGCAGAACTCTCTTAATTCATTGTTGAGTGTACGTTTTCAAGTTAAACTTTTCCTTTGTAGATCTGAGACAGCGTCATGACTAGAAGGCAACAAAGCATAAAGTAGAATACATCTCTGTGTGGTCGTTGGTCAAATGTCCATAGCTGTTTTCGGCAGGGCCTTTATGGGGTCTGCTCTTCATGCCTCCATAGGATTTTCCTTTATGGAGCAGTACAGTTTCTTTGGAACTTCAAAGGGTCTTATTCTCTTTGACTTCAATATGCAAAGTGTCTCAAAAGCTGTTATGGGGTAAAATCAACAATCAAAATTCCTCTGGAATTCTTAGGATATAGCCATTTTCTTTTTTTTCAGGGAAGGGAAAGATTGTTTTGTTATAATTAAAGTTTTCTCTCCCCTCTTCATGGCTTTTCAGTTTATTAATTTGTTTAAAAGAAAATGTTTTCATTATATCAGAAGGAAATAGTTATTCAAGCCTAGATTCTGGATACACTATGGAGATTGGTTTTACTAATGTTTATTTTTTTCTTGACTAGTGCTATAAATTAATTTTTAACATACTTTAGTTATGCTCAGAGATAGACCAAGGGTATTCAGTTGTCAGTGGTTATAAAAATTAGTACAATCAAGGTCTCTTTGTTTTGTTTCAGGATGGAATTGTGGACCCTGTTGACAGTACTTTAAGAGATTTTTGTGGTCGGTGTATTCGAGAATTCCTTAAATGGTCCATTAAGCAAATAACACCACAGCAGCAGGAGAAGAGTCCAGTAAACACCAAATCGCTTTTCAAGCGACTTTATAGCCTTGCGCTTCACCCCAATGCTTTCAAGAGGCTGGGAGCATCACTTGCCTTTAATAATATCTACAGGGAATTCAGGTTTGTAAGCTACACAACAGAGAAGAGAAACTTGTGGTTTTGAAAGGTGACTTGGAGTTTCACTCTGTGTATCCGTGTGTCATATTTCCTGCATTTAGTAAGTAATTATGTGCTGGATGCTGTGCTGTCTTCTGGAAATTAAAAAGTGAATTAAAATTCAGTTTGCACTCCAGAAGCTTGGAAACTGCTGAGAAATGCATGTAAACACTGTCTCAGCCATTTTGGAAATGCAACAAAAGACACATATACAGGGGCTTTGGGTGCACAGAGGAGGAGTAGCTGATCCAGGGTGAGCAAGTTTGCTGTGGCCTCTTGCTAGGGTTTATATTGGAGATGAGACTTGAAGGATAAATGGAAGTCAGCCAAGGCATTTTAGATCAAAGTTAGTGGGTGGTGGGGGGGTAGAGATAAGAAATAGGAAGGTGTCTGAGGCGATAAAGTCCTTTGAGGTTTGGAGGCAGGTGTCGTGAGGCTGGCGAGGAGGGCTCTGCTTGCTGTAGTAAGGAGCGTAGGTCACCGCTAGTGACAGAGGATCTGTGGAGTAGTGGGTGCAGGGAGAGATGCATTTAGATTTCCTCCTAAAATCCACTTGCTGGTAGCTGTGTAGAGAGTGGGTCTGAGTAGACTGAAGACTGGAACACCAGTGAACAGGCCATTTCAGAGGTCCAAGGTAAAAGACAAGTGGTCACTGACCTAAGGTAGTGGTGTTCATTCATTCATCCAGCATTCCTTATTAGGAATATTGTGTACCACATTTACCTGTGTAACCTCACATCCTGCACATGTACCCCTGAACTTAAAAGATGAAGAAAAAAAAAATGATGTGCCAGACCTGTGTCTATGTTGGAGGTATAACGATACAGCCCTTCGTGAGGGTTACATTTCAGAAGGACACATAGATAATAATTAGCCACATAGGCAAATGAGCAGTTCTGCAGATGCAAGGGACAGAGGCACTTGTGTGGAAACAGAGCGTGTGCTGCCTCTTTGGCTCATGTAGCTTTCCTCTAGTCTGCTCTTGAGGAAGTATCTTTGAGAAGTGTTTTAGGTTGTTTCATGGTTTTTCTTTTCTATTTTTTTTTGTTTTTGTTTTTGGAGACAGAGTCTTGCTCTGTCACCCAGGCTGGAGTGCAGTGGTGCGATCTCGGCTCACTGCAACCTCTGCTTCCCAGGTTCAAGCGATTTGCCTGCCTCAGTCTTCCAAGTAGGTGGGATTACAGGCGCCCGCCACTACGCATGGCTAATTTTTGTGTTTTTAGTAGAGACTGGGTTTCACCATGTTAGTCAAGCTGGTCTTGAACTCCTGACCTCAGGTGATCCCTGCCTCAGCCTCCCAAAGTTCTAGGATTACAGGTGTGAGCCACTGCACCTGTTTCATGTTTTAAGACAGAGCCCCCCCACCCCGCCCTTTTTTTCGTCTGAGACAGGGTCTTGCTCTGTTGCTCAGGCTGGAGTGCAGTGGGGGGATCATGACTCAACCTCAACCTCCTGAGCTCAAGTGGTCCTCCTGCCTCAGCCTCCCAGGTAGCTGGGACCACAGGTGTGCACCACTGCACCCAACTAATTTTTTTTTTTTAATTTTTTGTAGAGACAGGGTGTCACTTTGTTGCCCAGGCTGGTCTCGAACTCCAGGGCTCAAGTGATCTTTATAGGCATGCACCACCACACCCAGCTGAGCCTTTAAAAAAACAACAACAAAAAAACAATTTTTTTTTTTTTTGAGCTGGAGTCTTGCTCTGTTGCCCAGGCTGGAGTGCAGTGGCAGGATCTCGGCTCACTGCAAGCTCCACCTCCCGGGTTCATGCCATTCTCCTGCCTCAGCCTCCCGAGTAGCTGGGGCTACAGGCGCCTGCCACCGCGCCCAGCTAATTTTTTGTATTTTTAGTAGAGACGGGGTTTCACTGTGGTCTCGATCTCCTGACCTCGTGATCCACCTGCCTCGGCCTCCCAAAGTGCTGGGATTACAGGCGTGAGCCACCGCACCCGGCCACAAAAAACAAATTTAATTAATGTGTGCCTTCTTTAATTCCATTCCTTCTTTTCTTTGTCCTTTCTGCTTTATTGTTTTCTTAGGTGAGGTTTCCTATTCTTTATTTTACAGGGAAGAAGAGTCTCTGGTGGAACAGTTTGTGTTTGAAGCCTTGGTGATATACATGGAGAGTCTGGCCTTAGCACATGCAGATGAGAAGTCCTTAGGTACGTTTTGCTTCAGTGTTCTGTGTGCGTTACAGGTCTGAAGAGTTTCCCCAATGAGGAGTTAAGGCTCGTGTGATTCTCTTATAAGGTTTTTTTTTTCCCAAGAGTTCTATAAATTAATAAATGTGAAGAGAATCCCCTTCAGTGCCTCAAACCCAGCTTGTTAATAATTTTTTCATGCCCTTATTTTCTTTGACTCACCATGTACTCCTGGTGGCCATTGAGGTTGACCCTGGTTGGTTGCAGATTCTGCCCAGGGCAGGGGAGACAACGAAGCCAGTCAGACACTATGATGCTGTGATGACAGAACATGAAACTGTGCAGATATGGTGCTGAAGAAACTGGATGTGGTAACCACTGAGATGTGGTCAGTGCCTCTGCACTCACTCGTGATCATTTAGAAAGTAGAAAGTGGATCTCATTACAGGACTGTGATAGAGTTGTTTCATCCATGATGAAGGAATATTATAAAGATATTAAGTCAGAAGTAGGCTAAAATAGCTAAGAGAGTAATAAATGATTACAATTAAATTCTATGCAAGAAGCTATTAGGAACTACATAGAGTTGTTGAGCTAGAAGACTTCTTAACTCCCCGTTGG
Organism: Homo sapiens; assembly: GCF_000001405.40. NCBI lineage: Eukaryota > Metazoa > Chordata > Mammalia > Primates > Hominidae > Homo > Homo sapiens. The sequence continues at coordinate 47,899,772 of NC_000008.11, read as the reverse complement.
TCCCAGCACATGATGTAGTTGGGGCACAGAGGCTCAGGCGTGTCATTGACTGAGACGGCCACACAGCTGTGGCAGGAGTTTATCACTGATACGGGTCTTGACTTATTTTATTTTATTTGTTTATTTTTTGTGATGGGGTTTTGCTCTTGTCACCCAGGCTGGAGTGCAGTGGTGCGATCTCAGCTCACTGCAACCTCCGCCTCCTGGGTTCAAGCGATTCTCCTGCCTCAGCCTCCCGAGTAGCTGAGACTACAGGGACCTGCCACCACGCCTGGCTAATTTTTGTATTTTTAGTAGAGATGTTTCTCCATGTTAGCCTGGCTGGTCTATAACTCCTGACCTTACGTGATCCACCTGCCTCAGCCTCCCAAAATGCTGGGATTACAGGCATGAGCCACTGCGCCTGGCAACTTTGTTTATTTTTTAAAAAGACAGACTGAGCTCTGTTATCCTTCATGTTGATAGTCTACTGTGGGCAAAAATGTGTAAAATTTAGTCCTCATTGTCAAATTGCTTAAATTTGCTTTGTTTATCTTGATTTCCCATATGGGTGAATTTTTTCAACGAGTGAAACTTTTTTTGTGATCACGGACATATTTAAAAAACATAGAAAACTTTTTCTTGGTGACACAGGTCAAAATAAGATGTATAAGGCTCCTTTCCTAAATAATTCCAGACTTCTGTGAGTGACTTCACCATCTTACCTCTGTTGTACTTCTCCAGAGGCTGTATTACCAAACGATACCGTAGTTTATCCTGCATAGGAAGGGAGGTCAAGGGATTTACACCCCTTTAAAATAGCCACATTGAAGTCCACAGGCTCTGGCCTGGTATGTGGGTTTTGTAATACCTGCAAAGTCTCTTCCATCTCAGGTCCATTAGGAGAGGCTGTGCTTTGGGTGGCCGTGGTGTTGGTGGTACAGTTTCTAGTTAGGTATGGCATTGCTCTGAGTGTGTGCATGTGTTTGTGCGTGCACGCACCATGCTATCCTGCAGTCTTAAATAGGGGTTTTGTGTTCATTTTTGAATATGCAGTGTGAATCATTTATCTAATTTTATTATTCTTAGGGATGAAAACATATTAAATCTATAGTAAAATTACCTTTTCAGTTAAAAATTAGGCCAACACATTTATAATACAAATTTAATAATAATCAGCTATATATGCCTTCTTTGGAAATATGTCTCTGTACTTGAGAACAGGTACAATTCAACAGTGTTGTGATGCCATTGATCACCTATGCCGCATCATTGAAAAGAAGCATGTTTCTTTAAATAAAGCAAAGAAACGACGTTTGCCGCGGTAGGTGATCTTGCTTCCTTTTCCGTCTTTTCCCACAACATAAAACTAATTCACAGCTAATGAAGGACAACCTGGGATGGATCTGTGGAAGTATAAGGAATTACTTCCTAAACAAGGAATGTGTGGAAGTCTGAAGAGTTCGTTTTCCAAAAACGTTAAAAAGCTTTGTGTTTGAAAATACTTGGTTTAAGGGATAAGGTATAAGGTATTTGATCTGGGTTGAGATAGTACATACAAATTGAAAATTAGTTTTGTAACAGACGTTTTATTTAATATGCACTAATTTTGAACATGTTTTGATGTGGATGATTTGACTAGAATATGCATGAACCATTATTCCGTAAATTTTGAAGTGTATGAACTGAATGTTCAAATAGTAACATTTTGACAGACATGGAATTATAAAATTAGGAAATGAAACTGCTTAGAGCCAACCAAGGCTGGGATGTTGGCCAGTGGTTTCCAGTTTTTGCCCTTATTCCATCCTAGTGGTGTTGCCTTCTCCAGTAGGGTGAGTGCCCTCCATAAGCCCCTCCAGATCTCTGCAGGGTATCTGGGGACATCTGTTATCCATGCTAGTGACCGCCACTCTGGAGAAGCACAGTCCCATGTGGACTGGATTATTAATATTTTCTCAGTTGTTTTAAAAGTTGATTCTTCCAGATTCTACTATTAACTTACGATATCAGTTTAGTTCATTGGTTCTAACTTTAGCATACATTAGAATTGCCTGGAGATCTAGTTAAAACACAGATTGCTGGGCTGGCCCCACCCTCAATTTCTGTGTACCCCTGGGGTAGGGCCAGATAATTTGGATTTATAACAAGTGCACAGGTAATGTTGGAACAGCTGTCCAGGGACCACACTTTGAGAAGCACTGCTTTACAAGGTATATTGCAAAGGAAACATGAAAATACTTAGTGCTGTTCTTTTAAGGAGAACTTTTTAATTTTTCCCCACATGAAAAAATGAACATGAGCAGCATTTAGGACCCATTTCACCTATGTTATTTTGATTGCATCTAATTATAATACATTAAAAATAAGTCGAATGCCTTTTAGTGAGATTTCTACATATATCTGTGTGATAAAGATGAGTTTATGATTTCTAGAGCCTTGGTAGCTGAATGTTGCATGTTGGAGAGGGACTAATGACAGTATGCTGTCTCTGTGCAGAGGATTTCCACCTTCCGCATCATTGTGTTTATTGGATCTGGTCAAGTGGCTTTTAGCTCATTGTGGGAGGCCCCAGACAGAATGTCGACACAAATCCATTGAACTCTTTTATAAATTCGTTCCTTTATTGCCAGGTATGGTAATCTGTATATCTTTAATTTCACCACGGTGCTTTATTATCCCATTTAAAAGAAGTAAAGAAGAATTGAGTAATTGGGTATCATTGCAGTTAACATGGTATTCAGTTAAGATTCAGAATATTAACAGTTGATGAGGTAATGCAGTTCTGTTTCAGCATGTGATTAATAAGAAATTGCCAGCATCCTAAGTCTGAATGATCTCAAATCATATTAAAGGAAAGCAGTGAACCTGTGCTTTTCAGTAATTACTAAACCATTAAACTGCTTATGGACTGAAATAATGACAAGTTTCTCAGGAATAAATGTATTGCTCAGTTTTGTCCATTAAGTCCAAACCTAGGTTTGATAGCTTGGGAGTGGGGAAGCTGTGCTCAGGACAGATCAAGCCCTGCCTTCCCCCATTGTGGGCTGTCACAGCCCTGTGCCATGTGTGGAGAGTGCCTCAGGTTAGATGGGTGTGCTGGTTCCTTGGCAAAAGTTGGGGTGGAGTTTTTTTTTTTTTTTTTTTGAGACGGAGTCTCGCTCTTTTGCCCAGGCTGGACTGCAGTGGCGCTATCTCAGCTCACTGCAAGCTCCACCTCCTGGGTTCACGCCGTTCTCTTGCCTCATCCTCCCAAGTAGCTGGGACTACAGGCACCCGCCACCGCGTCCGGCTAATTTTTTGTATTTTTAGTAGAGACGGGGTTTCACCGTGTTAGCCAGGATGGTCTCTATCTGCTGACCTCGTGATCCACCCGCCTTGGCCTCCCAAAGTGCTGGGATTACAGGCGTCAGCCACTGCACCTGGCCTGGGGTGGAGTTCTGTCTGGGCTTTTTCTTCATGGAACAAGAGGAAAAAAGTTACTTTATATATTTCCAGGCTTCTAAAACTAAAAAGGACTTTACATTTTGTCATACTATAGGATATATTATAATGTTATATACTACATATTATATACTATAGAGTATGTATAAATACATACTATAACTGAATTAGATTATTTTATATATGCTATATAAATAATGAAGTATAAATTTACTATATCATTTTACATGTATAATAGAAATGTATATCTGTGTTTTAATTTAGATAATTGTTTAAAAAACATTAGCATTTAAAAAAATTTTTTTTCCCCCGAGACAGAGTCTTGCTCTGTCGCCTGGGCTAGAGTGCAATGGCACGATCTTGGCTCACTGCAGCCTCTGCGCCCTGGGTTCAAGCAATTCTCCTGCCTCATCCTCCAGAGTAGCTGGGATTACAGGCGTGTGCTACCACGCCCGGCTAATTTTTGTGTTTTTAGTAGAGACGGGGTTTCACCATGTTGGCCAGTCTGGTCTCAAACTCCTGACCTCGTAATCTGCCAGCCTCTGCCTCCCAAAGTGCTGGGATTGCAGGTGTGAGCTACCACGCCTGGCCTAGCATTTTCAGTTTGCTTAATGTGTTTAGCTAACAACTTTTTTTTTTATATGTTAAGTCATTCTCACAGCAACCTTGTGAAATTAGTCATTGAAGAGTGGACCAGTGGCTGGGGAAGGGCTGGAGGGCAGTGGGCAGCATTTTTCCTATATTTAGTAGAAACCGAGACCCTGATAGCATGTTGGTAGAGCTGCTTATGGGCAGACCACTATCTCACATTGAGTCTGTGACTCTGGTAGCACATAGGATTTCTTGTGACCTCAGCTGTACTGATCTCAGGCATTTCTAGTGCTGTTCTCTTCTCAGTTGCCTGTGATACGGACCTCATGTATTCTGAACTAAATAGAGTTCCACCTCTCAGCATTGTGTTTTGTTGGACAAAGGCTGCTAGGTAGTAGGTGAGCCTTGCCCTTCTTCCAACAGGTAATTTGTATAACATTAAGGAGCCTTCCTTGATTTATCTCTTCTGTGGCCTTGCAGGGTGTAGCCACCTTTCTCCTTTGGTATCTTTATCCTCCAGTGGCTATTTTTGTTTTCTTTTATTTTTTTCCTTTTCAGTTTTAGAGACAAAGTCTCACTATGTTGTCCGGGCTGGACACGAACTCCTAGGCTCATGTGATCCTCTTGCCTCAACCTCCTTAGTAGCTGGGACTGCAGGTGTGCAGCACCTGTTTGTTTTTAAGAGACAGGGTCTCACTCTGTTGCCCAGGCTAGGTAGGTTGCAGTGACATGATTATAGTTCACTGCAGCCATAAACTGAGCTTAAGTGATCCTCCTGCCCCAGCCTCATGAGTAGCTGGGAACACAGGCATGTGCTACCAGGCCTGGCTCATTTTTAAGTTTTTTTGTAGAGATAGGGTCTTGGTATTAATATGTTGCCCAGGCTAGTCTTGAGTCCTGACCCCAAGCAGTCCTCCTGCCTTGGCTTCCCAAAGTGCTGGAATTACAGGTACAAGCCATTGCATCTAGCTTCCTTCAGTGGTTTTTAAGCGTCTGTGTCAGGTGTCTCTTTAGCTCACTGTGTAGCAGCAGTCCTGGGTACAGGAACACCCAGATCAGTAGGGCTTGACGACAGGTGCAGGGTTGTCCCTCTGACATGTGTCCAAGAGAGACAGCTCCTGGCGGCTTCTGAATACTGAGACTCAGCGTGGTCCAGGCCCAGAAACAGACAGCAGGTCCTCGGTGGAGACCAAGGAAGAAGTAGGGCTGGGCAGGCTCCCCAACCCCAAGCGTGCTTGTCTGCGTCTTCAGCTTCTCTGTCTTCTTGTGATGTACCCTTGTCTGCTCTCTCTCGATCTGCCTTTTTGTGTCCTTTCTTTCTATCATTTTTCTTCTGTCACTCTTGATGTAGAATTTAAATATCTTACTATTTATTTTTTGCTCATTATTATACATTTCTTTGTCTCTTAGTGAAAGTAACAGAACATTACAGAATATTCCTCCTCTTAATATACAAAATGTTCTCTCTTTCTTTCTTTTTTTTATACCGAGTCTCACTCTGTAGCTGAGGATGTAATGCAGTGGCGTGATCTTGGCTCACTGCAACCTCCCCCTCGTTTAAGCGATTCTCCTGCCTCAGCCTCCTGAGTAGCTGAGACCACAGGCGCGCACCACCACGCCTGGCTGATTTTTGTATTTTTAGTAGAGATGGGGTTTCACCATGTTGGCCAGGCTGGTCATGAACTCTTGACCTCAAGTGATCCGCCCATCTCAGCCCCCCAAAGTGCTGGGATTACAGACCTGAGCCACCACCCCCGGCTGAATGTTCTGTTTTTAATACATCAGAGATACATGTTTTGAATTCTTCATTAGAGTCAGAATGATTTGACATTTTCAGTGCTACTGATTTCAGAGCATACAAAATGCAGTTTTATGTATTTATCTTTTTAATTTAGAAGAAGTTTAATATTTAAAAGAAAATTTCCTGGAAAAAACGGCTCATTCGATTCTCTTATTTAACAAACACTGCACTTACTGTGTGGTAGACGTTATTCTAAGCACATGTTCAAATATTAACTACTTTAATTCAGCTAATTTTTGTAACAGCCCCAGAGGTAGATATTATTGTTCTCATTTGCAAATGCTGTTTTGTGACTTAAAGGAATAATAATTTTTAAATAAAAAGGCAGGGGAAAGAGTATTAGTATGCAGCTACTCCAAATGGTGTCCAACTATTTTTATAATGTTTGAGGAACCTGAAGAGAATGGCTGTGGTGGAAATACCTTCTTGGAAGTAATTACAGTGAAACAAGTTGAATGCGTAGTAAAATGAAAAAAGATTGTCCCATAACATTTTGAAATTTTAGGTACAAAGATTAGATTAAAGAAATGTAGGTATATGTGTGCATTTTAATTTTGTTTCTTTTTAAAGGCAACAGATCCCCTAATTTGTGGCTGAAAGATGTTCTCAAGGAAGAAGGTGTCTCTTTTCTCATCAACACCTTTGAGGGGGGTGGCTGTGGCCAGCCCTCGGGCATCCTGGCCCAGCCCACCCTCTTGTACCTTCGGGGGCCATTCAGCCTGCAGGCCACGCTATGCTGGCTGGACCTGCTCCTGGCCGCGTTGGAGTGCTACAACACGTTCATTGGCGAGAGAACTGTAGGAGCGCTCCAGGTCCTAGGTAGGTCACCCTTGCCTTATTCTGGTGTGTGTCGTGCTGCCAGAGTCACCCTGGGCAGTGGCTCTGCCAGGTCAGAATCCCAGCGACATGATGGTAGGTGCTGTGCACCACCTTGCCCGTGCTTTCATGTCACTTCTCTGCAAGGGTTCCATTCTTCACACTTCAAAGTTGACAAATACAGTGTTCTCATAGCTTTATATAATTGAAAAAGTTACACTTTCTGGTGTATTGTAAATGTTGACATTTTAAATACACAAAACTGTTAATATTACTTAAAAAAAACGTATTCCATGAACAATGAATACTGTAGCAGTTTTATGTACAGCATCATTGGCTTTAAAATATAGCTGCTTTATTGGAAATTTTGCAGAGTCCCTTAATTCATATTCTCATTTCCTACCCTTCAAATGATTTTATCCTAAAGTATTAAGTTTTTTTTGCTTAAGATTTTACTATATCCCTATCTACGTCTTTTTAATGAAAAGATGTACATATTTAAAGATTCCTTGGCTGGGTGCAGAGGCTCTCTCCTGTAATCCCAGCACTTTGGGAAGCCGAGGCAGGAGGACCACTTGAGCCCAGGAGGTTGAGACCAGCCTGGGCAACACGGCGAGACACTATCTGTACAAAAAATACTAAAGTTAGTCAGGCGTGGTGATGCACATCTGTGATCCCAGCTACTGGGGAGTCTGAGGTGGGAGGATCGCTTGAGCCTGGAAGGTTGAGGCTACAGTGAGCCGTGATTGTGCCACTGTACTCTAGCCTGGGCGATAGAGTGAGACCGTGTCTCAAAAAAAATTTTCTTCTGTGTTACTATTATATTTGTTATTAGTGCACATTACATTTTTTACTGCCACAACAACAAATATAATAAAAATTTTGGTAATTATTACACATAAAATGTAAAATTATGCGGTTGGAATTTTATTTTTGTACGTATAGATTTTAGTATTAAAAAAACTTGTTCATGGCCGGACGCGGTGGCTCACACCTGTAATCCCAGCAATTTGGGAGGCCGAGATGGGCACATCACCTGAGGTGAGGAGTTCGAAACCAGTCTGGCCAACATGGCGAAATCCCGTATCTACCAAAAATACAAAAATTAGTCAGGCATGGTGGCAGGTCCCTGTTAATCCCAGCTACTCGGGAGGCTGAGGCACAAGAATTGTTTGAACCCCGGAGGCGGAGGTTGCAGTGAGCTGAGATCGCACCAGAGCACTCCAGCCTGGGTGACACCGTCTCAGAAAATAAAACCAAAACAAAAAAAACTTGTTCACATAAATAAGTGCCATATTTGGTTTATTCTAAAATGTACATTTTCCCATATTTAACAGATCCATGGTTGCAGTGTGTCTTACAATCCAATATTCTATTGGATTCAAGGATATTTGGTTTTTGAGAATAATTAGTTTTTTTCTTTTTTGAAATGGAGTCTCCGTCGCCCAGGCTGGAGTGCAGTGGCGCGATCTTGGCTCACTGCAAGCTCATCCTCCCGGGATCATGCCATTCTCCTGCCTCAGCCTCCCTAGTAGCTGGGACTACAGGTGCCCGCCACCACGCCCAGCTAATTTTTTGTATTTTTAGTAGAGACGGGGTTTCACTGTGTTAGCCAGGATGGTCTCGATCTCCTGACCTCGTGATCCGCCTGCCTCGGCCTCCCAAAGTGCTGGGATTACAGGTGTGAGCCACCGCGCCCGGCTGAGAATAATTCTTAATATAAGTTATCTCAGTTCTTGGAATACATCAAAATACATGTTATCAAAATTATTTTTAACGAGGTCAGTTGACAGTTTGGATTGACTTTCCTTAAATTATGTTGGAAACAAAGAATTAGAAACCATGAGACTTACAAAAAGGCTTTCCTACTCAATTGTTGCCTTTACTCTTTCAACAGTGTACAAGTATTTTAAATTGTCCCTTGGCACTCTAAAGGGCTGTGCACCTTGGAGTAATAAACTACAGTTAGACTGGAGAGAGGTGAGGGTGGGTCTGTCTTTCATTAAGCAGGAGAGTCCTGATGAACAACCTGAGATGGGAAAGGAGAACAAGCTCCAGGGTGTTTTCAGACAAACGAGTTTTATGACAAAGCCCGTTTGAGGATTGATCTGAAAGTTGATTCCATAAGATGACTGGTGCCTGTCCACACCTGCTTGAAGACTGCTCCATAATTTGTCTCTGTCCTTTGAAGGACAGGATTTTTTATTTTTTCATTATTAATAACATTCATTATTGATAACAGTGCTAAAAAGAAGATTCTTACAACCACATCTCTTCAATTCTGCAGTCATTTCATTAGGTTAAAATTTCAGTGCTGGATCAAAGCATAATGAGTTTTTAAACATTTGATAGAAATTGGCATGCATATTTTTAAAAACTTGGTACGAATTGCCAAATTGCCCTTTAAAATGAGCATATTAATTTATCTTCTCACATGTAATGTTTGGGAATAAAGACCTGACTTTCCATCAATGTGTCCTTTGATATGAGAAAAAATAAATGCCACTTTATTCAGCTATTATTAAGCTGTTTGTTTCTTTTGAAAAATTTTGAATTTTTGCTGAACGTATACCATGCCTATACTTACAGAAGCAATTTTATGTTAATCTTAGTGGAGTTGAAAGGAAGCATATATTAATACTTTAATATAATTGCTTCTAGGTACTGAAGCCCAGTCTTCACTTTTGAAAGCAGTGGCTTTCTTCTTAGAAAGCATTGCCATGCATGACATTATAGCAGCAGAAAAGTGCTTTGGCACTGGGGCAGCAGGTAACAGAACAAGCCCACAAGAGGGAGAAAGGTACAACTACAGCAAATGCACCGTTGTGGTCCGGATTATGGAGTTTACCACGACTCTGCTAAACACCTCCCCGGAAGGATGGAAGGTAGGCTGCTCTGTTAATTTGAGGTCAGTTTTTGGTACTGGAAAACTACTTCAAAGGTTTCTGTTAGAAGGGGTTTTGGCTTTTAATAAAAATTTATCATTATTATTATTATTATTATTATTATTATATTTCATCCTCTCAACCCAGCTTTTCCTGACTTCAGGAAGAACCAGGAAGAGAAGGCTAGGTTTTGGCTTTTCTAAAACTTTGCATTGTCAGAAGTTATATGTCAAAATCAATTTGTCAATTTGTTTTAGTTGACAAAAACTGTATTTATGGTATACAGCATGATGTTTTGATATGCTCTGCCTTGTGGTATGGCTAAATCAAGCTAATTAACGTATCTGTTACCTCATATATGTAACATTTTTTCTGATGGGAACTTTTCAATCTATTTTCTTAGCAATTTGCAAAATTACAATGCATCGTTATTAACTACAGTCATCATGATGAATGATCTATTGAAAATCATGAAACTTTGCATGTCCTTCAGAGTTTCACTGTGTGAATAAAATATAAAATAGTTTTTTCTAATTGTTTTATTGGATGCTGTATTTTATGCTATGATCAAACATCTACCTTAGGAAACACACACTCGCAAATATTTATAGATGTATCCATGAGGCTTATTGTATAAACAAACTCCAGTCAGTTCATTCAGGGAATCTCTGCCAGGTGCCTGTGGCACGCCAGGCCCTGGGATGCAGCAGTGTCCTGAGTCAGGGGCGGGGAAACCCTGTCCATGGACACAACCTCACCTGCTGCCTGCTCCGTAGATAAAGCTAAATAGGAGCATGGCTGTGCGCCTCTGTCCACCTGTTGTCTGTGCTGCTTTCTTATCAGACGCGTAAGGAGTTGAAGCAGAGACTGTCTAGCCCACAAACCTCAAGTGTTTACTGTGCCCCCGTTTTACAGAGAAACTCTGCCCACCTCTCCCTTAGTCAGGCAGAAGTTCCCAACCTTGTGGGCCCTGCACTTTGGTGAAAATAGAAGTGCTGGCTGACGAAGTGTTTTTATCAAACAATCTGTTACAGCTCCTGAAGAAGGACTTGTGTAATACACACCTGATGAGAGTCCTGGTGCAGACGCTGTGTGAGCCCGCAAGCATAGGTTTCAACATCGGAGACGTCCAGGTTATGGCTCATCTTCCTGATGTTTGTGTGAATCTGATGAAAGCTCTAAAGATGTCCCCATACAAAGATATCCTAGAGACCCATCTGAGAGAGAAAATAACAGCACAGAGGTGGGTACTTGGGTCACAATCGGGGACATGTTGTCCTGGAATTTCAGGCCCTAGTATGTTGCCGTGCTCCTGCAGCTGCTCCTGCTTCCTCAGGGAAGGCTTATATCAGTGGGATGTTTGCTGCCAGTGACCTCAATAGTTGTTTAGAAAACACATTTAACTAGTGCCTTCCCTGTACCAAACTTAAGCAAACTTCAGACATGGTTAGCGCCATGTTTGATCTCCATGCTAGCTTAGTGCGTGTGGATCCTGTTAGATGTTGCCTCTGTTTGCTTCATAACAGTGCAAACATTTTTTTCAGTGTATCTTGATAATTTAACGAGATCAGAGCTCACCTAATTTACTGTTTTGTCACATGGCCAGCATTGAGGAGCTTTGTGCCGTCAACTTGTATGGCCCTGACGCGCAAGTGGACAGGAGCAGGCTGGCTGCTGTTGTGTCTGCCTGTAAACAGCTTCACAGAGCTGGGCTTCTGCATAATATATTACCGTCTCAGGTAACTATAACTTATTGTTTTTACATTTATTTTAGCTTTAGTATGATAATTAGTGTATTTATTTATATTATTTCTTAAAAGTCCTTTATGTATTGAGCATGCTGAAATGGGAATTATAGAAATACTTGCTCAAGACATGTAGATATTATGTATCTGTATATCTATGATATATCAATATAAATATGAAAGCAAATGTAAAAATTTATAAATATAAAATGAAAGTAAAATAAAGGACATTTAGGTATTTACAGAGCAGCTTTCTGAAAAACTTTAGGAACTGCTGTTGTGCCTTTGTGGCAAGACAACACAAATGAAGAATCTAGCATAGAAAGCAAGGTTGAGCCAGATACAGTGGCTCATACTTGTAATCCCAGCACTTTGGGAGGCTCAGATAGGAGGATTGCTTGAGGCCAGAAGTTTGAGACCGACCCAGGCAACATGGCAGGAATTCATCTCTACAAACAATTAAAAAACAACAACAACAAAAAAAAACATTGTCCAGGAGTGGGTGCCGCGGACCCGTAGTCCCAGCTACTCAGGAGGCTGAGGTGGGAGGATTGCTTGAGCTTGGAAGCCTGAGAATGCAGTGAGCCACGATTGTGTCACTGCACTCCAGCCTGGGCGACAGAGCAAGACCCTGTCTCACAATAGCAAGAACAACAAAAGCAAAGTTGAATTAAAATTTTTCTGAATATTGGAAGGTAGTTGTCAGTGCTATCTGAAGTGGGTTTTTTATTTAATGAGAGGAGTGAAGTTGTTTTTTTCTAAGAAATATCTTTTTGCTAGGCATTTCAGTGTTGGCTTCCTTTTAGTCCACAGATTTGCATCATTCTGTTGGCACAGAACTTCTTTCCCTGGTTTATAAAGGCATTGCCCCTGGAGATGAGAGACAGTGTCTGCCTTCTCTAGACCTCAGTTGTAAGCAGCTGGCCAGCGGACTTCTGGAGTTAGCCTTTGCTTTTGGAGGACTGGTAGGAAAAACGCCTCTGCATGCTGCACTCCCCTAATAATAGAAATACATATGTCACTTGCAGGTGTCTCTAGAAACTGTGGAATTTGGGTAGTAAGGTTTTAGCTGGACAAGTATTGTATGATTTGCATGAGCCAACTTTCTAAAAGATTATTTTCTCAATAGTTAAAAAAAAAAAGAACGGAATAGAACAACATTCTTTTTAAATAGAGGTTTTGTCTATCCCACTTTGTTTCCAAAAGGAATTAGCTAGAGAACGTTTTGTGACTATGAAGCTGAGTCATGTTGACATGTGGCCTCTTCTCCTCTCCTTGGTGGTCCTTCACATGGATGATTGGGAGGGCCTCTGAAGGATAATCCCAGAGGAACCAGAGTCTCCAAAAAAATATTCTCATGGCTCTTTGAACCATGCAGGGCTGGCCTTAAATAGTCCCTGCTGTAGCTGAAATCTGCAGCCAGCCCTCTGTGTTCACTCCATCCCAACTTTCTTTCTTCTGTAGCAGAAACCCCTTTTTCACCCCTTTGTCCGATTAATGTAAACAATTACATATTTAAATTGTCTAAAAATACTCACCCTTAATAGACTATCCTCAAAGCAACAACACTGGGGTAGGCAGATGGCTTGAGCCCAGGAGTTTGAGACCATCCTGGACAACATAGCGAGACCCTGTTTCTACAAAAAAATTTAAAAAATTAGCCAGGTATGGTGGCACATGCTTGTAGTCCCAGCTACACAAGAGGCTGAGGTGGGAAGATCGCTTGAGCCCAGGAAGTCAAGGCTGTAGTGAGTCATGATCATGCCACTGCACTCCAGCCTGGGCAACAGAGTGACACCCTGTCTTTAAAAAACAACAAGGCTGGGCAGGGTGACTTATTGCCTGTAATCCTAGCACTTTGAGAGGCCAAGGCGGGTGAATTGCTTGAGGTCAGGAGTTCGAGACCAGCCTGAACTACATGGTGAAATGCTGTCTCTACTAAAAATACAAAAATTAGCCAGGTGTGGTAGAACGCACTTGTAATTCCAGATACTCGGGGGTGCTGAGGCCGGAGAATTGCTTGAACCTAGGAGGTGGAGGTTTGCAGTGAGCCGAGATCGTGCCACTGTACTCCAGCCTGGGCAACAGAGCGAGACCCTGTCTCAAAAAATAAAACACAACAACAAGACTTTTGGACATTTGGAAGAAATATGGGTCAAGGAAGATTTCTTTCCCAAAATGAAACCTAGAAAATGGAGGCTAGTTGAAATATATACAATTTCAGCTTGAATCCAGGCTTCACATATCAGGCTCTTTTTAGACCTGTGTCATTTTCCAATTTCAAAGTTATCAGTTGCCCAAGGGTCTTTCTGTGCCATGCAAAGATGTGCCCCAGTTATGGTACTTCTCCTTTCTTTTTCCCAGTGTGAGCGCCTTGTGAGTCTTCTCCTGAACCCAGCGGTGCTGTCCACGGCGTCCTTGGGCAGCTCACAGGGCAGCGTCATCCACTTCTCCCATGGGGAGTATTTCTATAGCTTGTTCTCAGAAACGATCAACACGGAATTATTGAAAAATCTGGATCTTGCTGTATTGGAGCTCATGCAGTCTTCAGTGGATAATACCAAAATGGTAACAAAGTTTCCCTTTAAATAAACTGTTTTTTTTGTTTGTTTGTTTGTTTGAGACAGAGTCTTGCACTTTCGCCCAGGCTGGAGTGCAGTGGCACGATCTCTGCTGACTGCAACCTCTGCATCCCAGATTGAAGCGATTCTCCTGCCTCAGCCTCCCGAGTAGCTGGGATTACAGGCACCCGCCACCACACCTAGCTAATTTTTTGTATTTTTAGTAGAGACGGAGTTTCACTATGTTGGCCAGGCTGGTCTTGAACTCCTGACCTCGTGATCCGCCCAGTTTGGCCTCCCGAAGTGCTGGGATTACAGGCGTGAGCCACTGCACCCGGTCAATATTTTCTTATATAATCCTTATAAAAGGGTTGCCATATTCCTGAAATATTTCATTAAAGTATGACAAGACTTTTTCCTATAAGGTTGAAAGCTCTTGCTTTTAACAAACTCAGAAAAACCCAAAACATACCCCTTATCAATAGTTAATGAATATTAGGCCAGGCATGGTGGCTCATGCCTGTAATCCCAGCACTTTGGGAGGTGGAGGTGAGCGGATCATCAGAGGTCAGGAATTCAAGCCCAGCCTGGCGAACATGGCAAAACCTTGTTTCTACTAAAAATACAAAAAATTAGCCAGGCATGGTGGTGTGTGCCTGTAATCCCAGCTACTCAGGAGGCTGAGGCAGGAGAATTTCTTGAACCTGAGAGGCGGAGGTTGCAGTGAGCTGAGATCATGCCCACTGCACTCCAGCCTGAGTAATGAAGCGAGACTCTGTCTTAAAAAAGTAAGAAATAGCTAATGAGTGTTATTGGATGTTAAAACATTGATTGTTTTTTCTATTCCCTTATGCTTTGCAAATTTCTAAGCCTAAATATTATAAGGCACAGCTATGCAGGGTATTGACATTTGCCAAGATGTGGCTTTGGAGCTTACAAACCCGTCCTGGGGCCCAGAGCTGGCTTTGCATTCATACCAGCTGCAGGCAGGTCTCTGCACCCCGGTAGACCTCTCTGTTCTCAGAGTTCTCTTGTGGCCTCGATGCTGAGTTATCATTTCTGGCATGTTCCTGCTGTGTCCCCCTTTCTCCCTGGAGATCAGTATTTAATATATAGTTGACTTTCGTTTGCTAAACCTCTGGGATTTTGAAATTTAACTTGTTCTGTGGACAGAAACTGTTAACTGTTGATATGACCATTTTAAGGGAGAGTACATGATGTCCTAAGTTGAGCTTTTATTGCAAACAGTGCTTTTCTGTTGTAGGGGAATCTTTTGTGGTAGATTGCAGTAGGAATTTGTATTCTTTAAAATTAGAAATAAAATCGTAGTAGATGACACTCAGATTTAACATTCTGATTTCTTAAACTATGACCTCTGATGGAAATGATAGAAAAAACATACGCCTTTGACCTCTATTCCTTCCCTAAATTCCTCTAAAGTAACAGAATGAGATTTTTAAAACACCTCTACAATCTCAAAGGACACAGAGAAAAGGACTTCCAAGAGTGACAAGAGTTGTAAATCAAAAGGACAGGTGTGGCAGACTGCATGCAGAGTTTGAGATAGCAGCGAGGTGATGCAGCCTTCGGAAGTTGGGGTCCACACGTGCTGAGCCCCAGCAGGGCAGACATGCGAGCAGGGGTGAGCAGAGGCTGAGAAGAGAGGATTGGGCAAAGGCCAGCTCTCCCCTGCAGGGCAGCCTCCTGTCTCTGCTGCTGGGGGTCTGATCCTCCCCACTTGAGGAGAAGGCAGGAGGCAGTGACTCCCTGGAGAGGATAGAGACCTCCAGACTGGGGGCTCTGGCATGGCTGAATATGTGGATACCATCAGGAAAAGAGGAAAGTTAAGTACTAACCTACCTAAATTCTAGACTTTCAGGCTGTCTGCCCTTTCCCTCTGAATACTTTCAGTTCAGCATCTGCCCTTGGCAGGGCACCAGAATATCCTGACAAGCCCTAAGAGAAAATAAAGATGCAGGCATCATAGCCAGCTGGGTCAGTGACAGTGATCCTCCCCACCAGCGAGCCCTGCACGCTGCACAGCGCTTCCAGGCAGGTGATACCTGTGAGCCGGCAGCCCAGGGGCTCAGGCACCTGAGGAAAGGGACGCCAGAGGGCGTAGCGGGACACAGGCAACTGTGGCAAGGCCTGTTCAGTGAGATGGAAATGTAAGCTGGAGAAAAAAAACTGAAAGATGAGAGACAAAACTGTGAAATAAGAATTGCTATGGAGAATGAACATCAGAGAACAAAAAAGGCTCTTGGGAATTAAGCATAGGCATCAGAAATTAAAAATGAAATGAGTTTGGAAGGTAAACTTGAGTAACTCTCACAGAGAGTAGAGTGAAAGACAAAACAGAAAACACGAGAGAAAAGAGGAGGAGACTAGGGATTCATGCATGAGGTTGAGCAGCAGGGCCTTGGCTCCGGAGGGCAGGGGTCAGGAGTGGCATTTGCTGAGGACACAGCTCCAGAGGAGCCCAGAAGCAAAGGCTTTGAGTTTCCAGGTAGAAGAGGGCCATGGAGTGTCCAGCATGGTGCACAGAAACAGCTCCACGTGGAGCACATTTCTTGAGAATTCAGAACCGTGGGGTTTCACTACAATAAAAGATTCTCAGGTTTCCACTGGAGAAAAAGCAGTTATGTGTGAAAGGATCTAGAAATTGAATGACATATGTCTTCTCAGCGGCAGTGTGGACATTGCAAGACTTGAACCAGATTTCTTCCATAGTTCATAAGAGAAATCTTCAGCCTAGAGTTCTGAATCCAGCTGGATTATCCATTATGTGAGAGTGGAATACAGATGTTTTAGACATGCCAGATCCCCAAGAGGTCCCTGTGCACTCTCATCACGATGCTGCTGGGTAGAGAGTGATCAGGCAGTGAGCCAAGACAGGGGAAGGTGCTGGATACAGTATGTCGGCCCCGCACAGAGGCGTGGATGGCCCAGCACCAGGTCCAGCACCAGCATTGCAGATCAAGAGCTGAGTTGCCACAGAAATGGGGCAGATAGACCTGATAGGCTTAGAGGGCTTGCAGCAATTTCATAACTTGGGAGAGTTTGATGACGAATTAATGACAGACACATTGAAAAGAGCAATGAAAGCAAACAAGGTTAGCTTCAGAG
This sequence comes from Homo sapiens, assembly GCF_000001405.40. NCBI lineage: Eukaryota > Metazoa > Chordata > Mammalia > Primates > Hominidae > Homo > Homo sapiens. Next base: position 47,882,824 of record NC_000008.11, on the reverse strand, counting down.
AGTACAAAATGTGCAAAAAGGGAAAAGCATTGTTTCTACTTGGAACATCTGTGAAAAATGTTTGCATAGTCAGAATGACAGGAATAGTGCATGTTAATCTGACCAAAATTAGCCTGTCACTCTGTTGCAGGAGTGGTGGTGAGACAGAAAATGTGGGTGTGCATGTATGATGGTAGTTGAACAAGAAGTGTGCGTTTGCGTGTGTGCATGTTTGCTTGTGTGTGTACACCTGTGTGTGCTAGTGTGTGCCTGTATGGTGGTGGTGGGACCGGAAGTATGTGCTTGGGTGCATGTTTGCTTATGTGTGTACATCTGTGTGCTTGTGCATGCATGTACAGTGGTGGTGGGATAGGAAGTGTGCATTTGTGCATATGTGCATATTTGTGTGCTTGTGCGTGTACACCTGTGTGTGCTTGTGCATGCATGTACAGTGGTGGTGGTGGTGACAGAAGAGAGCTGACTCCTTTTTCCTAGACTGCGCAGACTAGGAAAGCCAGGAGAAGCTGGATGAGCCTGATGACATAGCTAAGGCCACCCTGTACTTTGTGGAAAAACTATGGTTAAAGTGTACCTCAAATCAAACTCGAGGAGTTTTGAAGTAGATAAACATCTATTATAGAAATAGCTTATTTATTTTCCAAGAATAGCTTTGAAATAAAGGTAAATTTTGTTTTCTGTCATTCTCAAAATTAAGAATTTTTCTTCACTCACAACGAAATTGTCTCAGGTGAGTGCCGTTTTGAACGGCATGTTAGACCAGAGCTTCAGGGAGCGAGCAAACCAGAAACACCAAGGACTGAAACTTGCGACTACAATTCTGCAACACTGGAAGAAGTGTGATTCATGGTGGGCCAAAGATTCCCCTCTCGAAACTAAAATGGCAGTGCTGGCCTTACTGGCAAAAATTTTACAGGTATTCAATTCCTTTAAAAAGCAGTCATGTTTATTCTTCTGAACTCTGTAACTTGTGTCTTTAAAATTTGATGGAGGTTGCTCCAAAAGCTCATTGGTTTGACAAATAAGAAAATATTTTGACAGGATGGTTGCTTATATTTACCTTTTTAAACTTTTTCCATTATTTATTAGACTTACTATTTCTTATGCTATATCTTTTTAAAGTACCTTTGCATGTATTGTCCTAACAGATAGTATTACAATGTTTTACAATAAGATTGTGAAAATATTATTGAAGCCCAAAATTAAATTAACAATTCATTTCTGGAATTTAAACATTTGAGCAATGGGCTAAAGGAAATAGAGATGTAATATACAAATGTGTCCTGTTTTTCTTTTCCTTCCTTTAGATTGATTCATCTGTATCTTTTAATACAAGTCATGGTTCATTCCCTGAAGTCTTTACAACATATATTAGTCTACTTGCTGACACAAAGCTGGATCTACATTTAAAGGTAAACAGTGAAATATTTATTTTTTTGGATTACATTCTCTTCTGTTTTCGTATTTTTTATTTGTGATGTTTTTTATTTTTTATTATGGAAAATTTCAAACGTGTTCAAATGTAGGGAGACTAGCACAGTAATCCCCCGTACTTATTAGCCAGTCTCGATAACCATCCTGTGTGGGTGTGTTTGTTTCACCTGTGCGGTCAACCCACCCGTCAGCAGGCAAGGAAGGCCAAGCAGGCCGGGTGTGTTATCTGACCTGTATCTGCTTCAGTTCAGTGTGCCTCTCCAAGACATGAGAACATTTCTTTCTTTCTTGCTTGCTTGCTTGCTTTCTTGCTTTCTTGCTTTCTTGCTTTCTTTTTTTTTTTTTTTTTTAGACAGTCTCGCTCTGTCACCCAGGCTGAAGTACAGTGGCACAATCATGGCTCACTGCAACCTCCGCCTCTTGGGTTCAAGTGATTCTTGTGCCTCAGCCTCCCAAGTAGCTGGGATCACAGGTGTGCGCCACCAGGCCTGGCTAATGTTTTTATTTTTAGTATATTTCACCATAGTGGCCAGGCTGGTCTCAAACTCCTGACTTCAAGTGATCTGCCTGCCTCGGCCTCCCAAAGTGCTGGGGTTACAGGTGTGAGCCACCACACCCGGCCTAGAACATTTCTTTTAAAGTATAAGATTATCATATTTGGATGAATTAACATTTGTGTTTGCATACATATTATTTAAATTGGCTTTTTGTGCTATAATGACTTTATTACTCAGTCATTTTTCTATTAAAATAATATAAAAATTTTTGGTGATTTTTAGGGTCAAGAATTAATAAATACTGTCATTTTAAGGGTTACTAATTTTAAAGTCCTAGAACAATTAGATTTTAAACCCTACTGAAAAGTGGCCTTAATTCAAGGGACCTTTTTACTGGATAAAGGGGATAATTCTTTGGAATTTTCTGCTGTGTGATTAATCAAGTTTCCCATTTCTCCATAGACAGTCTTGGAATTTTCTGCCATGCGAGGGAGAACAGGAGTCAACTCCTAGTTCTTGTTAAGCTCAGTATGAAGTTCTTCTGTAGTTCTGCAATGTGTAGTTGTAAACTCCTCCTTAGGTTATTCAAAATGTTCTTTCTACACAAAGCTTGTACAGTACATTTTTACTAGGTTCATTATTTGTAGAAGAGGAAGCACATACCGAATCAGCACCATGTCCCATTTATTTATGTGTCCATAGCTGGCGTCAACCAACTAGCCTGGGTAAGAGTCAAAGCTGAGGTATAGGCTGGGTGCGGTGGCTCACGCCTGTAATCGCAACATTTTGGGAGGCCAAGGCAGGTGAATCTCCTGAGGGCAGGAGTTTGAGACCAGCCTGGCCAACATGGCAAAACCCCGTCTCTATGAAAAATATGAAAAGAATTAGCCAGGCATAGTGGCAGGCGCCTGTAATCCCAGCTACTCTGGAGGCTGAGGCAGGGAGAATCACTTGAACCCGGGAGGCGGAGGTTGCAGTGAGCCTACTAAGATCATGCCACTGCTCTCCAGCCTGGGTGACAGAGTGAGACTCTGTCTCAAAAAAAAAAAAAAAAAAAAAAAAGCTGAGGTATAGAATTGTATTCATGTTGGTTTTTAATATAATTTAGAAATTATGGTGAAGCCATTCATTGATTCCACATAATGCTTTATTTGCAATGTCTTACAGTAATTTTATTTATTCTGTAGGATATATAAGCCATAATTCGTGCAGTTTCTTATGTCTGTCTTGCTCCACAGGGCCAAGCTGTCACTCTTCTTCCATTCTTCACCAGCCTCACTGGAGGCAGTCTGGAGGAACTTAGACGTGTTCTGGAGCAGCTCATCGTTGCTCACTTCCCCATGCAGTCCAGGGAATTTCCTCCAGGAACTCCGCGGTTCAATAATTATGTGGACTGCATGAAAAAGGTTAGTTTCTAGTAGTATCAAGTAAAATTAAAACACTGTTTTTTTTTTCTTGTTACATATCTTGATGAAAAGAGGTGAGTAAAATATCCACAATCAGAGAAGTTGTAAACCACCCAATAGGTTATTCAAAATGTTCTTTCTACACAAAGCTTGTACAGTACATTTTTACTAGGGTCATTATTTGTAGAAGAGGAAGCACATACTGAATCAGCACCATGTCCCATTTATTTATGTGTGTGTGGCCTGAGAATTCATTTAATTCACTTGGAAAGCAGTGACAGGAGTATATGTGAATCCACTGGAATTTGTTTTTTTCTCCCATTTTTAATTGTGAAATATTTTATGTGTAAAATGGAATGTGTAAAATATATGTAAGTTATGAAGAGTAATACCAAAAGAAGCTAAGAAATAGAATATTACCAATAATTTCCAGTTTCTAAAATTTAATAGAGTAGCGATTATTTGAGAAGCATTTCGTGATTATCCCTAATATGATAGGTTGAGCATCCCTTATCTGAAATGCTTGGAACCAGAAGTGTTTCGGATTTTGGAATGTTTGTGTATACATGAGATATCCCGGGGATAGGACTCAAGTCTGGACATAGACATGAAATACATTGGTGTTTTTTGTTTTGTTTTGTTTTCTTTTGTTTTGAGACAGAGTCTTGCTCTGTCGTCTAGGCTGAAGTGCAGTGGAAACTGCACACAACAGTTTCAGAGATGAAAGAAGGTATTATGTCCATGAGATAGGATAAGGATCCTTGGAAATTAAATATGCAGAAGCAAAATTTAAATAAAACATACTTGTTCTATTCTGAAGATAAAATTAAGGGTATCTCCTAGAAAGCAGAACAGAAACTGAGATGGAGAAGGGGAGAGTCAAGATGAGAACATCGGGGGAGCGGCCTGGGATATCCCCTCTGTAGCGAGGACGGTGTGGAAAAGATGCACATTACCAGAATCAGAGTAAGGGCGAGAGTCCCTGGCATGGTGAAGGAGGGGGGCCTGTTGAAGGCACGTCTCCATGTACTCTCAGAACCTGAGATGCAGAGAAGAGTAGCATCTGCAAAACCTAAAAAGAATAGGGGCTAGGTACAGTGGCTCACGCCTGTAATCCCAGCACTTTGGGTGGCCGAGGAGGGCAGATCACCAGGTCAGGAGATCGAGACCATCCTGGCTAACACGGTGAAACCCCGTCTCTACTAAAAATACAAACAATTAGCCAGGCGTGGTGGCGGGCGCCTGTAGTCCCAGCTACTCGGAAGGCTGAGGCAGGATAATGGCGTGAAACCTGGGAGGCGGAGTTTGCAGTGAGCCGAGATCGTGTCACTGCACTCCAGCCTGGGCAACAGAGCAAGACTGTGTCTCCAAAAAAAAAAAAAAAAAACCTAAAAAAAAACCTAGAAAGAATCTAGGCTCAGTATATAGTGAACATTGATATATACCAGCCACTCAACAATATTTGTAAAAATGACAGAAATACTGGTATTTGTTAAGTCTGTGAAATTCTGGTGTATTTTTCTGTATGTTATATTTTTTATTATATAAGAAACTTTTTATATTTTTAGTATATAATTTAACTATTGAAGCAAAAGTAAAACCCAACAAAATTTTAATGATGTTGATGTATTTTTTCTAGTTTCTAGATGCATTGGAATTATCTCAAAGCCCTATGTTGTTGGAATTGATGACAGAAGTTCTTTGTCGGGAACAGCAGCATGTCATGGAAGAATTATTTCAATCCAGTTTCAGGAGGATTGCCAGAAGGTAAGTCATTCTGGCCTGGGATCTCAGGAACCATACGCATTTCAGTTTTGTGGGAAATTATCCTCTCTGTTCCAAAAAAAAAGCTGAGTGGCAATTATATTCTTGCTACTAAACTTTATTTTAGTTTTTTGTCTTTAAAACAAAACTTTTATTATTATAATTTTCAAACATACACAAAGCTAGAGGAAGAGTATAAATAAGGCCCCAGATTGAACAAAGTTCAGCATTTTCCAAGCTTCATCTTGGCCTTTTATCATTTTTCTTTTTTGCTACTGCTATTGTAATTTAAAGCAAATCTGTGACACCATGTCGTTTCACCTCTTAAATCCTTCTGTATATGTCTCTTAAAGCAGTTTTCTTGAATAGCCATAGTACCATTATCAACTGAACGAAATTATCAGTAATTCCATAGTCAGATTTCCTCAGTAGTCTCAAACAAGATGACAGTGTTGGCTTATTTGAAATTTGGTCCAAACAAGGTTCATACATGGCATTTCACTGTTATGTCTCTTCAGTCTGCATTTAAAACAGTCTCCTCTATTATTTATTTTGTTTTTGGAGATACTTGGACACTTGTCCTGTATAATGTCTTATATTCTGGATTTATCTGATTCTTTTGCTTTCATTGAACTTCTTCCTCTAGCCCTTGGATTTTCTGTAAATGGAAAGTTATGTCTAAAAGCACAGTTAGATTCAGGTTGAAATTTTGGCAAGACTAATAGTTGATACTTTATACTTCTTATTCACGGCATTAGGAGGTGCATAATGTCTGGTGATCCTGCTTTTAGTGATGCTAGGATTGACTAGCCATGTGCATGATTGTATTTTCCTCATGGTTTAGCTCTATTTATGATGATTGCCCTGAATCACTTATTTCATTAAGAGTTGCAAATGGCCATTTTTCTGATTCTTTTATTCCTTCTAAATTTAGTGCCTGGAATTACAGTGTAATGAAGGTCTCATCACTCGGATTGTTTGGTTACCAAAAATGCAATTTAGTATTTTAGCAAAAATACAGTGGGAAGGATAGGACATATCTGATTGTTGATTTTTTTTTTTTTTTGAGACAGAGTCTGGCTCTGTAACCCAGGCTGGAGTGCGGTGGCATGATCTTGGCTCATTGCAGCCTCTGTCTTCTGGGTTCAAATGATTCTCCTGCGTCAGCCTCCCGAGTAGCTGGGATTACAGGCACACGCCAACACACTGGCTAATTTTTGTATTTTTAGTAGAGACGGGGTCTCACCATGTTGGCCAGGCTGGTTCCGAACTCCTGACCTCAAATGATCTGCTTGCCTCGGCCTCCCTAAGTGCTGGGATTACAGATGTGAGCCATCCCGCCTGGCCCCGATTATTGATTTTTGAAGTAAGGGTTTGATGCCATGGCTACTCCTCATAGTAAACTTCCAATGAATTTTTAAAATTGGCATTTATCTATATTGAATTTGTAAATATCCATGTAAATTTGTCTTGAGTTGTATTTTACAGATCATAAACTTCACCCACTGTAAGTATATAGTTCCATGATTTTTAGGTAGTTTATTGAGTATGCAACCAGCACCATATAACATTTTTATTCCCCAGTAAGACCCCACAGGACCATTTACAGTTGACTGCCATTGCTGATCCTAGCTCCACGCAAACACTAATCTACTTTCTGTCTTTATAAATCTGCCTTCTCTGGACATTTTATATAAGTGGAATCATACAATATGTGATCTCTTATTCCTGGCTTCTTTGTTCAGCGTAATATTTTTGATGTTCATCCATGACATAGTTCATTCCTTTCTACTGATATTTTTAAAAATATCATAATTAACCAACTATAAAACAGAATTCTGCACGGCAGCAGAACACATTCTTTTGGAGCATACCTGCAGCATTCTTTAGGACAGACTATATACTAGACCATAAAAACAAGTCTTGATAAATTTTAAAAGATTGAAATCATACAAAGCATGTTCTCTGTCCAAAGTGAAGTTAAATTAGAATTCAACAACACAAGGAAATTTTGGGAATCTGAAAATGTTTGTAAATAATATATTTCTAAATAGCCCTTGGGTGAAATAAGAAATTACAAAGGAAGTCAGATAGCATTTTGATCTGAATAAAATAAGAATAAAGCTTATCCAAATGTGATGCAACTAAATAGGTGTTCAGAGGGAAATTTGTATCTTTTAATTCCTGTGTTTGAAAATAGGAAAGATTTAAATTAGTAATCTGAACTTTTTACCTTAAAATCTAGAAAAAGAAAAAAACTAAACCAAGGTAATACAAAGGAAGGGAATAGGAAACAGAAAAATGGTGGAGAAAAATCAGTATTTGTTTTCACAATCAAAGCTAAAGGAGTTGACAAACCATTAGCTAGGCTAGCCAAAAATAAAGGAAGAACCACAGTTTGTCAAAACTAAGAATGAAAAGAGGTGGATATTACCACTGACCTCTCAGAAACTGTAAGAAGATTATAAGCGAATATTACGAAAAATATTAGGCCAGCAAATTCAGCAACTTAAGCAAAATGGGCAAATTCATAGAAAGTCGTAAATTACCAAAACTGACTCAAGAAGAAATAAAATGTGTGAATACACCCCCAACAAGTAATCAAATTGAATTAATAATTAAAAATCTTTCTGTGAAGGAAATCCCAGACCTACATAGCTTTTTTGTTTTTTTGGATGCAAGGTCACACTCTGTTATCCAGGCTGGAGTGCAGTGGTCAAGGCTCACTGCAGCCTTGACCTCCTCCTGGGTTCAGGCAATCCTCCCACTTCAGCCTCGTGAGTAGCTGGGACTACAGGCATGTACCACCACACCAGCTAGTTTTGTATTTTTTATATACACACAGGGTTTTGCCATATTGCCCAGGCTGGTCTTGAACTCCTGGGCTCAAGCGATCTGCCTGCCTCGGCCTTCCAAAGTGCTGGGATTACAGTCACGAGCCACTGTGCCTGGCCTCCAGATAGCTACTAGTGAATTTTGTCAAAAGAGTCTCACTTTGTCTCCCATGCTGTAGTGCAGTGGCTCACAGCAGTCTCTGCCTCCTGAGTTCAAGTGATTCTTGTGCCTCAGCCTGCTGAGTAGCTGAGACTACAGGCACACACCACCACACTTGGGTAATTCTTTGTATTTTTAGTAGACACAGGGTTTCGCCGTGTTGCCCAGGCTGGTCTCAAAGTCCTGAGCTCAGGCAATCCTCCCGCCTCAGCCGCCCAAAGTGTTAGGATTACAGGCGTGAGCCACAGTGCTCGGCCCAGATATGTAATATATTTTTGTTTTTGTTGGTACATAGGTGCATATATTTATGGGGTACATGAGATATTTTGATACATGTGTATAATGTGTAATAATCACACTTTGATACAGGTGTATAATGTGTAATCAGGTCAGGGTGACTGAAGTATTCATCACCTCATTTATCCCTTCTTTGCATGAGAAATAATCCAGTTATACTCTTAATTATTTAAAAATGTAAAATATTGGCTAGGCGCAGTGGCTCATGCCTGTAATCCCAGCACTTTGGGAGGCCAAGGCGGGCAGATCATAAGGTCAGGAGATCGAGACCATCCTGGCTAACAAGGTGAAACCCTGTCTCTACTAAAAATACAAAAAAAAAAAATTAGCCGGGCGTGGTGGTGGGCGCCTGTAGTCCCAGCTACCCGGGAGGCTGAGGCAGGAGAATGACGTGAACCCGGGAGGCAGGTGACTGAGCGAGACTCCGTCTCAAAAAAAAAAAAAAAAAAAATAGCAAAATACCATTGACTGTAATCACCCTATTCTGCCATCAAATACTAGATCTTATTTATTCTATCTAACCATGTTTTTGTACCCATTAACTATCCCCATTTCCCCCTCCCTCTTACCCTTTCCAGCCTCTGGTAACCGTCTTTCTATTCTCTATCTCCATGAGTTCAATTGTTTTAATGATTTTTGGATGCCACAAGTAAGTGAGAACGCGCAAAGATTGTCTTTCTGTGCCTTACTTATTTCACATAAGATACTGATTTCCAGTTCCATTCACGTTTTTCCAAATGACAGTATCTCATTCCTTTTTGATGGCTGGATAGTACTCCACTGTGTATATTTTCTTTATCCATTTGTCTGTTGATGGACACATACGTTGCTTCCAAGTTTTGGCTGTTGTGAACAGTGCTGCAGTAAACATGGGAGTGCAAGTACCTCTTCGATATACTGATTTCCTTTCTTCACCCAGGCTGGAGTGCAGTGGCATGATCTCGGCTCACTGCAACCTCTGCCTCCCAGGTGCAAGTAATTCTTCTGTCTCAGCTTCCCTCCCGAGTAGCTGGGGTTACAGATGAGTGCCACCTTGCCCAGCTCATTTTTTTTGTATGTTTAGTAGAGATGGGTTTTCACCATGTTGGCCAGGCTTATCTTGAACTCCAGACCTCAGGTGATCCACCCGCTTTGGCCTCCCAAAGTGCTGGGATTACAGGCTTGAGCCAACTCGCTTGGCCTATTTTTTTTTTTTTTTTTTTTTTTTTGAGATGGAGTCTTGCTGTGTCACCCAGGCTGTGTGTATACCTAACAGTGAGATTGCTGGATCATATGGAAGTTCTATTTTTAGTTTTTTCAGCAACCTCCATGCTGTTCTCCATACTGGCTGTACAATTTATATCCTTTGTCCACATTATTTCAGTTTTTTGGAATGTATTAAGACTTGTTTTGTGGCCTAACATATGCTCTATCCTTGAGAATGATCCATGTGCCTATCAGGGTAATGTGTTTTCTGCAGCCATTGAGTCAGATGTTCTGTAAACATCTGTAAGGTTCATTTAGTCTGTAGTGCTGATTGAGTATGATGTTTCTTTGTTGACTGATTTTCTGTTTGGAAGATCTGTCCAATCCTGAAGGCGGGGTGTTGAAGTCTTCAGCTGTTGTTGCATTATGGTCTGTCTCACCCCTTTAGCTCTAATATTTGATTTATATATCTGAGTGCTGCAGTGACCGGTGCATATATATTTACAATTGTTATATCCTCTTGCTGAATTGACCCCTTAATCATTATATAATGACTTCAAAAATCCCTTTTTATACTTTTTGTCTTGAAATCTATTTTGTCTGATGTAAGTACAGCTACTCCTGCTCTGTTTTGGTTTCCATTGGCATGAAATATCTTTTTTCATCCCTTTATTTTCAATCTGTGTGGATGTTTATAGGTGAAGTGTGTTTCTTGCAGGCAACAGATCATTTTTTTTTTTTTTTTTTTTACTTTTTTATATCAGTTTAGCCACTTTATTTTTATTGGACAGTTCAATCCATTTACATTCAATGTTGTTGTTGATAAGTGTGGACTTCTACCATTTGTTATTTGTTTTCTGGTCATTTTGTGGTCTTTCCTCCTTGCTTCCCTTCCTGTCTTCCTTTTAGTGAAGGTTATTTTCTCGGGTCATATGTTTTAATTTCTAGCTTTTTATTTTTGTGTGTTTGTTGTATGTTATTTTTGATTTGAGGTTACCGTGAGGCTTGCAAATGATATAACTCATTTTAAACTGCTGACAGCGGAACACTGATTGGATAAACAAACACATGAGCAAGAGAAAAAACTAATAAAAATTATACACTTTAATCTCATCTTCCGCTTTTTAAACGTTTTGCTGTTTCAAGTTATACCTTATTACACTGTCTATATCTGGAAAAGTTATTATTTTTGATAAATTTATCTTTTTAGTCTTTCTACTCAAAATATAAGTAGTTTACATACCACAATTACAGTGTTACAATATTCTATGGTTTTCTTTGTACTTATTAGTGAGTTTTATACTTCAGGTGATTTCTTATTGCTCATTAATGTCCTTTTCTTTCATATTAAAGAACTCCTGGCCAGGCGTGGTGGCTCACGCCTGTAATCCCAGCACTTTGGGAGGCCGAGGCTGGTGGATCTCCTGAGGTCAGGAGTTTGAGACCAACCTGGTCAACATGATGAAACCCTGTCTCTACTAAAAATAAGCCAGGCGTGGTGGCGGGTGCCTGTAATCTCAGCTACTCAGAAGGCTGAGGCAGGAGAATCGCTTGAACCCTGGAGGTGGAGGTCGCAGTGAGCTAAGATCGTGCCACTGCACTCCAGCCTGGGCAAGAAGAGCGAAACTCCATCTTAAAAAAACAAAAACAACAACAACAAAAAAAACTCCTTTTATCATTTCTTGTAGCATTTATCTTGTGGTATTGATAAAATCCTTTAGCTTATGTTTTCTGGGAAAGTCTTCATGCTTGAAGGATATTTTTATTGGATATACTGTTCTAGGAAAAAATGTTTTTCCTTCAACATCTTCAATATGTCATACCACTCTGTCTTCGCCTGTAAAGTTTCCACCCATAAGTCTGCTACCAAATGTATTGGCACTCCTTTGTATGTTACTTGTTTCTTTCCCCTTGCTTCTCTTGGGATCCTTTCTTTATTCTTGACTTCTGGGTGATTGCTTGTTAAATGCCTTGAGGTAGTTTTATTTGGGTTAAATCTGCTTGGTGCTCTATAACCTTCTTATACTTGAATATTGCTATCTTTCTCAATAGGTTTGGAAAGTTCTCTGTTATTATCCCTTTGAAAAAACTTTCTACCCCTGTCTCCCGCTACCTTTTCTTTAAGACCAGTAAGTCTTTGATTTGCCCTTTTGAGGCTCTTTTCTAGATCTTGTAGGTATGCTTCATTGTTTTTTATTCTGTTTTCTTTTGTCCCCTCTGTGTATTTTCAAATAGCCTGCCTACATGTTCATTAATTCTTTCTTCTGCTTAATCAGTCCTGCTTTTAAGAGACTCCAGTGCATTCTTCAGTATGTCATCTGCATTTTTCAGATTGATAATTTCTGCTTGATTCTTTTTAATTTTTTCAATCTCTTTGTTTAATTTATCTGATAAGATTCTGGATTCCTTTTCTGTATTATGTTGAATTTTGTTGGCCTTCCTCAAAACAGCTATTTTGAATTCTCTGTCTGAAAGGTGACATATCTCTGTCTCTCTTGGATTGGTGTTGGTGCATTATTTAGTTGATTTGGTGAAGTCATGTTTTCTTGGCTGGTTTTGATGGTTGTGGATGTTCATTGATATCAGGGCATTAAAGATTTTAGGTATTTATTGTAGTCTTCTGGGCTTGTTTATATACTTCCTTCTTGGGAAGACTTTCCAGGTATTTGTAGGTACTTGGGGGTATGATCTAAGTCTTTGGTCACTGAAGCCATGTCTGCTTTAGGGGCCACCCTAAGTCCTAATCTGCTGTAGGAGGCACCCCAAACCCAGTAGCACTGTGGTTCTTACAGACTTATAGAGGTACCACCTTAGTGGTCTTGGTACAATCTTGGAAAATTCCCTGGATTACCAGGCAGAGACTCTTGTTTCCTTTACTTACTTTTCTCAAACAAATGGAGTCTCTCTGTCTGTGCTGATTACCTGTAGCTGGGGGAACGGTAATATGAGCACCTCTGTAGCCACCACCATTGGGACTGCATGAGGTCAGACCTGAAGCACAGCACAGCACAGCACTGGGTCTCACTGAAGGCCTTCAGTGACCACTGCCTGGCTACTGCCTGTGTTCATTCAAGGCCCAGTGGCTGTACAATCAGCAGGAGGCAAATCTAGCCAGTCTTGTGTTCTTTCCTTCAAGACAGTGATTTCTCCCTGGCTCCAGGTGGGTCAAGAGATGCCATCTATGAGCCAGGCCTAGAGTTGGGAACTGTAGGAATTTACCTGGTGCTCTATTCCACTGCAGTTGAGCTGGCAGCCAAGCTGCAAAACAAAGTCCTTTTCATTCTTCCCTCTCCTTTCCTAAAATAAAGAAGTCTCTGCCTGTGGTCACCATTGCCCCAGGCCTGCAGTGAGGACTGCCTGGCTACTGCTGATTTTCACTCAAGGCTCAAGGGCTCTGTAGTCAGCTTGTGGTGAATGCTGCCAGTCCTGAGTTTCTCCCTTCAGGGTAGTGGGCTCCCCTCTGGCCCAGGGCAGGTCCAGAAATCCTAAGAGCCAAGGCCTAGAACTGGGGACCTCAGAAGCCCGCTTGGGATGTTGCCCCTCTGTGGCCAAGCTGGTGCCCATGTTGCAAGGCATGAAACATTATGCAAGTCTCCTTTACTCTTACTTCTCCTTCTCTCAAGCAGAAATGGTTTCTCCCTGTGGCCACCACAACTGGGAATGTGCTGGGTCACACTCGAAGCCAGCGTGGCCCTGGGTCTTAACCAAGGCCCACGGCAAGTACTACCTGGTTAGCACTGATAATTCGTCACCCAAAGGCTCTTTAGTCAGTAGGTGATGAATCCCATCAGACTGAGCCCTTCCCTTCAAGGCAGCAGGTTCCCTTCTGGCCCAGAGTGTGTCTAAAAATGTCGTCTGGGAGCCAGGACCTGGAGTGAGGGACTCAGGATTCTCCCTGGTGCCCTGTTCTGCTGTGGCTGAGCTGGTATCCCAGTTGCAAGACAAAGTCCTCTTTACTCTCCCCTTCCTGTCCTCAAGCAGAAGAAAGGAATCACTTTTATTACTGCAAGCTGTACTACTTGGGTTTGGGGAGGCATGGCCAAGCACTCCCATAGTGGCCACAGCTGGTATCTCAGGTTATGTGCCCCCCAAGTCCACTTGTTCTGAGCCCAGCCCAGCACGAGGACTTGCCCAAGAATTGCAATTGTTGTCATCTTAGTTGCTTTTCAAGTTTGTTTGGGACCCCAAGGCACTTTAGCCCATGGTGGCAGGGCTTGCCAGAATGTAGTTTCTGACCACTGGGATGGACAGTTTGCTTCTGATTAGGGCTGGTCTAAATGTTCTCCCAGTGAGTGCTGGCTAAATTCTGCCCTGGGTTGGTTTCTGCTGTGACAGGACATCGCTGAGTTCCAATGCAAAGTGCCCCGTCACTGTGCTTTTCCTCCCCCAAGTGCACAGCTTCTGTGTCCTGCGTGCAATTGCTGCTGGGGGATGAGGAAGGAGTGGTGTAGCTGATTGAAGACTATCTTTCTTAGTTTCTTCAGTGCCTCTTTCCTTAATACGAAGTTAAAACCAGGTACAATGATCACTCACCTGATTTTTGGTTCTTATGAAAGTGCTTTTTTATACAGATAGTTGTTCATTTTGGCGTTCTGCGGGGGAGACAATCACTGGAGGCTTCTATTTAGCCTTCTTGGTCCACTCCTTCCATTGAATTTTATCATTCATTCATTCATTTATTATTTTTGAGATAAGGTCTTGCTCTATTGCCCATACTGGAGGGCAGTGGCATGATCATGGCTCACTGCAGCCTTGACTTCTGGGCTCAAGTGGTCTTCCTTCAGCCTGCCTAGTAGCTGGAACTACAGGCATGCTATCACGCCCAGCCTTTTTTCTTCTTTCTTTTTTTTTTTTTAAACGTAGAGAGGTTCTTCCTAAATTGCCTGGGCTGGTCTTGAACTCATAAGCTCAGATGATCCTTCTTTCTCAGCCTCCAAATTGCTGGGATTACAAGTGTGAGCCGCCATACCCGGAATTAAAATATTTAAAAAGAAATTGTACCAGTAGTTCATAAACCCTTCAGGATATAGAGGAGGAAGGAATACTTCCCAACTCCTTTTGTGAGGCGAGTAACAAGACCAACATAAGAGAAAGACAGCACAAGAAAACTATAGACCAGTAAGTATCCTTCATGAATATAAACACAAAAATTTTTAAAGATACATTAAGCTATTCAGCAACACCCACAAAACATTATACGCCATAACCTATTGGTGTTTATTGTAAGAATGAAAGGTTGCTTTTCTCTCTGGGAATCAGTTAGTCTTAGATACCATATAATAGAATAAAGGAAGAAAACTCATTATAATTTCAGTAGATGCAGGAAGACTTTTGACAAACTACAACATCCATTTGTGATAAAACTGACAAAGGCTGTCTATGAAAAACCAATAGCCAACAAAATATGTAATAGTGAAGGAGTGCATGCTTCCTCCTGAGATTGGGAACAAGGCCAGAGAGCCTGAAAAAATAAACAAAAATAAATAAAAGGCAACTAAATTTTTTACTATTAAAATTTTTTTCTTATTCTTTTTTCTGTTTTACAGGATTTTAATGTAACTTCTTTTCTTATTCCTTTACGCTGTGCATCTTGTTCTCTTTTCCTTTCTAATGTTTCCAGTGATAGTCTATAATTACTCAATGGCTTTACAATATGCACAAAATACTTTCAAAAATAACAATACCAGTATGATTACATAGAATAATGACAGCTAGATGAAGTTTAAATTTTTCATTTTAGCTATAATTTTCTTAGTACATGCCATCTAAGGATATACAGTCAAATTTTGTGTTCCAAAATCATTTGATGTAGTTTTTTCTTGATGTGTGGTTATTACACCAATTAGTAGTGCTTATTTAACTTTCAAATTTTAGAAATTTTGTTTTTTCTTTTGACTCAATTTTCATTTTGAACATGTATGATATTTACATGACTAAAATCAAAGCTATATAATGAGCTGCAATTCAGAGGATCTTCCTTCCATCTCGGGCCCTTCTCTTGTTCCTCTTTTGCCCCATCACCTTCCTATCTCTTCCACTTGTGTCTTGTACAGATCTCGCCCTATCAGCATATAGAAATCTTCCTCATTCTTTGTCTTAAAAAATTAGTGTTTAATTCTTCATTGCAAAGAAATATCATAGTATTTTAAAGTAGCCCTTTGCCAATGGACTTCTGGGTTCAATCTTTTGCTGTTAAACATAATGCCACAGGGAAGCCAGATGCAGTGGCTTACACCTGTAATCCCAGTGCTTTGGGAGGCTGAGGCAGGAGGATCACTTGAGCCCAGGAGTTTGAGACCAGCCTGAGCAACGTAGCAGAACCCCATCATTACAAAAAATATTTTAAAATAATAATAATAATGCTGTTGTGAATAGCCTTGTGTTTATATCATCTTGTATTTGCCCGTGTATCTTTGGGGTAGATTCCTAAATGCAGATGAAAAGGTAAGTACATTTGTAATTTTGCCAGGTATGTCTGTATTGCTTCTTTTGGGGCTGTATTATTTGCATTCCTCCCTTATTTGTAATATACTAGTGTATCTGTTTCACTACTGTCTGGCCAACATTGTGAAACATTCAGATTTTTTCCAATTTATAGGTGAGAAAGGGTTTCCCTTTGTTACCTTAATTTTTCTTTTATTATGAGTAAAGTCAGGCATATTTTTATATATTTAATTTGCATTTTTCAGTAAATCATCTGTGGGCCCATTTTTAACATTAGGTCTTTGCTCTTTTTATTTTGCTTCTCCTTACTATCTTAGCTTTTTAGGTAAGAGTCAGATGTTTTATGTGCATCTCTACTGTGCTTGCTAGTGGAAAGCTCCTCAAGAGAAAATGAGCCTAGGATGGTGCCTGTGTTATTCCTTTCAGGCTGCTATAGCAGAATAGCACAGAGTGGGTGGCCTATAAAACAACAGAAAAGTATTTCTCATGGTTCTGGAGGCTGGGAAGTCCAAGAACGTGCTGCCAGTTGATGGAGTGTCTAATGACAGCCCGCTTGCCTGCTTTATAGGCAGCACCTTCTCTCTGAGTCATCCATGGTAGAAGGGGCAAAGAACTCTCTAGGGCCTCTTTTTTTTTTTTTTTTTTTTTTTGCGACGGAGTTTCTCTATTGTTGCCCAGGCAGGAGTACAATGGTGTGATCTCAGCTCACTGCAACCTCTGCCTTCTGGGTTCAAGCAATTCTCCTGCCTCAGCCTCCTGAGTAGCTGGGTTTACAGGCATTTGCCACCATGCCTGGCTAATTTTTGTATTTTTAGTAGAGACGGGGTTTCGCCATGTTGGCCAGGCTGGTCTCAAACTCCTGACCTCAGGTGATCCACCCGCCTCGGCCTCCCGAAGTGCTGGGATTACAGGCATGAGCCACTGCACCCGGCCTCTGGGACCTCTTATATAAGGGCACTGATCACCTCCCAACAGCCTTACCTCCTAATACAATCACACCGGGGATCAGGGTTTCAACATAGGAATTTGGGGAGTCTTAAACATTCAGTCCATTATAGTACCCAAATAAACTTTGCAAATCCTGTATGGCATCTAGTAGTGTCCTATAGTCTTTTTATGACTGAGTTACTTTCTGAATCTAGTATTTTTGACCTGGTTATCTAACTTCATAGCATCAGAATTTTAATGGCCATTTAGTCTTAACCCTCTTATTTTTACAGATGAAGATACTAACTCTGCATTCTTAATTTATAGATTTATAGACAAAACTTTATAGGTGATTATTCAAATATATTATTTTCAGGTGAGAAAATAAAGGACCAGATAGACAGGTATATTTCTGTTTGGGAAATAGCAATGGTGGTTCACTGGTAGGGAGAAACTAGAATTTTAAAATCATAACTTCTGAATTTTTTTTTTTTTTTTGAGACGGAGTCTCACTCTGTTGCCAGGCTGGAGTGCAGTGGTGCGACGGCTCACTGCACCCTCTGCCTCCCATGTTCAAGTGTTTCTCCTGCCTCAGCCTCCAGAGTAGCTGGGACTAGAGGCGCACACCACCACGCCCAGCTAATTTTTGTATTCTTAGTAGAGACAGGGTTTCACCATATTGGCCAGGGTGGTCTCGATCTCCTGACCTCATGATCTGCCAGCCTCGGCCTCCCAAAGTGCTGGGATTACAGGCGTGAGCCACCACGCCCAGCCAACTTCTGAGTTTTATATCCTAGAAATGTGTCTATTTTTTAGGCTTGAGATTCTTCTAGAGCCTTCCAGATGTTCTTTAAGCAAGACCAGATTTGAAAGTAAATGAAACATTCTTCTTTTTAATGCCCATGTTTGATTTGAAGATTTTGGGGAGTGGATAAAAGTAGTATGGTTCATGTGCAAATGCTTTTTGTGTTTTGTGGATTTTGCATATATATAGTCCTTAAAGTTATTTTTGTAATTTGTAATCACTGGTGTTTACTTTGCCTGTTATGTAGTAGGCACTCATAAAGTTCCTCTTCAAAGCAGGGATGTTCATATAATTTTATCTTGTTTTCTTAGGGGTTCATGTGTCACACAAGTAGGCCTTCTGGAAAGCGTGTATGAAATGTTCAGGAAGGATGACCCCCGCCTAAGTTTCACACGCCAGTCCTTTGTGGACCGCTCCCTCCTCACTCTGCTGTGGCACTGTAGCCTGGATGCTTTGAGAGAATTCTTCAGCACAATTGTGGTGGATGCCATTGATGTGTTGAAGTCCAGGTTTACAAAGGTATCATACGCCTTAAATCAGTAATAAGAAGTGAGCAGCCTACTTGACTGGTGTGCCTAGACACTGCTGTGTGCTCAGTCACATGGCCTCTGCTGTTCAAGGAGTGTGCCACATAACAGTCTGTGGCTACATGGGATCTGCCTTTATTTCCTGTGGCTTCTGTAACAACTTAACGCAAATTTGGATATTCTCTTACACTTCTGGAGGCCAGAAGTCCAGAATCAGTTTCACTGGGCTGACATCACAGTGTTGTCAGGGCCACGCTCACTCTGGGAACTCAGGGAAGAGCTGTTCCTGGCGGTCCTAGGGGCTGCCAGCATTGCTTGGCTTGTGCTGGTTTCACCCTGGTCTCTTCCTCCCTGGTCACATTTCCATTTCCTGTCTATCTAATCTCCCTACACATCCTTCTTACAAGGTTGCCTGTGATTTCATTTATGGCCTACCCACCTGTACAATCCAAAATAATCTCCTCATCACAAGGCCCTTAACTAAATTTTGTCTACAAAGTCCTTTTTTGCCACATGAGGAGGTAGGTTTCAGGGATGAGGGCATCTTTTGGATACTTTTTGTGGGGCGAGGGCAGGATGTATCACTCAGCCTCCCTCGGAATCCTGTTGGGAAATACTATGAATACCCAGATGCTGCATTGTTAATGCAGACTTCAAAATAGCTGAGAATTTTGGATTTTCACCTGTTGTTCCCATGTCTTCAGTAAGATTTTGTGCAAACATTTTCTACCCTTGGCTCACTATTTGGATGTCACACATTATTTCCTGCTTCACCAGTGTAACATATCAATGCTTATATTCGTGTTCTAGACCTGGACAATTGCATGCTTTCTTATTGAAGTGATTTAGCATTTTTGACTGTTAAAATTCTGTCTGTCTAAAGGATATTAAGTATTAAATTTGATATATTCTATAAGATGTATTTCATGTTTAATAAGACCAAAGATAATTATTTTTTACCTTTTTGAAGCTAAATGAATCTACCTTTGATACTCAAATCACCAAGAAGATGGGCTACTATAAGATTCTAGACGTGATGTATTCTCGCCTTCCCAAAGATGATGTTCATGCTAAGGAATCAAAAATTAATCAAGTTTTCCATGGCTCGTGTATTACAGAAGGAAATGAACTTACAAAGACATTGATTAAGTAAGATTTTACTTAATTTTGGATTCTATTTTATTTATCAATGCTTTGGGTACATATATTTTTATGTATGTATATAGTGTGAATAAATATTTTATTTAGATACTGAGCTTTTATAGTTTTCTTCTTATAAACCACTTAGGTGAACTTTAATTAGGGCGTTAATTTAGGGTGTATTGGATAACAGTTGTTTTATCTTGTACTAATATTTTACAAATAATAAAACTTTTTCCTTTTACTGTTCTTTTCCTACTGTTTTTCCCCTTGAATAGCTTGATATATTTTTAGTGCTGTGATTTTCAGTAACAAAAGATTTAGAGTATTTTATTTTTTCTGAGATTTGAAATTAAAGGCATAGTAAATATTTTTTAACAGGCATTCTAAACAATACAAAAGTAATCAAATGTATTTTCTCTAAAACTTGTCTTTTAATGGAGTTCTCCTCCTAGTAAATATTGAACACAGACTTTTGCCGTATCACATTTTGCATCACCAAACAAATTCATTATTACCCTCCTCTTACTTGGTGCTGTCTTACCTCATCAGTGAATGATGTCACCGTTCAGTCATGACTAGGCTGTTGTCTGTCCTCCTTGCTTCCTTCCCTCTCTTTACTTACTGCACTTGATGCCGTTGCGTCACTGACCACTGTGTTGCAAGATCCATGTATATATGCTGCCTTTGCTGTGAGATGGATGACATGTTCCTTTTCATATTCCCAGTGCCTAATACTCTGCCTGGCACAAGCCTGACCCTCGAGAAAGGCTGAATGGCATTAGGTCCTGTTGTCTGGCATTGTTGGGCTTGAGCAGTGATTGCCATGTTGTGTGAATTGATTTGTCACATGGATCTCTCTGCAGATTGTGCTACGATGCATTTACAGAGAACATGGCAGGAGAGAATCAGCTGCTGGAGAGGAGAAGACTTTACCATTGTGCAGCATACAACTGCGCCATATCTGTCATCTGCTGTGTCTTCAATGAGTTAAAATTTTACCAAGGTTTTCTGTTTAGTGAAAAACCAGAAAAGGTAGGCCACTCCTACGGTGTGCACTATTGTTATTGTAGGAGTTCAAAAGTTAGATTATATCAGTCAAACTTACAGATAATTTATACCATCTTATATTAAAGATGTGGTTCGTTTAATTCTGCATAGGTATATTTAAAGCTGGAGTGCTTTTCCATGAGCTATTACATAGCATTAATTCTAAAGTAACATCGATTATGAGGATCTTCACCATTCAGCTATTTTTATATGATTCTTTGTATTCACAGAACTTGCTTATTTTTGAAAATCTGATCGACCTGAAGCGCCGCTATAATTTTCCTGTAGAAGTTGAGGTGAGTGAAATTTTCAATGTTAAAAAAAACTTATCAAGTGCTCACAAAGAAAACCATATTATGTCAAACACGTTAAGTTGCCAATATTCAAGTCGGCTTTCAACAAAAACTGGTGGTTTCATGTGGTTTCTATAAAATCTGGCAATTGTAGCTTCAGATACAATCTCAGGCAACTACAAAATTTGTCAGAACTTGATTTCATCTCTTGACATGTGTAGGAAAGACGGTGCCAGTAAAAGGAAGTGTTAGGACATATCCCAGAAGTTGTTTTCTAAGTGAATTGCTCCAGTCAAAGAAGTTGAGATCCTTACAGTGGCCTTGCTTGGGCAACGTGGCAGGATCATGGAAAAGTCATGGGTTAACTGGAAGACTTGCTCTGGCAGATGGGACAAGGTTTGTTTTAGCCAAGCTCAGATTGACATGCCAGCCTCAGCAGTTGGGCAGTTGGTGAGAATGTGGTGGTTGCTGCCTTCAGCACCCATTGGAAATGGGAAGGTGGGCAGAGAGCTGAGCTCATCCACCATGGCGTGCACTTTCCCCACACAGCTGCTGACCTCTACCATGTCTTAGTGCTTCACCACTACATGTGAATGCTGATCCTGCCTTGTACTTCTTCTGAACAAGACTAGGATTGTTTTCTAGGCATATGTTCAAAGAACTAAAAAACAACAAAATTAGCACCAGTTTATTAAGCGTGTAGACACATGCTGTATGTTACTTCTATATTTTACAACAATTACAAGCACTATGATATATCATAACTAGATTTGAATAAATTGAGGTTCAGAGATAAATAGAATTTATCAGCAGTCCAGGCATAAGAGTTTGGTACACACTGTACGCAGTGAGCTGTACCAGAGCTGAGATGGAGGTTAAGTGCCTGGGCCGAGTTCTGTGGGAATCTGCAGGAAGGGCTTTCCTTAAGGGACACTCACTAGTCTCTTTTTGAGGTTATTTTTGAGTGCTTTTAAATTTGTTTTGTTTTGTTTAAAAATTTATAATTTTTTTTTTGCCAGATTGCTACTAAAACAGAAAAAGTATCACTATTATTATAAAATGTTTTACATTGTTTATTTGTTCTTCCCAATAGGTTCCTATGGAAAGAAAGAAAAAGTACATTGAAATTAGGAAAGAAGCCAGAGAAGCAGCAAATGGGGATTCAGGTAGGATGTTTTCAAAATCATGAGAAAGGATTCAAATCGATGGGTTATTTTGTTTTGTTTTGTTCTAAGACAAATAGAGGAGTAAAGTATTTTTTATGTAAATAGAAAATACTTTAAGTACCCTAAAACATTGAAATTGACTTTGAAAAAGTATTTTAAGTGGCAAATGGAATTATATTTTGAAAGAAATGTACTTAGCTAAACTTAGCTGCATAGAAAGGTCTCAGAGTGGCCAGACGGGGTTCAGATATGTTACACTTTTTTAAAAATACAAAATTAGCTTGGTGTCTTATTGTTTGCATATGGATTGTGTTTGTATGTTGTTTAGATACATTCAGAAGTCTACATTAGAATACAAGTCCTTTCGAGCCACTCTTCTGTGCCCAGCCTCACTGTGGGTTCCCATCTCCGGCAGGACAGAGCTGCTCAAGGCCCCTGACCTGCCGACTCCCTCCCCTGCAGCCCTTCTTACTGCTCACTCCAGCATATGGCTCTTGCCTGTGCCTTGTAGGCGCCAGGCCTGCTTTTGCCCTAGGTCGTGTGCACTTGCAGTTTCCTCTAATACCCTCAACCCCAGGTATTAGCATACCTCATGACATTTTGTTTAATGTCAACCCCTGAAGTAGACTCTTCCTGGCCTCCCTATTTAAAATTAGTCCACTATCCCTCTATATGCTCCTTGTTTTTGTTTTTTGCTTAATTTTTCCTTATAGCTTTATCATCATTTCTTGATATGAGAATAAAATTTGGACCAGTTTTCTAAATCTCTTAGGTGTTTTGGATTAGCTGCTTTTCAGTGGTATTTCTTCCCACATTTTTGTTAGACTTAATGGGCAAAATGTACATCATCAAAATTTTAAATGCAAAGAAAATGTGTTAATCATATGCAAAATTGGACCAGTATAACAATTTCCTTGTCTATGACAGAATAACTGCTTGATAACAACAAAAAGAAAATGAGGTCTTTTCCCCATTTCTTTTTTGCTTTCTTAATCTGGATAATAGGTTAATAATCACTGGCTTGATGAAAACCTTAGATTAAAATGTGCTTTAATTTTCATATCATTTGAATTTAGAGAAATACATTTCTTACTAATTATGTTTGAATACATGTAATTTTCTCCTTTTTTATATTTCAGATGGTCCTTCCTATATGTCTTCCCTGTCATATTTGGCAGACAGTACCCTGAGTGAGGAAATGAGTCAATTTGATTTCTCAACCGGAGTTCAGAGCTATTCATACAGCTCCCAAGACCCTAGACCTGCCACTGGTCGTTTTCGGAGACGGGTGATCACATTTCACATACTAAAAGAATATTGTCGATGTTTGTGAAGAAAGGGGGTCACAGCTATGCCTTGCTGTTACTACAGGAAGCCAGTTCTCTGTCCATTGACAACCCTCGGAGTATAGAGTTAATTTGGAGAATTTTCCAAGATCTAATTCCTAGCCTTTTATTCTGTAGACTCAGCAGTCAGATATCATCAGCACAGTAGGAGGTCAGAGGTCAACATAGCAAAGATGCTCTGACCTGAGGTGCACTCCCGGGGAGTCACCATACAGACGGTTCAGGGGGTCACATAGCAGAGACATCTGACCTGAGGAGCCACCCTGAGGAGTGACCATAGATGGGGGTCAGGGGTCAGTGTAACAGAGACATCTGACCTCAGGAGCCACCCTGTGGAATGACTGGGCAGACGGGACGGGGACTATGTACTTGGGATGCAAGGAAGACATGAAATCCTTCTTATCTGTTAATTGTACAGTGAGTGTATTTGATATTATTACCAGATTATCATTATTACCTAAGTGTTTGTTATATGCTGTTGCCCCAGAAAGAGCCTCCCACATCCACTGCCTTGTCCACTGAATGTTAACTGTACCCTCTGCTCTCCTGGGCCCTCCCTTTCGCAGGAGCAGCGGGACCCCACGGTGCATGATGATGTGCTGGAGCTGGAGATGGACGAGCTCAATCGGCATGAGTGCATGGCGCCCCTGACGGCCCTGGTCAAGCACATGCACAGAAGCCTGGGCCCGCCTCAAGGAGAAGAGGTGCTTTTCCCACTCATCTTACCTGTTAATACTATATTCATTGGTGTCATACTGAGAATGAACATTTAATATTGAAAACAAAACCAAACTGCTTATCAAATAAATGTGATTTTTTTTTGTTCATGTCTTACTTTGTCCTTGTTTTCCCATAATATCAAAATGTATCATTATTTTATTCCACGTTTTAAGGTAATTTTGAATGTTTTATTTTAGGATTCAGTGCCAAGAGATCTTCCTTCTTGGATGAAATTCCTCCATGGCAAACTGGGAAATCCAATAGTACCATTAAATATCCGTCTCTTCTTAGCCAAGCTTGTTATTAATACAGAAGAGGTAAGTAATTGATTATTTCTTTATTCTTTGAATAGATTCTGTAAGTCTGTTTATTCAATTCTATGAATGAATCAATTGCAATTCTATGAATATACTTAAAAACACACACAAAAAAGGAAAATATAAAGGGGCAGAGCATGACATTTTTGTTCTCTGATTAGCCACCCAATATTTATCTACTTGTTCATCACCATTCTTTTATCGTTTTTAACATATGTAAATTCACCTCTCGTGAGTTAGAAGTGGTCTTTGTATAAAGTACATGTAGCTGCTTTCTTACGGCTGCCAACGTTCTTTCCTTATAGTAGGAAAAAAAAAAGCGGGGGGTGGAGCGGGGGAGAAAATATTCCTGTTAACTCTATATGAAAAACAGCGGACTCTTAGGCAATTGCTGAGTTCGTGAGGTAGGAGCATCTTGGAGTCCATTTTGGAAAGGCCTTTGAGCTAGACGTGGTGAAGTGCAGTGAGAGTTTGCACTAGGCAGGGAAGGAGTAGCATAGCACGGGTGGTCCCTGGGTGAGCCAAGCAGGTCTGCACTGACTGCCTGGGCTGTGGGAGTGTGGTCTGGACCAGAGCCAGGCCAGGCCATCCAGAGCTATGCAGAGGGTTGGGCTCATTCATTGAGCACCAGGGAACCACTAAGGGCACTAAGTGGTGGGGTGACACCATCCACTTGGCTCCGTAGAAGGTCATTCTGGGCAGCTCTGCAGACATGGCGAGTCTGTCAGGACATCCCTGACAGGCTGCTCTAGGGCTGCAGCAGCACCTTCTTTCCTCGGGGCTCACTTGATTCTTCACACCCTGGGCACATGGTCTCAGGGTGCCATACTGGGGGGACTCAGACAGCCGTGGCCTGAGATCAAGCTGCTGGCAGGGTTGGTTCCTTCGAGAGCTATGAGAGAGCCTGGTCCAGGCTACTCCTAGCATCCGGCAGCCTCAAGCACTATGTGGTGTGTCACAGGCATTCTCCCTGTGTCTTCACCTCATCTTCCCCCTTGTATCTGTCTCTGTGTCCTGATTTCCTCTTTTAATAAGGACACCAGTCATATTTGATTAGGGCCCACACTAATGCCTTCACTTTAACGTGCTTACCTCGCTTTTGGCTTTAGGTCCAGTCATAGTATAAAATTTTAGCTGATGGAAGATACAGTCTTGTATTAATATTTTGGCAATTTAAGACCATTCTTTGATGTTTGACTTTTACATCCTCTTGTAGGTCTTTCGCCCTTACGCGAAGCACTGGCTTAGCCCCTTGCTGCAGCTGGCTGCTTCTGAAAACAATGGAGGAGAAGGAATTCACTACATGGTGGTTGAGATAGTGGCCACTATTCTTTCATGGACAGGCTTGGCCACTCCAACAGTAAGGATTGATGCATCTTTTATGTTAATATATTATCCTTTGCCAATAGCCTATAGAGCCTATGACACATAATTCAGGTCCCTCTCACTGACTGTGCTATGGTTTTCAGCATTTGTTGCTACATTGCTGGTGTGCTCCTAAACCAAATGGCCTCAGCCTGCTTTGGTTTTGTTTTGTTTCCTTTGCCTTTGGTAATTCGTCTGACCTTGCTTTTATTATGAAGCTGTCAGGTGTTTGTTTTGTTTTGTTTGCTGCCTTTACTTGCCTTAGAAATGAGATTGCAAATTTATTAAAACTATGTGTAAACTGAATTTCAACCAACCCTGAATGGGAGGCTCTGAGGACTCCTGCCTTGAAGTCCCTGGATTTTGGCATTTGTGCCATCTTCTCTACTCCCAGAGTATTGACTAATACCAGCAATGGCAAGATTAGGGCTAAAGCAGTAGCTGCCAGATGATAACACCATGTTATGTTGAGGCAAATGCAGTACCCACCAGTGTAGACATGTGTGTGTGTGTTGGTGCTTTGCCTACTCATTTAAAACTGTGGACACTGACAGCATACAAACGTTTTCATGTGAGGAGATGGTAAGAACAGTCTGTATTAAATATAATATACACATGCGGGGCTAGGCATGATGGCTCACACCTGTAATCCCAGCACTTTGGGAGACCAAGGCAGGCAGATCACTTAAGGTCAGGAGTTTGAGACCAGCCTGGCCAACATGGTGAAACCTTATCTGTACTAAAAAAATGCAAAAATTAACTGGACATGGTGCTGCATGTCTATAATCCTAGCTATTCGGGAGGCTGAGGCAGGAGAATTGCTTAAACCCGGGAGGCGGAGGTTGTGGTGAGCTGAAATGGCACTACTGTAGCTCCAGCCTGGGCGACAGAGTGAGACTACGTTCCCCCAGCTCCACCACCACCCCCCCACCACAAAAAAATACGTGGAGCTTTCTCACACGCTTGTCTCTGGATGTACCTATCTCATTTGTTTCACAGTTAACCAAATTTAGATTTCTTTGTCTTAGTGTAATGAAATACTTTGTTTTCTGCTTAATAAAATGAAAAAATTAAGAGGGGTTCAGTTTAACAAGGGTCCGTTGAAAGAGATTGATGTAGCTGTCAGTGGCTCAGCTGAACTCAAGAGAGTGGAACTGCCGGGCTCGAGGTAGCTGAATAAAGCAACAGCAAGCCAGAAAGGTTGCCGTGAAGCTTTTACTCACTCTGGAGTCATGGGAGTGAGAGGCTAACACTGGAGGGAGACTCCCCTTGTTCTGTTTGCCCCTAGAGTGGTGCACTGCTCAGCAGCCAGATGGATTAGCACAGACAAGGGCCGTCTCACCATTGAGAGGCCCTGAACAGGAGGCTCTGCAGTTTTATAGGGAAGAGCTGAGTCAGAAAGCACTGGATACTGAGTCGGAGTGGGGAAAGCACCTTCATGCTGCTCCCCTGCCCTGCAGGCGACCCCTGTCCAGGGCCTCAGATAAAGAGTCCTAGGCATGGAGGCTCCAGGGAGGAAGGCAGAGGTGCATGCATGGGGCATGGTGGCTAGCAGCCTGCACCCTGGACGGCAACTCTGAGATTGCAGCGCCGGCGGTGCCTGGTCCTCTTGCCAGGTCAGCCTTTGTTGTTACCTGTTTCTGAAAAATCACAGGGCTTTCAACAGGAGCCGGACTCCTGTAAAATGCCAGATTTCTTTTATAAATGAACTTGAGTTAAAAAATGCTTTCCAGAATGGAATGCCGCATATTAATACAGAATTTCTGTACCTTTTCAGGGGGTCCCTAAAGATGAAGTGTTAGCAAATCGATTGCTTAATTTCCTAATGAAACATGTCTTTCATCCAAAAAGAGCTGTGTTTAGACACAACCTTGAAATTATAAAGACCCTTGTCGAGTGCTGGAAGGATTGTTTATCCATCCCTTATAGGTATGTTTACTGGTTTTTGCAGTATTGTTTAGAAATTTAGGTTAAAATGTAGTGTGTCGTAAATGATGATTACAGTGAAATTTAATTACATGAAATGATAGGAGGAAGAAAATAATTTATTGTTACTAATAAAACCACAGCCTCCAGAGTGTGGCACCAGATGCGTGTCTCGCACCCTCCAGTGGCCCTGCCCTCCGCCTCAGCTTGCCTCTGATGTCCCCACGCTGGGGAGGGGCACTACCTTCCGTTGGCCCATGGGGTAGAGGGTGGTGGGAGGTAGGTAGGATTTGTGCGTAATTCCTTTTTTTGTAGCCTGAGGCAAGCTAAAACTTCCAAAAAGTTTTGCTATCAACTAAGGGAGAATTTAGGCAAATAATTAAAATACGAGGGCGATAAAATTGCCAGTGTTACAAAGCTGGAGGAACCTGGATGTGAACAGGAGGTATTAGCAAGCAGGGATATTGGATATGGGAAAAGAAAAAGAAAGCATTTCTGTAAAGTCAAAGCTAGACCTGGGGAAGAAACAGAAATAAAGAAAAAGCATTTCTTACCCTGAAGATTAGCTTTAGAAAATTCTGTATTTGGCCGGGCACGGTGGCTCACGCCTTAATCCCGGCTCTTTGGGAGGCCGAGGCGGGCGGATTACGAGGTCAGGAGATCGAGACCATCCTGGCTAACACAGTGAAACCCCGTCTCTACTAAAAAAATACAAAAAATTAGCCAGGTGTGGTGGCGGGCGTCTGTAGTCCCAGCTGCTTGGGAGGCTGAGGCAGGAGAATGGCGTGAACCCAGGGGGCAGAGCTTGCAGCAAGCCGAGATCATGCCAACTGCACTCCAGCCTGGGCGACAAAGCGAGACTCCAAGACTCCGTCTCAGTCACGCCACTGCACTCCAGCCTGGGCGAGAGTCAGACTCTGTCTCAAAAAAATAAAATTCTGTATTTGTCTTCCTGCTTCTTACTTGATTATGCAACAGTCTCAATTTTCTCCTTTGTGCTTATGTTTCAGGTTAATATTTGAAAAGTTTTCCGGTAAAGATCCTAATTCTAAAGACAACTCAGTAGGGATTCAATTGCTAGGCATCGTGATGGCCAATGACCTGCCTCCCTATGACCCACAGTGTGGCATCCAGAGTAGCGAGTACGTGTTTGCTTGATTATTTTTTAGGTCACGTCTACCCAAACTGGATTGACAGACTTCAGTATGGTGCAGTTTTGATAATTTTAAGGACCAGACCCATGCTACAAATGTTTCTGGGCCAGGCACGGTGGCTCATGCCTGTAATTCTAACACGTTTGAGAGGCCAAGGCAGGAGGATTGCTTGAGTCCAGGAGTTCAAGACCAGCCTGGACAGCATAGCAAGACCGCATCTATACCAAAAAAATTCTTGTCTGCCTAAATTTAGGAAGATGGATTTAGATTTTTTTGGAAGAAATGTTTGGGGCAAATGAGAAATGTAGGTGTTTAAAACAGTGTGATTTTTTCATATCCATGCTGGAAGGTGAGAGGTGTTAAGTATTTCTTATTTTCTAAACTGATATTCTGAACATTTATCCCCAAAAGTAATGCAGGCCCCTCGGAAGGCTTTGTTCTGGGCTCTCTGACGGTGAGGGCTGGTAGACGCTGGGCTGCACCATCCCGCCTGGGAGCTAGGGCAGCTGGGTGTGACATGTCAAGACAAGAGGCCTCAGAAAGATGGTTCCGGGACATCATAAAAGGAGCAGGACATCTTTGTCCTGCTCCTGAGGGTTGTGAAGTCAGTGTTGATTCCTGGCCACTCCCTGGGTTTCCGCCTGCCCTGCCCAATCACTCTCTCTGTTTGGTCCTCCGTGTTGGCCCCCCAGCACCGTCGGACCAGTTACTGGTGCCAGAGATGACACATGACCTCAGGGCTGAGGCAGCCAGCTTCGCGGCAGCCTCAGTGGGAACTCGGCTCCTTTTAGACAGTCACTGGCTGGGGCTTTGGCTTCTACACTGGGATAACCTTGCAGAGTCCCCTGAGTGCTGACAGTGAATGGGTGGCTCCCTGGGAAGCCTCCTCACACAGACGGCACTGGGAGTATGCTCTTTCTCATTTTATTGTCCTTGTCCTGCTATAGTAGGTGGGTTTTGAAAGGGAGTCAGTGTCCCGTGATCTTGGATAGTAGCTCTTTCTGTCACTGCACCTTTCTGTCTGTTCAGCCTTGTGGGATGGTCCAGCTGCAGCGGTTCTGCATGATGGGACAGCAGACTGCCCTATGCTTTTCTGGTTATGACATCGGGCACCCTTACGTACATGCTGATGTGTGCATTTGTGCATGGAATTTGCATCACATTCTATATTTAGATTTCCTCAACTTAGGCTGTCAATATGACATGAGAAGGAAAATTGTCATTTATATTTGTGGAACAACAGAATGGTTTATTTGATGCATATGTCTTTTCTGTGTTTATTGTAGATACTTCCAGGCTTTGGTGAATAATATGTCCTTTGTAAGATATAAAGAAGTGTATGCCGCTGCAGCAGAAGTTCTAGGACTTATACTTCGATATGTTATGGAGAGAAAAAACGTGAGTGTGCTACACAATTTTCAATAAATACCTCTTACTCTGTTTTGATTTGTTATGACCCTTGATACTTATATGTTTATTTCTTGTATGGTATTAGAAACAAAATGGGCATCTGCATTTATTAAAATTTTACTGTTTCTTACTATAATATAGCAAATATAATACTCAGTTTTTTAGAGAGGGCACATGATTTTTAAACACCTTGGAAACTTGGTGAACGTGGAGAGATCAGCAACCGACTTGGTAATGTAAAATCAGGATGAGAGTATTTAACCAGCTTTTATTACTATGAACTTGGTCTCAGGATTTCCTTGTGGAGGAAATTGTCCTGGTAGATAGCTGCTGTCCTCCCCCAGTCCATTCCTCCCCTTGCAGTTTTTGGTGTAGCTGTTGAACAGGGGCAGGGATCTCCCAGGCGACCCTCTCAGTACTGCTGCCTTGCCCACTGGACAGGACTGTGAGATGAGCCTAACTGAACGTTTAAGTGCAGTGCGCTGTTCAGATAAGAGGACTGAATGAAGAAGTAACATGTTCTTTATTGTTTTAAAGTCTTTTTAGAGCTGGGTTCTTGCTCTGTCACCTGGGCTGGAGTGCAGTGGTGTAATCATAGCACACTGCAGCCTTGCACTCCTGGGCTCAAGCCATCCTCCCACCTTAGCCTCCCGAGTAGCTGGGACTACAGGCATATGCCACCATGCTTGGCTAATTTTTGTATTTTTTGTAGAAACAAGGTTTCGCCATGTTGCCCAAGCAGGGTGGTGGGTTTCAGGTTCATCACTGGGATAAGGTGCTCTGTGGATCCCTGGGGATCTTGCTGCTGCAGAGCCTGTCTGGGTGGCCCAGCTGGTCACACCCTGAGGACACTCTTGGCTCCCGTCCTCCTCCTGTGGCAGCCCCCTCTCCCTTTCGTCAGCTGCATTTCCCTGAACACCTCCACAGCTCGGCTTTGGCCTCACTCACTGCTCCCCTGCCCGCCTCGTCCAGCCTCATGGCTTTATGTAGACTGCCTTTATGTTCATGATTCTCCAGTTTGCAACCCCAGCTCAGTTACTCTCCTGAAAGAAAGGACAGAGTAGAGTCCAGGCCATAGTCACTGTTGGGCTGGATGAGGAGAGGCTCAGGAGAAGCCAGGTGGTCCTGAGCAGGCACCAGTGGGCCCAGTGCTGTGATTGGACCCTTGTCCATGTCACCAAGTATGGATTTGTTTGGATTTAAAATAAAATTAAGATGACCCCTTTGGGAAGATCAAATATTACTTGTAATTCATTTTAGGGATTATCAGCTATTTTTGTAAATAAACAGATTTTTAAAATTCAGTAGAACTTTTTTACAAGATGATTCTAACATCCCTAAATATGAGGTTTAAATCTACATAATATGTTTCATTTCCACCATAAATGGAGCAGGTTACAGCAGATCCCCAGGTTTAATCTCTCATGACTTAAATTTCAACTTAAGAATAAAAAACACTTCTGTTTTACGTATTTTTTTCTGAATATAAAAGTGATACGGATTTATCGTAGAAATTTGGAAAGCAGAGTAAACATAAAGAAGTTGGTAAGAGGCCGGGTGCTGTGGCTCATGCCTATAATCCCGGCACTTTGGGAGGCCAAGGCAGGCAGATCACTTGAGGTCAGGAGTTCAAGACCAGCCTGGCCAACATAGTGAAACCCTGCCTCCACAAAAAATACAAAAATTAGCTGGGCATGGTGGCACACTCCCATAATCCCAGCTACTCGGGAGGCTGAAGCAGGAGAATCCCTTGAACCTGGGAGGCAGAGGTTGGAGTGAGCTGAGATCACACCACTGCACTCCAGCCTGGGCGACAGAGTGAGACTCCATCTCAAAAAAAATAAAAAGAAGTCAGTAAGAGAGGCTCGCACTCTTCCCACGCAATGTCCCTCAGCACCTGTGGCACACAGCTCCACTGTTCTTGGTCTCTGTTATTCATACTGTTTTATAACTTGCTTTCTTTACTTGCTAGATTGTGATCATTTCATTGTGTTGTCGTATTAAATACTTTTAATAAAAAGACATCTGATTAATTGGTAGGGTAATACTATGTGTATTCTATATGGGGTTCAGGCCGTTGAAATTTGTGGTTTTGTGTTAAGGGTTTTCCTTAAGATAATTTAAAAATAGCCTCATACTACAGATTCGGTATCTCTATTCCAAAATGCTTGGGACCAGGAGTGTTTCCATTTTCTGGTTTTGCAATATTTTCATGATAGTTTCTGTTTGAGCATCCCTAATTCAAAAATTCAAAATTCAAATGCTCCAGTGAACGTTTTGTTGAGTGTCATGCTGAGGCTCAAAACGTTTTGCATTTTGGAGGATTCTGGATTTTCAGATTTGAGGCGCTCAGTCTGTGTTGAGTTTGCATTGAAAAACTGTTCGGTCTGTGTGCCTTTGAAACGTTGCCTACCCCTCTTTCTGATGTTTGTGAGGAAGGAGGTGAGCCAGGAAGGACAGCAGTGTTTTCCGTTGCTTCCTGCCAGTGGACTCTACTGAGTACTTCTCTGTGTGGAGGACATTTGAGGACTTCCTGGTTCTAGGGATGCAGTAGGGAACAGGACAGGTCATGTCCCTGCCCTTGGGGAGCTGGCATTTGGGGAGGGGAGACAGATGGTACACAGATGAATATATAACAGGTAGCAACACTTGGTGAAAAGAGGCAGGACATGAGCAGACAGTACAGTGATGGGGACTGCTGTGTGAATAGAATTGCTTGAAAATTCTAGTCCATGTGAATATTTTTTATCAGAAATCTGAACACCATAAAATATGTCTCAAACAATATTTAGCCATTTAGCTTAGCTTCTCAAAGGACTTACTGGTCCTACCAAGTGTTTTGGTGTCAGTAGGAAACACTGATCTTCATTGATCTGACATCTACACGAGCCAGACACCTGGGTGCTCAGCACAGAGCACAGTGATGTGGACTGGCTCACCGAGGTGTAGGAACTCAAGGATCCAGAGCCTAAGGGTGTGCGATGGTCAGTGTAGACCAGCAGACATCCCCAGCACCTACTGTCCCATCATCTACCTTGTAGGTGACAACATTGAGCACCTTTGTTGGGCTCACTTAAATACTCAAGATAAACTTTGCTTTCAATGCTTAACCTACATTTCCACTTTTGTGTATTTGAAAATAAACTTAATTTTTCAGATACTGGAGGAGTCTCTGTGTGAACTGGTTGCGAAACAATTGAAGCAACATCAGAATACTATGGAGGACAAGTTTATTGTGTGCTTGAACAAAGTGACCAAGAGCTTCCCTCCTCTTGCAGACAGGTATGGGCTGTCCAGGGATCCTTTCGGGGCAGGAGGGTCCTCGGCCCTCCTCTCACCAGTTCCCTTCCCCGCCAGGTTCATGAATGCTGTGTTCTTTCTGCTGCCAAAATTTCATGGAGTGTTGAAAACACTCTGTCTGGAGGTGGTACTTTGTCGTGTGGAGGGAATGACAGAGCTGTACTTCCAGTTAAAGAGCAAGGACTTCGTTCAAGTCATGAGACATAGGTGAGTGAACACTAGCCCTGCTCTTGGGTCCCACTGGCTCATAAAGCGTTAATTTATTAAGACGTCTCCAACTCAAGAAGAACCTGTGGGTTTCCATGATATACACATTTGTGAAGTTGGAATCTCTGAAGAAAAGGTGAAGGCACCATAAGAATAGGATATCTGCTGAGGTGGGCCTGCTCTCTGCTCCCTTGGCCTGGCATCTTGGGGAGCCACATCCCAGGGCGTGTTTTTCATCCATAAATGAAGGAGGTGGCCTATGGGGTTACCTTGGCTCTCTTCAGATTTAAAATGTATGCTTTTGAGTTCTGTACCTATTTTGCCAGGTGAGAGCTTCTGTTAATGTGTTTAAATTGTTCATTTATTTTCAAAATTGCAACATAACATAAAAGTATATGTTAAAAGAGAAAGCTGCTGATCACTTACATTATATTATTTCCCTGTCCCTGTACTCTTTTCCAGTCTTAGTCTATTAGTCCATATACCTTTTTTTTTTTTTTCATTTTTTTCAACTTTTATTTTTGAATAAGGAAGTACAAGTGCAGGTTTGTTACGAAGGTATATTGCGTAATGCTGAGGTTTGGTGTACAGATGAATCTGTCACTCAGGTAGTGACCATAGTACCTAGTAGTTAGTTTTTCAACTCTTGCCTCATATCCTCCCTTCCCCTTCTTCTGTTCCCCAGTGTCTGTTGTTCCTGACTTTATGTCTATGTGTACTCAGTGTTTAGCTCCCACATATGAGTAAGTACATGCAGTATTTGCTTTTCTGTTTCTGTACTAGTTCACTTAGGACAGTGGCCTCCAGCTGCATCCATGTTGCTGCAAAGGACATTTCATTCTTTTTTATGGCTGCCTAATATTCCATGGTATATATGTACCATTTTCTTTATCCAGTCCACCATTGATGGGCACCTGGGTTGATTCCATGTCTTAGCTGTTGTAAATGGTGCTGTAGTGAACATATGGGTGCATGTGTCTTTTTGGTAGAAAGATTTATTTTCCTTTGCGTATATACCCAGTAATGGGATTGCTGGATCAAATGATAGTTCAACTCTCACTTCCTTGAGAAGTCTCCAAACTGCTTTCCACAGTGGCTGAACTAATTTACATTCCCACCAACCATGTATAAGTGTTCCTTTTTCTCTGCAGCCTTGCCAATATCTGCCAGATTTTTAACTTTTTAAGAAAACCATTCTGACTGGTGTGAGATGGTATCTCATTTGCATTTCTCTGATGATTTGTGATGATGACTTTTATATATATATATATATATATATTTGTTGGCCGCTTTTATGTCTTTTGAGAAGTATCCATGTCTTTTGCTCATTTTTTAATGGGGTCACTTTTTACTTGTTGAATTAAGTTTTTTATGGATTCTGGATATTAGACCTTCGTTAGGTGCATAGTTTGTGACTATTTTGAATATTTTCTCCCATTCTATAGGTTGTCTGTTTACCCTCTTGATAGTATCTCTTGCTGCACAGAATCTCTTTAATTTAACTAGGTCCTGCTGGTCAATTTTTGTTTTTGTTGCAGTTTCTTTTTAGAACTTAGTCATAAATTCTTTGCTAAGGCTGATATTGAGAAGGGTATTTCCTAGATTTTCTTCTAGTATTTTTGTAATTTGAAGTCTTACATTGAAGTCTGTAATCCATCTTAATTTTTTTATGTGGTGATAGGCAGGGCTCTAGTTTCATTCTTTTGCATATGGTTAGCCAGTTAGCACCATTTATTGAATGAGGCATCTTTTCCCCACAGCTTATTTTTGTTGACTTTGTCAAAGATCAGATGGTTCGGCTTTATTTCTGGGTTCTCCATTCTGTTCTATTGGTCTGTGTGTCTGTGTTTTTTTGTATTTTGTTTTTTCCCCCGACCAGTACCATGCTGTTTTGATTATTGTATCCCTGTAGTATAGTGAAGTTGGGTAATACGATGTTCTGGCTTTGTTCTTTTTGCTTAGAATTGTTTTGGCTATTCGGGCTCTTTTTTGGTTTCATATGAATTTTAGAATAGTTTTTTCCAATTCTGTGAAAAGTGACATAGGTAGTTTGATAGGAATAGCATTGAATCTGTAGATTGCTTTGGGCAGAATGGCTATTCTAACAATATTGATTCTTCTAATCCGTTTTTTCATTTATTTGTATCATCTCTGATTTCTTTCAGCAGTGTTTTATAGTCCTCCTTGTAGAGATCTTTCACCTCCTTGGTTAGCTGTATTCTTAGGTGTTTTATTCTTTTCTTTGCTATTGTAAATAGGCTTACATTCTTGATTTGGATCTCAGCTGTAATGTTATTGGTGTATAGAAATGTTACTGATTTTTGTACATTGATTTTGTATCCTAGAACTTTACTCAAGTCATTTATCAGTTCTAGGAACGTTTTGTCAGAGTCTTTAGGGTTTTCTGGGTATAGAATCATACCATCAGAGAAGAGGAATAGTTTGATTTCTTCTTTTCCTATTTGAATATGTTTTATTTCTTTCTCTTGCTTGATTGTTCTGTGTAGGACTTTGAGTACTGTGTTGAATAGGAGTGATGAGAGTGGGCATCCTTGTCTTTTCCAGTTTTCAAGGGGAATGCTTCCAGTTTTTACCATCATTCAGTATCATGTAGGCTGTGGGTTTGTCATAGATGATTGTTATTATTTTGAGGAATATTCCTTTGATGCCTGGTTTGTTGAGGGTTTTTATCATGCAAGGATGTTGGATTTTTTTCTTTTTCTTTTTTTTTTTTTTTTGAGGCAGAGTCTCCCTCTGTTACCCAGGCTGGAGTGCAGTGGCGTGACCTCAGCTCACTGCAACCTCTGCCTCCCAGGTTTAAGCGATTCTCCTGCCTCAGCCTCCTGAGTAAGTGGGATTACAGGCACATGCCACCATGCCTGGCTAATTTTTGTATTTTTAGTAGAGACAGGGTTTTATCATGTTGACCAGGCTGGTCTCGAACTCCTGACCTCAAATGATCCATCCATCTCAGCTTCCCAAAGTGCTAGGATTATAGGCGTGAGCCACTGCACCTGGCCCAGAATGTTGGATTTTATTGAAAGCTTTTTCTCCATTTATTGAAATGATCATATGGCTTTTGTTTTTAATTCTGTTTATGTGGTGAATCACATTATTGATTTGTGTATGTTGAACCAACCTCGCATTCTAGGAATAAAGCACACTTGATTGTCACGCATTGACTTTTAGTTGTGTTGTTGGATTCAATTTGCTAGTATTTCGTTGAGGATTTTTTCATCTGTGTTCATCAGGGATTTGGCCTGACGTTTTCTTTTTTCATTGTGTCCTGCCAGATTTTGGTATCAGGATGATGCTGGCTTCAGAGAATGAGTCAGGGAGGAGTCCTTCCTCCTTGGTTTTGTGAAATAGTTTCAGTAGGATTCGTACCAATTCTTTGTATGTCTGGTAGAATTCAGCTGTGAATCCATCTGCCCTGGGTTTTTTGTTTTCTGCTTTTTTTTTTTTTGCTTGGTAAGTTTTTTTCATTATTGATTTAATTTAGGAGCTCCTGATTGGTCTGTTCAGGTTTTTGTTTGTTTGTTTGTTTGTTTGTTTTTAATTTCTGGTTCAATCTTGGGAGGTTGTATGTTTCCAGGAATGTATCTATTTCCTCTAGGTTTCCTAATTTGCTTACGTAGAGTGTTCACAATAGTCTCTGAGGATCTTTTGTATTGCTGTGGGATCAGGTATGATGTTATCTTTGTCATTTCTTATTGTGCTTATTTAGATCTTCTGTCTGTCTGTCTCTGTCTCCCTCTATTGATCTAGCTTGTGGTCTATCTCGTTTATTCTTTCAAATAATCAACTTTTGGTTTTGTTGAATCTTTGTGTAGATTTTTGGATCACAATTTCATTCAATTCCACTCTGGATTTTGGTTATTTCTTTTCTTCTGCTGTCTTTAGGGTTGGTTTGTTTTGTTTTGGTTGGTTTTAAGGTGGAGTCTCACCGTGTTGCCCAGGCTGGAGTGCAGTGGTAGCGATCTCGGCTCACTGCAACCTCCACCTCCCGGGTTCAAGCTATTCTTTTGCCTCAGCCTCTTTCCTGAGTAGCTGGGACTAGAGGTGCACACCACCACGCCTGGCTAATTTTTTTGTATTTTAAGTAGAGACAGGGTTTCACTATGTTGGTCAGGCTGGTCTCAAACTCCTGACCTCAAATGATCCTCCTGCCTCAACCTCCCAAAGTGGGTACAGGCATCAGCCTCTGCACCCGGACTTGGTTTGTTCTTATTTTTCTAGTTTATATGCGATGTTTGATTATTGATTTGAGGTCTTTCCAGCATTTTGATGTAGGCATTTAGTGTCCCTGTTTTCCTTAATTGAAAAAAATTTTTTGATTCTTGCCTTAATTTTGTTGTTTTCTCAATAGTCATTTAGGAGTAGGTTGTTTAATTTTTATGTAATTGTATGGTTTTGAGAGGTCTTGGTATTGATTTCTATTTTTATTGTACTGTGGTCTGAGTGTGTGCTTGGTATGATTTTGAATTTTTTTTTAATTTATTGAGGCTTGCTTTATGGCTGAGCATGTGGTTGATCTTAGAGTATGTTCCATGTGCAGATGAGAAGAATGTATATTCTGGTATATTAGGTGGAGTATGCTGTAGATGTATTGGGTCCGATTGTTCAAGTGTTGAGTTTAAGTCCAGAATTTGTTAGTTTTCTGCCTTCCTGATCTATCTAACACTGTCAGTAGAGTGTTAGTTTCCCACTATTATTGAGTGCCTGTGTAAGTCTCTTCATAGATCTAAAAGAACTTATTTTATGAATCTGGGTGCTCCAAAGTTAGGTACTTATATATGTAGTATAGTTAAGTCTTCTTATTGAATTGAACCCTTTGGCATTATGTAATGTCCTTTTTTGTCCTTTTTAACTATTGTTGGTTTAAAGTTATTTTATCTGATAAAAGAATAGTGACTGCTGCACTTTTTCATTTTCTGTTTTTGTGATAGATCTTTCTCCATCCTTTTACTTTGAGCCTGTGGGTGTTGTTACATGTGAGATGGGTCTCTTGAAGAGAGAAGATAGTTGAGTTTTATTTTTTTAAATCCAACTTGCCACTGCGTGGCTTTTAAGAGGGGCCTTTAGACCATTTACATTCAAGGTTTATATTGATATGTGAGGTTTTGATCCTGTTGTCGTGTTGTTACCTGGTTGTTTTGTAGACTTAACTGTGTAGTTGCTTTATAGTATCTGTGGGCTATGTACTTAAGTATGTTTTTGTGGTAGCAGGTATTGTTCTTCTGTTTCATGTTTAGCACTCCCTTAAGGACCTCTTACAAGACAGGTCTAATAGTAACAAATTCCCTTAATGTTTCCTTGTCTGAAAAGGACTTTATTTTTTCTTTCCTTATGAAACTTAGTTTGGCAGGATATTAAATTCTTGGTTGGAATTTGTTTTCTTCAAGGATGCTGAAAATAGGCCCCAGTCTCTTCTGGTTTTTAAGGTTTCTGCTGAGAGGCCCGCTGGTAGCCTGATGGGGTTCTCTCAGTATGTGAGCTGACCCTTATTTCTAGCTGCCTTTAAAATTTTTTCTTTCACATCGACCTTGGAAAATCTGATAACTATGTGTCTTGGGGATGGTCTTGTATAGTATGTCACAGGGGTTCTATGAATTTCTTGAATTTGCATGCCCACCTACCTCTAGTGAGATAGGGAACATTTTCATGGACTATATCCTCAAATATATTTTCCAAGTTGTCTCTTTCAGGAATTCCAATAAGTCATAGGTTTGGTTCTTTTTACATATAATGGATTTTTACATAATCCATTATTTTTTAGAGATTTTATTTAAAAATTCTTTTTTCTTTATTTTTTTCTGACTGGGTTGATTTGAAGGACTGGTCTTCAAGCTCTGAGATTCTTTCCTTAGCTTGGTCTATTCTTTTGTTAATGTTTCCAACTGTATTATGAAATTCCTGTAGTGAATCTTTCAAAACCGGAAGTTCAGTTTGGTTCCTTTTCTTTTCTTTTCCTTTGTTTTGTTTTCGACAGGGTCTTGCTGTGTAACCCAGGCCGAAGTGCAGTGGTTGTGGCCGTGACTTACTGCTGCAGCCTCGACCTCTCAAGCTCAGGTGATCCTCCCATCTCAGTCTCCTGAGGAGCTGGGACCACAGGCATGCACCACCATGCCCAGCTAATGATTTATATTTTTGCAGAGATGGGGTTTCATCATGTTGCCCAGGCTGGTCTCAAACTCCCCAACTGAAGCAATCTACCTGCCTCAGCTTCCCAAAGTGGTGGGGATTACAGGTGTGATCCACCACGCCTGGCTTGTTCATTCTTAAAATGGCTATGTTGCCTTTTGACTCTTGAATCATTTTACTGGATTTCTTGGATTGAATTTCAGCCTTCTCCTGGATCTTGAGCTTTCTCGCCATCCGGATTCTGAATTCTATTTCTGTCATTTCAGCCATTTCAATCTGTCTGCAAACCATTGCTGAGAGGTTAGGACAGTTGTTTGGAGGTGAGAAGATACTTTGAATTGCCAGAGTGTTTGCACAAATTCTTTCTCATCTGAGAGGGCTGGTGTTCCTTTATCTTTTTGGAGTTGCTTCTGCTTGGATGGGACCTTTTGTTTTCTTATTCATCATTTTCCTTGAGGGTTTGACTGTGGTGTATGCTGAGTATAGTCAACTGGCTCCCTTTCTGGGTGTTCTCAGCTGGCTGAGGCTCTGTATAGGCTCTCCTGAGGCTCTGTATAGGATCTCTCCTGTATAGGATCTCTCTAGGTTCCTGCATTGGGTTTCACAGGTGATGGATACTAGAAGAATTTTTTTTAGTGATATAATTCAGACTATGATCCAGTATATGGTGCTTAAGGATAAGGGCTAGCAGATAGACTCTTAGATTACAGTGCGTTCAGCACAGTGCTCTGTGCTGGGGGTAGGGGAAGGGAGATGACCCCCTCACCAAGTTCATTCCCAGGCCTTAGAGGAGCCCCTTCCAATCACTGGCACCATACCCACATTTCCTGAACCCCAAGGGGGGCCCTGGTGGGCTGCACTCCCCATCCCTTAGCAGTAGCCTGAGCTGAAGGTTAGGTCACCAGGAGACCTGCAGCATTCCAGAGGCCCACTGGTCCTCTGTGCTTGGCAAAGTCAGAGAGGGTTGTGGGGTATGTCTCTGGGTGGTCTGTTGGTATAGTAGGTCAAGGGTGGGGGATCTCAGGGCAGGGTGATGTTGTCGTGGTTGTGCAGCTGGTGAGGTGCCCACAGCCTGGGGTTTTTTGCCCAGCACACAGTTGTGGGGACTGCCCAGTTCACGTTCCCTTGACCAAGTCTGCTGGTGTCTGCCCTTGTAGCTAGCCTGACCAGCCAGTTTTATGCCATGCTTTCTGCGCCCAGATCACTGGGCTGTTAGGTGTTTCAGGCCACAGGGTCCCTCAGGCAGATGCAAAGCTGGCAAACAGGCCTCACCCTTCCCAGACCAGCCTTGTGGAAGGGGACTTACCCAGCACTCATGCTGGAACACAAACCCACGTCTCACTCTACTCAGTGTTCTAAGCAGAGCTTAAGTTCTGGCCACAGATCTCAGCTCTGTATTCCTGAACGATGTGCTTAGACCCTGGGGGGCTGAGACCAGGCCCACAGCTTTGTCCTCTGTCCCCTTGGAATCAAGCACTGTGCTGGGGTTGCCGAAGTGCTCCAAGGCCACTGGCAAAGCACTCAGGCTGGGTAATGGAGGCTATGCTGTGTGTATGCTCTTGTGGGAGCAGCTGGGGTTGGGAGTGCCTGGGAAGTTGACAGATAGGCGTGTAGATCAGCCTCTCCCCAGACCCACAGGAAGGACAGCCCTGCTCTTTCCCAGCCCAGCATTCAGCAGGGGATAGAGTGACTCAGAGCAAGGTGAGAACCTGGGGGCATGGGTGCCTGGGGTTGCATTTGCTGGAGCTGCTCCACACTGAGTGAGACCTGCTGGGCTCCACATAGGCTGGTGCTCTGCCTGTGCCTTCTCTCTGACAGTTCCCTACCAATTCAAATGTCTTTGGGGTTGTGGGATCTCTTGTGGCTAGTATCCCAGAGCTCCACGGCGAGCGTGGATTGCCCCATATAGTCACTCCACTCACCCCTTCCTTAGGACCTGATTAGGGCCAGGTCCTGGCACCCGGAGACTGTGCAGGCTTCCCAGCTTCCTCCCTCTTCAGCCTCAGTGTCTGTGTTGCCTCTCTATTGATGCTCAGTGCTTTCTTTCCAAAGATGTCTTCGAAGCATGTTGGTTTACTCATTTTGCTCTGTTTTGGTGGGAGAGGCCCTCCTGGCTATGTCTATTCAGCCATCTTGTCCCCCTCCTATGTAAATATTTTTACACAGCAATAAACATGCATTGTGTCAGTAACAAAAAATGTATGTCACTGTCCTAATATCCTTACATTCACTGAGTATCTACTGTATGAAGCATTCAGCTGGGTGCTATAAGGAGTCAAAATAAGGAAATAGATATTTGCCTCATTTAGAGCTCAGATTGTACTTCACTATACACCATGCCAGGTAGCTCTTGAAGTCCTTTTAAAAAATACTTTGCCATTATTAGGTTTTTCTAAAAATAAACTTTTTATATTGAAGTAATTTTGCATTTACAGAAAAGTTGAAAGATAGTACACATAATTTCCATATACACCCTTTACCCAACTTTCCCCCTTACATAATCTTGGTACATTTGTCAAAAGTAAGAAATTAACATTAGAACATTACTATTTACCAAACTAGACTTTACTTCCATTTCACCAATTTCCTTCTAATATCCTTTTTCTATTTCAGGATCCAGTGTAGGGTAGCACATGAAGTAATTTGTCTTATATTTGATAATCTAGTCCATGATCATTTTAAGAATATAAGTTTTATATAAGTGTAGCGTTATCTATTATAACTAATTT
This sequence comes from Homo sapiens, assembly GCF_000001405.40. NCBI lineage: Eukaryota > Metazoa > Chordata > Mammalia > Primates > Hominidae > Homo > Homo sapiens. The sequence goes on along the minus strand of NC_000008.11, from coordinate 47,840,280 downwards.
TGAAACAAAGAAGAAAAAGTTGCCTGTCATACTTTGAAAGTGCAATAATAAAAATAGCTAAATTTGTGTGTTTTTAAAATCTCTCCCATAGAGATGATGAAAGACAAAAAGTATGTTTGGACATAATTTATAAGATGATGCCAAAGTTAAAACCAGTAGAACTCCGAGAACTTCTGAACCCCGTTGTGGAATTCGTTTCCCATCCTTCTACAACATGTAGGGAACAAATGTATAATATTCTCATGTGGATTCATGATAATTACAGGTAAGCTATACATTGACTATTTTATTTTGTTACTTTTTTGAGATAAGGTCTTGCTCTGTCGACGAGGCTGGAGTACAGGGGCACAAACACAGGTCACTGCAGTCTCAACCTCCTCCTGGGCTCAGTTGATCCTTCCATCTCAGCCTTTTGCGTAGCTGGGTCTATGGGTGTGCACCACCATACCTGGCTAATTTTGTTTATTTTTTGTGGAGACGGGGTTTCACCTTGTTGCCTGGGCAACATTAACATTTTAGGGATCATTTGGGTCCCCTTAGCAATCTGGAACATAATAACACATTTTTTTTTACCATATGATTAATAATTAAAACATGTATTTTGGTATATCTAATTGTATCCTTTTAAAAACTCATTTCACATATGTGTGTGAAAAAATCAGAGTGAAAAAGTGTGGTGTTGTGCTTATAAAACCTATTTTCATAGTTGTCCTTTTAAGATCTTGCAAAGACTAAGGAGATGAACTCTGCCAGGACCACCGGGCACTACCACACCACCACAGCTGAGCGTCACAGGACCGCTGGGCCTCCTGTGGGCCCATCCTCCTGTTCCACTCAGCTCCTGCTGGGAGCAAGGATGGGTTCTCAAGGCTTGTGCACACACCCATGAGTGGGGCAAGCTGTGATTTGGAGATCTAAAGTCTAATGGGAAAACAAGCCTTTTAAAATTGAATTCTAGATGGTGTTACTGTAGTTGAACAAAAGGGCCAGAAGAGAGCATTAATGTTGTGACATTTTGCTGTTTTCTCAAGCAGAGATCCAGAAAGTGAGACAGATAATGACTCCCAGGAAATATTTAAGTTGGCAAAAGATGTGCTGATTCAAGGATTGATCGATGAGAACCCTGGACTTCAGTACGTGAATAACTGGGCTGGGACAATTAAATGTTAAGGGTATTGCTTTCAAAGGTAGCATAGAGTATTTTTCAGGAGTTTTAGAAATGTATTTGCAGTATTAGCATTTTCTCTGCTTTCTGCATTTCACAATATTTAGTAAAAGAGTATTTTAAAGCACATTATGAAGAGTAAGGCTTTACAATCCTGACAACTTAAAAATAACACTCTTGAAAAAGTCATATGGACCAAATGCTGTATGGTAGGGCAGTGAGTTAAAGTGTTTCAAAATGAAAAGAAAGTCTGTAATGACAATTCTTCTGTTTCCCATTTAACACACATAGTTGAGATCATGCTGTAAGTATTAATGTTGAAAATAAAGTGTTTGAAACTTTAGAAATGAGAGGAAACTGTAATATTAGTTATATATGAAAGTGTGAATGATGATTGTTACCCTCTAAAATGCCTGTCCTGAGTAAGTCAGTTATATGTGTTTCTTACCAAATACTGATTATATAAGAAGAGGGGTAAACTTTTTATTATTATTATGTTTTTTAGAGATGAGGTCTTGCTCTGGCACCCAGGCTGGAGTGCAGTAGTGTAACTGTAGCTCACTGTAGCCTCTGACTCCTGGGTTCGTATGATCCTCCTCCCTCAGCCTCCTGAGTAGCTGGGACTACAGGCATAACGCCAACAGGCTTGGCTGATTTTTTATTTTTTGTAAAGATAGGGTCTTGCTATGTTACCCAAGTTAGGCTTCAATGCCTGGCCTCAATCCTCCTGACTTGGTTTGCCAAAGTGCCGGGATTTTAAGTGTGAGCACTGCACCCAGCCTCAATATAAGAAGCCATATACTTTTTATATGTTTCTGTATATTACTTATTTTTCCATTCTGCTATAATTTTAAATTCATTGAGCTTCTTAAAATTGTATTTGGATTTCATATGCATTCATAAATTATAAGACCTAATTTGGTATGTATGTATGTATGTGCACCAACTACATACATACATTTATTTTATTTTATTTTTTTGAGATGGAGTCTCACTCTGTCACCCAGGCTGGAGTGCAGTAGCATGATTTCAGCTCATTGCAACCTCCGCCTCCTAGGTTCAAGCGATTCTCCTGCCTCAGCCTCCCGAGTAGCTGGGACTACAGGTGGGTGCCACCATGCCCAGCTAATTTTTGTATTTTTAGTAGAGACGGGGTTTCACCATGTTGGTCAGGCTGGTCTTGAACTCCTGAAGTCAGGTGATCCACCCACCTCAGCCTCCCAAAGTGCTGGGATTACACGCCTGAGCCACTGCACCTGACCCCTAATTTGGTATTTAATTAATATATGTTTTGAGTATTTTATGGCAGTAATTTTTATAATGGATTGTTTTGGCAAGGCAGTGAAGGATTTTGTGTAATTTCTTAAATTTTTTTTTTTTGTTTCAAATAGTTAATATTATGTACTCATCGTTGAAAACTTCCCAGAGAATAGAGATAAGAGAATAAAATCACCCAGTTTCTCCCCTCCCCTCTGTGGCATAAAAAATATGCTACATTTTTTGTAATATTCTCTTCCTTCAGTGGATATGTTTCATAACTCAGACTATATTTTTGATATAGTTGAAGGTGGTTTCCCTCTCTGTTAAGCTTCATGTGGGTGAAGAGCTGTGCCTTCTCCACAGGACACCCTGTACAGCACATTCTTTCCCATTTGCCATTGTCTAAGCAATATACTTTTTTCTCTTTGCTTTTCAGATTAATTATTCGAAATTTCTGGAGCCATGAAACTAGGTTACCTTCAAATACCTTGGACCGGTTGCTGGCACTAAATTCCTTATATTCTCCTAAGATAGAAGTGCACTTTTTAAGTTTAGCAACAAATTTTCTGCTCGAAATGACCAGCATGAGCCCAGATTATCCAAACCCCATGTTCGAGCATCCTCTGTCAGAATGCGAATTTCAGGTAATGTGGTCTTCTCTCTCATAGTAGTGAATATTATAGGCTTTTCCTGTTCATGAACATTTTTAATAGCTTTGACTGGCTCTTTGCCTTCTCAGAATACACATTCCTTTCTGAAAAGGAAAGGGAAGGCTCGTGCCTCTGCTTCAGCCACCTGGAGGTCCACTGGCCTCACCCTCTTGGCCTCCACTAGATTTCCCTTGTCAGGATCGCCATTGCTTTCCCTCCCCTCATTCCTCCCAATCCACAGTGGATGCTGAGCTTGTCCTGTCTCGCAGCAGCCTAAACAGTGGGATGATGGGCAGGTTGCAGGGAGCTCCTGGGGTAGGGCCCCTCCTGTCCCACTCACAAGCTCAGGATCTGTCCCAGTGGCACGTGTGTATGTGGACAAGCTGGGTCGCTTGACTCATTGCATTTGGGTTGTGGTGCTGAGCATGATATCAAACCTTTTTATGCAAACATTAAGAAAGCTGGGTTTTCTCACTCGATAGTTAACTAGTTTTTCTAGTTGGCAAATCAGTTAAAACTTTTAAATTAGAGAAGGTTCTTCTTCAGCTGCATATGAAGTTATGGTACAAATATGCTGATGGTACCATTAGATTTTAAATAGAAATATATCAGTGTTCCTAAAAAAGGAGCATTATTTCATTTGAAACTTTATTTCATTTGAAACTTTCTTATGTACAGGAATATACCATTGATTCTGATTGGCGTTTCCGAAGTACTGTTCTCACTCCGATGTTTGTGGAGACCCAGGCCTCCCAGGGCACTCTCCAGACCCGTACCCAGGAAGGGTCCCTCTCAGCTCGCTGGCCAGTGGCAGGGCAGATAAGGGCCACCCAGCAGCAGCATGACTTCACACTGACACAGACTGCAGGTAACAGTGACCCTGCCCGCTGGCCATGTATACAGCACCCTGACCTCTGTGGGCAGCTTCTGTCACAACAGTGTTGGGCTTTTGTGAGAGAAGTAAGGGATAATAGCAAAAAGCGTTAAGAACCCAAGGAAGATGTCATTCAAAAGAGGGGGTTCCTATAACAGTCAAACTCATGGAAACAGAAAGTAGAGTGCCAGGTGCCAGGGTCTGGGGAGGAGGAATGGGGATTTATAGTTTAATGGGTACAGAATTTCAGTTTTGCAAGAGGAAAAGTGCTGTGGAGGCAGGGTGCAGTGACTCATTCCTGTTATTCCAGCTGGGGCAGGAGGATCAGTTGAGCCCAGGAGTTCCGCACCAGCCTGGGCAACATGGAAAGACTCCATCTCTACAAAACAATTTTACAAATTAGCTGGGCATGGTGGCGCACGCCTGTAGTTAGTCCCAGCTACGGGGGAAGCTGAGGCGGGGAATGGCTCGAGCCCAGAAGTTCAAGGCTGCAGTGATCTGTGATCACGCCACTGCACCCTGCCTTGGGCAAAAGAGCAAGGCCCTGTCTCAAAAAAAAAAACCAAAAAGCAACTCTGGACATGGAAGATGTTGATGGTTGTACAGCAGCGTAAATGTCCTTAATGCCATTGAACTGTGCACCTAAGAATGATTGAAATGGTAAATTTTATGTATATTTTCCTTTTTTTTTTTTTTTTTTTTTTTTTTTTTGAGACAGAGTCCTGCTCTGTCACCAGGCTGGAGCTGGAGTGAGTGGCACGATCTTGGCTCACTGCAACCTCTGCCTCCTGGGTTCAAGCGATTCCTCTGCCTCAGCCTCCTGAGTAGCTGGAACTACAGGCGCGCACCACCTCGCCTGGCTAAATTTTTGTATTTTAGTAGAGATGGGATTTCACCACATTGGCCAGATGGTCTAGATATCCTGACCTTGTGAGCCACCACGCCCAGCCTGTTTTGCTACAATTTTTCTAAAAAAGAAATGGATTATTTCTGACCAGAAAGATCAGGGAAAGTTTCAGTATATGTATGTTTTGGTTTTGGTTTGGTACAGAAAAACATAGTGTAGCAAATTTAAGACATCTTATCACCAAAGCAGAGTAGAGGTAAACCAAATTCATTTACTAGATTTATAGTTATTAAACTGTTCTTTCTCAGATGGTTTAACTGCTTCCTTTGATGAGCAAAGTACAAATTGTAGAGTAACATATCTTAATCCTTTTATATAAACTCTTTAACGTTTCTCCTTTGTGTAATTTTTTTGCACATTTTGTTGGTTCTGGAAGTGGGACTAATATGAATAATCACAATTGAAATTCTGTGACACTAATATTAGAAGTCAGGGGGCCGGGCGCTGTGGCTCACGCCTGTAATCCCAGCACTTTGGGCGGCCGAGGCGGGCGGATCACGAGGTCAGGAGATCGAGACCATCCTGGCTAACACGGTGAAACCCCGTCTCTACTAAAAATACAAAAAATTAGCCGGGCGTGGTAGCGGGCGCCTGTAGTCCCAGCTACTCGGGAGGCTGAGGCAGGAGAATGGCGTGAACCCGGGAGGCGGAGCTTGCAGTGAGCCGAGATCGCGCCACTGCACTCCAGCCTGGGCCACAGAGCGAGACTCCGTCTCAAAAAAAAAAAAAAAAAAAAAAGTCAGGGGTTCTTAGCACCTTTCAGTAGATAACAAAGTGTTATTCCTGTGGTGGGAGCAAGTGGCGTGTTTCTTACTTTACAAATGGGGACACTGCGGTCCAGGGGCACTGAGGCGCACGTACCTGGTTTTCCTTGGGGCATACCCTGGGACCTGACAGAGCCTCTGCCCAGGGTTGGAGTTGAGCACGGAGGCCTAGGGTGCCACCAGGTGTGTCCTGGCAGGTGGTCCTGCCCCGTGCACAGAGCTGGGTGATGCTGAGTGCCTGACCTCTCTGATTGCATGTCACAGATGGAAGAAGCTCATTTGATTGGCTGACCGGGAGCAGCACTGACCCGCTGGTCGACCACACCAGTCCCTCATCTGACTCCTTGCTGTTTGCCCACAAGAGGAGTGAAAGGTTACAGAGAGCACCCTTGAAGTCAGTGGGGCCTGATTTTGGGAAAAAAAGGCTGGGCCTTCCAGGGGACGAGGTGGATAACAAAGTGAAAGGTAAGCTGGGTTGCTGAGTGTGCTTAAAATAGCTTCCCCACTAAATTACTGCAGAGCTCAGGTCTGGGGACATTTCTGACTGTATCCATGTTTCCTTCTCATTCGTAATCAAGCCCTTTAAAATTCAGTTAATGTTGCCTAGGCACTCACCATGCTGAAGAAATTGTTTTCTGGGAGTTCCAGAAGAATCCTTCAGTAAGTTATACTCGATCCATTGTTGAGTGATCTTCTGGAGCAGTAAGAGTGGGTGAGGCATTTATAAAGGGGTGATTGTAACAAGAGGTGGAATTAGCAAGCATGGTCTAGGGCTAGAGGGCTTAATACAGGTGGAGAATGAGGAGAGCGTCCAAAAAGACTGGGTGGAGGAAGAGCATTTGAGAGGAGCCTTGGAGCTGGGGGTGCAGGAAGGGAAAGGATGAAAAGGACAGGGATGGAGAAGTGTCAGGGTGGGTAGGCTCAGATCGATTCTGCAGTCCAGGTGAAGGGACGCTTCGGGGCATGCTAGAGTAACGGCAAAGGGTGCTGTGAGGACAGTCTTGTGGGTGTGGGGGTGTATGTCGAACTTCAGCTTTAGGAAGCAGCCTTGTAACGCACCGAGCAGAGGAAGGCACGGGGACTGAATGCCCTTCTCTGAGGTTTGTGTGGGGCAGAAGTGGAGTGATGGGGACTGGAGGCAGGCACCAGGACCTGGTCTTGGCTAACAGATGACCAGAACTAGACGGGTGCCGAGAGGCTGGAAGCAGCTTTTTGTGAGAAAGAAGTGAGGCTCTGGGAGGGAACAAGGGCCCAGAGGAAGGACATGTGCAGAGAGGAAAGGGCCCATGACAGAACCCTGGGGGAGCGCCAGCAGGGAAGCTCAGCTCTGTGGAAGTAAACTTAGAAGAACTTAGAAGCAAAGCTCCCTGCCTTCTTATCTAATCGTAGGAACTGAAACACAGGCAACAAAACTTGCTTTACTCCACCACTCTCTCATACTTTTCAGTCACAAACCTGTGGCCCACACACAGTTCTCTAAATGGAACCTGGAGAGGTCAGTGTGGCCCACCTTTTGGCATGTGCTGTGAGTTGAAGGAGTGCTGGTGGCGGTTGTTCAGGTGGAGCCACCTGGGTGCTGAGAATGGGGTCAGCAGCAGGGAGCTTTCTCTGGGATCTGATGGCTTGGTGGTCTGGCGGGAGTGCTGCTGTGGAGCTCCATACGTGGGGCCCCTGGACTCCCTGCTTTGCAGGGCTGCGGGCGCCAGGCCTGGTGCCATCCTCCTTGGGGATGCTTTGTGAGAACGTGGGTCTTTTCTCTGTGGATGCTCTCGGGATCTTCTCTTTTAAACCAGTGTTCTGACATTGCGCACAAGTGTCCTTGGGCGTAGATCCGTTTCAGTCTGTTTTTCTGGGCATATGGCGGGAGCTTCCAGGCCGCTGACTCTCACCTTCCAGTTCTGGAGCATCATCACAGGTGATTTTGTTGAGTTCTTCATCTCAGTTTGCTGTTTTCTCTTTTTGGAGTCCTAGTGCTTAGATATCTCACCTGCGTGAGTGTCCTTCTGAGGTGTCATATTTTTTCCTTTTCCTCTTTTCTGGGAAATCCCTTCAACCTTATCTTTCAACCTGTGCTTTTAAGTTATGACACGTTTCAGTTTCCATGAGCTTTTTTTCATGCTCTGAACATTTCTTCAGTTCCTACTCTTCTCTTTCTGATAAATGATCATGTTTTGAAATTTTTTCCTGCATGATCTGCTTTTAACAGTTGCTCTTTCCTTGTTGCTTACTTTGGCTTGTGTTGTTCATATTTGAAACTTTCCTTAGAACCTGTCGTGATTTGGAGGTTAAGGCTGGTGTCTCCTGGTGGGGTACTAAACAGGCATTTGGAATCATACGGGTTAGGAGTGTTGCGGTCACCTGTCCCTGGTCAGGTTGCCACAGTCCCGAGGGAGGCTGGTCTGCACCAGGTGTTGAAGCCTCCGAGGCAGCTCCTCTCTAGTTCAGTTAGCCAGAGGCAAAGCACTGCCAGGCGAGTTGGGCGGGGGTTCAGAAGGTGGCTGCGTGCCCTCCCTGGGCCTCCCTCTGGAGGGGCCTGGCCCGTTCAGCGCTCATGCCTGCTGAATCCACTGCTGAGCAGTTCCAGTTGCAGCTGTGGCCCCTGCACTCCTGCTCCCGGTCGCTGCCTCTGCGGCACCTGTAGGTTTTGTCTTTGAGGAAACCCGAGGTGAAAATGAACCAGCAGAGCCAAGTGTCTGGGCGGCGGGGAGTAACTGGGCCTGCTTTCCCTCTCCAGGTGCGGCCGGCCGGACGGACCTACTACGACTGCGCAGACGGTTTATGAGGGACCAGGAGAAGCTCAGTTTGATGTATGCCAGAAAAGGCGTTGCTGAGCAAAAACGAGAGAAGGTTTGTATCTTGTCAAGAATTTGATCAGAACGATGCAGTTTCTGTCACAGGATACAGACGAAGTGAACAGGCTTCCTGCCAGACACTGCCTCCAATGTCACCTGCAAACCAGGTTGCGGGACTGCTCCAAACCAGCCTCCTGGGGCTCCCCCACAGGGATGCAGCCCTCATGGCGCTCTGGTGGGGGTCCAGGAGTGCGCCCAGTTCTCTCCGCGGGTGGAAGTGTGGCCGGCCTGGGATCAGCCGGCTGATCCCAGGCCTACCTCAAGGCCCGCGCCCTGGCAGGACTTCACTGGCCCTCGCTTCAGGGACCAATGCGGCGGGAGGGCAGCTGGGGGCTGGGACCCACGGTGCCCCGAGGACAGGTGGCCAGGAGGGCCTTCCCGTGGCGTGGAGACTCCGTAGCCGCGGCGTCCATTCCGCCTAGAAATGGGTCATTAGGATGCATTTGTAAGAAGGGGGTAGGACGGATCGTTAAGAAAAATCCCTCGCGGTGCTCCAGTTCAGCGCCAGCCGCCGCCGCCACAGGAGCGGCTCCATCCACATCTGGGTGTGAAGCCCTGGAAGTGGGGCGCTGTGCCGGCCCCCTCCCCAAGCCCTGCCGCCCAGCCATGCTTGTGGAGCCTGAGGCCTCCCGGGCTGCGCCCCCGGGGCACTGTTTTGCCCCCTCGGAGGGGAGCTTTGGGCTCTGCAGCTGCCTGGGAGCAGAGGCAGCCGGAGGGCAGGACCTTGGGGCGGAAGTGGGGACCGGCTGCCGGCCTCGTTCTCAGTGAGACTTTCCAGAGATGCAGCTCTCCAGCCGGTTTTTAAATACTTCTAAATCAAATTTTCCGATTTTATAAATATTCTGATTATAGGGAATGTTTAAAGCCTTTCCACTGCTTGTTGTGTAGTGATTTTATTTTGGATGCAGTGTTTGCCCTAGACGGTAAAGTACGGCGACTGAGCCTCTGCGAGCATCAGTTCCCACCACTTCGCCCTCATGGTTCAGGGGATCCTGGCAGCCTCATAGCTCATGCACGACTAGTTTCCTTCAATGAGAATGCTCATCTTCTTCTTTGGTTCTGGTGCTTATAGGAAATCAAGAGTGAGTTAAAAATGAAGCAGGATGCCCAGGTCGTTCTGTACAGAAGCTACCGGCACGGAGACCTTCCTGACATTCAGATCAAGCACAGCAGCCTCATCACCCCGTTACAGGCCGTGGCCCAGGTCAGTTTTTGCCGCTGCGTTTTCTGTTGACAGGTTAAAATCTGTTTCCAGTTCAGGGGTTTGCCTATGTGAGGAAACATGGCTGAGGCTGTCCTGCAACATAGATGAGGTGTTGGTTTGTCCTCAACGGTGGACTTGGTATAAAGACCTTGCTCCAAGTCCTGGCTCTGCCATTTCCTAGTTCCATGACTTCTTTACACATGCGGAGACTCTGAGATCATCAGTGCTGAAGACGTTATTTATCGTTATTTATCAGGATTACCACTGCATTTGTCTGAACAAAGGGAGCATAAATGAAGGAATTTGTACCTAGCACTCAGGAATCAGTGGATTGTAGACATGGAAACCTGTCTACCACGTGTTACATAAAAACAGCAGGTTACCAAACAGGTGTAAAAGTGTACACACCAGTAAAAGACACATGCCAGTGACTTATCTCTTTATGGTATAATTATGGGCGATACTTATTTTCTTTTTTCCTAAACCACATTTTCTGGGTGCTCTATTCTGTTCCATTGGTCTGTGTGTCTGTTTTTGTACCAGTACCATGCTTTTTGGTTACTGCAGCCTTATAGTATTGTTTGAAGTTGGGTAGTGCGGTGCTTCTAGTTTTGTTCTTTTTGCTTAGGATTGCTTTGGCTATACGGGCTCTTTTTTGGTTCCATATGAATTTTAGAATAGTTTTTTCTAGTTCTGTGATAAATGATGTTGGTAGTTTGATAGAATTAGCATTGATTCTGTAGATTGCCTTGAGCAGAATGGCCATTTTAACGATATTGATGCTTCTAATCCGTGAATATGGAATGTGTTTCCCTTTATTTGTGTCATTCTTTTATGATTTCTTTCGGCAGTGTTTTTTAGTTCTCCTTGTAAAGATCTTTCACCTTCTTGGTTAAGTGTATTCCTAGGTATTTTATTCTTTCTGTGGCTGTTGTAAACGGGATTGTGCTTTTGATTTAGCCATATTTTCTAAAATTTTATATAGTAATCACTAGAACTTCTTATAACAAGATAAATATATTACTTAAAATAAACAATAAGGAATAAATCAAATTTGTATGTTTTAGTCATACATAGCTTTTATCAAAGTAATTTTTTGCATTTGATGATTAGATTTATTTTTTAAATATTAAGTATAATCTTAAATCAGTAGAATTTCACAGTAAACTTTTCAAGTATTTAATTTTTGGCTATAGTAACTTAAGTGTAAACCATTGCTTTTAATGTTCTTTTCAACAATATGCAAAAATCACACTTGATTTAAGAACATTCATTTAATAATGTAATTTGTTCATAAAACATCAAAAATGGATTATCATTATATTGTAAACATAATTAAAATAGGTCTTAGACATGAAAAAAGAACATGATCCCAAAAAGCAGCACAAGTCTCACCTCCTTCAGAGGCAAACGTGTAGCAAAATTAACAAAAAGATATTAACAGAATTGACCTGTCAATTATAATATGATAGAAAACTTATTAACAGGGAAGATCCCTAGAAGATTACACAAAGTAATTTTTAAACTTTATTTATCATGCTTTCATGCCTCCATTTAGCAAAAATAGACACTATATGCCAGGAACTGTTGTTGGCGCTGATGTCACAGCATGAATAAATAAAGGGAGTATACTGTGGCCATGAAGTGTGCGAGGGTTAGGGCTGTAAATGATTAGGTAGTGTGCTATTTGCGGGAGCTGATGCTCAGAAGAAGCCTTTGATGGTTTCAATAGTTTAAAGTGGTCAGGTGGTGGGACCTTGAAAATTAACACTGGCATTTTATTTAAGCTCATCAGTTATTTTAAGCTTTACCATGGTGCTGATAGGAGAAAAATACCTAAACATTTAATCTTTCTCTGAGATTTTATGAAGTGCTGCACTAAGCACTGGCTGCACTTTATCTGGGCTAATCTTCCCCGCAGCCCAATGTGATGTGTTCTGGTAGCCCCCATTTAAAGATTGGAGACCCAGACTTAACTCAGGAGAGAAGCTATGTCATTATGTATTGATTAAGCCAGCTTTTAAATGTATCTCTCTGGGCCAAAAGTCCATGTTTCCATAACATACATCAAACAGATACATTTGGTTAAATTCCAAATGCTCCCCTTGTCAATGCCTGCTAAGTCTTTCCAAATAGAATTGAGAGGTATAATAGATGTGTTTGCAACAGTTTGTATTTTCCAAGCTCTGATAGTATTGGTGATTTATAGCATTTTTGCTTCAGATCCTAATTTGTCTTTGTTTTGAATTTTTTACAGAGGGACCCAATAATTGCAAAACAGCTCTTTAGCAGCTTGTTTTCTGGAATTTTGAAAGAGATGGATAAATTTAAGACACTGTCTGAAAAAAACAACATCACTCAAAAGTTGCTTCAAGACTTCAATCGTTTTCTTAATACCACCTTCTCTTTCTTTCCACCCTTTGTCTCTTGTATTCAGGTAAAGTCTGCACACACTTCATCAAATATACATTGTTTGCTGTGGCTTCACATGGCCTTTCCATCATCACTATGTTTCCCGTGTTGAGACTCTTGATAACCTGGTGTTTAACAGAGTAAGATGTACTATTTGGGTTACCACTTCCCAAATGAGTAGATGTAATTTATTTTTTCCCCCCAGAAAAACCGATATGTGACAGAATAACCAGAAATCAAACATGTTACGTTTTATTTTGTAATAAGCCAGTCCCTTCAGTGTTTTTGATGAAACCCTTCATTTATTTAGTTGTCTTTCCTTATGTAGTATTTCACCAAATTCTTTCTGCTTCCTGACTACTGTCAAAAGATGTTGACTGAGTACCCGCCTGGCTTTATTCTAGGTGGCTGGGCCACATTGATGAAGAGGCAAAAATTCCTTTCCTCCCGACCTTACATTCCCATTAATAGATGGGTAATAGGCAACCCACAGGGAGATGTAGAAAGGGACATTAGGTAGTAGTTAAGTGTCATAGTACTTGAGTAATAGGGAAGTGTTAAAGCAGTGTAAGATAGTAATGAAGCAGGTAAGCAGGTGCCTCTTGATGGGGTAGGGTGTGTTTGCCTAGATGCAGTGGTCAGAGAAGTCCTTTCCAAGGCAACACAGCCTGAGCAGAAAATCTAATTTAATATTCAGTTACTACTTAAATATGTTTGTCAGAAGATTATTTTTCATGTAAGAAATGTTTTCTGTGCCATTCAAAGTATGGATTATATAAAATTCCCTAGTAGAAAATCTTTTTGATTCATTTTAGTATTTTTGTATCTAGTGACCTTTTCTGAAGTAATTACTAATTTATATTCTTCAATATTGTTTATCGGTAGTATTGGTTTACAAACGAATTGGTTAATACTTTTCTGAAATGAAATACTTAGTTTTTTGTTTTATTCTTTTTGATGGAACGAGAAACTGTCAGTATAAATTTCTTTATACATTAGCTCCGTTTTTTATTGGTTTCTAATTTACGTGTGTGTGTGTGTGTGTGTGTGTGTGTGTGTGTGTGTGTGTGTGTGATCTTCATATTTTGATAGGTGCTTTTCTTGCTTTAAATTGATCCCTGGAATGGAAGCGTAAAATTAAAAGGTCATTTCCTCCTTTGAGCAAATTGAATATTGTTGGAAAATGTGTTAATAGCATTACACAGAGAAACTTCTGGTGATATCACTACCCACATGGGTACCTTTTATGTTTAGTAAAGTATGTTACTCCTTGTGAAGACATGGTCCAAGTACCACAAGCTAAACAGCTGGTTGTATGTGTGGTTTCACAGGACATTAGCTGTCAGCACGCAGCCCTGCTGAGCCTCGACCCAGCGGCTGTTAGCGCTGGTTGCCTGGCCAGCCTACAGCAGCCCGTGGGCATCCGCCTGCTAGAGGAGGCTCTGCTCCGCCTGCTGCCTGCTGAGCTGCCTGCCAAGCGAGTCCGTGGGAAGGCCCGCCTCCCTCCTGATGTCCTCAGATGGGTGGAGCTTGCTAAGTAAGTGTGAGGTCAGGTGCTCTTGGGAGCACACTGGATTTGACCAAAGCAATACGGAAAACACTTGGCTTCATTTGGCAGAAAATGAGCTAATAAAGTTGATAGTAACACTAATGTGAAATTTAAAAGAAAAGTCTTTCAGGCTGAGTACCATTCTCAAAGGCAAGAACAGTTGCCACAACAAGTAATGTCTTGCTCAAGGAAAGAGAACGTTATTTAAACCTGCTGATTTCTTTCAGTATATGATTTTTTGGACTCAGTATTATTCACCAAGTTTAGTTTCTTGTAAAGTGTAGCTGTGAATCATAGTTCCTAATATTTTATGTTATTTCCTGCTTCACTACACTGAATGGAGGAAGATTTAGTATTTTCAGCAGGACTCAAGATTTTAGAAAGAGTTTAAATCAGTTAGTTTATTTGGGATAAACAGATTCCATTTTCTAGTTATACCATTTTCCATTATGTCTGATTCTTCCCTTCTCTGTGATCTCATCATATGAAAGCCTAATTCTGAGGAGGTTGTTAGGTTAAGATTGAAATTTAACTTGAACTTCATTTTGTAGTGCAGATTTTTAGAGCTTTAGGTTTTAAGAGAAAAGATAGTAAAAGTAAGGGAGGGGATCCTTGTGCTTCGTGCTGTTTTGTAGTTAATTCATGTCTGTCCTGATTGAGCACTGAGTGTACAAGTGCTGTGCCAGGCACCAAAGAGACATGAAATTGGATTAGACATTGATCACAGACTCACAAAACTAGCAATCTAGTAGGAAATGTATGTACTTTACACATAAATAAATCATAATTGAAGTAGGAGGTGGTGAGCACTGAGAGAGACAAGATAAAATGCCAGGGCCATTCAGAGAGGGCCTCTGAGCTATGCTGATTTTACCTAGGAACCGTTTTCTCCTGTTGCTTCAGATGTGTAAGTGAACAGGAAGTGACACCTTGTATGTTTACTATTTCCAGGAGTGGTAAACATACATAATGTGTATTTGCTAAGTAAGTGAAGCAAACAACTTTTAAGGGCCTAAACTTTAAACATTTTTTTCTAACTGTATTAAGTACATTCTCATACTTTTGTGATATTTTTGCATTCCTTGCAGAGCATTGTGAACATAGTTTAGCTTTTTTTTTTTTTTTTTTTTTTTTTTTTTGAGACAGTCTTGCTCTGTCGCCAGTTGGAGTGCAGTGGCACAATCTTGGCTCACTGCAACCTCCACCTCCCGGGTTCAAGCGATTCTCCTGCCTCAGCCTCCCAAGTAGCTGGGATTACAGGCACCTGCCACCACGCCCAGCTAATTTTTGTATTTTTAGTAGAGATGGGGTTTCACCGTGTTAGCCAGGATCCGCCCGCCCCGGCCTCCCAAAGTGCTGGGATTGCAGCCATGAGCCACCACACCCGGCCTTAGCCTTTTTTTTGATATGTCATGGCCATTGTTCTAACCATGTTATAGTGAACATAATCCAGGGACAATGGAACCAGTATAGGGGTATGTAGGTGATCTCTTTCCTGAGTCTATGCAGAATGTAGCTCTCCCTCTTCCCTGACTCTGGGGCCATGAGCTGCTGCTCCATCACCTACCTACCCACCCACCTTTACTGCTGATTTATTACCCCTAACATTCTGTAATCAGGGCAATAAGAGAGCTGCATCTACTAGATTTTATTGAATTCAGAATTCATAAGCTCTAGGAGAGAACCTGTAGGGCTCTTTTGATGTAAATGCAAGAGGCTTAGTACCCAGAAGGGAACTGAACAGCAGGAGAACTAAGGAGGGAGCAGTCCTTGGCTGGCTGGTTTAGGAAGAAATAACATTTGGGTTGAGACTGCAAGATGGAAAGAAATTTCCTGGAGGAAGGGAACAAACCCCATAAACACTTTGAGAATATCATGGACTGGGAAGCTTGATTGAAAGGGTCAAGCCAGAATTTTGTTAAGGTAAAGAGATGAATGAATGCTCCAACAAATTGAGATGGTCCATAGAACATGGATTAAACATGGCATCAGTAGTCAGGATTATTTTTTCTTTTGCTTCTGGGTTTTTTGGAGCTAGACAAGGATTCCAAATGGTTCGCCTGTAGATATTATAATGGATTAATACTGGAGAACCTTATGTAATGACACATCTTATACACTGTGAACCTTTGATATTTTCAGATTCCACCTTTTTTTTTTTTTTTTTTTTTTTTTGAGGCGGAGTCTTGCTGTTGCCCAGGCTGGAGTGCAGTAGGGTGATTGGTTCACTGCAACCTCCACCTCCTGGGTTCAAGCAGTTCTCTGCCTCAGCCTCCCAAGTAGCTGGGACTACAGGCATGCGCCACCATGCCCAGCTAATTTTTTGTATTTTTAGTAGAGACGGGGTTTCACCATGTTGGCCAGGCTGATCTGAACTCCTGACCTCAGGTGAGCCGCCACGCCCGTCCCAGATTCCACTTTAAATGCACATCTGAATAATTTCTGGCTTATGTATGATTAAAGTTATAAAACCTAAGGGCAACTTCATAGTTTCTTAAATTTTATATTTTTAGCAAAATTAAAGTAACACTTTATGTCTCTTGTTAATATAATGTGTGGCAACTTGATTTACTATCATTTCATTAGAATAAATACTTTTAAAATACTGGAGTGTTCATTGATTTGGCCTTTTTGATTTGTTTTGTAGGCTGTATAGATCAATTGGAGAATACGACGTCCTCCGTGGGATTTTTACCAGTGAGATAGGAACAAAGCAAATCACTCAGAGTGCATTATTAGCAGAAGCCAGAAGTGATTATTCTGAAGCTGCTAAGCAGTATGATGAGGTAAAATTGATCTCTGGCAAAATATGACATTTACTTCAACACTTTTGTTTTCTGCTGAACTATGACTTTAAGCAAAACGAGGTACAGCAGATCCTTGTTGGTTCAATGTCTTTTCGTTACAATGTTGATGAGGAAGAAAATTGGTTTCCTTATAGGTTGTTCACTTAAGTTAGGGCCTACCATACTATGAAACTGTATATTATTTCTCTGCTCTTACACAGTTTCTGTTTGAATAGGTTGTTTTCTTTCAGTTAGTTAAAAAAAAAAATTATAAAGAAATTGTATTAGGCTGTTCTTGCATTTCTGTAGAGAAATACCTGACACTGGGCAATTTATAAAGAAAAGAGGTTTAATTGGTTCACGGTTCCACGGGCTGCACAGGAAGTATGGTGCTGCCTTCTGCTTGGCTTCAGGGGAGGCCTTGGGAAGCTTTTATGCATTGGTAGAAGGCGAAGCAGGAGTAGGCATTTCACATGGTGAAAGGCAGTAGCAAAAGAGAGACAGTTGGGGAGGGGGTGCCATATACTTTTATTTATTTAGAGGCAGAGTCTCATTCTGTCACCCAGGCTGGAGTGCAGTGGCACTATCATGGCTCCCAGGCTCCGGCGGTCCTCCCACCTCAGCCACCTGAGTAGCTGGGACTTCAGGCATGCACCAACATGCCTGGCTAATTTTTGAAATTTTTTTGTAGAGATGAGGTGTCACTATGTTGCCCAGGCTGGTTGGGAACTCCTGAGCTCAAGCCATCATGCCTGGGCCTCCCAAAGTGCTAGGATCACTCATCACCAAGGGAATGGCCCACTTCATTCATGAGGGATCTGCCCCCCATTGATCCAAACACCTCTCACCAGGCCCCACCTCTGACATTGAGGATTACATTTCAACATGAGGTTTAGGTGGGGACACATATTCAAATTACATCAGAGGTAAAGAAGAATTTGGGAAGATGAATATAAGTTCAGTTTTGTACATTCCGTCAGTGGCTATTCAAGTGTAGGTGTTGAAATTCAGGGTCTGTGACCTGTGAGACTCTTCAATGAGCAGTCCAGGTTTTGTTTGTTTGTTTGTTTTTGAGAGTCTCACTCTGTCGCCCACGCTGGAGTGCAGTGGCGCAATCTGGGCTCACTGCAAGCTCTGCCTTCCGGGTTCACGCCATTCTCCTGCCTCAGCCTCCCGAGTAGCTGGGACTACAGGTGCCCGCCACCACGCCCGGCTAATTTTTTGTATTTTTAGTAGAGATGGGGTTTCACCGTGTTAGCCAGGATGGTCTCGATCTCCTGACCTTGTGATCCGCCCGCCTCGGCCTCCCAAAGTGCTGGGATTACAGGCTTGAGCCACCGCTCCCAGCCGAGCAGCCCAGGTTTTAAAATCCTCTGCAATTTTCTACAAATGTCCTGTATTCTAATTTTATTCTAAGAACTTGTTACGTGGTAAATAACCCCCAGTAGAGATGTAAATCAAGTTATTGTGATTGAAAGTCTTCAGTCTTAGTAATTGGTTTCATTGGTAAGTTTCTCAGAGAAATGGCTTCCTCCTAGTTAGGATTTTTGTGGCTTTTTTTTTTTTTTCTCTCTTAAAACAGGGTCACCCAGGCTGCAGTGCAGTGACACAATCTCAGCTTACTGCAGCCTCAACCTCCTGGGCCCAAGTGATCTTCTCACCTCAGCCTCCCAAGTAGCTGGGACTGCAGGTGCTTGCCATCGTACCTAGCTAGTTTTTGTGTTTTTTGTAGAGAGTTTTTGCGTTTTTTGTAGGCCATGTTGCCTAGGCTAGTCTCAAACTCCTGGGCTCAGGTGATCCATGTGCGTTAGCCTCCCACAGTGGTGGGATCACAGGCGTGAGCCAGCGTGCCCAGCTGGGTTTTTCTATTCATTTAGTACTGTAGGATTCCTTTTGGTTTTTCTTCCATTCAGTGTTACTCTGAATAGCTTCTCTTTTCTCTCTCCTTTCCGTAAATCTGAAAAGGATTGTTTTTAGTGTGATTGTTACATTCCTCCTTTTTACGTGTTCTCATTGGTATTCTTTCCAACTTTGTAAAATAATTTTATTAACTTTTCTCCACTAGGCTCTCAATAAACAAGACTGGGTAGATGGTGAGCCCACAGAAGCCGAGAAGGATTTTTGGGAACTTGCATCCCTTGACTGTTACAACCACCTTGCTGAGTGGAAATCACTTGAATACTGTTCTACAGCCAGTATAGACAGTGAGAACCCCCCAGACCTAAATAAAATCTGGAGTGAACCATTTTATCAGGTGGGTAAAATTATTTTAAGTGATTGAAATAATTATTTTAGATAGGTGTTTTCTACTTAACAAAATTGTTTAAAACATTTCAAAAACAGGTAGTACTTGTGAAGCACTAGGGAATTGCATGACCTGAGTCCACCTACAAACCCCATAGTATTGTTAAATCTCTTATCACTTTTAGCTAATCATCTTTTCAAAGTGAATGCAATGCATTTTAAAATAAATATTAACATTCCTAGTATGACTACATAGGAGCATATTTCCTGTTGTCTCTTATATTACAAGAAGTCGCCCCGGATCACTGGCTAAACACAGGCCTCCCAGCTCCTGTGACAAGAGGCTCTCCGCTTTTCTCCACACCATACCTATCCTGACTGTGCTTGTAAATTCCTCAGTTTGTACGTAACATCCAAATCATCTTCCAGCCAAAAGTAGTTCCCATTTTTTGTAGAACGTGTTCCTATATATTTTGTGGTTACAAAACAAGCTATTTTAGATGAATTTGTTTTAAAAATTGGAGGTTTACTGTTTCAGACATCAAACATCATCGCTTTGACTTTAAATCTTGACCTGTGAAAGTATAGCAAAGAATATAATAGAAATAAAATAATTAGACATACTCAAATTGGCCTTCTGTAGTTACAAGTATATTTTTATGTTCCTTAGGAAACATATCTACCTTACATGATCCGCAGCAAGCTGAAGCTGCTGCTCCAGGGAGAGGCTGACCAGTCCCTGCTGACATTTATTGACAAAGCTATGCACGGGGAGCTCCAGAAGGCGATTCTAGAGCTTCATTACAGTCAAGAGCTGAGTCTGCTTTACCTCCTGCAAGATGATGTTGACAGAGCCAAATATTACATTCAAAATGGCATTCAGAGTTTTATGCAGGTAATACTATATATTATATATATATGCTTGTATATATATAGTGTATATATATATTATAATGTGGATCTATCTGAAATATACTATTTTTAGGATATTTTTAAAACTCAGTAAACTCATGAAAAAAATCAACAAAAATTTTCAAGTACTATTTTCATACCACCTATTTCCTTCTTTCTGTTCTTCCAATAATGCTGTTCATTCTGTCCTTTATCTTAATGCCTTTTTAAATCTTTTTTTTCTATTTTAGAAAGGTTTCATTTTTTTTCCTTTTTGTTACCTTTCTCATACTCTTAAAGAACACTTGAGAGTAGGGTGTTTTTTTGTTTGTTTGTTTGTTTTTTGAGACCAAGTTTCTCTTTTGTCGCCTAGACAGTGGAGTGCAATGGCGCAATCTGGTTCAAGTGATTCTCCTGCCTCAGCCTCCCGGGTAGCTGGGATTACAGGCCCTCGGCTAATTTTAGTATTTTTAGTAGAGACGAGGTTTAACCATGTTGGCCAGGCTGGTCTTGAACTCCTGACGTCAGGTGATTCACCTGCCTCAGTCTCCCAAAGTGCTGGGATTACAGACGTGAGCCAACGCTCCTGACCAAGAGTAGACTTTTCTATTTGGGGTAGCGGAATGGAAGTTTGGTTGCTTTGTAGAGAAGAGCAGGGGTTGATCTTTCCTGATTGTTTGCTGCCACTCTTTCTTTCCTTTTTGCTTTTCTGCGAATCTTTTCCTGACAGTTGTTTGTTTGTAAGTGAATGTCTTGTATAAAGTTTATTAATAACATTTAGTATAGGTTAGTGACATTTAGCATAGAAGCATATTCATTCATTGTTTTCATTTTTATTTAATGTGTTGAAGTTGATTAGCACTCTTGAGGAAGTTTATCAAAAAAAGAATTGGCTTCTGTAGTCAGCAGTTTTACATTATAGGATGTTAGGATTGTTAAAACTTGGTGGCAAGTCGAGGCAGTGATAGCCTGGTGATGTCAGTTTTATTGATTTCATTGAGCCAAAATGTTATTGAAACCTTAAATTTTTTTTTAAAATTTAAACTATTTGTTAACTGTCTGTGATCTAATTATTAACCATTCTGAGGCATATTTATAGAATAATTGCTACATTTCATAATTTAGAGTACTGTTAAAAACTTAAAGTCACAGCTTGATTGATTTATAACATGGCATTTGTAAATGCCCTTTTTTTTTTTTTTTTTTTTTAAGAATTATTCTAGTATTGATGTCCTCTTACACCAAAGTAGACTCACCAAATTGCAGTCTGTACAGGCTTTAACAGAAATTCAGGAGTTCATCAGCTTTATAAGCAAACAAGGTAATTTTTTTCATCGGTCTTTTTTTTTCATTTCTAATTGTGGAAGAGTTTTAGCATCTAAATTATTTTCTGCTTAGTGAAAGTGCATGTTTCTTAATGTATGGGTTGGAAACTCCATCGAATTTCCTCTACAAATACCTATTTTCAGATCATTGAAATAAATGTTTAAAATGGTCAGGCAGAGTTCTAGGCATCAGGGCTGCAAAGTGAAAGAAAACATGTTGCTTACCTTAATGAAGCTTTTGGAGTAGCGGGGTGACTCCAGAGGATACCTGCCCACAAGGATGGTGGGGCCCACCCTGGCCTGAGAGGGTGCAGGACTCCTGGAGGAGGGTCCTGAGCAGTGGGGAAGAGGCAGGGGCTTGCAGACGGAAAGCTGTGGTGCCCCTGAGGTGCACGCTGAGGGCTCTGGGTGCCCTGGCTTGAAGGGAGGGCAGGAAGGCTGCGGGCAGCAGGGCCCACATCAGGAAGGCCTTTGTATCGCTGATGAGTGGGTTTTATCCCAGTGCCTATGGGAGGCCACCCAAGAGTCTAAGGGGAAGAGTACATCTTTGCAAAGGTAAAATGTTTTGTTTGTTAATCTGAATTTCATTTTTGTCCTAAATAATTAAAATTAATTACAAAAGATGCTTTCAGAATACTGATAAAAACTGATATTTATGTCTACCTAGTTATTTTCTATTTTAATTTTGGAAAATTATTTTTCAAGTACATATTAATCATATTAATGACGTATCATTTATTAAGTGCATTCTACTTTCAGGAGCTATGTTAATCTCTTTATCAATATTACCTAGTCTTTTTTTTTTTTTTTTTTTTTTTTGAGACGGAGTCTCACTCTGTTTCGCAGGCTGGAGTGCAGTGGCGGGATCTCGGCTCACTGCAAGCTCTGCCTCCCGGGTTCATGCCATTCTCCTGCCTCAGCCTCCCAAGTAGCTGGGACTATAGGCTCCCGCCACCATGCCTGGCTAATTTTTTGTATTTTTAGTAGAGATGGGGTTTCACCATGTTAGCCAGGATGGTCTCGATCTCCTGACCTCGTGATCCGCCCGCCTCGGCCTCCCAAAGTGCTGGGGTACAGGCATGAGCCACCGTGCCTGGCCAATATTACCTAGTCTTTATAACAACTTTATGAGATGGATTTTTTTCTCCTCATTTTTTAGAGGCTTATAGAGATTGAATGACTTGCCTAAGCTAATAAGTGAAAGATTTTAATTTTGAACCCAGGACTGTCTCATCTAATCTTGTGTTCCTGACTGCTGTTTTCCCCCAACAGAAAGAAAAACACATTAACAATGTGAATTTTCAGTTTTGTGAAGATTATTATGAATCTCTTTGCTGAGACCTTTGAGGCCAGAATGTTTTGGACACTAGAAATATTACCTGTGTACATGCCAGGGGCTAGGGCAGTATTCTGTAACTCTACAGCTTAAGTTATGAATATTCACATTGATGCCATAAACAAAGACTAAGTAGCCCTATACCAATGAAGATCAGATTTTTTTTGCCAAGAAAATTTGCTTCAACCCCATGAAAATCTTTTTAGTTATCAGTGCTTTTTAGATTTTGATATTACAGATGGACTGTAGACCTGTAATAAATGTAAAAAGAATTTGTGCATGTTTATTTCTCCATCTTTATTCTCTGTCCTTAAGCAATTGAGTTTAAATGTCAGAATATATTAAATTTAGTATGGTAACTTTGTGTTCCTTTTGTAAAAGAAAGGACTTTTTTGTAATTTGGGCAGGAAGTTTGAATTTTCTATTTACTGATAATGACCTTTGTCATTTGATCTTATAATTGAGCTGTGTGTATAGTCACCCTCTAATACTATTTTTAGGCAATTTATCATCTCAAGTTCCCCTTAAGAGACTTCTGAACACCTGGACAAACAGATATCCAGATGCTAAAATGGACCCAATGAACATCTGGGATGACATCATCACAAATCGGTAAGACGTGGTCCCTTTCAGTCAAATGTGGATTGTTTTTTGAAATTGTTGGAATGGTTTTTCTTCCAAACCATGGTTTAGAGAAATGTGGGATTTGAGCCTAGCACAGCTGTTTTCCATCCTTCCTGTTTCCCATGTAAGTAGTTCCGATAGAGCTCTCCGTGTCTGCAGTGTCCTCTTTCCCGCTTGCCCTGTGGGGACGCTGCTGTCGGGAGGTGCTGGTGGCTGATCCTGAACCTGCACCTCCAGGAAGGGAGACAGGGTCAGTGTGCATTTGCTTCTCTCACAACGGAATGTTAAGTAGTTAGATGACAACAAAGAAGACGACTACATAATGATTTTTATTATCCTATTTTTTATAACTAGGATTTTTGACATTCTTGCCTCCTACCTCCCAACTCCATTACACAGTCATGTGTCACTTTCCCAGGTCTCAGGTCATGTTCATGTCCTCATCTTCTCCATCCTGTAACTAACCTGTGGAATCCATAGGGCAGGTACTAACCATGTAATAAAATCAGAGAGGTTTATGGCACACAAATGTGTGTAGGAAATAGGACTTAAGGACTCTGACCCCAAGTGTCA
The DNA here is from genome assembly GCF_000001405.40 of Homo sapiens. Taxonomy (NCBI): domain Eukaryota; kingdom Metazoa; phylum Chordata; class Mammalia; order Primates; family Hominidae; genus Homo; species Homo sapiens. The sequence continues at coordinate 47,816,864 of NC_000008.11, read as the reverse complement.
TGGTCTCCCATTATTTCCTCCACTACTACTTTTTTTTTTTTTTTAAACTTTTTATTTTGAGATGAGTTCTTGTGGAAAAGTTGCAAGAAAAGTAGTACTCTCCTGGGTTCTTTAACCCAGATTCACTGATTTTTTAAATAACATTTTAAACATTTTTCCATGTTAGTATTTGTATTTTTTTCTTTTCTACCAGACCCTACATATTATTTATTTTCTGAACCGGTTGTGAGCGTAAGCTGGATACATACCTTTGCCTCGTTATAGATCAGTGTTCATTTCTTAAGAAAAAGAATTTTTCTTTATGTAACTACTGTTCAGTGATGAACCTTGGTGCTTTCATTTTTCCTCTACAGCCCAATTTCAGTTTTGTTAATTGTCCCAGTAATGTCCTTTGTGGCATTTTCTCTACCTCTACAACAAGATCAGTACAGAATGATGGACTCTATTTATCTGATGTGTCTTTTTAGTCCCCTGAAAGGCTTTGTGTGTCCTAATACTGCCACTTTTGAGGAATGTTCCTCTGTTTGGGTTTGTCTTACGTTTCCTCATGGTGGGACTCAGGTGATCTGTCTCTGGCCAGAATACTTCTCAGGCTAGCAAATCACACGTGGGGCACAGTGTCCATCTGCCTTTTACTGGTGATAATTTTTTTTTTTTTGATGCAGTCTTTTTGCCCAGGCTGGAGTGCGGTGGCACAATCTCAGCTCACTGCAACCTCCGCCTCCCAGGTTCAAGCGATTCTCCTGCCTCAACCCCCCAAGTAGCTGGGATTACAGGCACGCACTACCATGCCCGGCTAAATTTTGTATTTTTAGTAGAGATGGGGTTTCACCATGTTGGCCAAGCTGGTCTTGAACTCCTGACCTCAAGTGATCCTCAAGTGAGCCTTGGCCTCCCAAAGTAATGGGATTACAGGCATTACTTACCATGCCCAGCCTGGTGATAATAATTTTGATTGTTTGGTCTCTCCACTGTATAATGCCATTTTTTTGCTTTTCTTTTGCAACTAACAAATAAATGTAGGAGCTGCTTTGAGACATACAAATGTCCTGCTTCTCCTAAGACTTATCCCTCTGTATTTCACATTTGTGGATGACTCCTGGCCCAAACCAGTGTTGACAATAATGGTTGCAAAATTATAATTTCCAACTCTACCATTCATTTATATTAGTCTACATCTTATTGTAAGCAGGCACCCTTCCTTCTGTTTACTTACTTATTTACTTTTTAAAGATTATCAATAAAGACTCAGGGATTCAAATTTTATTTAGTGGGATATAACCTATACTGTCCTTATTTATTTTGTGTTCAATTATCTCAGATTTGGCCAACAGGCTCCCCTTTAAGCTAACAAATCAGGCTCATCTTACCTGTCTTCTACTGTTTTCTTTTAGAAATGTTATGGTTTTAGGTCTTACATTGAGGTCTCTGATGCACTGGAAGAAAATTTTTGTAAATGGCGTGAGGTAGGGGTAGGTGTTTACTTTTTCCATATAGATATCTATCTAGCCGCATTTGTTCAAAAGTCTTTCATAATTGAGTCACCTTGGCAATTTTTTTGAAACTCAATTGACCACATATGTGTGGGTCTATTTCTGGATGCTCTATTGTAGCCCTTGCTTTGTGTTTTTTTCACAATAGCAAACTGCCTTCATTTATATCACTTTATAGTACGTTTTGAAGTCAGACAGGATGAGTTCTCGAACTTTTCTTTTTTTTGAGACAGGGTCTTACTCTGTCACCCGATAATGGCTCATTGCAGTCTCAGCCTCCCAGGTTTAAGCAGTCCTCCCACTTCAGCCTCTCAAGTAGCTGGGACCACAGGCGTGCGCCACCATGCCTGGCTAATTTTTTTGTCTTTTTTTGTGGAGACAGGGTTTCACTATGTTGCCCAGGATGGTATGTAACTCCTGGGCTCAAGCAACACGCCCACCTCAGCCTCCCAGTGTGCTGGGATTACAGGCATGAACCATGGCACCTGGCTCAACTTTCTTTATGAAAACTACTTTATTTTAGTTGATCTGCATTTCTATTTACATTTTAGAATCTGCTTGTCAATTTGTATAAAGAAAAACTGCTGAGATTTTGATTGGGACTGTATTGACTATAGTTTAATTTGGGGAGTTGCTATCTTAACAATATAGAGTTATCGAGTTCATTAATATGGCATATCTCTGTTAATTTAGATATCTTTAATTTCAGTGATTTGTATTTTTTCAGTATGGAGATCTTGGATGTCTTTTGTGATTTATTCCTAAGTATTTTATGTTTTTTGGCACTGTTATAGATGGATTTATTTTTAAAATTGTATTATTTTCCAATTATTTGCTGCTAATGTAATTGCTTTTTATATATTAACTTTGTATCTTTGCTAACATGGTAGTTTTAGTTCTTGTTTTGCAGGTTCTCTGGGATTTTCTATCATATCATCTGCCGATAGAGCCACCTTTCTTTCTTTCTGAACTTTATGCCATTTATTTCATTTTCCTGCTTTGTTAAAACCATGAGGACCTCAAGTACAATCTTGAATATACGTGCTAAAATGAGCATCTTAGTTTTATTCCTGATGTTAGAGAAGATAGTTCACTCACTCAGCTTTAAAAAATAATTTTTTTGTAAATGCCTTTTATCAGATTGAGGAAATTCCCTTCTATTCCAGGTTTTCTGAGAGTTTTGTTTTATCATGAATGAATGTCGAATTTTATCAAACACTTTTTCTGCAACAGCTTAATCATATTGTTTTTCTCCTTTATTGTGTTTATGAAGTATTAGCTTTGATGCTTTTTAAATATGAAGCCAATCTTGCATTCTTAGGGTAAACCCAATACGGTCATGATGATCCCTTAAGGATTTTAGCATCTACATCCAAGTGGGATATTGGTGTGTAATTTTCTTTTTTGTAATATCTTCATCAGGTTTTGGTATTAGGGTTATCATGGCCTCATAAGATGAGTAAGGCATGTTCCCTTCTCTATTTTAAAAAAAGTTTATGGCCAGGCGTGGTGGCTTATGCCTCTAATTCCAGCACTTTGGGAGGCCAAGGTGGGCGGATCACCTGAGGTCAGGAGTTCAAGACCAGCCTGACAAACATGGACAAAACCTGTCTCTACTAAAAATATAAAATTAGCCGAGCATGGTGGCACATGCCTGTAATCCTAGCTACTCGGAGGCTGAGGCAGGAGAATCGCTTGAACCCGGGAGGCAGAGGTTGCGGTGAGGCAAGATCGTACCATTGCACTCCAGCCTGGGCAACAAGAGCAAAACTCCGTCTCCAAAGGAAAAAAAAAAATTATATAAGATCCTCATTATTTCATACTTGAATATTTGATAGGATTTACCAGTGAAACCTATCCTATTTGGGCATGGGTTTTCCCTTGGGGAAGATTTTTGATAATGTATATAATTTCCTTAGTCAATACTGATAGAGAATTTAAACTTTCTATTTCTGGCTGGGCATGGTGGCTTACACCTGTAATCCCAGCACTTTAGGAGGCCGAGGTGGGTGGATCATTTGAGGTCAGGAGTTGGAGACCAGCCTGGCCAATATGGTGAAGCCCTGCCTCTACTAAAAATACAAAAATTAGCTGAATGTGGTGGTGGGCACCTGTAGTCCCAGCTACTCAGGAGGCTGAGGTAGGAGAATCACTTGAACCCAGGAGGTGGAGGTTGCAGTGAGCAGAGATCGTGCCATTGCATTCCAGCCTGGGAGACAGAGCAAGATTCTGTCTCAAAATAAATAAATAAATAAATAAATAAATAAATAAATAAATATAAAATTCTATTTTTGTGTCATTTTTGTTAAATTGTATTTTTCAATCACTTTGTCCATTTTCTTTTTAAATTTCTGCCTTCTTTATTTGTTTTTTAAAGTAAATTTGTCCATTTCATCAAAGTCATCAAATTATTGGTATAATGTTCACATTATTCTCATCCTTTTTATTATTTGTAGTGTCTGTGGAGGGAACCCCCTTTTTCATTCCAGATATTGGTTATTTGTGTTCTCTTTTTTAACACTTGATTCATCTGGGTAAAGGTTTGTGTCAGTTTTGCTTTTTCAAAGGATCAGTTTTTTACTTTGTTAATTTTCTTTATTATTTGTCTGTTTTCTATTTAATTGATTTCTAGTATCGTCTTTACTATTTTTTTCTTTTCCTCTTACCTTATATTTGCTTTTCTTTTTCTAGTTTCTTTAGGTGGAAACTGTTGATTTTATACCTTTTCTTCCTCCTAATATAAGCATTTAAAGTTATTTGTGTCCCTGTAAAGTACTGCTTTAGCTGCATTCTGCACATTTTGGTATGTCATTCAGTTCAACGTATTTTTCTAACTCTCATGTGACTTGATCCATTAAATATTTAAGTGTTTTAATTTCCAAATACCTGGGTTTTCTGGCTATCTTAGTGATTTCTAAATTCCACTGTGGTCAGAAAACACCCTCTGTATGATTTTGATCCTTTTAAATTTTATTGAGACTTCTTTTATGTGCCAACATATGGTCTATTTTAGTAAATACCTATGTAAACTTGAAAATTTTTGTATATTCTGCAGTTCCTGGGTATCAGGTTTTATAAATTTCAATGAGATCAAGGTAGTCAGGGATACTTTTCAGATCTTCCATGTCTTTACTGCTTGTTTGTGTAGTTCCATCACTGCTGAGAAAAGGATGTCAAAATCTCCTATGATTGTAGAATTGTCTGTTTCTGCCTTTACTTCTGTGTATTTTTACGTACTGTATTTTGATTCTGTTATTAGGTACATACATATGGATAACTGCTGTCTTCCTAATGAAATTATTTTTATTATACATTAAGTTCTGGGATACATGTGCAGAATGTGCAGGTTTGTTACATAGGTATACACATGCCACGGTGGAAATACTTTTTTTTTGTGATGGAATTTTGCTCTAGTTGCCCAGGCTGGAGTGCAGTGGCATGATCTTGGCTCACTGCAACCTGCATCACCCAGGTTCAAGCCATTCTCCTGCCTCAGCCTCCCGAGTAGCCGGGTTTACAGGCATGTGCCACCACGCCCAGCTAATTTTGTATTTTTTAGTAGAGACAGGGTTTCGCCATGTTGGTCAGGCTGGTCTCGAACTCCTGACCTTAGGTGATCCACCCACCTCAGCCTTCCAAAGTGCTGGGATTACAGGCGTGAACCACCATGCCCTGCCAAAATACTCCTTTTATCATTATGAAGTAATGATATGTTGATGTGTGTGTGGATGGATTTCATGTGTGTTTATCTGTGAAGTAACATATAATGAAAACACCACTAGATAACACTGTACTTTCAACAGTCATACATATTCTAAAGAACATATGTGGTTTTCCTCACATATTCTTTAGAACATAAGTATGTGTTCTTTATTATACTTACCACACTGTACTCATCATTTATTCCTAAGACCCAAGTTTTTCTCTTGTGTCATTTTCCTTTAGCCTAAAAATCTTCGTTTAGCAGTTCTTGTAATGCAGGTCTACTTGTGATGAACTCTTGTTAGTTTTTTCCTTCTCTGAAGATATCTTTATTTCTCTGTCATTCCTGAAGGACACTTTCTCAGAATGTATAATCTGGGTAGATTCTCCCTGCCCCTTGTAGTATCTTTTGGCTGCTGTGTCTCTGAAGATAATGTCCTCGTTATTCCCATCGTTGTGGCCCACATGTAATGTGTCATATTTTTCTGGCTGCATTCAAGATTTTTTTTCTTTATCATTGGTTATCAGCAGTTTGATTATGATGTGTCTAGGCCTGGTTCTCTTTGAATTTATCCCATCTGAAGTTCACTTACCTTCTTGAATCTGTACCTTTTTGTCACCAGATTTGGGGAGTTTTCAGTCATTGTGTTTCTTCAAATGCTTTTTGTCCAAATTTCTCTTGGTCTCTTTGTGGGAATGCAGTTACACATACATCGTGCCTTTTGACATTGTTCCATAGGTCCCTGACTCTGTTCATTTTTATTGTCTTTTTTTGTTGTTTATTCATCAGATTAGATCATTTCTATTGATTTGTCTTCAATCTTACTGTTATTTTCTTTTGTCTTACTTGTTCTTCTAGTAAGTCTGTCTAGTGACTGTTTTATCTTAGGTATTGTATTTTCCAGTTGTAAACTTTCCATTTGGTTTATTAAAAAATATTTTCTCTTTTTCTACTGAGATGCGCACCTTTTCATTTATTGCATGTGTGTTTTTCTTGACCTCCTGGAGCATAGTTAACATAGCTGCTTTAAGGTCCTTGTATGATCATTCCAGCATATGGGTCAGCATAGAGTTGGCATCTGTTTTCTGTTGAGATGGATACATTCTCCTGATTCTTTTTATCAGTTAATTTTTGAATGTAACTTGTGAATATAGTAGTCGCTTCTTATCTGTAGGAGTTCAAAGATCCCCAGTGGAATCCTGAAACCATGGATAATACCAAACCTTATGTATACTGTTTTTACCTATACATACACACATATGATAAAGCTTAATTTGTAAATTTGTACTCTTAGGCAGTAAGAGTAACAGCAATAACAATAATAAAGTAGAATAATTCAAACAGTATACTATAATAAACGTTATGTGAGTGTGGTCTGTCTCTCTCAAAATATCTTATTGCACTATATCTCCAGTAACTGAAGCCAGGGAAAGCAAAACTGCAGGTAAGATAAGGGGGACTACTGGATTCTCTTGTGTAGATGCTGGCTTATAATTCTGTAGCTGGTGATCTGTTTAGATAGTAGGCTCTGTCTTTCCTTTTGTTGGTTGAAACCTCAGTTCCTGTCCAAACCTGTGCTGTTTTGAGTCTGTCTGCACATGCACACTTCAGGGCAGCCTGAGCCTGGTGGGTTCATGTGCAGAACTAGAGGATTTTTCTCTGGTTCTCTCCCCTCCAGGATTCTCCCTGTAGCCCCTGTCTGCCTGGACTCCTTTTCCTGTTCCCCTGGGTAGAATGCAGCAGGCTTGTCTTAAGGATCTCAGTCACATTGCCACCACACTCCACAGGGGCAAAAGAGAGTAAGACAGAGAGGAAACAGGAAGCTCATCCCAATAGCAGACCTTCCCAGTTTTGATTTCCCTGCGCATACATACAGTCTGCCATCTTTTATTCACTCAGAGTTCTTGGGGAGTTGTATTTTATCCAGTTTCTAGTTGTTGTCAGCAGAGGATAGGCCACAAGGGGCTCACAGTGCCATACCGGATCCAGACTCTTGTTTTTAGAAAAGATGGTTCTCTTCTTGGTTTATTCTCCCTGATTTGATGTGAGAACATGTCACGCAGTGTAACTCTTCTCTGCCTTTGTTTAATTTGTTCCCTCTGTCTGGGACTCCCTTGTCAACTCCACTCCTAAAATTGCATGCACCCTTCACAGCCCAAGGAAGTCTGTCTCATTCTGTGGACGTTCCCACCTCCCTTTCCTGAGATCCCAGGCACTTTATTCACACTGGTAGGAGACATTTATGGATCCAGTCATTCATTATTTATTGAAATGTTAATCCAGTACCCACTTGTATTTATTTTTATGATTAAAAACAGTGAAAGCTTAAAATCAGTGGTAGCTTTAGGGAATGAGCCAGCACTGTGGTTGGTGTGGGGATGAGGAGCCCAGAGCAGTGTGGTGAGAACAGGAAATGGCCAGCAAGGGTTGTATCTTGGGAGTAACAAAAAAAGAGGAAAAAGGAAAAAGAGATGTGAAGCATGATGGTTTATCTTCCTGCAGTGTTTCCTTCTCCCCTCCCCTCCCCCTCCCTCCCATACCCTCCCTTCCCCTCTACTCCCCTGCACTCCCCTCCCCTCTCCTTTCCTCTCCTTTTTTCCTCTTTTTCCTTTCCTTTTCTTCTTTCCTTTCTTTCTTTCCTTCCACGCACAGGGTCTTGCTGTGCCACCCAGGCTGGAGTGCAGTGGTGCAGTCATAGCTCACTGCAGCCTCAAATTCCTGAGCTCAGGCGATCTTCCTGAGTAGCTGGGAATACAGGCTCACGCCACCATGCCCAGCTAATTTTTACATTTTTTGTCGAGATGAGGTATCACTATGTTGCCCAGGGTGTTCTCGAACTCCCTGGCCATACTGTTTCTAAGAAATTGGAAATGAGTTCCTGGAAAAACAACAGAAATTTACTTGATGGTTGATCAGGGATGAGCTTTGTATATTAGGGCCCTTTGTCAGTGTTACTAATATTAATAGAAATAAAATTACTTGGACAGAATCATACATGTAAATTATGATTCAAATAAAAAGAATTTTGAAGTTGGGCATGGTGGCACACGCCTATTGTTTCAGCTTCTTGGGAGGCTGAGGCAGGAGGATTGCTTGAGCCCAGGAATTCAAGGCTGTAGTGTGCTATGATTACATCTGTGAATAACTACTGCACTACAGGCTGGGCAATATAGTGAGGCCTGTCTCTAAAATAATAATAATTTAATAGCAACCTAGACTTCTCTTTTAAATTTTCATGGCTGGGCATGGTGGCTCATATCTGTAATCCCAGCCTTTAGAAGGATTCCTTGAGCCCAGGAGCTCGAGACCAGCCTGGCAACATAGCAAGCCTCCGTTTCTACAAAAAAGTGTAAAACTTAGCTTGATGCGGTAGCACGCACCTGTAACCAACCCCGGCTATTTGGGAGGCTGAGGGAAGAGGATTGTGTGAGCTTAGGAGGTCGAGGCTGCAGTGAGCTGTGATTGCACCACTACACTCCAACATGGGCAACAGAGCAAGACCCTGTCTCAAAAAAATAAAAAAGAAAATTTTCAGTGATTTTAAACTGTTTACTGTTATGTATTTATCACCTTAAGTTGGGACATATAAGGAGCAAAATGGCTCAACACAGGGTATGTTACCCATTCATCAAAAGATAAAATTTAGGCCAGACATGATAGCTCACTCCTGTAATCCCAGCACTTTGGGAGCCCAAGGCAGGTGACCCAAGGATCACCTGAGGGTCAGGAGTTCAAGACCAGCCTGGCCAACATGGTGAAACCCCGTCTCTACTAAAAATACAAAAATTATCTGGGTGTGGTAGTGCACGCCTGTAGTCCCAGCTACTCAGGAGGCTGAGGCAGGAGAATCGCTTGAACCCAGAAGGTGGAGGTTGCAGTAAGTCGAGATCGTGCCACTGCACTCCATCCTGGGCGACAGAATGAGACTCCATCTCAAAAAAAAAATAAGTAGGCCGGGTGCGGTGGCTCACGCCTGTAATCCTAGCACTTTGGGAGGCCAAGGTGGCCAGATAACGAGATCAGGAGATCGAGACCATCCTGGCTAACACAGTGAAACCCCGTCTCTACTAAAAATACAAAAAATTAGCCGGGTGTAGTGGCAGGCGCCTGTAGTCCCAGCTACTCAGGAGGCTGAGGCAGGAGAATGACGTGAACCCGGGAGGCAGAGCATGCCGTGAGCCTAGATGGTGCCACTGCACTCCAGCCTGGGCAACAGAGTGAGACTCCATCTCAAAAAAAAAAGAACAAACATTTACTAAGGTTTAGAATTTCTGCCTGTAATTGCTATCCAGCAGCTTCCTATTCCTGAGTCTGTGACATTGTCTCATTTTTCTTTGTGTAGATGTTTCTTTCTCAGCAAAATAGAGGAGAAGCTTACCCCTCTTCCAGAAGATAATAGTATGAATGTGGATCAAGATGGAGACCCCAGTGACAGGATGGAAGTGCAAGAGCAGGAAGAAGATATCAGCTCCCTGATCAGGAGTTGCAAGTTTTCCATGAAAATGAAGATGATAGACAGTGCCCGGAAGCAGGTGGGTACTCGTGTCTGTCCTCCCTGCTGTGTCACAGGATTTTGCTAAATTAGCTTTTCTCTAATTTTAGCTTTTCTTTAGAGTCTGAACCTTAAAATAATTGGTAGGTGTTATTTTTTTTCTCTCTTTATAAGTAAACTTGGCCGGGTGCAGTGGCTCACACCTGTAATCTCAGCATTTTGAGAGGCCAAGGCAGGCGGATCACTTGAGCCCAGAAATTAGAGACCAGCTTGGGCAACAGAATGAGAGCCTGTCTCAGAGAAAAAGGAAACTTGAAGGAGCACTTATTCAAAACTCTCCAGAAAGCCTCTAGAGTTTATTATATTCCTGTTAATCATTTCAAAATGATTGTTAGCTGTTACTTGAAAAGCAGATAAACCTAATGTCAAGTTTGATCGTTAACAAAATGAATCCTTACCAGTTAGTTACAAATTATTTTTAGGTTTACTTTGTAGGAATTATCATTTAATACTAGGACCCCTTCTTGATATTAAGTATACATTGCTTAAAAATTGCATGTAATCTATTTAAATGTATATAATCTTTAAACATACTACAGAAGCTTGCTATGTTAATGACCCTCTATCAATTGCTATTGCAAGGCAAAGGATGATATTCTAGTAGAAATAATACTTCTTTTTTGTAGCTTTAAATGCTCATTTATAGATTTTTCTTTGGATGAGTGTAATATCAAGTAAGAATTTTTATATTGCAAATAACAGAAAATCCAATTAGAGGCAGGCAGAGCAGGAACTGGATGAGAGAAAAGCAGGGTGTGGCCAGAAGGGGCGATCTGAACTGAAGGACTTAGTGGTGAGGGAGTTGGGGTCATGGGGAGAGGACCCAGTGTAGTTAGGAAACTGTCTGGCATGATGAGGGGAAAGACATGTTCCCTGCCATTGTTACTGTCTAGTAAGAGTGGGGGCTGCACACATGATGACAACAGCACTGGTGGGCAAAGAAGAGAGATGTCAGCAAAGCCTGGAGGGCGCAGGGAAGAGAAGAGCTTCTGCCTTGGACAGGGAGGTGTCTGGGGAAGGGGGATGTGATTTAGGGTAGGCTTTATGGGCATGGAAGGATTTGGACATGGGATGGCACTGGGTTTGCAGAGGGCGGGAGACTGCATCCTTACCGGGATCAGGAGGCCATTGAAGGTTCCATGCATGCTGGCTAGTTGTAAGCTGTGTGGGAGATTGACAGCTCTGGGGAAAGCAAAGGCAGAGAAAGACCAGGAAGCTCCACACTAGGGGAGTGGGGTGGGAGTGAGCAGGGCAAGAGAGGTGCTCTGTAAGGAGATCCAGGAGAACCTGAGGTGACAGGAGTGATGAGAGTGTCTGGCTAGAAACAACTCGGATTTCTAGCCTGGGCGGTTGAAATGGCAGTAATTAGGAAGACCAAAGTCTGATGAAAATGTCTTTTGAAGCTTGAGAGAGAATTAGAGGTGTAGATTTAAAAAGACATCCATATAAGCAACTAAATAAAAAATGGGTCAATTGTATTCAGAATTAAAACTGTCGTGCCTTACCTGAGAAGCTGAAGAATGTATAAAGACAACTCATGTAATGGGAGAAACTATTTCCTGATCACATATCTGATAAGGGTCTAGTATCCAGAATTCATAAAGAATGCTTCACAACTGAACAACAAAGAGTCAAACAACCCAATTAAGAAATGGGCATGAAGTGTTTGAATAGACATTTATCCAAAGAAGATAGGCAAATGGCCAACCAGCTCATGCAAAGATGCTCAGTATCCCTAGGCTTGAGGGAAATGCAAATCAAATCCACAAGGAGAGACCGCTTCACACCCACTGGGATGGCTGGAAGCAAATACACAGATAACAAAGCTTGGAGAAGATGGGGGAAACTGGAACCCTTCTGCACTGCTGGTGGGAATGTAAAATGGTGCATCTGCTGTGGAAAACAGTCTGGCATTTCCTCAAAAAGTTAAACGTAGAGGCTAGTCCAAGTGCAGTGGTTTTTGCAACTAATTGATCACAAACATTTAAGATTTCTTTGTTGATTCTCCACTTCTGATGCTTCACTTGACTATACTTAAAAAAAAAAAAATGTTGAGGCCGGGCGCGATGGCTCACGCTTGTAATCCCAGCACTTTGGGAGGCCGAGACAGGTGGATCACCTGAGGTCAGGGGTTCGAGACCAGCCTGACCAACACGGTGAAACCCCGTCTCTACTAAAAATACAAAAATTAGCCGGATGTGGTGGCACATGCCTGTAATCCCAGCTACTCGGGAGGCTGAGGCAGGAGAATCGCTTGAACCTGGGAGGTGGAGGTTGCAGAGAGCCAAGATTGTGCCACTGTGCTCCAGCCTGGTGACAAGAGCAAAACTTTGCCTCAAAAACAAAACAAAACAAAACAGTTGAACAGAGGTACCATATGACCCGACAATTCCACTCCCAGACCCATGAGAAACAAAAGCTTAAGCTCACATGGAAATTCATACACAAATGTTCACAGGAGCATTATTCAAAATAGCTGGAAAGGTGGAAACAACCCAAATAAGATGTGGCATGTCCAGCCGGGTGCAGTGGCTCAGGCCTGTAATTCCAGCACTTTGAGAGGCCAAGGCGGGTGGATCACTTGACGTCAGGAGTTTGAGATCAGTCTGGCCAACATGGCGAAACTCCATCTCTACTAAAAATACAAAAATTAGCCAGATGTGGTAGCACACACTTGTAATCCCAGGTACTTGGGAGACTGAGGCAGGAGAATTGTTTGAACCCAGGAGGCACAGGTTGCAGTGAGCCGAGATTGTGCCATTGCACTCCAGCCTGGGCAATAAGAGTGAAACTCCATCTCAAAAAAAAAAAAAAAAAAAAGTGGCATGTCCGTGCAATGGAGTATTATTCAGCCATAAGGAGGAAAGAAGTGCTGACAGGTGCTGCAACATGCATGAACCTAGAAAACATCATGCTAAGTAAAAGATGCGAGACACAAAATCACCACTTATTTTCTGATACCATTGTTACAGAATGTCTGGTGTAGGCAAATCCATAGAGACAGGAAGGGAATTTATTGTTGCCAATGGCTGGGTAGTGACTCTGAACAGACAGTGAATTTCTTTTTGGGGTAGTGAAAATGTTCTGGAATTAGGGGTGGTGGTTGTACAGCTTTGTAAATATACTAAAAAATACTGAATTGTACCCACCCTGCCACACCCCCTGGAATTTTTTTTTTTTTTTGGAGACTTGCTCTGTTGCCCAGGCTGGAGTACACAGCAGCTCACTGCAGCCTCAACCTCCCAGGTTCAAGTGATCCTACTACCTTAGTGTCCAGAGTAGCTGGGACTATAGGCACGTGCCATGGTGCTGGCTAATTTTTTAAATTTTTTAGAGACGGGGTCTTACCATGTTGCCTAGTCTGGTTTCAAATTCCTAGACTCAGGTAATCCTCCCTCTTTGGCCTTCCAAAATGCTGGGATTACAGGCCTGAGCCACTAAACCTGGCCTGAATTGTACTCTTTAAATATGAATTATATCCCAGTGATAAATTTAGAGACATAATTGAAGCTAAAGAAATGGATTCGCTACTCTAAGGTGGATTGTGTCGTGCAAAGGGGGAAGCAGGCCAATTAGAAACTTCTGTCACTTGTGTATCATCATACCACCTTCTCTCTTTTTATTGTATTCATACAGAACAATTTCTCACTTGCTATGAAACTACTGAAGGAGCTGCATAAAGAGTCAAAAACCAGAGACGATTGGCTGGTGAGCTGGGTGCAGAGCTACTGCCGCCTGAGCCACTGCCGGAGCCGGTCCCAGGGCTGCTCTGAGCAGGTGCTCACTGTGCTGAAAACAGTCTCTTTGTTGGGTAAGTTGACCGCTTTTATCCACTTATATCTTAAAGGGCTGTGTTATATTGTCTTGTGTATCTTCCTCTTCTTTGTGCTGCATCATCTGACATTTGGGAGGTAAATCTTTGCAGTAATTTCAGGGAATATAGCAAAGTGAGCCAGAGAATGATAGTTTAATTATTTTGAAAACTTTGTGTTTGCATATAAGATGTAAACAAACATGAAAAGCCATTTCAGCCTGGGCGCAGTGGCTCACGCCTGTAATCCGAGCAATTTGGGCGACCGAGGTGGGTGGATCACGAGGTCAGGAGATCGAGAACATCCTGGCCAACGTGATGAAACCCCATCTCTACTAAAAATACAAAAACTAGGCTGGGCATGGTGGCTCACGCCTGTAATCCCAGCACTTTGGGAGGCTGAGGCAGGCAGATCATGAGGTCAGGAGATCGAGACCATCCTGGCTAACACAGTGAAACCCCGTCTCCACTGAAAATACAAAAAAATTAACCAGGCATGGTGGTGGGCGCCTGTAGTCCCAGCTACTCGGGAGGCTGAGGCAGGAGAATGGTGTGAACCCGGGAGGTAGAGCTTGCAGTGAACTGAGATCACGCCACTGCACTCCACCCTGGACGACAGAGAAAGACTCCATCTCAAAAAGAAAAAAAAAAATTACAAAAACTAGCCGGGCGTGGTGGCAGGCGCCTGTCTTCGAAGCTGCTCTGGAGGCTGAGGCAGGAGAATGAACCTGGGAGGCGGAGGTTGCAGCGAGCCAAAATCGCGCCACTGCACTCCAGCCTGGATGACAACAGCAAAACTCCGTCTCTCAAAAAAAAAAAAAAAAAAGCCATTTCCTCCCAAAATAGTTTAGTCTTTAAGACTACATTAAAGGAAGAAAGCTTTCTTGTACAGGTTTGGGTTTGGTCCCCCGCTCTGTTGCCCTGTGTCTGAGGGTGTGTGCTAGCATTCTGATCAGGCATGATCCAGCTGGTTCCCAGACCAGCTCTTAAGCATCAGCCTCAATAAAGGTGTCTAGAGGAGAAGCACTCTTTGTACACTGATCCCAAGAGCAGAAGATCATCCTAGTTGGATGTGGTGGCACGCACCCATAGTCCCAGCTACTGGGGAGTCTGAGGCGGGAGGATGGCTTGAGATCAGGAGTTCGAGGCTGCAGTGAGCCATGATTGTGCCTGTGTGAGTAGCCACTGTATTCTGGCCTGGGCAGTGTAGTGAGACCCTGTTTCTAAAAAAAGAAGAAGAAGAAGAAAATTATCCTTATGATTGCTAAATAATTATATGGGCTTTTTTGAGGGGAAGAGGAGGAGTTTGCTGATGTTAATATTAGTATCCATATACCCATATAATAATAATTACACAGAGTATGGTTGTAGTTCATAACAGCCTTGCATGATAAGCAGGGCCAGTAGTTGTGATCCTGTATGTGAGATAACTTTGGCAGAGAACTGTCACATCATGGGCAAGGAGGGCATGTGGTTGATCAGGCCTCCTAGTTTCAACACTGTTATCGCACCTCTGGACACTGCAGACTTAGCCAGCGCTGGTTCAGTTACTTGCCCAGAACCACACAGTCAAAGCAGAACTAGAACTTTAAATGTAGCAGTGCCTGTTGCTTCATTAGCTATGGGCCACAGTGCCAATTTAAAGATCTACTCTGGATTATTAATATATGTACAAACACATTAGTACCCATTTCCTATTTTTTATAACAGAATTAGGTGCTTTGAAAAATTGCAGAATGATGATGCTTGAATAAAAAGTTAATTCATAAAGTTTCAATTGCTTAGCCTCTGTGGGCTTTGATACAGTTACTTCTAACAAAGAACATTTTTCATTAATATGTGAGTTCAAGAAATTCCCTAGTCAGTATTTGAAGTCAGTTTCTTATACTTTCAACATTTATTTTTATTAATTTCTTAATAGAAAACAACTTTTAGGCCAAGCATGTTGGCTCACACTTGTAATCTCAGTGCTTTGGGAGGCCAAGGTGGGCAGATTGCTAGAGCTCAGGAGTTCGAGACCAGCGTGGGCAACATGGCGAAACCCCATCTCTACCAAAAATACAAAAAATAGCCGGGCATGGTGGTGCAAGCCTGTAGTCCCAGCTAATTGGGAGGTTGAGGTGGGAGGATCGCTTGAGCCTGGTAGGCAGGGGTTGCAGTGAGCCAAAATCGTGTCGTTGCACTCCAGCCTGGGTAACAGAGCGAGACCCTATCCCAAAAACAAAAGAAAAGAAAACTTCTATAGACAATGAATTTCTTCTTTTTAATTCCACACACACATACAAAATTTTGTTTTGTTTTGTTTTTTTAATCCAACAGATGAGAACAACGTGTCAAGCTACTTAAGCAAAAATATTCTGGCTTTCCGTGACCAGAACATTCTCTTGGGTACAACTTACAGGATCATAGCGAATGCTCTCAGCAGTGAGCCAGCCTGCCTTGCTGAAATCGAGGAGGACAAGGCTAGAAGAATCTTAGAGCTTTCTGGATCCAGTTCAGAGGATTCAGAGAAGGTAATACTGGAGGAATGTTTTACGCTAGTGTGCTGTGTATGTCTTCAATGTGCAGTGTTCAGGCTACAGGAAAGTAATAATAAGGATGTTGCTTTGTGTTTTTAAAATATATTTGACAGTTATGCACAGCCAATTTTCTTTTTATTTATGTATTTGTTTTTATTTATTTATTTTCTAAATTATTATTATACTTTAAGTTTTAGGGTACATGTGCACAATGTGCAGGTTAGTTACATATGTATACATGTGCCATGCTGGTGTGCTGCACCCATTAACTCATCATTTAGCATTAGGTATATCTCCTAATGCTATCCCTCCCCCTTCCCCCCACCCCACAACAGTCCCCAGAGTATGATGTTCCCCTTCCTGTGTCCATGTGTTCTCATTGTTCAGTTCCCACCTATGAGTGAGAACATGTGGTGTTTGATTTTTTGTCCTTGCGATAGTTTACTGAGAATGATGATTTCCAATTTCATCCATGTCCCTACAAAGGACATGAACTCATCATTTTTTATGGCTGCATAGTATTCCATGGTGTATATGTGCCACATTTTCTTAATCCAGTCTATCATTGTTGGACATTTGGGTTGGTTCCAAGTCTTTGCTATTGTGAATAGTGCCGCAATAAACATACGTGTGCATGTGTCTTTATAGCAGCATGATTTATAGTCCTTTGGGTATATACCCAGTAATGGGATGGCACGCACAGCCAATTTTCTTATGTGGAAAATTGACATACTCCGTGCTTCCTATTTATTTGAATGACACAAATTTTTTAATATTAAAAATCATGAATTTTAAATTTTTTTGAATTAAAAGAACTGTAGACCGTTCTTTTATGACTTTTGTTAATTAAATTTCCCCACCCATCACCATTCAGACGTCCCACCAGCTTATGGAACAAATCAGCCTTTTCTGCATTTTTATTTAGTGCCTGCTTTGCTTAGCTTCTTGCCGATTATTTTGTTTTTTTCAATAGTTACCTGCTTCCGTCTCATTCACTATGTCCTGCCTCACCTCAGTTGTGGGGCCTTGTCTTCTCCTTCCATGATGCTACTAGCATCTGTGCAGGACACTGAGTGCAGGAGCCGACTTCCATCTCCCTCTTATATTCCCGACAGCCACGCACTCCACTGACCAGACCCAGCTCTGTGTTGCTTGTGCACCATCTGGCCCGCGCTGGGCTTGCATTTTTGTTTGGCCAGTTGTTACCTGCTGAGGATCTTGCTGGAATTGCTTGCTCCTTCACAGCCAGGGTGGACTCTTGTTTTTCCAGTTCCATAGCTTCAGTGTTATTTTGGAGCTGTTGATCCATTTATGTGTCATGAGTCACAAATGGAAAGCAGAGTTCTTTGAGAAAGCTTCAGTCATGCTCATGGGTTTAGGTCTCTGTGAATTCCAGGTGATCGCGGGTCTGTACCAGAGAGCATTCCAGCACCTCTCTGAGGCTGTGCAGGCGGCTGAGGAGGAGGCCCAGCCTCCCTCCTGGAGCTGTGGGCCTGCAGCTGGGGTGATTGATGCTTACATGACGCTGGCAGATTTCTGTGACCAACAGCTGCGCAAGGAGGAAGAGAATGCATCAGGTGAATTGAAAATTAAAAAGCTAGTGTTCCATTATGTCAGCATAAAGTCTTATGAATTTTGTACATACCTTTGGTCTCCTCTTTGTTTGTTTTCAAATTACAAATATTTTGAAAATCCTACTGTCTTTTTAAGAGACAATGGCAGCCGGGTGCAGTGGATCACTTGAGGCCAGGAGTTCAAGACCAGCCTGGCCAACGTGGTGAAACCCCAACTCTACTAAGAATACAAAAAAATTAGCTGGGCGTGGTGGCCCATGCCTGTAGTCCCAGCTACTCAGGAGGCTGGGGCAGGAGAATTGCTTGAACCCAGGAGGCAGAGGTTGCAGTGAGCCGATATCCACTACTGCACACCAGCCTGGGTGACAGAGCGAGACTCCATCTCAAAAAAAAAAAAGAGAGAGACAATGGCCTCTCTAAGCAACATGACCTACATTTAAATGGAGTCAAGTGGTCCTCTGTTTCCATTTGTTTAATTTCTACTTTGATATTTTGCTTGCAGCTTCAATATTACTGGCTCGTGTGGCCTGCTTCATGCTCCTGGAATAAATTCAATAACCACCAGTTGCCCCTTATGTTCCCAGCCCAGGATTCAAACTGTGCTTCATGCAGAATGGGCACTCTAATGGAAGGATTTGGCTCCAGGATAGATACAAAACTGTACCTGGTGTTTGTTGGTGTAAAGTGGTAGTTAAGAAGAGAACAATGACACTACAAAATACAAGCCAAAAAGGGAAAGTGTTAGCATTTAACATCATAGTTTATGGATATTGGGATACATTGACCATTGCTTTCTTCTTTGGTGTCCTTGATAGTTATTGATTCTGCAGAACTGCAGGCGTATCCAGCACTTGTGGTGGAGAAAATGTTGAAAGCTTTAAAATTAAATTCCAATGAAGCCAGATTGAAGTTTCCTAGATTACTTCAGATTATAGAACGGTATCCAGAGGAGACTTTGAGCCTCATGACAAAAGAGGTTGGTGTCTTTATTCTACTTGGCGGTAAGGAACTTTACAGAACTTAAAGATACGCTTATTTATATTCAAACGCGTTAGTGTGTGCAGTGCATGTATTATAGCTTTTCCCAGCCAGCTGTGAATTCTGCTACATTCTGAGGACATAGGTAATTTAAAGCTGCAAAAACGAGTTTTCGCATTTACCCATTTTCCTCTGTGGGTGTTGATAAAAACACTGTGTCT
This sequence comes from Homo sapiens, assembly GCF_000001405.40. NCBI lineage: Eukaryota > Metazoa > Chordata > Mammalia > Primates > Hominidae > Homo > Homo sapiens. Next base: position 47,798,013 of record NC_000008.11, on the reverse strand, counting down.
GAACAAGGATCCAGAGAGATGGAGACGGGGTGTGTGGGATGGTAACGGGATCTTGTGTGGGAAACTTGTTGCCCCTGCAGATGAGGCTGTGGCCAGTCACATTTGCTGTGCCCAGTGCTCACCTGTCATTTAGCCCAAAGGGAGTGAGCAAGGTTCAGCTTGCATCCCACCTCCCAGGAGCACAGCATCTGCCAGCAGCACGGTGTCCAGAGGGGTCTGGGAGCATGAGTGAGGGGTCAGCGTATGGACATGGGAGGAACCCGCACCCTTCCATGTGACCTGCCCCTTGGCCCCACCAAGGGCTGCACTGCCAGCTGCACTCCTGTCCTTTGGGCTCTGTCTGTGTGCAGGAGGGTTCCACTGACTTCATTTGCAAAGTGTAGGGCCTCTGAAAGGCTTCGTAGTTGACATTTATAGACGTGTAACTGGAAGATAGGGCCAAGCTTTGAGTTGAAAATGTAATAGTTCAAAAAGGGTTACATGGTTCGTTCTCTATTAGCTTTGCATGGTGAGTTTTTAAATAATGTTGATCTCTGGGCTGCGGGGACCCAGTTTGACTTTTAGGGCCCTAACCACTCCTTCCACCTTTTTCTGCATTCTGAATAGTAGACTTTCTCAGTAGGTATTAAACAGGTTAAGGTAAATTCAGAAGTGCAACATGTATGTGTTTTTCTTCAAGATAAGTGAGCAAATAACTTCATTATGATTTTATTTTTTTCCAATATAATATTTATACATGATAAAAACAGCATTTGAATTTGTGAGGACATGAAGTATTCACTCCACGTTGTCAAAACACCCAGTAGACACGTGCAGTGAAGCCAGTAGCCTCTCTCGTGAGCTTACATGAGCTGTGTGGACTGATCCTTCCTCACACGCCATGCTGTCCTCAGCTCACACGTGCACTCAGGAAGCTTGCCCATACTCAAGCCTCACTCTAGCATTGCAGACACATCAGGTTTTATCTTCAGAAAGACACCTTAAAAGTATCAGAGGAAAATGTGAACACATTTTTTTAAATGGTCTTGGAATGAAGAGACAAAAACCAGAATCCATGAAGGAAAATAGTTTGACTTCTATACAGAAAAAGAAAATACCGTATACAAAGTTAAAAAAATAAAAAGCCAGGTGCAGTGGCTCACGCCTGTAATCTCACCACTTTGGGAGGCCAAGGTGGGCAGATCACGAGGTCAGCAGTTCGAGACCAGCCTGGCCAACACGGTGAAACCCTACTAAAGAAACAAAAATTAGCCGGGCGTGGTGGCGAGCACCTGTAAACCCAGCTACTCGGGAGGCTGAGGCAGGAAAATCACTTGAACCCAGGAGGTGGAGGTTGCAGTGAGCCGAGGTGGCGCCACTGCACTCTAGCCTAGACGACAGAGCAAGACTCTGTCTCAAAAAAAACAACAACAACAAAAAAAAAAATGAAGAAAAACGTTTGCAACACATATAAGAAACAAAAAGCTGACTTCGGCAATCTACAAAATAAATGGTCACAATAGACCAGTAGAAAATGGTGGGAGGAAATGCATGCGTGATTAAAGGATGTAAGGCAAATAAACATGGAACATACAGCCTCACTAATAATGTAAGTTGAAAATTTAAATTAGGTGTTTTTCACTTCTCAGATTGACAGTGATTTTATTTTTATTTATTTATTTATTTTTTATTTTTTTGGTGACGGAGTCTCGCTGTCACCCAGGCTGGAGTGCAGTGGCGTGATCTCGGCTCGACAGTGATTTTAAAAGATGATTATGTGCAGTGTTGGTAAAGACTTTAGAAAGTAGTCAGTCTAATACTTTCAGAAATGAAAATTTGAAAAATTCTTTACCGTGGCTCATGCCTGTAATCCCAGCACTTTGGGAGGCCGAGGTGGGCGGATCATGAGGTCAGGAGATTGAGACCATCCTGGCTAACACAGTGGAACCCTGTCTCTACTAAAAATACAAAAATTAGCTGGGCATGATGGCACATGCCTGTAGTCCCAGCTACTCGGGAGGCTGAGGCAGGAGAATCACTTGAACCCAGGAGGCGGAGGTTGCAGTGAGCCGAGATGGCGCCACTGCACTCCAGCCTGGGCGACACAGTGAGACTCTTGTCTCATAAAAAAAAAAAAAAATTCCATACCAATGTTTATTACAATTTTTAAAGTTGACACTGTAATTTTAGTTCTAGGAATTTATCCTACAGGTATATAGCACAAAGAGTTACGTGTACAGGGGACCAGGCGCGGTGGCTCATGCCTGTAATCCCAGCACTTTGGGAGGCCGAAGCGGGTGGATCACCTGAGGTCAGGAGTTCAAGACCAGTCTGGCCAACGTGGCGAAACTTGTCTCTACTAAAAGTACAAAAATTAGCTGGGTATGGTGACGAGTGTTTGTAATCCCAGCTACTCGGAAGGCTGAGGTAGAAAGAATTGCTAAAACCCAGAAAGCAAAGGTTGCAGTGAGCTGAGATCACGCCACAGCACTCCAGCCTGAGCGATACAGTGAGACTCCATCTCAAAAGAAAAAAAAAAAAAAAAAGGCCGGGTGCGGTGGCTCACGCCTGTAATCCCAGCCCTTTGGGAGGTCGAGGTGGGCCGATCACGAGGTCACGAGATTGAGACCATCCTGGCTTACATGGTGAAACCCCATCTCTACTAAAAATACAAAAAATTAGCCAGGCGTGGTGGCAGGCGCCTGTAGTCCCAGCTACTCGGGAGGCTGAAGTAGGAGAATGGCGTAAACCTGGGAGGCGGAGCTTGCAGTGAGCCGAGATCACACCACTGCACTCCAGCCTGGGTGACAATGAGACTCTGTCTCAAGAAAAAAAAAAAAAAAAGAGTTGGCCAGGCACGGTGGCTCACGCCTATAGTCCCAGCACTTTGGGAGGCCGATGTGGGCAGGTCACGAGGTCAAGAGATTGAGACCATCCTGGCCAACATGGTGAAACCCCCATCTCTACTAAAAATACGAAAATTAGCTGGGCATGGTGGCGCACCTGTAGTCCCAGCTACTCAGAAGTCTGAGGCAGGAAGATTGCTTAAACCCAGGAGGCGGAGGTTGCAGTGAGCCAAGATCATGCCACTGCACTCCAGCCTGGCGACAGAGCGAGACCCCATCTCAAAAAAATAAATAAATAAATAAAGTTATGTGTACAGGGATGTCTACTGCAGCATTACCTGTGATAAAAAATTGAAATATTCATTATAGAGCAGTAAACAACATGGAATACTACATAGCCGCCAGGAGGAATGAAGTAGAAGATTTTTCTATACATCTGTCTAAGAACAACCAGCAGCAGCTGTCTCGTGTGATTCCATTCTTGCAACAAAAGACTGTTCTCCTGCACAGAAAGTGCCTGGGAGAGTCCAGTGGTTGCCGCAGCAGAAGAGAGCTAGGGGATGGAAGACTTGTTTTGTACTTGCGTTTTTATACTTCTGAGTTTTCTTTATTTTGGACATATGTTACTTTTATAACAGATGATGTGAGATGTTTTACTCAGCATTAAGTTTCAGCTCTCTGTTTTAGATCTCTTCCGTTCCCTGCTGGCAGTTCATCAGCTGGATCAGCCACATGGTGGCCTTACTGGACAAAGACCAAGCCGTTGCTGTTCAGCACTCTGTGGAAGAAATCACTGATAACTACCCGCAGGCTATTGTTTATCCCTTCATCATAAGCAGCGAAAGCTATTCCTTCAAGGATACTTCTACTGGTCATAAGAATAAGGAGTTTGTGGCAAGGTAGGTAATATTACAGAAGGAATAGGTTGATCAAATACTATAGGTTATAAAAATGTGGTTAAAGCACACACGTGGACACTACATTTGTTTTCAAATTAATTAGAGTTGTCATTGAAGAATAATCTTAGCCGTCGCTTTGTTGAATATATCTATTCTGGGTATGTTACTTGTTATAGGATGTATCTCCTTTAAATACTTTCATCTTACACTGCTAACAAAACATTCTGCTCATATGGTCATGATTGCTTGGGATAGACTAGATGAGATGATTTTTGAAATCAGCTCCTGAAATTGTCCTGTAATTTAAAATACACAGAACGACTCTTCCTTTTAATTAGGACTCAGTAGATGGCCTCAAGTGTCATCCTGTCCACTCTTAAACGGATTTATGAGTTGAGACCGATGATGAGTGAGCAGTAGTGCGCAACTATTTCAAGGATGCTTTGTACACAAACTGTGTAGTGTTGTAGTGACATTCTCCATCATGAGGTTTTGGGGTTTTTTGTTTGTTTTTAATTATGAGCAGATCTGCCTCATTATTTTGAATGTATTGATTTCAACAAGATGAAGAAAAGCGCTGGCATCTTTTTTTTTTTTTTTTTTTTTAGTTTTTTTAAATTAATTTATTTTTATTTTTATTTCTTTATTTTTTATTTTTTTTTTGAGACAGAGTATTGTGCTGTCACCTAGTGCAGTGCAATCTCGGCTGCAACCTCCACCTCCCAGGTTTAAGCAGTTCTCCCTGCCTCAGCCTCCTGAGTAGCTGGGATTACAAGCGTGTGCCACCATGCCCAGCTAATTTTTGTATTTTTAGTAGCGACAGGGTTTTGCCACCTTGGCCAGGCTGGTCTCGAACTCCTGACCTCAGGTGACCTCAGGTGATCCGCCCACCTTGGCCTCCCAAAGTGCTAGGATTACAGGCGTGAGCCACCATGCCCAGCTGAGGCCCAGCTTCTGTTGCAGTTAATGGGTGGCTTATCTGTGAACACACCCCTGCCCTACTGAGGCCCTGCCCACCATACTGTTTCTCTGAACAGACAGCTATTGTCTTGAAAAATGAAAGAAGAGAAAAAGATGTGAGAGACAGTGTGTCAAGAAAGTGACCTTGCTGGGCATGATGGTCTGTGCCTATAATACCAACTACTTGGGAGGCCGAGGTGGAAGAATCGCTTGAGGCCAAGAGTTCATGACCAGCCTTGGCAACATAGTGAGATCTCATCTCTAAAATAGTAAAATAAAAATAAGCTAAGCATGGTGGTGCGTGACTGTACTTCCAACTACTTAGGAGGCTGAGGTGGGAGAATTGCTTGAGTACAGGAATTCAAGGCTGCAGTGAGCTATGACTGAACTTGTGAGTTGCCACTGCAGTCCAACCTGGACATCATAGTGAGAACCTGTTTTTTAAAAAGTGACCTTTTCTTTCATAATGTAACTTCAGAAACTATATATCGCGTTATATACGTCAAAACGTCAACATCAGTTGCAAGATTTGCTTTTATCTAAGAGCAGCTCTTTTTTTATTTTAATTTTTAATTTTTATGGGTACATAGTAGGTGTCTATGTTTATGGGGTACATGGGATATTTTGATACAGGCATACAGTGTGTAACAATCACATCAGGGTAAGTGGAGTATCCATCACTTCAAGGATTTATCATTTCTTTGTGTTATAAACATTCCAGTTATACTCTTTTAGTTATTTTTAAATGTACAATAAAAATTTACTGTAGTCAGGCCGGGTGCGGTGGCTCACGCCTGTAATCCCAGCACTTTGGGAGGCTGAAGTGGGCGGATCAGGAGGTCAGGAGATCGAGACCATCCTGGCTAATGCGGTGAAACCCCATCTCTACTAAAAATACAAAAAATTAGCCGGGCATGGTGGCAGGTGCCTATAGTCCCAGCTACTTGGGAGGCTGAGGCAGGAGAATGGCGTGAACCCGGGAGGCGGAGCTTGCAGTGAGCCGAGATCAAGCCACTGCACTCCAGCCTGGGTGACAGAGCAAAACTCTGTCTCAACAAAAAAAAAAAAAAAAAAATTTTACTGTGGTCACCCTGTTGTGCCACTAAATACTAGATCCTGTTTTTCCTAACTATATTTTTGTGCCCATTAACCATCCCCGCTTTCCACCTCCCCTCCCCACGAGTTCAGTTGTTTTAATTTTTAGCTTCCACAAATGAGTAAGAACATGTGAAGTTTTTCTGTGCCTGACTTATTTCACATAATGTCCTTCAGTTCCATCCATGTTGTTTCAAGTGACAGGATCTCATTCTTTTTTATGGCTAAATAGTACTCTATTGCATGTATGTACTGCATTTTCTTCATTCATTTGTCTGTTGATGGACACTTAGGTTGCTTCCAAATTTTGGCCGTTGTGAATAGTGCTGCAATAAACATGGGAGTGCAGATATCATACTGATATCCTTTCTTTTGGGTATATATCCAGTAGTGGGATTTCTGGATTATATGGTACTTCTAGTTGTAGTTTTTTTAGGAATCTCCATAGTGTTCTTCATAGTGGTTGTATGAGTTTACATTCCCACCAATAGTATACAAGGGTTCCTCTCTCTACATCCTTACCAGCATTCGTTATTGCTGGGGGTGAGATGATACCTCGTTGTGGTTTTGATTTGCATTTCTCTGATGTTCATTGATGTTGAGCATGTTTTTATATACCTGTTTACCATTTGTATGTTTTCTTTTGAGAAATGTCTATTCAGATCCTTTGCCCCATTTTAAAATGAGATTGGATTTTTTTTTCCTGTTGAGTTGTTTGAGCTTGTTATGTATTTTGGTTGTTTTTTGTTTGTTTGTTTTTGAGGCGGTGTATTGCTCTGTTGCCCAGGGTAGAGTGCAGTGGCGCAATCTCTGCTCACTGCAACCTGCGCCTCCCGGGTTCAAGCGATTCTCCTGCCTCAGCCTCCTGAGTAGCTGGGATTACAGGCAGGCGCCACCATGCCCCGCTAATTTTTGTATTTTTAGTAGGGACAGGGTTTCACCATGTTGGCCAGGCTGGTCTCGAACGCCTGACCTCGTGATCTGCCCACCTTGGCCTCCCATAGTGCTGGGATTACAGACATGAGCCACTGCGCCCGGCCATATTTTGCTTATTAATTCCTTGTCAGATGGGTAGTTTGCAAATGTTTTCTCCCATTCTGTGGGTTGTCCCTTCACTTTATTGTTTCCTTTGCTGTGCAGAAGCTTTTTGACTTGATGTGATCCTCCTGTTTGTCCATTTTAAATTTGGTTGCATGTGCCTGTGGGGTATTACTGAAGAAATCTTTGTGCCCAGACCAGTGTCCTGGAGAGTTTCCTGTTTTTGTTTTTGTTTTTGTAGTTTTATTGGTTGAGATCTTAGGTTTAAGTCTTTAATCTATTTGGATTTGATTTTTGTATGTGGTGAGAGATAGGGGTCTAGTTTCATTATTCTGCATATGGATACCCAGTTTTCCCAGGACCATTTATTGGAGACTGTCCTTTCCCTGATGTATGTTCTTGGCACATTTGTGAAAAAATGGATTCACTGCAGGTGTGTGAATTTATTTCTGGGTTCTCTATTCTGTTCCATTGGCTTATGTGTCTGTGTTTATGCCAGTGTCATGCTGTTTGGGTTACTATAGCTCTGTAATATAATTTGAAGTTAGATAATGTGATTGTGCCAGTTTTATTCTTTTTGCTCAGGGTGGCTTTGGCTTTTTGCTCTGGGTCTTTTGTGGTTCCATACAAATTTTAGGATTATTTTTCCTATGTCTGTGAAGAATGTCATTGGTATTTTGATAAGGATTGTGTTGACTCTGTAGATTGCTTTGGGTAGTGTGGACAGATTTAACAGTATTGATTCTTCCCATCCATGAACATGAAGTAACTTTGCATTTCTTTGAGTCCTCTTCAATTTCTTTCATCCATGTTTTACAGTTTTCATTGTAGAGATCTTTCATTTCTTTGGCGAAGTTTATTCCTAAGTATTTTCTTTTATTTGTGGCTATTGTAAATAGAATTACTTCTATGATTTCTGTTTCAGATTGTTCACTGTTGGCATATAGAAATGCTACTGATTTTTGTATGTTGATTTTTGTATCTGCAGCTTTACTGAATTTATCAGTTCTGATGGTTTTGTGGTGGAGTCTTTAGGTGCCTCCAAATATAAGATCGTATCATCTGCAAGCAAGGATAATTTGACTTCTTCCTTTCTAATATAGATACCCTTTATTTCTTTCTCTTGTCAGCTTGCTCTAGCTAAGACTCCCAGTAGTATGTGGAATAACAGTGGGCATCCTTAACATGTTCAAGATCTTAGAGAAAGGTTTTCAGTTTTTCAGTGTTCAGTATGACACTAGCTGTGAGTGTGTTGTACATGGCTTTTATTGTGTTGAGATATGTTCCTTCTATACCTAATTTTTTGAGAGTTTTTTTTATCATGAAGGGATGTTGAATTTTATCAAATGCTTTTTCAACATCCGTTAAAATGATCAGTGGTTTTTGTCCTTTATTCTGTTGTGTAGATATGATTGATTTGTGTATTTGATCTATCCTTGATTGATTTGATCTATCCTTGCATCTCTAGAATAGGTCCCACTTGGTCATGATGAATAATCTTTTTAATGTGCTGTTGAATTTGGTTTGCAAGTATTTTGTTGAGGATTTTTGCATTAATGTTCATCAGGGATATTGGCCTGTAGTTTTCCTTTTATTTGATACGTCTTTACCTGGTTTTGGTATCAGGATAATACTGGCCTTGTAGAATGAGTTTGGACGTATTCCCTCCTCCCTTGTGTTTTGGAATAGTTTGAGTAGGATCGGTATTAATTCTTTTTTAAGAACCTCATCTCTTGATAGAATAGATGCTTCTTGCTTCATTTAACATTGGGTGGAATTTTAAATTACTATGTAGTTGGTTATATATATATGATATGTATAAATTATACTTAGTTATATATAACATACATTATTTTATATATGTATAATATATAACTTATATATGTATGGTATATAAAATATATATTGATTTTTGGAAGATATTTGATTGCCTAAACTTTGTAAATTTTTTTAAATAGGATTAAAAGTAAGTTGGATCAAGGAGGAGTGATTCAAGATTTTATTAATGCCTTAGATCAGCTCTCTAATCCTGAACTGCTCTTTAAGGTAATGATAGAACGGCTTCTGGCACATAAAACATATAAGTTGGGTAAAACTTAATTGCAATCTAGCTTGATTTTTTTCTTACTTTTTTTTTCCCCTGACAGGATTGGAGCAATGATGTAAGAGCTGAACTAGCAAAAACCCCTGTAAATAAAAAAAACATTGAAAAAATGTATGAAAGAATGTATGCAGCCTTGGGTGACCCAAAGGCTCCAGGCCTGGGGGCCTTTAGAAGGAAGTTTATTCAGGTATGGACTGGCACAGCCTGCTATTTTGATAGCAGAGTCGTTGTGACAGTCAATAGTTACATTATTAAATGTAATAATATTTGTATTAAATGTAATCATTAATTTAACAGTTCTGCATTTAAAATGTCTGTTGAATGCTTTAGGTCTCATGCTTTCTGTGACACATTGATAACATTTTTAGGTCGGCTGGTAGCAGGTGAGTCAGTAGGTAAAACCTCAGAGTTTCATTACACGTTGTTCATGCTCAGATTTTTAGATCTGAAAGTTACATATAGATTGGGATTTCCAATTCTTCAAATGGCTTGAATATTGGGCCAAGAAAATATTTGTGTGTTAAATAAGCTGATAAGTATTTTCAAGCACTTAGTTCGGGGCACAGTTCTGGGTGCTCAGGAGATACATGGAGAAGACAGATCCAGTCCCCAAATACAAAGGGGTTATGTGACAAAACTGCTCACCAAGAGCTGTGCCTAGGACAAGTGTGGTAAGTGTGAGATCTTTCAGAGGGTGCTGGAGTTGGAAGGGAAACACACCATCATTTGATGAGAATGATGGAGCAAGTAGACTGCAGTCAGCCCAGTTGCTACACCTTTGCAGCCTGCTTGGCTCCTTCTCTCCCTCCTCCATCTGGAGACTTGCCCTTGGGCTTGGCGTCAGCATCATTTCTCCTTTAGAGCCTTTCCCAACCCTCCCCACGCAGGGATCTCCAGAAGAGTCGAATGTTCTTCCTCTCTCACCTAAAACAGCTTACTTTACAATCTCTCTGTTTAGCATGGGTCATACTGACTTTTCTTTCTAGTTTTTGTCAAAATTACTTTTATTCATTAAACCTCAAGAAATTTAAGGGCATAGATAAGTCTTGGAACTCTTGTTGCCAGAGTTCTCAAGTTCCACCATGTATAGGGCAAAGGAAGAGCTTTATCCTTTTTAAATAACTGCTTTGTTACTATATAATTCACATGGTCCTTAAGTCATCCATTTAAAGCATACAATGCAGTAGTTTTACATATATTCACAGAGTCATGAAATCATCACCATATCAATTTTAGTACATTTTCATCACCAGAAAAAAGAAACCCATACCCATTAGCAGCAGGGCCTCCACATAGCCTCCAGCCTAGCCTGCCCCCAGCACACTGCTACCTCAGCCAGTGTGCACGTTGTGTCGGAATTCATGGCCACTTTGTTGCTGGAAGCCCTGAGACTTCCCTGCAGGGCTGTCCATGGGGAGCACAGTTCTTACCCCTGCAGCAGCACCTGATCCTGCCCAAGCCTGCAGGGTGCAGAAAGGCCTCCCTTGTTCCTTTCAGGCAGGAGATGTGTTTGGAGTTTTATTTCTAGTACCTTAGAAAATCTATCCAGAACTTTTCCACCTTGTACCAAATCAAAAATAACTTGCATTCGTTCAAAGAATAATCTACCAAAGCGAAGTGCCTCAAATATCACTTTAGAGGATCCTTAAGGGCATTATGTCTTTCAGATAGGATGATGCTGATTATGTTTGGAAATAGCTAATCTTTCTAAGAATTGAAAATTGTTTTCTACATTTTTCATCCACTTACAGATCAAAGAAGAAATCTGTTTTATATATGTCAATTTTCCTATAGTGGATTGTCTTAAAATAGAGCACGTTTGATTTACACCAGATTTATGTTGTGACATTAGTTACAAATTTGGTAAAAACATTTCTAATTAGAGATGATCAGGTAAATCTTGACAACTGTTGAGTAACTGCTAGTAATGCTCTTGAGATTTATTTTTTATTTGATATCAGATTTATAATTCAAGTAAATATCTGAGTAGAAGCTAATGCAAAGAGATAATTACTATATTCTAAGGTAGAGTACTTATAATAATTGCTTTTAGAAATAAACATATCTGCTGGGCATGGTGGCTCACACCTGTAATCCCAGCACTTTGGGAGCGCGAGGCGGGCGGATCACTGGGTCAGGAGTTCGAGACCAGTCTGGCCAACATGGTGAAACCCATCTTTACTAAAAATACAAAAATTAGCCAGGCACGGTGGTGTGCACCTGTAGTCCCAGCTACTCAGGAGGGTGAGGCAAGAGAATCACTTGAACCCAGGAGGCAGAGGTTGCAGTGAGCCGAGATCGCACCACCGCACTCTAGCCTGGGTGACAGAGCAAGACTCTGTCTCAAAAAAAAAAAAAAAAAAAAAAAAGATTAAATAATATTTTTTCTGGTTTATTACCCAAAATAATAGCTTGAAAGACTCTTAATAAAGAAAGTAGCATTCTTAAATTTTTCTCTTCAGCTGGTATCAGAAATTATGAGCCATTTATTTCTATTGAACTACTTCCTTTATTTTGTTGTTTTTAACTTTGTTCCTAGTTATTTGTGTCATCATAATGATGTAGACCACTAACTAGACAATGAGTGCACAGAGGTTAAATGACTTCGCCAAGTTTTTAAAGCCCTTATTAGGATTTATAACTAAAAGTCACTACTAACCATGTTTTTGTTTTTTGTTTTTGAGACTGAGTCTCGATCTGTCGCCCAGGCTGGAGTGCGGTGGCATGATCTCGGCTCACTGCAACCTCCGCCTCCCGGATTCAAGCAATTATTCTGCCTCCGCCTCCTGAGTAGCTGGGACTACAGGCGAGTGCCACCGCGCTTGGCTAATTTTTTTTATTTTTAGTAGAGATGGGGTTTCACCATATTGGCCAGGCTGGTCTTGAGCTCCTGACCTCGTGATCCACCCACCTCAGCCTCCCAAAGTGCTGGGATTACAGGCATGAGCCACCGCGCCTGGTCAACCATGTCATTTATTTATTTATTTGAGGTGGAGTCTCACTCTATCACCCAGGCTGGAGTGCAGTGGCGCGATCTCGGCTCACTGCAACCTCCGCCTCCCGGGTTCAAGTGATTCTCCTGCCTCAGCCTCCCGAGTAGCTGGGATTACAGGCATGAGCCACCACACCCGACTAATTTTTTGTATTTTAAGTGGGTACAGGGTTTCACAATGTTGGCCAGGCTTGTCTCGAACTCCTGAGCTCAAGTGATCCACCTGCCTCGGCCTCCCAAAGTGCTGGGATTACAGGCATTAACCGTGTCACTTATAATGGAACACAAGAAACAAAAGGCAGACTGGATGTTTTAGAGTATTGAAATATTCAAGGAAAGCAAAACTATAATTTTTTTTTTTTTTAGAGACACGGTCTCACTCGGATACCCAGGCTGGAGTGCAGTGGCATCATCATAGTTCACTGTCACTTCAGACTCCTGGGCTCAATAGCGATCCTCCCACTTCAGCCTCCTGAGTAGATGGAACTACAGGCATGTGCCATCACACCCAGCTAATGTTTTTATTTTTTGTAGAGTTGGGGTCTTGCTATGTTGCCCGGGTTGGTCTCAAACTCCTTGGCTCAAGTAATCCTACTATCTTGGACTCCCAAAGTGCTGGGATTACAGGCATGAGCCACCATGCCCAACCAAAACTATACATCTTAAAAGCAGAGAAGAAACATATACCATTGAGCACTCCATTCATTACACTTATAAGCTTAGAGCCTTTTCCAAAGTCCAAACTAAACATCAGTCTTTATAGTAAATTCTTACTAATTTCAGACTTTTGGAAAAGAATTTGATAAACATTTTGGGAAAGGAGGTTCTAAACTACTGAGAATGAAGCTCAGTGACTTCAACGACATTACCAACATGCTACTTTTAAAAATGAACAAAGACTCAAAGCCCCCTGGGAATCTGAAAGAATGTTCACCCTGGATGAGCGACTTCAAAGTGGAGTTCCTGAGAAATGAGCTGGAGATTCCCGGTGAGTTAACCTCCAGGGGTGACAAAACTGTACTGTCAGGAGCACAGCACTGTAATAAGAACTCGTGGTTTCTGGAATAGTGATACTGGGATATTGACAGTTATTTCTTTTTTTAAAGAATTTTAAAATTCACCGAATTTTTCATCATTAGGAAAATCCATAATTATGAATGAGCACACATTACTAAATGTTTAATGAGATTATAGTTCTTATATTTCTGATTCTGACAAAAGTTCAGATTTTCATTTGGTAATAATGGTAAACAGCAATCATAGATTTCCTCTGAATGTATTCATGCTATGCTCCTGAATAACTTTTCTTCAGAAATATACAGGTATAGAGGCAGATTACTTCCTGGGATGTGTACACAGTTCCATTTAAAGTGACAAGTTTTTAAAAAAAAAAAAAAGTGACAAGTTAATGATAAGTCACTGACCTGCAGGAAAAAAGATCATAATATTAAGGATAGAGATGCACAGCAAATTGGCCAGATTTCAAGGCGTGACTTTTTCAGAGGAAACCTGTGTACATTCCATTTTCCTCACCCCGAATTTGCCAGAGGAAAAAAAGTTTTAATCTGGTTGTTCATATTCTCATTTCAGTGGGTATAAGAAAAAACATATTTGGAGAAACACTTTTCTTTGTTATTAATAATGACTATGCAGTTGCATATGGTTCATTTCAAGAAAAACATTTAAATGTCAGCCTTGTCATATGCAGCTTGATTGGCCTTGAGAATATGCAGTGTTCTAGTCAATGCATCATTTTTTCTACTTAGGATTTGTCCATGCTATTAGAATAGAGTGCTAACTTCCATAATCAGTCAAAATGAGAAATAACTTTTTTTTTTTTTTTGCGATGGAGTCTTGCTGTGTCACCCAGGCTGGAGTGCAGTGACGCAGTCTCGGCTCACTGCAAGCTCTGCCTCCCGAGTTCACGCCATTCTCCTGCCTCAGCCTCCCGAGTAGCTGGGACTATAGGCGCCCACCACCACACCCGGCCAATTTTTTGTATTTTTAGTAGAGACGGGGCTTCACCATGTAAGCCAGGATGGTCTCTGTCTCCTGACCTCATGATCTGCTCGCCTTGGCCTCCCAAAGTGCTGGGATTACAGGCGTGAGCCACTGTGCCCGGCCGAGAAATAACATTTTTTTTAAAGTCAGTTCCCTTTAAGTGAAAACTTTTCAGTAAAAGGTTTTATCATGTTAGATTGGCTTTTTAAAAAGTAGATCAAGAGGCATGTTTTAAAATACAGGCGGTTGTCTAACAAGCTGTTCCTAAGCAAGGTTCTGGTTTGTTTTAGGTCAGTATGACGGTAGGGGAAAGCCATTGCCAGAGTACCACGTGCGAATCGCCGGGTTTGATGAGCGGGTAGGTGTGAGGGTGTGTGACCCAGTCCCTGTCCTGATGAACGTTCTTCAGATGAGAATGATCTGTTTGCCTTTAGTATATGAGACAACGGCCCATGTTGATCACAGATATATCAAGTTTAGCATATTTACTGAATTCCTCTTTTTTTTTTTGAGACGGAGTCTTGCCCTGTTGCCTGGGCTGGAGTGCAATGGGACGGTCTCGGCTCACTGCAACCTCTGCCTCCCGGGTTCAAACGATTCTCCTGCCTCAGCCTCCCGAGTAGCTGGGATTACAGGCGCACGCCATCACGCCCAGCTCTGTTTTTTGAATTTTTAGTAGAGACAGGGTTTCACCATGTTGGCTAGGCTGGTCTTGAACTCCTGACCTCATGATCCATCCACCTCCGCCTCCGCAAAGTGCTGGGATTACAGGTGTGAGCCACTATGCCCGGGCTTTTTTTTTTTTTTTCTTTTTTTTTTTTGAGACAAGAGTCTCATTCTGTCAGCCAGGCTGGAGTGCAGTGGCCCATTCTCAGCTCGTTGCAACCTCCACACCCTGGGTTCGGGCGATTCTCCATGTCTCAGCCTCCCTAGTAGCTGGGATACAGGTGTGCGCCACCATGCCTGGCTAATTTTTGTATTTTTAGTAGAGACAAGGTTTGACCATGTTGGCCAGACTGGTCTCGAACTCCTGAGCTCAAGTGATCTACCTGCCCCATCCTTCCAAAGTGCTGGGATTACAGGCGTAAGCCACTGCTCCCGGCCCTGGGTTTCTTAATATATTATGTCTCCAGTGTTTGAACAACAGTTCTATTTAAGATATCATAAACTCAAAGAGTAAGCTGTGTGTGAGTATCCACTATAAAATATGTGTAGCATTAGCTTACTACTGTAGAAAGTTTGCATGTTGGCTGTTGCTGCTTGCTAAAGATATCCACATTCATAAGCAAGTATTTATAATCAGGAATACAACATTTCTGCGGGCACAGCAGTCAGGCACAAGCAGGTAGCAGAAATTCGTTGCTGGCCTGGGCGCTCTGCTCTTTGGCACTGTCTTCAGAGGGCGGCCCCACGGAGGAATGCTCACAGCCACTCTGGCTTTTCCCTCTGAGTTTGACACGTGGCTAGCCTGTGCCCTGAGATGACATTCTGATTTTTGAAGGTGACAGTCATGGCGTCTCTGCGAAGGCCCAAGCGCATCATCATCCGTGGCCATGACGAGAGGGAACACCCTTTCCTGGTGAAGGGTGGCGAGGACCTGCGGCAGGACCAGCGCGTGGAGCAGCTCTTCCAGGTCATGAATGGGATCCTGGCCCAAGACTCCGCCTGCAGCCAGAGGGCCCTGCAGCTGAGGACCTATAGCGTTGTGCCCATGACCTCCAGGTAACTGCCAGGCTGCTCCCAGCCAGTAGGCTGCTGCATATTGCTTGGCGTCCACGGGACTGTTTTTCTAGTGAAGAAAGAGCAGTTTGGGTTTACTCGTTAACCTTTTATTCTCCCTTTCAGGTTAGGATTAATTGAGTGGCTTGAAAATACTGTTACCTTGAAGGACCTTCTTTTGAACACCATGTCCCAAGAGGAGAAGGCGGCTTACCTGAGGTAAGGGCGGCCACACGCCCTGCTCCCCCAGCAGTCGCCTCCCCTCACTTCTCCAGTGGCAGGTCGGGGCCGTGACAGGCGCGCTCGAGAGCCCACACTGCCTGCCCCGCAGTCTGCTGGCTGGGTCAATAAACCAAATGGAGTGCTGGCTGCTAACCAGTAGTTGCAGATATTTTACCGTAATACAAAATATTTATTAACTTTGGGTGGGGGGAAGAAAAATTGTTGAAGGAAATAAATAATAATAAAATTATCAGATAACATGTAGTAAAACATTTTCTGTGGGCTAGGTACTGTTCTCAATTTTTAACGTGTATGAACCAATTTACTTCTCACCAACAACCTGCAAGGTAAGTATTATTATCACTGCTATACAGATGAGGAAGCTGAGGCCCAGAAAGGTCAAGTAACCTGTCCTGTGTCACTTAGCCTGTAAAGTGGGGTAGCTGGGATTACTAGTAATTCTAGGTCATGATGTGGATGCTTTTTTATTTTTCTGTATCCTTTTCTCTATTTTCCAAGTTTTCTACAATTAACATGTACATTTTAACCACAAGGTTTTTTTTATTTCCTTTTTGTTTTTGTAAAGAAAAACAAGGACAACATGAGAAACATTTTGAGGGTTGACAGATTTTGACAACCAAAGTTGACAGGTTTGGGTGACAAGCTGTAGGATAAAGGAACAGCTTCAGGGCTTCTTTCTCTTTGATGTTCTCTGATTCTTTTTTAAAAGTTTTTAAATAGGAGCAGTGTTCCCTTCAGTCAGGAAAGATTTCTGAAAATATCAAACATATTCTTATCAAACTCATATTCCCAGGTGATAATTACTCTACAGGGCAGTGTTCACCAACTTTTAGTTCCAGACATTTGAGTCCTTTGCTTAGAATTGTTTCTACTTTCCCTGGAAGACAGGGCAACTGATGAGCACGCTTCCTGGAGTCTCACAAATTGCAGATCTGGCCCTGGCACTGAGGCTCTGCCTGACAATGCAGGTGCCAAGCAGGTGTCGCCTTTCCTGTGGTACCTGCCTGCATTTGTGGGATGGAATGGTAGCGTGGAACCGCACAGGATTAACATAGGTACCAGGAGAGTTGAAAGCACCTTACATAATGGAATTATGAAAATAATTTCCAACTGCCTTTTTACAGGGCACTTCCAATACCCATTATTTAAATCCTTGCTGTTTTTTTTCTTAATTCAGCATGTTACAGTGTTTTGTTTTTTTGAGACAGAGTCTCTCTCTATCACCAGGCTGGAGTGCAGTGGCGTGATCTCGGCTCACTGTGGTCTCCGCTTCCCGGGTTCCAGCAATTCTCCTGCCTCAGCCTTCCGAGTAGCTGAGATTACAGGCGTGCACCACCATGCCCAGCTAATTTTTGTATTTTTAGTAGGGATGGGATTTCACTATGTTGGCCAGGATGATCTTGATCTCTTGACCTCGTGATCCGCCCCCATTGGCCTCCTAAAGTACTGGGATTACAGGCCTGAGCCACTGCGCCCGGCCTACAGTTTTATAACCTAAGAATTTTCATCTCAGTTTAAACTAGGAGGAGAGAATTTTAAGATGGAGTGGACTACTTTTAAAGCTAACTTTAATAGCAACTCAGAAAAGATTTCACCTGAAGTGATTGAATTGCTAAGTCACACGTGAAACTGTTCTGTCTTTAGATTTTATCGGGAAAACTTGTTAAAGCTTTCCACACAAAAGTACTTAAACATACGTGTATCACATTGTTTCCCATTGCCCAGGTACTGCCTTTTTCCTAGGAAACACTGAAAACAGCTTTTCAAGTTCACTTAAACATCCATTGTCATTTAAGAAAATATTTTCTCATAGGAGTGCAGAAGCCTTATTGGAAGAAAAAAGAAAAACAAAATATTTTCTCATACTTACTATGGATTGTGTGTATATCTACCTATTGGAAATATAAAGAAAGATGTGGCACTGGCTGGGCGCAGTAGCTCACGCCTGTAATCCCAGCACTTTGGGAGGCCAAGGTGGGCGGATCGCCTGAGGTCAGGAATTCGAGACCAGTCTGGTCAACATGGCAAAACCCTGTCTCTACTGAAAATAGAAAAATTAGCTGGGTGTAGTGGCGGGCGCCTGTAATCCCAGCCACTTAGGAGGCTGAGGCATGAGAATTGCTTGAACCCAGGAGGTAGAGGTTGTAGCAAGCCGAGATTGCACCAATGCACTCCAGCCTGGGCGACAGAGTAAGACTCTGTCTCAAAAAAAAAAAAAAAAAAAAGACAAAACAAAACAAAAGAAAAAGAGGCCAGGCGTGGTGGCTCACACCTGTAATCCCAGCACTTTGGGAGGCCGAGGCGGGCGGATCACGAGGTCAGGCATTCGAGACCAGCCTGGCCAACGTGGTGAAACCCCGTCTCTACTAAAAATACAGAAATTAGCTGAGCATGGTGGCATTTGCCTGTAATCCCAGCTACTCAGGAAGCTGAAGCAGGAGAATCACTTGAATCCATGAGGCAGAGGTTGCAGTGGGCCAAGATCGCACCACTGCACTCCAGCCTGGCGACAGAGCTAGACTCCCATCTCAAAAAAACAAAAGAAAAAGATGTGGAAGTGGTCTAAATAAAGATAAAAACAGACATAATCCATCTTTAG
Organism: Homo sapiens; assembly: GCF_000001405.40. NCBI lineage: Eukaryota > Metazoa > Chordata > Mammalia > Primates > Hominidae > Homo > Homo sapiens. The sequence goes on along the minus strand of NC_000008.11, from coordinate 47,779,538 downwards.
CAAAACTGTGCGGGCTTTTTGGCTATGGTAGTGACATGGCCTGAGGCTTCCAGCAGCCGCCTGTGGTGCTGTCGCCCTCTTGCTATGGTTCTTTCTAGGTCAAAGTTTCAGAATTGCATGCCTGGTTAATAAACAGTTATGTTTAGTTCATCTTATTCCTCTCTATGTCAGTGGGAAATTTGTTGGATCTGATGGTTTTGTACCTGAATTTTTCATAGGCAATAGCTTGGATTTCTTTAGGAGTAATTAAGAATGAATAATGGTATATTGAAATTCAAGATCCAGAGTAATGTGGGTTCAATGTTAATATTGAATATGGTTAAAAGTCTTATTATTTTTTCCTGCCTCTTTGCTATTTTTCAATGAATTCTTGGTGATCTTTGCCTTTGAAATCACATAATGCTAAAATCTTCCTAATTCCAATTCCCCTTTTCTCACTCATTAGTGATCCCAGGGCACCGCCGTGTGAATATAAAGATTGGCTGACAAAAATGTCAGGAAAACATGATGTTGGAGCTTACATGCTAATGTATAAGTAAGTTTGGTTTTGATTTTTCTTTGTATTAGTTAGTTCATTCTTCTGCAAATTGCATGTTTTCTTTTGATTCTTAGCTTTGCCTCAGAGAGATCATCAAGATTATTCGATATTTGAGTCTCAATATAAACAAAAAGTTTTAAAATTTAAATTTTAAGTCAGAGAAATTTTTTCTAATTAGATGTTTCTATTATTAAATCATAGGGGCGCTAATCGTACTGAAACAGTCACGTCTTTTAGAAAACGAGAAAGTAAAGTGCCTGCTGATCTCTTAAAGTAAGTACCCTTCTGCCCTCACCCTTAGTGGGATCACAGCAGCCGCACAGCTGTGTCTCTTTTGTAGGCGGGCCTTCGTGAGGATGAGTACAAGCCCTGAGGCTTTCCTGGCGCTCCGCTCCCACTTCGCCAGCTCTCACGCTCTGATATGCATCAGCCACTGGATCCTCGGGATTGGAGACAGACATCTGAACAACTTTATGGTGGCCATGGAGACTGGCGGCGTGATCGGGATCGACTTTGGGCATGCGTTTGGATCCGCTACACAGGTGCACTTGCTGTGCTCTCGTGATCCTGGGCAAGGCGAGAGTCATCATAGGACTTTCAACAACCTCCAGAAATAGACAGTTTTTAAGGAAAAACAACATATTAGTTAGATTCGTTTTGTCATGGTCATTGAATGCAGAAAGGGATAATCACTTAGTTCAGCCTCATTCAGTCAGGTCACAGAAGTCATGGTGATCAGTGATATCATCAGAGCCGGTAATTAAATGTGTTCGCAGATCAAAGGAAGACTCTAAGAAAGTTTTAGGAAGCCCCGTAATAAAAATGTCTGGTCAAAAATGTGATACAGATCTTTTCTCTGGTTAACCTCTGAATGTTTTGGATCATCCTTCTCAATCTCTGCGGCCCTGTGTCCTGTGCACGTGGGTTTTGCATTGAGGGATAACTCAAGCCGAGGGGGTTACTCTCGAGCATAGGAACTCACATCTGTGTAGCTGATTTCAAGGGAAGCAGAGTCTGTATTTTTACTAAATGTGAACAGTAACTATGTGAGGATGCTGCCATTTGTGCTCGGTACTTTGAGAGTTCTGGCTTACATATTCTGCTCCTTGCCTTTTTTCTTGTTTAGTTTCTGCCAGTCCCTGAGTTGATGCCTTTTCGGCTAACTCGCCAGTTTATCAATCTGATGTTACCAATGAAAGAAACGGGCCTTATGTACAGCATCATGGTACACGCACTCCGGGCCTTCCGCTCAGACCCTGGCCTGCTCACCAACACCATGGATGTGTTTGTCAAGGAGCCCTCCTTTGATTGGAAAGTAGGTTTTGTTTCATGTGCACTTTTCACTTTTGTGACAGTGTCCCCGTGATCAAGCTGGTATCTCTCGTGTATGATGGAAGTGCATTGAGTCATGTTGATGAAAATATTTACATTATTTTGTACAGCATTTCTCAAAGTTAGTATTTAGGATTGTCTGCTTGAAAACCAGTTAAGAGGCTGGGCCCAGTGGCTCACACCTATAATCCCAAAACTTTGGGAGGCAGAGACGGGAGGATCACCTGAGGTCAGGAGTTGGAGACCAGCCTGGCCAACATGGTAAAACCCTGTCTCTACTAAAAATACAGAAATTAGCTGGGCGTGGTAACGCACACCTGTAATCCCAGCTCCTTGGGAGGCTGAGGCAGGAGAATGGCTTGAAACCAGGAGGCAGAGGTTGCAGTGAGCCGAGATCACGCCACTGCACTCCAGCCTGGGTGACAAGAGTGAAACTCCGCCTCAAAAAAAAAAAAATTAACAGGCAAAACCTTTATTTGGAGAAATAAGGGGACTGCTGAGGCCCCTCGTCTCGTGATGTGTGTGCCATGGAGTCTGTATGAACAGCTTTGTAGCTGTAGAAAGCAAGGCTGCTCCTGGTTATAGATGTTTGTTTACTTTAAGATCATTACTAGATTTAATCTGTTTGGGCATGATTGTATATACCATTATGATCAGCCGGGAAAATCATGTTCTTTTCTTCTAGAATTTTGAACAGAAAATGCTGAAAAAAGGAGGGTCATGGATTCAAGAAATAAATGTTGCTGAAAAAAATTGGTACCCCCGACAGAAAATATGTTACGCTAAGAGAAAGTTAGCAGGTGCCAATCCAGCAGTCATTACTTGGTAAGATTTTTATATGTGGAAAAAACTAACGGACTACCGACATGCTACTGTTTCTCGAGGAGCCAACATATATACAAAGTGCTGAGCTCTTGACACTCTGTTAGCATGACTTCTCTGCTTTCATTGAGGAGGAAAGCAGGGCTTAGAGAGGCTGACTTCCCCAAAGCCAGGGCAAGGCCTGCAACTCTGACGTATGTGACCCCTGCACTGTCTTCAGGTTTAAACTCAGTCCCTGGAACAGTGGCGCCAATTGGAGAAACAGAAGGTGCACTCTTAGACAGTTGCCAGAATATTGTTACATGCATGAGGAGACTTAGGTTTTAAATTTGCTTTTGTCCTTTTTAGGGCGTTTGACCCTGATGAATATAGTACCTAGGTATGAAAAGCACTGTGTGGGCTTGTTAGATGAGAATTCAATTTGGGTTGGCTTTTAGGTTAGCCTTAAAGTTTTCTCTTGTTGAGGTCTAAAGCAAATAGAAATTTATGGAGATGATTCATAGGAATGAAAAAAGTTGGACTTTAGAATTAAGTAATAGTGGCAATCTATTGTCAACTTATTTTTGACAAGGGTGCCAAGACCATTCAGTGACCTTTCCAACAAATAGCGCTGGCAAAAGAATGAAGTTAGGTCCTTGTTTCACACCATGTGGAAAAATTAATTCAGAATGGATCAGAGAGCTAAGTGTAAGAGTCAAAACTATAAAACACTTAGAAATAGGAGTAAATCAGCTGGGCGTGGTGGCTCACGCCTCAACACTTTGGGAGGCCAAGGCTAGTGGATCACTTGAGGTCAGGAGTTCGAGACCACCCTGGCCATCAAGGTGAAACCCCATCTCTACTAAAAATACAAAAATTAGCTGGGCATGGTGGTGCGCACCTGTAATCCCAGCTGCTAGGGAGGCTGAGGGAGGAGAATGACTTGAACCTGGGGAGGCGGAGGTTGCAGTGAGCCAAGATGGCACCACTGTACTCCAGCCTAGGCGACAAAGTGAGACTCTGCCTCAGAAAAAAAAAAAAAAAAGGAATAGGAGTAAATCATCCTGACCTTGGATTTTGTTGTGATACTTGCCATTTTTTAGGTATGACACTGAAAGCACAAGCAAGAAACAAATATATACATTGGACTTCATCAAAATTAAACAATTTTGTGCTTCACAGAGTGCTATCAAGAAGGTGTTTCAGCCTTCCAAATGGGATAAAATATTTGCAAGTCATGTATCTGATATGGGACTTGTATCTAGAATACATTAAAAAAACTCTTATTGCCTAATAATAGGTAGATAGATAACCCAATTAAAAATGGTCAGGGCTGGGCGCAGTGGCTCACACCTGTAATCCCAGCTACTAGGGAGGCTGAGGCAGGAGAATCACTTGAACCCAGGAGGCAGAGGTTGCAGTGAGCCGAGATCACGCCATTGCACTCCGGCCTGGGTGACAGAGCAAGACCCTGTCTCAAAAAAAAAAAAAAAAAAAAAAAAATGGTCAAAAGACTTGAACTGACATTTCTTTAATGAAAATATACAAATGGCCAATAAGCGGCATGCAAAAATGCTCAACGTCACTAGTCATCAGGGAAATCCAAGTGAGATACTACCTCACACCTGCTAGGATGGCTATTAATTAATTAATTTATTTATTTATTTATTTATTTATTTTTGAGACAAAGTCTTGCTCTGTCACCCAGGCTGGAGTGCAATGGCACGATATGGACTCACTGCAACCCCCACCTCCTGGGTTCAAGCGATCCTCCTGTCCGAGCCTCCTGAGTAGCTGGAATTATAGGTTCATGCTACCACGCCTGGTAATTTTTGTATTTTTAGTAGAAATGGGGTTTCGCCATGTTGGCCAGGCTGGTCTTGAACTCCTGACCTCAGGCGAGCCACCACGCCTTGCCAGATGACTATAATTTTAAAATGGGGCTAATGCAGTGGCTCACACCTGTAATCCCAGCACTTTGGGAGGCCAAGGCAGGAGGATAACTAGAGCCCGGGAGTTCAAGTCTAGCCTGGGCAACATAGCAAGACCCTGTCTCTACCAAAAATTTTTAAAACTTTCTCTTTTTTTAATTAAAAAAAAAGGAATCTAACAAGTGTTGAGGATGTAGAGAAGGTGGACTCCTCATACTCTGCTGGTGGGAGTGGGAAAAGGTGCAGCTGCTGTGGGAAAGTGGCAGTTCTTCACAAAGTTAAACATAGAGTTACCATTGGACCCATCAATGCCACTCCTAGGTGAATCCTAGGAATTCACTCAGGAGAAGTGAAGGCATACATTCACACAAAAACTTGAGCAGCATAATTCATGTTCTGTTTTCCTACAAATCCAGTCTTTGACTTCAAGGTTATAAGCCACAGAAAATACTCTGTGAGTGATGACGTGGGGAATGTGTTTGGATAGGATCACTAGGGATGCAGGCAACAAAGGACAATGACACATGCTTTGTGTTTTCTGTGTTTGTTTTTTTTCCAGTGATGAGCTACTCCTGGGTCATGAGAAGGCCCCTGCCTTCAGAGACTATGTGGCTGTGGCACGAGGAAGCAAAGATCACAACATTCGTGCCCAAGAACCAGAGAGTGGGCTTTCAGAAGAGACTCAAGTGAAGTGCCTGATGGACCAGGCAACAGACCCCAACATCCTTGGCAGAACCTGGGAAGGATGGGAGCCCTGGATGTGAGGTCTGTGGGAGTCTGCAGATAGAAAGCATTACATTGTTTAAAGAATCTACTATACTTTGGTTGGCAGCATTCCATGAGCTGATTTTCCTGAAACACTAAAGAGAAATGTCTTTTGTGCTACAGTTTCGTAGCATGAGTTTAAATCAAGATTATGATGAGTAAATGTGTATGGGTTAAATCAAAGATAAGGTTATAGTAACATCAAAGATTAGGTGAGGTTTATAGAAAGATAGATATCCAGGCTTACCAAAGTATTAAGTCAAGAATATAATATGTGATCAGCTTTCAAAGCATTTACAAGTGCTGCAAGTTAGTGAAACAGCTGTCTCCGTAAATGGAGGAAATGTGGGGAAGCCTTGGAATGCCCTTCTGGTTCTGGCACATTGGAAAGCACACTCAGAAGGCTTCATCACCAAGATTTTGGGAGAGTAAAGCTAAGTATAGTTGATGTAACATTGTAGAAGCAGCATAGGAACAATAAGAACAATAGGTAAAGCTATAATTATGGCTTATATTTAGAAATGACTGCATTTGATATTTTAGGATATTTTTCTAGGTTTTTTCCTTTCATTTTATTCTCTTCTAGTTTTGACATTTTATGATAGATTTGCTCTCTAGAAGGAAACGTCTTTATTTAGGAGGGCAAAAATTTTGGTCATAGCATTCACTTTTGCTATTCCAATCTACAACTGGAAGATACATAAAAGTGCTTTGCATTGAATTTGGGATAACTTCAAAAATCCCATGGTTGTTGTTAGGGATAGTACTAAGCATTTCAGTTCCAGGAGAATAAAAGAAATTCCTATTTGAAATGAATTCCTCATTTGGAGGAAAAAAAGCATGCATTCTAGCACAACAAGATGAAATTATGGAATACAAAAGTGGCTCCTTCCCATGTGCAGTCCCTGTCCCCCCCCGCCAGTCCTCCACACCCAAACTGTTTCTGATTGGCTTTTAGCTTTTTGTTGTTTTTTTTTTTCCTTCTAACACTTGTATTTGGAGGCTCTTCTGTGATTTTGAGAAGTATACTCTTGAGTGTTTAATAAAGTTTTTTTCCAAAAGTAGTGTGTATCTCTTTTATGCAGTTTCAAGAGCAAAATATTCATCTTACAAAATAGTTTATTATATTACTTGCCTAGTTTGTTCTGATAAATGCGGGTTAAATGCATTATGGCATTTAAAATAAACATTTATGGCCAGGCACAATGGCGTACACTTGTGATCCAAGCATGTTGGGAGGCCAAGGCTTGAACTCCTTGAGCCCAGGAGTTAAAGACCAACGTGGGCAACATAATGAGATCCCATGTCTATTTTTAAAAATAACAAATTTATCTTCTCAACAAATGACACCTATTGAACCAAATTTCATCTGTAAAGAAAAATAAGTAATCGTGTGTGTGAAAAATCTGGTGCACATGATCTAGTAAATATTTTTGCACAAAAATGACCAAAGTAAGCCCACTTTGGAGTAAGTTGATAATATATTGTTTTCTGTAACAACTAATTAGCTATAATTCTTGCTTGAGTCCTGATAATTCGGGCTACATTCATTAAATGGATCACCTACATTGTGGGAAACCCTGTTTTTTTAATGACTACTTTTCATATCAATAGAAGTTGATTGTTACAGCCAGGTGTGGCAGCTCACGCCTGTAATTCCAGCACTTTAGGAGGCCGAGGCGGGTGGATCACCTGAGGTCGGGAGTTCGAGACCAGCCTGACCAACATGGAGAAACCCCGTCTGCACTAAAAGTACAAAATTAGCCAGGCGTGGTGGTGCATGCCTGTAATCCCAGCTACTCGGGAGGCTGAAGCAGGAGAATCGCTTGAACCCAGGAGGCGGAGGTTGCGGTGAGCCAAGATCATGCCATTGCACTCCAGCCTGGGCAACAAGAGCAAAACTCAGTCTCAAAAAAAAAAAAAAAAAAAAAAAGATTGTTACAGGTTGTGTGTGTGGTTCCAGTCTCAAAGCTGTGTGCTCAAAAAGTTCATCATTGCTCACGAGAATGCAGTAAGAAGAAACATGCTGTGTACAGCATTCAGAAAACATTCATAAAGTTACACTAGATGTTAAATGGTCATTACACAACGAAGGAACTGCACATCTGAATCATCACTGGGGCTCAAACTTTAACTTGTGATTCTTGCTGAATAAGAATATTTGATTTGGAAACCAAACAAAAAACACTTAACACTGATTACAATTACAAGGAAATATGAATGATATGAATGGTAATATTTACATTATAAACAGATTTTGATATTCAGGTTGTATATGAAACATTTGTTCTTCAACCCCAAAATAACCCAGGAAGTTTCCGATTTAAGCTTAATGAAGACTTGAATGATCCCATGCTTATGAATATTTATTTTAGTAGTTTGTCAGACTAAAAACCCAAGTATATAATAAACTCCTTTAGGACAAGTACTGTGTCCTAATCACTATCTTGTCAACACCTAATAGTCTGGCACATGATAGTCAACAGAACAAAGCCATAGGAATAATTTAGTAAAGAATTCAACTTTTAAAAACTATAAGAAATATAAATTATTGGCTGGGCGTGGTGGCTCATGCCTATAATCCCAGCACTTTGGGAGGCTGAGGCGGTGGATCACGAGGTCAGGAAATCAAGACCATCCTGGCTAACACGGTGAAACCCCGTCTCTACTAAAAATAGAAAAAATTAGCCAGGCGTGGTGGCAGGCGCCTATAGTCCTAGCTACTCAGGAGGCGGGAGAATGGCATGAACCGGGGAGGCGGAGCTTGCAGTGAGCTGAGATGGCGCCACTGCACTCCAGCCTGGGCGACAAAGCGAGACTCTGTCTCAAAAAAATAAGTACATAAAAATTATTTCACTGACGAGAATTTTTAAAGCACCGTTTATTAACTAATGACCAGTAACTTTTTTTTTTTGAGATTCACTGTTGCCCAGGCTGGAGTGCATTGGCGCTTTCTCAGCTCACTGCAACCTCCACCTCCCGGGTTCAAGTGATTCTCCTGCCTCAGCCTCCCGAGTAGCCAGGACTAGTGGCGCGCACCACCACGCCCGGCTAATTTTTGTACTTTAAATTTTGTATTTTGTGTTTTTAGTAGAGATAGGGTTTCACCATGTTGGCCAGGCTGGTCTCAAACTCCTGACAGGTGATCTGCCTGCCTCAGCCTCCCAAAGTGTTGGGATTACAGGCGTGAGCCACTGCACCTGTCCTGCCAAAAACTCTTTGAGCTTCAGAATGTTGTCTGTATTAAAATGAAAATACAGCTCTGGAGTTGCATGAAGTTGCTTTTGAATATTTTATGAAAGTAAAGAATTTAGGGATCATGCCACTGCACTCCAGCCTGGGCGACACACTTATTTTTGAGACAGTGTCTCAAAAAAAGAAATTAAGGATCAGCTTTTCAAAAAGTGAAAAGGCCATTGGGCTTTGATAGGAATTGCATTGAATCTGCAGATTGCTTTGGGTAATTGCCATCTTAACAATACTGTATTTCAATCCACGAGCACAGAATGCATTTCCACTTATTTATATCTTGTTTAGTTTCTTTCAACAATGGTTTGCAATTTTCAGTAGTTTTAAATATTTCTAATGTTTTGTTTCCTTGGTTAAATGTATTCCTAGCTATTTTGTTCTTTTGGATATTGTTGTAAATGGAATTGTTTTTCCTAACTTTGTTTCCAGATTATTCATTGCTAGTGTATACAAATGCTTATTTTGTGTGTTGGTCTTTTCTCCTGCAACTTTGCTGAATTAACTTAATAGCTTTAGTATTTATTTTTTGTATTTCGGATTTTCTGTATATAGGATGATGTCTTCTGTGCGTAGAGACAGTTTTATTTCTTTTCCAATTTGACTACCTTTTCTTTTTTCTTACCTAATTGTTCTGGCTAGAACATTCAGCACAATGCTGAGCAGCAGTGGTAAAAGTGGGCATCCTTCTCTTGTTCCTAGTCTTAGGGAGAAAGTTTTCATCTCTTACCATTGAGTGTGATGTTAGCTGTGGGTTTTCTTTTCTTTTTTTTCTTTTTTTTTTTTTTTTGAGACGGAGTCTTGCTCTGTCACCCAGGCTGGAGTGCAGTGGTCTGCAACCTCCGCCTCCCGGGTTCAAGCGATTCTCCTGCCTCAGCCTCCTGAGTAGCTGGGATACAGGCGTGCACCACCACACGGGCTAACTTTTTGTATTTTTAGTAGAGATGGGGTTTCATGGTGTTGGCCAGGATGGTCCTGATCTCCTAATCTCGTGATCCACCCGCTTCGGCCTCCCAAAGTGCTGGGATTACAGGTGTGAGCCACTGTGCCCGGCCAGCTGTGGGTTTTCATAAATGCCCTTTATCATGTTGAAGAAGTTCCTTCTAAGTTTGGTAAGTGTTTTTATTATGAAATGGTGAATTTTCCCAAGTGGTTTTTTTTTTTTTTTTGGCATCAAAATGAACCTGTGGTTTTTCTCCTTTAGTCTATAAATGTCATGTATTATATCGATTTATATTTGTATATTGAACCACACTTTCTTTGCTGGGATGAATTCTACCTGGCCATGGTGAATAATCCTTTATAATTGTTGGTTTTAGTTTGCTAATATTTCATCGAGGATTTTTGCATCAAGAGGAGATATTAATCTCTAGTTTTCTTGTGGTGCCTTTGTCTGACCTTGTTATCAGGGTAGTGTTGGCTTCATAAAATGGGTTAGAAAGTTTTCCTTCCTCTGATATTTACTGGAAGAGTTTGAGAAAGATTTGGTATTAATTATTTAAAGGTTTTGTGGAATTCAACAGTGAAGGCATGTGGTGCTAGTTTTGTCTTCGTTGGAGGTTTTTCATCGCTGATTCAATCACTGCTTGTTATAGATCTGTTCACATTTTCTATTTTTTCTTGAGTCAGTTTTGGTAATTTGTGTGTTTCTAGGAATTTGTCCATTTCATCCAGTTTATCTAATGCACTGGCATTTATTTCGGTAAGGTTAGTGGTAGTGTCCCTGTGTTCATTTCTGATAGTTATTTGTTTTTTCTTTTTCTTAATATAGCTTAATCATTTTTAGCTTTATAGGTAAAGGTGAGTCAATTTTGTTAGCCTCTTCAAAGAACCAACTTTGTTTTGTTGATTTTGTTTTTCCCTTTTTTTTTTCTTTTTTCTTTCTTTCTTTTTTTTTTTTTTTTTTTGAGACAGGGTCTCTCTCTGTTGCCAAGGCTAGAGTGCAGTGGCGTGATCTCGGCTCACTGCAACCTCCACCTCCCAGTTTTAAGCGATTCTCCTGCTTTAGCCTCCCAAGTAGCTGGGATTTCACAGGTACCCACCATCACACCCGGCTAGTTTTTGTATTTTATTTTTATTTTTATTTTTTCGAGACGGAGTCTTGCTGTTGTCCCCTGGGCTGGAGTGCAATGGCGCAATCTTGGCTTACTGCCACCTTTGCCTCCTGGCTTCCAGCAATTCTCCTACCTCAGCCTCCTGAGTAGCTGAGATTACAAGCACCTGCCACTACATCCAGCTAATTTTTGTATTTTTAGTGGAGACCGGGTTTCACCGTGTTGGCCAGGCTGGCCGCGAACTGCTGACCTCAGGTGATCCACCTGCCTCGGCCTCCCAAAGTGCTGGGATTACAGGTATGAGCCACCGCGCCTGGCCATTTTTGTATTATTAGCAGAGACAGGGTTTCACCATGGTGGCCAGGCTGGTCTTGAATTCCTGATCCCAAGTGATTGAGATTTGATTTGTGTCCCTTAGGTTTAGATGGTTGATAGTGTTGTTCAAGTCTGCTATTTCCTTATTGTTATGTTTAGATGTTCCATTATTGACAATGGGGTATTGAGGTCTCCAACTATTATTTTATTTTAATTTTTTTGAGGTGGAGTCTCATTCCATCTCCCAGACTGGAGTGCAGTGGCATGGTCTCAGCTCACTGCAACCTCCGCCTCCCGGGTTCAAGCAATTCCCCTGCCTCAGCCTCCCGAGTAGCTGGGACTACAGGCACCTGCCACCATGCCCAGCTGAGTTTTGTATTTGTATTTGTATTTTTTTTAGTAGAGACGGGGTTTTGCCATGTTGGCCAGGCCAATCCCGAAATCCTGACCTCAAGCGATCCACCCACCTCGACCTCCCAAAGTGCCTGGATTACAGGCGTGAGCCACCATGCCCAACCTTCAACTATTATTTTCGATCTGTCTCTTCTCCCTTCAGTTCAATGTTTGCTTCATATGTTTTGGAGATTTGCTGTTTGGCGTTTGTGTCTTTATAATTCTTACAATGTTTTTGATGGACTGACCTTTTATCAATATCTAACGTCCCTTTTTTTTATCTCTTGTAACAAGTTTTGACTTAAAGTCTTATAAAGTCTTATTTTCTGTTATTAGTAGTCACGCCAGCTTTCTTTTTTTTTTTTTTTTTTTTTTTTGAGACAGAGTTTTGCTCTTGTTGCCCAGACTGGAGTGCAATGGCACAATCTCAGCCATGCCAGCTTTCTGTTGGTTACTAATGCATGGAAAATATTTTTCCATCCTTTCACTGTAAATCTCGTTGTGCCTTTGGATTTAAGTCACCTGTAGATAGCATGTAGTTAGGTCATGTTTTTAAAATCCATTCTGCCAATCTCTCTTTCAGTTGGTGGATTAAATACATTTACATTCAAAATGATTTTTGATTAGGAACAACTTCTGTCACTTTGCTGTTTGTTTTCTATAAATTTCAATCTTTTTCCCCTAAATTCCTCCAATAGTGTTTTGTATTTGATTGATTTTGCTAGTATTCCATTTGAATTCCCTCGTTTTCTTTTCTGTATGTTTTAAAGTTTTATCTTAGTGGTTATCCTGGTGATTATAATTAATAGCTTAAATTTCTAAGAATATAGTTTGAATTGATACAACTTAGCTATTGAGTTGTTTGAGCTCCTTATATATTCAGGTTATGAATCCATTATCAAATGGGTAGTTTGCAAATATTTTTTCCCATTCTGCGGGTTGTTTTTTACTATGTTGATTATTTTGCTGTGCAGCTTTTTGGCTTGATGTAATCCCAACTGTCCATTTCGGTTGCCTGCGCTTTTGAGGCCTTATGCAAAACATTTTTGCCCAGACCAATGTCCTGGAGAGTTTCCAAACCAACATTTTCTTGTAGTAGTTTCACAGTTTCAGGTCTTAGATTCAAGTCTTTAATCCATTTCTGTGATTTTTGTGTAAAGTGAGAGTTAGGGGTGTCCACATTCTGCATGTGGATATCCAGTTTTCCCAGCACCATTTATTGAAAACTGTCGTTTCCCCCATTGTAAGTTCTGGGTGCCTTTGTAGAAGATGAGTTGGTTATAAATGCGTGGATTTATATCTGGATTTTCTATTCTGTCTCATTGATCTATGTGTCTGTTTTTATGCCAGTTCCATGCTATTTTGGTTACTATAGCTTTGTAATAAATTTTGAAGAAAGGTTGTGTGATGCCAGCTTTGTTCTTTTTGCTCAGGATTACTTTGGCTATTCGGCATCTTTTTTAGTTCCATACAAATTTTAGGATTTTTTTTTTTCTATTTCTGTGAAGAATGTCATTGGTATTTTGATAGGGATCGCATTGAATGTGTAAATTGCTTTGGGGCAGAATTGTCATTTTAACAATATTCATTCTTCAAGACCATAAGCATGGAATATCTTTCACTTTTTTTGTGTCCTCTTCTGTTGTTTGTTTTTGAGACAGGGTCTCAGTCTGTTGCCCAGGCTGGAGTGCAGTGGTGCTATCATGGCTCACTGCAGCCTTGACCTTCTGGGCTCAGGTGATTCTCCCACTTCAGCCTCCTGAGTAGCTGAGACTACAGGCTCACGCCACGATGCCTGGCTAATGTTTTGTATTTTTAGTAGAGATGGGGTTTCACCATGTTGCCCAGGCTGGTCTCGAACTCCTGGACTCAAACAGTCTGCCCACCTTGGCCTCCCAAAGTGCTGAGATTACAGGTTTGAGCCACCGCGCCCAGCCCACACATTAACTTTATAACAATAAACAAAAGTCCTCTGTATTGGGGGAACCCACCCCCAATATTTCAACGTATGTTTTCTATTTTCCCTAAGTGTCGGCTGGTCTGAGAAATAAAGAGTACAAAAGAGAAATTTTACAGCTCGGCCTCCCGGGGTGACATCACATGTCGGCAGGTTCCGTGATGCCCACCTGAGCTGCAAAACCAGCAAGTTTTTATTAGGGATTTCAAAAGGGGAGGGGGGTATGAATAGGGAGTGGGTTACAGAGATCACATGCTTCAAATGGCAATAAAAGATCACAAGGGCAGAAGGGCAGAGCAAGGTCACAAGGCCAGGGTGAAATTAGAATTACCAGTGAGGTTCCATGTCCTGCTGTGCATGCATTGTCATTGGTAAACATCTTAACAGGAAACAGGGTTCAAGAGCAGAGAACCGGTCTGACTAGAATTCTCCAGGCTGGAATTTCCTAATCCTAGCAAGCCTGAGGGCAGTGCAGGAGACCAGGGCATATTTCATCCCCTATCTTCAACTGCATAAGGCAGACACCCCCAGAGTGGCCGTCCATAGGCCTCCCCTAGGAATGCATTCCGTTCCCAGGGTTATTCCTCACTGGGGAAAGAATTCAGCGATATTTTTCCTACTCGTTTTTTGCAATAAGAAAAATATGACTGTTCTGTCCAGCCCCACAGGCAGTCAGACCTTATGGTTATCTCCCTTGCCCTGAACATTGCTGTTATCCTGTTCTTTTTCAGGGTGCCCAGACTTCATATTGTTCAAACACACGTTTTACAATTTGTGGAGTTAACACAGTCATTACAGGGTCCTGAGGCAACATACATCCTCAGTTTACAAAGATGACGGGATTAAGAGATTAAAGTAAAGACAGGCATAGGAAGTTGTAAGAGTATTGATCGGGGAAGTGATAAATGTCCATGAAATCACAATTTATGTTCTGCCGTGGCTTCAGCCGGTCCCTCTGTTCAGGGTCCCTGACTTCCTGCAACACTCTGAACTCTACTGATACACAAAGTAGTTAATGATAAATGCATTTATGCTCACCTGAGACAAAGGAGGAAAAAAAAATTGGTCAAATTGATAGAAAATGAAACCTTACGTACAAAGTCCCTGGAGACCACAGAAACCGAAAGGATCAAGTGGCCTGGGCTCTCCAGTGGAGTGGTGAGGGAACCCAAAGGCAGTAGTGGGAAGTGGGGCGACTGGAATGAGCTTCTGAAGGAACGGCCATCAGTTATGACAGATCTGGTCAATTCATTGTATCTCGTGAACACTGCCGAGAGCAGCTCCTTGGTGCCTAGGCCGCGCTAAGGGGAGTGCACCCAAGGGGAACAGACCCGAGGGAGGGTGCGGGTAGGTGGGAAGCGGAGCTATGAGAGGAGACCCGTGGGAGCCGCCATCCCGTGTGCCCCCTCCTCTGCGGGCAGAAAGTCCGCGTGGGCGGCCCTGTCGCCGGGGCCTCCCTCCTTGCCTGCACCCCTGCTTATCAGAGGGGCCCCCGGGGGCAGGGGCGAGCCCTTTCCTCCTGGCTGCGACCCAGCCCCTGCGGCTGACCTGGGACGCCAGAGCCTCAGGGTGCAGCACTGGGTTGTGAGCCCCAGACCCACACCCCTCTTGTTTTGGGAAAACTGAATAAAACCCCAGCGCCAGGGACCTGATGGGGACGGAGTTTCCCCAGAGACGGCCAGACGGACTTGGCGCCGCTCGGTCTTCAGAAGCTGCTGCGTCTCCCGGGCCTGCAGGTGTCCGCCACGCCCTTGATGGTGTGGAAGGCGCCTCTGTGCGCGGGGTCCCCGGGCCTTCTCACAGCACCGCCTCCCACCGCGGATCCAGCCGCTCTCCACGCTTGGGGAAGGGAGGCATCGGGTCCAGCCCGCTTGGGATCCAGCTCCCGGCCTGGAGGGCGAGACACAACGTTTTCAACGCTGCAGAGCGTCAGGGGCTAGGCCCAGAGCAGGCAGCGGTAAGGGAGAGGGGCACACACAACCACACCACACACACCCCATCACACACCACACAAACGATACACAACCACACCACACACCCCATCGCACACCACACAACCACACCAAACACATCCCATCACACACACAACACACACAACTACACACACACCATCATACACCACACACACCCACAATACACCCCATCACACACCACACGCACAACCACACACACATCACACACGCCATCAACCACACCACACAGAACCACACCACACACCCCATCACACACACACCACACACACATCACACACATCCCATCACACACATCACCACACCACACACCCCATCACACCACACAACCATACCACACACCCCATCACACAACCACACACACCATCACGCACACACCACACAACCACACCACACACCATGACACACACATATACACCACACACACCACACCACAGGCTCCACACAGCATCACACACAGCATCATACACACCACACACAATTACCCCACACACATCAAACCACACCACACACACCCCACACTCATATCACACACACCACACAGACACACACACTCACACACACTAGGAGGTTCATTGCAAGGAACTGCCTTAGAAGACTTGGTCTGGCGTGGCCGGGCCAGTCTGAATCCTCTCGGGCCAGCGTGAAGCCACCGTCCCAGGGGGACTGTTTCTGGGGGACTTGGCTGCAGCCCTGAGCCCTGTCGCCTGCCTGGATCCTGCCCACGCAGGTGGTCCAGGGGCGTCTCCTCGGCCGGTGAAGATGCTGGTCCCACCTACACGAGACTGGGTCACTGCGGACTGAGCCCAGCCCGGCGGCGCAGAAAGAGGACAGTAGCGGCTAGGGAAGACGCGCACTTCCCTCACGGAGAATAATGGGTCTGTACGCATTGACTCAGACAATGTCTTTATCTGTTGGGTTACAATCTGCTGCTATGCTGTTCCTCTTGTTGCTCAACTTCACTTTCACACATTTTGTCACTGCAGGATGTTTGCCCTGGACCCAGCCAGACATCCCAAGACATTCGTCCCGGGACGACAGAATGGGGTTTAGAAACCAGGGGCTGGGCGCCGCGCGTGCTGTGACTGGTTGGCACTGAGAAACACCGATTGTTAGCAGAACAGACTAAAACGCTAATTCCCGGCCTCACGTGCAACTTGGAGGAAGCCTTCCCAAGGGGTCGGGGCACAGGCTTCTCTGCAGGGGAAGGGAGCAACCATGCGCAGTTTCCTGGCTCAGGCAGCGCAGACCTGACCGCCCACCCCTGGACTTCTTTTACATGAGAGAGAAAACCTTTAGACCTGTTAAGTCAGATATTTTGGACTGCCTGTTACCCCAAATGAAACCGAATACACAGGAGCTTGCTTTTTTAGCAAGGCTACAGTCCTACAGCATTCACACAGTAAAAGTCACATACAGCAAAGAGGCGCACACAACTAAATGAGTCTACAATTGAGTACTGCGTTTCAGCTCACTTGAGATGTGCCTGAATCTAAGATGCACCCAGACTTTATGTGCCACGGAGAAAGAAAAATGCTTCCATTTAAACAATGACCCAGGCTGGGCGCGGTGGCTCACGCCTGTAATCCCAGCACTTTCAGAGGCCGAGGTGGGTGGATCACCTGAATTCAGGAGTTACCAGTCTGGCCAGTGTGGTGAAACCCCGTCTCTACTAAAAAATATAAAACTAGCCGGGCGTGGTGGCACATGCCTGTAATCCCAGCTACTCGGGAGGCTGAGGCAGGAGAATCGCTTGAACCCGGGAGGCGTAGGTTGCGGTGAGCCGAGATCGTGCCATTGCACTCCAGCCTGGGCAAAAAGAGCAAAACTCCACCTAAAAAAAAGAAAAAAAAAAAAGGGGGCAATGACGCAAAGCTTCCATCTATCTTTTTATTATCATTATTATTTTTTCTTTTTTTTTTTTTTGAGACAGAGGCTCACTCTATTGCCCAGGCTGGAGCGCAGTGGCACAATCTCAGCTCTTGGCAACCTCTGCCTCCTGAGTTCAAGCGATTCTCCTGTCTCAGCCTCCTGAGTAGCGGGGACTACAGGCGCGCACCACCACGCCCGGCTAATTTTTGTATTTTTAGTAGAGACCGTGTTTCACCATGTTAGTCAGGCTGGTCTTGAACTCCTGACTTCATGATCTGCCCTCCTTGGCCTCCCAAAGTGCTGGGATTACAGGCGTGAGCCACCGCGCCCGACCTATTTATTTATTTATTTATTTGTTTATTTATTTATTTGTTCATTCCACTCTTGTTGCCCAGGCTGGAGTGCAATGGGAAGATCTAGGCTCACTGCAACCTCTGCCTCCCAGGGTCAAGCGATTCTCCTGCCTCAGCCCCTCAAGTAGCTGGGATCACAGGCGTACACCACCACACCCGGCTAATTTTGTATTTTTAGTAGAGACGGAGTTTCATCATGTTGGCCAGGATGATCTTGACCTCAGGTGATCCGCCCGCCTCGGCTTCCTAAAGTGCTGAGATTACAGGCATAAGCCACCGCGCCAGGCCCCAAATATCTTTTTAAAAGTAGATTGTGTATTGCCTAAAGACTTTTTTCCCTGTCGTTACCTTAATTGGTGAATTATAAAGTCTCCTACGTATTTATTTATATTTATCCTTTTATTGAGATAAAATTCACAACATATCACTCTCCATTTAAATCATTTTAGTGGCTGGGCGCAGTGGCTCATGCCTGTAATTCCAGCACTTTGGGAGCCCAAGTGGGCGGATCACTTGAGGTCAGGAGTTCAAGACCAGCCTGGCTAACATGGTGAAATCCCGTCTCTACTGAAAAAAATATATATATATTAGCCAAGTGTGGTGGTGGGTGCCTGTAATCCCAGCTACTCAGAAGGCTGAGGCAGGAGAATAGCTTGAACCTGGGAAGCAGAGGTTGCAATGAGCCGAGATTGTGCCATTGCACTCCAGCTTGGGCGTCAGAGCAAGACTCTGTCTCAAAAAAATAAATAAATAAATAAATAAATAAATAAATAAATAATTTTAAAGTGTATAATCCAGTGGCATTTAGTACTTTCACAGTGTTGGGCATACAATATTTCTATCTAGTTCTAATTTTCAATACAGCCAAAGGAAACCCCTCCCCATTAAGCAGGCACTCCCCACCGTCAGGTCCTGGCAGCCAAAATCTGCTTCTATAGAAGCAGATTGTCTGTACAGATTTGCCTCTTCTGGATGTTTATACAAACAGAATCATACACCATGTGCCTGTTAGGGTCTGGCTTTTTTCATTTGGCAAATGTTTCTGAGGCTCATCCATGTTGTAACATGTATCAGTACATGTTCCTTTTCAGGACTGAATAAGATTCCATGTTATTGATACATCACATTTTATTTATTCATCTGTTGCTGGACAGTTGGGTTCAAAAGGTTGTTTCCACCTTTTGGCTACTATGAATAATGAACATTCATATACAAATTGGTGTGTGAATGCCTGTTTTCAGTTCTTCAGAGGTACATAACCAGTAGCAGAATTTGTTGGTCATATGGTGATTCTATGTTTAACTTTTTGAGAAACTTCTTCCAAACTGTTATCCACAGCAACTGCACCATTTTACATTCCCAGTATACACCAGTAATGTGTGAGGACTCCAGTTTCTCCACATCCTTGAAAAACACCTTTTATTGGGTGGCTGGCAAGATAGACAAATAGGAACAGCTCCAGTCTGCAGCTCCCAGTAAGATCAACACAGAAGGTGGGTGATTTCTACATTTCCAACTGAGGTACCTAGTTCTTCTCATTGGGATTGATTAGACAGTGGGTGCAGCCCATGGAGGGCAAGCCAAAGCAGAGTGGGGCATTGTCTCACACAGGAAGTGCAAGGGGTCAGGGAATTCCCTCCGCTATCCAAAGGAAGCCATGAGGGACCATGCTGTGAGGAACAGTGCCTTCCAGCCCAGATACTACGCCTTTCTCATGGTCTTCACAACCCCGCAGACCGGGAGATTCCTTCGGGTGCCTATGCTGCCAGGGCCCTGTGTTTCAAGCACAAAACTGAGTGGCCGTTTGGGCAGACACTGAGCTAGCTGCAGGAGTTTTTTCATACCCCAGTGGCAGCTGGAACGCCAGGGAGACAGAACTGTTCACTCCCCTAGAAAGGGGGCTGAAGCCAGGGAGCCAAATGGTCTTGCTCAGCAGATACCACACCCACAGAGCCCAGCAAGCTAAGATCCACTGGCTTCAAATTGTCACTGTCAGCACAGCAGTCTGAAATCAACCTGTGGTGCTCGAGCTTGATGGGGGAGGCAGTCTGCCATTACTGAGGCTTGAGTAGGCGGTTCTCCCCTCACAGTGTAAACAAAGACACTGGGAAGTTCAGACTGGGCAGAGCCCACCTCAGCTCAGCAAAGCCACTGTAGCCAGACTGCCTCACTAGATTCCTCCTATGTGGTCAGGGCATCTCTGAAAGAAAAGCAGCAGCCTTGGTGAGGGGCTTATAGATAAAACTTCCATCTCCCTGAGACAGAGTACCTGGGGGAAGGGGCAGCTGCGGGCTCAGCTTCAGCCTACTTAAACATTCCTGCCTGCCGGCTCTGAAGAGAAGAGCGGATCTCCCAGCACAGTGCTCGAGCTCTGCTAAGGGACAGACTGCCTCCTCAAGTGGGTCCCTGACCCCTGTGCCTTCTGACTGGGAGATATCTCCCAGCAGGGGTGGGCAGACACCTCATACAGGAGGGCTCCAGCTGGCATCTGGTGGGTGCCCCTCTGGGATGAAGCTTCCAGAGGAAGAAACAAGCAGCAATCTTTGCTGTTCTGCAATCTTTGCTGTTCTGCAGCCTCCGCTGGTGATACCCAGGCAAACGGGGTCTGGAGTGGACCTCCAGCAAACTCCAGCAGACCTGCAGCAGAGGGGCCTGACTGTTAGAAGGAAAACTAACAAACAGAAAGGAATAGTATCAACGTCAACAAAAAGGACGTCCACACAGAAACCCCATCCAAAGGTCACCAACATCAAAGACCAAAGTTAGATAAATCCACGAAGATGAGGAAAATCCAGCACAAAAAGGCTGAAAATTCCAAAAACCAGAATGCCTCTTCTCCTCCAAATGATCACAACTCCTTGCCAGCAAGGGAACAAAACTGGATGGAGAATGAATTTGATAAATTGACAGAAGTAGGCTTCAGAAGGTGGGTAATAACAAACTCCTCCGAGCTAAAGGAGCATGTTCTAACCCAATGCAAGGAAGCTAAGAACCTTGAAAAAAATGTTAGAGGAATTGCTAACTAGAAAAACCAGTTTAGAGAAGAACATAAATGACCTGATGGAGCTGAAAAAACACAGCACAAGAACTTTGTGAAGCATACACAAGTTATCAATTGCCAAATTGATCAAGTGGAAGAAAGGATATCAGAGATTGAAGATCAACTTAATGAAATAGATCATGAAGACAAGCTTAGAGAAAAAAGAATGAAAAGGAATGAACAACGCCTCCAAGAAATAGGGGTCTATGTGAAAAGAAGACCAAACCTATGTTTGAGCTCCTGAAGGAAGCACTAAATATGGAAAGGAAAAACTGGTACCAGACACTGCAAACACATGCCAAATTGTCAAGACCATTGACACTATGAAGAAGCTGCATCAATTAGTGGGCAAAATAACAAGCAAACATCATAATGACAGGATCAAATTCACACATAACAGTATTAATACCCCCAATTAAAAGACACAGACTGGCAAATTGGATAGAGTCAAGACCCATCTGTGTGCTGTATTCAGGAGACTCATCTCACATGCAGAGATACACATTGGCTCAAAATAAAGGGATGGAGGAATATTTACCAAGCAAACAGAAAGCAAAAAAAAAAAAAAAAAAAAAAAAGGAGGGGTTGCCATCCTAGTCTTTGATAAAACAGACTTTAAGCCAACAAAGATCAACAAAGACAAAGAAGGGCATTACATAACAGCAAAGTGATCAATGCAACCAGAAGAGCTAACTCTCCTGAATATATATGCACCCAATACAGGAGTACCCA
This sequence comes from Homo sapiens, assembly GCF_000001405.40. Taxonomy (NCBI): domain Eukaryota; kingdom Metazoa; phylum Chordata; class Mammalia; order Primates; family Hominidae; genus Homo; species Homo sapiens. The sequence continues at coordinate 47,758,239 of NC_000008.11, read as the reverse complement.
CATTCATAAAGCAAGTTCTTAGAGACCTACAAAGAGACTTAGACTCCCACACAATAATAGTGGGAGACTTTAACACCCCACTGTCAATATTAGACAGATCAACGAGACAGAAGGTTAACAAGGATATTCAGGACTTGAACTCAATTCTGGACCAAGTGGACCCAATAGACATCTACAGAACTCTCCACCCCAAATCAACAGAATATACATTTTTTTCAGCACCACATCACACTTATTCTAAAATTGACCACATAATTGGAAGTAAAACATTCCTCAGCAAATGCAAAATAATGGAAATCATAACAAACAATCTCTCAGACCACACAGTGCAATCAAATTAGAACTCAGGATTAAGAAACTCACTCAAGGCCCGGCATGGAGGCTCATGCCTGTAATCCCAGCACTTTGGGAGGCTGAGGTGGGCAGATCATGAGGTCAGGAGATCGAGACCATCCTGGCTAACATGGTAAAACCCTGTCTCTACTAAAAATACAAAAAGTTAGCCAGGCATGGCATGGTGGTGGGCACTTGTAGTCCCAGCTACTTGGGAAGCTGAGGCAGGAGAATGGCATGAACCCGGGAGGTGGAACTTGCAGTAAGCCAAGATCACGCCACTGCACTCCAGCCTGGGCGACAGAGTGAGACTCCATCTCAAAAAAAAAAAAAAAAAAAGAAAGAAAAAAGAAAAAAAAAGAAACTCAATCAAAACTGCACAACTACACGGAAATTGAATAACCTGCTCCTGAATGACTACTGGGTAAATAATGATATTAAGGCAGAAATAAGTAAGTTCTTTGAAACCAAAGAAAACAAAGACACAACATAACAGAATCTCTGGGACACAGCTAAAGCAATGTTTAGAGGGAAATTTATAGCACTAAATGCCCACAGGAGAAAGTGGAAAAGATCTAAAATCAACACCCTAACATCATGGTTAAAAGAACTAGAGAAGCAAGAGCAAACAAATTCAAAAGCTAGCAGAAGACAAGAAATAACTAAGATCAGAGCAGAAAAAAAGGAGATAGAGACAGAAAAAAACCCTTCAAAAATTCAATGAATCAGCCGGGCACTGTGGCTGATGCCTGTAATCCCAGCACTTTGGTAGGCCAAAGCGGGCAGATCACCTGAGGTCAGGAATTCGAGACCAGCTTGGCCAACATGGTGAAACCCCATCTCTACTAAAAATACAAAAATTAGCCAGGCATGGTGGTGCACACCTGTAATACCAGCTACCCAGGAGGCTGAGGCAGGAGAATTGCTGGAACCCGGGAGGCAGAGGCTGCAGTGAGCTGAGATCACACCACTGCACTCCAGCCTGGGCGACAGAGCAAGACTCCGTCTAAAAACAAACAAAAAAAAATCAATGAATCCAGGAGCTGGTTTTTTGAAAAGATTAACAAAGTAGATAGACCACTAGCCAATAAAAAATAATAAAGGGAATATCACCACTGACCTTCCAGAAATACAAACTACCATTAGGGAATACTATAAACACCTCTATGCAAATAAACTAGAAAATCTAGAAGAAATGGATAAATTCCTGGACACATACACCTTCCAAAGACTAAACCAGGAAGAAGTCGAATCCCTGAATAGACCAATAACAAGTTCTGAAATTGAGGCAGTAATTAATAGCCTACCAGCCAAAAAAAGTGCAGGACCAGATGGATTGACAGCTGAATTCTACCAGAGGTACAAAGAGAAGCTGGTACCATTCCTTCTGAAACTAATTCAAACAACAGAAAAAGAGAGACTCTTTCCTAACTCATTTTATGAGGCCAGCATCATCCTGATACCAAAACATGGCAGAGACACAACAAAAAAAGAAAATTTCAGGCCAATATCCCTGATGAACATCTATGTGAAAATCCTCAATAAAATACTGGCAAACCGAATCCGGCAGCACATCAAAAAGCTTATCCACCACGATCAAATCTGCTTCATCCCTGGGATGCAAGGCTATTTCAACATACACAAATTAATAAATGTAATCCATCACATAAACAGAACCAATGACACAAAAGCCACATGATTATCTAGATAGATGCAGAAAAGGCCTTTGATGTAATTCAACACCACTTCATGCTAAAAACTCTCACTAAACTAGGTATTGATGGAACGTATCTCAAAATAATAAGAACAATTTATGACAAACCCACAGCCAATATCATACTGAATGGGCAAAAGCTGGAAGCATTCTCATTGAAAACGGGCATAAGACAAGGATGCCTTCTCTCACCACTCCTATTGAACATAGTATTGGAAGTTCTGGCCAGGGCAATCAGGCAAGAGAAAGAAATAAAGGGTATTTAAATAGGAAGAGAGGAATTCAAATTGTCTCTGTTTCCAGATGACATAATTGTATATTTGTAAAATCCCATTGTCTCAGCGCAAAATCTCCTAAAGCTGATAATTTTGCAACTTCAGCAAAGTCTCAGGACACAAAATCAATATGCAAAAATCACAAGCATTCCTATACACCAACAATAAACAAACAGAGATCCAAATCATGAGTGAACTCCCATTCACAATTGCTACAAAGAGAATAAAATCCCTAGGAATACAACTTACAAGGGATGTGAAGGACCTCTTCAAGGAGAACTACAAACCACTGCTCAAGGAAATAAGACAGGACACAAATGGAAAAACATTCCATGTTCATGCATAGGAAGAATCAATATTGTGAAAATGGCCATACCGCCCAAAGTAATTAATAGATTCAGTGCCATCCCCATCAAGCTACCAGTCACTTTCTTCACAGAATTAAAAAATTAGTTTAAATTTCATATGGAACCAAAAAAGAGCCCACATAGCCAAGACAATCCTAAGCAAAAAGAAGAAAGCTGGAGGCATCATGCCACCTGACTTCAAACTATACTACAAGGCTATAGTAACCAAATCAGCATGGTGCTGGTACCAAAACAGATATATAGACAAATGGAATAGAACAGAGGCCATAGAAATAATGCCACACATCTACAACCATCTGATCTTTGACAAACCTGCCAGAAACAAGCAATGGGGAAATGATTCCCTATTTAATAAATGGTGTTAGGAAAACTGGCTAGCCATATGCAGAAAACTGAAACTGGACCCCTTCCTTACACCTTATACAAAAATTAACTCAAGATGGATTAAAGACTTAAACATAAGACCTAAAACCATAAAAATCCTAGGCTGGGCACAGTGGCTCATGCCTGTAATCCCAGCACTTTGGGAGCCCGAGGCAGGCTGATCACGAGATCAGGAGATTGAGACATCCTGGCTAACATAGTGAAACCCCATCTCTACTAAATATTCAAAAAAAATCCAGGCATGGTGGCACGGGCCTGTAGTCCCAACTACTCTGGAGGCTGAGGCAGGAGAATCACTTGAACCCGGGAGGCGGAGGTTGCAATGAGCCAAGATTGCGCCACTGCACTCCAGCCTGGGTGACAGGGTAAGACTCTGTCTCAAAAAAGCAAAACAAAACAAACAAACAAAAAACAAACCCTAGAAGAAAACCTAGGCAATACCATTCAGGACGTAGGCATGGGCAAATGACTTCATGACTAAAACACTAAAAGCAATGGGAAGAAAAGCCAAAATTAACAAATGGGATCTAATTAAACTAAAGAGCTTCTGCACAGCAAAAGAAACTATCATCAGAGTGAACAGGCAACCTACAGAATGGGAGAACATTTTTGCAATCTACTCATCTGACAAAGGGCTAATATCCAGAATCTACAAAGAACTTAAACAACTTTACAAGAAAAAAAAAACAACCCCATCAAAAAGTGGGTGAAGGATATGAACAGACACTTCTCAAAAGAAGACATTTATGTGGCCAACATACATATGAAAAAAAGCTCATCATCACCGGTCATAGGTGTATGTGTCCAGGAATTTATCCATTTCCTCTAGATTTTCTAGTTTATTTGTGTAGAGGTGTTTATAATATTCTCTGATGGTAATTTGTATTTCTGTGGGATTGGTGGTGATACCCCTTTTATCATTTTTGATTGCATCTGTTTGATTCTTCTCTCTTTTCTTCTTTATTAGACTTGCTAGTGGTCTATTTGTTAATCCAATTTGCCAGTCTGTGTCTTTTAATTGGGGCATTTAGCCAATTTACATTTAAGGTTAATGTTGTTATATGTGAATTTGATCTTGTCATTTTGATGTTCACTGGTTATTTTGCCCACTAATTGATGCAGTTTCTTCATAGCACTGATGGTCTTTACAATTTGGCATGTTTTTGGAGTGGCTATTACCAGTTGTTTATTTCCATGTTTACTGCTTCCTTCAGGAGCTCTTGTAGGGCAGGACTGGTGGTTACAAAATCTCTCAGCATTTGCTTGTCTGTAAAGGATTTTATTTCTCCTTCACTTATGAAGCTTAGTTTGGCTGGATGTGAAATTCTGGGTTGAAAATTCTTTTCTTGAAGAATGATGAAAATTTGCCTCAACTCTCTTCTGGGTTGTAGGGTTTCTGCAGAGAGATCCACTGTTAGTCTGATGGGATTCCCTTTATGGGTAACCTGACCTTTCTCTCTGGCTGCCCTTAACACTTTTTCCTTCATTTCAATCTTGGTGAATGTGACAATTATGTGTCTTGGGGTTGCTCTTCTTGAGGAGTATCTTTGCAGTCTTCTCTGTATTTCCTGAATTTGAATGTTGGCCTGTCCTGCTAGGTTGGGGAAGTTCTCCTGGATAATATCCTGAAGAGTGTTTTCCAACTTGGTTCCATTCTCCCCATCACTTTCAGGTACACCAATCAAACGTAGGTTTCACCTTTTCACATAGGCCCATATTTCTTGGAGACTTTGTTCATTTCTTTTTACTCTTCTTTCTCTAACCTTGTTTTCTAGCTTTATTTCATTACTTTGATCTTCAATCACTGATACCATTTCTTCCACTTCATTGAATCAGCTATTGAAGCTTGTATGTGCATCACATAGTTCTCATGCCATGGTTTTCAGCTCCATCAGGTCATTTGAGGTCTTCTCTACACTGTTTATTCTAGTTAGCCATTCATCTAATCTTTTTTCAAGGTTTTTAGTTTCCTTGCGATGGGTTCAAACATCCTCCTTTAGCTCAGAGAAGTTTGTTATTACGGACCTTCTGAAGCCTACTTCTGTCAACTCGTCAAAGTCATTCTCCATCCAGCTTTGTTCTGTTGCTGGTGAGCAGCCGTGATCCTTTGGAGGAGAAGGGGCATTCTGATTTTTAGAATTTTCAGCTTTTCTGCTCTGGTTTCTCCCCATCTTTGTGGTTTTATCTACCTTTGGTCTTTGATGTTGGTGACCTACAGATGGGGTTTTGGTGTGGATGACCGTTTTGTTGATGTTGATCCTATTCCTTTCTGTTTGTTAGTTTTCCTTCTAACACTCAGATCTCTCAGTTGCAGGTCTGTTGGAGTTTGCTGGAGTTCCATTCCAGACCCTGTTTGCCTGGGTACCACCAACGGAGGCTGCAGAACAGCAAAGATTGCAGAAAAGCAAATATTGCTGCCTGATCCTTCCTCTGGAAGCTTTGTCCCAGAGAGGCAGCTGCCTATATGAGGTGTCTATCAGCCCCTACTGGGAGGTGTCTCCCAGTTAGGCTACACGGGGCTGAGGGACCCACTTGAGGAGGCAGTCTGTCTGTTCTGAGTTCAAACACCATGCTGAAAGAACCCTGCTCTCTTCAGAGCTGTCAGACAGGGAATTTAAGTCTGCAGAAGTTGTCTGCTGCGTTTTATTCAGATATGCCCTGCCTACAGAGGTGGAGTCTAGAGGCAGTAGGCCTTGTTGAGCTGTGGTGGGCCCCGCCCAGTTTGAGCTTTGTTTACCTACTCAAGCCTCAGCAATGGTGGATGCCCCTCCCCCAGCCAGGCTGCCGCCTCTCAGACTGCTGTGCTAGCAGTGAGCAAGGCTCTGTGGGCATGAGACCCGCTGAGTCTGGCACGGGAGAGAATCACCTTGTCCGCCGGTTGCTAAGACCTTGGGAAAAGTCCAGTATTTGGGCGGGGAGTGCCCCGTTTTTCCAGGTAGTCTGTCATGGCTTCCCTTGGCTAGGAAAGGGAAATCCCCCAACCCCTCGTGCTTCCCGGGTAAGGCAACGCACCGCCCTGCTTCAGCTTGCCCTCTGTGGGCTGTACCCACTGTCTAACCAGTCCCAATGAGATGAACCACGTACCTCTGTTGGAAATGCAGAAATCACCTGTCTTCTGTGTCAATAACGCTGGGAGCTGCAGAACGCAGCCGTTCCTATTCGACCATCTTAGAACACCCTCCAATTTTATCTGAGCGCTTTTCATTTCTTGTTGGCCATTTGTATGTCTTCTTTGGAGAAAAGGCTATTCAAGTTCTTTGCCTATCTTGTAACTGGGTTGTCTTTTTGTTGTTGAGTTCTAAGAGTTCTTTATATATTCTGGATACTAGACATTTATCAGAAAATGGTCTGCAAATATTTTCTCCCATTCACTGGCTTCACTTTTCACTCTATGGTGTCCTTTGGTGCACAAACATTTTAATTTTGATGACGTCCAATTTATCTATTTTTTTCTTTTGTTGATTGTGCTTTTCATGTCATTACTAAGAATCCATCAACAAAATGAAGGTCATGAAGATTTACTCCTATGTTTTCTTCAGAGTTTGATGGTTTTAGCCCTTACATTTATATCTTTGATCCACTTTCATTTAATTTTCCTATGTGGTGTGGTGTAGGAGCCAAAATTAAATCTTTTGCTTGTATATGCCCTGTTGTTTCAGCATTTTTTTTTTTTTGAGACTGAGTCTCGCTCTGTCGCCCAGGCTGGAGTGCAGTGGCACAATCTTGGCTCACTGAAACCTCCACTTCCTGGGTTCAAGCAATTCTTCTGCCTCAGCTTCCTGAGCAGCTGGGACTACAGGCATGAGCCACCACTCCTGGCTAATTTTTTTTTTTTTATGTATTTTTAGTAGAGACAGGGTTTCACCACATTGGTCAGGCTGGTCTCGAACACCTGACCTCATGTGATCCACCTGCCTCGGCCTCCCAAAGTGTTGGGATTATGGGCGTGAGCCACTACACCTGGCCCAGCATTTGTTTAAGAGACTATTCTTTCCTCATTGGATGGTCTTATGTGTTTATTTCTTGACTCATGATTCTATTCTATTGATCTATATGTCTATGCAGCACCATATTGTGTTGTTTACTATAATTTTGTAGTAAGTTTTGAAATTGGAAAGTGTGGGCCCTCAAAATTTGTTATTTTTTTCCCTAAGATTGTGTTGAGGTTCAGATCTGTTACAATTATATATATGAACCTGAGAATCAGCTTTTCTAGTTTTGCAAAAAGGACAATTTTGAGTTTGATAGGAAATGCACTGAATCTGTAGATTGCTTTGGGCAATTTTGTCATCATAACAATATTAAGTCTTTCAGTCCATGACATGGGATTTCTTTCCAATTATTTACATTTCATTACAATATTTTGTAATTTTCAGTGTATAAGACACTTAATGTTTCAGGTCTTTGGTTAAATTTATTCCTAAGTATTTTATTCTTTTCAATGCTACCATGAGTAAAATGTTTTTTTTTAATTTCTCTTTCAGATTGTTCATTGCTAGTGTACCAAAATACAACTGATATTTGCACGTTGATCTTGTACCCAGCATCTTTGCTAATTTTATTTATTTAGCTCTAACAGATTTTTGTGAATTAAAAAATGTTTTCTATAAATTTAATGTCCTCTGGAACAGATACAATTTTACTTCTGCATTTCCATTTTGTTTGCCATTGATTTCTTTTTCTTGCCTAATTGCTCTGGCTAGAATTTCTAATATGGTGTGTGTAGAAAGCAGGTACACTTGTTGTTCTTATCTTAGAGAGAAACAGTTTTTGTCTCTCCCTATTGAGTATGATGTTAGCTGTGGCTTTTTCATAAGTGCTAATTATTCTGTTGATGACAGTCTCTTATATTCTTATTTTGTTGAGTGTTTTTGTCAAGAAATGGTGTTGGATTTTGTCAAATGCTTTTTCTGCATTAATTGAGATAATCATATAGGTTTTTTTCCTTCATTGTATTAATGTAGCATTGACTGATCTTTTTTTTGTATGCACAATTTGCCATGTATTTCTGGAATAAATCCTACATGGTTGATATGTATAATCTGTGTAAAAGGTAGTTGGACTAAGCTTTGGTAGGTTCTTAGTTTTTATTTTATTTTTTTGAGGATTTCTGCATTCCGTATATTCACTGGGATGTTGTTCTGCAAATTTTCTTTCCTTTTTTCTTTTCTTTTCTTTCTTTCTTTTTTTTTTTTAAAGACGGGGTCTTGGGCTGGGGCAGTGGCTCACGCCTGTAATCCCAGCACTTTGGGAGGCCAAGGCGGGTGGATCACTTGAGGTCAGGAGTTCAAGGCCAGCCAGCCAACATGGAGAAACCCTGTCTCTACTAAAAATACAAAAAATTAGCCTGTAGTAGCTATTCAGGAGACTGAGGCAAGAGAATCACTTGAACCCAGGAGATGGAGGTTGCAGTGGGGAGAGATCATGCCACTGCACTCCAGCCTGGCTGACAGAGTGAGACTCCCTCTCAAAAAAAAAAAAAAAGTGGGGGGCTCACTCTGTCACCCAGGCTGGAGTGCAGTGGCACGATCACGGCTCACTGCAGCCTCAACCTCCTGGGCTCAAGCGACCATGCCTGGCCAGTTCGCAAATTTTCTTCTCTTGTGATATCTTCATTTGGCCTTGGCATCAGGTAGTATTTATATGGCTTTATAGAATGAGTCAGAAAATGTTCCCTCCTCTTCTTCTTTTTGGGAAGCTTTGAGAAGGATTGATGTTAATTTTTCTTTTTCTTTTTTCTTTTTTTTTTTTTGAGCTGGAGTCTCACTCTGTCGCCCAGGCTGGAGTGCAGTGGTGTGATCTCCGCTCACCGCTACCTACGCCTCCTGGATTCAAGCGATTCTCCTGCCTCAGCCTCCTAAGTAGCTGGGATTATAGGCACATGCCACCACGACTGGCTAATTTTTGTATTTTTAGTAGAGATGGGGTTTCACCATGTTGGTCAGGCTAGTCTCGAACTCCTGATCTCAAATGATCTGCCCACCTTGGCCTCCCAAAGTGCTGGGATTACAGGCGTGAGCCACCATGCCCAGCCAATTTTTCTTTAAATGTTTGTTATAATTCACCAGTGAAGCCATCTTGCCCTGAGCTTATTTTTGTTGAAATAATGTTTGATTACTAATTCAAAAACGTTATAAATTTGCTCAGATTTTCCATTTCTTCTTGAGTTAGTTTTAGTAGTTTGTTTCTAGGAATTTGTTCATCTAGGTTATTTAATTTGTTGGTGTATAATTTATCATATTATTCTCATGATCTTTTTATTTATATAAGGTTTATAGTGATGGCCTAGTTTCTTATTGGTTTTCATAATCTGACTCTTCTTTTTCTCTGCTCAGTCTAGTTAAATCTAGTTGAATGTTTGTCATTTTTTGTTAATCTTGTTAAAAGAGCCAAATTTTGGTTTTATTGATTGTATTATTTTTCTGTTCTTTCTGTCTTTTTTTTTTCTGTCTGTAATCTTTATTAATCCTTTCTTCTGCTAACTTTGGGCTTAGCTTGTTCTTTTTTTTTTCTGGTTCCCTAATGTGTAAAATGATTGATCTGGGAGATTCCTTTTTCTCTTTTTAAAATGTAGGCATATATTGCTATAAATCTCCCTCCGAACACCATTTTCACTATGTCTCATAAGTTTGGATATGTTCTATTTTTGTGTTGATTTATCCCAAAAAAGCATTTTCTAATTTCAGCTGTAAGTTTTTCTTTTGCCCATTGTATGTTGTGTAAGTTCCACATTATTTGTGAAAACTGAGTTTTCCTTCTATTTTTGATTTCTAGCCAGAGAAAGATTGCAGTCAGAGAAGATGCTTTGTCTTATTTCAGTCCTTTAAATCTGTCAAACTTGTTTGTGACCTAACATGTTATCTGTCCTAGAGAATGTCCCATTTGCAATTCAGAAGAATGTGTATTCTGCTGTTGCTGAGTGAAACAGTCAATGTATGTCCATTAAGTCTAGTTGGTGTATATATAGTGTTCTTTAAGGACTCTATTTTGTTATTCATATTGAAAATGAGGTATTTAAACTCCAACGATTATTATAAAACTATCTATTTCTTCCCTCACCTCTGTCAAATTTTCCTTCATGTATTTTGGGACTTTTTTTTGATATGTATATCTGTAAAACTGATTTATCTTCTTGATAGATTGACCATTTTATCTACATATAATGTCTTTGTCTCCTGTAACAAGTTTTGACTTAAAGTCTATTTTGTTTGATATCATATAATCCACCTCAACACATTTTTTACCATCTGCATTTCTACTAATTAAAAAGCACTTCTATCATTTTGCTTTTTTTCCCCTGTAAGCTTCATTTTATTTTTGTTCCTGAATTCAACTAATATTGCCTTCTTTTGTTTGATTTTTTTCTACCATACCATTTCCCGCCACTTATTACCCTTATATTTAATGTAAAGAATATATGGTAAAGAAAGGGGAAATGGGCCAGGTGCGGTGGTTCACCCCTTAGCACTTTGGGAGGCAGATGTGGGTGGATCACGAGGTCAGGAGTTCAAGATCAGCCCAGCCAATGTGGTGAAACCCTGTCTCTACTAAAAATACAAAAATTAGCCAGGTGTGTTGGTGCATGCCTGTAGTCCCAGCTACTCAGGAGGCTGAGGCAGGACAATCGCTTGAGCCTGGCAGGTGGAGGTTGCAGTGAGCTGAGACTGTGCCATTGCACTCCAGGCTGGGTGACAGAATGACTCCATCTCAAAAAATAAATAAATAAATAAATAAATAAACAAACAAACAAACAAACAAACAAACAAATAAAAGATAGGGGAAATGACTTGGCCAGGTGCGGTGGCTCACACCTGTAATCCTAGCATTTTGGGAGGCCAAGGCAGGTGGATTGCCTGAGCTCAGGAGTTCGAGACCAGTCTGGGCAACACGGTGAAACCCCGCCTCTACTAAAGTACAAAAAGTTAGCCAGGCGTGGTGGCCTGTGCCTGTAGTCCCAGCTACTTGGGAGGCTGAGGCAGGAGAATTGCTTGAACCGGGGAGGCGGAGGTTGCAGTGAACCGAGATCGCGCCACTGCACTCCATCCTGGGCACAGAGCGAGACTCCATCTCCAGAAAAAAAAAGGGAGGGGAGAAATGACTTGCCTAAGGTCATACACAAAATTCCCTTCATTTCAGAAAATCTTACTGAGTGCAAAATATGTGCCTAAAAGAGTGAGAGATACTAGAGAAAAATAGTGTTGCAGCTCTTAACCTCACAGTATTTGCATTCTATTAGGAGAGACCAGGTTTTCTTTTTATTTAAATCTCCAGTTTACTTGATATTTTGCTCCTTTAAAAAAACAGACTTTATGTTTAGAGCAGTTTTATGTTCACAGAAAAATTTAGTGAAAGGTAGAATGCCCATAGGTCTCCTTGCTCCCATCCCAATGCACACCCCCTCCTTCACCACCAACAATCTGAGCCAGCGTGGTGCATTTTCTACAATCCATGAACCAACATTAACACACTGTTATCAACCAGTATCCATAGTTTACATTAGTGTTCACTCTTGGTGTTGTACATCCTGTGAGTTTAAACAAATGTATAATGACATGTATCTACTATTATAGTATCATACAGACTGGTTTCAGCGCCCTAAAAATTCCCTATGCTCTACCTACTCATCCCTCCCTCCTTCCCTCTCAACCTCTGGCAACCAGTGATATTTTCACTGTGTCCATAGTTTTCCCTTTTCTTGGATATCACAGAGTTGGAATCATACAGCATGTAGGTAGCCTTTTCAGATGTGTTTCTTTCGCTAATATGAATTTAAGTTTCCTCCGTGTCTTTTCACGGCTAGAAGCTGGGTGTACCACAGTTTATCCATTCACCTACCAGAAGACATCTTCTAGTACACCACTTTGATTCCCTTATTTCCATTTCCGTATGTATTTTTAGGTTTTGTGTTAGCGTTTACTCTGGGGAATAACGATTAACTTTATAATAACCAAGTTTTAATTAAATACCAACTGAGTTTCATAGCATACAAAGACTCTGTTCCTTTACAGCTCTGTTGTGCCCCTCTTCCCACACTTTATGTTGTAGTATCACAAACTGCATCTTTATATATTGTGTGCCTGTTAACATAGCTTTACAATTATTGTTTCAGGGGTTTGTCTTTTAAACTATTTAGTAAAATGAAAAAGGAACTTATAAACCAAAGGGTGTTTTTATATTTACCTATGTAGCTACATTTACCATTGTTCTTTATTTTTGCATGTGTTTGAGTTACTGTTTGATGTCCTTTTGTTTCAGCCTGGAAGACTTCCTTTAGGATTTCTAGAGCAGGTCTATTGGTGAAATACATCAGTTTTTGTTTAGCTGGAAATGTCTTAATGTCTCAATTTTTGCTGGATATAGTATTTCTGGTTGACTTTTTTCCTTTTATCCCACTGTCTCCTGACCACCATGGTTTTGATGAAAAACTGATTATTAATTTTATTCAGGATCTCTTGTATGTGATGAGTCACTTGGCTCTTGCAGCTTTCCAGATTGTCTCTTTTTGTTTGGTGTTCAATAATTTGACTATAGTGTTTCTTAGTATGGATCTCTTTGAGTTTGTTCTACTTGGTGTTGTTGAACTTCTTGGATGCGTAGAATTCATGTATTTCACAAAATATGGGACATTTTGGCTATTCTTTCTTTCTTTTTTTTTTTTTGAAATGGAGTCTCACTGTCCCCCAGGCTGGAGTGCAGTGGCACAATCTCAGCTCACTGCAACCTTCGCCTCCCAGGTTCAAGTGATTCTCCTGCCTCAGCCTCCCTAGTAGCTGAGATTACAGGTGCCCACCACCATGTCTGGCTAATTTTTGTATTTTTAGTAGAGATGGTCTTGAATTCCTGACCTCAGGTGATCCGTCCACCTTGGCCTCCCAAAGTGCTGGGATTACAGGCATGATCCACTGTGCCCGGCCTATTATTTATTTAGGTAGTCTTTCTGCTACTTTCTCTTTGTCTCCTCTTTCTGGGACTCTCATTATGCATATGTTGATCTACTTGATGATATCCCACAGGTCCCTTAGGCTTGGTTCACTTTTCTTCATTCTTTTCTTTTGTGCTTCCCGGGCTGCATAATTTCAATTGTCCTATATTCAAGTTTGCTGATTCTTTCTCTTTCTTTCCTTTTTCTTTCCTTTCCTTCCTTTCCCTCCTTTCCCTCCCTCCCTCTCTTTTTCTTTGTCTCTCTCTTTTCTCTTTCTTTTCTTTCTTTCTTTCCTTCTTTCTCTCTCTCTCTTTCTTTCTTTCCCTTCCTCCCTCCCTCCCTCTCTCTCTTTCTCTTTCTTTCTTTTGATGGAGTCTTGCTCTGTTGCCCAGGCTGCAGTGCAGTGGCACGACCTCGGCTCACTGCAACCTCTGCCTCCCAGGTTCAACAGATTCTCCTGCCTTGGCCTCCCAAGTAGCTGACATTACAGGCATGCGCCACCATCCCCAGCTAATTTTCTTTGGATTTTTATTAGAGACAGGGTTTCACCAAGTTGGTCAGCCTGGTCTCAATCTCCTGACCTCAAATGATCTGCCTGCCTCGGCCTCCCAAAGTGCTGGGATTACAGGTGTGGGCCACTGCATCCAGTCTGATGATTATTTCTGGTGCCTGTTTAAACCTGTTTGTTGTTGTAACCTCCTAGTGATTTTTCATTTCATTTCAGCTCCAGAATTTCTAATTGGTTCTTTTTGGTAATTTCTCTCTCTTAACTGATATTCTCTATTCGGTGATACTTCATGCTCCTGGCTTCCTTTAGTCCTTTGTACATGGTTTACCCTAACTCTGAGCATTTTAAAGACATGTGATTTAGTTTTTGTCCACTAAGTAAGTCCAGTGTCTGGCTTCCTCAGGGATAGTTTCTATTAATTTCTTCAGAGTATGCTTGTGAATGGTTTATACTTTCTTGTTTCTTTGCATGCTTCATAAATGTTTGTCAAAAACTCAGCATTTTGATAATTACAATGTGGCAACTCTGCAAAGTAGATTCCGCCCCCACCCTCCACCCCTGCCAAGGGTTTGTTGTTGCTATTTGTTGTGGGCTGTTGTTACTTGTTACTGACTTTTCAAAACTACTTTTGTAACATCTGTATTGTGTTTGTTGTGTGAGGCCACTGAAGTCTGTGTTCCATTAGCTTAGTGGTCAGCTAGTATTTTTAACAGAGTAACCTTAAATGCCCAAAGCCCCCAACCCATAAAAGAAAGAGAGAGAGAAAAAAAAAGTACCTACAGAAACTCTTCCAGTCTTTAGAGACTGGCTCTGTGTTGGCATACTCCTTTAACACTTAGCCAGGTTGTTTATAATTCTGTCTTAGCTTTCTCTTCTTGAATGTGCACATCTTGAAGGTCAGCCAGAAGTGGAGGCTTGAGGTCTTCTCAGGCCTTTTCTGAGCACTCCGCCCACGCTGGGCATGCACGTAATTCCCTGGTACACGCAAGAGCTTTTAATGGCCCTTATTCCCCACTTATGTTCTTCCTCAAGCTCTTCCTTCCTAGACTTTTTGGTCTTTCTATTGCTTGTCTCAGGCTCCTACAGCCAGTACTTTTGCCCTTGCTGCTCTTGGCAAATGCCCAAATGCAAACGCTATCCTTGCTCTAGTCCATCAGGGAGCTGTCAGCCCGGTCCAAGCACACTCCCGTTTCTTTGAGAACAGAGTCTGTGTTGTTCACTCTGGCACTAGCAGCCTGCATCAGGAGTTCATGCTGCCATCTTCATGGCCACCAACAATCTGGAGAAGGAGGGATGGCAAGCAGGCAGTTTAAAACACCAAAGTGCTTTCTTAGTACATTGCAGCAGCTTCTTTCTTCATTATACTTTCCCCAGTTGCTGTAAGTTTGTGGCTAGATTTCAGAGTTCTGTAAAAGTTGATTAGGACAGCTTTTGCCAGCTGTATTTGTGGAGTGATGGAGCACTGGAATTCTTTACTCTGCCATTTTTGGTGATGTTGCTTCTCTCATATTTCTTAAAATTTTGATTTTGTACTCATAGAAAGAACTTCATTTCTTTTAGACATTGATTTTAATAATATATCACTCTTACGTGCATGTAAAAAGGACAATATAAGTAAATTGCTTAAGATGTTCCCAAATGTTTTCATGTTCACTCACTGTCTCCTCTGAATCACTTTTCATTTCAGAGTCATTGCCCTGCAGGTTTTTACACACCACTGCTCTTCATTCCATCAAGACAGCGAGCGATGTAGCATTTCTTTAGAAAGTGCTCTCCGCCATCATCCTCAGGATTCACTCCCAGCCACTGGCACCCATATGTGGACAAAGACAAATATCCTAACTGACACTCTGGACAACAGTGATTGTCACATGCATCCCAATTTCAATAAAATATAAAAAAAGTGCACTTAATAATTGACAAGATGTGGGATGTATTTTTCCTGAGAAGTCAGATGAGGAAGTGATTAAGTAAGTCACAGAAAGCACCATCGAGGCAGGCACCATTGCTCTTGCCAGCAGAGTAGTGCAGAGGAGAAAGAGCTCTCGGTGGAACCATCAGCTTCACACACAGGAAACCAGGCAGGTCCTGGGTATTTGGAGTTGAGTCAGGTGCCAGTTGTTGTGAGAGGAAATTGACTTCTTGAAGTGGGCAGTGGAGGGCTCCCACTTGAGAACTGAAACTCCATCCTCTAGGCCAAGAAAACATCAGCAGATTCTAAGGAACACAGTGACGGGACGGGCTCTCTTGGGTGGCCATCTGGAGAATGGATTGGAAAGGGAGAGCAAGCTGTGAGTCCAGACCTGCTGCACCCTTCCTGGGGGAGCAGGTGCAGCTGCAGCATCACTGCCATCAAGGAGGCAGCTGGGGACCTGGGGTGCAAGGAGGCTGGCAGAGGGGCTACTGGGTGTGGGCCAGGGAGGGATGAATCCACCTGATAAAAATGTAGGCTGGGAAGACAAATTGCTTTTCCTTTTCTGTTGAGGAGAATGTGAGCAGGTATTTGGCAGGTGGGACACCCAACCCACAGAATCCAATTCTTGTTGTCAGTTCTGGCTACTTTACAATCTGGGGACTCAGCCTTTTAGATTCCAGAAGCTGAAGTGCACATAGAAATTGTTACCAATCACAGCAGGTTTCAATGACATGCACAAGCTTTAACAGCATGAGGGGTGCGTGACCCCAACAACCACTGGTTTTGTTCCTTTGACTCTGTCTTTCCTTTTCCAAACTCACACATTGCGAATAAGGTTCATCCTGAAAAGTCAGTATTTTTGGATATAAACATGTAACATATAAAAATTTCATGGCCGGGTGCGGTGGCTCACGCCTGTAATCCCAGCACTTTGGGAGGCCAAGGCAGGCAGATTACCTGAGGCCAGCAGCTGGAGACCAGCCTGGCCAACATGGTGAAACCTCGTCTCTACTAAAAATACAAAAATTAACTGGGCGTGGTGGCACACACCTATAATCCCAGCTACTCGGGAGGCTGAGGCAGGAGAATTGCTTGAGCCGGGGACATGGAGGTTGCAGTGAGCCAAGATTGTGCCACTGTACTCCAGCCTGGCCAACAGAGCGAGACTCTATCTAAAAAAAAAAAAAAATCGCTATTGTGACCCAAAACTCGGGAAAATAAGCCATAAATTTAAAATAGCCCGAAGGCAGAAGGGAAACAAAACCATCTAATCTGATAGCTGAGAATAACAATCTGAAGAAAGCACTAAAAAGTTTCCCACCTCTTGAAACTTCATTTCATATTTACGTTTAGAGAGCACTCCTCAAAAACGTTTTATTTTTTCAGACTGTAATTTGGAGCAGAACTGCTCTTCTGCCATTTCAATTATCCAAATATGATCCCTAGGATGAGAGAGAGCTGAATTATGGTCAACTTCGTCCTATGAATGAAGGGGAGCCAGATTGGCTTTTGGACCCCAACAAACAGCTTATATTAACTCAAACACATTTTAACCGTTTTCAACCTCCTGAATTTCTTTTTTTTTTTTTTTTTTTGAGACGGAGTCTCGCTCTGTCGCCCAGGCTGGAGTGCAGTGGCGGGATCTCGGCTCGCTGCAACCTCCGCCTCCCTGGTTCACGTCATTCTGCTGCCTCAGCCTCCCTAGTAGTTGGGACTAGAGGCGCCTGCCACCATGCCTGGCTAATTTTTTGTGTTTTTAGTAGACACGGGGTTTCACCTTGTTAGCCAGGATGGTCTCGATTTCCTGACTTTGTGATCTGCCCGCCTCGGCCTCCCAAAGTGCTGGGATTACAGGCGTGAGCCACCGCGTCCCGCCTTTTTTTTTTTTTTTTTTTTTTTTTTTTTGATACGGAGTTTCACTCTGTCGCCTAGGCTGGAGTGCAATGGTGTGATCTCGGCTCACTGCAACCTCCGCCTCCAGGGTTCAAGCGATTCTCCTGCCTCAGCCTCCCAAGTTAGCTGGGGTTACAGGCACCTGCCATCATGCCCGGCTAATTTTTGTATTTTTGTAGAGACAGGGTTTCACGATGTTGGCCAGGCTGGTCTTGAACTCTTGAACTCAGGTGACCCGCCCACCTCGGCCTCTCAAAGTGCTGGGATTACAAGCGTGAGCTACTGCACCAGGCCTAGGCAAGAACTTTCTAACCGCTTCCTGTAAAGCACCTCAATATGCATCACTGTCATGTAAACTCAACTTAGTGTTAATAAATGTAGCTTTGGGAGGCAGAGGCGGGTGGATCACGAGGACAGAAGAACGAAACCATCCTGGCTAACACGGTGAAACCCGTCTCTACTTAAAATACAAAAAATTAGCCGGGTGTGGTGTCACGGGCCTGTAATCCCAGCTTCTCCGGAGGCTGAGGCAGGAGAATCGCTTGAACCCGGGAAGCGGACGTTGCAGTGAGCTGAGATCGCGCCACTGCACTCAAGCCTGGCGACAGAGCAAGACTCCGTCTCAAAAATAAAGATAAAAATAAAAATAAAATGTAACTATATTGACTATCGGAATCAGTAAATCATCTCACTGAAAATAGTCTCTGAGTTGTTTTTAGGAGGATATGGTTATCCCTTATAAATATTGATTTTGCATTCCCTAAGTGATTAGGGAGGGCTTTAATAGTGTTTCTATGGCTTCTGAAATATATGAGAACAAAACAATTTGTGCTAGAACTTTTTCTGGATGTGCGTAAGTCCACACTCTATGCATTGCTGGATTTCAGTCTTAATAGGTAATTAATTGTGTGACATCATCATTGTGTACCCTCTGAGTAACTCTAAAGAAATATGTTTGTTCTTTAGGAAACCTATTAAATATCCCATAGTGCAACGTTAGAAATGACCTCTGGAACTGACTGCAGAAACTGCACAGCAGTTAGTAGAGCTTGGTGTTCCGACGCAGATCTGGTGAGAGGCCTGCGCAGGAAGAGACTCGACATGGAGCAGGTGTGACTAGCGATAGTGATTTAATGGATTTGGGCCCGACATGGTGGCTCACGCCTGTAATCCCAGCACTTTGGGAGGCTGAGGCCGGCGAATCTCTTAAGCCCAGGAGTTTGAAACCAGCCTGGACAATATTGTGAGATCCCATCTCAATTTTTTTTTTGAGATGGAGTCTCGCTCTGTCGCCCAGGCTGGAGTGCAATGGAACGATCTCGGCTCACTGCAACCTCCGCCTCCCGGGTTCAAGCGATTCTCCTGCCTCAGCCTCCCGAGTAGCTGGGATTACAGGCGCACGCCACTACGCTTGGCTAATTTTTGTATTTTTAGTAGAAATGGGGTTTCACCATGTTGACCAGGCTGGTTTCAAACTCCTGACCTCAAGTGATCCGCCCACCTCAGCCTCCCAAAATGCTGGGATTACCGGCATGAGCCACTGTGCTCGGCTGAAAAAAACCATATTTTTAATTTAAAATAATAAATGGGTCTGACCAGAAATGCCTGCCTCAAATTGCAGGACACATGACAAAGCCCATTCTTACTTAAGACATTTTCAGTGTGCGATGGGTCTACCGGGATGTAACCCCATCGTGAGTCGAGGCCCATCTGCACCCTGCTATAGCTACTGGTAGATCTTACCTGTTTCCCAAAAAGGACCCAACTACTTTAGGTTCAAGGCACTTTTTTGGAATATTTAACAGGGAAAGAGCCTGGAACTAAAAACAGGTCTAACGCAAGATGCCGCCACACGATGGCACTGCTTCCGTAGACCTGGAAGAAACGCGGGCGCGGGAGCTGGCGGCGGACGCCCGGGTCTGCGGGGTCGGGGAGTAGCGTCCGGCCGGAGAGCCCGCACCTCGAGGAGCCGGCGGAGGACGCGGTGTCGTGACCGCGTCTCCCCCATCTGCTCTGCTTTTGGCGACAGCGTCCCGTCGGCCTTTCGGCCAGGACGCAGCAGCCGCGTCTCTGGGCCTCGACCCCCAGGGCCGGCCGGACCCGGGACCTCCGAGGAGAGCAGCGAGAACCGGCCCGGATTCCCCGAGGCGCCCGAGTGCGGTGCGGGCAGCCCTCCCCGCCTGCCAGGCCGCCGCTGTCCCCACGTCTGGTCCCCCACGCCTCTTCCCGCATCTGGTCCCACGGTGGAGGCGCGGGGCGAGGGCCTCACGCGCGTGCCCACGGTCGGGGGGCGTCCTTGGACGCGCGGGTCCTCTCCCACGGGTCTCCACCCCCCGCCCTCCGGCGACAGGAGCCGGCCTGGGACGCGCGCGCTGCGGCCAAGTCCTGGTTTTGATTTCACTCCCAACCCCGAGGAGCGAGGAGGTTCCAAGCCCACAAACAGGAAGAAGAGAAGGCCCTGGAGTGCTGGCAGAGGGAGTGTCATTCCCAGCAGCGCAGCGCAGGCCGGCCCGGGCCGGGGAGGGAGCAGCAGCGCGGGCACCCTCCTGCAACGTGGGCTGGGGGTCCCCAGGGCCGGGGAGGGGGCCCCGGGGAGGAACTGAGAGGGGGCGCGCCCCGGGAAGGCTCGGGGCGGCTCCGGGGGGCTCCCAGGGCGCCCCCGCCCCTTCCCCCGCGGCCCCGGGGCGCCCCCGCGGTGCCGGAGTCGGGGCGGGGCGTGCACGTCAGCCGGGGCTAGAAAAGGCGGCGGGGCTGGGCCCAGCGAGGTGACAGCCTCGCTTGGACGCAGAGCCCGGCCCGACGCCGCCATGAGCGCCGCGCTCTTCAGCCTGGACGGCCCGGCGCGCGGCGCGCCCTGGCCTGCGGAGCCTGCGCCCTTCTACGAACCGGGCCGGGCGGGCAAGCCGGGCCGCGGGGCCGAGCCAGGGGCCCTAGGCGAGCCAGGCGCCGCCGCCCCCGCCATGTACGACGACGAGAGCGCCATCGACTTCAGCGCCTACATCGACTCCATGGCCGCCGTGCCCACCCTGGAGCTGTGCCACGACGAGCTCTTCGCCGACCTCTTCAACAGCAATCACAAGGCGGGCGGCGCGGGGCCCCTGGAGCTTCTTCCCGGCGGCCCCGCGCGCCCCTTGGGCCCGGGCCCTGCCGCTCCCCGCCTGCTCAAGCGCGAGCCCGACTGGGGCGACGGCGACGCGCCCGGCTCGCTGTTGCCCGCGCAGGTGGCCGCGTGCGCACAGACCGTGGTGAGCTTGGCGGCCGCAGGGCAGCCCACCCCGCCCACGTCGCCGGAGCCGCCGCGCAGCAGCCCCAGGCAGACCCCCGCGCCCGGCCCCGCCCGGGAGAAGAGCGCCGGCAAGAGGGGCCCGGACCGCGGCAGCCCCGAGTACCGGCAGCGGCGCGAGCGCAACAACATCGCCGTGCGCAAGAGCCGCGACAAGGCCAAGCGGCGCAACCAGGAGATGCAGCAGAAGTTGGTGGAGCTGTCGGCTGAGAACGAGAAGCTGCACCAGCGCGTGGAGCAGCTCACGCGGGACCTGGCCGGCCTCCGGCAGTTCTTCAAGCAGCTGCCCAGCCCGCCCTTCCTGCCGGCCGCCGGGACAGCAGACTGCCGGTAACGCGCGGCCGGGGCGGGAGAGACTCAGCAACGACCCATACCTCAGACCCGACGGCCCGGAGCGGAGCGCGCCCTGCCCTGGCGCAGCCAGAGCCGCCGGGTGCCCGCTGCAGTTTCTTGGGACATAGGAGCGCAAAGAAGCTACAGCCTGGACTTACCACCACTAAACTGCGAGAGAAGCTAAACGTGTTTATTTTCCCTTAAATTATTTTTGTAATGGTAGCTTTTTCTACATCTTACTCCTGTTGATGCAGCTAAGGTACATTTGTAAAAAGAAAAAAAACCAGACTTTTCAGACAAACCCTTTGTATTGTAGATAAGAGGAAAAGACTGAGCATGCTCACTTTTTTATATTAATTTTTACAGTATTTGTAAGAATAAAGCAGCATTTGAAATCGCCCCTGCTTCCTATATTCGCAGTGACTCCCGCCCGCCCGCCGGTGGCGCAGGACCCGGCTCGGGAAGGGTGCGTTCCGGACCCGCAGCCAGCGAGCACCAGGGAGCCCGGGCGCCAGGTGTGTGTGTGGGGGGGGCGGGGGGATGGGGCGCAGGCCCGAGCTACTCAGGAGAGAGGGTCTGTCGCTTTTAAAACGCATTAAAGGCTCTCTCCTGGCCTTATTTAACTTGCCTAAGCTAGGTGGAGCACGGCTGAGCTCAGGTAAGCTAGCAGCTTTCCAGCAGAAGGTGTTCTCCCGAAGAACGCAGACCTGGGGAAGGGTTGACTTTTTGGGGGCCCCTGCTGAGAACAGTTCAAGAGCTCCCTAACTGTAGAGGCTGCTGGAGGGGCGAGGGGCAGAACCCCGGGCTGAATCATCTCCCGCTTTCCCGGGACTTTGCTTTCACTTTCCTCAGTCTTGTGGACAGAGTCAAGTAGATTTTCAAAAGTGCTCCAGAAAGGCCGGAATAGTCATGTAGTGGATGAAAAGGGCAGTCACAAAACTGCTTAAGACCAGCTGTCTTGCCAGTAATTGCAGTGCTTTAAGATTTAATTAAAAAGCCGCCTGCCTTTAACCCAAGAACACTTGGTATTAGGGCACCATGTCTTGGTCACGGCTGCTACGTGTATCTGATGTAGTTAACCATGGCCTGTCATGATTATATTGCTATAAGGAAGGGAACAAAATCTTTATAGTGTCCAAAGATAATTAATTCTTGGTTTAAATCTTTGCCAGCAAAGCAAATATCCGACTGACTGCTCCTTAGTCTGTGATCTTTGCTCTCCGTGCACATTACCCAGCCTAATTAAAACAGGTGTGTGTGGTGGAGCCAGCTATCCCCACCACCATTCAGCAGAGACACGATCACACCAGTTCAGAGAGCTACACTTTATGGGTAACAGTTTCACCTGTGATACAGTTCCCTAGAACATTTTCCCAAAAGTAGTGAACTGCAAAGTGCTTAGGTTTGACATTTATTGTAGCAGAACAGTAATATCACAGTATGGGACAAAGGTTTACACTTTGCAGGGTATTCTTTGGGGGAATGTTAAATACTGTAATAAAAACATGTTCAATCATGGTAAAATGTTCAACTTGTTAAAATTACAAATGAACAAAAAAAATTTTTTTCTCATATATTGCCTAAATACCAAATGAAGAGCTTAAACTTAAGATTCAATGTGAAAACGAGTAAATATGTTCCTAAATTTGCAGAAAATAAAAGATAAACTGTAGAAAAAGGTATTTTGATTTACAGTTCACAAAACTGTATCTGAACATTTCCCCAGAAAAATCTAAGTTTCATTTCAAGATCGTAAACTACGTTCACTGTGTCCATAGTTAACAAATAACTACCCCAAATCACCACCACCACCACCACCCTTGCAGCCACATTGCAAAGTTCACAGATCCTGCGGCAACCGCTAGTGTTCTGCAGAGGCCCCTCCTGCACTCAGAAGCTCGATTTCCTCCAATCCAATGCAGCTGGTCGGGTGGGCGGTTACGGACTGGACAAAACAATTTAACAACCCCACTTCCTTTCCGAGGACACTCTTCACTTCGTAGCTCTGCAGTGATAAAAGGCACGCTGGTTAAAGCAAACAGCCTGGGACGTACTGTTCCCAACAACACGGAAAACCAGAGAGCCAGAGTGGAAGGCCCTTTCCCCAGTCCACGACCTTCCACTCCTCAAATGGCTGAGAACAGTGGTAGGAAGGAGAAACAAATGAAGAGCCACTACACACACACACACACACACACACCCACACACACACACACCCACACACCCATTTATTTTAGCAAGTGAAGGAACTACCCCATTCTGGTAACTGAATTGTTTTTACTTGGGACACGATGCACACAGACTCTGCTGGGAAGGCCGGGGCTGGGCACACAGTGCCCACAGCTGTCTCCCACTTCCTTTAGGACACTTCCTCAATCTAGCAACACTTCCGGTTGAGGGATTTCCTGGTGCTTTGCCCCAAACTTCCTTCCTTAATAGGATTCCATTTCTTCTAGAGTTATACTGGGCTAAAATCCTCTGTGTTTTTGTAATGAGACTTCGCTTTTTCTTCTAATTCTTTTTGGTTAGTCCCAGGTGAGTTTCGTCTCCAGATGAGACAGGTACAGGGAGTCCTTGGCCCCCATCCCTGACCAGGCTGAGAGGGTGTGGTGCACCCCATTATAGATCAAGCTGCAGAATGCTGTTGCGGGTAGGGCTGAAAATAAAGGCTCAGAAGCACTGAGATATTCCATCTCTGGCTTTCTGGGAGATTAAAGCCCTAGAAGGCAATGTCACTTGCAGAGTAATATCATGGGCACCCCACACTCCTCCTCTGTGCAAGGCATTTGGCAGTTGCTACAGCAGTTCTGTTTGGTGTCTATTAACTCACCCCTCCCATCGTTATGGTGTCATGGCCAAAGAGACTGAGGCTGGAGAAGCCAGACAACGTGGCCAAAGCAGGTAGAATGTGGCTCCTTGGTGCCCTTCCCTTCAAAGGTGTGAGTCTCACTGCCTTTCCCTGAGTTTGAGCTGGCCTCAGTGTCTGGCTTCTCATGAACACAGTGCGGTGGAAGGGACACCAAGTGATGTTCCACGCCTGGTCAGGAAAGGTGCCCAGCTTCCAGCTGGCCCGTGGGATCCACACACATGCTGTGAGGGGGTCCGGCCAGAGCTGTGGCCTGGACGTAGGAGCCTTCTGTGACTCCCACCGGCCTTGGGGGCACCCGCTAATGCCCAGTGGAGCTATCCGGATGAAGCCCTGTCCAAACAAGAGTTCTGTGCACAGAATGAATATTGATGCCACCAAGTTTTGAGATGGTTTGTTTTGTAAAAATAAATGTCAGGATCAGTCTGGGATGTGAACGCTACTGACGCCAACTCGTGGGGGGACTTTGATTTTCCCATTTGTAAGACAGGCGTGGTGCCTATTCAGTGTGCTCTGTCAAGAGTTTTGGCTTCCTTGGTGAAAAAGAATAAAGTCAACAGGATGGTTTAATGTAGTGATGGGGGAAGTGGGTGTCACTGGTCAAGACAGGCAAAGAGAAGGAACTTGGTAATGGAAGCTGAGGCCTTCCCAAGGGCTCTGAGGTGGCATGGACGGCAAGTGCAGCTGCTCACTCGCTCACACATGGGGTTTATTATGATCCCATGTGGGCCCGTCACTGAAGAGATGGCAGTGAGCAGGACAGTCTCCAGGCTGCTGGACTGGAGGGGACACCAGGGGATACAGAAGCAGAAGCAGGGTCACCGCACGGGGAGGGAGGGTGGAGGCGGCATATGCGCTGGACACCCTTCTGGTGTCTTAGAGTTTCAGTTAGTCTTGCATGTTTGTGCAAGTGTGAAACAGATGACCCTATGGTCTTCTGGAGTAAAAGTATGCAATTCTGACTTGGAAAAAGCCAGCAAAAAATCATTTATTTGTAAAATGTTAGGTTTGGCTATATTATCCTGTAAATGGAGTTTAAAATTTTTTATTACTTTTTTTGAGACTGAGTCTTGCTCTGTCACCCAGGCTGGAATGGAGTGGTGTGAGCTTGGCTCACTGCAACCTCTGCCTCCTGGGTTCAAGCAGTTCTCCTGCCTCAGCCTTCCAAGTAGCTGGGATTACAGGTGCGCACCACCATGCCTGGCTAATTTTTTAATTTTTAATAGAGATGGGTTTTCACCATGTTGGCCAGGCTGGTCTGGAACTCTTGACCTCAGGTGATCTGCCCGACTGGGCCTCCCAAAGTGCTGGGATTACAGGCATCAGCCACTGTGTCCAAGTAATAAATCTTTTATGTGTGGGAGAAATTAACATGGAGAGGTTTAAACAACCATATTAGCAAACTCCCAAGCACTATTCATATGAATGTGTGTCTGCATATGTGTAAAATGTGCTCTCTTTTAAAAAATCACTATATATGTTCCTTTAACTTTTCTGAAAGCTAAGGAAACAAACTTCAAGTTCCATGCCACAATAATGTTACTATTGAGAAATGAGATGCACAACTACAGACAATCCTACTGTTTTCACATCTGCAGCTTGACCACATTACAGTAAAGGCATAAAACTTAACACTCAAGTATCTTAACCGAAACAGTACATTTGCCCCAGGGAATGGAGTTTTACAGTTCTTGTGGAAAGCCCCAATTTGATTCTCTGAATTTTGGTGAATGTGTATGCTCACCCAGAAAACTGACAGAATCCATACTGGGTATCTCTCAGCTAACATCTCTACCCAGGCCCCTCTGGCACCCATCTTCTATCAGCTTCTTTCCAGATCCGCAGTAAAGACCTGATCAGCCACTGTGAATAGAGCTGGGCATGGAGTAAAGAGCCTCCTAAGTTGTCTACTTCCAGGCTTGGAACTTACCCCACAGTCCACTGGTATTGGCCCTGAAACCAGAGCACCCAAAAAGGTGATACTAAGGCTGCTGCCACCCTCTGGCCCTCACCCAATGCACACACATACACACATGTACGCATGTGTCCAGCATATGTGCATACACAGCATAGTCAAGTGGACACATACACATGCACACGGGCATGGGCAAAGGTGCTCTGATGCACACATACTGCATAAATGTGCACACACGTGCACTCAGGTACACACACCTTTGAGCTCTTTATAAGCAGGGCTTTTACCTATGGGAATATTCTAGTTGACAAGTTAAATGTGTAGGAGGAACAAGCACCTTAGCCAGAAGGAAACCAAGTGAAGGAAGGAGGATTTCTGCCAGGGTTCCTGGTCTCTGGATCTCTAAAGAGGGGTGGGGATTGGAACGGGTGTCAAGCACTGTCCATTGCTGGAGACTTCCTGGATGGTGACCAGGGATGCCAGGCAGCTGCTGCCACAGCACCGTCCCACCCTTCTGAGTAGCATGGAGCAGCTGGAGAGCTGTGTGCCATGCCCAAGAGTTGGTTGAATCTGTTGAGGTTGTGGGTTTTGGTTCGTTTTATCATGCGTTCTCAAACAGGGGCGTTTCTAATGCTTTCTCCCAACATTCTCCATCAAGATGTGTTCCCTGAAAACTCAGATCTGCCACCTTTAGCACCTACTCAAACTTCTACCTGGTCAGCTGTGGGCAGTTCCCCCCTTTCTGGGCACTGCCTCCTCCTTTCTTCCTCCCTACCCCCAGGACTCAGACAAGGAGACAAGGAATTGGCTGACAGGCACTGCTGTGTGGTCGGTTGCCTGTTATACACTTAAACTTCCTTAAGGACAGAAAAGCACATATGCTGTTCCCCATTATGCTCCTTGGGCTGGCTCCCAACTCTGCAGGTGGTCACTCTGTGGCGTAACGATGACTTTCCCTCTGTGGGATGTCTTTGCCTTGGGCACTGCACTCATCCCCCTAGCAGGGAAATATGGGCTCTACCTTGCTGGGACATTGGGAGGTTGAACAGGGAAATGTGAGAATGCGGGAGGCTCAGTTCCTGGCCTGTAGTGATGACTCACCTTTTGCACCACTGGGGAACACTTGCTGATGAGCCTCCACAGCCCGGCCTCAGCATCAGTCCCTGTGTGCAGCAGCTCAGGGGACAATTCCGAGCTGGAGCTCGGGGTCACTGAGGAGCTTTAAAGCTGGTGGGTGTTGTGCCAGGAGGGAGCAGAAGCCCTTTTTTTTTTTTTTCTGAGACGGAGTCTTGCTCTGTCGCCCAGGCTGGAGTATGGCACAATCTCAGCTCACTGCAACCTCTACCTCCCCAGTTCCAGTGATTCTCCTGCCTCAGCCTCCCGAGTAGCTGGGGTTACAGATGCGCACCACCACACCCAGCTTTTTTGTATTTTTAGTAGAGATGGGGTGTCACCATGTTGGCCAGGCTGGTCTCGAACTCCTGACCTCAGGTGATCCGCCCGCCTCGGCCTCTCAAAGTGCTGGGATTACAGGCATGAGCCACCATGCCCAGCCAAGAGCAGAAACTCTTTAGAGCTTGCAGGTAATTCTAGTGTATAGTCACTTGTGATCCTCAAAGATCCCGCTCATAGACTTATCCATGTTCCAATTTAATCCAACTCTGACAGACATGGTTTAGATGAGAGAGGACAAACTGCTGCTCTGCCTTGCGGGGCTGCTGGCCCCTCCTGAGGTGCAGTGGGTGAGAGGGTGGCAGGGGTAGTGGGGCAGGGAGGAGTCTCCATAGGACAGGTCAAGTCACCACAAATGTGGGTTGGATACTTGGGAGGCTGAGGCAGGGGGATCGTTTGAGCCCAGGAGTTCGAGGCTGTAGTGAGCTTATGGTTGTGTCACTGCACTCCAGCCTGGATGACAGAGTAAGACTCTGCCTAAAAAAAAATTCTGGCTAGAATCTGGCCATGGGGACCCATTAGACAAAGACCCCTTATTTAACTGACCACAGAGCTCCAGGCATGATCGGCCTCCCCAGTCACCACACTCCCTTCCAGCGTGGCCCAAGTCAGCTCCCTGGTTGTGGAGCCCACTCTGGTTCCAGATGTCTCTTGTGAACTGGGGCTGTGCCCAGGGGCCACTGAGTGGCTGGTCCCCTTCTGTGGCTATTCCATGAGCCACTTGTGGTGCTTTTAAATGGCTTTCACAAGACACAGGTGGCATCTCTAGGACAGATGTCTCATTTATGTGGGTCAAATTTCACACAGCAGAAACTCTTTGGCCCATCAATTATATATTTAGGTGGCTTTTCTTGGAGGAGCCACCCTGCTTTACTAAGATTCACCACAGTGACTCTCAGGGCAGGACAGTCACATTACCAGTTATTCAGAGTCTGGAATACCCAGTGTTTAAAAAAAGAAAAAAAAAAGCATCTTGGGGAATTCCATCCTATTAACATGACACCTTGGCAGTAGGACTCCAACCTGAAGACTGTGGTGCTGTAATCAAAGCCAGGGGGCAGGCTGGGTGCAGCGGCTCATGCCTGTAATCCCATCACTTTGGGAGGCCAAGGTTGGAGGATCACCTGAGGTCAAGAGTTCGAGACCAGCCTGGCCAGCATGGTGAAACCCCATCTCTACTAAAAATACAAAAATTAGCTGGGAGTGGTGGCTCATGCCTGTAGTCTCAGCTACTCGGGAGGGTGAGGCAGGAGAATCGCTTGAACCTGGGAGGCGGAGGTTGCAGTGAGCTGAGATCACGCCACTGTGCTCTAGCCTGGACAGAGAATGAGACTCTGTCTAAAAACAAAAACAAAAACAAACAAAAAAGCCAGGGGACAGATTCCTGCATCTACCTCAACAATGATCTAAAATAACCTCATTTCCACAGAGGAAAGGAACCTATCAGTCTGAATGGCAGACATATCTGCATTTCACTCTCGAGTGTCTACACCACTTCCTAGTGGGATGGGTTGTAATAGAACACATTTGGGAGTGGGGGCTTCCTCTGGGGATGAGTTGCTCATGCAGGCTACTGAGTGTGCGGCCCCCTGGGCTGGGCCCCCTGCACTTACCCCATCTTCACCGGCGGCAAACCTCAGCAGGGAGGAAATGCTGCGCTGCAACAGCTGCAACAGCAGAAGCAGGGCTGGGTTAAACTCCCTCCAACACAGTAAGTGCTCAAGTTAAATCACTCATTCCCGAAAATTAACATGTTATATCCAAACCACCTGTCTTCAGAGCTTCAGTCTCACGGCCTTAGGTCAAAGATGTGTTTTAACATGGAGAGACTGTGTTCACATAGGGTGCATCCTCCCACCTTTCCTAGGGAAGCTCCTAGGACCTAGAGGGAGTTCCAGATGCAAGCCATCCCAGCCGAGTCCCAGCGCCTCTGCAGGCGTACAGGAGGACGTGCACCTGCTTCAGCTCTGTCTCACCTTCGCTATGTTGGAGTGAGCTAGGAGTGCGTGCGTGCTCTGGCCTGGCTCCTACCTTGACCTTCACTCTGCACTGCGGTCTTGAGCGGCAGTCCAGGAAGACCTGCAGGTGCCTCTTGAGAACAGGAGATGTGACCACCCGGGAGCAGTCCCCACAGGAAAAGGCGCCTCTGGTATATGAAAAGCCAAGGAAAGACAAGGCCCCGGGAGGCACAAGTCAGGAAAGCTCCAGTGGGAGACATTTTCTTAAACATGAGTGTCTGCTGAGCTAGAAAACGGGGCTTTACTCTCAGAATCAAGTTTCTGAGAGAGGCCTGCAGCTGCCTGGACTCAGCCTGTCCAAGGGATGAACATTAGCTTCGAGTAGCACGAGTAGCACTGGCTGGAGGCCGAAGAGGGGAGCAGAGGAGGGGATGCTGAGCCTCCCAGGAAGGGAGGTCAGGGCCTGGGAGGCCAGGGGTCAGGCTGCCCCCTGGCCCGGAAGAGAAAGTCTGCTCTCAGCTGCCAGCACAGCCACTGTTGTGTGCTACCCTGCATGCCTGCACATGTGCTCATCTCTTCCACACAGTCCAGTGATGGCTTGTGTAAGGCCACCAGCCCAGATATGCCAAGGAGACATTTGCTCTTTGCTTTGTGTGTGTTTTTTTTTTCCTTTTCTTTGAGATGGAGTCTCGCTCTCTCTCTGTTACCCAGGTTGGAGTGCAGTGGTGCGATTTCGGCTCACTGCAACCTCCACCTCCCCCTGGTTCAAGTGATTCTCCCACTTCAGCCTCTGGAGTAGCTGGGACTACAGGTGTGTGCCACCATGCCCGGCTAATTTTTGTATTTTTAAAATTAATAATAGAGATGGGGTTTCACCGTGTTGGCCAGGCTGGTCTTCAACTCCTGACCTCAAGTGATCCACTTGGCCTCCCACAGTATTGGGATTACAGGCGTGAGACACTGCACCTGGCCGATCTTTGCTTTTTTTTTTCTCTTTTTCTTTTTGAGACAGAGTCTCACTCTGTCACCAGGCTGGAGTGCAGTGGTGTGATCTCGGCTCACTGCAACCTCTGACTCCCCGTTTCGAGAGATTCTCCTGCCTCAGCCTCCCAAGCAGCTGGGATTACAGGCACGCGCCACCATGCCCAGCTAATGTTTGTATTTTTAGTAGAGACTGGGTTTTGCCATGTTGGCCAGGATGGTCTGGATCTCCTTACCTTATGATCCGCCTGCCTTGGCCTCCCAAAGTGCTGGGATTACAGGCGTGAGCCACCATGCCCAGTCTCTTTGCTTTTTAAGAAGCAGAAAAGTAATGAGCCTGTCCCTTTCTATCACATGACACTGCACTTGGGAGGCCGGAGGACTGACTTCATAGGGACAGACTGCACTGACACTGGCCCAGACCCTGAGGGAGGGCAGCATAGTGGGGTGGGCAGGGACATCTGTCCAGTAGCTGCTCACTGTAAAAGTGGTCTCTGTAAACGTCTGCACCTTTCACAAAAGCTAGGCTATACAGTCACCAAGTTTTTTTCACTTATTCATGTTTGTCCTGTTTTTTTAATTCTCCTGGCTGATAATAAAGGAGGTGGGGACAAAACCCAGCACATCTATCTCATAACAGGAGCAGCTGCAAGAAACAGCAGAAATCTCAGTAAGGAAAACCCACTGGGCCCCAGAGGCCTCTTCCCTTGCTGCTCAGCAGAGGCAGAGGTTGCCCCTTGAGCTCTCGAGGGAGTCACCTGAGGTAGCAAGGCCCAGGTTCTGGGGCTGGGTTGCTTCTGTGCCCTTTCAGTTCTAGGGCTTTCAGGACAGCTCCTGTCCCCTTACCTGTCTTCCGGCCTCTGTTCCAATCTCCCGTTGCCACACATGTCACACACAGGCCATGAGAAAGCAGTGCTCTCGTCCACGCCAACCACAGTGCCTAGGCCCAAGAGAAGGAAAGCCCACCTCAGAGGCGGCTCTGCCCTCTCTGACTCCTCTGCTCCTCCACGTGCAGAGGACAACATGAGGGGCCTCGTGATTTTTGCCTTACTTGGGAGTTTATATACATGTTCCTAAGATTTTTATAATTTCCACTTATTGTACAAAGAAAAATTATAACAATAAGAAGTACGTTTTAAAACTTGCCTGCATATTACCACCTAACTGAAGTATTTTTGTTGGGATATTTTTCCAGATGCATAGGTAGTTACATCGCCACAGCTGAGCCGGCCCTCAGTCCCTCAAACATTCCCCATATTGCATATTTAGGTCTGTGCTTTTTCTGTAGCACAGTAGTAGTATATAGACTCCTTAACACAGTAATGAGTGTTTGAGCTATGATTATGCCACTGCACTCCAGCCTGGGTGACAGGGCAAGACCCTGTCCCCACTCCCCAAAAAAAAGATGAAATAAATGGTGAATTGACAAATGGAAAAGACACCTGAGACGTGTGTCAAAGACACCTCTGGGCATCCCAGAGGGTCATGGCTTCCTGAGGAAGGGAGTGAGGGGGGTCCACAAGACAGCCAGGGCGGGCCACACGGGGCCTCAGCCAACTCTGCACACCATGGCAGGGCTGAGGCCGGGTGAGCACAGTTGGTCAGTGCTTGCTGGGGATTGGGATGGTCTGATTTTCTTGGATGTGAAGCATTGTAGATATCATCTAGATACACCACCAAATCGCAGATGTCCTTGTTGAAAAGCGGTGAAATTAGATGTTTGAAGAAAAAGTAAAATCTGAGTTTCTAGAAAAATAGAAAGGTCTTCCTTTCCACTCTTGGCACAAAAAATTTCATTCCTCACTAAAACCAGCATTGGGAGAAAATTTATCTTTAGAGGATAAAACAGAAGTATGAGAATGAGTAGGCTTGGTTTATTAAAGTGCATTCATGCAATGCATACTTGAATGACTTTTTAAAAATGAAAATAATAGATCTTGATTTTGAAAAGGCTGCCCTAGCTAATGACATTGTCAAAGTGGGTCAAAGGGATGAAAAGCAAAGTCAATAAAGGCTCGTAATGCAGCTGGAAAGCAGTGTTGACTAATTCACAATGGGCAGGCACATGAGGAGGTGCAAGTGGAGAAAGGAGCCGGGGCATCCCCAAGCCCCAGAGCACATCTGCCACTGTGGCCTGGCTCCTGCCCAGGGCCTGCAGGCCCACCAAAGGCCCACTCACTGGTTTACTGATGTTTGGTAAATGACTGCTACCTTAATAAAAAGTAGACTGCTACCAGCCAAAGTTCCTTTTTATCCTAGGATATCCATGGGTGTTAATAGCATTTACATTTATATGGGATTAAGCAATTTCCTTCCAATTAGAGAATAAGGCAAGAGTTGAGGAAATACATTTCATCTGAGGTCCATAAGCCATTGTGGAAATCTTTTCTGGCAACCCTAAATAAATTTCAAGAGATGGCTGGGAAGTGTATGATTAAACATTCACTTAAGGTTGGGCACAGTGGCTCATGCCTGTAATTCCAGCACTTTGGGCAGCCGAGGTGGGAGGATCACGAGGTCAAGAGATCGAGACCATCCTGGCCAACACAGTGAAACTCCGTCTCTACTGAAAATACAAAAATTAGCCAGGCGTGGTGGCACGCGCCTGTAGTCCCAGCTCCTCGGGAGGCTGAGGCAGGAGAATCGCTTGAACCCAGGAGGCAGAGGTTGTAGTCAGCCGAGATCACGCCACTATACTCAAGCCTGGTGACAGAGAGAGACTCTATCTCAAAAAAACAAAAACAAAAACAAAAGACATTCACTTAAATGAGCATCAGAAAGAAAAAGATAGTTTACATCAGGGTTGAGGACACCATACTCATGAACTTGCCAGCAGTTTGCCATTAAGTCTTTAGTTTGCTTGTCTTATGTGCAGAAATGTCTTGTAATTAGGTTTGGGAAAGGTGTATTGCTTAGTTACAAACACATCTTTTTAAAAAGGTCCTTTCAAAGGGTCCTCAGGATGGGTGGGTCTGGCGCTCACCACGCCTGGTGCACACATTTCTTCAGTAACTTGAACTCTGCTATACCCTCTTCCTCCCTATCTCCTGATGGAAAGAAGTCAGGGCTCACAAGTCTTCTATTTAGAAGCTGGAGCCTGGGTTTAGATAGGACTTCACCCCTCTTTCCACAGAGATGTGAGCCTGCTGCATCCCTTCCTACAGCCCTGCACCAGGTCCCATCGCTAGTGAGTGGTGGACAGAGAGGTGGTGAGCAGAGTGAGGGAGGGAAAACCAGCGCTGCCAAACGACTTCACCCCAGAAGACACAGCAGAGAAACATTTCCGCACACCCCAGAGCTGCCACTCAGGGAGAATAGAGACGAGGAGGCCTTGTGACACCAGCAAGGAGTGAGTGTCTCCCCCTCACCCCATCACTGAGACCTGGATGGACAGAGGGATGCTGCCAGCTCTCAGTGAGTGACTGCTCCATGCTCAGAATATATTCAGGGTCCTTTTAAACTCTGCTCAGAGAAAATGTTCAGTACTCAGCCATCTGAGACCCAGATGCTCAGCTGGTTCAGCTGCTGGGAGAGCTGCCCAAGCCCTAGCACCAACTCTCTGCAGATGTGAAGGGGTCCCCTTGGAGCCATGCAGCGGACATGTCATCACTGAGATCTTCTGGACCAGGGCAGAGCAGAACAGAGCAAATCTGAGGTGCTGAGATGGGGGCAACTGCTATTGCCAAACAGCAGTGAGGACTCCAGCCTTGCCTGGATCTGATGGAGGTGGGCAGACCTGTGGCTGGTGGGTGTGCAGGCTGAGGACTGTGTAGGAGTAGGTCACTGCCTAGCTGCTACCTTGCTATGGACATTCCTGCATGTGAGGCTTGGATAATCTTTGTTATTTTGCAGCTGGGGGTTTGTTTTCTCTTAATGCCTAGTTGACTGGTTCTCATTAAAGGATCTGGCAGCACTCAGCCCTGCCTCTGTGATAAGTCTGTTTACAAATCTTGAACCCTACATGAGGGCCTGCAGGGCAGCTGTAGAACAGGCCCGGAAGCAGAAGAGGCCCACAGGGAATGCTACATGAAAATGGCGAGATATGAGGAAAATGAAATGTCAGAAACTTGAATCTATATAAAGAAAGGAAGAATACTAGAGAAGGAATAAATGAAGGTAAAATAAAATCTTTTACATTTCTAATTCTAAATTGATAGAAAAGATAATAGTTTATTTAAATAATAATGATAATGTAATCAATGATTATACCTTTTGAGTAAGTGAAATGCATAACAGGAGTGTTACAAGGGATGGGAAGGAAAAAAAAAAGAAATCAGGAACACTCTGATAGAAGGTACCTGCATTACCTGTGAAGCAGGACAGTGTTATTTGAAAGTGGACTTGATTGGCTGTAAAGTGTATTGCAAACTCCAGGGTAACCACTAGAAAAACTTAAAAATAAGTATAATTGGGCTGGGCGTGGTGGCTCACGCCTGTAATCCCAGCACTTTGGGAGGCCAAGGTGGGAGGATCGTGAGGTCAGGAGATCGAGACCATCCTGGCTAACACAGTGAAACCCTGTCTCTACTAAAAATACTAAAAATTAGCCGGGCATGGTGGCGGGTGCCTGTAGTCCCAGCTACTCAGGAGGCTGAGGCAGAAGAATGGCATGAACCCGGGAGGCGGAGCTTGCAGTGACTTGAGATCGCACCACTGCACTCCAGCCTGGGCGACAGAGCGAGACTCCTTCTCCAGAAAAAAAAAAAAAAAAAAAAGTATAATTGATATTTTGAAAGAAAAGAGAAAATGGAATCATAATGTTCAATAAAAATCAGAATAGGCAGAGAGTGGAAGATAAAGAAACAAGTGGGTCAATGAATAGAAAACAGTTATAAATACAGTTGATATTATCTCAGTTATATGAATAATCACTTTAAATGAGAATGGTCTCAATACACAAATTAAATGACAGAGACTATCGGAGTGAACAAAAAACAAGAACCAACTATATGTTGTTTATATAAAGACACATGGCTAGCCACAATGGCTCACACTTGTAATCACAGCACTTTGGAAGGCCAAGGCCGGGGGATCACTTGAGGTCAGGAGTTTGAGAGCAGCCTGGGCAACACAGTGAAACTCTGTGTCAACAACAACAACAACAACAACAACAATAACAACAACAAAAATTAACTGGGCATGGTGGTGTGTGCCATCCCAGTAGTCCTAGTTACTCGGGAGGCTGACGTGGGAGTATTGCTTTAGCTCAAGAGTTCAAGGTTGCAGTTAGCTATGATCACACCAATGCACTCCAGCCTGGATGATGCTGTCTTAAAAATATTAAAACCAAAATATGGCCAGGAGTTTGAGAGCAGCCTGGACAATACAGCAAGACCCCATCTCAAGAAAAAAAAAAAGGATGAAAAAACCAATAAAAAATCCAAAACATTTCTGGTTCCAAGCATTTCGGATATGGGATACTCAACTTGTATAGAATGATTTTCATCTTTGAGAATCAATCTGTAGAAAATGTGTGCAAAGCTTAATTATAGTTATACAACAGAATGTTACCAATCTTAACAATATAAAGTGCAGATGCAAAGGTAGGTAGATGGAAAAGAAGAGTGTAATAAAAGAAGGGAAGGAGAGCTAATATTATTTTCTTCCAAAGTGATACTATCTCCAGCAAATGGAAGAACAAAACCCCTCTGGCTAACATCATAATCAATGGTGAGAAAATACATGGTTAACCCTTAAGATTAAGAACAGGGCAAGGATGTTCCCACTACTGCTATTCTACATGGTACTGATAGTCCTAGCTAATGCAGTAAGACAAGAAAATAAAATAAAAGATACACAGATTGAGAAGGAAGAAAGAAAACTGTTCACAGATGACCTAGTATTCTATGGAGAAAATCTCAAAGAAACAACAAAAGACCACTGGAACTACTAAGTGATTACAGCAAAGTTGCAGGGTTAATATCAAAAAGTTAATTGTTTTCCTATGAAACTCAATGAACGATTGGAATTTGAAATTAAAAATAATACTATTTACAATAGCAACAAAATAAATGAAATACTTAGGTATAAATCTAACAAAATATGTACAAGATCTGTATGAGGAAAACTAAAAAACTCTTCTGAAAGATATCAAAGAAGATATAAATAAATGCAAAGATATTCCATGTTCATGGATAAGAAGGCTCTAGTATTACAACATGTCATTTTTTCCCCACCTGATCTACAGACTCAACACTATCCTAATCAAAATCTCATCAAGTTATTTTGTGGATATCAACAAACTGATTCTAAAGTTTATATGGAGAGGCAAAATGACCTAGAATAGCCAAGACAATATTGAAGAACAAGAACAAAGTTGGAAAACTGACAGTACCCGACTTCAAGACTTAAAAGTCGCAGTAATTGGCCGGGCGCGGTGGCTCACGCCTGTAATCCCAGCACTTTGGGAGGCCAAAGTGGGTGGATCACGAGGTCAGGAGATTGAGACCAACCTGGCTAACATGGTGAAACCCCGTCTCTACTAAAAATACAAAAAAAAAATTAGCCGGGCATGGTGGCAGGTGCCTGTAGTCCCAGCTACTTGGGAGGCTGAGGCAGGAGAATGGCGTGAACCCGGGAGGCGGAGCTTGCAGTGAGCCAAGATCGTGCCACTGCACTCCAGCCTGGGTAACTGAGCAAGACTCTGTCTCAAAAAAAAAAAAAAGTTTCAATAATTAAGATGGTGTACTGGTAGCAAAAGAACAAATAGATCAAGGGAACACAGACCCTCATAAATATAGTCACCTGATCTTTGACAAAGGAACAAAGACATTTCAATGGAGAAAGAACAGTCTTTTCAACAAATGGTGCCAGAACAACTAGATTTCCACAGGCAAAAAAATGAATCTAGACATAGATCTTACATCTTTTACAAAAATTAATTCAAAATGGATCATAGACTTAAATGTAAAACACGAAACTCCTAGAAAGAAAACAGGAGAAAATCTAGATGATCATGGGTTTTACAATGAGTTTTTAGATGTAACACCAGAAATGCAATTCGTGAAAGAAACAACTGATGTGAGACTTCATTAAAATTAAAACTTATGGTTTGCAAAAAGACTTATTAAGAGTATGAAAAGGGCCAGAAGCGGTGGCTCATGCCTGTAATCCCAGCAGTTTGGGAGGCCTAGGTGGGTGGATCACCTGAGGTCAGGAGTTCAAGACCAGCCTGGCTAACATGGCAAAACCCAGTCTCTACTAAACATAAAAAAACTAGCTGGGCATGGTGGCAGGCGCCTGTAATCCCAGCTACTCAGGAGGATAAGGGAGGAGAATTGCTTGAACCAGCGGGGTGGAAGTTGCAGTGAGCCAAGACTGCACCACTGCACTCCAGCCTGGGCAACAGAGAGAGACTCCATCTCAAAAAAGAAAAAAAAAAGTATGAAAAGACAAGCCATGAACTGGGAAAAATATTTGCAAAAGACACATCTGATCAAGGACTGTTAACACTTAAAACTCAACAATAAGAAAATGAACAACCCAATTAAAAAATGGGCAAATGATTTGAACAGACAAATCATCAAAGAGGTTGACAAATAACCATATGAAAAGATGCTAAATGTCATATGTCATTAAGGAATTGCAAATTGAAGCAGCAGTGAGATACTACTACACATCTATTAGAATGGCAAAAATCCAAAACACTAGTAACACCAAATGCTGGTGAGGATGTGGATCAAGAGGAGCTCTTATTCATTGCTGGTGGGAATGCAAAATGATACAGCCAACTTTGGAAGACGGCTTAGCAGTTACTTCGAAAACTAAACATATGATCCAGCAATCATACTTCTTGGTATTTACCCACGAGTTGAAAACTTATGCCCACACAAAAACCTTCACAAACGTCTATTGCAGCCTCATTAATAATTGCCAAAACTTGGAAGCAAACCAGAAAACTGTGGTACATCCATGCAATGGAATACTATTCAGTGCTAAAAAGAAATGCGCTATCAAGCCATGAAAAGATGTGGAGGAACCTTAAATGCATATTGCTAACGGAAATAAGCTAATCTGAAAAGGTTGCATACTGCATGATTCCAACTATATGACATTCTGGACAAGGCCAAACTACAGAGACAGTACAAAGAAGAGTGGCTGCCAGTAGTCAGTGGGGAGGGAGGGATGAAGAGCCAGAGCACAGGATTTTTAGGGTGGTGAAACTATTCTGTATGATACACTAATGGTAACGGTAGTACATGGTATTATACATCTGTCAAAACCAACAGAACTGTACAACACAAACAGAGAATGCTGGCTCCCCTGGGTGTGGGGGGGCATGGGAGCCCTGGCTCCTGTAAATGTAAGGAGCATTGGGTTCCTTGAGTGCGGGTTGACTGTGGGAGATGTGGGGGCCTTGGCTTCCCTGGTTTCCTTCAGTGTGGGAGATGTGGGGGCCCTGGCTTCCCTGGGTGTGAGGAGCATTGAGACTCTGGCTCCCTTGGCTTTCCCAGGAGTAGGAACCCCTGGTCCCTCCAGCCTGGCTCCTAGGGCACTCACCCCTTGTTAGCCCAGTGCCTGGGCCAGCTGTAGCTGCTTGGAGAAGGCAAATTCCCAGCTGCTGGCAATGCTGGCCGTAATCAGACTGGCCAGACACAACTGGTGCTTATATGCTTTCTATTTTTTTTTTTTGATACGGAGTCTCGCTCTGTCGCCCAGGCTGGAGTGCAGTGGTGCAGTCTCGGCTCACTGCAAGCTCTGCCTCCCAGGTTCACGCCATTCTCCTGCCTCAGCCTCCCGAGTAGCTGGGACTACAGGTGCCTGCCACCATGCCCAGCTAATTTTTTTGTATTTTTAGTAGAGACAGGGTTTCACTGTGTTAGCCAGGATGGTCTCGATCTCCTGACCTCGTGATCCGCCTGCCTCGGCCTCCCCAAGTGCTGGGATTACAGGCATGAACCACCACGCCCAGCCTGGTACTTACATCGTTTCTATGAAGCTTAGGATGGCAGGGCTGCTTCCCTGTTCAGGCCACTAAAGTGACTTTAGGTTCCTAGGACATTTACTAACTGACGTTGAGAGGCCTAGAACTTCTCATTGGCAAACCAATGGTGCCTGTGTTTAGTGCTGTCTCTGTGCCATGCAGGCCACCTCCCCCAGTACCCACTCCCTTCCTGCTCACCACCTCACCTCAGTATTCACCCACAGCTCTCTCACAGGGAAGACCTGTGAGGGTTTCCAACTTTTCTCTATTTAGAAGGAGCCCTGCGTAGGGGAAGGGAGAGCATCAAGAATAGCTAATGTATGCTGGGCTTAATACCTGGGTGATGGGTTGATCTGTGCAGCAAACCACCATGGCACACGTCTACCTATTTAACAAACCTGCACGTCCTGCACATGTACCCCAGAACTTAAAAGTTGAGGGGAAAAAAAAAGAATCCTGCCATTGCTTGGCCAAGACCGTATTTCTATTCTTCAATATTTCTATAAAAGAAAATGAAGTTTATAGGTAATGTCTGAATGTCTCACTGTGGTTTACACTTTATAAAATAAAGTTTTATCAACGTGCAATGAAAAAATGAAAGGTGACTTAAACCATGAGGATAGTAATTCATCTTCCTGACTAGTGCTCATGTTAAAAAAATAAAAAGGAGCCCTTGCCTCCAATGAGGTACAGAAAAATGAAAAAAAAAAAGAGCCAAAGATAAGTAGTTTAAGCATATTTCTTAAGTGAATTTGAGAAGGAAAAACTGCCTAAATACAACTGGCTTAGTCAGAAACGTTGATCCCACCAATTTGTAAAATGAGGGCACAGAAAAAAAAAATAATTTTCATCTTAATACATGCAAAATACATGAACCAATCAGAGCATGTTTCCTCCCCTGTTTAGAAATCTTGCTTCTTTGCTTTTAGTTGGGAACAGCATTGGATGAGCAAAGGACAAATGTGTGTTTGATCTCCGTATGTGACTGATATGATGCCCTCTCTACTGCACATGGAGGCAAGCACGTAGCTTTAGTAGTGCATGCCTCCACTGTTACTGTCCATTCAAACCTTGGAATAAAAGCACAGATCCCGGCTACAAGCTTTGAAATGTGGCTTGGGTGGACTGGATACAGGGAACCCCAGCCTCTAGAGTCCTTCAATGTGTCTGGCATATGGACACTGGGCTTGGACCTGTGCAGCTGTTTTTGATTAAGGAGGGTGCCAACAGCATGTGCCCCAGGGCTGCTCTCATTTTAGAAAGGTGTTACACTCAGCAAAGCCCACAGAGGTCTGAAGGCAGCAGCCGAGTGTTAGGAATGGCATCTTGTGCTGCTCTCCTTCCAGTGGTTAGGTGCTTAAGAATCTGAACTGCTGATCTCTAGAACACCTAAATTTGCTACCAGGAACAGAGCTTTGTGACAGATCAAACTGCCTATTGATTACATTACACATATTTAGTTTTCAACACCCATTTGAAGGTTCAGTTTAAGTAAGGTGGGGCCTAAGGATGACTGAGCCTCATCAGTGTTCCCAGCTGCTGCCAACACAGCTAATGCCCAACAGGGAGGTCACTGCACTAAGTCACATGAGGCTGCATCTGACCACCTAGAGCAAAGTTCCCTCAGTGTACCAACAGGCAGGCCTACTGCCACAGGCACAAAAGGTGAGGATCTGCCTCTGTGTGCACCTGTGGCACTCATTGGCCGTAGTTAGGAATGGGTTAGGGAAACCCTCCTTGGGGTTCTTCAGGTACACATTTTCTCATGAGACACTGCTATGGGTGGTGGCGATTCTTCTGGTCATAAAATAACAGGGTCCCATGCAGCCTAACTGGTTTGTGGCATGGCTGTGACTCTCAGACCCAGAGCTGAGACCTTCACTGTGGGATGTTCTCCCTGAGCCCCTGACTAATCCTGGCCTCTGGGAGAGCTGAGGGGGTGGGAGAAGAACAGGTAGCAACCAGTGAAGAGAATGAAGGTGGAAGGGATGTCCTTATACATGAGCCTGGAGACCAGCAAGCCCTGGAAGCGAGCGATGGGTCACTGCCAAAGGCACACAAATAGCACATGCGCCCCAGGGACCAGGCTGCATCCCTCTGCACCATATGCCCTGTCCCTGTAGCCGGTCTGCTCAGGGACACAGTGCTGCTGTACACCAAAGAGCAGCTCCACGCTGGCTCACGTGGGCCAGGCAGTCTGCTCCACCCCTGCAGACCCTCTTCTTCCTGCCAATCATCTCTCCCTGCTTTGCATCACAGTCTCTG
This sequence comes from Homo sapiens, assembly GCF_000001405.40. Classification (NCBI taxonomy): domain Eukaryota; kingdom Metazoa; phylum Chordata; class Mammalia; order Primates; family Hominidae; genus Homo; species Homo sapiens. The sequence goes on along the minus strand of NC_000008.11, from coordinate 47,716,951 downwards.
GGGCTGCAGAATTTCTTCATTAAAAAATCTGACCATATAATCTCCACATGGCCAGGGAAAGCAGAGCAATACACAAGCAACTGGGTCCCCTGCTGCCCTTCTTGGTCCCTGCCCCTCTCCCATCACTTGGGAGGGTTTATAACTGCTCCCAGCACTTCTGTGGGTTTTCCATGTGCCCTTCCACCTGCTCTTACAGCCTTGCCCAACTCTACTTGACAAATCCTGATGGTCCTAAGGCCACCCACCCTCTGCAGTCAGTGGCTGCAGCCCTCAGACATCCCTCCCTCCCTTCCTGACTCCTGGTACCAGTACTGAGATGTCTGTTTTCTCCACTGGACTCAGAGCTTCAAAGCCCCCAAAGCCTCCTGAGCATTATCTCATTTAATTCTCAACAGTGTTTTGAGGCTGATTCCGTTAGCCCTATTTTACAGATGAGAAAATGGAGGCCCCATATGACCCATCACCCCATAACTGCAGTAATGTGTTAGCATTAACCCCAAAAGGAGATGCACAGAAGAGAAAATCCAAATGGCCTCAACACAGTGAAAAGAATGTGAAAGCAACAATGGAATCACAAGAGTTTTCTGTTTATCAATTATAAAAAGTCAGGAACTAGTTATAGGTAAGGGTGAGGAACACCAGCCATCTTAGACATTACGCTCGGAATTCTGAATTTTGATATGCTTTGAACCGGCTGGGTGCCGTGGTTCACACCTGTAATTCCAGAACTTTGGGAGGCCGAGGTGGGTGGATCACCTGAGGTCAGGAGTTCAAGACCAGCCTGGCCAACACGGCAAAATCTCTATTAAAAATACAAAAAGTAGCCAGGTGTGGTGGTGCATGCCTGTAGTCCCAGCTACTTGGGAGGCTGAGGCAGGAGATTCTCTTGAACCCAGTAGGCAGAGGTTGCAGTGAGCTGAGATCATGCCATTGCACTCCAGCCTGGGTGACAGACAGACTCTGTCTCCAAAAAAAAAAAAAAAAAAAGAAAAAAGAGAGAGGCACAAACCCCTAGTGTAGCCACTTTGGAAAACACTGGTGTTCTTCAAAAAGGTTAAAAATGCAGGGTTACCATATGACTTAGCAATTCCAGTCCTGGATTCATACCCCAAATTTCAAAACAGGCGTTCAAACAAAACCTTGTCCATGAATATTCATAGCAGCTTTATTCGTAGTAGCCAAAAAGTAGAAACAACCCAAATGAAATGTCCATCAACTGAGGAAAGGATAAACAAAATGTGGCATATCTGTGCAATGAAATGTTATTATGCCATAAAAGAAATACACACTGCATTGTGGATGAACCTTGAAAACATTTATGCTGATTGAAAGATGCTAATCATGAAAGATCACATAGTATGTTAGGTTTGTGCAAAAGTAATCACGGCTCTTTCCATTACTTTTAATGGCAAAAACCACAATTATTTTTGCACCAGCCTAAATATTATTCCAGTTAACATGAAGTGTCCAGAATAGGCTGGGGGCGGTGGCTCACACCTGTAATCCCAGCATTTTGGGAGGCCGAGGAGAGGAGATCACCTGAGGTCAGGAGTTCGAGACCAGCCTGGCCAACATGGTGAAACCTTGTCTCTAATAAAAATAAAAAAATTAGCCGGGCATGGTGGTGCACGCCTGTAATCCCAGCTACTTGGGAGGCTGAGGCAGGAAAATTGCTTGATCCCAGGAGGTAGAGGTTGCAGTGAGCAGAGATCACACCACTGCACTCCAGCCTGGGTGACAGAGCGAGACTCCATCTCAAAACAAAAACAAAAACAAAAACAAAAAACCCCCCCAAAAAGCAGAACAGGCAAATTCATAGAAGCAAACAGTAGATTGGTGGTTTCCTAAGACTAGGGTGTGGGAGGGTGGGTGGTAACGGGGCGTGAATGATAACGGGTATGGGTTTTTGTTCTAAAATTAGATTGTAGTGATCTTTGCACAATTCTGTGAATACTAAAAACACTTTAAAGGAGTGAATTATAGGGTATTACTGAGTTATAGCTCAATAAAGTTGTTTAAAAAGTCCATAAACCCCAAGCCGCTGAAATCCTCCTTTACAGAAATCAGTAGAGATTGATGTCCAAGAATGTTTATTACAGCCTTGTTTAATAATTGCAAAAACACGAGAGATCCTGGATGTCCATGAGTGGAGGAAGAGTTTATTCATATGAGGGGATGCTATGCAACTATTAAACTCTTGAGTTTGACCTCTCCCCCCACCTGGACGGACATCCCTCCTAGAGGGAAGCAAGTGGCAGAATAATGTGCAGTAAATCATTTGACTTGCAAGAACGCATACACCCTCAAGGCGGGCAGCTGTGTCTCCTGGATGCGCCAGCACAGGCAGGAAGCCGGGGACAGAGGGTGGGCTGTTAACTTTCTCTTATTTTTCACTAGTTCCACTAGACATGTATGACTTTTATTACTAAGTTTTATAAAGTTAAAAAAGAGAAAATAATAATGCTATTTTCAGCTCCAGACTCACATATCTAACCAGCTACTGAAACATCTCAGATGTATGTAAAACACGCAAACTCTCCCGACAGAACTGAGCAGGTCCCCTCAAAGCTGACTTTGCCTGCCACATCCTACTTAATGAACAGCACCACTGTTACCTCAACTGAGCCAGGAGCTCGGAGGTTGTCAGATGTCTTCTGCCTCCATCTATGCCCAATTCATCGCTCAACCTGCCGATTTCCCTAAGTCCATCCTTGGATTTCCTTCTCTACCTCTGCCACCCAGTCCCTCCACTCTGCTCTGCAGGGAGGACATCAGACCAGGCCGCCTGTACCAATGACAGAACACACTCCTGACACCACCAGCCTGGTGGGCCCACCAGCCTCAGCTTGGTCCCACCTCCATCTGGCTGCCTGTCCTGCCTCTTCCCAGACACCCCTGCTCACCAACTTTCTCATGCCAGTGGCCTTACGAAGTCCTGCTCTCTTCCCAGGAATGTTCCTCCTGCTCCATCCCTGACCTAAGTAGTCTCATCTATGCTTCAGAGCTCAGCTTGAGGCTCCTGTCTTTGGGAAGCCTTCCCTGAGTTCCCCACTAAGACGTGGGCCCAGGTTATCAGCGGCTAGAGCACTCAGAGCCTGAGGATAGGCCTGTCTGTGTTCGTCTGATTCACATCTTTCTGTGCAGACTCGAGTCTGATACCAAGAACAATTTCTGCTTTTGTTCTTTATGTATCCAGTGTCTGGAACTTAGCGGGTGCTCCACAAATACTTGTTGAATAAATGAGTAAATGAATATAAAGTATAACAGTTAAGAAAGTATAAGCACCAATTCCTGTGAGATGGCTGCCTACCTTGAACACTGCAGATGGAGTTGACAGGTGTTGCAGAGTCCAGGCTGTCGAGCATCACCGGGCCAGGCAGCTCACAGGAACTTGCACCAGAGACCACACTCAAAAGGGGCTTCTGAAGCAAGAGGACAGTTCGTTCAGCACAAACAATCCGACCTGCCGACAGAGACACTTCAGGTTATTGAAGCCTTGAAGAAAAAGTGAATTGTGCCCATAATGGCAGTCTCCTTTGCTACCCCTCGAGTCATGCAGGTGAAGGTGCAGTTATGGGACTGTGTCCAGCAGCACGTTCATTGTGTGTGCACACTCCTGAACCCCATGAGCTAAGCTAAAAAAGCACTCAAATGTGAGATTCAAGTCAATCCACACAGGGTAAATTATGTGGCATGTGAATTATGACTCAATAAAAATTAAAAAAGATAGCTGAGGCAGGATTTTAGTTTGATCCCTGGAAAAAGGGGCTGGCTGATCTAAGTATACGCATTTATAATATTCTAGCTTTTGGTTTGTTTGTGGAGTCTGCAGCAGTATGGGGTGCCACCAGCAGGCAATTCTGGAGTGAGCACAGCATCTCCATGGAGCTGGTTCTGCCCAGGTGGCTGCTACAGGGTCAGTGAAGGCTGGAGGCTGGTACATGGGCCATGTCTGTGATGGGCTCCGTGAAGGTGCCGGCAGCGTCCAAGCAACAAGGAGGCATCCAGAGGCCACAAGAGGTATTCTATGGGCACGGATCAGTCGCCCCTGCATCAAAGCTGTGGAGACGCAAGCACACCCTGGTCACGGAGAGCGTCCTTGAAGAAGAGGCTGTGAGGGGCAGCCCCAGCGAGTGCCTCCAGGACTTCAGAGCCCAGCACACACAAGGGGGCCACATAGACCAGCAGGGTTTTGGGGAGCCTGGGGTCTCTCTCCTCCTTCGTTTGCAGAGTGACATCGGTCACTAGCAGCCAGATCTCCCTTTGCTCCAGAAGCAGCAGACTCTTCAGCTACAATTTGAAGACACAATAAAGATTAATTATTATACCAAAAAATGTTTTAAAAGCATTTAAAAGCAGAAGTTATACATATACTAACAATTTAAGATATTATTTCAAAAACACTTTAAAACATACACTAGACTTTGCACATCTTGGTCACTAGCCCCATGTGCCCTGGGTGCCTCGACTTTGCACCTGGTTAAAGGCTTCCTTGGTTGGGAACAGGCCACCCTTCCCTGGCAGCATTCCATTTGTCCACTGACATCCTCAGGCTGAATCCATTGTTCTTTTCCTCCTGATCCTCTGTTTATATACTTAGAATGTTAATTACAACATTGTTTCCTGTGTAGTACATACATATTATTCTTTCCAGCCAGTTGTAAGTTTCCTGAGGGTTAGGAACAGATCTTACTTGCCCTCAGACTTTGTACAGGGCCTTGGTATAAAGCTGGTGTCGCATATTTGTTGCATCTGCAACAGGTTTTATTATTTTCTTTTCTTCTTTCCTTCTATATTTTTTCATTTTTTTCTTATCTTCAAAACTTGTAATGCCTTTTCAAGTTCCATTAGACTGGTATTCTGCCCTTTCCTTTTGGTCAGGGCTTAGGATTCAGTAGACGCAAATGGGGCCAAGGATGGTCAGCAGGGCCAGGGCCTGAGGATGTGGCCAGTTGGAGGTTCAGCTGGTGTTGCTGGCACAGACGGTGTGGTCAGGCTGAGAATTCCACATGGCCAGTTAACAGGACTGGGCAGAGAAGGTCACTTGTGTGGTGCGTAGCTGAGGGTTGGGGTGAAGGAAGTGGCCTACATTGTCAGGAGGTTGATTATATACAGGAAGTATGAATAAGTAATATTGAGGAAAATGAAGCCAAGCTTCTTACTGTTGGAGAAGCGAGTTATACATATAGAAATAAGAAAACTTAGAATAAATTCTGTGGTAATGATCTAGAGTTGGAAGTATTGGTATGAAATAATGATTTTAGATAGATAGAAATATAGAAGTAGATATAGTTGTGTGTGTATGTGGATGAATATACACACACATTTCCTTCCTCTGTCCACTGAGAGGGCAGAGAGGCAATGATATCTCAATAGCAGGAAGCCCACCTAGAACCCGGATCTTGGCTTCTAAGTAACATTCTTAACCAGCCACAGTGGCACAAGTGACTCAGGAGCAGTCTCAACTACTTGGGAGGCTGAGGTGAGGGCATCGCTTGAGCTCAGGAGTTTGAGGCTGTGGTGCACCAAGATCATGCCTGTGAAGAGCCACTGCATTTCAGCGTAGTGAACATAGCAAGATGCCATCTCTGAAAAACTAAAACTAAAACTAAAAAAACCCCAAAACCAAAAAGCCATTCTCCATTAAAATCAACCAGAGCTTCTTGAAAAGATGGCTGACTCCAGAGCACAGAAAGCAAAAGATGAGTTTGACGCATCTTACTGTGTCAGAAAATAAGGAGGTACTCAAAGAATGACGGGCATGTGTCCAAAGGACACAGGAACCAGCTTAAATATGGTAAAATTGAGCATCAAAATGAATACAGTAATAGATATAACTTGCTGAATAAAAGATGAATTCATTGGTCCATACTGATATTTAATAAGTGGGCTGGGCACAGTGGCTCATACCTGTAATCCCAGCACGTTGGGAGGCTGAGGCGGGAGGATTACTTGAGCCCAGCTGGGCCAATATAGTGAGACCCCATCTCTACAAAAAATAAAATAAAGCTGGGTGTGGTGGCGAGTGCCTGTAGTCCCAGCTACTTGGGAGGCTGAGGTAGGAGAATTGCTTGGGCCCAAGAGGTCAATGTTGCAGTGAGCTGTGATGGTACCACTGCACTACAGCCCGGATGACAGAACAAGACCGCCTTCTCAAAGAAAAAAAAAATTAAAAAAATTAGTGGGCCAGTCGTGGTGGCTCATGCCTGTAATCTCAGCACTTTGGGAGGCCGAGGCAGGCGGATAACCTGAGGTCGGGAGTTCAAGACCAGCCTGACCAACATGGAGAAACCCCATCTCTACTAAAAGCACAAAATTAGCCAGGCGTGGAGGCACATGGATGTAATCCCAGCTACTCGGGAGGCTAAGGAAGGAGAATTGCTTGAACCCAGGAGGCAGAGGTTGCGGTGAGCTGAGATTGCACCATTGCATTCCAGCCTGGGCAACAAGAGCGAAACTCCGTCTCAAAAAAAAAAAAAAAGGTGAATATTTCAGGAAGGGCAAAGCTTTCTATAAGGTTATCTGTGGGTGGGAGTTCTGACAACCTCCAAAGATTTTATATGCTCTTTGTAAATACTTTGGATTTGGCCAGTGGTCTCTCTTTCAATCTATTAATGAACCAAAATGTTCTAATCTCCTTTGAAATTAATTATGAAATTATCTCTACTATTGGGGTTATGAACAAAGTCAGTAACAATCAAATCAACTGTAAAAAGACATCAGTAACTAATTAAAGCAGTACTACCACTACACTGCTAAAATTTTATTAAAAATAGGTTTCTTCTCTGGCCAGGCGTGGTAATCCCAGCACATTGGGAGACCAAGGCGGGTGGATCACTTGAGGTCAGGAGTTCGAGAGCAGCCTGGCCAACATGGTGAAACCCTGTCTCTACTAAAAATATAAAAATTAGCTAGGTGTGATGGTGCATGCCTGTAATTCCTGCTCCTCTGGAGGCTGAGGCATGAGAATTGCTTGAACCCAGTAGGCGGAGGTTGCAGTGTGCTGAGATCATACCACTGCAACTCCAGCCTGACTGACAGAGCATCTCAAAAAAAAAAAAAAATTGGTGAATATTTCAGGAAGGGCAAAGATTTCTGTAAGATTATCTGAGGTTGGAGGTTCTGAAAATGTCCAAAAATTTTAGATGCTTTTGTAAATACTCTGGATTTGGCCAGTGGTCTCTCTTTCAATCTATTAATATACCAAAATGTTCTAATCTCCTTTGAAATTAACTATAAAATTGTCCTACTATTGGGGTTATGAACAAAGTCAGTAACAATAAAATTATCTGTAAAAAGACATCAGTAACTAATGAAAGCAGTACTAGTACTACCACTACATTGCTAAAAGTTTATTAAAAATAGATTTCTTCTCTGGCCGGGCATGGTGGCTCACGCCTGTAATCCCAGCACTTTGGGAGGCCAAGGTGGGTGGATCACTTGAGGTCAGGAGTTCGAGACTAGCCTGGCCAACATGGTAAAACCCCATCTCTACTAAAAATACCAAAATTAGGCTGGGCGCCGTGGCTTACGCCTGTAATCCCAGCACTTTGGGAGGCAGAGGCGGGTGAATCACCTGAGGTCAGGAGTTCGAGACCAGCCTGGCTAACATTGTGAAACCCTGTCTCTACTAAAAATACAAAAATTAGCTGGTGTGGTGGTGCATGCCTGTAATTCCAGCTACTCGGGAGGTGGAGACAGGAGAATTGCTTGAACCTGGGAGGTGGAGGTTGCAGTGAGCCGAGGTCATGCCACTGCACTCCAGCGTGGGCGACAGAGAGAGACTCCATCTCAAAAACAAACAAACAAAAATTAGCCGGGTGTAGTGGCGGATGCCTGTAATCCCAGCTACTCGAGAGGCTAAGGCAAGAAAATCTCTTGAACACGGGAGGCAGAGGTTGCAGTGAGCCAAGATTGCGTCACTCCATTCCAACCTGGGCAACAGAGTGAGATTCCATCTCAAAAAAAAAAAAAAAGTCTTCTTACTCATAATTGCCAAAACCTGGAAACAACCAAGATGTCCTTCAGTATGTGAATGAATAACTAAACTGAACTATGTGGTACATCCAGACAATGGAACATTATTCAGCACTCAAAAGGAAACGAGCTATCTAGCCATGAAGTCACAGAAACTTAAATGCATATTATTAAGTGAAAGAAGTCCGTCTGAAAGGCTACAGACTCTAAGATTCCAACTTTATACAATATTCTGAAAAGGCAAAACTATGGAGATGGTAAAAATAAGAATGTTTGCCAGGGATTTGTGGGGAGGGGGAATAAACACGTGGAGCAGATTTTTAGGTCACTGAAACTGCTCCATATGATACTATGATCGTAGATACATGGCATTACATATTTGTGCAAACCCATAAAATTACACCACCAAGAGTGAACCCTCATGTAAACTGTGGACTCTGGGTGAGTACGATGTGTCAATGCAGGTTCATTAGTTGTGAGCAATGTGCTGTCCTGGTAGGGATGTTGATAATGGGGAGGCTGTGCATGTGTGGGAGTAGAAGGTGTATGGAAAATCTCTGTACCTTCCTCTCAATTTTGCTGTGAACCTAAAACTGCTCTAAAAGAAAAAAGTCTAATAAAAATTTTTATAGCCCTGTGTAATCAGGGAAAGTTTTTTGTTTGTTTGTTTGTTTTTGAGACGGAGTCTCGCTCTGTCGCCCAGGCTGGAGTGTAGTGGCACAATTTCGGCTCACTGCAACTTCTGTCTCCCAGGTTCAAGTGATTCTCCAGCCTCAGACTCCCGGGTAGCTGGGATTACAGGCACCTGCCATCATGCCCGGCTAATTTTTGTATTTTTGTAGAGACAGGGCTTCACCACATTGGCCAGGCTGGTTTCAAACTCCTGACCTCAGCTGATCCACCTGCCTCGGCCTCCCAAAGTGCTGGGATTACAGGCGTAAGCCACCGTGTCCGGCCCAGGAAAAGTATTTAAGCATAGATGATATAGACACCTATAATGCTAGTAATAAGGCAAAAATATTACCAATGCAAATTTATCAGGAAAAAATAGATCTCTCCCACACAAATATGCCCAATTAATTTTTGACAAAAGTGCAACAGCAATTTAATGGAGGAAGGACGATATATCAACAAATGGTGCTGGAATGAATGGATATCCAAAGGTGAAAAAATTAACCTTGACCTAAACCACACACCTTATACAAAACCCAACTCCAAATGCATCATGGACTTGGAAGGTAAAGTGTAAAATTAAATCTTCTGGAAAAGAACACAAAAGAATAACTTTGGGACCTATGACTAGGCAAAGAGACTTGACTTCTCTTAGACTTGACAACAAAACTGTGATCTGTAAGAGAAAAATCTGGTAAATCTGACTGCATCAAAATTAAAAACTTCTACTATGTTAAGAAAAATCATTAAAAGGATAAAAATAGAATTTAGAGATCCTGAGAAAATATTTGCAAATCCTGTATCTGACAAAGGTTTTGTATTTAAAAAATAGAAATAACTTTAAAGACTCAACAATAAACCAACAAACAAGCAACCCAATTAGACAATAGGCAAAAGATGTAAACAGGGATTTTACCAAAGAGGACATATGGATGGCAAGTAAACACATGAAAAGATGTTCAACATTATTAGTCCTTTGGATGAATCTCTAGACAATACTGTTGGCCGACACCTTATATTTCTTTAATGAATTTTTTTTTTTTTTTTTTTGAGAAAGAGTCTCACTCTGTCACCCAGGCTGGAGTGCAATGGAGCGATCTTGGCTCACTCAACCTCTGCCTCCCAGGTTCAAGCCATTCTCCTGCCTCAGCCTCCCAAGTAGCTGGGACTACAGGCGTGCACCACCATACCCAGCTAATTTTTTGTAGTTTTAGTAGAGATGGGGTTTTACCACGTTTGACAGGCTCATCTCCAATTCCTGACCTCAGATGATGTACCTGCCTCGGCCTCCCAAAGTGCTGGTATTACAGGTGTGAGCCACAGCACTGGGCCTAAAAACAAAATTTAAATAGAGACGGAGTCTCACTATGTTGGCCAAGGTGGTCTTGGGCTCCTGGCCTCAAGTGATCCTCCTGCCTCAGCCTCCCAAAGTGCTGAGATTAAAGGTGTGAGGCACTGCGACTGGCCACTGCTAAGATTTCAGACTTCTGGCCTCCGGAAGTGTGAGAGAATACATTTCTATTGTTTTAAGCTATCTAGTTTTTGGAACTTTATATGGTAATCCTAGTAGGAAACTAATACAGATAAATACTGCATGGTTCTATTCATGTAACAACCATAAGACAACATAATTATAATGACAGAGAACATGTGAGTGGTTGCCAGCGCTAGGGATGAAAAAAGGATCGACGTGGCTATAAAGGCGAACACAGGAATCGTTGGTGATGGCACAGCGGAGGATTCTGACTGCAGTGACAGTGATGCAAGGCTGTACATGTGACAAAACTGCAAGAAGTGCACGCACACATACACACACAAACACACAGAGTGCACACGTGGCTGCTGAAACCTGAATGTGCTCCATGGATTGTTCCTGTGTCAGTTTCTTGTTTTTTGTTGTTGTTGTTGTTGAGACAGAGTCTCACTCTGTCGCCCAGGCTGGAGTGCAGTGGCGTGGTCTTGGCTCACTGCAAGCTCCGCCTCCCAGGTTCACACCATTCTCCCGCCCCAGCCTCCCAAGTAGCTGGGACTACAGGCGCCTGCCACCACGCCCGGCTAATTTTTTTGTATTTTTAGTAGAGACAGGGTTTCACCATGTTAGCCAGGATGGTCTCAATCTCCTGACCTTGTGATCCACCCGCCTTGGCCTCCCAAAGTTCTGGGATTACAGGTGTGAGCCACCGCGCCCAGCTGGTTTTGGTTTTTACTGTGGTTACTGTGGGTGTGGGATATTGACATGGGGGTGGAGGGGTGCACCAGACCCCCCGTGTATTTCTTTGCAATCTACTGTGAAACTATAATTATTACAAAATAAAAGTTAAATATGAAAACTATCTTTTTCACCTTCATGACTTAGTCATTAGTGTAACGGAAATACAACTGAATCTGCTTTTTTTTTTTTTGAGACAGGGTCTCACTCTGTCAGCCAGGCTGGAGTGGAGTGGTGCAATCACAGCTCACTGCAGCAACCTCCTGGGCTCAAGGGATCCTCCCATGTCAGCCTCCCAAGTAGCTGAGATGATAGGCATGCAGCACCATGCCTGGCTAATTTTTAATTTTTTTGTAGAGACGGGGTCGTGCTTTGTTGACCAGGTTGGTCTGGAACTCCTGGCCTCAAGAGATCCTCTAGCCTCAGTCTCCCAAAGTGCTAGGATGACAGGCGTGAGCCACCACGCCTAGTCTGGGTCTGTTTTTATGACTGGAGTTCCAGCAATGACTCATGGTGCCATTCTGAAAGTCAACCCTCACTGCCAAGGATGCAGGCCACTGGCTTAACTACGGACTGGCCCCAGGAGTCAGCTTATTTCTATTCCTTCTTGAGACAGCTGGTTTCTGGTGATTCTTTTACACACAAAAGCAGACTATAGGAGACAGACAGAATTTCAGTGGATCATGGAACCTGTTCCATTGGGTTCCAGGTCTTTGACTGTTTTGTGGCTATAGGACTACTGATTCCTAGGCACACATGCCCACTGGAAGCCATGCTCACTGAAAGCTGCACTTGGCACTGGTGGGAGCCTGTTTCTTGGATAGGAGGGGATTAACATTATCTTCTCTACCTCCCTGAGGGAGGACCCCTTCACAGGGCAAGGTGGATGACCTGCTTCACTCTTGGTCTTTCTCTGCCCCAGAGCTCCCCTCCAACTGGCTTTGGTGCAAGCATTTTGACACCTGCTTTCTTTACTTTCAACCTCGGTCTCAGCCAGAGGGCCGTGGGCAGGAGTGTTAGCTGCAACTGCCACGTGGCTGCTCTGAGGACAGCATTCTCCCTATGGGTGAAAGGCACCTGCACAGAGAGCCACCGCCTGGCCCATGACCCAGAAGAGCAGGAATGTGCCAGATGCCAGGGGCATCCCTACACACACTGACCCCTCTCAAGGTAGGCAGAGGAGCGTGAAGTCAGTCTTAGGTCTCCTCAGGCTTGGAAAGTATGGGACATAGCACGTGCCCTGCCTCGTCCTTGCTGGGAGCCCTATCCTCCTATCTCCTGAGCCGGACACTGGGGTGCTCACAGGGAGCACCACTGAGGGACTCATGCCAATCATTCTCCATTTCTTCATGAGAGGCACTGATCAGCTGTCAAATGATGAAAAGGGGAACAGATGAAGAGAAAACAAAGGAAAAAGGGTATTTCAAAACTCCTAAATTCATCCTAGAACAATCCAATATGGTGAGAGAATGTTACACCCATTTGACAGACAAGGACATGAGACAACGCGGTGAAGTACCTGCACAAGCTCAGTCAGCATGTGGTTGGGGGTGGGGGTGTGTTGCGTCCCTGCCCCACCCCCAGGGCACCAGGTAACTGAGGGACCGTGGAGCCAGGAAGCACCAGGGGACACTGGGCTGAGTAAGAGTCAGGAAACCCACACCAGGCTCCACCAGGGTTTGGTTGTGTGTATCAGAGACAGCAGATAACCAGGCCTAGCCTTGGTCTTCTCCACTTGGAATTAGGAACAGTGACACTATTGCTGCTGAGATAAAATGATATGTACATGAGAATGGTTTGAAAATCTGAAAAATCTCTGACAGAATTAAAGGTGGTGAAGTATTGATAATAAAAAATAAAGAGCTAAATGTGGTTCGTTTATATTCACAACTCAGCCCTCTGATTTCCTTTCTGTGGGCAAGACTCTATGTGCTGGCAAGCACTAGCTAATCCACAGGTTAAGCTGCAGAAACACACACACACTTTCTGCAGAGAAGGAAAGGAAACGCAATTGACAGTTACTAACATATCACCTAAAGCACACTCCTTACATCTGAAATGTAAAAATTAAATTGAGATAAAGCCTTAAAGTACTTTCATATGACGATCATATGTATCAGCGCTGTGTTCTTGCGCAGCACCTATGGCATCCTTAGGTAACAAGCTTGCATCCTACTCGGTGGCCGTCAGTAGATGGCCCTCCCCGTCTCCTCTCCCTGACACACACCGCACTGTGCATTCAGTACAACCTACGGGACACCAGGAGACACTTGGGTTGTTTTTCTTTCTGCGTCAGAGTTCCTGTGTCCTCCAGCCATGCTCAGCACCTGAAGAACGTCAGCAAACCATGGCCTGTGGGCTAGGCCTGTAAGCTAAGTATGGTTTTTATGTTTATTCAAGGTTCTTACATTTTTAAATGGTTAAAAAACCGTAAGAATATTTTGTGACAAGTAAAAATTAAGTTAAATTCAAATTTTGGTGTCTGTAAATAAAGGTTTCTGAAACACAGCCCTGCTCATTCATTTGTGAATGACAACATGGCTGCTTTTGCACTGCAAGGTGGAGCTGAGTAGTTGCTATGAAAACCATACAACCCAAGAAGCCTAAAATATTGACTATCTGGCTCTTTACAGAAACAGTCTGCCCACTACCCCTGATGCAGATGGAAGAGAAGTTGATTTAACATGCTTGTGATAACACTGATTTAATGATACTCGTATATATGCAATTCATCAAGAACTTGACTAGAAGTTATGAAACATATTCTTTTAGTCACTCTCTTATTCTTCCACTGTCGAAGAATGATCAGAGAAATGCAAAGAATTTGTTCAAAATAAATGCACAACAGAAAATAACTCTGGATAACTTAAGCGGAAGAGAAAGGCTCCAAAACCAGGCAGCTGAATTGGGTTGTATGCAACCATGAATGCTTTGAAGAGATTCCTAACAAGCGTGTCGGGGTGAAATGGCATGAGGTCTGGGTGTGCTTTAGCATACTTCAGCAACAAAAAGAAAAGTGAGGGGTGTGAGTGTCAGATCTTGATAACCAGGCATAGTATGATTAGAAGACAGCCCCTGGTGCCACCCCCACCACTGTCCCCCGACTCGTGGTGCACTGGGGCACCTGGCCGAGGTTGCTGGCCAAGGTGCCAGCCTCCTGCCCTCCCTTGAGACTGCTTGCTGGGCAATTCCTGAGTATTCTGGCCTGGCTGGTAGCTGGTGATCCACCGACAGCCCAGGTGAGTGCAGGCATCTGGGGCCTGGTTTGCTCCACTCATACACACCCTCAAGGAGGCAATGTGTGGGGCACTCACTCTCTCCTGCACCATGGCAGATGCACCCGGTGCACATTGCCCATGAGTGGACAAGAGTTTAACAAACAGGATGTTCTCAATCCCTCTTGGGTGATTAGATCTACATGGATATTCCTCCATAAGGTAAGGGCTGGCAGAGGTTTCTAGCAGAATGTAGTCCATGCATTCAAACTGGCAAGCAGGTCTCCTTCCCTCCTCTACTCCTAGTTGATTGATAGCAAGCTCCTCTAGGCCACTGCTCCCTAGAACAGCCCAAGGCCTCACAGGGACCATGGAGGTGGGATGGGGGGGCTTTCAGTTTTGAAGGCTCTAAAAGTTCCCAGAAGTAGCTGAGCTCGATCCTGAGATTCCCACTTCTACCACATAAATGAGGTTTCTCCATCTCTTTCCTTTCTTCAACCTGCCTAAGTGTCGGGAAAGAATGAACATTACTGGGCTGAGAAGCTTTGGGGACAGGGTTGTACCTGGGTGTCTTACACCCCAGTGCTTAGCACAGTGGCTGGTAGTCTGCATCTGTAAAAGGAATGGATTTACTGCCACTTCAGTATATGGGGCATGCTTAACTGGACTTTAAAAACACTTCTCTGTTTTGGCAATGCATTAATTTCCAAAGGAGATTACCCTTTAATAAACCTCTAACACCGTGTGTGTGTGTGTGTGTGTGTGTGTGTGTGTGTGTGTAAGAGAGAGAGAGAGAGAGAGAGAGAGAGAGAGAGAGAGAGAGAGAAAGGCTGAGAGATTGAGAGATTGAGAGAGATTATTACCTGTGGTTTTTGGTAAATCACCGTGGCATAGAAACTGCAACGGGTACCAAGATCATTCATCTGGAAAGGAATTAGAAAAGGTTGGCAGCATTACACGAAGCACACAGACGTGGCCAATACCTAAAAAACCTGTTAGAAACAAAGACATTACCTGGAGAATGTCTCTTAAGCAGCGGGTAACTGGAGGCTGGTAAAGCTTATAAATGGGGTCTTCGTCAATTATATCAATTTGTCCCAGATTTGGATGAGCTGTGAGGATGTAACACAAGGCTGGAGGAGGCAGATGAGTTTTTATCTGTTTAAATGAGACAAAGGTAGAAGGTGAATGTATTGTTAAAAGACTCAAAAAGAGGAGATATTATTAAAATCTCCTCTTTAATATATACATATTTGCTTACAGGTGCATCCTCTCTCTGGAATGCTATACAAGGAATGGATTGCATTGTTTACTTCTGGGACCAACTATAAGAACTTCCATACTTATGAACCTATTAATTCAAGGTTTCATTTTAGAAATCTTTCGGGGTATACTGAAAATATCATCTAGAAATTACTTCCTCTTAAGTAATCTAGAAATGGCTTTTTTTTGAGACAGAGTTGCACTCTCGTTGGCTGGAGTGCAATGGCACGATCTTGGCTCACTACAACGTCTGCCTCATGGGTTCAAGCGATTCTCCTGCCTCAGCCTCCCGAGTAGCTGGCATTACAGCCATGAGCCACAATGCCCAGCTAACTTTGTATTTTTAGTAGAGACGGGGTTTCTCCATGTTGGTCAGGCTGATCTTGAACTCCCGACCTCAGGTGATCTGCCTGCCTCGGCCTCCCAAGTGCTGGGATTACAGGCATGAGCCACCGTGTGCTTTGACAACTACTATGCTGTTTAGCACAGTTCAGGGTCACAGACTTAGCACTACTAAGAAGTCAGCCACAACCTAAGGAAGACAGCCCCAGTTTTGTTTTGGGACCTCTGGCCCAAAGCAGCAGCTGGCTAGCCTGCTGGAAAAGGCTCAGGAGGGAGAGGAGGGAACACTTTCCATCCATTTTGCTGCTTCTGAGACACTCTCATAAACAAGCAGGACAATGGAAGTTCCTGGCTACCCAGGACGTTGTACGAATGTCTATGGATTGTATTGAGTTCCTGCTCCAATTGGTAACTGAGTGTTGGTTCTATGAATGACTAGAAGTTCGTGGGAAAAATTCTATATGTTTACTTTAGTACAAGGCTGAGACCCCAACTGTTCCAACAGTATGTGAGGGTTGTGGTTTAAGCATTCATCATAAGTTAACTTCAAGAAAATGCTGTGCAGCACAGTAGGGAAGGCAGCCAGAGCTTGGTCTCCAGGCACCTGAATCCCAATCCTGGCTCATATTCATGCATCACTACAAAGGAACTGACTGCATGGGGGCTCCTTGTTGCCACTGGAGCAGGGGACACAGACCATGTGAGTGACAGTGATGACGCCTGGCTTGGCACCTGGCATGGAGTAGTCTGTGACTGGGGAAGTTTTTCCAGTGCCGGGCTTACCTCTTCACAGGGCTGGTCGCGGCCAGGTGTTTTCAGAGGTATCGCTGGGGGCCACAGGGTGTCAATCAAACTGAAAATCCCCGCTGTCCTGGAACAAGAAAAGTCAAAGGTATTCATCATCAGACATCCCTTACTGAGTACTTGGCCAGTGAGCTGGTAGAATGCTTAACAGACTCTAATGCCTAAGGCCATGGAACTACAATTCGAGATGTGTGGCGATTCAGAGGGGGAAGAAGGCACACAGACAGATGGACAGACACTGTGGGAAACCAACTGCACAACAGGAACTTGCTCACTAAATTAGGATCCATCCACACAGTGAAATAGTATACGGTCACTGAAATGGTTACAAAGAAAATACTTATGGACATGGAAACATGTTTGTGATACCCTGCTAAGAAAAAAGCAGGCAACAAATTAACTCTCTCTCACTCTCTGTGTGTGTGTGTATGTATGTGTATCTATGCATGCATCTATATATATTAAGCCAAAGGAAAAGACTGAAGCCTATAAGAATGTTTTTAGTGGTTATCTGAGTAGAGTTTGGAGGTGATATTTACTTTCTTCCTGTGGATTGGGTATTTTGTATATTTTCCCCAAACAGATATGTATTACTTATGTAAGAAAAGTTATCTGGGCTGGGTGCGGTGGCTCATGCCTATAATCCCAGCACTTTGGGAGGCTGAGGCGGATGGATCACCTGAGGTCAGCAGTTCAGGACCAGCCTGGCCAACATGGTGAAACCCTGTCTCCACTAAAAATACAAAAATTAGCCGGGCATGATGGCGGATGCCTGTAATCCCAGCTACTCGGGAGGTTGAGGCAGGAAAATCGCTTGAACCCGGGAGGCGGAGGTTGCAGTGAGCTGAGATCACATCATTGCAGTCCAGCTGGGTGACAAGAGCCAAACTCCGTCTCAAAAAAAAAAAGTTATCTGAAGTAAAATATATAGAGGGACACAAAAGGACAAACAGTTATGATTTCAGTTGTATGGTTCTCACCTTAGATCTGACTGCACTTCCGAGACCTGGCTCTAACCTTTACCTGAGCCCCTTGTTAACAGAGATGGGGAACAGCAGGGCCCCTGGAGTCAAGAAACTCATCTTGCTTAAGCTCTGCCTTTTATACACTGTGAGACCTTGAGAAAATGCTTGGACCTTGTGTCAGCCCTTCTGGGAAACTGGGGGATGCTGCTGGCATTATTGCAAGGAGTAAAGGAAGTAAAGAACGTATGTGCAGCACCTACTAAGGTTTCTACGCTCAGAGTGAGTGTCCAACACATTAGCCACTTGATGTTACTATAGTTATCAGTATTGTCATTGCTAAAGCCATAAACTTTTATGCTGTTTTTTGCTAAAAAATCTGCCCAGTTGAAGACAGGATTTTAATCCTAGTGTTACTTTGTGAAGAAACAGAGTAAAATTAAGAGCATGATAAAAGATGAGTGTAAAAAAAATTTCTTTATACAGTATAGAAAAATAAACAACCCTTTCCAGACAGTGACAGAGTGCTTATCAATTTCCCTAAAAATTTGGAGTTTCCCAAAAAGTGTTCTGCGAAGTGTAACCCATGAGAACAGAACTCCCTGTTCGGCCATTGTTGCTGTGTGGCACATCTGCGGCTGGCAGGACCCTCACATGCTACAGTGGGACTGGACATGGCAGAGGGCCTAGAGAGCCCCGTGTAAAAGGCACCTGTGACATATTGTTTTATTTTAAACTAAAGCTTCTCCCATTTATAACCATGAAACCCTTTTTGGTGTCATTACTAATAATGTCCTGAGAAACTAGCGTTCCCTTGGAATTCTGACAAATGCTGTTCTAGAAGCACACAGCCATAGGAAAGTTCTATTTGAATTTAATGACTTTTATTTAGAGGATGCTACCAGCTAATTAAAAAAGTTTAGACATATTATACATTTATTTAATGCACAATGCTTAGCTGAAGAATGGCTATGAGTTAAATAAAATGCTTAGTCTCATAAAAAATCAGCTTCTCCACTGTTTTTAAAAACTATTTTTAAAAATAGATAATGGTTTGGATGGCCACTGTTGCCTTGTGAAGCAGAGTTGTCTGGGGGCAGCTGACACATTCATTTAAATGACTCCCGCCTCTGCTGGGCATAGACTTGGTGTAGAAGCTCACTTTTGGCACAGTTAAAAAGTGTATTGTTCCTCTCACTGCAATTCATTCTTTACTATTCATTTTGTTACACAGGAAACATTCTTTTAAAAAAGTGATCCTTTAAAAATATGTTTAAGCAACAAACAGTCTGACAGGGGAGTGGCCACCATTAGTCTGTCTTTTCAAAGATTAATAAACATTTTTATTTAAAAAGTTTAAAATATAAAGTTTAATTAGAGAAAAAAGGGACATACAGATTAATTCATTATGCTTATGATTTGATAACTTAATTATGTTGGAATAAATTTCATGGGGTATACCTTAATTTATAGATTGCATAAAATGAGCCTGCAGACAAATTCAGGTCATTAATCTGTGACAACAAGTTTGTGGAGCAGACAAGGAGAGAAGCAGGGCCAGCTGTCCTACTCACCAGGTCCCTAGTCTGGCAGGCTCTGCAGCAGTCAGCAGCTCACCCAGCAGCTCCCACAAGACTGCCAGAGAGCATGGGGGGAGGTCAAGTCAGCTACCCATCAGTGAAGGGAGAGCCACGTTTCCCATCACACTCAGTCACAGTTCATCTGACCTCTAAAAATCAGCTGTATTTGAAGAGCGGCAAGAAGAAGGCTGGGGGGTGGTGCAGGACACGCGGAGAAGAAAGGAGACAGCATGGTACATGGCATAGGCAGGGAACAGGGACAGCCTGGGAGCCTCCTCTGCGCACTCACTTGGGGGCTGTGGCAGACCCACCTGCAGCACAGGCTGCAGAACACGCAGCTGCTCCTGGAGGCGGGAGGAGGGAGGCAGGAGGCCTGGCAGGAGCCCACGCGTGCTTTCCTAAAGTCACGCTCAGGAAGCTGAAAGACTTTCAGTGCTATGTTTTTATTATAGTAACCAGTGTATTTTTTAAGTGGAAAGATATCAAGATCTATACACATGTTAAAATTGTATCTACCAAGTTATACTTAAAATGGTTAAAATTGTAAATTTTATAGTATGTTATTTTACCACAATGAAAATTATATTTACCATAAAAATAAATATAAGTGTTGTTTTTATCTTTTTTCTTTCTTTTTTTTTTTTAACAGGGTCTCTCGCTCTGTCATCCAGGCTGGAGTGGAGCAATCATGGCTCACTGAGGCCAACCCTACGGCTGTTTTCAAGTCTTCCACACTCTTTAAAGGAAGGCCACCCCGACATGTCACGAGTCAATGAAATGTAAGAGGCACTTTCTGAGAACATGTTCTCACTTATAAAAAAGCCCTTGGAGACACCCCTCAAGAGAGATAGAGTAAGGATGGGGGCACCACATCACTTACATCTCATGAGGGCCCCATGGAGAGACTGAGACTGGGCTGTACTGGAGATGAGGGCCACGCGGAAGGAGTCCTGCCAACTCACGTCCTCCAGGGCTGAGCCTGCACACTCCAACCCCATGATGCTGCAGGTGATGTGCATTTGCTCAGAGGAAAGCTGGCTGCAGACTTGGGGATAGAAAGGACACTGTCCACCTTCCACGGCAGAAATTCTGAATCTCTCTCAGCTTCATCTTCCTCCCTTGTAGGATTCTGTGATTCTCTAATTCCTAGTGCTGCTGCTATCCCTCGCTGACATGTGCCTCTGTTTGAGGAGGAAAGACAGTTCCAAAGTCTCCAGTGCTAGGTGTGGGTGCTGAAGCAGACACCTTTCTATGAGAGTGTGGCAGCATGGGGCGCTAGAAACAACCAGCCATCTGTGATAAGTGCCTTCTGCAGGCTGACAGGTGAGCTTGGCTGACTGAAGACTTTTTGTGTTACAAAGTGCTCTCTGGTGCAAAGCAGAATTGCACCTGAACATTTCCAATCTATTTGTAAAGAAAAATTTACAAAGACAGAGCCATTAACTTTAATTTTAAAAACATTTCCAAATTTGCTGTTTTAGTAATTACCAGATCCTTGAGAGAGAAAAAAATACTCTAAACATTATAAAGGGTTAGGAATAAACAAATGGAGATATTTATACGGAGCAAAGTTAACTTCTTAGAATGAAAAAAAACCAATTTTCTTGTCTGAATTTTGTTGTTGGTAACATATTTTGGAAGCTGTCAAAATCTAAGTAGAAAACAAATCACAAAGGAAGAGAACCAACTTGAGACCATCTTCAGAAAAAAATTACAAATTCAGTTCAAGAGTCGGAAGTGATGTCAAAGGACAGATGTTTCTCCTTAGTAAACAAACTAGAGCTGAGGTTTCCCATCGTGCGACAAGAAAGGTGCATGGAAATGAGTAAGGTGCAGATAACTTTAACTGGGTGCCTCCATTTCCTGAATTCCTAAAAAGGCAGCCCCAGCATCACTCATGAGCTCAGAAGTGAGGATGGGGCAAGTCCTGGGGCAATAGAAATCAGCTGCGGACCAAGAAGAGAGTGGGAGTGGCACCACGCCCAAGAGGAGTCTCAGAAATATACAATAGATGAAGGAAGCAGGGTTCCCACCTCACTGCCATTGAAACAATGCTAAATTTACATATTTTTACACACATTTTATGGATATTTTGGTGTAGCAAATGATCTACCTCCTCTGGCCTCATTATAGCTGGTGTTATTTATCTTGATTGGTAGATGACAAATGTCATTTGGAAAACCAACCATTCAAAGTAAGGGCAACCAAGATTTCCACTCTCCAGTCCACTGGAAGAAAGTAAACATGGAAAGTCTTCTTTGCACACCGGAACATTAGCTGATATTACCAGCTTGCTTGCCTATTCTCTTAGTTATTTCAGGGCTTATTTTTTCCATCTGATACTGTCTCATCCAACTAACTCTCAAATCTTCACAGGACAATTTAAAACTGCCTGAACCACTTTCTTTTGGGTGTGGATAGAGTGGAATTTGCTCTAGGAGATTTAAGCCACAATGGTGCTGTGGACAACAGAAAACGGGAAGATAACAAGGAAGCACCTGGCCCATGATGGACTCACCCTCAGAGAGCTTGGAATCATTTTTTTTTTAACCAAGCATGTATTCTGGGTATAAAATGTTCTTAAAATTTGTCATGTTGCTGCTAATTTCTCTGTACCTGTTACTGCTGTAGGACTCATACCTCTCCAAGAGAGTTCATTTGGATAGTGGAATACTTTAGACTAGTCATTCTTAAAGTGGGGTCTGGGGGTCGCTGGAGGTTCCGAGAGCCTTTCAGGCAGCCTACAAGGCCAAAACTGTTTTCTGCCAAGTCTTTATTTTTCTTTCTCACTTCCATTCTCTCATGAGTGTACAGTGGTGTTTTCTAGAGGCCCATGATGTGTGATATTACAACAGACTGAAGGCAGAGCACAGATGATAATCCATCATCTCCTGTTCAACCAGTGAAGAGACCTGCAAAACACAGGGCAATGTGACTCTCATTGCTAAATATGTTTTTGTGTTTTAGGAAATATTTTTCATAAAAAATGTTATTTAGGTTGTCATCTAATAGGTTGATTATAGATGCTTTTAGGTAAATTAATGTGTTAAATCTTTTTCAGTTTTAATTTCTAATAAGGTGAATACTGATTAACTCATATTTTTTTTTAAAAAAACCTCTTTGGGCCCTCATTTTTTATATTACACACATACACACACCCCAAATATATATATTTTTTGGAGATAGAGTCTTGCTCTGTCACCCAGGCTGGAGTGCAGTGGTGTGACCTCCTAGGCTCAAGCAATCCTCTGGCCTTAGCCTCCCAAGTAGCTGGGACTACAGGTGTGCACCACCATTCCTGGCTAATTTTTAAAATTTTTCGTACAGGATGGGGTTTCACTATGTTTCCCAGACTGGTCTCCAATGTTTGGCCTCAAGTGATCCTCCTGCCTTGGCCTCCCAAAGTGCTAGGATTACAGGTGTGAGCCATCATGCCTGGCCAGTCCTCATTCATTTTTATTTTTTTCTTTCCTCCCCGCTTATCTTTTACATGGTCATGTTCTTTAGATTGTCTCCCCTCTCTCAGTCTGTCTCCCTTTCCTGCCCACTGCTGGCCACACACTACACATCTTCCCCCACACAGCAGGGTCTCTACGTGCCAGAGACAACAGACTTTTCAGACATATCTGGTAGGCTGTATTTTAAGATATAATTTCAGTGCAGTCTAAGAAACAATTTCCTATTTGTTGCTGAATCATTATTAATAGTGTCCAATAAACTTAGATAGGAATCCTATTTTGAGTTACAAAGGTAAATTCCCATTCATTGTAAAATTAGGTCAATGCATGTGGGTTATTTATAAATAATGTAACACTTCCTATAACTCCATTCTTTCCTGTGGCTCCACACTCGACATAAAAATAGTAGTTTTAGGAGCAGGCCAACCTGCAGTGTTGAGAAAGACCTGTGGAGACTGAGGAAGTCTCTCTGGACCGGAAAGGAGCTCTTCATGTGGCTCCTGGGGCTAGGGCCATGCTCCCACACTCCCACCCTGGAGGACCACCTCTGAGAAGGGCTCTTAGCGCTGCTGTGGCTCCCACTGCATGAATGTCACATCAGTGCCAAAGAGAACAGCAAAGGCCGAGCAGTCTTGAAGAGGCAATTCCTGTAAGAATCACTGTTGGGTTCTGTACAAGGACATAGGTGAGAAGAGGCACAGAGGTCACCCCTGATGCCACTCTGAGGCGCCTCTGCCCCACCTCACCCTGTGTTCCGGGGCTGGTCACCACCGAGATCCTCTGGCTTAGTTAGTGCTGCCTGTTTTGTGTCCTCACGAGAATGTGAACCTCCTGAGGGCAGGCTCTATGTGTCTGTTCTCTGTGGAATCCCAGTGCCTAGATGACAGACTGGTGCCTGGGAGGCGCATAACGCTGGCATGGCACGAGGCCATGGATCTGGCATACTAGCTAGCAGGGCCGGCAGGACTCTTCAATCCCACCGGCCAGTACTGCACAGTAAGGACACATGGCATTTCAGCAATGCCGGCACCTGTCACATATCACAAGTGTCCCTCAACGCTTCAGTATGAGAATTTTTCATGAGCCCTGATTTCTTCTGTAAGAAACCCATGGCTTCTGATACATTTCTTTAACCTAAATTCACTTGTTCATTTCATTCATTTAATATTAAACTCTAGGCTAGTTGGTGACACAGTTTAGGTATATAATTAAGGAGTAAAAATAATGCCTTCCAGAAGATAGCTTATCTACTTTTATGTCACCCTTATACACACAAAAAAACAATACTTGAGTGAATTAAACTTTTGCCTTCATACTGAAATGGATTTCCTCCAACAAGATTTGTTCTGCTAGGCAGACAGCAACAAATAGCCCAAGAGATCATGAACAAACTGGTAGGAGCCATGGAAACCTTAAGACTCTAACAAGATTAGAATAGCAGTGATTAAAATGTACCATTAGGCTGGTGGGATGGTAAAATGAGGCC
The DNA here is from genome assembly GCF_000001405.40 of Homo sapiens. Lineage (NCBI taxonomy): Eukaryota > Metazoa > Chordata > Mammalia > Primates > Hominidae > Homo > Homo sapiens. The sequence goes on along the minus strand of NC_000008.11, from coordinate 47,692,983 downwards.
ATCGCTCTGGAAAGCTGCGTGGCAGCAATCCAGCCATTCATCTCCTTGCTGTCTATCCAAGAGAACTGAGAACTGACATCCACACAGAAACTTGCATATGAATGTTTGCAGCAGGATTATTCAAGGTACCCAGAAAGTAGAAACAACCCAAATGTCCATCAACTGTTGAATGGATAAATAAATTTGATGTATCTATGTCATGAAATATTATTCAGCCATAAAAAGAATGAAATTCTGGCCGGGTGTGGTGGCTCACACCTGTAATCCCAGCACTTTGGGAGGATGAGGCAGGTCGGTCACCGGAGGTCAGGAGTTCGAATTAGCTGGGTGTGGTGGCATGCACCTGTAATCCCAGCTACTCTGGAGGCTGAGGCAGGAGAATCGCTTGAACCCAGGAGGCAGAGGTTGCAGTGAGCCAAGATCGCACCATTGCACTCCAGCCTGGGCAACAAGCAAGAAACTCAGTCTCAAAGAAAAAAAAAAAAAAAAAAAAAAAGGAAATTCTGATACATGTTACATCATGGATGGACCTTAAAAACATTCTGCTAAAGTGAAAGACACCAAAGGTCACATCTGTATGGTTCCACTGACAGGAAACGTCCAGAACGGGCAAATCCACAGAGACGGAAAGCAGAGGAGTGGCTGCTGGGGGAGAGAAAGTGCGGAGCTCCTGCTGAAGGTACAAGGTTTCTTTCTGAGGTGATGAAAATGTGCCAGAATTAGGGTGCTGGTTGCACAACTTTGTGAGTAAAATAAAAACCAATGATTCGTACACTTTAAAAAGGGTAAATTTTTAGTATGTAAATTACATCTCAGTCAAGCTATTACTTAAAAAGTGTCATTAACTTAAGACAGGGGCCACTAATCAGGAGACCACTAAACCTGACCTGAAATACTTCCATTGCTATACTTTCTTGAACTCTGCTTAATGATTTTCCTACGAACATTATCTTTCTTCTGTCCTCAAAGCCCCCATTCAAAACTAATCTCAAAGCTTCCAGGAAATGAAAAACTGGGGACTTCTGCAATAAAAGAGTAGTGCTGCTATCTTCACTGGAAAGCTGACACAGAGCCCAGGAGCAGCACAGGGTTGGGAGCGAGCCCAGTGGCTTCAGCACTCTACTTTTGGAGTGGTTGCGCTTCCTTTTCCTAAGTCAAGCTAGCGGAATACTAATTCCATGTAACCCCCGGTGTGCCCATCGGTCCTGCTAAGCCACAGGAGCGGGTCTTGAGCACCAGACAGGACAGCCCTGCACTGTGGCTCTTCAGAGGACAGAGACAGCACCTGTGCTGGGCCAAGGGTTTGTGGCAGCACAAGAGAACATGGCTTAGAATACAAAGAAAAATACTTCCTTGGGTTTCCACAACTATATAAAACTGTGGCCATGTGAATTTCATACTTAAACCCTCTTCTATGACATAAGATATTGCAGAACAGTAAAATGCACACCATAAAGCAGTATTTCAGTAATACTTCTGGTGTGTCCTGGAGCAGCCCTTCAACCACCGTGGTGGGACAGCCAGGAAGGGAAACTGATCAGGCATTCTGACTCCAGAGATTGATCTCCGCTAAGAATAGCCTATGAATACCGTATAGATGTGGGAACTTACGAAACATTTCCAAAGCAAGTTCACTGAATTTCAGGAAGATATTTTTCTTTTTCTTTTCTCTCTTTTTTTTTTTTTTTTTTTTGAGACGGAGTCTTGCTCTGTTGTCCAAGCTGAAGTGCACTGGTGCAATCTTGGCTCACCACAACCTCCGCCTCCTAGGTTTAAGTGATTCTCGTGTTTCGGGCTCCCAGTAGCTGGGATTACAGGCGTGCACCACCATGCAGGGCTAATTTTTGTATTTTTAGTAGAGATGGGGTTTTGCCATGTTGCTCAGGATGGACTCAAACTCCTGACCTCAAGCAATCTGCTCTCCTCGGCCTCCAAAAGTGCTGGGATTACAGGCATGAGCCACTGCACCCAGCCAGCAAGATATTTTTCAGATTGTAGCTAGTTGGAGAAACTGAAAGAAGGAAATTAAAACACACATCTGAAATTAAGCCCTTTGCACTATTCCTTTGAATCTCTGCTTAAATTTATATAATTATATAAGATAAATTTGTAACTCTGGAATGTCTCACATTTTACAGGACATCTGCTAGTTTTATTTATTTTTTGAGATGGAATCTCGCCTTGTCACCCAGGCTGGAGTGCAATGGTGCGATCTTGGCTCACTGCAACCTCCGCCTCCTGGGTTCAAGTGATTGTCCTGCCTCAGCGTCCAAAGCAGCTGCAACTACAGGCGCATGCCACCATGCCTGGTTAATTTTTGTATTTTTAGTAGAGATGGAGTTTCTCCATGTTGGCAAGGCTGGTCTTGAACTTTTGGCCTCAAGTGATGTGCCCACCTCAGCCTCCGCAAGTGCTGGGATTCCAGGCGTGAGCCACCGTGCCCAGCCTGCTAGTTTTATTTAAAAATGTCTTTTGTTAAAGACAGGGCATTAAAAATAATATATGTATATAAATTATATAAAAATAATATAATAATATATAAAGAAAAAATCCTCCTAATCAACTCTTGACTCAAGATTGGGGACATAAAATTATCAAGTAGTATAATTTAGTAACTTTGTAAAAAAAAATGTTCTTTACACACTTCTGTTCTACTTCATTGGGAAATTACACACACAGGCGCACGTGCACGCGCACCCCTCACCCCCCCCACACACTCTCTCAACTTCACAGGAAATGAAGAGCTCCTGAAACATGTTGCTATCTGTAACTCTGCAAACAGTTCTCTCTTCTGTCCTGGTGGTACTTATTATTCCAAAAGCCTCACATGATCCACTCGCTCACCAGCGTGGAGGTGGAAAAACCCACACTACCACACAAAATCTGTCAGCCCATATCTCTTATAGACACGTGTAAGTTTTTTTTTTTAACCAAATATTATAAGTGTGCTCTGATACTTAACAAAAATGCTTGTCTCCTTACAATTCATCTTATTATCTTGAATTCACACATCAAGTAGCCTCCCCTCATATAATGTTTCAAAGACTGAAACTGTTGAGTCCTATTAAAATAATTTACATTGACGTGCCAAATAATGAAGAAGAAAACAACAAAATACCCTTTATCAAGCGACCAGGCTTCAACCTGATCAGTAAGCAGCCTGCAGTGTGCCACGGCTGGCCTTGGGGAGGGGTGGGACACCGGCATTGGAGTGTGCCTCATCAGAGCTCCCATGCCACCCCCAGTCACGGAGAGTTGCAGACGAGAAGGGGCTGTGGCTTATGTCACAGTCAGACATCTGGTGTGGACTCTGTTCTACCCATGCCTCCTCTGCAAGGTACCCAGTACCATGAAGCTAGGCTATGCTTCAAGCTGCCAGAATGGATGCAGAATTTGCTTGGGAGCCATGTGAAAGTGAGCTTTAACCCCACTTTCCTACTTTCCAGTTGTATGGCATAGAGTAAAATCTTTATTCCTGATGAGCTTCAAGCTCCTCATCTGTGAAGTGGGTAAAATAATATCTGCTTCTGAGACTTATTTTGAAGATCACACAAAACGGACCTAATTGGCCTGCGATAAACGGTAGCTCTTGACTTTTACACTTCACTGTTTCCCTTGGTACTCAAGTTAATCTCATTTTACCTGAAGGAGACACAGACCCATAGCCTCTGCTGGGAGTGTTCTGGTTAAAGGTAAGCCAACCAACCCGGGAGAGCTATGGGTCCAGAAGCCATTTCAAAAACACTTGATGCTTCCTGCGGCCCTGCCTGGGGGTCATGAAAACAAGTCCAGTTACATACTCTGGCCAGGCAGTCCCACTTTGGGAATGCTATCCGCTCCCCCTCCAAAAATTGGTACTTCTGCCGATAAAAAGACAAGCCACCTACAACACATAAATTATACACAACCAATGAAGGACTACTACTCAGAATATATAAAGCTCAACACCCCAAAAGAAAAATAAACAAAAGACTTGAACAGCACTTCATCAAAGTGGAAACACAAATGGAAATACACAGCAAAAGGCTCTCAGCCTCAGCGGTAATCAGGAACTGGAATTTAAACCACAGTGAATTCCACTACAGATCTACCAGTTTGAAAAAAATGCAGGCCAGAAAAAAGATAATGAAAAAGACACCTAAGTGTACCAAATAATGGAAAGACAGCAGAGCAGCAGGAACTCTACTATGCTAACAGAAATGGAGGCTGAACTCCGCTCCTGGAAGACAGTTTAGCACTATCCATTGAAGGTGAGGAACACCCCACCCCCACGATGTGCACACCTGTGCCCTAGGGGATACACAGCAAGGGCTCCTGCCGCTGCCAGCAGTGGTCGGAAATGCCTAGAACAACTGCATGAACAAAGAGACTATGGTAAATGCATAAAATGGAATGAAAACGAATAAACCGGAGCTACCTGCAATAGACAGAAGAAACTTACAAGGTTTATTGGTTTAAAACTATGTTGTTTCCGTCCTCTTTTGTAAGGGTCCCCCACACCAGGGTCCTTTTGTGTGCAGCTGGGGCCGCGGCATCTCTAGTGAGCAAAAAAAGCAAAACACGGCCGGGCGTGGTGGCTCACGCCTGTAATCCCAGCACTTTGGGAGGCCGAGGCGGGCGGATCTCGAGGTCAGGAGATCGAGACCATCCTGACTAACACAGTAAAAGCCCGTCTCTACTGAACATACAAAAACTTAGCCGGGCATGGTGGCGGGCGCCTGTAGTCCCAGCTACTAGGGAGACTAAGAATGGTGTGAATCCAGGAGGCGGGGCTTGCAGTGAGCCAAGATTGCACCACTGCACTCCAGCCTGGGCAACAGAGAGAGACTCCGTCTCAAAAAATAAATAAATAAAATAAAATAAAAAGCAAAACACAAAGAATGCACAAGCATGATGCTGTTTCCATAAAGTTCAAAAACAGGTAAACCTATACGCATGCACACACACACACACACACACACACACACTTTTTTTTTTTGACAGCCAGGTCTCAATCTGTCACCCAGTGATTCTCCCATCTCAGCCTCCCAAGTAGCTAGGACTACAAGTGTGCACCACCACACTCGGCTAATTTTTTACTTTTTGTAGAGATAAGGCCTCACTATGTTGCCCAGGCTGGTCTCAAACTCCTGGCCTCAAGTGATCCTTCTGTCTTGGCCTCCCGAAGTGCTGGAATTACAGGCGTGAGCCACTGTGCCCAGCCTAAATATATTTCTAAAGATGTACAAAAAGTAGTATAACTGTAAAGAAAAACATGGAAACACTCTCAGAAGTGTGAAGATCTTTAGGATCAGGGTAGGGGCAGCAGGTGGCTTCTGGATACCCACCATGTTTATTGAATTACAGTGGTGGCTTAATGAGTGAGCTTTATTTATTCACTTATTATTTGTTACAATCTACAATTATGCCCTCTTTCATATGCTTGTTATATTTCACAGTAAAGAAGGTTAAAATATAAGCTCAATACATACAGGAGATACAGACAGAGATATACAAGGAAGTGTGTTGCAGCACTGCTTTGAAGTGGTAAACACCAGAAACAACCTGAATGTCTATCAGGAGAGGGACATCCTGGTGAAATTAAGTGAAAAACGCAAACCATATCTTTTTGTTTATAGATATGTCTACATTCGTGGAGAAAGATGTGAAAGATTACTTACCGGGGTAAATATCCAGTGGGTAAAAGGTAAAAGAGAGATTATTAAATTGTTGTTATAATTTATGTTAATTCTGTTAACAGCAACAACCAACAAAACAGTGGCTATATTATTATCACATTTATGGATCATACTGAAAGTCCTAATCTGAGGCCTTTTACAAATGTATGGTCCAGGTTCAATGGCTTCATCACAACCCACTCCGTTGTTGGTGGCTTGAGAAAGAGAAGTAAATTATCTTGCTTTTATTTAACAGTAATGAAAACTACTAAAAGTAATGATATTAAAAGTAATGGTAAAAACTGCAATTACTTTTGCACTAACCTTTTTTAAAAGCTAATTATTTTTGTTAATAAGTATCTAAGTAAACTTTGAAAAAAAAAAAGAACCCTAACTAAACCAAAAGCAGGCAGTGTAATTATTTACTATGGATTTAATACTCCTAGTTACTCAAGACAATCCTACTATAGATAGTTTATTGCTGTTGTTTAACAAAAACAGTGGAAAATACCAAGAATCTAAATTAATATCAACATCACTGACAAGAAATAATCAGATTTTTATTTTGAGGGCCAGGGGTTATAAATATAAAACAAATGAGAAATTTATAGAAATGAATTCCCCTAAAACTGGAAGTAATTAAATGTCAGCTGTAGTACTGAAAATCAGACTTTGGAATTTGGTGCACCTGTCTTAAGACCCAGCTCACATACAGGGATCCAAATTACTTAATGTCAGTGAACTTCAGGGTCTTATCTAAAAAATAAATACCATGATCTAATTTATTAGCTAGTTTGAAGGTAAAATGAAAAAATAGAGTGACTCTAGTGACACTCAAGCTTTCTTTTCTTTCCACTTTCAGCATCCCGTATTAACAGAGATTTTCTTGGCAAATTATAAAGATTTAAGTATTTTTTCCAAAATTCAAATCTGTAAGATTTTCCAATTTTGAGAATTCAGCTAATAATAGCATATTTAAAGTAAATATTTGGATTTTTTATTTGAGATTAATACAGGAACATTTCTATTCTGCTTCTGAATCATACTGCTACCCAGTGTCCCCATGGTAGCAACTACTGCCGCAAGCTATTAACCCGAGAGGAAGAAAGAAGAACTATGGAACATGTGAAATGTTTATATGGGCAATTAATCCACAACAGATGCTTTCAGACTATGCTGCTGGACTCCTAAGGAGCTGGGTGGGGAGCCATGGTGGCCCAACTCATCCACCTTCCAGAACAAACAACTTCACATAATTTGTTTTATAAGCTTCCCCTTCCCCTTCCCTTCTCTCTCCTCCTTGCTTCCTTCCTTCCCTCCCTCCCTTTCCTTGTGTATAGACAGGTCTCGAGATGTTGCCGAGGCTGGTCTTGAACTCCTGCACCCAAGTGATCCTCTTGCCTTGGCCTCCCAAAGTGCTGGGATTACAGGTATGAGCCATCGTGCCTGAACAGATTTCTATTAAAGAAAAACAGGGCCAGGTACGGTGGCTCACACCTGTAATCCCAGCACTTTGGGAGGCCGAGGTGGGCAAATCATGAGGTCAAGAGATTGAGACCATACTGGCAACATGGTGAAACCCCGTCTCTACTAAAAATACAAAAATTAGCTGGGCATGGTGGTGTGCACCTGTAGTCCCAGCTATTCGGGAGGTTGAGACAGGAGAATCGCTTGAACCTGGGAGGTGGAGGTTGCAGTGAGCAGAGATTAAAAAAAAAGAAAGAAAAACAAAAACTGAAAGTCTTAAAACCACTGATCTCTGCCAATGCACTCCAGCCTGGGCGACAGAGAGAGACTGTCTCAAAAAAATAAATAAATAAATAAATAAATAAATAAATAAATAAATAAAACCACTGACCTCCTACTGGTAGATAATTATAATTTCTGTGGTAAGAAGGACAGTGAAGGGTAGGGTGGGGGAAATATTTTTAAGAGAAGAAATGATTTAAAAAAAGAATAAAACAAAACCCTGCCCATTTACTGAATTCTAGACTTACTGTGCTGCAAGGTAAATTAACTAGTTAAATTACTAACCTGGAGGGATAAGTGGTATTTGTTTTTATGCTGTCATATCAGCTGATCTTCCATTTGTTTTTTGTTTGTTTGTTTGTTTTTTGAGACGGAGTTTTGCTCTTGTTGCCCAGGCTGGAGTGCAATGGCATGATTGGCTCACTGCAACCTCTGCCTCCAGGGTTCAAGCGATTCTCCGGCCTCAGCCTCCCAAATAGCTGGGATTACAGGCATCTGCCACCACGCCCGGCTATATTTTCAGTAGAGACAGGGTTTCACCATGTTGGCCAGGCTGGTCTCGAACCTCTGACCTCAGGTGATCCACCTGCCTCAGCCTCTCAAAGTGCTGGGATTACAGGTGTAATGGGCGCCCGGCCCATTTGGTTTCTTTTATCCCTGTTTTAACTAGATCTCTCTGTACAAATCCCACTGGCTTAATTTCCATTCCTTCCCATTATTGGGTAATTGACAATGCCTAGCAATGTCCAACTGGATGATTTATATTCTTCCTTGGGAAAAACATGGAACACTTTCAAACTGTATCATTTTTCTAAATTACTTCTGATTTCTTTCCTCTACCCATTTTGTTTGTAAAAACAAGACAACAAAGTCTTGGGTCAGTGCTGGCTGGATTTCTACTTTTTCAATTAAGTAGAAAGAGAAAGTCTGAGGAAGAAGGGAAAAGCAACTTCTTACATGGTGGTTTACATTGCACAAGGTACTTCTATGAATGTGATCTCATTAAATCCTCCTAACAACTTTTGGAAGTAGATTTATCCTTGTTGATAACTAAGGATGGGATTAGTACCAATCAACCAGCAAATTTAAAAACCAATGTATTAACCAAGACATATGGATTCTAAAGCCAGAGCTGTGAATCAGTGCTGAATCACAGCTTCTCCCCTCAGTGATCAGGATGCTCCTAGAAGTTTTTGTTGTTGTTGTTTTAACCAGCAAGTCCCCTTGAGTAAGCTTGGCCCTCACAGTCAAATAATTCAGAGCTAACTCGGTTATACTGTGTTCCTTGGTTATGTGGGAGTAGGTAGTGGAGTGAGGGAGGAAGAATAAAGTCACTTTTGAGAACACTTCTAAAAAATTTGTTTTTATAGCCAAGAAAAAATTTTAACAGTTTGTTAGGTTCAGATTTCATCATTTATTAATCAGGTTTTTTTTTTTTTTTTTTTTTTTTTGAGACAGAGTCTTGTTCTGTCACCCAGGCTGGAGTGCAGTGGTGTGATCTTGGCTCACTGCAACCTCTGCTTCCTGGGTTCAAGTAATTCTCCCTGCCTCAGCCTACTGAGTAGCTGGGAGTACAGGCACGTGCCTCTATGCCAAGCTAATTTTTTGCATTTTTAGTATAGACGGGGTTTCATCATGTTACCCAGGATGGTCTCGATCTCCTGACCTCGTGATCCACCCGCCTCAGCCACCCAAAGTGCTGGAATTACAGGTGTGAGCCACCATGCCCGGCCAAATTGGGTTTTTATTGAACACTGTGCTAACTGCTACAGAAGATACAAAAATAACACTTGGCCCTGAACAACAGCCTATTTTTGGTCAAAAGATGGTCTGACCAAAGTTGAGTATCCCTAATCTGAAATTCAAAACCTTTTGTGCACTGATGTGACACTCAAAGGAAATGCTCTTTGGAGTATTTTGGATTTCATATTTTCCCATTAGGGATGCTCAACCAGTAAGTATAATGCACATATTTCAAAATTCATAAAAATCAGAAATTTGAAACACTCCTAGTCCTAAGCATTTCAGAAAAGGGATGCTCAACTTGTACTGGGAAAATAAGTTTATGGGTAGAGGGTAAGGTCATTTTACTCTGAGCGCTTTCCCACGGGCCTCTGCCTAGAAACTAGAACCTATGAGTCCCAGCCAAAGGGCTCCTCCCCTGCTGAACAAAGAAGATGAGGGGGATGTTCACCCACTACAGCAAAAGTGTTATTAACCTGCTGCTCTCTGGAGTGTAAATGCCTTGAGGGCAGGAGCTATGACTTCACAAGCCCATGCTAAGGTGCTGTTTGCTGAAAGAATAAGTGAAGCCATAGCAACATACAGAAGACTGTAGTCAAAGCAGAACTTTTATCTAATTGACAATAATGTGAGCTTATTTTTGTTGAGTAGTGGTAAATATAGTCTAAAAGTTTTAAATAGTTTTAGCTTCAGTAGTAGAAGGGTAGGTACTCAGGGCAGGAATGCTGGGAATTGTTAATGCTTAGCCTACACAGTTCAAACAGAATCTCTCAGACGGTTTGTGGTTCTCATTCATCCTCCTTCCTGTGATCAAACAGATGGGTGTTCCAAGCCTGATCACAGTCCCTTGTCTTCCCTTTGCATGCTTTAATCACTCTTGATTTTCACTCTCATTGATAGTGAAAGTAGATTACATACAGTAGATATAAAATCAGGTTTCTTATCTTAAGGATAAGAGATCTTCCACTGAAAGACAAAAGTGATGGCTGGTTTAGAGGGGTGCCCATTTTAATAAACAAATCCGTGTTCTTATTTCCCCAAAATACCCTTACTGGCCAAGGTTAATAACTGGCATTTCCTCCTTTTTGAGCCCCTATTCCTTATGTTATACCTTTTTGATAAATGTGGAATTATGCCCAGAAGTTCCATTGAGAAACTATTATTTTCCAACTGAACTTATGAAATAGTTGTAGTTATTTTCATAACAGCATAAGCACTTTCTAGACATTCAGTTTTCTTTTTTAAACTTGAGGTAAAATTAATATAACATAAAATTATACTAAGAAAATAACTAAAGGAAATTAAAACCTCATGAAATTAGTCATGTTAAAGTATGCAATTCAGTGGTATTTAGTACATTCAGAATGTTGTGCACACACTACCTCTATTAAATTGCAGAATATTTCCATATCCCAAAGTAGACCCCAACCCCATTAGCAGTCACTCCCACTTCCTCTCCTCTCAGGCCCTGGCAGCCCATCTGCTGTCTCCATAGATTTGCCTGGTCTGGACATTTCACAATACGGGAGTCACAAGGCATGAGACCTTTTGTGTCTGGGTTTTTTTTTTTTTTTTTTTTTGGACTTAGCATCATGTTTTTGAGGTCCTTCCATGTTGTAGCATGCTCCTTTTAGTTAGTTCACTTTGGACGTAATAAAAACCTCTTTTATGGCCCATTTCATGTCTTCTCTTAAAGATGTTTCCTTCCTTTACTTCCAGTTCTCTCTGTTTGCATTGGGGTGATGTTTTAGGACAACGACCACCTTGGTTTAATTGTATCACTTTTGAATTTTATTATTGGTGCTATATCCCATATTCTTCTGGTCTAAGCACATAAATTCCTCCTTTTTTCCCTCCTTAATTAAATCACTGAAGATTCATGACTGTTTAGCTGCTAATTAAAATGAAGAAACTAAAACTTGGAAGTATAATATTGCTCAGGTTGCTGTATTTCTACACACTCCTTTATTATTCTAATGAGAAAATAAGTCTTTGTAAATTAAAGATTCAACTTTTCAACTTCTGATTTTCTTCATTGTTCTTATGCAAAATACACATTATCAAAATTATTTTAAGCAGATTATTAAGATAAAGACTCCTTGTATAAGAATCAATTAATGTGTTCATAGTAAAGCAACCAAATATATAAGGAAGTGAAGAAACAGTTGAAGCCTTAGAGAGTTATAAATTCTAATAATGATTTGTGTGACTTGGGACTAAGACCTTAGATTTAAAAAATATGTTTCCTTTAAAATAAGTCACGATCTCTATTAATCTTGGATTAGACTCACTAGTAAAAATAATTGTCAGTTTACAGTAACAATAAAGACACTCAGAAATAAAGCGATTAAACAAAAATCAGGAAAACAGACTTCATCTTCCTAAAATGTAACCAATCCAAAGAAAATGTTTTGTAGAGCTTACTGTACCTTCTAAAATGCTCTATGTTAAAAAAAAAATCGCAATCCGGATGCTTAGAATGCATTATTTTAGCAGAAGATCTTACAAAGAGATACTTTACAATAGTTAAATATTGGCCCAAAAAACCCCAGTCTTAAAGGACAATAAAATTAAATTTTGACTTAAAATACTAGTGGGAGGTAACATTTGGCAGAAAGAAAAAAACTATAGGGAAAACACAAAACATACTCCTAAACTGATGAAGGGCTTGAAGTAACAGCATGCTGCTCAGGTAGAAGGTGTCTACTGTTGCTGCTCTGAGCAGTCCTGGTCTCAAGATTCGCATTCTCTCTCTCTCTCTTTTTGTTTTTTGAGATGGAGTCTTGCTCTTTCGTCCAGGCTGGAGCGCAATGGCGTGATCTCGGCTCACTGCAACCTCCGCCTCCCGGTTCAAGTGATTCGCCTACCTCTGCCTCCTGAGTAGCTGGGATTAGAGGTGCATGCCACTATGTGGCACGCCTGCCTGGCTAGAAACTCCTGACCTCAGGTGATCTGCCTCTCGGCCTCCCAAAGTGCTGGGATTACAGGTGTGAGCCATTGAGCCCAGCCCAGCACTCTATCTTAAGTGGTACTTTATTCTCCTTTCAGAAACTTCGGTGAAGTCACCAGGAACAATTTTATTTTTCAAAATCATGAAAGAATTCTTAGAAATGTCCTTTGAAGCAGGGTTTCTAAGCATAGCAATTAAGAAAGAGATTCTGGACCTCAAACCCCAAGGGAAGTGTGTGGCTTTTTAAAAGGGTGGCCTTTTTGAAGAAGGAAAATCAAAGGAAGTAAATTACTATTGAAGTTTCTTACCCACGGAGAGCTCTTACCACTACATATTTCCTGTTAAAGGAGCCTCTGAAATGATTCTCCAATACATAACCCGGCCCAGTAAACTTGTGTGGAATGATTCCTAAGGGTTCCCTCTCCAGCACTTTGGTGTACCCCAGTCTCACTCAGCTGGATGGAACGTGATGGGCTCTGCGGGAGACTGAAGGCCCCAGCATCCTGCCCAGTCACAGCTGGGCTGGCTGGTGGACCCTGGGCCAGTCACCCCACCTCTATCTCAGGCCCTCTTCTGTAAGACTGGGTGGACATTGAGCTTCCTCCTCTGTAATTGACTTTTGTGAAGACTAAAAGGAAAAGGGAAAGTGCAATGCATACAACTTTTTTTCCTGTGAAAAATTCATAATGAACACTCACACTCTTGCCATCCGTGATAAAGTGCTTTCACCACATGCCCATGTTCACTTTCCCTTAAATTAGTGAGGACACCGAGGGTCTGTGTCCAGAGGCACATGGCTAGCGTGGTTGTCACCTGCACCGCACACAGACTCTGTCACCTGCACCGCATACAGTAATGGGTCGCCACCCTTACTGCTAAAATTGAGCTCCAATAATTATGAAGTATAAACACACATTTAAATCTTGCTGACAAAAGTTCTAAGATTAACCCAAGAAAACACCTAATGTGCATCCCACAAATACAAATTATTTGCTTATCATGTGTCAGAAATTCTGCTATCTACAGAAAATATAACGGTAAATGAGAAACAGCACCTGCCCTGAGGGAGCCTACCAACCAGCAGGCAACTGTGAAATATGGCGGCTGGGCATGCAATTGACACACCTTCACTGACTGTCTATGTGCAGACACCCTACAAGGAACAGTTGTAATGATGATGAAGCCATCATAGGTCCATTAGACTTGGAGCCCAGTGGCGCAGCACATGGCACAGGCCAGCACTGGAGGGGATGGAGGCAGGCGGGCACATGGCACAGGCCAGCACTGGAGGGGATGGAGGCAGGCGGGCACATGGCACAGGCCAGCACTGGAGGGGATGGGGGAAGTGGGCACCTGGCACAGGCCAGCACTGGAAGGGGTGGGGGGAGGTAGGCACCTGACACAGGCCAGCACAGGAGCGGATGGGGGCAGGTGGGCACCTGGCACAGGCCAGCACTGGAGGGGGCGGGGGAAGGTGGGGACCTGGCACAGGCCAGCACTGGAGGGGATGGGGAAGGCAGGCACGTGCCATGGGCCAGCACTGGAGAGCAGCCCTTGTATGATGCATCTATGATGCACTGGAGGGCTCCTCATATGAATGGCATGATGTTCTCATATTATTCATCAAAAAAGGGGCACACTCAAACCTATACCAGTGACACTGCTCACTGACATTAAAACATGCGTCTGTGTTGGGCCACAGGCTAGCAGACATCCCACACAGCCCTAGGCACAGGCACCAGAGTGAGCTGCAAGGTTACCTCCATGGTGCCAGAGGGCACCCTGGTGGTGGTTGCAGCAGGAGGCAAGGGAGGCAGTGCTGGGCCCTTAATGAGGGTGCAGCATGAGACTGGCCTGTGAGGGAAAAGGGGGTTAAATAAAGCCTGGGAAACTAGTGCAGAGGCTAGCAGGGCAGTGGGCTGGGAATCCCACTGGGGGCTACAAAGGAACTTTCTATCCTGACTCAGATGGTTATTTTTCTGAGCATGTTGACTGAGCTTGGCTTCTGATATAAAGCTTATCACCACTTAATCTGCTGCCGTAAAAATCAAATTTGGTGTTTAGACAATAGCTTCTCAATTGGCTCATTCTCTGAAATGCACTTCCTCCCCTCACCTTTTCATGGAAACTGACCAGGGCAGTGGTCCTCGCCTTGCCTCACTCCCCAGGGGATGAAATGGCTGTGTGGGCCTGGGAGCTTGTTCTCCCTTCCATTTTAGCCCTTAGCCCATGCCTTTCCTGTTCTCTCCAGAGCTCCTACATCTTACCCCACCCTCTGCACCCCCTCCAAAGTGGGTGCTCTGAGCCTCCGCTCTCTGTGTGGGTGCTTGCTAGGTGGTGCTGCATCACCAGCTATCCTTCTGAGTCTCCCCTTGGCTTCCATGCTGCTCTGAGTGTGGAGGAAGTGAGCTGTTTTGTGCTCCTGGCATGTGCCACAGCTCCTGAGAGCTCCCTATGTACCACTTCTCTGTTCCCCTTCCTTCAGCTGTGGGAAAAGTTTCCAGCCTTGTGGCCCTATCCCAATCTCTCCCTCAATTTCCCATCTATTGCAGGTACAGGAGTAGACAGTCTTACTCCATTTTTGTGTTTATGACCTCTTCTCTTCTTCACTCAAAAACTCATATCGACCCTCATTTCTCTGGAACCAATGCAAAATCCCTAATAATAGGATTTAGGCTTTATCTAGCAGACTTTATACCTCAGTATATTCTGGTTTGTGATAAATCCCCCAAATCTGGCACACAGCTCAATGCCATGGCAACTAGCTGGGAGCATAGTACAAACAGGGACTAAATAATATTTACTGAATAAGTGAGAGAATTAACTTTTTCTTTTTTTTTTTTTTTGAGGTGGAGGTCTCACTATGTTGCCCTGGCTGGTCTCGAACTCCTGAGCTCAAGCGATCTGCCCGTCTTGGCATCCCAAAGTGCTAGGTTACAGGCAAGAGCCACTGCACCCAGTCATAATCTCTCTTGAATAAACCCTCTTACTTCCCCTTTTGCATCTCTCTCTCTAAATCCTACATTTGTCTCCACAGATAACATCTCACCAATTTAGAGACACTTTTCTTTCTGCTAGATCAAGATGTTTAAAGCATTTGTTCTCACTTCTTTCATGAAACCTTCTGAGATCAGTCAGCTAAGATCTAGTTAATTGAATCATCAACTACTCTAATACTTCTGCCTGTCCTGTTTTGGGTTGAAAGGGACACAATTCAAGGTCAAAGACCATGTCAGTTGCTTCCTTTGTCATTCTCAACACTCAGACAGCACCCTCTGTAGACACTGAGTATTGACAAAATGCTCTTCAGTAAGAGCTTCTCCAGTACACTACTGTAAAACGGCCCTTCAAGAGGCCTACAGAAAATAGTACCTATAAATTAATAATATATTTTGGACTCTGTGGTTGTTTTAACAAGTTGGGAAATAAATACCAGATTTTTGAACTGAAAGAGGTCTCCTTTCCCCACTCCCCACAAAATAATTTGTTAGCTATAGTTTCTATACCTATGATAGGTTAACATATTTCAGGGAATTTCTTTTCTTTTTCTCAGTATTGCCCTGGCAAATACAAATAAAAGCATATAATAAACAGCAACAAAAAATGAAGTTCACACACAGAATTATGACACCAAAGCCACGTGACTTCTCAGCTTGTTTGGCCTACTAAAGTGCCGCACAGGCCACTTGGGAGGACAGAGGTCGGTGGTCGGGGGCAGGTTGGGGGGTGGCCCTTAGTAGAGAGTCATTGAGGAATAGCAGGTGTGCCCCGGAGAGGAAGGAAGCACAGGCCATGCTGCATGTTCTGCGGTGAGCATACATCAGACTGGCACTGTTGTGAAAACTGTACAGTTTTTAAACCGAAGCTCAGGCTGTTTTTCTGACTCTTCTTCCTCTGACCAGTCGACATAGACACTCAAATCCAAAAAATTAGTCCGTCAGAGAAACAAAAGCTATGATGCTGTTTTTCTGCGAGCCTCTGGACCAAAGCAGGTGGCTGGAGCGGTGCTCCCTGCATAGGCATCTGGCAGCATGTGTGCCTGCCTGGTGGCTCTGTGATCACAAGTTCCCTGCAACACAGCCATTCAACAGCGGGTAGGGCTGAGTGATATTTCATCACCAGAACTGTGGATCAGATGAAATTTAGATCTGGTAGGCCAGATCTAAGAGGCTCTGTGACTTAGCCCAAACATACAACTATCTTCCAATTGGGAAAAGGTTATTTTCGGTATTAGATACTGAAATTATAAAATTAATCATTTTAGCTTGAATTTGGGGAAGTATATTTTGTTAAGGTTTATGAGAAGCATATTTTGTTAAAGTTTACGAGAATTGCTATGAAACACAATAATTTGGAAAAAAAAAAAGAGAGAGAATGTTGTGTTTACTGGGCCATGGATGGATGATGTCACTAATAAGCAATTATAACATCCCACATTCCAAAACTATTTAATAATTTGTTTTGAAGAAATATAGCTTCCAAAAGAACAAGAACACAATCTAAACATTTATTTGGATGTTTTGCATGGCAAAATATAATTAAATATATAAAATAATCTCAACCTAAAAAAGCATCAAATATTAGTCACCAACTTTAACAAGGAAGGAGGTTCAAAAGTTTATCAGTAAATGAATTTGTTGGAATACTCAATGCATTTCCCATGGCAAAAACATTTCCCATGTAAATGTTACAGACGGTTAGGCTTCTAGTGCCAACCACAAAAACTAGATTAAATGTTAGGTACATGTATGGCTATAAAGAAGAATGGTGAAAGAACAGGACCTTTAGAGAGACAAAGATTCCCAGGTCCTGTCTGGCTGTGTCCTTCCCCAGCAGTATTTCTGTAAGATGCTACGTCCTGCAGTCTCCAGCCAGAACAGCTGCCTCTGGCCTGGAGCACAGCTGGAACATCCTGTGGCGGGAGCCCCCTCGTGTCCTTGCCAGGCTCAGGTGGGTGGCAGCCGAGTGAAAGAGCCCTCCCCTCTAAACGACCCTGATGGTTACCATAACTACACTTAGTCTTCAGATGCTTGTGAGTCTGAAATGTTTACAATGAATATTCTTTTCTTTTTGAGATAGAGTGTCGCTCTGTCACCCAGGCTGGAGTGCAGTGGTGCAATCTCAGCTCACTGCAACCTCTGCCTCGAGGTTTCAAGCAATTCTCATGCCTCAGCCTAAGTAGCTGGGACTACAGGCATGTGCCACCATGCCCAGCTAATTTTTATTTTTTATTTTTAGTAGAGATAGGGTTTTGACATGTTGGCTAGGCTGGTCTCAAACTCCTGGCCTCAAGTGATCAGCCTGCCTTGGCTTCCCAAAGTGTGAGGAGCCACCGTGCCTGGCCTACAATGAATATTCTAATGAGGACTAAAATGAGGTTCAGTCTTAATAAGGGTAAGACTCATGTGACCCAACCAAGCTTTTCTCGTATCTAGACATGCTTTCCAAATATCTGGATGAACTGCATTCCCCAAATACATAATGCAATTAAATTATAATATAGCTGCCTGTTTACAAACAAGAGGAAGTATTTATTATAAAACATAGCTGGCCGGGCGTGGTAGCTCACGCCTGTAATCCCAGCACTTTGGGAGGCTGAGGTGGGTGGATCACCTGAGGTCAGGAGTTTGAGACCAGCCTGACCAACATGGTGAAACCCTGTCTCTACTAAATACAGAAAATTAGCTGGGCGTAGTGGCGCATGCCTGTAATTCCAGCTACTTGGGAGGCTGAGGCAGGAGAATCGCTTGAATCTGGGAGGCAGAGGTTGCAGTGAGCCAAGACGGCGCCATTGCACTCCAGCCTGGGTAACAAGAGCGAAACTCTGTCTCAAAAACAAAATAAAACAAGACAAAACAAAAAACAAAAAAACCAAAAACCAAACCAAACCAAAACAAAACACAGCTATACAGATCAATGAAAATGTGCTCTTATCTACTCAGGGCTTACAGGGGATATGTCTCCCAGGAAAACAAGCTCTTGGGCAGAGCTGTCACTCAGCAGTACGGTGCCACAGGAAAGAGAGACAGGACTCAAAGTCAAGGCCTGTGGGAGAGCTAAATGCCTACTGAGCTCAGTCAAGGAAATGCTCACTAAACATTCACCATTTAGAATGGCCACAGCCAGAGTGGTCATGATGCAAACTACTGGAGGATACTATCAATAAATGTTCCAAAAGCAGAATATCATACACTCAGAACTGGACTTTTCCTCCTTCCGATACTGTTATAGCTCAGATGTTACTATAATTTAATATAAACATCAACAAGAGAGCTAAAATAACAAACCATTTAAAGAAAGAGATGTAACAAGAAGATTGAGAAAACCCCCAATTCACTGTATGACTGGATAGTTCCATTAAAAATGTTTCTTTTTTTTTTCCCCCTAATTCATAGATTAGAATGATTACTGGAGATGTAACAGGCACAGATAGGCCAGATCTTTGTAACACTCCACCTCTGCCTATCAAAAACAACATTTTAGGGCGAGGTGCCATGAAACCTGGCAGAGAACAATGCTTGCTTACTTTGGAAAGTGCAAAGACATGACAACTTAAGAATTTTGCTTAAAGCTCACAAAATGTCTTTTCACTAAATTAGATTTTCATTTACACAACCTACCACCCAAAGATGCTTTATTGTTATAGTGAAGAAAACACTTACAAAAGACAGATTTTCATAATTAAAAGACATACATAACATTTTAATCTTCTTTTAATAAAATTATGAATCATGAAATCTGCCTAATTCTTTTCGTTGTCAATTGAAATTCTTCCCCTAAAGATACTTTATAGATTCCACTCAACTCCTGGCCTTGTTTTATGGGCAAACTCTAGGATCCTGGTTTATTGCCTTTTAATTTTAAAAATAAAATTAGAGACAAAAGACTAAGAAAAAGAACCAACAATTGTAGCAAATTGGATGCCATTCCTGCACGTTCTCACCTTCCTCTGGTGACTTTCTGTAGAACCTTCATTCCCACCAGGCTGCAAGACTTCCCTTCCAACTGTCTTGCCTTCGACATGGTGAACTCCAAGTGCACTTCACCGAACATTCCACAGGCATCTTGTACCAGAAGGCAGGCTCTGTAAAAAACCATTCACATTTGTCTTTGAGGAGGCAGTTTGGATTAATACAGAGATCAAGATTTCCCTCTTCTTCATTATAAAGCCACTATATACTGCTGTGACTGGTCAATATAATTTAAAGAAAGTAAAGAAAAACCAAGGGGGGAAAAAAAAAAGAAATCCACTGTAGTCATCTTCCTAAATGGGTGAGTCAGGATTAAAAAAACGTTGAATTCAAGATATCCTTTCTGTATGTGTTCATGCAGGTGTTTGAACCACCATCCACAGGCATGAAACTAAAACCTAAGCCAAATATGGCTGAAAAGTACCTCAAGATGACCATTCTCTTAAACCAAATACATTACCTAGAAACAGAGTGTCCTTTTCCCATTTTTACCGTTTCCCATGAAAGAAATATTTGCTTTGTGTGGATGCTCGATACTGAGAAAAGCTGCAGGATAACATTACGATAAGAACAACAATAAGAGGCATTCTCTGCGACAGTACACGTTTAGACACGCATATCCCAGCAGGATAAAACCTGGTGTCCCAGCTTGCAGCAACACAGCCATGATGGACAGCCAGCGACATGATGGGATTCCCCCCAGCTTTTAAGTTTAGATGATGTTACTCATGAGAGCCTATTTATGACTGAATTTCCAATCCTCTTATTTTGTAACTGAAGTAAATGAAGCTTATTTATCACAAAATGACATATTCTCAGAAAACATTTCACGGAGCCTGAAGAAATTATAGTCAGTAAATAACATCACAAAATGGACATAAAAACTGTTCTAAAGATAAGAATGTGAAAAAAGCACATGTTGGAGGAGAACAGATGAAGCCAGGAGCCTTAAGTGCTGCCTTGGCAAAAGGGTCAAGAACTGTAGACTCCTTAATGAAGTCTTCCAGGCCCACAGGGCCAGCTGGTTTGCAAGAGAAGCAGAAATATATCCTGTCTGAAAAAAAGCACCTTTACTTGGATTGCTAGTTCACCATGGAATAAGACCAAACAAAGATGTGCTCAAATAAAAATCAAACACAAAGAAACAAACCATCATGTGGGAATAGTCAAAAGAAGTAACACCAGACCTGCTGGGGACTTGAGATATTAGAATTAATGAATAGAAAATATAGAATAACTGTTTTAAAGAGGTAAAAGGTCCCCAAAATATGAATAGGAGACAAGAAACTACATAAAATGACTTGATAGATTTGAAGAAGGATGAAATCACATTTTCAAAAAGGAAAGCTACATTTATTGAAATAAAAATATTCACTGAGTAGGTGTAACAAATGGCTATATGCATCTGAAAAGTGTATATATGAGATCTGAGGTATAAATCTGAATAAATTACTCAGAATATAGCTTGAGAAGTGAGAGGAAAAAAACATGAGAGAAGGTGCAGAAATAGAGGAGAGTGAGAAGGTCTAACACGTCTAATAGGAATTTCAGTAAAACAAGACAGAGGAGGGGAAGCAATAATATGTAGTTACAGTGATTGAGAATTTTTCCCAACTGATTTAAGATACAGGAAGAAAAACAAATACCAAGTGGGGCTGGCCATAGTGGCTCACACCTGTAATCCCAGCACTTTGGTAGGCCAAGGTGGGAGGATTACTTGAACTGAGGGGTTTAAGACCAGCCTGGACAATGTATTGAGATCTTGTCTCTAGGAAAAATTTTAAAAAATTTAGCTGGGTATGATGGCGAACGCCCATAGTCCCAACTACTTCAGGGGCTGAGGTGGGAGGATCACTTCAGCCCAGGAGGTTGAGGCTTAAGTGAGCTGTCATCATGTCACTGCACTCCAGCCTGGGCAACAGAGCAAGACCCTGTCTCAAAACAAAAACAAAGGGGGGAAAAAGACCAAACAAATACCAAGCAAGACAACGAAATGGAAATCCAACTAATATACTCACTGTAATGAAACTAGAGAATACCAAAGACTATGAGCTGTTAAAAGCAAGAAGCACACAAATAAGATTTTAAAAGTACACACAATGAGAAGATTTAGAAGATAGTACATCTGCAAAGGAACACAAATTTGACTTAAATCAACCTTCTAAAGAGCAATGAATGACGCCAGAAGACATGGAATATTTTCAGAATTCTGAAAGCCATCTCAGAACTGTACCAGCAAAACTCCTTTCAAGAATGATGGTAAAATAAGGACATTTTAATTTTTTTATTTGTATTTATTTATTTATTTATTTATTTATTTATTTATTTTGAGATGGAGTCTTGCTCTGCTGCCCAGGCTGGGGTGCAGTGGAGCAATCTCAGCTCACCGCAACCTCCATCTCCCGTGTTCAAGTGATTCTCTTGCCTCAGCCTCCTGAGTAGCTGTGATTACAGGAGCCCACTGCCACACCTGGCTAATTTTTGTATTTTTAGTAGAGATGGGGTTTCTCCATGTTGGGCAGGCTGGTCTCGAATTCCTGGCCTCAAGTGATCTGCCTACCTCGGTCTCCCAAAGTGTTGGGATTACAGGCGTGAGCCACCCCGCCTGGCCTGGGACATTTTTAGACAAAGAAAAACTAGGAGCATTTTCTACCTACAGAACCTGACGTATTTACTGATTTACTAATTACTAAAATGATTTCTAGACCAGGTGCAGTGGTTGACACCTGTAATCCCAGCACTTTGGGAGGCTGAGGCGAGAGGATCACTTGAGTCTAGGAGTTCGAGATTAGCCTGGGCAACAAAGTGAGACCCTGTCTCTACAATAAATAAAAAAATTAGCTGGGTATGGTGGTGCACGGTTGTGGTCTCAGCTACTCAGAAGGCTGAGGTGGGAGGATCCCTTGAGCCCAAGAGTTTGAGGGTTGCAATGAGCTACGACTGTGCCACTGCACTCCAGCCTGGGTGGCACAGTGAGACCCTGTCTCAAAAAAACAAATAAAATGATTTCTAAATTACGTACTCTAGGAATAAGGAAATTATTGTGGAATAAAGGCCTGAGATACAAGGACTAATGAGCAAAAATACAAACAACCCAAAATAAACACAGGACAGAATAACAACACAATTAATAATATTAAAGGTGTAGAGCTGAAAAACTGAAAATGGATAGCAATGAAATCAAACGGGCAGTGACTGGAGCTCAAATGTTCCCAAGTCCTCATATCACTCTAAGCCTGGAGTTAAGATATTAACTTAAGTATAGTGTATGCGGTACAATTTCAAGGATAATCACCAAAGAACAGAAACAGGGAATATAACCTCCTAATCACTAGAGGAAAAAAAATGGAATGAGAAATATAGGAAAACACAAAGAAAAAACATTAAATGGCCAAGAAAATAAAGTTGTTGGTAATCGATCCACAAACTTTATGGGCAGTTTGGCTGGGTATAGATTTCTAGATGGGAACTAATTTTTCCATTCATAGTCTAATCTTGTTTTGTTTCCCTCTCTTCTCTCCAAGTCTGAGGTCTTTTTTAGTTTCCAGTATGCTACCTGAGAGCAGGTATAAAAGTATACGTTTTGATGTTGAATTTATAATGTCTTTTTTTTGGTATATACACCATTTAAAGGCCTCCTTACCTCCTAGTTAACTCCTCACGTGACTTGCTTCTCCATTCCATAACTAAATAGGGAAGTCCAGGCCAAGCCTTGGGGACCAGGACATGTAGGGGAACTGGAGGTAGGACCAGGCTGCATTTCCTAGGAGGAGTCTCCAGGCTCTTCTGTTAGAGAACAACCCATGGTGGCCCCTACCCCTCCACATGTGATTACATTAAGGCCTGGTCATCTCCTACTGATACCCCCAAGACTTTGCTTTAAATGTTATTTTATTTTTATTGATTAATTCTTTTGAAACAGAGTCTCACTCTGTTGCCAGGCTGGAGTGCAGTGGCGTAATCTCGACCCACTGCAACCTCCGCCTCCTGGGTTCAAGCAATTCTCCTGCCTCAGCCTCCCGAGTAGCTGGGACTATAGGTGTATGCCACCACGCCCGGCTAATTTTTGTATTTTTAGTAGAGACGGGGTTTCACCATGTTGGCCAAGATGGTCTCCATCTCTTGACCTCGTGATCCACCCGCCTTGGCCTCCCAAAGTGCTGGGATTACAGGCGTGAGTCACTGTGCCCGGCCTGTGTTATTTTTTTAACCTATGCAAAAGTCAAGACAAACACAAAAATCCCCACAGATCCAAATACAAAGTTTCTATATTTTTGATTGTGTTGAGAAGGGAGAGGTATGGAACTGGCTACTACCTTTGCCTTTAAGTTTGCCCTGACGTTTTCCTTTGTCTCAAATAACAAGGAAGGGTGCTTCTGTCTATTCTTTTGCCCTAGAGACGAGTTATCACTCTTCTTCTCCTGGTATTCACACCCACCACACATGCTCTCCCACTCTGTTTTGCTCACACAGCTGCAGCTCAGAGGCAGGCTGGCTCAGGCCCGAGGTGGAGTCATCACCCCCCTGGTTCGACTGGATTGGAACTGTGGCATTCCACAGACTGCCCAGACCAGCGTCAGCTTATCAGCAGCCTGCGCTGAATTCCACCCACTTGTCAATGCTTTCTGCCCAGTGAAACGCTATCTCCTAAAATCAGTGCTAGTGTGACAGGTCTGAGCAGAAAAGTGTCCCCATGACTTACTTGTTTTTCCTGAACTGCCAGGTATTTACCATAAATTTTATCATATTCAATGGAACACAAATGGCTTCCCGGGGGGCAGCATTATGTTAATAACTTTGGATCTTGCAAAAGTTGCTTATCTGTATGAGCTTGAACTTACTCATTTTTAACACAAAATAAGAGAATCTAATTCAGAGGGCTGTTGTGAGCATTGAAGTCATTCACATGATATAGTGATTTAGGGCATGGTAGAGTGACTGGTAGATAAATCTTTTCTTGGTGGGGTACTTAGGTCAATTTTTATAATAAAATTTTGTAAGTTTCTCCATATAGCTCTTGTACATGTTTTGTTAGATCTACGCCTAGACTGTCTATGGTTTTGTGTTCTATTTTAAATGGTGTTTTGTTTGTTGTTGTGTGTTGCTGGTGTGTAGAAATACAATGGCCTTGTATATTGAACTTTTGTAATCCATCAATTACTATTTGTAATCCGTTTAGTGTACTTTCATGCAATCATTTCATAATTCCAATTTTGCTTCTTATTTTCTTTTATGGCTGCCTTTTAGGACCTTCAGGGCAATGCTGGAGAAGCCAGTGACTGGGCATCCTTATTTTGTTCCAGCTTTAAAGAAAAAGTCTTGAATGTTTTATAGTCACTAATGTTTGCTTTTATTGTTGGTAGTTTTTCATTTTTGGTTTTTTGTAGATGTCCTTCACCCAGTTAGGGAGTCCTAGTTTGTCAAGGAATTTTTTTTTTTTTTAAATCATGAATGGATGTTGGAGCTTATCAAATGCTTTATCTGTATTAATTTAAATAATTGCTTCCCCCTTTAACACGTTAATGTGGCAAATGACAATTTCAAATTCTTTCTGAGTATTAAAGTAGTTTTTCACTTTTGATGTAAAGCCAAGATCCTATTTGCTATGTCTTATTTAGAAATTTTGTCTCTAGGTCTATTAATGATATTGGTCTTTAATTTTATTTTTCATACTACATTTGGTATCAAGATCATTTATATCAGCTTCACAGAACAAGTTGATTACCTTTTCTTTTGAAAATTTTAGATAAAAATTCTAAGTATAAGACTCACATAATCTGTGTTTTGACAGTTAGAAATAATTAGGTAATAAAATCATTTAGCTTTAGTGTTTTCTTTCCTGAGAAGATTCTGAACTACCAGCTCAACATCTCTAATGATAACTGGACTATTTGAACTTTTTAATTTTTTTCTTAAGATATTTTGGTAATATATTTTTCTAGGGATTTTTCCATCTTGTCTATTTTCAAACTTAATAGCATGAAGATGCTACAGTATTCTTACATTTGTTTTTTTCAAGTTTTATTAATATTACTAAAAAATATGTAATGCTTCATGAATTTGCATGTCATCCTTGCCCAGGGGCCACGCTAATCTTCTCTGTAGCTTTCCAATTACAGTATACGTGCTGCCAAAGTGAGCACATATATGTTTCCAATTCCTGATGGGACTGATATCCCTAATTTTCCTTTTTACTATTATTTATCTTCTCTTTATCAGTTTTACCACAGGATTATTATTTCTTGCTTTTGTTTAGTCACTGTTTATGTCATTAATTTCTACTCACATTTATAATCTTTTTTTCCATTTTCTTTGGACTTATTCTATTATGCCTTTCCTATTTCTTATGTTGGAGGCTTAGATCATTAGTTTGCAGCCTTTCTCTCAAGCTATCCTACTTCAGCCTCCTGAGTAGCTAGGACTACAGGCACATGCCACCGTGCCTGGCTTTTTTTTTTTTTTTTTTTTTTTTTCCCTTTTGAAGAGACGAGGTCTTGCTATGCTGCCTGGGCTGGTCTCAAACTTTGGCCTCTTGCGATCCTTCTGCCTTGGACTCTCAAAATGCTGGGATTATCAACATGAGCCACTGTGTCCAGTCCTTTCTTCTTTTTGTTTATTTTTATTTATTTATTTGAGACCGAGTCTCCCTCTGTTGCCCAGGCTGGAGTGCAATGGCATGATCTCGGGTCACTGCAACCTCTGCCTCCCAGGTTCAAGCGATTCTTGTGCCTCAGCCTCCCAAGTAGCTGGGACTACAGGCGTGCACCACCACACCCGGCTAATTTTTGTAGTTTTAATAGAGACGGGGTTTCACCATGTTGGCCATGCTGGTCTTGAACTCCTGACCTCAGGTCATCTGCCTGCCTTGGCCTCCCAAAGTGCTGGGATTACAGGCGTGAACCACTGCACCTGGCCCCTTTCTTCTTTTTAAAGTTGAGCTAATTTGACTAAAATTTATTCTAAATATCAAGTTAATGACATCACATAAATTTTAATATTTAGTATTTTTATTATCAGTTGTAGATATTTTAAAATTGTCATTATTTCTTTTTTGATCCAACAGGAAGTATTTTTCAAATTTTATAGGGATTTTTAAATATATGTTTTTGTTATTAACTCTTATTGCATTCATTGTATGTTGCTATACACATTACTCCCACAAATTTGAAGCTTAAAATACAAACATTAATTTTTTTCATAGTGTATGTGGGTTAGAGGTTCATCATCTTGACAGCAGTCAGTTAGTGCCAGATCCTGTTCTATTTGCATTCTTCTCCTCAAAAGGCCCTTAGGAGCTAGGCTATTATTATCCCTATTTAGCACATAGAAGACTGTAGATCAGAAAGGTTTACTATCTTGCCCAAAAACCATACAACATTAAATAAGCAAACTAACAATAAAATGAAATGATATATAAGCATATTTGATATAAATATCTCTTTAAATTTATAAAAGTGGGGAAATACCAGCCTAATTTCCAGAGCTAAACCTCCATCAGAATTCAAGTGCAGGTGAAATTGATTTATATACCACTGTAGTCAGCAATAAGGAATAGATCATCAGTCTAAAGCACTGTGTTCTAAGAGAACTCTCTGCAAGGATGGAATAAATGTTCTATGTCTATGTTGTCTAATGTGGTAGCCACTAGCCATATGTGGCTACTGAGCACTTGAGATGTGGCTGATGTGACTGAGGAACTACATTTTTAATTTTATTTAATTTTAATTAGTTTAAATATAAATAATCACATGTGGCTAGTAGCCACCCTATTGGACAGCACAGTTTAAAGGCCTACAGAACTGGAAGAACCAAAAACTATGAATACTTAAAAATTGGTTAATCAACCTTTCAAACACAGTAATTAAAAAGTGATGAATTTTTAAAGTGACTAGGGAAACCACGGCATAAATAAATAAGAGGTTATTTCAAATAGCCTTCAATTTAAAGCTTTTCCAAATTATGTTCTATAAAAAAATGCAAAAAATTTATGTTTTATCCAACACTAATATTCACAGAGTATTAATAGGTGTTTCTCAAAAATTAGCACTATCAACAAAATGTTAGCAATATTTTCTCTGAAATGTATTTTAACATATCAAAACCATACATAATTACTACTGTGTTCAATCTCCTTGATAATATGATATTTTACACCCAAGAATGCCAGGGAATCCCTGAGTGGTCACCTGATGCAGAAAGACATGATTTTAGGTCCTCACCTTGTGTATCAGCAGTATTTAGCAGGTGATATGCAGAAGAATGTATCGCCTATTTTAAGACAACTAGTCTTAACATTTCCACAGATATGTATGACATTATTTAATTTGTAGTGGCTATAAGATATTTATATAGTACAAACTAATTTCTCATGGTTCTGTGACTGAAGGAAATTTTATGTAAGAATTAGGGTTCTGCAGCTAATAATTAGGTCTAGTCCAAACAAGTAAAAAGCTAGAATACTTCAAAATGAAGATGAACGACAGTGGTCTTTGGTTTCTATAAAAATGAAAAGGTGAGCTAAGATAAAACAATTAGTGTTCAATCCTACTGACCTAACCTCAGGGATTAAAGGCCAGAAGGAAAGTATGGTGTAAGTAATTTGTTTCTTTCAGCATTTTGAAGATATATCCCAGTGCCTTCTGGCCTCCATTGTTTCTGATGAGAAGTCAGCTAGACTGTCACTGGGGCTCCCTTGTATTAATATATGATGAGTCATGTTTCCTTTGTTGTTTTCAAGATTTTCTCTTTATCTCTGGTTTTCCACATTTTGACTTTGAGGTGTCTGGGTGTATGTAATATGTTACAAATTTTAACTTATTAAAATTTTGCATCAAATTTGATAAGTGCTCAGCCATTATTTCTTCAAATATTTTCGGCATCATCCTCTCTCTCTCGCACTCTCATTACACATATTTTGGTGCACTTAATCATGTCCAACATTTTTATGAGGTTCTCTTTCGTTTCCTCCATTCTTTTCTCCCTTTCAGATTGCATAATCTTAATTTCTTTTTTTTTTTTTGAGACAGGGTCTCACTCTGCACCCAGGCTGGAGTGCAGTGGCACAATCTTGGCTCACTGCAGCCTCGATCTCCCAGGCTCAAGTGATGCTTCCACTGCGGCCTCCCAAGTCCACCACACCTGGCTAATTTTTTTTTTTTTTTTTTTTTTTTGTAGAGATGGGGTTTTCCATGTTGCCCAGGCTGGTCTCAAACTCCTGAGCTGAAGTGATCCACTAGCCTTGGCCTCCCAAAATGCTTGGATTACAGGTGTGAGCTTCCATGCGCAGCCTCATTATCTTAATTTCAAGTCCACGAATTCTTTGTTGTGCTGTCTCAAACCTACTATTGAGCCCTTCTGGTGAATTTTTCACTTTGGTTGTTGTTCTTTTCAACAACAGAATTTCTATTTGGTTCTTTTCATAGTTTGTATCTTTTTATTGACACTCTGTTTGGTTAGACATTGTTAACATATGTTCCTTTAATTCTTTAGACATGGTTTCCTTTAGTTCTTTGAATATAGTTATAATGGCTGGTTTGAAATCTTTTGTCGGCTAAATCAAACATCTGGACCTCTCCAAATGCAGTTTCTATTGCCTGCTTCCCACCTACCCCCACTAGTCTTCCGGGCTTGCCTCTCTAGCATGAAGCCTCCAACCTATGGGTGAGCTGGAGTGGGACAGTCAGGTCCGTATTCTTGGCCTGACTCATTTGCTGGGTGATGAGAGATGCTGGAGGCTGGCCATGAAGGGTGAAATGTACCCTACACTGGGGGCTGGGGGAAGAGGGGACCATCTTCTTGACTGGACCCCCTAGAGTAGAGCCCCAGGTTAGTCTCTAGAAAGTGAGTTTGGATGGTGGAGGAGTGGGTCGTGGCTCACAGGCCACACACTTGCCGTTCTCACTTAGATTTAGTAGTTATTTTTGATTCCATTCATAGAATGTTTCTCCATTTGCTGTATGCCCTTAGGACAATTTCTAGAGATTTTAAATGCTTGTCTTTCATAATTTTCTCCAGCTAAATGTTTGTTGGAGAGAGAATCCACTGTGTCCTCATTCTGCTATTCTGAAAGCTGGTCTTCTGTTTCTTTGATTTATTTCCATTGGAAATAAAGATTCTCTAGATGATTAGCATGTGTCGTGTGAGAAAACAAAATGGCTCTTTAGCCCTTATTTATAAGTCTTGAGAGTATTTGGAAACTATCCATTCTGAATTTGTACACAAGTGTGAGCTGTTATTTCTTGAGACATCTTGATTTGCTTGAACACAAGAAATGAGCCAAGTACAAAATTGCCAAGCCAGATAATGGAAGTGCAACACATGCAGTGAGGCATGAAGGGCTGCAGAGCCATGAAGTAAGTGTCACAAGATCCTTAATAACAAAAGCACTTGGGGGTTTGTCATTGTGCTCCAAAATAGTGCCTTGGCCTTCTTAGGGTTTCTAGTAAATCAATGATCCATCCATTCATGTGCTAAATACAGCAGGACTGCCTCCTGGATAGGCCCTCTGTGAGGTGCTAGGTACAGGGTAGTGGGCAAACAGTCCCTGCCCTCTGTGTTTCTTGGCAAGAGAGACCAATCACACACAAGTGTGCAACTACAGACTGTGTGAGTGATAGGAAGGAAATAAAGAGTGCTGTGAGAGATAGCACTGGGGTGGTGGGATGGTCTAGTCAGGCTTGTCAGGGAAGGCTTCTTAAAGGAAGGTGACCTTTAGGCCGAGCCTAAAGAGAGAGAAGCAACCAGTTATGCAAAGGCTGAGAGAACACTGAAAATAGAGAGCATAGCATGTATGAAACCCTAGGACGGGAAAGAGGTTTTCCGTGGCTGAGAAACTGGAAGGAGGCTAGAAGATAATAAGAAAGACAAGACAGGTGTCTTAGTCCATTTGAGCTGCTCTAACAAAAATACCACAGACTGGGTGGGTCATAAACAATAGAAATGTATTGCTCACAGTTCTGGAGGCTGGGAAGTCCCAGATCAAGGCACCAGCAGGTTTGGCATCTGGTTGAGGGCCTGCTGCCTCACAGACAGCTGTCTTTTCAAAGCAACCTCCTATAGCGGAAGGGTCAATGACTCTCTTGGGCCTCTTTTATAAGGATGTTAATCCCAAAGGCCCCACCCCCTAATACCTTGCGGGTAAAGATTTCAACATATGAATTTTGGGGGAGATGCAAACATTCAGACCATAGCAATAGGAGAAAGCAGGGATAAGAGGAAAGACTATTTATTGCATTATTCTTAATTTAAAATTAAACATATTTATGAAAAATTAAAAATTTGATAAAAATTATTTTCTCTTGGAAGGAAGGGAATAATGGCACTGGTGAGGGAAAGGGTTTTGTGGGGAGTTTGCTTGAAGAGAGAACTTTTAGACAGTCTCCTTAGACCCAGTGGGAGTCCACTGCCCTAATCAATGACAAATGCCTGAGAGGAAGGAGTGAAGGTGCAAAGTAGTGCTCATTGGCTAGTATGTTTTCTTTTGTTTATATAGTGTTAAAAGTTTTCAGAAACTAGTAACTAAAATTAAGAACTGGAAGACTTTACATAAAATTCAACTTTCTAGTTATCTTGAGAAACTTGCAACCCCGGTAGCACTAGGTCAACACCCACAGTGGCTGCCTCAGGATGAGGCATGGGCTTGTGAGTCCATCCTGGTGCCCTCCCCTCCACGCCTGGTCCCAGTCCTCAGATGCTGCCACCCTCTTTGCCTCTTTGGCTTCTGTCAGCATGTGAGAAGGCATTCGAGAAACATTTCAAGGCAGAGGCTGGAGAGCACAGTTGTGAGTAAGGGATGCGGGACAGAGCGCCTGCACTGGCCTGAGGTTCGGAGGAGGTGAGTAGGTGTGGAGAGTGAAGAGCAGCCTCGGCATCAGGCATAGGATGGGCCTCATTTCAGAGAACAAGGAGCTGTGGAAGAACCCAGAGGCTGCTCAAGTGACTCGAGGCAGGATGCAAGTGAGAACGGGGCTGACTAACACAGAACTGGGAAGGGCAAACTGCTCTATGGAGAATGTGACTCAAACCAGCAGGGCAGAAGCATTGGGATCCCAGCTCTGCCACTATCGACAAGGCACAGAAGCTCTCTGGGCTGAGAGTCCTTTTATAAGACAAGTGGATATTCTCTAGAAGTCCTTTCAGTTATTTTTGTTTAAGGAACGTTAAATCTTTGTGTATCTATAGAGAAGGCTGCAACTGCAGCTGCAGCTCAGGCACCAGCACCCAAGTTGAGGAGCAGACGCTCACTGTGTGTGGTTGTGCTCTGCAAGACAACCAGCAGACACCAGCACGATCCTTAGTAAGCTCTGAAATATTGGGAACCAGTGGCTAGCCAGGCCACGGCGGGCTCAAGAGATCTGACATCTTAAAGTTATCTGATTAATGTTCATAAAACGGAGCTTCCACTTTGGGAAGCAGTTGAGTACATTCCTTTGCTGTCCTGCCATAGAATACCCACTGCCAAGGCAAAGGTATGCATCCAGTACACCACACTCTCCGCTGCTAGCGATCTTGAGCTAAGGCTTGGGCTGCAGGCGACTTCTCTGCCCTATGCAGCACTGAGCATGGTTGGTGGGTCCCTTATACCTGGTGTGAGGGGATGCTGCTATCTATAGGAGTGATTAACTTAGATAAGTGCTTAGAACAGCCATGATAAAATATCTCACAGAGAAGTAGGACATGTGTGTTTAGAATGAGAGTCTCACAACTGCACTGATTCCATCAGCCAGAGAGCCATTCAAAACTTCTTGGAATAACAGTCCGTCAAGTGAATTCCACTTATTTAATGTTTAAGATCAATGCTTCTGCCACAGACACACCCCAATAACCCCCACTTTCATGACTATAAGACGGTGGTGCAGGGGAGCAGGCACCACATGACACGAATGGACACGGACACTAGGAGTTTGGGTACCTGCACAATCCAGATTATGTGAATTTGTTTCACACCCAGTTAAGTGCCTGCATCTCTTCTGTGCTCAAAATCTTGGTTTCCTTCACCTACCAGACAAATGCGCATTGTTACACATGCAGTTAACTGACAAGAAAATAGGGTTCCCTCTCATTAAGGGCCAGCTCTCCTAAGTCCTGAAGCCAGGTGTCTGCATTTTTATAAAAGGCCTAATCTCATGGGAAGGGGCTCACAGGAAGGTGCTTGAGAGTGGCACAGGGTATACCATTTCACATAGATGCGGCCTTATGACGGTGACCTCATCATTCAGCTACAGCTGTTTTGCTTTGTAAGGTAAAGCTCCACTGTGGGTAAAGCAATACATAACCATTAGAATACCATGTCTACAGCGGGTCCCTGCCCCTAGCCACCCACACTTCACCCCTCTCAACTGGGAAAACAAGGCAGCAGTCAGAAAGTGGTTCCAGGGGAACAGGGTAGCAGCAGAATCACCTGTTTCAGCCATCAGCTGCCATTCCGCAGGACTTTGATTCTGTGCATTTCTGAGCCATGAGGGTGAGGCCTGGACCATGTTGGAAGAGCCGATTAAAACTGGTGCCAGATGAAACCACATTCCACAGTGCATTCCCAGCAACATAAAATAATACAGATAAGAGGTTCCCTGTTCACGTTGGAAGTATAAAAGTCCATTATGAAGTGAATATTTGTCTTTAAGAATTTTTTTTTCCTTTTCTTACCAACTTAATGTCCATTATGCCAATTAAAGAGTATTTCAAAAACTGTAAAAATACGTCTTGTTTATCTGTAAAGGCAACAGAACAAATCACAAGGAATAAAAAAATAAAACTCTTAATTTTGTAGGGGAAGTTGTGGGAGTACAATTTAATTTCTCTTTTAAAAAAGTTTTAACTGTCCCTTCCTCCTTTCCAAAGCTACGTGTTTTCCCTTTCTTTCATTCACTGGCTCAGTTTCATAGCTACACGAATGAAGGACAGCGAGAGCACAGCAAACGTGTGTGCCTGCGCACGCATGTGCTGAGAGGGCAGATTAAGTGGCTATGTGGGATGTTTACGTGAGTTATGGGAGCAGTTCTTAGCAGTCCACCAAGAATTCCCGGAATCGGAGTCAGGCCCGGCTGTTTCATTCTAGGTCACTGTCAACTTAAGCAGCCTCTAAAGATCAACAAAGACCTGCCCTCCACTTTATAATCTCTTACGAAGCTTCAACCCAAGGAAAAAAACCAAGAAATCAGAGGATGAAGTGATAAGAAGAGAGAGAGAAAAAAAGGGAGCATGGGGACAGAAGAGGGCTGGAACCTGAGCGCAAGGGAGCCGCTGAGAAAAGGCGGGGGCGAGAAGGGCCAGAGCGAGGGCGGGGCGGGGTGGGGGCGGGGACGCATTGGGGGCGGGGGCCTCGCCCACTCCTGTAGCCGCCTGGGAGGAGGGCCGACCGGGAAACCAGAGACAGCAGGACATTGTGTTCTTCTTCTCAAAAAACAACCAGCCTCTGCGCTCCCAAAGTAAACAGTTAATCCTGTTGTTTATCTTTTTAACATGAGATGTTAGCACGACTTCTACTGCACAGAAATGTTTTTTATTCATTTAAAAATCATATTTTCTCTTTGCTGAAATAAAAATGTGACATGTAAACTTTTAAATATCAATGAACCGAAAGGAATAACAATCTTACTTTGCTAAAAGTGACAACCAAAAGAAGAGGGAAAAAAACCTCAGCCTTTTTCCCCTTCTGAGACAAGGCCACCCTCCGTCTCCCAGGCTGGAGTACCGTGCTGTCATCTCGGCTCCCTGCAGCCTCAACTCCTGGGCTCAACTGGTCCTCCCACCTCAGCCTCCAGAGTAGCTGGGACCACAGGCGCACTCACCACCTCGCCCAGCTAATTTTTGTATTTTTGGTAGAGACGGGGCTAGGCCATGTTGCCCAGGCTGGTCTCAAACTCCTGGACTCAAGTGATCCACCAGCCTCAGCCTCCCAATGTGCTGGGACTGTAAGTGTAAGCCACTGTGCGGCGCTGAGAAGAGTCTTTTCTTTTTTTTTTTTTTTTTTGAGATGGAGATGGAGTTTTGCTCTTGTTGATCAGGCTGGAATGCAATTGCGCTATCTTGGCTCACTGCAATCTCCACCTCGCCGGTCCAAGCGATTCTCCTGCCTTAGCCTCCTGAGTAGCTGGGATTACAGGTGCCTGCCACCACGCCCTGCTAATTTTTTGTATTTTTAGTAGAGATGGGGTTTCGCTACGTTGGCCAGGCTGGTCTCGAACTCCTGACCTCAGGCGATCCACTGGCCTCGACCTCCCAAAGTGCTGGGATTACAGGCGTGAGCCACCAAGTCTGGCCGAGAAAGGCCTTTTCCATACTCACACACCATCTTTATTGTAGAAAAACATTGTGCTGCTGAGATTAACAACAACAACAACAACAACAACAACAACAACAACAACAACAGTAACAAAACCCTGCTGCAAGCTTGGTCTTTAAGGAAGACACAAATAAAACCGCTGACACAACTGGTGCCAGTCTGGACTTTGATTTGTTTATTGCCGGTGAATATCGAACTATTTTTTTTTTTTTGAGATGGAGTTTCTCTCTTGTTGCCCAGGCTGGAGTGCAATGGCGCAATCTCGGCTCACTGCAACCTCTGCCTCCTGGGTTCAAGCGATTCTCCTACCTCAGCCTCCCGAGTAGCTGGGACT
This sequence comes from Homo sapiens, assembly GCF_000001405.40. Taxonomy (NCBI): domain Eukaryota; kingdom Metazoa; phylum Chordata; class Mammalia; order Primates; family Hominidae; genus Homo; species Homo sapiens. Next base: position 47,658,296 of record NC_000008.11, on the reverse strand, counting down.
ACAAGCATGTGCCACTATGCCCAGCTGATTTTGCATTTTTAGTAGAGACAGGGTTTCTCCATGTTGGTCAGGCTGGTCTCAAACTTCCGACCTCAGGTGATCCGCCCGCCTCGGCCTCCCAAAGTGCTGGGATTACAGGTGTAAGCCACGGCACCCGGCCAAGACGTCGTATAATTTGATAGACATTTACCCATGGAACACGTTTTCAAAGATACCTCTTTTGCCTTTTTTTTTCTTTTTCTTTTTCTTTTTTTTTTTTTTTTTTTTGAGACAGGGTCTCAATCTGTTGCCCAGGCTGGTGTGCAGTGGCATGATCACGGCTCAGTGCAGCCTCAACCTCCTGGGCTCAAGTGATCATTCCACTGCAGTCTCCCAAACGGCTGGGACTAAGGCCTGTGCTACCGTGTCCAGCTAAATTTTTAAATTTTTTGTAGAAATGGGGTCTCACTATATTGCTCAGGCTGGTCTGGAACTCATGGGCTCAAGGGATCTTCCTGCTTTGGCTTCCCAAAGTGCTGGGATTGGAGGCAAGAGCCATTGCTTCAAGCCTGCCTTTTTATTAATTGAAATTTTTATTGAGTTAATTGTAGAGTCACATGCAGTCCTAAGAAATACCACAGAGAGAACCCCTGTACACTTCACCCAGTTACCCCAATAGTATAAACTATATGTACTAGTAAACAATAGTACAATACCACAACTAGGATATTGACATTGTTAAAACCTGCCACTCTTTTACTTGTATGTGTGTCACATATTTAGTTTGATACAGTTTTATCACCTGTGTAGGATCCTGTACCTTCTACCACAGTCAAAATACTGAACAGTTCCATCACCATAAGGGTCCCTCAGGCTGCCCTTTAATAACCCACCTCCTTCCATCTCCCAACCCTCATGACTAACATCAGAAAAACATTCATCTGTCCTCTCTTCTAAAATTTTTGCCATTTCAAAAATGTTACAAAAATTGAATCATCCAGTATACAATTTTTGGGATTGGATTTTTTTTTTCCTCAGCACAATTCCCTGGTAAGTAAAACAAGCTATTATGCCTTTTATTTTTATAACAGCTTTACTGAGGTATAATTCACATGCCATAGAATGGACCTGTTTATATTGTAGCAAAATACACATAACATAAAATTTACCATTTTAATCCTTTTAAAGTGTACCACAGTGGCATTAAGTACATTCACAATGTTCTGCAACCATCAGCACTATCTAATTCCAGGATATTTTTATCATCCCAAAAGGAAACCTCCATCCATCAATTACTCCTATTCTCCCCTCCCCTGAGTCCCTGGCAACAATTGATTGGATTTCTGCCTCTATGGATTTGCCTGTTCTAGTTATTTCACATAAATGGACTCATATGATATGTGGCCTTCTATGTCTAACTTCTTTTCACTTAGCATGATGTTTTCTAGGTTCACTCATGTTATAGCATGGATCAGTGTTTCATTCCTTTTTGTTGCTGAATGATATTCCATTACATGGATATATCACATTTATTTATCTTCTATCAGCTGACAGATATTGCAGTTGTTTTGACATTTTTGCATTGTGAGTAATGTTGCCATGGAGTGACTCTGTAGAAGTTACATGGATATACGTTTTCAATTCTCAAGAGTATATACCTAGGAGTGAAAATTCTGGGTTATATGGTAATTCCATGTTTAACTTTTTGGGGAACTGCCAGACTGTTTCTCAAAATGGCTGCAACATTTTGCATTCTCACTAGTAGTGTGCCAAGATTCCAACTTCTCCACATCCTGAATTTATCCATACTTGGTATTGTCCTTCTTTTTATTATTGCCATCCTAGTGACTGTGAAGTGGTATCTCACTGTGGTTTTTATTTGCATTTCCCTAGTATCTAATGATGTTGATCATCATGTGCTTACTGTCCATTTGCATTATCTTTGAATAAATGTCTATTTGAATTTTTTAACCATCTTTTATTTGGGTATCTTTTTATTGTTGAGTAGTAAGTGTTCTTTACATATTCTGGATACAAGTCCCCTATCAGACTAGTGATTTGCAAATTTGTTTTTTGAGACGTTAAAGTTTTTAATTTCGATGAAGTCTCATTTATGTATTTTTTCTTTTGTTGTTTATGATTTTGGTGTCACATCTAAGAAACCATTGCCTAATATGTACGGTTAGGAAGATACAGTCCTACATTATCTTCTGAGAAATTTAGTTCTTACATTAGATCTGTGATTCATTTTGCAGTAATTTTTGTGTATGGTATGAGGCAGGTGTCCACCTTAATTCTTTTATATGTGGATACCTAGTCATTCCAAAACCATTGATTGGAATGACTCTTCTTTCTCCATTGAATTGCCTGACACCCATGTCAAAAATCAATGGACCAAAAATGTAAGGCATTATGCCTTTTTAAGAACATATATATCTTTAAAGACTTAAATGTTAGACCCAAAACCATAAAAACCCGAGAAGAAAACCTAGGCAATACCATTCAGGACACAGGCATGGGCAAGGACTTCATGTCTAAAACACCAAAAGCAATGGCAACAAAAGCCAAAATTGACAAATGCGATCTAATTAAACTAAAGAGCTTCTGCACAGCAAAAGAAACTACCATCACAGTGAACAGGCAACCTACAGAATGGGAGAAAATTTTTGCAATCTACTCATCTGACAAAGGGCTAATATCCAGAATCTACAATGAACTCCAACAAATTTACAAGAAAAAAACAAACAACCCCATCAAAAAGTGGGCGAAGGATATGAACAGACACTTCTCAAAAGAAGACATTTATGCAGCCAAAAGACACATGAAAAAATGCTCATCATCACTGGCCATCAGAGAAATACAAATCAAAACCACAATGAGATACCATCTCACACTAGTTAGAATGGTGATCATTAAAAAGTCAGGAAACAACAGGTGCTGGAGAGGATGTGGAGAAACAGGAACAGTTTTACTGTTGGTGGGACTGTGGACTAGTTCAACCATTGTGGAAGTCAGTGTGGCGATTCCTCAGGGATCTAGAACTAGAGATACCATTTGACCCAGCCATCCCATTACTGGGTATATACCCAAAGGATTATAAATCATGCTGCTATAAAGACACATGCACATGTATGTTTATTGTGGCACCATTCACAATAGCAAAGACCTGGAACCAACCCATATGTCCAACAATAATAGACTGGATTAAGAAAATGTGGCACATATACACCATGGAACACTATGCAGCCATAAAAAAGGATGAGTTTATGTCCTTTGTAGGGACATGGATGAAGCTGGAAACCATCATTCTCAGCAAACTATCACAGGGACAGAAAACCAAACACCGCATGTTCTCACTCATAGGTAGGAATTGAACAATGAGAACACGTGGACACAGGAAGGGGAACATGACACACCGGGGCCTGTTGTGGGGTGGGAGGAGGGGGGAGGGATAGCATTAGGAGATATACCTAATGTTAAATGACGAGTTACTGGGTGCAGCACACCAACATGGCACGTGTATACATATGTAACAAACCTGCACATTGTGCACATGTACCCTAAAACTTAAAGTATATATAAAAAAAGAACATATATATCATGCCAGTCGTATTAAAAGATAATGTCTTATATGAGTGTAGGTCTTTAAGAAAGAAAAGAGTCTAAACCTTCTCAAGAGGATCAACCAGAGTTTTAGTTTATCATTGGCAAAGTGTTATATGAGTGCATCTATATTTCGTAGGGTACACAGAATAAAATCACTGCTGCATTTATTTAGGCCAATGAATACAGAGCTAATGTAACTGGCCAGTATCTCTCTTTCTCTAGATCTGTTACTTTACCATCATTATGCAGAGATCCCTCTTGAAGAATGCCCCACTGTTCTCCCAGTCACTGAGTCTCAAAACCTGGAAGTACTCTATTTCCTTTCACATCCAGTTGCTGTAACCTGTCTATTTTCCCTCCGCATCACCTTTTTAATATTCTCCTCCTCATCCCCATTGTCACGGTCTTGCCTTGCTTGTGGCCCTTCCTGCCACCTACATGGATTAGGCAGGTGCTTCCCAACCTGTCTCTTAAACCCTGTTCTTTCCTTTCTTCTAACCCCTCCTGCAGGTTGCTGCTACAGTGCTCCTTCTTATCGAATAGAGTTAATCATGTCACTCACCTGGCCAGAGAACTTTGGGAGTATCCCAATGGCTCCTGCATGCCTCTTGGTACACACATGGTGGGGCCTAAGAAGATCAAGATGCTGCTACCACGCCCCTATCTGTCTTGGCTCCCGCCTGTTCCCCTCATGGAATCTGATAGTCCTTGCCACTCCCACTCATCTAAGTATCATTTTTCAAAGTCAAACTGAAACTCCATGTCTTATATGAAGACTTCTCTTATTCCCATAGTGTAAACAATTCTTTTTCCTTTTTTTCCTTTGCATTAAAAGTGGTTTGTTTTTTTTTTGTCTTTTAGTTCTCATCACATTTACTATGTATTATAATAACTTGAGGAGCTCTTTTCTCTCTCCTGGAAGTTTCTTGAAGGCAGGAATCTTATTTCTTATTCCGTATGTACATGTCAGAGCCCTTAGCTCAGAGACTTATGCATTATAGATAATATATGTTTGTTACACCAAGTTGAGTTAATCAACAGGCATTTATTCAGCCCTCCTGGGGAAAAGGGACATAAGACATAGTTCCTGCCCTTGGGGACAATGTGAGGTAGTTCACAAACCAAAACATATATTGCTACAAAGTATACAAGTGGGAAAGGAAGAACTTAGTGAAGTTGTAAATTAGGACAAGAACAATGAAGGAAAAGAGGGAGCGAGGAAGGAGGGATCTACACTAAGAAAGTTTACTGCTCAAAATGTGCCATCAGCTCAGCATCCCTGGGCACACTGTGGTCTTATTTTCTCTCATGCATTCCCCAACCGACTACCAAATGAGAGGCCATTTGGTATTCCTACTTTCCCATGCCTATTCATCACTGAAACCTGAGAGGCCAAGGATTTGTAACTGGGTATAGAGTAAGGAACAAGACACAGGCCTGGGGATGCAAGTTTTGGTGGTGCCATGGGTAAGTTAGTGTCCTACAGCTTCCCCTGAGCCATCAAAGGGCATGTTGGCCCACGCAAGAGTCACACAGGCTTTCAGAGGCAGGGTTCTTGGAGGGAATAAAGCCTGTAAACCCTGAGGCTCCATTCCATGGAATGGATTAGCATCCCTCCTGTGCCTGGTGAGTGGCATCAGTCATGGACAGTCTAAGGAGAATGAGAAGACAGTTGCTTATATAGTCTTCAGGCTCTGTAGTTCCAGTATGGGACTAGATTAGAGTCTAATGAACTGGGTGAGGTGGGGGTAAACTGCTACTGTAGTGGGCCTACTAGCACAACAGGAAACACAGTGTTGAATCATCCTTAGGTGATTCGCTTCTGAATCAGGGTTTCACATTCTAAGCTGACTGACTGGCTTGGAAACCAGTCCTGTCTAATGCAATGGCTTATAAATCACCTGTTTTTTGTGAAGTATGCATACATGTTCTACCTGCTCTGACCCTACCAAATAAAAAAATCAAACTGCCTTGGCAAATGCATACATACAAGGCTTTCTTCTTTTTCAAATATCAATGGTAATTTTGTAAATTCTGCAATCCTAAGAAAACCTGTTTTAGAAACAATATCACTGAGAAATATTAAATTGTTTTGATACATTTTTCAGTGAAGTAATTTCAAATTTGAAGACGAACCATATTCAGTTTACTGTACTTAAGACAGCAGACAATGGCCACTTTTAGAAGACAACTCTATTTCTCAGAGAGAAGGAAGGTTCCCAGGTAGGAATTAGTTTTGTTTCCAGCCCGCCCACCTTGGAGCTGCCTGCCGTGCCCAGCTGACATCCTCCTGCTGCCTGCCCAGCCTGCCCTTTCCACTGGACCTGGGTGCCCAGCAAAACACGGCCTCTAGGACTTTGCTTTGCAGTGCTCACCACCTAGCCTAGGTGTATCTCTTCTCTCTCTGCACATTGGCTCCAAATGCTCAGTGCAGTCTCTGCTGGGAGCGTATGTCACTCTCTCTTTCCTGCCAACCTTCCTGCCAACCTTTGAGAAAGTGTGGGCCTCACATTTCCATTTGATTGCCTCCTACTCACTTTTCTGATCATTTTAAAAAGTTTTTATTTAATTTCTGACCCTTATTTATTTTTTAAAAATTTCAATAGCTTTTGGGGGTACAAGCGATTTTTGGTTACACAGATGAATTGTATAGTGTTGAAGTCTGAGATTTTGAGGTTTTAGTGCACCCATCACCCGAGTAGTGTACAGTGTACCCAATATGTAGTCTTTTATTCTTCACCCTCTCCCACTCTCCCCCATCTAAGTCTCTGTAGTGCATTATATCACTTTGTATGCCTCTGTGTGCTGGCAGCTTAGCTCCCATTTGTAAGTGAGAACATACAGTATTTGGTTTTCCATTCCTGAGTTACTTCATTTAGAATAATGGCCTCCAGCTCCATCCAAGCTGCTGCAAAAGCCATTATTTTGTTCTTTTTTTTATGGCTGAGAAGTATTCCATGGTGTGTATAGTGATTTTTCTTTATCTACTCATTGTGTGATGGATGGTCACTTAGGTTGGTTCCCTATCTTTGTAATTGTGAATTGTGCTGCAATAAATATATGTGTATAGGTGTCTTTTTTTATATAATGATTTACTTTCCTTTGGGTAGATACCCAGCAGTGGAAATGTTGAATCAAATGGCAGATCTACTTTTAGCTCTTTAAGGAATCTCCATACTGTTTTCCATAGACCTGTACTAATTTACATTCCCACCAGTACTGTATAAGCGTTCCCCTTTCACCACGTCCGTTCCAGTATCTATTGTTTCTTAACTTTCAAAATAATGTCCATTCTTGAGGGGGTAAGGTGCTATCTCACTGCGGTTTTAATTTGGATTTCCCTGATAATTAGTGATGTTGAGCATTTTTTCATGTTTGTTGGCCATTTGTAAGTCATCTTTTGAGAAATATCTATTCATGTCATTTGCCTACTTTTTGATGGGATTACTTGTCTTTCTCTTTTTTCCTTGCTGATTTGCTTGAGTTCTTTGTAGATTCTAGATATTAGTCCTTTGTCAGATGCACAGTTTACAAATATTTTCTCTCATTCTGTGAGTTGTCTGTTTGATGATTATTTCTGTTGCTGTGCAGAAGCTTCTTAATTAGGTCCCATTTATTTATTTTTGTCTTTGTTGTAATTGCTTTTGGGTTCTTAGCCATGAATTTTTTGCTTAGGGGATGTCCAGAAGAGTTTTTCCTGGGTTATCTTCTAGAATTTTTATGGTTTCAGGTCTTAGATTTAAGTCTTTGATCCATCTTGAGTTTATTTTGTATAAGGTGAGAGATGAGGATCCAGTTTCATTCCTCTCCATGTGGCTTTTCAGTTTTCCCATCACCAATGATTAAATAGGGTGTCCTTCCCCTAATCTATGTTTTTATATGCTTTGTTGAAGACCTATTAACTGTAAGTATTTGGCCTTATTTCTTGGGCTATTCTTTTCCAGTGGTCTGTGTATCTACTTTTATATCAGCACCACGCTGTTTTGGTAACTATAGCCTTATAGTATAATTTGAAGTCAGGAAACATGACACCTCCAGATTTATTCTTTTTGCTTACTATTGCTTTGGCTATTCAGGCTCTTTTTTGGTGCCTATGAATTTTAGGACTGTTTTTTCTAATTCTGTGAAAAATGATGTTGGTATTTTGATAGGAATTGCATTAAATCTGTAGGTTGCTTTGGGCAGCACGACCATTTTCATGATGGTCATTCTTCCAATCCATGAGATGAGACGAGACGTGCTTACATTTGTTTCTGTCATCTATGATCATTTCCAGCAGTGTTTTCCGGTTCTCTTTATCTTTCACCTCCTTGGTTAAGTATATTCCTAAGTATTTTATTCTAATTTTTGCAGCTATTGTTAAGAAAGACTGGGTTCTTGATTTGATTCCCCGCTTGGTCATTGTTGGTGTATAGCAGTGCTACTGATTTTTGTACATTGATTTTGTACTCTAAGACTCTGCTGAATTTGTTTATCAAATCTAGATGTCTTTTGGAGGAGTCTTTAGGGTTTTCTAGGTATACAATCATATCAGTGGCAGACAGTAACAGTTTGACTTCCTCTTTTCCAATCTGGGTGCCCTTTAATTCTGTAGCCTGATTGTTCTGGCTAGCACTCCCAGTACTATGTTGAATAGAAGGGTGACAGTGGGCATCCTTGTCTTGTTCCAGTTATCAAGGGGAATGCTTTCAGCTTTTCCCCATTCAGTATGATGTTGGCTGTGGGTTCGTCATATACGGTTTTTATTACTGTGAGGTATGTCCCTTCTATGCCAGGTTTGTGGAGAGTTTTTATCATAAAGGGATGCTGGATTTTATTGAATGCTTTTTCTGCATCTATTAAAATGATCATATGATTTTTGTTTTTTTATTTTGTTAATGTGATGTATCATATTTATTGACCTGTATATGTTAAACCATCCCTGTAAAAAGTTTTAAATCTCAAATTTACTAAAAAGTTCTAAATACAGTAAAAATCATGTTTTTTTCCCCTGAATTATTTGAGGGTAACTTCTTGACATGATACCCCTTCATTCCCAAATACTTTTGTGTGTTTTTCCTACAAATAAGGACTTTTTCCCATATAGCCGCTCTACAGCCATAAGAGGAGGACATGAACCCTGATCTTCCCTCCACCTAATCTTCCTACTCACTCATGTTTCACCCATTGCCCTGGTAATGTCCTGTATAGCAAAAGGAGATAGTTCAGAATCGGGCTGCATTTAGTTGTCATGTCTCTTAATACTCTGCAGTCTGGAATGGTTCCTCAGTCTTTCCTTGACTTTCATAACCCTGACATTTTGGAAGGAAACAGTTCAGGTATTCTGTACAGCATGAACCCTCATTTTGGGTTTGTCTGATTTCTTCTCATTGTGAGATTCAGTTGATCTATCATTGGTAAAAATAACACAGAAGTGATGCTGTGTGCTTTTTTTTTTTTGCATTCTTCCCACTTTTTCTTGACAGGCTCTTTCTATGCTGCCTAGGCTAGAGTATAGTGGGTATTCACAGGAATGATCATTGTGCACTACAACCTCAAACTCCTGGGCTCCAGTGATCCTCTCACCTCAGCGTCCTGAGTGGCTGGGACTATAGGTGTGCATCCTGGGCCGGCTTCTAATTACATTCTGTGTATTAAAATAATTACATTATTTTAATTTGTCCCAATACTGATGACGCTGACTTTTTAAAACTTAAGGTGATGTCCGTCAGGCTTCTCAACTATAAGTTACTCTTTTTCCTTTTGAAGTTAAAAAACATTGTGTAGGAGATACTGTGAAACCGTCTAATATCCTATTCCTTATCAAATTTCCAATTCATTCATTTTCTTAAATTATTTTTCATTTGTTTTCATCGAGTCTTACTGAATGGTTTATAATCTATAACTATCCCTTATTTTGATGCATGAATTGCCCCAGATTTGGCTAGTTGGGGACTCTTTCAAGCTAGCTTCGGTGTCCTTTTTCTTTTTGATGTCCCCATCATTCTTTGAGAACATTCTTACTTTCTAACATAACAAGATTTCAAGGCTCATCTTGTATTTTATCTCATCCAAACTTGGAATCAGTCACTTTGCCAATTCCCTTCAGGTATTTAGAAGCTACTATCTGGCACTAGGTGTGCTCATTGCTACTGACGTATCACTGTCCCAGAGCCTCTTAGTAGAGCTGGGAAGTGTGTGCACACATACACCCTCTCACACAAACAGACACTGACTTCTGTTCATTCACCCATCCATCTTGAAAAGTACGAGTTTATACTACCCTAATTCTGATCAAACATGACAGGGTTCATTTTACTTTTCTCCCTTTTGGTATTTGTGACTCACAGGTCCCTCAACAAACTCAACATGTTTAAAACCATCATCTCAGCTCTCTCCAACTCTGTTCTCCCTCCTGAATTTTCTGTCTCGTTTAATGGTATCACCATTCATCTTGTTGCCCAAACCTTAGAATCCTTCTGGATCCCTCCCTTTTCTCCACCTCCCACATCCAATCATTCAGAGTGCTAAGTTGAATTAACTTTCTACCTCTTGGATATCTCCAGTTCTGCACCATGTCTTTATCCACCAGCTTGCCCTAATGGAGGACTCAGACTCTCTTGCTTCTCACACAGTCATTTAGAATCACTTCTACAGGGGTTCCAGATTTTCTAATGGCTTTGTATCACACGTGGAATAAAATCCAAAGGCCTTATTATCATGGCTTTCTAGACCTCCTCACGATCAGAGTCCCAACCCTACCCTTTCTACCTCTCTGACCTTCATGTATGTGATGCACAGAAACACTGGCCTCCTTGTCATTCCACAAACATGCCAAACAGATCCCTTCTTGCATCCTCAAGTACCAGATCTCCCTGCTGAGATGCTCTCCCTACACATTTACATGACTTACTCACCCATCTCCATTCAAGTATTAACTTGTCAGTGAGACTTTCCTTGAGTCTTATGTAAAAATAGCAGCCCTCCACCTTCACTGTCCCTTATCTTGCTTTATTTGAAGTTGTAACCATCATTTCTCTCTCTCTCTCTCTCTCCCTCTCTCCCTCTCTCTCTCTCCCTCTCTCTCTCTCTCTCTCTCTCTCTCTCTCTCTCTCTTTCGAGATGGAGTCTCACTCTGTCACCCAGGCTAGAGTGCAGTGGCGCAATCTCGGCTCCTGCAACCTCCGCCGCCTGAGTTCAAGCGATTCTCCTGCCTCAGCCTCCTGAGTAGCTGAGATTATAGGCGTGCACCAACACGCCTGGCTAATTTTTGTATTTTTAGTAGAGATAGGTTTTCACCATGCTGGCCAGGCTGGTCTCGAACTCCTGATCTCAGGGGATCCACCCACCTCGGCCTCCCAAAGTGCTGGGATTACAGGCGTGAGCCACTGCGCCTGGGCTTACTTTCTTACATTATATCTATTGGTCTGTGGCCAGTCTTCCCCCAAATAATGGCAGTTCCAATGGTGTATGGATTTATTTATTTATTTTGGCCCTTATTTCTTGCTGTATCCCTAACACCTAGAACAATGCTTGAAACACAGTAGGCACACAATAAATATTTGTTGAATGGATAAATGTTTCAGCATGGTCTTCTTAATTATATTACACAGTTGCTTAACATTATATCAAGCTGTATGTCATATTATTCAACTAAATAATCCCCCACACTGACATTTAGGTTGCTTCTATTTTCCCCATTATTATAGGTATTGCTACCATGAAGAAGAACAGCGTTTATGTGTAGTTTTTGTTTAGTTTTCATGAATTAAATTTCTAGGGAGTATTGGGTCAAAGAGTATAACATTATTGCTGTATATACTGCTTTCCAAAATATATATAACGTCTAAACATTTCAAGATAAATAACTATATATAAAGTCCTTTCATTTTTCTGAGTAATATATATAATTCAAAATTTAAAGGTATATGGTGACAAATTTCCCTCTGTCCAGCTCCCGTCCTCCATCCTCTAGTTCCCAGCTACCCCTCACAGATAATCACTGTTACTTGTTTCTCACATATGCTTCAAAAGTTTCTCTCTATATATTCAAGGAATATAGCCCATTTCAAGCATCCCACCATTCCTTCAATGTAACCAATGTCATAGATTTTTCTGTGACAGTTCATTGTTTCCTCATTCTTCTTGTAGCCATATAGAGAGCTGCATAGTATTCTACTATGAGCACGTGCCATAATTTTTAATTTCCTAATGCTGACCTTCAGGCCATTTCCACTTGCTATCACAAAGAATGGGGCAAGGAATAAGCTTGTATTTCATATATACACAAGTATATCTGTTGGATAAATTCCAAGAAGTAGAAGTGCTGGGTCAAAGAGCTGACCTGTTTAAAATTCACACACACACATCTGTATATACACATGCCAAGGTGCTCTCTCTGGAGTGGTGACAATGTACTCTCCCTCCACCAAAGGAAGAGTGTTTATTGCCCCTCAGCCTCACCAAACAAAAGTTACTAAAATTTTAGATTTCTGCAAAATTGGTAGGGGAAAAATAATAGTGTTATTTTAATTCATATTTTTTATCATGAGACATTGAGCATCTTTTCCTTTTATGAACTGTGTATTCATACCCTTTGCCCATTTTTATACTGAGTTGTCAGTCTTCCCTACTAATTTCTATGAGTACCTCATGTACTAGAAAGAGTGGCTCTTTGTAATACAAATCATACATATATATTCTCAATTTGCCATTTAACTTTTAATTTTGTCATGTAGGCTTAATTTTTTCTTTTGGATCCATGGATGTTGAATCAAGAAAAATCTTGAAAAATCAAGAAAAAACTTCCACCTCAAGATACTTCTCCCACTATTTCTTCTAGAACTTTTACGATTTCAGTTTTTAAATCTTTGATTCATTTGTAACCTATCTTGGTGTAAGATTAAAGTGTAAATCGAATTCATTTCTTTTTCCAGATGGCTAACCTACTGTCCTTACCCATTTATTGAATGGTTCATCTTTCCCTATTGATTTGAAATGTATTATTAACTAAGTTCCTGTATATATTTGGGACTCTCTATTCCACTGGTTTATCTACTACTTTAAGGTGAAAAAAATCCTTTAACTTAAAATTAACCTTAGAAAGTGGCTTTCATTAATTTCTGTTTCCCATAGCTAGATGTTATTTATCTTACAGTGTTTTTATAAAGACTAGAGAAGATAATTCCTTCCCGGGTCCAGTGCCTGGCCTTCACGTGCTTACCTCTCTCCTCCACGGTAAGCGCATATCCAATTTGACTCCTTCAGCTTGGTGTCTTAGAGGTCTCCACCTCAACAAGGCCATCACTAGAATTCTGGCCTCCCCCAGTCACCCCTCACCTCAATGACCACACCACCACCAGTCCAACAACCTCACAGTCATCCTTGAGCCCCCACTTCCTATCATCCCACATCTGATTTTTAGCTGTTACTGTAAACCATATCTCTAAAACAGACCCTGAGCCTTTCTGCTTTTCACCATAAGCACTCTGGTCCAGGTCGTCAGTCTGACCTGGCTGGATTTTTGAAATAGCCTAACTTGTTTCCTGTTCCTATTCTTGTACCTCCACATTCCATTTGATCTGGAGCAGCTGGAGTGATCTTTTCAAAGCACAGATTGGATCACATGTATCTCATGCTGAAAACCTTAAAGGCTTCTCACTGTCCTTGGAATGAAGTCTAAACTTCTGGCACCTGGCTCTTCTGTGTGCTAATCATCTGTCTCAGCCCCTGGGTACATCTCTACATCCCAGGTACACTGGCCTCTCTTCTGCTCCTAGAACACAGCAAGTCCATCCTTTTCTTTGCAATAGCTGGTGTCTTTGCATGGAAAGTGTGTCTCCTGGAGCTTTTCGTGGCTGACTCCACTTCATCCGTTAGGTTTCACCTTGAAGCTCTCCCTCTTCAGCTTCCCCTCACTGCTCATTCCAAGGTGACCTTGATGCTCCTATCCAGGTTACTCCATATCATGGCACACAGTATTATGTCTCATAATAATTGGGAGTGCTTTTTGAGCACTTAGCATTCACCATGTACTAGGACCTGTTCTAAGTGCTTTTTGAGTATTATCTCATTAATATATCAATCACATAAGGAGATACCATCATAACCTCCATTTTACAAATGAGAAAAGTAAAGTATAAGGTAATTTGTCCAAGGTTACCTGGCTACAAACCAATTGAAAATGATCTTATTTACTTTATTCTGGAGAGCCGGCCCCTTGTCTGTTTTGTTCATTGCTCTATATTCCTAAACCCAACACGAGGAGGTGCTTCATAATTTTGTAATGCCTAGCAAGCACTCAGTAAATGAAGGTAACACGATTACGTCATCATCACAGAATGTGCCACATGAAACAACTTGCGTGATAGTGGGGCACAGCTGTGGGGCACAGCTAAGAAGGAGAGAGACCTGACATCAGCTTCCGTTCAGATTTATGCTGTGCTTGGCTGTCCTACCTAACCCTTCCTGCCAGGTATGCAAGTAAAGGGATGGCTGGGGAGGCAGAAAGTGGAGCCTGCAATCTCCAGGGCCCTTCTTCCTTGATAAACACCACAGGACTGGCTTGGCCATGTGGCTAAACTTGGGTGTGAGGTGGAGTGACTGCTAACGACCAGCCACCAGCACTCCATCTTCACAGCAGCCAGGATAGACTGAGGGTGGAATGCAGAGGTTCCAGGACAGACTGAGGGTACAGCCCGTAAGTTCCAGAAATGTAAACATCACACTCGAAGCCTCTGTTGATACTGTTTAAACAGTGTAGTTAAAAAGCATTTACATGTCACTAACTATATGAATGACCTCAAAAAGGTGTATCTACTTGAACAAAACATAACATAAAAAACCCAATCTCTAGTAATATTCTACAGTCATGATCAAATATAGCTGAATTTCTATTTCATGAGGGCAGGAATGAAAGTCTTTCCATTTTGAATAATACTGTTTATATTAAAGCTTTTGAATACACAGTTTAGGTTTTTCATGGCAAATGCTTTTTTGTGTATATAATATACATAGGAAATATTCCACTAATTATTGAGTTGCAGCTTTCTCTAAAATAGAAGTTGCGGTCAGGCACAATGGCTCACGCCTGTAATCCCAGAACTTTGGGAGGTCAAGGTGGGAGGATCACTTGAGCCTAGGAGTTTGAGAGCAGGCTGGGCAAGATGATGAAACCGTCTCTAGAAAACAACAACAACAACAACAACAACAACAACACTAGCCAGGTGTGGTGATATGTGCCTTAAGTCCCAGCTACTCTGGAGGCTGAGGTGGGAGGATTGTTTGAGCATGGGAGACTAAGGCTGCAGTGAGCTGTGACTGCACCACTGCACTCCAGCCTGGGTAAGAGAGGAAGACTGTCTCAAAACAAACAAATAAAAAATTAAAATAAATAAAATAGAAGTTGCAGTTATAGAAGTATGGCAAATACTACAGAATGCAGACTAGAAGGTAAAGAGTTATACCTATTAGTCATCTGAATATTAAAATTTTCAGACTTTAGATATGGACTGAATTTGACTTACAATACATTCAGTTAAAAAAAAAGCATCCCACAGTTGTGTAAGTATTATTCATGTTTTAAGGCCTTTATAAACCTCAACAGTTATCTAGGTATAAGATGTTAGCTGAGAAGACTAAATATACTAACAATGATTTTCAATGCAGTAGAACAAAGTAGAACCAACTAAAATAATCCAGATTCAATCAATAACAGTCCATATGCTAGAATCCATATGTATGATTAAGATCTTCATAATTTCCCAAATTTGCAAAAATTTGCAATATTTGTACATGTTCCTGCCTTCTATCAAATCCCATTGTTTTTCCATTTATTTATTTATTTAGAGACAGGGTCTCACTCTGCTGCCATCATGGCTCACTGCAGCCTTGAGCTCCTGGCCTCAAACGATCCTCTTGCCTCAGCCTCTCAAGTAGCTAAGACTACAGGCGTGCACCATCATGCCCAGCTAATTTTTAAATTTTTAGTAGAGACGGGGTCTCACTTTGTTGCCCAGGCTGGTCTCAGACTCCTGGCTTCAAGCAATCCTCCTGCCTCCCAAAGTGCCGGGATTAAAGGGATAAATCACCGTGGCCAGTCCACAGTTGCTTTTCAACCTTCCCTAAAGTTTCCTCTTTTATTGGTGAGCTTTCTTGCATACGAAAAACATTAACACTTTAGAAGAGTTTATGACAGGTCCCAAAGAAGTCAGCGGGCTGTCTTGACCTATAAATGCTGAGCCTCAGAGTGCGGGTTCACTCACTGGCCTCACATAGCAAGCACATGTCGAATTCTTTTTCTTTTTTTTTTTTTTTTTGAGACGGAGTCTCGCTCTGTCGCCCAGGCTGGAGTGCAGTGGCACGATCTTGGCTCACAGCAACCTCCACCTCCTGGGTTCACACCATTCACCTGCCTCAGCCTCCCGAGTAGCTGGGACTACAGGCGCCCACCACCACACCCGGCTAACTTTTGTATTTTTAGTTTAGTTTTACCGTGTTAGCCAGGATGGTCTTGATCTCCTTACTTCGTGATCCGCCTGCCTCGGCCTCCCAAAGTGCTGGGATTACAGGTGTCTGCCACTGTGCCCAGCCACATGTCGAATTCTTGACCCATAAAGTCACTGCTCCATACACACAGTGGCCACCTTCACAGCATCCTCAACCAAGGCCTTCAATGCAAATCCTTGAATGCCAGGGCTGCTCCCACACGTGCGCAGAGTCCACTCTGGCTGGAATACCATGCCAGGGCCCGAGGCTCTGCACAGCTCTGCTGCCACTGTGAGTCCCCATTAGGATGTAAGTAGGTGAAGCCTACCTTCCCAGAGTGCTGGCTTTCTTTCCTCTGCCCAGCTGCTGGCAGGTATTCCATCTCAGTTCACCACTGAGCACCCAGAAGTTTAGGGAATTCAATGTCGTCTCAACCAGTTCTTACACATGGTGGGCTGGGTAAGATGCAGCAGTCAGCTGGGCTTCTATGTCAGGCAGTAAGTGGCCAAGTTTCCCTGCTTCAGTTGGTCCATCCCTTGAGTGTTCATCCTCCTCCCTTGAGAGGCTGCAGGGGAGCCCAGCAGCACTCCAGCCACATGTGGCATTCCTTCATGCTTGTGTTAGTACCACTACCTTTTACTTAAATTTCAAGAACTGTTAAAGCTTAGCATTATTACTTTAAGCACTTACTACTCACTATCATTAAACATATATTTGTAATGGCCATACTGTTTTAAAACGTCTCATCTATAGTAGGCACTCTACTAAGTAAATGCATCGAATTGAATCTTGCTTGAGATATAAAGCAGGAATGAATCTATAACAAATCTTACATCACAGAAATAAAAAATATTCAAAAATAACACAAGTTCATGCTTGGATATAGCAAGTAGTACAGAGAAAAGTCAAAATTGATTAGTCTGGCTGGGCACAGTGGCTCACACCTGTATCACCAGTGCTTTGGGAGGCCAAGGCTGGAGTATGGCTTGAGGACAGGGGTTGGAGGGTGCCGTAAGCTATGATCATGTCACTGCACTCCAGTCTGCGTGACAGTGAGATCCTGTCTCTAAATAAAATTAAATTAAAAATTACCTAGTCTTATTTAATTTCTTAGTGTTTGCAATATCTATTTGCATTAACATTTGCTTATTTAAAAACATTTTAAAGTGTACCTCAAATATGCATACCCTTTTTCAGCATCTAATTAAAAATTTCCTTTTAAAAATCACAGCTCAGCCAGGCGCAGTGGCTCCCGCCTGTAATCCTAGCGCTTTGGGAGGCCGAGATGGGCAGATTGCCTCAGCTCAGGAGTTCGAGACCAGCCTGGGCAACACGGTGAAACCCCGTCTCTACCAAAATACAAAAAAAAAAAAAAAAAAAAAAAAAAAAAAAAAAAAAAAAAAAAGCTGGGTGTGGCAGTGTGTACCTGTAGTTCCAGCTACTTGGGAGGCTGAGGCAGGAGAACTGCTTGAACCCAGGAAGTGGAGGTTGCAGAGAGCTGAGATCGTGCCACTGCACTCCAGCCTGGGCGATAGAGCGAGGCTCCGTCTCAAAAACAACAACAACAAAAAACAAACAAAAAATCACAGTTCAATGGTTGTAGTCCATAGCATAAAATTTTATACTTTTCATACTTACTACCAAGTAATACATATAAAAATATTTGGACTTTGAATTCTTTTAGAAAGATAGAACATTAAGTTAAAGGACAAAACATTTTTTCCTCACGCCACCCTCTCTCTTTTTATATGCTACATTCTACAGCTAATGGCATTCTAAAATGAAATTTTAGGACTGTGGGACTTTGTTGTTATTGTCTGCTTTGATCATATGTTTTTACTTCTCTCTTCCTAAGAGTTCTTTCTAACTCTTTTGGTGGGTACGAAGGAGTCCAATCGCCTTCTATGGGCCTTCCTAACTCCAGAGGCCGGTCAGCAAACTCTACCCAACTCAGGTTCCCCTGTGACTTGGGACCTGTCAATCAGAGCAGAGGGCCTAACTGTGCTACTTCTGCCAGCAGGCATAACATTAACAAAAGATCTCAGGGTGTTGGCCAATAGCTCTGCAGCATTAAATGGCAGGAATGGGGCATCCAGTGTGTTGATTCAGCTTGCAGCCCACACTAAGTGGTTCGAAAGCTGGAAGGCAACAGCTCTGGGGGTCATGCAGTTCCCTGCTGTCGGCTGTGGCTCTGGGGATGCACGTGAGCTGACTTGCCATATTTCTGGTTGTACTAATAGAAGAGGCAGCAGCTTCCATGGCAGTATTGCTTAAAAGCCACTTAAAATCCATTAATAAATCTCTCTTTTTTTTTTTTTGTCACCCAGGCTGGAGTGCAATGGTGCGATCTCGGCTTACTACAACCTCTGCCTCCGGGTTCAAGCGATTCTCCTGCCTCGGCCTCCCGTGTAGCTGGGACTACAGATGTGCAACATCAAGCCCGGCTAATTTTTGTATTTTTAGTAGAGATGGGGTTTCACCATGTTTGCCTGGCTGGTCTTGAACTCCTGACCTCAAGTGACCCACCCGCCTCGGCCTCCCAGAGTGCTGGGATAACAGGCGCGAGCCACTGCACCTGGCCAATAAATCTCCTTCTGTTTAAGTTGGATAGAAAAGATTCATCACTGGGCCTGAAACATTCAATATGTAGTCGAATATGAAGATTCCACATCTAATATTTGATACGTGGAAGTGAAGTTATAGGGTAAAGGAACGCCATACACTCTTCCCTAGATAAATCAACAACTACAACTAAAAGTCAAAAACAAAATCATGAACAAATCCAACAATTTTGTGTCCACTTTTGTCCAGAAATAATGTATCTCTCTGAGAGACAAGTGAAATAAGGAGTGAACCATTTCACTTACCTAGTCTAGAAATCCCTAGAGAGCAGACTTAATTAATTTGCTGCACTGAGGTATTTTAATATATATTCATTGTTATGACTTATGCAACAAAACACTTTTTATAATGTGTGAAGAACTACAGAACTTCTCCATGGGAGCCACACATACAACAAAGGAGCACACGTGGACGATTCCACCTTCCCTCCCATGTACTGTTAGTGTCATTTCACCAAAGACAACCATAACTAGAACACTCCTTAGCTAGCATACCAAACTTTTATAAAAACAGAAATTCTGAGGCTAAAAGAAAGCTTTTACTATTTGACAATTGGTAGTTAAAATACCTAGTTCCTATCTAGCCAAACAATATTTTAAGAAGTATTTGAGAATGCACATTCTTTCAATACCATCATCACAGATCACAGAAACCATGGTATCTAGGCACCAGAGACTCATAAAAAGAATGGTAAATCATTCAGAGAGCCTTATTTTGAATAGGAACCGTTCATGCCGATGATATCCTGAAATGATTTAGAGTATGTGATAATGCTGGCATGTAGTTAAGAAGCCTGGAGAGGAGATAAAGGAAAAGTGAGGCCCACCAGGGATCTGGAATGGCACAGGGAGTTACTGAGGCTGACAGAAATTCTCACACTATCTCCTCCAGAAATACTTCAGGAAGGCAGTAAATGATAAAAGTATTGTCTATGGAGATAGGATACCAGTGATACTGAAAAATGAGCGACAGGAAAGAAATAGCAAATTAGTAAACAACTAAATAAAGTCTATCTATAGAACAGTTTTGAGAAAAGGATCTTTTCCTGGGGCTATAGAAGCTCTCCCAGTAGCAAGAGGTACATATCAAACATTCCACAACCGAGCATTCATACTTCTAAAGCCTCTATCTGGCCATGACTACCAATGCTAGTATCAACTCTATGCAATAAAATGCATTTGGGCCGGGTATGGTGGCTCACGCCTGTAATCCCAGCACTTTGGGAGGCTGAGGGAAGGGAATCACCTGAGTTCAGGAGTCTGAGACCAGCCTGGGCAATAGTGAGACCCTGTCTCTTTTTTAAATAAATAAATAAATTGCACTTGTATTTCCTTCATCTTCTTGTACCTCTTGGTATCTAATACCATTCTTGAAAAAAAGGAGCCAGGTCTCCTTGGAAAAATGGCTGATTCCAGGATGAAGGCAGAAAATATACAAGATAAGCCTAGCACATCTTACAGTGACAGGGAGTAAAGAAGTACTCAAAACAAAACAAAACAGAACACTCAAAATTATGGGAGTATATCAAAGGGATACAGATATCAATTGAAATAACTCCAAGGGAAAAAAACTGGAACAATGTGAACAACAAAATAAATAAAATAGTATTGGATTATAACTCAAAGTGTAAAATAAATATGTACAAGTCCATAGTGATATAAATAATTGAAAAAAAAAGTAGAGAAGAGACAAATCTCACATGCAGAGGAATTCCAAACAACTGCTCCACCATCAAACAAGGGGATTGGAGCTCTCTGTTCCTTAGGTGTGCATTGTGCATGATGGCTTCCTTCCAAAGACTTTAGGATGGAAAGGAGGAAAAAGTACAGTAACTTCATAGTGCAGAAACCTGACAAGTACTACCTCAGGGAGGTGATCAAGGTCAGTATCAACAGCAGGAACTCATGTTGACAGAGTGTACACTGGATACGACATGATGAAAACTGTACTTTATCCTGTGGTTTTCCTCCTAAGAACACGTAACTCACATAACTCCAATCTCATCATATGTAATAAATCAGACAAATTCCAGTTAAGGAGATTTTTTTCTTTTTTGAGAGCACGTCTTGCTCTGTCGCCCAGGCTTGAGTGCAGTGGTACCATCTCGGCTCATTGCAACCTCTGCCTCCTGGGTTTAAGCAATTCTCCCACCTCAGCCTCCCGAGTAGCTGGGACTGCAGGTGCGTGCCACCATGCCCAGCTAATTTTTGTATTTTTAGTAGAGAAGGGATTTCACCATGTTGGCCAGGCTGGTCTTGAACTGTGGGCCTCAAGTGATCCATCCACCTTGGCCTCCCAAAGTGCTGGGATTGCAGGCGTAAGCCACCGCATTGGGCACAGTTAAGGACATTCTACAAAATACCTAACACTCCTCAAAACTGTTAAAGTCATAAAAGAGAAGTCTCAAAAGTTGTGACAGCCAAGAGGAGCCTGAGGAGACATGGCAACTGAGTATAATGTGGTGTCCTGAATGGGATCCTGGAGCATAATTAGGTAACACTAGGTAAACACTAAGGAAATGCGAATAAAGTACATACTTTAGTTAATTAAAAAATCACATCTATGTGCTTTCCAAAAGTAGAATATATTTGTGTTGGACATACTATTTGAGTCTACGAAGACAATGGTGAATGTCTGTCAATTCCAGGACCCCTCACCCTCCTGCCAAGGCTCCTGGTTGAGATTTGGTAATCAATACCCTCAGAAGGAACAGTACTCTCACGACAGGCATGATTATCTTACTGTTCTGTCACTAGTAAATGTTTCCAAATAGCTGCAATTTTAGACAATCTCTTTTTTTTTTTTTTTTGAGATAGGGTCTTGCTCTGTTGCTTAGGCTGGAGTGCAGTGGTACGATCATGGCTCGCTGCAGCCTTGAACTCCCAGGCTCAAGTGATCCTTCCACCTCAGCTTCCCAAGTAGCAGGGACTACAGGCACTACACTACACCTGGCTAATTATTTTTTTCTTAGAGATGTGGGCTCACTATGTTGCCCAGGCTGGTCTCGAACTCCTGGGCTCAAGTGATCCTCCAGCCTCGGCCTCCCAAAGTGCTGGGATTACAGGCATGAGCCACCGCGCCTGGCCAACTTGGCTGTTTAATGCAAAGGTCTAGCTTTTGATCTGTCTTGGCTTTTGCCATGCCTTCCCCACTAAGCTTAATCACTTCCAGTTTTTTATTTACAGTGAGAGATGTGCAACTCTTCCTTTCATCTGAACACTTCGAGGCCACTGGAGGCTTACTGACTTCTCTAATTTCAATATTGTTGTGTTTCAGGGAATAGGGAGGTCACAAAAGAGGGAAAGAGATGGAGGAACAGCCAGTTAGTAGAGGAGCCAGAACACACACATTTGCTGATTAAATTTGGCATCCAATATAGGTGTGGTTGGTGGTGTCCTGAAACAATTACAATACCAACATAAAAGATCACTGATCACAGATCATCATAACAGATAATAATAATGAAGGGATTTGAAATATTATGAGAATTGCCAAAATGTGATAGAGACATGAGGTGAACACATGCTGTTGGAAAAATGATACTGATAGAACTGCTTGATGCAGGGTTGCCACAAGCCCTCAAGTAGTAAATAAATGCTCTATCTGCAAAGTGCAGTAAAGTGAAGCATAATAAAGTGAGCCATGCCTGTATAGCATTCACAAATTACTGCAAAGCTTTTCTGACTAAAGTTCTCTACATATAAGGAAATAGTTACCTTTGTGGGTGGGTCTCCTTATCCAAGGCTACACAGAAAGCCAACATGTATGTCTGCCCAATTTTCACCCACTGGGAAGCAGGTAAGCATGTCAGCTTTCTCCTTCCTCCCAGAGGTCAGAAGCACCTTCACCCAAATATCCTCTTCTTAGGGTAATCTGTTCTTTTTTAATTTTTTTTTTAGAGACAGGGTCTTGCTATGTTGCCCCAGCTGGAGTGCACTGCCTATTCATAGGCATGATCATAGCATACCACAGACTCAAACTCTTGCTTCAAGTGATTCTCTGACCTCAGCCTCCTGATAGATGGGACTACAGGTGCCACTGCGCCTGGCCAGGGCAATCTGTTTTTTGATGCTTGGTTATAGTTCTTCCACAGTTTATTTATTTTTTTTAAATTTTGAGGGTACATAGTACGTGTATATATTTATGGGGGTACAAGAGATATTTTGATACAGGCATACAACACTTAATCACATCAGGGTAGATGGGGTATCCCTCAAGCATTTATCCTTTCATTGTTTTACAAATAAGCCAATTTAATCTTTTAGTTATTTTATTTTATTTTTTTGAGACAGTCACTCTGTCACCCAGGCTGGAGAGGAGTGGCATAATCTCGGCTCACTGCAACCTCCACCTCCCAGGTTCAAGCGATTCTTGGGCCTCAGCCTCCCGAGTAGCTGGGATTATAGGCATGTGCCATCATGTCCAGCTAATTTTTGTATTTTTTTTTTTTAAGTAGAGACAGGGTTTCACCATGTTGGCGGCCTCCCACAGTGCTGTGATTATAGGTGTCAGCCACCGCACTCAGCCTATAACTATATCTTTATATCTTTGGACCCATTAACCATCTCCCTTTCCCCCAACCCACAGTTCTTTTAACTGACAACACAGCAAACTTTAGGACTCCATTTTCAAGAAAAGTGTTACTTGATCATACAAATGCTTTACTGGGGCCAGGTGATCGATCATTACAGCCAGATAAATGAGATGCACTGGTGAAATCTGGATGGTGAAAAACTTTCTCCAGCTGTTCAATTCTCCATTCATTTCTGTGGAGGCAGTACACTACAAAGCAGAAAACAAATGTTCTGTGGAAGCTAAGTCAGCAAAGGTTGCCTGGCCCAGGCGTGAGAGGATGGTGTGGGTACAGGCTCTGAGCCAGGGGAGTAGTTTGCACTGCTCAATGACAGCTCGCCCTCCCACTCAGCCATGGTGGGCAGGGGTACCACAGCCAGGCCTGGACCAGGTGAGCAGGGTGTCCTCTGGCTCTTGGGCAGTGCAGTGCATGACGCTAAAAAAACACAATGGCTTTAATGAACATCCTTACTAATTTCAGGGTCTCTATAGAGTGGAGGTTTTCCGCTGGAAGAATTCAGTGAGTCAGAATATTAAGTTTCCTTTCTCACTTTTGTATTTGGAAAAGTTCTTTTTTCATTTTTTTTTTTAATTTGTTTTTTGAGATGGATTCTTGCTCTGTCGCCCAGGCTTCTGGGCAGTGGCATGATCTCGGCTCACCACAACCTCTGCCTCCCGGGTTCAAGCAATTCTCTGCCTCAGCCTGCTGAGTAGCTGGGATTACAGGCACCCGCCACCATGCCTGGCTAATTTTTGTATTTTTAGTAGAGACGGGGTTTCACCATCTTGGCCAGGCTGGTCTTGAACTCTGACCTCGTGATCCATCCACCCTGGCCTCCCAAAGTGCTGGGATTACAGGCATGAGCCACCATGCCCGGCCCTTTTTTCGTTGTTTTTCAAAGTTGCATTGAGGATCTAACTAGACAGGAGTCACGGTAATTCTTTTTTTTTTTTTTTTGAGACAGGGTCTTACTCTGTCACGCAGGCTGGGGTGCAGTGGCACGATCTTGGCTCACTGCAGCCTCAATCTCCTAGGCTCAATCCATCCAACTGCCATCAGCCTCCAGAGTAGCTGGGACTATTGGCATGCACCACCACACTCAGCTACATTTTTGTATTTTTGGTAGAGATCAGGTTTTGCCATGTTGCTCAGGCTGGTTCTGAACCCCGGGCTCAAGCAATCTGCCCACCTCAGCCTCCCAAAGTGTTGAGATTACAGGCGAGAGCCACCACGCTCAGCCTCAAGGTTATTTTTAACTTATTAAGTTCATTATGCTTTTTTCAAGCCATAATACTGCCCTGTACTTTGAGTATACCTAATAAACATTAACTGAGGGTGATGAGGAATGCAGTCAGTAAACAGTATCTCCCACCCCCACTTCCTGAGTGTCTGCCCAGGTTGCCCATGTTGGTCTTGAACTCCTTACCTCAAGCAATCCTCTTGCCCTGGCCTCCCAAAGCCACCATGCTTGGTTTTTGTTTTTTTTTTTTTTTCAATCATTTGCATATCTAGTCTTCAAAAAGAAAAAACCTAAATCTTTCCATATCCTCTTATACACATCAGATGGCATGGCCTGGAGGTCCAACAGCAGCAGGTGAGAACATTCTCCTTGGTTCATGGTCCTGTTGCTTCTGCTGCCATCCCCCTCCTATAAAGAAGACTGTAGTCCTTTCCTGGCTACCCACACAGTCAACAAAAGCAGGAGGAGACAAGGAAACACTTCCTTGTCTTGACTTCCTTCCTTCATTAGAGTCTCAGATGACTGGCTTTTTGTTTATAAATATTTTCTAGACATAAAAAAATGCAAATAATATTAATTTGCCTAACTCCTGATTACAGACACTTATCATGACAGCCAGGTTTCTCACAAGTTAAGCTGACAGATAAATGCTCATGCCTCAAATGAAAGTATTACTTGTATTTTTCAATTCTGTACTAGTGGTAGTTTCCGTTAGAGTGAATGAGAATAATTGTTTTTATGCTGTTACCAGTGTTTCTAAATGGTCACTGTTCTACTGAGCACAGAATGTGAAATAAGTTGGATGCTACATTTATAGAGGCAAATTGCCTTATGCCCTTGTTGGCTTGAAGGTGCAGAGGCAGACAGACCTGGTTTCAAGTTCCAGCTCAGCCTGGGAGCTTCCGCTGCAGGCCCCTTGGCTGATTCCTCTGAGCAATGGGGAACTCACCCACCCTTGGAGATACTGTCCTCTCCAGAACTGCTGTGCAGCGTGCCCCTGAAAGGCCAGCTACTGCTCGGAGATTTTGTGTGCTTTATTCATTAGTTCCTCAAAAAAACAAAAAACAAAAAAACAAGACTAAACAAAAGACAAAAAACAGGCACTTGGGATCTTGCAGTTTCTCAACCAAGCTGCCTTCTTTTCCCCTGAGTATGTAAAGTCAAACTGAAATGCTGTGCAGTGGGAATGAGGACCATTAGAGTTTGCCGACATTCTTTGGCTAAGAGCAAAAAAAAGTTTTATGATTTCAATTTAAAATAAATATTATAAAACAGACTAGAAGATAATATGTAAAATAATTATACTGGGAGTAGAAGTAAAATAATTTTTCTATTTTTGCAAATTTTGAAACCTATAATGGTACTTAAAATTACATGAAAAATACTAATGAACCAGGCTGTCACATTATTTTATGCACAAGATGGGCTGTGAGTGCAGTGAAAGGGTGTGATGTTGAGCAATGTTGCTTGCATTTTGCATTTTGCCAAGCCTAGCCCAGGCCTGGGTACCATGTGTTAACTCTCAAATTTCAGAGTAGGCGAAACTTTGCAGTTTGCTTGAAGAAGATGAAATGGTAGTTCAACTCGGTATTTCACTCTCAGTAGGGTGAACCACAGTACAGCACATGTCGTGATTAAATTAAAACGTAAATATTTTTTGTAGTACATAATGAAAAAGGTTGTGAAGAACATGCTTCCTAGCCACCCTTCCCCCTGCCATTTCTCTAAAAATAGTCCATTCCAGAGGATTTAACTGAAAATATGCTGCATTTGGGTGCTGGGGAGGGGGATGTGTGTGCAGAATTCTCTTTTACATCTGTGACTCCTGCAAAAATATCTGGCAGTACATTCAGTTCTATGTCTTCAAGCCTCTCAGGGCCAATTTAAAATATTATTATAAATGCTCATAGTTATCATCACCTAACTGATCTAAAGCAATAAAACAGTTGGCCTTTTGGTTTTCTCAGACCATCCCGAGGTAAGGGCTGAATTCTCAATGTTGGTCTCATTAGAAAGACTTAATTTGTTAGAAAGTAAATTTCATTATAAATTAAGGAGCTGTATTTCACTGGCCTTCCAGAAAACAAACTACCATTGTAATTTGTATGTTGATTCTCTGAATTTCTGGTGAACAGTGACTTTGAAGAGTCAAATAAGAATTCTTTATCAACTCTTCCTTCCTCTTTTATATGTCCCAAATAAATAAAATCCAAATCTGTTTTAGAGACACACATTTCCTCTTTCACCATTTTCTCTGATAAATTTATTGTGATGAATCATAAATCCAGTACTTTTCTGTGTTGCTTTTTAGTTTGAACATATTCAGTAATATTTGTGTGGTTTTAGAATTCATTTATTAATGCATGCCATATGCAACCACCAGGAGGTAAGACCCAGTTGACTGTCAACAAAAGCCTCAGCTCTTACTTTGAAGAACTATAAATTGACCCTAAGACAGATTTTTCTAAAAACCTATTGTTATAACCGAGGGCACAGAGAATGCAAAGTCTTCAACTAAAGACTGCAATCTTTCTTTTCCCCATGGTTACAAAGCCTTGGGGCAGTCACAAGTTTGGGTCTAGGGTGCCCGTCTGCCCACTTCAGAGTCAGAGGATCCATGGGTTGCATGAGGCAGGGCAGAGACTTGGAAAGAGAAAGGGCTTATTTTCTGCCTCTACCATCCAGTGCCTATGTGACCTTTGGGAGTGGTCAGAGATGAGGGCCTCAGCCTCTTCATCGCTGTCTCTCTCCGTCCCTCCCTCCGACGCCCTCATCCTGGCCTCTGCCTGCCTCTTCCCTCAGGGTGCTGGGGGCTGTTGTTGAGTTCTTGTTCTCACAGTCTGTAGGTTGCCCTTTAAGAAGGCCTGGGATTCCGTGTTACAGGGGTACTGTGCCTTCTGCCCCATGGTTGTAGCTTTTACTTTCTTGAGTCAACAGGGCATAATAAATGGATGTGGTCTATATCCCATGTGAACAAGAACCAGGAACGTCGGATCAGCCATACAGGTGCATGGGAAGACCATAGGGGGCTATAGGTCACGTGGTATTTTCTGAGTAAAGAGTTACAACATTTGACCTATGCACACCTGTAAAGGCTGGGATGACAGCCAAGGCCAATGTGTGGGTAACTGAGACAAGCTACAGGTCCTCTTAAGTCCTATTGCCCTGGAAAGGCCAACTACGCTTCTCAGAAGGCAGTTTCAGATCACCCAGGATGGATGTAGGGAACTGCATCTGTTATGTGGACAGTAAACAGTAGTATTTATAGCAATGGAAAGTTCTAGGGCAAAGCACTTCACACATTTCTTTAACACTCTAAAACAATGTATATAAAGTATATTATTCTGTCCACTCAGTACTGGGAAAACTGAAGCTCAGAGCAATTAAGTAAGTTGCCCCAGGTCACAAACCTGTAGAGACCAGAGCTGGCACCGGAATTTTGAGCTTTTGATGACAAATCCTGGATGCTTTTCCACTCCTCTCTACTGCTCTTTTCAACGTTTACATTAAATATTGCTTTCATCATATTTTACATGTTTTTCCTTCTGAGGCTCTTCTATTTTCCCCAGTATTCCTTCTTTCACTTGTGAACAATAAATTCTCCTATAAGGGTTTTAATTTTTACTTTATCTTGGTTCAAAAATTCAATTTGCTACGTGTATTATTTTGTAATTTAACATATTTGAGACAAAGTATGGTGAGAAAACTTGACATTTCAAAATGTCACATCATTTTACCTCATGTGACAGAAGCTATTTTATCTAAAAATTAACATATGAATACATTCAGCACTGTAATTTTACATTTTTTCTGCATATAGTTCAAAATATATAAGTACATATTTGTACCTTCAAGTATTATTTTGATGTGCAGTATGGGAACTTGGAACTATAGTAAAAAAGTGGCTGAAAATTCCCTTTTATCCCTTTAAGAAAAGTCAAGGGAAATACCAGACATAAAGAAATTTACCTATTTATATAGATTAGAGGTTGGCAAATTATGGCCTGTGGGCCAAATTTTGCCTGTCCCCGATTTTTATACATAAAGTTTCTTTTTTTGAGACAGAGTATCGTTCTGTCACCCAGGCTGGAGTGCAGTAGCACGATCTCGGCTCACTGCAACCTCCACCTCTCCTAGGTTCAATGGTTCTCTTGCTTCAGCCTCCTGAGTAGCTGGGATTACAGGTTCATGCCGCCACACCCAGCTAATTTTTGTATCTTTAGTAGAGAAGGGGCTTCACTATGTTGGCCAGGCTGGTCTCGAACTCCTGACCTCAGGTGATCCACCTGCCTCGGCCTCCCAAAGTGTTGGGATTACAGGCATGAGCCACCACACCTGGCCCTTTGTACCTAAAGTTCTACTGGCACACAGCCACATCCATCTATCTAGATATTATTGTCTGCGGCTGCTTTCAGTGTTTCAGACTGATGCTTTCAGACTGTGGTATGGCCCGCCAAGCCTAAAATAATATGCTTGCCAATACCTGCTATGTATAAATAAAATAAAACCCCCAAAACCCAGACCTACTGGGTGTCCAGCATCTCATCTTTGTTATCTCACTTAATCTACTAAACAATCTCCTGTGAGGTGGATGACAATTGTGTCCCTACTACCATCCTAACACATATGATTACTAAACTCCTAATACTGTCTACCCTATTCTAGGGGAAAAGACAGCATCAGGAAGAATCAAACGAAACTTTTCCTTAAGTCATCTAGCTAAACTGTGAGAGATGCCTGCATCTCTTCAAACAGCTGCTGTGACCCTTAAAGGGAGAATCTCAGTCCTTATATTTTTACAACTTAATCATTTAGCACTTTTCAAAGGCCCTAAACTCATTTTTGCAAATAAATTAAGTTTAAATGGAGGATACATTTTCAATGAGACTGATCCAGAAAGTAGCTGAGCCCTACAGATTTTCAGCTACTTGAGAATATTGGCTAAGTTGGTTTATACTTTAATCCCAAAACAAGCCACACCAAAAAACCAACAAACATTCTCCATTCGATGTTTTTTATCTCCCATTTCCATTTTGTTAGACAGAAGTCAGTATATGTGTATTCATGATACACAGGTTGACTATTCCCTACCCAAATTGCTTGGGACAGGAGTTTTTTTTCAGATTTGAAATATTTGCATAGACATAATAAGATATCTTGGGGATGGGACCCAAGTCTAAACATGACATTCATTTATGTTTCATATATTCCTTATACAGATAGCCTGAAGGTAATTTTATGCATTTTATTTTTATTTTAAATTATTTTATACATGAAACAAAGTTGTGTACACTGACTCATAAGAAAGAAAAGGTGTCACTATTTCAGCCACTCATGCTGGTGCTCAACAAGTTTTGGCTTAGGGATGCTCAACTTATATTAATGTATCCTAAACTAATGATTCTTAAAATTGTTAATTTTTGCCTTTAGTCAGAATTCTACCCATGAAAACATGGAACAATTCTGTTGAACTTTGTCAGAAATGGTTGGTTAAATTATTCTCTATCCCCATAAGATGATGATTCCTTGCTGTTACTGGAGGAAAAACAACCTTCTCTAACCAATTTTTAAAACACCATGGGGAAAACATCCCAAGTAGCCAAAATTTAGCTTTCTTTAAAAGCATTATCTCAGGAAGCATGTTCTGTGGAAGGATGGCTAGTTTAATAGGGAAAGCCATCTATATTTTTGAGTCTCTCGTTTGTTTTTAAGGATGGATCTGAATAGCACCTAGGGAGTTCCTGCATTTTAAGGAAGCCATTCTAAATCACATCCCATGACAGAATGAGTGAGTTCATGTAAACACAGTCAGTGGTATCATGAGTAACAAAATCTGTTTTCATCAGAAGCCCTTCATCCTGCGTAAGAGACCTGTGCACTACCAGGCAGCCCAGGCTAATGTTAACCAGTTCCAGCTGGTCCGCTGCTATAAAAAGAACTAATGAAAACACAAATGCTAACTTCTCCATTCCACTCCGGCCAGTACGTCAAGGCTGCACAAAGACAGCCCTTTCCAAATGCTCTCAGTGAATGAACCGGCGGGTCTGGTTCTCTAAACTTGTTTACTGAACAGAGTGTGCAGGGGACTCGCTGAGCACCGATGGGGGTGCTGGGGGCCAGGGAGGGGGGAGGAATCACATGATCTGTCAGTGCACAAAGCCAAATTTCCCGTTTGGATTTAGTTCTATAACACATAGAAGGAAGAGAAAGTTTTCAAAAGCAGAGACAGAGTATCCTGAGCAATTTCTTAAACACATACACACACTTAGGGTACTTTGGTTTTCGTATGAAAATATATATCACAGATAAATTAATGCCTTATCAAATATTCAAAATTCTTAAGTAAAGGGAAACATTTTTTTTGTGACATCAGAAATTCCTACTAGCGGTAAATCATTTCTTTTTTTTTAAATTTTTATTATTATTATACTTTAAGTTTTAGGGTACATGTGCACAACGTGCAGGTTTGTTACATATGTATACATGTGCCATGTTGCTGTGCTGCACCCATTAACTTGTCATTTAGCATTAGGTATATCTCCTAATGCTATCCCTCCCCGCTCCCGCCACCCCACAACAGTCCCCAGAGTGTGATCTTCCCCTTCCTGTGTCCATGTATTCTCATTGTTCAATTCCCACCTATGAGTGAGAACATGCGGTGTTCGGTTTTTTGTCCTTGTGATAGTTTGCTGAGAATGATGGTTTCCACCTTCATCCATGTCCCTACAAAGGACGTGAACTCATCATTTTTTATGGCTGCATAGTATTCCATGGTGTATATGTGCCACATTTGCTTAATCCAGTCTATCGCTGTTGGACATATGGGTTGGTTCCTGGTCTTTGCTATTGTGAATAGTGCCACAATAAACATACGTGTGCATGTGTCTTTATAGCAGCATGATTTATAATCCTTTGGGTATATACCCAGTAATGGGATGGCTGGGTCAAATGGTATTTCTAGTTCTAGATCCCTGAGGAATCGCCACACTGACTTCCACAATGGTTGAACTAGTTTACAGTCCCACCAACAGTGTAAAAGTGTTCCTATTTCTCCACATCCTCCCCAGCACCTGTTGTTTCCTGACTTTTTAATGATTGCCATTCTAACTGGCATGAGATGGTATCTCATTGTGGTTTTGATTTGCATTTCTCTGATGGCCAGTGACGATGAGCATTTTTTCATGTGTTTTCTGGCTGCATAAATGTCTTCTTTTGAGAGTGTCTGTTCATATCCTTCGCCCATTTGTTGATGGGGTTGTTTGTTTTTTTCTTGTAAATTTGTTTGAGTTCATTGTAGATTCTGGATATTAGCCCTTTGTCAGATGAGTAGGTTGTGAAAATTTCCTCCCGTTCTGTAGGTTGCCTGTTCACTCTGATGGTAGTTTCTTTTGCTGTGCAGAAGCTCTTTAGTTTAATTAGATCCCATTTGTTAATTTTGGCTTTTGTTGCCATTGCTTTGGGTGTTTTAGTCATGGAGTCCTTGCCCATGCCTATCTCCTGAATGGTATTGCCTAGGTTTTCTTCTAGGGTTTTTATGGTTTTAGGTCTAACATGTAAGTCTTTAATCCATCTTGAATTAATTTGTGTATAAGGTGTAAGGAAGGTATCCAGTTTCAGCTTTCTACATATGGCTAGCCAGTTTTCCCAGCACCATTTATTAAATAGGGAATCCTTTCCCCATTGCTTGTTTTTCTCAGGTTTGTCAAAGATCAGATAGTTGTAGATATGCGGCATTATTTCTGAGGGCTCTGTTCTGTTCCATTGGTCTATATCTCTGTTTTGGTACCAGTACCATGCTGTTTTGGTTACTGTAGCCTTGTAGTATAGTTTGAAGTCAGGTAGTGTGATACCTCCAGCTTTGTTCTTTTGGCTTAGGACTGACTTGGCAATGCGGGCTCTTTTTTGGTTCCATATGAACTTTCAAGTAGTTTTTTCCAATTCTGTGAAGAAAGTCACTGGTAGCTTGATGGGGATGGCACTGAATCTATAAATTACCTTGGGCAGTATGGCCATTTTCATGATATTGATTCTTCCTACCCATGAGCATGGAATGTTCTTCCATTTGTTTGTATCCTCTTTTATTTCATTGAGCAGTGGTTTGTAGTTCTCCTTGAAGAGGTCCTTCACGTCCCTTGTAAGTTGGATTCCTAGGTATTTTATTCTCTTTGAAGCAATTGTGAATGGGAGTTCACTCATGATTTGGCTCTCTGTTTGCCTGTTATTGGTGTATAAGAATGCTTGTGATTTTTGCACATTGATTTTGTATCCTGAGACTTTGCTGAAGTTGCTTATCAGCTTAAGGAGATTTTGGGCTGAAACAATGGGGTTTTCTAGATATGCAATCATGTCATCTGTAAACAGGGACAATTTGACTTCCTCTTTTCCTAACTGAATACCCTTTATTTCCTTCTCCTGCCTGACTGCCCTGGCCAGAACTTCCAACACTATGTTGAATAGGAGTGGTGAGAGAGGGCATCCCTGTCTTGTGCCAGTTTTCAAAGGAAATGCTTCCAGTTTTTGCCCATTCAGTATGATATTGGCTGTGGGTTTGCCATAGATAGCTCTTATTATTTTGAGGTACGTCTCATCAATACCTAATTTATTGAGAGTTTTTAGCATGAAGGTTGTTGAATTTTGTCAAAGGCCTTTTGTGCCTCTATTGAGATAATCATGTAGTTTTTGTCTTTGGTTCTGTTTATATGCTGGATTACATTTATTGATTTGTGTATGTTGAACCAGCCTTGCATCCCAGGGATGAAGCCCACTTGATCATGGTGGATAAGCTTTTTGAGGTGCTGCTGGATTCGATTTGCCAGTATTTTATTGAGGATTTTTGCATCAATGTTCATCAAGGACATTGGTCTAAAATTCTCTTTTTTGGTTGTGTCTCTGCCAGGCTTTGGTATCAGGATGATGCCGGCCTCATAAAATGAGTTAGGGAGGATTCCCTCTTTTTCTATTGATTGGAATAGTTTCAGAAGGAATGGTACCAGCTCCTCCTTGTACCTCTGGTAGAATTCGGCTTTGAATCCATATGGTCCTGGACTTTTTTTGGTTGGTAAGGTATTGATTATTGCCTCAATTTCAGAGCCTGTTATTGGTCTATTCAGAGATTCAACTTCTTCCTGGTTTAGTCTTGGGAGGATGTATGTGTCGAGGAATGTATCCATTTCTTCTAGATTTTCTAGTTTATTTGCGTAGAGGTGTTTATAGTATTCTCTGATGGTAGTTTGTATTTCTGTGGGATCGGTGGTGATATCCCCTTTATCATTTTTTATTGCGTCTCTTTGATTCTTCTCTCTTTTCTTCTTTATTAGTCTTGCTAGTGGTCTATCAATTTTGTTGATCTTTTCAAAAAACCAGGTCCTGGATTCATTAATTTTT
Source organism: Homo sapiens (assembly GCF_000001405.40). Lineage (NCBI taxonomy): Eukaryota > Metazoa > Chordata > Mammalia > Primates > Hominidae > Homo > Homo sapiens. Next base: position 47,624,427 of record NC_000008.11, on the reverse strand, counting down.
TGAAGGGTTTTTTGTGTCTCTGTCTTCTTCAGTTCTGCTCTGATCTTAGTTATTTCTTGCCTTCTGCTAGCTTTTGAATGTGTTTGCTCTTGCTTTTCTAGTTCTTTTAATTGTGATGTTAGGGTGTCAATTTTAGATCTTTCCTGCTTTGTGTTGTGGGCATTTAGTGCTATCAATTTCCCTCTACACACTGCTTTGAATGTGTCCCAGAGATTCTGGTATGTTGTGTCTTTGTTCTCATTGGTTTCAAAGAACATCTTTATTTCTGCCTTCATTTCGTTATGTACCCAGTAGTCATTCAGGAGCAGGTTGTTCAGTTTCCATGTAGTTGAGCAGTTTTGAGTGACTTTCTTAATCCTGAGTTCTAGTTTGATTGCACTGTGGTCTGAGAGACAGTTTGTTATAATTTCTGTTCTTTTACATTTGCTGAGGAGTGCTTTACTTCCAACTATGTGGTCAATTTTGGAATAGGTGTGTTGTGGTGCTGAAAAGAATGTATATTCTGTTGATTTGGGATGGACAGTTCTGTAGATGTCTATTAGTTCCACTTGGTGCAGAGCTGAGTTCAATTCCTGAATATCCTTGTTAACTTTCTGTCTCGTTGATCTGTCTAATGTTGACAGTGGGGTGTTAAAGTCTCCCATTATTATTGTGTGGGAGTCTAAGTCTCTGTAAGTCACTCAGGACTTGCTTTATGAATCTGGGTGCTCCTGTATTGGGTGCATATATATTTCAGATAGTTAGTTCTTCTTGTTTAATTGATCCCTTTACCATTATGTAATGGCCTTCTTTGTCTCTTTTGATCTTTGTTGGTTTAAAGTCTGTTTTATCAGAGACTAGGATTGCAACCCCTGCCTTTTTCTGTTTTCCATTTGCTTGGTAGATCTTCCTCCATCCCTTCATTTTGGGCCTATATGTGTCTCTGCACGTGAGATGGGTTTCCTCAGTCTCAGCACACTGATGGGTCTTGACTCTTTATCCAATTTGCCAGTCTGTGTCTTTTAATTGGAGCATTTAGCCCATTTACATTCAAAGTTAATATCGTTATGTGTGAATTTGATCCTTTCATTATGATGTCAGCTGGCTATTTTGCTTGTTAGTTGATGCAGTTTCTTCCTAGCCTCGATGGTCTTTACAATTTGGCATGTTTTTGCAGTGGCTGGTACCAGATGTTCCTTTCCATGTTTAGTGCTTCCTTCAGGAACTCTTTTAGGGCAGGCCTGGTGGTGACAAAATCTCTCAGCATTTGCTTGTCTGTGGTAAATCATTTCTTATTCAGTGACTTACTTTACAAGAGGAGGCAATCTTATGATAAAGAGATGATCCTCATTTTAATTCTTTACATGGCTAAAAAACTCCAAGCTGTTAGTGCACTACAAGGTCCTGTGGCAATTTCTCTCATCTTCATCTCACAGATGGACAGACTAGGGCGTAGCGGATACTGAGACTGCTGTGGGCCACGCTGCTTAGTGGCAAAAAGAACATGGGTGTCCTGGCACTCACAAGTGTTTTTCTACTCCATCTCATTCTAGATGTGGCTAAGTGAACATGGCCAAGAATAAACCAAAGAGGGTGCCTGGATAATTTCATATTATGGGCTTGACCTAACCTAGCCTTTTAATGTATGAGGTTACTTGCAACGTCAACTGAAAATTTAGGGAGTTGACCTGACATTTTTTCATTTTCTTGAAGAGGCTCAAAGTGTGATTCAATTAGTTATCCTGGTGGATGAAAGGGTTTTCGCCTCATCCATGCAGGGCCGATGCTGTGCCTGGGACATTAATCTGTAGTACAGATGCTAACTCTCGAGTCACCCCCATCCTCCTGGGACGCCAGCCCCTACTTCCCATGACATCCTGTCATTAACTCCACCTTCTGTGCACCCCCTAGCTGGCTGTGAGGCTGCAGCAGGTGAGGCAGAGCACCAAAGGAGACCCGCGTCAGGTCAGCAGTGCCTGAGTATAGGCCTGACTCAGGCCGAGTCTTACCTCTAATCAGCCCTTGGAGGACTATGCCTCCTGTGGCCAGGAGGCCAGAAGCTTAGGGAACGTCACAGGCTGTACAGCTGCTCCAAGCGGTGGGTCTCTGACTTCAAGTCTAAACCTTCTCCTGCCCTCTCCCCAGGCCTATTATTTTCCAAGTTATCAAGGTTGAAAACTTCAAAGCCATCTTTAGACCTTTTTGTTTTCCTTACTCCTCAAATCCTAACCATTGCTGAATCCAGATTTTTTCATCACTCAAGAAGCCCTTCTCTTGCATCCATTCCTCTGCTGGGCCTCCCTGCAGGGCTGACAGGGCTGAGCACCTCGCCCTGGACATTCAAGCTCTGAACTCTGCTTCCTGCCTGCCACTAAGACACTACTTGGATCATATCAAATGCCTCAGCAGTTTGCCCATAAGATAATTCTCAAGCCCTCTGCAACATGATCTCAATCTACCTTTCCAGTCTTATCTTGCAATGACTTCCCTCCATCTCACTCTGTCGCCTAGGCTGGAGTGCAATGGCACGATCTCCAGTCACTGCAACCTCCGCCTCCCGGGTTCAAGCAATTCTCCCGCCTCAGCCTCCTGAGTAGCTGGGACTACAGGCACCCACCATCATGCCTGGCTAATTTTTGTAGAGACAGGGTTTCACCATGTTGGCCAGACTGGTATTGAACTCCTGACCTCAGGTGATCTGCCTGCCTTGGCCTCCCATACTTGAACTTTTAAAGTTTGAAAATCTGACTGTAGTCTAGGCACTCAACTTAGAACTGAGCACACCTTTGATTTCTCTAATAAACATTTATGGGGGCCCTGTATTCACACAGCTCTGTGCCAGACGGCACTGAGAGGCCTGGGCCAAATGGATATGTGCACACACAGGCAAGAAAGGGCAGAGCCCCTTCCTTCAAAGACGCTCAGGTCATCAAGAGAGAGGCGCGCACAATAAGACAGAAGCGAGAACAGAGATGAGAGGATGAAGAGATCACATAACCCAAATCTACAATCTACAGACGAGGCAGCCAAGGCAGGGTGAGACTACATGACATGCCCAGATGATTCATTTGGGCTTCACTTTCAAGATGATTCATGTAAGGAATTATTAAAAAATGGAATGATCCAGACATTTGGAATTAGATAGTGGTGATGGTCACAATAACATTGTGAACACACTAAAACCCATATGAATTGGCCGGGCGTGGTGGCTCACGCCTGTAATCCCAGCACTTTGGGAGGCCAAGGTGGGCGGATCACAAGGTCAGGAGATCGAGACCATCCTGGCCAACATGGTGAAACCCCGTCTCTACTAAAATACAAAAAATTAGCTGGGCATGGTGGTGTGCACCTGTAGTCCCAGCTACTTGGGAGGCTGAGGCTGGGGACTTGCTTGAACCCAGGAGGCGGAGACTGCAGTGAGCTGAGATTGTGCCACTGCACTCCAGCCTGGTGACAGAGTGAGACTCCATCTCAAAAAAACAAAAACAAAAACCCAGTGAGAATTGTATACCCTTTAAAATGGTTTAAATGGGCCAGGCATGCTAGCTAATGCCTGTAATCACAGCACTTTGGGAGGCCGAGGTGGGTGGATCGCCTGGGGTCAGGAGATTGAGACCATCCTGGCCAACATGGTGAAACCCCGTCTCTACTAAAATACAAAAAATTAGCCGGGCGTGGTGATGTGTGCCTGTAGTCCCAGCTACACGGGAGGCTGAGGCAGGGAACTCGTTTGAACCCGGGAGGTGGAGATTGCAGTTAGCCGAGATCACGCCACTGCACTCCAGCCTGATGACAGAGAGAGATTCTGTCTCAAAAAAACCCCAAAGAAACAAAAAAACAAAACCGATGAATTGTGTATACCCTTTAAAATGGTTTAAATGGGCCGGGTGCGGTGGCTCATCCCTGTAATCCCAGCACTTTGGGAGGCTGAGGCGGGTGGATCACCTGGGGTCAGGAGTTCGAGACCAGCCTGGCCAACATGGCGAAAACCCGTCTCTACTAAAAATAAAAAAATTAGCCAGGTGTGGTGCCTGTAATCCCAGTTACTTGGAAGGGTGAGGCAGGAAAACTGCTTGAACCCGGGATGCAGAGGTTGCAGTGAGCCAAGATCACGCCACTGCACTCCAGCCTCGGTGACAGAGTGAGACTCCGTCTCAAAAAAAAAAAAAAAAAAAGGTTTAAATGGTGAGTTTCATCTCATAATCAAAACAAAACCAAATGATCCCATGTTACCATCACAGAGAGATCTAACTTGTCCTTCTCAAAACCTGGCTGAACTTTGTCTTTCAAAATGTCTTCCTTGACTACTCCTGGCAGCTGCTGTAATTCTCTGATCTGTATCCTGCTAGTACGCTTTCTATTAATAGCTTGCATTCTATTAGAATAGAACACATGCATGTGTATGAATACATCCTCTCTATCTTCCTGAAAAGATAGTGGGCTCCTTCAGCACAGACATGATATAGAATTCTCTGGTCAATCTTTAGCATAAACTTTCTTCTCTTCCTTCCTTTCCTCCTTATTCCTTTTTTCATTTAACTACACCACCTTAAAGGCAGCACGGTGGGGGAAATAGAATACATGTGCTGAGCAGGTGGCTAAAATTATTTTGTAACTAATATTAATAGAGTTGCTCTTAAAGACATTAAAGAGCCAGAGGAGAAAAGAATGTGAAGCTCAGCACTATAAAGACTTAGCACTTGTGGTTCCAGCTACTCAAGAGGCTGAAGCAGGAAAATCACTTGAGCCCAGGAGGTTGATGAGGCTGCAGTGAGCCATGACTGGGCCTAGGCAACAGAGTGAGACCCCATCCCTTAAAAAAAAAAAAAAGGGTAATATACATATATGCATATTCAGAGTATCATGTAGAAAAAGCAAACAGACTGATCCTATGTGACCCTACATGACCCTGAGAGGAAGCGTCAGTTCCAAGGGGCAGAAGATCCAGGGAGAGAGGTTCAAGCTCAAGATAGGAGAGAGCCTTCTAGGAAAGGGAGCTGCACAGGGGCTGCAGTAGAGCAATGTGCCACCATGGGAGGTGCTCAAATGTGCAGCTGAGACGAAGTAGTAAATCAATAATTTGTAACTAGTATTTAAGGGCCAATTGAACTCTTAAGATTCCATGATTCTGTTAACACCAAAAAGACATTTAAACCAAGACCCCAAACATCTAAATTATTTAAAGCTGAATAATCCTACCACCTAAAAAGACATATGCAGAGATTCATTGTGTAGAATTATATCTCAGAGCACACAAGATCAACTCCATGACTAAAACCAACTTAATCATTAACAAATCTTAAAGCTGGCCAGGACTCTGTTTTAGATTATTCATTACAAAAGGCTAATTTTTAACACAGGTAACCCATTCACATAGTTCAAAATTCAAACTTCTCCCTTCTATTCCTAACTGCCTCATTCTCCCATGGGGCAATTAAAGTTGCCAGCTTCTTGTGTATCTTCCAAAGATATTTCATGCATAGAAAGAACATTAGTGCCTATGGCACTTTGTTTTAACCAAATGGTAACACACTTTTGTGCTTGTTTTGGACCTTGTTCATTTATTATAATAATCCTTGTGATCATTCCATATTAACACAGACTGTTCACATTCCTTAATTTTAGATGACAGCATAGTATCCCATTTTTGACATTGATATTGTTCCTAAACTAAGTTGTAAGTTCTCATAAATAAAGCTAAAAAGACCAATGGAACTAAAAAACGATTACTTTAAAAGTTGGTTGCTCAGCTGTTCTTACCTCAAAGTACACACACACACAAACTATTTTAATTATATAAAACAATTATATGCGGGTTTTTAAAACTAAGGCCTTGTATATAGTAATAAATTACTTGCCAGGTAATTCTGAGAAAATAACACAATTGTTTATCTCCTTCGTGTATAATATGCACTGACATGTTTTCAAAATTTATATTTAGAAAATAAAATTATTAAAATCTATAGCTGAATAAAAAAATTAATTCCTGCTAAAATTTATAGAATGTTTACTGTGCAACCTATCTATCACCCTTGGTAATATTATATTACAGTTTGAGTTAATGTATGCACCTTAAAGGGAAAAATTTTTTTTAATTCATATCAGATTTTAATAAACTCAGTTTGGTTTTCCTTCAAGACTGAATAATGATAGCCGGACTGTATAGAATGAAGAGGATGACAGGAAAAGCCTTTACACCGATAGATGGATCTCTTTTGCAGAAGATAAAGGAATGAGATTATATTACTTAAAAAAAAAATCCAGCCAAACCAACTAGAAAATGACACGAGAGGAATTCTGATTCAAACACAAACCACGTACACAAAAGCGTGTTAACTCTGCATTGGTCTCCTGACTTTAGAGATCCTTGCCCAATACATTAAACCTCTGCAGTGCACTTACTGGCATTAAAGATATCTTTTGGCCTAAAGGAAATCTATTAGAACATAGCGTACCCAAAGCTGTGGCAAGTCTTGATGACATGATTGTCACTGCCCTGAAGACTGGGGCTTGTCTCTGGCGCACCCCAAGAACTGAGCAGCAGCTGAACACCAACAATGTGGCTCAGAGAAGCAATATTCATTTTAAGTTAGTACTTCCCACTCCCAAAATGGCATAAAGTAATCTAAGGTCAGTATTTTGGAAACATTAGCTCATATCATCCAGGACAAAACTTATTATGGAGGTGGCTTTTATTCATACAGATATTTTAGGACAGGAGCTGTTTTTTCTCTCTTTTGTACATGCCACTGTTTGCACTGCAGGATGATGTGACACAGTAGGCACTTGACAAAGGTCTATTAATGGAACAACATCTCTTATATATTATCCTATTTAACACTTGCAACAAAAGGCAACTTACAACAGGCCTTATTATTTCCATTTGACAGCACTGAAGGGTGATGCTGCATCTTTTGATGGCCCTAATGTCCATAAACTGATGAATGGATACAATCTGATATATTTATCCACTGCAAAATTATGTTTAAGGTCTTAGAAGTGCCCCCAATCCTATACCATTAATCCTGAAACAAACATGAATAACAGTTGACTTCAAAGACTACTCAGAAATTTAGCTTGTATGCCACGCCTTCTCTGATGTTGTTGTCTATGTCACAAATGCTCTTGCTTCAGACTATCTTAGGTACCAATGGAGGTAACAGTGCATGCTCCAGCTTCACCTCCCAGGCATTATAAAATGGGAGTTTAAAAATAGCTTAATTTTCTTAAAAAGTAACTTCATAGACACCAGACAAATCATGATTGCTACCTGAGCCAGCAACTATGATTAATGCCAGCAGAGATACATCATGTTGATAGTATGTACCTTTGATAGGATGTAATGAAAATGGAATTTTATGTAGGCAATCTTTTTCTCCCAAATCCATACCTGTCTAAATATATATAAAAAAAACACAAAATAAGGGATCCTCTACAAAATATCTGTCCAGTAATCCTCAAAATTGTCCTGGTAATAAAAAGCAAAAAGCATTTAAGAAAGTCTACAGGAGCCTAAGGAGACATGACAATGAGATGTAATGTGCTATCACGAATGGGGTGCTGCAACAGAAAATGGACATCAGGGAAAATCTAAGGAGATTTAAATAAAGTATGAACTTCAGTGAATAATATTGTGACAATACTGCTTAATTAATTGTTATGTATGTGTCATAATAATGTAAGATGTAACAACAGGGGAAACTGGGTATGGAGTACGTGGGAACACTCTGTATTTGGGAATGCTCTGTATTATCTTCGCAAACTTTTCTATACAGCTAAAACTATTTTAAAATGAGAAGCATGTTAAAAGTAATTAAATAAAAAAGTAATGATACGTACATATTTGTAAATTCCCACTATAGAGAATATCACTGCAAAGAAGGATCCAGTAGAATTGAACTGGTTCTATATCCTGATGACTCAAAGCAATTATTTCAGTAATTTGGTTATAAACACCTTCTCTACTAAGAATCACTGTAGGTAACACACTTCTCTGATTCCTAACTATATAGTATATAAAATTTAAAAAGTGTGATTATACTGTGCAGAAAAAGCACTTGACAAAATCCAAGATTCTTTCAGGACAAAAAAGACTCAACAAAGCAGGAAAAGAAGGAACTTCCTCAACCTGGCATAGGGCATTGATGAAAACTCCACAGCTAACACACTCAATGGTGAAAGAATGAGAGCTCTCCCCAAGATCAGGAACAAAACAATGATTCCTGCTTTTGCTACTTCCATTCAACGCTGTACTGGAAATTCTACCTACAGCAATTAAGAAAAAGAAATAAATAAAAAACAAATTGGAAAGGAAGAAGTAAAACTGTCTTTACTCGCGATGACAATCTTTTATGTAGAAAATTTTTTAAAAATCCACAAAAATCTGTTACAGCTAAAAACTTCAGCAAAGTTGCAGGATACAAGATCAACAAACAAAAATAAGTTGTTTTTTTTATACACTAGCAATGAACAATCTGAAAAGAAAATTAAGAAACAAACTGGTTTATAATAACATCAAAATAATAAAATAGAAATGTAAATAAGGAAATATAAGACTTGTACAATGAAAACTCCAAAACATTTCTGAAAGAAATTAAAGAAGACCTAAATAAATGGAAAGGCATCTTGTCTTCATGAACTGAAAAACTGAATATTATTAAGCTACTGCCATATAGTGATTCAATGCAATCCTTATCAAAAACCAATGGTTTTTGATAAGGCTCACCAGCCTGGCCAATACGGCGAAACTCCTTTTCCACTAAAAATACAAGAATTAGCCGGGCATGGTGGAGTGCCTGGGGTTTAGTGGAGATGTCCATTACAGTGTGTGCACCTGTATTCCCAGCTACTTGGGAGACTGAGGCAGGAGAATTGCTGGAACCCGAGAGGCGGAGGTTGCAGTGAGCCAAGATAGTGCCACTGTATTCCAGCCTGTGCGACAGAGTGAGACTCTGGCCGAAAAAAAAAAAAAAAAAAGGCTATTTTCGCAGAAATAGAAATGTCAATCCTAAGATTAAGGGGGAATTGCAATGAGCTAGCCAAATTAATTTAAAATGTCCCCAATACCTAAATGCATACACAGGCTAAAACTGTAACATTCTTGAACAAAAACACAGGAGTAAATCTTCATGACCTTGGATTTGATAACAGTTCTTAGAAAAGATACCAAAAGCACAAGCAACAAAAGAAAAAATAGACAATTTGAGTGTCATCAAACATAAAACTTGGCTGGGCATAGTGACTCACCCTTACAATCCCAGCACTTTGAGAAGCTCGCCTGAGTCCAAGAGTTTGAGGCTGCAGTGAGCTATAATCCCACCACTGCACTCCAGCCTGGGTGACAGAGCAAGACCCTGTCTCTTTAAAAAAAAAAAAAATTAAAACTTCTGTGTATCAAAGGACACTATCAAGAAAGTAAAAAGACAACCTACAGGATGGGAGGAAAATTTCGCAAAGCATGTATATTATAGGGGTCTTATATCTACAATATATAAAAATAGAACTCTTACAGAAATGCAAATCAAAACCACAATGAGATACCATCTCATGTCAGTCAGGATGGTGATTATTAAAAAGTCAAGAAACAACAGATGCTGGTGAGGCTGTGGAGAAATAGGAACACTGTTACACTGTTGATGGGAATATAAATTAGTTTAACCATTGTGGAAGACAGTGTGGTGATTCCTCAAAGACCTAGAACCAGAAATACCATTTGACTCAGCAATCTCATTACTGGGTATACACCCAAAGGAATATAATGTATCTTCATTCTATGATGAAGATACATGCATGCATATGTTCACTGCAGCATTATTCACAATAGCAAAGACAGAATCAACCCAAATGCCCACCAATGATAGACTGGATAAAGCAAATGTGGTACATATACACCATGGAATACTATGCAGCCATAAAAGGAACAAGATCGGCTGGGCGTGGTGGCTTACGCCTATAATTCCAGCACTTTGGGAGGCCGAGGTGGGCGGATCATGAGGTCAGGAGATCAAGACCATCCTGGCCAACAGGGTGAAACCCCGTCTCCACTAACATACAAAAAAAATTAGCCAGGCATTGTGGTGCACGTCTGTAGTCCCAGCTACCTGGGAGGCTGAGGCAGGAGAACTGCTTGAACCCAGGAGGCAGAGGTTGCAGTGAGCTGAGATCATGCCACCACTGCACTCCAGCCTGGCAACACAGCGAGACTCCATCTAAAAAAATTAAAAAATAAAAAAAAAAAGAAGGAACGAGATCATGTCCTTTGCAGGGACGTGGATATGGAGCTGGGAGCCGTTATCCCCAGCAGAATATCACAGGAACAGAAAACCAAACGCTACATGTTCTCACTTACAAGGGGGAGCTGAACAATGAGAACTTATGGACACAGGGAAGGGAACAACACACACTGGGGCCTGTATGGGGTAGGGAGTGGGGAAAGGGAGAGCCTCAGGATAAATAGCTAATGCATGTGGGGCTTAATACCCAGGTGATGGGTTGATAGGTGCAGCAAACTACCATGGCACACATTTACCTATGTAACAAAGCTGCACATCCTGCACATGTAACCTGGAACTTAAAATAAAATAAAATAAAATAAGAAAACTCTTACAACTCAACAATAAAAATACAATATAATTTTAAAAAAAGACTTGAAAAATCATTTCTCCATAGTAGATATGCAAATGGACAATGAGCACATGAAAAGAAGCTCATCATCAGTCATTAGAGAGATGTGAATAAAAGCCACAGTGAGATACCACTTCACACCCATTAGGATGGTTATTGTTACAAAAAGAAAATAGCAAGTGCTGGCGAGGATGTGGAGAAATTGCACCACTGGTGAAAATTTAAAATGATGTAGCCACTGTGGAAAACAGTAGGGTGGTTCCTCAAAAAGTTAAACACATAATTACCATATGACCCAGTAACTTACTCCTAAGCATATCTACACCAAGAGAAATGAAAACAGATGTCCACAGAAAAACTTCTGTGCAGATGTTCGTAGCAACATTATTCATAATAGCCAAAAAGTGAAAACAACACAAATGTCCATAAACTGATAAATGCATAAGATGTGATATATCTATACAACAGAATATTATTCAGCCATAAAAAGAAATGAAATACTGGTACATGCTACAGCATGGATGAGCCTTGAAAACATTATCCTAAGTTTAAGAAGCCAGACACAAAAGGTCAGATGCTGTTATCATTCTATTTGTATGAAATATTCAGAATAGACAAATACACAGAAACAGAAAGCAGACTGGTGGTTGCAATGGGCTGGGGAAGGGGTTAGTGGGGAGGGACTGCTTAATATGTACAGGATTTCCTTTGGTGTGACTGAACTGTTTTGGAATGATATAGAGTTGGTAGTACAGCATTGTGAATGTGCTACCACTGAATTACATACTTTAAAATGGCCAATTTTATGTTAATTTTATATCAGTAAATAAACAAATAAATATAAGTTAATGCATACATACACATACAATTCACATGGTTCTAGCAGGCATTCAGGGAGCCTGCCGCATAGCATCCATTTCCTCCGTGGCGGCAGTGACTGGAAACAGTCTCTTCTTATGGAAGCTTCCAGGTAGTGTATAAAGCGGACACATATAAATGCATATAAGTAAATGGGCATACTTAGTGTTGTTTTTACCACAATATTAACAGAGCACACTCTGTCCAGGCAGAGGTGACAGATGAGTCATAGTTGCCACAAGGCCTAAAAGTCACAGTGCTCACAGGTATGTGGCTTCATCGTTGCTCCTCAGCTCCTTGGGCTATACTCTCCCCAACTTTCCACCCAAACATAAAACAGAGACCAGATATTAATATTTAGGAAGCACCTGGAAGAAGTTCAAAACTGAAACATAAAAGTAAATTACCAGATAGTGCTTTTATGGTCTGCCATTAGGAATGACACTTTCTCCCAAATATGTGGTAGCTCTTGAACATATATCATTTCAGGAAATCTTGTTCTAGCCTTTTCTGAAGAGAGAATGATGCAACCATGAGCTGAGTACAAGCCAGAATTACGTTCAAAAATTTTAAAGACAAGATTTCCTGGTATCCTTGCTGTCACTGCAGTTTCCCACTTTTCCATAGCTCTTGAGGAGATAGGTCCTCAGAGATGTTCAGCTTCTCCTCATTCAATGTCTGTGGGATTCCAGAGTAGTCAGCGTTCTATTTAACTTACCTGTGTGCAAAGACTCGAGGTACAAAGCTGAATAAGCCACTTCTGAAGTTTTCCAAAAGTCTGATTTCATTGGGAGGCATCAAGAAGATTTTGACATTTATTTCACTCTTCTTCCCACTCCATAGCAGGCAAATATAATCTAGTCCTCTCTTGTTCCCTCCTCTAGGAGCTGTAGACAACCTGCACTGAGATTCCACACCAAAGAAAGGAAGGGTGGTCTTGCGCTTATGGGAAACCAGGTGGCAGGCCAGGTACGTGTGGAAGGCCTCACACAGTTGCCTTGACATACAACTACCAGAGGCCTGAGGAGTCTCTCCCCACAAGCTACCTCTTGACGGCTCAGTTCTCCTTTTTTGTTTAATTCAAATGATGAGTTCCTTCCTCTCAGGTAATTTTATTTCATTCAATGTTAAATGTCATATTTTAATTCTTCTATCATCTGCCTGTGGTTGCTTAATTTTTGCTTGAACTTTCAGTTCTATATTAATTGTAATAAATGCTTTAAAACCCTTACATCATTATCGACTGAATTCTCTATTTTCTTTTTTTTTTGAGATGGAGTCTCGCTCTGTTGCCCAGGCTGGAGTGCAGTGGTGTGATCTGGGCTCACTGCAAGCTCCGCCTCCTGGGTTGACGCCACTCTCCTGCCTCAGCCTCCCAAGTAGCTGGGACTACAGGCACCAGCCACCATGCCTGGCTAATTTTTTGTATTTTTAGTAGAGACGGGGTTTCACTGTGTTAGCCAGGATGGTCTCGATCTCCTGACCTCGTGATCTGCCCGTCTCGGCCTCCCAAAGTGCTGGGATTACAGGCGTGAGACACCGGGCCCAGCCTCTATTTTCTTTATAAACATCTTCACCCAAGAGCTGCCCTTGTTCCTCCCTTGCCACTTTCCTAAGTGTCCCTCCTTGTGCTGTTCCCTGTTTGTTTACACTGACTGAATATTCTTCAGGGACCTTGGTTCCCAGTGTCTCATCCTCTATCTGATTGGAACAGACTAGACATCACCTCTGTCCCAAAGCAGAGTATTCCTGGCAATTTCTAGCTCACTGGCATTCTCATCAATCTCCTTAGACAAACAACAACATTTGTAGCACAACTCCATGGACTGGTTCATCCTGAGAAGAGAAGGGGAGCCACAACCTCACCCCACCTTCTCAGCTGCTCAATCAGCCATTGCTGTTTCCCATCAACCCATACTTGCTGGGTGTCTACTGCATTCATGGTCCAGTACCAAAACCAGATGAGTCACAGCCCCTGACCTCTGAGGACTTATTTATGGTTAAATGAGACAACTGAAGTAAAGAAAACACGTAGAGCTTATTTTGAAGGCAATGACAAGTATCAGTGCAATGTTTAATACCTGGTTGTTAGTCTCACTATATAATCAAGCATCTGTCACTGTCTTTTGTATCTGTGCAAATAAATGTGAAAATTCAGACCATTTATAATACCAGTGCCAGAGCAGCAAGTGAGGAAGAAACAAGGGCATCTGTTCATGTATAATCCTCTCTCGTGGGAAGGGGGTGTCCAACCCAAGAATTGCTCTACAGGATTTTTGCTCCAGTTCCCTGTGGAGAAAGAGCTGAGCTGGCTCAAGCCATTGAGAACTGTGGAGCCAAGAAATCAGCACAACAAGGGTGAGCCTACCAAACCCGCCAGCTGGCTGCACCAAGTGCTCTGGGTCTAGCAGCAGCTGGGAGAGAGGGCAGAGTAGGTCATTTGACAGAGGCAAAAGGGGAGGAGAGGGGCAGCAAGGTGCGGTGGCTCAGCTAGAGGAGGAAGTCAAGTTGGGTCAGGCTTGATCTCATCCTTTCTCTGCTTCATGCCCACAGAGGCACGTGGCACTGTGTGCTTGCATCTGGCCACCCCTGAAGACTCTGCCAGGCTGTGTGCTCTGTCTCCCATGGCTCTTCTCTGTGCCGTCATCTCAGCAAAGCACATTCCAGAGCTGCAGTCTGACTCACAGGAAAGTGTGATCTAGTGTGATCACAGTGCTGCTCCAGATTGCAGCTGCAGGAATGGGGTGGGGGTACGGTGGGAAGAGTAGGGAGACTGTTCCAGGTCTCCAGTCTCTTTTAGGAACAAAAGTTTCCAGAGAAAGGAGGTCAGAAACAGGGAGGAAAAAATTCCATGGCTTTTATATAGGGCCACCTTGAAATCCTTCTTGATCTTCATGGATGACAGGTGCTGGAAAATCACCATGGCCAGGTTAAGACGCAAACTTAGAATGGTGGTTACACATAGCATAATCTGGAAAATTACTCTTGCTGTTTTCATTCTATTACCAAAACTTCATAATTGTCTGTACTCACATCCCCAGGCTGTTGCCATTCCATTTCACTTTTCCCTTTAAGTCTATCACTGGTTTAATATATAGGAAAAAAGAGCATGAAAACTTTCACAGCAGTTTTCATATTATCCGTAAGTTCACCAAGAAAGTTATTCAATGTGTATAGCTATAAATGATAACATGGGTCAAATGATACAGGTTGGTATTATCAAGTGTTTAAAGAGCGTGTACATATTACTTTCATATTATTTACACCTCTAACTCTACTCTGAAACTATTACTTTTTCAATCAGATAGCTGTAACCAAACACTAGATCAATAAAATGATAAAAGCTAAAAGAGACAAAGGGTGGAGAAATGGATCCATTTTCTGCCACCTACAAAGGAAGAAATGCTATGCACACAAAGACGTAACAGTGCAAACTGTAACAAATGCCAAAAATAAGATATACATTTAAATAAAATATAAAGACTACTACTAGTACTAAACATAATCTCTAACTACAAGGAGGGTCCAACCCACAATGTTGGACCATACACACAAATTAACTCAAAATGGATCACAGACCAAAATATAAGGGCAAAAGCTATAAAATTCTTAGAAGAAAACACAGAAGTATGTTTGCATAACCTTGGATTCACCAATGGTTTCTTAGCTATGACCCTGAAAACACAAGCAATAATAATAACAAAAATGACAAATTGGACCTCATTAAAATGATAAATCTTTGTGTTTCAAAGGACACTATCAAAAAAGTGAAAAACTCCACAGAATGGGAAAAAATATTTGCAAATGATAAAGGACTTATACAGAGAACTCTTACAATTCAACAACAAAAAATAATCCAACTTTAAAAATAGGCAAAGGACTTGAAAGACATTTCTCTAAAGAAGATATACAAATGGCCAATAGCCTATGAAAAGATGCTCAGCCGGGTGCGGTGGCTCACGCCTGTAATCCCAACACTTTGGGAGGCCGAGGCAGGCAGATGATGAGGTCGAGAGATAGAGACCATCCAGGCCAACATGGTGAAACCCCGTCTCTACTAAAAATACAAAAAATTAGCTGGGCGTGGTAGCGCACACGCACGTGTAGTCCCAGCTACTCGGGAGGCTGAGGCAGAAGAATCGCCTGGAACCAGGAGGCCGAGGTTGCAGTGAGCTGAGATCGTGCCACTGCACTCCGCCCTGGCGACAGAGCGAGACTCCATCTCAAAAAATAAAAAATAAAAAAAAGAAAAGATGCTCAACATTGTTAGTCATCAGGAAATGCAAATCAAAGCCACAATGAGATACCCACTTCAGACACACATGGATGGCTACAATAAGAAAGACAACAATAACAAATTTTGGAGTGGATGTGGAGAAAGTGGAACCCTGGTATATTTTACATTGCTGATGGGAATGTAAAATCGTGTAGCCACTTTGGAAAATACTGTGGCAGTCCCTCAGAAAATCAAACATAGAGTTACCTTATGACTCAGCAATTCCATGCCTAGGTATATATTCAAGAGAAATGAAAATATATCCACACAAAAAACTTGTATGCAGATATTCATAGTAGCACTATTCATGTTAATCATAAAGTGGAAACAACTCAGATGTGCATCAACTCAAAAGAGAAATAAAATATGGTATATTCACAGAAAATGGATTATTATTCATCCATAACAAGGAATGAAGTACTGAAACATGTCACAACATGGATAAACCTTAAAAATATTATGCTAGGTAAAAGAAGCCAGTCACGAAAGATTTGTGATTTTATGTATATGAAGTATCCAGAATAAGCAAATCTGTAGCGACAAAAAGTAGATGAGTGGTTGCCAGGGGCTGGGAAGAATTGGGAATTGGCAGTCAATTGGTATGGGGTTTCTTTTTGAGGTTGCAGAAAGTTCTAATATCGTATTATAGTTATGATTGCACAAGTCTGTAATTACAATAAACACAATTGAATTGTACACTTTAAATAAATGAATTTTATGGGATGTGAATTATGTATCAATAAAGCTCTTTAAAAATGTGATAGAGATAAGATAGATTCCTTCAGGTCCCCATGAGTCAAGTTCCAATTTCTAGATTGGAACTATGTATACATGACAGAACCATAAACACTAGACTGTAATTCCATGGGTTCTGATATGTCTTTATTCTTACAGTAAGTTGGCATGTGGACAGGAAGAATGGCAAAGAATATAAAGGGTCTGGATGTCAATTAGTAAAATAAGCAGTAGTAAGACTACTTCTACTACTAGAATTAGCCTTTGTGTGTGTTTGGACAGTGGAGAAAGACTCTTGGATCAAGCTTACTAGATTTCTTTTGAAAATATCTGACCACATTTTCAGGGAGTCAAAATGGTTGACTACCTTTTCAAAAGAAATTTAGTAAGCTTGATGCAAGAGTCTTTTTCCACTGTCCAAACACACACAAAGGCTAAGGCCCCTAATCATCACATCCATGATCTACTAGTGCATGTTCCTCATTAGGCTTTAATATTGAGCCAGGGCTGAGAAGAAACAATGTCAAATGGCCTTGGATATCATAAGGACTGCCAATAACTGTTTTAGAGAGGAAACAAGCAAAGGTTAAGAATAGATGGGCAGCTGAGATTAAAAGGTTTACTTAAGACTCATGGACACAGAACTAATTAATTAAGGGATGATTTAAATTTATTGAATGAGCAAAGGTAAGAACAAACCTAAGGCATGGGCTATGGCATCAATTACAAGGACATGCAAAAAAAATGATACTCTGCACTCACAATCTTTCACATTACAATAAAAAATATTCAAATCATTGAAAAGGAACAATTCCAACTTTTCTACAACAGGAAGAAGCAAAGAGACTTCAGAAATAAAGAAAGTATGAGTGACAACAACCACCTTATGAAAATGTGATGCTAAGCAGATGGATGAATAGTCATTCTGCCAGCTCTGGCAGTATGTGGTGGTACATAAAAGAAAAGCAGGTGAAATGGTCCCCTGTGTTGTTGACGAGGGAGCTGTCTTCCCTTCAGGCTCTTTAACTGTAGACAGGCATATGCCACCGTTACAGCGAAGGAATGTATGCCACCCTGTCTCCATACAGAGAAAAGGAGGCAGAGTCAAGAATATCTCCCAACTGTTTAGTGGGAAGAAAAGTAACGGTTCACAACCAGGGAGAAGAGCTGTATTCACCCAGCAGGACACAGCAGGTGAGCACACAGCTGGGGAATCAGTGTGCCACAGCTGACCAGCTTTTCAAAAGGAGTCTAGTAAGCTTTATCCAAGAGTCTTTCTCCACTGTCCAAACACATGCAAAGGCTAATGCCCCTAATCATCACATCCACGATCTACTAGTGCATGTTCCTCATTCGGCCTTAATCTGAACCATTCTCACCATCAGGAGTTTGGGATCCTTGTTTTTTGTTTGTTTGTTTGTTTGTTTTTTTGAGATGGAGTCTCGCTCTGTTGCCCAGGCTGGAGTGCAGTGGTGCGATCTCGGCTCACTGCAAGCTCCACCTCCTGGGTTCACGCCATTCTCCTGCCTCAGCCTCCCTAGTAGCTGGGACTACAGGTGCCCACCACCACGCCCAGCTAATTTTTTTTTTTTTGTATTTTTAGTAAAGACGGGGTTTCATCGTGTTAGCCAGGATGGTCTCGATCTCTTGACCTCGTGATCCACCCACCTCGGCCTCCCAAAGTGCTGGGATTACAGGCATGAGCCACTGTGCCCAGCCGGGATCTTTGTTTAATGCTCTGGACAAAGTAAAAAAATTTCCAACCACAGTATCAGCACCATTCAACACTGGCCCCAGCATTAGGGCAGTTTTCTGCAATATGTTTATTCCAGAGGAACTTCCGTATCTCCATCATTTAGACAGCAGTGGTCACACTTCACATACAAATTTACACAAATGCTTCTTTTCCAAAGTAAATGGGCATCAACTCCTTGTTGATGGGAGTGCTAGGGGTAGAGGTGGGGAATGAGGTGGCCAAAAGCATAGAAATAAAAATCACCTTCAAGCAAGCTTCCTCAGCAGCCAGATGGCAGACTCAGTACCAACACTGAGTGCTGATTTGTAATGCGATAGCTTGTCTTTGCTTAGTTCAGGTTTCTATTATTGTAGCAATGCTCTTTACCACTATTTTTTTTAAGCATCTATGCTTACTGTTAAAGAGTGAGTGAGCTGCTTTTTACTGAGTGCTTGTCATATGGGAAGCATCCTGCTGAGTACTTCACATACATCATCCCAATCAGTCCTCACCACCAGTCTGCATTATAGTATTATAATACCAATTTCACAGACAAGGAAACACAATTTGCCCCAGTCTCCCTGCTAAATGTCCTGTCACCAGTGAACCCACACCAGTCTGATTCCAGATTTTTTGTTCTTTCCATTAAACCACCAGCCTCTATGCATATTTAAAAGAAAAATGGTACCTGCATACACATTAGGAAACAAGAGACAGAATGCCCTCATTGCAGTTCTTTTGTTCTATGTAAATTTGGACATTGTCATCCTCGTATGCATCAACAAAACATTTGTTATCCAAGCTTGCTTCTCCTCTGGCATCCCACCCACTCTACTCTGCTAAGTGAGCTTCTGTGCTCACTGCTCCCTACACCTCCTGCTCGTGAAGTGACCCAGCAACTCCTCCCAAATCTGGGGCACAGATTTTCAGTGCTCACTTTATTAGACTTTGCAGTACTATGGGTCCCCTCCCACATGGAAGCACCATCCTGAGCGCTTGCCACGAGCTCTGGTTTCCTCTTGGCTTCACCAGCCCAGCCTCCTCTGTCTCCTCAGTGGGCTCCTCTTCTACCTGCTTTCCAATGCAAGAGGACCTTGGAGTTCAATGCCTGCATTTCTTCTTTCCTTTGTCTCTATTGTTTCCCTAAAGTGACCTCCTCCACAGCCCTGGCTGTAGACTTGGCTGTGACAGGACACTGCTGCCTTGCACTCACACGCATTAGTGCCTTTGGAGCTTGGCACCATAAACAAATATAACCTGCTGACACCCGCAAACAAAATGAATGTACATACAAAGATACATACTGACCAGACATAGGCTGAGAGCTCCCAAACATTCATGTCCAATCTAAAACCCTCTGGGCGTAAGGTATGTACGTCCAGCTTTCTCACAGGACATCTCTTCTTCGATGTCTCATAGGAATCTCAAACTTAGTAGGCCTAGACTGCATTCTCAAGCTTTCTTCCAGACCTGCTCTCACTATAGTTTTTCTCATCTCAGCAAATGGGAACATCCTTCAACTAAATAACTCAAGCTGAGGCTCACTCTCTGAACATTCCCTTCTACTTTGCTCCTCCCCCAACCAATCCATTATGAAGCCATCACACACATCTAGACCACGGATCTTTTCTCTAGCTCTGGCAAAGCCACAGGAGACTCAGGAACCCACCAGTCCTCTCTGACCTGGACTACGGCAGTAGCTGCTTCCTGCGTCTCTCTGCTTTCACTAGGCCCTGCCCCATGTGCCCATCTTACTAAACCCCTGGTAGCTAAAGCTGACTTTCAAGCAGGGCAACCTCATTCTTGGTCAGTGGGCAGCCACAGCAAACACTGCAGCTCCTGCACATGGTCCACTAGGCTGTGGCCGGTTGCGTGCCTGGGATCTCTTGCTGGCCTGTGCAGCATGGTCATGCTGGCTTCTCCCTCCTGTCCAAGAGCTTTTCAAAGGTATTCTCTCTTCTGTGAGCAATTCTCTTTCATCTTCTCTTTACCTAACACCTAAACTTAAATAGTACTGCCTTAGAACACCATCTTTGAACCCTCTAAACTAAATTATGTCCATTCTCCATTGTGCCCTATTTTTTCTCACCAGGGTACTTATTGCAACTTGTAATCATAAATGCATTTGTTGTAAAGTATTTTGTGTGGGATCTCCCACTAGAACTATGCTCCAGGAGCACAGAGACAATGTCTGGTTTTGTTAACCACTGCAGGCCCAGGACCTGGTCCAGGGCATGGTGGATTTTTTTTTCCCTTAGTGGAAAGAAGGAATAAATATACAACATGAGAATAAAGCAAAGGCCAAAAGACCAAAAAGAGGAGTAAAACATCAAGGTATGGAAAAAGGAAAATGTGCTTTTCTTCTGAGTTCAGCTCAGTGAATTTCTCCAGCTTTTTGTCTGAAGACACGACTATTTAGCACGTTCTGTCCTCTTGCAAAGGACTAACTCTCCACTTTAAAATATTTCTGCAATGAAGGGCAAGAAAGAATTTGCATCTCTAAAGGACAGAGATTACATTAGTTGGCCGGGTATGGTGGCTCACGCCTGTAGTCCTAGTACTTTGGAAAGCCAAGGCAGGAGGATTGCTTGAGGTTACAAGTTTGAGATCAGCCTGGGCAACAGAGTGAGACCCTATCTCTACCAAAAAAAAAAAAAAAAAATTAGCTGGGTATGGTGGCACGTGCCTGTGGTTCCAACTACTTGGAGGCTGAGGTGGAAGGACTGCTCGAGCCCAGGAGGTTGAGGCTGCAGTAAGCCATGATTGCTCCACTGCACTCCAGCCTAGGCAACAGAGCAAGACCATGTTTCAAAAAAAAGAAAAAAATAAATTACTGGTCCCTAGGTTAAATATCTCAAGAAGAAAGGAAGAGAATGTTTTAGAAAGGGAGAAAGAAAGGTGATGTCTGCTGGCAATCACCATGGGCTTGGAGTGAGGTAATATGGTCTGGACCTGCACCACCAGGACACAGAGAATCACTAAGGAATCATCACTTTCTCTCTTTGCCTCAGTTTTCATTATAAGTTACCTCGAAGGCCAGTGCTCCCTTTCTGTTAAAAAAAAAAAAGCCTATGGCTTTATTAGTCATGCATTTATCTAATGATCATTCAACATGTAGTCTATCTATAAAAAAGGTGTGTTTGGGCTCTGAACAGACTGCCTACCCTGTGGTTAGGGAGCACCTTCTGCATCAGTTTTTTGTTACCTTTGATTTTAGTGATTTATAAAACTTAAGTTTGCGTTGGTTACTCTGACCTACAACACCTTGAGAAACCTCACAGAAACGTTTTCATTAATAGCTCAAGTTACAGGAAGTCATCCAGAAGAACAATGGACAGGGGACTCTAACATACTATATTTCTGAAATGTAAAGTCTATTTCTGATAATGTTTCACAGTGCAGAGGACATGAATCTTTTGAGAGAATCTATCTGACCCTGAATAGGACTAGCTGCTTCAAAAAATTTTCTTTTAATTTCGAGGTTGGCACTAATTGAGCTGTCAGCTTTCAGAAGATAAGCTGTTACTGGTATCAGAAAAGTGACACTGACCGAGGACTGGGAACAGACTGAGATTGACACCTACGATCAAGGTGTGAAGTAAACTTAAGACAGAAATTTACCACAGGGTTTCATCAGCAACCACCTGACCTGGGCTGGGTGGGGAAGGGGCAACTATTGTGGCAAACAAATCTGCCATAAGACACCGCTGTTTCTTTTCACCCAGGCTTAATTTCTTCTGACATGGTAATTTCTGGACTTCACAGAAAACACACAGTAATCAAGGTTGTCTTTAAGTTCACGGATAGTTTGAAAGATCTCTGGGGTAGAGCAGATAATGACAAGAGCTCAAGAAAAGCCATTCTGAAAGACAAGGAGACCAGACTTAGAGCTGCCTTTAGTTGAAAGGGGTCACTGCTTATGCAATTTTCCTTCTTCTGTGTGTGTTGTGCTGATGAGTCTGTACTAACTGAGCCCAACTTTGTCCATCCTGTGGGACCCACAGAGCATTCCATATGTCATCTATGATCAGGAAGCTGAAAGCAGGAATCACAGGCAGAAAATCTTCCAGGCTACACATCTGCATCTTCTAATAATATTCGTGCTACATGTACATGTATAAAAAACTGCCTTAGAATGCATACTGCTAAATGTGTCTCGAAGGCAGATATATTCTCTAAGTTTTTCTTTCTAAATATATTAGCAAAGAATTAGTAGTGAATAAAGTACAGTTTTACTTCTATATTAATTTGATATGTAAACTAGAGAGCCTGATCATTATCACTGCAAAATAATCTAGAAAATATTAATGATCAGATCTTCTTGTACCCAAAGACATCTCAGCAGCCCTGTCCTCAAACTCAAGGCTAGCACTACGGCCGTTAGTTCCAAAGTTCATCTTTGTACACAGTCCAACCAAGTCTCCCCAGGGCAAAACACTTGCACTTCTGCTGCCCTGGACAACTTGACCCTGGGTCAGCCTTAATCTAAACACGGCTTGGTTCTAACTCAATTTTCTCCCTTTTCTTTTTGAGACGGAAGTCTCATCTGTCCCCAGGCTGGAGTGCAGTGGCACGATCTTGGCTCACTGCAACCTCCGCCTCCCTGTTTAAGCGATTCTTCTGCCTCAGTCTCCAGAGTAGCTGGGACTGCAGGCACGCACCACCATGCCCAACTAATTTTCGTATTTTTAGTAGAGACGGGGTTTCACCATGTTGGCCAGGATGGTCTCGATCCCCTGACCTCGAGATCCGCCCGCCTCGGCCTCCCAAAGTGCTGGGATTACAGGCATGAGCCACCGCGCCTAGCCTCTCCCTTTTCTTTTAAACTCTAACACTCTACAACCATGCCATCTGGGATTCTATATCCCATTCATTTTTCTTTGTGTCTACCTGTGTCAGCAGTGAGATCCTCCTTGAGGCTGTGTTTCCTCATCTGCAAAGTGGAAATAATATTGTCTAGCCTCGATATTGTGCAATCTCAGATGTGCTACAGAAAATGCATCACACAGAATGCATATTCATTAACTCTGAATAACTGGATGTTGTTTTCTTGTTTTTGAAGTTCATGCCTGGCCTTCTTTCAGTCTACCACAAGGATATTCTCATTAGATATGTCACCACATGTATTCCAAAGTACAACTCCAAAGCATTCACAATGCAACTCACATCGGTAGCATTTCACCAGATTTTAGCTTCTAGTTTTTCTCTCTTTGCTAAACAAGTAAAACAAGTACCACTGAAGGACCTAGAGGGACAGCCTTCATAACGTGCATTGGTTGTGATTAGTCATAGGAAGCAACCGCACTGTCAGTTTTGTCGTTCTTTCTCGTCAGGGTGATTCAGTTCCCCACTGTCTCTGTTTCCTCGTCCCCTTGGAGTGTGTGGTCTGTGTACTGAGATGAGGAAGCTCTACCAAGTTCCTCATTGCCAAGGTAACTAGTATCCCCTTCTTCAAAACCTAACACTGGATATGTGTCATTAAAAAGGCCAAGCAAAACAAAAACACAAAACAAAAACCTATGTCTGATGTGTAACTGTCTTGGAAAATTCTATATAAATTTACCACAGATTTAGGGCAAAGGGTAGAAGACTGGTCTACATCTACAAGCCATGATAAATACCTTAAAACTGATTTAATGGATTTTACAAACATACATATTCCAAAAAAGAATCTTTTTTCTGTAATTCCAAAAGAAACATTCTCCAACTCTAGACCTCAAGACGACTTTCTCAAATTCATAGTATTTTCAAATAAAGTGCCTCCACTTGAAGATGATTCATAATTCACACCGGAGTATAGGTATCCTGTTTCTCTCTCTGGCATCAGAAGGCAGCATAATGATAGGATGATTGCATTGTCTTTATATTAGAGATGGGGTCTTGCTCTCTTGCTTTGCCCAGGCTGGTCTCAAACTCCTGGGCTCAAGTGACCTGCCTGCCTAGGGCTCCTCCCAAAGTGCTGGGATTATATGTGTGAGCAACCATGCCCGGCCAGGATGATTGTTAAGTACTATTTCTTCACTACGTGTTTTCTTATTAATAGTTAAACAAAACCAAACTGATGAAGTAGCATCTATACTTTTAATTTCTATTCTGTTGGAAATCCATGTTACTTCTTTGAGGGCAATTATCATTGCCAGAGATAACTTCAAAAGGCTATGCCAGACTGGGCGTGGTGGCTCACGCCAGTAATACCAGCACTTTGGGAGGCCGAGGCGGGTGGATCACTTGAGGCCAGGAGTTTGAGACCAGCCTGGCCAACATAGCAAAACCTTGTCTCTACTAAAAATACAAAAATTAGCCAGGCATGGTGGTGCAAGCCTGTAATCCCAGCTACTTGGGCACGAGAATCTCTTGAACTCCAGAGGCAGAGATTGCAAAAAGAAAAAAGGCTATGCTGAGGCTCTGATGTAAACAAACAAACCTCTCTGTCAATCATGCGTCTACAGCTATCTGTAAGAACCAACACCAGGAAGGGCCTAAATCTGAGTAGAGACAACATCACTTCTACTACATTTGTCTGCACTTAACTGCATTGGATGGTGCAGACAGACGACATTTACATCATTGCAGAAAGTTGTATTAGGCAGTACTGATGCAGATGGTTTGATACAGTACTCTCTGAAAGCCACAGGTTTACCAATTGCCATTATTTACTCAGGTTTTCGAGACATATAAAACTGGATGTTGCAAATGGTCTTTTGAGGTATGACAACCACATGTCTTGGCTTTTCCAGAATAATACCAATATTTCTTGCATTTGTATTACTTTCAAGAACATGAACCATTAAAGGTAAAACAAAATGCAGCAAATTTAATTTTTAATAGGACTTTAAAATTAAATAGATAGATAAAATCCTTCATCATGCCATGTATCCCAAATTTTGATGCAAGGAAAAACAAAAACAGCTCACGTATATGGTGAATGCAGCTAAGAACGTGCTCTGAGAAGAGGCTCCACTTTCTAGAGCACTCTGTCTAAGTGACTCTTCACCTCTGCCCCACACCAGCATCTTGGCACTCACCGAGTTCCAGCTGGGTCTGTGTGTCCTGAGCTGGCCCCCTGCTGACCCCTGGTGCTGTCTCTGCTGGGAAGAGAATACACTCTTTGCACCACCACTCGGACTCCAGCTCCTGGCCACGAGGCAGCTCCCTGGCTTTCCACCACATCCAGGAGAGAATCCCTCAGGGGAGTGCTGGTTGGGATGCGCTGTTTTGCTTCTTTGTGCCCATGGGTCCAGGCTGTCCCTGTAGTGGCTACACCACTACACACAACCTGGCCAAGACACATAAAGGGAACAGTTTCAAGACTCACAAAGTTTCAGTTCGGCTAACAACAAGCAACATGCTGCACACCAAATAATGACATCCTTAAGCAGCCACCCAATGGATCTGCACTACACTGAAGTGATGATGAAGATGAAAATAAAGGAACTTGTGGCATGGGGCTCTGGGCCTGCCAGGTGGCTAAGACTGCAAGCTGAAGGCGAGTGAAAGAACAAGGACCACAGCAGGATGTTTGCTATACCAGGCAGGTCTTTGAAAACACACAGGAAGTTCTGCTAATAAAATAATTCATGATAATTCAATAAATTTTTCTCTTTTGAGGTAAGAATTCCAACAGAACAAACTAAAAATGAAGATAAAAGAATGACTAGGGATAATACAAATGCTTCATTTTATTAAGTTCTTGTATGTGCAATCTCCTAGGCTGAGCATTTTACATGCTCACATATTCTCCCAACAACCCCTTACGTAGTATCAGCTGTCATAATAAAACAACAACACTTCTAGAGTGCTTCCTATATTCCAGGCTTTTAAATGTACATATTAAACATGCTTACCCTCACACAATCACCCAAGAAGATAGATAATATCACACCTCCATTTTACAGATAAGAAAACTGAGACATAGAGACCACAGATCTTGCCCAAGATGACCCAGCAGGAAGTGGCTGAGGCAGGATTTGAACCAGGTCATCTGGCTCCAAAGTTCACACGTTTAACCATTATGCTACAAGTAGTTTCATTATCACTGTCACAGGACAAAAATGAATCTCATGGGATTAATATTACATAGCTGTTTAAAACTATATGTTAAAACAGTAATGTGCTCTGGGCCATATTTTTGATGTTATAATTAAATTGATTCGAGAGTCTTCCTTTTTGCATAATCCTCTCCAGATACTTCTTTTGATAGTCAAAGAGAGATTTTGCTTGACTGGCTGGCACAAAAGAGGCTGAAAGTTTGTCTACTTTTCTTTCGTATTCTTCCTCCCTTGATCTGTCAGTCTCAGGAAGCATTCTGTTCAGCGACAACTTATATAACCCAGAGATCTTGAGGCCAGTGCACTGGGAGCCACACAAACATTCAGTGCTTAGGGTGGTCCCAGGGGCCATTCATGCCCACAGCAAGTGAATTTTAGTGGTTCCCTAAATTCATCTTGGCACATGATCATGGCTTAGGATCAGTAAAATTCCAAAAAACAACTCCAGCATATAAACTCAAGCTTATGCAGTTCTTTTTATTCCAAGGGATAATACATATTGTGGAAAAGCAAAATATGATTTTTTAAATAAATAAAGGAGGGCTTTAAAAATTCTTAGACATTACAAGAATAGAGAAAATGAACGTTGTCAAATACCAGCATGCACTGTATAATGATGCTTCTGTCAACAATGGACAGCATGTTTGACCGTGGTCTCATAAAACTATGATGGAGACGAAAAATTCCTGTTGCCTAGTGATGTATTCACATGTTTGTGGTAATGCTGGTGTAAACAAAAGTAGTGTGTTGCCCATGGACACAGGAAGGGGAAGATCACACACTGGGGCCTGTTGTGGAGTGGGGGAAAGGGGTAGGGATAGCATTAGGAGATATACCTAATGCTAAATGACGAGTTAATGGGTGCAGCACACCAACATGGAACATGTATACATATGTAACAAACCTGCACGTTGTGCACATGTACCCTAAAACTTAAAGTATAAAAAAAAAGGTAGTGTGTTGCCAGTTGCATAAAAGTCTAGCACATCCTGTTATGTACAGTATCTAATATTTGATAATAATAAACAATGTTACTGGCTTATGTATTTACTGTACTATACTTTTTATTGTTATTTTAGAGTATTCTACTTGTTAAAAAACAAGTTATCTGTAAAACATCCTTAGACAGGTACTTCAGAAGGTATCCAGAAGAAGGCATTGTTATCCAAGGAGATGACAGCTTCATGCATGTTACTGTCCCTCAACACATTCCAGTGGGACAAGATGTGGAGGTGGAAGATGGTGATATTGATGGCCCTGACCCTGTGAAGATCTAGGCTATTGTGTATGTTTGTGTTTTAGTTTACAACAAAAAAAGTTTTAAAAGTAAAAAAATAAAAATAAAAATAGAAAAAAGGATATAAAGAAAAAATATTTTTTATAGCTGTACAATGTATTTGTGTTGTAAGCTAAGTGTTGCTATAAAAGAGTAAAAAAGTTAATGAAAAATTTAAAGTTTATAAAGCTAGAAAGTTACAGTAAATTAAGGTTAACTTATTACTGAAGAAAAAAATTTAATTTAGTGTAGTGCAAGTGTTCAGGGTTTATAAAGTCTACAGTAGTGTCCGAGGCCTTCACATTCACTCCCCACTCACTCACTGACTCATCGAGAGCAACTTCCAGTTCTACGGGCTCCATTTATGGTAAATACCCTATACAGGTGCACCATTTTTTATCTTTTGGACTGTATTTTTACTATCCTTTTTCTATGTTTAGATACGTTTACATACACAAGTACTTGCCACCATGCAGGTTTGTAGCCTAGAAGCAATCAGCCATACCATATAGCCTAGGTGTGTAGTAGGCTGGACCATCTAGGTTTGTGTAAGTGCACGCTATGATGGTCACACAATGACAAAATCACCTAATGACAAATTTCTCAGACCATATCCCTGTTAAGTGATGCATGACTCTATTTTAATAAATTAGAATAAAGATTAAAGACACATAATTAGAAAGATGAAATACTGTAACAAGAGCACCACTAAATGCTGAACTGAACTATAATATATTCAGGCGTAACAGTAAGTTCATGCAGCATACATCCTTGTGGTGGGGTTTTTGGAGGGAGACAAAAGGCTAACATCTTCACTTACACTGAAGCCCTTCCAAATCCAGTCACTAACATTATTACAAGCATAAAACCTTTAGGCCAATAGGAGTTTACCTGGATTTCAGGTGAATTATTTGTTAGACCCTTAATTACAAACATCTGGGCCAAAGAGATGCTTCTTCTTGGAAGGGGTATGTCCGGACAGTACACTTCACAAGTTTTTTCTGAATCTTCTTTGGCAACAACTTTCTCACAAAAGTAAGTATTCAGAATAACAGGGCAACTTCCACTTGGAATAATCAGTTTTTGCCTGGAAAAGAGAAAGACATGCAACAGTTTCTTTGCAATATTGGGGTCCCCTCATATTCTTGCTAAATCAGGAATGCAAAGAGCAATGACTCGCCTGCTATGGACAGCTAAAGCCAAGCCCACCCACAGAGGCACAGCTGTCCTTCATGCTCCAGCATGGCCACCAGTAGTCTGACTTCACTGTTCTAGTGAAAGCCCTGTGTCAGGAAGGGATGGAAGAAGGCTAAGTCCCTGGGCTTGGGCTCCCTTGTGCCCTCCCAGTATGGCCTCAAGACCCCTCAGGGGGAAATACGGAGGATAAACAAAAACTGTCACAGCCTCAAAAAAGTGCCCAAACAATGAAATAAAATGTACAAATAAAACCTTCAGAAATTTTGATAGCTCTTTCAAAGAACATACCATTAAATGCCAAAGGAGCATCTACCTTTGCTATCAAACTGACTATAGTTGCTGAATACCTCACATTTAAGTATTAATAGAAAAGGAGTCAGGAAATAGAGCAGACAAAATTCTCCTGGTTCTTCTCAGTCCTTGGACAAGAGAAAACACTTTAATGCCTATTCCTTAAAACATGGCGCTGCTTAATATTAAAAATTTGGGACTTCTGATTCTGGGAGGACGGAGTATCACACTTTCCCCTATTCCTCTAATTAAGTACAACTAAAATGCCTGATATTATATGTAAAGTAAACATAAGAAGACACCGAGAGGTGGAGAGAAGAGACCAACAGGCTAAAACCTAGAGACCTCAGGACTTCAGGAATGAGGCAGTGGCAAGTTCCTGGGTTTTCTTTTTCTTTTCTTTTTCTTTTTTTGAGACATGGTCTCGGCTCTGTCGCCCAGGCTGGAGTGCAGTGGCATGGTCTCAGCTCACTGAAACCTCTGCCTCCTGGATTCAAATAATTCTCGTGCCTCAGCCTCCTGAGTAGCTGGAATAACAGGCATGAATCACCATGCCCAGTATTTTTTTTTAGTTTTTTAGTAGAGAGAAGGTTTTGCCATGTTGGCCAGATTGGTCTCAAACTCCTGACTTCAAGTGATCCACCCACCTTGGCCTCCCGAAGTGCTAGGATTACAGATGTGAGCCACTGTGCCCGGCCCTGGGTTTTCTTTTTGCCTCTTATATCTCAGGTTTTGAGCTGAAGGAGCCAGCAACCCGGAAACAGTAACATGTGCTGACAAAAAGCTCTACCAAAGCCTGCTCTCTTTAACCAAGGACCAAGGAAGGGGCAGCCTAGAAAGGCAGAAAACTCTTAGATGGTAACTGCTCTACTCTAGGTAAACATCATGAAAAACCTATGACTTGTCCCTATGCATGCTAGCACAGGCCAAGTGAAGACCTGGACTTCCCCCCTCATTGGGCTGTAATGAGAGCACCCCAGTATCCCAGCTGGGATACCAGAGAAGGTGGGCCAAGGAGCTTTCTTTTCCTTTTTCTTTTTTTTGAGATGGAGTCTTACTCTGTCGCCCAGCTGGGGGCACGATCTCAGCTCACTGCAACCTCTGCCTCCCAAGTTCAAGTGATTCTCCCACCTCAGCCTCCCAAATAGCTGGGACTACAGGCGCCCACCATCATGTCCAGCTAATTCTTTTTTTTTTTTTTTTTTTTTTTTTTGTAGAGACTGGGTTTCATCATGGTGACCAGGCTGGTCTCAAACTCCTGACCTCAGGTGATTTGCCCGCCTCGGCCTCCCAAAGTGCTGGGATTACAGGCGTGAGCCACCGTGCCTGGAGGACTTTGATCTCCCACAGGCCTGCAACGAGTACTCCCCTCATTGTGACAATGGAGAGACTACCTGGGGGCCTGGACTTCACCTCCTCCTGACAGTAGTAACCAAGCAACACTCCCTGCCCCTCTGGGGTGGTGCCAGAGGAAGTGTGGCAGAGAATCAGGATTTTCACCGCTGCTCAGTGGTGCTGAGGCCACCCTTCCCTCCTACCCCTCAGCAGAAGGCATGTGAGGAACAGCAACAAGGCTTCCCTGGCCCTCCCAGCCAGGGTGGTGTCAGCAGAGGCTTAGCAGGGAGCTGGAACTCATACCCCTGCCCAGCAGGAACAAGGAGTCTCTCCCTCTCTCAACTGTCAACTGAGGAACCTGGACTTCCCTCTCCACGTGGCAGTAACAACCCACTCCACTCCTCACTTTCTCCTACCAGAGCAGTGTCAGATGAAGCTACCTAAAAGAGGTTTCAATAAGATCCAGAGTCTCAAAACATAATACTCCAAATGTCCATGTTTCTATCAAAAATCACTTGTTATACTAAGAACCATGAAAAATCTCAACTTGAATGAATAAAGACAGTTAATAGATGTCAATACTGAGATAACATAAAGGTTAGAATTATCTGGCAAAGATTCTAAAGCAGCCATTTAAAAAAGCTTTAATAAGCAACCTTGACGCACTTGAGACAAATGAAAAAAAATAGTCTCAGCAAATAAACAGAATAAATATTTCTTAAAAATGGAAGTTTCAGAACTAAAAAAATAGTGAAAATAAAAGAATAGGTTCAACAGCAGAAAGGAGGAGAAAGAGAAAAGAATCAATAAAGTCGAAGATAAAAATAATAAAAATTACCCAATATAAATAATAAAGGGAAAACAGACTTAAAAAAAAAGTAAAAAACCTGGCTGGGCATGGTGGCTCATGCCTGTAATCCCAGTGTTTTGGGAGGCCGAGGCGGGCGATCACCTGAGGTCAGGAGTTCGAGACCAGCCTGACCAACATGAAGAAACCCTATCTCTACTAAAAAATACATAATTAGCTGGGCGTGGTGGGGCATGGCTGTAATCCCAGCTACTCGGGAGGCTGAGGCAGGAGAATCGCTTGAACCTGGGAGGTGGAGGTTGTGGTGAGCCAAGATCGCACCATTGCACTCCAACCCGGGCAACAAAAGCAAAACTCCTCTTCAAAAAACAAACAAAAAACCCCCAACAGAACCAAGGACCTGTGGGAAGAAAGAAATAGAAATGGAAGGCTATAGATAAAATAATACAGGTACATACAAGAGGCTTTCCTACTCCTCTTGAGTTTTCTAAATTTTTATTGTAACAAAAATTATAACATTGTCTGAGGTGGTTCTAAATGTATGCAGATAAAACATTAAAGACAATCATATTATAAATAGGGAGGGAGGACTTCTACTCGTGCGTGAGGCAAGCGGAGCCGGAGACTAGACCAGAGGCCGAACTCGGGTTCTGATAAGATGGCAGGGCTGCCCCGCAGGATCATCAAGGAAACCCAGGGTTTGCTGGCAGAACCAGTTCCTGGCATCAAAGCAGAACCAGATGAGAGCAATGCCTGTTATTTTCATGTGGTCATTGCTGGCTCTCAGGATTCCTTCCCCCTTTGAGGGAGGGACTTTTAAACTTGAACTATTCCTTCCAGAAGAATACTCAATGGCAGCCCCTACAGTATGTTTCATGACCAAAATTTATCATCCTAATGTAGACAAGTTGGGAAGAATATGTTTCGATATTTTGAAAGGTAACTGGTCCCCAGCACTGCAGATCCGCACACAGTTCTGCTATCAACCCAGGCCTTGTTATGTGCTCCCAATCCAGACGATCCATTAGCAAATGATGTAGCAGAGCAGTGGAAGACCAACAAAGCCCAAGCCATAGAAACAGCTAGAGCATGAACTAGGCTATATGCCATGAATAATATTTAAATTGATCCGATCATCAAGTGTGCATCACTTCTCCTGTTCTGCCAAGACTTCCTCCTTTTTGTTTGCATTTAATGGACACAGTCTTAGAAACATTACTGAATAAAAAAGCCCAGACATCTTCAGTCCTTTGGTGATTAAATGCACATTAGCAAATCTATGTCTTGTCCTGATTCACTGTCATAAAGCATGAGCAGAAGCTAGAAGTATCATCTGGATTGTTGTGAAACGTTTAAAAGCAGTGCCCCCCCGCCCCGTTTCTATTTACTTCCCCCATCCTGGTTTAAGTATAAAGCACTGTGAATGAAGGTAGTTGTCCGGTTAGCTGCAGGGATGTGCGTGTTTTTCTTTATTTTATTTTTTTTGAGGGGGGAGGTAGTTTAATTTTATGGGTTCCTTTCCCCCTTTTTTGGTGATCTAATTGCATTGGTTAAAAGCAGCTAACCAGGTCTTTAGAATATGCTCTCTAGCCAAGTCTAACTTTATTTAGATGCTGTAGATGGACAAGCTTGATTGATTGAACCAAAATGGGAACATTAAACAAACATCACAGCCCTCACTAATAACACTGCTGTCAAATGTAGATTCCCCCCTTCAAAAAAAGCTTGTGACCATTTTGTATGGCTTGTCTGGAAATTTCTGCAAATCTTATGTTTTAGTAAAATGTTTTTTGTTATTCTAAAAGATAAATAAATAAATAAATAAATAAATAAATAAATAGGGAGGGAAAGGGGATATAAAGGGAGGTATGGTTTCTATACTTCACGGAAACTGGTAAAATTTTGACCCAGTAGACTGTGCTAAGTTACATATATGTAATACCCAGAGCAAGCAATAAAATATCTATAAAAAGAGATATACACCAAAACGTTATAAATAAAATTCTAAAAAAATTAATGTTCAAGTAACCCATATGAAACCAGGAAAAATAAAACAAAAAAAAAAACCAGAGAACAAAGAAAACAAAAAGTAAAAAGGTACACTTAAGCCCTAATGTATCAATAATTACACTGAGGATAAATGGTCTAAATAAACCAATTAAAAGACAGAGATTGGCAGAGTAAATTTATGATCCATCTATATGCCGTCTACAAGAAACTCACTTCAAATACAGACATATAGGTAGGATGAAAGTAAAAAATGAGAAAAGATACATCATGTAAACATTGATTAAAATATAGTGGGAGTGCTATATTAATATCAGATGAAGTAGATTTCAGAGCACAGAAAACTCCAAATATAGAAAGGCACATTACATAATGACACAAAGATCAATCCACCATGAAGACATAGCAATCCTAAATGTATCTGCAACAAACAACATAGATTCAAAATACATGAAGCAAAAACTGATAAAACTCAAAGAATAGACAAATCCACAATTAGAATTGCAGACATCAACATCTCTCCCTCAACATTTGATAGAACTAGAGAGAATATCAGAAAGAATACAGAAGAGCACAACACCACCATCAATAAACAGGTTCTAGCTGACATTATAGAATACTCCACCAAACAACAGCAGAATACATATTTTTTTCAGGTGCCCACAAAATGCATGTGCCATAAGACACATATAAACAAATTTAAAAGAACTGAAATCATATAGAGTATATTCTCTAATCACAGTACAATCAAACTAAAAATCAATAACAGAATGATAACATGAAATTCTCCAAACACTTTGAAATTAAACAACATATTTCTAAATAATCCAAGGGTCAAAGAGGAAGTCTCAATGAAAATGTAAAAACAAACACTGAACTAAATGAAAATACAAATTTAACCTATCAAAACTTGTGAGAAACAGCTGAAGTGATACTGAGAGGAAATTTTACAGAACTTAAAGCTTACATTAAAAAAGAAAAAAGTCTCAAATCAATAATCTAAGTTCTTACCTCAAAAACCTAGAAAAAAGTAGAGCAAAATAAACTCAGAGAAAGTGAAAAGAAATAATTTTTTTTTTTTTTTTTGAGACAGAGTCTTGCTCTGTCACCTGGGCTGGAGTGCAGTGGCACGATCTCGGTTCACTGCAATCTCCGCTACCTGGGTTCAAGCAATTCTCCTGCCTCAGCCTCCTGAGTAGCTGGGATTACAGGTGCCCACCACCAGTCCCGGCTAATTTTTATATTTTTAAAGTAGAGACCAGGTTTCATTCACCATGTTGGTCAGGATGGTCTCAAACTCCTGATCTCAGGTGATCCACCCACCCCAGCCTCTCAAAGTGCTGGGATTACAGGGGTGAGTCACCGTACCCAGCTGGAAATAATTAAAGAGCAGAAATAAATAAAATTGAACAGAAAAACAACAGAGAAAAAAACAATGCAATAGAGTTATTTGAAAAGATCAATGAATTGACTAAAAAATGAAAAAAGGCAGAAGATACAAATTACCAATATCAAGAATAAGACGGAGGCTGTCACTACAGGCCCTGTACATATCACAAGGCTAGGTAAAGTACAATGGACAAGTCTACATACATTCTCACAACTTAGATGAAATGGACAAATTTCTCAAAAAGAAACAAAAATAACTACCACAACTCATGCTATATGAAACAGATTATTTGAATAGCCTATAACTATTAAGGAAAATAAATATGTAATTTTTTTTTTTTGTTTTGAGATGGAGTCATGCTCTGTTGCCCAGGCTGCAGTGCAGTGGTGTGATCTCGGTTCACTGCAACCTCCTCTGCCTGCTGGGTTCAAGCAATTCTCCTGCCTCAGCCTCCCGAGTAGCTGGGACTACAGGCGCGCGCCACCATGCCCGGCAAATTTTTTTGCATTTTTAATAGAGATGGGGGTTTCACCATGCTAGCCAGGCTGGTCTCAAACCCCTAACCTAGTGATCCGCCGCCCTCGGCCTCCCAAAGTGCTGGGATTATAGGTGTGAGCCACCATGCCCGGCCAAATTTGTAATTTTAAAACTCCCAAAAGTGGTATCTCCAGGTCCAGATACTTTCACTGGAGAATTCTAACAAATGGGAAAAGAAGAACTAGCACCAATTCTACACACTGTCTTCTAGAAAACAGAAGAGGAGGAAACACTTCCAATCCCTTTTATAAAGCAAGTATTACTCTGATACTAAAACCAAAGACAGTACAAAAAAAAAAAAAAAAAAAAACAAACTATAAACCAATATACCTCAATAACACAGATACAAAATTCTTTAACAATATGTTAGCAAATAGAATTTAGCAATGTATAAAAGAAGTTATGCAATATGACCAAGTGGTGTTAATTCCAGGCAAGATGGCCTTGTTTGGTATTTGAAAATCACCTTCACCAAGTTGAAGGCTGAAGGAGAAAAATCAGATGATTACATTAGCAATGTGAAAAAACCACTTGACATAATTCAACGTCCATCCTTAATAATAATTTTAAAAAACCTCTGAAATCAGAAAGAGAACTTCCACAGCTTAATAAAGAATTATCAACAGAAATCCCACAACTAGCATTAAAATTAATGATGAAAGAGTAGATGCTTGCCACCTAAGATGGAAAACAAGGCAAAAATTTCCTCCCTCACAACTTTGATTCAACATAGTACCAGAAGTTCTAGCTAGTGCAATAAGACAAGATAGGTGGGGAAAGGCATACAGATTAAAAAGAATAAATAAAAATGTCCTTATTTAAAGGTGGCATGATTGCTTACACAGGAAATGGCAAGGAATCTACAAAATAACTCCTAGAACTATTAAGCAAGGTTGAAGAAACCAACACACACAAAAATTAGGTGTATTTCTACATATTGTCAATGAATTCATGGACACCAAAATGGGAAAAACATACCATTTAAAATTGTAAAACTAAAAAAAAAAAAAGACCAAAATAACCCATGTCAGTGTGAATCTCACAAAACATGTAATGACTTATATGCTGAAGCTACAAAACACTGATAAAATAAATCAAAGATCTTAACAAATGGAAGACATATTTATGGATTGAAAAACTCAAAATCATAAAGATGCCAAAATCAAGGAGCTCCCCAAATGGATCTATAGGCTTAAAGAAATTCCCATCAATTCCAGCATGATTTTGTTTGCAGATACATACGTGTATATATATATATATATATATATATATATATATATATATATATATATATATATATATATATGCTAATTTTAAAAGTTGCAAGGAAAGGCAAAGGAACTAACATAGCTAAAACAATTTTGAAAAAGAATGAAGTAAAGGAGATCACTTTCCCTAATTTAAAGACTTATTTTATAACTATAATAACCAATATTATATGGTGTTATTGAAGGGATAGACACATAGATCAATGAAACAGAAGAACCCAGAAATATACTACACAAATATGCCCAACTGATTTTTTTTTTAAATTGATCTCCACAGTGTGATTTTTGTTTGTTTTTGTTTTAGAGATAGGGTCTCACTATGTTGCCCAGGCCAGCCTCAAACTCCTGGGATCAGGTGATCTTCCTGCTTTAGCTTCCTGACTAGATGGGACCACAGATACACTGTGCACCACCATGCTCAGCACCAGTTGATTTTTTTTTTTTTTTTTTTTTTTGAGGCAGGGTCTTGCTCTGTCGCCCAGGCTGGAGTGCAATGGCAACATCTCGGCTCACAGCAACCTCCGTCTGCCTCCCAGGTTCAAGTGATTCTCCTACCTCAGCCTCTCGGGTAGCTGGGACTGCAGGTGCGCCACCATGCCCCGTTATTTTTTTTGTATTTTTTTGGTAGAGATGGGGTTTCACCATGTTGGCCAGACTGGCCTTGAAGTCCTGACCTCAAGTAATCTTCTCGTCTCTGCCTCCCAGAAATAGGCCCCTGTGCGCAGCCTACCAACTGATTTTTGACAAAAGTGCCAAGGCAATTCAATTAAGGAAGGATAGACTTTGGATAATCATAGGCAGAAAAATATAAGCTTTAACCTCATTCTCACAACTTATATACCATTTAACTCAAAATTGATGATGAATATAAACGTAAACTATAAAACGAGAAAAATGTTAGGGAAAAATTTAAGAGAAAATCTTTAGGATCTAGGACTAGGGAAAGAGTACTTAGACTTAAGATAAAAAATTTGATCTGTTTAAAATGAACTTGAGGCCGAGCGCAGTGGCTCACGTCTGTAATCCCAGCACTTTGGGAGGCCAAGGCTGACGGATCAACTGAGATCGGGAGTTCGAGACCAGCCTTGCCAACATGGTGAAACCTCTGTCTCTACTAAAAATACAAAAATTAGCCAGGTGTGCTGGCACGTGCCTGTAGTTCCAGCTACTCGGGAGGGTGAGGCAGGAGAACTGTTTGAACCCAGGAGGCGGAGGTTGCAGTGAGCTGAGGTCTTGCCACTGCACTCCAGCCTGGTCGACAGAGCGAGACTCCCTCTCAAAAACAAGCTAACAACAACAAAAAAAACTTGATAAACTAGAACTTATCAAAACTGAAAACTTTTGCTCTAAGAAAGACCCCCTTTGGAGGATGGAAAGACAAGCTAGAGACATAGGGAAAATCATTTCAATTTCAAACCACATACCAAGAAAGGACTAGTATTTAGAACATATAGAGAATTCTGAAAACCACACAGTATAAAAAATGAACAATCCAATTAAGAAACAACAGGTATGAACAGACATTTCATTGAAAAGCTATATAAATGGCACATTAGCACAAGGAAAGATGTTCTACATCATTAGCCATTAAGAAAATGCACATTAAAACCACAGTGAGGCAAAATGGCTAAAACAAAACATAATATCAACATTGAATGCTGGCAAGGATGTGGAGAAACTACATTGCTCATATACTGCTGGCAGAAATGTAAAATTGTATAACTACTCTGGAAAAGTTTGGCAGTTTTTTTCTTTTGGAAAAAAAACCCCACAAAACTAAGCACGCAACTACCAAACAACCTAGCATTTGTACTCCTGGGCATTTATCTCAGAGAAATGAAAACTTATGTTCATATGAAGACCTACATATGAATGTTAGCAGCTTTATTAATAATAGTCCCAAACTGGCAACAACCTAAATGTCTATCAATGGGTGAATGGTTAAACAAAATGTTAAATCCATATCATGGAATACTATTCAGCAATAAAAAGAAACAGACTATTGATACAGACAATGACTTGTATTAATCTCCAGAGAATGATGCTAAGTGAAAAAAGCCAATACCTAAAGAAGTGGAGAGCATATTTTGGTTGCTATGGTTTGAATATGTGCCCCTCCAAAACTCATGTTGAAGCTTAATCCCCAATGTGGCAGTATTGAGAGGTGGAGCCTTAAAGAGATGACTGGGTCATGAGGGCTCTGCTCTCATGAATGGATTAATCCACTCATGAATTAATGGACTAATGGGTTATCATGGGAGTGGGATTGGCGGTTTTACAAGAGGTAGAGAGACCTGACCTAGCATGCTCAGCTCTCTTGCCATGTAATGGTGGTGCCATCTCAAGACTCTGCAGAGTCTCCACCAGCAAGAAGGCCCTCACCAGATGCAACCCCTCGACCTCCATAAGTGTAAGAAATAAATTCAGGCTCCATAAGTGTAAGAAATAAATCCCTCTTCTTTATAAGTTACCCAGTTTCAGGTATTCTGTTATAAGCAACAGAAAATAAGACAGTGGTTGCCAGGGGTTTAGGTTGTGGGGTGGGGGTAGGGAAAGGAGAAAGAAGGAAGTTGATCTGTCTGTATTATTTTGTACAACTAAATGTAAATCTACAATTATCTAAAAATAAAAAATTTAATAAAAAATAGACATTGTATAACATTAATCAATCTAAAACAACATTCCTCTCAATCATCCCACTAGTCATTTTATGTTCATGAGTTTTCCAGTCTTTAAGACTTCCATATATTAAGAAAAAACACCAATTAACAATGGTCAGTATCTAATTTCTGTCCAATTATCAGTACTAGTTACACAAACTTAAGTTTTGGCTTTATGCAAAATTTCTAGTACTCAAATTTCCCTGATAGAAGATAAAATGCTTATTTTTAACTTCACGTACTATGTTCTGGGCTCAACTTGCCTAACACGGAGGCATATGATTAATTATACGTAAAGCTTATACTCCCATGATTTCTTTTCAAGAGGTAGAGTCTCATTCTCTAATTGTCATTTATCCTAGATACATTTTTTTCTTAGTATCTAATACCTAATAAATTTCCATATAATTTTTCCAATACAAACTTGACATAATATTATTTTAAGCCAATAGCCGATAGGTATGGTAACCCAGAGATAAGGAAAAAAGTTGTGAGAAAGAGAGAAAGGAAGGGCAGGGGCAGATGGAGTGGGAGGGGGAAAGGCAGAGAAAGCCACAGGAGAATAAAAGGGTACGGTGGGTGCAGTG
Organism: Homo sapiens; assembly: GCF_000001405.40. NCBI lineage: Eukaryota > Metazoa > Chordata > Mammalia > Primates > Hominidae > Homo > Homo sapiens. The sequence continues at coordinate 47,584,817 of NC_000008.11, read as the reverse complement.
TCTGGCACTGCCTGGGGCTGACTGCAGATCTGATGCACACTGTCAGGTGGATGAAAGGTGTTATAAACTTCTAGCTTTTTGATTCAAGTTAATTTTTTAAAGATATGATAAAGTAATACTGTTTTAACAGCTAAGAAGAAGGAAGCAGTAGGTAAAGTGTATGTGTGTATTTAGAACCTCCTAGTTTGCAGATAAACATACCAATATTAGAACTATGTATGTTCTGCCCAGTCCAAGGTGTTAAGGCCATTCTTCCCAACTCAAGTTACTCAAATTAAATTAGTCTAGAACAGAAATTATTCATAAGGAAATTTAGTTTGTTGCTTTAAACCTTATTAAGTAACAAAATGATGGTCCTTAGGATACAGAAAATACAGTAAGCCTCTTAAAACAGATACAAGCAAGTTTTGATTAGCATATTACCTGTTTCTGCAGAAATGTTATTGAAAATACTTAATTCTCTAATTTAAGGTAAACATATATTTGAAATCTTGTCCATTCTTCTCATATACTCACAAGTCTCCTTTATCCCCCAAAGATAACTACACAGGTAAGCATTAATCTAAGTAGATCCAAAAGATCATAGTTTCTGAATTAGGGAATCTGAATGAGTTTAAAGTATGATTCAGCATAATGTGAAAAGCCTGAAATTTTAGTCACAAATATAACGTGACTAAATATGATATGATCTATATGATCTGGGAAATCAAGTCACATAATAGCACAAATCAAATAGATTTGTGAGGCAAATGGATATGGGAAAGATCTTGAAATCCATCTCCAGGTCCATTTGGTTCATTCCACTCTCCCTTTAATGACCACTTGTGACACAGCGGACACGGTGACAGGGGACTGGGAATCCAGTCCAGGACAACAAGGCTGCTAAGAGGACAGTTTCACTGTAAAGGAAAAGGTTGTGACTCGGATGTGATGCTCCAAGGGCGGCCCCTCTGGGAGCTGCTAGGAGGCTTCCCAGGAGAGGCAGGACAAAGTGTGCTGTGGGTGTGTGAAGGGAGAGGAAGGGAGCACATGGGCACTGCCCAGGGACAAGGACTGCACTTTGGAGTCAATGTAATCAGCATGCCACACTATCACATCATCAAGTTTCTGCAGAAAAAATTCATGTTCTGTTTCCTTTATTAGCAGGCAGAGGAAATCACATCTTTTAAACATTCATATCTATAGTACCAGTGCTATCTATCTAGATAGCATGAACTTTCCATTTCTTTTTATGCTGCAATCAATCCAACACCACGTGGTGTGGCCTTTACAATCTCTCTACAGATCTCATTGTCACAAATGTTATATGACAAACAAAAAGCACGTTGATATAGCATGTATAGATTGAGACTGAACATTCAGCATGTTTAGCTTTTGTGAAGATTGAACTGAAACTAAGAACAAAACCTAAGTTGTTAAATCTCACGTGATAAGTCACACATATACCCAACACTACCAATGAACATTATCATGATGTTGGACTCCCACTGATACTTTTTTTTTTTTTTTTTTGAGATGGAGTCTCGCTCTGTCACCCAGGCTGGAGTGCAGTGGCGCGATCTTGGCTCACTGCACGCTCCGCCTCCTGGGTTCACGCAATTCTCCTGCCTCAGCCTCCCAAGTAGCTGGGACTACAGGCGCCCGCCACCACGCCCGGCTAATTTTTTTTTTTTTTGTATTTTTAGTAGAGACAGGGTTGCATTCTTACAAGAAACTTTTGAGGATATGCATTTACTTTCCAGTAAATTCTCAGAGCATACTTGAGAAGTTGGTGGCCATAGTGGTAGGACAGGCTAAAATGTGGAAGAGTTACACACACAAATAAACTACACAAAAAAAACTAGACATAACAGTCTTCAGTGAAGTCTAAGTGCTAGAGTTTCTGGTGGAAAGCTTTTAAAAATATACGTGTGTGTGTGTGTGTCTGGTGGAAAGCTTTTAAAAATATGTGTGTGTGTGTGTGTGTGTGTGTGTGTGTGTGTGTGTGTGTAATTTGTTGTTGTTGTTTAATGGAGTCTTGCTATGTTGCCCAGACAACAAGTGACCCTTCAGCCTCTGCCTCCGAAAGTGTTAGGATTACAGGAATGTGTCACCACACCTGGCTGCTTTTTTTAAAAAATAGAGAATATTGTATGATCAATAAAAATGACAATGTGTCAAAATGTTTTCTGATTACATCTCAGAAATGGCTGCCTAAACAAACGCTTTGCATTAAGAACTATTTCCACTTCTCACCTGAGAATGTTATATACGTGGAACTCAATTAAACAGGGAACAATTTAATAGACTTAAGAAAAAGTAATTGAGACTAAAAGACCAAAGAAGGAAAACCATGTGAAACATCTTTTCATTTTCTATCACTATCAGCACTGTCAACGGTGAAATACCCTCCTAGCAACTTGTTTTAGGAATTCCCAGTTTCACGAAAGATGTTTACTTTTATTTTCCTACTAGTTAGGTTTTCTTGATTTTTTTCTGTGCTTAGCAACAAATTAAATCAAGAATACATTTTACACTGAATATGTAGATAGGGACAATGTAACTAACATGTAGATTACTATAACTACCTTAAAAAACAAGCAGTTTTTTTTTTTTTTGAGATGGAGTCCCACTCTTGTCACCCAGGCTGGAGTGCAGTGCTGCAATCTTGGCGGCTCACCGCAACCTATGCCTCCCAGGTACAAGCAATTCTCCTGCTTCAGACTCCAGAGTAGCTGAGATTACAGGCACCCGCCACCACGCCTGGCTAATTTTTGTATTTTTAGTAGAGACAGGGTTTCACCATGTTGGCCAGGCTGGTCTCGAACTCCTGACCTCAGGTGATCCACCCACTTCAGCCTCCCAAAGTGCTGGGATTACAGGAGTGAGCCACCATGCCCAGTCACAGTATTTATTCCAAATCATAAATTAGGATCGATTTGCTTGTTTACTGTCAAGGAAGAATGTGTTTTCGTCTGTGGAGAGTGGCAAAGAGGATTAGTGGATTAATAGGTATTAATGCAGTGACAGAAAGAAAACAAAGGCAAATAGAAATTTTTTTCTTCCTTCCTTCTCCTCCCTTTTTTCCTTCCCTCTTTTAATGGTTAGCTATCTAAAGGGGGATAGATTGAGAACTGAAGTTGTCAGAAAATATAATCTACATTTTTCTTTTCATGGAAGGCATGCTTGGGATAATGTCGTTTACAATTCAGTTTCAACTCTGGGACCCACTGGCCAAAGGCTGAAGCTGGATGGTAGATGCATCTTCTGTCTGTCCAGCAGGGCTACTATGCTGGAGCGCCTTATACAGGGAGAGATACTGTGGTGATCATGCTACAGGTGTATATTTTTTAACTGACTCATTAATTTGGGGGAGAAAACCCAGCCTTTCACTCAAAAACATGACCCCACTTATAACTGGGGAATCAAAGAAAGCCCTCGTTTAATTCTAGCTTTGCAAACTTACTAATATCTACTTAGGAAAACATTATTTTTCAATTTAGACTATGAGTTAAAATCACTTTGAAAATGAAAATGACTGGGTTTTTCACTAGATTTACTGAAAATAAAAAATAAACTAGGATCTCTGGGTGGGGGCTAGCTGAGAGGGCTTCAAGTTCATAGAGAGACATATACCAGGAAACAACAAAACACAGTAGGTTACCGGTGCTGCAATAGAAAGAATATGGCCTTCTACACGGGAGACAGAAGATGGACTTAATCATGTTAATTAAGTCCCTTCTAGAATGTTGCCTCTGTGAGAGAAGGGGCTTTGGCTGGGTGGCTCACCAGTGCCTGGAAAATCAATGATTTTGGAATGAATGTCATTCCTTCTTCCAGTTTCCTGGGAAAAGTTGCTCTTTTCTCTGTGCTCCAATGGTGCTTTCCACACTGTCATGTTCAAGGGTCTGCCTCTACAACTAAAAACTGAACTTCTAGAATACAACAGCTGTTTCTTTTTTTGCCTTTCTTTTTTATTAGGTACTTCACAGTATCTGACATGTGCAAGGGTCTCAACAGATGTTTACTAAATTAATGGATAAACACACATTCACATTTACAGGGAATAGAGGAAGGCAGGAGAGTACATTTGAAACAGATAAACCAGACCTTGTAACAACTGAGTCCCGGGTGTTTTAATGTAGGCATCTAAGAATGGCATAAATTTAAAATAAAGGCTTAGAATAAAAACGCTGGGTGGCATGTGACCAAGCACGTGAGAATCTAATGCACAGCACACGATGACATGGGAGGAAGGAGAGGACGTATAGGTTTTTGACCTAAAAACTCTGGAATTAAATCCTGGCTTTGCCACTTACAAGCTGTGTGGCTGTGGACAAATTTAATGTCTTTGTGACTCGGTTTTTATAAATCGGGAGCATTCAGAGTAGATGTAAGCACTACACAGATTTCTTGTGAAAATGAAATTAATGAATTGATGCAGAGTTCCGAGAAGAGCTTCCCACGTGCAAGGGCTCAGTGGGAAGGATGGTCGGCACTGCTGCTGTCACTACTGTGAATTATACCTTCAGCAATTTCAAATTAGTTGTTGTCTATTGTTTAGCAAAAACTAGGGTTATTTAGTGTTACTTACTCAAAACCTATTATCTTTATCCTCCTAAATATTAAAAAGAATCACAATCATTAGCAGTGGATATCACTTTTCCATCACCTGCTCATATACACAACATTTACACTGAGCCTTCTTTGCTACCCATACTAGCTGGTTAGAGTCTGATGGCTTTAATTCACTTGCTATGCTCTTAGTCCTCTTCACAACAACCCCACAGGGTAAACATGACTATTCCCATCTTCGGAGGAGGTTAAATAACAACCAACTAATTGTATACCACTAGTCCTAGTCCATGACAGGGCTGTAATACAAACCAACTGGCTTCAAAGCCAGTCTGTTCTCTTTCCAAGATACCAGACCATCTCCCAGGAGGGAGGACAGGACTCCCTACTTGGATATGGGTAAGGAAGATCCTGCCACAATCAACCCTGGAGGAACCAACATATGGGAAAGGGAAGGGACACAAACTGACGGGGCAGTTGGCTAGCCAGGCACACGATTAGATGGGGCTCACATGAAGGCATGAAATTGGGTTGGGGGTGGGGATGGTGGGGTAGAGGAAACTATGCTTCTCTATCTGCTGACAGTTATCAAGTGTTAGGCAGTTTGGCAAGTTACCATGGAAAGATTTATATGTACTGTACAAGGGTCCCTGTGGTGACAGAACCTTGAAAGCCACCTTCTACATTGTGTTGGCCAGTAAGGTAGCCACTGGGCCATGTAGCTAATCATATTTAAATGAAATAAAGTAAAATGAAATAAAATAATTTTAAAATGCAGTTCCTGGGTTGCATGACCCAGATTTCTGGTATTCAGTGTGGCTAGTGACTACCATAGTGGACAGCACAAAAAATAGAACATTTCCATCAATGCAGAAAATTCTGTGGGGTTATCATAATTCTGGTTCTCAAGACAGACAATAAATCACATTCTAGTTACTTAGTAAATTCTTTTTGACTGACTGGATTTGAAAAGGGCTACGATATCTCAGTGACTTTCAGTGCTAAATTCACAGGCTTTGACACCACCTCTGTTTGTGACTTTGGACACCTGCATCAGTACACCAGCATGAAATATGACTCTGACAAGGCAATGTCAATAGTGCTTGCTACTAATGGATTTGTTAAAATAGCAAAATATTCTGCCCACCTTCCCAGCCATTTAGTGACTGGGTACCACTCCTCCTCACCAAAAATCAGATTTACTCTAATAAAACTTTAAAAATACAAGTCTTAGAAAATGACTCTAAACTGAAGCATAAAGATAATTTCAGAAATAAGAAGTTTAAGCCTCATATTCCTTTTATTTTCAGCTTCTTATTTGACAAGACTTCATTCAAAGGTGTTTCTCTACCTTCCTACCCAAGTCAGACAGTTACATATAACTAAGAAACTGATAAAAATATTGACTATAAAAGACTGGCATTTATGATTGTATGTGCTACTTTAAAATTCCCCAAGTGTACTTGTCTAATTCCCTTTTTATCAGAATAAATACAACACTGAGGAACAGACCATATTTTATATGATTTATTCATGTATGAAAGTGAACAATATAGTAAATAAATGCATTTTTTTCTAATTTAGATTCACACTATGGCAGTAGGATCTGTCTACAGGGTTTGGTTTATGAGTCTAGCACTCAAAAGTAACAAGTTTCAGACATTTGGCTTCATTGAAGCACCTTGTTACTAGGTCAGTAGTAGCATAGCGCTATGGCTGAGTTTCCATACATATGATTTCTGGGTAAAGAACTGTACTTGTTCTATTTGATTATTATTATTATTTTTTTTTTGAGATGGAGTCTCGCTCTGCTGCCCAGGCTGGAGTGCAATGGCGCCATCTCTGCTCATTGCAAGCTCTGCCTCCCAGGTTCACGCCATTCTCCTGCCTCAGCCTCCCAAGTAGCTGGGATTACAGGTGCCTGCCACCATGCCCGGCTAATTTTTTGTATTTTTAGTAGAGACAGGGTTTCACCGTGTTAGCCAGGATGATCTCAATCTCCTGACCTCGTGATCTGCCCGCCTCGGCCTCCCAAAGTGCTGGGATTACAGGCGTGAGCCACCGCACCCGGCTGATTATGTTTTTTGAAAATCATGAGTAGCAACCTTTATAATGAGATTCAAATGTATGTATTAACAAGTGAAGTGCATAGTGTAGTCTTGAAAGAAAACTGAATACCTTAGTATCAGTTATGATTAGTCTTTAAGTTATCATTCCAACCCTGAGTTATAAAGCAACTCCTGAATACAAATCTAAATACATTCCCACTCTTGCCAGCACTACTCTTCCCAGGCCAACCATAAATCTTTATCTTACAGCCTTATATCTCCCAGTGTGACTCTAGAGCAGATATTTTCAAATGTTTGCAGGAATCAGAATCACAGCCTTGTTGAAACAGGTTGCCGGGTCCCACCTCCAGACTTTGATTCAGCAGGTCTGGGGTGGGGCCCCCTAATGTGCATTTTTAACAAGTTCCAAGGTTATGTTGATGCTATTGGACCCACAACCACATTTTGAGTATTACTACTCTTAAAAAAAACCCACACAAGACCATTTACCTCTACCTAATTTTACTTAAGTATAGTTGTTCCTAGATGTCTACAAGGGATTGCTTCCAGGATCCCCGCGGATACAAAAATCTGCACTTTCTCAAGCTGGTCCTCCATACACACAGGATGCCTGCGAATACTGTATTTTGATCTGCATTTGGTTGTGGATGCAGAACCCACCAATACGGTGGGCCACCTTTATTTATTGAAAAAAATCTGTGTACAAGTGGACCCACACAGTTCAAATCCATGTTGTTTAAGATGCAACTGTACCGAGCACACATCTCAAGTTTACCCTTTTTGGCTGATGAAACAGCTACTCAACTCTCAGGATAGGATGTAGGGTAAATGACAAGAAACCTTTCTATGGAGCCTGTCCACTTTGCCAGTCCTGGCAGGAACTGCTTGGTGTTCCATGACATCAGGTTGATTTCTGTACTCAGGACAGCTATAGGATTTTAATGCATGAACTTGTTGACATGAACAGTTTAACTTTCTAGCTTTCTAACTAACAATAAAGATCTCACTCCATGAGATAGAAGAAAAATGTAAAAATCATAACTTAAGTCTCTAGGCCCACAGCTCAATTGCTGCAGAGAAAATCACAATTTGAAGAACATCTTTCTTCACTTGACTGATTTGACAAAGGCTCCTAAGCATCTCATCTGTGGAATCAATAAGTCATGCCAACAATACGCACATTTTATAATAAACATCCAATTCACCATTACACATTTTTCTCCAGGTGAAAACTATTTGGAGTGGTACTGTTGTATGGCAGGTCAAATACAGAACATGAATTCTAAAGACACGAATTCAAGTCTCAGTTTTGTCACATACAAGCCATAATATCACCTAAACTAATGGAATCCATTTTATCTTGTATACAGGTATAACGATATTTATATTAGAGCATTTTAAGGCAATAATGGATATGAAGGTATTTGATCCATTAGACTGCTTTATAAAAATGATATTTATGGCCAGGTGTGGTGGCTCATGCCTGTAATCCCAGCACTTTGGGAGGCCAAGGTGGGCAGATCATCTGAGGTCAGGAGTTTGAGACCGGCCTGGTCAACATGGTGAAATCCTGTCTGTACTAAAAATATACAAATTAGCCAGGTGTCCTGGCCCACACCTGTAATCCTAGCTACTTGGGAGGCTGAAGCACGAGGATAGTTTGAACCTGGGAGGCACAGGTTGCAATGAGTCAAGATCGTGCCACTGCACTCCACCCTTGGCAATAGAGTAAGACCCTGTCTCAGGCTGGGTCCAGTGGCTCATGCCTGTAATCCCAGCACTTTGGGAGGCCAAGGCGGACGGATCACCTGAGGTCAGGAGTTCGAGACATGCCTGGCCAACATGGGGAAACCCCGTCTCTACTAAAAATACATAATTAGCTGGGTGTGGTGGCATGTGCCTGTAATCCTAGCTGCTCTGGAGGCTGAGGCAGGAGAACTGCTTGAACCCCGGAGGCGGAGGCTGCAGTGAGCTGAAATTGTGCCATTGCATTCCAGCCTGGGCAAGAGTGAGACTCCGTCTCAAAATAAATAAATAAATAAAATAAAAATAAATAAATAATAAAAAAGACCTTGTCAAAAAAATGTTTATTATTCTTCAAAGATATTCGATTTATAATATGCCTATTGTAGAAAATTTTCAAAATAGTATTTCTCACATAACAGATCGTTTAAAATTATCACTTAACTACAAATTAAAGATAAACAAAAAAAAAAAGAAACTTTTTTTTTTTTTTAAAAGGAATCTCGCTCTGTCGCCCAGGCTGGAAAGCAGTGGCGCGATCTCGGCTCACTGCAACCTCCGCCTGCCAGGTTCAAGTGATTCTCCTGCCTCAGCCTCCTAAGTAGCTGGGATTATAGGTGCGCACCACCATGCCCAGCTAATTTTTGTATTTTCAGTAGAGACGGGGTTTCACCATGTTGGTCAGGCTGGTCTCGAACTCCTGACCTTGTGATCCACCTGCCTTGGCCTCCCAAAGGGCTGGGATTACAAGTGTGAGCCACTGCGCCTGGCCGAAGCTTTTTTCTTTCTTTTTTTTTTTTTTTTTGAGACGGAGTCTCTCTCTGTCGCCCAGGCTGGAGTGCAGTGGCGCGATCTCGGCTCACTGCAAGCTCCGCCTCCCGGGTTCACGCCATTCTCCTGCCTCAGCCTCCTGAGTAGCTGGGACTACAGGCGCCCACTACCACGCCCGGCTAATTTTTTTTTTGTATTTTTAGTAGAGACGGGGTTTCACCGTGTTAGCCAGGATGGTCTCGATCTCCTGACCTCGTGATCCGCCCGCCTCGGCCTCCCAAAGTGCTGGGATTACAGGCGTGAGCCACCGCGCCCGGCCAGCTTTTTTCTTAACTACAGAAGTTAAGAAATATTTAGTGTATTCTTTTAAATCAGAAATGTATAAATTTCCAAACACACAGGTAACAAAGCCAACTTCATTTCTAGGATGTCAATAACCACAAACCTGAATGGTGGGGACCACCTTCAAAGAAAACAAGACACTTAGAAACAAAAAGATGAAGTGGCAATTCCCAAGACAAGCAGGGGTCAGAATAAATGACTCGATTTCTACTTAGGCTAATTTTTATTAGAGTTCTGGGAAGAATAACCTGACTCAGGATAGGATGAAGAACCAATCACATCAGCAATAACAGCTCAGGGGTTCTGTTTTGTTTTCTGGTTTAAAAATTCTAGTTGAACTGAAAATGCTGACAAAGTTAAAAAAAAATCAAGAAACATCATAGTAATTATTCACATGAATAATAATCTGTAAATAGATTCAGATCATCACAAATCAGCAAAAGCAGAAAGCCAATAGTGTACTTTAAAAGGTATAAAAAGGAATTCTAGTAATGGTCACCATAATACAGATTGCCTTGATAAAAGTTGACACTGTTCATATGTAAAACTTTCCCTCTCCTCCCCTCCCCTCCCCTCCCCTCTCCTCTTCTCAAGATCGAGTCTTACTCTGTCGCCCAGGCTGCCTCCCGGGTTCAAGCAATTCTCCTGCCTCAGCCTCCAGAGGAGCTGGGATTACAGGTGCCTGCCACTACGCCCAAGTAATTTTTGTTTTTATTTTTTTTTATTTTTATTTTTTAGTATTTTTAGTAGAGATGGGGTTTTGCCATGTTGGCCTGGCTGGTCTTGCTCCTGACCTCAAGTGATCCACCCGCCTCAGCCTCCAAAAGTGCTGAGATTACAGGCGTGAGCCACCACATCCGGCCTGTAGAACATGTTTTAATGGTTGGATGTTTTGATGTCACAAGGTTGTAGAAGCAGAAGTAAAACTGGAGATGGCACAAGATAAGAACAGATTATATTATTTGAATAATGCAACTGAGAATAAAAAGGGAAAAAAACAAATCAAATGAATTGAAAAGTGTTTTTCTAAAATCCACAAAATATCCTAAATTGAACTTCCAGTCAAAAATTTATGTAGGCATTCAGAACAAAAGGATTCACACTGACTGGCAATAAAAGGATTTTTGGAAGACAATGACCACAAGAAAGATGAAACTGACATTACAAACATAAAAGAATCAACAAAGTAAGACCAAGAAATATTGTCCTCAGAAATCATAAAGCCCAACTTTAATTATTACCACATAGAGGCAAGCACTAAGCTTAGTTTAGCTTCAAACAGAACAAACCTCAGCTAAAATAGATAAATGTGCAAGGCTGGTTAAAAGACAATGCTTTGAATTCTTAAAGCAGTAGGAACATTCTTGGATTAAAAGTCTGTTTTACAGAGGAAGCATAATTTCTCTTGAATGACGCTGCTTATTTTCACAAACAAAGAAATTAGGGCAACAAGGACAGCAAAAACCTCAGAATGTCACATAGCAACCAAGGCACAGCAGAACTATAGCAGGGCGTGTATCATATGCTAACATCAAAATAATACCCTAAGGTGAGATTCAACTACCTGCCTACGAGAAACACTACAATAAGCAGAGTCAGAAACATATGCACAATTATTGGTCTTCCAAAAGTGAGACTGGTGGCCTGAGCAGGAAAACTGCATCTCTACAGCTACCAGAGGCTGCAGTCCAAAGAGGAAAACATCCGGGGCAGGAATGAAGCCTCCCAGACTTTGCTTCTCCTCCAACTTACTCCTGTCACCTTCCTCCAGGCTGATGAGGATGGAACATAGACCTGGCCCTGGTCTCCGACATCATGTTGCCCCCTACAAATGTGATGGCTCAGCAGGGGGGTATCTTGCAGGGCCTGAGGGCTGCTGGGCAGCTACTGCGCTCATGACAGACCCCTCAATATACTCTGACCTTCCTGCCTTATCACAGAGGACTACTGAGTGTGCCCTGCCTGAAGGTAAAGTGTGTGGCTACAGAGAAGTCAGTACTAGGCCATTATACTTTCAAATCTTCATCCTCCAAGTTTGGTAACACTAACTTGAAACATAAACTTTTAACTAGTCACTTACTGTGCCCACACACACTTCCAAGTCTCTCCAGGGGCTCACTGTGCTAAGCCTGCCGAAAAACAATCAGGACAAACACCAAGTGGACTTTTCACTCGTAACTTCACTGTGTAGACTTTCTGATTTATAATTTAGACAACTCATTTTAAATAGAACTTCAAGTCATTTTATACTTTAGGTATATTTGTCTTAAACTTATTACCTGAAAAATTAATGTAAATGGGTTTTTACTTAACAAACCCAAAATGCTGTTTGTTAAAATAAAGACAAACATAGAAAAATTTGTTTTCATCAACGATGTCATTCTCTTGTCTGCAGGGTATCTTATTTAGCACGCTTCTCTTCCTGCACTGGGCTTAGGGAGCTTCCTTGGGGACAGGCAGCGGCACTGCCCCTGGTCCATGAGAGATGCTGTGTCAATGTGTGGGAGAGCTCAAGAGGGAAACAGACCCATCCGATGGAAGCCTTTTTCATCTTTTATTTCTGTCTCAAAAATGTTTCTCAATTGCAAACCACATCTTCAAAGGAAACAATACAGGAATCGTACAAGTTATTTATTTATTTATTTATTTATTTATTTATTTATTTTAATTTAATTTTGAGATGGAGTCTTGCTCTGTCGCCAGGCAGGAGTGGCAGTGGCGCAATCTCAGCTCGCTGCAACCTCCACCTCCTGGGTTCAAGTGATTCTCCTGCCTCAGCCTCCCGAGTAGCTGGGACTACAGGTGTCCGCCACCATGCCCAGCTAACTTTTGTATTTTTAGTAGAGATGGGGTTTCACCACATTAGCCAGGATGGTCTCGATCTTTTCACCTTGTGATCCACCCGCCTCGAACTCCCGAAGTGCTGGGATTACAGGCATGAGCCACCGTGCCCGGCCCTCATACAAGTTTTTACACCTTTTTTTGACCAGTTTATTACTGATAATATCTTATCGACTGAATTCTTGGCCTCCTAAAATTGATAGTTAAAGATAGATGTATGTTAAGATTGTAAACTATCACTGTGCTGGGCTATAAATACAATGGTAAGGATTATCTAAGTTACCTTTATCAAAATAAACAGATTATTGATATGACATTCAAAACAGTCTGTGGTACCCTCTCAGGAAAACAAAATACTACCTAAATATTTTATATTATATCAAATATTACACTATTTCAGTTAAATTTTTTTCTAGTACATTTACTGAGCACTCACTACATACAAGAGATTACTTGGTACACCAATGGTTAGAAATGACAACAGAACCAACTTAAAAGTAAGCTTGATCTATTAGAAGAGGGAAAGCATAATATAATGTTATTATATTTATTTAATACAGTGTTCTCTCATCCACGGTTTTGTTTTTTGTGGTTTCAGTTATCCTCAGAACACCAAGGTACGAAAATAGGTGAGCACAGTACAATAAGATATTTTAGGAGACCACATTCACATAATTTTTATCACAGTATATTGTTATAATTGTTCTACTTTATTATTGTTGTTGTTAATCTTTACTTTGCCTTATTTATAAATTAACCTTTATCACAGGTATGTATGCATAGGCAAAAACAGTTTATACAAGGTTGAGTACTATGTATCCACTGGAGGTATTGGAATATATCCTCCTTGAATAAGGCGGCACTAGTATAATGTTTAATAATGGCAATTATGCTTATTGCTATAATGTTTGTATTTTATATATTAATTAAATTTGCATTTTATAAATTACTTTCCTTAAGTTACCTCATTTGATTCTTGTAACAATTCTGGGAGGGAAGTAGGATATATATGATTCTATTTTTCATTTTATTTCATTATTATTTTATTTCCTCCTCCCCCTGAGCTTTATTGAAATAAAATTGGCAAATAAAAATCAAATACATATAAGAGGGACACAATGTGATGTCTGAAGTACGTATAGAGTGTGAAATGACTGCCACAGCATTAACATCTCCATCTACTCACATGTTCTATGTGTATGCTTACAATACTTAAGATCCACTCTCTCAGCAAATGTCAAATATACATTAACTGTAGATACCATGCTGTCCGTTAGGTCTCCAGAACTTACTCATCTTATAAATGAAAGTTTGGACCCCTTAACTAATATCTCTCCATTTCTCCCACCCTCAAGCCCTGGTACACCCTTCTACTCTGTTTCTACGAGTTCAACTTTTTTTTTTTTTGAGACAGAGTCTCGCTCCGTAGCCCAAGCTGGAGTGCCGTGGTGCGATCTCGGCTCACTGCAACTTCTGCCTCCCGGGTTCAAGCAATTCTCCTGTCTCAGCTTCCCGAGTAGCTGGGACTACAGGCGCCCACCACTACACCTGGCTAATTTTTGTATTTTTAGTAGAGACGGGGTTTCACCATATTGGCCAGGCTGGTTTCGAACTCCTGACCTTGTGATCCGCCCACCTAGGCCTTCCAAAGTGCTGGGATTATAGGCGTGAGCCACCACACCCGGCTAAAACCTTTCATCTTAATCATTACTCTTATTGTATATCTTCTTTGCAGAAAGAATCTTTTCAGATTCTTTGCCCATTTTAAAAATTAGGTTGTCTTTTTATTACTGAGTGGTAAGAATTTTTTATATATTCTCTATGTAACTCTCTTATCAAATATATGATCTGCATATACTCCCCTCCATTCTGTGGGTTAACTTTTCACTTTCTTGATAGTGTCTTTTGAAGCACAAAAGTTCTTAATCTTGATGATGTGCAATATTTTTTTCCTTTTATTGCTTATGCTTTTAGTGTCATACCTAAGAATCCATCACCACATTCAAGGTCAGGAAGATTTCTTCTTGTGTTTTATTCTAGGAGTTTTATACTTTTGGCTCTTACATTTAGGTCTCTGATTCATTTTGAGTTAATTTTTGTATATGTTTAAGGTAAAGATCTCTATTATTTTGCATGTGGATATCTGGTAGTCCCAGCACCATCTGTGGAAGACCATTATTCTTTCCCCCTTGAATGATCTTGGTACCTTTGTTGAAAATCAACTGACCATAGAGGGGTTTAGAGGGCTTTCTAATACATTTCATTGGTCGACATGTTTATCTTTATGTCAACACTGTCTTGAATACTGTAGCTTTGTAGCACTTTTTTAAATTGGAAAGGGTGAGTCCTATAACTTTCTTCTTTTTCAAGGCTGTTTTGGCTATTCTGGGTCTCTTGGGTTTACATATGAATTCCCATGATCATCTTGTTAATTCTACAAAGAAGCCAGATGGGATTCTAATAGGAATCATGTTGAATCTACAGATCAATTTGGTGAGTATTGCCTTCTTAACCCTATTAATCTCTTTCAACATTGTTTTGTAGTTTTCAGAGTGTATTACACTTGTTTTATTAAATTTATTTCTAAGTATTTTATTCCTTTTGGTGCCACTGTAAATAAAATTGGTTTAATTTCATTTTCAGATTGTTCATTGCATTGTACAGAAATACAGCTGATTTTTCTATACTGACCTTGTACCCTGCAACCTTGCTAAGCTCATTACTTCTATCAGTTCTTTTTAGTGAATTCCTTAGGATTTTCTACATTTGAAATCATGTCATCTGTGAATAGAGAAAATTTCACTTCTTCCTTTCCAACATGGAAGCTTTTTAATTCCTTTTCTTGCCTAATTGTCCTGGGTAGAAACTCCAGTACAATATTCAACAGAAGTGGTAAAAATGGATATCCTTCTCTTATTCTATTGTAACTGGAAAATATACTCTGTAAGACCTGAATATTTTAACTTATTAAGACTTGTTTGATGGTTTAACAAATAATCTATCCTGGAAAATGTTCCATGTGCACTTGACAAGAATGGGTATTATGTTGTTAGGTGGGAATATTCTGCACGTCTGTTAGGTTTAATTGCTTTACAGTGTTGTTCAAGTCCAATATTTCCTACTGATCTTCTTTCTAGTTGTTCTAATCCCTATTGAAAGTGGGAGTAATTAAGTCTCTAATTATTATTTTAGAACTGTCTATTTCTCCCTTTGACTCTGTCAATTTTTACTTCTTATATTCTGGGGCACCTTTGTTAGGTGTATATATATCTGTTATCTCTTCTTGCTGTATTGAACCTTTTAATTAATATATAGTGTCCTTTATCTCTTGTAACTGCTTTTGATTTAAAGTTTATTTTATCTACAATGATATACCTATCTTGGTTCTCTTTTAGTTAATATTTGCATAGAATATCTTTTTCCATCTTTTAACTTTCAACCCCTTCTGTCCTCATATGTAAAGTATGTCTCTTGTAGACAGCATATAGATGAATCCTGTTTTTTTAAATGTAATCTTCTAATCTCTATCTTTTCATAGTTGAATTTCATCCATTTACATTTTTTCCATTTTTAATTGTTATCCATTTACATTCAATGTGATTACTGATAAAGAAGGATTTATGCCTGCTCTCCACTCCATGTTTGGGCTTTAACAGTTTGACTCTAATATATCTTGGCATTAATCTCATAGTGTTTATCTTGCTTGGAGTACATTGAGCTCATGGTGGCATATATTCAGTTCTTTCCTTTTGGCGGGGATGTTTTGCTCCATTATTTCTTTAAATATTTTTTCTGCCCCTTTCTCTTTCTCTTCTGATACGTGAAAATCCTCTTTGCTCACCCTGGCTCCAGTGTGCTGCACCAGGAAGGCTTGTGGACTGACAGCTGCCTGCCATGAGGTTGAGGGTGGAAGATGGTAGCTGCTACAATGTGAAAGCTGAACTTGACCATGATTTTCTGAAATTTACCAGAGACTTTGCCCCTGGATGCTACAAGTGTTCTTCTATACTCAGAGTTCCAAAATAGTTGTCTCACACAGTTCCTTACACAATTAATTCAATTGTTTTGGTGAAGGCACAATTTCCTGGAGCTTTCTACTCTGCCATCTACCCTGATACCATTCCAATAACAACTAATATTTACTGAGTACTTAGTCTGTGCCAAGTATTGTTCTAACACTTTTCATCTTCATATTGGCCCTATAAAGAAGTGTATTACGAAGATCTCCATTTTACAGATAAACCGAGGTAGATTAATGAGCCTAATCAAAGAGATGAGGAATGGTTGATCCAGGACACAAACAAGGTAGATTCATGCTCGTAACTACCAAACTCTCCATATATTAATATATATTTCTATAAAGTGGGAAAATGCCTTAAAAAATCATCAAGGCATGTTATACATTTTGAAAATAAGAAAATAGGCCAGGAGTGATGTCTCATGCCTGTAATCCCAGAACTCTGGGAGGCTGGCGGGGAGGTTTGCTTGAGCCCAGGAGTTCAAAGCCAGTATGAGACCGCCATCTCTACATAAAAATTATTTAAACATTTCTAGGTGTGGTGGCACATGCCTATGGTCCCAGCTACTTGGGAGGCTGAGGCAGGAGGATGCTTGAGCCCAGGAAGTCAAGGCTGCAGTGAGCTGTGATTATGCCTCTGCACTTCAGCCTGGGTGACAAAGCAAGACTCTGTCTCAAAAAAAAAAAAAAAAAAAAAAAGAAAAAGAAAAGAAAAGAAAAGAAGAAAACAAAAGTTCAAGTTAGTGCACTGTCCAAAGGTCACACATACGGTCTGTTAATGGCAAAGCACTGATGATAAGTTTGTCTCCTAATTGCCAGCCCCTTCCTACCATACTAACCTCACTTCTCTGAGTAACTGAGCTTTTGGAGTCTGAATGAAAATGTTTTTCTAGTAGCAGGATCTTTGAATGCAATGGCAGAGTCCAGAATTCACATTCTTCAGAAATATTGTTTATCCTCAGGCCGGGCGGGGTGGCTCACACCTGTAATCTCAGCACTTTGGGAGGCCGAGGCAGGTGGGTCAACTGAGGTCGGGAGTTCGAGACCTGCCTGACCAACATGGAGAAACCCCGTCTCTACTAAAAATACAAAATTAGCCGGGCGTGGTGGCGCATGGCTGTAATCCCAGCTACTCGGGAGGCTGAGGCAGGAGAATTGCTTGAACCCGGGAGGCAGAGGTTGCGGTGAGCCGAGATCGCACCATTGCACTCCAGCATGGGCAACGAGAGCAAAACTAAAAAAAGAAAAAAAATATATATATATATATAGTTTATCCTCCAAAACCAGTGTAATCCCCATTTCCTGCTCTCATGAATTAAATGCAACCAGAAAAAAAGACCTCCCCACCTGTCTCTATTATCTGCACAGAACTCCCTATCTTATACTGTGATTACTTATGTACTTGCATATTTAAAATCTTCCAACCAGAGAACAAATTGTGTTTTCTAGTTATTTATCTGTTCCATATTCCTTAACCTGATGACTTATATATATTAGAGTTTGACCAAATATTTGCTGAATGAATGATAAATAAAACCTTGCTTCCCAGAACCACACATTAATTCTACTTAAAATATCACTTCCACAGTATCACATCTACACTAAGATATCTGTGATGGCTCAGAATAAAGTCCAAAGATTTTAAAGTGATATTCAAGGCCATTCAATCCCCACAAGAGGCTCACCTGTTCTTTGGGACTGAAACCTTGATTTGTGTACTTCTCGGTGCCTAATGTTGTGTCCTGCACATAGCAGGTGATCAGTAACTACTGACTGAGTGAAAGGAGCTCAAACTATAGTAAATGTCATTTAAGATTGATTTACATGTCACTGCACTCTAGCCTGTGCGACAGAGCGAGGCTCCTTCTCAAAAAATAAAAAAAATAAAAAAGTAACAGTGCTTCCAGATAGAGTTATGAAATCTCTTTCCCAGGAGAACTTCAAAAATAAAAAAAGATACTCAGTGACTGAGTATCCCTACTGTCTGGAGGCAAGAAGCTGGACTTTATAAGTCCTTTCTAGTCCTACAATTCTATGACTACTCACTTAAAGCTGCATTATTAGCCAACTGGAAGAAAAGGGAAGTAGATCTGTACCTGTGACTGAATATGGAATTTCAGACAAATCATTTAAGGTTAGGAGGGAAAAAATTTCAAGTTTAAGAAAGAAAAAAATGCCAGGCACGGTGGCTCACGCCTGTAATCCCAGCACTTTGGGAGGCTGAGGCGGGCAGATCACCTGAGGTCGGGAATTCAAGACCAGCCTGACCAACATGGAGAAACCCCACCTCTACTAAAAGTACAAAACTAGCTGGGCATGGTGGCTCATGCCTGTAGTCCCAGCTACTTGGGAGGCTGAGGGAGGAGAATCGCTTGAACCTGGGAGACGGAGGTTGTGGTGAGCCAAGATTGTGCCACTGCACTCCAGCCTGTGCAACAAGAGCTGAAACTCCATCTCAAAAAAAAAAAAAAAAAAAAAAAAAAAAAATATATATATATATATATATATGAGTATAAATATCACATTCTTATCCATAACTATTAATATACCTGGTATATGGTGGTTATATAGTTTTCAGCCACATAGTAGAATGTCCCCTTTGTTGTCTTATTTTTTCTATTTTTAAACCTTTAATATCAAAATCTTGTTAATATAGGTTAAACAATATGGGATTGTTTAAATAATTTGAGACAGCAAATGAAGAAATATTATGTAAATATTTGAATAGTATATAAGGACTATATAATCATGCATAAATGTTTAATAAAATATTAAGTAAAAAAGCATAATGTAAAATGGCATGGCTAATTTAATTGCAACAATAAAAAAAGAATACAAATGAGTAAAGACTATAAAATATTTTTAAATATTTGTAGTTGTATTAAATATAATAGTGGGATAATTAGGGATATTTTACATTTTTAAAAGGTATAAACTATTTTTTTCTGTATCATATCTGTAAGAATTCCACAGAAATAAAATTTTAATGGTAATATTTAAACTTATTTAAAATGTTTCTAAAAGCCTAGAATGGTACAAGGTTCTTTATTTTCACTTTTAAAATGTTAAAATAAAAAGAATTTCCTTAGATATACTTTAGAACTCAGTGTAAACATCACTCTGTACTCTAACTCAATGTTGCTTCTCTTTACTGCCCAATGCATGCATGTCCCCCAAACAGGAAGTCAGCCTTCTTCAATTTCTCTCTCTTCTCTCTTCTCCTCTTTCTTTTTGAGACGGAATTTCACCCTTCTTGTCCAGGCTGGAGTGCAATGGCGTGATCTTGGTTCACCGCAACCTCTGCCTCCCAGGTTCAAGCTATTCTTCTGCCTCGGCCTCCCAAGCAGCTGGGATTACAGGCATGTGCCACCACACCCAGCTAATTTTGTATTTTTAGTAAAGATGGGGTTTCTCCATGTTGGTCAGGCTGGTCTTGAACTACTGACCTCAGGTGATCTGCCCGCCTCAGCCTCCCAAAGTGCTGGCATTACAGGCATGAGCGAGTGTGCCTGGCCGTCAATGAATTTCTTTTACACAAAGGCAATAAGCCTAAAATAAAATAAATCTGTGCCCAGTTTTGCTTGATACTTCTTGCAATAAGGAACTGCAAAATAATAAGCTCAAGTTGAACAAGGAAATATTTTTAGTAGGTTTATCTGAAAAATGATGAAATGATGTATTATATATATCAAACTATTTTATTTTTAAAACTAGTCTACTTTTAAAGAAAAGCGCAGTGTAATAATGAATGATGAAAATTTCCTTAACTACTGAATTCTTTTTTTTTTTTTTTCTTTTTGGAGACGGAATCTTGCTCTGATGCCCAGAATGGAGTGCAGTGGTGTGATCTCTGCTCACTGCAACTTCTGCCTCCCGAGTTCAAGAGATTCTCCTGCCTCAGCCTCCTGAATAGCTGGAACTACAGGCATGTGCCACCACACCCAGCTAATTTTTTAATTGGTAGTAGAGACAGGGTTTCACCATGTTAGCTGGGCTGGTCTTGAACTCCCAACCTCAGGTGATCCACCCGCTTTGGCCTCCCAAAGTGTTGGGATTACAGGCGTGAGCCACCGCACCCAGCCTAACTACTAAATTCTGTAAAAAGTCGGGCGTGGTGGCTCATGCCTGTAATCCCAGCACTTTGGGAGGCTGAGCCGGGCAGATCACAAAGTCAAGAGATCGAGACCATCCTGGCCAATATGGCGAAACCCGGTCTCTACTAATAATATAAAAATTAGCTGGGCATGGTGGTATGCACCTGTAGTCCCAGCTACTCGGGAGGCTGAGGAAGGAGAGTCGCTTGAACCCGGGAGGTGGAGGTTGCAGTGAACTGAGATCGTGCCACTGCACTCCAGCCTGGTGACAGAGCGAGACTCCGCCTCAAAAAAAAAAAAAAAAAAAAAAAAAGAAAAGAAAAAAGAAGCAAATATTTAAATATGATTTCCCAAAGGGACTAAATAATGGCTAAGTATAAGGAAAGGGATTTAAGTTCTTCTTCACACTTTATAAGTTTTACTACATCAAAAGACATTTAACCTCAGACTGAACAGGAAAGTAATCAAGTAGCTGAAAGACTGGTCAGATATTGTGTTAAATAGACATTTCCTCTCTCTTACTTCCAACAAGAGCAACTAAAAAATTATTCATAGGTATTAATCCCACACAGATGTCCTATAACTCAAATACCTGACTTAAAAACTTCTGAAAACTTGCCCAGTTTCTCCCAGAATTAGAATAAAATTTAGATCACCTTAGAGACAATGAGCAGTTCCATCTTTAGGAGTATTCTTACCAAGCTGATAGCATGCCAACGATCTGGACCCTTGCAGATTCTAAGTCTTATTTTCTTAACCACTAGCACCTAGCCAGGCTTATCCTCGCATGTGACAGTCGATAGGGGCACAATGGTACATGACAACCTGAGGCACAGTGACAAGTGATGTGGCCAAGTGGAGAACATGGGATTTGGAATCCCACAGATTTGGGTTTCAAGAGGGCCCATGTGGGGCCAGGTGCGATGGCTCACACCTGTATAATCCCAACATTTTGGGAGGCTGAGGCGAAGAATAGCTTGAATCCTGGAATTTGAGATCAGCCTGTGCAACATAGGGAGACCCCATCTCTACTAAAAAAAAAAGAAAAATGAGTCAGGTGTCATGGTGCACGCTGGTAATCTCAGCTACTTGGTGAGCCGAGGCAGGAGGATCGCTTGAGCCTAGGAGTTCGAGGCTGCAGTGAGCCCTGACGGGGCCACTGCACTTCAGCCTAGGCGACAGGGTGTGACCATGTTTCAAAAAAGAAAAAAAGAGGGCCTGTGTGATCTGAGCTGCCTCCCTCACTCCCTCAGTGGGCTTTAGTGAGAATTTAATGAACAAAACATGTAGTAGTCCTTGATGAAGACTACCTTATTTCTTTCCTTCATTGACAAAAAAAAAAAAAAAAGAGAAAAGAGTAAAGTACTGTTTCTAATTAGCCCAGTGATTCTAAATACTGGGAAGCATATTTGCCAAAAAAAATTGTCATACATCAAAACAGAGTTAAGAAATTCTTTCTAGCCTTCATTCAGCAACTTTCTCAAGAGAGAGATAAAGGCTAGACTGAACGTGCATTCAGGCTGGATGAGTAAGAGAAGCTGGAGGGGTGAAGTTTGGCGGGGATGAAGGGTGGGACAGTGGCACAGGAGTAGGAATAAGTCTCTTCCCTGTTCTCTTCCCTTCTTCCCACACCCTATAACTTTAAACAAATCTATACACATTCACAAATGGGGAAAGCTAAGTCCTTTGCTGCCAAAATGAAACAGCGGCAACCACAAGGGCAGCTGATTCTGGACTGCGCGCAGTCTTCAGCCTTCTGACACCCAGCAGCAACAGCGTCAGCAAAGGCAGTCACCTCAGGTGACAATGACATCTCTCAGCTTTTCTCCGCTGACTTTGAGGTGGAGCGCCCTGTGTGTTTGGTCCTACCAGTGAACCTTGCCTCCATGGGGGCCGAGGGTGCAGAGGAGAGAGAAATCCTTTCACAAAGACCAGGCAAGCCCTTCAGACAATGCCCTGTCCGGTGCCCCAGAGCATGTCCATTGTTCTCATTTCACCCCTGAAGGAAACCAAGGACTCTGATGTCCTCAGCCTCAAAACTGAGAATTCACAACCTCCACCACTGACCAACTGTTACACAGGTAATATTAAAATCAACAAAAACTATTTAAAATTAGATACCTTTTTAAACCAATGAAATGTTATGACATCAATAAGATGGTCACAAATACCATCCAAGGAATGGGGAAATCTACATTATATAATGCCAAATGGCAAGAGGAGAAGAAAATCACGCCTAGGGCTATAGCTGTTAACTAGGTGAAATTATTATAAGTGGATGTGATCACTCTAAGATACATATAAAGGAAGCATAAAAGAGACAAGAGAAACAAATCTTTTTCTGGTTATAAAAGAAGTGAACATTATAAAAACTTGGAAAGATTGGAAAAGGAGGAAAAAATCACAAGGCAGACAGCCGAACACTTGTGTAATTCCCTCACCTCTTTCTTTGAACATATTTTGTGGTTTGTAGTCATGCTTTACAAACAAAATTCAGTATTCCACTTCTCAGTATTATTTCAAAACCACTTCTTTGTATCAGTGTACGAGATATAATGTGTCAGTTACCGTACATGTTATACAAGGCTATATGTCGACCCATAGTAACCCTTACGTATAGGATGGGCATAAGAAGGGCAGCTAGTGGGAGAGATGGTACAAGGGACCCAGGGAAGAGGGTGAGAAAGCTGCCAGAGGGAGATGGGGGAGGATCCCAGGAGGGGCAGGGGTGGGCACTGCAGCTAGACTAGCAAGTCAGAAATGGCAAAGGTACAGAGGAGGCAAAAAGGATGCAAGCTGGAAAAAGCCAATGGATTTAAAAGTCAGTTGATCAGAGACTGACTGCTGAGCAGCCAATCTCAGCAGAGAAGTAGCAGCTAAAGATCAACTGCAGCGGGCTGAGAAAAGTATGTGAAATCTGGACACAGTGTAGAGAGGCTGCTGGCAGCTTCTTCAAGTGGTTGAGGGAGGCGTCCTGAAGCCTGGCTTAAGGGGACACAGTTCAGAGGAAGAAGCAAATGAGCAAGGTACTGAACAGGTTTGGGATTAAATGTTAAATCAGTTCTGCTTGGAGACTCCAGGTGGAAACTCCAAAAGAAATACAATACTCT
Source organism: Homo sapiens (assembly GCF_000001405.40). Lineage (NCBI taxonomy): Eukaryota > Metazoa > Chordata > Mammalia > Primates > Hominidae > Homo > Homo sapiens. The sequence goes on along the minus strand of NC_000008.11, from coordinate 47,561,275 downwards.
AATTGAGAAATACTTTTCTACCTGCTATGCTGCCACACAGACATGATACTTCATAGACTCTGGCAGTACAGCCTGGGTCTCACTTGAACATATGCGCCATGGAGGAAGTCATTAAGTCATTAAAACAACAGCAAAAATGTTAGGCCACTCATGTTCGATGGCAGGCATTGTGCCAGGCACTCTGCTGCTTTATCCAGTGGAGCATCCTGGTGGCTCTGTGAAGGAGATGCTATTATTACCACAAGTTTGAAGCTGAGGAAGCTGACAACCTGGCAAACTGGAATGAAGAAGCTAGGTGTGAACTACCTCTGCTTTAGGTAATCTAACGCTACACCCAGAAAGGAGGCCCTGGGGTCACCGAAGAATGAAACAGTTTCATTGTGCAGCAGAGCACAGAAGGGACCATTTAAAGTGAATTGTGTATGTCTTTGGAGGAAAATACACACAGATGCTAACTCTTAAAGTGGCAAAATGTGGGAGTCTCTATGGACTTAAAAATGGCTAGATCACCCTACGATCCATATAAAGGAAGGATAGGAGAACAGCAAGGCAAAAGAAGTATTTTCTGATTATGAAAGTCATAAATGGCCATTATAGATAACTTAGAAAAATAAAAAAAGTAAAAGAAGAAAAAATCATCATCAGCCAGACAGGCACAATGAACATGTAATTCTGTGGGAACATGTAAAAGCAGTCACACTGGGTTTCTGGAACTTTTGTACCTGAGCAAACCCAGGAGATTCTGGTGGAGTGCTTCTACAGTCTGAACTTATAAGCAGAAACTGGAAGGCTTTTCAGGGAACTGAGGACTTGAAGCAACAGCCAGCTGCAAGAGGACAGCTGCAGGCGGGACGAAGGGAAAAGGGCACACCAGGCTACCCAGTACTCAAAGACACAAGGATGGAGCTGGTGAGGGACTAGTTTGGGGATTCCAGAAAAGATGCTGGGCCCAAGAATCTGTACAGTGGAGAGGAGAAGTCTTCCCTTGGCCTACCAGCACTATATGTGAAAGTGATATTGGAAAAGAGAGTCAAGATTGTAAAAATATCCCACAAGGTGAGAGAACAGCCATTCCTATCAGAAGAGCTGGGCAAATGCCAAGTTTCACACTGACAGTTGCATCTCATAGTCAAAGAGTTAATATCAGGGAAAATGATGAAATGCTCTTTAGTTCAGCCAACAAAATGACCACTTTTGATAAGATGTATGGCTTGTCAATGTAAGCACACCTGTCAGGTGTGGCCTATCAACATAAGCAAGGAAATTTTACCATTTTAGGGTATCTATGTCTGTTTTCCCAAAGGGAATAAGAATTTCACTTTAAACAGATAACATTATGTTAATGTTATTCTTATCAGCAGGTCGTCTTTCACAAATTACTTAAAAGCGAGACCAACAATCAGTTTCTGTTTGTGTTTGTTAAAGTCAACCTGCTCAGAAAGAGAAAACTTGGATTTGGGTAATGGAAGATACAAGATGCAATCACATAGAGTCTTTCCTACCAATTATTTCATAATTTATTTCACTTCATGTTCTTCACAAAGGAAGCAAGGAACATGGTACCACATGCTACTGCCCCTTGTTCTCATCTTTAAACCCACTCCAACAGGCATAGGGGACACTTCTGGGTCAAGCCATACCTGAGACTCCTGTCTTCTCAACAACACTTGCATTTAAAAAAGGCCCCACGAATTATCAGGATCACCCCTACAAAGACGAACATACAATTGTTTCTTTATGCTGCCATGGAACTTGCAGACAGGCAAGCAAAGGCCTGGGTAACTGGATGACCAGCTCACAGGGGAGGGGGTCAGAGGCTGAGGAAGGGGGACACTTGTGTGTTCCAATCTGGTCAACTGGACTGTGCAAACCTTCTGTTTCCAATGGAACACACATATGTAAGGAAGACAGTAACAGCCAGGCAGGGTACAGCAGCTTTAGTCAGAGGGCACACTGGTATATACTTATGGATGGTTAAATGTAACACATTTGTTCAGTACTGAATTGTTATTATTCCAATTGTTAGTATATTACTTTAAAATGTCCACTATTTATGCAAGTGAGTTTTTTAACCTCTGTATAACTAAAGTGTTTTTATTTTCCTTTTATATTATACAGTTGACTGTTTAAAGGAACACTCCAAAATGAACTAGTGACAAACTAGAGAAATGAAACAAGAGCAAACATTCTTCGAAGACTAAAACCAGCAACCACAAAGGATGTTAAAATCTACAGATAAGGGCCAGATACAGCACAAGATCCATCACTGCCTTATTTCACTGGCTTGTTACATGGTTAATTTGGAATTCAAACTTACATTTAAAAAACGGTGAAGCTGGGCTGGTGCGGTGGCTCACGCCTGTAATCTCAGCACTTTGGGAGGCCAAGGGCGGGTGGATCACGAGGTCAGATCGACACTCATCCCGGCTAACACAGTGAAACCCTGTCTCTACTAAAAATACAAAAAAATTAGCTGGGCGTGGTGGTGGGCGCCTGTAGTCCGAGCTACTTGGGAGGCTGAGGCAGGAGAATGGTGTGAACCCAGGAGGCGGAGCTTGCACTGAGCTGAGATCGTGCCACTGCAGTCCAGCCTGGGCGACAGAGCGAGACTCCTTCTCAAAAAAACAAAGAAACAAAAAAAAAGGTGAAGCTAGATACTTATCCAGGGTTTGTGAAGACAATCACCATTCACAAATGCTGAGTGTAACCTTAACTTACCCATTATCTACTGGCATCTTGCTGGAACACTGCAGAACCTATCCTCTTTGGGGGCAAATAATTTGTGTTCAATCGGAGCTACAAAAAGACTCAAGATATATGATTTATATTTATATGATATAAATATTCCTATCAAAGCTCAAGAAAAGAGCTCTGTTTAAAAAAATACATTAGAACTACTATATAACAGTGTACCCAACCTGGCTGTTTTCTTTTTTAAAACAAATTTTATTTTATTTTAGATTCTTTATTTTATTTTAGATTTAAGGGATACACATGCAGGTTTGTTAAATGAGCACATTGCATGATGCTGATGTTTGGGCTTCTACTGATGCTGTCACCTCAACAGTGAACATAGTACCAAGTAAGTAGTTTTTCAACCTTGCCCTGCTCCCTCCCTCCCCTCTTTTGGGGTTTCCAGTGTCCATTATTCCTATCTTTATGTACATGTGTACCCAGTAGTTAGCTTCTACTAACAAGTGATTAAATGTGGTGTTTGGTTGTGTTTCTGCGTTAATTCACTTAGAATAATGGCCTCCAGCTGCATCCATGTTCCTGCAAAGGCCATCGATTTCATTTTTTATGGCTGCAAAGTATTCCATGGTGTGTATGTACCACATTTTTTTTAATCTAGTCCACTGCTATAGGGCACCCAGGCTGATTCCAGGTCGCTGCTATTGTGAATAACAGTAAAGCCCATTTCTACACAGAAGCATTAAAGTAGAAAACTGTCTTCCTTAAATAAATTAAAGAGCACAAAAGTCTTGTGCGTATCTCAAAAGGTCTTAATTGTCTTTAGTGATATACCAAAGGTTCATGAACTTAGAAATGAGATGAGTCTACTTATACATAATGTTGGCCAACAACATTATTTAAGTATTTAAGAGATAGCCAACCATAGTGTGGTCTTCAGGCTGTGTAGGAAGGGTTCAGCCAACACCTGTTTTTGCCCTCCAGGTTATTCACACTTTAATACAGTAACAATGACATAGCTTAGCATGTTTTTTAAAAATAAGAAATACATACACCAAATATTATATAATCAGTTTCTGACTTGCAAACAGTTTAGGACATAACCAAAAAGGTACACAGATTAGCATGAAAGACTTTGCCATATGACGCTCATAATCTCCCTGCAACTGCCCTTCTTGTTATCAGTTCAGAACAGAGGTGCAGCAACTGGCCTGGACAGGCGCCTTCTCTAAGACAGCATCAAGACGTAGGTTCCTAGGGTTCAGGAATATTTTTCTAATTTATTCAGATACGCCTGCCGCATTGACTACCCAAAGGTCACCCCCTTTTTTCCATCTTCTCCTTCTCTCCACTTCATGGAGGCATACTTCCACAGTATCTGAACTTGACTCAAAATTATTTTTCTCAGAGAAATAATATTATAAATGTGGCTATGAGGAGCCGAAGTCTCATTATCAGTAAAATGTTATAATGCATTAGTATAAAACAGACTTTTGGGGGCTGGCCTGGGAATGCAGCTATGATTTCCACTGCTGCTCTCTGGGAAAATGCAGTCTAAGTTCTAAGCAAAGAACTTTTGGGAAACAACCTGTTCATACTTAAGGGTGTGTCCTTTGAAATCAGAAAGCAAAAAGTAGCAAAGTGGGGACATAAAAACACCTTAATTTATATTTACTATGCTGGCTGGGCGCGGTGGTTCATGCCTGGAATCTCAGCATTTTGGGAGGCCGAAGTGGGAGGGCTGCTTGAGGCCAGGAGTTCAAGACCAGCCTAGACAACATAGCAACACCCCTTCTCTATCAAAAATTTAAAAAATTATCTGGGAATGGGAGTGTCATGTACCTGTAGTCCCAGCTACTCAGGAGGCTGAGGTGGAAGGATCACATCAGCCCAGGAGTGTGAGGCTGCAGTAAGCCGTGATTGTGCCACTATGCTCCACTCTGGGCAAAACAAAGCAAGACCCCATCTCTATAAAAAACAAAAACAAAATAAGAAAATAAACTTACTAAGCTTTACTCCTCATCCCATGACCTGTGACAACTTCTACTCCTAAATATCCACCTGTAGATTTAAATTACAACATGTAGTTTAGGCATTATAGGTTGCTGGCTAACCAAAGGATTTCATTCCTCAAGTAAGCCCAAGTACCTAGGGCTAAAACAGTTCTGGCTTGGAAGCAATGCTTACTTTGCAGGTAGAGCCCCAGATTAAACCCAGTGTCTCTAGAGTAGAATGAAGCCAATGAATGGAAGGAAGAGGTGGAGGCAGGCTGAGATTCAGTATGGAACAATCATTAGGGAAGCTAAGCCAGTGAACAAAAATTGCACATCCAGCCAGCCAGCCCCACTGAGGCCATCTAAGATCAGCCAGCTATCTTCAGATCTCAGTTGTGGTTCTATGCTTGAGACTGCTAGGCCTACAGGCTAATTCTCATTGGCTGGCTTCTCTTTGGCCTAGCAGAGATGGAAAATCGTCCCTGGCTGACAATAGACAATGTAACAGGAGTTGGTATGGCCTTCAGGGAGCATCAGAAATTGGGCATCTGTGTAGGGTCATATAAAAACTCATTAACATACCTATAACATCTTTAAAATCTTAGAAAACTAAGAGTTTTTGCTTCTATTATTTTATTTAGTTCCCATAACAACCCTGTCAGACAGACAGACTACTGTCAACATTCTGACTTGATGAATGAAAAAGTAAGGCTCTGATAACTGTCCAAAATTTCTTTGCTGGAAATTACAGTGTGGTATTATTTCCATGCTACTGTGATTTCTACCAGATGGAGTAAGAACTCACATTCACAGAGTGGCTTGATACCCATCCCCTCGAGAATGTCTCACTGGCCATTGAGAGGATACAGGCCATGTATTCAGAAAATCACAGGTCTCCCTTCACAAAGAAGCCACATCATACAGTGCAAAGAATACACATACCCCACTCCTAGCTCCAACTATTAGCACCTCCATCAAAATGGAATATACACAGGAAGGAACATGAGTTCCATTACACTTCAGCTGTTAACACTATAGATTTTTAAAAAATTACTGCTTCTATTGCTCAATTTTTGAGGAACCAAATTAAAAGTTACTAGATTATATTATTATACACAAGTATCTATCTCCCAGTTTCTTCTGTAGAACGTGTCTATTTCCCCAGTGAGATTTTAGTGATGCAAGGGACTGGAGTTGACTCTTCTATTTATTGAATCTCTACAGTATGCAACAAGTACTAGGCACATCCTAGGCACCAAGAGATACATACTGGAATGAATATTTCTCAATTCTTTGAGAAAGTCATTCTTATCTTGGAATTGTTATTTTATAGAAATAAAGTGGCATGGCTGGATTCATTTCTAACATATTCTAATTGCTTTATTTCTAGGAGTCCATATACAGCTTCTAAAATCTACCCTTTGGGAAAGTCAAATAATGATCATAAGTACAGAGTGGGAGGAAGGCTAGCAAAACAGAGACAGAAGACAGAATAGAAAGGAACAGATTATACCACTTTATACCACTTGTTTACTCATAAGTACTCTAGGTTAGATCAAGACTAAGATTTAGGAAAAAAAATTTGCTATTAATTTCTAGACCAAGAACTGGAAGCATAAAAGTCTGGTATTTCCAAATGATCAAACTTACAGGCCACCTGCTTTTGAAAATTTAACTGTGCAATATGTATTTAAACACAAAGAAGAGAGGAGGTTCCAAGATGGCTGAATAGGAACAGCTCCAGTCTACAGCTCCAAGCGTGAATGACGCAGAAGACAGGTGATTTCTGCATTTCCAACTGAGTTACAGGGTTCATATCACTGGGGCTTGTCGGACAGTGGGTGCAGCCCACAAAGTGTGAGCCGAAGCAGGGTGGGGCACTGCCTCACCCGGGAAGCGCAAGGGGTCGGGGAATTCCCTTTCCTAGGAAGGGAAGCCGTGACAGACAGTACCTAGAAAATCGGGACACTACCACCCTAATACTGCACTTTTCCAAATGGTCTTAGCAAATGGCACACCAGGAGATTATATCCCGCGCATGGCTCAGAGGGTTCCATGCCCACGGAGCCTAGCTCAATGCTAGCACAGCAGTCTGAGATCGAACTGCAAGGCGACAGCGAGGCTGGGGGAGGGACGTCTGCCATTGCTGAGGCTTGAGTAGGTAAACAAAGTGCCGGGAAGTTCAAACTGGGTGGAGCCTATCACAGCTCAAGGAGGCCTGCCTGCTTATGCAGATTCCACCTCTGGGGGCAGGGCATAGCTGAACAAAAGGCAGCAGCCAATTTCTGCAGACTTAAACGTACCTGTCTGACAGCTTTGAAGAGAGTAGTGGTTCTCCCAGCACGGAGTTTGAGATCTGAGAACGGACAGACTGCCTCCTCAAGTGGGTCCCTGACCCTCGAGTAGCCTAACTGGGAGACACCTCCCAGTAGGGGCAGACTGAAACCTCATATAGCCAGGTGCCCCACTGAGACGAAGATCTGAGAGGAAGGATCAGGCAGCAACATTTGCCGTTCTGCAGTATTTGCTGTTCTGCAGCCTCTGCTGATGATACCAAGGCAAATAGGGTCTGGAGTGGACCTCCAGCAAACTCCAACAGACCTGCAGCTGAGGGTCCTGATTGTTGGAAGGAAAACAAACAAACAGGAAGGACATCCACACCAAAACCCCATCGGTACATCACCATCATCAAAGACCAAAGTAGTTAAAACCACAAAGATGGGGAGAAACCAAAGCAGAATAGCTGAAAATTCTAAAAATCAGAGTGCCTCTTCTCCTCCAAAGGAAGACAGTTCCTTGCCAGCAACAGAGCAAAGCTGGACAGAGAATGACTTTGACAAACTGAGAGAAGAAGGCTTCAGATGATCGTAACAACAAACTTCTCCGAGCTAAAGGAGGATGTTCGAACCCATCGCAAAGAAGCTAAAAAACTTGAAAAAAGATTAGACGAATGGCTAACTAGAATAAAGAGTGTAGAGAAGACCTTACATGATCTGATGGAGCTGAAAACCATGGCATGAGAACTACGTGATGCACACACAAGCTTCAGAAGCTGATTCAATCAACTGGAAGAAAGGGTATCAGTGATTGAAGACCAAATGAATGAAATGAAGCAAGAAGAGAAGTTTAGAGAAAAAAGAGTAAAAAGAAACGAACAATGCCTCCAAAAAATATGGGACTATGTGAAAAGACCAAATCTATGTCTGATTGGTGTACCTGAAAGTGACGGGGAGAATGGAACCAAGTTGGAAAACACTCTTCAGGATATTATCCAGGAGAACTTCCCCAACATTCAAATTCAGGAAATACAGAGAATGCCACAAAGACACTCCTCGAGAAGAGCAACCCCAAGACACATAATTGTCAGATTCACCAAGGTTGAAATGGAAGAAAAAATGTTAAGGGCAGCCAGAGAGAAAGGTCGAGTTACCCACAAAGGGAAGCCCATCAGACTAACAGCGGATCTCTTGGCAGACACTCCACAAGCCAGAAGAGAGTGGGGGCCGATATTCAACATTCTTAAAGAAAAGAATTTTCAACCCAGAATTTCATACCCAGCCAAACTAAGCTTCATAAATGAAGGAGAAACAAAATCCTTTACAGACAAACAAATGTTGAGAGATTTTTGTCACCACCAGGCCTGCCATGCAAGAGCTCCTGAAGGAAGCACTAAACATGGAAAGGAACAACTGGTACCAGCCACTGCAAAAACATGCCAAATTGTAAAGACCATCAATGCTAGGAAGAAACTGCATCAACTAATGAGCAAAATAACCAGCTAACATCAAAATGACAGCACCAAATTCATACATAACAATATTAACCTTAAATGTAAATGGGCTAAATGCTCCAATTAAAAGACACAGACTGGCAAATTGGATAAAGAGTCAAGACACATCAGTGTGCTGTGTTCAGGAGACCCATCTCACATGCAGAGACACAAATAGGCTCAAAACAAAGGGATGGAGGAAGATCTACCAAGCAAATGGAAAACAAAAAAAAAGCAGGGGTTGCAATCCTAGTCTCTAATAAAACAACAAAGATCAAAAGAGACAAAGAAGGCCATTACATAATGGTAAAGGGATCAATTCAACAAGAAGAGCTAACTATCTTAAATATATATGCACCCAATACAGGAGCACCCAGATTCATAAAGGAAGTACTTAGAGACCTATAAAGAGACTTAGACTCCCACACAATAATAATGGGAGACTTTAACACCCCACTGTAAATATTAGACAGATCAACGTGACAGAAAGTAAACAAGGATATCCAGGTCTTGAACTCAGCTCTGCACCTAGCAGACCTAATAGACATCTACAGAACTCTCCACCCAAAATCAACAGATTATATATTCTTCTCAGCACCACATCGCACTTATTCCAAAATTGACCACATAGTTGGAAGTAAAGCACTCCTCAGCAAATGTAAAAGAACAAAAATTGTAACAAACTGTCTCTCAGACCACAGTGCAATCAAACTAGAACTCAGGATTAAGAAACTCACTCAAAACCACTCTACTACATGGGAACTGAACAACCTGCTCCTGAATGACTACTGGGTACATAACGAAATGAAGGCAGAAATAAAGATGTTCTCTGAAACCAATGAGAACAAAGGCACAACCTAACAGAATCTCTGGGACACATTCAAAGCAGTGTGTAGAGGGAAACTTACAGCATTAAATGCCCATAAAAGAAAGCAGGAAAGTTCTAAAATTGACACCCTAACATCACAATTAAAAGAACTAGAGAAGCAAGAGCAAAAAAATTCAAAAGCTAGCAGAAGGCAAGAAATAACTAAGATCTGAGCAGAACTGAAGGAGATAGAGACACAAAAAACCCTTCAAAAAATTAATGAATCCAGGAGCTGGTTTTTTGAAATGATCGACAAAATTGATAGACCGCTAGCAAGACTGATAAAGAAGAAAAGAGAGAAGAATCAGATAGACGTAATAAAAAATAATAAAAAGGATATCACCACCGATCCCACAGAAATACAAACTATCATCAGAGAATACTATAAACACCTCTACACAAATAAACTAGAAAATCTAGAAGAAATGGATACATTCCTGGACACATACACCCTCCCAAGACTAAACCAGGAAGAAGTTGAATCTCTCAATAGACTGATAACAGGCTCTGAAATTGAGGCAATAATTAATAGTCTACCAACCAAAAAAAGTTCAGGACCAGATGGATTCACAGCCAAATTCCACCAGAGGAACAAAGAGGAGCTGGTACCATTGGTTCTGAAACTATTCACATCAATAGAAAAAGAGGGAATCCTCCCTAACTCATATTATGAGGCCAGCATCATCCTGATACCAAAGCCTGGCAGAGACACAACAAAAAAGGAGAATTTTAGACCAATATCCCTGATGAACATCCATGTGAAAATCCTCAATAAAATACTGGCAAACCAAATCCAGCAGCACATCAAAAAGCTTATCCACCACGAGCAAGTTGGCTTCATCCCTGGGATGCAAGGCTGGTTCAACATACGCAAATCAATAAATGTAATCCATCACATTAAACAAAACCAAAGACAAAAACCACATGATTATCTCAATAGATGCAGAAAAGGCCTTTGACAAAATTCAACAACGCTTCATGCTAAAAACTCTCAATAAATTAGGTACTGATGGAACATATCTCAAAATAATAAGAGCTATTTATGACAAACCCACAGCCAATATCATACTGAATGGGCAAAAGCTGGAAGCATTCCTTTTGAAAACCGGCACAAGACAGGGATGCCCTCCTTCACGACTTCTATTCAATATAGTGTTGGAAGTTCTGGCCAGGGCAATCAGGAAAGAGAAAGAAATAAAGGGTATTCAATTAGGAAATGAGGAAGTCAAATTGTTCCTGTTTGCAGATGCCATGATTGTATATTTAGAAAACCCCATTGTCTCAGCCCCAAAGATCCTTAAGCTGATAAGCAACTGCAGCAAAGTCTCAGGATACAAAATCAATGTGCAAAAATCACAAGCATTCCTATATACACCAATAACAGACAAAGGGAGAGCCAAATCATGAGTGAACTGCCATTCACAACTGCTTCAAAGAGAATAAAAAACCTAGGAATCCAACTTACTAGGGATGTGAAGGACCTCTTCAGGGAGAACTACAAACCACTACTCAATGAAATAAAAGAGGACACAAACAAATGGAAGAACATTCCATGCTCATGGATAGGAAGAATCAATATCGTGAAAATGGCCATACTGCCCAAGGTAATTTATAGATTCAATGCCATCCGCATCAAGCTACCAATGACTTTCTTCACAGAATTGGAAAAAACTACTTTAAAGTTCATATGGAACCAAAAAGGAGCCTGCATAGCAAAGACAATCCTAAGCAAAATCACCAAAGCTGGAGGTATCACACTACTTGACTTTAAACTATACTACAAGGCTACAGTAACAAAAACAGGATGGTACTGGTACCAAAACAGAGATACAGACCAATGGAATAGAACAGAGCCCTCAGAAATAATACCACACATCTACAACCACCTGATCTTTGACAAATCTGACAAAAACAAGAAATGGGGAAAGGATTCCCTATTTAATAAATGGTGCTGGGAAAACTGGCTAGCCATATGTAGAAAGCTGAAACTGGATCCCTTCTTTACACCTTATACAAAAATTAATTCAAGATGGATTAAAGACTTAAATGTTAGACCTAAAACCATAAAAACCCTAGAAGAAAACCTAGGCAATACCATTCAGGACATAGGCATGGGCAAGGACTCCATGACTAAAACACCCAAAGCAATGGCAACGAAAGCCAAAATTGACAAATGGGGTCTAATTAAACTAAAGAGCTTCTGCACGGCAAAAGAAACTACCATCAGAGTGAACAGGCAACCTACAGAATAGGAGAACATTTTTGCAATCTACTCATCTGAAAAAGGGCTAATATCCAGAATCTACAAAGAACTCAAACAAATTTACAAGAAAAAACAACCCCATCAAAAAGTGGGTGAAGGATATGAACAGACACTTCTCAAGGGAAGACATTTATGCAGCCAACAGACATATGAAAACATGCTCATCATCACTGGCCATCAGAGAAATGCAAATCAAAACCACAATGAGATAGTATCTCACACCAGTTAGAATGGCAATCATTAAAAAGTCAGGAAACAACAGGTGCTGGACAGGATGTGCAGAAATAGGAACACTTTTACACTGTTGGTGGGACTGTAAACTAGTTCAACTATTGTGGAAGAGAGTGTGACGACTCCTCTAGGATCTAGAACTAGAAATACCATTTGACCCAACGAGCCCATTACTGGGTATATACCCAAAGGATTATAAATCATGCTGCTATAAAGACACATGCACACATATGTTTATTGCAGCAATATTCACAATAGCAAAGACTTGGAACCAACCCAAATGTCCATCAATGATAGACTGGATTAAGAAAATTGGCACATATACACCATGGAATACTATGCAGCCATAAGAAAGGATGAGTTCATGTCCTTTGTTAGGGACATGGATGAAGCTGGAAACCATCATTCTGAGCAAACTATCACAAGGACAGAAAACCAAACACCGCATGTTCTCACTTATAGGTGGGAAGTGAACCATGAGAACACTTACACACAGGGTGGGGAACATCACACACTGGGACATGTCATGGGGTAGGGGGAGAAGGGAGGGATAGCATTAGGAGATATACCTAATGTAAATGATGAATTAATGGGTGCAGCACAGCAACATGGCACATGTATACATATATAACAAACCTGCACGTTGTGCACATGTACCCTAGAACTTAAAGTATAATAAAAATAAATAAATAAACACAAAGAGGAATGAGGATATTCAAACACACAAGAAAGAATATTTCCAGTTGTCTCCTAAAATGATTTTTCATTAGTCCTTTCATCATTCTTACTTTTTCCCTTTTGTTCTGTTTTTTGAGATGAAGTTCCGCTCTGTTGCCCAGGCCGGAGTGCAGTGGTGCAATCGCAGCTGACTGCAACTTCAGCCTCCCAGGTTCAAGTGATTCTCCTGCCTCAGCCTCCCGAGTAGCTGGGATTAGAGGCACCCGTCACCACACCTAGCTAATTTTTGTATTTTTAGTAGAGACAGGGTTTCACCATGTTGGCCAGGCTGGTCTCGAACTCCTGACCTCAGGTGATCCACCAGCCTCGGCCTCCCAAAGTGATGGGATTACAGGCGTGAGCCACCACATTCAGCCAATTTTTACTTAAAAAGCTTAAGATATCATCTATTTATTCTATTTTCTTCCCTTCTTTGTGTTAATGTGCATAGCAGACTTAATCACTGCATATGTAATTATCAATTCACTTCGTCTGTATAATTCATGTACCACGAATTCATACTTTATCATATAAATTATTGAGTTTTAGTTTAAGGCAAAAGCTACTTTTTCTTATCTTCTAATTAACAATAGAAAAATGACAGAAACATTTCCAAACACTTGGAAACTAAACAACACACTCCAAAATATCTATGAGTCAAACAGGAAGTCTCAGGAAATTAAAAAAAAATACATTAAACTGAATGAAAATGAAAAGATTACATATCAAAATTGGTGGGATGAAGCGAAAGCAGTGCTGAGAGGGAATTTTATAGGGCTAAATGCATATATGAGCTCTTTCCGTGCCTAATGCAGCCATGGCTGGTGGTCCCAAGAAGCATCTAAAGTGGGTAGCAGCTCCAAATCACTGGATGCTGGATAAATTGTCCAGTGTGTTTGTTCATCGTCCATCCCCCAGTCCCCACAAGTTGAGAGAGTGTCTCCCCGTCATCATTTTCCTAAGGAACAGACTTAAGTATGCCTTGACAGGAGGTGAAATAAAGAAGATTTGTGGCCCACCGTGGCAGCTCATGCCTGTAATCCCAGTACTTTGGGAGGCTGAGGCGGGCGGATCACGAGGTCAAGAGATCAAGACCATCCTAGCCAACATGGTGAAACTGTGTCTCTACCAAAAATACAAAAATTAGCTGGGCGTGGTGGTGGGCACCTGTAATCCCAGCTACTCAGGAGGCCGAGGCTGAGCCAGGAGAATTGCTTAAACCCAGGAGGCGGAGGTTGCAGTGAGCCAAGATCATGCCACTGCATTCCAGCCTGGCGACAGAGCGAGACTCCATCTCAAAAATAAATAAATAAATTAAAAATATACAAAAAAAGAGAAGATTTGCATGCAGTGGTTCATTAAGATTGATGGCAACGTTCGAACTGATATAACCCACCCTGCTGGATTCATAGATGTCATGGGCATTGACTAGATGGGAGAGAATTTTCGTCTCATCTATGACACCAAGGGTTGCTTTGCTGTACATCGTGTTACACCTGAGGAGCCCAAGTACAAGTTGTGCAAAGTGAGAAAAATCTTCGTGGGCACAAAAGGAATCCCTCATCTGGTGACTCATGATGCTCGCATCATCTGCTACCCTGATCCCCTCCATCAAGGTGAATGATCCCATTCAGATTGATTTGGAAACTGGCAAGATCACTGATTTCATCAAGTTTGACACTGGTAACCTGTGGATGGTGACTGGAGGTGCTAACTTGGGAAGAACTGGTGTCATTACCCACAGAGAGAGGCACCCTTGATCTTTTGATGTGGTTCACGTGAAAGATGCCAATGGAACAGCTTTGCCACCTGGCTTTCCAACGTTTTTGTTACTGGCAAGGGCAACAAACCATTAATTTCTCTTCCCTGAGGAAACGTATACGCCTCACCATTGCTGAAGACGGAGACAAGAGACTGGCAGCCAAACACAGCAGTAGGTGACATGGTCTCTTGGTGACAAATTAGATCTTTGTACATAATTAAAAATAATGTGGCATAATTAATAAAAATAAATTTAAAAAGATGTGTATACGAGAAAAGGTTCAAATCAACAATCTAGGCTACCTCTCCAGGAACTTAGGAAAACAAGAGCAAAATAAACCCACAGCAAGCTGAGAAAAGGAAATAATAGATTAGAGCAGAAATCAATGAAGCTGAAAATAAAAAATGAAGAAAATTCATGAAACAAATCTGGTTCATGGATAAGATCAGTAAGATTGACAAATGTCTAGCAAGACTGACAAAGAAACAGAGAACATGTGAATTACCAATATCTGGAGTGAAAAAGGGAATATCACTATAGACCATGTAGACATCAAAAGGATAACAAGGGAATACTATGGACAAGTCTGCACACAAAATTTGACATGTTAGGTAAAATAAACCAGTTCCTTGAAAAAATACAAACTACCACAAGTCACCCAATATAAAACTGATTATTTGAATAGCCCTATGACTACTAAGTAAATTGGTATTGTGATTTCAAAATTTCCCAAACAGGTATCTCCAGGCTCAGACACCTTCATTATTGAATTCTACCAAACACTTAAGAAACAATTAGTATCAATTCTCCATAATCTTTTTCACGAAATAGAAGAGGAGGGAATACTTCCCAATCCATTTTATGAACCTAGAATTACGCTGGTATCAAAACAAAACAGTACAAAAACTATAGGCCAATATGCTTTATGAATATAGATGTAAAAATCCTTAGCAAATAAAATTCAGTAATATGTAAAAAATATATATACATCATAACAAAGATGAGTTTATTCCAGGGATGCAAGGCTAGTTCAACATTTGAAAATCAATCTATGTAATCTACCACATTAAATTATAAAGAAAAAATCATATGATCACATAAATCAGTACAGAAAAACCACTTGACAAAAATAAACACCCTCTCATGTTAAAACTTCTCAGAAAACTAGAAATTGAGGGAAATTTCCTCAATTTGGTAGAGAACATCTATAAAAAACCTATAGTTAATATTATATTTATTGGGGAAAGACTGAAAACTTTCCTCTAAGATTAGGAACAAGCCAGAATGTCTATTCTCACTTCTGCTATTCAGTGTAGTACCGGAAGTTCTAGCCAGTGCAATAAGGCAAGAAAAGGAAAGAAAGGGCATACAGATCAGAGAACAAGAATTAAACTAAACCTATTTACAGATGACATGATTGCCTATGGAGAAGTTATGAAAGAATCTACAAAAAACTTCTAAAACTAATAAATGAGTTCAGCAAAACTGCAGGGCACAAAAATCAACACACAAAAATCAATTATATTTCAATATACTAGCAAACTAGAATACATGGACACCAAAATTTTAAAAAACAACACTTTTTATAATTTTAGAAAAAGAAAGAAAAAAAGGCCGGGCACAGTGGCTCACACCTGTAATCCTAGCACTTTGGGAGGCCAAAGAGGGCGAATCACTTAGGTCAGGAATTCGAAACCAGCCTGGCCAATATAGTGAAACCCCATCTCTACTAAAAATACAAAAATTGGCTGGAAATCGCTTGAACCCAGGAGGCAGAGGTTGCAGTGAGCTGAGATCGCACCACTGCACTCCAGCCTGGGCGAGACAGTGAGACTCCGTTTCAACAAAAAAAAAAAAAAAAGAAAGAAAGAAAGAAAGAAAGAAAGAAAGAAAGAAAGAAAGAAAGAAAAGATAAAAAGAAAGACTTTGGTGTAAATCTAACAAAATACCTGTAAGAGCTGTATGCTAAAGCTACAAAATGCTAATGAAAGAAATAAAAGAAGAATCATACAAATGAAGAGTCATACTGTGTTCATGAACTGAAAGACTTCATTATGTCATATAATTAGTAGTTCAATTCTTTCCAAAATAATATACATTTAACACAATTCCTACTGAAGTTCCAGAAGATTTTTTTGTGGAGATAAAATTACTCTAAAATTTATATGACAAAGCAAAGGAACTAGAACAGCTAAAACAATTTTGAAAAAGAATACAGTGCTATGAACGTGATTTCAAGACATACAGCTTCTGTAGTCATGACTGTGTGATGGTACAAAGAAACACACACAACGATCAACGGAACAGAACACCCAGAAATAGATCTATGTGATTTTTGACAAAGGTGCAAAAAGCAATTCATTGAAGGGAAGAAGTCCTTTTCAACAAATGGTGGAGAAATTGGACACCCACAGGCAAAAAACAGAAAAACCAAAACCTTCCACCTAAGTCTCACACCTTATATGAAAAGTAACTCAAAATAGATCATAGAGTTAAATACAAAATGACACAGGAGAAAATCTTTTGGATTTACAGCTACGTGAAGAGTTCTTAGACGTGACATCAAAAACACAATTCATAAAAGGAAAAATTGGTAATTTGAATTTCATTAAAATTAAAACTTATTCTGGTAGACCTTGTTGAGAAGATATGAAAAATATAAGCCAGAGATTGCAATTAAGGACTAGTATCCAGAATATATTAAGAACCCTCAAAATTTCACAATAAAATAGCAAACAATCCAATTAGAAAATGAGCAAAAAACAAGAACACATATTTCACTGAAGAGAATAAATAAATGGCAAATGAGCACATGAAAAGATGCTTGATGCCATTAGCATGCAAAATAAAAATAAAACCCTAAGCCTCCCAACCAACTGAACAGAACCCTCTTGGCCAAAGGGACCACAGAGAAACCCTAAAAAACAAAGTCCTGGGCCATGACAGGATAAGAGGTTGGTTACGCCTCAGTATGCTCCTTCCTTATTAACCTTTAACCAGAATTCTTCCCTAAGGAGTAAGCGGAAACCAACTCCAGAAAACAAGAAACAGATGATTCATTCCTTTATCGCCTTCAGCCAATTATCTGAGGCCAAAACCAGGCTCCCTCTCCCTCTTTGAAGTTTTGATGTGACAGCCCACCAGCTTGACAATGCATCCCTTCCTAAAAACTGACCACCATATCTCTGGACCAGTTCTAACTGACTAGCAGAGGATGTGCTATGAGGGTTTTCAGGTCCTCTGTTTCACCTTTTGATGCCAGAGGGCCAAAAATTCCACCCCTGGATCATGCTAATGCCATCATTTTTTTAACATGTGACCTATGAAGAGGCATGAAGCTCAGTTGTGCTTTTTTCATAAATCTTCATGACTCCTTCTATAGCTAAATTTGAATATGTATACTTAGCCAACCCATTGGGCATAAATACCTGTGTTAGGCTTTCCTCTCTTAAATTGCTTGTTCTCAGCTTTTGCCAAAGGCTGCATTTCCCAGCCAGCAGTGTGCCACCCTTTATGAGAAATAAAGCTCTCCTTTCCAAATTTTTGAACCTCATGATTCTTCAGTTGACAAGCATTAGGGAAATGCACATTAAAACCACAATGAGATATCACTATCTATCTATCAGAATAAAAATTTAAAAATAGTGACAACATCAAATGCTGGTATGGAGAAACTGGATCACTCACACATTACTCGTGGCAATGTAAAATGAAATAGCCACTCTAAAAACCAGTTTGGCAGTTTCTTAAACAACTAAACATGCAACAACAATAGGACTCAGCAATTGCACTCTTGGGTATTTATCCCAGAAAAGTGAAAACTTACCTTCACACAAAAACCTGTAGACAAATGTTCATACCAGCACTATTCATAAAAGTTGGACGTCCTTCCATGGGTGAATAGTTAAACAAACTGATATACCCCCATGCCAGGGACGTCCACTCTGCAGTAAAAAGTAACTACTTATACATGCAACAACTGGGATGAATCTCCAGAAAATTATCCCAAGTGAAAAAAGCCAATTTCAAAAGGTTACAAACTATATGATTCCATTTCCATAGCATTATTGAAATGCAAAATAATAAGAACATAAAGTAGACTAGCAATTGCTAGGGGTTCTGGAGGGTGACAGGGTGGAAGAAAATAGTATGCCTATGAAGAGTGGCAGGAAGGATCCTTTGGTGTTGAAACTATTATATCTTGACTACATTCATAACAAGATCTGGTTTTTACATTGTATGACAGTTCTGCAAGATATTACCCTTAGTGGAAACTGGGTAAAGGATACATAGGATCTTTCTGTATTACTTTTCACAACTGCATGCGAATCTACAATTACCTCAAAATAAAAAGTTTAATTAAAAATCTCTGCACTTGGATGCCTCTCATCAGCTCCAGGTGTATACATTAACTGAAAGATTTTCAAGCAGGGGAAGTGCTTTGATTTACTTTTTTTAAAAAAAATCCTTAGCTACTGTGTGGAATCTGAATTAGAAACCAGTGGGACAGGTATTCCAAGGGAGCGGTAAGTCTTCTTTAACGTCAGCTTTCCCCCTTCAGAAATCTCTGCTCTGATCCCTTATCACTCTCCAGTCACTCACGCAACTCTGGGCATTCACAGGGTCTCCTCGGATTTGCCTCTGGTTACATTCACCACAACCCTCATCCAGGTACCCATAAAGTAACAAATGGTTGGCAACCACCCACCCAGCCCAGAATTTTCTCTTTCACAATCTTAGTCATTAGAAAATGAAAGTTAATCTCTGGTGTACATGGGGATGTTAGACAAAGATTAAAAAAAAAAAAAAAGAAAATGACAGTTAAGACGACGTTGCTTACAGAAATCTTCTTCCTTAATTAACTTTGCTGTAGTTTCTTCTTGAGACTTTGTAGACCTTCATTTGATCAGGAGAGACAGCAAGTGCATGTGTTTAACTGATTTGACTGGGGTTTCCAGAATGTGCCTGGGGGACTTTCAGTAAAGATCAGATAGAAGTATGTGTATGCATGTGGATTAGGTAAGTATAGTATAAACATATTTATTTTTCTGAGATGGAGTCTCATTCTGTCGCCCAAGCTGGAGTGCAGTGGCGCAATCTCGGCTCACTGCAGCCTCAGCCTCCCGGGTTCAAGCAATTCTCCCACCTCAGCCTCCCGAGTTCAAGCAATTCTCCCACCTCAGCCTCCCGAATAGCTGAGACTACAGGTGTGCACCACCAAACTCAGCTAATTTTTTTGTATTTTTAGTAGAGATGGGGTTTCACCAGGTTGGCTAGGCTGGTCTTGAACTCCTGACCTCAGGTGATCCACCTGCCTTGGCCTCCCAAAGTGTTGGGATTCCAGGTGTGAGTCACTGTGCCCAGCCCATATTTTCTTCTAATAATTGATAATTACTGTAAAAATAAGATAAAACTACTATATTTCTGAGCTTTTATGTGAAATGTGCAAGAATTGCCACAGGCCTAATTCTGAGTGTTGCTAGCATTAACATAAAGGAAAATCACCTACTAAATACAGTAAGTTTTAAAAGTTCTTCTATTCACTATATTTTAAACTGTTTCAAAAGTATTTCCCTTCCCATGGGAAGATATATACACTATTGTGGTGAAAAGCAAGTGTCTGAGTCAGAAAGACCCAGGCTGGAGCCCCAGCTCAGCATCTTACTGGTGGTATAGACATGAGCAAGTTTCCTCACCTGTAAAACAAAAATGGCTCCAATTTCTAACTGTTAGGATTATTGTGAAGATTGAATAAGATAATTCATGTAAATAATTCAGTACAAAGACAGGTTGGTAGTATGTTCTTTTAAGAGTGTTAATTGGTTGGGCGCAGTGGCTCGTGCCTGTAATCCCAGCATTTTGGGAGGCCGAGGAAGGCGGACCACTTGAGGTCAGGAGTTCAAGACCAGCCTGGTCAACATGGTAAAACCCCACCTCTATTAAAAATACAAAAATTAGCCAGGTGTGATGGTAGACACCTGTATTCCCAGCAACTTGGGAGGCTGAGGCAGGAAAATCGCATGAACCTGAGAAGTAGAGGTTGTAGTGAGCTGAGACCGCGCCACTGCACTCCAGCCTAGGCAACAGAGTGAGACGCTCAAAACAAGAGTGTTAATTAAAACCACTGTTTTTTCAATAAAGTAAAATCAGAAAAATTCCATTATCCATTAACTCACTTAATAGTTATTTCATGAATACCTACTATGTCCCAGTCACAAAGTTTCATAAAACAGGCCCTGACTTAAAGCTGACTACCTATCTAGGGGCAATGGGGGGAAAGACAAGAAGAAAACGAAGAAGAAAATGACCACAGAGGGTGGTAAGTAGTACTGGCAATACTGTAAATCATTCAGATTAGAAGCATGCCTTGGAAGATAGTCTTCTAAACTAAAGATGTAGTTAGAGAAAGTTCCTAAGAGGAGACAATGCCCAGCCTTGGTAGGCTGGCCACAGGGGCAGAAGAGGGCTAGGGACTGCCTAAAAGAGGGTCAAAATATTTTATTGTCATTTTGCAATTATATATTTTTTGAATGCTTTTCCTGGTAAAATAAGTTTTCAAAAAATATCATCCTGTAGTAACAGGGATACTTTTTAAATAAAATTCAAAAGTAAGTTAAAATAACCAATTTTACTTTCTTTTTCACTTATTTGAATATAAAAAGTTAGCAAATTCTTTTTGGATGACATCAATATTTATTTTCCCCTATGCTTCAGGCTGGCCTACACACTCTCCATCAAAGGAGAAACCGCGAGAACAATTTTATTGCTTCTGTTTCATTGGAAGTTTTGGTCCTAAATTAGCCTTATAACCTTCTTATGATATTATTCAAAAAAGTGTTTAGGATTCAAACCTTGTCTCAGCAGAGTCCCTCAAACTGTGAACTACACAAGTTCCAAGGGTTTATTTACCTCCTATCAAGCATAATGTGGGGGAATAATACAGTCAACTTGGAGCAATAAATTCAGCAAAACTGTGCTTCCCTTTTCCTCTTATTTGCTGTCTCTCAGGGCCACAGAATATTTTTACTTCTTTCTTTAAAAGTTGGGTTAGGATAAGAAGGAAGCCAGTCCAATCCATAATCCATGCACTAGAAAGGCCAGGCCAGCTTCCCACCATGGAGAGAGAGGAACCCAGCTGCTAGCAGACAGTCCTAACAAGGCTGCAGGTCTCACAACAAGCACTCAAACCAACACCTGATAGCATCCCTTGGGAAAAGGGTTTTTTTTTTTTTTAAGAAGAAAAGTGAAGGACCTTAAGATTGTCAGGTATGCACCAAACCCCACTTCCCAGGACTGAATACTGTCCCCTCTTGGACACGAGTCTTGATTTATAAAGCATTTACATGAGTGGATTAGAAAAACACCAGAATAACAGTCAAGTGGCCAAAGGACATGGCCAGAAAAACCACCAAAAAGGACATATGAAATGCTTGAAAAAGTGTTCAATCTCTTTAATTTAAAAAATGCAAATTAAAATGAGATGTCATTTATCTTCTAAAGTGAAATAAAATAACAATTAATAACATTGAAAAGTCTCAGCACTGCCTTGAGCCCCAGGTAGGATGGGCCCTGTGTGGTCCTTGTCTGGCTAAGGGAGGTGGCCTCGCTCTGGGCACTGCATACCCACCGTCTCTTCTGTGCCTTTTAATGATGTAAGAAAGGACTTACATATGATGGTGTGCTGATAAGGAAAAAATTACCAGTATATAAAATCTTAATACATTTTTAAA
Organism: Homo sapiens; assembly: GCF_000001405.40. NCBI lineage: Eukaryota > Metazoa > Chordata > Mammalia > Primates > Hominidae > Homo > Homo sapiens. The sequence continues at coordinate 47,539,250 of NC_000008.11, read as the reverse complement.
AAGGTTAATCTCCGCTAGTGCAGTAACGGGTAGTTTCTAGTCTCTTTATCTATCACATCTCTCAGCATTTTTTTCAAATATCCCACAATAGGCCGGGCATGGTGGCTCATGCCTGTAATCCCAGCACTTTGGGAGGCTGAAGCGGGTGGATCACCTGAGGTCAGGAGTTCGAGACCAGCCTGGCCAACCTGGTGAAACCACGTCTCTACTAAAAAAACAAAAATTAGCTGGGCGTGGTGGCAGGTGCCTGTAATCCCAGCTACTTGGGAGGCTGGGGCAGGAGAATCACTTGAACCTGGGAAGCGGAGGTTGCAGTGAGCCGAGATCGTGCCACTGAACTCCAGCCTGGGTGACAGAGTGAGACTCTGTCTCAAAAAAAAAAAAAAAAAAAAAGAAAAGAAAAAAGGCAAAACCAAAACAAATATCCCACAATAATCATTTCTTGCCCTTATTATTGGAAACAAATAAATCTATTCATAAAGAGAAAAATATGATTCAATTTATATAAATTTCCTTTTGAAGGCTTTGGTTTACTCTCTATTTTATAAAGCAAGACAGAGAGCTATATCAAATTTATAGAGGCAAAACCTGAAAACTCAAATATTAAATATAATTACTTGGACCAGAATAAAGCTGCTCAAAACCGAGAAAGAAAAACAGCAGTGTCTGACAATGAACATTAATTTACTTACTTTGTTCTTTTTTTTGAGGCAGAGTCTCACTCTGTTGTCTAGGTTGGGGTGCAGTGGCATGATCTCGTCTCATTGCAACCTCCACCTCCCAGGTTCAAGCAATTCTCTCGCCTCAGCCTCCCTAGTAGCTGGGACTACAGGCACCTACCACCACACCCTAGCTAATTTTTGTATTTTAGTAGAGACGGGGTTTCACCATGTTGGCCAGGCCGGTCTCGAACTCCTGACCTCAGGTGATCTATTGCCTTGGCCTTCCAAAGTGCTGGGATTACAGGCGTGAACCACCACGCCCAGCCTTAATTTATTTTCATAGTATTTTCTCCTTCCAAAGTTAATCTTCTCAGCAACCTCTGGGAACTCCTATTTTTTCTTTATTTTTATTTTGAGACGGAGTCTAGCTCTATTGCCCAGGCTGGAATACAGTGGCACGATCCCGGCTCACTGCAACTTCTGCCTCCCAGGTTCAAGCAATTCTCCTGTCTCAGCCTCCTGAGTAGCTGAGATTATATGCGCGAGTCACCACGCCTGACTAATTTTTGTATTTTTAGTAGAGATGGGGTTTCACCGTTTTCCAGGCTGGTCTCGAACTCCTGACCTCAAATGATCCGCCCGCCTCAGCCTCCCAAACTGTTGGGATTACAGGTGTGAGCCACCATGTCTGGCCCTGTTTTTTCATTCTTTAAAAAATTAATATACTAATTTTTAGAGTAGCTTTAGGTTTATGAAGAAATGAAGCAGAAATACTGAGAGTTCCCATATACCCTCTCACCTATCTCAGTTTCCCTATTAACATCTTGCATTAATGTGATACATTTATTACAGCTGGTGAGCCAATATTGACACCTTATTGAGTAAAGTTCATAGTTTACATTGGGTTCACTCTTCGTGTTGTACAGGTCTATGGGTTTTGGCAAATGCATAATGACACGTGTCCACCATTACAGTATCATACAGAAGTTTCACTGCTCTAAACATACCCTGTCCACCACCTATTCATCTCTCCCTCCCTCTAAACCCCATGGATCTTTTTACTATTTCCATAGTTTTGCCTTTTCCAGAATGTCAGTTAGAATTATACAGCATGCAGCCTTTTTAGATTGGTTTCTTTCACTTAGCAATATGCATTTAAGGTTCCTCTATGTTTTTTCATGGCTTGACAGCTCATTTCATTTTGTCACTGAGTAATATTCTATTGTGTGGATGAATATGCACCAGTATGTTTATCCATTCACCTACTGGAGACATCTCGGTTACTTCCAAGTTTTTGGTAATTATGAATAAAGCTGCTATAAGCATTTATGCTCATGTTTGTATAGGCATGCTTTCAACAATTATTTGGATAAATATCAAAAAGTGCAATTGCTGGATCATATGGTAAGAATATGTGTATTTTTGTAACAAAGTGCTGAAGTGCCTTCCAAAGTGGCTGTTCCAATTTGCACTTCCATCAGCAATGAATGATAGTTCTGTTCTTCCATATCCTTCCCTACATTTGGTGTTGTGTGTTTTGACTGTTAGCCATTCTAATAGATGTCTAGTGGTATCTCATTGCTGTTTCAATTTGCAATTCCTGATGACACATGATGTCAAGCATCTTTTAATGTGATTATCTGCCATCTGTACATCTCCTTAATGAGTTGTCTGTTCAGAGCTTTTATTAATTTTTTAATTGGGTTGTCTGTTTTCTTACTGAGTTTTAAAAGTTCTTAGTATATTCTGAGTACAAGTTCTTTACAAGATATGTCCATGGCTTGTCTTCATTGTCTTAACAGTGTCTTTCACAGAGCAGAATTTAAAAATTTTAACAAAGTTCATCTTGTAAACTTTTTCTCTCACAGATAGTGCCTTTGGTCACTGCCAAACTTAAAGTCATCTAGATTCTCTTCTATCTTATATTCTAGTTTTATAGTTTCACATTTTACATTTAGGTCTATGATCTATTTTGAGTTACTTTTTGGTGTAAGATCTGTGTCTAGATTCATTCTTTTTTATGTAGATGTTCAGGTGTTCCAGCACAATTTCTTGAAAAGATTATTTTTCCATTAAATATCCTTTGCTTCTTTGTCAAAGATCAGTTGACTATATTTATGTCAATTTCTTGTTCTATATTTTGTTCCATTGACCTATTTGGCTATTCTTTTTCCTGTATCACTGCCTTGATTACTTACCATAATTCTTGAAGTTGGATAATGTCACTTCTCTTTGTTCTCTTTCAGTATTGAGTCGGCTATTGTAGGTATTTTGCATTTCAACAGAAACTTTAGAATCAGTTTGTTGATAACCATGAAATAACTTATAGGCATTTTGATTGGAATTACACTGAATCTACAAATCAAGTTGGGAAGAACTGACATCTTAATAACATTGAGTCTTCTTATCTATGAACGTGGAATACCTGTTTAGCTCTTCTTTGATTTCTTCATCAGAATTTTGTACATTTCTTCATGTAGATCTTATATATATATATATTTTTAGATTATACCTGTTTGATTTTTTTGATGCAAATGTAAATGGCATTGTTTTTATTCTCTAATTGTTCATTGCTAGTATATAAGTAACTGACTATTACATATTAACATATTCTGCAGCCTTGCTATAATCACATCCTAGGTTCAGGAATTTTTTGGTGATTCTCTGGAATTTCTACATACACAATCACGTTATCTGCAAATAAGGACAACTTTATTTCATCCCTCACAATCTGTGAGTGGTGAAAAGGGCATCCTTCCTTGTCTTGCTCCTGCTCTCAGTGGGAAAACATCTAGTTTCTCACCATTAAGTATGATGTCAGCTGCAGGTTTCTTTGCAGAGGTTCTTTAACAAGTTGAGGATGTGTCTTCTATTGCTAGTTTGCTGACTATTTTTTTTTAACATCAAAAAATGGGTGTTGGATTTTGTCGAATCCTTTTCTTCCATCTATTCATAAGATTTGATTTTTCTTCTTTAGCCTGTTGGTGTGATGGATTACATTAATTGTTTTTTGAATGGTAAACTTGGTCAGGGTAGATAATTCTTTTTATATGTGTTAGATTTGATTTGTCAACATGTTGTTAACTATTTATGTATCTACATTCATGAGAGGCACTGATCCTTAAGTTTCCCTTTCTTATAATGTCTTTGCCTGATTTTTAATACTGGTCTCATAGAATTAGTTATTTGTTATCTGCAAATAAGGACAGCTTTATTTCATCCCTCACAATCTGTGAGTGGTGAAAAGGGCATCCTTCCTTGTCTTGCTCCTGCACTTAGTGCTTAAGTGTTTCCTTAAGTTTCTATTTTCTGGGAAAGATTATAGAGTACTCCTTCTGCTTCTATTTTCTGGATGAGATTGCAGAAAATAGGTATAATTTCTGCCCTAAATGTTTGGTAGAATTTACCAGTGAACCCAGCAGTGCTTTCTGCTTGGAAAGGTTATTACTGATTTTCTTTAATAAATGCAGGTCTATTCAGATTATCTGTTTCTCCTTGTGCGAGTTTTGGTAGAGTGTGTCTTTCACGTAATTGGTCTATTTCAACTAGGTTAATGAATTTGTGGGCAGAGAGTTTTCCAAAATATTACTTTATTATCCTTTTAGTATCTATGGGATCAGTAGTAATGGTCACTCTTTCACTGTGGATATTAGTAATTTCTGTCTTTTTTCCTTTTTTCTTAATCTGGCTCCACATTTATCAATTTTATTAATCGTTCAAAGAACCAGCTTTTTTTTTCTGTTGATTTTCTCTAATTTCCTGTTTTCGATTTCATTAATTTCTGCCTAATTTTTCTTTTTAACCTTTATTTTAGGTTTGAGAGTACATGTGAAGGTTTGTTACATAGGTAAACATGGGTCATGGGGGTTTTTTGTATGTATTATTTCACCACTCAGGTATTAGGCCCAGTACCCAACAGTTATCTTTTCTGCTATTCTCCCTCCTCCCACCCTCCCTCTTCAAGTTGACCTCAGTGTCTGCTGTCTCCTTCTTTGTGTTCTTAAGTTCTTATCATTTAGCTCCCACTTTTAAGTGAGAACATGTGGTATTTGGCTTTCTGTTCCTGTGTTACTTTGCTAAGCATAATAGGCTCCAGCTCCAACCATGTTCCTGCAAAAGACATGATCTTGTTCATTTTTATGGCTGCATAGTATTCCATGGTGTATATGTACATTTTCTTTGTCCAGTCTACTGTTGATGGGCATTTAGGTTGATTCCATGTCTTTGCTATTGTGAACAGTGCTGCAATAAACATTCACATGGATGTGTCTTTATGGTATAATGATTTATATTCCTCTAGGCATATACCAAGTGTATTAGTCTGTTCTTATGTTGCTAAGAACAAACACCCAGGACTCGGAAATTTATGAAGAGAAGAGGTTTAATCGACTCACAGTTCTGCATGGCTGGGATGGCCTCGGGAAACTTACAATCATGGTGCAAGGCACCTCTTCACAGGGCAGCAGGAGAGAGAATGAGTGCCAGCAGGGGAAATACCAGTCACTCACAAAACCATCAGATCTCATGAGAACTCACTCACTATCACTAGAACAGCACAGGAAAAATGGTCCCCATGATTCAATTACCTCCACCTGGTCCCGCCCTTGACACGTGGGGATTATTACAATTCAAGGTGAGATTTGGGTGGGGACACAGAGCCAAACCTTATCACCCAGTAATGGGATCACTGGGTTGAATGGCAGTTCTGCTTTTAGCCCCTTGAGGAATCACCATACTGCTTTCCACAATGGCTGAACTAATTTACACTCCCACCAACAGTGTATTAGGGTTCCCTTTTCTCTGCAGCCTCGCCAGCAACTGTTATTTTTTGACGTTTTAATAATAGCTATTCTGACTGGTGTGAGATGGTATGTAATTGTGGTTTTGATTTGCATTTCTCTAATGATCAGTGATGTTGAGGTTTTTTTTCCCCCATATGCTTGTTGGCCACATGTATGTCTTCTTTTGAGAAGTGTCCATTCATGTCCTTTACTCACTTTTTAATGGGTTTTCTCTTGTAAATTTGTTTAAGTTCCTTATAGATGCTGGATATTAGACCTTTGTCAGATGCATAGTTTGCAAATATTTTCTCCCACTCCGTAGGCTGTTTACTCCTTCTAGTTTCTTTTGCTGTGCAGAAGCTCTTTAGTTTAGTTAGATCCCACTTGTCAATTTTTGCTTTTGTTGTGACTGCTTTTGGTGTCTTTGTCATGAAATCTTTGCCCATTCCTATGTCGAGGATGGTACTGCCTAAGTTGTCTTCCAGGGTTTTTATAGTTTGGGATTTTACATTTAATTCTTTAATCCACTTTGAGTTGAGAATTTTTATTATCTTATTTATTAATTATTGGTAAAAATTATTTTGTTCCTTCTATTTATGATTTAATTCACTCTTCTTTTTCTGGTTTCCTAAAGTGGAAGTTTAGATTTACTGATTTAAATATTTTTTCTTTTCTATTGTGTACATTCAATGCTATAAATTTTCTTTACACTGCTTTCACTGAAACTTACAAATTTGGTTATGTTGTATTTTCATTTTCACTTTGTTAAAATATTTTAAATTTCTCTTGGGATTTCTTGATGTGTGTTAGAAGTGTACTGTTTAACTTCCAAGTATTTTGTTACTGAGTTCCAATTTAATTCCATTATGGTCTGAAACATACTCTGTATGATCCTATCATTTAAATTTGCTAAGATGTGTTTTATGGTCCAGAATTTGGTCTGCCTTGGTGAATGTTTTGCATGAGCTTGAGAAGAATGTATATTCTGCTGCTGTTGAATGAAGTATTCTATAAATGTAAATTAGATTCTGTTGATTGTGTTGTTCAGTTCAACAATGCCTTTATTGAGTTCTGCCTGATGGATCTGTCAATTACTTATAAAAGAGTGTTGAAGTCTCCAGCTGTAATAGTGGTTTTGTCTGTTTTACTTTGCAGTTCTATCAGTTTTTTGCCTTATGTGTTTTAAATCTGTTGTCACATAAATACACATTAAGGGCTGTTACGCCATCTTGGAGAACTGATCCTTTTTCATTATGTAATACTCCCTCTTTATCTTTGATAATTTTTCTTGCTCTAAAATTGGCTTTGTTTGAAATTAATATAGGTACTCCAGCTTTCTGTTGATCAATGTTAGCATCCCTATCTGTGTTTTTATATTTAAAATGAGGTTCTTATAGGCAACTTGTAGTTGAGTTTTATTTTTGTTTAAATCCACTCTGGGCCAGGCGTGGTGGCTCATGCCTATAATCCCAGCACTTTGGGAGGCCAAGGCAGGTGGATCACCTGAGGTCGGGAGTTCGAGACCAGCCTGATCAACATGGAGAAACCCCATCTCTACTAAAAATATAAAATTAGCCAGGCATGGTGGTGCATGCCTGTAATCCCAGCAAGGTGGGAGGCTGAGGCAGGAGAATTGCTTGAACCTGGGAGGGGAGGTTGCAGTGAGCCGAGATCGCGCCATTGCATTCCAGCCTGGGAAACAAAATAACCAAACACTGTCTCAAAAAAAAAAAAAAAAAAAATCCACTCTGACAATCTTTGTCTTTTAATTAGAGTTCAGATCACTGATCTTTAAAGCAATTATTGATACAGCAGGACTGATATCTACTATTTGTTACTGTCTTCTATTATTTGCCCTTGTCTTTCTGTTATTGTATTCTACTCTTTTTCTGCCTATAGTTTTAATTGGCCATTTTATATGATTCTATTTTTTTCTTCTCTTAATGTAATAATTTTTGTCGTATGCCACATAATGGTGGTTCAGTAAATGGCAGACTGCATATATGACAGTGGTCCCGTAAGTTTATCATGGAGCTGAAAGATTCTTACTGCCTAGTAATGTTGTCCTGAGAAATTGACTAATAAGACTTTCTTGGAACTGGAACAGAAATGCATACCGGAAGAAGAGGTAAGAGAAAAGGAAACTGCAGGAGAAGAAACAGAAGTAGAATCCCCAAGAAAATTCTCACTGAAGGGTTTAGCAGAAGCTTTTACAGACCTCAACAGGCTCCTTAAAAAGTCTTCTGAAAACACAAACCCCAGTACCAAAAGGTTTTCATTAATGTTGAGGAATGTTCACGGTGTATTCTCTGCTTATAAGCAAATCTATGATGATAAAGCAACAAACCAAGTGATCTACCATGGATATATTTCTAAAAGGAATGACATCTCCTCAAGAAGAGCCTCAGGCAGGTCCTTCAGGATATTTTCCAGAAGGCATTGTTGTCATGGGAAATGACAGCTCCATTCACATTACTGCCCATGAAGGCCAGCCAGTGGGACAAGTTGTAGAGGTAGAAGACAGTGTGACATTGATGATCCTGACCCCATGTAGGCCTAGGCTAATGTTTGTGTATCTCCATTTTTAGCAAAAAAACTTTACAAGTTTTTAAAAAAGGTTGGGTACAGTGACTCACGCCTGTAATACCTTTGGGAGGCCAAGGTGGGAAGAACACTTGTGGCTAGGAGTTTGGGACCAACCTGCGCAACATAGCGAGAAACATTTTTAAAAAATAGCTGGGCATGGTGGCATGCCTGGAGTCCTAACTACTTGGAATGCTTAAGTGGGAGGGTCGCTTGTGCCCAGGAGTTTGAGGCTGCAGTAAGCCATGACTGCGCCACTGCACTCCAGTCTGGGGGATGCACAACCTTGCCTTTAAAAAAAAAAAGTTATAAAAAATTTTAATAGAAAAAAATTTTAGAATAGGGATATAAAAAATATTTTTGAAATAATTTTGTACAACTGTACAATGTGTTATAAGCCAAGTGTTACTACAAAAGGATAAAAAATTAAGAAAAATTGTTTATGAAGTAAAAAAGTTACAGTAAACTAAGGTTAATTTATTATTAAAGAAAGAAATGCTTTTTTATAAATTTAGTGTAGCCTAGGTGTTCAGTGTTTATATAAAGTCTACAGTAGTGCATAGTAATGTTCTATACCTTCACATTCACTCACCACTCACTCACTGATGGCCCCTGACCCCAGAACAACTTCCAGTCCTGCAAGCTCCATTACAGACAGGTAAGTGCCCTATAGAGGGGCACCATTTTTAACCTTTATACCATAGTTTTACTGTACGTTTTCTATGTTTAGATATTTTTTTTTTCTGACACCATGGTTCTAAAGGTGTTTTGTTTTGTATTTGACACAGAGTCTCGCAGTGTCACCCAGGCTGGAGTGCACAGGCCCGATCTCAGCTCACTGCAACCTCCACCTCCCAGGTTCAAGTGATTCTTGTGCCTCAGCCTCCCGAGTAGCTGGGATTACAGGCGAGTGTCACCACACCCAGCTGGGGTTTCACCATTTTGGCCAGGCTGGTCTGGAACTCCTGGCCTCAAGTTATCTGCCTACTTCAGCCTCCCAAAGTGCTGGGATTACAGACATGAGCCACTGCATTTAGATATGTTTAGACACACAAATATTTATCATTTTGTTACAATGTTCCATGGTGTTCAGTATAGTTACATGCTATACAAGTGTGTAGCCTAGGAGCAGTAGGCTATACCATACAGCCTAGATGTGTAGTAGGCTATATCACCTAGGCTTGTATAAGTGCCCTTATGATGTCTGCATAATGATGAAATCACCTAATAATGCATTTCTCAGAACATATCCCCATCATTAAGTGATATATGATTGTACTTCCTTTTTTACTTTTTTATGTGGTTCCTCTTGAGTTTGATGTGCATTTAAAAGTAATTCAAGTCCACTTTTAAATAACACTATGCAACTCCATGGGTGGCACAAGTACTTTACAATAACAAAATATTTCTAATTCCTCCTTGTATCTCTTATAATATTGCTGTCATTCATTTCATTTATACATGAACTATGACCACTGAATACATTTTAGCTATTATTTTAAAGAAACTTATGTGTTAGATCAATTGAGGTTTTATTTTACCTACATTTTTTCCTTCACTTATAATCCTCCTTTCTTTATGTATATCTCAATTTCTGATCTATATTATTTTCCTTCCTTTTGAATAATTTCTTTTAACATTTCTTGCAAGGTAGCCTTAGTAGTGACAAATTGTCTCAGTTTTTGTCTGGGCTAGTGTTTTATTTTTTTGTCACCATTGAAGGATATTTTTGCTAGATATAGGATTCTAACTTGGTGAATTTTTTACTTCAATACTTTATTTTTATTTTTTATTTTATTTATTTATTTTTTGAGATGGAGTCTCGCTCTGTTGCCCAGGCGTGCAGTGATGTGATCTCGGCTCACTGCAACCTCCACCTCCTGGGCTCAAACGATTCTCCTGCTTCAGCCTCCCAAGTAGCTGGGATTACAGGTGCGTGTCACCATGCCCGGTTAATTTTTTGTATTTTTAGTAGAGATGGGGTATCACCATCACCAGGATGGTCTCGATCTCCTGACCTCATGGTCCTCCTGCCTCAGCCTCCCAAAGTGTTAGGATTACAGGCCCGAGCCACCGGGCCCGGCCTCCTTTAATACTTTAAATATTGTGCTACATCTTTTTGTTTGCAAGATTTCTGAAGGGAAGTCTGATGTAATTCTTATTCTTCTTCCGCTATAGGTGGTATGTTTCTGCCAGCTTCCCCTCTGGTGTTTTTTCTTTGTCTGTAATTTTCTGCAGGTTAAGTATGATATGCTTAAGCGTAGATTTTGTTTTATTTATCCTGTTGGTGTTTAAGCTTCCTGCATCTGTGGTTTGGAACCTATCATTAATTTGGAAAAATTCTTTTTTTGACTTCCTGTCTTTCCTCTCCTCTGGTATTCCCATTACACATATGCCATACCCTTTGCAAATGTCCCAGAGTTCTTGAATATTATGTTCCCTTTTTTTTTTCACTCTTTTTTCTTTTTGTATTTTAGTTTTGGGAGTCTTGGTTGACATTTCTTCAAGCTCACTAATTCTTTCAGTGGCCATGTCCAGTCTACTGATGAGCCCATCGAAGGCATTCTTCACTTCTGTTATGGTGCCTTCGGTTTCTAGGATTTCCTTTTGATCTTTCCTAAGGTTTCCATTTCTCTCCTTCACCCACCTGTTCTTGCCTGTTGTCCAATCTTCCCTTTAGAGCCCCTAACATATTAATCTTAGGAATTAAAAAAAATCCTAGTCTGATTAATTCTAACACCTCTGCAAAACCAGAGTCTGGTTCTAATGCTTGCTCTGTTTCTTCAAACTGTGACTTATTTGTCTTTTAGAACGCCTAGTAATTTTTTGTTGTTGAAAGCCAGACAATGATATATTGTGTGAGACAGACTGCAGTATAAAGATCTTTAGTATAAGGTTTTAAAACTTCACTTTTCAATATTTTTTATCTTTCCCATTTTACATGAGATATGTATTTAAACAAGCAGATGCTGGACTTCTAGGGGAAAGTATCAAGGATTCCTTTCTCACTTCTTTTTTGCAAAGACAGATTGGCCCCATGTGAACAGCTATATAGAAAAAAGTGATGAAACTGTCCTTGGTTTTACAACGATTTATTTTAAAAAATTACAATTATCCAGTGGAACAACATATGTGAGGTTTGTTATTATCATGTTGTTGCTGTTGTTGAAACAGGGAGAGTCCTGGAACAGAAAGATCAGAGCTGGATGAGCAAGCCACTAACGGAGAGAGTCTTTCCACAGAACCAGTATTTTCCCCATCCACTTCTCCATGAGATGTCAATCAAGACACACCATCTCCAAGTAGATAGCTTTTAAAAAAAGATATACCACTGGTAAAAGTAATTTAGGAAAGCAAGAAAACAATGACAGCAATATGCTTGTGTGCCTTCACCATTTCACGTCCATTAAAAGAATAGTAGCTCTCTGTCCAAAGATGGAAATAGAAAAATAAAATAAAACAGTAGCCCACAGGCAACATCTGGTGAACCCAACCAAGACTGGTGCCAGTGGGGGCCATCTGGCGAACCATACTGATCCCAAGCTGGTCGCCAAGGCCAACACCTACAGAGGCTACATCTGGTTGACCTGGCGACTTTAATGATGGGCCGTCTTTATTGTTTGCTAGAGTGTTTTCCGAAGCTAAAATTTTCTCTGGTGTCCATGTTTTTGTCTCCCCTGTTATCTTTGAGTTTCTCTACAGCCTTCTTAAATAAGGTCTGAGATGCTCAGTTCTTTCCATTTTATTCCTCTGTTACTACACAGGAGCCTTGCTGATGTGGTGGTATGGTGTCAGGGTATGGGAGGTGTTCTATAGTCCTATGATGAGGTCTAGGTCTTTAGTAAGCCTGTGCCTCTGGGCTGAGATCTTGACAGGTGCTTCTAAGCTTTTTTCTCCCCAGAGAAACAGGAAGGCTGGAGGAAATCTGGAGTTGGTGTTGGCGTTTTTCCTTCCCCCCAAGTTAACTGGGCTCCAATAAAACTCCAATTGGTCAGACTCTGGTAAAACAGTTTCTCTTGAGGGCTGAATGCTCCGGTATACTGTTAAATGGCTACCTTTCCCTTCCCCCGATACAAGCACAATGGGTTGTTCCCTGATCTTCACAGTGAGAACCTAGCAGGGTTCCTAGACATAGAACATAAAACATAAAACAAAAGTGTGCCCCCTCTCTCCAAGACAGGACCCCCTGGAGTGTAACTTGCAAGCTTGTCCACACCGAGCCTCTGGCAATGTGTGAATTAATTGAAGTTTTCTTAGGCTGCTTCTGAGTTCTGCTGGATACGTCCCCTTCAGGTCTTTTGCTCTGGGAAGCTGTGATTCTCTGTTTATTTGCCTGTCATTTGCTCCAATTTGGGGGGCAGCTGTTTGTTCTGTGACAATTCTCTGATGAAGCTAAAAACCATTGATTTTTAGTTTGTTCAACTTTTTCTTATTGTGAAGACAGGAATGACAACTTCCACCTGCCTTATATGCCAGACTAGAAACCAGAAGTCAGAACTCCTGCTTTGGACTGCTTCATTTTGACCTATTTAAACACTGTCTTGTTACAGTTCCTGGATGTTCAGTTGCCACATCCCTGCAGCACCCTGCAGTTAGCTCTGGGAATCTCCTGAACGGTTTCATTTCTGTACATTTGGTTCCTCTAAACACCAGGCAGCTGAATGCACCATCTCCATAAAACAGCCAAGAAGAAGCAGGGTTCATTTTTTTTCTTTTTGCTCGTGGTCTGCCACTATGTGACAGTTACATGGTTTTTAAGGCTTCTTAGCCAATGAAGACTAGATTTTGCTCCCTGTGACCAAAATCCATGCCTTAAATTTTCTGATTTCTCTCTTAGCACCTAGCAAAGTAACAGTAAGGTAGCAGGACTCTGCTCTTTGTTAATAGTAAACTCAAAATTTATTGATGTTTAATCTGGCTCTAATCCAATGGACCAGACCAGAATTAAATAACCAAGAACAGTGAGAAATGCACATGTTGTGATGTCAGCAAGGCCACTTGCTGACCCCAGGCATCATTGCAATGTTCCTTATTTCAGTACTGGATGCACTGCCTCAGTGTGAGGAAGCTGAGCCTGGGAACAGCCCCACAACAGAACATCTTTCCTTTCTGTCCCTTCCGCAAATTCAGAGGCTCTAAGTTTAACTCAGGGGAATACAAGATTCGTAAGGACACATAGGCTGGTGCCACTATATGCTTCTGGATTCCTTCTGATCCACACTATGCTAAGTTTTGCCAGGTATCTTAAGGGGTGGCTGGAACTACACTGAGCAGATTGCATCACATTTTCTACAACTGCAGGGAAAAGGGGTAAGCCCCCCACACTTCCCACAAATCCAGACAGCATGTACACAACCTGGTGTTCTCTCAGGACAACTCAGTAGGCACAGCCAGGTCCAACTAGCCAGCAGTGCTACCACCGTGCCTTGTGATTTTTTTTTTTTTTTTTTTGAGGCAGGGTCTCACTCTGTCTACCCAGGGTGGAGTGCAGTGGCTTCTGGGCTCAAGCGATTCTCCTGCCTGAGCTGCCTGAGTAGTTGAGACTAAAGGCGTATGCCACCACGTCTGGCTAATTTTTGTATTTTTGGTAGAGATGGGGTTTCACCATGTTGGCCAGGCTGGTCTCGAACTCCTGACCTCAGGTGATCCGCCCACCCTGGCCTCCCAAAATGCTGGGATTACAGGCGTGAGCCACCGCGCCCAGCTGTGACCTCTTTTTATAAGTTCTTTCTTCATACAGAAAACTTTGGAAAGAGGGAGAACATAAAATTTTCTAAGTTTTCACCTATGTTGGTTAAAGAAAAAGAAAGTAGGTTATTCAGTTAGTAATGCCAAAGCTAGAACCATAGAAAGAAAGATACTTTTTTTCCTTTTGTTTTCCAGGCTCCTATTCTGGTAAATGGACTATCAGGATTCTCCACAGAATCTTGTGACGACAAGGCAGCAAGCAGCTGCCCTTTGGCACAACATGTAAATGAACTCAGTCACCCCCTGGGTTTTTCCCTCTTCTTTCCCTGCTCTTTAGGAGGACACAGAATCATAGGGAGTAACTAGCTGAAGTTTGCTCTGTACTTTAACAGCAGGCAGGAAGCCAAACTGCAAATACAATGACCAGATTCAGTTTTCAAGCAAACACTGGAACTGAATTCACCCTAGTCCGGGAAGAATGCCTCGGATCAGAACTAGCAGGAAATCCAATTCAAAACAGGGTGTGTCATCCCTAATTCATAGTGTGGCCTTTACACCTTTCATGAAGTCCTTTGGAAATAAAAGCTTCCTTCTGTAAAAGATCTCCCCTAAAAACTACATTTTACTAAATTGTATCAGAAATCTCTTGCAGGAGATATCTTAATTCCCAAGACCAGCACCCTTGGTACAAAGTGTTAGCTCCACTCTTTCTCCTTTGAATACTGAGTATTAAACTTTTAGAATTTATTAATAATTACTTAGTTCTCCCAATTCCCTTCCAACCTCTGAGTGTTCTCTGACATCATGCAGTAGCAACTCCTTTCTTGTTCTCTGGGTCACTTGAATAACTTAATATGAAAATGCTTTGAGACCTTCAGAGAATCAGGACAGTCGCATACTTTGGCCCAGGCACCCGCAAGACGTGCCAGGAGGTTTACGTGCCTGTCTCTCTGCCTCTAGCTGGCTGGGGTTGTCCCACGGCTCTGAGGAGGGACACACGCAAATGCTGAGAGCCTGCAGTTCCTCGGGGGTGGTCAGGAGAGTACAGGACCTGCTGCCCATGGCTGACCTACCAAAATAGTGCTGCGACTATAGGATCCCAGAGGGGCTGCAGTTAGGCATGTGAAACAGTGAGCCACATGCCAAATACACACATTTTAATCTGGATGTACATGGGAGGAGAGTATATGAGAAATGACGAAGCACAGGCTTCCTAAACTGGTTTAGGAGAAGAGGAGGAGGAGATTTCTCATCCACACAATGACAGTACTTTTTATGTTAATTCTTAGTTTGCATAATCTAGTTTCAGGTGGAGAGTCGCCTGATTTACCTAATAAAATACAGGATGCCCAGGTAAATGTAAATTTCAGATAAACAATGAATAATTTTTTTAGCATACATGTGCCTGATAGTTTATCTAAAGTTTACATTTACCTGGCACCCTTTATTTCATTTGGTAACCTAACTCAGATGTCAATTCTAATTAATTCATCTCTAAAATAACTTTTGGTGGTATTTTAGAAGCTACCACACCAGGTATCCTTCCGACACTTCAGGACACTTAATCTGTCATTGTGTTTTTTCATAGGTGTGTGGACAAAACTGCCATCTCCTCACCTCATACGGGAAAACAGAGAGGCCTGCAGTTCTGTGGGAAGACTTCAAAACAGCTCTCAAAAAGTAAAATTGTATCACCAGAGAAACTGGGTTATGTAATGGTGCATACCACACTTCTGTTTTCCTGAGGAAGTTAGCACTTCTTATTGAGAAGGCTGCGGCCTGATCATGCTGTTATTACCACTAAAAAACAAAAATCTGTGAGGCCCCCAGAGGCTGCCCAGCACTATGTAACAGGGAAAAGAGAGGCAGGCCTGGGTGCAGGGTGGTCGCATCCATGATCCAGCCTGACCCCCATCACCAGCCGGCAGGGAGACAGACTCACACTGAAGATAAAGCAGAGCTGCTGTACTGGCTGGACTTGAGGTGGTTTAAGTTGGCAGCTACATCGAAGGACTTCTGAAAAGCTCAAGTGACAGTTACACCTTTGCACTCTCCACATTCAGCTGGCCTTTTCCCTCAAAACATGGATAATCTTCAAACCTCCCTGAACAGGTGGAAATGCGTCTTTCCTCTAAGCCAAGTTCTCAGTCCACATTAGTCCATACTTGGCTACAGAATTGACGTTTGTGGCCACAATCCTACTAGAAATGACCTTTGGGTAATATCCTTATCTTGTTGATCTAGTTAGGGTCAAGTAAAACGAAATAGGTTTTCAATCAAATACTAAGAAGCTCACAAAATGGAATTTAGGTGAAAACACACCAAAGTAGTATTAAAGTTCAAATTCCAAAAGAAATACTTGCATTAAAAAAGAAAAGCCATGCATGGTGGCTCGCTATGCCTGTAGTCCCAACAATTCGAGGTGGGAGGATTGCCTGAGCCTGGGAGGTCGAGGCTGCAGTGAGCTGAGATTGTGACACTGTACTCCAGCCTGGGGGACAGGGTGAGACCCTCGCTCAAAAAATAAAATAAAATAAAATAAATAAATAAAAAATAGAAAGAAAGAAAGCAAACCACACACACACATACAACAAAAAAAGATCACTTTAAATCTTTAAACTATTCCTTTCAAAACAATGTGACAGAAACATCATCAGGTTACTAGAGATTTCACAAATAATGCATAATAAAGAGCTTTCTCAGAAACAGAGTACTACCACCTAATGAAAAAATAAAACCTATCCAAAACCAAGAATCTTCAGTAAATAAAATGCTTTTAGCATTAAAAACTAATAAGATAGCTTTAAAAACCATGTTTTTAAAAATTGCAACAAATACTTCTTACTTTTAACTGTCTTTTTTAACAGAGCAAAGCAATGGAATATTGTGCATCCCACACAGTGACATTGTGTGATTTTGGGTAGGAACACATTTGAACCCTAACCAACCTTGGCAGGAGGAGAGGGTGAGGGAGTCATTTGACCTGGGGTCATGCTGGTAACCGGGACATAGAGACTTCCTCTTTCCCTCTGAGCTCACAGGCCCTTCCCATTTCCACACTGGCTCGGATCCTTCAGCAGCCTTTCCTGCTGCTGACAACCAAATGGAGAAAATAAATGAATTTTAAAACAGTTATTTTCTTCACAGATTTAGGGAAAGACACCATGGGAGGGAAAACACATGTGGGTAAATACAAAATACAGTTACATATTTATTGTGGATGCTGCAGAAACCCCAGAGTCAAAGCACATGCTCCATTGGGAAGAGTGGCGCACAGGAGGAGAGGCTGACCCCTTCAGTATCACAGTTCTTTTTCTCCTGCTCATTCATGTTTCTTTTTTTCTTTTCTTTTTTTTTTTTTTTTGAGACAGACTCTCGCTCTTGTCGCCCAAGCTGCCAGGCTGGAGTACAGTGGCACGATCTCGGCTCACTGCAATCTCTGTCTCTCAGGTTCAAGCGATTCTCCTGCCTCAGCCTTCCCAGTAGCTGGGATTACAGGCACCTGCCACCATGCATGGCTAATTTTTGTATTTTTAGTAGACACGGGGTTTCACCATGTTGGCCAGGCTGGTCTCGAACTCCTGACCTCAAGTGATCCACCCGCCTCCGCCTCCCCAAGTGCTGGGATTATAGGCATAAGCCATCGTGCCTGGCCTCATTCATATATTTCTAAGAACTAGGAACATATTTCATTAACACAAAACACTCCCCAATCTTGTTGATTAGATTTCAAAACTAACTGGAAGAATTCCAAATGCAAAATGGATCTCTCTTCTAAGCTGTCTTGAGTAGAGGAAAATAAAAAAATAAAGAGTGGCCAGGCGCGGTGGCTCACGCCTGTAATCCCAGCACTTTGGGAGGCTGAGGTGGGCGGATCACGAGGTCAGGAGTTCAAGACCAGCCTGGCCAACATGGTGAAACCCCATCTCTACTAAAAACACAAAAATTAGCTGGGCATGGTGGTGCGTGCCTGTAATCCCAGCTACTCCGGAGGCTAAGGCAGGAGAATTGCTTGAATGGGGACCCAGGAGGCGGAGGTTACAGTGAGCCGAGATTGTGCTGACAGAGTGAGACTCGGTCTCAAAAAAAAAAAAAAGAAAAAAAAATCACAACAAAACGACTGGGTATTGTTTCTGGTATCTTCCATGTAGGTTCTGTAATTTCTTCATTTATAGCCACACACGTCCCATAATACCCAAGACAGAAATTTCTGGTATTAATTATTTGCTCTTAAGGAGAAAGCAGTAAGGAAAGGAAGAAATGTGAAACACAGTTATTACTAGTTGATTAGCCAAAGCATGTCCAATTAAATCTCTGGTAAAACTGAATGAGGTTGACCTCAACTTTGCCTTGGAACAGCTCCCTAGAAACAAGGAAGGGTTCAGAGGCATACATGGATCCCATCCAATCTTTGTGACGTATCACCCCATTCTTCGGAGCCTCTCTATTGACAGACGTCTTGGATCCAACATTCATTCTCAAAATGGTACACATGCATTTTCCTCTAAAGAAGTGAAGTCTTTTTACTATTCTTCAGAGCAAGGCCATGTCTATACTTACATTGATGCCATATGGAGCAGCAGGACGATGTCATGCTGGACCCATAAAGGGAAGGTCACAGTTCTGGAGCCATATCCCTGGAAAAGTCTTTGAGCCTCATCCAGTTTGTTAAGATTTTCTCAGGGCCATCAGCAAACCCTACTTTCATCTACAGATCATAGGATGGCAAGATGGGGTTCTTTTGGGAAGTCATGTCCAGTGTCACACAGCTTTGTGATCCACTGGTGGTGGGAATTCAGCAAGTTATTTAACCTTGATGACTTCAGTTTCCCCATCTGCAAATTTACAGTAATACCTCCCTTCCATTTGTGTTAAGGATGAAAAGAAATAGCCTACACAAAGCATTAAATACAGTTAGCTTCTTTTTTGAAAGGAATAAGTTAAGAATTTTCATGCCACTTCCAGCACACGGTCTTGTGCTGCCAAAGATTAGACTGAAAGGGGTGGGAATTGGCTCTGGGGCTGAGAGAGAAAAATATTCATGGTACAAAGATTCTCAAGGCTAGATTTTTAAATGAACAAACTACTCTTTAGCCAGACTTCTGGGAGCTTGCTTGATACAAGCATAAAATTAAACAATTCAACTTTTGTTCAATTCATATCAGACACTCAACATATACCAGTTTCAAAAGGAAGAAAAAAGATGAATGGAACAGGTCCCTCTCATCTATGGGGCTTACACACGTTCAACTGATCATTAACAAGCTGGGGGATCATTTAATGAGCCAGCTGATCAATGCAGGAATGTATACAGAGCTTATAAAATATTTGCCTCTCTGTGTTACAAGAGGCGTGTCCCTAAAATTCCTGTTTATAAGTTTTCAGGAAAACTAAAGATAACTAAGTGGGAATCAAATAACAGATACTCCATATTCAAATACAACTATATTATCTATAGTCAAGTTCAGGCTATAAGATTATTGGTAGCTAACCCCTTTCCTCCCACAGGATTCAGGATGAATTTGTGCTATACCAATTGGTATAAGGGCTTAATATAATGACGAGAGGTAGAATTTTAAAATCTGTCACACTCTATGCTCATTGACTAATTCGGTTGTCTTTGATCATATACCTTGTTTAAAAATTTTTAAAGATCATGTCTCCAATCAAGCATATGTATTTATAAATTAATCTTTTTATTTTTTTTGGAAACTTGTTATAACATATAATCAAAGTATCTTTTTTGTTTGTTGAGGCAGGGTCTTGCTCTGTTACTTAGGCTAGAGTGCAGTGGTGCCATCACAGCTCAGTGCAGCCTTGACCTCCTGGACTAAAACAATCCTGCCACCTCAGCTTCCCAAGTAGTCGGGACTGCAGGCCTGTGCCACCATGCCTGGCTAATTTAAATTTTTTTTTACTACAGACAGGGTCTCGCCATATTGCCCAGACTAGTTCTGAACTCCCAGTCTCAAGTGATCTTCCCTCCTTACTTTGGATTCCCAAAAGTGTTCGGATTACAGGCGTGAGCCACTGCGCTTGACCAAAGCCATCTTTTAAAAAACTTTGTTATGGGGCTTAAAAGAACACATGGTGGCCAGGCACAGTGACTCACTTCTGTAATCCCTGCATTTTGGGAGACTGAGGTAGGTGTGTCACCTGAGGTCAGGAGTTTGAGACCAACCTGGCTAACATGATGAAACCCCGCCTCTACTAAAAAGACAAAAATTAGTTGGGCATGGTGGCATGCGCCTGTAATCCCAGCTACTCAGGAGGCTGATGCAGGAGAATTGCTTGAACCCAGGAGGCAGAGGTTACAGTGAGCTGAGATCGCGCCACTGCATTCCAGCCTGGGCAACAAGAGCGAAACTCTGTCTCCAAAACAACAACAACAACAACAACAACAACAACAACAAAACACATAGCCAGGTCAGAGAACTGTCCACTCTATCATTTTCTTGATCATATGTACTTGGCATTATTAAATTATTTCCAACCTATAGTTCTTTACAGGAATCTTAGAGCTTGGCTTTCAAAGGTTTCACCAATTATTCACATTTCTTCATTTTGCTAACGTAAGACTTTAAAAGTAGCATAAGACTTGAGGCCAGGCACGGTGGATCACGCCTGTAATCCCAGCACTTTGGGAGGCCAAGGCGGGCGGATCACAAGGTCAGTAGACCGAGACCATCCTGGCTAACACAGTGAAACCCTGTCTTTACTAAAAATACAAAAACTAGCCAGGCGTGGTGGCAGGCGCCTGTAGTTCCAGCTACTTGGGAGGCTGAGGCAGGAGAATGGCGTGAACTCGGGAGGCAGAGCTTGCAGTGAGCCGAGATTGCGCCACTGCATTCCAGCCTGGGCGACAGAGCAAGACTCCGTCTCAAAAAAAAAAAAAAAAGTAGCAGAAGACTTCAGTGATATAACAACATGCCCTATCACCCCAGTTCTAGCGAGTGGCTGTCACTAGATGTGAGGCTCTGGTGTGAGTGTGCTCCTGCTTCCCAATGCCTTCAGCACAGCGTCTAGACACATAATGGGACCACCATAACATTTCTTGGTCAAATAAAGAGAAAAGCATCATAAATCAAATAAAAATATTTGTTCCAAATATTCAAAAAGGAAATGCTGTAAACATTTGTACACTTCTAACAGAGATAATTAGGTGAAGCCCAAGGCAAAATACTTACCATTCCAAGAATGTTGTAGCCAATTAAATGGAGCAGCAGGTTCTATAATTTAATTTCTATTAATAAGTTCCTGAATATAATAATAAGCACATCACAAGAATACACCTGAACTTTTAGGATGCCTGCATGTCTAGCATGAGGTGAAAGTGGAACTAACAAAGTGCCTGGCTGCTGTGCCAGACCAATGTATCTATGAATTGCCACCAATGCACTCTTTCACATGGAGAATATCTGTGAATACTCACTGAATAGCCTACAATTACTTTAAATATTTTTTAAAAGTATTAACAACCTTAGAATTTAAAGTAAAAACTCCAACTACAGAATGTATATTAGCTTAACGAAAGAGATTAGAATGAAAAAGAAAAGCTATAACACAATGAAATAGAATACAGAGGCAAGAACTCTTATGATGTATAGGAATATAATATACAATAGGAGAAGCATTTAAAATCAGTGAGGGAAAATTATTCAGAAAGTAGTGCTGATAAAATTGTTTGAAAAGTAATTAAAATTAATCTCTACCCTCAAATGATACATCAAAATAAATTTCAGATGGATTAAAGAGTTAAATACGAATAATGAAACCACGAAAATTAGCAAATTTTTCATTGATTTCATGATTACAAGATGTTCTCACTGTGAATAATTTCACAAATTTCTTTTCAAATTATTTAGTGCCTACATACTATTGATAGCTTTAGGTTAAAAGTATGTTTTTTTCTGAGAAAACTACAATCAGGATAGATGAACATAATCATTTTGGATACCTAATGAATTTGACACAAATATATCAACAGAATATTGTGTAGACAGACTAGCTAATGAGGGAGAAGCCCACTCTTTTCTGAGCCCTCAGGGATCAGCAGCCTCAGGGACATCTGTGGCCATGGATATGCACCTCATATCAAGCACCCAGTGTCTGTGGGCATGGGGAGGGTTGGTATTAGAGTATAAAGGATTGATGAGGAACTCTCTGTATCTTAGTAGCAGACTTTTATTTTGCAAGTAATAGTAATAATTATTTTTTTAAGTGGGGGTATTTCAGAATTTAAAGGTGTATCTGCCAGGCACGGTGGCTCACACCTGTCATCCTAGAACTTTGGGAGGTCGAGACGGGTTGATCACTTGAGGTCAGAAGTTCAAGACTAGCCTGGCCAACTTGGGGAAAATCTGTCACTATTAAAAATGCAAAAAATTAGCTGGGCGTGGTGGCAGGTTCCTGTAATCCCAGCTACTTGGGAGGCTGAGGCAGGAGAATTGCTTGAACCTGGGAGGCAGAGGTTGCAGTGAGCCGAGATCGTGCCACTGTACTCCAGCCTGGGCGACAAGTCATTAGGGAAATGCAAATCAAAACCACAATTAAATACCACTTCACACCCATTAGAATGGCAATTATCAAAAAAAGAAAATAACAAGTGTTGGTGAGAATGTGGAGAAACTGAAACTCCCATGCATTGCTGGTAGGAATATAAAATGATGCAACCTCTGTGGAAAACAATATGGTAGTTCCTTAAGAAGTCAAACCATAAAATCCAGCAATTCCACTCCTAGATCTATAGCCGAAAAAAAATTGAGAGCAGAAACTAAGCAGATACTTGTATACTTATGTTCACAGAAGCATTATTCACACAGTAGTCAAGAAGTGAAAACAAACCTAATATTTCACAGGATGAACAGATGAATGGATAAAAAAAATGTGGCATATACATACAATAGAATATTATTCAGCCTTAAAAAAGGAAGGAAATTCTGACACATAACGTGGATGAACTTTGAAAACATTATGCTAAGTAAAATAAGCCAGACACAAAATAACAAATATTGTATGATTCCACTTAAGAGTTACCTAGAATAGGTAACTTCAAACAGGCAGAAAGTAGAATAGAGGTTGCTAGGGACTTGTGGGGAGAAGGAGTTAGTGTTTAGTAGGCACCAGAGTTCATGCCGGGGATGATGAAAAAGTTCTGGAAATGAAGAGCGGTGTTGGTTGCACCACATTATGATTGTAGTTAATACCACTGAAAATACATCTAAAAATGGTTAAAATGGTAATTTTTATGTTATGCATATTTTACCACAATTTTTTTTAAAAGCATTTCATGAGGCTGGGTATGATGGTTCATGCCTGCAATCCCAGCACTTTGGGAGGCCGAGCCAAAGAACTAACTACTTGAGCCCAGACATTCAAGACCAGCCTGGGCAACGAAGGCAGACTTTGTGTCTTAAAAAGCAGACACTGGCCGGGCGCAGTGGCTCACGCCTGTAATCCCAGCACTTCGGGAGGCCGAGGCGGGCGGATCACGAGGTCAGGAGATCGAGACCATCCTGGCTAATACGGTGAAACCCTGTATCTACTAAAAATACAAAAAATTAGGCTGGTGTGGTGGTGAGCGCCTGTAGTCCCAGCTACTCAGGAGGCTGAGGCAGGAGAATCGCTTGAACCCGGGAGTGGAGGTTGCAGTGAGCCAAGATCACACCACTGCACTCCAGCCTGGGTGACAGAGCGAGACTCCGTCTCAAAAAGGAAAAAAAGGCATTTCATGGACTGTATGTGTATACACACAAAAGCTTACAGAGGAAATGTATTTCTGCCTCAAGGAAGAGCAATTTCATTTATTCAGTCAACAAATGGATTAAATATCTATACGCTTATGAGATCTGCATAGAAAAACAGGTCAGACAATTTAGACCTAGAATTTCATACAGTACTGGGAATGAGAGACAAAATACAATAAAGTCCTGTAAGTGCTATTATAGAGCCATATATGTCACTATTCTGGTCCTAAGATTTGTAGATTAGCCTCCCAAGGGGATTGGGACACTTCCCAAGGATCCTTGGGGACAGTGGCAGGCCTTAATTATACCCCACCTTCATCACTTTCAGTCTTTTCTATACCAGAGGACATCAAAGCTCAGGACAACCACATAACAGTATTCAGTTGATTCTCAAGACAGAATTATCAGGCAGATGTTGACAAGGTTCTTCTTTGCTAAGTGTTTGGAGAACACACACTTAAAAAAGCAGAGAACAATCCCTCATATTTTGAACTATGAGCTTAATTCTGTAAGTAATTCCTCATAAGCACCAAAATAGGTCACTGGTTTCTTTAGCAGAAGATCTTTTAGCAGAAGAAACTGGCAGATAGAAAATTTAAGTAATGGGCTATTGTCAGAAAGCACACTAGAATCAGTTGAAGGCTAGTGGGGGTCAGATGTGGAGGTTAAGCCTCCACAGCACAGTGTGGCCCAGCCTCCCATTTCCATCCCCTACCCTGCCCTGGGACCTCTGTTCAAAAGGAGGACATATGCTCTTCCTTTTGCTGAACTTTAAAGAAAACAGGAAATCGTGTTTAAAATAATTTCTATGATTTTGTGAATCCTTATGATTAACAAATAGCCATTCAAATTCCTCAGAAATGATGAAAAATATAAACCTCAGAAACATAAGGGTAGAATGAATGTCTTTGAAAAGCATAGCCTTTTACAGCCTTTGAAAGCAGTCAGAGGTGCTTGTGAAACCATGTGTGCTGTTTTGGGTGTTGGCCTCAAAGCACATACAAATATAACTTGTAGTATATTGTTTATTTGTTTTTCCTTTTCAGATATCTTAATATCAGTCACCTAAATACTTATATTTCCCTTATCTCCCTCATCATATTCTGATTTCTATTTTTTATGTCTCTCCTAACATTGCCTATTCAAATTACTTTCAATCAGTAACTCTGACAGCCTCAGAATCACATCCAAAAAACCACTTCCACAGACTTTAGCACAGATTTGAGCATACCCCTCTTTTATGCCTCACTGTTTCTTTAGATTTCTACCATAGTAACTGAAAAGTAACACTATACATATTTCTGTAGACACATCCCCTGCAGTGGGCTCCCAGCGCCTCCCTCCCCTCAAACAGGTAACAAGGAGCACATTTTCCTTTTCTCCATGTCATCAGCACCAACACAGAGCAGTGAGTGCATGTTTGTAGAATTGATAGACAAGTGCATTTGGGATATATTAACTTTATGAGACCAGGGATGAGTTTAGGTGATGAGTTTTTGTTTTAGAAATCCCTGTACCAAACCCAATCTAGCAGTCATTTCTATACCAAATGAATGAAAAAAACCTCAATCAGTAACTTCAGAGTCAGACAATTTAACGAATGTAAAATATACAGGACACAAGCAGGCATATTAAAGGCAACAAATGCTAGTTTTTCTCTGTACTCCTGTCAGCTAATACTTAAATTGTTATTATTAGATTCACGGACTTTTGATCAGATACAAAAGGTGCAATGCCATGGACCTTTTTCTGCAGCACTCTCCTGAATGCAAGTACTATGTGACTTTCACATTATAGAACCCATGGTGAGTCACCAACCACAGCCCAAGAAGGCACATGGTTCACCTGTGGGCAAGAGGCAGAGAGAACAACAGTAGGGTGACTATAGCAAAAACAACCTGTTTTCCAAATTCTAATAATAGACTGTAGGAAAACACACATTTAGACACACCTCTAACCCTAGAACTTGTAGCCATTTTAAAGCTATTAACATAGATCCCATGCCAAGCAATAGTCTCTCCTCCTCCCTCACCCTTATATCTAAAAATAAAATGAAACATTACAGCCACATATTTTGCTTGCCTCAGCCAATAGCTCAAAAAACCCCCTCAAGTCCTACTGTTGCTGGATCAGTCCACTGTATACTATGAGTCAGCACTTCTCCAGATTTCTGGAAATTCCTCACCAGCAACATGACCTACAAGAGGAAGCCAACTTTCCATTTCAATGTATAACAGGAAGTATTCAAACAGATTTCACCTAAACTGGAGAACTGTTGTTAATGTAACTGCTGTTATATCAAAATGAGTCCAAATCTACTGAAAGACATCAAGTTGTTTTTTTAAAAAGTATAACATTTTATTTTAAAATACAGACGTATAGATTGTAATTAGCTAAACCCGTATAGTGATTTTGAACAGAGGTACTTTAGTGGCTGGAAGACAAGAAAAACACAAACTTTTCAATTACTGTCTATTTTTCTATTACACATATTATTGCAGAGTTGTAAGACTTGGGCAAAACCTGTTTGTTAAGAATCTGTTTTGTTTTGAATATCTGGTTTGAGCAGTAATGTACAGAAATAACATTGGAAGTGTAAATATTTTGAGAAAAGACATTCTGCAGCAGATGCTAAAATAGAGTTTACCTCTCTCAATGATTGGCTTAAATTTGTTTGAACAGCACAAATTATGTTAATAGATTACAGAGATTTTATGTTTCAGAAGTGACCTTTCAGAATATTAACAGACCTTAAAACAGCCTGTAGATTAACTAGAGGGTTATTTCATCAGGGTCCTTGCTTTTACAGTCAGAAAGCTGCTTTCATAGTTAAAATGTCAACTACAAGAAGTCGTTTTTCCATAATTCTTACAGAGTTTCAAGACTTAAGTTCAGTAAAAAGCCAAATAGCTTAGTTATTACAGTCATTAATAAATTTATTTAACATTCGTGCCGCATCGGAATGCAAGACATCTGTTTCTAATTTCAATTTTGGCTCAGAATAAAAGTGCCTCCCCCGCAATACTTTGATTATAAACTGTCCTTTTCCTCCTCTCTTTTTTTCTTCTTTGGAAGCTGCTGTCCTTCATTCTTGCTGGAAGCCACCTGACCACTGCCAGGAAGAGGAATGCAAAACATTCCCAGGAGCAGCCGTGACGTCAGCGCCACATTCCACCTCTCCGTGGTCAGGGCTGTCGGGAAGCTCCAGCCTCCAGCAAAACCACTGGGAGAGATAGCAGCTGAGGCCTGCACTAAATCATATTATACTAAAACCTCCTTCATGTTATGCTCTAAAAATGCACAATGTCTTCCTCCCAAAACAGAGAGAGGGGGAACAGAGCTGGCTTTATAAGCCATATTTACTGTTTATCTTCAAAACACTTTTGGACTTGGGGGAGGAGAAAAACAAGTAAAAACTGATTAACAACAATCCTCAGTGGACCAATCACCATAGGCAACAGTGTGTAGACAGGGTGAGACGAACAACACAAGAGTTTGGGTTTCAGCTAGCACATCCCCCTCTATTAAACCATCCTCAACAACCCAGTCGCTAAGCTCCCTCTCAGGAGAAAGACAAAAGTCCCACTCAAGGATGCTTTAGAAATGATAAGAAAGTAGTGGATGTGGGGAGGCGCATGGGATGAAGACGGCAGCGGAGCAACAGAAGACGCTGAGAGAGTTCGTGGTGGTGATGGGCACTGAGCAGGACCGGGCCTGCTTCTTCCTCGAGTCGGCTACCTGGGACTTGCAGATTGCGCTAGCGAGCTTTTATGAGGACAGAGGGGAAGAAGACATCATAACCATTTCACAGGCAACCCCCAGTTCAGTGTCCAGAGGCACAGCCCCTAGTGATAATAGAGTGACATCCTTTAGAGATCTCACTCATGACCAAGATGAGGATGAGGAAGAGGAGGAAGGCCAGAGGTTTTATGCCGGGGCCTCAGAGAGAAGTGGACAGCAGATTGTTGGCCCTCCCAGAAAGAAAAGTTCCAATGAGCTGGTGGATGATCTCTTTAAAGGTGCCAAAGAGCATGGAGCTGTAGCTGTGGAGCGAGTGACCAACAGACCTGGAGAGACCAGTACACCAAGACCATTTGCCGGAGATGGCTATGGCCTTGGGGCAGCACCAGAGGAAGAGTCTGCTTATGTGGCAGGAGAAAAGAGACATCATTCCAACCAAGATGTTCATGTAGTACTGAAACTCTGCAAGAGTGGATTCAGCCTGGATAATGGAGGACTCAGAAGCTACTGAGACCCATCCGATGCCCAGTTTCTGGAGTCTATCCACAGAAGGGAGGTGCCAGCAGAGCTGTGGAGGCTAGCTCACAGTGGACAGGCGAACTTGGATATGGAGGAACATCAGGACGAGGACTTTATGAAGTCCAAATAAGCCTTCAAAGCCTTCACTGGCGAGGGTCAGACACCGAGCAGCACTGCCCCCTAGGTGTTGAGTACCATCTCTCCAGTCCAACTGGCAGAAAATGAAGCCAAAGCCAGCTCTTCCATCTTAATCGTCGAATCAGAGACTACCACAAACATCCAAATTCGGCTTGCAGACGGTGGGAGGCTGGTGCAGAAATTTAACCACAGCCACAGGATCAGCAACATCCAACTCTTCATTGTGGATGCCCGGCCAGCCATGGCTGCCACCAGCTTTATCCTCATGACTACTTTCCCAAACAAAGAGCTGGCTGACGAGAGCTGGACCCTGAAGGAAGCCAACCTGCTCAATGCTGCCATCATGCAGTGGTGAACCTAACTGCCCAGGCAGCTGCCTGGCCTCTCTCCTGTGTTTCTCACAGCCAGTGGCCATGCCCCATGGGGATCATCCCTCCTGCCCCCTTGTACACACCAGTAGTCCAGTGTGACATCTCCTCCACAGCTCTAGGTTCTTAGGTGTTGGTTGAACATTTGTTTTCTCCTTAGTTGTATTTCCTGGGTTTTTGTGATGATCAATGGACTTTAATGAAAAAAATAAAAATAACCAAAAACAAGTAGTGGATGTATTTTCACTAAAAAGAAATATTATATAGACATAGAAACTGAAGATTGTAATTATTGCAAAAAATTCCAAACATACACATAATTCTTATACAATTTTTCACTTGTAACTTCCTAGACTCTATCAACAATTCAACAAGTATATTTGTTAACTGTTTGTGCAACTACATTATACACAACATTTTGTTTTTTTTTTGCAAATACTCTACTGAATATTTCCCCATTCTATTTAATATATTATGATCTTTCATACTTTATGAAACTCTAAAACTGTAAAATAATTTTTGGGAGGGAGAGAAGAGTTCTATTGCAAAAAAAAATGCTTTATGCACATAATTTTTTTATGCTAAACAATTTCCTTGGAATAAACTTGCAGGCATGGACATCTAGATTAAGTATGCAATTTCTTTTGACATTTGCTACATATTGCTATGCTAATTTCCAAAAGAACTGTACTCAGTAAGACAATTACACATTTCAGCCTCCGCACTGTAACTCTGTCAGCATTTGTGTGTGCACACATAATTACACATAGAGTTGACACAGACATTTTGCCAAGATATTTTAATTTAACTTTTTTTGATTAATAATGAGACTGAAGATTCCTTCATGAGTTGGGTTTTGGGCAACTTCTGAGGTGAGAATTTTTAGGAAAAAAAACCCCCACATTGCAAGTAATGATTATAGCTGAAATCGAAATGCAGATTTTACCTTCATCCAAACAAAAAAAATTGCTGTATTTGAGTTTCTTAATAATACATGCTGTTTTTAGGAGCATCAACATTTGACATGACACAAATTGTAGTTTCTGGATAGGGAGTGTGTGTGGTGTACAGATGTGTGTTAAGTGTGTGTCGTGTGTGTGTGTGTGCATGTGTGTGGTATGTGCATAAGTGGTATGTGATGTGTGGTGTGTGTGTCACGTATGTGTGAGTGCATCATATTATACGCATGCACACATCCACGTGCCACCATGGTATTTGTGTTGTAACAAAAGAGGACAAGAAGTCAAGAGATATACGTTGTAGACCTAGTTCTGCCCCAGAAAAGTTAATTACCTTTTCTGAATTTCTTTCCTCATCTGTAAGAATCTAGTTTTACGAATACCATACAGTTATCTAAAGAGGAAGTAAGAAAATAAATGTGAAAGTAGGCTGAAAAGTTATGCGACTTGCTTTTTTGTCTGTTAGATGTTGTAATATGTTACTAGAGAAAGATATCCAAGGTATAAAACTGGGAGTTCATCACAGTTGCCAAAATGCCAGTCTATAAGTGGCACTCTCCTGGGCCCTAAAACCAAGTACCTTAAAACTTCTACCTTCTGCATAGTTTAACAGCCCCCTGTAATAGAAACTAGAATAGCTAGATGCCAGGAATGTCTTGATAAAATACAGATGTAGAAATATAGACTTAGGGGGATCTACCATGTCTCCTGCTTACCCACCTCGTAACTACACTCCCAAGAGGCTACAGACAGGAATTCCGGCCAGCATTGCAGATGCTGCCTCAAGGGCTTCCGGATTTCTACAAGAACAGGAATGGCTGAGGTAGCAGAGCTAAGTGTCCAGAGGCAAGAGGATCTGGCTAACATAACAAGCCGAAGGGCCAAAGTGTGTGTAAGCTAGCTGGGTATTTGGGAATGGACAGTTAATGAGAGGGTCTGTAGGGCCAGAGTAGTGGGAAAGCCTCAGACACTCTAATCTGATCTGTAGGCAGGTGACAGAGGCCTAGAGGGATCCAGCACGACAGCCTCAATAGCCGCTCTTCTCTCGTCCAACAGCCTCTCACTGAAGGAGTGGCTGGTCCTTTAAGAAAGAACACTTCCATTTTATATACATATATATATATAAAATGGAAGGACACTTCCATAATACATAATCATGTAACAAGTCTTTCTTCTACCCATTCCCAAAGGATGTGCAGCTACTTTTGAGGAGAAAAAGAAACAACCGGACTTCTCAGCACTTATTGGACATTCTCCCGGAGGACTCAACACCTCTGTGTCCTGATGGTGGGGTGGAAGCTGCGTGGGGGTCAGATACAAATGGAGACTGTGGTATTATTACCTGCCAGAACCTGGGTTTACAGATGGGATCTACACTTACACACAGGGAGAATTTCCACAGTTGTGTCTTGACCTATGCAGTGAGCATTGTTAGAATTCGAGGGGCTCAAGAAAAGCTTCTGAACTTCTCTTCCCTGCCACAATAGCAACCGAAAGCAACACGGCATCTTTTAGAGGAACTGCAAAAATTAATGCCACTGTCAAAGATTTGAAAGGTTCAGGGTGGTGACTCCTATCACATCTCTTTTTGTGTGTGCAGCCCTGTGCAGAAGACACATAGGTCTTTGAGAATGACAGTGGATTATACCAAACTTTATCAAGGAGAAACTCCAGTTAATCAAACTCAGTATATCAAGTCAATGCATTCCCTTATCTGGTGTGCAGCTACTGATATGACAAAAGTGGTATGTGTTTGCATGTACGTGTTTTCCTATCCCAATAGCAGGAAAACAGAAAGCTACTTGCTTTCACCATCTTGCCTGAGCACTGTGTCAATTCTGGTTCTGTGCCATAACTCAGTCTATAGGAACGTCAATCATCCTACCAGCCCACAAGACATGATGGCATCATGCTGATAGGATTTGTTAGTGAGAAGTAACAATACCTGAGAATAGCTTGTTAAGGCAAGTATTTGCAGGAGGGCAGAGAACACATTCCTCCAGTCTGCTCCCAGGGTAGCCTTTTGAGTACTACCTTGATCTATTTACTGAGTAACCCATAATTACTCAATCCAGTATTGAGTGGGCCAAGAAAAAGCCCTCCATATGGGCTAGGATGGAAGGCAAGCAACTCTGCCCTTGCTCATGTGGCCAATGAACTGGGATACTCGAAGTCAAAACAGAAGAGTGGGAAGTCCCAAGGTTTTGGGGTCACACAATACTCTATATAGCAAGTAACTATTTTCCTTTTGATACACACAGATTGGCTTAATACTGGCTCCTAGTGGAGAATGAACAGCTGACATTTCATGTTAGTTAACTGTGAAAACATGGCCATGGGACCCACATGAACTGGGTATTGGGGCTACAGAGAAGGACATGTCCAGGATACTGTGTCCTCAAGTAAAAGTCATATATATATAGCATATTTAGGTGTGAATAGCATCCAAAATTAAGTTCCGTCAACAAGAAGCTTATATTACTGATGTGCCTACTCTTGCATCCTGCCATCCTTCCCTCAGCCCCCCACCAGGGCTCATGGGAAAGTCTGCATGACCAGCTGTCTGAGGAGCTCGTATCCAGATGGAGCAACACGATATGAGCAGCTGAAATCGGCTGTTACAGCTTTGCAGCTTCCTTCACAGAAGGCCCTGACAGAGGAGCAGAGCTTCCCATGGCATGTCTTGGGTCCAGTCTGCCCAGAAGAGATGGCATGAGGTATCAATCACACTGATTCATGGGCAGCAGCAACTACTGAGCTAAACCATTGGGAAGACGCTTTATGGGCACATATCATGGACTATCTGACCCAACTGAAAGACAGCTTGCAGTACAAGCCTCTACTCACAAAGAATCAGAACTTACATTGACCAGCACAGACAAAGGAGGAAGAAGACTGAGGAGCTGGCAGCAGGTGGCTGGGAAGAGGCATATGGGTGGATTTCTTGAACCAGGAGTAAGACAGATACGGTGTCCATCTGAATGCTTACTGGAGAGAAGGCTCTCAAAAACCAGGTGGACATGATAAATCACCCTATGAATGCTTGTCTCACTCTCTCCACAGTAGCCCAGAGGTTGTTTAGTGGGCTCATTAGCAAAGTGACCACAGTGGTAGAAGTACAACATGGGCAGCCTCCCTGCACAGAGCTCAGCTATTTCCCAACACAGTGGAGTGTCAACTTGCTAGGAACAACAATCGATTTGGAGGGACCGCCTGCTACATAATAACCGGTTAATTACACTCAATCCCTTCTATCATGACAGGATACCATTTTATCCTCACTAGAAGATATGCCTACTCAGGTTTGGTTTTGTCTTCACTGTCTGCCAGTAACACTGCATATGTCCGTAAACCCACTAAGTAATACATTTGGATACTTTAGGGCATGTAGACCACAAAATGGGTAGTAACCACTTGTAGAAATGAGAAGTCTAATAATTATGCATACTTCTTCCTCTCTCGGTGTGGCAAGTATATATTTATGCATGTTAACTAATTTCCTTTCTCCATTTCCCCAGTTTTAGATAGGGTCTATTGGTGATATTAGCCTTGCAATTCATTCTATAGGTTACAGGATCCCAGAATTCTAAGACAGAACACTGCCTAAATTAGAGAAAGAAAGAACGATCACCCTGAGAACCTGCACTGGTGGAACCAACTGCAGAAACAAACGAGATTTTGGGACTGCCCTCTAGGTAGAGTGAGACCCTCATTATTTCTATACGGGAGAGCTGTATGATGGTGTAAATAAATTGTTGCTGCTGTTGTTTGGAAATGTAAGGGGGGTTTATGTTGACACAGAACACACAAACATGCAGCTGAAATAGCAGCATTTGTGCTGAACTGTCTAGTAGCTGCCCTCCTCCCTGTGTTACTTCCAGGTGGGTAGGAAGCAGCCAAACATGTTCTGCTTAGAAAGCCTCGCCTGGATTCTGTCATCTGCAACTGAGCTCTCAACTCTTGTAGCATTACAAGAAACAAAGGAGGTACTATACATGCAGAAATGGTTTGAGAAAGTATAGAAACATCTACAGAAGGCATAATTTTCCATTTTATAGTTTAAGATTCAGAAAATGATGAGTCAGAAGATACATTCAATGTGCCAGGAGGGCAATACTCAAAAATAATGGAATTACATACACTGAAATTATGCCCAAGATATAGGCTAAGTATACTTATGGTTGAGAAGTGACGGAAAAAAATTCACAAAAGGTAACGGTTCGGAGAGAGTGAACACTAATATCCTTAGTAGGGAAGCCCGGGTGGCACTGCTAGTGTTGTCACTAGATGACCACAGATCAGTGCAGTTGAAATGCTGCTGTACCGAATAGGAACAGCTCCAGTCTACAGCTCCCAGCGTGACCAACGCAGAAGACCGGGGATTTCTGCATTTCCAACTGAGGTATCGCACTGGGGAGTATCGGAAAGTGGGCGCAGCGGACCGAGCATGAGCCGAAGCAGGGCGAGGCACTGCCTCACCCGGGAAGCGCAAGGGGTCAGGGAATTCCCTTTCCTAGTCAAAGAAAGGGGTGACAGATGGCACCTGGAAAATTGGGTCACTCCCACCCTAATACTGCGCTTTTCCAATGGTCATAGCATATGGCACACCAGGAGATTATATCCCGCACATGGCTTGGAGGGTCCTATGCCCACAGAGCCCTGCTCATTGCTAGCACAGCAGTCTGAGATCAAGCTGCAAGGCGGCAGCGAGGCTTGGGGAGAGGCGCCCGCCATTGCTGAGGCTTGGGTAGGTAAACAAAGTGGCGGGGAAGCTCGAACTGGGTGGAGCCCACCGCAGCTCAAGGAGGCCTGCCTGCCTGCCTCTGTAGCCTCCACCTCTGGGGGCAGGACATAGCCAAACAAAAGACAGCAGAATCCTTTGCAGACTGAAATGTCCCTGTCTGACAGCCTTGAAGGGAGTAGTGGTTCTCCCAGCACTCAGATGGAGATCTGAGAATGGACAGACTGCCTCCTCAAGTGGGTCTCTGACCCCTGAGTAGCCTAACTGGGAGGCACCCTTCAGTAGGGGCAGACTGACACCTCACACGGCCGGGTACTCCGCTGAGACAAAACTTCCAGAGAAACGATCAGGCAGCAACATTTGCTGTTCACCAATATCAGCCACTCTGCAGCGTCTGCTGCTGATATCCAGGCAAACAGGGTCTGGAGTGGACCTCCGGCAAACTCCAACAGACCTGCAGCTGAGGGTCCTGACTGTTAGAAGGAAAACTAACAGAAAGGATATCCACTCCAAAACCCCATCTGTACGTCACTATCATCAAAGACACAAAGGTAGATAAAACCACAAAGATGGAGAAAAAACAGAGCAGAAAAACTGGAAACTCTAAAAATCAGAGTGCCTCTCCTCCTCCAAAGGAACACAGCTCCTCACCAGCAATGGAACAAAGCTGGACGGAGAATGACTTTGACGAGTTGAGAGAAGAAGGCTTCAGATGATCAAACTACTCCGAGCTAAAGGAGGAAGTTTGCACCCATGGCAAAGAAGTTAAAAACCTTGAAAAAAGATTAGACGAATGGCTAACTAGAATAACCAATGCAGAGAAGTCCTTAAAGGACCTCATGGAGCTGAAAACCAAGGCACGAGAACTATGTGACAAATGCACAAGCCTCAGTAGCCGATTCGATCAACTAGAAGAAAGGGTATCAGTGATAGAAGATCAAATGAATGAAATGAAGTGAGAAGA
The DNA here is from genome assembly GCF_000001405.40 of Homo sapiens. Lineage (NCBI taxonomy): Eukaryota > Metazoa > Chordata > Mammalia > Primates > Hominidae > Homo > Homo sapiens. The sequence goes on along the minus strand of NC_000008.11, from coordinate 47,504,360 downwards.
GAAGTTTAGAGAAAAAAGAAAAAAAAGAAACGAACAAAGCCTCCAAGAAATATGGGACTATGTGAAAAGACCAAATCTATGTCTGACTGGTGTACCTCAAAGTGACGAGGAGAATGGAACCAAGCTGGAAAACACTCTGCAGGATATTATCCAGGAGAACTTCCCCAATCTAGCAAGGCAGGCCAACATTCAAATTCAGGAAATACAGAGAACGCCACAAAGACACTCCTCGAGAAGAGCAACTCCAAGACACATAATTGTCAGATTCACCAAGGTTGAAATGGAGGAAAAAACGTTAACAGCACCCAGAGAGAAAGGTGAGGTTACCCACAAAGGGAAGCCCATCAGACTAACAGCTGGTCTCTCGGCAGAAACTCTACAAGCCAGAAGAGAGTGGGGGCCAATATTCAACATTCTTAAAGAAAAGAATTTTCAACCCAGAATTTCATATCCAGCCAAACTAAGCTTCATGAGTGAAGGAGAAATAAAATCCTTTACAGACAAACAAATGCTGAGAGATTTTGTCACCACCAGGCCTGCCCTAAAAGAGCTCCTGAAGGAAGCACTAAACATGGAAAGGAACAACCGGTACCAGCCACTGCAAAAACATGCCAAATTGTAAAGACTATAGATGGTAGGAAGAAAATGCATTAACTAATGAGCAAAATAACCACCTAACATCATAAAGACAGGATCAAATTCACACATAACAATATTAACCTTAAATGTGAATGGGCTAAATGCGCCAATTAAAAGACACAGACTGGCAAATTGGATAGAGTCGAGACCCATCAGTGTGCTGTATTGAGGAAACCCATCTCACGTGCAGAGACACACATAGGCTCAAAATAAACGGATGGAGGAAGATCTACCAAGCAAATGGAAAACAAAAAACGGCAGGGGTTGCAATCCTAGTGTCTGATAAAACAGACTTTAAACCAACAAAGATCAAAAGAGACAAAGAAGGCCATTACATAATGGTAAAGGGATCATTCAACAAGAAGAGCTAACTATCCTAAATATATATGCACCCAATACAGGAGCACCCAGACTCATAAAGCAAGTCCTTAGAGACCTACAGAGAGACTTAGACTCCCACACAGTAACAATGCGAGACTTTAACACCCCACTGTCAACATTAGATATATCAACGAGACAGAAAGTTAACAAGGATATTCAGGAATTGAACTCAGTTCTGCACCAAGCGGAACTAATAGGCATCTACAGAACTCTCCACCCAAAATCAACAGAATATACATTCTTTTCAGCACCACAACACACCTATTCCAAAACTGACCACATAGTTGGAAGTAAAGCACTCCTCAGCAAATGTAAAAGAAGAGAAATTATAACAAACTCTCTCTCAGACCACAGTGCAATCAAACTAGAACTCAGGATTAAGAAACTCACTCAAAACTGCTCAACTACATGGAAACTGCACAACGTGCTCCTGAATGACTACTGAGTACATAACGAAATGAAGGCTGAAATAAAGATGTTCTTTGAAACCAATGAGAACAAAGACACAACATACCAGAATCTCTGGGACATATTCAAAGCAGTGTGTAGAGGGAAATTTATAGCACTAAATGCCCATAAGAGAAAGCAGGAAAGATCTAAAATTGACACCCTAACATCAAAATTAAAAGAACTAGAGAAACAAGAGCAAACACATTCAAAAGCTAGCAGAAGGCAAGAAATAACTAAGATCAGAGCAGAACCGAAGGAAATAGAGACACGAAAAACCCTTCAAAAAATCAATGAATCCAGGAGCTGGGTTTTGAAAAGATCAACAAAATTCATAGACTGCTAGCAAGACTAATAAAGAAAAGAGAGAAGAATCAAATAGACGCAATAAAAAATGATAAAGGAGGTATCACCACCGATCCCACAGAAACACAAACTACCATCAGAGAATAATATAAACACCTCTACGCAAATAAACTAGAAAATCTAGAAGAAATGGATAAATTCCTGCACACATACACCCTCCCAAGACTAAACCAGGAAGAAGTTGAATCTCTGAATAGACCAATAACAGGCTCTGAAATTGAGGCAATAATTAATAGCTTACCAACCAAAAAAGCCCCGGACCAGATGGATTCACAGCCGAATTCTATCAGAGGTACAAGGAGGAGCTGGTACCATTCCTTCTGAAACTATTCCAATCAACAGAAAAAGAGGGAATCGTCCCTAACTCATTTTATGAGGCCAGCATCATCCTGATACCAAAGCCTGGCAGAGACACAACAAAAAAAGACAATTTTAGACCAATATCCTTGATGCACATCGACAGAATCCTCAATAAAATACTGGCAAACCGAATCCAGCATCACATCAAAAAACTTATCGACCATGATCAAGTGGGCTTCATCCCTGGGATGCAAGGCTGGTTCAACATACACAAATCAATAAACATAATCCAGCATATAAACAGAACCAATGACAAAAACCATATGATTATCTGAATAGAGGCAGAAAAGGCCTTTGACAAAATTCAACAACCCTTCATGCTAAAAACTCTCAATAAATTAGGTATTGATGGGACGTATCTCAAAATAATAAGAGCTATCTATGACAAACCCACAGCCAATATCATACTGAATGGGCAAAAACTGGAAGCATTCCCTTTGAAAACTCGCACAAGACAGGGATGCCCTCTCTCACCACTCCTATTCAACATGGTGTTGGAAGTTCTGGCCAGGGCAATCAGGCAGGAGAAAGAAATAAAGGGTATTCAATTAGGAAAAGAGGAAGTCAAATTGTCCCTGTTTGCAGATGACATGATTATATTTCTAGAAAACCCCATCATCTCAGCCCAAAATCTCCTTAAGCTGACAGGCAACTTCAGCAAAGTCTCAGGATACAAAATCAATGTGCAAAAATCACAAGCATTCTTATACACCAATAACAGACAAACAGAGAGCCAAATCATGAGTGAACTCCCATTCACAATTGCTTCAAAGAGAATAAAATACCTAGGAATCCAACTTACAAGGGATGTGAAGGACCTCTTCAAGGAGAACTACAAACCACTGCTCAATGAAATAAAAGAGGATACAAACAAACAGAAGAACATTCCATGCTCATGGATAGGAAGAATCAATATTGTGAAAATGGCCATGATGCCCAAGGTAATTTATAGATTCAATGCCATCCCCATCAAGCTACCAATGACTTTCTTCACAGAATTGGAAAAAACTACTTTAAAGTTCCTATGGAACCAAAAAAGAGTCCGGATCCCCAAGTCAATCCTAAGCCAAAAGAACAAAGCTGGAAGCATCACGCTACCTGACTTCAAACTATACTACAAGGCCACAGTAACCAAAACAGCATGGTACTGGTACCAAAACAGAGATATAGATCAATGGAACAGAACAGAGACCTCAGAAATAATGCCGCATATCTACAACCATCAGATCTTTGACAAACCTGACAAAAACAAGCAATGGGGAAAGGATTCCCTATTTAATAAATGGTGCTGGGAAAACTGGCTAGCCATATGTAGAAAGCTGAAACTGGATCCCTTCCTTACACCTTATATAAAAATTAATTCAAGATGGATTAAAGACTTACATGTTAGACCTAAAACCATAAAAACCCTAGAAGAAAACCTAGGCAATACCATTCAGGACATAGGCATGGGCAAGGACTTCACATCTAAACCACCAAAAGCAATGGCAACAAAAGCCAAAACTGACAAATGGGATTCAATTAAACTAAAGAGCTTCTGCACGGCAAAAGAAACTACCATCAGAGTGAACAGGCAACCTAAGAATGAGAGAACATTTTTGCAATCTACCCATCTGACAAAGGGCTAATATCCAGAATCTACAATGAACTCAAACAAATTTACAAGAAAAAAACAAACAACCCTATCAACAAGTGGGTGAAGGATATGAACAGACACTTCTCAAAAGAAGACATTTATGCAGCCAAAAGACACATGAAAAAATGCTCATCATCACTGGCCATCAGAGAAATACAAATCAAAACCACAATGAGATACCATCTTACACCAGTTAGAATGGTGATAATTAAAAAGTCAGGAAACAACAGGTGCTGGAGAGGATGTAGAGAAATAGGAACACTTTTACACTGTTGGTGGGACTGTAAACTAGTTCAACCATTGTGGAAGTCAGTGTGGCGATTCCTCAGGGATCTAGAACTAGAAATACCATTTGACCCAGCCAGCCCATTACTCGGTATATACCCAAAGGATTATAAATCATGCTGCTATAAAGACACATGCATATGTATGTTTATTGTGGCACTATTCACAATAGCAAAGACTTGGAACCAACCCAAACGTCCATCAATGATAGACTGGATTAAGAAAATGTGGCACATATACACCATGGAATACTATGCAGCCATAAAAAAGGATGAGTTCATGTCCTTTGTAGGGATATGGATGAAGCTGGAAACCATCAATCTCAGCAAACTATCGCAAGGACAAAAAACCAAACACTGCATGTTCTCACTCATAGGTGAGAACTGAACAATGAGAACACATGGACACAGGAAGGGGAACATCACACACCAGGGCCTGTTGTGGGTGGGGTGGGGGCAGGGTGGAGGGATAGCATTAGGAGATATACCTAATGTTAAATGACGAGTTACTGGGTGTAGCATACCGACATGGCACATGTATACATATGTAACTAACCTGCACGTTGTGCACATGTACCCTAAAACTTAAAAGTATAATAAAAAAAATTATGGCTGTGTTCCTGGAAAAATTTTCCACAGATGGCTAAATGAGTCTAGTAAACAAAATAAAACAACAAAAATCAAGGGTAAAAAAAAAAAAAAAGAAATGCTGCCGTATCATTTGATGGTCTCTACTTCTGAAAGTCATGGTGCTCAATTGTCCACAAGTAGTTCAAATGTTTTAATGAAGCCAAAGTGGTTCTAGAGCCATTCCAGGGATTCAAGTCTGCTTGACAGGAGAGAGCCTGGGGTGGAACTATATTTTAGAGGAAACCCCAAAGCTCTAAGAAACTGTCTGAGCCAACACTGGTGCAAACATACATCCGTCATTTGGATGATACCAGTCTATATTCTAAAAGTCTGACAGTCATAGACTTTGCATGAACTTCTGTCATTAGTTACATGTCAGTGCAGTACAGCCAAGAACCATGCATCAAGCAATGTGTTACGTACTCTTCATATTTTCTCTGCTTAGTATTACCAAAGCAATTTTCCATCAGTCAAGAGGCATTTATTGAGTTCCTCCTGGGCAGACAGCAGTAAAGGCTCACTGATCCACATAAATGGTTTTTATGGTTTCTTTTGCTAAACAGTTAGAATTTCTGATACTGAAAGTTAACTGAAGGAAAACAGAGGTCTTTGCTTCTAGATGGTAATGAAAAACCCTCGTGGTAGTGATTACAAATATTTTCTTAAATGAGCAAAATAGGTACATATTGCGACACTGTTTATTCAGTACGTCATCAAAAAGCTAAATGAAGAAACACTGAATTTGGGATCAAAATGAACCAGCTAAGTAAGGGCACGGCAATTACTCAATATAGATATAAAAGATATTCTTAACATTATGCCTTTCTTTTATAGCAAAGACAATGGAGTATATCATACACTATGGACTGGTTGAACATAAATGCAAACATGTTAGGTCTAAGTTGGTGTGGCAAATGTACAAGTCTTGACCTGATAGATGTGATATTCTCTCCCTTAGGCAGCAAAGGAAAAGCCCAGAAAATAGCACAGAGTATCTAGGATATACCAGCAGTAACAGTCAAAAAAACTTCATCCTGGTCCTATTTTTATAGTCAGAATACAGACAATCTTCCTAGAGACTATCTGGGAAGGTCATAAACACTGAAAGCATTCATTGTAACTCATAACTTAAGCATTGTTTTGTATTACTGCTTTATTTTAAAACAAAAAAGCTATTTTTCAATAATGTTCTGGGTTGCTTTTAAAAATGGTGATTTGATTATTACAGTGTGTTAGATCATAAAAGAGCATATTTAACCTGGGTTGCTTTGATAAAGAAACTGCTGACCTCAGTTATTCAAGATGGAACGTTTGCCAATAAGTGCCTTTGTTGCTCATTACCAGAATGATGCAAAGGAACTTTTAGATCAACTGGCCAACAATGTGCTTCCCTTTGGCCTATCACTGCCAAAACAAGGGAGAGAAAGAGAGACAGAGAGAGAGAGGCATCATCTGTCCTCCAGTCTTATAAGAAAACACACATCGGTCTTTTTCTTTGTTTCAACATTGAAAGTTACAGTTAATTCTTGACATTATGTTTGTATTGATGTTATAGTCAATTCAGAAAAGAAAGCAGTGCTCACCTTGCTTACCCGCTCCTCTTTGGGTACCTCTAAATAACTCTGCTGTGCAAATGCATGCCTTCTTTCAGCAACGAAGCACTGTATGTAACTGCCACAATTCCCTTTGTTAAACTAACATAATGAACAGGCTCTCCACATGAAGACTCTGCCTTAGGTAGTTTCCTTGCTAGCCTGTCTTTAGAGTGATGCCTGACAACAGCTGTCGAAAGACCAGATGGACTGTAGACAGATACTCCAAGCCCTCTAAAACACTATATTTACATGCAATGTCAATTTAAACTAAACCCTTTACCCTTGTAGAACTAATAATTCCATCAAGCCTTACCAAAAAAAATCAAGCAAAATTAAAAGCTATGGTTATGCTAAATGAAAAGTTGTAAAAAGCTTATTCCTTTTAAGTGCACATAGACATTCTCCCAAACAGACCATATGCTCAGTAAATTCAAAATGATGGAAGTCATGCAAGGTATCTTATTTGACCACGGCGAAATGAAATTTGAAATCAACAGCACTAAGAAATTTGGAAAATTCACAAAGATGTGGAACTTAAATGACACACCCCTAAATAACCAATAGGCCAATGAAGCAATCACAGGGACATTAGAAAATACTTTGAGATTAATGAAAAGGAAAATACAACAAAGCACAACTTATGACATCAAGCTAAAGCAGTGCTTAGAAGAGTATTTATATTTGTGAATGACTGTATTAAAAAAGACAGACCTCAAATCAACAAAAACTTTCATCTTAAGAAACCAGAAAAATAAGAAAAAACAAAACCCAAAGCACGCACAGGAAGAAAATAACAAAGATTAAGCAGAAATACATGAAATAGAGAATAGAAAACAATAAAGGAAACCAATGAAACCAAAAGATGGTTGTTTGAAAAGACCAACAAAATCAACAAACTATTAGCTAGGGTGACCAAGAAAAAATGAGAGAAGGCTCAAATTGTGAAAATCAGAATCGAAAGAGAGGAAGCACTACCAAGCTTACAGAAAGCAAAGGGATTCTATAGCACACTAAAAGGAAATAAACTGAGCAACCGTAAGCCAACAAATGAGAAAATGGAAGTAAAATGGACAAACTTCTAGAAAGGCACAAACTCCCAAAACTGACAGGTAGAAATTAAAAATCTGAATAAATCTATTACAAATAAAGAAATTAAGTCAGTAACTTAAAACTTCTGACAAACAAACAAACAAACAAACAAACAAACAAACATAGGCCCAGATAGTTTCAGTGGTGAATTCTACCAAATGTTTAAAGAGAAATTCATAACAATCTTTTACAAACTCAAAAAAAAAAAAAAAAAAGAGTAGGGAATTCATTCTATGAGGTCAATAGTATTACTCTCACACCAAAATAAAAGACATCACAAGAAAATTCCAGACCCATATCTCTTATGAGTATATATGCAAAAACTCTCACAAAATGTGAGCAAACCAAATCCAGCAACACATAAAACGGATTATATACCACAACTAAATGAGATTTATACCACGAATCATAGGTTGCTTTACCACTTGAAACTCAATTAATGTAACAGAATCATCTCACTAAAGAAAAAAAGTGACATAATCATCTAAATAGACACAGAAAAAGCATTTTACTAAATTTAATACATGTTCATGATGAAAACACTCAAGAACTTCAGAAATACAAGACAACTTCCTCAAACTGACAAACAGCATCCACAAAAGCCCTACAACTAACATCAGACTTAATGGTGAATGCTTTCCCTGAACACTTTCCCCCTAAGATCCACAAAAGGACAAAGATGTCTGCTCTGACACTTCTATTCGACATTGTACTAGAGGTTCCAGTCAGGGAAATGAGGCAAGGGGGGAATAAATAAAGGCATCCTGATTGAAAAGCAAGAAGTAAAACTCCCTATTAGCAGATGACGTAATCTTGTATATAATAAAGAATCTTAAAAAAACTGTTATGAGTAATAAATGAGTTTAACAAGTTTATATGATACAAGATCAATATACAAAAATTAATTGTATTTATCTTAAATTTAAATTGTATTTCTATATGATCAGACAATATGAAAATGAAATTAAAAACAAAAATTTCATTTACAATAGTATCAAAAAACACTTGACGGGATGGTACATAGACCTAAAGTCAATAGTGGCATAAGGACAGAAATATAAATCAATGGGAAAGAATTGATCCTTGAACTTACAGTGAATTGATTTTCAACAAGAGTGCCAAGAAAATTGAAGAAGAAGAAAGTTATATTTTCAAAAATGGTGCTAGAACTGGATATTCTCAGGCAAAAGAATGATTTTGAACCCCTTTTTACATCATACACAAAAATTAACTCAAAATAGATTACAGATCTAAAAGGAAGAGCTAAAACTATGAAAGTCTTGAAAGAAAAAATTGGAGCAAATATTTGAAACCTCGGACCAGGCAATGGCTCCTTAGATATGATACCAAAAGGACACGTGACAAAAATAAAAAAATAGATAAGCTGGAATGAAAAGTAGTAGCTAATGGGTACAGGGTTTCTATTCGGGGTAATGAAAACATTCTCATGGTTGTACAACTCTGTGAGTATATAAAAAACCACTTAACTATACATTTTAAAATGAAGAATTGTATACTATGTTAATTATATCTTTTTTTTTTTTTGGGTGGGAGGGGGTAAAGCAGCTCTCATATACCTGTTTTATACATCCTTTTAGATGATACTTGTACCATCTCAGAGGACAAGGAGACAAAGACTGAGGTGAAATTCCCAATGTGCCCACAGTCCCAAGTGATCTGGATACAAGTGAACAAAATATTCATTTAGTAAAAGCCAGCTCAATTCCTGGACATGTGCACTATGCAATAGAAGGGTGCTGTGGTTAAAATGCATGTTCTTGGTGGCAATATTGTTGCCATGTTATTTCAATCAGATTCTTGGTCTATGCAATACACATACAAGATAACAAGATAAGTTTCCAAACAGTAACTTTACAAAAATACTGTCACTGAAATAGAGTTGGTTACAACTCAAAAGACTCACTGGGGTGGCCCTGTCTTATGAATGGAGAACATTACAAAAGTCACCTGTAGCCCTATACCACTTCCCCTTCACTGGGGTGAAAACATAAATAAATCATGCAAATGAACACCCTACTAAAAGATGCATAAATTTTTCATAGATGGATTGAAAAATAAGAAGTATCTCACTTCACTCCTAAGAACTAGCAGGGCAAGCTGAGTGAGAGTGAAAGAAATCCTTAGAGATGGGAAGTCTCCCTTGCTTTCAAGAGGGGAGGAGGAAGGTCTCAATCTCACATCCTAATAGCCATAGTAAAAGCAATACAAAGTGGCATGCCACTTACTAGAAACACTTGTACTTCACAGTTTGTGAAAGACTTTCAGATATATAATCTCATTTGATCCTCACAAAAGCCTTGTAAAATCTAGTATCCTAAGCCGTATTGTTTCTGATCAAATCAGAGACTACATTGTGATTTATAAATCCTGTAAATTCAATCAATATGAAATCTGAAAGTATAAACAAACCGTTCATTCAGTGTAATTTTTAAAATATTTATTTACACTAATATTTATTTCTATTTTCATTGACACTGTATTTGAAAAATGTTATTTCTCAAAAATGAGGTGGGAGGATTGTCTGAGCCTGGGGAGGTCAAGGCTGCAGTGAGCTGTGATGGTGCCACTGTACTCCAGCCTGGGCAACAGAGTGAGACCCTGTCTTTAAAAAAAAAAAAAATTCTAGGCCAGGCATGGTGGCTTACACTTGTAGTCCCAGCTAATTAGGAGGCTGAGGCAGGAGGATTACTTGAGCCCAGGAGTTCAAGACCAGCCTGGGCAACATAGACACCCCCATTTCCATGAAAAATTTAAAAACTAGCCAGGCATGGTGGCACATGGGTGGAGTCCCAGCTACAAAAGAGGCTGAGGCAGGAGGATCGCTTAAGCCCAGGAGTTGGAGGCTGCAGTGAGGTATAACTGTGCCACTGCATTCCAGCCTGGGGAGGTGAGGGGAAGGAGAAAAGAAGGAAGGAGGGAGGGAAGGAGGCAATGAAACCTTCCATAATTTGCTCTCCCCCTTATGCTTTTTGAAGGGAACATAAAATTGTTTTAAAGGGATGCTCTATTTAATAAAAAATAAAGCTTTGTGTTAACTTGGGATGGGGGAAGCGTTTATTCATTCTAGATAGTAAATATCCAGCTCCTAAGGGACCAGAGTCTTACTATAATAATAATATAAAAAACCCAAAACCTTCAAAATCTATCAACTCCTGGATGCAAAAGTATTCTTAAAGAATTGTCACTAGATGGAACATTTTCAAGTCCTATGACAGAACGAGAAAAAACAGTAAGATTTTCTCATCATCTAAGCCCTGCTGCTACCACTCCAGGCTGCTGGGCCTCTCCCAGGCTCCAGACCTCTGCTCTGATCACCAGGACAACAGCAGCCATCAGGGTTTGCAATTCTTCTTTCAGGGTGTTACTGAAAAATAAGTAGGCTTTAAAAATTTAAAAATCTACATTTAACATTTTCATATTTGATCCTGAAGTGTTAAAAAACAAAGCACAATACTTGAAAGACATCCTATTTTTGGAGTCCCACAGCATTAATTTCCTTTCTTAAATGTTTTCTGGAAAATAAATTTTAAAACCTGTTTAATATATTAAAATAATAATGGTATTTGTGGCATTAACTCTGGGTTTCTTATTGGTAGCAGGTTTAACGATAATAACATCAAACCTATATGGAATATATGAGTTTTTCCACAATGTCATTCCAAATTATAACAAATTCTATTACTGGAAATCTGTCCTGTGTATGGCACCATACCATATTCATTGTTTCTGCTCTTAAGGAGCTAGCAGTCTCCAAAGCAGAAAGATAGAACAAACCTATGTATAACCCTTGCATTAGCAGAATATGACAGGTGCTATCTGCGAAGTTCTATTTAAACACACACACACACACACACACACACACACACACACTCACTCTCTCTCTCTCTCTCTCTCTCCAATGGCTCAAACACTAGAGAAAGCCCATCCAGCTGGAAGGTATCAGTAGAGACTTCATTGGGAAGTAGAATTTGAGATGTCTTAAATGAACAGTCAAGATACTCCAGGCACAATGAGGGTGGAAATACCAGGAATATTGAGTTAGTTCATTAATTGGGCCAAAGAATGAATGGCAGAACAACAGAAAATGCACTTGGAGAAGCTGCATGAAGGAAAACTTGTATACTGAGAAGCGGGCTCTAACATACATCTCAAGGAACCATCTAAGATTTCTGAACAGACGAGCAATACGGCCAGACGTATGCTTCCTAAATTTACATAATAGCTGTGACAACACACAAAGGAGGACCAAAAATGGCTTGAGAAAAGAAGGGCCCAGAAGTAGGCAGGTAACCAGCTAAAGGCCATTGCAATGATTCAGAGAAGAGGTAAAAGGGCAGCAGTGAAAATGGAAAAGAAAAGGAACCAAAGAGTCATTCTGGAGGAAGTCTATGACAAGGCACTCATTTGTCACTAATAATTTGGTATTCCATGCTAATCACTGATTTACAATCAGCAGGGTGCAAGAAGTGAATTCATTAGGGCTAAAATGCACCATGGTTTATCTGTTTCTTGGGGATGAGAGACCTGGCTGATTTTCAAAACCAACCCCTCCGTAGAGGAAATGGCCTTTGTGAGAAGCCTGCCTGCTTGCCAGATACTGGTCTTATACCTTGGGAAGAATAAAATTATGTGTAGGTGCAGTCCAGGCCACGTCTGTGTCTGGCAGATGGAAATCAGGGGAGAGTCATACCATGCACTAAAGACATGGTATGTAGGTTGGGAGTTTGCTACTAGAGAACAGCCTGGGCCATTCTTGGCACATCATGTCCACCCAGCTTTTTCACATGTAGCACAGGGAAGGGGTGAATCTGATGCACAGGGGTCTAGTTATGCAGGCTTCTCTTTTCAGGTTGGGGAGTGAGAGACCTGGGCACTATCCACAGGTAGTGTCACATGGTTAACCATAAGACAGCGTCACCTCGTTCCTCCTGTACTGCCTGGCCTTCTGGGGCCTGGCTCCTTCTCACATCATTGTAGGTTGCTGTGTGGTTAGAGACCTCGGCATAGGATCACTGTAAAAACAAAAGGTTCAATATTGGCTGGTTTTCTTTTTCTTTTTTTTAAGAGACAGGGTCTCACTATGTTGCCCAGGCTGGAGTGGAGTGCAGGATCATACTTCACTACAGCCTTGAACTCATGGGCTCAAACTATCTTCCTGCCTCAGCCTCTTGGAGCAGCTGGGACTACAGGTGTACGCCACCATGCCAAGCTAATACTGGGGCCACACCCTTCTGGAACACCAAAGCAGACAGCAGAGAACAGCAACTCTGAACAGCTGCCCCTGGCCCTCAGCACGTTTACTGTATTTGTGTTCTTCTGATCTCTGCACGTAGGTTTGGTGGCTACCTCAGGTAGCTGCTCTGCCTCAACATTTTTTTTTTGAAATTCTTTCAGACTTATAGAAAACATGCCAGATTCATGAACTATATATATATATATATAGTTGTGGTCACTGTGGCTACTGATATTATTATATTGCTGAACCACAGATAATAAACTGCAGATATCATGGCCGTTTAATTCTAAATAGGTCTGGATCTGTTTCTTTTTTTCTTTTAAATAAACAGAATTTTATTTATTGACCGCCTTTAAGAAAAATTCCATATACTGACAGAAACATAAAAATATTTAGTCATTTTTAATTCAATATATATTCTGACAGTGTTTATTCTATTTTTTCAATTTAGGTAAAATTTAGTGAAAACTATTGCTTCAGTAAAAAACTTAAACGACCCATTTATGATTATAATACTGTTTTAACAACTTCTGTATTCATGTTGATTTATTTCTGAATACGTCTTTTTAAAGTTTGAAGTACCACGAAATGTGAGGCATGCTTTTTGTAGTTACAAGTTTTGGCTAAAAATGTTTTTGACACGTGTAGAAAGTCTTTTTCAGTGATTATATTTTATTTTATTATTATACTTTAAGTTCTAGGGTACACGTACACAACGTGCAGGTTTGTTACATATGTATACATGTGCCACATTGGTGTGCTGCACCCATTCACCGTCATTTACATTAGGTATATCTCATAATGCTATCCCTCCCCTCTCCCCGCACCCTAGCACAGGCCCTGGTATGTGATGTTCCCCTTCCTGTGTCCAAGTGTTCTCATTTTCCAATTCTCACCTATGAGTGAGAACATGTGGTGTTTGGTTTTTTGTCCTTGCGATAGTTTGCTGAGAATGATGGTTTCCAGCTTCACCCATGTCCCTACAAAGGACATGAACTCATCCTTTTTTATGGCTACATAGTATTCCATGGTGTATATGTGCCACATTTTCTTAATCCAGTCTATCATTGTTGGACATTTGGGTTGGTTCCAAGTCTTTGCTACTGTGAATAGTGCCACAATAAACGTACATGTGCATGTGTCTTTACAGCAGCATGATTCATAATCCTTTCGGTATATACCCAGTAATGGGATGGCTGGGTCAAATGGTATTTCTAGTTCTAGATCCTTGAGGAATCGCCACACTGTCTTCCACAATGGTTGAACCAGTTTAGTCCCACCAACACTGTAAAAGTGTTCCTGTTTCTCCACATCCTCTCCAGCACCTGTTGTTTCCTGACTTTTTAATGATCGCCATTCTAACTGGTGTGACATGGTATCTCATTGTGGTTTTGATTTGCATTTCTCTGATGGCCAGTGATGATGAGCAATTTTTCATGTGTCTGTTGACTGCATAAATGTCTTCCCCTGCAAAGTGTCTATTCATATCCTTCGCCCACTTTTTGATGGGGTTGTTTTTTCCTGTAAATTTGTTTGAGTTCTTTGTAGATTCTGGATATTAGCCCTTTTTCAGATGAGTAGATTGCAAAAATGTTCTCCCATTCTGTAGGTTGCCTGTTCACTCTGATGGTAGTTTCTTTTGCTGTGCAGAAGCTCTTTAGTTTAATTAGACCCCATTTGTCAATTTTGGCTTTTGTTGCCATTGCTTTGGGTGTTTTAGTCATGGAGTCCTTGCCCATGCCTATGTCCTGAATGGTATTGCCTAGGTTTTCTTCTAGGGTTTTTATGGTTTTAGGTCTAACATTTAAGTCTTTAATCCATCTTGAATTAATTGGTGTATAAGGTGTAAGGAAGGGATCCAGTTTCAGCTTTCTACATATGGCTAGCCAGTTTTCCCAGCACCATTTATTAAATAGGGAATCCTTTCCCCATTGCTTGTTTTTGTCAGGTTTGCCAAAGATCAGATGGTTGTAGATGTGTGGTATTATTTCTGACGGCTCTGTTCTGTTCCATTGGTCTGTATCTCTGTTTTGGTACCAGTACCATGCTGTTTTGGTTACTGTAGCCTTGTAGTATAGTTTAAAGTCAAATAGTGTGATGCTTCCAGCTTTGTTCTTTTGGCTTAAGATTGTCTTGGCAATGTGGCTCTTTTTTGGTTCCATAGGAACTTTAAAGAATTTTTTTCCAATTCTGTGAAGAAAGTCATTGGTAGCTTGATGGGGATGGCACTGAATCTATAAATTACCTTGGGCAGTATGGCCATTTTCCCAATATTGATTCTTCCTATCCACGAGGATGGAATGTTCTTCCATTTGTTTGTGTCCTCTTTTATTTCATTGAGCAGTGGTTTGTAGTTCTCCTTGAAGAGGTCCTTCACATCCCTTGTAAGTTGGATTCCCAGGTATTTTATTCTTTTTGAAGCAACTGTGAATGGGAGTTCACTCATGATTTGGCTCTCTGTTTGTCTGTTATTGGTGTATAAGAATGCTTGTGATTTTTGCACATTGATTTTGTATCTTGAGACTTTGCTGAAGTTGCTTATCAGCTTAAGGAGATTTTGGGGTGAGACGATGGGGTTTTCTAAATATACAATCATGTCATCTGCAAACAGGGACAATTTGACTTCCTCTTTTCCTAATTGAATACCCTTTATTTCTTTCTCCTGCCTGACTGCCCTGGCCAGAACTTCCAACACTATGTTGAATAGGAGTGGTGAGAGAGGGCATCCCTGTCTTGTGCGAGTTTTCAAAGGGAATGCTTCCAGTTTTTGCCCATTCAGTATGATATTGGCTGTGGGTTTGTCATAGATAGCTCTTATTATTTTGAGATACGTCCCATCAATACCTAATTTATTGAGAGTTTTTAGCATGAAGGGCTGTTGAATTTTGTCAAAGGTCTTTTCTGCATCTATTAAGATAATCATGTGGTTTTTGTCTTTGGTTCCGTTTATATGCTGGATTACATTTATTGATTTGCGTATGTTGAACCTGCCTTGCATCCCCGGGATGAAGCCCACTTGATCATGGTGGATAAGCTTTTTGATGGGCTGCTGCATTCGGTTTGCCAGTATTTTACTGAGGATTTTTGAATCAATGTTCATCAGGGATATTGGTCTAAAATTGTCTTTTTTTGTGTGTCTCTGCCAGGCTTTGGTATCAGGATGATACTGGTCTCATAAAATAAGTTAAGGAGGATTCCCTCTTTTTCTGTTGATTGGAATAGTTTCAGAAGGAATGGTACCAGCTCCTCCTTGTACCTCTGGTAGAATTCAGCTGTGAATCCTTCTGGTCATGGACTTTCTTTGGTTGGTAGGCTATTAATTATTGCCTCAATTTCAGAGCCTGTTATTGGTCTATTCAGGCATTCAACTTCTTCCTGGTTTAGTCTTGGAAGGGTGTATGTGTCCAGGAATTTATCCATTTCTTCTAGATTTTCTAGTTTATTTGCGTAGAGGTGTTTATAGTATTCTCTGATGGTAGTTTGCATTTCTGTGGGACCGGTGGTGATATCCCCTTTATCATTTTTTATTGTGTCTATCTGATTCTTCTCTCTTTTCTTATTAGGTCTTGCTAGTGGTCTATCAATTTGTTGATCCTTTCAAAAAACCAGCTCGTGGATTCATTGATTTTTTGAAGGGTTTTTTGTGTCTCTGTCTTCTTCAGTTCTGCTCTGATCTTAGTTATTTCTTGCCTTCTGCTAGCTTTTGAATGTGTTCGCTCTTGCTTATCTAGTTCTTTTAATTGTGATGTTAGGGTGTCAATTTTAGATCTTTCCTGCTTTCTCTTGTGGGCATTTAGTGCGATAAATTTCCCTCTACACACTGCTTTGAATGTGTCCCAGAGATTCTGGCATGTTGTGTCTTTGTTCTCGTTGGTTTCAAAGAACATCTTTATTTCAGCCTTCATTTCGTTATGTACCCAGTAGTCATTCAGGAGCACGTTGTGCAGTTTCCATGTAGTTGAGTGGTTTTGAGTGAGTTTCTTAATCCTGAGTTCTAGTTTGAGTGCACTGTGGTCTGAGAGACAGTTTGTTATAATTTCTGTTCTTATACATTTGCTGAGGAGTGCTTTACTTCCAACTATGTGGTCAATTTTGGAGTAAGTACGAAGTGGTGCTGGGAAGAATGTATATTCTGTTGATTTTGGGTGGAGAGTTCTGTAGATGTCTATTAGGTCCTCTAGGTGCAGAGCTGAGTTCAATTCCTGGATATCCTTTTTAACTTTCTGTCTCGTTGATCTGTCTAATGTTGACAGTGGGGTGTTAAAGTCTCCCATTATTATTGTGTGGGAGTCTAAGTCTCTTTGTAGGTCTCTAAGGACTTGCTTTATGAGTCTGGGTGCTCCTGTACTGGGTGCATATATATTTAGGTTAGTTAGCTCTTCTTGTTGAATTGATCCCTTCACCATTATGTAATGGCCAACTTTGTCTCTTTTCATCTTTGTTGGTTTAAAGTCTGTTTCATGAGAGACTAGGATTGCAACCCCTTTTTGTTTTGTTTTGTTTTCCATTTGCTTGGTAGATCTTCCTCCATCCCTTTGTTTTGAGCCTATGTGTGTCTCTGCACATCAGATGGGTCTCCTGAATACAGCACACTGATGGATCTTCACTGTTTATCCAATTTGCCAGTCTGTGTCTTTTAATTGGAGCATTTAGCCCATTTACATTTAAGGTTAATATTGTTATATGTGAATTTGATCCTGTCATTATGATGTTAGCTGGTTATTTTGCTCGTTAGTTAATGCAGTTTCTTCCTAGCATTGATGGTCTTTACAATTTGGCATGTTTTTGCAGTGGCTGCTACCAGTTGTTCCTTTCCGCGTTTAGTGCTTCCTTCAGGAGCTCTTTTAGGGCAGGCCTGGTGGTGACAAAATCTCTCAGCATTTGCTTGTCTGTAAAGGATTTTATTTCTCCTTCACTTATGAAGCGTAGTTTGGCTGGATATGAAATTCTGGGTTGAAAATTCTTTTCTTTAAGAATGTTGAATATCGGCCCCCACTCTCTTCTGGCTTGCGGAGTGTCTGCCGAGAGATCCGCTGTTAGTCTGATGGGCTTCCCTTTGTGGGTAACCCGACCTTTCTCTCTGGGTGCTCTTAACATTTTTTCCTCCATTTCAACCTTGGTGAATGTGACAATTATGTGTCTTGGAGTTGCTCTTCTCGAGGAGTATCTTTGTGGCGTTCTCTATTTCCTGAATTTGAATGTTGGTCTGCCTCACTAGGTTGGGGAAGTTCTCCTGGATAATATCCGCAGAGTGTTTTCCAGGTTGGTTCCATTCTCCCCGTCACTTTCAGGTACACCAATCAGACGTAGATTTGGTCTTTTCACATAGTCCCATATTTCTTGGAGGCTTTGTTTGCTTCTTTTTGCTCTTTTTTCTCTAAACTTCTTTTGTTGCTTCATTTCATTCATTTGATCTCCAGTCTCTGATACCTTTTCTTTCAGTTGATCAAATAGGCTTCTGAAGCTTGTGCATTTGTCACATAGTTCTTGTGCCGTGGTTTTCAGCTCAATCAGGTCATTTAAGGACTTCTCTACACTGGTTATTCTAGTTAGCCATTCGTCTAATCTTTTTTCAAGGTTTTTAGCTGCTTTGCGATGGGTTCAAACTTCTTCCTTTAGCTCAGAGAAGTTTGATCATCTGAAGCCTTCATCTCTCAACTCGTCAAAGTCGTCATTCTCTGTCCAGCTTTGTTCCGTTGCTGGCGAGGAGCTGCATTCCTTTAGAGGGGGACAGGCGCTCTGATTTGTAGAATTTTCAGCTTTTCTGCTCTGTTTTTTCCCCATCTTTGTGGCTGTATCTACCTTTGGTCTTTGATGATGATGATGTATAGATGGGGTTTTGGTGTGGATGTCCTTGCTGTTTGTTAGTTTTCCTTGTAACAGGACCCTCTGCTGCAGGTCTGTTGGAGTTTGCTGGAGGTCCACTCCAGACCCTGTTTGCCTGGGTATCAGCAGCGGAGGCTGCAGAACAGACAATATTGCAGAACGGCAAATGCTGCTGCCTGATCGTTCCTCTGGAAGCTTTGTCTCAGAGGGGTGAAGTGTCAGGTGTTAGGTGTCAGTCTCCCCCTACTGGGGGGTGCCTCCCAGTTAGGCTACTCGGGGGTCAAGGACCCACTTGAGGAGGCAGTCTGTCCGTTCTCAGATCTCAGACTCTGTGCTGGGAGAACCACTGCTCTCTCGAAGCTGTCAGACAGGGACATTTAAGTCTGCAGAGGTTTCTGCTGCCTTTTGTTTGGCTATGCCCTGCCCGCAGAGGTGGAGTTTACAGAGGCAGGCAAGCCTCCTTGAGCTGTCGTGGGCTCCACCCAGTTCGAGCTTCCTGGCTGCTTTGTTTACCTACTCAAGCCTCAGCAATGGCAGGCGCCCCTCCCCCAGCCTCGCTGCCGCCTTGCAGTTTGATCTCAGACTGTACTAGCTGTATTAGCAATGAGCGAGGCTCCGTGCGCGTGGGACCCTCCGAGCCTTGCACGGGATATAATCTCCTGGTGTGCCATTTGCTAAGACCATTGGAAAACCACTGTGTTAGGGTGGGAGTGACCCGATTTTCCAGGCGTCGTCTATCACAGCTTCCCTTGGCTAGGAAAGGGAATTCCCTGACCCCTTGCACTTCCCGGGTGAGGCCATGCCTCGCCCTGCTTCAGCTCACGCTTGGTGGGCTGCACCCACTGTCCTGTACCCAGTGTCCGACAAGCCCAAGTGAGATGAACCCGGAACCTCAGTTGGAAATGCAGATATCACCCATCTTCTGTGTCGCTTATGCTGGGAGCTGTAGACTGGAGCTGTTCCTATTCAGCTGTCTTGGAACTGCCGTCCGGGTCTGGATCTGTTTCTAAGAACACAGCCATTCCCTTTGAACGCCACAATGTGGTAAACACATTCAGGAAATGTGACATTGATACAATACTGTAATCCAAGACGCAATCCATGTTCAAATATTACTACTGGTCCCAATGATGTCTTTTATAACAATTCTTTTCTAATCCAGGATCACAATTGTGTCTGGTATCAGCTTTTTGATGCCTGGTTTTTACTGTTGCTTTTATATGCCCAGAACTACGAGACCATCTCCCCCAAATACACCCATCTGCAGTAACTGAGCCTCAGGAAACCTAACAGCATGAGCCACTGCATGAGGAGGATAAGGGACCAGTGTCACTGTGCCTCTGCCACCATGTTCTGCTCTGGAGGATGGATTTACCTTCAAGGAGGTGCTGCATACAGGACTATGAGGTTCACCAGGACCTCAGGAGGAGGACCTGGCCCAGGACAGCTGAGCCCACCCTAGGTGAGATGGCCCACCTTGTTAGGCTTTACCAACAAATTCACAGCAGATGCGAAGAGCAGTGGGATCTGCTCTCAAAGGGTTGATATGTATAAAGCCCTTAAAAGACAAGTGAACGCTCATCAAAAGTTACTATTTTCATTGCTATGATTGCTTCTATTGGGTTCCTGACTTTGGTGAAGAAAATTACACCTGCAACTTCCCTTCACTCATTCCGCACTTTATTAAGTGACTTCTTTCGGTGAGGTCACGTGTCAAGCACTTGGTCTATCTTCGCTTGTGGAGAATACTCCTACAACCCCAGCTATGGAAACCTGAGAACCCGTTCAATCAAATTACTCTGGAAATAGACAATCATAGAAATCGTTTGCTAACTTGATAAAGATGCATCGACATTTTTTTTTTTTTAACACGAAGCTGTACTTGGTAATTTTCCAGGTTTCAAGTTGGGTATCAAAATTCTCTTTTGAGAGCTTTCTCTAGTAAAACTGGAACTCCACCCCATCCTCTCTCATACTCGCTTCTAAGAATGCACAGGAGCCACTTCACTCAAGTAGCTAGAATCCAATGACACATACCACAGAGGTGACCAAGGTTTTCAGATCACAACCATAATGAACCTGAAAGTCTATACAGCTGGGACTGCTGATTTTACTCTGGGCCACAGATCCCCATGACAATCAAATATAAAGGGATCTTCTCCCTAGAAAAAAGAGCATACATTAACCTTCACAGAATCCCTATCCCAGAGTTAAGAGAATGATACTGTTCATCAATTCCTTTGTCTTGTCTTTGGAGTTCAGCTTCTTAGTCACCTCCCTCAGAGATAATCTGTGCAACTACCTATCCTAAACGGGCCATCCATTCCTCTACACTGACTACTTTTGGGAATACAGTCACCTCAAAGGGGCAGCAGAGGGAAATGACTTGGTGCTACAGGGAGTATCTCTTCAGGGCTTATTAGAACCAAGAAAGGCATTTATCCTGCCCTGTTTGGGGTGTGGACAGACTGCGTATCTTACCTCTTGGGCTGCCATTTTCTATTAATTCTTTTTGCCTGGCAGGAAATAAAAAAGTTGATATAAGCTGGATGGCTGTAAAGATTTTTAACAGACAAAAACAAACAAGGCTTACTTTAAAATAAGTAATTATCCCAAGATAAAAGAATAAAAGAAAGTTTTAAAAAGACAACCCCAAGCGTAAAATAAAAGACACACACACAAACAAAACAAAACAAAACAAAACAAAACAAACAAAAAAAAACCAAGTAGCTATGACTCTCTGAATGGGAAAGAGCACGGTCTCTATAGCTGGGTCAGCAAGAATAGGAAAGCCCAGACCTGTCCCCTGACTCTGGGCACCACCCACTGTGGAGGGGCAGAGGGGCGGCCTTTCCTTGGGGAGGGGGCAGCCAGCAAGTGGGAATTTTACAGGGTCAGGATTGAGTAAGGAAAGGAGTAGAAACACTTCTTAAAAACACAGCTGCTGAGATCGCACCACTGCACTCCAGCTTGGGCGACAGTGCGAGACTCTGTCTCAAACAAAACAAAACAAAACAAAAAAAAACAAAACACAGCTGCCCATGAGGACTCAGGTGGGGAGGGGGCATCAAACCCACAATAGAAAGGTCAGAGGAATCAGGAGCTGCGCCCTCCTCCCTCATATCTTGCCAACTTCTTTTCAGGAAGCATCTCTGAAGTCTATGCCTGGGCTCAGTGCATAGACTGGAGCCCTATAGAAACCTCTCTCCAAACACTTTTCACCTGCAGTTGCCTCGCTTGTCATTTCTCCCCTTCACTAGGTAGTAGGATGAGGAAAAGATCTGTGCCCCAGCACCTACAGCCTCAGAGAACATCTGCTCCATCAGTATCTGCTGGCCCTGCACATGAGAATGCAAGCAAAGGCATCAGCTAGAGATGGTCTCATCTAGGAGACGAAGTCATGAGACTTTTTTTTTTGAGACAGGGCCTCGCTCTGTAGCCCAGGCTGGAATGCAGTGGCACATCTGAGCTCACTGAAACCTCCAGCTCCCGGGCTCAGGTGATCTTCCCACCTCAGCCTCCTGAGTAGCTGGGACTATAGGCACACCCCACTATGCTCGGCTCAGCCTCCCAAAGTGCTGGGATTAGGTCAGAAATGGAAAGATGTATATGAGATTGAGGAATCCCAAAGGGTACAAAAAATAGGAATGAATATGCGTTTGAGAGAAGATTTCAAAGCATAGAGGTAAACACTGAGGGTGGAACTGCTCATGACAATATCAGCAACAGAAGGGAAGTACGTACTTCAGGTACAAATACCCACTGACCACGCTCAACATGTGCTGTATATAACCTGTAAACTGAGTCCTCACATGAAAACTGACAGATGCTAAGACATGAAGAACCATGCCAAAATGTGTTATTTACTCCAAATAGAACAATACATGAAAAATGTTGGCTTTAGTCTACATTAAAAGTGATATTATCAACTATTTGCAATTGAAGGCAGATCACTACCTTACCTAAAATGCAGCTGAATATTTTAAGAACAAAGGGCAGAGACTAAGAACTCCACTATCTCCAGAGAGTTCCCTTCAATGACTTCAAGTGGTCCTTTCTAGTCTTTTTTAAAACTCAATTATGTAGAGTCAACCTTGTCAATCATATAATCAGCTTGGTCACTCACATGGGCTGGTCTCCCACAATTGTTTTCCTACCTCCAAGTTCTTTTTTTTCCTTTGTATTCATTCTGTCCATAGTCATTAAATACACATTGAACACAAACACTGAAGTGGCCAGAAATACAGTGGTAAGCAAAACAGGCAGTGCCCTGATGGAGCCTCCCAGGTTCAGGCGATTCTCCTGCCTCAGACTCCAGAGTAGCTGGGATTACAGGCATGTGCCACCCTGCCTTGCTAATTTTTCTATCTTTTTTTAGTAGAGACGGAGTTTCTCCATGTTGGCCAGGCTGGTCTCGAACTCCTGGCCTCAAGTGATCTGCCCACCTCGGCCTCCCAATGTGCTGGAATTACAGGCATGAGCCAACGCATCTGGCCAACCATCAATCTTGGAACTTAGAGCTGCATTACAACTCTCAGTTTTTCACTTAACATTATATATACAAATGTCCAATTATATATCTCTTTCCCCAGATCTCTCTCATACAATACAAAACCTAAACAGAATGTAATGACGAGAAAAGACCATTACACCTTATAGCAGTCATAACACTGTGATAGTGACCAAGAAGTCAGTCAGAAGACAGCAGCACCTCACATATATTCAACAGTAACATCACAAAGATAGCATTAGAGCGGTGATTCCTGTGCTGTCTTTCAAGAAAGAGCCTTCACCTTTTCTGCCATTACCACCATCACTATTCAACAATCTCATCATGGCAGCTGGCTTTGCCAATTATCTTGAACTAACTTTTCAATGTCTCTTTTTGCTTTCATAACAAAGAGTGGTTGCTTTTATCAACATTCCATAAGGTCCAGCAAGGTTAATAAAATTACCATTAAAGCCTCTGAAGTTTGTACAATGACAAATCAAACCCATTCCCAATGTAGGGCTTAATCATTATAAAGGAATGAAGAAACCTCTCATAGGGCCTCAGGAATAGATGCTGAGACCCTTCCTGCTCACTTGGCTCATCTGGACAGGAAGGAGAAGATGCTGTGCCTTTTCCAGACTCTCAGCTGTGCCTCATATAAACTCTGAAATCCAAGTCAGGCCACATGGGAGCACACAGGCTGTGCGCCGATCCCTGAGAGCAGCGAGAACACTTGATCCCAGATTGTACACTTTCAGTTTATATGAACGAAGCTGTTCACCATTCTGACATTTGACGTCATCCACCAACTACCCACTAACACTATCTATTAGTGCAGAATGCTTGGAATTTCCTCATTTTTAAGAGCTGGAAAGTTTCAAGTACAGACCTTACATTTTAACAAAATAGTACATGCTATTACTTTCAGGGATTTAGGACCTTTCCTCCTGGATTACTCAATTAGGACATACTCATCTAATCAAATACTTAACCCACACATTAAGAGACAAACATGTTTGTATCTAAGATATAGCTTTTAAACAATTCCATGAACACTGTAGGGTAACATTTTAAATCAGGTAACTGCTTAATTGCTTTCCTCCTAATCTTCTACTTTAGACATTAAATCCATCTTGCCTTTTCTTTATATTCACCTCTAAATCTTCAGTGCCCAGCACAGTATTCAACTGTGGCCAGGCTGGTCTCGAACTTAGGCAGGCTCTCATGAGTAGTGGATGGATACATTTTTCTTCATTAGGTAGACTTTAAACAGGAAAATACTGGTAAAATAGGTGAAGAAGTTCTCCAAGATATTATTTTACTTTTTCTTTCACCCTGAGCCTCAAATGAGATGAATTCACCTTTTTTGGCTGGTGGTCAAATCTTTTTACTGTGATTCATTTAAAGCTCAAAACATCATGAGGCACAAACTAAGAGAAACTGGATGCTAAACACTGAAGAAGCTATTGTAGTTCTCACAGCACTATGGACTTGAACTGTTAGTGTTCCTAGCTGCTGTTCAGTTCTTGGGCACAAGCTATTCTGCTTTCTAAAACTGATAAGCCTTACTTCCCCAAACTTACAGTTCTATTAGTCTACAAGAACTTTCCACTAGAATGTGTAGCAAATTCCTTTCTGACAAGTTGCCCTGAGCCCCTCCCTTCCTGGTCTGAAAAGAGCAGGCTGGCTTCAGGCCACTCCCCAGCCCCTGCTCATGGCTGCTTTACCACCTGAAGGAGAACCTCAGCCACAGGATCAGGTGCAGCTCTCCCTGCATTCCCCCCTACTGCCCCACTTTACTTGGGGAGTGGAATTCCGCTGTGGGCTGTGCTGCTAAGCTCACCACAGGAGCCTGTTTATGACCTTGAGACAGAAGTTGTACCTGCTATGGGAGTCAGAGCAGGGGAAACCTTCTCTTATAAGATACTTTCCAGCAAAGTAAGACAGAATTGTGCTCCACATGTCTTTCTTTTCTTTCCTTTCTTTCTTTTTTTTTTTTTTTGAGAGAGTCTCACTCTGTTGCCCAGGCTGGAGTGCACTGGTGCAATCTCGGCTCACTGCAGCCTCCGCCTCCCAGGTTCAAGCAATTCTCCTGCTTCAGCCTCCTGAGTAGCTGGGATTACAGGCGCCCACCACCACTCCAGCTAATTTTCTGTATTTTTAGTAGAGACAGGGTTTTACCATGTTGGCCAGGCTGATCTCGAACTCCTGGCCTCAAGTGATCTGCCTGCCTCAGTCTCTCAGTGTTGGAATTACAGGCGTGAGCCACTGCACCCCGCCCCACATCCCTTTCTTTAAATTTTTTTTTTCACTGATTTTATATCACTTTTGGATGAGATGAATACCTTCCTAACCAAAACAAAGAACAAATGGAAAAAAACAACTCAAAAGCAAATCATGTATTATTACAACAAGCTAAGAACGGCTTGGATGAGTAAGTGCCTCTGCTAATTAAACACGGCTTCCAATTAATTCCTCAGAAATCAAAGTTATCTTCTGTGGTGAATATTTCCCTACATTCAACAGGTTTAGAGCTATAATTGTAGGTAAAGCATTCAGTTACACACTTCATAGCCAATTTAGGAAGGTCCACCTGATGTCTCACAGCAATTACACTTTATGAGCATTTTACTGGGATCTCCTTTTTGATGGAGAGATGAGTATCTGTGAACACTGAGAAATGCTGCCACTTTTTGGAGAAGAATCTTGAAGACTTAAACCACAGTGACTGTGTGTTCATATGAACCCAAACTGTCCTTGCTAGGATGAATGTGGCTCTGCAGCAGGGGCTCCCCAGTGCTGTGTTCCGGCACATGCTGATCTTAGGCTCCTCACTTTCTGCAACCTCAGCTGACTTTTAAAGCAGTTAGTTCATCTGCACTCAACC
This sequence comes from Homo sapiens, assembly GCF_000001405.40. Lineage (NCBI taxonomy): Eukaryota > Metazoa > Chordata > Mammalia > Primates > Hominidae > Homo > Homo sapiens. The sequence goes on along the minus strand of NC_000008.11, from coordinate 47,478,471 downwards.
AAGAAATGAAACATAACCGAGGTCTGTCCTTCCTGCTTCTTCTGTCTCTGTGAAGGTGCCACCATCTCCCAGTCATGGCAGCCTAAAACTTCCAAGATGAAACTGTCACGCACAACCCCAATCCTCATCCTTGGCACTCTCAGAAGTCTGTCCCTTCTTGCTGCTGGTTAATCCTCCCCACCACGCTGTCACCACCCCGCTGGTTGCTCCTCCTCTCACTGCTTTTTGCTTCCTCAGAGGTGTGTTTGTCGTCAGGCTGGATGCCCAGCCCACCCTCAATTCATTCTTCACATTATTTCTGTCGGGTTTTCTAAAACACAGACCTGATGCGTGTCCTCTGGTACTCCTTGTGCCTTCCATACTGCATCTTTTCCTCACACGAAGTGTCAGCCCTTCACGCCCTGGGTGCTGCTAGCACTCTAGCTTCAACCTTCAACTCTAGCTTCAACCATACCACTTCCCCTTCACATGTTCCACTTGGGCAAGTTACCCTGCCCCTTGCTGCCCCTAATCCTGCAGCCAGCCCCTCCAATTCCTCCTTCCCAGCTAAGCGCAGCTGTCTTTCCTGGGGGTGCCTCCCCTAGGGCTCTGCCTCCCCATGCTCCCCTCTGAGCCCTGGCAGGCTCCCCCTGCACCCTGTGTGGCAACTGTCTACTTACAGGATGGTCATTTCTACCAAGACCCTGAAATGGCTGCATCCTCAGCACTCCACACTAAAGATATTCACTGAATGAAACAAAGGATGAAAGTATGCCAGCAGTATAACTTTAAACTCACTGCCACTTTAATACTTATTGAGGGACAATCTGCAAGAAGCCATCATTTATTGAGCAGTAGCTTAAAAGTTTGGCTCTTTTACTCTCTCCTCTAGATAGCTTAAGGAATATTCCAGGACTAGATTTCTAAAATTACCTCTACTATATGAAATATTACAAATTACTATGAATGATAAAATAGTTAAAATTAATTGAGCATTGGCCAGGTACAGTGGCTCACGCCTGTAATCTCAGCACTTTGGGAGGCCAAGGCAGGCAGATCACTTGAGGCCAGGAGTTCAAGACCAGCCTGGGCAACATGGCAAAACTCTGTCTCTACAAAATACAAAAATTAGCTGGGCGTGGTCGCCAAGCGCCTGTAATCCCAGTTACTCAGGGGGCTGAGGAAGAACTGCTTGGACCCTGGAGGCAGAGGTTGCAGTGAGCTGAGATAGCACCACTGCACTCCAACCTGGGCAACAGAGCGAGACTCTGTCTCAAAAAAAAAAAATATATTGCGCATCTTCTATATACAGACTCTGGTACCAGACTCCACGTTTCATTAAGTGTTTCATAGGCCCTGAAGTGTTTTTAATCTCCATTTTACTCATTAGGAAACTATGCTCAGAGATGCTTAAAACTTTCCCATGATAAGAGGGCCAATAAATACTACAGAATATACAATTTCACTGAGCTGTTACTCTGGCAGCTTGTACTAACAGATATTAACAGAAATTGTTCTCATTTAAACAGGTTATATTTGTTCTCCTGTATTATTTTATTTCTGTATTATAGCTTCCTCCTCATAAGGAAATTTTTCTAAGGTGTCACTACCAGATATTGCTGTTTTTCTTGTTAACAGATCTGTTTTTGGGCAGAGCCCTGAGCCTTGGTGTTGACCGAGTCTCCTACTTTAACGCAGCCTGCTGCTTCTCTTGCATACAGATTTGTGCATTCTGTGAATCCTGGTATTTTTCTAAGCCAATTAAAATCAATTTTTAAACAAGATAGGATGAAAAATAAACAAGCAAATAAATGAGAACTGGTGACTTAGACACACCCTTAGTTCGGTGAAGAATCAGAAGGACTGGGTTGGGGTGGTCCAGGCAGGGGTGAAGGGAGTCTCGGAGGTGGTGAGGTGAGAAAGGGGCAAGGTGTGTCTCAGGAGGAACAGAAGGCCACCTGCGGGGAACTGTGTGACTCACAATGGCACGACTGTGTCTTGCAACTTAACTGCAATCAAACTGGACTATCATTTATTGAACTGCTGCTGCTTATTGGCCGCATGCTGGGTGCTTTCACATGGTATTTTCATATCTCCTCATCACCCTAATGAAGTAGCTGTAAATGCTGTGTCACAGCTGTGGAAAAGGGAATTCGTGGCAATCAAGGAGCCTGTCCAATCTCGATCACAAACTCAAGAGCCATCACTCCAATGCCAGTGCTCTTATAACTCTGCCCTCCAGTAGCTGAACCCTGTTATTTCATGGCAGTCCCCTGGAGCGTAGACACAACAGACCATCCGTCAAGCAATGCCTAAACTCACAGCTCCAAGAACACTGTCACACTTCGACACTGTAACACAATGGCTACCCAACTTAATGAATACACAAAAGCTTTAACTTTTGTGTTACAATGGCTACCCTTAAATTGGTCCTGCCTGATATTCACACATCACAGAAGGCTAGAAACAATTTCTGTAAGAAAAACCTCAAAGAGGTAAATCTAACAACTGTATTTCCTCTTAAATGATCTATAAACATTTCTTAAATGCTATGTCTTTTATTAAAAAGAAACCAATAACCAAAAAAATAGACTTTTCTTTTTCCAGTTATAATATTGTATCAAACCTCCCACAACTCTTCCACTGCTAAATTTGACTGGCTTTACAAAAAGGGGTGCGGGGGGCGGATACTGTATTGGTTTAGATAAAGAAACCTTAACCATTTACTTCTTATCTTTTTGGATCATTTTATATGTGTCTTCTTGGCTCTAGTACCAATACACTTATTATTTCCTCTCCTCAGCACTGCATTCTCCAAGTGACATAAAAGGCAAGAAACATGTAGCCTTTTATTATAATTTTTCTTTCACAGAAAAGAGTTACATTCAAATGCTTAGGTACATACAAGGCTACCCATTACCTAAAGATTATCAAAGTGATATTTTACTTGCAATTTTATTGTAATAGAAATTACTCTTTAAGTTAGTGCATGGCTTTAAAGATCACTGCATGATCTTCGGATTATTTTAATTACAAAATAATGGTCTGACACACAACTATTCCTCAGTATCTGTTTCTTTACATGACAGGTAGGAAAGAAGTTAAAAATAAAGTAAGTATGAGACAACAGACCAGACATCTTTGCTATCTTTCATGACTGCACTCCAATCCGAGCATGCTCTGGGCCCGGCAGGGCATGCCCTGGGAGAAATGTGAATTGAGGGCAGGGTGTGCTAACAGCCTGTCTTCCTAGCAGATCGGCTAACCCAGGAGAGAAGGGACCAGCAGGTATACGAACTCAGCTACATTCATCTTCTGAGCTGCATGTGAGGACAATATTGCTGTTTCAAGTGGTACAAATAAAAAGCTTCCTTTCCCAACACACTCTCTTATTTGTCCACTGTCATGTTAGTAGTTGAAGAAAATCTATGAAACACTTCCAGGAACATCAAGCTGCTTCACCAGAGGTCTAAAGGAGCTTAAAGCAACATAACAGAATTGGCTTTCCATAACTTTGTGTTTTTGAAACTACTGGGAAAAATGACAATAGATAAAATCCAAGCTGACCTAAAAGCCAAAGAATTAAATGTTACTTATGGCTTAGCCACAGATGTAACTGCTTTCAGCAAATCAATTACAGTTAAAAACTGTACTCTTCTCTGCAACATGAAAATAACAAATTCTACTGACATTCTACAAAAGAGAACAGGTAATAAATTAACTCTGTGTTGGACTGAATTCTCATTTCTTAAATCAATTCTTTAAAAAACCCTTAGGATTCTAGATGTCAGAATAAATCAAACAGGTGTTTTATCTTTTTTGTTGACACAGAAAAATATCTGAAGCCAACTTTGAAAAGGGAAGAGATTGAGAACTCCATTTTCACATTACTGATTTGTCTGAAGGAGAAAATATGCCAGACGGCAGCCTGACCAGTTCACAGATCTCCTAAAGGCAAAGAGCTGCCCGTCACTCCCACCAGAAAGAGAACCAACACTCAGAATTACTCCTGGGAGTGAGATGTTGTGACTGGGGCTAGAATAATAGGCACTGGCATTCCCACATTTATACCCTTTGCATTATTCCCACAAGATTGTATCTCTCAAACAGCTAAAGACAGCATATTTATTGAGAAAAATTATTAAGCCTACAATAAATAAGACATTTTCAAAATACTACTTCTGAATTTTCAGAATACACATGGGTATTCGACACAGAATTAAAAGACCTATTTTATGAGAACTATACTCCACAATATGCTGAGGATTCACGGTCAAATATATAGAAAGACAGGACCTCCACTTAGCAATCATTCATCAGACAGGTTTGATATTTTTCCTTTTGGTCAGTTTTTTTCACTCAATAAGGAATGCTGAAGGGATTCTAGATAGCATGATCACACAGGTTGGAAAGAGAACTCGCCTACGTGAGAACAACTGGAAGCCCAGCAATCATGCCTGCTCGTGTTCTCCTTGTCTGCTTGGCACCAATTTAGCAAGAAAGCACTATTGTTGGGTGAACACCACCTACCTCTCCTACTGTAAGCCCTCTGGCCTATAAGGTGTGGATGAGAATAAAAACTTTCCAACCATTTGTATCTTAGCTGGGGTAGGATGATTCACTGAACCATGTATTTTCATAGCTGCAAATACTAGCATACAAATTCCCATCCTCCTCCTGGTTCCTCACAAATCAGTTGGGATCTAATTTCCAGATCCTGTGAGAAAACATGAAGACTATATGGCTACACTGGTCTTGCAAAGCCAAGATTTCCATTTAAGCCACAAATCATACTTGCCTGCACTCCAGAAGCTCATAGTGTAGAAAAGAAGGCAGAAATACAACCACAGATCCTATTGAATGTGCTAAAATAGACGCGTGTGGAAGGCACCATGGTGTCATGCACAATAGAGGGACCAAGTATGTCCAGCGTTGGGAAAAAGATGGCAGTGAAGGTACAAAGGAAAGCAGCAGGAGAATTATGAGCTTTTCAGGCAGACCAGGGGTGGGAAAGGTTACTCCAGGAAGAATTCACAGAGCCCACAAAGCGGGGAGACACAATGGGAACCCTCAGTGATCACAATAAGCCCCTATCATTTTGAGAACAAGCCAAGTCAAAGGCCATCTCTATCCTAATCCTTTGCCTTTAGCTTATAGATTATGTTGAAAAAAGAAAACAAGCTGGAAAAAGTAAGGAAAACCTTCTTCATTCTAGCTGGGACATGTGTGGGTATAACACGTTATGCTTCTAAGCTGTGAACTCACAGAAGACAGAGAATATGCTTGCTTCCAAGACCCTGTAAGCTAGAATAAATCTGTATTAAATTATAAAATATTTTGTTCATGTATATAATTAACCTGACGGGTGTGTTATGTGTCCAAAAGCATGAGTGTGCTAAGTGGTGTGTTCTTCCAGGCGGCAGCCCTGGAGAGAGTGCAGGGGCTGGCACAGCCTGACCATCCAGGCAATCGCAGGTTGTACTGAGGCCAGTAAACTCATGGGTGTGCTGGTTAACACCCGACCCCCAGAAGACCACGGCCAGAAAGGAAAGATTTTCTTAAGCAGTGAAATTGTTTGCTTTTCCAGTCTTTACCTTTGTGATAAAGAATAAAAATGGACCCATTGAGAGGCTGCATTAGATATGAAGCATTCCATTCATTCAATAATGTTTAATATTTAACCATAAGTTTATTGCTCTAACTATAAAGTCCTTAACCAGGGCTTCAAAGCTAGATCAAAACTATCTTATATCTCTGACAGGTAATTACTTGGGTTGTTGCATGAAAATTACTTATTTTGAGGTCAGTGATGTCTAGCTTCTCTGAAGTAAATAAACTGTGCTCTAGATAGAAAAAGTACAGTATCCTCTCAATAACTCACATTCTTTCAGAAACAAAATAGCACATCTCACCTCTATGACTTCACTTAGTTTACACTACATGTGTGATATCAGCAGTGTTTTACTTGACCCTTGAACACCTGTAATACTTTGCAAAATATTATGTTACAATTCTCTGAAGAATTTCTCCTGTGACCCACTGGCCCCTTAACCCAGAACACTCTCCTGGAACGCTGGTCATCACTTCTCCCTCTGTGGCCACCTCATCAGTGGTCTCAACAGAGTGTCCACCCTTCAGGTCAGTCAGACACAAGCTCTCTACCAAGACTTCTTGAGTTACATGATCAGACCTTGCAGGGTGACAGCCATCATCCCAATCTCTCCTAGGAGACAATGTGAAGGAGGGGTTAGCCCCAGAGCAGCAGACTAGCACAGGGACGTCTGCAACAAGCTACAGCTTTGTTCAACACAGCAAGGCCTTGACTGCAGCCTTCCTGTGCAGCATTTACTACTTTCAGGGAGACTGTATAGAAAATGGGGAAGATACAGAAAAACTCTGAGGGTTACTGCAAGGTTAAAGGAGATTCAGGAATTGGGCAATGTACCGGCATACAGTGAACATGAATGTAAAAGTCTGCAATCACCACTCTTATACTATTTATAAGTCTAATGATTAATCAGTTGGGGCATAACTGGAATTTTGGAAACTTGTGAGCTCACAGACATTACAATAAAGGAATTATTGCCCTTAATTCAATATACCCATTCCTAATATGAGAACTAAGTTTTACTAAATATTTTATTATAAATTGTAAATTTACTACACAAGTATGAATTTGGGTTAGAAAACTAATTTATGAACTGAAACAAACACCAGAGAAGAAGTAGCCAATAATAACTTTTAATTGCTCCCTTCTTTTTATATCCATTTTTATTGTCATAAAACATATTATCATTTTGACCATTTTAAGTGGACTATTCTGAGGCATTAAGTATATACATGATGTTATATAACCTTCAACATTATCTACTTCCAGAACACTTTCATTTCCCGAACTGTTTTCCTTAGTAATTGTGCCTTCTTATATTTCCAGCAGAAGTGCAAAAGCATTCCAATTTCTTTGCATCTTTGCCAACAATTGTTATTCTCAGTGGTCTTTGATCAAAAAGTGGTATTTCATTGCGGCTTTGATTTGCATTACCCTAAAGACTAATGATGTGGAGTGTTTTTCATGTGTTTATTGGCAATTAGTATATCTTTTTTGGATAAATGTCCATTATAGTCCTTTGCTCATTTTTGAACTGGGCTGTTTTTTTTTTTTTTTTTGACATTGAATTATAGGAATTCCCTATATATTCTGGATAGTAATCCATTAGCAGATATACAATTTGAAAATCTTTTCACACTGTATGGGTTGACTTTTCACTCTTTTGACAGTGTTCTTTGATGCAGGAAACTTCCAAATTTTGATAGAGTTCAACTTAACTATTTTTTTCCTTTGTTGCCTGTGCTTTTGGTGTCATATCCAAGAAATCACTGCCAAACGCAGTGTCATCAAGACATTCCCCTATATTTTCATCTAATGGTTTTATAGTTTTGGCTCTTAAGAGTTTCAGTCGGCCGGGCATGGTGGCTCAAGCCTGTAATCCCAGCACTTTGGGAGGCCAAGGCGGGCGGATCACAAGGTCAGGAGATCGAGACCATCCTGGCTAACACGGTGAAACCCCGTCTCTACTAAAAATACAAAAAATTAGCTGGGCGTGGTGGCGGGCACCTGTAGTCCCAGCTGCTTGGGAGGCTGAGGCAGGAGAATGGCGGGAACCCAGGAGGCAGAGCTTGCAGTGAGCCGAGATCACGCCACTGCACTCCAGCCTGGGCTACAGAGCCAGACTCCGTCTCAAAAAAAAAAGAGTTTTAGTCTTTTAATGTATTTTAAGTTGATTTTTGTATATGGTGTAAAACAAGGGCTCAATGTCATTAATTTGCACAGGGATTTCCAATTTTCCCATTTGTTGAAAAAGACTGTTCTTCATATTGAATGATCATAGTGCCCTTGTCAAAACTCACTTCATGGTCAGGCGTGGTAGCTCGTAACTGACCAGCAGTTTGGGAGGCTGAGGTGGGCAGATCACCTGAGGTTAGGAGTTCGAGCCTGGGCAACGTGGTGAAACCCTGTCTCTACCAAAAAGACAAAAATTAGCTGGGCGTGGTGGTGGGCGCCTGTAATTCCAGCTACTTGGGAGGCTGAGGTAGGAGAATTGCTTAAATCTGGGAGGTGGAGGTTGCGGTGAGCCGAGATCGTGTCGCTGCACTCCAGGCTGGACGGCAGAGCAAGATTCCATCTCAAAAAACAAAAAACAAAAACAAAAACGAAAAACAAAACTCACTTCACCATATATGTAAGAGTTCTTATTTGTGGGCCCTCTATTCTATGCCATTGATCTCTATCTCTCTCCTTATACTAGTACCCTACTGTTTTAATTGCTGTAGATTTATATTAAGATTTGAAATCAGGAATTGTGAGTCCTACATATTTGCTCTTCCTTTTCAAAATTTTTTGGCTACTTGAGGTCTGCTGATAGTCCATATGAATATTCGAATAGATTTTCTACAAAAATGCTGTTGGAATTTTGATAGGGATTGCACTGAATCTGTAGATTGCTTGGTAGGATATTGTCATCTTAACAATATTAAAGCCTGAAATTCATGAACACGGGATGTCCTTATATTTATTTATGTCTTCCTTAATTTATTTCAGCAATGTTTTGTAGTTTTCTTCTTTACCTTTTAAGTTCAGGGGTACATGTACAGGTTTGTTATATAGGTAACATATAATAGAAATTTGTTGTACGGATTATTTCATCACCCAGGTATTAAGCCTAGTACTCATTAGTTATTTTTCCTGATCCTCTCCCTCCTTCCGCCCACCCTCCAGTAGGCCCCCATGTCTGTTGTTCCTCTCTGTGTGTCAATGTGTTCTCATAATTTAGTGCCCACTTATAAGTGAGAACATGTGGTATTTGGTTTCCTGTTCACACATTAGTTTGTTTAGGATAATAGTCTCTAGCTCCATTCATGTTTCTGTAAAATCACGACCTCATTTTTTTTTTTATGGCTGCATGGTATTCTGTAGTATATACACACCACATTTTCTTTGTTCAGTCTACCGTTGATGGGCATTTAGGTTGATTCCATTTTTTTGCTATTGTCAACAATGCTGCAACAAACATATGCTTGCCTGCGTCTTTATGGTAGAATGATTTATATTCCTTTGGGTATATATACCCAGTAATGGGATTTCTGAGTCAAATGAGAGTTCTGATTTGAGCTCTTTGAGGAATGGCAATGCTGTTTTCCACAGGAATGGCAATACTGTTTTCCACAATGGTTGAAGGAATTTATACTCCCACCAACAGTGTACAAACATTCCTTTTTCTCCACAACCTTGCCAGCAGCTGTTATTTTTTTGACTTTTTAATAATAGCCATTCTAATTGGTGTGAGATGGTATCTCATTGTGGTTCTGATTTGCATTTCTCTAATGATAAGTGATGTTCAGCTTTTTTTCATGTGCTTGTTGGCCATATGAATGTCTTCTTTTGAAAAGTGTCTGTTCATGTCATTTGCTTACTTTTTAAAGAGGCTTTTTGTTTTTTCCTTGTAAATATGTTTAAGTTCCTTATAAATGCTGGATATTAGACCTTTGTCAGATGTGTAGTCTGCAAAATTTTTCTCCCTTTCTGTAGGCTGTCGATAGTTGTCTCTGTTGATAGTTTCTTTTGCCGTGCAGAGGCTCTTTGATTTAATTAGATCCCATATGTCAATTTTTCCTTTTGTTGCAATTGCTGCTGGTGTCTTCATAATGAAATCTTTGCCTAAATTTTATGTCCAGAGCGGTACTGCCTGGGTTGTCTTGCAGCATTTTTAGTTTTAAGTTTTACATTTTTGATCCATCTTGAGTTATTTTTATATAAGCAAAGGGTCCAAGGCTCAATCTTCTGCATGTGGCTAGCCAGCTATCCCAACACCATTTATTGAATGGAGTCCTTTTCCTATTGCTTGTTTTTGTCAGCACTGTCAAGGATCAGATGACTGTAGGTGTGCGGCCTTATTTTTGGGTTGTTTATTCTGTTCCATTGGTCTATGTGTCTGTTTTTGTACCAGTACTATACTGTCTTTGTTACTGCAGCCCTGTTGTATAGATTGAAGTCAGGTAGCATAACACCTCCAGCTTTGTTCTTTTTGCTCAGGACTGCCTTGGCTATTTGGGCTCATTTTTGGATACATGTGAATTTGAAAATAGTTTTTATTAGTTAAGTGAAAAATGTCATTGGTAGTTTGATAGGAATAGTATTGAAATCTGTAAATTACTTTTGGCAGTATGGTCATGTTAATGCTATTGATTCTTCCTATTAATGAGCATGGAATATTTTTCCATTTATTTGTGTCATCTCCGATTTCTTTAAGCAGTGTTTTGTAGTACTCGTAGAGATCTTTCACCTCCTTGGTCAGTTCTATTACTAGGTATTTTATTCTTTTTGTGGCAAGTGTGATTGGGATTGCATTCCTGATTTGGCTCTCAGCTTGATGGCTGGTGTATAGAAATGCTAGTGAATTTTGCGCACTGATTTTGCATCCTGAGACTTTGTTGAAGCTGTTTATCAGCTTAAGGAGCTTTTGGGCCCAAGACTATGGGGTTTTCTAGATAGAGGATCATGTCTTCTGCAAACAGGAATAATTTGATTTCCTCTATTCCTATTTAGATGCCTTTTATTTATTTCTATTGCCTGACTGTCCTGGCCAGGGCTTCCAATACAATGTTGAATAGGAGTGGTGAGAGAGGGCATCCTTGTCTTGGGCTGGTTTTCAAGGGGAATGCTTCCCATTTTTGTCCATTCAGTATGATGTTGGCTGTGGGTTTTTTATACATGGCTCTTCTTATTTTGAGGTATGTTCCTTCAATATGTAATTCAGAGTTTTAACATGAAAGGGTTTTGAATTTTATCAAGAGCGTTTTCTGCATCTATTGAGATAATCATGTGGTTTTTGTCTTTAGTTCTGTTTATGTAATGGATCACATTTATTGATTTGCATATGTTGAACCAATCTTGCATCCCAGGGATAAAGCCAACTTGATCGTGGTGGATAAGCTTTTTGATGTGTTGCGGACTCAGTTTGTCAGTATTTTGTTTAGGATTTTTGCATTGATGTTTATCAAAAATATTGGCCTAAAGTTTTCTTTTTTGTTGTGTCTGTGCCAGGTTTTGATATTAGCATGATGCTGGCCTCATAGAATGAGATGGGGTGAATCCCTCCTCCTCAATTTTTCGGAATAGTTTCAGTAGGAATGATACCAGCTCTTCTTTGTACATCTGGTAGAATTCAGCTGTGAATCTGTCTGGTCCTGGGCTTTTTTTGGTTGGCAGGGTATTTATTACTGACTCGATTTTGGAGCTCATTACTGGTCTGTTCAAAAATTCAATTTCTTCCTAGTTCAATCCTGGGAGGGTGCATGCATCCAGGAATTTATCCATTCCCTCTACATTTTCTAGTTTGTTTGCATAGAGATGTTCATAATATTCTCTGATGGTTATTTGTATTTCTGTGGGGTCAGTGGTGATATCACCTTTGTGATTTCTAATTGTGTTTATTTGGATCTTCTCTTTTCTTCTGTTTAGTCTAGCTAGCAGTCTATTTTTTATATCTATCTATCTATCTATCTATCTATCTATCTATCTATATATATATATATTTTTTTTTTTTTTCAAAAAAAACTAACTCCTAGATCTTTTGAAAGGTTTTTCATGTCTTGATTACCTTCAGTCCAGCTCTGACTTTGGTTATTTCTTATGTTCTGCTAGCTTCTGAGTTGGTTTGCTTTTGGTTTTCTAGTTCTTTTAGTTGTGATGCCAGGTTGTTAAATTGGAATCTAACTTTTTTTTTTTTGTATTTTTCGTAGAGACGGGGTTTCACCATGTTGACCAGGCTGGTCTTGAACTCCTGACCTCAAGTGATCCGCCTGCCTTGGCCTCCCAAAGTGCTGGGATTACAGGCGTGAGCCACTGCACCTAGCCAATCTTTCTAACTTTTTGATGTGAGTGTTTAGTGCCACAAATTTCCGTCTTAACACTGCCTTAGCTATGTTCCAGAGATTCTGGTATGCTGTATCTTAGTTCTCACTAGTTTCAAAGAACTTCTTGATTTCAGCTCTAATTTTATTATTTACCCAGAAATCATTCAGGAGCAGATTACTCAATTTCCATGTAATTGTACGGTTTTGATCAAATTTCTTAGCCCTGATTTCTAATTTGATTGTGCCGTGGTCTGACAGAATGGCTGTTATGATTTCACTTCTTTTGCATTTGCAGAAGAGTGTTTTATGTCCAATTATGTGGTCAATCTTAGAGTATGTGCTATGTAATAATGAGAAGAATGTATATTCTGTAGCTTTTGGGTAGAGTTCTGTATATGTTTATCAGGTCCATCTGACCCAGTGCTGAGTTTAGGTCCTGAACATCTTTGTTAATTTTCTGCCTTGATGATCTGTTTAATATTGTCAGTGGGGTGTTGAAATCTCCCACTACTATTGTGTGGGAGTTTAAGTCTCTTTGAAGGTTTCCAAGAACTTGCTTTACGGATCTAGGTGCTCCTGTGTTGGGTGTATATATATTTAGGGGAGTTATGTCTTCTTGTTGAATTGAACCCTTTACCATTATGTAATGTGATTCTTTGTCTTTTTTGATCTTCGTCGGTTTAGTCATTTTGTCTGAAATGAGGACTGCAACCCCTGCCTTTTTGTTTTCCATTTGCTTGGTAGATTTTTCTTTTCATCCCTTTATTTTGAGCCTATGGGTGTCACTGCATGTGAGATGGGTCTCTTGAAGACAACATACTACTGGGTCTGTTATGTATTTTTTTTGATGGAGTCTTGCTCTGTTGCCCAGGCAGGAGTGCAGTGGTGTGATCCTGGCTCAGCGCAACCTCCATCTCCCAGGTTCAAGTGATTCTCCTGCCTCAGCCTCCCTCAGTAGCTGGGATTACAGACATATGTCACCACGCCCAGCTAATTTTTTTGTATTTTTAGTAGAGATGGGGTTTCACCATGTTGGCCAGGCTGGTCTCAAACTCCTGATCTCAAATGATCTGCCCGCCTTGACCTCCCAAAGTGCTGGGATTACAGGCTTGAGCCACGTGCCCAGCCGTCTATTGGGCCTTGAATCTTTATCCAGCTTGCCACGCTGTGCCTTTTAATTTGGGCACTTAGCCTATTTCCATTCAAGGTTCGTATTGATATGTGTGGATCTGATCCTGTCATCATGATGGTAGTTGGTTATTATGTAGACTTGTCTGGTTGCTTTATAGTGTCACTGCTCTGTGTACTTAAGTAACTTATGGTAGTGGCTGATAATGGTCTTTCCTTTAGATACTTAGTGCTTGCCTCAGAAGCTTGCGTAAGTCAGGTCAGGTAGTAACAAATTCCCTCAGCATTTGCTTGTCTGAAAAGGATCCTATTTGCCTTCACTTATGAGGCTTAGTTTGGCTGGATATGACATTCTTGGTTGGAATTTCTTTCTTTAAGAATGTTGAGTGGTCAGGCCCGGTGGCTCATGCCCATAATCCTAGCACTTTGGGAGGCCGAGGCAGGTGGATCACCTGAGGTCAGGAGTTCAAGACCAGCCTGGCCAACATGGTGAAACGTCATCTAAAAATACAAAAATTAGCCAGGTGTGGTGGTGCATGCCTCTAGTCCCAGCTACTTGGGAGGCTGAGGCAGGAGAATCACTTGAACCCGGGAGGCTGAGGTTGCAGTGAGGCAAAACTTTGCCAAGACACTCCTGCCTGGGTGACAGAGAGAGCAACAGAGCAAGATTCCTCCTCAAAATAGAAAAAAACAAAAGAAAAATGAGGCAAGGTGAGGCGAGGCAAGGACGGGATGGGATGGGACAGGAGGGGAGGGGAGGGGAGAGGACAGGACAGGACAGGACAGGACAGGACTAGACAAGACAAAAGGGTTCTTTGCCTCCTGGGATTCCAGAGGCTTGTGGTGAGAGCAGGTTGCTGCTTGTCAGTTCAACTCAGCCATTCCCCCAGAGTCACCAGGGGCTAGGAAGGAGTCCCAGTATGCAGTAGCCCTGTGTCGGGTTCCCAGCTTCCTATCCCTTCAGCCCAGCTTCTGTTTATTCCTTCCATCCACTGTCAGTACCTTCCCTCTGAAGATCTGTTAGGAATGCACCAGGTCTTCCCGGTTCCTTGGTGACAGCTGTTCCACCTTAACTGCATCTAGCTGGCCATCTTGCCCAAATTTGTTTTGTAGTTTTTATTGTAAGAGTCTGGCATCTACTTATTTTCCTAAGTGGTTTTTAAAAAATACTATTGTAGTCGATACTGTTTACTTAAATTCATTTTTTAGATTATGCACTGCTATTGATAAAAATCCAACTAATTTTTGTATATTAATCTGCATTGTGCAACTTTCCTCAATTTACTAACGTGCTCTGTGTGTGTGTGTGTGTGTGTGTGTGTGTGTGTGTGTGTGTGTATAATCTTTAGGGTTTTCTACATATAAGGTCATGCCATCTCTGAATAGAGATAATTTTCTTTCTTTCTTTCCAATCTAGATTCTTTTCTTTTTCTTGCCTAAGTGCTTTGGTCAGAACTTCTAATACTATCTTAAATGGAAGGGTGAAAGCAACCATCTTTGCCTTGTTTCTGATTTTAGAGGGAAAGCTTCTAAGTTGTCATCATTTGGTATGTTAGCTATGGGTTTTTCATAACTGCTGTATGTTAGGCTGAGGAAGTAATCTTATGTTCCCAGTTTGTTGAGTGTTTTTATCACAAAGTGCTGGATTCTGTCAAATGCTTTTCCTGCATCAATTAAAACAATTGTATGGTTTTTCTCCTTCACTCCATTAATGTGGTATATTACATGAATTGGTTTTTGTGAACTATTCTTGTATTCTGGGAAATCCCTTTTGGAAATGGGGTATAACTCTTTTAATCTGCTGCTCAATACAATTTGCTAGAATGTTGTTGAGGATTTTTTCATCAATATTCATCAGGGATACTGGTCTCCAGTTTTCTTGTAAAATCTTTGTCTATTTTTTTTTTAACAGGGTAATGCTAGCCTCAGGGAATGAGTTAGGAAGTGGTCCTTTCCCTTCAATTTTTGGGAGGAATTTGAGAACAACTGGTGTTAATTCTTCTTTAAATGTTTGGTAGAATTTACTCATGAATCCATCTGATAGCGAGTCTTTCTTCATTGGAAGGTTTTTTCTTTTCCTTTTTTTTTTTTGAGACGGAGTCTTGCTCTGTCACCCAGGCTGGAGTGTAGTGGTGTGATCTCGGCTCACTGCAAGCTCCACCTCCCAGGTTCATGGCATTCTCCTGCCTCAGCCTCCCGAGTAGCTGAAACTACGGGCGCCCACCACCATGCCCAGCTAATTTTTTTTGTATTTTTTAGTAGAGATGGGGTTTCACCATGTTAGCCAGGATGGTCTTGATCTCCTGACCTCATGATCCGCTTGCCTCAGCCTCCCAAAGTGCTGGGATTACAGGCGTGAGTCACCGCGCCCGGCCATTGGAAGGTTTTTATTACCGATTTAATATCCTTACCAGTTATAGGTCTATTCAGATTTTTTATTTCTTCATGAGTCAGTTCTTGCACACTGTTTTTGTAGAAAATTGTACATTTCATCTAGGTTACCCAATTTGTTGGTGTTCAGTTGTTCATAGGATTCTCATATAATCCTTTTCATTTCTGTAAAATCAGTAATAGTCTCTTCAGTTTTGATTCTAGTAATTTGACCAGTTTTTTCGTGGTCAATCTAGCTAAAGTTTGGTCTATTTTGCTGACTTCTGCAAAGATGTGATGTCTTTAGAAATGCTCTCTGATTTTCTCTAATGTTTGTACTCTTTCATCTCCACTCTAATCTTTATTTTTTCCATCCTTCTGCTAGCATTGCATTTAGTTTGCTCTTCTTTTTTTCTAGTACCTTAACATGTACAGATAGGTTATTGATTTAATATCTTTCTCTTCTTCAATATATGTACTTACATCCATAAATTTCCAACTTCATAATGCTTTCATGTCATCCCGTAAGTTTTAGTACATTATGTTTTCGTTTTCATTCATCTCAATAGTTTCTTCTTGGAGATTTGGGGGGAAAATGATAGACAGGAGGCAGGACTAGATTGCAGCCCTCACCCGGACAGACAGCAGCTCACAGAGACTCGCATCATGAACTTTGGCTCCAGAACTACTGCAGGAATATACCAGGAAAGCCAAGAGAATCCACAGACCCTCTGAAGGAAGCAGATTGCTCCTTCAGGACCCAAGAGACACCCTAAATACTGTGTTGGTATCGTTGGCAGAGAAACCTCAAGACGGTTCACATTACAGGACTCTGTGCAGACAACCCTCGGTACTAGTCGAGGGCTTGGCAGCCCTGCTGAATGGCTAGATCCAGAAGAGAAATAATAATCACTACAGCTTGGCTCTCAGGAAGCCACATCCCTAGGAAAAGGCAGAGAGTACTACATCAAGGGAACATCCTGTGGGACAAAAGAATCTGAACACTAGCCCTGAGTGCCAGATCTTCCCTCTGACATAGCCTACGCAAAGAAGAAGAAACCAGAAAAACAATTCCGGTAATATGACAAAACAAGGTGCTTTAACACCCCCCAAAAATCACACCAGCTCACCAGGAAGGGATCCAAACCAAGAAGAAATCTCTGATTTACCTAAAAAAGAATTCATAATACCAATTATTATGCGAATCAAGGAGGCATCAGAGAAAGATAAAGTCCAATTTAAGGAAATAAAAAAAAAGATACAAGAAATGAGGGGAGAAATCTTCAGTGAAATAGCATAAATTAAAAAAAAATCACAACTTCAGGAAATAAAACAGTGAAATGCAAAATGTTCTGGGAAGTCTCAGCAATAAAACTGAACAAGCAGAAGAAACAACCTCAGAGCTCAAAGACAAGGTTTTTGAATTAACTCAATCCATCAAAGAGAAAGAAAAAATAATTAAAAAACAAACAGGCTGGGCGCAGTGGCTCACACCTATAATCCCAGCACTTTGGGAGGTGAAGGTGGGCAGATCACGAGGTCAAGAGATCGAGACCATCTTGGTCAACATGGTGAAAACCCATCTCTACTAGAAATACAAAAATTAGCTGGACCTGGTGGCAGGTGCCTGTAGTCCCAGATACCTGGGAGGCTGAGGCAGGAGAATCGCTTGAATCCGGGAGTGAGCCGAGATTGTGCCACTGCACTCCAGCCTGGTGACAGAGCGAGACTCCATCTAAAACAAAGAACAAAGCCTCCAAGAAGTTTGGGATTCTGTTAAATGACCAAACCTAAGAATAACTGGTGTTCCTGAGGAAGAAGAAAAATCTAAACATTTGTAAAACATATTTGGGGAAATAATTGAGAAAAACTTCCCTGGCCTTGCTAGAGATCTAGACATCCAAATACAAGAACGAACATCTGGGAAATTCATCACAAAAGATCATTGCCTAGGCATACTGTCATCAGGTTATCTAAGTCAAAATGAAGAATCTTAAGAGCTGTGAGGCAAAAGCACCAGGTAACCTAAAAAGAAAAACTGATCAGATTAACAGCAGATTTCTCAGCAGACACCCTACAAGTTAGAAGGGATTGGGGCCCTATCTTCAGCCTCCTTAAACAAAACAATTATCAGCCAAGAACTTTGTATCAAGTGAAACTAAGCTTCATAAATGAAGGAAAGATACAGTCTTTATCAGAAAAACAAATGCTGAGAGAATTCGCCACTACCAAGCCAGCACTATGAGAACTGCTAAATGGAGGTCTAAATCTTGAAACAAATCCTGGAAACACATGAAAGCAGAACCTCTTTAAAGCATAAGTCTCACAGGACCTATAAAACAAAAATATAATAATTAAAAAAGCCACCAAGGTATACAGCCAACAAATAGCATGATGAATGAAACAGTACCTCACATCTCAATACTAATGTTGAGTGTAAATGGCTTAAATGCTCCACTTAAAAGAAACAGAATAGCAGAATGGATAAGAAGTATCTGCTGCTTTCAAGAGACTTACCTAACACATAAGGACTCAGATAAACTTAAGGTAAAGGGGTGTAAAAAGACAGCCCACGCAAATGAACACCAAAACTGAGCAGGAGTAGCTATTTTTATAACAGACAAAACAAACTTTAAAGCAACAGCAGTTAAAAAGGACAGAAAAAAATAGCAAAAACCACAATTACTTTTGCACCAACCTAATATAAAAGGCCTTGTCCAAAACGAAAATATCACAATCCTAAATATTCTATGCACCTAACACTGGAGCTCCTAAATTTATAAAACAATTACTACTAGACATAAGTAACGAGATAGACAGCAACAAAAATAATAGTGGAGGACTTCAACACTCCACTGATAG
This sequence comes from Homo sapiens, assembly GCF_000001405.40. Classification (NCBI taxonomy): domain Eukaryota; kingdom Metazoa; phylum Chordata; class Mammalia; order Primates; family Hominidae; genus Homo; species Homo sapiens. Next base: position 47,460,219 of record NC_000008.11, on the reverse strand, counting down.
GACTAGACAGGTCATCAAGACAGAAAGTCAACAAACAAACAATGGATTTAAACTATGCCCTGGAACAAATGGACTTAACATATTTACAAAATATTCTACCCAACAAACACAGAATATACATTCTATTCATCAGTGTATGGAACTTTCTCCAAGATAGACCATATGATAGGCCACAAAACAAGTCACAATCAATTTAAGAAAACTGAAATTATATCAAGTACTCTTTCAGACCACAGTGGAATAAAAATGGAAATCAACTCCAAAAGGAACCTTCAAAACCATGCAAATACATGGAAATTAAATAACCTGCTCCTGAATGATTACTGGGTCAACAGTGAAATCAAGATGGAAATTAAAAAATTATTCAAACTGAAAGATAATAGTGACACAACCTATCAAAAGCCCTGGGAGACGGCAAAGGTGGTGGTAAGAGGAAACTTCATAGCCTTAAATGCCCACAACAAAAAGTCTGAAACAGTACAAACAGACAATCTAAGGAACTAGAGAAACACCTCAAGGAACTAGAGAAACAACAACAAACCAAACCCAAACCAGCAGAAGAAAGGAAATAACCAAGATCAAAACAGAACTAAATGAAATTGAAACAAAAAAAATACAAACGATAAATGAAACAAAAAGCTGGTTCTTTGAAAAGATAAACTGACAGATCATTAGCAAGATTAACCAAGAAAAGGAGAGAGAAGATCCAAATAAGCTCAATTAGAAAAGAAATGGGAGATATCAAGACTGACACCACAGAAATACAAAAGATTATCTAAGGCTACTATAAACACCTTTATGCACATCAACTAGAAAACCTAGAGGATGCTGAATAAATTCCTGGAAAGATACAGGAAGCTTAAATCAGGAAGAATTAGAAACCCTGAACAGACCAATAAAAAGCAGCGAGGTTGAAACGGTAATAAAAGAATTACCAAGAAAAAAAACTTCCAGGACCAGACAGATTCACAGCTGAATTCTACCAGACATTCAAAGAACTGGTACCAATCCTATTGACACTATTACACAAGATAGAGAAAGAGGCAATCCTCCCTAAATCATTCTATGAAGCCAGGATCACCCTAATAACAAAACCAGGAAAGCACATAAGACATGCAAAAAAACTACAGACCAATAACCCTGATGAAAACAGAAGCAAAAACCCTTAACAAAATACTAGCTAACCGCATCCAACTATCAAAAAGACAATCCACCATGATCAAGTGTGTTTCATACCAGGGATGCAGGGACAATTTAACATATGCAAATCAATAAATGTGATACACCACATAAAAAGAATTAAAAACAAAAATCACATGACCACCTCAACAGACACAGTTTAAATAAAGCATTTCACAAAAGCTGGCATCCCTCAAAATCTGGCATCCCTTTTTGATTAAAATCCTCAGCAAAATCAGCATACAAGGATGTACCTCAATGTAATAAACCCACAGCCAACATAATACTGAATGGGGAAAAGTTGAAAGCATTCCCTCAGAGAACTGGAATACGACAAGGATGTCCACTTTCACCATTTCTATTCAACATAGTACTAGAAGTCCTAGCCAGAGCCATCAGACAAGAGAAAGAAGTAAAAGGCATCTAGATCAGTAAAGAGGAAGTCAGACTGTCACTGTTTGCTGATGATATGATTGCATACCTAGAAAACCCTAAAGACTCCTCCGAAAAGCTCCTAGAATGGATAAACGAATTCAGCAAAGTTTTAGGATACAAAATTAATGTACACAAATCAGGAGCTCTGCTACACAGCATCAATGACCAAGCTGAGAATCAAATAAAAAACTCAACCCCTTTTATAATAGCTGCAATAAAATAAAATAAAATAAAATAAAATAAAATAAAATAAAATAAAATAAAATAAAATAAAATAAAATACTTAGGAATATGCTTAACCAAAGAGGTAAAAGGCCTCTGCAAGGAAAACTAAAAAACACTGCTGAAAGAAGTCAGAGATGACACAAACAAATGTAAACACATCCCATGCTCATGGATGGGTAGAATCAATATTGTGAAAATGACCATACTGCCAAAAGCAATCTACAAATGCAATGCAATTCCCATCAAAATACCACCATCATTCTTCACAGAACTAGAAAACACAATCCTAAAATTTACCAAAGAGCCCACATAGCCAAAGCAAGACTAAGCCAAAAGAATAAATCTGGAGGCATGACATTACCTGATTTCAAACTAGACTATAAGGCCATAGCCACCAAAACAGCATGGTGCTGGTATAAAAATAGGCACAGAGAACACTGGAACAGAATAGAGAACCCAGAAATAAACCCAAATACTTACAGCCACTGATCTTTGACAAAGTAAACAAAAACATAAAGTGGGGAAAGGACACCCTATTCAGCACAAATGGTGCTGGGGAAACTGGCAAGCCAAATGTAAGACAATGAGAAACTGGATCCTCAGCTGTCACCTTATACAAAAATCAACTCAAGATGGATCAAGGACTTCAATCTAAGACCTGAAACTGTAAAATTTCCAGAAGATAACATCGGAAAAACCCTAGTAGACATGGGCTTAGACAAAGTTTTCATGACCAAGAACCCAAAAGCAAATGCAACAAAAACAAAGAGGTGGAACTTAATTAAACTAAAGAGCTTTTGCATGGCAAAAGCAACAGTCAGCAAAGTAACAGACAACTCACAGAGCGGGAGAAAATCTTCACAATCTATATATCTGACAAAGTACTAATATCCAGAATCTACAAGGAACTCAAACAAATTAGCAACAATCCAAACAAAAAGGGGGTTAAGGATATGAACAGACAATTCTCAAAAGAAGATATACAAATGGCCAATGAACATATGAAAAAATGCTCAACATCACCAATGATCACGGAAATGGAAGTCAACACCACAATGCGGTACCACCTTACTTCCTGCAAGAATGGCCATAATCAAAACATCAAAAAATAATAGATGTTGATGTGGATGCGGTGAAAAGGGAACACTAATACACTGCTGGTGAGAATGTAAATGAGTACAACCACTATGGAAAACAGTGTGGAGATTCCTTAAAGAACTAAAAGTAGAACTACCATTTGACCTAGCAATCCCACTACTGGGTATTGACCCAGAGGAAAAGAAGTTGTTACAGGAAAAAAATACTGGCACATGCATGTTTATAGTGGCACAATTTGCAATTGCAAAAATGTGGAACCAGTCCAAATGCCCACCAATCAACGAGTCAATAAAGAAACTGTGGTGTATATACACACCATGGAATACTACTCAGCCATAAAAAGGAATGAATTAATGTCATTCGCAGCAACTTAGATGGGATTGGAGATTTTTATTCTAAGTGAAATAACTCAGGTATGGAAAAACAAACATCGTATGTTCTCACTCATAAGTGGGAGCTAAGCTATGAGGATGCAAAGGCGTAAGAATGATACAGTGGACTTTGGGGGTTGGGGAAGGGTGGGAAGTGGGTGAGGAAAAGACTACAAATTGGGTTCAGTGTATACTGCTTGGGTGATGGGTGCACCAAAGTCTCACAAATTGCCACTAAAGAACTTACTCATGTAACCAAATGCCACCTGTTTCCCAAAAACCTATGGAAATAAATTAATTTAAAAAAGAGAAAATAAAACCTTGGACCAAATGGTTATATAAGGCTGTGTTGTTTAATTTCCACATGTTTATTAATTTTACAGTTTCCTTCTGTTAGTGATTTCTAGGGTTCATTCCATTGTGAACAGAAAAGATATTCGGTAATTTGAAAGTTTTAAAATGTATTAGTTTGCTAGAGCTATCGTAACAAAATATCAGTCTGAGTGACTTAGCCAAAATGTATTGTCTCACATTTCTGGATGCTGGAGGTACAAGATCAAGATGTTAAGTAGGCCTGGTTTATTCTGAGGCCTCTCTCCTTGGCTTGTCTCTCTCACTGTGTCCCCACATGGCACTTTCTCTAGGTGCATACATCTCCTTGTTATAAGCACACCAGTCATATTAAATTAGGACCCACTCTAACCTTAATTACCTCTTTAAAGGCTCTATCTCCATATAGCCTGAGGTGTAATGGGAGTTAGGACTGTAGCATATAAATTGCAGGGGAACAAAATTCAATTCATAACACTTTGTTTTGTGGCTTAACATATGGTCTAACCCAGACAATGTAATGCGTGCACTCAAGAATGGGTATTATATTTTTGAATGGAATGTTTTACACATGTTAGGTCTAATTGGTTTATACAGCTGTTGAATCCTTTATTTCCTTACGGCTCTCCTGCATGTTTGTTCTGTCCATTATTGAAAGTGGGTATTAAAGTCTTCAACAATTAACGTAGATCTATTTCTCCTTTCAATTCTGTCCATTTTTACTTCATATATTTTGGGGCTCCTTTGTTAAGTGTGTATATATTTAAAATTATTTTATGTTTTTGCTGTGTTAAACCTTTTATCAATTTATAATGTCCTCTGCATCCCTTGTAAACTTTTTTAGATTTAACAAGTCAATTTTGTCTGATAATAATATAGTCACCCCTGTTCTTTTTTAGCATTTTCATTCTTTCGCTATCAACCATTTTGTATCCTTATGTTTAATTTGATTCTCTTGTAGATGGCTTATAGGTGGATTCTTGTTTTGTTTTATCTTTTCTACCAATTGCTACCTTTTAAGAACTGCATTTCATTCATTTACATGATTATCAATAGAGAAGAAATTCACTTTTTCCTTATGCCTTATACACTTTTTTCTTATGCCTTACATACTTTTTGCTTTTCAATTACTTCATTACTAGATATTTTTCTGTTTTTTTTGTGTGTCTGTGTGTGTGTTTCATTTTAATTTGCTTCTTTTCTCCCATTCTCTATATTAGTTATTTTCTTAATAATTTTCTGGGAAATTACAATCAATATCTTAAATAACAACATCCTTTGAATAATACTAACTAAGTTTCAATGGTCTACAAGCACTCTGCTCCTCTACATCTCTACCCCCTCCCTTTTTATTCTGATTGTCACAGACTATATCTTTATACGTTATATGCATCCTAATATAGATTTGTAAGTATTATTAAATGCACTTGCCCATAAAATTATATAGGAAAAAGAGAAATAACAAACAATACCAAAAGCACAGTAACATTGGCTTTTACATTTACCTATGCAACTACCTTGACCAATACTCTTTATTTTTTTCTTTTGGCTTCAAATTGCTGTTTAGTATTTCTTCCTTTCAGCCTGAAGGACTTGCTGTAGCATTTTTTGTCTATCAGTAATGAACTACTTAGGGTTTTATAATATTTGGAAATGTGTTAATTTCTCCTTTATTCTTATTTATTATTATTATTTTTTTTTGAGACAGCAGTTTGATGTGTTGTCTGGGCTGGAGGGAATGCAGTGGCTGTTCACACACATGCTCATAGCACACTGTAGCCTCAAGTTCCTGGGTTCCAGCAATCTTCCTCCCTCAGTCTCCCAAGTCATTGAGGCTATAGATGCAAGCCACCATGCCCAGCTTCATCTCCTTTATTCTTAAAGATATTGTTTTCAGATATACAATCTTGGTTGACAGTTTCTTTCAGGTCTTTTATTTTTATTTTTATTATACTTTAAGTTCTAGGGTACATGTATACCATGTGCAGGTTTGTTACATATGTACACATGTGCCATGTTGGTGTGCTGAACCCATTAACTCACTGTTTACATTAGGTATATCTCCTAATCCTATCCCTTCCCCGCTTCCCCACCCCCGCACCCCACCACAGGCCCTGGTGTGTGATGTTTCCCTTCCTGTGTCCAAGTGTTCTCATTTTCCACTTCCCACCTAAGAGTGAGAACATGCGGTGTTTGGTTTTTTGTCCCTGTGATAGTTTGCTGAGAATGATGGCTTCCAGCTTCATTCATATCCCTACAAAGGACATGAACTCATCCTATTTTATGGCTGCATGGTATTCCATGGTGTGTATGTGCCACATTTTCTTAATCCAGTATATTATTGATGGACATTTGGGTTGGTTCCAAGTCTTTGCTATTGTGAATAGTGCCACAGTAAACGTACATGCGCATGTGTCTTTATAGCAGCATGATTTATAATCCTTTGGGTATATACCCAGTAATGGGATGGCTGGGTCAAATGGTAATTCTAGTTCTAGATCCTTGAGGAATTGCTGCACTGTCTTCCACAATGGTTGAACCAGTTTACAGTCCCACCAATGCTGTAAAAGTGTTCCTATTTCTCCACATCCTCCAGCACCTGTTGTTTCCTGACTTTTTAATGATCACCATTCTAACTGGTGTAAGATGGTATCTCACTGTGGTTTTGATTTGCATTTCTCTGATAGCTAGTGATAATGAGCATTTTTTCATGTGTCTGTTGGCTGCATAAATGTCTTCCTTTGAGAAGTGTCTGTTCATACCCTTTGCCCAGTTTTTGATGGGGCTGTCTGTTTTTTTCTTACAAGAAACCTAGGTTTTCTTCTAGGGTTTTTATGCTTTTAGATCTAACATTTAAGGCTTTAATCCATCTTGAATTTATTTTTGTATAAGGTGTAAGGAAGGGATCCAGTTTCAGCTTTCTACATATGGCTAGCCAGTTTTTCCAGCACCATTTATTAAATAGGGAATCCTTTCCCCATTTCTTGTTTTTGTCAAAGATCAGATGGTTGTAGATGTGTGGTATTATTTCTGAGGGCTCTGTTCTGTTCCATTGGTCTGTATCTCTGTTTTGGTACCAGTACCATGGTGTTTTTGTTACTGTAGCCTTGTAGTATAGTTTGAAGTCAGGCAGCGTGATGCCTCCAGCTTTGCTCTTTTGGCTTAAAATTCTCTTGGCAATGCGGGCTCCCCTCTGGTTCCATATGAACTGCAAAGCAGCCCTCTCCAACTCTGTGAAGAAAGTCATTCATAGCTCGATGAGGGTGGCATTAAATCCATAAATTACCCTGGGCAGTATGGCCATTTTCACAACACTGATTCTTCCTATCCATGAGCATGGAATGTTTGTTCCTCCATTTGTCTGTATCCTCTTTTATTTCATTGAGCAGTGGTTTGTAGTTCTCCTTGAAGAGGTCCTTCACATCCCTTCTAAGTTGGATTCCCAGGTATTTCATTCTCTTTGAAGCAACTGTGAGTGGGAGTTCACTCATGATTTGGCTCTCTGTTTGTCTGTTATTGGTGTATAAGAATGCTTGTGATTTTTGTACATTGATTTTGTATCCTGAGACTTTGCTGAAGCTGCTTATCAGCTTGAGGAGATCTTGGGCTGCGATGATGGGGCCCTCTAACTATATATTCATGTCATCTACAAACAGGGACAATTTGACTTCCTCTTTTCCTAATTGAATACCCTTTATTTCTTTCTCCTGCCTGACTACCCTGGCCAGAACTTCCAACACTATGTTGAATAGGAGTGGTGAGAGAGGGCATCCCTGTCTTGTGCCAGTTTTCAAAGGGAATGCTTCCAGTTTCTGCCCATTCAGTATGATATTGGCTGTGGGTCTGTCATAAATAGCTCTTATTATTTTGAGATACGTCCCATCAATACCTAATTTATTGAGAGTTTTTAGCATGAAGGTTGTTGAATTTTGTCAAAGGCCTTTTCTGCATCTATTGAGATAATGATGTGGTTTTTGTCTTTGGTTCTGTTTATATGCTGGATTACGTTTATTGATTTGCATATGTTGAACCAGCCTTGCATCCCAGGGATGAAGCCCACTTGATCATGGTGGATAAGCTTTTTGATGTGCTGCTGGATTCGGTTTGCCAGTATTTGATTCAGGATTTCTGCATTGATGTTCATCAGGGATATTGGTCTAAAATTGTCTTTTTTTGTTGTGTCTCTGCCAGGCTTTGGTATCAGGATGATGCTGGCCTCATAAAATGAGTTAGGGAAGATTCTTTCAGGTCTTTAAATACATCATCCCAGTGCTTTCTGGCCCCCATAGTTTCTTTTTTTTGCTTGTTTCGTTTTCTCATTGATTGATCGATTTTGGACCTCACAGTTTCTGATAAGAAATAAGCTGTTAATATTATTGAGGATCCCTTATACGTAGCAAGTTGCCTCTCTCTTGCTGCTTTCAATACACCATCTTTGTCTTTGGGTTTCATCAACTTCACTACTATGTGCCTTGGTGTGGACCTCTTTGACTTTATTATGCTTGAAGTACATTGGCCTTCTTGGGTATGTACATTAAAGATTTTCATCAAATTTGAGGAGTTATGTTATTCTTCAAGAATTTCAAATTAGCCTTTCAAGTGGTAGCAATTACCATGCCACATTCCCTAGCTCCACAATCCTGGTTCAGATTGCTGGGACCAGGGCTGATTATGTGTTTTGATTGCTAATTGCTGCGCTTGATCACTGAGGGGCTGGCACAAAAGCTGGCAGACATTGTTCCTCAGCCATTATTCTTCAAATATTTTTTCTGGTGTTTCCTCCCTCTCTTCTCTTCTCCTTCTGGTACTCCTATAATACACAGGGTTCTACATTTGATAGTGTCCCACAGGTGCTTCGGGCTCTGTTCATTTTTTTCATTCTGCTTCTCAGACAGAAGGAGTTCAATTTTCTTTTCTTCAAGTTCAATGAGCCTGTGTTCTGCCTCCTCAAATCTTCTGTGGAATCTTTCTAGTGTGTGTGTGTGTGTGTGTGTGTGTGTTTTGGCAGGGTTTCACAATGTCGCCTAGGCTGGAGTGCAGTGGTGTGATCTCAACTCACTGCAACCTGCGCCTCCCAGGTTCAAACCATTCTTGTGCCTCAGCCTCCCAAGTAGCTGGACTGCAGGAGTGCACCACCATATCCAGGTAATTTTTGCATTTTTTATAGAGATGGGGTTTCTTCATGGTGCGCAGGCTGGTCTTGAACTCCTGGACTCAAGCAATCCACTCACCTCAGCCTCCCAAATTGCTGGGATTACAGGCGTTAAGTCACCACACCCAATCTCTAGTGTGTTTTTGAAATTTAAATTATTGTACTTTCAGCTCCAGAATTTCTCTTTGGTTTTTAAATAATTTCAGTATCTTTACTGATATTTTCATTTTGTTTTGATACCATTTTCCTGATTTCCCTTAGTTATTTATCTATGGGTTCCCTTTAACTCCTTGAACATATTTAAGACAACTGATTTCACATTTTTGACTAATAATTCCAATATCTCAATTTCCTCAAGGATGGCTATGTAAAATTATGTTTTTCCTGTATTGGGCCATATTTTCCTGTTTGTGTGTTTTGTAATTTTTTGTTGAGAATTGGACATTTGAGTAGTACTTTATAAAAACTCTGGGAATCTAATTATCCCACTCCTCAGGGATCGCAGAATCTTACCTGCTGAAGACTGGAATTGTCCATCTGTGATTTTTCCAAATTATACTTTAATATTTGCTGTAAGTGTTCAACTGGACTGTAGAATTCCACAACAGGCACTTCATGTGGTTCCTTCCAGGTTGGTAGTTATTTCGATAGAGGGATGGATTTCTGGAACTTCCTACTCTACACCATTTTCATGACATCACTCTTCTCAGTTGCTCTCTTTACTCAGTATCTTAGATTAGGAAGAGCATGGTAATTTGTTTGCTAATATTTTGTTCAAATGTTGCCATTTCTGCTTCCCTCTACTGGAAACAACAATATACATTTGCATATGAGAGACTCTGAGCAGTCCTACAATACAACAACTGGTACACATTTGAGGAGCCTTTTCCAAACTTATTTGAGCACAAAACACTTTAATCATATTTCTATGAACACCCTGCTATAGTCTGAATGTGTTTCCTGAAGTTCATGCATTGGAAACCTAATTTCCAATGCAGCAGTATTGGGAGGTGGGACCTAATAAATTATGAGGGTGCTACCTTCCTGAATGGATTTATGTCATTACCATAGGAGTGGGCTAGCTATCACAAGAATGGCCTTGTTATAAAAGCAAGTTTGGCTCCCTCTTGCTTTTGTGCTCTCTTGCCCTTTCACCTTCTGCCATGGGAAGATGAAAAACGAAGGCCCTCAACAAATAGTGGTGCTATGCTCTTGGACTTCCCAGCTTCTAGAACCATAAGACAAATGAATTTTTTTCTTTTTTTGAGACAGAGTCTTACTCTGTTACCCAGGCTGAAGTGCAGTAGTGGGATCATGGCTCAATGCAGCCTTGACCTCCTTGGGCTCAGGTGATTCTCCCACCTCAGCCTCCCAAGGAGCTGGGACTACATGCATGCACCATCGTGCCTGGCTAATTTTTGTATTTTTTGTAGAGATGGGGTTTGCCCAGGCTGCTCACGAACTCCTGGACTCAAGCAATCCACTGCCTGCCTCGGCCTCCCAAAGTGTTGGCATTATAGACATAATTCACTGCACTGGGCTGACAAATTTCTATTGCTTATAAATTATGCAGTCTCAGGTTTTCTGTTATAGCATCACAAAACAGACTAAGATACACCCCATTGAAAAGCGTCATCTAACTTCACTTCCTCCTCATGTAGAATAAATGACTGCCTTCCTTATCTTCCTTCCAGTTTTTCAGATTATCCAGATTATCCTCATAGTCTATATCTTTTCCCTTTTCATACTGCATTAATTTTCTTTCCTAGTTATTTCCTCTCAAGACACCCTGTAATTTTGACGGAAAAGACTAAATTCCTTGTTGTCCCAACAGAAGATAATCTCACCCAGTAAACAAAGTTTTCATCGTTAGTACTGCTTTGGTCTCTTCAATAGGAGCCAGCAATTTATTTATTTCAAAGAATCTCATGTGGCAAATATAAAACAGGAACCAAAGCAGTTGTGAATAGGCCCATGGGCTCCACCTCTGTCCTCTACCAATTACCACACATGGGTTATACTAAAAACCCAGACGAGCTGACAGAGTTTCTCTTTTGGAATCATAACCTCTCTTGTGTTTTTACTCTAGGCTCTAATTACTGCTGACACCAAAAAACTACCATTGACTGGGCCCCACAAATCAATCCCAAGTCTCCCATTTCAGTACATGGCATGATCATTCACTTGTTTGCTCAAGCCAAAGACTTAGTTGTCTTCCTTGTTTCCTATCTTTACTTAAATACCACATCAAACCCATCAGCAAACCCTGTTGCCTCTAACTCCAAAATATATTCCAAATCCACTATTCACCATCATAGTCCAAAGCACCACCTTTTTCCACACTTGAGCTACTCCCACAGCCTCCGAGATGCATTTATTCTGCCCTTCCACCCCCAGTCATCCTCCACAGACTTTAAAGGGTGAATCAGATCATAATGTCTCTCCTGTAAATCTCAGCTTGTTAACACTGCACACAGGGAGGTTCTCCAGATTCACTTTCTGCTGCTACTGCCTTGGAATTTCTACTTCGTACACAAAGCACTACATATACCCCTGCATACGTCTTACACTAGGCCATTCTGACTTTTTGGTCTTTACTCATGTGGTCTCCTCTACTCCAAATGCCCTCATAGTCCCTCCCCTGCTTCTTTCTAACATAGCCCTTTTAGCTCAGATAGGGCATCACCAACTTCAGGAAGCTACCCCTGACACCCTATCTCTCGGTCTGTAGTCTCCCCAAGCACACACACACACATAAACACAGGTACACACACATACTCTCACATACATAACCACCCACCCTACTGACCTACCTACTGGCTGTGCTTACCTCCTCAATCCTCTTGCAACCTCTGTACAGATATCTATTACTACGCCTACAGTGGTCTTTTATAACTTGTTTATATTACTTTTCTCTTCCACCACACTGTGAGCTCCTTAAGGGCAGAAACAATTTGACATTCATGTTGAATGTTGTATTCCCAGGAATTCTAGTACAAGGCTTATTAAAGAGTAAGTAAGTAAACATTCAGTAAATCTTTTTAAATGAATGTACAAATCAACAAAGTCTCATTCAATTAGGGAGGATAAACAAGGCTGACAACATCTTCATGATGATTTAATACAATATTAATCATATAGTTACTGAGTGCCTACTATGTTTCAAGCATTATTCTAGGCAACGGGAATACAGTAGTAAAAAAATTTTTGAATTGAATGTTTTAGCCAAAGCAATAAGACATTAAGCAGATAAAGAAGCATGAGTATTGGGAAGGAAATAACAAAATTATTATTCTAAGTGATATAACTATAAAAAGAAAAGCTGTCACCAGTAAATAAATACAAGAAAAAGTACAGTCATATCTTGGAGATACTGGAAGTATAGCTGCAGACCACTCCAATAAAGTTATTATCACAATAAAGCAAGTCACATGAATTTTTGTTTCCCATTGCATATAAAAGTTATGTTTACACTATATTATAGCCTATAAGGTGTGCAACAGCATTGTATCTAAAAAAAGTGCATACCTTAGTCAAAAACACTTTATTGGTAAAAAATGCAGCCTTCAGTAAGTCATAATCTTTTTGCTGAGAGAGGGTCTTGCCTTGATGGTGATTGCTACTGACTGATTGGGGTGGTGGTGTGTGAAGGCTGGAGTGGCTGTGGCAATTTCTTAGAGAACAATAAAGTTTGCTGCATCAACTGACTCTTCCTTTCTAGAAAGATTTCTCTGTAGCATGAGATACTGTTTGATGGCATTACTGGAACTTCTTTCAGAATTGCAGTAAATCCTCTCAAACCTGATGCTGCTTTATCAATCAAGTTTATGGAATACTCTAAATTCTTTGTTGTCCTCTCAACAATGTTCACAGCATCTTCACCAGGATTATATTCCATCTAAAGAAACCCGTTTCTGGCCAGGCGCGGTGGCTCACGCCTGTAGTCCCAGCACTTTGGGAGTCTGAGGCAGGCGGATTACCTGAGGTCAGGAGTTCGACACCAGCCTGGCCAACATGGTGAAACCCCATCTCTACTAAAAATACAAAAATTAGCCGTGTGTGGTGGCACACGCCTGTAATCCCAGCTACTAGGGAGGCTGAGGCAGAAGAAATGCTTGAGCCCGGGAGGCGGAGGTTGCAGTGAGCCGAGACTGTGCCACTGCGCTTCAGCCTGGCTGACAGAGCAAGACTCTGTCTCAAAAAAACAAAACAAAACAAAACAGAAAAACAGTTTCTTTGCTCATTCATAAGAACCAACTCCTCATCCATTAAAGTTAGGAGATTTTAGCAATTCAGTCCCATCTTCAGGCTTTACTTCTAATTTGAGTTCTCTTGCTTTTTCCACCGCATGTGCAGTTATTTCCTCCACTGAAGTTTTAAACCCCTGAAGTCACTGAAGAGGGTTGGAATCAACTCTTTCCATACTCCTGATAATGTTGATATTTTGACCTCCTCCCATGAATCATGAATGTTCTTAATGGGAGGTAGAATGGTGAGTCCTTTCAGGAAGGTTTTCAGTTTACTTTGCCCAGACCCTTGAAAGGTGGCTGGACATGGTAGTTCACACCTGTAATCCCAGCACTTTGGGAAGCCGAAGTGGGTGGATCACGAGGTCACGAGTTCCAGACCAGCCTGACCAATATGGTGAAACCCTGTCTCTACTAAAAATACAAAAATTAGCCAGGCGTGGTGGCGCACACCTGTAATCCCAGCTACTCAGGAGGCTGAGGCAGGAGAATCACTTGAACCTGGGAGGCGGAGGTTGCAGTAAGCTGAGATTGCACCACTGCACTCCAGCCTGGGCAACAGACTGAGACTCCATCTCATTTAAAAAAAAAAAAAAAAAAGGAATCATTATCTATGGCAGTTAAAAGCAAGACTTGAAAAGTCAAAATTACCCCTTGATCCACAGGTTACAGAATGGATGTTGTGTTAGCAGTCATGAAAACGACGTTCATCTCCTTGTACATCTAGAGCTCTTGGCTGACTAGGTGCATTGTCAATGAGGGGTAGTATTTTAAAAGAAAATTTTTTTTCTCAGTAGTAGGTCTCAAAAGTTTGGCTTAAAGTATTCACTAAGCCATTCTGTAAACAGATGTGCTGTTATCCAGGTTTTATTGTTCCATTTATAGAGCACAAGCGAGTAGATTTAGCATAATTCTTAAAGACCCTAGAATTTTCAAAATGGTAAATGAACACTGGATTCAATTTAAAGTCACCAGCTGTATTAGACCTTAATAAAAGAGTCAGCCTGTCCTTGGAAGCTTTGAAGCCAGGCATTGACTTTTCCTCGCCAGCTATGAAAGTCCTAGGTGATATCTTCTTCAAATATAAGGCTGTTTCACCTACACTGAAAATCTGTTGTTTAGTGTAGCCACCTTCATTAATGATCTTAGCTATATCTTCTGGATAATTTGCTGCAGTTTCTCTGTCAGCACTTGCTACTTCATCTTGTAATTTTATGTTATGGGGGAGTTTCTTAAATCTCATGAATCAACTTCTGCTAGCTTCAAATTTTTCTTCTGAAGCTTCCTCACCTCTCTCAGACTTCAAAGAATTGTAGAAGGTTAGGGTTTCGCTCTGGATTAGGCTTGGTTTAAGGGAATGTCATGGCTTGTTTGAGCTCCTATCCAGACAACTCAAACTTTCTCCATATTAGCAATAAGGCAGCTTTGCTTTCTCAATATTTGTGTGCTCACTGGAATAGCACTTTTTATTTCCTTCAAGAACTTTTCCTTTTCATTCATAACTTGTCTAACTGGCACAAGAAGCCTAACTGGCACAAGAGGCCTAGCTTTTAGCCTACCTTGCCTTTTGACATGCTTTCCTCACTAAGCTTAATCATTTCTAGCTTTTGGTTTAAAGTAAAAGATGTGCAATTCTTCCTTTCATGTGAACACTTAGAGGGCATATTAGGGCGATTAATTGGCCAGATTTCAATACTGTTGTGTCTCATGGAATAGGGAGGTCTGAGGAGAGAAAGTAAGATGGGGGAACATCCGGTCAATGGAGCAGTTAGAGCACACACAGTATTTATCAATTAAGTTTGCCATCCTATATGGCCACGGTTCATGGCATCTCGAAATAATTACAACAGTGATATCAAAGATCACTTATCACGGATCACCATAATAGATAATAATTATGAAAACTCTGAAATACTGGGATAATTATTCAAATGTGATATAGAGACAGGTGAGCACATGCTGTTAGAAAAATGGCACTGGTAGACTTGTTGGATTCAGGGTTGACAAACCTTCAATTTGTAAAAAGTGCAACATGTGTTTAGTGCTATACAAGCAAAAAAGCATAGTAAAATAAGGTGGGCTATATTCGATGTGACCAGCTGCAGAGACTCTACTATGAGGTTTACAGATGACTTAACAATATCAAGGAGTCAAAGCAGCAACAGCAAAAACGAAACACATACCCTTTACTATACTAAAACAGTTCCTAAAAGCGACTTTGAAACAATATCTGAAGTACATACCAAACTACATATATAACAATATCTACTACATAGCTGTTTATGATAGTAAAAGAACCAATATGTACCACATCCTGAGAATATGGAAAGTGTTTTAAAAACTATATCACACTGTGCAGCCATAAAAAATGTTGAGTGTGGTGTGATGAGAAACTGGCAGCAGCTGAGACAGCTTCAACCTTTACAGGTTACTATGGAAATCATATATCAAAAGGCTCAAAACCCACTGGTATTCTATGACCAATAATTTCTACTTCTAGAAATAGTCTAAGAACCAAATCAGAAGGGAGGTATAATGATAAATATTTCACCCAAGCAGTGTTTAAAACAGCTAAAAATAGAAAGCAACCTTAACAATTCTAAATAAGAGGATGTTTAAATTACCACATGTCCATATAGTGGAATACTAAGTAGTGACTAAAAAGATGACGATATGAATGGACCGATGGAAGGGTATACTCATGACAATAGGGAAAGTCAGACTTCGCTCTTCCAGCATACTGGGATGTGTATTCTGAGGAGAAGCAAAGTATCTGGCACAGGGGATACCAATAAATACTTCTGAATGAATGAGAGGTGTCCTGGTTGTCTCTGGATACACTCTCACACACTTAACCTCTCACCTGCCCTCATTCTGGAGTTAGATTTCATGGCAGGATGTAATCAGGCAGATGGTTTCTACCTTCCTCTCTCCCCAGTATCATTAAAGTAAATTCCTTCATTTGTTTTTTCTAGTATATCTGTGTTCAAGTGGTGAGATGTTTCTTTGGAATCATTATAAAGCTTTCAGTTTGCTTGAGTAGTAAAAGCTGTTTATTCATTAGTTAATAAATGTTGAAACTATGGGACATGAGATTCATTATACTATTTTATTTTTACATGTCTGAAATTATATAGATTAATGCATTTTTTTGTAAGTTGGTGACTTATATAATTCTATGACTATTTCATAATGCAATTAATTGGAGGCAAGACATTTTACTTCTATCTTTATTTTCAGATTGCCAGAGGCAAAGCTGCATTACACCTCACTGGAATCCAATGAGAGTTTACCAGGTAATATCTACAGAGGGCTCTGAGCTCCTCGGGGTAAGCAGCCATTGTACCTAAACTCATATTTATTACTACAGGACCAACAGGAGTATCTAAAGTCTATTGATTCTTTTAAAAAACTGTGCCCATGTTAAAAAAAAAAAACAGTTTAAATGAACACAGAAGGGTGCTAGTGGGAAAAGGACAGCCAGTCCACAAGGAAAAATATATTCACTATTATTTCTCAAGTTTCCATAAAAAAAAAAAAGACTAGTCCTTTAAAAAATTATTTTGGTTTTGTTTTGTTAAGTATGAGGTGTTTTTTTTTTTTTTTTTTTTGGCGACAGGGTCTTGCTCTGTCGCCCAGGCTGGAATGCAGTGGTGCAATCTCGGCTCCCTGCAACCCCCACCTCCTGGGCTCAAGCGATTCTTTCACCTTTGCCTCCCGAGTAGCTGGGACCACAGGCACGCACCACCCATACCCAGCTAATTTTTGTATTTTTAGTAGAGATGGGGTTTCGCCATGTTGGCCAGGCTGGTCTCGAACTCCTGACCTCAAATGACCCACCTGCCTTGGCCTCCTAAACTGCTGGGATTATAGGCGTGAACTAATGCGCCCGGCCTCTTCTATTTTCTTAAGCATTATATGCTGAATATAGGCAAATAATCTCTTGACAGCCCACAGGCATTCCTGTGGAGAGTAACACCCAGGGGTTGTTTGGTAAGATCCAGACCTACAAACATTCCAAAGTCTAATGATAATAACTCATTTACTTGTAAAGTCTAAGGAGTCAGTGGGATTTAGAAATTCTTGGTCATATAAATCTTTGTAGATAATCTTGATCTAATTTTACTTCTCATAAGCCCAAGAAAATGTCCTACATTTAAAGCCTCTAAAACATCTTCCCTGAAGAAAAATAATCATATTTAGATATTAAAAAAACAAGGTCATTTAATAAATGCATTTTAAAACATATAAAGGTGTGCCAAAAAAATGAGAAGTTGAGAAGGGAACAGGCCTGGTGGCTCAGGCCTATAATCCCAGAACTTTGGGAGGCCAATGTGGGAGGACTGCTTGAGGCCAGGCGTTTGAGACCAGCCTAGGCAACATAGCAAGACTCTGTCTCTACAAAAAATAGAAAAAGAAAAAAAGAATTTAAAAAGCTGAGGAGGGAGGAGTTTTTTAAAAAATAATAACAATAAAAGACTCTGCCACCACAAATGAACTTAGACACTAATGAAAGAGCTAAATTCCACAAGGGAGTAAAACTAAGGGGTGAACAAAGAAGATCCAAATGAGGACAGATTTCTGAAGGAGGGAAGACAGGTTCAAGGTAAGAGATGCTGACAGAAGTCCTGTGCTGCTGTGCACTCCATGAACACGGAGAGGGGAGCATCACATCAGAACCCTGCCAGACACTACCTTTAAAGCCCTACTCCGTGAATGCAGAGATTAACCTACCCTAAAAAACCTATCAATCTGTTTTTAATCTAGTAAGTTAAACCTAAACTTATTATAGAAAAATAGGCAGGATTACATAACTTACATATAGATTGTGTATAGTCACTGGGATGTGTTAAATACATAATTGAATATTTAAGAATTTAAAAATCCTGGAAGATTATACTCCAAATTATTAACAGCAGTCATCTAGAATGAGTGTGATTAATTGAAGAGGTGAGGGTAAGAGGATTCACTTTCTAAGTTATATATTTCTGAATTGTTTTAACTTTTACAATGCATACTTGAAAATAAATGTTTAAGGCAAATATTTAAAGTAAAAAAGAAAGGAAGCAATTATTAGGAGGAAAGTTCTAAAAATTAAGCTTAATGAGATGTGAGTAGTCCTAGCAGTTATTAAAACACCATATAAAACTATAGTAACTGAAATAGTATAATACTAGCATGTGCAAATACAGTTACATTAAAAGAGTAAATAGCCCAAAATATATGTAGGTATTTAGTACATGATAAAGGCAGCATTAAAATTGTATGAAGAAAAAACAGAATGTTCAATAAATAATGTTGGGACTCCTCGTGGCCATTTGGAAAAAAATAAAATTGCATTCACTACCTCACATATTACCCATAAAGATAAATTCCAGGAGTGTCAAAAGATTTAAATGTAAAAATTTTTAAATCGATGAAAGTCTTAGAATAAAACATAGAATAACTTTTACACCTCATAGTAAGGAAAACCTTTCTATCTATGATACAAAACCCAGAAGCTATAAAAGATGGCTAAAATCAACCACAGAAAAACAGAAAAGTTCTGCTCATCAAAAACAAAGCAACAAAACAAACCCCTGCCCCCTAAAAACGTAAAAAGTCAAATGGTAAATGGGGAACGAACTAACTGCAATGTATATGACTGACAAGGCACTACTTTTTTTTTTAATCATTTATAAAAAGATGGTAGAAATCACCAGGACCAAAGTGACCAAAGAGAAGAAAGGTCAAAAGCTATCAATGGACATAAAATGAAATTCAAGTGGTTCTTAAAAACATGTAGAAAAATGCCTAAGCCCATTTTATATAAGAGAAATATGAATTAAAATGATAAACATCATATTTCCAATTTTTAACTTGGTCTAGATCAACAAAGTAGGTTTGTAAAGGAGAAGAAAAAGGCACTTCAGGCATTGCCAGTGGGAACGTAAAATGGTGCCATTTGACAAAGTCTGCTAAAATTAAAGAAGCACTGATCCAGCAATAATATTTATAAAAATTTATCCTATAGCCCTTCCTCATACATACAAAATGAAAACTTATAAAAAATTACGAAAAAATTAATAATTAGCTCTTAAAACAAGGCTGCTCAAACTTTTCCTCAAAAGTAGTATGATTTTCTTCTATTCATGGTAAAAATCAATATCCCACTGCAAAAGACAGCACACATAGTATCCTTTAAAATAATTTCTGATCCAATAATGACCATTTTTGCTCCTGCAATTCAAACACTAGTATATCTTAATTCATGCTTTTTATCCTCCCAAGTGACTAAGAAATATTTAATTAATGTGTGTTATCCTACTGTCACATAATGCCTGTTAACAAAATTATTTTTCTAAGAAATATAAAAACAAAAACAGCCAGATCTTATAACACATCACTTGGGCAAGAGTCTTAATATGGTTGTTTCCTCAACCCTCTCACCCCAAATTATCAGAAATATGCTGACAGAACTAGAAATGAGCTATCAGAGACAATCCAGTGCTTCTCTGACAGAAAACCCACGTCCAATCCTGGCTCTCTTCCTCTCGCATTGCTCTATGATAAAGTGACAAAAATGTAACTGATAAAAATGTCTTTTCTTACGAGGCTGACTCACAGTTGGTGACTGCTGGATTAAGTTCTGCGCACTCACCAGGGAGGGAAGATCCGGACAGTGTCCTGGGGACGGCCCCTGAGGTAGCCTGCAGTCTCCTTGGTGAAGAGAACTTTCAGGCCAGCTCCAGGCCTGGGAGCCACACTTTGGGAGGAGCTGGTGGCTGGTGACCCCAATAACTGCTCACACATGGCAACTTGCATGGCACATTCCTCATGCAGCTCTAAAATTTTCACAGTTAATACACCAGATTTTCTACCTAGAAGTTGAAGAAAAGAACAAAGCAAAAATGAAATCAAAAGACAGATGGTTCAAGCGTGAATAAAGTGTCATGAAAAAAAGATCCACATGCAGATAGCACTCTTCACCTGGAGAAAATGGTCTCCACATTTTGCAAAGTAAAACAGAGACACTACGATGCTCACTATAACACTTTTCTTTAATCAAAATAGGCCTGCATGTTGCATTTAATACATGGATTTTAAGCAGCATAAAATAAAGTCTTCTGTCATGAAGAAATAGTCCTGTACAAATAGAAACCTTAGACCCGTCATTTTAAGGAGCATGCGTTTTACTCCAAGTCTGAAATCCTTTGATGACCACAAGGAGAATATGGCCACTGTGGATTCTTCTTAAGGATGGACCCTCCTCTTTATTATCTGTTTTGATTCTCTGCTTTGAAATCATGTATGTTACTAGCTGGCTGCAGCTGTTCCAATGATCAGAAAGGCTAACAGTTGAAGAGTTATGTGGACTGCTGGGTATTAGAGCTCTAGATTGAAATGGGTGGAATTTGATCTGGATTCAAGTGCTGGTTTCCTTATTAAGTTGGCCAAGTTCCATGGCATTCAACTGTTAAATTGTCTTATGTGTAAAATGGAGATCCTGCCACCTGCCCCAGGAAACATTTGTTCAGATTAAATGAGATAACTGAAGTTGATAGTGTGCATAGCCTATACCCCAGAAATCTTAGGTAGGTACCCAGAAACTGTCAGATGCACCAATATACCTAAACAAGGATACACATCTCAGCGTTGTTTATAAGAGTAGAAAACTGCACCCAGCATAAATCAGAAAGATGGGTAAACCATGGTGTGTTCATACAACAGAACACTGTACGGCACTTAAAATGAGGTGAAGTAGACGTCTAAGAATCAGATGGAGAGGTCTCAAGAAATGAAAGGGGATAAACAGGATATACAGAGTATGACACCTATAATGTAATTTTAAAAAACACAGAAATCAATACAATAGTTTATGAATACAAGATGAGTATAAAAACATAAATAGAAGGATTCACAGAAAAGTCATGAAAGCCACTGTCTCTAAGGAGAGAGAAAGAGGAGTATGACTCAGGAGGGGAACCCAGAGGGTTTCAAATTTATGTGTCATATTGTTTCTATTATAAAACTATGGGAAACTAAAAAAAGACAAAGGATTGACATGTGTTACTAATTCTAGGCAGTGAGCATGCTTATGTGTTTCTATTATTCTCTGTGCTTTTTAATTAAAAAAAATAAAAAAATACATAAACTGAGAACAACAAAAATGAAGGGTACAACATACTGCCTTGTTAATAACAGATACTCACTAATATGAGTTTCTTTACCACTTCAGCCAACTAGGTTAATAGTGAATAGTAAAAATTAATATTTAGACGGTGCTAAGATTTTAATCATCTATTTCTTTCTCCCTCTCACTTTTTTTTCATTCATTTCCCATTCAACCCCAAATTTTTCATCCCTTCCTTTATGTAGGTGTCCATGACACATGTCCATATACTGGGCCCTGGGCCACCTTGCCTCCCCTAAGCACTGTCTTGGACAACTATTTCTTAAGGCAACTATTTCTGGGCACTGTCTTGGACAACTATTTCTTAAGGCAAGAAAACAGAATGGGGGAAGGATATGAATAAGCACAATGTACAAGCAGCATATAACGAGCTTCTGCTGGTCACTCTAGGGAAGGGAACAGAGGAATGAAACCAACTTGTAAAGAAAGGCACTAAGAAGTGAACACACAGATGCTTCGCCACAACAGGCATTTTGTTAATGAAAAGTAGCTCATCTTCAATTGGTAAACTGGAAAAGAAATCAGGATAATGTGGAAGTCACTTCAGTCCACAAAGCTTTTTTTCCTCAGCAGGGCAGCCAGAGCAGTGTGTACAGAATTAGAGTCTTCAGAAGCAAAGGGAAAAGCCCTAGATTGAGGAGCTACAGCGGCCACAGGAGCATTTTGAGACATAATTTAAGAATTTTTAAAACTTGTACCTATACTCAACTCAGGGCTCATTCCCAGCAATGCACAGGCCTGAAACCTCCCCTGTCTCCCACTGACAGCAGCAGCTGTCAGGGCTCCATGGCCACTTCTGCTCTCAAGCACCCAGGGGTCTGCTCAAGTTCAAGTGTGCCAGCTGAGCACAGGCTCTTGGTTCTGCGCACTGTGGCAGCCCCCAGCCATGCTCAGCTGCCTGCCCAAGCAGCACAAGCTCTCTTCAGAAACTAATTCTTGTCTTGGGCAGCTCAAGTCCCCATAGACCCTGACAGATTTTATAAATGCAGGCTATTACAGAAATACATAAATAGTATTACAGAAGAAATACTTATGTACCTAAGATGCATCATACTGCCTGACTACAGTTTCTTCAAAGATTACTTTATAGCAGCATGATTTAGAGTTCTTTGGGTATACATCCAGTAATGGGATGGCTGGGTCAAATGGTATTTCTAGTTCTAGATCCCTGAGGAATCACCACACTGACTTCCACAATGGTTGAACTAGTTTACAGTCCCACCAACAGTGTAAAAGTGTTCCTATTTCTCCACATCCTCTCCAGCACCTGTTGTTTCCTGACTTTTTAATGACTGCCATTCTAACTGGTGTGAGATGGTATCTCATTGTGGTTTTGATTTGCATTTCTCTGATGGCCAGTGATGATGAGCATTTTTTCATGTGTTTTTTGGCTGCATAAATGTCTTCTTTTGAGAAGTGTCTGTTCATGTCCTTTGCCCACTTTTTGATGGGGTTGTTTTTTATTGCGGCATTATTCACAATAGCAAAGACTTGGAACCAACCCAAATGTCCAACAATGATAGACTGGATTAAGAAAATGTGGCACATATACACCATGGAATACTATGCAGCCATAAAAAATGATGAGTTCATGTCCTTTGTAGGGACATGGATGAAATTGGAAAGCATCATTCTCAGTAAACTATCGCAAGAACAAAAAACCAAACACCACATATTCTCACTCACAGGTGGGAATTGAACGATGAGATCACATGGACACAGGAAGGGGAATATCACACTCTGGGGACTGTGGTGGGGTGGGGGGAGGGGGAGGGATAGCATTGGGAAATATACCTAATGCTAGATGACGAGTTAGCGGGTGCAGCGCACCAGCATGGCACATGTATACATATGTAACTAACCTGCACAATGTGCACATGTACCCTAAAACTTAAAGTATAAAAAAAAAAGATTTCTATGATAAATCTTGACAGTATTCCAGTAACTATGAATTTTGATCAAGATCTATAGCACCAAATAACTTGTAAAATAACATTTTATGATGTTGGCTATCACTGCAGTGCTGCACACAGCAGCTCATGTGGTGACTAAATAGGCCTTGGAAGCAATACTGAGCGGCGCTCCCATGGCTGTGACACTAGGTCAGGGACAGGGCTACCCTTTACACTGAGCATTCTAAAGCTCTTTCTACAAAACATCCTCCAGGGCCTTCCTTCCCAGGAGAAAAAAAAGCAGGGTAAGCTCCTCCTTGTCTGAGAGAGAAAAAAGCAAGGGACGACTTATACCAAAAATGTGCTTGAGGCAAGCTTTTATTTTATTTTTAGAGACAGGGTCTTGCTCTGTCGCCCAGGCGGGAGTACAATGGTATGACCTTGGCTTACTGCAGCCTCGATAACCTGGGCTCAAGGGATCCTCCCACCTCAGCCTCTCAAGTAGCTGGGATGACAGGCTCGCACCACCATAACATCCAGCTAATTTTCTTATTTTTTTGTAGAGACAGGGTCTCACTTTATTGCCCAGGCTGGTCTTGAAGTCCTGGGCTCAAGTGATCTTCCTGCCTCAGCCTCTCAAAGTGCTGGGATTACAGGTGTGAGCCACCATGCCTGGCAGAAGCAAGCTTTTAATCCAAGCAGGGGATATACTCATTTTACAAACAAAGGACAATGTTTTGCAATTAGATGACTAGTACATAAAAGGCCATTTTAGTGCTACCAGGCAACATTTTCCATAACTGCTACAAGACAGCCAAAATATCACCTTGTCCAGGAAGTGTTTTCTGAATCCCAGCCAGAAGCAACTATTCCTTCCCTTGAAAATCCCCAAATACTTTAACTCTCTTGTAAGAGTGTCCTCCGTTTTAAATGGACACAGTAGCGGCTACCCCAAGAGCACTACAATCACAGGTGCAAACACAGCAAATGTACCACGAAGTGCCTGGCCATGCAAGGATGGCAGCCACTGTCACTGCCATCAGCTCTTCAAGGCATTTTCAAGGCCATTCTCATACTCGATTCACAACAACCCTACGAAATAGGTAAGGAACATATTAATCTCCCTTTGTGGCAGATGAGAAAACTGAAAAATAAAGCTAGCTGCTCATGTGACTTTCTCAAGAACAGAGAGGATGACTGGCAGGTCTAATCCCAGTAATCAAATATCCTTACAAGCCAAGGACCAAAATGTCTCTCAGATAAATGCCAGTTAAGAATAGGAAATTGTGAGTGATGGGGTGTTTCCCCCCTACTTCATTATGCTAAGACATAGGGCTTGTTTAAAACGCACAGACAGACAATGTTTCAGGTTGAGAAACGGACTCTGAGGCCTATTGCTGTGGCTGGACACAGTGAGGGTTTCAACAGAACTTGCACTGAAAAAGAAGATAACTTGTCAAGTGCTAATCATCAAAGAGAAAGTGCCACAAAGATCAAATGGAGACCACAAATACTAATATACAATAGCAAAGATGTTAAACGATTAAGAAACAGGAACAGAAAGATTCAATGAAGAAGATACACCAAGAGATCTAGTAATTTCTATCCATGCATATGCCTAGCAGATGAAACATAATTCTTAGTTAAAAATGGACAGTATTCAACTTCAAGAATAACAACATTTGCTGAATAACTGCATGAATTCGTTATTTAATCAGCTAACTGCTCTTTGAAAAGTCTTTTGTTTTAAACAACCAAGAGGCCACACACACACACACACACACACACACAGATCTGAGCAAATGACTGAGCATGGTGGCTCACACCTGTAACCCCGGCACTTTGGGAAGCCAGGGCGGGAGGACAGCTTGAGGCCAGGAGCTCGAGGCCAGGAGTTCAAGACCAGCCTGAGCAGCACAGTGAGACCCCCCAGCTTTACAAAAATAAAAATATAAAAATGAGTCAGGCACAGTGGAGTATACTGTAGTTTCAGCTACTTGAGAGGCTGAGGCAGGAGGTTATCTTGAGCCCAGGAATTTGAGGTTATAGTCAGCTATGATCACAACACTGCACTAACTGGCCTCCCTAGTCAAGTACCTGACTCACAGAGTGAGACCCTGTCTCTCAAAAAAAAGAAAAAAAATGAAAAAAAGAAACACAAAACAATAAATTGAGCAAATGATAGAATAACAAAATATGTCTGTGACTACTGAGTTAAATGCCTTTTTTGTTGTTGTTGAAATATACAGGTAGTCAGGGTCCAATTATACTCACGTCAACTCAAGTCTTCCTAAGTAGGTTATATTGAATTAATATATGAGTATAACAAATAACTATACAAGAAAGGACAAAGTGAAGCAAGTTAGTATGAGGGGAGAGATACTGAAACTATTCTCCGTGAAGCAAGTTAGTATGAGGGGAGAGATACTGAAATTATTCTCCGTGAAGCAAGTTAGTATGAGGGGAGAGATACTGAAATTATTCTCCAATAGAGGGCAGGAACATCTGTAAGTCTTTCTAACAGAAATACTTTTCATAACATAATTGTTGCCACTAATGTTAAGTTGTCCATTTTCCAAACACTGACCCCATGGTAATTTGGAATTTTCCTCCTACATTATCGCTCTGTCTCTCTTTATCTTCAGAGATATCCCAAAAGGCTAGCCTGCCCAGTTATCTTGCTCTAAAACATATGTTCTAGTATTCCCTGAAATTGGTACTTTTGTCTTCTTCAGGTCAATTCATCAAGTGTCCACCGTTCCTTTTCCCTCTCTCTCTCACCCAGCATGCATGTGAGTGTGCAGACACACACACATACACACACAGAGAATCATGAGCAAGCAGCAGGGGTCAGGAATGGACATCAGGGGGTTTTAAAGTCCATCTGCTTCCCATGTGGACAGGACCTCTGTCTTTAATAAACACTCTAACACTGGTTACCACCAGCTGTGATGATAATAATTCATCTTGCTGCACTCACTCCAAACTACCATGCTATATATTCAGTGTACATTTTACTATTTTTGAAATAGTATTTTATAGCTTTCCCCCAAAAATAATACATGTATCCATTACTACAATGGTTTTATTTGGGGTGTTTCTGTTAGTTACTTGTGAAGTTTAGTATCTTTAACGAACTCTATGCCCTATTTTACTGACTTCTCATAGCATTTTGGGGCTCCTAGCATTGTAAAATGAAGAAGGTGTATACCCTGCTCTACGTTTTTCCTCCCCAACATGCTACACAATTTTAATTAAACATAATTCCACTTTCATTGTCAAGGTTAATGTTCACAGTATACCCTATAACCTATGCCAAATCTCCATGCTCCAGCCATAGTCTGACTCCAAGAGTTAACAAATAATCAACAAATTTACATTAGCACAATTATATAAACAAAATTCAATATCTGACCAGGGTCTTAGGATTGCATTTAAATGAGAATATCTCAGACTTAGGTCAAATGATTTGACTGTAATAATTCTTACGATCATTTAGGCCTTCCAAATGCCAAAAGAAAAAGGACTATCATTCTGGCGGCCCCAGCATACCCATTAGTAGTCTTAGCTTTCCCCAAAAGTTCACTACAGCTTTTTAGAGAACAGCCCATTCATGTTCTGCCTAGACTAAATGTGGTCGGCTGGAGCCTGGGCAGGGAAAAAGAAGATCGAATCAGTTCAGAATGATGAAGCAGGGAAGAAACAGGTCTTCTATCTTCAGATGTGTGAACCAGGGTGTTTCCTCTGGGTGTGATGGGAAGCCAGCAGGGAAGTCAAATGATGAGCCGTGTTGAGAACAGACTGAAGAGGACAAGGGATTAAGTAGGGAAGCTAGTTAGGAGGGTCTGCAGCAATCCAGGATGGATGATGGTGTCTGGGATCTAGGGAGTGACAGGAGAGGTAAGAAATGCTCAGATTCTAGATATTCTTTGAAGGTAGAGCCAATAGAACTTGTTAATGGACTAGGAGTGAATATGAGACAGAGTACAAGAATGACTCCAGTGGGTTTGGCCTGAGCAAGAATAAGAACAGAATTAACATTTACTGAGACAGTAAAGATTTCTAGACAAATATTTCTTTTCTGGGAGGTGCAGGTAGTATGAGAATACTGGTATCAAGACATAAATTTTTAATACATTAAGACTGAGATGCCTCTTAGTTACTACAATAGTCTGGCACTAACTGACCTCCCCAGTCTAGTACCTGATTCTTCCAACCTACTCTTCATAAGGCCCACCTGAATGGTATTCTTAAATGTAGATGTAATGATAGCCACCCTGACTGGATTAAATCCAAACTACTTCCCATTGTATGGAAAGTCCTTTGTTACCTGTTACTTCTTACTGCTCTAGCCTCAAATCCCGTAGCTTCCTTCAAGCAATTTAAAATTATTTCTATGACAAGGTGAAAAATAAGCAATTGTGCATTAAGACAGTTCCATCACTGTCTCCCTGGTGAGTTTCTCCCTGGGCATGACTCTCCTTTCCACTCTGCAGTTTATCATTTCTCTTTATGTTATCACTGTACTTCTTGTTTATACCTCTGATTTAAAAAAGTAAACAATTTCATCTATTAAACCATGAACTCTGTGTTGCACCTGGATCAGTACCAATAAATATGTAAGAAATGAATGACTCCTAATACAAACTGATGTAAAGCATGTGGGGGACTCTGTTTCCAGTCTTGATTTCACTGCTAACCATGATGCTCCTGACCCATCTCCCCTTCATCTCAACTGCACTTTGCGTGTACCCAGAGAATACAAATTAAACTATGACTCAAATGATGCTCCAAAGAGAAAAACAAATAAAACATTCCAAAATCAAATCCAAATGACGTTTTATCTATTCACTGTATTGTACCATTTTTTCATTAACATGCACTAAAAACTTAATTGTATTTACTTGTTTATATTGTTTTTTCTTTTGAGAAGTTACAACTACACCTAATTTTACCAGTGATTCTCAAACACATAGCACTGATATGCTCCCATAAGTATTCAGTAAGTAAATACCTGTTAAAGTATTGATTGTGTTATTAATGATTGGTAAATCAAAATTTTAATTCTGAGTAAATCTTATAAGATGCCATCGATTCATTTCACAGATAACTTCAGGATAAAATTCATAAAGCTGTAAGCAGGAGATCCTGATTATAATATCTAAAAAAACAAATTCTGGAGAAATTCACACATTTATCCTATGAAGAGCACAATTCATTTTTGTTTAAAATTTATGCTCCCCCATAAAATTTTAAGTCATCTGGCAATGATGAATAGACACATTTCTTTACCACAACTGCTTACTAAACTGTAAACAATTGTGCTTTCACTTCTTGATTCCACATTTTTTGCCTTTTCACCAGTTTAAAATATTCTTCTCCAAAAGCCACAATTATTCTAAGCATGAAACAGAAATCTGAAACCCAACTCTTAAAAAAAACCCAAAAACAAAAAAGTAGACAAGACTGACCAGGCGATCAAAAAGTTTTCACAATCCCCAGTGACGAGAGCAGTCAAAGCCTAGCTGAGCACCTCCGCCTCCAGGGTCACAGTGTCACAGTGACCCCACCTCCCACTAGGCATGTCGCTGTGACTCATTCCGTAGGAATAGCTTGTTCGGAAGGTGAGTGGGCAATGAAATGTCCAATTTTAAAAGAAATTCCACGTGAGAATAAAGCATACAAAGGCTCTAGAAAAGCAACAGATCCCTAAGCGAAGTTAAGCCAAACAACAGGGGTGTGTTACAGATTGAATGTTGGTGTCCCCTCAAAATTCCTATGTTGAAGTCCTAACCTTCAGTCTGGTTGTATTTGGAGATGGGGGCTCCAAGGAAGTAATTGAGGTTAAATGAGGTCATAAGGGTAGCCTGATCTGACAGGCTTAGTCTCCTTGTAAGAGACTGGAGGACTTGTTCTTTCCATGCACACACACGGGAAAGGCTCTGTGAGCACACAGCAAGAAGGCGACTGCCTAAAACCAGTAAAAGGGCTCTCACCAGGACTCCACCATGCTGCACCCTGGCTACCAGCCTCCAGCACTGTGAGAAAGAACTGTCTGCTCTTTACGTCACAGTCTGTGGGATTTTGTGATGGCAGCCTGAGCTGAGATGGGACAATGCGATACATACAGGACCGCCCAACACACACACTGACACTGATGACCAGCCATGCCTTCCACTCTGAGTATCGAGAATACGAGTTCTTCTTTCTTGAAAACTTCTTCATTTAAAACACCTTATTTCATACAACTATAGATGATAATTTTGGCTCAGAAAATAGGATTAAAATGGTGTCCAGTAATCACACTGAAAACAACTTTTAAAAGGTCATATGGCTAATGACAAAGTACAGAATTAGATATTTAAGTATTTCTATTTTTATAAATGTGGCATCAACTGAGAAACAAATGTGTTGGGAAAAACTGCAAGAATCCAATGTTAAAATAGCAAGTTACTAATTATGGGTGGTCACTATAATCTTCCTAAACCCACCTTTAAACCATCCTGTGGAATGCCAGGAGCACGTGGGCATCCGGCCTCTCTACCATGAGGCCAACACACTGAATCTCTGTAGCACAGAGAGTTGAAAATATGCTTACTAATGAACTGACAGAGTCCAGCGCGTCCCCACTGTCACTTTATCCTTGATTCTTAAACTCCAACATCAATCCGGCCCCTGCCATAATGACTATCGATAAAGGACATTCTAATGAACAACTTCTAATTCATCCTAAGTTGGGTGGAAACAGGCAAAACCTATGATGAGCCAGAATAAGGCATGTCCAAATGGAGCATGGCAAATTCATAACCCCTAGATACAAGGAGGTGTTTGTGTCTTGCTGCCATCTTCCCATGGCATTTCAACAAATGGGTAGGGAAGAGAAGAAAAAGGAGAAGAGAAATTAGCTTAAGGATTAAAATAGGTAATGTAGTAACAAAAACACAGAGCGACCATTACCGTGAAGTGCCTCTCCTGAAAGGTGTGCAGAAGACCAGGGAGCACCAGTGCTGGGAAGGCTCACCAGTGTCAGACACAAAAGACACAAAAGTTAAAAGACACAAAGTAAAAAGCACTCTGAGAGAGACTTTCACATGGGAATAACAGACAAGGCAGGGGAAAACAGCAATACCAAATTTAAAAAGTGGAAATAGGAGGGATAGCTTTAGGAGATATACCTAATGCTAAATGACGAGTTAATGGGTGCAGCACACCAGCATGGCACATGTATACATATGTAACTAACCTGCACATTGTGCACATGTATCCTAAAACTTAAAGTATAATAATAATAAAATAAAATAAAAAAAATATATATAAGCTGCAGAAAAGTACAGACCAGAAAAAAAAAAAAAGTGGAAATAACCCAAGGTTTAACAAAGTCACCCTTTGTCAGTAAAAAAACTGCAGCGCAGATGAAGTAACCCACATAGGTCTTCAGCCCTGGCCAAGTTTGGACCAGAACCAACACTGCCTGATGAGGGCTATTCCTGCACTCTGTGATGCCATGTTGTAACATTTTTAAATTACTGGGCATGGCTCAGGGATGCCCTATACATCTTTGTAGCTCTTTGTGCAGTTCTTATTTGCTTATATTTTGGGGAATTAACTGTATTAACTACAGGATACTGGAAGTATAGTTACAAACAAACCATTAAGAGATAAAAGTGCATGTCTTAGGCCTGGTGCCCAGCTTATCCCATGAAAGCCACGGCTTTGACCCATGGAGATATTGCGTGCTGTGCACACGGAGGTGGGGGGCCACAGAAAGGGGGCAGTGAGAAATGAGTCCAAGGCAGCTGGGCTGAGTGTGTGACAAAGAATGTCACACAAAAGAGTTTACAGGTATGGTATGGTATTAAGTACCCCTTCCTCTATTTCTAGGTCCCACCATTATTTTTAATAAAATTATCAAATAACTTGGCATTATTAAATTCTAGTAAGAACTCTTTACTGTTCCGTTAATACAAACTTAAAATGGTCACTGGAAATTATGATATTTTCTGACATGGAATCCTACCTCTAACAGTGAACAAACTAGTATCACAGTTTGTTTCCTGACTTGAATAGTTCAGCCTCAGTATTCACGCAAAATCTTCTGGCTCACGACTACAAAGAACAATACTAAATATCATTGCTGCACTGAAACGTGGGTAAGGATATAACAGAGGGAAAAATAAAGTCTGAACACTAGTTGGCTTTGTGGTTTTATTGGTCAGAGGGAAGCTGGAGATAATCCAGAGTCAGCTCCCCTGACCCCAGAGGAAAGGGGATATAAGAAAAGGAACAGAAGCAAAACCTCTCTGGCCAAATCAGAGCTGACCCACGCTGAGTGGGCACTGGCAGTATCCCTTCAACTGAAACACAGGGAGGGAGAAGACAACATAGCAAAGAAGTTTAAGGACAAATTTTAAATGACTTTTTAAAAGATGCTGACCTACAAAATTAACAACCCTTCTTTAATCCGTGTTATTCGCATTTCTTAAATCTAAAAAAACAAATTGTTTTTAATAATGTTTCATGTTACATAAAAAAATCCCCAGAGAAACTAAAGATTTTAAAGGCAAAAAATATTGCCAAGAATTGGCTAAATAAGCAGCTCACCATACACCTACCTTTTCTGGGTTTAAATACATAATACTAGGAGACTTAGATTAGATCATATGTATTTTCTAACACTTATTTTTTAATTAAATAAAGGGATCTTATTTTACCAACTGACTTGCTTTGGTAGGAATGACCAGTCTACCATTTTCTACCCCAAGTTAGGCTTTAATTATTGGAAAATACCGCATCAAAGAAATTAGTGAAATCTTGTAGACACCCACGTATCTACACAGGATTCTTTGTTCACCCTCCTGCTCACACCACTTTCTGTATAGAAATTGCTGATCCCAGGCTGGGCATGGTAGTTCATGCCTATAATCCCAGCACTTTGGGAGGCCAAGGCAGATAGATCACTTGAGGTCAGAAGTTCGAGACCAGCCTGGCCAATGTGGTGAAACCACGTCTCTACAAAAAAATACAAAAATTAGCCAGGCGTCGTGGCGCACGTCTGTAATCCCAACTACTCAGGAGGCTGAGACGGGAGAATCACTTGAACACGGGAGGCAGAGGTTACAGTGAGCTGAGATTGTGCCACTGCATTCCAGCCTGGGGTGACAGAGTGAGACTGTGTCTCAAAACAAAAAGAAAAAAAGAAAAAAGAAATCGCCGACCCCAACTTTCATTCTTCTTCTCCCAGCCACTCAAGTGGTGACCCTGGACCACAACCCCATCTCAGGGGCCCCCAGCCTCAGAGGAGTTCCTGGAAGCAGTAAGAAATAGGTGGGGGACCAGATTTCTGGCTACACGCTTGCGACAAGACCGAGGAAACCCCACTCTGTGGGCTGCACTGTGGGGCACCACATCCACTGCTCCTGAGGTAGCCTGACGGTCAGGGACGCCCCAGCCTCCCCGTTCCCCTGCATCTGGTGCACAGAGACGCTCACCTAAGGTTCACACAGGTAACAAGGAGGGTGCAGAAGTATTGGAGATTACATACCAAGCCTGTCAGGCTGTTGGCAGATAATCTTGTCCAAGGAAAAAGGATCACTACACTCCTCATTCTGGAAAACTACCGCACTATAAAAACCAGTCTTGTTATTGAATTTTTCACTTCCTGACATAGAAGTATTAATTTTTTAGTACTTCATAAGTAAAATTCAGGGTGGAGTTTTCTATCACTTCACATCTATCTCCCTATAATGGTAAAAACAATATTTGATTTTGACAAATTTCTTTTTTTGTAAAAGGCATATTTAAAAAAAAAAAACCCTGTCCCAACCCTTTTCCAATGGTAATCCTTGTTAACTGCTTCTGACAATTTATTTTATATTTATAATATTTATAAAGTATTTATAATATTTATGAATGTTTCCAACCCATTATATAATGTGAAGAAAGTCTAAAAGCATTAGAAGTGTCCAGGAGTGTTATCCTGAGTATTTAATCATAATCATCAGAATATGGAAATAGTATATGATTTCAGTTTCTCTTGAAATTGTATAAATACAATATTATTCAAGGAATAAGTCATCAGAGTTTTTCTCCTTTACAAATCCTAAGAAATAATACTTTATTCTCTTAGGCTTTGTTTCTTTCTCTCTTCTAATTCTTCAAAACGTACTTCAATAAATGGAAAGTTACAGATTATTGCTATGGTCTGAATGTGTCCCCCAAAGTTAATGTGCTGGAAGCTTAATCTCCAACACAGCAGTGTTGAAAGGTGATCTTTAAGAGGTGACTAGATCCTGAGGCTCTGCCCTCTATGGATTAATGTCATTATCATGGGAGTTGGTTCCTCATTAAAGGATGAGTTCTACCACCTTCCTCTCCCTCTCTCACACTTCTTTTCCCTTCTGGTGAGGCGGATATTAGGCTTCCCAGCCTCCAGGCAGGTGAGAAATAAATTTCTTTATCAATTATCCAGTCTGTGGTGTTCTATTATGGCAAAACAAAACAGACTAAGACAGTTATTAAAACATCTTCAAGTGTAAAATATGGTTTTGTTTCCTTCTAAAGAATAAAACTTTAATATCTTACAAAAGGAAGCAAGGAAAAATGAATTATAATGTTATGATGGAATCAGACAGTTCTATCAATGATGATAATCTACTTGTTGCTTAATAAATGTTGAATGAAAGTAGTAAGGAACAAAGTAAAAAAAAAAAAGATAAGCCAAAATATTATAGCCATTTGGCAAGAAAGAATAAAAAGGCATAAGGCATCAATTTACAATATTGCTGTAGTGAGTTAAAAAATACTGAATAGAAAACCATCTATTTCTATTCTATGGTTTTTTGTTTTGTTTTGCTTTGTTTTTTTTGAGACTGTGTCTCGCCCTGTTGCCCAGGCTGTAGTGCAATGGCATGATCTCAGCTCACTGCAAACTCCGCCTCCCGGGTTTAAGTGACTCTCCTGCCTCAGCCTCCCAAGTAGCTGGGATTACAGGAGTGTGTGCCCCCATGGCTGGTTAATTTTTTTTTTTTTTTGTATCGTAGTAGAGGCAGGGTTTCACCATGTTGGCCAGGCTGGTCTTGAACTCCTGACCTCGTGATCTGCCTGCCTCAGCCTCCCAAAGTGCTGGGATTACAGGCGTGAGTCACCGTGCCCAGCCTATTTCTATTCTTTAAGTACTGGTAGTAATACGGGTACCTTCTATATAACACTTGTTAAGCTGTGTATCTGTGTTTTCTGTAGTTTCTTATATTTCAATACAAAATGATAATTCAATAAAAGCAAATATTAACATGACAAAGGTACTCCTAAACCAAAATTTTGTCCCACCCTCAATTTTCCAAAGGTTTAAGTTGTACTCACTTTTTACTGTGTGAATATAATGTATACTAAATAAACTGCTTCTTACTGAACTTCAATAATAACCTAAAGAAATCTTTCAAATATAATAATTTTATACAAGAAAAAATATTTAAAATATGGAACATTTAAAATCTATTACACAAAATATAATTTTTCTAGCAAGAACAAATAGATAGCAAAACTTCCACCATCCCAAAACTGTTTAGGCACCTCACATTGATATTCTGGCTGAGAAACTAGACAGAGGTTGTATTTACCCACTGTAAATATGAAGCTCGCTTCCATAGCCTGTCCTGCACAGCTCCTACCATGCCCATGCAGACCCTGCACTTTACTAACCTGTCCCGATTTTCTCTCTCTGCTTGTCATCCATCTAGTCCACTAAAAGAGAAGGTCTAAGGGTGCAGTGACCAGATCTTGCTTATTCACAGTGTATCTTTAGAGCCCAGCAAGGAGCCTGGCACACTGGAGGCCCCTGCTGAGCAACTGCTGAGTAAATGAATGTGACCTGCCAGCTTGGTACCTGTGACCCTCACTTCCCACTATCCCATCTCCACCACCAGATATAGTGACCAGTAAAGCATTTACTTCACACAACAAGAATAAACACAGAAATATGAGCATATATAAAATTTTCATCTGGATGATTGAAAAACACTGAGAATATTACTTGGTTGCTTACCCTCTATAATACAATTTAAATAAGAATCATTTTTTTAAATTAGCTAACGGAAGTGATCTTAAATTTCAAAAATAAAGTATCTTGCTTAAGAATAGGCAGTTAAAGTCTGGGCAAGGTGGTTAATGTCTGTAATTCTAGCACTTTGGGAGGCCGAGGCAGGCTCTACTAAAAATACAAAAATTACCCAGGGGTGGTGGCAGGCGCCTGTAATCCCAGCATACTCAGAAGGCACAAAAATTGTCTGGACCCAGGAGGCGGAGGTTACAGTGAGCCAAGGCTGCGCCACTGCACTCCAGCCTGCACAACAGAGCAAGACCTTTCCCTTTCCCCCAAAAAATTTCATCATGAAAAATAATTTATCTGAAGCCCATCAATTTCTTTGTTATCACTGGTTCTTCTTTTTTCTTTACTCTCTTCCTGTATAACAAAGAAGGTTTTTTGCATTTAAGAACATCTAAGGGTCCGGGTATGGTGGCTAACGCCTGTAATTCCAATTCATTGGGAGACTGAGAAGGGAGGTTCCCTTGAGGCCAAGAGTTCGAGACCAGCCTGGAAAACATAGGAAGACTCCATTTCTGTAGAGAAAAAAAAGAAATTTTTTTTTAAACAGCTGGGTGTGGTGGCATGTGACTGTAGTCCCAGCCACTCTGGAGGTTGAGGTAGCAGGAGCCCTTGAGCCCAGGCGGTTAAGGCTGCAGTGAATTGTGATGGTGCCACTGTACTCATGCCTGGGCAACAGAGGGAGACCCTACTCAAAAAAATAAAAGAACATTTGTAACTACTTTTAGTTTTAAAAACTATGATATCAAACATATTGTGAAAAAAATTGTCACCCTGTTACTAAACAGAGATCAAACAACGGAGCCAGGGTGCAACCACTGCTGCACTCACATCTCCTGAACTCAGTTCTGCCCAGACCTGCCCCTAAAACAAGTAGGCTATGAACATGGGCCACCAAGTTAGGCTGCCCAATGTAAATCTGGCTCTGCTACCCACTGGCAGGCACACAAGGCTGTACCCATCCATATTCTCCTGTGTCTGCATTGTCCTCATCTCTAAAATAAGGAGAGCAGGACCTAACTGGAAGGGTAATTGTGATTAATATACATGCAAAATGCTTTGAGTATCACTTAGTAATCACTGTTCACCATCATGCAGATAATGAGCAAAGCAATGTTGGAAACTGTTTCCTCTTTTAAAAAAAGAAAAATACAATGATTCGTGAAGATAAATAGAACGTATTTTCCCCTTGCCTCTATAGCTGTCCATTCTCTATGCCACAGCTACATTTTAAAGTGCAGGTTTCCAAGGCACTACCTTGGAAGTGAAACCCAGCCAAGGCCTCCAGGCCCTGCATGATCTGGGCTCCCCTGCCCACCCCATGCCATTTCATCAAACTGCATTCTCTGCAAGGCCTTTGGGTGCAACATCTGTGCTTTTTGCTGCTCTTTTATTTTTTTATTTTTATTTTTTTTTCAGACAGGGTCTTGCTCTGTTGCCCAGATAGCAGTGCAGTGGCGTGATCTCGGCTCACAAAAACCTCTGCCTCCCAGGTTCAAGTGATTCTCATGCCTCAGCTTCCAGAATAGCTGGGATTGTAGGCGTGAACCACCACACCTGGCTAGTTTTTCTGTATTTTTAGTACTTTTTCGCCATATTGGTGAGACTGGTCTCAAACTCCTGGCCTCAAGTGATCACCTGCCTCAGCCTCCCAAAGTGCTGGGATTACAGACATGAGCCACTGTGCCTGGCTCTTGCTGCTCTATTTTTTTTTTTTTTTTGAGACAGAGTCTCGCTCTGTTACCTAGTCTGGAGTGTGGTGGCGTAATCTCGGCTCACTGAAACTTCCACCTCCCAGTTCAAGCGATTCTCCTGTAACAGCCTCCCGAGTAGCTGGGATTACAGGAGCCCACAACATGCCAATTTTTGCATTTTTAGAAGAGACGGGGTTTCACCATGTTGGCCAGGCTGGTCTCGAACTCCTGACCTTGTGATCCACCCACTTCGGCTTCCCAAATTGCTGGGATTATAAGCATGAGACACCACACCCGGCCTTTGGCTGTTCTTTTAAAGTCAAACTCAATACCTTCTCAGTGTATCACAAAGAATCTTGAGATATATGTCTTTTATACTGAAATGTACTAGAAGCCACCAACAAGGAAGATAACATTGATTCTTAAAAGTTACAAGTAGGAGTTATAAAACAGCCCAGCAAAGTCAGCTACTCAGGAGGGAACAAAGGAAAAACTGACATCCACATACCAAAGATGTTAAAAAAAAATTTCTTAAGCCTAGAAAGATGTATTAGAATTCACTGCAGAGGGGTGGAGCCAAGATGGCCCAACAGGAACAGCTCCAGTCTACATCTCCCAGCGTGAGCGACACAAAAGACATATGATTTCTGCATTTCCAACTGAGGTACCGGGTTCACCTC
Organism: Homo sapiens; assembly: GCF_000001405.40. NCBI lineage: Eukaryota > Metazoa > Chordata > Mammalia > Primates > Hominidae > Homo > Homo sapiens. Next base: position 47,422,643 of record NC_000008.11, on the reverse strand, counting down.
ACTGGGGATGGTCAGACAGTGGGTGCAGGACAGTGGCTGCAGCACAAAGAGCGTGAGCCGAAGCAGGGCGAGACATCGCCTCACCCGGGAAGCACAAGGGGTCAGGGAATTCCCTTTCCTAGCTAAGGAAAGGGGTGACAGATGGCACCTGGAAAATCGGGTCACTCCCACCCTAATACTGCGCTTTTCCAATGGTCTTAGCAAATGGCACACCAGGAGATTGTATCCCGCACGTGGCTCGGAGGGTCCTACGCCCACAGAGCCTCGCTCATTGCTAGCACAGCAGTCTGAAATCAAACTGCAAGGGGGCAGTGAGGCTGGGGGAGGGGAGCCCGCCATTGCTGAGGCTTGAGTAGGTAAACAAAGCAGCCAGGAAGCTCAAACGGGGTGGAGCCCACTGGAGCTCAAGGAGGCCTGCCTGCCTCTGTAGACTCCACCTCTGGGGGCAGGACATAGCCAAACAAAAGGCAGCAGAAACCTCTGCTGACTCAAAAGTCCCTGTCTGACAGCTTTGAAGAGAGTAGTGGTTCTCCCAGCACGCAGCTGGAGATCTGAGAACGGACACACTGCCTCCTCAAGTGGGGCCCTGACCTCCGAGTAGCCCAACTGTGAGGCACCCCTGAGTAGGGGCAGACTGACACCTCACACAGCCAGGTACTCCTCTGAGACAAAACTTCCAGAAACAATCAGGCTGCAACATTTGCTGTTCACCAATATTGGCTGTTCTGCAGCCTCCGCTGCTGATACCCAGGCAATCAGGGTCTGGAGTGGACCTCCAGCAAACTCCAACAGACCTGCAGCTGAGGGTCCTGACTGTTAGAAGGAAAATTAACAAACAGAAAAGGAAATCCACACCAAAACCCCATCTGTACGTCACCATCGTCAAAGACCAAAGGTAGATAAAACCACAAAGATGGGGAAAAAACAGAGCAGAAAAACTAAAAATTCTAAAAAGCAGAGAGCCTCTCCTCCTCCAAAGGAACGCAACTCCTCACCAGGAACGGAACAAAGCTGGATGGAGAATGACTTTCACAAGTTGAGAGAAGAAGGCTACAGATGATCAAACTACTCCGAGCTAAAGCAGGAAGTTCAAACCCATGGCAAAGAAGTTAAAAACCTTGAAAAAAGATTAGACGAATGGCTAACTAGAATAACCAATGCAGAGAAGTCATTTCAGGACCTCATGGAGCTAAAAACCACAACAAGAGAACGACAGGACGAACCCACAAGCCTCAGTGGCCAATTCAATCAACTGGAAGAAAGGGTATCAGTGATGGAAGATAAAATGAATGAAATGAAGTGAGAAGAGAAGTTTAGAGAAAAAAGAATTAAAAGAAATGAACAAAGCCTCCAAGAAATATAGGACTATGTGAAAAGACCAAATCTACGTCTGATTGGTGTACCCGAAAGTGACAGGGAGAATGGAACCAAGTTGGAAAACACTCTGCAGGATATTATCCAGGAGAACTTCCCCAATCTAGCAAGGCAGGCCAAAATTCAGATTCAGCAAATACAGAGAACAGCACAAAGATACTGTTCAAGAAGAGCAACTCCAAGACACATAATTGTCAGATTCACCAAAGTTGAAATGGAGGAAAAAATGTTAAGGGCAGCCAGAGAGAAAGGTGGGGTTACCCACAAAGTGAAGCCCATCAGACTAACAGCTGACATCTTTGCAGAAACTCTGCAAGCCAGAAGATAATGGGGGCCAATATTCAACATTCTTAAAGAAAATAATTTTCAACCCAGAATTTCATATCCAGCCAAACTAAGCTTCATAAGTGAAGGAGAAATAAAATTGTTTCAAACAAATGTTGGGAGATTTTGTCACCACCAGGCCTGCCCTAAAAGAGCTCCTGAAGGAAGCACTAAACATGAAAAGGAATAACTGGTACCAGGCATTGCAAAAACATGACAAATTGTAAAGACCATCGAGGCTAAGAAGAAACTGCATCAACTAATGAGCAAAATAACCAGGTAACATCATAATGACGGGATCAAATTCACACCTAACAATATTAACTTTAAATGTAAATGGGCTAAATGTGCCAATTAAAAGACACAGACTGGCAAATTGGATAAAGAGTCAAGACCCATCAGTGTGCTGCATTCAGGAAACCCATCTCATTTGCAGAGACACACATAGGCTCAAAATAAAAGGATGGAGGAAGATCTAAAAGCAAATGGAAAACAAAAAAAGGCAGGGGTTGCAATCCTAGTCTCTGATAAAACAGACTTTAAACCAACAAAGATCAAAAGAGACAAAGAAGGCCATTACATAATGGTAAAGGGATCAATTCAACAAGAAGAGCTAACTATCCTAAATATATATGCACCTAATACAGGAGCACCCAGACTCATAAAGCAAGTCCTTAGAGACCTAAAAAGAGACTTAGACTCCCACACAATAATAATGGGAGGCTTTAAAACCCCACTGTCAACATTAGACAGATCAACGAGACACAAAGTTAACAAGGATACCCAGGAATTGAACTCAGCTCTGCACCAAGTGGACCTAATAGACATCTACAGAACTCTCCACCCCAAATCAACAGAATATACATTCTTCTCAGCACCACACCACACCTATTCCAAAACTGACCACATAGTTGGAAATAAAGCACTCCTCAGGAAATGTAAAAGAACAGAAATTATAACAAACTGTCTCTCAGACCACAGTTCAAACTAGAACTCAGGATTAAGAAACTCACTCAAAACTGCTCAACTACATGGAAACTGAACAACCTGCTCCTGAATGACTACTGGGTACATAACGAAATGAAGGCAGAAATAAAGATGTTCTTTGAAACCAACGAGAACAAAGACGCAACATACCGGAATCTCTGGGACATATTCAAAGCAGTGTGTAGAGGGAAATTTATAGCACTAAATGCCCACAAGAGAAAGCAGGAAAGATCTAAAATTAACACCCTAACATCACAATTAAAAGAACTAGAAAAGCAAGAGCAAACACACTCAACAGCTAGCAGAAGGCAAGAAATAACTAAGATCAGAGCAGAACTGAAGGAAATAGAGACACAAAAACCCTTCAAAAAAATCAATGAATCCAGGAGCTGGTTTTTTGAAAAGATCAACAAAATTGATAGACTACTAGCAAGACTAATAAAGAAGAAAAGAGAGAAGAATCAAATAGACGCAATAAAAATTGATAAAGGGGATATCACCACCGATCCCACAGAAATACAAACTACCATCAGAGAATAATATAGACACCTCTACGCAAATAAACTAGAAAATCTAGAAGAAATGGATAAATTCCTGGACACATACACCCTTCCAAGACTAAACCAGGAAGAAGTTGAATCCCTGAATAGACCAATAACAGGCTCTGAAATTGAGGCAATAATTAATAGCTTACCAAACAAAAAAAGTCCAGGACCAGATGGATTCACAGCCGAATTCTACCAGAGATACAAGGAGGAGCTGGTATCTTTCCTTCTGAAACTATTCCAATCAACAGAAAAAGAGGGAATCCTCCCTCACTCATTTTATCAGGCCAGCATCATCCTGATACCAAAGCCTGGCAGAGACACAACCAAAAAAGAGAATTTTAGACCAATATCCCTGAGGAACATCGATGCAAAAATCCTCAATAAAACACTGGCACACCGAATCCAGCAGCACATCAAAAAGCTTATCTACCATGATCAAGTGGGCTTCATCCATGGGATGCAAGGCTGGTTCAACATATGCAAATCAATAAACGTAACCCAGCATATAAACAAAACCAATGACAAAAACCACATGAATATCTCAATAGATGTAGAAAAGCCCTTTGACAAAATTCAACAACCTTCATGCTAGAAACTCTCAACAAATTAGGTATTGATGGGACGTATCTCAAAACAGTAAGACCTATCTATGACAAACCCACAGCCAGTATCGTGCTGAATGGGCAAAAACTGGAAGCATTCCCTTTGAAAACTGCACAAGACAGGGATGCCCTCTCTCACCACTCCTATTCAACATAGTGTTGGAAGTTCTGGCCAGGGCAATCAGGCAGGAGAAGGAAATAAAGGGTATTCAACTAGGAAAACAGGAAGTCAAATTGTCCCTGTTTGCAGATGACATGATTGTATATCTAGAAAAACCCATCGTCTCAGCCCAAAATCTCCTTAAGCTGACAGGCAACTTCAGCAAAGTCTCAGGATACAAAATCAATTTGCAAAAATCACAAGCATTCTTATATACCAATAACAAACAGAGAGCCACATCCTGAGTGAATTCCCATACACAATTGCTTCAAAGAGAATAAAATACCTAGGAATCCAACTTACAAGGGATGGGAAGGACCTCTTCAAGGAGAACTACAAACCACTGCTCAACAAAATAAAAGAGGATACAAACAAATGGAAGAACATTCCATGCTCATGGATAGGAAGAATCAATATTGGGAAAATGGGCATACTGTCCAAGGTAATTTATGGATTCAGTGCTATCCCCATCAAGCTACCAATGACTTTCATCACAGAATTGGAAAAAAATACTTTAAAGTTCATATGGAACCAAAAAGAGCCCGCATTGCCAGGTCAATCCTAAGCCAAAAGAACAAAGCTGGAGGCATCACGCTACCTGACTTCAAACTATACTACAAGGCTACAGTAACAAAAACACCATGGTACTGGTGCCAAAACAGAGACATAGACCAATGGAACAAAACAGAGCCCTCGGAAATAATGCCACATATCTACAACTATCTGATCTTTGACAAAGCTGACAAAAACAAGAAATGGGGAAAGGATTCCCTATTTAATAAATGGTGCTGGGAAAACTGGCTAGCCATATGTAGAAAGCTGAAACTGGATCCCTTCCTTACACCTTATACAAAAATTAATTCAAGATGGATTAAAGACTTACATGTTAGACCTAAAACCATAAAAACCCTAGAAGAAAACCTAGGCAATACCATTCAGGACATAGGTATGGGCAAGGACTTCACGTCTAAAACACCAAAAGCAATGGCAACAAAAGCCAAAATTGACAAATGGGATCTAATTAAACTAAAGAGCTTCTGCAGAGCAAAAGAAACTACCATCAGAGTGAACAGGCAACCTATAGAATGGGAGACAATTTTTGCAGTCTACCCATCTGACAAAGGGCTAATATCCAGAATCTACAATGAACTCAAACAAATTTACAAGAAAAAAACAACCCCATCAACAAGTGGGCAAAGGATATGAACAGACACTTCTCACAAGAAGACATTTATGCAGCCAAGAGACACATGAAAAAATGCTCACCATCACTGGCCATCAGAGAAATGCAAATCGAAACCACAATGAGATACCATGTCACACCAGTTAGAATGGCGATCATTAAAAAGTCAGGAAACAACAGGTGCTGGAGAGGATGTGAAGAAATAGGAACACTTTTACGCTGTTGGTGGGACTGTAAACTAGTTCAATCATTGTGGAAGTCAGTGTGGCGATTCCTCAGGGATCTAGAACTAGAAATACCATTTGACCCAGCCATCCCATTACTGGGTATATACCCAAAGGATTATAAATCATGCTGCTATAAAGACACATGCACATGTATGTTTATTGTGGCACTATTCACAATAGCAAAGACTTGGAACCAACCCAAATGTCCAAAAATCATAGACTGGATTAAGAAAATGTGGCACATATACACCATGGAATACTATGCAGCCATAAAAAAAGGATGAGTTCATGTCCTTTGTAGGGACATGGATGAAGCTGGAAACCATCACTCTCAGCAAATTATCGCAAGGACAAAAAACCAAACACCGCGTGTTCTCACTCATAGGTGGGAACTGAACAATGAGAACACATGGACACAGGAAGGGGAACATCACACACCAGGGCCTGTTGTGGGTGGGGTGGGGGCAGGGTGGAGGGATAGCATTAGGAGATATACCTAATGTTAAATGACGAGTTAATGGGTGCAGCACACCAACATGGCACATATATACATATGTAAGAAACCTGCATGTTGTGCACATGTACCCTAAAACTTAAAGTATAAAAAAAAAGAATTCATTGAAATATTTGGTATTCTTATGCCTTTTTTAATGAAACAAAACATGCCCTTACCATAACACCTGACAATCGCAATCTTGATCATTTATCCCAGAAAAATAAAAACATGTTCACTCAAAAACTGGTACACAAATGTTCACAGCACCTTTTATTTTTAATGACTCAAATATGGAAACAACCCAAAGGCCCTTCATCAACAAATAGTTCAACAAACTGTGGCACATTTGTACCATGGAATACTACCGAGCAATACGGAGTGGGTTATTGACATACACAACAACTTGGATAAATCTCCGGGGAATTAAACTAAGTGAAAAATCTCAATCCCAAAAGGTTATAAACTATATTATTCCATTTCTATAACTTATTTTATTTTTTGAAACAGAGTCTTGCTCTGTCACCCAGGCTGGAGTGCAGTGGCGCCATCTCGGCTCACTGCAAACTCTGCCTCCGGGGTTCAAGTAATTCTCTGCCTCAGCCTCCTGCGTAGCTGAGATTACAGGCGCCTGCCACCACACCTGGCTAATTTTTGTATTTTTAGTAGAGGCAGGGTTTCACCATGTTGGCCAGGCTGGTCTCAAACTCCTGACCTTGTGATCTGCCGGCCTTGGTCTCCCAAAGTGCTGGAATTACAGGTGTGAGCATTTTTAGATAACAAACTATGGAAATGTTTAACAGATTAGTGGCTGCAAGGCATCAGGGAGGAGAGTGGGAAAGAGATGACTGTGGCTATAAAGGGTGGCATGAGAATCCTTGGGGTGATGGACCCTTCTGTGTCTGGACTATGTGATAGTCACATGAATCTAAACAAGTATCTTAGTCCATCTTGGCTGTTACAACAAAAAAACCAGAGCTGTGTGGCTTCGAAGCAACAGAAATTTGTTTCTCACAGTTCTGCAGGCTGGGAAGTCCAAGATCAACGCTCTGGCAGACTCTGTGCCTAGTGAGAGCCTACATTCTCACAGTTGGATTCTTCTTGCTGTATCCTCCTCACACAGTGGAAGGATGAGCTAGCTCTCTACGGTCTCTTCTAATTCCCTTCATGAGGGCTCCACCTCATGACCTAATCACTTTCCAAAAGCCTTACTTACCTCCTAATACCAACAAACTGGTGATTAGGTTTCAACATGAATTTTGGGAGCATACAAAAATTCAGACCACAGTAACAGGTGATAAGATTACATAAAACAAAAAATACACACAGAAATAAATGCATGTAAAATTGGTGAAATCTGAGCAGGGTCAATGGACTGTATTGGAGATCATCATCCTGGCTGTCCTGTCATTCTACAGTTATAAAAGATGTCATTACCGGGGGAAACTGGGGGCATGGTACAAGGGATCTCTCAGTATTATTTCTAACTGCATGTCAATCTACAATTATTTTTAAATACAAAGTGTTTTAAAAGGGCAGAATAGGCCGGGCATGGTGGCTCATACCTGTAATCCCAGCACTCTGGGAGGCCGAGGCGGGAGGATCACGAGGTCAGGAGATCAAGACCATCCTGGCTAACACGGTGAAACCCTATCTGTACTAAAAATACAAAAAATTAGCCAGGCGTGGTGGCGGGTGCCTGTAGTCCCAGCTACTCGGGAGGCTGAGGCAGGAGAATGGTGTGAACCCAGGAGGCGGAGCTTGCAGTGAGCTGAGATGGTGCCACTGCACTCCAGCCTGGGCAACAGAGCGAGACTCTGCCTCAAAGAAAAAAAACAAAACAAAACAAAACAAAAACGGGCAGAATAATGTGTTAGAGACATTCCAACATTTTAAATCATTTGATCATTTATCCCAGAAAAATAAAAACATATGTTCACTCAAAAACTGGTATACAAATGTTCACAGCACGTTTTATTTGTAATGACTCAAATATGGAAACGACCCAAAGGCCCTTCAGTCAACGAACAGTTAAACAAACTGTGGCACATTCGTACCATGCAATAGTACCCAGCAATATAAGGGAGTGGGATACTGACATACACAACAACTTGAATAAATATACAGACAAAAACAGACCTCTCAACTGTGGGGTAATTAAATACTCCCCAAATGGAAGACACGTGGAAAGAAAGATCTCAAGCTAAATCATTATAATCGACAGATCAATTTTGTAAGCCATAATTTCTCATCTCTGAAGCAGATAAATAAGGAGAATCTTAGTTTGACATGCTACACTTAATATCTAGAACAAAATTTAAGAAGTGATATTGTAAGGAACATTTCAAGTAAGTTATGTTTTTGTTTTGAGCCAAACAAAAAAAATCACCTTTTTCTCCCTTCATTCTGGACCACCAGTCATACATGTTTAACTTGGTATTTTTCTATCCAGAGAAGCAGAAGACACTCTGTCAACTACATACTTGACAATTTGATCAATTCACTATAGTGAGTAACCGGGATGACAACGCCTAGTGAATTCTATGTGTATTAATATCAATAATTAAGAAGACAATCTGCCACTTCCCATCAAAATCATAAGACTTTAGGACATCCTATACAGTTCCACAATTTACACAGTCTCTGCAACCTTCAAACCTATGTCCTATGCTTCACCAATTAGTGCTGTCTCAAGAATGTGATACAGACCTACATTTTGTAAGATTTTTTTCAAAAGAAAAACATTTGTATTAATACTTCTAATTTTGCTAACTCCTCAATCCCTTGTCTTCTTAAGCCTAACTTTCTCCAGCCCAAACAGAGTAACTAATGAAGGTCTGTAGAGATTAACAAACTTCGACTTGACAGTTCAAATCTGGCCTTAGTCATCTATAGCATATACTCAACCTACAGTTTTTTTTATCTGGAAAATAAGGAAAGCAAACTCTTCTAGAAGATTAGTTTGCATATGAAATGATTTAATACGTAGTAAGCCTTCAGCATTGTACCCACCAACATCAAACCTCCAAATGTGATACAACAATGAGGATCATGTTGAAGGGGGAAACAGGACAGACAGAACCCAAACTATTTAAGAATTTATGATCCAATTCAAAGTTCGCCCATGTTTTGCTCCTACTTGGAAGATATTTACAATTTGTCAATGCTATAATAACATCAGCAAAATTCAAGACAGCTACCTGAACTAAACATGCAAAGTCCAATTTGGACTATTTGGTTATTCTCCACTAGCAAGATCAAGAGGAAACTGGCAGAGGATTAAAATGATTATTTTCATATGGCAGAAGAGTGGCAGGGTTTGAAAGAGCATGGCACTGGGAACCAGGAGGCCTGGCTTTGGCCCTGTCTCTTCCTTGGCTAGATAATCAGAGCAAGTCACCTCCCTCCTCTAGGCAATCTGCCAAAGAGGAGCTTGGACTGGAATGTCTCTAAGAGTCCTCACAGAATTAGCATTCCATCTCCTCATGTGGAAAAAGGAAACAAAAGCGCTGCATGAATGTCAACGCAGTATGCAAATGATATCTTCAGGTTCTGGCCTTTTAGGCCGCCAGTAGCCAGAGTCCTGTGTGCCATGCTCCTCTTTTCCATCTGATAGTTCACCATCCACCACAACCCAACACAAAGCTAATGTTGTAACTAAGAACTCAAAGTGGCCTTCCTGAAACCCAATAATGCAAATATTTATATCCAGTTGAAAGAAATTCAAGCTTGCCATTCTCTCATATCATTACTTCAAAAGAAGGGAGTCAAAAGAAGGAGGAGCCATTTGAGAATTTAAGTGGCAAGGAAATATTTTTCTGGTTCAAGCAGAACAAAAGAAGTTTATAATGCATAGAACCACAAACTAAATTGAAAGCAATGAGTGACACACAAATTAAACAGAAACTATTTAGAGATGGAGGGAAGTAGATTATAAGAAACAGTGGTCACTCCAGTTCCAGGTCATTCACATTTGAGAGGTTAAATATACACATGCAAATACTTATAAATAGGAGAACATGAAGAATCACTGAAAGACTAAAATGAGATAACATACTGTAGAATTACAAATAGTTCCTGCTGATTTTTATTAAATAACTCTGGAAATAAAATAATCACAAGTTAAGGATATGGATGGTAGTGTGTTACTGACTGTAGCCCATGTTGGCCAGAGTGATTAGGATGATTTCAAGCAGGGATTCCTGTCTCTACCAGACCAATGAAAGTCATTTTGGGCACTTCTGGTAAAATATTGGAAAGAAAGCATTCTTTTTATCGGACTTGAAGAGGAGAGTTACCACACAGAGAATGACCGCCAGCCTTTCCAACCAATATGCCTGAAGCATGGTCCCTGTGGCATTCAATTACAAGTCCCATTAAATTCTTTTTTTGTGTCTAAGCCAATGTGCTATTAAGACTTCCCTAAATTCTAAATAACAAATGGAAGAACATTAAATGCTCATGGGTAGGAAGAATCAATATTGTGAAAATGGCCATACTGTCCAAGGTAATTTATAGATTCAATGCCATCCCCATCAAGCTACCAATGACTTTCTTCACAGAACTGGAAAAAACTACTTGAAAGTTCATATGGAACCAAAAAAGAGCCCGCATTGCCAAGTCAATCCTAAGCCAAAAGAACAAAGCTGGAGGCATCACACTACCTGACTTCAAACTATGCTACAAGGCTACAGTAACAAAAACACCATGGTACTGGTACCAAAACAGAGATATAGACCAATGGAACAGAACAGAGGCCTCAGAAATAATGCTGCATATCTACAACTATCTGATCTTTGACAAAGCTGACAAAAACAAGAAATGGGGAAAGGAATCCTTATTTAATAAATGGTGCTGGGAAAACTAGGTAGCGATATGTAGAAAGCTGAAACTGGATCCCTTCCTTACACCTTATACAAAAATTAATTCAAGATGAATTAAAGACTTAAATGTTAGACCTAAAACCATAAAAACCCTAGAAGAAAACCTAGGCAATACCATTCAGGACATGGGCATGGGCAAGGACTTCATGTCTAAAACACCAAAAGCAATGGCAACAAAAGCCAAAATTGACAAATGGGATCTAATTAAACTAAAGAGCTTCTGCACAGCAAAAGAAACTACCATCAGAGTGAACAGGCAACCTACAGAATGGGAGAAAACTTTCGCAATCTACTCATCTGACAAAGCTAATATCCAGAATCTACAATGAACTCAAACAAATTTACAAGAAAAAAACAACCCCATCAACAAGTGGGCAAAGGATATGAACAGACACTTCTCACAAGAAGACATTTATGCAGCCAAGAGACACATGAAAAAATGCTCACCATCACTGGCCATCAGAGAAATGCAAATCGAAACCACAATGAGATACCATGTCACACCAGTTAGAATGGTGATCATTAAAAAGTCAGGAAACAACGGGTGCTGGAGAGGATGTGAAGAAATAGGAACACTTTTACACTGTTGGTGGGACTGTAAACTAGTTCAATCATTGTGGAAGTCAGTGTGGCGATTCCTCAGGGATCTAGATCTAGAATTACCATTTGACCCAGCCATCCCATTACTGGGTATATACCCAAAGGATTATAAATCATGCTGTTATAAAGACACATGCACACGTATGTTTACTGTGGCACTATTCACAATAGCAAAGACTTGGAACCAACCCAAATGTCCAATAATGATAGACTGGATTAAGAAAATGTGGCATATATACACCATGAAATACTATGCAGCCATAAAAAAGGATGAGTTCATGTCCTTTGTAGGGACATGGATGAAGCTGGAAGCCATTATTCTCAGCAAACTATCGCAAGGACAAAAAACCGAACACCACGTGTTCTCACTCATAGGTGGGAAATGAACAATGAGAACACATGGACACAGGAAGGGGAACATCACACACTGAGGCCTGTTGTGGGGTTGGGGGAGCGGGGAGGGATAACATTAGGAGATATATGTAATGCTAAATGACGAGTTAATGGGTGCAGCACACCAACATGGCACATATATACATATGTAAGAAACCTGCACGTTGTGCACATGTACCCTAAAACTTAAAATATAATAATAATAATAAAAAAGACTTCTCTAAATAATAAGACCAGGCAAACTTTATGTTTGCCTGGCCTTCAGGGTGGTCAAATGAGTTGTAAAGATTATTATTTAATGTCATAATCATTAATATAAAAAAACGCCAAGAAACAAAGTCGTAAGTATAACAATGGATTGACCCACAGATATGTATAGAAGAAAAAGTGACTGGGCATGATGGCTCACACCTGTAATCCCAGCACTTTGGGAGGCTGAGGTGGGTGCGTCACCTGAGGTCAGGAGTTCGAGATCAGCTTGCCCAGCATGGCGAAACCCCATCTCAACTAAAAATACAAAAATTAGCCAGGCGTGATGGCAGGCACCTATAGTCCCAGCTACTCCGGGGGTTGAGGAGGAGAATCGCTTGAACTCAGGATACGGAGGTTGCAGTGAGTCAGGATCTTGCCACTACACTCCAGCCTGGGTGACAGAGCGAGATGCTGTCTCAAAAAAAAAAAGGTAAAATAAAATAAAAAAAGAAAAAGTATTCTTGGGTCATATATATTAGGTCATCCTGATACATATATATGTATTTCATATTATAGTACTTTAATGCAAGAATGTGAGAGAAGGCAATTGCTAAGCGACAGCTGGGAAAGGAGTTTTTTGTATTTTTTTAGAGACAGGGTCTTGCTGTGTCACACAGGCTGGTGTGCAGAGGTGCGATCATAGCTCACTGTAACCTAGAACTCCTAGGCTCAAGCAATTCTCACATCTCAGCCTCTCGAGTAGTTAGGACTATAGACGTGTGCCACCACGTACAGTTAATTTTTAAATTTTTGCAGCGAATGGGTTTCACTACATTGCTCAGGCTGGCCTTGAACTCTTGGCCTCAAGTGATCCTCCCGTCTTGGCCTCCCAAAGGATGGAGATTACAGGCATGAGCCACCACACCTGGCCTCGGAAAGGATTTTAAAAGGAATAAATGAGATAAGAATTGAAAAGTCTTCTAAAGAAATGTGTAATATAATAGTTGAGAACATAACAGTTGAGTGATCTATTTAGAAGAATATATTATTGGGAACGGGGAGATCAACTCTAAGAATAATGTTTCTTAAATTCTAGCATGTGCAGAAACCACCTGGGAACCTATTAAAATGTATATCCCAATGATCCCTCAGGAAAGACTAATAATAGTTGGTTTGGAATACATGACTGGGCCCACACCTACCCATCCCCTACTCTAGATGGAGGGAACACACAGGAAAAAACTACCAAATCAGCACTGTTTAGGAGGAGAGGAGGCTTTTCTAGACATGTGGAATCTTTTCAATATCAAGCAATTTGTTGAAAAACAAGAGTTTTCAGTCATTAGACCTTGGAGGAATAAACTCATTTGTTGGAATAATTTCTGAGACCTATATGACACCTGAAAAAAAAAAAGTCAGTTTTCAGAGTACAAGTCCTTGACATCCATGATTAAGTTTATTCCTAAGTATTTCATTCTTTTTCTTTTCTTTTTGAGACAGAGTCTCACTCTGTCGCCAGGCTGGAGTGCAGTGGCACAACCTTGGCTCACTGAAGACTCCGCCTCCTGGGTTCAAGCGATTCTCTTGCCTCAGCCTCCCGTGTAGCTGGGACTACAGGCGTGCACCACCACGCCCAGCTAATTTTTATATTTTTAGTAGAGATGGGGTTTCACCATGTTGGCCAGGATGGTCTCGATCTCTTGACCTCATGATCTGCCCGCCTCAGCCTCCTAAAGTGCTGGGATTACAGGCGTGAGCCATCATGCCCGGTCCCGAATTTCATTCTTTTTGATGTTATTGTAAATGAGACTGCTTTCTTAATTTCCAAGAGAAAAGAAAATATCTCGTTGTTAATATACAGAAATTTCATTGTTACTATATGGAAATGCAATTGATTTTGGTATGTTGATTTTTAATCCTGCTACTATGTTGAATTCATTTATTAGTTCTAACTTTTTTTTGGCAGGGGCAGGGTGTCTTATAGGGTTTTCTAGATATAAGATCATGTTATCTGCAAACGGAGACAGCTTTACCTCTTGCTTTCCAACTTGGATATCTTTTATCTCTTTTTCTTGACTAATAGTGCTCTGGCTACAGAAGCAGAGACTGCAATGGTGGCTGCCAATAGAGAGGTATTTGTCAAAGGGTACAACGTTTTGATTATATAAGCTAAACCAGTCCTAGAGATCTGCAGTACAGAATCATGCCTATAGTTAACATACTGTATTGTATTCTTAAAATTTTGCTAAGAGGAGCTGGGCACGGTGGAAAAAGCCTGTGGTCTTAGCCAGTCGGGAGGCTGAAGTGAGAGAATTTGCTTGAGCCCAAGAGTTTGAGGCTACATGATTATGTCACTACACTCCAGCCTGGGCAACGGTGAGACCCTGTCTCTAAATAATGAAATAAAACAAAATAAATTTTGCTAAGAGGGTAGAGTGCTCTTAATGATAAGAATAGAACAAAATTTTTGGAGGTCAAGGGTAGATTTATAGCACAGATTGTGGTGATGTTTTCATAAGAGTATGCTTATTTTTAAACTCATCAAGTTAAATATATTTACTATATATAGTTTTTATATGTTAAAATTAGAATGTTGGAAAAAATTTTTAAAAAGTCATGAAAATATTAACAATTAACTTCATATATTTTAATGTAAGAATTCTTTTAACTAAAATATTTTTTTACACATTGTCTCAGATTCCTGCACAAGCCTTACCTGAAAGTGTCTTTTGGTAAGAAATACATTGATGTCTCCACAAAGAAATAGCAGATCTCTCTCGATTCTGCAGTCCATTTAGTCTTTCTGCTAGTCCACCTCTGTTTAATGAATTATAATGTATTAAGTTTAGTTAAAAGGAAAACTTCAGAATCACTGGAACATTTATATTGTATACCCCCCAACCAGAGACAAACAGATAAAACATGCAAAATTTTAACGTATATTTGTTACCACATTATCTTCCCAGAGGCCATATCCTCATAAGTCAGTTTTTTGTTTTCTTAGAAGCTTGGTTTTCTGATTCTTAGAAATATGGGCTAATATTATGTCCAAAAACATCACATTCTTGGAAATATGACAGCTAAATATCAGCTTACCTATTTTTCTATTCTTTCTTAGTTCATTTATTCAATCCTAAAACAAGCACTGCTTACTTACCACCTGCTATATGCTGGCACCTAGCACTTCGTTAGGTACCAGGGACACAAGGACAGCTATGAGTGCTGCCATGGAGGTGGGAAAGCTCCCAATGAGCTCAGCACATAGGAGCAAAGAAATGTAAAGTGGGCTCAGAGTTCCAGTCAAGAATAACTTTGCCAACTGTTGATAGAACACTCAAATAAGAGCACTTGGGTATGGGTCCCTTATTTGGACTCCAGAGATATTTGAGTATCAATCACAAACACACAGCAAAGATACCAATGTTATAAAAAAGAAAACTTCCATGTATAGCAGAAAGACAATTTATAACGACAGACATGCAGGCACTGCAGAAGAGCATTAACCTATCAATGAACACATATACTTACTGAGATATATTTATGCTTATAAATATATAGGTGTATGTAAATTATAAGTAAATAAATACATGCATATGTAGAGAGAAAGAGAAGTTATCAACTACTAACATAACTATAATTTCAAGAAAAATTAAGATCAGTTGTTAATTACCACTATAGCTACATGCTATATCGGGTATCAATGTATTATCTCATAAGTTTATTATCTTGTTACCAATTCATTAATCATTTCACTACATTACCTTTATTCAAATAATATCCCTTTGAGACTGAAAGAACAGATATCAGTACCCACTGCACAGATGATAAAACCAGAATTTAGAGAGAGGTTAAGAAACTTCTCCAGCATTACGTAACTAACCAGATGAGGAACTAGCTGTTAAAACCAGAATGGACTTAGTGCAGCACGTGGCATTTAGTAAACCTTCAAAAAATGCCCATGATTGGTGTAACTGTTTTTGTTATGTTTTTCACTTGCAGCCTATATACAGATCTTTCCATTATGATGGAAATATTTTAATAAATACATAATATTGCTAGTATTAATACCTATAGAGACACCTAGTATGTTTTCCTATAGGTTACTATTTCTGAATATACTTGCGTGTAGTACATGTAACAGAAAAAAAGTTAAAACCTCTTATGCTCAGAAATATGCCATAGCACCTCTACATGTCAACCTCTACTTCCTATTAAGCCCTTCTTCATATCATTCTGTTTACATGAAGTAACTCGTTTATGCTTCCCCTTTACACAACACCGTGAAGTAGGTACTATTATTATTCCACTTTATAGATGACAAACTGAGGCACCAAGATGTTAAACATCTGTCCAAGGTGAAATGTCTAATGAGTGGTGTAGCTGGATGCACGCCTAGGCAGTCTGGTTCCAGAGTTCAAACTCTTAGTCTTGATAATATACCTAGCACCTCTTAAACAGTATTATTTAAAATGATATGCACAATAAATACAAGAAGCAAATGCTGTATTCTTTGCCCAACTATCTAGAACATTATTTGCCAAATGTTGCTTTTCAATGCTGTGACCTTACAGAAAAAAAAAAAAAAAGGCAAAATGAACTCTGAAAAAACTATCTGGTTAAAGTCAAGCCTAGAACCTCGTAAGAAAACTGTGCAGATTACAGGATGAAAGGTAAAAGCAACAGTAAACATGCACAGGCGCTCTCTACACACAGCAGTATCTGGAGCCCTCAGAAAAAATCTGCATCTCACCTGAGTTTGGCCATTAGGGCCTGTTATGCAGGGAATTCCAGTCACATGCACTTGAACTTAAGAACTTGAGCTTAGGAAACACCATGTCCTCTAATCAACAATCCTATTTCTAGTAAAAACATATCTCATGTTAAAAAAAATTAAGTCATACCAAAAGTTCAGGAAGGCCCTGCCATCTATATCCAAATTAACTCTTTTGAACGTAGCCAGATAAGTTATTTATAAAGGCCAAACTCCGATGGAATAAAAATATGATGAATTCACTCAGCAAGTTAAGATATCCTAATTATCTTTTCTATAAAATTAACAGACTGGTAACCTATCTCAAAAGATGACTGGTATCAATTTGACATTGGTAAACATTTCTATAAAAACAATATGGAGAAGTAAAGAAGGATAAAGATTCAAAAATATTCCAACTGATTTACAGTCAAAATATTTTTAATAAGCTATACAACCAGGTAAAGAATAAACAATTAAAATGACTGTAAATACAATATTTTAAAATTTTGGTTTATTTTTATTATACTTTAAGTTCTGGAATACATGTGCACAATGTGCAGGTTTGTTAAATATACATATATATATACACACACACATATATACACACACACACACACACACACACACACACACGTGCCATGTTGGTGTGCTGCACCCGTTAACTCGTCATCTACATTAGGTATTTCTCCTAATGCTATCCCTCCCCCATCCCCCCACCACATGACAGGCCCCGGTGTGTGATGTTCCCCTTCCTGTGTCCAAGTGATCTCACCGTTCAACTCCTACATATGAGTGAGAACATGCGGTGTCTGGTTCTCCTTCCCTGCGACAGTTTCCTCAGAATGATGGTTTCCAGCTTCATCCATGTCCCTAACAAAGGACATGAACTCATCCTTTCTTACAGCTGCATAGCACTCCATGGAGTATATGTGCCATATTTTCTTAATCCACTCTATCACTGAAGGACATTTGGGCTGGTTCCAAGTCTTGGCTATTGTGAATAGTGCCACAATAAACATACGTGTCAATGTGTCTTTATAGCAGCATGATTTATAATCTTTTGGGTATATATCCAGTAATAGGATTGCTGGGTCAAATGGTATTTCTAGTTCTAGATCCTTGAGGAATCGCCACACTGTCTTCCACAATGGTTGAACCAGTTTACAGTCCCACCAACAGTGTAAAAGTGTTCCTATTTCTCTCCACATCCTCTCCAGCACCCGTTGTTTCCTGACTTTTTAATGATCGCCATTCTAACTGGTGTGACATGGTATCTCATTGTGGTTTTGATTTGCATTTCTCTGATGGCCAGTGATGATGAGCATTTTTTCATGTGTCTATTGGCTGCATAAATGTCCTCCCTTGAGAACTGTCTGTTCATATCCCTTGCCCACTTTTTGATTGGGTTGTTTGATTCTTTCTTGTAAATTTGTTTAAGTTCTTTATAGATTCTGGATATTAGCCCTTTGTCAGATGGGTAGACTGCAAAAATTTTCTCCCATTTTGTAGGTTGCCTGTTCACTCTGATGGTAGTTTCTTTTGCTGTGCAGAAGCTCTTTAGTTTAATTAGATCCCACTTGTCAATTTTGGCTTTTGTTGCCATTGCTTTTGGTGTTTTAGACATAAAGTCCTTGCCCTTGCCTATGGCCTGAATGGTATTGCCTAGGTTTTCTTCTAGGGTTTTTAAGATTTAGGTTTAACATTTAATGCTTTAATCCATCTTGAATTAATTTTTGTATAAGGTGTAAGGAAGGGATCCAGTTTCAGCTTTCTACATATGGCTGGCCAGTTTTCCCAGCACCATTTATTAAATAGGGAATCCTTTCCCCATTTCTTCTTTCTGTCAGGTTTGTCAAGGATCAGATGGTTTTAGATGTGTGGTATTATTTTCAAAGGCTCTGTTTTGTTCCATTGGTCTGTATCTCTGTTTTGGTACCAGTACCATGCTGCTTTGCTTACTGTAGCTTTGTAGTATAGTTTGAAGTCAGGTAGCGTGATGCCTCCAGCTTTGTTCTTTTGGCTTAGGATTGTCTTGGCAATGCGGCTCTTTTTGGTTCCATATGAACTTTGAAGTATTTTTTTCCAATTCTGTGAAGAAAGTCATTGGTAGCTTGATGGGGATGGCATTGAATCTATAAATTACCTTGGGTAATATGGCCATTTTCCCAATATTGATTCTTCCTATCCAAGAGCATGAAATGTTCTTCCATTTATTTGTTTCCTCTTTTATTTCGTTGAGGAGTGGTTTATAGTTCTCCTTGAAGAGGTCCTTCACATCCCTTGTAAGTTGGATTCCTAGGTATTTTATTCTTTTTGAAGCAATTGTGAATGGGAGTTCACTCATAATTTGGCTGTTTTGTCTGTTATTGGTGTATAAGAATGCTTGTGATTTTTGCACATTGATTTTGTATCCCAAGACTTTGCTGAATTTGCTTATCAGCTTAAGGAGATTTTGGGCTGAGACGATGGGGTTTTCTAAATGTACAATCCTGTCATCTGCAAACAGGGACAATTTGACTTCCTCTTTTCCTAACTGAACACCCTTTATTTCTTTCTCTTGCCTGATTGCCCTGGCCAGAACTTCCAACGCTATGTTGAATAGGAGTGGTGAGAGAGGGCATCCCTGTCTTGTGCCAGTTTTCAAAGGAAATGCTTCCAGTTTTTGCTCATTCAGTATGATATTGGCTGTGGGTTTGTCATAAATACCTCTTATTATTTTGAGATATGTCCGATATATACCTAATTTATTGAGAGTTTTTAGCATGAAGGGCTGTTGCAATTTTGTCAAAGGCCTTTTCTGCATCTATTGAGATATTCATGTGGTTTTTGTCTTTTGTTCTGTTTATATAATGGATTACGTTTACTGATTTGCGTATGCTGAACCACCCTTGCATCCCAGGGATGAAGCCAACTTGATTGTGGTGGATAAGCTTTTTCATGTGCTGCTGCATTCAGTTTGCCAGTATTTTATTGAGGATTTTTGCATTGATGTTCATCAGAGATATTGGTCTAAAATTGTCTTTTTTTGTTGTGTCTCTGCCAGGCTTTGGTATCAGGATGATGCTGGCCTCATAAAATGAATTAGAGAGCATTCTCTCTTTTTCTATTGATTGGAATAGTTTCAGAAGTAATGGTACCAGCTCCTCTTTGTACTTCTGGTAGAATTCGGCTGTGAATCCGTCTGGTCCTGGACTTTTTTTTGTTGGTAGGCTATTAATTATTGCCTCATTTTCAGAACCTGTTATTGGTCTATTCAGGGATTCAGCTTCTTCCTGGTTTAGTCTGGTGAGGGTGTATGTGTGCTGGAATTTATCCATTTCTTCTAGATTTTCTAGTTTATTTGCGTAGAGGTGTTTATAGCATTCTCTGATGGTAGTTTGTGTTTCTGTGGGACTGGTGGTGATATTCCCTTTATCATTTTTTATTGTGTCTATTTGATTCTTCTCTCTTTTCTTCTTTATTAGTCCTGCTAGCAGTCTATCAATTTCGTTCATCTTTTCAAAAAACCAGCTCCTGGATTCACTGATTTTTTGAAGGGTTTTTTGTCTCTATCTCCTTCAGTTCTGCTCTGATCTTAGTTATTTCTTGCCTTCTGCTAGCTTTTGAATGTGTTGGCTCTTGCTTCTCTAGTTCTGTTAATTGTGATGTTAGGGTGTTAATTTTAGATCTTTCCTGCTTTCTCTTGTGGGCATTTAGTGCTATAAATTTCCCTCTACACACTGCTTTAAATGTGTCCCAGAGATTCTCGTAGTGGGACACCAGTACCATTTGATTGCACTGTGGTCTCAGAGACATTTTGTTATAATTTCTGTTCTTTTACATTTGCTGAGGAATGCTTTACTTCCAACTATGTGGTGAATTTTGGAATAAGTGCGATGTGGTGCTGAGAAGAATGTATATTCTCTTGATTTGGGGTGGAGAGTTCTGTAGATGTCTATTAGGTCTGCTAGGTGCAGAGCTGAGTTCAATTCCTGGATATCCTTGTTAACTTTCTGTCTCATTGATCTGTCTAATGTTGACAGTGGGGTGTACAAGTCTCCCATTATTACTGTGTGGGAGTCTAAGTCTCTTTGTAGGTCTCTAAGGACTTGCTTTATGAATCTGGGTGCTCTTGTATTGTGTGCACATATATTTAGGATAGTTAGCTCTTCTTGTTGAATTGATCCCTTTACCATTATGTAATGGCCTTCTTTGTCTCTTTTGATCTTTGTTGGCTTAAAGTCTGTTTTATCAGAGACAAGGATTGCAACCCCTGCTTTTTTTTTGTTTTCCATTTGCTTGGTAGATCTTTCTCCATCCCTTCATTTTGAGCCTATGTGTGTCTCTGCACGTGAGATGGGTTTCCTGAATACAGCACACTGATGGGTCTGGACTCTTTATCCAGTTTGCTAGTCTCTGTCTTTTAATTGGAGAGTTTGGCCCATTTATATTTAAGGTTTATATTGTTATGTGTGAATTTGATCCTGTCATTATGATGTTAGCTGGTTATTTTGCTCGTTAGTTGATGCAGTTTCTTCCTAGCCTCAATGGTCTTTACAATTTGGCATGTTTTTGCAGTGGCTGGTACCAGTTGCTCCTTTCCATGTTTAGTGCTTTCTTCAGGAGCTCTTGTAAGGCAGGTCTGGTGGTGACAAAATCTCTCAGCATTTGTTTCAAAGGATTTTATTTCTCCTTCACTTATGAAGCGTAGTTTGGCTGGATATGAAATTCTGGGTTGAAAATTCTTTTCTTTAAGAATGTTGAATATTGGCCCCCCACTCTATTCTGGCTTCTAGAGTGTCTGCCGAGAGATTCTCTGTTAGTCTGATGGGCTTCTCTTTGTGAGTAACCCGACCTTTCTCTCTGGCTGCCCTTAACATTTCTTCCTCCATTTCAACCTTGATGAATGTGACAATTATGTGTCTTGGAGTTGCTCTTCTCGAGGAGTATCTTGGTGGCATTCTCTGTATTTCCTGAATTTGAATGTTGGCCTGCCTCGCTAGATTGGGGCAGTTCTCCTGGATAATATCCTGAAGAGTGTTTTCCAACATGGTTCCATTCTCCCTGTAACTTTCAGGTACACCAATCAGACGTAGATTTTGTCTTTTCAAGATATAATAAGCACTGTGAAAAACAACTTGACCATCAAACTGGGGAGATATATATAGCTTTATTATTACCAACACACTTAAATATCTAACAATTTTGCATTGGTGTTTGTTACTTATGCTTTGAATAGTTCCACAAATTTAAAAAAAAAAAAAAAAAGAAAGAAAGAAAAAGAAGTCCAAAGAGACTGAGTGACATTTCCTGCAGGGCAAACCAGAAAGAGAAGGGCCAATGTGCTCCATCCTTCAAATGTCAACTACCTCTCTCAATCCTTGCTACCTGGTCTTTATCAGGTAAAAAAGTTCTTTTTAATCACCACAAACCACCATCCCTTCATCAAAAGCAGACAAGGCAGTCACAGGCCTTTCTAGTCAGCTCAGTAAAACAGGAAGTCTTCCAGTTTGAAGACCTGAGACTAACAACCCTAAGCACATCAATCTCATTTTTAGTATTTAAGCATAGTAACTTCAAAACAGACATCCTCATTTAGTTGTTCCTAGAAATCACAAGAAGAAAATGATCAATTGCATGCTGTTTGAGCAGCTTCAGCCACTTCTAGGAACGTCCCCTCCACCTTCTGTTGAGGACTCCCTGACAGTGACCTGACCTTAAACAGCACTGTGTTGTCTCCCCTACCCTCTCACTGGGCCTGAAAGGCCAGGAAGGATGGCCTTGCTCTTCACTGCAGCTTCAAGACCATCTGGTAGCCTCCCTTACGTTCCAGCTCCAACTCAGCCTGCCCAATGCCAGGGAAGGCAACTGGCACTGACCTGCCACCCTTAGAGGCCTTATCTCCTGGGTTATGGCCACCATTCTTGCTGATGTCAGTGCCCGCCCAGCTCCAAGATGGTGTCCTCCACTCGCCTCAGCCACTCTAATCTTGAAGTCCCGAACTGCCTCCCTCCAGCGGCTCAACTCTGGGCGCCCGTCATCGTTACTGCCCCAGCTCATCACCTCTAGTAGCGTTACTCTGTAAGTGTTTGACCAACCTTTTCCCCAGTCCTCAATCAGTGAGTTCTACCCCAACTCACCATGCTCCACATCCTGCACATTCTCATTCTCACTTTACCCAGCTTAGGCTTCACGGGTCATTATTATTGCTACTCTCGGAACTCCTGTCAACCCCTTTTAGTGTGCCCCTGGACCATCCTTGTGCTCTGCCCACATGGGCAGCCCAAGGGTCGAATCCACACTGGCTGATAGGTCTCAAACTCAGTCCATGACCACGACTTCCCAACAGGGCCTGATCCTGTCAGACAGCCCTGGAGCCCTTCTCCAGTTCATCTGTCCCCACTACATGCCCGTGTCACAGATTCTCTCTCCTCAGACCTCCACAACTCCGTTCTCATCCTCCCTGTCAGCTAATGAAGGACTGCCCTATTTACTGGAATAGAATTGATCGGAAAGAACTAGTTCCCAAGCCAGATACATGTGCCTGTAACAGCAGGGACTCTGCCTTCCCAGCTGTCCGTGGATGGCCTGTCTGCTCCTCACCAGGTCCATCCTGGCACCTGCATGGGTGCTGCCCGCCCTGGCCATGGGTGCACACTCTGAACTCCTGACAAGGTCACCCCCATTTGTGCCTCCCTTCACCACGACAGAGACAACTCCATCAGTTGTCCCCTCCCTCCCCTGCCTCAGCAGTTTCCTGTTTTCTCCTGGACTTCCCTATCAACATACAAACATGATGAAATTTCTATCACCTTTAAAATAAGAAACCTTGACCCTCACATTCACTTTCAACTAACACACTTTGATCTGCTCTCCTTAAAGCAAAACTTCTCCAGAGTTCCATCGTGCTGTCTTCAGTTTCTCTCTTTCCATTCTCTCGAGTCCATGGCAGTCTGCTTTGCCTGGTCACGCCGCTGAGACGGCTGCACACCCTGCCTTTCACCGTGGAATCACAGAGGTCAGCCCTGGCAGCATCTGTCACAGTGGGTCACCCTCTCTCCTCACTTGCCTCAGCACACCATGCTCCCTTTGCTTTGGCTCCTCCCTCAGCAGTCTCTCCCTCCACACCCCAACTTTGGCAGAGCACCCAGGACTCAGGCCTTGGACAGGTTCTCCTCTCGCCCAGCACTGGATCTCCTGTGACCTGACCTAGCTCATGCTTCAAAAGATCTGGACACTGCAGTCTACGCATTCACATCTCCAACGCCAGGCCTGCCCGTGGACTGCAGACCCATAGTCCCACTAAGATGTATAATGTCTAACTGAAAATGGCCAAAAGCCTCATGATTGTCAACCAAAGATACAAAACCAAAAGCACCTGCTCCACTGCACACTCCATTCTTCCAGCTGCTCAATGAGGCATCTCCTCAGGGCTTCCCTGAGTCTGTTTCAAACTGAAATGTCCTCCCCCACCTCTGGACCCTTTTCTGTCCCCCTTTTCTGCTTTTTCTCCATAAAATTTCTCTCTCTGAGTTGACATCTATTTTACTTCTTGGCTCCTTATTGCCCTTCCCTCGACACAAGCGGGGCTCCATTCACCTTTGCTCTCTGTTATGAGCAACCATTCCACTTTGCTTGCTCCTGTGCATGAACAGTGCTTGGCAAGTGGTCGGCCCTCAGCAGGGCTGGGGACATGACTTTCTGTAATCGCATGGCATCACCTTCACCAACAAAAACATGCTAATTCCTTTAATGGGCTTCCCTCCCTTTCTTCCCAGAGACTATTACAAACCACCTTCTATTACAAATTACATTCTACTACTATTACAAATTACATTCTTTTTTTGAGGCCACAACTTCTTCGCTTTGGGCATAAGGCCTCCTGTCTCGTGGTGAGTAGGCACAAATGGATCTCTGTGCCCTGACCATCCCACTAAACTCGGCCACATCCTCAAGCTCTTTCCTCCACTGGTGTCTTCAAGCTGGGGCTCTCCTCTCCACCTTCCTTCCCTACCTCTTCTCCAGGATGCTGATGTAGCCATGGTGCGAACTCTGTTTATTCGGACCCCCACTGTTTTCAAAATCTGTCTCTCCTATTCCCTGCACCCTCTCTAGAGGCTGGATCTTTTCAAGGTGACTGGCAATACGGAAGAGAGTAATCGAAACCCTCCTGCCTGGGTCCCAGTTCCCACATAAGAGCCATGACCCTGTCGTCACTCCTTGAACCGTGTGCTACTTCAGCCACAGACCCTGGGCTCCCCTCAGTGCATGCCAGGCTGGTCTTCTTATGATGTAACAATATCATCCGTGGATCCAACACCTACGCTCTTCATGATCATATTTACTCTTTCTACTGAAACTCCTTTGCTTTGAAATGCTCTATTACTTTTGCTTTTGTGGCAATGCTTCCTACAGGTTCTCTTTCTTTCTTTTTTTTGTTGTTGTTTTTAGAGACGGAGTCTTGCCCTGTTGCCCAGGCTGGAGTGCAATGGCACGATCTCAGCTCACTGCAACCTCCGCCTCCCAGATTCAAGCAATTCTCCTGCCTCGGCCTCCTGTGTAGCTGGGATTACAGGTGCGCACCTCCACGCCCAGCTAATTTTTGTATTTTTAGTAGAGATGGGGTTTCACCATGTTGGCCAGGCTGGTCTCGAACTCCTGACCTTGTGATCCACCCACCTCGGCTTCCCAAAGTGCTGGGATTACAGGCGTGAGCCACCGCGCCCGGCCTCTCTTTCTTACCTTCATTGAGTCTTTGCTTGGCATTGTTTGGTCAAACAACAAAGAGCACCTTGTATTACACGGGGTTGGGGAAGGTCCCTACAGGCTCCTTCACGTTATCTTTCCTGCTTTGCTCACCATGGCCACAGCCCAGCCCCTGACTGACACTGTAGTTCATGGCACACCAGATACGTCTCATCTGTGGGTTCTGCTCTCTCATACTTTTTTGCACTTGCAAGTGTTGCCCTGGCAGATCTCTCTCATAAAAGTAATCTGACACGATTTACACATACTTCCATTTCCCTTTTTACATTATAAGTTACTCAAGAACAGAACAATTACACACTTGTCTCCACAGCACCTAGAACACTGACTCTCAATAACATTTGATAACCCAAATAAATCTCCATTAAGAAAGGCAGTCACATCTGCTGGGCATGAGTAAAGCCATGACCCTCAACTTCGATGAACATTCCATTAATCAGCTCCAGAATTTAGGACTTCATATACAAGTATCTTAAAATTAACATTTTAGATATTTGGGTTTTTAAAGAAAGAGAAAAATTTAAAAAGAGTATTTAAAAGGGTATAATTTAACCTTAAAAGCTTCTTCTTTGCTGAATTTTCTGGAGTCCTGGGAAACTTAGCTGTGGGTTTCTGAGGTGTATGCAAAATGGTCTCTGTTGATTTTGTCCTTGGATCTATCAGTCTCTCCATAATCTGTCTTGCATCCGATGCAAACTGCACGTGGTATTTGTGAGGGGATTCTGAATCAATGAGTAGGACATTTTCCAAATCATCTTCTTTTTCACTATCTGATGAATACTCTAAAATTTCTATAGAACTTGGCTGAAAAAAAATTAAAAGAAAGGCATATTTTTAAATACAAAGGATACTTTATTCAAGTCCACATTTATATACATCTATCATTCCATTCCCTTACAGTTACAGCTCTTGAAGGACCTTTTTGAATACAGTATCTGCAGCTTTAACTTCTGTTCTGACAAAATCCAAAAGTAACCAAGACAAAGATAAGAAGGGGTTAAATCAACTGTAAGCCAGACTTTATCTCACAGAACCCACAAAAATAAGTACAAATACTTCAATCTTCTTTCAGGAAACTACAAGACAGTACCACACATAGAGGCAATCTCCAAAACTGAACTAATAACACTCATCTGAAAGGCTGATGATCGTCACTACAATCTGACAGCTACTGGAAAGAAAGTATTTCTTGGATTTTGAAATTTAACATGAAGCTAAATTGTCTCTTCAGGTATAAATCATTTAATTTGCCAAAAGAAGTCCCCAAGGGTAAAGATAAAGACTTGACTCTCTCCATACAATTATATAATTATTTTCCAGAGACTAGTTTGAAATTGCAAATACCAACAGGAACTATTTAAGAATATGAGTCATTGTCTCCTTTTCCTAAGATTTCCTAAAATGTTTCTTTCTCCAACTCAGATTTCTAAACTTTCAAAATAATAATTTTTTGAAAACTGTATAATTATAAAACAAGAATTCATATCGTATGGCCAATAAAAAAGAAAAAAAATTATATGGCTAATTCTGGAGGGAAAAATCAAAACCTTTTCTGATGTTTTCTGTCTTTGCCAAGACACATGCCAAATTTAAAGCACAATAGGATTTTATTTTCCTGTTACTTGATTGTATAGGTCAATCCCATGTTATTCTGTGTCAGCAACAATTCATCCTTCAATATTCTAACTTCCAGTGCACTAAAAGTCCCATCTAATTCACTACCTAAATATTGGAGGTGGCACTAGAATTTACATCATTAGCAAATCTACATAAAACAAAAGGCCTTTTTTTCTGAGGATTATATGGTTAAATTCTTTCTTCTTTTTTCTTTGAGATGGAGTCTCACTCTGTCACCCAGGCTGGAGTGCAGTGGCATGATCTCGGCTCATTGCTACTTCTGCTTCTCGGGTAGAAGTGATTCTCCTGCCTCAGCCTCCCAAGTAGCTGGGATTACAGGTGCCCAGCACGATGCCCAGCTAATTTTTGTACATTTAGTAGAGACGGGGTTTCACCATGTTGGCCAGGCTGGTCTCGAACTCCTGACCTCAAGTGATCCACCCATCTCAGCCTCCCAAAGTGCTGGGATAACAGGCATGAACCACCAACCCCAGCCAAACTCTTTTTAAGAGTCAAAAAAAGGAACCATCCATCTCCATACCTCGTCAAAAAAACTGCTTGGGTAGTCACCTTCTATCAGGCACACTGAAAATAAGAAAAAGTAAATGTCTAAATTTCTAAAATAAATGCAGAGCTTAGTTCTACTGTCCTCACCATTTTAGTTTTGTGCCTAACTCACTCCAGGTACTTGTTAACCCATTAGTAACCATTGGGGCACAGATCTGCCTCACAAGAGAGATTGTGAATAAACAATCAAATTGGGCCACCAAGAGATCCAGAGCAGTTCAGAATGAAAATGAAGCTGACACTAAAACCCTTTACGTATTACTTAAGAACTCCATATTTAATTAACTTCATCTTTTCTGTTATGAGATGTCTTAAGTACCATAAAATTTTGCCCTTTGTCCTACAGCACTGTCTCTCAACCTTGGCACTCTTGACATTTGGGACTGGACCATGAGGTGGGCCGACGTGTGTGCAATGGGGTGCTTGGCAGCACCCTCGCCTCTCCCCGCTAGATGACAGGAGCACTGCCCCACCAGTCAGGACAATCAAAAAGGTCTCCGGAAGTTGCCAAATGTCCCCTGGGGGCAAAATCACCCCCAGTTGAGAACCACTATCCTAGAAATAAGTCAACAAATAACCAACCACAGGCGGCTTGGGCTGGGGACTCACGTGCAACCATGAAGAGGATTCATGCTGCTTGTGAGGATGGGGGAGGCCAGACCCAGATAGTTATGAAACACTGGTAGGAATGCTGCCATGGAGGTACTGCTGGGGCTCCAAGGAGAACACATAAGAAGGGCAACAAAGCCAAGAGGGGCACAGGGAAAGAGAAGAGTTAAGTGTCAGAAAAGGTCTGTTTCTGGCTGGGTGGGTGTAATCCCAGCACTTTGGAAGGCTAAGGCAGGCAGATCACTTGAGGCCAGGAGTTTGAAAGCAGCCTGGCCAACATGGCGAAGCTCTGTCTCTACTAAAAATACAAAAATTAGCCCGGTGTGGTGGCACACACCTGTAGTCCCAGCTATTGGGCAAGCTGAGGCAGGAGAATGGCTTTAGACCCTGGGAGGTGGAGGTTGCAGTGAGCTAAGATCACACCACTGCACTCCAGCCTGGGTGACAGAGTGAGAAGAAAGGAAGCAGGGGATGGGAGGGGAGGGGAGGACGAAAGACAGGACAAAGGACAAAGGACGGAAGGACGGAAGGAAGGAAGGAAGGGAAAGGGAGAGAGAGAGAGAAACAAAGAAAGGATGGAAAAGAAGGGAGAAGGGGAAGGGAAGGAAAAGAAAAGAAAGACAGAAAGAAAGAGAACGAAAGAATGAAAGGAAGGAAAGGAAAGGAAAGGAAAGGAAAGGAAAGGAAAGGAAAGGAAAGGAAAGGAAAGGAAAAAGGAAAGGGAAAAGAAAAGAGAAAAGAGAAAAGAAAAGAAAAAAAAAGAAAAGAAAAGAGGTTTGCTTCCCAGAATCTGGCACCTGAAGTTCAATGCTAAGTGTGGATTAATTAGGCAGAGAGAGGAGGGAAGGACATTCCAGGGAGAAGAAAGAGGAGGACCAAGATTCTGAGGCAGGAGAGAGCCACTGACAGCTTGACGCAGGAGCCAACAACCTCAGATGGTAATGTGGAATTGACCATTCGAACAACATTTGAATGGTGATACAGAGAGGGAGGAAACTACGCTGGTGTGGGGGAGGGCAGCTAGCTAGAAGGCTTTTCCATAGTCTAAGCAAGACATTGAGAGGATCTGAGAGGTAGTGGGAATAGAGAGGTGGACTGAAAAGAAAATGAGGAAAAGGATGCAATAACACTTGAGGACCAAATTCAACAGCAGGAAATACATTCAGGCAGGAGTTGCTAATATTCAAGCTAGTTTTGATGTGTGAATGTTGTGTGCCTATGGGATACCTGGGGAAAAACTGGTCAACAGGCAGTGGCTCTGCAGGTCTGGAGTTCTAAGAGTGATGTGGGATGGAAACACAACTTCAGAAATCATGAGAATCAGGATGTGAAGGCACGAGGGCTGGAGAAGACTATCTATGGAAAATTATGTGAAAGGAAGAAGAGAAGGTCCAAATTGGAACCTTGGAAATAGCAACAACATTCATGCTGTCTTCAGGTGACAAGAGACTGAAAAGTGTTCTGCATTTGACAAAAGAGAAATTGTACAGATACAATAAATCCATGGGACCTTGGTAAGAATGTGCCTTAAAGAATAAACGGAAGATAAAATGAAAACAGCAGACCTGATAATTTGTTTTAGAAAGTTTGGATAGGCATATTTAATTTTCTTTCCCAGAAAGGATGGCATAAAAAGGTACATGTGCTCAGCTGTGAACAACCTGGTACGACGATGCTTAAGTTAAAATCATGAAAACCATGAAGTCCAAATGAATTTCCTCAGTGAAGAATTTAACATCAGTAAGACTGGTAAGACTTAGCAGCTCAGGTAGTACTTCAAAATTCTCAGCATCAACCCATAACAAATTTTAGGTACCTTTGGCTTAAGCTATTGCTTCCTCAGTGAGAATTAGCTAATATCTAAGAATATACTGAATGCCAACTACCCACATGCTATGTTAGCTGCTACAGCAGTATAAAGAAATTTTCAAGTCCATCCTTGCTCTTGCATCCTTATACCCAATTTAAAAACTGAAGGAAAAACTAAACTAAAAATACAAAGCAAACATACCCTGCATACAGCAGATGTAGAAATGGAGAAGACCACTTGGAGTGGTAGTAGCCTAGAAGGTCCTTCCCCATAAAGGTGGTGTCTGACTCGAACACTGTTGTGGTCTCAGCCCTACTCCCTACTAGTGGGCTACCTTAGGGAATTTATTTAACTTCCCTAAGGTAGTTTCTTTGATGAGGTTGTTTCCCCATCTTCAAATTGGAGATGCAGTAATAAATGCTAACATATAAGCATTTAGCAAATGTTAGCTATGCTTTTTAGCCCATATAGTTTACATGTCGTTTGGTTTTAAATTTAATATTTTAAAATTTGTACTTATTTTTCTGTTAAAACTTTTTTCTTGGTTTCTTTTCTTTTCTTTCTTTTTTTTTTTTTTTTTTGAGACGGAGTCTGGCTCTGTCGCCGAGGCTGGAGTGCAGTGGCGCAATCTCGGCTCACTGCAAGCTCCGCCTCCCAGGTTCACGCCGTTCTCCTGCCTCAGCCTCCCGAGTAGCTGGGACTACAGGCGCCCGCCACTACGCCCAGCTAATTTTTTGTATTTTTAGTAGAGACGGGGTTTCACCATGTTAGCCAGGATGGTCTCGATCTCCTGACCTCGTGATCCGCCCGCCTTGGCCTCCCAAAGTGCTGGGATTACAGGCGTGAGCCACCACGCCCGGCCTTTTTTCTTGGTTTCTAAGAAGATTTCTATACAAAAGACAATGAGGAACACCAAGAATGTCTTCTGTAGACAACCAAAAAGACAAATACTGTCTTAACCCACAGAGCAAATCCTGGATTCTTCGTGTAGTCATTTTTTAATTAATTATTTACTTTGTTTGTTTTTTGTTTTTTTAAGACAGGATCTCACTCCGTTGCCCAGGCTGAAGTGTGGTGGCGTGAACACAGCTCACTGCAGCCTTGACTCTCCTGGGATTGAGTGATCCTCCCACCTCAGCCTCTCAAGTAGCTGAAGCTACAGATGTGTGCCACCATACCTGGCTATTTTTAAATTTTTTTTTGTAGAGACAAGGTCTCACTTTGTTGCCCAGGATGGTCTCAAATTCCTGAGCTCAAGCCATCCTCCCACCTCAGCCTCCCAAAGTGCTGGGATTACAGGTGTGAGCTGCTGCACCCGGCCCATGTAGTCATTTCTAACAGGAACCAAGGCAGAAGGAACACCTTTAGGAAAGGATAACTAGAAGCCATCATTTTAGCATATGGTATTTTAGAATATCCCCCACGTCCATAACCCCAGATGAACACGGAGGAACTCTCATACCACGGACAGAGAGGACCTACTGGCTCACCGGACACCAGCTGTCTTGGCCTAAGCCCGACTGTGAGAAACACACGATCTTTCAGAAAGGATATGTACAGGTGTGCATGTGTGCACAGACAAGTGTGTGCCAGAGAGGGTGGAAGAGAGAGGGAATAGTCAGAAATAGGTCAAAGGCAACTGCAGGTTCATAGGTTCAAGCTTATATTTCCTTTCTACATTGTAGAATCAGACTAACGAGAAAGGAGGGCCATAAGTTTTGGAACAAGACAGATTTGTTTTTGATCACAGCTCAACTGTTTAATTACTTTGTTACTTTGAACAAGTTGACTCCCCCATTCCCAGCTTAATCATCCAAAAATGGAAAAATTCTTTGAGAAATATTTTAAGATACAGATAATGACTATTTATTATGAAATATTTAACGGCACAGAAAGGTAGGAAAAAAAAATAACAAGTAGATGTACCCATCACCTTCTGTCAAATTTTAACACGATGCAAGTTTTTCTTTAGTTTTTTTTTTTTTTAATGGTATGGTTGATATGTCCTATATTTCTCTTTCTATGCCTGTTCTCCTTAGAGGCAACTCTCTCCTGAATTTGGCATTTCATTATTATCTGCTTTTTTTTTTTAATAGCACACATACAAATGAACTATTTTGCAAGGACACAGCAGCTGTAGATCATTAATTTTCATTGCTATAAAGTATTCTGACTATACCACTTTTTACTTATCTATTTCACTGTTGGTAGACACTTAAGAGTTTTGTAAATTTTCACATTAAAACAAAACTGTAACATGTGTGTACTATACTTGTTTCACTGGGCACATACATGCTAGCTTCTCAGTGGTATACACTAGCCCAGTGGATTCTTGGACAGTCCATTCTCAACTACACTGGCAACTGGGAGATGGCTCTGTAGAGACCCTGTGCTGACAGAAATGCCCATCAGCAGTGTTTGAAAGCTGTGGCACATTATCAGCATCACTGAGTAATTTTAAACTTTTAAATGTATACATATCTGATGGGTGTGAAATGTTTTATCTCTCCTACTTAAGTGTGCACATCCCAGATCATTCACAGGGTTGAGCCTCTTTGCACTTGTTAATTGGCTCTTCACATTTCTTCCTGTGTGTTCATATCCTTTAACCATTTCTCCAGTAGGAGAGAAAATGAATTTTTCAATCATCTGGATCTATGTGTTCCATAGAGAGAAGGTGGTCAGAAAATTGTTATTAAAATTTTAAAGTGACAGAAGAAAGACCCGGTATACACCACTGACATCTTTCCCAGTACCTTAAAAACATCAACCACATTTCTTAACCACAGTTATTCCTGATAGGTTGCCTACTGCTGCCACATGGTGACCCAATGTACTTGGGCGAAATTTTTGTTCCATGGAAACTTTTTTTTTTTTTTTTTTTTTTTGAGATGGAGTCTTGCTCTGTCGCCCAGGCTGGAATGCAGTGGCACCATCTCAGCTCACTGCAAGCTCTGCCTTCCGGGTTCACGCCATTCTCCTGCCTCAGCCTCCTGAATAGCTGGGACTACAGGTGCCCACCACCACGCCCAGCTAATTTTTTGTATTTTTAGTACAGACGGGGTTTCACCGTGTTAGCCAGGATGGTCTTGATCTCCTGACCTCGTGATCTGCCCGCCTCGGCCTCCCAAAGTGCTGGGATTACAGGTGTGAGCCACCGTGCCCGGCCGGAAACTTTTATCCTTTACCAAATCATCCTTACAAAAAAAATTACTTTGCGCAAATGATGAATTTCAAGAACAAAGATTTAAATTTGTTTTTCTTTTAAAACACTTACATTTTCCATATTTTTCCTATTTTTGCAAAGGTAACCAACTGATGCCCTCTTGAAACTTTCACAGATTACTTCCTTCAGATATATAGCCCAGTTACAGAAATAATACAGATGAGTAAGTCAGGATCTTTTATAGCATTAAAACATCTGCAATGGTCAAATGCACAGAGCAAAGAATGACTATGTAGCTATTATCATAATCTGCTAATGTTTAAATACAATAAAGTTATTATCATCAGGACTTTTTTTCCTCCTTGATGTAAGCAAGTTTGGGAGGAGGAGTCTTCTGATTTAGTGAGTAAATATCACAAACAACAACACTGGCATGAGGCAAGGAGTAGTTTTTATGAAGCCAGTCAACAAAGACAACAGTCTGGTCCTATTTCCATTGCAATATACTAACATGACCTTGGTTGAAGCCATCTACAATTTCTCAAAACCATAAAGTATTCAATACTGGCTCCGTTTCCAAAGTTAGCAATACTGCTGTAGTACACATCTGTTGCAATTTATTTCTGACTCCTCTTTTCAGAGAACAAATATGTCTCTGTCCACAGAAGGAAACCCTTCAACCTCTGGCAGCCATGGGGTTATGGACATCTCACATCTCAGTGGCCATGTGTCTAGGATAAGACTTCTGTCAGGGGTCAGAGCTGATTGGCCTCAGGTAGACAACTGACCAATGCTAAGCCAATCAGATTTTTTTCCTCCAGATTTTGAACTGACGTAGAGTCTGGGAAGTGGAAGTTAAGCTACACTAATGACAAACCTCTAGACGAAAAGTCCATGAGCTCATGCTGGTGAGGTTCCCAGGGCTGCCCCAAGGTTCAGTTCATCCTTCAACTTCATCTTAAGTTACTCAAGATTTGCAGTACTGTTCTAGTGAATTTTCTCTTCTTTTAAAACCAGCTACATTTGGTTCCTGTTATTTGCAACCAAAAGGATATTTACCTGAAAAATATCTCCAAATAGAGAAAATATTAAATAAATATTTATTCAGTACACACCATGTACAAGGTATTATGGAATAGAGAAAATATGATGAGACACACTTCCATAAAGAGCTTGAAATAAAATAAAGCAGATATAAGTATGGCTCACACTAGTGCTCCAAATGGACAAAAAATGGAGCCCTTATTTCTGGTTGATCTAAAACCAGCAGACATAGTGGAAGAGGTAAAACCTATACTGGGTCTCAGAGGATTAGAAAATTCTCAACCGATAAAGATACAGAAAGAGAGAAGAAAGCACCTAAGGCAGGAAAGTACAATGACCTTCATGACCTACAGACGAGTCTAGACAACTGAGAGTTTAGAGTTCATACTGGGAGGCAAGAGACAGTGATGTGAAAAACATAATCCTATGGATTGGGTGAGGAGCAAGCTGTGGAGGATCTTGAATGTCAGGTTTAACAGTTTAGATATCACTGAAGAAAGCAGAAAGCTTTTGAAGATTTCCAAGTAGGCAAGGAGCATGAACTTGGAAGACACGTTGAGAAGACTGTTGTGGAGACTGCAAATGGGATGTATTTGAAGAAGGGAAATGCTCATGCAGTGAGTTACTGTAAATATCCCGGCCAACTTCTCTCCATTTCAGAGCTGCCCATCTTCCCTTAAAGGGTTCAATTCACATATTCACAAATATCTCAATACAACAAGTTCAAAATCAAACTCCTGATATGTTCCTCAAAACCAGTTGTTTGCCTCAGTATCACCTGGATCAATAATACCACATGCCACCTATGTGCAAGTCAGAAGTCCCTTGATATTCAATTCATGACTAAGTTTTACCTCTAAAACTAACAAGGATGTGCCCCCTTCTCTCCACCCATTCCCACCTGGCACCACAATGGCTGTGACTCATAGCTGGTCTCTTGCTCCACTCCTGCCCTCCTGCCAGGGTCTGCCCTACACACCACAATCAGAACAACCTAAGTCAGAGCATTCCATGCTCTTAAGATCCTATAAACAACTTCCCAGTACACCTAGGATGCCATTCAATGCCCCCCACCTGCCCTGTGGTCTCTAAGCCCTCAGGTGGCCCCTGCTCCCACCAGGCCTCCATTCATAGCTGTCTGCCTCCTCGCTGCTCCCCAGCGCTTCTGACGTGCTTTCAGGTTTCTACACTATATTCTTCCCTGCCTGTGGATGCCATAGCCCTTTCTGCCCTAGAATATGCTTCCTCATTCCCACCCCAAATCTTTCCCTAAGTCTTTCTCATGTTTCAAGGTTTCAGCTTAAATATCCCCTCATCACACAGGTCTGCCTTCAGCACCCTAGCAGAAATTGGTGAGTGCTGGGGCTGGGGCAACAGCAGTAAGTTCAATCTATATCTGTATCTATATCTATATCTATATCTATATCTATATCTATATCTATATCTATATCTATATCTATATCTCTCTCTCTCTTTCTCTCTCTCTCTCCCCTCGTCCCCCCACTTCCTCCTTATTTTCTGGAACATGAGAAAATTAGGCTCCCTTCAACTATAGTAAAACAGAAAAAATAACCACAACAATATCATCATCATCAAGTTCTTATACTAGGCTCCACCAGTTTTGAAATATTTATAAATGTATTAACTCATTTATTTCTCACAACTGAATGAAAAACAGTGATGGAAAACTACTCATTATATCTAAATATCAGTAACTGTACTGGGAGAGGCTGTCCTATACATGGGAACACATGAGGGATGACACTTCAGTGGCTTGCTCGAGCCCCCACAGCAATCCAGTAACAGAGGTAGGAAGCAGCCCACTTCCTACCACTCCTGACTCCACTCTTCCAAAATGCTGTTCCACCTCTCCAGGCATACACACCTGATTTCCTCAGTGAATCTCAAAGCAACAGTTAATAACTAGGAGCCTCAGTGTAACCAAAAAATTTTAAAATATACATATATAAAGTATATGAATACTTACGTCAAGTAGAATTACCCCATTAAATTTAAAGAATTTCCCTCAAGCTTTTTTCATTCAAGCAAGGAAAATTCTAAAAAAGAAAATAAATGAAGGGCAACTACACTTACCAAATAATAAATCATACTGTAGAACTATAGTTATTAAAAGCTTGGTACCAACACAGGAATAGACTATCCAATGATTGATATTCCTGAAGTATACCCAAATTGATATTCCTTAAGTATACCTACATAGAAATAAGATTGCATATAAAAATAATAAAAATAAGAGTGCAAAAGAAACTTACTTGGGAATAACTACCTATCCAGAGAGAAAAAAAAAGCTGGATCCCTCTCTATTTACACCAAAATCAATTTCCAAAGGATCAAAAAATCAAAATATTTTTATAAAGAACTAAAACAAAATATGGATACATTTTAAAAATAATTGTAAACTGGAGAAAGGTTTTTCTAGTATGACACAAAGTCCATAGAAGAAATGACAGACCACATAAAAATTTAACTGTGTCCAAAAATTTCCCCAAGTAGAAACATTTAAAAGAGAGCAAACTGGTAAAACAACAACAACAAAAGAGGACAAAAAAGAAAAAATCTGCCACAATTAACAAGCAGTTTGTTTTCTTTGATGTACAAAAAACTCCCATGAATCAATAAGAAATGGGAAGCCAACCCAATGGAAAAAATGAGCAAAATATGCAAAAAGGCATTCCAAGGAAACGTGATACAAACTACCAATACAAGATGATCAGTCTCCCTGGGAACCACAGGCCGGCAGAAGCACTTGGCCACTGACAGAAAGAGTGAATTCCTGTGACTGTGCTGGGAGACTAAAAGCAAGGTATGTTAAAACTTAAAATGTAAATACTTTTAACCTATCAATTCTCTTACAGGGTCTATTCATTCAACTGTCCAGACTCATATGTACATGAAGGCATAGCGTAGCATACTTTATATGTAAAGAACACCCAAAACCAAAAAACTGGAATCATCCATTAATCAAGTGCTGGTTATGGTATTTATACAAGAAAATATCATGCAGCCATTAGAAACAATGTGACAGATCCATAAGTCTTGATAAGAATACAGAAAATTACAAAACTAATGTATATATAGGAAGACCTTACGGGTGAGAAAAACAAAAAAATACAGAAGAACACATACAGATATTCTTATATACACAGAACAGTTCTTGAAGACTACACAAGAAACAACAATGATTAATTCTGGGAGCTGAGGTTATTATTCTTTGCTTTAACTACTGTTCTAATTGAAATTTTTTCCATAAGTATGTATTTTTTATTTAAAAATATTTAAAATTTAGTAAATTAAAAGTAGAGAGTATAAAAGGACCTAGAGGATCCAGACACTCAGGTGACAAAAGAGGAAACAAAACAAAACAAAATGGAGGGAGAAGGAACAAAAGAGAGAGACTGGCAAGAAGTGATCTCATGGGTAGGAGAGGACACATTATTTCAATCTGTTAAGTAACTAGGGATGTTTGTTCTCCCTTCAAAATGAGCAGAACAAGAAATAAATAAATATTTCTTAGGCCATCTAGATAAACAAAAATATATCAGTGGCCACTGACTTGAGTCGGCAATGGAATTTTTTAGCAGAGGATCTGAGTTCATGGCCTCCAGCCCAGAGGGTGAGAGGGAGGAGGAGGAGAGGACGGCAGGGGTGTGAGGGAAGCCCCGCATCTGTCTAAACTGGCAGCTGCTGCTCAGAGCGAACCGCCTCCCGCAATACAGGCAATCTGCCCAATAACTAGCAGAGTTTCTTCAAGGGAAGATAAAGAAATCTGAAACCTAAGTGAATTTTCCTAATTGTAAAATGTTTGCCACTAACTGAAAAAACAAAATGTTTTTAAACATGGTATAAGGGCACTACAGCCTGCGGATACCAGTTTCTATACAAATTACGCTGAAGTACTAAAAAAAAGAAAAAGTAATTTCTAATAATATTTCCAACTTTTCTTCAATGCTAGGTTTCATCAGTCTTACGTAACACAAAAGCTTTATTTTAGTAGTTTCAAAGTAAATAGAAAACCAGAAGTATCAGTAAAGCTATACTTTTTCAAAGGCTAACAAAAACGTACATATACAACTACACAAGAACAAAGATTTGAGAGTAGTTTCACCAGAAACATTGATGTTTTGCTTTACTGAGGGGGCTGGGTGGGCTTAAAAATGAGTGGTAAACTCTC
This sequence comes from Homo sapiens, assembly GCF_000001405.40. Taxonomy (NCBI): domain Eukaryota; kingdom Metazoa; phylum Chordata; class Mammalia; order Primates; family Hominidae; genus Homo; species Homo sapiens. The sequence goes on along the minus strand of NC_000008.11, from coordinate 47,384,174 downwards.
ATTCACTAATTAATTCAACAAACCAATACATGCTAATGTAGCCCTAAGAATTCAGTAGGGAAAAATGGAATCCTTCATAAACTGTTGTCATTTTTGTTCAGGTGAATTCTCTTTCCAGTTTTAGAGTTTTGTGAATGCATTACCAAAACAGTAAGTTGCGAGAATTAAATACCATATATCAAAACATGAACATTTTATACTAATAATACCTGGTGGTATTCAGGCCTAACAAGTTCACTGAAACCCTGCACTGCAAAAGGTGAACAGACTACCTGGAATTTCTGTCCTTGAGTCAAAAAGATAAAAGCAAATAATCAAAATGGCAAGCCCAAGCCTCCTTTCTACTAATTATAAAGATTATAGTTAAAAAACACAAATATATAGTTTTACTTATAAAAATAATTTTCTAAAGCATAAATTAAATACAAGTGTGTGCCTGCAGGTGGATGTATAGAAAGAGAGCACACAGGTCCTCTTGCACAAAGGCAAATAAATCAACAGAACCATCAGCAGTGGCGACAACGCTCTAAATCTATTTTCTTAGAATGATGATGAACTTGGGCAAATTCACCCACACTCATTAAATAGGGCTTTGAGACACTGGAGTCTGGGGGTCAGTGGTAAAGTCTGTGCATTCTGACTTGTCTCCACCTCCAACTCCACTGATGAAATGCTCTGGCAAATTAAGTTAATACAGCATTTTAATGTAGTAATTCAGCACACTGGCAAGTGCTGATTCATTTCCGGCCCATTACTTTAATAACTATTATTCTAAAACAGTTCAGTAACCAAATAGTACCAATGAAAACACTTCAGAGAAAGAGTCAGTTGGTTCAAGTGATATACTAGAAGAGGCCAAAGTTCATGCCAGCCAGGATAATGGTATTAATTGAAACAGATAAAATATTAGGGAGCAAAGAAAGAAGAAATAAAATACTATTTGGAGTTTTAAATGCTCAAGAGGACCAGCACAAAGACACAGAGCACCTGGCAGGAGGCTGGAAAAGCAGCTGTTTGGCAAAGAGACCATGGAGAAGAAAAGATCCCAGTGAGATGCCCCTGTGGTGGGTAGGGTGAGGATGCAGCAGTGCCCTAACTCCTGGGCTTCCAACAGTTCGGGGGCATTTCTACAGCTTTGCCTCACCACAGACAGCCTCCCACAGGCTGTATACTAGGAGTTAAAATGACTCCACAATTCCGTTTCTTTTGGGGATTCTTTATTTTGACAATCTGTAATACTGGGCAGTCAAAACGATAAGAAAAAGACCTATTGCTTCTCTAACTTGAAATCTTCCAGTTTTTTGGTAATGTATGCAATGGGGGGAAGTGGTGCATAAAAGGAGAAATGCGGGCATATACTTATAGGAGCTGACCAGAAAAAACAATTTTAAAATGCTACAATTCTCTAAAGAGGTGGATATTCAACAGTATCACTTTTTCTTTAAAAAAAATAACAAACTTCAGGCTGGGCCTGGTGGCTCATGCCTGTTAATCCCAGCACTTTGGGAGGCCGAGGTGGGTGGATCACGAAGTCAAGAGATCGAGACCATCCTAGCCGACATGGTGAAACCACGTCTCTACTAAAAATACAAAAATTGGCTGGGTGTGGTGGTGCACTCCTGTAGTCCCAGCTACTCCAGAGGCTGAGGCAGGAGAATCGTTTGAACCCAGGAGGCAGAGGTTGCAGTGAGTTAAGATTGCATCACTGTACTCCAGCCTGGCAACAGAGCGAGATTCCATCTCAAAAAAAGAGAAAAAACTTTAAATTTAAAAATTAATTAGCACAATGCTTTATATAATTCAATTGCTACTCTTTAAGCTAATGTTACTTCCTGTAATCTTACCTACACATTTCTTTATGAAATGTTCAGAAAAACTTCTTGTGATTGCCCTGAATACCTGAAGTGCTACCCTTGAACTGCAGTGTCCCAGTTCCTATCAATCAAATCTTAATCTAAGTCCATGTATGACAGTCTACACGTGTAGGGTCCTCCTAGATGAAAACCTGTGTCTGCTATCAAGTCAGGAAGACATTGAAGTCTAATTTCAAGATGAAGCAGTGCCTCTTTGGTATGAAACAAATTAGCCAGATGAAACACCATTCTTTAATGTTCAGAAATTAAAGCTCTTGATTCTAAAATTTATAGAAAGGTCACACCAAGAGCAATAATGGAATATCACTAATAAATTATCACATCCTTATTTTAAAATTACACCTTTGTAGCTAAATGCTACCCAGCTGGTAGAACAAAGGGAGGATGGTAACTAAACTAATATCATTATTTGAGATAACCAATCATAAGAAATAAAACTTCACTTGACTCATATTTCATGCAAAAACAAAAGTCTCAAGTCTTTGGTCTTGGCCAACATGCAAAGGCGTGCCACGGGGCGGCTCTGTGAGGACACCTTGTGCGCCTGGTGCCACGTGGGGCAGGTCCAGCTGAGCCCAGACTCGCAGGCCAGGTGAGCTGCCCATGCCACTTCCTGCCAATCGCTGGTTTCTGCTCTCTGAGGCCTCCCACCCAATTACTGACCAGGCCCAGACCTGCCCGAATAGGATCTTCTGAGAACACCCAGAGCAGTGTTATGCCAAGTTCACCCTGCCTATCCTGAGTTCAGCCTCCCTTTCTTAAAGTCACACTACAAACGAGCACAGTCAGTAGCACCATAAGGAAAGAACAAAGAGTCAGAAGGCCCTGGCTGCCTAGAAGCTTTTAAATCCCATACAAACCACTGTTTTAAGGAGGTTGGATGGTAAGAGCAACAACAAAAATGCTACAGAAGATACACCATGGCAAGTAAAATAATCAAAACCAAGACTGCTCTTCACACTGAGGGGAATGAAAGAGTACTGGTGGCTGACAGGTCAATAGATTTGGTTATCATATGCCTGCGTTTCCACTCTCACTTCTAAAATGAAATTTATTCATGTAACACATTAACTGAGTGCCTGTGTATCAGGAATCATTCTGGGTACAATGGGTACAGAGGGAGGGAAGGAGGGAGGGACCCAAAGTCTTTATCCACAGGTCTATTACCCCAGTGCAGCCATGGCACACATACACACATTAATTCATGTAGAATGCTCTCTGTTTACGCGTTAAGAACTTCACTGGTTGTGTGGAAAAGAACAGCAAAACAACACAAAATAAAGAGTATATTGGACTCCCAGTTGCTAACAAAATTTTATTTTCTATTGAATTAAAACCAATAAAGCAACACCAATTCCAGACAATAGAAAGGCTTAAGCCACCAATAAGAGATCTCCTTTCACTGTTTACATGGTGTGCTTTTTGTGACTGAAACTTTATCCGTGAAAATCAGCCAGCTAGTGAGAGGCAAAACAAAAGCTACAGGTTTTCTCATACATTCAAGGAAAAAAATATTTTCTGAGGTAAACAGGTTTAACAAGCTACACCCATAGTTACACCTCTGAAAACCACCTGGCTTGCCTTCCTTAAACTAGATACATGTTTCCAACCTCAGCTGCAGCTCAGTGAGAAGGAGAGAACTTAACTCAAACCTATGGACTGGCTTACAGAAGCCCCCTCCACCTATCGTCAGCCTGGCACCTGCTCTGAGGAGCCCAAGGAGAAATGACAGACAGCGGGGCAAGAGGGGAGGGGAATCACGAGGCTCAAGAAAGGCACCTGCCGGGTCAAAGTTCACCAAGCAGGAGTGGAGGGTGGAGAAGGCGGCAGTGACCAGGGCCAGGGGGCTCCACAGCAAACAGCAGGCCCCGCCCAGCAACACGGTCCTCCGAGGTCCTGACGCACCTTGTCTGCAGTGATCACAGATGAAAAGTACCCCCTTCTCCAAAAAAAAATAGTGTACACCTGTGGAATTCTGACACAAACTGTGATACGACCTGTCTGGCCATTCTGTGTGTTTTAAAACCTGCTCAGTGAGTGTGAGTCCTGAGCTGCTGCAAGGGAGCCTTCTGCCAGGCCCAGGCAGGGGCAGCACGCGTTGCTGTGGTGCAGGCTGAGAGGTCATCGACTCAGACCTACACTCAAAACCTGGGCCTCAAAATTAGTAGAAACAAACACGATGGCATGTTTTAAAAATAAATCTGTTCACTTATGCCCCTGGACCCAAGGCAAGACAGGTTGCTTCTGGTTATGAGCCAAGCTTTATTTTTATTCAAGGCAAAGAATTAAAATGCTACACAATGGGTGGGGAAAATGGAAGAAATTGAGAGAGAAGTCCTGAGAAGGTAGCAAATTTCAGAGGAATCAAGCCAGGTGAGTGTTCTAGGATAACAAAAGCAATAAAGAAAAGCAAAAGCAGTAACCAGTGAGTGGACAGCCCTGAGCTGTGGGCCCAGGGGGTGCTCCTCACCCAGAAGCTCCACAAGGAGCAAAGGCAACAGGGATCAAGGGGACACAGAGCTCCGCAGGCACATGGGCTTGAATACACTCAGGTGAATAAAGTTAAACAGGCCTTGTCATAGGCCCCAGAAACCTTGAATATGCTTGTGTGCACTGTGCCCTCTACGAGGAGTCTGCAGTAAGTAGTCTTTCCTAAACTCCTTTAGCCACAATTTAACCAGTGTTTCACTGTACCTCATGGAGCTGAATTCTCTAAAATCTTATATTTTAATCATTTTAATGAAAAGCTCTTGCAAGTGAAGTTTTCCATGATTTCTTCTTTCACCCAATTCACCCAGGCTGGAGGGCAGTGATGCTATCTTGGCTCACTACAACCTCCGCCTCCCAGGTGTACCACAGCCTCCCGAGTAGCTGGAACTGCAGGTGTGCACCACCACACCTGGCTAATTTTTGTATTTTTTGTGGAGATGGGGTTTCATCATGCTGCCCAGGCTGGTCCCAAACTCCTGGACTCAAGCCATCCGCCCACTCCTAAAGTGCTAGGATTACAGGCGTGAGCCACCAAGCCCAGCCTCTTCTAACTTCTTATTATATGTTGAATATAGGCGAATAATCTCATGACAGCCCACAGGCATTCCTGTGGAAAGCCATTATTTTGGACTCTGAGGTAGTGCAGTTCTGCTTCCCGGCTGGGCTTCCTTCCCTCTGGCTACATGTAGGCTGCTCTGCTCGCTGGCCCCACTCCTAGGGTGCCGGATACTGCCCTAACAGCCTTTTCTGGCTGATGCCAAAGCCACGAGCCCCTTCCAGTTTGCCTTGGGTTTAGGGGCCAGATAACAGCAAGACTCAATGTGGACACTAGGAGGACTATAAAGATGAATAAAATATAGGTTCTGCTCTTTAGAGATTTACATCTGGCTACTTGTTCACAATTAAGCTGAGCCACTGAGAGCTCAAAACACTCAACTGTAAAGCAAATCTACTAGCAATTATTTCAGAGTCCCAGGGCCCCCTTCAAGATCCAAGGTTAGCTCCAAAGGCACCGGCTGGACTTTTGGCAAGTGCCACCTTGCCATCTTGCCATCTTAGGTGTACATAATGATCCTTCTTTGAAATAATCAAACTTGAGCAAAATAATCCTCATGAGATTACTTTGGGGTGAAAGAAGACAAATGAGGTAAACTGACACAAGATTAAATGAATTATATGCAGTTGTTCACAGTCACACAAGTTAACAGAAAAATCTCAGGAACCACCACTATCCACACAGTATCTTATACACAATGTACCAGGCTCTGTCTAGAAAATAATGGAAGCCAGAAGAATAAGAGAGTAAAATCTATATGTATGTAGATAACATTTAACTTTGATAGCTGCAATTACAAAGAAAGGCAAAATGAATTCTCTTTAAAGAACAAATTTGTCCTATGTATTTTTCCATAACCATGACATTCAACAAGTGTGATTTCCCAAGGACTTTAGTATTAAGGAATTTGAAAGGTGTCATGTTTCATAATGCTTGTTTCATCATTATTTCAATAGTGAAAAGATAGTCTTTAATATACTGTTGGGAATTTTATTGGCCACAATGAGCTAAAACAATATTATAGACATAAGTCATCTCTGAAAATAATTACTCTTTGATATTCATGCAAGAACATGAACTATGGGAAAAAGTGCCAGGTACTCTCAGTCCCTAAGAAAAACTAGAAATGTCAAAGGTAGTGCTGGAAACCCCACTCTTGGGAAGACACTTGGTTTAAGTTATGAATTCAAACAAAACAATGTTTATCTTGGTGTAACTTTACCCATAACTTTAAGTACTATAAAGTTATCCTGGGCTTGATTTATAGAATCATATAAGTGTTTCTTAAATGAAGATAAGATACTGCTGAATAAAAATAATCAAGGCACTAAAAGGACATTTTGTAATATAAGTACAACTAGCAGAACATGTTGTGTTTCTGAAATATATGCTACTAGAGATTCTTATTATGGAGAGCTTGGGAATGAATTAGCAGGCTGAGTTGCTCCAACCTGTTCAGGTGACTGGCCCTTGACGCGGCCACTTGGGAACTGAGTTCTTGGAATATTCTGATAGAAATGTTTGCATGCTTGAAACCTTGACCACTCTGTCTACACAGTCTGTGCAAACAACATACTTTATGGTGAAACCTGCTGTTTCCTCCTGAGGGACTGCAGTTTCAGTAGCTGTGGTCAGTCACACAGGCCCTGTGAATCTACAAAACTGAATCAGAATAAAAATCCTCAACTGTTAGGACCAAGTGACAATATTTGCACATAATGAACTGCCATAATTCATTGCTAGAGGAACTAAGTGTGTCCTGTGCAACTCCCATGGAACTGGACACTTGGAGGCTTGTGCCTGGTCTCCTCTAGACTGCTCCCAACACATCTTTCCCACTTGCTTCCTTTGCTGTAATAAACTGCAGTCATGAGTATACCTACTTCTAAGTCCTAGGACTCCTTCTAGCAAAGCACTGAACTTGGAGATAATCTTAGGGACCCCAAACACACAAAGTTTATCGGATTGTATTAATTTTATCACATTTCCTATCATTTCAGTACAGTGAGATGTAAAAACCAGTCTATACAACCCTGGTGGTAATCAGGTATAGCTAAATACATTAAAAATAGTAACTTAAAGGACTTAAAAGAAATACCAGTCCCCAGAGATGGAAGCCATTTAGGGTTAAATGAATGTGGCTGTGGCTAGAAAGCAAATCACCATCCAGAACAGGGGTCAGCAAGCTTTTCTATAAAGGACTATATGGTAAATATTTTAGGTTTTGTGGGCCATGCAGTGTCTGTCACAAATACCCAACCTTGCCACTGTAATGCGACGGCAGCCAGAGATAACACATGAACTAGTGAGTGTGGTTGTACTCCAATAAAACTTTATTTATGGAGACAGGTGATAGGCCAGATTTGGCCTGTAAGCTATAGTTTGCCAACCCCAATCCAGAACAAATGCACTTCAATAAAAATGATGTTTCTCAATTTCTTTACTAGGTTAAAAAAAATTTTTTTTTTTAAGGAAAATCTCAAGATGTTTTTCCTCATCACTCAATGTACCTTGATATGCTACAAAACTCTAAAATTCAGATGACCTACACTACAAGTATAGTGATTTTGAAAATTCAACTTACTATTTATTGGAACCTACTATGACCTTAGTACAACATCAAATGTTCTGAAGAGACATTGATGTATGGGATCCTGCCACTGGCACTGGGATATTCCAGACTGGTTAATGTTGCCCTGTATGGGTTTTCTAATGCTTCACAACAAATCACCACAAACTTAGCAACTTAAAACACGACCCATTTATCAGCTCACAGCTCTGTTCAAACTTTATCTGGGTAAACAGAAGGCTGGGCATGACATGACCGGGTTCTATATACAGGGCTTCCCAAGGCCAAAAGCAAGGTCCTGGCTGGGGTCCCTTGTCATCTGGAGCTCAGGATCCTCTTCCAATCACACCTGCTTGGGGTGTGATTCAGTTCCTTCCACACTGGGGTCCCTGTTTCCTTGCAAGCAATTGAGGCTGCTCTCAACTTCAAAAGGCTGCTCACATTACTTGGCACGTGATCTCATCCATGTTTAAAGCTAGCCAGAAATAAATAATCTTTTTGCTCTTCAATTCCTGCTCAGTTCCTGTAACTGGCTCTTACAACAAAAAGGTTTAATTTACCTAGATTCAGTGTTGCTCAGAGACCTCAAAGTGTGTCTAACACAATCAAAGTCCCTAAAAAGGCACAGTGAGAGATGATTTTGAAATGATTTTTTTCTTAGAAATAATTCTATCCTAAGGTCATGTAAAATGATGGATTTCCTGGGATTAATAACAAACTTCCTGGGAACACTGTCTCAGCATTAACATAATCTTAAGCATTCAGGTAATGTAGAACTTTGAATTAAGTCAAACTTAAAAAGCTTTTCTATTGTGCTAGATTCTTAATAATGCTTCTAAGAGCCCCAAATGTATTCAAATTCCTTTCTTCAACATCTACAACTTACTGATTTAATGACAACTGTATTAAAAGAAACTGAACAAAACAAGACATTTCTGGGCACAGTGGTGCGCACCTGTAGTCTCAGCTACTCAGGGAGATCCCCTGAGCCCAGGAATTCGAGGCCAGCCTATGCAACACAGCCAGACACTGCCTCTTTAAAAAAATTTTTCTAGTAGCTTGAGAACATGGAACAATTAAACCTATTTCTTTGAAGGCCGTGCTTTAGAAAACAATTGTTATTTTTGTTTTCTTAATAGCTATTAACAGCCGGCGCAGTGGCTCATGCCTGTAATGCCAGCACTTTGGGAGGCCGAGGCGGGCAGATCATGAGGTCAGGAGTTCGAGACCAGCTTGGCCAACATAGTGAAACCCCGTCTCTACTAAAAATACAAAAATTAGCTGGGCACGGTGGTGTGCGCCTGTAATTCCAGCTACTTGGAAGGTTGAAGCAGGAGAACTGCTTGAAGCTGGGAGGTGGAGGTTGTGGTGAGCCACGATTGAACCACTGCACTCCAGCCTGGGCAACAGAGTGCGACTCTGGCTCAAAAAAAAAAAAAAAAAAAAAAAAAAGCCTATTAACTCTTAACTCAATCTATTCCCCACTGCCCCTCAAAAGAATAAAACTTTTAAACTAGACAAAGCAAAGTAAGAAAATCTTATCCCTTGAAAACTGTCCATCAACCTTGGCTACACATCTCTCTGGCCTTGTCTGTTATAATTAAATGTCTGGGGTTTTTTGGGGGAAGAGGTGGACCAAGTCTTGCTCTGTTGCCCAGGCTGGAGTGCAGTGGTGCGATCTCGGCTCACTGCAACCTCCACTGCCCGGGTTCAAGTGATCTCCTGCCTCAGCCTCCTGAGTAGCTGGGACTACAGGTCTCCGCCACCACACTTGGCTAATTTTTTATTTTTAGTAGAAACAGGGTTTCACCATGTTGGCCAGGCTGGTCTCAAACTTCCTAACTTCAAGTGATCTGCCCATCTTGGCCTCTCAAAGTGCTGGGATTACAGGCATGAGACACAATGCCCCACCTAAACGTGTGTTTTAAAATCACATTCTTGAAACAGAAGGCTTTGTCTCCTTGATTAAATTAGGTATAACTGAAAGCCAAGCTGTCCATAACAAATTAGAAGATTAAAACTTAGCTAAAAATGAAGAAAACATCTAAAACTAAATTCATGAAGAGCCCTGGGATGGAGACAAACAGGAAGATATTCTCTTCTGACAGACATGAAGTAAACCAAAAGTCCACCTGACTGGATATTTAGACTTAAAACTACATATGCAAGACAAAATAATTTAGCCTAAATAATTTGAAAATATAACCAAAATGGGACAATTTATATTTCTAGGCAATAAAGTTTAATTACTTTTGAATAGATACAGTCTTTATTTTACAAGTTTAAATGAGTAACTCAGGATATAAAGCAAATAATTTCTTTTTCCCTAAGAGACAGGGTCTCACTATGTTGCCCAGGCTGGTCTCGAACTCCTCGGCTCAAGTGATCCTTCTATCTCAGCCTCCCAAAGTGTTAGGATTACAGGCATGAGCCACCATGCCTGGCCAGCAAAAAAAGTTTTAATGGAACTGCTTACTATTATCCTGTTTTAACTTCTAGAGAAATGTCAGGTTTATCTATTTATTTTCTTCTAAAATCCCTTTTGATAGACTTTCTCCAAATCTGTCCCTAATCCTAGCTTTTAAATTTTCCAGATGAATAAGAGAAAAAAAGACGTCTCAGTAGAAACCATCACCACACCTAGAATGAATAAAACAAACGAACCTAAAACAGCACACACCAACAGGTCAAAAACAGCTCAACTTTCTTTACAAGAACAAATAAAACAGAAACACATGCCTACCAGGGCTGACTGTATGTAGCACTTTAAAAAGTAAACCTCAGGGGTAAGTACTTACCACAACTTATTTCTCCTAGGCCTGTGCCCTTGTATATTTATTAATAACTGAAAATCATTACCATTCACATTTGATTTATCTTTTTAATTTGGAATTTTAAAAAATTGATTTTAAGCCAGAAAACTGCATTTCAACACAATCAAATATTAATGTGAGTTCTACAGAAGTTTTAAATAATAGCAGTTTGGGCCTACCACTAACACCCTCCTTGATTTGCAAAGACGATGGATGACTTAATCTACTGAAAATCACCGAAGCAATATGGCTAGAGCATATACTTCACACCCACATAATGAAAAGCACTGACTTTTATACCTACGTAACAAAACTGCATGTTCTGCACATGTACCCCAGAACTTAAAGTATAATAACAAAAATAAAAATTAAAAAAAAAAGAAAAAAAATCCCACCTAAACTACTGCCACATTTTAAACCTTGAAATTTCAAGTACTTTGAATGCACATCTCCCTCAAATTGCCAAACACCACACAAAGTACTAATGTGTACCAACCATATGCCCAATTTTCTCCACACTATAAGTAAAACTTTGCTTGGATCAGAAATGTTTAATATACCCTAAATAAGAGTGACACAATGATAGTCTCTAATTCTTTTGAAATAAAAATTGGCAAGTTAGGAAATTAGTCTATGGAATTTTTAACAAATGTGATTTTTTTAAATTTATGCTTTTCAATTAGGAAATAGGAGACTCCTATCTGAAATACTACTTCTCTGGTGAACTGAAGATTTTTAATAATTTTATACTATCATTCCAGGAATACATTCCACAGTAGTGTACTGAATATTTTCAGGTGTATCTCCAATTTCCAGTTAGATCACAAGGTTCATAATTAAGAAATACATTCTTGGAGATCCTAATCCTAGCCTTATCATCTCTTCCTTTTCATTGCCCTCACGACTAGCACAGTACCTAACCCCTGCTAAGAATTTCAGGCATAGTGTTCTGTTAGGGGTGTAACCTGGTTTTGCAAAGTCTCTGAGCCTTACTGTCTCCAACTTCAGAGAAAGAATAATAAATACCTATCAGGTACAATGTTCATTATTTGGGTAATGGGTACACTAGAAGCCCAATCACCATTAGTATGCAATATACCCATGTAACAAACATGCACATGTACCCTATGAATCTAAAAATTTAAAAAGTTGTAAAAGAATAATACCTATTCCACAAAATCATCATGAGGATTAAATGAAAGACATTATAAAATTATTATATTATTATTATTATTATCATTATTTTTGAGACGGAGTCTCGCTCTGTCACCCAGGCTGGAGTGCAGTGGCACAATCTAGGCTCATTGCAACTTCCCCCTCCCAGGTTCAAGCGATTCTCCTGCCTCAGCTTCCCAAGTAGCTGGGATTACAGGCATGCACCACCACACCTGGCTAATTTTTTGTATTTTTAGTAGAGATGGGGTTTCACCATGTTGGTCAGGCTGGTCTCGAACTCCTCACCTCAGGTGATCCGCCCACCTCAGACTCCCAAAGTTAAAATTCTTAAGGACAGGGATAGTAGCTTGTCTCCCTAATGCCTAGCACCGGCTATGCAAAGATAAGCCTTCCTATCGTTACTCACCCATCAAACACTAATTACATGTTTACTATGAGCCTGACAATGTCCTAGGCTGGGGACAAACGATAAATAAAACATTTTTCTTGACCTCAGAAACTCAAAGTACAGAAGAAGGATCAGAAAGGCAAATACATCAAAAACATCAGAGTCACAGGTGCTGTAATAGATCAGGGACATGGGTGGACTTGAGTTTCTAGGCATGGAAGTTGATGGGGAAGTCTTCCCAGAAGAGGTGACTTGAAAATGAGTAAATGTTTCATAGGCTGGGGCCAAGACTGGGAAGAGAAGGGTGCTCCTGCAAAGCAATAGCAGGAGAACAGAGATGGAGGAATGAACACTTGAATAGTCCACCATGTTTGGAGAGTCACCATGTAGTCAATACGGCAGAACCAGGGGACAAATAATATGAGCGGTTAGGCTGAAAGGAGATTAACACATCACAGAAAGCTCCAAGCAGAAGATTTCTGTCTTACCTGGTGGAATCTAGCCAGTTACTTCCTATTAATTTTTTGAAGCAATGCACTATGTGACAGAGGCTTTATTTCATGACCTCTTTTGATTCTTACTACAGCCCTATGAGATAGAAATTATTATACCCATTTTACAGAGAAGTAAACCATTACACTGAATGTGTCTCCCCCCAAGATTCCTATGTTGAAATCTAATCCAAAACGTGGAGGTGAGGCCTTTGGGAGGTGAGTAGGTCATGAGAGTGGAGCTTTATAAGCAGAGTTCAAAGAGCTAGCTTGTTCTTTCTGCCATGTGAGCATATGAGAAGTTGGCAGACTGCAACCTGGAAAAGGGCCCTCACCAGAACCAGACCATGCTGGCACCCTGAGCTCTGACTTCCAGCCCCTAAAACTGAGAAATTTCTGTTGTTTATAAGCCACCTAAGAAGCTGAGACTCAAAAAGGTTAAGTAAGTTGCTCCAGGCACAGTTAGTGACCAGTGGGCTCCAACCTGGCTGTCTGAGCCCAGGTTGTCCATGCTCTTAATCCCTGTGATCTACATAAGGGTTTTCAATTTTTTTTCAAACTTCTTTGGACCACAACACACATTTCACCTGGAAAGACAGAAGTGTCAGTAATTGAAACAACAGTTTCATGTAGTGGCATCTATACTTTAATGGTTTTCTTTTTTTTTTCCTTAAAAAAAAAAAAAAAAACCTGCTTGTGTTATCCAAGGAGGCACAAGTGATCAACAGTCCCACTGCTGCTTGTAAGCCATGTAGGCTAGACAGTCTGCCTTTGGATTCTACCTTGTGTAGGTCCTTGGTGACCAGCACAGTGGAGGTCAGAGGCAGAAGCTGGACTGCAGTTAGCATGGGGGGATGGGAGAGGAGACACTAGAGACAGCAAACCTAGACAACTATCTCAACAGGGTTTGTTAAGCAGGAGCAGGAAATGTGGCAGGGGCTACAGGGAACTGTGGTTGAAAAAGGTGAGGTTATTTTTTTAACTTAAAATTTTTTTTTCATATTCAGTGGCCAGTTACTAGATTTTTAAAAATCTACTATGCGAGAGAATATAAAATAAATAAATGTTGGCCAGGCACGGTGGCTCATGCCTGTAATCACAGCACTTTGGGAGGCTGAGGTGGGTGGATCCCAAGGTCAGGAGTTTGAGACCAGCCTTTCACCAACATGGTGAAACCCTGTCTCTATTAAAGATAAAAAAAAAATTAGCCAGACATGATGGCGCGCACCTGTAATCCCTGATGCTCGGGAGGCTGAGGCAGGAGAATCGCTTGAACCCAGGAGGCAGAGGTTGCAGTGAGCCCAGATCGCACCATTGCATTCCAGCCTGGGCGACAGCGCAAAACTCCGTCTCAAAAAAAAAAAAAAAAAAAAAAAAATCTTGACCTCTTCACTTACTGAAAGCTTCTGCTTATCTGATCTCTAAATAACAACAGCAGAAAAATATTTTTGTGTGTGATATACTGTTTCTTATGTGTTGGGAGCCCTAGAGACAACTGCTCTATATGAATAGCAACACAGAGAAAATCAACATTGCGCCTCCTATGCAGTTGATACAGAAGGCAACTAAAGAGGTCCCTTCTGCCTTCTAAGGAGACAGATTTCTTTCTCCATAAGATGTTACACACAGGAAAAGACACTCCAGAGTCCACGACCACATTTGTAATCACCACTCACTTCATAGGTTAATTACTGCTGACCTATCGTTGTGCCTACAAGACCATCTTTTTCGGAGACAATCATGAAGCCAGGTCCTGAAAAGAAAGATGAAACTAACAGAAGAGACTTACAGTGCAGAAAATAAAGAAAATGGAAGATGAAAAAAAAAAAAGAGATTTCTTTACATTGTGTTAAAGGAAAAGACTCTCCCTTAAAATGGGGGGTAGGGAACCCTTAAAAAACAAAAAAAAATCCAGACAAACCAAGAAAGTCACCATTGGAAATTAATGAATTTAATAGGACTATAAGGGAAAACAGCACTGGACCATAAGATCTTTTTTAGACTGTGGTTAAAATATTTCCTTTCCGCATGCATTTTGTTCTCCAATGATCAGGCTCTTAAATATATCTCTAGAAAAGAAGTCCTTTCTACAAAGTATCCTCTTCATAACTGCCATTCAGAACACCAACTGCCTATTATGACACAGCAACCAAGAAACATTTGGGCTTGTATTGGGGACAATCAACTTGTGACTTCCTGCTAGACTTTCTCAATTCACATGATGATGAAATGGCTAGTGTTGCAATGCACTTATGGCTTTAGATAAAAACATAGGCACCCAAGACAGAAGTGGCCAAAGAGGGCAGTACCCAGCAGGAAGTTGTTCCTACAAAGGAAATTGCAGTTTCTAAGATGAAGAGGAAGTCAAGAGGGAGAATTAAGTGTCTCAAGGGCTTGAGAAAATATTGAAGAAACTACTTGTGGTCTCAAATACAGTTAAAATACTAAGTAGTCCACGCTGTCATTAATTATAAATTCAAAACTTTAACAATGCAATTTGGGGTAAAGCTAGTCCACAAAAGGTAAATCATGTCTGTGTAACCTTTGTTGTTAGAAGCTGCCTCTCTTACTCCTTGCAGAAACCTTTTCTGAAAAAATACCTGATAATGATACCAACTGAAAGGGACAGAGGGGAAGAACACTCTCACTCACCTGTTCCTGCACAATGTGAGAATCTTAGTCACATTTCTCTTCATTTTATGATATCCTGCAATGTCCTCTTCATATACAAACCCACTCCCCAATAAGCTTCTAGTTTCTATGTAATAAATGGCTACCTTCTAAAGTTTGTTCGTTCTCACGTGCCTATGAAACACATACTGGACACAGAGACACATTACCAGTCATTTATCTGGCATCACAGCAGTTTACTACAACTTTCATAAGTTCTAACAAACCTCTGATAGAAGCTGTTTCCAGCCCTTTCATCTCTAGACATTTCAACCATATGGGGACTTCGTATCTCACCTATTTATTTCCCTTTTCAGTTTTTAAAAATCGTGCCCAGAATTCTTTGATGCTAATAAACATTCACAGAACAGACCTTTTCCATCACTAAACAGGAAACTGAATATTGCATGTATGTTTTACACTCAATAGGCTGTATAAAGTTATTAGTGATATTAACAAGGAGACTATTGATCATTTTTCATAAAAGATCACACATGATCTTCTTTTCCATAGGTTAGTCATATGTTAACCACTTCTGCGCAGAAAAGACATGCGCATTGAAGGCAAGCATGAAAAACATGCCCATACATGGCAATTTTCTTGTCTCATCAAGACCACAGCATGTTTACCAAGATGGCTGGCAAGATGACACCAGGATCCAAGGATCTGCTTTTTAATTCTAATTACTGAAATCTTATCTTAGTTTTCAGTATTTCACAGAAAGCCATCTGCACTCAGCAGTGGGATCTCCCTAGCAAAATCCTTTTTTTTTTTTTTTTTTTTTTTTTTTTTTTTTTTTTTTTTGACTTCTCAACTCCTTCTGACTCTGTTAACAACCACTGACATATGCTATGGACTGAATGTTGTGTCCTCCCCAAAACTTGTACATTGAAACTAATCACCAATGTGGTGGTATGAGAAGGTGGGACTTTTGGGAGGTAATCAGGTTAAGGGGGTGGAACTCTCAGGAATGGGATTAGTGCCCTTATTAAAAAGGTCCCAGAGAGCTGCCTTGTCCCTTCCACCATGTGAGGTTACACCAAAAAGATGGCTACCTATGAACCAGGAAGCTGCCCTCACCAGACACCAAATCTGCTGACACCCTGACCTTGGACTTCCCAGCCTCCAGAACTGTGAGAAATGCATTTCCATTGTTTATACGCCACTCGATCTGTGGTACTTTGGTACAGCAGCCCCAGTGGACTAGGATAACAAGCATCGTCCTACAATTTCTAATTTGGCTTTGAATCACTGTTCCTATAATCTCCAGCTTGCCTTCTTTCCTCCAGCTGCTTATTTTCTCCAACTAGCATTTCACAATTCCTTCCTACGTTCGTTCACTGAATACATTCAGGCTGAAAACCAAGTATCTGCTACAATGCTGCTGCTACAACACTGAGCAAGACTTGGGCGGGTTATGGACACACTCCACTAAGTGCTATGAAAGGAGTGGAGTGGGCTGGCCATGGGAAGGGTGGCAATGTGGGCTAAGTGGTAGAATTTCTTACCAACCATTTAACTTCTTTCTAGTCCCATATTCCCACTGTCTTAAATTTGTGAGTTTATATAATGGTCTATACTACCTGTAACTTTCAACTGTTGTTCAAAAACTTTGTTAGTTTCCTATTGCTGTGTAACAAATTACCGCAAACTTAGTGGCTTAAAGCAACACTCATTTATTAGCTCCCAGCTCCAGAAGTCAGAAGTCTGGCCATGTTTTAACTGGGTCCCCTGCTCAGAGTGTCACAAAGATGAAATCAAGGTGGTGGTGGAGCTTAGTTCTCCTCTGGGAGCTCTGGAGAAAAATCCAATTCCAAGCTCATTCTTTGTACTAGCAGAATTCAGCTCCTGCAGTGATAGGACTGAGGTCCCTGTTTCCTTGTTGGCTATCAACTGGGGTTTGCTCTGGGCTCCTGGATACTGCTGCATTCCTTGCCAGGTAGTCCTCTCCATCTCCAAGCCAGCAACAGCACATAAACCCCTCTCCTGCTTCGAATCTCTTACCTCCTCAGCTTCTGACCTCTAAATACAGGTTTAAAGGGCTCTGGCAAATGGGTCAAGCCCACTGACAATAAATTCCCTTCTCGAAGTCAACTGTGCCATATATTAAACATAATCACAGGAGTATAAGCCACCCTAGTCACACAGTCCCATGGATTATGCAATATATACTGGTAGTGGGTCTACTGGAGGTCATTTAGAATTCTACCTACCACAATTTACAAGGAAAAAACAAAAACTTGGCATCAATAAAGAATTTTATGGCACTAATTAGAAATGCAGTTCTGAGATTCTTTAGTTTTCAATCCTGAGAGCAGAATAACCAAAAAAAATCATAGGTAACTCCCAAATCTATTTCTCCAACCCTTTTAGCCTTAATCTATACATCTTTGCAAATACCCAAGACGCACTTAAACTTGATTATTTCATTCAACTTTACCTGATAAAACTGACTTAATATCCTCCCCCTTTCTCAGATTTCTACTATACCACCAGGCGCCAGCCTGCCAAGATCTCCACTTTCGAGGGATTATCATTTACTCTATGTTATCTTTAACATCAAACAGAAACTAATTCAACAACCAATCTTAACAACTTGCCCTTCCTCGCCACTCTGAAACACACTTCGTACCTAGAGCAGAATCATTAGAAACACTGGTCTCCTGCACTGACCTCCCTTCTCTTTCCTGTTCTTTCTGTCTGTGCACAGCCTTGCCCTATCCTACACATATCTCCCAAGAAAGTCCCTAACACTGTGCTCCATGCTCTCCTCTTCAGGAACCACAGCCCCCACAATCTAATCACAGCTATCCAAGCTCCTCATCCCAGCACTTAAGGCTAACAGTGTCCCCTGGACCCCAAAGTCATACTCCAAACCCCGTCATCCAATGCCACACCACACCCTCAGTCCCTGGGACGCCTCACCTTCTGACCCCACCTTCAGCCTCTGTTCAGCTGCTCTCTCAGGCAGACACACCCAAGCAGGGAACGGTCAGCTCCAAAAAGACGTCTCATCACTCTCATCTGCAACTTACTTGCTGTCCTCTGACCTATACCACCTGGTTTTATCTTTACCTTGCTTTGGCTTCATGTCTTTTTTTTAATAGGTACATTTTACCTTTCCCACTGTATCAGGAACTCTGTGTGTTTGTGTGTGTGTGTGTGTGTGTGCTTGTGCATGTATGTGTAAACATACATATTTTTTCTTATCCCATAGCATTTATGCAGCACACACAAGAAATTAAATGCATTTTGCTTTTCTTTTTTCTCACAATCCAATCTGCACTTCCTGTCCTGACCTTTCACCTATTTTTATAATCTCTTTATCTTTACTTGCCTGGAAGAAGTCTTTAGAATAGAGGTTAATAAAATAGGTCATCCACCCTTGCCTCTGCATGAATGAATTAACAGCATAAATAACAGCCCAGAGGCATAGAAAAGTACATTTATTTCATGTTTCAATTAAATAAAATTTAAAACTCTTAAAACAGGAGTAAACAAAAAATTCTAGGAAAAAGGTCAAGAAGCTTTAATGCAGGAAAAGGAACAGAACTTGGAAAATGTGCATTTTCACATGCAAAAGATGGGAAACAATCTGAAAGTCCGCCTAGAGAGGACAGCTAAACAGATGAGGGTACTGCCATGCAATGCAAGGCTGCACACCATGGGGGTTAAAAAAGAAACCTTCCCATGTTGCTCGGAAAGACCCGAGGCATGCTAAGATGTGCATGGGTCTCCTGAGCAGTTGTGGAACTTGCTGCCATGTGTCTATAAAGGGCAGGCAACATATCTTCAAAAACATTTATTTAAGTCTCTGGAAGAACACAATAATGATGTTTGCCGATAGGGAAAGGTAAATGGGGACAGGTGTGAGGAGGCTTCCATCCTTTCTCATGCCACTTGGACCACGTGAATGTGGAAGGTGGCCAGGGAGACCCTCTCTGCAAGTCCAGGAATAGGGCGGATTCACCCACAGATTGTTATAAAGTTCAATGTCCAGGAAGGAGCTTGATGCCTCCAAAGGAAAAACACATGTATGTCTTTGCCTGTTCTAGGTTCTCTGGCAGAAGGAAACAAGCCATGCAGGTCTTACTCTCCAAAATACTTGCAGACTCCTTTTGCTACAGATGCTGTGCTGTACATGCACAGAGAAGCACAAGTTGTAATGGCCACAGGCTTGCTGTGGGGAAGACGGAGGGCAGCAGCAGGGTTCTGCCAGGGCACCCACACATGACGGGGCATAAAGGCCCATCCATCTGCTACCTGCCTCCATGCATGCAGGGAAAGTCAGGAAAATCACCTGAGACTCCACAGGATTTACAGATTCAAGACAAGGTCTGATTACAAACTCAGAAAAAAGGTAATGATTACAGGCAAATCTGCTTTTTAACAGACTTTTTTTTGGATTATCAGGCTGGCATTATCAGAAAATGCCACCGAAAAGACTTCCTGAAAAACATAGTATTTAAAAACCTCAAATCATAGTAAGATTTGCTGCAACTGAAAGAAACCAAATGAACATTGGATATATTCCAAATGAGAATTCTATTTGTGAACTGAAGAAAAACTGGGGCCTGCCAAACTGATAATTAAACAACTGCGCACCCCGAACCAACTAGTGGAATGACTCCCTCCTTCTGGGGTAGGTTCGTCACACCTTACATACTGAAAAACAAAACTTGCATTGAAGCTCTGCATCAAAAACACTTCTTGGAACAAGAGCCAGGGTTCTTTTGATTACTTTTGACCCAAATTAGGCCAACACGATGGCAGTAACTCTCCAGGTGAACTTCAGCTGGGAGCTACCAGGAGGCTCCAGCTGCAGAATACAGGTCAAGGACACAGAAGGGACCAAAGGAACATCGACTCATAGTAACCCTGGCTTGCTGTCCAAGAAGGCAGAAGCCCTGTGAGAGTCTAGAAGAGGCTGAGGTCAGTTTCAAGCCTATACAGGATTAAATGTGACCAGTTACTGTTCTAGGCAAAATGTACAAAATACTTTCATCAAGAACCAAACGTTTTATTTCCTATTTAGCTGAAGAATTAATACTTTTACAGAAGCAATGAGTGAGCACAAAAAGCTTATTTTCCCATTCTCCATGTTCTCTCCTGAAACAATGATCCAAGTGTATTTAGAACAAAGAATCCTACCTTCAAATGAGTGTAGACCCTCTACAGGGGTATCTACCACGTTCCTTCATGTCCCCAAAATAGCTCATAGACCTTGCTAGAAGAGAGTGATGTGATTTTCCTTACCTACCACCAAAATGAAAGAGAGAGAGACAGAGAGAGAAAAAAAAAAAAAACCTACAGAACAGAAAAACCACCTAGATACCACTCTGGTAGCTGGCCACCACACCCTCCTAACTAGAACGTGAGCTCAGGGGTCCCCAAACTGAACTGTAGTATAGAGCACAGTTCAGTTCTATGGATGGCAAAATCAGAAAGGGAGTATTTTTTTTAAAATATCATTTCGATAACATAAATAACTGTTCACTACGGTTCCAAACATAAGCATTGTGGAAAGTAGCTATCCAACAAGCTTCCTCCCCAGAGATCACTGCCAGAGCCTGGGGCGGGAAGAAGGGAAACTAGGAGAGTGAAGAGTCTGAAATACTCTTTGACCTAATTTTTTTTTTTTTTTTTTAAAAAAGGTTGGGCGTGGTAGCTCACGCCTGTAATCTCAGGCTGAGGTGGGTGGATCTAGAGGTCAGGAGATCGAGACCATTCTGGCTAACACAGTGAAACCCCATCTCTACTAAAAATACAAAAAAATTAGCCGGGAGTAGCGGCGGGCGCCTGTAGTCCCAGCTACTTGGGAGGCTGAGGCAGGAGAATGGTGTGAACCCGGGAGGCACAGCTTGCAGCAAGCTGAGATTGCACCACTGCACTCCAGCCTGGGTGACAGAGCAAGACTCTGTCTCAAAAAAAAAAAAAAAAAAAAAAAAGAGAGATAAAGAAAAAAACAGCTTTAATTTCTATACCTTTTAATTCCCTCAGAGATGCTTTTGCTACATGAACTCGTCTAGGGGACTCTGTGGAGCTTACTGTAATGTGAGCCCTGAGAAACTTACTGCCCTGTCAATTTACCAGGTAGAGACAACACATCTGTGCTGACCATCTGCAGGCGGAATAGGATTTGGTGAGAACAGGTATGTTGTCTAATGGGCGATGTTGGCCAGAAAAAAGAACACTGGCTGGGCGTGGTAGCTCACGCCTGTAATCCCAGCACTTTGAGAAGCCAAAGCGGGTGAATCACTTGAAGTTAGGAGTTCAAGACCAGCATGGCCAACATGGTGAAACTCTGTTTCTACTAAAAATACAAAAAAAATTAGCCGGGCATGGTGGCACATGCCTGTAGTCCCAGCTACTCGGGAGGCTGAAGCAGAATTGCTTGAACCTGGGAGGTGGAGGTTGCAGTAAGCTGAGATTGTGCCACTGCACTCCAGCCTGGGTGACAGAGTCAGACTCCGTCTCGAAAAACAAAACAAAACAAACCAACAAAAAACACCATATATGAGTGTTCATTCCTTCTCTTTACATTTTTTTGTTTTTTCTCTTTACACTTTTGTGTGCCTGATCTATTTCATTTAAAACAAAGACAGAGGAAGACACAATCAATATACATTCTAAAACTGGCAGAGATCTGGCATACCAATGTGTAGTGATGTGTGGTCAAAGAGCAAGGGGAGGAAATGCTGGAGATGACACTGGGTCCGGGCCCTTCATACCAGGGGAGATGTGTTCAAGGCAGCCTTCCGAGCCACAGGATGCATAGGAGGACTCATTAGTCCTGACTCCCAGTAGTAAGCAATAGCACTTAGGGAGTTTTCAACTCTGCGGCTAATCACAATCATTACAGGTCTTTAAAAGCGATACAATGGATTCTGTCAGCACTATAAAAGGCAGTCACACTCTCAGCAGAATCTCTCAGGCTGTGGCACCATAGGCCACGTCTAGGACAGCACAGCTGGCCTCCACTGAGCTGACCTCAAATGAGTGTACCACACTTGCATGCAAATACACAGGTGGCACACCCACTGCTGCAGCACCCAGTTCCACACCTGCCAAGCTTCGGCACCTGTGATCACACTTCTGGCCACCAGTACGCTGTGCTGGGCTCACTGTGGATACTTCGAGGTCTACCTCTGACTATCAAGGGCTGAAAAAAATGTGTAGCACGTGGAGCCTCTGGTCTGGACAATTATACCAAAAGGCAGTCTGGGAGCACATGTGCTGTCCCTCACAACTAAGGGTCCCTGCATCCCTAACTTTCATCATGAAGGGCCTGTTCTCTCAAACCATATGGAGCCAACTAAAATAAAGCCTGGCCTCAGGCTGGTGCTCCTGTCCTTGCCTGCCCTCATCTGTCTTACATTCCTCATCTCCCCTAAACTGTAGTTCTCCGACCTGCAAGCCTGCTGCTCAGCATGGCCCTCTGAGATCTCAGTGACTCTCAAACCAGCGAATCCACCTATAGAGCTGTTAAAACAAGGAGGGTGGAGCCCCACCCCAGAGTTTGATTCAGAGGTGGCAGAAGCGTCTGAGAATGTGCATTGCTGACAAGTTCCCAGCTGCTGTAGTCAGTGGTTGGAGGAGCATCCTTTGAGAAACACAGCTCTAACTAGCACTCATATGTGAATATTTGGTTTTGGTTCCTACCTGCCTAACCCAGCCTCATCCAACCTAAGCTCATTAGCTCTGGGACTGTGGACTGCCCAATTCACAAGTGGGATGCCCATCCCCACCCAGGCCCTTCCTGGGAGCCACAGTGTGCCACAGATCCACAAACCAGCAGCACTGAGTGCTCATCCTGTCTCCTCCTAACCAATGGTCAGATGGATGGAAGGCTCAACTGAATTCTTATAAAAATTAATGATTTATTCCCATGATAAATTCATGCACTGCCTTGTGGCTGACAATGCAGTTTTCCTCCTCCTGATGCTCCATATGAACATCACCACAAGTTCTAGAAGTAGGTATTACCATTTCCAATTTACAGATGATAAAACTGAGGTCAGAGGTACCTGAGATCACAGCACTGGGACTTTTGCTACCTTCTTTTAAGTAACTGTGGTCATGTAATCCATTTATCAGTTGAACATTTTTTACACTTTTATCAGCATCACTTATTTATTTTTAATATTAAAAAATCATGAGCATTTTTTAAAAGTGTGAAATAATATGTGAATGCTCACCATACACTCCAGAAGTACTGGTTGAATCAAAGTCTTATCCTACCATGAACACAAACAGCACCAAAGCAGTGTCTGTGGTCCAGCACGTCCAAGAAGAAGGCTGAAAACACCACCAGATACCTTCAAGCACTGGACACAAACTGGTGACCAGTAGACAAATTTTTGCCCCACAGACTTTTTCACTTCTGTTTTTTGTTTTGTTTTGTTTTTCATTTGAACTAGCTGCCAACATGTAGAAAGTGGGAGATTTCACATACTTATCTGGACAACAGCCAGCTCTCTTAAAACTGAGAAGACCTGACAACGCTGGAATCACATCCTTTCAAGGCACACGTAGCTGGCTGGAGTTTACCAACAGCCCCGGTGCTCAGCCATGGCAGCCTCTCCAGTCAAACAGAGCCCTCTAAGCCTACGGGTTTTCACCACCTGCCTGGTCCACAGGCAGTCATAGGCTCCTGCCCTGGAGCTTATTCTGTAATATAGTTAAAATAGATCAATGACAAACAACTTGAGCAAAATTAATTTCTCCTGGCTTACCAAATTAAAACAGAAGAATGATACAGTTTGGCTACTTAGGGACTACCGAGAAATAGTAGAAAATTCACTAACCACACAGCAATTAGACGAAGAGCCTGATTCTTGTTGCCTCTCT
Organism: Homo sapiens; assembly: GCF_000001405.40. Lineage (NCBI taxonomy): Eukaryota > Metazoa > Chordata > Mammalia > Primates > Hominidae > Homo > Homo sapiens. The sequence goes on along the minus strand of NC_000008.11, from coordinate 47,360,297 downwards.
CCAGGGAAAGGCAGTCCCTCTATTTCTTTTTTTTTTTTTTTTTTTTTTTTTTTGAGATGGAGTCTCATTCTGTTGTTGCCCAGGCTGGAGCACAGTGGCGCGATCTCCGCTCACTGCAACCTCCGCCTCCCGGGTTCATGCCATTGTCCTGCCTCAGCCTCCCGAGTAGCTGGGACTACAGGCGCCCGCCACCACGCCCAGCTAATTTTTTGTATTTTTAGTAGAGATGGGCTTTCATCATGTTAGCCAGGATGGTCTCAATCTCCTGACCTTGTGATCCGCCCGCCTCGGCCTCCCAAAGCACTGGGATTACAGGCGTGAGCCACTGCACCCAGCCCAGTCCCTCTATTTCAATGAGAGAGAGTGATAAATTGTTCCAGGCTCTTTCAAACACTTTGACATACATGCATACATATGTAGAAAATACAGCATGGAAGCCAATACTTATCACAGTATCATAGCTTGTTCTTACGAAGTATCCCATTTTTTAAGAGAAAGAGGCTGGCAGCACATTCCAAAATGAAAACCACTAATTATGATATATTCTTGAGTCAAAAAACAATCATAACACACAGAAACAAGGACTATACTTTCTTCAGAGACAGGATGCTCTCTACCCGCTATAGAATAATCACAAACTCTATAGGGCACAATGCTGAGTGATCAAAATCTCATTTAACATCTACCTGTAGTTAATTGATTTTCTAGAAATATGGGAAAAAAGAATTTAAACAAATTCATCCTCTACCCATGCATGTCACTGCAGAAAAGGTGACTCATAAAATCACTATCTTGCATTCATCAACTCTTTTTTCCTTTTTGCCCCTTTGAGGACAGCCCAGAAGAAAGGCTGTTCCAGGTTCCTTTGCATGCTCTGACACACAAAGGGGACCCAGGACTCCTAAACAAACAGGGCCCTTGACCCATGGTGCTTTCCAAAAAAGAGAAGTTCGAAGTTTGAAACTTTCATCGAATGTGCCAAGGTGGATATTATAAAACAACACTATACAAAATTTGTTAAAAAAAAACTTTTTTTTTTTTTTTTGAGACGGAGTCTCGCTCTGTCGCCCAGGCCGGACTGCGGACTGCAGTGGCGCAATCTCGGCTCACTGCAAGCTCCGCTTCCCGGGTTCACGCCATTCTCCTGCCTCAGCCTCCCGAGTAGCTGGGACTACAGGCGCCCGTAAAAAAAAACTTTTTTTTTTAACAATTTTTTTAACTGGTGGGAGGGAATCAGATCTCTGTGCTCAATCCTATAAACAGATGTCTCTGAAATCCTAGTCATGCTAGAGTTAGTGTCTTAACATGAAAACAAACTGTACAAAAATGTTAACTCCAATTGCCTCCACCTAGAGACTACCAGAAATTTATGTGATCACAGGTTATTTTATTAATAGAGAGAAAAATCAATTGAGATTTATTTGTGCTGCAATGGGTGGGAGGAGTATGTCTGTATATATGTATCCTACGTCCTAACTTCCTAAATGTAAATACCAATGGGCAGGACTAAAGCCCATAAAAGCAGAAAATGGACATAAAATGTTTAAAATTCTGCTACTGAAGTAATATAGGGATCAGATAATGCAATTGAACTGCAAAACAAATTTTAATGAGACAATCCAAGCCAATGCCATGCCATGTTTAGAAATAGCAACAGGGAGAAATGACATGGCTTGAGTTCATCATTTCTTCTTCACAAGATTGTTGTGGGAAAGCTGTAGAGAGATCTTAGCCTCAAACCTTAATCTTAAAATCTAGTGTTAGATCCTGTCTTCTGACACCTCAGGAAAACAGGCCAAACTCAGAAGTGAGTATACATTGTAAATTTATCATTTCTAACATAAGGTATTTGAGAAAAAAATAAGATAATCTCTCAATATTTATTTCTTTAAAAATTAAAAAAAATAAATGACCAGGCAAGGAGGCTCACATCTGTGATCCTAGCAACTCAGGAGGCTGAGGCGGTAGAATCACTTGTGCCCAGGAGTTTGAGACCAGCTGGGGCAACATAGTGAAACTCTATCTCTATAAAACTTTTTATAAAAATTAGCTACGGTGGTGTGCCATGTCTGTAGTCCCAGCTAATCAGGAGGCTGAGGCTAGAGGATTCCTTGAGCCCAGGAGGAGTTCAAGGCTGCAGTGAGCCATGATCACACCTGTGAACAGCCACTGCACTCCACTGTGGGCAACAGAGCGAGACCTAAAACAAATGAATATGCAAACAAAAATAAAAAATAAAATAGTCTGCCGAACAGTCATTTACTGGTTAACAGGTCTGGAAAACAAGGATGCTAATTCTCACCAGGTTGGAGAGGAAAGACTGCCAGAGTGAATGTAAACCACACATATATTCGTGACTACATGCAAGCCTGCTGAAATCACAGGTGAGTACTTCTTATTTAATGCTCTCCAGTATCATTTACTGACCTTCATGTGGCCTTAAACACTAGACGATTAACATGTATGAGATCTCCTTTCCTTTCTCCTTATATCCTCTCCATTTCCTTCCCTAATTTTTTTTCAGAACTCCAACTTCCACACTTCAAATTTCTTTCTTAAAAGTGAAAAACAAAACAAAAGCACATATTTATGGAAATGAGTACTATGCTCATTGTGCTTGCCTTCTTAGAAGTTCAATTCAATTGAAACAAAAGAACCAAAAATTATATGGTGAGGAAAATAAATGCTACCTTGCTCCATCATACCACAGAAAGAATGTAACCCATAACCAGAGTAAAACGATGGACGAAAAATAAGATAAATAAAGAAGTTTGATTTGAGCGAATTTCTTCTCTTGGCCATCTAAGCCCCTCCACTCCATCTTTTCTTCGGGCAGATATCCTAGAGCTAAGCCTGGTGGATGTCTCAAGTAACCACGAGACATACACTGAGCAGGGCAGAGTGCTGCCATCTCCCACGCAGGACAGATAAGCAGAGCGAGTTCTGACAGGTAGTTATGGCGTGGGTGTCGGGACATGGGAACCAGGTGGAATGATTTTCCTTTCTTCATACCAAATACCAAAGTGTGCCAAGGTCCAGAAATTTGGATGCCAGACTCTTAGTAAAAGATGAACAAGAAGCAGGCTAGCATAGAAATCTTATCTGTTCTCTTATAAGCCTAGCCAATAAATTCACACTCTTTCCCCTAATTTCCTACCTATTTAAGAAAATATGTTACACAAGCACTCAACTTAAACTGACTAGTAGAACACAATGGGATTCTTCTCTTATGATCTAATTCTAAGATTCCCTTGGTTGTTCTCATTCTGCCCCTTCCTGGCAAGTAATGCTAGGCAACTTTTTAATTTATTTGAGACACAGCCAAGTTACCCCATATGCAAAATAAACCCCATTTCAACAGGGTCATTGAGGAAACTGAGTGAGAAAATATGTGTAAAATAGATTCTGCAGCACCCCACATGGTAGGTAGGTGCTCACAGAACAGCAGCTTCATTTACTGTACGCATTTTAAAAACCAAAGTTCAGTATCCAAATTTTTCTAGGACTTTATGTTCATACTGGTCTTACTTTAGGTAACAGATGCAAACCACCCCCTATCCCCTGCTACCACCCACTGCAAATGTGCTGTCTGTGCAATCATGTTTTCCACTAAAATTTCTTCTGGAAATATAAGTTATACAATCATAGCCACATAGTCAACCCATGGGACACTTCAGCTTTGTTAATGAGCAGTCTACTTAAAATTTAACTATCGTATATAATCCTGGTAATAGGTTTTCAAATGACCAAGCCATGTGATCATTAGACACTCCTTTCTTTAACTATTTTTCCTAATTAAGTGCAGAATCTTTCTCCACTTAATTCTTCCCATGGTTGCAAATTTTGATTATATCAGGAGACATATTTGGTTAAATACTCTCAGCTCCCACAGGAATGCGTCGATATTGATGAGCACTCTGAGGGGGCCTTCACTGAATGAGAAATTATGCTCCCAAGACAGCGACTCTGATCCCTTAACTTTATCCCATCACCTTCATTTCAGGAGTAAAACTGTTTCATAAAAGTAGAGAAATTTAAGGGAATAAGTATAAACCAAAAAGTATAATATCACCAATTCTATTTTCACGAGGACTTAATGTTTAAACAGTTGTATCTATTACGCTGTTATCACAGATACAGGTATTTCAATCATTAGCTCATGAGCATACAAGTCTTTGCCACCAGTTTTAGTCCCTGCCACTACTTGTCCACATGTGTTGTGTCTGCTACATTCATTCATTCACTCACTCATTCATGATGATCCTGGCCCTCAAGGAACCTGCAGCCTATTTGGGGAGAGAGGTAAATAAGGCAATGATTACCAAGAGCTATGCCAAGGCTCTTGGCACTATTGTGATGTGATACCCAAGCCCAGCTCTTGACTAACAACTGCAAAAGAGCCACCACGGGGAAGTGGGAGGAAGCAGTAAACTCCTTCCGGAATTTAACAGGAAAAGGTTTTCTGAGAAATCTATGCACATTCAATCTACATTTAAAAAATATTTAATAGTGTTTAGAGGTCCTTGGAAGAACAATGAATAAATATTTTTGTCAAAGGAAGATTTAATGGGAAAACATGTAACTTCCATTCGAACTTCACTGGACTCTGATTAAAGTAGCCCAGCCAATGTAACCCATGCAGAAAAATGTCCCAAAGGAATGGTTATAATATAGCTTTCTGATAATGTTTGGTTTTAAATACTTAATCTATGTCTGTAAAAACATATGCTTGTGATTTATTTGCTTCACTTATTTTTCATGTATGTGTGATATCAAATAGGTTCCCAGACATAAATGCTCCGTTACCGCAAATCTGAGCTGTGGTTGTTACGCATTCACTGTTCAGGTTTTAAGTACCTGGTGAGCAACTGTAGGCTAGGCATTCTATCAGATTCTAGAAAGGCATTAATGAATACGGACATAATGAATGATCACAAAAATGCTAATTACCAGACATGAGCAAAAAAAAAAAAAATCACACATTCCAACAGATACTAAGGCAGTATTTTTTTTTTTTTTTTTTTTTACAAAAAACCTTCATCGGCCAGGCATGGTGGCTCACGCCTGTAATCCCAGCACTTTGGGAGGCCAAGGTGGGTGGACCACCTGAGGCCAGGAGTTTAGTGACCAGCTGGCCAATGTGCTGAAACCCTGTCTTTACTTAAAATACAAAAATTATTTAGGCGTGGTGGCGGGTGCCTGTAATCCGAGCTACTCAAGAGGCTGAGGCAGGAGAATCACTTGAACTGGGGAAGCAGAGGTTGCAGTGAGCCGAGATCGCTTCACTGCACTCCAGCCTGGGTGACAAAAGTGAAACTCCAGCTCAAGAAAAGAAAAACAAAAAACCTTCATTAGGGCTTGGTGTGGTAGCTCATGCCTGTAATCCCAACACTCTGGGAGGCCGAGGCAGGAGGATCATTTGAGTCCAGGAGTTTGAGAGCAGCCTGGGCAACACAGCAAGACCACCATCTCTACAAAAAATTTCAAAATTAGCCAGGCATGGTGGTACGTGCCTACAGTCCCAGCTACTCAAGAGGCTGAGGCAGGAGGATCACCTGAGCCCAAGAATTCAAGACTGCAGTGTGCTATGACTGCATCACTGCACTTCAGCCTGGGCAACAGAGTGAGACCCTGTTTCTAAAAAAAAATAAAAAATTTAAAATAAATAAATGAAAACAGTCATCAGTATAAACATAAATTTATTACCTTGGTTAAATACTACAATGAACAGAAAAAACATTAGCATCTGAACGTCTTGTAAGCTAGTTGTAAGGCAGAATATGTTTGTTCACTCAGAAATCAAATTTTTTAAAAAAAATTATTTAAATATGCGTAATTCTCAGGCAAAACTGATAAGTGCCAAATGAGTGATCAATAAGCTCCAATCCTTAGCTTTTTGTATACTGGTTGCATTTTTAATGCAAAAAAATGCACTTCTGTGGCTGAAAAAAAAAAAAGATGGCAAACGAAATAAAGAAACTGAGGAAGAACTATGAGTGAAGGAATAAAATACATAAACATGAATATATCTTCATAGGTATATACACCTTATCAAACACTATATTTTTGTAGCTTCTAAGTCACCTTTCCCAACTTTTTAATTCACATATATGATTGAGAAAGGCACTTTGTGAATATATTTTCTTTAAAGATATAAAATAATACCTTAAAATGATACAGCAGAGTCAATACGTTATACGGTAGATTCTAATCTGGTATGGTTAGGAGAGCTGTTATTTCACCAAATCAGGCATGGAAAATCAGTAAATAGACAAGAATGTGATACTAGTATCAAAGCGTTGTCTGTATATGAAGCCTTAAAAGCAAAAAAACCCCATAACCCTGAAAAAAACAAAAGTATTAATAAGCTTGTTTTAAAACAACTGATTTCCCAGACCCACCTAACATGCAAAGACAAGAGGAACATTCCTCACTCAGTCAGAATCTACACTGAAACTTATGTGAATGAACTTGACCCGGGCTGGCAGCAATCCAGCAATCTTCGTCACTGAATGACTTAACAGAACACTGTGTTCTTGGCAAAAGCACAAAAAATGTGTTGAAATCCACACTAAAAAAAAAAAAAAAATCTCAGTATAGATTTAAATCAATTTTAAAATACAATGATAAAAGATACTAAAATATAATAAGGGATTTTCAGTGTTTGGTACATATTTAATTCAGGTAACATTTTTACCCTCATGCCATTTTGGTCACTTTCAATCTTCCCTTGAACAATTGCTCCAACCCTCTCCCCACCACACTAAACCTACGCTCTGGCCTCCTCCTGTGTTACAACTTCTCCAACACTGTACCTGGAAAATTCCAAAGCAACCTAAGCTTGCATATTAGGGAGGGACAGCAAGAAAAGCCAGAAACAATGTGTTGACTCACTTCCGTGGAAAGCCCTAGAGAAAAATCTAGGCCACAGTTCAGCACTCTCACGCGTTGCAGCTGGAGCAGGTAAGAGGCGGTGAAGTTATGTCATTCTCACACAGGTCCTGCTAATTCGGCCACAAGGGTAAGATGCAAATGAGAAGGTAAGTAAAATACAATCTGGCGTATATATAAGTATGCAGGCAGTCTACACACTTTCAGAAAAAATACGATTTTAATTATTTTGACTCCCACCATGTTTGATGCTATTTAGAACTTAACTTTTTGAATAAAAATTTAACAAAATTAAGTTGAACAAAATTGTATCATATTTGGAAAGAATAACTTTTTTTTTTTTTTTTTTTTTTTGAGATAGAGTCCCGCTCTGTCGCCTGGCTGGAGTGCAGTGGCATGATCTTGGCTCACTGCAACCTTTGCCTCCTGGGTTCAAGCAATTCTCCTGCCTCAGCCTCCCAAGTAGCTGGGACTACAAGTGCATGCCACCACGCCCAGCTAATTTTTGTATTTTTAGTAGAGATGGGGTTTCACCACGTTGGCCAGGATGGTCTCGATCTCTCAACCTCATCGACTCGGCCTACCAAAGCATTGAGATTACAGGCGTGAGCCACCACGCCTGGCAGAAAGAATAACTTTTCAAGTTACTTTACTTAGTTTTTGCCATCCTCCTTTTCCCCTACTTTAAATTTTGCGTCTCCCAGAATGCCATCCTTGTTATATAACATCATGATAGTTCATTCTCACCATTAGCAAAAGCAGTTCACAACCACCTCATACTCTGGGGAAAACCTACACAAGGCCTAAAGCGTTCAGAGTGAACAAGATCCAAACCACAAACATTTAGCAGTCTACGCTGGCAGAATCCACCACAATGAAAAATGTTTAGCCCTTCCTTTCACCCCTCAACATTGTAGTTTTCAGTCTTAATTTTTCACCACATTTACTGCTAGTGGCTAAAATAAATCAGATCTCTCATCCCATAGCAACACATATCCAATGTCTAGGCTAAGACACATAGACATATAAAGCCTTTAACTGTAATGTTTATATTTTACAGCCTAGACTCCAGATGAAAACAAGAAGTACACGGTCAAATTATTTTCTTTCTTTCTTTTTTTTTTTTTTGTTGAGATGGAGTCTGGCTCTGTCACCAGGCTGGAGTGTAGTAGCGCGATCTTGGCTCACTGCGACCTCCGCCTCCCGGGTTCAAGTGATTCTCCTGCCTCAGCCTCCCGAGTAGCTGGGATTACAGGCACGCACCATCACGCCCGGATAATTTTTGTATTTTTAGTAGAGACGGGGTTTCATCAAGTTGGCCAGGATAGTCTCGATCTCTTGACCTCGTGATCCACCTGTCTCGGCCTCCCAAAGTGCTGGGATTACAGGCGTGAGCCACTGCGCCCAGCCCAAATTATCCTCTAACACAGTAAAATGTTTAAAGGATCCTGAACATCTGTTCTTTCAAAATTATAATATACAGTTATCCCTCAGTAAGCATAGGGGATTGCTTCTAGGACCTGCTCACTCCGATGACAAGAAAATCCAAGGATGCTCAAGTTCCTGATCTAAAATGATGTAGTATTTGAATATAACATTATATACATCCTCCTGTATACTTTAATTCATCTCTAGACTAGTTATAATGCCTAACACAATGCCTACGTATCACTTCATTCAGTGTAGTACTCAATGTGGCAAAATCAAGTTTTGTTTTTTGGAACTTTGTAGAATTTGTCTTTCCAAATATTTTTGGTCCATGGTTGATTGAATCCACATATCCCATGGATATGGAGGGCTAACTGTACTTTAAAAGTTATGCTTTCAAAATTAAGACATCATTTTGTTTAACTTGTGTTCAAAAAGTTAAGTTCTAGGTATCATCTTCCCCACCCTATGGTCCCATACTCCAGCCTGCAATGAGTATTAAACACACCTGTTTCATCCCAGCTCTTTACCACATTTTCTACTTTAAATGTGGTAAATCCCACTCGGTCTTCAAAACCCAACTCAGTTTCCTTTCTGAACTCACCTACCTTCTTCACACTGCTTTTAAAACATGGGACCTCAAAATAATAATCAATTCTGAGAGGATATGTTTCAAGACCCCCAGTGGATGTCTGAAAACATGGATAGCACCAAACGCTATATTCACCATAGATTTTCCCATGAATACATGCCTATGATGAAGCTTAATTTATAAATCAGACACAGTAAAGAGATTAACAACATAATAATAGAACGATTGTAACAACATGCCAGCATTACTATTCTTGCATTTTGGGGTCACTATTAAGTAAAGTAAGAGTGACGTGAACACAGCACTGAGATGTTGTGATAGTCAATCTGATAACAGACCAGCTACGAAGAGACTAACAGGCAGGAGCATCTACAGGATGGACAGGTGGGACAAAACAGGGGATTCATGTCCCAGATGAGACAGAATGGGGTGACAAGAGATTTCATCATGCAGTTGAGAATGGTGTGGGTGTGCTCTAAAATTAATCACTCCTAGAATTTTCCATTTAATACTTTCAGATTATGGCTGATCACAAGTAACTAAGGCCTCAGAAAACCAAACTGTGGATAAAGGGGGGATTACTGTGTATCACACAGAAGTTGTTTCTCAAATGTTATAGTACTGCTTTCAAATTTAAACTTTCATTTAAGCCAGCCATTCTTGACCATAGTATGATGAGGGCTGTGGTCAACAGCTAGGAAAAGATGTTAGATATGGTCGCAAAATAATAAAGTACTATAAGGTTTACATTTGCTCCTTTATTTAAGAAATTAGGCCAGGCACAGTGGCACACGCCTGTAACCCCAGCACTTTGGGAGGCCGAGGCAGGCAGATCACTTAATGTCAAGAGTTCAAGACCAACCTGGACAACATGGTGAAACCCCATCTCTACTAAAAATACAAAAGTTAGCCAGGCATGGTGGCACACGCCTGTAATCCCAGCTAAGTGGGAGGCTAAGGCAGAAGAATCGCTTGAACCCAGGAGGTAGAGGTTGCAGTGGGCCGAGATTGCGCCACTGTACTTCAGCATGGGTGACAGAGCGAGACTCTATCTTTTATTTATGACACATAAATTATAACAAGTGTCATCTTTCACGTGTCAAGGAAAAAAAGGTTTAAAATCGCTAATCTTAGCAATCACACTCAGAGCTGCTCAGAGCATTTTCTTGGGAATCTGCAAATATTCTTTGTTATAATTTACATAATTCCATTCATACAAATTTCATTAAAATGGGGATTACAATAACAGCAAATTTGTTGGATTATTAAGAAAAACCCGATCATTCCAAGATGGCTGAATAGGAACAGCTCCAGTCTAAAGCTCCCAGCATGAGCGACGCAGAAGACGGGTGATTTCTGCATTTCCAAAGGAGGTACCGGGTTCATCTCACTGGGACTGGCTGGACAGTGGGTGCAGCCCACGGAGTGTGAGCCGAAGCAGGGCGGGGCATCGCCTCACCCAGGAAGCACAAAGGGTCAGGGAATTCCCTTTCCTAGCCAAGGGAAGCCATGACAGATGGTCCCTGGAAAATCGGGACACTCCCGCCCTAATACTGCGCTTTTCCAATGGTCTTAGCAAACAGCACACCAGGACATTACATCCCGCGCCGGGCTCAGTGGGTCCCACGCCCACGGACCCTTGCTCACTGGTAGCACAGCAGTCCGAGATAGAACTGCGAGGTGGCAGCGATGCTGGGGGAGGTGCGACTGCCATTGCTGAGGCTTCAGTAGGTAAACAAACTGGCCAGGAAGCTCGAACTGGCTGGAGCCCACTGCAGCTCAACAAGCCTGCCTGCCTCTGTAGCCTCCACCTCTGGGGGCAGGGCATAGCTGAACAAAAGGCAGCAGAAACTTCTGCAGACTTAAACATCCCTGTCTGACAGCTTTGAAGAAAGCAGTGGTTCTCCTAGAATGGAGTTTGAGATCTGAGAACAGACACACTGCCTCCTCAAGGGGGTCCCTGACCCCCAAGCAGCCTAACTGGGAGACATCTCCCAGTAGGGGCTGACTGACACCTCATACAGCCGGGTGCCCCTCTGAGACGAAGCTCCCAGAGGAAGGATCAGGCAGCAACATTTGCTGTTCTGCAATATTTGCTGTTCTGCAGCCTCCACTGGTGATCCCCAGGCAAACAGGGTCTGGAGTGGACCTCCAACAAACTTCAACAGACCTGCAGCTGAGGGTCCTGTTAGAAGGAAAACCAACAAAGAGACAGGAATAGCATCAACATCAACAAAAAGGACATCCACACTAAAACCCCATCTGTAGGTCACCATCATCAAAGACCAAAGGTAGATAAAACCACAAAGTTGGGGAGAAACCAGAGCAGAAAAGCTGAAAATTCTAAAAACCAGAGGGCCTCTTCCCCTCCAAAGGATCGCAGCTCCTCACGAGCAATCAAATAAAGCTGGACGGAGAATGACTTTGACAAGTTGACAGAAGTAGGCTTCAGAATATCGGTAATAACAAACTTCTCAAAGCTAAAGGAGGATGTTTAAACCCATCGTAAGGAAGCTAAAAACGTTGAAAAAAGATTAGACAAATGGCTAACTAGGATAAATAGCGCAGAGAAGACCTTAAATGAACTGATGGAGCTGAAAGCCACGGCACGAGAACTACGTGACGCATGCACAAGCTTCAGCAGCCGATTCATTGAAGTGGAAGACAGATGACTGAAGATCAAATGAATGAAATGAAGCGAAAAGAGAAGTTTAGAGAAAAAAGAGTAAAAAGAAACGAACAAACCCTCCAAGAAATATGAGACTATGTGAAAACACTAAATCTATGTTTGATTGGTGTACCTGAAAGTTACAGGGAGAATGGAACCAAGATGGAAAACACTCTTCAGCATATTATCCATTATCCAGGAAAACTTCCCCAACTTCGCAAGGCAGGTCAACATTCAAAATCAGAAAATACAGAGAACGACACAAAGATACTCCTCGAGAAGAGCAACTCCAAGACACATAATTGTCAGATTCACCAAGGTTGAAATGAAGGAAAAAATGTTAAGGGCAGCCAGAGAGAAAGGTCAGGTTACGCACAAAGGGAAGCCCATCAGACTAACAGAGGATATCTCGGCAGACACTCTGCAAGTCAGAAGAGAGTGGGGGCCAATATTCAACATTCTTAAAGAAAAGAATTTTCAACCCAGAATTTCACATCCAGCCAAACTAAGCTTCAAAAGTGAAGGAGAAATAAAATCCTTTATAGAAAAGCAAATGCTGAGAGAGTTTGTCACCACCAGGCCTGCCCTAAAAGAACTCCTGAAGGAAGCACTAAACATGAAAAGGAACAACCAGTACCAGCCACTGCAAAAACATGCCAAATTGTAAAGACCATCGAGGCTAGGAAGAAACTGCATCAAATAACGAGCAAAATAACCAGCTAACATCATAATGACGGGATCAAATTCACACCTAACAATATTAAATTTAAATGTAAATGGGCTAAATGCCCCAATTAAAAGACACAGACGAGCAAATTGGATAGAGCCAGGACCCATCAGTGTGCTGTATTCAGGAGACCCAACTCACCTGCAAAGACACACATAGGCTCAAAACAAAGGAACGGAGGAAGATCTACCAAGCAAACGGAAAACAAACAAAAAAAAGCAGGGGTTGCAATCCTAGTCTGATAAAACAGACTTTAAACCAACAAAGATCAAAAGAGACAAAGAAGGCCATTACATAATGGTAAAGGGATCAACAAGAAGAGCTAACTATCCTAAATATGTATGCACCCAATAAAGAAGCACCCAGATTCATAAAGCAAGTCCTTACAGATCTACAAAGAGACTTAAAGACTCCTACTACACAATAATAATGGGAGACTTTAACACCCCACTGTCAATATTAGACAGATCAACGAGACAGAAAGTTAACAAGGATATCCAGGAATTGAACTCAGCTCTGCACCTAGTGGACCTAATAGACATCTACAGAACTCTCCACCCAAAATCAACAGAAAATACATTCTTCTCAGCACCACATCACACTTATTCCAAAATTCACCACATAGTCGGAAGTAAAGCACTCCGCAGCAAATGTAAAAGAACAGAAATCATAACAAACTGTCTCTCAGACCACAGTGCAATCAAGTTAGATCTCAGGATTAAGAAACTCACTCAAAACTGCTCAACTACATGGAAACTGAACAACCTGCTCCTGAATGACTACTGGGTAAATAACAAAATGAAGGCAAAAATAAAGGTGTTCTTTGAAACCAGTGAGAACAAAGACACAACATACCAGAATCTCTGGGACACATTTAAAGCAGTGTGTAGAGGGAAATTTATAGCTCTAAATGCCCACAAGAGGAAAGATCTAAAATCGACACCCTAACATCACAATTAACAGAACTAGAGCAGCAAGAGCAAACACCTTCAAAAGCTAGCAGAAGGCAAGAAATAACTAAGATCAGAGCAGAACTGAAGGAGACAGAGACACAAAAAAACCCTTCAAAAAATCAATGAATCCAGGGGCTGTTTTTTTGAAAAGATCAGCAAAATAGACCACTAGAGAGACTAAGAAGAAAAGAGAGAAGAATCAAATAGATGCAATAAAAAATGATAAAGGGGATATCACCACCAATCCCACAGAAATACAAACTACCATCAGAGAATACTATAAACACCTCTACGCAAATAAACTAGAAAATCTAGAAGAAATGGGTAAATTCCTGCAAACATACACCCTCCCAAGACTAAACCAGGAAGAAGTTAAATCTCTGAATAGACCAATAACAGGTTCTGAAATTGAGACAATAGCCTACCAAGCAAAAAAAGTCCAGGACCAGACAGATTCACAACCAAATTCTACCAGAGGTACAAAGAGGAGCTGGCACCATTCCTTCTGAAACTATTTCAATCAATAGAAAAAGAGGGAATCCTCCCTAATTCATTTTATGAGGCCAGCATCATCGTGATACCAAAGCCTGGCAGAGACACATCAAAAAAAGAGAGTTTTAGACCAACATCCTGATGAACATCAATGCAAAAATCCACAATTAAATATTGGCAAACTGAATGCAGCAGCACATGAAAAAACGTATCCACCACGAACAAGTCGGCTTCATCCCTGGGATGCAAGGCTGCTTCATTCAATATACGCAAATCAATAAACGTAATCCATCACATAAACAGAACCAACGACAAAAACCACATGATTATCTCAATAGATGCAGAAAAGGCCTTTGACAAAATTCAACAGTACTTCATGCTAAAAACTCTCAATAAACTAGGTATTGATGGACTGTATCTCAAAATAATAAGAGCTATTTATGACAAACCCACAGCCAATGTCATGCTGAATGGGCAAAAACTAGAAGCATTCCCTTTGAAAACTGGCACAAGACAGGCATGCCCTCTCTCACCACATGTATTCAACATAGTGTTAGAAATTCTGGCCACGGCAATCAGGCAAGAGAAAGAAATAAAGGGTTTTCAATTAGGAAAAGAGGAAGTCAAACTGTCCCTGTTTGCAGATGACATCATTGTATATTTAGAAAACCCCATCGTCTCAACCCCAAATCTCCTTAAACTGGTAAGTAACTTCAGCAAAGTCTCGGGATACAAAATCAATGTGCAAAAATCACAAGCATTCCTATACACCAATAAGAGACAAACAGACAGCCAAATCATGAGTGAACTCCCATTCACAATTGCTTCAAAGAGAATAAAATACCTAGCAATCCAACTTACAAGGGATTTGAAGGACCTCTTCAAGGAGAACTACAAACCACTGCTCAATGAAATAAAAGAGGACACAAACAAATGCAAGAACATTCCATGCTCATGGATAGGAAGAATCAGTATCGTAAAAATGGCCATAATGCCCAAGGTAATTTATAGATTCAATGCCATCCCCAACAAGCTACCAATGACTTTCTTCACAGAATTGAAAAAAAGTGTTTTAGCGTTCATATGGAACCGAAAAAGAGCCCGCATTGCCAAGTCAATCCTAAGCCAAAAGAACAAAGCTGGAGGCATCACACTACCTGACTTCAAACTATACTACAAGGCTACAGTAACCAAAACAGCATGGTACTGGTACCAAAACAGAGATATAGACCTATGGAACAAAACAGAGCCCTCAGAAATAATACCACACATCTATAACCATGTGATCTTTGACAAATCTGACAAAAACAAGAAATGGGGAAAGGATTCCCTATTTAATAAATGGTGCTGGGAAAACTGGCTAGCCATATGTAGAAAGCTGAAACTGGATCCCTTCCTTACACCTTATATAAAAATTATTTCAAGATGGATTAAAGACTTAAATGTTAGACCTGAAACCATAAAAACCCTAGAAGAAAACCTAGGCAATACCATTCAGGACATAGGCATGGGCAAGGACTTCATGTCTAAAACACCAAAAGCAATGGCAACAAAAGCCAAAATTGACAAATGGGATCTAATTAAAGAGCTCTGCACAGCAAAAGAAACTACCATCAGAGTGAACAGGCAACCTATAGAATGGGAGAAAATTTTTGCAATCTATCCATCTGAAAAAGGGCTAATATCCAGAATCTACAAAGAGCTTAAACAAATTTACAAGAAAAAATCAAACAGCCCCATCAAAAAGTGGGCAAAGGACATGAACAGACACTTCTCAAAAGAAGACACTTATGCAGCAACAGACACATGAAAAAATGCTCATCATCACTGGCCATCAGAGAAATACAAATCAAAACCACAATGAGATACCATCTCACACCAGTGAGAATGGCAATCATTAAAAAGTCAGGAAACAACAGATGCTGGAGAGGATGTGGAGAGATAGGAATGCTTTTACACCGTTGGTGAGACTGTAAACTGGTTCAACCACTGTGGAAGACAGTGTGGTGATTCCTCAAGGATCTAGAACTAGAAATACCATTTGACCCAGCCATCCCATTACTGGGTATATACCCAAAGGATTATAAATCATGCTATTATAAAGACACATACACACGGATGTTTACTGCGGCACTATTCACAATAGCAAAGACTTGGAACCAACCCAAATGTCCAACAATGATAGACTGGATTAAGAAAATGTGGCACATATACACCATGGAATACCATGCAGCCATAAAAAAGGATGAGTTCATGTCCTTTGTAGGGACATGGATGAAGGTGGAAACCATCATTCTGAACAAACTATCGCAAGGACAGAAAACCAAACACCGCATGTTCTCACTCATAGGTGGGAATTGAACAATGAGAACACTTGGACACAGCGTGGGGAATATCACACACCGGGACTTGTCGTGGGGTGGGGGGAGGGGGTAGGGATAGCATTCGGAGAAATACCTAATGTAGATGACGAGTTAATGGGTGCAGCACACCAACATGGCACATGTATACACATGTAACAAACCTTCACGTTGTGCACATGTACCCTAGAACTTGACGTATAATAATAATAAAAAAAAAAAGAAAAAGCCAACAAAATACATAAAATGGCCCAGTAGAGTCTGCCACAGAAGATTAAATACGTAAGAATGTCCTACAAGCATTTTCTTTTCCCCCCCGAAGGACAATTCTCCAGGTGACCTTGGATGGACCCAGTTCTCCCTGATCCTCCCTGTATTCTTAAGAATTAACTGTAGAAACTTCTGGGAATGAAACATCCTGAGAAAGGGAAGGACTGGCAGGAGAAGCCCAGGTTCTGTTTAAATCCCTGCCCGAAACAGGATGTCCTTCCACACTTTAGCCCATCAGTTCTGTGGCCCCTAGAGTATAAAACCCATGTCACGCTGCTTTCTGAGGTCCTGCAGCTGTGTTGAAAGTGAAGCACACGCAGATGAGACTCCATCCACCCCAGGCAGCTTTCCTCAGCTTTGAGAGACTGGCGCACAAGAAATCCTCAGGCTTCTTCTGGCCCTCACTACCTGTCTGTAAGTAATAAAGCAGCTTCCCGTAAGTTCTGTCTCACTGAACTTGGACAAGTTGGTAACCAGTGCACAGTGACCCTGTTTCACACCCTCCACTTCATTAGTTCATTGATTCAGCAAACATTTAGTGAGTATCTAGCACATGTCAACCTCTATGCTAGGTACTGGGAATGAGAAATATTAACCTAAAGAAGAGACTCGAGTCTCTCCCCTAACACAAAAGTCCAGCTTTCAGATACCTGATGTCAAAAATGGTACAGATAAAGGGAATCTTTGTTTTCCTATTTTGCATCTTAATTTTAATACTGTCAATCAGATTTTTATATTCCAAATAAATGTTTTATATTAAAGGCACTCTGTATTCTCAAACACTAGAATTTTTATTGGGTATTTAAAAAAGAAAAAATACCATCAATAAACAAAACAAGGCTACAATCTTCAAAACTTCTCCTAAGAGTTAACATGGATGATATGACATCCACCTAAACACAATATTAATTTACTAGTATAATAAAGTTAGAACAGCTAGATAATGAGCTTGGAGAGTGTGTGTCTCAACAATTTCCAATCAAACAGAACCCTAGATGCGACTGGGAGATTTGTTTTTATAAATTATGTACATATTCTGAAATATCTGCTCATAAATATGACTAGTCTGGTTTTAAGAACATGTTGGGAAAATGCTCCCAGTGACTCTATTAATACAGTACAGCCTAAAGTCAGAAAGAAAGGGTAGCCAAGAGAGGTATCTGCACTAAAGGTACATAAATATTTAAACACCAGCGTCGATAAGAAAGGAAATAATAAGAAAGGAGTGTACAATGTGTGCTAAAAGCTACCTTTATAAATATAAAAAATAAGACATTTCAGGCCGGGTGCACTTGATCATACCTGTAATCCCAGAACTTCGGGAGGACGAGGCAGGTGGATCACCTGAGGTCAAGAGTTCGAAACCAACCTGGCCAACATGGTGAAACCACTTCTCTATGAAAAATACAAAAATTAGCCGGGTGTGGTGGCGTGCACTTCTAATCCTAGCTACTCGGGAGCCTGAGGTGGGAGAATCACTTGAATCCGGGAGGCGGAGGCTGCAGTGGGCCAAGACCTCACCACTGCACTCCAGCCTGGGTGACAGAGCAAGACTCCATCTCAAAAAAAAAAAAAAAAAAAAAAAAAAGACCTTTGAAAGTACAATAGAAGATGGGTGAGAAATATGAGGAAGAGAATCTGCCTTGTGTTCCCATGACAACTAAACAGGTAGGGCGGCATGGGGGAGCCCATGCAGGAGGTCAGGCCTGCCCTAGGCTGCTTTCCCAGCTCTAAAATTCAGACAATTCCATATGACGATAAACAAATGGAAATGTCTCCCAAACTAGACAAAATCCTCCTCCCATACTAAATCTTAGTACAAATAGTTAGACTTCTTTAACAGTTTCCTTAAATACACAATTTCACATAAAATATCTTTTTCGAGATCGCTAGAAATAGTAATAAAAAGGTGAAGAATGGAAAAAAGCCCGATAGAAGGCAGAGCTGCAGCAAATACATTGGTGGTATTCTCCATGCGCAACTCCGAGAAACACGTCCTGTGTGGTTTTGGCAGGGACTGCAGAGGGGAAGATTCTGTAGGAGCTGCTGAGAATGCCAAGCCAGATAGTGCTGCTGCTTTCTATGTGCTGTGATGAGAAGTTATAATAGATGGCAATAAAGGTCTAGCAAAGGAATCTGAAAAATGCTCCTGGATGCACACAGGAATATTCCCATATGTTTTTCCACCATGAGCGACAAATGTTACTAGTGGCTCTGGAAACCAAAACTTAGGAAGTGGGTATCAACAATGTAAAACTTAGACAACAGCAAACACAGGGGTGGAGATCCAGGTGTAGGGAAAAAAAAGTTCTGTTTTGCATAAGAATTATCTGCAACAAAGTAAAACATTAAACTGAGAAAAAAAATTGAAAATGGAACAGAAAATGGAATTTAGTATTTACTAACCTATTATTACTAATTTAAATGTGTGGAATACTTTTTAGTTCCCAATTTTTTTTTTAAACAAACAAAAACCATGCATGTTTATTTATCTCTAAAGGCCCTGACCTGCAACCAAAGTCCTGCTGGTATTATTCTTCCCATAGGTTTTAAGTTACTTACACAGAAATTCTTCTGCTATGAGACATTTTTAAGAACATATTCTTACATATGGAAAGGGAATATCATACTACCTCATAGCCTTGCTGTGAAAATTAAATGGCATAGACAAATATGTCAGGAAAGGTTATCTATCAGTACACTGTTTCAACTCCAATTTTTCTAATGCCAACTGAGTGTACTGCAATTCAATTCTGACATTAACTACCTGAGTTAGCACAGACCCCACAGGTGAAGGGTAAAGTCCTCCACAAGGCTGCCCTCACTTCTGATATGTCAGTCTCAGGAACGGGCATCCCCCCCAAGCTGACTGGCTACAGAGGGGCTCCCACAGTCCATTCAGGTTTAATAATTCACTACAACTCATAGAACTCAGGAAAAGTGCTACACTTACAACTAGTTTAACTATAAAAGATACACACAGGGTGAGGTTTGGGAAGGTCCCAGACACAGAGCTTCCATAACCTCTCCTAACTCCATGATGTGGAGCCAGGATGCATCAGTCTCCAGACACTGATGTGTTTGCTAACCAGGAAGAGCCACTGAGCTTTAGTATCCAGAATTTTAAGTTTCATTATGCAGGAATGATTGATTACATCAGTGACCTCCCTAGAGTTCAGGTGGCTGAAGGCCCAGCCTTCTAAACATGTGTTTGGTATTTCTAGTGATGAACCTTCAGAGATCTCCACCTAATTACGCAACAAAGACACTCCAAGGATTTTTGGGGTTTTTTTGGTTGTTGTTGTTTTGTTTTTTCACACACGGTCTCACTCTGTCACCCAGACTGGAGTGCAGTGGCGCAATGTCGGCTCACTGCAACCTTCGCCTCCTGGGTTCAAGTGATTCTCCCACCTCAGACTCCTGAGTAGCTGAGACTACAGGGTGCCACCATGTCCAGACAGTTTTTGTATTTTTAGTAGAGACGGGGTTTCGCCATGTTAGCCAGCCTCATCTCAAACTCCTGACCTCAAGTGATCTACCCACCTCGGCCTCCCAAAGTGCTGGGATTACAAGCATGAGCCACTGCACCTGGCCTATTCACGTTTATTGTACGTGTTGAGAAAAAGCCAGAAACCGAACTTAAACTTCGAGTCCCACGGTTATATCTCCCCTTGGGAACTCGTAGCCATAAAGGACAAAATGCCCCTAAAGCACACATTTATTGATAAAGCCCATAACCTCTTTTGTGTTAGAAACTTCATCTACTTGGAAGGTGAAGAAAGAAGGCATAATATAAAATCATAACAGCCACTAAAAATAATAAACATGAAAAACTGGAAAAGCCCCACAAAATTATACTACATCTATAATACATTTATGGAAAGACTACATTTACACTTATGGATAGAAATGAAAGCAGCAATAGAAGAATGTAAACAGTCCAGGCGCGGTGGCTCACGCCTGTAATCCCAGCAGTTTGGGAGGCCGAGGCAGGTGGATCACGAGGTCATGAGTTCCAGACCAGCCTGCCCAACATAGTGAAACCCCGTCTATACTAAAAATACAAAAAATTAGGCAGCTGTGGTGGTGGGTGCCTATAATCCCAGCTACTTGGGAGGCTGAGGCAGGAGACTTGCTTGAACCTGGGAGGCAAAGGTTGCAGTGAGCCGAGATCACACCATTGCACTCCAGTCCAGGCGACAGTGCGAGACTCCACCTCAAAAAAAAAAAAAAAAAAGATTGTAAACAGTTATGTTATGCTCAACATGTATTCAGCTTAAAGTTTTTGTTTTAAATAAAAAAGTGAGTTTTCCTTTTCACTCTAAACAGTCCTCTAAATGCAAAGAATATCCTTATCTTGTGGGTTTTTTAAATAAATACCCATTTTCACAAGCCCCAGTACTTAGTTCACTCTCATCTACTGATCTTCTCCAGGTAAGCGAAAAAAACATGGAAATTATTAAGATATAGGTTAATTACATAAAAAGAATGGTAAATAAATTTTCATCTTCAAATATTTTTCTCTGGCTACAATCACACACACATGGGGAATTAGTTTTTAATAGGAGCATGTTAGGTTAGTTCTCCATAGAAAAATAGTAGGATCATAGTAAATTCGTTCTCAGTAGAAACACAGTAAATTAAACAGAAGGGGCAATCTTATCAAAGCACAACCTAGAACATTTTCAGTTTGTTTTTTCTAAAAAAGGCAGAAAATCGCTAAACTTCCAAAAATCTAATCCCATGATTCTGTGTTAAATCTTAATTCTTGAATGGTGAATCATTTCTGAAAGATGATATTTAAAACGGAAATGTTAAATATTTAAAATCCCTCTGAGCAGTTGTACTAAGACAAATTCAAAGATCTAGTTAATAGTGACCTCTTGCTCATGAAGGTTCACTCTAAGTAGTACTTTTATCTAAACTACAACAATGCAAGCTCAATTGATTTTATTCATTTTGTCCTTTACTCTTAAAAGTAATTCCCTATTCTCACCTACATTAAGCCATTTAGGCTGAAAGACGTCAAGGCTGACCCCCCCACAACAGCTGGGATGGTATCTACTAACATAAATTTGAGCAGGACTACCCTTAGGATACGTGGAAGCCCTGGGCAAATAATTTTTTGTGAGGCCTCTTTATGTATAAATAATTTGATTTTAAAGTATATTACAAAATGATGGGCCAATGGACACTAGAATGATTTTTCAATAAAGTTTTAGAACATTAGATAGAAAATAGATACTCTTAAGTATTTATTTATTGTTCAATCATGCACAAGAACTTTCTTCAAAGTGTCCAGGCACCATCTCTAAGTTCTTCATTGTTCTATCTGCTTTTCCTGGCTGATTTCCTAACTTTCACCCAAGAAAAAGGCAACAACACTAGTATTGCTCACAATGCCATGGCTCCCATGACATGTTAGTATTGAAACAACATATATCTGCTGCAGTTCATTAATGCCATTTATTTAATGCTGGTTCAATCATTACTAATGATGCTGCATCTTCCACTGTAATATATACGAATACAAACTTCCAATGACTCTCTCAAAGGTAGTTATTGTGTTTCATTTGACAATTTCAAACTTTCTGGTCATGTTAAATTTATATGGGGAATTTCATACCATAAAAGTAGAACAACATATCTTTTAACCATGTCCCATCTTGAAATCTTCAGGCCAAGCTTACCACTAGATCATTACAAGAATGTAATCTCTTTCCATTTGGAATGCACCTGTGGCCTCCCACACACCACCACCAGGAAAGGGACAGGCAAGAGACCTACAGGCTGGGGATAAGAGTACAGAAATGGAAAAGCTTACTCTAAACTTCATATAGAGACACAAAAGAATAAGAAGAACCAAAACAACCTTGAAAAAGAAATCAAAGTTATAGGACTCTCACTTTCCAATTTTAAAACCTATTATAAAATTACATTAATTAAGGTAAGGTGAAACTGACATGAGGATAGACATATAGACCAATGGAACTGAATAGAAAATCCAGAAATAAACCTATACACCTACAGTAAACTAATTTTTCACAAGGGTGCCATGACCTTGAAATACTAAAAGAACACTCTGCTTAAAACATGGTGCTACAACAGCTGAATATTCACATGCAAAGTAATAAATCTGGACACCTACCTAACACACTACCAAAAAAGTTAATTCAAAACGGACCATACACCTAATTGAAAAGCTGAAACTATAAAGATCTTAGAAGAAAACACAGGTATAAATCTTCATGACCTTTTTTTTTTTTTTTAAACAATGGTTTCTTACATGTGACACAAAAAGCAGCAGCAACCAAAAACATACTAAAAACAAAAACTTTTATGGAAAAAAAGATGGTATTAAGGAGGTGAAAATAAAACCCAATGATGGGAAAAAATATTTACAAATCATACATCTGGGAAAAAAAAAGACTTGTACACCGAATACATACGGAACTCTGACAAGTCAATAATAAAAACACAAATAAAGGCCAGGTGTGGTGGCTCATGCTTATAATCCCAGCACTTTGGGAGGCTGAGGCAGGAAGATCACTTGAGTCCAGAAGTTCAAGACAAGCCTGGGCAACACAGCAGAACCTTGTCTCTACAAAAAAATTAAACAATTAGCCAGAGGTGGTGGTAGGCCCCTCTGTAGTCCCAGTTACTCAGGAGGCAGAGGTGGAAGGTCAGGTTGAACCCAGGAGGTCGAGGCTGTCGTAAGTTATCATCAGACCCCTGCACTCCAGCCTGGGTGATAGAGCAAGACTCTGTCTCAAAAAAGAAGCAAAACCAAACAAAACACACACACACAAGCCAATTGAAAAATGGGCAAAGAATTTAAATAGACGTTTCTCCAAAGAACATATACAAATGGCCAATAAGCACATGAAAATATCCTTAGCCATTAGAGAAATGCAAATCAAAACAAAAAAGATACCATTCCACACCCACTTAGAATGCTATAATGAAAAGTGAGGTGAAGGGCTGTGTTGATAAGAATATGGAGAAACTGCAGACCCTCAAACATTTCTAGTGGGAATGCAGAACAGTGCAGCCACTTCAGAGAAAAATGTCAGTTCCTTAAAAAGTGAAATACAAAGATAACATGATCTAACAATTTGACTTCTAGGTATATATACAAGAGAACTGCACACATATTGAAACCAACTCCAACAGTCCCACAGTTTTTTAATACAAACATAGAAATTATTTTAAGCTTAAAACTTATATTTATCTGAGTTCCTTCCTCAGGGAACAACCTTCTGCTCTGAGTTTCTTCCTCAGGAAATGACCTTCTGCTCTCAAAAAATATCAAAGAACTGAAATTCACCAGATCACCACATCCAAACAATGAGATGCTGGAAGCTTCATCATGATTGCTTCCTTGCCCCTCCCTAGCTCCTGTTTTGTTACACATTGTTACATTTTTTCCTGCTACCTAAACCCCTAATTTTAGTTGGTCAGGGAGAGGGATTTAAGACTGAGCTCCCATCTCCCCAGCCATAGCACCCAATTAAAGCCTTCTTCTTTGGCAATACTCTTTGTCTCAGTCACTGGCTTTCTGTGCGGCAAGCAACAGGACCTAGACCAAACCCCTGGTGTTTCAGTAACAGTATGTTCACAGAAAAACTTGTGGATCAATTTCAGAGCAACAGTATTCATAACAGCCAAAAAGTGTAAAAACACCAAACATAAAACAAGTGGTGAACAGATTTTTAAAATGTGCTACATCTATACAATGGACTACTACTAACCTCCAAAACCGAAAAGCAAACAGGGAAGAGACTGAAAAAAATAGAGTATCTAAGAAGTGTGGGAAAACTATAATAAAATGTACACTTAATGGGAATACCAGAAGCAGAGAAAAAGGGACATTAGAAATATTTGAAACAACAATGACTGAGAATCTCCCCAAATTACTGTTACACACCAAACCACACACAGATCCGAGAAACTAAGAACAGCAAGCTAGACAAATGCAGAATTAAAAAAAAAAAAGCAAAAACTTAGGCATATCATTTTTCAACTACAGAAAAATCTAACAAAAACAAATTTCTGAAGGAAGTTGAAGGGGGTGAAAACACCTTATTTACAGAGAAGCAAAGATAACAACTTCTTCTCAGAAACAGTGCAAGCAAGAGTAGACTGAAATGTTTAAACTGTTGTGAGAGGCCTGGGCATGGTGGCTCACGCCTGTAATCCCCACTTTGGGAGGCCGACGTGGGTGTATCACTTGAGGCCAGGAGTTCAAGACCAGCCTGGCCACCATGGCAAAACCCCGTCTTTACTAAAAATATAAAAATTAGCCAGATATGGTGGTGCACACCTGTAATCCTAGCTACTCGGGAGGCTGAGGCAAGAGAATCACTTGAACCTGGGAGGTGGAGGTTGCAGTAAGCTGAGATTGCACCACTGCACTCCAGCCTGGGCAAGAGAACGAGACTCCCATTTCAAAAAGAAACCAAAACAAACAAACAAAAAACCACATAAACAAAGAATGAACTGTTGTGAGAAAAAAAATTACCAATCTAGAATTCTGTAGTGAGTAAAATCATACTTCAAAACTGAAGGAAAAATATCTTGTCAGATGAACAAAAATTGAGTCACTTTGTTGCCAAAAAAACTGCCTTGCAAGAAGTATTAAAAGAAGTTCTACAGAAGAAAGAAAATAATATAGGTCGGAAATTCAGTTCTACATAAAGAAAGGAAGAGCTGATGAAGGAATAAATTAGACAGTAAAATTTTATTTTTTTATTCTTAATTGACCTAACAGATAATGGTTTGGTCAAAATAGTAACAGCAACATGTATTCAATTATGTATGCTCTTATATGTATTTATGTATGCTTACATGTAAGTAAAATGAATGCCAGGAACAGAAGGAGAAATTAGGATAATTTTGCTATTATACTCCACATTATCTGTAAATGTGTAACAGTGTTATTGGAAAGTTGGCTTGCATTAGTTGTAAATGTATACTGCAAACTCTAAGGCAACCATTTTAAAAGCTAAGAAAGAAGTGTAAGGGATATACTAAGAAAATGAGAAAAAAATAGAATCATATAAAATGCTCAAAGAGTGGAAAATAAAAATAAGAACAAAGGACAAGAACAACAAATAGAAACCAGTAACAAATATGGTAGATATTAATCCAATTATACCAATGATGATTTTAAAAGTCAACACACCAATTAAAAGACAAATTGTCAAAATGCAATAAAAAACAAGAGCCAACTGCATGTTGTCTACAAGAAACTCACTTCATATGTAAAGATACATATAAACTAAAAGTAAATGGATTGAAGAAAGATATATCATGCTAACATTAACCAAAGAAAAGCAGGAGTAGCCTATTAATTTCAGGCAGAATACACTTAAAGCAAGGAAAGTTATCAAGGATAAAGAGGGGCATTACCCAATGATAAAGGATTCAATTGTCCAAGAAGACACAACAATCCTTTACATGTATATACCTATCAACAGAGTGTTAACATAAAGTAAAAACAAACTGCAAAGTGAAATAAATTAGTCCACTATCATAATCCGAGACTTCAAGATCTCTCACAGAAATGGACAGATTTAGCAGGCAGAAAATCCATAAAGATATATTTGAACACAATAACACCACCTATCAACTGGATATAATTGACATTTATAGACCACTTCATCCAACAATAGCAGAATACATATCCTCTAGATTACATGGAACATTCATCAAAACAGATAACATTCTAGGCCATAAAATACATGTTAACAAATTTTTAAAAACAGAAATTATATAACATCTTCTCTAAGATCAAAATAAAGATCAATTAACAGAAAGATACATG
This sequence comes from Homo sapiens, assembly GCF_000001405.40. Lineage (NCBI taxonomy): Eukaryota > Metazoa > Chordata > Mammalia > Primates > Hominidae > Homo > Homo sapiens. The sequence goes on along the minus strand of NC_000008.11, from coordinate 47,334,090 downwards.
GAACATCCCAAAATATGTGAAAACTAAACAAAATACTTCTAAATACACATGGGTCAAAGAAGAAATCTGATGAGAAATTTATAAACGTTTTCAACTATATGAAAATAATACACAACTTACCAAAATTTGTGGGATGTAGTGAAAGCAATGCTTAGAGGAGAAATTTATAGCACTAAACGCATATACAGTCACATGCCACATAATGATGTTTTTGTCAATGAACACACCTCATATACAACGCTGGTCTTGTAAGATTACAATGGAGCTGAAATTCCTATTACCTAATGATGTCATGGCAGTTGTAACCTTATAGTGCAATGCATTTTTCACATGTTCATGGTGAAGCTGTTGTAAACAGACTTACTGTATGCTGCCAGCTGTATAAAACTATAGCACATATAATTATGTATGTGTTTGATAATGACTATGGTACTAATCTATGTATTTACTATACTATACTTTTTATCATTATTTTGAAGTATATTCCATGGCCAGGTGTGGTGGCTCATGCCTGTAATCCCAGAACTTTGGGAGGCTGAGGTGGGGATCACCTGAGGTCAGGAGTTTGAGACCAGCCTGGCCAACATGGTGAAACCCTGTCTCTACTAAAAATACAAAAAAATTAGCCAGGTGTAGTGGTGCATGCCTGTAATCCCAGCTACTCGGGAGGCTGAGACAGGAGAATTGCTTGAACCCAGGAGGCCGAGGTTGCAGTGAGCCAAGATTGCACCACTGCATTCCAGACTGGGTTACAGAGCAAGACTCCATCTAAAAAAATAATAACAATAATAATAAAGTATGCTCCTTTCACTTATTTTTCTTAAGTTAACTGTAAAACATCCTCAAGATCCTCAAGCAGATCCCTTCAGGAGGTATTCCAGAAGAAGGCACTGATATCATACAAGATGACAGCTCCATGAGTGTTACTGCCCCTGAAGACCTTTCAGTGGAATAAGATACGGAGGTGGAAGACAGTGATACTGATGATCCTGACCCTGTGTAGACCTAGGCTAATGTGTGTGTCTGTGCCTTAGTTTTTAACAAAAGCAATGGCAACAAAAGACAAAATTGACAAATGGGATCTAATTAAACTAAAGAGCTTCTGCACAGCAAAAGAAACTACCATCAGAGTGAACAGGCAACCTACAACATGGGAGAAAATTTTTGCAACCTACTCATCTGACAAAGGGCTAATATCCAGAATCTACAATGAACTCAAACAAATTTACAAGAAAAAAACAAACAACCCCATCAAAAAGTGGGCGAAGGACATGAACAGACACTTCTCAAAAGAAGACATTTATGCAGCCAAAAAACACATGAAGAAATGCTCATCATCACTGGCCATCAGAGAAATGCAAATCAAAACCACTATGAGATATCATCTCACACCATTTAGAATGGCAATCATTAAAAAGTCAGGAAACAACAGGTGCTGGAGAGGATGTGGAGAAATAGGAACACTTTTACACTGTTGGTGGGACTGTAAACTAGTTCAACCATTGTGGAAGTCAGTGTGGCGATTCCTCAGGGATCTAGAACTAGAAATACCATTTGACCCAGCCATCCCATTACTGGGTATATACCCAAATGAGTATAAATCATGCTGCTATAAAGACACATGCACACGTATGTTTATTGCGGCATTATTCACAATAGCAAAGACTTGGAACCAACCCAAATGTCCAACAATGATAGACTGGATTAAGAAAATGTGGCACATATACACCATGGAATACTATGCAGCCATAAAAAATGATGAGTTCATATCCTTTGTAGGGACATGGATGAAATTGGAAACCATCATTCTCAGTAAACTATCGCAAGAACAAAAAACCAAACACCGCATATTCTCACTCATAGGTGGGAATTGAACAATGAGATCACATGGACACAGGAAGGGGAATATCACACTCTGGGGACTGTGGTGGGGTCGGGGGAGGGGGGAGGGATAGCATTGGGAGATATACCTAATGCTAGATGACACATTAGTGGGTGCAGCGCACCAGCATGGCACATGTATACATATGTAACTAACCTGCACAATGTGCACATGTACCCTAAAACTTAGAGTATAATAAAAAAAAAAAAAAAAAAAAAAGAGAAAAAAAAAAAAAAAAAAAAAGTTTAAAAAAATTTTTTAAATAGAAAAAAGCTGACAGAATATATAAGCTGAGATCACGCCACTGCACTCCAGCCTGGACAACAGAGACTCTCTCTCAAAAAAAAATACTTCTGTACAGCTGAACAATATGTTTATGTTTTAAGCTAAGTGTTATTACAAAAGAGCTATTACAAAGTGGTATTACTAAAGAGTCAAAAAGTGAAAAAAATGAAGAAGAAGTAAAAACGTTACAGTAAGCTAAGATTAATTTATTATTGAAGAAAGAAAATTTTTAAAAATAAGTTTAGTGTAGTCTAAGTGTACTATGTTTATAAAGTTGATAGTAGTGTATGGTAATGTCCTAGGCCTTCACATTCACTCAACACTCACTCACTGACTCACCCAGAGCACCTTTCAGTTCTACAAGCTCCATTCATGGTAAGTGCCCTATACATGTATACCACTGTTTATCTTTTATGCCATATTATAATGTACCTTTTCTATGCTTAGATACATAAATAACTACCTTTGTGTTCCAATTGTCTACAGTATCCAGTACAGTAAAATGCTATAAAGGTTTGCAGCCTAGATATAGGCTTAACCATATAGTGTAGGTGTGTAGTAGACTAAACCACCTAGGTTTGAGTAAGAACACTCTATGATGTTCGCACAAGGACAAAATCACCTAATAATGACACATTTCTTCAGGATGTATTCTGATCACTAAATGACATCTGACTGCTTTAAAAAAGAAAAATGATCAAAATCAATAATCTAAGCTTTACCTTAGAAACTAATAATTGGCCAAAAGCCTTAACAGATATCTCTCCAAAGAAGATACAGATACAGATGGCAAATAAGTACAAGAAAAGATGCTCCACATCATATATTACCAGAGAAATGCAAATTTAAACAACACTGAGATATCATGACATACTTACTAGAATGGCTAAAATTCCTAACACTGACACCACCAAATGCTGACAAGAATATGGAGCAACAGGAACTCTTTTGCTGGTGGGAATGCAAAATGTTACAGCCACTTTGGAAGACAGTTTGGCAGTTTCTTATAAAACTAAAAATACTCTTACCAATACAATCCAATAGTTGCTCTGCTTGGTATCTACTCAAAGGAGTTGAAAGTTTATCTCCACACGGAAACTTCCAAATGTATGTTTATAGCACCTTCAATCATAATTGCCAAAACCTAGAAGCAACCCAGATGTCTCTTGGTAGATGAATGGATAAAGTGTTATATCCAGACAATGGAACATAATTCAGTGCTGAAAAGAAATAAGTTATCAAGCTATGAAAAGACATGGAGGAAAGTTCAATACATATTACTAAGTGAAAGAAGGCACTCCAAAAAAGCCATACTATATGATTCCAACTGTATGACATTCTGGATAAGGCAAAACTATAGAGATGGTAAAAAGATCAGTGGTTTCGAGAGATTAGGGTGGAGAGAATGATTACTAGGCAGAGCACAGAGGATTTTTAGTGCAGTGTCACTGCTCTGTATGACATAATGGTAGACATATATTTTTATACATTTGTTCAAACTCACAGAATATACAACGCCAAGAATTAACCCTGATAGAAACTAGTGACTTTGCGTAAGAAAGATGTGTATACACGGGTTCATCAACTGTAACAAATATACCATTCTGGTGGGGGATATGTTGATAATAGGAAAGCTATGCATATGTGGGGGAGGGAATTATGGGATACCTCTGTACCTTCCTTTCAGTTTTTCTGTAAAACTAAAGATGCTTTAAAAAAAAAAAGCACCTTAAGAAAAGCACCACCACCAAAAAAATGAAGGCATGATAAATACATTTTTAGATAAACAAAAACTGATTATTGCTTGCAGACCCACCTGATAAAATATACACACAGAATTTCTTAAGGCTGAAGGAAAGTGACCTAAGAATCCACACAAGTCCACATGAAAAATCTGGGTGTCAGTAAAAGTAATTATCTAATTAAAACTCAGCATATGTGCGTATTTGTTTTCTTAGCTGATTTTAAAAAACTGCACAAAATATGTACGTAATTGTACTATTGTACCTATAACATATAGAAATGTCATATATCTGTGAGTAACAGAAGAGTGGTGGGTGGGAACAAAGCTTTACCAAACTAAGGAAACACCACCAGATGGTAACAGGATTCCATAGGAACCAATGAAGAGAACAAAAAATGGTAAATAAGAAGGGTCATCTAACACTATAAACGTATACTTGCTCTCCTTTCTTTTCCCTTCTATAAAAGACAAAATTATACTAATAATTATAACAGATACAATATGTATAACAATAATAGCATAAAAAGGAGGAAGAGAAAGTAGAGCCATATAGTGGTAATGTTTCTATGCGTGACTGGCATAAAACTAGTAACAAATCTAAGGAAGATTTGGTTGAGATGTACCTGATAAGCACTAAAGCAACCCATGAAATCTCACTCAAAAACATATTGTAGGCTGGGTACAGTGGCTCACACCTGTAATACAACACGTTGCGAGGCCAAGGTGGACAGACCACTTGAGGCTAGGAGTTAGAGACCAGCCTGGCCAACATGGTGAAACCCTGTCTCTACAAAAAAATACAAAAATTGGGTCGGGCGCGGTGGCTCACGCCTGTAATCCCAGCACTTTGGGAGGCTGAGGCGGGCGGATCATGAGGTCAGGAGATCGAGACCATCCTGGCTAACACGGTGAAACCCCATCTCTACTAAAAATACAAAAAAATCAGCCGGGCGTGGTGGCGGGTGCCTGTAGTCCCAGCTACTCGGGAGGCTGAGGCAGGAGAATGGCGTGAACCCAGGAGGCGGAGGTTGCAGTGAGCTGAGATTACACCACTGCACTCCAGCCTGGGCGACAGAGTGAGACTCCATCTCAAAAAAAAAAAAAAATTAGCTAGGCATGGTGGCGCATGCCTGTAATCCCAGCTACTCAGGAGACTGAGGCACGAGAATTGCTTGAACCCAGGAAGTGGAGTTTGCCATGAGCCAACATTCTGCCACTGCACTCTAGCCTGTGCAACAGAGCAAGATGCTGTTTCCAAAAAGAAAAAAAAAATTGTGAAAATGACATTAGAAGAACTAAATATTGCCAAAGAAAATACTGCTTTAAAGTAAAAGAAATGAGGAAAGACTTGAGAAAAAAAACCCTGAAACATTTAGAAAAAGAAAAAGTAAACTGGTGTACATAGATGCAACTATATCAACAATAACATTAAATGTACATAAATTAACCCAGCCAAAGGTAGAGACTGTCATGCAGGATAAAAAAGTGAAGATTCCACTGTATGCTCTGCATAAGAGATACAATACACTAAACAAGGGTGTCACGACCTGCCAGTAAGGAAAGAATAATCTTTTCAACAAATGGTGCTGGGACAACCGGATTTCCATATTCAAAAAAATGAAGTTGGTACCCAACGTGGTGGCTCACGCTTGTTATCACCAACACTTTGGGAGGCTTAGGTGGGAGGATCACTTGAAGCCAGGAGTTTGAGAACAACCTGGATAACATAGCAAGACCCCATCTCTGAAAAAAAAAAAAAAAATAATTAGCCAGTCTTGGTGAAGTCTTAGCTATTTGAGAGGTCGAGGTGAGCGGATCACTTGGGCCCAGAGGTTCAAGGCTGCAGTAAGCTATGATAATGCCACTGCACTCCAGCCTGAGTGACAGAGCAAGACTTTATCTCTTTAAAAAAAAAAATGTAGTTGGACCACCTGCCTCACACCATACACAAAAATTAATTCAAAATACATCAATGGCCTAAATAGAAGAGCAAAAACCTAAGAAAACATAGATAATAGATCTTCATGATCGTGGATTTGGCAATTGTTTCTTAGATATGACACCAAGATTATGAGCAACAGAAGAAATAATAGATAAACTGAACTTTTTTCAAAACTAAAAACTATTGTGCATCCAAGAATATTGTCAAAAAAGTGAAAAAAAAAAACCAAAAAAAAAACACGGCCAGGGGTCGTGGCTCATGCCTGTAATCCCAGCACTTTCGAAGGCCAAGGTGGGTGGATCGCTTCAGCTCAGGGGTTCAAGACAAGCCTGAGCAACATGGCGAAACCCTATCTCTACAAAAATACAAAAATCAGGTCAGGTGTAGTGGCTTATGCCTATAATCCCAGCACTTTGGGAGGCCAAGACAAGTGGATCACCTGAGGTCTGGAGTTTGAGATCAGCCTGGCCAACATGGTGAAACCCCGTGTCTACTAAAAATACAAAAATTAGCCAGGCATGGTGGCACGTGCCTGTAATCCCAGCTACTTGGGAGGCTGAGACAGGAGAATCACTTAAACACAGGAGGTGGAGGTTGTAATGAGCCAAGATTGCGCCACTCCACTCCAACCTGGGCAACAGAACAGGACTCTGCCTCGAGGGGGAAAAAATTAGCCAAGTGTGCTGGTGCGTGCCTGTAGTCCCAGCTACTCGAGAGGCTGAGGTGGGAGAATTACCTGAGCCTGGGGAAGTTGGGGCTGTAGTGCTATAGTGAGCCATGATTGTGCCAGTGCACTCTAGCTGGGCAACAAAATTAAAACCCTGTCTCAAAAAAAAAAAAAAAAAAGTGAAAAAACCACCTACTGAATATGAGAAAACATTTGCCAGTCATATATTTGACAAGGGTCTAGTATCCAGAATATATAGATCATTCTCTTATAACACAACCAGAAAAAGAAATCAACAAAAAACTTGAATAGATATTTTTTCCAAGAAGATATTCAGATCACCAACCACCACATGAAACAGTGCTCATCATCATTAGCTATTAGAGAATTGCAAACCAAAACCTTAATAAGGTATCATTTCACAGCCACTAGGATTTTTTTTTTAAGTGGGTAGAAGAGACCATAATGTAAGTGCTGGCAAGGGATGTGGAGAAACTGAAACCTTTGTGCGTTGCTAACAGGAATGTAAAATGGTTCAGTCATTGCAGAAAACAGGTAGTTTTTCAAAGAGTAACATAAAATTACCATATAGTCCAGCAATTTCACTCCTTCATATATATCCAAGAGAACTGAAAACAGGTACTCCGAAATGTGTAAACCAGGGTTCTAGCAGCTCTATTCACAGTAGCCAAAGGGAGGAAATAAATACACATCAGTGGATGAATGGCTAAACAACGTGTGGCATATACATTCAATGGAACATTATCCAGCTATAAAAAGGAATGAAGTACTGATACATGCTACAATGTGGAGGAACCTCAAAAACATTTTGTTAAGAAGCCAGACACAAAAGGTCACATGCTATATGATTTCCATTTATGTGAAATAACAGAACAGGTAAAACTACAGAGACAGAAAGCAGACTGGTGTTACCAAGGACTGAGATGAGGTGGGGAATACGGAATGGATGCTTAATAGTATAGTGTCTCCTTGCAGAGTGATGAAATGTTTTAGAATGAGATACAGGTATTAGTTGCAAAACTTTGTGAATCCACCAAGTGCCACTGAATTATTCACTTTTGAATGTTAATTTGATGCTATGTGAATTTCACCTCAATAAAGTAAAATTTTTAAAAAGTAAACTGAGAGACCTGGTAACAAACTGGATGTTGCTAAAGATGTGTATGTACGTGGCAAGGCTGAAAGCAAACATTCTTTAAAGAAAAGAGTTGCATTTTCCATTATTACATAAAAGAAATTAGGTGTGGTGGCTCATGCCTGAAATCCCAGCACTTTGGGAGGCTGAGACAGGCAGATGGCTTGAGCTCAAGAATTTCAGACCAGTCTGGGCAACATGGCAAAACCTTGCCTCTCTAGAAAAAAATAAAATAAATAAATAAATACAGAAACGAGCAGGACGTGGTGGCATGCACCACTAGTCTTAGCTACTTCGGAGGCAGAGGTGGGAGGATCACCTGAGACTGGGGAGGTGGAGGCTGCAGTGAGCTGTGAGATCACACCACTGCAGTCCATTGTGAGAAACAAAGCCAGACCCTGTCTTAAAAGAAAAAAAAAGCATGGATGAAGCTTATTTTGGAAAAAGATAGAGATGGTCAAAAGAAAGGACAGTCAAGTTGCCATTATCTTCCTGTCACCTTTAGGTGTGCTGGAAGACTTCTTTCTTCCTCTTAGATCCCCTAAAATAGTGCTTAGGGCCAGGAAAATTTCAACAACCTAGTCATTGCAGAGGCATTTGGGGAAAACAGAAAGAGGAGGCAATGATCCCACCTCAGGACATCAGGCACCCATGCCCAGAAGAGTCCTCCACTCTCAAAGAAAGAGCACAAATCTCACATAACTCTGTCTCGAATGTTGAAGCTACAGCTGCCAGGGACAGAAAAAGGGATAGATTGTCTGGAGCACCATAAGATGTCTCCATGGCTTTGGAACTCAAGAAGTTGGTTAGATCAGTAACTTGTTTTAAGTAAATTCCTTCCAAAATATTTCTAATCTGAAAAACATTTTCATTACAATTGATGTTTTAAATTTTCTGGCATTTAAAAAAAGGAAAATAGACTGACCAACTGAAATAAGTCCATGAGAAACAAATCTTATCCTTCAAATTTCTCTTGTGGGCTCCTTTCTTCATACTTTCTAAGAATTTTTTACGATTACTTATACTACTTTTTCCTCTTGTCCCAGAAATGTGGAGAAAAATCAATTTCCTTATGTTGCTCTAATTTTAATATACTACCTCTAAGCAAATGCTTTCCAAATCAAGCAACCAACCTTGTGTTCTCTTCCAAATCCCAAGTGACAACATCAACTATCTAGTGTACATTCCCAATTTAACACTCTAAAAGCAAACTTATTTTTTTGCTTAAAAAATAAAATCTCCATCTTCATTTTTGAACTTCTCTTTATAGCACTATTATAGGCTAAATTGTGTCCTCCCAAATTTATACACTGAAAGTCTCAGGTCCTCAGAATGTAATGTTCTTAGAGATAAGGTCTTTAAATAAGTGAATGTTAAAATGCTGCCGTTAGGGTGGGCCCTAATCCAATCTGACTGACATCCTTATAAGAAGGGGGAGGGACACACAGAGAAGAGGCCATGTCAAGACACAGCCACCTTGCAAGCCACAGAGAGAGGCCTCAGGAGAAATCAACCCTGCCAGCACCTGGACTTGTCCCAGACGATCTTCCAGCCTCTAGGACTGTGAGAAAATAAAGTTCTGTTATTGAAGCCATCCAGTATGTAGTACTTTATCATCGCAGCACTAGCAAACTAATATAAGTACCACTTTCTCAGATATTCTAACTCAAAGCAATATAATCAACCTAGACTTCCTCTTCCTCTTCCAAGTAATTGGTGAACTGGCCAAAGAGCCCCTTTAAGGGAAGCATCTCAGGTGTAGATTTCAGAACCATTTAACCATAACCAAAGCATCCATACTACTGGAAATATTATTAGTAATATAGGTGTTAATTGCTCTAACTTGTGATTAAGGACTTCTAAAAAAGATAAAACATCTTATAAGGTTTTGATGTTGAAATCAAAAGATCTAATTTCACTTCACAGCACAGATAATAACATACTTGTCAATTTGTCTTGAGTATGGGAGCAGCAGGGTTAAAGATGCTGTTTATTTAAATGTAGACATCTGACCTATTTGTACATAAGAAGAAAAAGCTAGTAGAGAATGACAACAGACACATACATGGAAATGGGGGATGGGGGATGGGGGATAGGGGAAAGAAGGAAAGGCCATTCAGCAAAATGGCTAAGAAAACAAGGTTAAGAATCACACAGAGTTGTGTTCAAATGACAACTTTCTACTTTCTAGTTGTGTGATTTCAGACAAGATACTCAATACATATAAGTAATATAAAAATGTATTTTATTAATAGAATGGTAAGAATTAAATGAGGTATCTATAAAGACTTAATTTCATAAGAAATTTTTTATTATGATTTACAGAATAAGGTCTCTAGAAAAGAACATGTATTTCAGTTAATGTCACCAGAGAACACAATTGGATTATAACTTTTTAGCACTGTAAAGGTTATAGTATTAACTAAGACCAATAAACTAAAATTCAAGAAAATAATTTTTAGCTTAAACAAAAGTTACAGTATTATTTCTTATAAATGTTTAACTAATAGTTTCCAATCAAGATGCAATCAGGCCTTAGACACCAGAAACACAGCATTTCGTAAATAAAGGTGTCCATGGGTTCTGTAGTCACTCAGACCTCAAAGGAGATCTGAAGAAGTAGAAGACTAATTCTACTTCTAAATCTATTACAAACCCTAGGAATGTCTACCTGCACCCTAAAGGAATCTGGCATTGCTTGAATGTCTTCTATGTTCAGCTGTGTGCTGTGCCATGACTCACCAATCTTCAAAGCAACTATGTGAGGAATACGTTACTGAAGGCATTTAACAGACAAACCAATTGGATCTAAAAAAAAGTTAAATACCTGCTTAAGGCCAAGCATTCAGTGAGAGGTAGAATGGAGATCTGAGCCTAGGATGACTGACACAACACCAATGCTCAGGGCCTTTTTCTGTCTCTCAAAAAGTAAAAGCTAGAGCACTATACATTCCATGTCTACGGCAAAAACATCAAAAAAATTTCATTATCAATTGTACTGCATTACAACAACCAGAAATAAACTCAGGTGGTGGTGAGACACTGTACACTCACATTGGAAACTTCAGATTCTCTAAGATAAAAGAATTATATGACAACTACTTACATAAATACAATAACACAGGTCTATGTTCCCTGAGAAGATTTTTCACACAGAATATTATGCAAATTTCGACCAGAAATTTTTTAGAGATACTAGCAAAAACCAATATATACATCACCAAGGCTTTACAATTGTTATTATTTAGCTATGACAGTTTATCACATTTCTCTATCCATTAATCCACCTTACTTTTCTTTTTTTTTTCTCTTCTTCTTCTTTTTTTATTATACTTTACGTTTTCGGGTACATGCGCACAATGTGCAGGTTAGTTACATATGTATACATGTGCCATGTTGGTCTGCTGCACACAGTAACTCGTCATTTAACATTAGGTATACCTCCTAATGCTATCCCTCCACCCTGCCCCCACCCGACAACAGGCCCCGGCGTATGATGTTCCCCTTCTTGTGCCCCCGTGTTCTCACTTTTCAATTCCCACCTATGAGTGAGAACATGCGCTGTTTGGTTTTTTGTCCTTCTGATAGTTTGCTGAGAATGATGGTTTCCACCTTCATCCATGTCCCTACAAAGGACATGAACTCATCCTTTTTTATGGCTGCATAGTATTCCATGGTGTATATGTGCCACATTTTCTTAATCCAGTCTATCATTGTTGGACATCTGGCTTGGCTCCAAGTCTCTGCGATTGTGAATAGTCCCCCAATAAACATACGTGTGCATGTGTCTTTATAGCAGCATGATTTATAATCCTTTGGGTATATACCCAGTAATGGGATGGCTGGGTCAAATGGTATTTCTAGTTCTAGATCCCTGAGGAATCGCCACACTGACTTCCACAATAGTTGAACTAGTTTACAGTCCCACCAACGGTGTAAAAGTGTTCCTATTTCTCCACATCCTCTCCAGCACCTGTTGTTTCCTGACTTCTTAATGACTGCCATTCTAACTGGTGTGAGATGGTATCTCATTGTGGTTTCGATTTGCATTTCTCTGATGGCCAGGGATGATGAGCATCTTTTCAAGTGTCTTTTGGCTGCATAAATGTCTTCTTTTGAGAAGTGTCTGCTCATATCCTTCGACCACTTTCTGATGGCGTTTTTTTCTTGAAAATTTGTTGGAGCTCATTGTAGATTCTGGATATTAGCCCTTTGTCAGATGAGCAGACTGTAAAAATTTTCTCCCATTCTGTAGGTTGCTGTTCACTCAGATGGTAGTTTCTTTTGCTGTGCAGAAGCTCTTTCGTTTAATTAGATCCTAGTTGTCAATTTTGGCTTTCGTTGCCATTGCTTTTGGTGTTTTAGACACGAAGTCCTTGCCCATGCCCATGTCCTGAATGGTATTGCCTAGGTTTTCTTCTTGGGTTTTTATGGTTTCAGGTCTAACATTTAAGTCTTTAATCCATCTTGAATTAATTTTAGTATAAGGTGTAAGGAAGGGATCCAGTTTCACTTTTCTACATATGGCTAGCCACTTTTCCCAGCACCATTTATTAAATAGGGAATCGTTTTCCCATTTCTTGTTTTTGTCAGGTTTGTCAAAGATCAGATGGTTGTAGATATGTGGCATTATTTCTGAGGGCTCTGTTCTGTTCCATTGTTCTATATCTCTGTTTCGGTACCAGTACCATGCAGTTTTGGTTACTGCAGCCTTGTAGTATAGTTTGAAGTCAGGTAGCACGATGCCTCCAGCTTTGTTCTTTCACCTTAGGATTGACTTGGCAATACCGGCTCTTTTTTGGTTCCATATGAACTTTAAAGTAGTTTTTTCCAATTCTGTGCAGAAAGTCATTGGTAGCTTGATGGGGATCGCACTGAATCTATAAATTACCTTGGGCAGTATGGCCATTTTCATGATACTGATTCTTCCTGTCCATGAGCATGGAATGTTCTTCTGTTTGTTTGTATCCTCTTTTATTTCATTGAGCAGTGGTTTGTAGTTCTCCTTGAAGAAGTCCTTCAAATCCCTTATAAGTTGGATTCCTAGGTGTTTTATTCTCTTTGAAGCAATTGTGAATGGGAGTTCACTCATAATTTGGCTCTCTCTTTCTCTGTTATTGGTGTATAAGAATGCTTGTGATTTTTGCACATTGATTTTGTATCCTGAGACTTTGCTGAAGTTGCCTATCAGCTTAAGGAGATTTTGGGCTGAGACGATGGGGTTTTATAAATATACAATCGTATCATCTGCAAACAGGGACAATTTGACTTCCTCTTTTCCTAATTGAATACCCTTTATTTCCTTCTCCTGCCTGATTGCCCTGGCCAGAACTTCCAACACCATGTTGAATAGGAGCGGTGAGAGAGGGCATCCCTGTCTTGTGCCAGTTTTCAAAGGGAATGCTTCCAGTTTTTGCCCATTATGATATTGGCTGTGGGTTTGTCATAGATATCTCTTACTATTTTGAGATACGTCCCATCAATACCTAATTTATTGAGAGTTTTTAGCATGAAGGGTTGTTAAATTTTGTCAAAGGCCTTTTCTGCATCTATTGAGATAATCATGTGGTTTTACTCGTTGGTTCTGTTTATATGATGGATTATGTTTATTGATTTGCATATGTTGAACCTGCCTTGCATCCCAGGGATGAAGCCCACTTGATCATGGTGGATAAGCTTTTCCATGTGATGCTGGATTTGGTTTGCCAGTATTTTATTGAGGATTTTTGCATCCATGTTCATCAGGGATATTGGTCTAAAATTCTCTTTTTTTGCTGTGTCTCTGCCAGGCTTTGGTATCAGGCTGATGCTGGCCTCATAAAATGAGTTAGGGAGGATTCCCTCTTTTTCTATTGATTGGAATAGTTTCAGAAGGAATGGTACCAGCTCCTCCTTGTACCTCTGGTAGAATTCGGCTGTAAATTCATCCAGTCCTGGACTTTTTTTGTTTGGTAAGCTATTATTATCGCCTCAATTTCAGAGCCTGTTATTGGTCCGTTCAGAGATTCAACTTCTTTCTGGTTTAGTCTTGGGAGGGTGTATGTGTCCAGGAATGTATCCATTTCTTCTAGATTTTCTAGTTTATTTGCGTAGAGGTGTTTATAGTATTCTCTGATGGTAGTTTGTATTTCTGTGGGATTAGTGGTGATATCTCCTTTATCATTTTTTATTGCATCTATTTGATTCTTCTCTCTTTTCTCTTTTAGTAATCTTTCTAGCAGCCTATCAAGTTTGTTGATCTTTTCAAAAGACCAGCTCCTGGATTCACTGATTTTTTGAAGGGTTTTTTATGTCTCTATTTCCTTCAGTTCTGCTCTGATCTTAGTTATTTCTTGCCTTCTGCTAGCTTTTGAATGTGTTTGCTCTTGCTTCTCTAGTTCTTTTAATTGTGATGTTAGGGTGTCAATTTTAGATCTTTCCTGCTTTCTCTTGTGGGCATTTAGTGCTATAAATTTCCCTCTACACACTGCTTTGAATGTGTCCCAGAGATTCTGGTTATGTTGTGTCTTTGCTCTCGTTGGTTTCCAAGAACATCTTTATTTCTGCTTTCATTTCGTTATGTACCCAGTAGTCATTCAGGAGCAGGTTGTTCAGTTTCCATGTAGTTGAGCAGTTTTGAGTGAGTTTCTTAATCCTGAGTTCTAGTTTGATTGCACTGTGGTCTGAGAGACAGTTTGTTATAATTTCTGTTCTTTTAACATTTGCTGAGGAGTGCTTTACTTCCAACTATGTGGTCAATTTTGGAATAAGTGCGGTGTGGTGCTGAGAAGAATGTATATTCTGTTCATTTGGGGTGGAGGGTTCTGTAGATGTCTATTAGGTCCGCTTGGTGCAGAGTTGAGTACAATACCTGGATATCCTTGTTAACTTTCTGTCTCACTGATCTGTCTAATGTTGATAGTGGGGTGTTAAAGTCTCCCATTATTATTGTGTGGGAGTCTAAGTATCTTTGTAGGTCTCTAAGGACTTGCTTTATGAATCTGGGTGCTCCCGTATTGGGTGCATATATATTTAGGCTAGCTAGCTCTTCTTGTTGAATTGATCCCTTTACCATTACATAATGGCCTGCTTTGTCTCTTTTGATCTTTGTTGGTTTAAAGTCTGTTTTATCAGAGACTAGGATTGAAACCCCTGCCTTTTTTTGTTTTCCATTTCCTTGGTAGATCTTCCTCCATCCTTTATTTTGAGCCTGTGTGTGTCTTCTGCACATGAGATGGGTTTCCTGAATACCGCACACTGATGGGTCTTGACTCTTTATCCAATTTGCCAGTCTGTGTCTTTTTATTGGAGCATTTAGCCCATTTACATTTAAGGTTAATATTGTTATGTGTGAATTTGATCCTGTCATTATGATGTTAGCTGGTTATTTTGCTCATTAGTTGATGCAGTTTCTTCCTAGCCTTGATGGTCTTTGCAGTTTGGCATGTTTTTGCAGTGGCTGGTACTGGTTGTTCCTTTCCATGTTCAGTGCTTCCTTCAGGAGCTCTTTTAGGGCAGGCCTGGTGGTGACCAAATCTCTCAGCATTTGCTTATCTGTAAAGGATTTTATTTCTCCTTCACTCATGAAGCTTAGTTTGGCTGGATATGAAATTCTGGGTTGAAAATTCTTGTCTTTAAGAATGTTGAATATTGGCCCCCACTCTCTTCTGGCTTGTAGAGTTTCTGCCGAGAGATCCGCTGTTAGTCTGATGGGCTTCCCTTTGTGGGTAACCCGACCTTTCTCTCTGGCTGCCCTTAACATTTTTTCCTTCATTTCAACTTTGGTGAATCTGAGAATTACGTGTCTTGGAGTTGCTCTTCTCGACGAGTATCTTTGTGGCGTTCTCTGTATTTCCTGAATTTGAATGTTGGCCTGCCTTGCTAGATTGGGGAAGTTCTCCTGGATAATATCCTGCAGAGTGTTTTCCAACTTGGTTCCATTCTCCCTGTCACTTTCAGGTACACCAATGAGACGTAGATTTGGTCTTTTCACATAGTCCTATATTTCTTGGAGGCTTTGTTCGTTTCTTTTAATTCTTTTTTCTCTAAACTTCTCTTCTCACTTCATTTCATTCATTTCATCTTCCATCACTGATACCCTTTCTTCCAGTTGATCGAATCGGCTACTGAGGCTTGTGCATTCGTCACGTAGTTCTCATGCTGTGGTTTTCAGCTCCATGAGGTCCTTTAAGGACTTCTCTGCATTGGTTATTCTAGTTAGCCATTTGTCTCGTTTTTTTCCAAGGTTTTTAACTTCTTTGCCATGGGTTCGAACTTCCTCCTTTAGCTCGGAGTAGTTTGATCGTCTGAAGCCTTCTTCTCTCAACTCGTCAAAGTCACTCTCCGTCCAGCTTTGTTCCGTTGCTGGTGAGGAGCTGTGTTCCTTTGGAGGAGGAGAGGCACTCTGATTTTTAGAGTTTCCAGTTTTTCTGCTCTGTTTTTTCTCCATCTTTGTGGTTTTATCTACCTTTGGGTCTTTGATGATAGTGACGTACAGATGGGGTTTTGGAGTGGATATCCTTTCTGTTAGTTTTCCTTCTAACAGTCAGGACCCTCAGTTGCAGGTCTGCTGGAGTTTGCTGGAGGTCCACTCCACACCCTGTTTCCCTGAGTATCAGCAGTGGAGGCTGCAGAACAGCGGATACCGGTGAGCAGGAAATGTTGCTGCCTGATTGTTCCTCTGGAAGTTTTGTCTCAGAGGAGTACCCGGCCATGTGAGGTGTTAGTCTGCCCCTACTAGGGGGTGCCTCCCAGTTAAGCTACTCGGGGGGGTCAGGGACCCACTTGAGGAGGCAGTCTTTCTGTTCTCAGACCTCCAGCTGCGTGCTGGGAGAACCACTACTCTCTTCGAAGCTGCAGACATTTAAGTCTACAGAGGATTCTGCTGCCTTTTGCTTGGTTATTCCCTGCCTCCAGAGGTGGAGTCTACAGAGGCAGGCAGGCCTCCTTGAACTGTGGTGGGCTCCATCCAGTTCCAGCTTCCCTGTGGCTTTGTTTACCTACTCAAGCCTTGGCAATGGTGGGCGCCCCTCCCCCAGCCTCGCTGCTGCCTTGCAGTTTGATCTCAGACTGCTGTGCTAGCAATGAGCGAGGCTCCGCAGGTGTAGGACCCTCCGAGCCAGGCGTGGGATACAATCTCCTGGTGTGCCATCTGCTAAGACCATTGGAAAAGCGCAGTATTAGGGTGGGAGTGACCCAATTTTCCAGGTGCCATCTGTCATCCCTTTCTCCATCTAGGAAAGGGAATTCCCTGACCCCTTGCGCTTCCTGGGTGAGGTGATGCCTCGCCCTGCTTCGGCTCACGCTGGGTGCACTGTACCCACTGTCCTGCACCAACTTTCCGACACTCCCCAGTGAGATGAACCCAGTACCTTAGTTGGAAATGCAGAAATCACTCGTCTTCTACGTCGCTCAAGCTGGGAGCTCTAGACTGGAGCTGTTCCCATTCAGCCATCTTGGCTCCACCAATCCATCTTACTTTTCGATGCATTTCAAAGTTGCAGATGACAGTACACATCATCCCATTATATCTCAGCATGAACATCAATAACAAGAATTCAATGTATATTTCTATTAATATGTATTTACTTTTTTCAGTAGGTTTTATATACAATAAAAGACACACCATTTGATAAGTTTTAACATATACATATAGCACTGAACTCAAACTCCAAACAAGAAATAAAATACTTCCTATCACCCAGCAAGTTCCTCTAAGACTTTTCGCAATTAATCCCCACCCCACTATCGAAGACAGCACTGCTTTTTCTTCCATTATGTATCAATTTTGCCTGTTCTAGAACTCGATGTAAATGGAATACAGAATGTACTCTTTTGTGTAAGGTTTCTTTCACCTACCATGTATTTGAAATTCATTATGTTGTTGATGTACCAAGACAGTGTTCCTTATCATTGCTAAGTTGTATTCCATTTATGACTATACCTATTTGTTGATCCAGTCTCCAACTGGTGGGTATATGAGCTGTGTCCAGTTTCGGCCTATTATAAACACTTTTGAACAAATCTTGTAGATGTGTTTTCTTTTTCTATTAAGTAAATAACTAGGAGTAGAATTGCTAAGTCATGGGTTAGGGTAGAAAAACTCTTAATTTTATAAGAGTTCTCATTGCTCTACATATATGGTAGTATTACTCTTTAAGCTAATGGGACAAGTAAAGCAGCACCTCCTTGCAGTTTACTTTTGTATTTCCTTAATAATTGACGATGTTTAGTAACATTTTCATGTGTTCACTGGCCATTCAATATAGCATCATTTATGAAGTGTGTGTACTAATCCTTCTCCAATTAATCAAGTTGTATTTTCATTGTTCAGTTGTAGAATTTCTTTACATAGTCTTAATACAAGTCCTTTACAGATACAGGTTTTGCTATTATTTTCTTCATGTCTCTTAATGAGCAGAAGTTTTTTATTTTGAAGAAGTTTATAGAGTGTTAGGTGTTTTCTTTAAAACAGTTGCTGCTTTCTGTATCCTATCAAGGAAACCTTTGCCTGTTCTTTGTTTATTCTAAAAGCTTTATACTTTAGCTTCAACATATAGATCTATGATTCATCTTGATTTATCTTTTGGGTACCATGTGAGGTAGGGAGTCAAGGTGAACTTTCATCCATACAGATGTCTAGTTGTTCCAGCACTTTTTATTTAAAAGCCTTTCTTTTCCCTCATTGGATAGCTGTCTTTGTTAAAAATAATTTATCAGTTATCTGTTCTGCTCCATTTATATGCTTTTATATCCTTATGCTGATATCACAGTCTTCATTACTGTATTATTAGAGTAAATCTTGAAATAAGGAAATTTAAGTTTTCCACCTTGTAAATCATCAGGATTGCTTTGTATAACATAGGTCCTTTCTATCTTCATATAAACGTTATAATCAGCTTGTCAATTTCTACCAAAAGAGAAAAGTCCTGCTAAGAAAATGATTTGAACCACATTAAATTCATAGATCGACTAGGGATAACTGTGCTGTTTAACTTCCAAATATTCAGATTTTTCCTGAATATCTTATTGCTATTGGTTTCTACTTTAAATTCTACTGTAGTTACAGAGTATACTCTTTAGGATTTCAAACTTTTGAAATGTAGTGAGACATGTTTTAGGACCCATATATTATTTATCTCGGTATGCATATCATGTGTACTTGAATAGAATGTACACTCTATTTTAGTTGCCCATGATATTCTACAAATGTCAGTTAGGTCAAGGTGGCTGAAGTATTTTTACAGATCTTCTATATTCTAACTGATTTTTTGTCTAGGTTTTCTATAAGTTACAGAGTAGTGTTAAAATTTCCACCTATGACTGTAGATCTTATTAGGTATATACAAATTTATGATTACTATGTATTTCTAATGAGTTTTATCACTATGAAATGCCCTTCTTTATCTCCAGTACTGTCTTGAAGTCTACTTATCTAATATTAATATAACAACTCCATCTTATACTTACTGTTTGCATGCTACACCTTTCCTCATACATTTACTTTCAATCTATCTGTGTCATTATTTTTAAAATGCATCTCTGGTAGACAGAATACAGGAAGTCTTGTTTTCTATCCAATGTATGAATCTCTACCTTCAAATAAAACACTTAATCTATTTTCAATTAAGGTAATTATTCATAGACCTGACCTAGGTTTGTAAGTTTGCTATTTGTTTTCTTTACATCCTGATATGGTTTGGCTGTGTCTCCACCCAAATCTCATCTTGAATTGTAGTTCCCATAATCCTCACACGTCGTGGAAGGGACCTGGTGGGAGGTAACTGCATCATGGAGCAGTTACCCTCATGCTATTCTCGTGATAATGAGTGAGTTCTAAGGAGATCTGATGGTTTTATAAGGGGCTTTCCCCCAACTTTGCTCTCATTCTGTTCCTTGCTGCCACCCTGTGAAGGACATGTTTGCTTCCCCTTCCTCCATGATTGTAAGTTTCCTGAGGCCTCCCCAGCCATGCTGAACTGGGTCAATTAAACCTCTTTCCTTCATAAATTACCCAGTTTCGAGTATGTCTTTATTAGCAGTATGAGAACAGACTGACACACATCTCATTTGTTTTATATTCTGCTGTTCCTTCCTTTATACCTTTTTTCATTTTCTCTAAATACATTTCAGAATTCCATTTTGACTTCTCTTGTTTTTTAGTTATCACCTCTTTGCATTTTTTTCTTTTCCAGTGTTTGTTCTAGGAATTATAATGTATATCTTTAACTTTGCAGTGTACTTAAAGCTAATTCTACCCCTTCATAAAATAAAGACCACAGTAAGCACACAGCTCCATCAACCTAGACTCATCCTTTATACACAGCAGTCATATATAAATGCCATATTGTAACATTATAATTTCTGCTTTAAACAGTCACAACTGTATATTTCTTAATGGAGTGGGGAAGACTTACATTTTTACCAATTGCAGTGCTCTTCATTCCTGAAGTTCTGAGTTTCAGCTGGTAACACTTTCCTTCAGCTTGAAGTATCTCCTTAAACATTTCTTGTAGTATAAAGATTTTCTTAGCTAGAAAGTATGTTTTCTTATTTGGCTACAGAATTCTGAGTTGATTTTTATTTTCCCAGTACTTTAAAGGTGTTTATAGCCTGCTGGCCTGCATTATTTCTGATAAGAAGTCAGGTCTGTCAAAGATCAGATGGTTGTAGATATGTGGCATTATTTCTGAGGGCTCTGTTCTGTTCCACTGATCTATATCTCTGTTTTGGTACCAGTACCATGCAGTTTTGGTTACTGTAGCCTTGTAGTATAGTTTGAAGTCAGGTAGCGTGATGCCTCCGGCTTTGTTCTTTTGGCTTAGGATTGACTCGGCAATGCGGGCTCTTTTTTGGTTCCATATGAACTTTAAAGTAGTTTTTTCCAATTCTGTGAAGAGAGTCATTGGTAGCTTGATGGGGATGGCATTGAATCTATAAATTACCTTGGGCAGTATGGCCATTTTCACGACATTGATTCTTTCTACCCATGAGCACGGAATGTTCTTCCATTTGTTTGTATCCTCTTTTATTTCATTGAGCAGTGGTTTGTAGTTCTCCTTGAAGAGGTCCTTCACGTCCCTTGTAAGTTTGGATTCCTAGGTATTTTATTCTCTTTGAAGCAATTGTGAATGGGAGTTCACTCATGATTTGGCTCTCTGTTTGTCTGTTATTGGTCTAGAAGAATGCTTGTGATTTTTGCAAATTGATTTTGTATCCTGAGACTTTGCTGAAGTTGCTTATCAGCTTAAGGAGATTTTGGGCTGAGATGATGGTGTTTTCTAGATATGCAATCATGTCATCTGCAAACAGAGACAATTTGACTTCCTCTTTTCCTAATTGAATACCCTTTATTTCCTTCTCCTGCCTGACTGCCCTGGCCAGAACTTCCAACACTATGTTGAATAGGAGTGGTGAGAGAGGGCATCCCTGTCTTGTGCCAGTTTTCGGGAAAGGATTCCCTATTTAATAAATGGTGCTGGGAAAACTGGCTAGCCATATGTAGAAAGCTGAAACTGGATCCCTTCCTTACACCTTATACACAAATTAATTCAAGATGGATTAAAGACTTAAATGTTAGACCTAAAACCATAAAAACCCTAGAAGAAAACCTAGGCAATACCATTCAGGACATAGGCATGGGGAAGGACTTCATGTCTACAACACCAAAAGCAATGGCAACAAAAGCCAAAATTGACAAATGGGATCTAATTAAACTAAAGAGCTTCTGCACAGCACAAGAAACTACCATCAGAGTGAACAGGCAACCTACAAAATGGGAGAAAATTTTCGCAACCTACCTCATCTGACAAAGGGCTAATATCCAGAATCTACAATGAACTCAAACAAATTTACAAGAAAAAAACAAACAACCCCATCAAAAAGTGGGTGAAGGATATGAACAGACACTTCTCAAAAGAAGACATTTATGCAGCCAAAAAACACATGAAAAAATGCTCACCATCACTGGCCATCAGAGAAATGCAAATCAAAACCATAATGAGATACCATCTCACACCAGTTAGAATGGTGATCATTAAAAAGTCAGGAAACAACAGGTGCTGGAGAGGATGTGGAGAAACAGGAACACTTTTACACTGTTGGTGGGAGTGTAAACTAGTTCAACCATTGTGGAAGTCAGTGTGGCGATTCCTCAGGGATCTAGAACTAGAAATACCATTTGACCCAGCCATCCCATTACTGGGTATATACCCAAAGGACTATAAATCATGCTGCTATAAAGACACACGCACACCTATGTTTACTGCGGCACTATTCACAATAGCAAAGACTTGGAACCAACCCAAATGTCCAACAATGATAGACTGGATTAAGAAAATGTGGCACATATCCACCATGGAATACTATGCAGCCATAAAAAATGAAGAGTTCATGTCCTTTGTAGGGACATGGATCAAACTGGAAACCATCATTCTCAGCAAACTATCGCAAGGACAAAAAACCAAACACCGCATGTTCTCACTCATAGGTGGGAACTGAACAATGAGAACACTTGGACACAGGAAGGGGAACATCACACTCCGGGGACTGTTGTGGGATGGGGGAAGTGGGGAGGGATAGCATTAGGAGGTATACCTAATGTTAAATGATGAGTTAATGGGTGCAGCACACCAACATGGCACATGTATACATATGTAACAAACCCGCACATTGTGCACATGTACCCTAAAACTTAAAGTATAATAATAATATAAAAAAAAAAAGAAGTCAGCTACCATTCATTAGCATTTCTCAGGGTGCTTTCAAGATTTTTTTCTTTTTGTAGAGATGAAGTCTCACTTCGTTTCCCAGGCTGGTCTCAAACTCCTTAGCTCAAGCAATACCCCTCTTTGGCCTCCCCAAGTGTTGGCATTACAGGCATAAGCCACTGCAACTAGGCAGGATTTTTTGTCTATTATTTTCAACAGCTTCACTATAATGTACTTAAGTGTTATTTTATTGTATTTATCTTGTTTGGAATTCACTGAACTTCTTCAACATGTAAATTCATGTTTTTTACCAATTTAGGGAAATTTCCAGCCATAATTTCTCCAGAATTTTTTGACCCAATTTCCCCTGGCCTCTATTTCTAGGACTCCAAGTGTTAGACCTTTTGATATTGTCCTACCAGCCACTGAGGCTAGCTTCATTTTTTGAAATCTCTTTTTCACTTTTTAAGAAAGAATAACTTCTATGAATCCAACAACTTCAATGACTCCTTTTCTTTTCCTAATCTTCTGTAATCTCTAATCAGTTTTCATTTGAAATATTGTATTTTTTACCTATAGAATTTTCATTTAGTCCTTTTACCTAGTTTCCATTTTTCAGCTGAGGTTTCTTATCTGTTTATTCATGGTGTACATATTTTCTTTATATAACCTTAAGAAGAGTTATAACAGCTGCTAATTCTAACATAGGAGTCATATCAAGGCCAGTCTCAATTAATTGGCTTTTCACTTAAGTATGGGTCACATTTTTCTGTTTGTGTATGTGTGTGTCTACTGAATATGGATTGTATTCTGGACACTGTGCATAGTACATTTTTAGAAACTCTGGATTTGATTATGTTCTTCTGAAGACTATTTAGTTTTTTTTTGCTTAATAGGTAGGTAAGTTGGCTATACACCTCTGAACTCTTTCTTGTGCAAATGAAATATCTTTAGTTATTTTAGCCTAAGACTTTTATGCAGAATTTGGGACACCCTTCTTTATGAAAGACTACTTTATACTCACTAACTTTCTAGCTGCTAGAGTCACCCCTAACTCTGTCTTGTGGTTTTTATTCAAGCTTCCGTCACCTACACAACCAATGACCGAGTTCTGTCCTCTGGGAAACATCCACAAAAAATGAAATGCTCATCTTATACCATTCTATCTTCCAAATGTCAACATCCTTCAGTTTCTTCCTACTTTCTGTCCTCCTACTGTGCTTTCACATACTTTTTTTATATTTTGTCCAAAAGTTGTCATTGTTATTTTCAGGAAAGGTAGTCCGACATGTGCCCCTCTGTAATTATTAAAAGCACAACTCCAAAGAATTGTTTATAATACCAGAAGACTACAAAAGTGACATCCATAGTGACTTTTTTTTTTTTTTTTTTTTGAGATGGAGTCTCGTTCTGTCACCCAGGCTGGAGTGCAGCGGCGCGATCTCAGCTCACTGCGACCTCCACCTCCTGGGTTCACACCATTCTTCTGCCTCAGCCTCCCGAGTAGCTGGGACTACAGGCGCCCACCAACACGCCCGGCTAATTTTTTGTATTTTTAGTAGAGACGGGGTTTCACTGTGTTAGCCAGGATGGTCTCAAATCTCCTGACCTCGTGATCTGCCTGCCTCGGCCTCCCAAAGTGCTGGGATTACAGGCGTGAGCCACAGCGCTGGCCGACTTATTACTTTGTTTTTTGAGACAGAGTCTGTCGCCCAGGCTGGAGTGCAGTGGTGCAATCCCGGCTCACAGCAAGCTCTGCCTCCCGGGTTCACGCCATTCTCCTGCCTCAGCCTCCTGAGTAGCTGGGACTACAGGCGCCCGCCACCATGTCCGGCTAATTTTTTTTGGTATTCTTTAGAGACAGGGTTTCACTGTGTTAGCCAGAATGGTCTTGACCTCCTGACCTCGTGATCCGCCCACTTCAGCCTCCCAAAGTGCTGGGATTACAGGCGTGAGCCACTGTGCCTGGCCAACTTACTACTTTTTAACATTACACAGTTGTAACAATATTTCCTAAAGCAATCATTTTCTGTTATAGTCCTTCTTATATCAGAAAACAGAAGTATTTGGGAAATGAAAAGATGGAGAAGAAAGAGGGGAATGAAGGGAAATAAGATGACCCAGTGATACTGAAAGGGGAAGAAGGTTCATGCAAAGAAAAGGAACAATCTGACAAACTCCTTGTCCTGGCATCTTTTAAGCTAAAGTTCAGCTATACAAGAAGGGAGATGATGAAAAGATAAAATATAATTTCTGGCACAGATGCAACAATTGATATTGGTACCTACAGTTACTCACTTTCATAAAGAGAATAAAAGCCCGAAAATGCTATACTAAGATAATGAACAGATACAGTATATAATACATGAGTTATAATATAAAATAACAGTAAAAAAATACAGACTCCTCAATAAAATCTCCAACCTTTTCTTTTTACCATAAGAACACACTGGAATATAGACTTCAGTACAATGTTTCTATAATTAAATCTTTAAAATATAATCATACAAAAAGCTTGACTAAGAACTCCAGATTTCCCTTTACAAGCACTAAATTTTATCAGTTTTTATATAAGCATATATGAGAGGTTTCTAAAATGTATGATGATCAGAATTAAACTCTTTCAACTATAGGTAACTTATACGCAATCAGAGGATTCTGGGAAGATGGTGGAGTAGGAAGCACCACGCATGTGTTGCTCCACCTAGAAGATCATTGCACTGGCAGAATCTGTTCTATTTAACTATTTTGAAACTCTGGAATCTACTGAAGGCTTGTTAATGTCCAGGGGAAGGCCTGAATATAATTTTAATCACTTGCAGGTATTAGCACTAGCACAGTAGCAGCTATCCATTTGCCACCCTCAGCCCCAAGGCAGGCAGTTGTGCATGCATTCCAAGGAGCAGCTTGCGCGCAGCTTACAGGAACCAAGGACAGGCAAAAAGGACCCTCTCTTCCAAATATAGGGCATGTGTGCCCTGATCACTGAATGCTACTTCTGATCACAGAAATGGGACAAAGAGGTGGACACACATTGTTGCTTCATCTCCACTCACTGTTACAAGCCCTCTCCCACCCCCATCCCCACCCCCACCCACAAAGTAACTGCTGGGGATTTAAAGGATTTAGTTTTTCTCTTTTTCCCTTTTGGGAGTCAGATGTTAAAGACTACGGCATTTGAAAGCAACTGTATATAAGGGAAAAATTAGAAACTTCCTGCACATTCCTGGAGAAAAACTCAGGCTTAGAAAAGACTCAGAGAATCTTAAGCTTACACCTCAGGCTGATCCTTCACATACAGACAAGCCTCAAACAATAAAAATAAACAAAAACAGTAACATTAGAAAAAAAAAAAAAAAACAGCAGGCCGGGCATGGTAGCTCATGCCTATAATCTCAGCACTTTGGGAGGCTGAGGTGGGCAGATCACCTGAGGTCAGGAGTTTGAGACGAGCCTGGGCAACATGGCGAAACCCCATCTCTACTAAGAAGCACAAAAATTAGCTGGGCATGGTGGCACACACCTGTAATCCCAGCTACTTGGGAGGCTGAGGCAGGAGAATCGGCTGAACCCAGGAGGTAGAGGTTGCAGTGAGCCGAGATCACACCACTGCACTCCAGCCTGGGCAACAGAGTGAGACTCTGCCTCAAAACAAAACAAAACAAACAGCAAATGCTGGGGAAGAGGGAGAATCTAATTTCCAGACTTACCACATCATTATATTCAAATGCCCTGTTTTCAACAAAAAAATAACAAGATATACAGGAAAGTATGACACATTCAAAAGAAAAAAAAATAAAACAACACAACTGTCCTTGAAAAAGACCTGATGGCAGACCTTCCAGAGAAAGACTTTATGACAACTGTTTTAAAGTTGTTCAAAGTACTAGGGCGGGCACAGTGGCTCATGACTGTAATCCCAGCACTATGGAAGGCCAAGGCGGGAAGATCACCTGAGGTTGGCAGTTTGAGACCAGCCTGGCCAACATGGCAAAACCCCATCTCTACTAAAAATACAAAAATTAGCCGGGCATGGTGGCACACGCCTGTAATCTCAGCTACTAGGGAGGCTGAGGCATGAGAATCGCTTGAACCCGGGAGGCAGAGGTTGTAGTGAGTTGAGACTGTGCCACTGCACTCCAGCTCGGGTGACAGAGTGAGACTCTGTCTCAAAAAAAAAAAAAAAAAAAAAAACGAAATGAGAAAAGAGGCTGGGTGCGGTGGCTCACACCTGTAATCCCAGCATTTTGGGAGGCCAAGGTGGGTGGATCACCTGAGGTCAGGAGTTCGAGTCCAGCTGGGCCAACATTGTGGAACCCCATCTCTACTAAACATACAAAAATGAGCCAGGCGTGGTGGCACATGCCTGTAATCCCAGCCTCAGGAGGCTGAGGCAGGATAACTGCTTGAACCCAGGAGGCAGAGGTTGCAGTGAGCCAAGATCATGCCACTGCACTCCAGCCTGGGCGATAGAGACTCCATTAAAAAAAAAAAAGAAGAAAGAAAGAAGAAAGGAATTTAAACATTTCATGAAAAAAATCAAGTAAACACAAAAGAAGACAGTAATGCAGGAAATGAGGGCCCCCACAAAAAGCAGTAAGTTATGTAAACAACAAACAACAAAATGACAGAAATCCTTCTGTACAAATAATTTAAATTCAAATGGATTAAACTCTCCAATCAAAAGACAGAGATTGACAGAATGGAGGAGGATTCAACCATATGTTGCCTATACTAGACTTACTTTAGACTGACAGACACAGTTTGAAAATTAAAAGACAGAAAAAGATATTCCATGCAAATACTAACCAGAACAGAGTAGAGGTGGCTATACTAACAACAGAGAAAACAGTCTAAATCAAAAAAGGTTACAAGAGACAAAGGACATTATATATGAATACATGATTTGATACAACAAGAAGACAAAAATTATAAACATTTATGCACCAATTAAAAGACCTCAAAAATACATGAAGGAAAAACAGACAACTGAAGGGAGAAACAGACCTTTCTAAATAACAGATGATTAAATCAATACCCTACTTTCAATAGTGGATAGAATAACCAGATCGAAGATAAGTAAGGAAACAGAGGACCTCAGACAATAACCAACTAGATCTGACAGACATATACACAACACTGTACCCAACAATAGCATACATATTCTTCTCAAGTGAATATAGAACATTTTCCAGGATAGACCATATGTTAGGTCACAAATTAAGTAAAAAATGTGGTATAAACATACAATGGAATATTATTCAGCCTTTAAAAAGAAGGAAATTCTAGCCGGGCTCGGTGGCTCATGCCTGTAACCCCAGCACTTTGTGAGGCTGAGGTGGGCGGATCACTTGAGGTCAAGAGTTCAAGACCAGCCTGGCCAACATAGTGAAGCCCTGTCTCTAGTAAAAATACAAAAATTAGCTAGGCGTGGTGGCGTGCGCCTATAATCCCAGATACTAGGAGGCCAAGGCACAACAATCACTTGAACCCAGGAGGCGGAGGTTGCAGTGAGTCAAGATCGCACCACTGCACTCCAGCCTGGCCAACAGAGTGAGACTCCATCTCAAAAAATAAAAATAAAAAATTCTAACAACATGGATTAACCTTAAGGATATTATGCTAAGTGAAATAAACCAGTCACAGAAAAACAAATACTGTATGATTCTATTCATATGAGGTAATTACAGTAGTCAAAATCATACACAAAGTAGAATGGTGGTTGCCAGGAGCTAGGGAAAGACAGAAGGAGGAGTTACTGTTTAATGAGTACAGAATTTCAATTTTACAAGATGAAAAGAGTTCTGGAGATAGAAGGTGGTGATGGTAGTTACACAACATTATGAAGATACTCAATACCACTGAATTGCACATTTTAAAATGGTCAAAATAGTAAATTTTATGTTATGTGTATTTTAAAATGTAAAACATTGGGAAAAAAGATGAAAACAATGGGCAGTTCTTAGGCATTAACAATTAGTACACATCTAGTCATATCATTTTATTCTAACTCACTATTAAAACCGATTAAAAGCAAAACTGATTTTCAAAAATTTATATAAATAAGTAAAAATACAGAAAATTATACATATGCACATTAAATTTAGAAATGTTTTTAAAGGTTTGTCAGATCACTTTCTGCAAGATTATAATACACTCCCATGTAGTACAAAATTTTGTTTATTCCTGTTTTTTTAAACTTTTCCGTAATTCCATCTTCTATGAGTTACTGAATCATTTTTTCTACCCTTACTGATAAGAATACAAACAAAATATCTGTTTCATAAAAATGAATCCGTATTTCAAATTTGAAAGCCACATTTACTTTTCCTTTAAAACTACATGAACTACTTTCAGATCTCTTATCTGTGCCAGCCAGCTTGTTGTTTACCTTCTCACAAATGTGCCTGAGTCTCACTCACATTACTTTACATTGATTATGTCTATTAGCCTGTATTTGCATAGGAGTCACTACATAAAGTATATAAGAATGACATAACAAAGTTCACCTAAATCCAATTTCCTTCACACTTCCTGAAAAATTAGGTTATGAGAATTCACTGCTATGTCTCTGCTGCCCTCTGTAGGTATGGTGTCTTAGTCCACTTTGCTTTGCTTTAACAGAATACCACAAGATAGGTAACTTACAAAGAAAAGAAGTTTATTTCTCATAGTTATGGAGGCTGAAAATTCCAATATCAAGGTGCTGGCTCCTGGTGAGGACCTTTGTCCTACACCTTCCCATGGCAGAAAGCAGAACGACAAGTGAGGGTGAGAGCAAGGGACAGAAAATTTTTATAACAACACATTCTTGTGGTAACAAACCCACTACTGTGATAATGATATTAATCTATTCATGAGGGCAAGGCCCTCATGGCCTAATCCTAATACAGGAACCATTAAAAGGTTCTTTTAATATATACCATTCTTTTAATGTATACCATTCTCACATTGGTATAAAGATATACCTGAGACTGGGTAATTTATAAAAGACGAGGTTTAACTGGCTCACAGTTCTGCAGGCTGTACAGGAAGAATGGTGGCATATGCT
This sequence comes from Homo sapiens, assembly GCF_000001405.40. Classification (NCBI taxonomy): domain Eukaryota; kingdom Metazoa; phylum Chordata; class Mammalia; order Primates; family Hominidae; genus Homo; species Homo sapiens. The sequence continues at coordinate 47,304,676 of NC_000008.11, read as the reverse complement.
TCTGGGGACACCTCAGGGAGCTTTCACTCATGGTGGGAGGCAAAGTGGGTGCAGGCACTTCACATGGTGAAAGCAGGGGGAGGAGGAAGCAGACACTTCACATGGTGAAAGCAAGAGAGCAAAGTGGGCAGTACTACACACTTTTACGTATTTATTTATTTTAATTTTTTTTAATAGAGACGAGGTCTTGCTATGTTGGCCAGGTCGGTCTCAAACTCCTGGGCTCAACTGATCCTCCCATCTTGGCCTCCCAAAGTGCTGGGGTTACAGGCAGGAGACACAGTGCCTGACCACTACACACTTTTAAATTATCAGCTCACATAAGAACTCACTCACTATTGTGAGGACAGTACCAAGGGTTTTGGTGCTAAACCATTCATGAGAAATCCACTCCCATAATCCAGTCACCTTCCACCAGGCCCCATTTCCAACAATGGAAATTACAATTCAACATGAGATTTGGGCGGGGACACAGACTCAAACTATATTAGTCCCCTATTTTAATACTGTCACCATGGTAATTAAATTTCAACAAGAGTTTTGGAGAGGACATTCAAACCATAGCAAATGCTTCTTGGAAGATACCAATAAAATAAATTATAAAAACCCAGACAAGAATAAAAAGTACTATCAACTTAATATGGAAAGTCTTATCAGTAATCAAATACATCTGTTAAATGTCCTAAAAGAAAATACCGCAGGCCAGGTGCAGTGGCTCACACCTGTAATCTCAGCACTTTGGGAGGCCGAGGTGGGTGGATCAACTGAGGTCAGGAGTTCAAGACCAGCCTGGCCAATACGGTGAAACCCTGTCTCTACTAAAAATACAAAAATTAGTTGGGCATGGTGACGGGCGCCTGTAATCCAAGCTACCATGTCATCTTTGATGAACAAGGATGCAAAAATCACCAATATACTAATAAACTGAATTCAACAGCACATTAAAAGGATCATTCACATGATCAAGTGGGATTTACCCTTGGGATGCAAAGATGGTTCAACATATGCAAATAAATAAATGTGATACACCACGTTAATAGAATGGAAGACAAAATCCATATGATCACCTGAATAGATATGGAAAGGGGTGGAGCCAAGATGGCCAAACAGGAACAGCTCCAGTCTACAGCTCCCAGCGTGAGTGACGCAGAAGACGGGTGATTTCTGCATTTCCAACTGAGGTATTGGGTTCATCTCACTGGGGAGTGTTGGACAGAGGGTGCAGCACACTGGGTGCAGTGCACCCAGCGTAAGCCGAAGCAGGGCGAGGCATCACCTCACCCGGGAAGTGCAAGGGGTCATGGAATTCCCTTTCCTAGTCACAGAAAGGAGTGACAGACAGCACCTGGAAAATCGGGTCACTCCAACCCTAATACTGCGCTTTTCTAACGGTCTTAGCAAATGGCACACCAGGAGATTATATCCCACAACTGGTTCGGAGAGTCCTACGCCCACGGAGCCTCGCTCATTGCTAGCACAGCAGTCTGAGATCAAACTGCAAGGCAGCAGCCAGGCTGCGGGAGGGGCAGCCACCATTGCCAAGGCTTGAGTAGGTAAACAAAGCCACAGGGAAGCTGGAACTGGGTGGAGCGCACCACAGCTCAAGGAGGCCTGCCTGCCTCTGTAGACTCACCTCTGGGGGCAGGGCATAACCAAACAAAACGCAGCAGAAATCTCTGCAGAATTAAATGTACCTGTCTGACAGCTTTGAAGAGAGTAGTGGTTCTCCCAGCATGCAGCTGGAGATCTGAGAACGGACACACTGCCTCCTCAAGTGGGTCCCTGACCCTCGAGTAGCCTAACTGGGAGGGACCCCCCAGTAGGGGCAGACTGACACCTCACATGGCCAGGTACTCCTCTGAGACAAAAACTTCCAGAGGAATGATCAGGCAGCAACATTTGGTATAAACCAATATTGGCTGTTCTGCAGCCTCCGCTGCTGATACCCAGGCAAACAAGGTCTGGAGTGGACCTCCACCAAACTCCAACAGACCTGCAGCTGAGGGTCCTGACTGTTAGAAGGAAAACTAACAAACACAAAGGACATGCACACCAAAACCCCATCTGTACGTCACCATCATCAAAGACCAAAGGTACATAAAACTACAAAGATGGGGAAAAAACAGAGCAGAAAAACTGGAAACTCTAAAAATCAGAGTGCCTCTCCTCCTCCAAAGGAACACAGCTCCTCACCAGCAACGGAACAAAGCTGGACGGAGAGTGACTTTGACGAGTTGAGAGAAGAAGGCTTCAGACGATCAAACTACTCCGAGCTAAAGGAGGAACTTCGAACCCATGGCAAAGAAGTTAAAAATCTTGGAAAAAAACGAGACAAATGGCTAACTAGAATAACCAATGCAGAGAAGTCCTTAAAGGACCTCATGGAGCTGAAAACCACAGCACGAGAACTACGTGACGAATGCACAAGCCTCAGTAGCCGATTCGATCAACTGGAAGAAAGGGTATCAGTGATGGAAGATGAAATGAATGAAATGAAGTGAGAAGAGAAGTTTAGAGAAAAAAGAATTAAAAGAAACGAACAAAGCCTCCAAGAAATATAGGACTATGTGAAAAGACCAAATCTACGTCTCATTGGTGTACCTGAAAGTGACAGGGAGAATGGAACCAAGTTGGAAAACACTCTGCAGGATATTATCCAGGAGAACTTCCCCAATCTAGCAAGGCAGGCCAACATTCAAATTCAGGAAATACAGAGAACGCCACAAAGATACTCGTCGAGAAGAGCAACTCCAAGACACATAATTCTCAGATTCACCAAAGTTGAAATGAAGGAAAAAATGTTAAGGGCAGCCAGAGAGAAAGGTCGGGTTACCCACAAAGGGAAGCCCATCAGACTAACAGCGGATCTCTCGGCAGAAACTCTACAAGCCAGAAGAGAGTGGGGGCCAATATTCAACATTCTTAAAGACAAGAATTTTCAACCCAGAATTTCATATCCAGCCAAACTAAGCTTCATGAGTGAAGGAGAAATAAAATCCTTTACAGATAAGCAAATGCTGAGAGATTTGGTCACCACCAGGCCTGCCCTAAAAGAGCTCCTGAAGGAAGCACTGAACATGGAAAGGAACAACCAGTACCAGCCACTGCAAAAACATGCCAAACTGCAAAGACCATCAAGGCTAGGAAGAAACTGCATCAACTAATGAGCAAAATAACCAGCTAACATCATAATGACAGGATCAAATTCACACATAACAGTAGTAACCTTAAATGTAAATGGGCTAAATGCTCCAATAAAAAGACACAGACTGGCAAATTGGATAAAGAGTCAAGACCCATCAGTGTGCGGTATTCAGGAAACCCATCTCACGTGCAGAGACACACATAGGCTCAAAATAAAGGATGAAGGAAGATCTACAAGGAAATGGAAAACAAAAAAAGGCAGGGGTTTCAATCCTAGTCTCTGATAAAACAGACTTTAAGCCAACAAAGATCAGAAGAGACAAAGAAGGCCATTTCATAATGGTAAAGGGATCATTCAACAAGAAGAGCTAACTATCCTAAATATATATGCACCCAATACGGGAGCACCCAGATTCATAAAGCAAGTCCTTAGAGACCTACAAAGATACTTAGACTCCCACACAATAATAATGGGAGACTTTAACACCCCACTATCAACATTAGACAGATCAGTGAGACAGAAAGTTAACAAGGATATCCAGGCACTGAACTCAGCTCTGGACCAAGCGGACCTAATAGACATCTACAGAACTCTCCACCCCCAATCAACAGAATACACATTCTTCTCAGTACCACACCACACCTATTCCAAATTGACCACATATTTGGAAGTAAAGCACTCCTCAGCATATGTAAAAGAACAGAAATTATAACAAACTGTCTCTCAGACCACAGTGCAATCAAACTAGAACTCAGGATTAAGAAACTCACTCAAAACCGCTCAACTACATGGAAACTGGACAATCTGCTCCTGAATGACTGCTGGGTACATAACGAAATGAAGGCAGAAATAAAGATGTTCTTGGAAACCAACAAGAACAAAGACACAACATACCAGAATCTCTGGGACACATTCAAAGCAGTGTGTAGAGGGAAATTTGTAGCACTAAATGCCCACAAGAGAAAGCAGGAAAGATCTAAAATTGACACCCTAACATCCCAATTAAAAGAACTGGAGAAGCAAGAGCAAACACATTCAAAAGCTAGCAGAGGCAAGAAATAAGATCAGAGTAGAACTGAAGGAAATAGAGACACAAAAAACCCTTCAAAAAAATCAATGAATCCAGGAGCTGGCTTTTTGAAAAGATCAACAAAACTGATAGACTGCTAGCAAGACTAATAAAGAAGAAAAGAGAGAAGAATCAGATAGACGGAATAAAAAATGATAAAGGGGATATCACCACCAATCCCACAGATATACAAACTACCATCAGAGAATACTATAAACACCTTTACACAAATAAATTAGAAAATCTAGGAGAAACGGGTAAATTCCTGGACACATACACCCTCCCAAGACTAAACCAGCAAGAAGCTGAATCTCTGAATGGACCAATAACAGGCTCTGAAATTGAGGCAATAATTAATAGCTTACCAAACAAAAAAAGTCCAGGACCAGACGGATTCACAGCCAAATTCTACCAGAGGTACAAAGAGGAGCTGGTACCATTCCTTCTGAAACTATTCCAATGAATAGAAAAAGAGGAAATCCTCCCTAACGCATTTTATGAGGCCAGCATCATCCTGATACCAAAGCCTGGCAGAGACACAACCAAAAAAGAGAATTTTAGACCAATATCCCTGATGAACATCGATGCAAAAATCCTCAATAAAACACTGGCACACCGAATCCAGCAGCACATCAAAAACCTTATCCACCATGATCAAGTGGGCTTCATCCCTGGGATGCAAGGCTGGTTCAACATACAGAAATCAATAAATGTAATCCATCATATAAACAGAACCAACGAGTAAAACCACATAATTATCTCAATAGATGCAGAAAAGGCCTTTGACAAAATTCAACAACCCTTCATGCTAAAAACTCTCAATAAATTAGGTATTGATGGGACGTATCTCAAAATAATAAGAGCTATTTATGACAAACCCACAGCCAATATCATACTGAATGGGCAAAAACTGGAAGCATTCCCTTTGAAAACGGGCACAAGACAGGGATGCCCTCTCTCACCACTCCTATTCAACATAGTGTTGGAAGTTCTGGCCAGGGCAATCAGGCAGGAGAAGGAAATAAAGGGTATTCAATTAGGAAAAGAGGAAGTCAAATTGTCCCTGTTTGCAGATGACATGATTGTATATCTAGAAAACCCCATTGCCTCAGCCCAAAATCTCCTTAAGCTGACAGGCAACTTCAGCAAAGTCTCAGGATACAAAATCAATGTGCAAAAATCACAAGCATTCTTATACACCAATAACAGACAGAGAGCCAAATCATGAGTGAACTCCCATTCACAATTGCTTCAAAGAGAATAAAATACCTAGGATTCCAACTTACAAGAGACGTGAAGGACCTCTTCAAGGAGAACTACAAACCACTGCTCAATGAAATAAAAGAGGATACAAACAAATGGAAGAACATTCCATGCTCATGGGTAGGAAGAGTCAATATCGTGAAAATGGCCACACTGCCCAAGGTAATTTATAGATTCAATGCCATCCCCATCAAGCTACCAATGACTTTCTGCACAGAATTGGAAAAAACTACTTTAAAGTTCATATGGAACCAAAAAGGAGCCTGCATTGCCAAGTCAATCCTAAGCCATAAGAACAAAGCTGGAGGCATCACGCTACCTGACTTCAAACTATACTACAAGGCTACAGTAACCAAAACACCATGGTACTGGTACCAAAACAGAGATATAGACCAATGGAACAGAACAGAGCCCTCAGAAATAATGCCGCATATCTACAACTATCTGATCTTTGACAAACCTGACAAAAACAAGAAATGGGGAAAGGATTCCCTATTTTACAAATGGTGCTGGGAAAACTGGCTAGCCATATGTAGAAAGCTGAAACCAGATCCCTTCCTTACACCTTATACAAAAATTAATTCAAGATGGATTAAAGACTTACATGTTAGACCTAAAACCATAAAAACCCTAGAAGAAAACCTAGGCAATACCATTCAGGACACAGGCATGGGCAAGGACTTCATGTCTAAAACACCAAAAGCAATGGCAACAAAAGCCAAAATTGACAAACGCCATCTAATTAAACTAAAGAGCTTCTGCACAACAAAAGAAACTACCATCAGAGTGAACAGCAACCTAAAGAATGGGAGAAAATTTTTGCAATCTACTCATCTGACAAAGGGCTAATATCCAGAATCTACAATGAACTCAAACAAATTTACAAGAAAAAAACAACCCCATCAAAAAGTGGGCAAAGGATATGAACAGACACTTCTCAAAAGAAGACATTTATACCGCCAAAAGACACGTGAAAAGATGCTCATCATCACTGGCCATCAGAGAAATGCAAATCAAAACCACGGTGAGATACCATCTCACACCAGTTAGAATGGCAATCATTAAAAAGTCAGGAAACAACAGGTACTGGAGAGGATGTGGAGAAACAGGAACACTTTTACACTGTTGGTGGGAGTGTAAACTAGTTCAACCATTGTGGAAGTCAGTGTGGCGATTCCTCAGGGATCTAGAACTAGAAATACCATTTGACCCAGCCATCCCATTACTGGGTATATACCAAAAGGATTACAAAATATGCTGCTATGAAGACACATGCCCACGTACGATTATTGCGGCACTATTCACAATAGCAAAGACTTGGAAGCAACCCAAATGTCCAACAATGATAGACTGGATTAAGAAAATGTGGCACATATTCACCATGGAATACTATGCAGCCATAAAAAATGATGAGTTCATGTCCTTTGTAGGGACATGGATGAAGCTGGAAACCATCATTCTCAGCAAACTATCACAAGGACAAAAAACCAAACAGCGCATGTTCTCACTCACAGGTGGGAAGTGAACAATGAGAACAGATGGACACAGGAAGGGGAACATCACACACCGGCGCCTGTCGTGGGGTGGGGGAGGTGGGGAGGGATAGCATTAGGAGATATACCTGATGTTAAATGACGAGTTAATGGGTGCAGCACACCGACATGGCACATGTATACATATGTAACAAACCTGCACGTTTTGCACATGTACCCTAAAACTTAAAGTATAATAATAAAAAAAAATAGATATGGAAAAAGCATGTGACACAACTCAAAATTATTTCATGATAAAAACTGTCAACACATTATGTATAGAAGGAATATATTGTGTTTATACACAATAAAGGCCATATGTAACAAGCCCACAGCTGCCATGCTCCCTGGAAAAAGGTAAAAGCTTTTCCTCTATGATCAAAAACAAGATAAGAATGCCCGCTCTTGCCACTGCTATTCAACAGAGTTAGATGTCCTGGCAAGAGCGATTAGGCAAGAGAAAGAAATAAAGGCATCCATATCAGAGGAAGAAGAGAAATCATCTGTTTGCTGATGTCATGGTCTCACATATAGAAAATGCTAACAACTTCACCAAAAAACCATTAAGTCTGATAAACAAATTCAGTAAAGTTGCAGGATACAAAATCTACAGTGTTTCTCTATTCTAAGAATGAAGTACCTGAAAAAGAAATTAAGAACTCAATCCCGTTTACAGTAGCATCGAGAAAAAGCAACTTAGAAGTAAATTTAAGGAGGCAATAGATGTATATACTAGAAAATACAAAACACTGATGAAAGATATAGTAGATGACACAAACACATGGAAAGCTATCCATATTCATGGAATGCAAGAATATTGTTAAACTATTCATACTTCCCAAAGTGATATTCAGATTCAATGCAATGCCTAACGAAATTCCAATGTCATTCTTCACAGAATAAAACAATCCTAAAACTCATATGGAACCACAAAAAACCCCAAATGGCCAAAGCGAAAAGAACAAACCTAGAGGTATCACAGTACTTGATTTTAAAACCTGTTACAAAGCTAATGTAACCAAAACAGCACAGCATAAAAACCGACCAACTAACCAATCAAACAGGGTAGAGAGCCCAGAAGTAAACCCACACATTTGTGGTCAATTATTTACAACAAACGTGCCAAGAATATACAATGGAAAGAGGACAATCCTCAATAAATTGTGCTGGGAAAACAGGTTAACCACATGCAAAAGAAAGAAATTAGACCCTTATCTCACACCATACACCAAAATCAACTAAAAATGGACTAATGACTTAAACATAAAACCTGAAACTGTAAAGCTACTGAAATAAAACATAGGGAAAATGCTCCATAACACTGGTCTGGGCAAAGATTTCTTAAATATTACCCTAAAAGCACTGACAACAAAAGCAAAAACATATGAGATTGCATCTAACTGAAAAGATTATACACAGCAAAGAAACAACAGAGCAAAAGATGTGCCATGGATTGAGAGAAAATATCTACAAACTACATATCTGATAAGGCGCTAATATCTAAAATAGACAAAGAACTCAACTCAATAGCAAGAAAACAAAGAACCCAATTTAAAAATGTGCAGAGGACCTAAACATTGCTCAAAAGATGTACAAATGGCCAACAGATATATATTAAAATGCTCATCATCACCACTCACCAGGGAAATGCAGATTAAAGCCACAATGAGGGATCACCTCACACCTGTTAGAAAGACTATCAAAAAGATGAAAGATAACAAGCGTTGGTGAGTGTGTAGCAAAAAGGGAACTTGTACATTGTTGGTGGGAATGTAAATTATCACAGCTATTATGGAGAACAGTATGAAGGTCTCTCAAAAAACTAAAAATAGAACTACCATATAATCTAGTAATCCCACTTCTGGGCCAAAGGATTGAAATCAGTATGCTAAAAAAATATCTGCACTCCCATGTTAACTGCAGTGCTATTCACAATAGCTAAGATTTGGAAGCAATCTAGGTGTCTAGACGAATGCATAAAGTAAATATAGTATATATACACCAATGGAATACTATCCAGTCTTGATAAAGAAGGAAATTCTATCATTTGCAACATGAATGAACCTGGAGGACATTACGTTAACTCAGATAAGCCAGGCACACAAAGACAAATACAGCATGATCTTACTTACATGGGGAATCTAAAAAAGTAGAACTCACAGAATTGTGGTAGAATGTTGATTACCAGAGGCTGGGAGAGAAAAGTGGATGGAGAAAGGGAAGATGCTGACTAAAGGATACAAAATTTCATTTAGACAGAAGTAATATGCTTTAGTAATCTAATACACAGAATGAAGACTATAATAATAGTGCATTGTATTTTACAATTTTTTAAAATTTATAGGCATGCAAAAAAGCAGAAAAATACAACTCATAAGGAGGACAAATAGACACAGAAATGACACAGACAGATTTACCAAAACAGCCATTAAAAACAGCTATTATAAATATACTCTGTATGTTCAAAATATAGAAGAAAGTATGTCATGTTAAGAAAAGACATGGACAATATAAAGACTCACATCAAACTTCCAGAAATGAAAAATACAATGTCAGAGATGACCAATACACTGGATAGTATTAGCTGCAGAATATACTGAAGAATTTTTAAAAAGTTATTAAACTAGAAGATGTAGCAACAGAAACCACCCAAAATGAAATGAAGGGGAAAAAACAATGACAGCAAAAATGAGACATGACGCAACACTAAGCAGCCTAATTAATATACATGTAATTGGAGTCACAGGAGGAAACGAAAAGGGGAGTCAGAAAAAAAATTAAGAAGTAAAAGCCAAAAACTTACCAAATGTGATGAAAACTACAAACTCACATACATGCAGAAAAGAGTTAACATACAAAAAATACAACAATTAGCCAGACGTGGTGGCACATGCCTGTAGGACCAGCTACTCTGGAGGCTGAGGTGAGAGGATCACTTGAGCCCAGGAGATCAAGGCTACAGTGAGCTACGATCGCACCATTGCGTTCTAGCCTGGGTGACACAGCAAGACCCTGTCTCTAAATAAATAAATAAAAATAGATTTCTATCCTTTCAGTGTAATAAACGATGGCCACGAGTACGACTATATGCTAAGTCCTGTGTATCCTCCTAGTCCACTGCTGAACCTTCTAGGGAGAGGGTGCCTATGTTACTAGCCCCTAATACAAACCCTGGGCACTGAGTCTCTAATGAGTTCCCTGGTACATAACACTTCACACATGTTGTCTAAACATTTTGCTGGAAGAATTAAGCATATACTGTGTGACTCCACTGGGAGAGGACTCGTGGAAGACAGCTGATTTAAATTTGTATCTTTTTGCCCAGGTATGGTGGCTGACATGTGCAATTCCAGCACTTTGATATATCTGCACTGGAAGAATAGCAGGATAAAAAACATTCGGTGTGCAGTGAGGGTGGGAAGTGAAAGAGAAGTGAGATCAATATTTATCCATGTTGAGAAGTACAGCACAAGCATGTTATTTAGAGATAAGTGAGTAAAGAACAAAAGAATCCCCTAAGAGTCAAAAGTGGTTGTTCTCGAGGAAGGACAGGAAAAAAAAAACAAAAAAAAAAATGACAACTATGATTAGCAAATGTTATAAAGTGAATAAAAGTTTTGAAATACTTCATTCTTACCTTGGGAAGCTCCGACAGCTTCTCATCACTTGTCAAAGACTGATTACTTGCACAAGAAGCACAGTCTGAGATTTCCACAGCACCCTCGTCATCTTCAAATTCATCACAGTCACTAGCCTCTGCCCTGTCACTGTCAATCTCCCAGTCGATAAACTGTAATTCATCTAAAAAATATAATTTTTAACTTGCTTAATTATCTCCTTAATCTTTCACTTTTATATCTCTTTTATTCTTAGCAGTTAATATATCCATGTCACTCAATAATTTTAAAAAATATATTTAGGGCCAGGCACAATAGCTCATGCCTGTAATCCTAGCGCTTTGGGAGGCCAGGGTGGGCAGAATGCCAAAACTCAGCAGTTCAAGACTAGCCTGGCCAACAAGATGAAATGCTGTCTCTATTAAAAATACAAAAAATTAGCTGGACACGGTGGCACACACCTATAGTCCCAGCTACTCAGGTGGCTGAGGCACCAGAATCGCTTGAACCCGAGAGGTGGAGGTTGTAGTGAGCCGAGATCTTGCCACTGAACTCCAGCCTGGGCAACAGAACGAGACTCTGTCTCAAAAAAAATTTAGACAGTGAAAAGTATATTTCTACTCTTATCTCAAATCACTGTTTCTCCCAAATCTTATCCCAACCCCAATTTTAAGTTAACTACTTTTATTAGGTGTTTCTGTATCTTTGTAGAGTTTCTCCAGCATGTTTAAGCAAATAAACTATGTATTGTTATTTTTTTCCTCCTTTCTTACACAGCTAGACTTTTTCACTAAACATAATTAAGAGGATGTAGTAGGATCGCTCGAGCCCAGGAGTTTGAAACTGCGGTGAGCTATGATCCACTGCACTCCAGCCTGGGTGACAGAGCATGACCTCATCTCTTAAAAAAAACAGCCACTATAATGATCATAACAGACCGAAGGTCAGACCACCACTGAGAGAAGCAGATGCATAATGGCAACGGCTTCCCACATTAACATCAAATTTAGTCACGGAAGCCAGGCAGGGGAACACATTAGAGATTTTCCAGGTTGCTGAACCTTCTCAACAGGAAGCCAGGGAGAGACAAGGGAAAAACACAAGTGCCCTCAGAGCCGCTGCCGGTATCACACATCTGTGCAGCACTCATTCATTCATTCACTCCTTCATTCATTAGACAAAGCAAATGCCTAAAAAGAGCCCATCACACCATTCGAGATACTCACAATACAAAATAAATACAATAGAGAAAACAGCACCATTCCTAGCCTGAAGTAGCCCACAAATTAATACATATTGCAATGTGATGCATGCTATGAAATAACGGGGGCTTTCGTCACAAAACTTTTGTGGTCACAAAACTTTTAAAAAGCAGGAAGACTGCTACTATTACACTTAAATTTGCATTTTACAGATGAGGAAATTGGGTCTACAATAATTTAAGAGATTTTCCAAAAGTTATAAAAACTTTTAGACAATTGGTAAAAACCAAATGGAAGGGAGGCTGGGCGCGACAGCTCACATGTGTAATCCCAGCACTTTGGGAGGCACAAACCATACTATTTACCCATTTTTATAAACTTTGTATTCTGAAATGTATGAAGACAAACCAAGTAACAATAAATTTCATTTAATATGGTTGAATCAATAATAGAACTGCTATCAGCTTATATACAATCTTAAAATACCACTTCACCTGGTAACTACTAAAAGGTCAATGATATTAATAGTTACCAAAATGAAATACAAAGTGGTCAAAAGAATTTAACTACCCTCCCGAGAAGCTGTCTGTACAAACTGAACCCTAGGTAACTAACATGAACCGTCAAGAGTTAAAAGTCATAAGCTTATTTTGAAAACATTAAGACACTGAAATACTCTATAGATGATTTGTATATTTTAAAAATTCTAAAAGGACATGATTTCCATAATTCAACATCTGTGGTTATCAACTAGGGGTGATTTTTGTCCTTCATGGGACCCTTGACAACATCTGGAGACATCTTTGGTTATCATCACTGTGGCTGGGATTCTACTGTGACCCGGCAGGTAAAGGCAAGGGACACGGCAGAATATCCTACAGGCATAGGAAGGTGTTACTCCCCATAGCAAAGAATCATCTGGCCCAAAATGTCAAGAGTGTCAAGGATGAGAAACTCTGCTTTCAATTGTCTAAAACATGACACAATATAAAACGCCATCTGAATAGAAATTTGTCAGTACGTTACACCTCTACCACACACTGGTTGTCACAGTATTTACCGAACAGGTTGGGAAGAAGGCAGTGTGGGTGTGGCACTGTGTAGACGTTGAAAGAACTGGCTATGGAGCAGAGACCTAAAATGGAATCCCAATCCATTCTCATCAGTCCAAGCTTAAGTTGTTAACTGTAAAAATAATATCTGTAATACCTATCTCTTAGAGTTTCTTAGAGTTGTTTTGAGAAATATTAAACAAGAAAATGTTTCTGAAGTGTTTAGCATAGAGGGTGGGACTCAGTAAAATCCTAACTATTAGAAAGGAATTTAATTTTCATTCTCTGGGACAAATGCCTAAAGGTGCAGTTGCTGGGCTATATGGTAATTGCATGTTTAGTCTTTAAGAAACCGCCAGACTGTTTTCCAGAGTGGCTATACCATTTTACTGTACACCTGCAATGTACTGGTGATCCAGTTTCTCCACAACCTCACCAGCATTTTGTACTGTCACTACTTTTTATTGTAGCCATTCTGATAGGTGGAATGTTAATGATAAATACTAGAAAGGAATGTAAGTTTCTTCCAATATTAAATCCAATATTTAACAGAAACTGGATTCCTAACAAAATTATCAATTTACCTTCATTACTCTGATCTTCTGGACACAATATGTTCCTGTTACAAAATCTGTCTATTCTAGAGCAATGTCCATTACCTCTCTGTAACTGAGAAAGTGTCTTATCTTCATCCGACAAATCACTTCCACTGGAGCTCCATGTTATGTCTGTAAGCCCACTGGTGCTTTTAGATGTGGTGGTTTCTGTTGAAGGAAAAGAAAGCACATAAATATGATCTCCTTATATGGTCATTTATCAGAATACAATTTTATGCATGTAATTTTGCCAAAGTCACAAATACACAAAACTCTGTGATAGGAAAAGCAATGTCTATGTCAAATCTTCCTACCTAAAGTTCTACGTACAATCTCACTAACATTCTCTGAGTTCGAAGCCAAGTTCCAAGAAGAAAAAGAAGTAGAACTGGTTAAGTTATACAAAAAAAGGAAAGTGACTAGAGCACAAATGAAAACCGGAAAAATAAGACTTGAAATAACATTTATAAAAGTATAACTTTCTGGGGTATTTGATGAAAACAAAAAATTTTTTAAAATGCAAAACACAAAGTCAAAACTTATGAGTAACAGGAATGCTTCTGTGTGCTTCCTTTGCCATGCTAAGAGCTCTGGTAGCAGGGTGCTTAAAACACTTAAGACCAAACCTTGTATTTAATTAAACTTTTTATTTTGAGATAATATTAGATTCATATATAGTTGTAAGAAATAAGAGAAAACTCTTGTATCCTTCACCCAGTCCCTCCAATGGTAATATCTTGCAAAACTGTAGTATAACACAACCAGGATACTGACACTGATCCAGTCAAGATACAGATCAATTCTATCACCACAGGATGCCTTTATTACCTTTTTATAGCTACACCATCTCCTGGCCCCATACCAATCCCTGAACTCTGTCAACCACTACTCAGTTTTGCATTTCTGTAATTTTGTCATTTTAAAAATGTTATATAATCGAGACCAGCCTGGCCAACATGGTGAAACCCTGTCTCTACTAAAAATACAAAAAATTAGCCAGGCGTGGTTGCGGGTGCCTGTAATCCCAGCTACTCAGGGGGGGCTGAGGCAGGAGAATCGCTTGAACCCAGGAGGCAGAGGTTGCAGTGAGCTGAGATCGAGCCACTGCACTCCAGCCTGGGCAACAAGAGTGAAACTCCATCTCACACACACACACACAAAAAGGTTATATAAATAAAATCACTATGTAACTTTTTAGAATTGGCTTTTTTCACTCAGAATAATTTCCTAGATATTCATCTAAGTTGTGTGTATCAACATTTATTTTCTTTTTATTACTGAATAGTACACCATGGTACTATGCACCATAGTTTGTTTAATCATTCACCTACTGAAAGACATCTGTGTTGTTTCTAGTTTGGGGCTATTATGAACAAAGCTGCTTATGAACATCTGTGTATAAGATGTTATGTGAATTTAATTTTCATTCTCTGGGACAAATGCCTAAGGGTGCACTTGCTGGGTTATATGGTAATTGCATGTTTAGTCTTTAAGAAACTGCCAGACTGTTCTCCAGAGTGGCTGTACCATTTTACTACACACCTGCAATGTACTGGTGATCCAGTCTCTCCACAACCTCACCAGCATTTTGTATTGTCACTATTTTTCATTGTAGCCATTCTGATAGGTGGAAAACCTGACAGAATGGGGCTATTTCATCTTGGCAGAATCAAAAGTCAACAGCAAACTTTTCTGATATTGGTCAGAAAAGGAATATATACCTAATAAAAATCAATTATTCTGTTTATATTCATAATTGTAAATATAATGCTAAAACATATATATGTACATATATATCTTATCCTATGCAGTATGGTATTTGATATATTTCAAAGCACATTTTAATACACTATGAAATTAAGAGATTAGATATTTATAAAATTCATGTTTTACAAAAAATAAACCTAGGCTTCATTAGATACATATTTACAGAACCCCTCTGATACAGTAAACCATGAGGAAACAAAAAAAACTCCAGCCTAGGCAACACAGTGAGACCCAATCTCTACAAAAAGTTAAAAAATTAGCTGGGCACAGTGGTACATGCCTGTAGTCCCAGCTACTTGGGAGTCTGAAGCAGGAGGACGAGTTTAAGAGCAAATGTTTGAGGCTGCAGTGAGCTATGACTGCACCACAGCACTCCATCCCGAGTGACAGGGTAAGATCCCATCTCTAAAAAAGAAAAGAAAAGAAAGCTCCTTCCCACAAGGAATATGTGTGGTCTGGAAGAAACACTAATCATGAAAAAAACTAACAATATACCAGATGTATGTCATGGAATAATGGTGGCACAAAAAAAATGGAATGTTCCACTTTGCATCGATCAGGAAAAGAGGATTCACTGACAAGATGATGTCTGAAAAAACAGTACTTACAAAGGCACAAAAACATGGAATAGTCAACATTTACTGAACACTTACTACTTTGTGCCACAAACATCTAGAATTACTGAAGTGGCCTATTGTTCACGTTATAAAAGGAAAAATAAACTATTCAGAATATTCTAAGAATCTATATCTATCTAAATAGCTAATAAAATAAACTGAGTACTTGCAAAAGACATTATCAATCTCTATCATTATTATGCATCTGAAAAATAAGTCAAGAAGGAAGTTATCAGCAGGGAGCGGTGGCTCACGCCTGTAATCCTAGACTTCGGGAGGCCGAGGTGGGTGGATCACGAGGTCAGAAGTTCAAGACCAGCCTGGCCAAGATGGTGAAACCCCATCTCTACTAAAAATACAAAAAATTAGCCAGGCATGGTTGTGGGCACCTGTAATCCCAGCTACTCGGGAGACTGAGGCAGAGAATTGCTTGAACCCAGGAGGCAGAGGTTGCAGTGAGCAGAGATCACACCACTGTACTCTAGCCTGGGTGACAGAGTGAGACATTATCTCAAAAAAAAAAAAGAAGGAAGTTATCACTATTTGCAAATTATGAAATGAATTCATGGAAAAGTCAAGAAACCAACTGAAAAATTACTACCGTTAATAAGGAAGTCCAATAAAGGTGGCAAGGTACAAACTACAATACAGAAATCAAATTTAAAGCAGTAGCAAAAACCAATAAAATACCTACAAGAAACTTAAGTGTTGCAGGAAGTCAGGGACCCCGAACAGAGGGACGAGCTGGAGCCACCGCAGAGGAACATAAATTATGTAGATTTCATTTTAATATGGACATATATCAGTTCCCAAAATTAATACTTT
The DNA here is from genome assembly GCF_000001405.40 of Homo sapiens. Lineage (NCBI taxonomy): Eukaryota > Metazoa > Chordata > Mammalia > Primates > Hominidae > Homo > Homo sapiens. The sequence goes on along the minus strand of NC_000008.11, from coordinate 47,287,991 downwards.
TACAAGTTCTTTACTTCAATCTCTGAACATAAATTGTGAAGATTTCATTTTAATATGGACCTTTATCATTCCCCAAATAATACTTTTATAATTTCTTATGCCTGTCTTTACTCTCTTAATCCTGTTATCTTCATAAACTGAGAATGTACATCACCTCAGGACCACTATCGTGTTAAACTGTACAAATTGATTGTAAAATGTGTGTTTGAACAATATGAAATCAGTGCACCTTGAAAAAGAACAGAATAACAGCGATTTTCAGGGAACAAGGGAAAACAACCATAAGGTCTGATGGCCTTTGGGGTCAGGCAGAATACAGCCATATTTTTCTTCTTGCAGAGAGCCTATAAACGGACATGCAAGTAGGGAAGATATTGCTAAATTCTTTTCCCAGCAAGGAATATTAATAATTAATACCCTGGGGAAGGAATGCATTCCTGGGGGGAGGTCTATAAACGGCCACTCTGGGAGTGTCTGTCTTATGCGGTTGGGATAAGAACTGAAATACACCCTGGTCTCCTGCAGTACCCTCAGGTTTATTAGGGTGGGGAAAAAAAATCCACCCTGGTGAATTTGAGGTCAGACCAGTTCTCTGCTCTCCAACCCTGTTTTCTGTTGTTTAAGATGTTTATCAAGACAATATGTGCACAGCTGAACATAGACCCTTATCAGGAGTTTTTGATTTCGCCCTTTGCCTTGTGATCTTTGCTTTGCCCTTTGCCTTGTGATCTTTGCTTTGCCCTTTGCCTTGTGATCTTTATTGGCCTCAGAAGCATGTGATCTTTGTTCTCCTTTTTGCCCTTTGAAGCATGTGATCTTTGTGACCTACTCCCTGTTCGTACACCCCCTCCCCTTTTGAAGTCCTTAATAAAAACCTGCTGGTTTTGTGGCTCAGGTGGGCATCACGGTCCTACTGTTATGTGATGTCACCCCTGGAGGCCCAGCTGTAAAATTCCTCTCCTTGTACTCTTTCTCTTTATTTCTCAGCTGGCCGACACTTAGGGAAAATACAAAGAACCTACGTTGAAATATTGGGGGCGGGTTCCCCCAATACTTAAGAGACATGTAAAACCAAAGTACATGTTTTTAGAAGACTTCAAAAGAACATGAAAGAACAAACAGAAAGATATATACTAAGATTCTGGATGATCTGATCAGAAAAAAATGACCTCTCACTGCCTTGAGGCTGAGCATCTTTTCATAGGTTTGAAAATCATTTATATTTCCTTTTTTGAAAGCAGTTCCTCCATAATCGTTATTTTTGCAATAGTTATCTTTTTCCCCCTAGATTAAGTTCTGATGGTTCTTTATTAGAAAGATCAGCCTTGGTCTGTGACATGAGCCACAGTATTTTCCCTGGTTTTTCTGAATTTTAAATTTTGTGTATGTACATGTAATTTTTTGTAAGCGATGTGGTCTTGCTATGTCACCCAGGATGGACTGCAGCAGCTGTACACAGGCATGATCACAGCACACTGCAGCCCCAAACTCCTGGGCTCAAGTGATCTTCCTGCCACAGCCTCCCAAGTAACTGGGACTACAGACGTATGCCACCCTATCAGACTTATATATGTAATTTTGGCCATGCTGTTTTTCCCTTTATGTTTAGGTGAATTTACCAGCTTTATTCATACAGTTTCTATGTTATGAGTCATTCATTGGAAAGGACTTCCCAAATGTAATGCCTTTTTTCAGCCAGCAGCTGTGGTGCCTGAGACGCACACCCAGGCAGGTGAGCTTCTGAGTCCATGTTCTTAACCATTATGCGTAGCTCTCAAGTCAGAGAGACCTGCAGTTGCTTTCACCATTAGTTTAGTGTGAGTATCTAAGAAAATATGTAACTGTCTGGTGCTTCTGTACCATCTAATTTAAAAGACAGGATAATCATTAGTTATGTCATTCAAAACCTCAGAGACCAGGACTCTAGATTTATAAACCCATGAATTATAGGCACCTGACTGCACAACTAGGTAGTTAAAATCACTACCAGGAATTGATTAGTAACTCATTTCACTTGCTGTAAAGAGGGTGTCCTTGATATCAAGGCTCATTCCAATGGAACCGTAGGATAAATATTAGCCACACTGAACATTTCTGGGTGCCCACTGTGTGCTAGGCACTGTCCTAGCACCTGGTGTTATGAGCTGAACTGTGTCCCCCCCCACCAAAATTCAAATGTTGAAGTCCTAACCTTCTGTACCTCAGAATGTGACTTTATTTGAAGACATGGTCTTCAAAGAGGTAATCAAATTCAAATAAGGTCATTAGGGTGGGCCTTAATCCAAGATGACTGAAATCCTTATAAGGTGAAATCTGGACACAAAGACAGACATGCACAGAGAAGACAATGTGAAGAGACCTGGGGAAGAGAGAGAGGAAGAAGGCAATCATCTACAAGCCAAGGAGAGAGGTCTAGAACAGATACTGAAGTATTAGTTTAAGACATCCTATTAACAAAAATTCCAAGATAAAAATTCTATACTACATTTTGGGTGAGGAAGTAGTATTTTTATGACAGCTGGGAAGCAGAATCAGGAACATGCTTTTGTAATGTGTGCCTAAGGTCAGAGGCTTGTCTCTGCCAACAGCTTCTGCAATTCCATCAGAAGATTATAGAATTTAAAAGATGTGTACTAGTTTACTTCATAAAGCAACACTTTATAAATTTTAAAGAAACATTTTGGCAAATTTTATTTTTCATTTGCATAGAACCTCTTCCATGTCACTTGAAATAGTAACATGGTTTAGAATGTCACAGGAAGTTAGTTCACTCTGTAGAACTCTGAATAGGCTTTCACATAGCTCCTTCTGTCATCAGACATATGAGCAACTGCTGTCATCAATCAAGTACCTACTGAAGCACCTTTAATTAGGCATTTAATCTACTATTTTTAGCTCACTTAATATTCATGATAACCCAATGATTATGCCCATTCTCCAGATACAAAACAGACTGCGAATGTTTAGCTTAGTTTTCAAAGATTAGAGAGCCAGGACACAGCAAGATCCCGGAAGTCACAAGCCCTCACTCTTCCTACACACCCACAGCGGGGCTGACTGCCTATGGCAGGAGAACCAGCGGCCTACCTGATATCCACCCCTTCTTCATTACTAATAACCCCAGTTTTCTTTAGCAGCAACATACCTATCTAAAAATCCTTAATTTCACTAAAGTATCTTTAGTGGAGGTGACCGTTTGTAACAGGTTCTAGTCAAAGGTAGAGGTACTGGGAAGCGCATTCCTTCCCAAAGGAAAGGCAAAGCTGACTTGGCGAAAATCCTCAGCACCTACACTCTTCCAAGAATTCAGCCTGTGGAATTCAGCCAACACCTCCTGACCATGAGAACCAATTCCACACTCAGGCTACAGAATTCAGAAAGAATCTAGCCCTGTGGATGTCCTGCTGCAGGAGACAAATTCAACCTCATTTATTCAAATACTCTAGTGTTTGAACAGAGTTTTCTACTACTTATTGAAAGTTCCCTAATTCATCAAGAAAGAATTTCAGAGCCTGAAGCAGTATAGTTCTTATGGCATAGGTCACATTTCTTTCCCAAATCAGATTAAAAACAAACAAACAAACAAACAAACAAACAAAACCCTGGAGCTATGAGCATGAGCTAACCTACTGGGCTCTGTGATAAAAATGAACTTAGGAAGGACACACAAAAAATGTTAGTTATCTGTAGGCAGGCAGGAGAAATGGGGTAGACGGTGACAGCGATGACAGACAAAGTTCTCAAAAATATCTTTTTACCTTATCTTGATGTTTTTTAACTATGAATATAGTCTACCCAAACCATGTCACTTTTTTAAAACAGCAAATTTTTAAAATAATCACAGAAGGATTTATTAGTCTTATATCTTCTCTGTCAAGAAATCAACAAAATAGTTACCTTGCTTGGGTCTAGGGCATAATTCAAGGTGCTTTTCTGTAATCGTCTTCTCTTCAGCTGTTAATGACTGTAGGCAAAATAATAATCATGGAATTTATGTGACAAATGCTAAAAAAAAACTTTTATAAAATATTCAAAATCTTAAACTACACTCTCCTTAACATATTCTTCTCTGATTTCCTTTACCAATTCACCAATTTCAGTAATCCCAAAGCATGTACTCCTTATATATTTATAAATTCATTCTATTTTTCCTGAATCTAAAGAGATCTGACTGACCAAAACGTTTCCCATTAACATTCAGTGTAATATCTGCTCATACATGTGACTCCAACTGCCTATGAGGTACTCATTACTACTCATACCCAAATTATCTTGAATTTGTAATAGCATTACTCTGTAAGTTACCACAAACACAAAAATTATCCAGAATATCTCATTGCCAAAAGATTCTGAATATAAAGGCATACCTTGTTTTATTGTGCTTCATAGATAAAGCATTTTTTTACAAATTGAAAATTTCTGGCAATCCTGTGTCAAGCAATTCTGTATGCCATTTTTCCAACAGCATCTGCTCACCTATAAACTTGTGTCTCTGTGTCATATTTTGATAATTATTCCAAGATTTCAAACTTTACCATTATTATTAAATCTGCTATGATGGTCTGTGATCAGTGATCTCTGGTATTACTACTGTAACTGATTTGGGGTGCCACAGTCAAAACCAATATAAGAGAGCAAAATTAATAAATGCTGTGTGTGTTCTGACTGCTCCACCAACCAGCTGTTCCTCCATCTCTTGCCTTCTCCTTAGGCCTCCTATTCTCTGCAACACACCAATATTAAAATTAAGTCAATTTAATAACCTTACAATCGCCTCAAAGTGCTCAAGCAAAGGAAGAGCTGAATGTCTCACACCTTAAATCAAAAGCTGGAAATGGCCGAGCACAGTGGCTCACGCCTGTAATCCCAGAACTCTGGGAGGCCAACGCAAGTAAATCACCTGAGATCAGGAGTTCGAGACCAGCCTGACCCACATGGTGAAACCCCATCTCTACCAAAAATACAAAAATTAGCTGGGCGTGGTGGCGGGCACCTGTAATCCCAGCTACTCGGGAGGCTGAGGCAGGAGAATCACCTGAACCTGGGAGGTGGAGGTTGCAGTGAGCCAATATCGCACCATTGCACTCCACCCCGAGCGACAGAGACAGACTCCCTCTCAAAAAAAAAAAGAAAAAGAAAAAAGAAGCTGGAAATGATTAAGCTTAGGTAGGAAGGCATGACAAAAACTAAGATAGGCTAAAAGCTAGACCTCTTGAGCCAAACCGTTAAGCCAGTTGTGAATACAAAGGGAAGCTCTTGAACGAAATTGAAAGTGCTACTCCAGTGAATACACAAATGATAAGAAAGTAAGACAGCATTATTGCTAATAGAAAGTTTTAGCAATCTGGATAGAAAATTGAATCAGCTATAACATTCCCTTAAGCCAGAGCAGAATCCAGAGCAAGGTCCTAACTCTCTTCAATTCTATGAAGGCTGAGAGAGGTGAAGAAGCTGGAGAAGAAAAGTCTGAAGCTAGCAGAGGTTGGTTCATGAAGTTTAAGAAATCATCTCCATAACATAAAAGTACAAGGTAATGCAGGAAGTGATCCAGAAGATCTAGTTAAGATCACTGATGAAGGTAGCTACGCTAAAAAACAGACTTTCAATATAGATGAAAGAGCCTTATATTAGAAGATGATGCCCTTTAAGACTTTCGTAGCTAGAGAGAAGTCAATGCTTGGCATCAAAGCTTCAAAGAACAGACTGATACTCATATTAGGGGCTAATGCAACTGGTAACATTAAGTTGAAGCCAATGCTCATGTATCATTCTGAAAATCCTAGCGCCCTTATGATAAATCTACTCTGCCTGTGCTCTATAAATGTAACAACAAAGCCTGGATGACAGCACATCTCTTTACAGCATTCTTTACTGTAATACTTTAAGCCCACTGTTGAGATCTGCTCAGAAGAAAAAGATTTCTTTCAAACTATTACTGCTGATTGACAATGCACCTGGTCACCCAAGAGCTATGATGGAGAAGTACAAGGAGATGAATGCTGTTTTCATACCTGCTAACACCACTTCCATTCTGCAGACTATGGATCATGGGGTGATTCTGACTTTCAAATCTTATTATTTCAGAAATACATGTCATATGGCTGTAGCTGCCACAGATAGTGACTCCTCTGATGGATCTGGGCAAAGTAAACTGAAAACTTTCAGAAAAATATTCACCATTCTATGTGCCATTAGGAACATTCATGATTCATGACAGAAGGTCAAAATACAGCATTAACAGGAGTTTGGAAGAAGTTGATTCCAACCCTTGTGCATGACTGAGGGGTTCAAGACTTCAGCAGAAAAACTGATGTGATAGAAACAGCAAGAGAACTAGAATTAGAAGTAGAACCTGAAGATATGACTGAATTGCTGCAATTTCCTACGAGTTGAATGGATGAAGAGTTACTTCTTACCAATGAACAAATAAAGTAGTTTCTGGAGATAAAATCTACTCCTGGTGAAAATGCTGTGAACATTGTTGAAGTGATAACAAGTAATTTAGAATATCCTATAAACTTAGTTGATAAAGCAGTGTCAGGCTTTGGAAGGATTGAGTCCAATTTTGAAAGAAGTTCTATTACTGGTCAAATGTTACCAGCATCACACGCTACTCAGTAATCTTTCATGAAAGGAATAGTAAATAGATGTGGTAAACTTCACTTTTGCCTTATTTTAGGAAACTGCCACAGCCACCCCAATCTTCAACCACCAACCATCTGATCAGTCAGCAGCCATCAGCATCAAGGCAAGACTCTCCCCCAGCAAAAAGATTATACCTTGGTGAAGGCTCCTATGATTGTTAGCATTTTTTTTAGCAACAAAGTATTTTTAAATTAGGGTATATACATTGCTTTTTTAGACATAATACTATTGCACTTAACAGACTACATTATAATATAAACATAACTTTTATAGGCACTGGGAAACCAAAGAATTCATGTGATCACTTTATTGCAATATTCACTTTATTGTGTTGGTCCTGAACCAAACCTGCAATATCTCCAGAGTACGCCTCCAGAGTAAACATGCATTTCTTGTGAAGAGTAGTATGCTCAATGGTTTCATCTTCTGAGAACATTCTTAGTAAATATCCTTCATTTACAAACAAAGAAGTAGAAAGGTTCTGCATGGATTAAAGAGGTTCAGGTGTGAGCTGGGCATGGGGGCTCACACCTATAATCCCGGCACTCTGGGAGGCGGAGGTGGGAGGATCACTTGCAGCCAGGGGTTAGAGACCAGCCTAGGCAACACAGCAAGACCCTGTCTCTACAGAAAGATTTTTAAAAATTAGCCAGGCAGCCGGGCACAGTGGCTCACGCCTGTAATCCCAGCACTTTGGAGGCCAAGGTGGGTGGATTACCTGAGGTCAGGAGTTCCAAACCAGCCTGGCCAACATGGTGAAACCCAGTCTCTACAAAAAATACAAAAATCAGCCGAGTGTGGTGGCACGCACCTGTAATCCAAGCTATTCGAGAGGCTGAGGCAGGAGAATTGCTTGAACCCGGGAGGCGGAGGTTGCAGCGAGCCAACATAGCCTCACTGCACTCCAGCCTGGGTGACAAAGTGAGACTCCGTCTCCAAAAAAAAAAAAAAATTAGCCAGGCACGGCGGCACATACCTGTAGTCCCAGCTATTTGACACGCTGAGGCAAGATAGCCTGAAGGATGCCATGAGCTATGATTGCGCCACTGTACTCCAGCCTGGGCAACAAAGTGAGACTCTGTCTCCAAAAAAAATAAATAAATAAATAAAATAAAAAAAAAATAAAAAATAAAAAGGTGAATACTAACTTACTAACTTGCCACAATTATTAAAGGAATTCAAGGAATGAAAGGCAAGAAAAGGAGTGTACCAGTTACAGTGTTCTGAAAGAATAAGAAAGGGAATTACAATGAAATGTAATTACAATGTTCTGAACACTCAGGATTTCCTCTTTGGCATTCAGGGAAAACAATTCTACAGATACTTTACCGGATTCCCAGAAGTGTTCTGAAACCCTTCTCCACACCTGAGCCATGCTTCAGAGAGAGAGGCAGCTGCCCCTGCTGTCCTGAGACCTGCTCTTCTGACCTGCAGTGGTCTTTCTCCTGGAAAGGATGGGCATTCTGTATTCCAACTCCTTTTTCTCTGTGGAGATGATTTTTAAAAGAAAAATCGAAACAAAAAAACAAAATCAACTTCATTAAATAGACATTCAGTTCACAATTTACAATCTGAAAACCTAGAAGTGGCATCAGTAAAGGTATAGTTTTTGAATGTCTCTAAATCTTCACATAAAGAGCAACCGGACAGCAAAGCCAAAAACATAGAAACACAATTAATCAGCAAACTCCAAACACAAGTGGGTAAAGACAAACCACCAACCCTCCAAAGTCTGGCATGGTATCAGTACCTGAAAGGAAAGAAGCCAAGGAAAGTAAGAGAGTCAAGGAGGCCCCCTGAGAACCTAGACATCAGTGCTCACTAGGAAGCAAAGCAAGCAACAGATCTGAGAACAGTGTCTGATAGAACTGAGAAGAGCGCCTGAAACTAGGTGAGAGCAGGGGCTCTACCGTAAGAAGATGTGAAGAGATGAGAGCAGCCTGGGCCACCTGAAACTGGTCACCCTGGACTCCCTTCTGGACCCGTCACTGAGAAAGTACTGGAAGTGGAATCCACTCAGCAGCACAGGGGTGGCAGACACACAGAAAAGGTCCAGATGAGCAGAGTCAGGGAGAATCTACAAGACAAATACACAAGTGGCCATATTTTTACAAGACCCATGAAAACAACACAAGGTATAAAAGCTATGCTGGGCCGGGTGCCATGGCTCACACCTGTAATCCCAACACTTTGGGAGGCCAAGGCAGGAGGATTCCATGAGCCCAGAGGTTCAAGACCAGCCTGGGCAACATAGCAAGACCCCATTTCTAAAAAAAAAAAAAAAACTTTTTAGTGAGCTGGGCATGGTGGCACACGACTGTAGTTCCAGCTACTCAGGAGGCTGAACCAGGAGGATCGCTTGAGCCCAGGAGTTTGAGGCTGCAGTGAGCTGACTGCACCACTGCACTTCAAGCCGGGCAACACAGTGAGAGGCCACGTCCTTAAAAAAAGAAAAATAAAAGCTATCCTGAATCCTGCTTCCTTCTATCATTTCAGAAGACACAGACATAAAAATAAGCAACAGGAAGGTATAAAAGCTAAATGCCGTATAATTATTATTAGGGAAAAACAATTAGCTAGGCGTGGTGGCATGCACCTGTAGTCCTAGCTACTCAGGAAGCTGGGGCAGGACAATCGCTTGACCCCGGAAGGCAAAGGTTGCAATGAGCCGAGAGCCTGCCACTGCACTCCAGCCTGGTGACAGAGCAAGACTCTATCTCAAAAAAAAAGAGATGAGGCCTTTGGAGGTGACTAGAACATGAAACCAGAGGCCCCACAAATGTGATTACTGTCCTTAGAAAAATTAGTCAGCAGCCTAGGCAACGTCGTGAGACCCCATGTCTACAAATTTTTTTTAGAATTAGCCAGGCATGGTGGCATGTGCCTGTAGTTCCAGCAACTTGGGAGGCTGTGGTAGGAGGATTGCTTGAGCCCAGGAGGTCAAGGCTGCAGTGAGCCATGATTGCACCACTGCATTCCAGCCTGGGTGACAGAGCAAGATCCTGTCTTTGAAAAAAAAAAAAAATAGCTGGGTGTGGTGGCATGTGCCTATAGTCCCAGCTATTCAAGAGGCTGGGGTGGGAGGATCACTTGAGCCTGGAAGGTCAAGGCTGCATCACTGATTGTGCCACTGAATTCCAGCCTCAGTGGCAGAGTGAGATCCTATCTCCAAAAACAAAAAGCAAGAAACTACAATGATATGCCACTTCACACCCACCAGAATGGCTATTAATAAAAAAAAAAAAAAAAAGAGAAAGAAAATGACAAGCACTGCCAAGGATGTGTAGCAATTATAACTTTTGTGCATGGCTGGTGGAAAAGTAAAACGTTGCAGTTGTTAAAAATTATTTGGTAGAGCCTCAAAAGTTAAACACAGCTGGGCACGGTGGCTCATGCCTGTAATCCCAGCACTCTGGGAGGCCAAGGCGGGCGAATCACAAAGTCAGGAGTTAAGACCAGCCTGACCAACATGGTGAAAACCTATCTCTACCAAAAATGCAAAAAATTAGCCGGGAATGGTGGTGTGCGCCTGTAGTCCCAGCTACTCGGGAGGCTGAGGCAGGAGAATTGCTTGAACCCAGGAGGCGGAGGTTGCAGTGAGCCAAGTTTGAGCCACTTGCACTCCAGCCTGGGCAACAAGGCGAGACTCTGTCTCAAAAAAAAAAAAAAAAAAAAAAGAGGTTAAACACAGGGTAGGGCACAATGGGTCACACCTGTAATCCCAGCACTTTAGGAGACCAAGGCAGGAGGACTACTTGAGCCCAGGAGTTCAAGACCAGTCTGGGAAACATAGCAAGTCCCTAAAAAAAAAAAAATTAGCAGGGGTGGGAATGTTCATCTGTGGTCCCAGCTACTCAGGAGGCTGAAGCGAGACAATCGCTTGAGCCCAGGAGTTTGAGGCTGCAGTAAGCTATAATCACGCCACAGTTCTGAAGCCTGGGCAACACAGCAAGACTCTGTCTCTAAAATAACATAACATAACATAACATAACATAACATAACATAACATAACATAACATAACATAACATAACAAACATAACATAAATTAAAATAAAATAAAATAAAACCACCAAGATCTAGCAATGCCACTGCTCGGTATATACCCAAAACTAAAACAGGGCCAGGCGCGGTGGCTCACGCCTGTAATCCCAGCACTTTGGGAGGCCAAGGTGGACAGATCACCTGAGATCGGGAGTTCGAGACCAGCCTGACCAACATGGAGAAACCCCGTCTCTACTAAAAATACAAAATTAGCCAGGCGTGGTGGCGCATGCCTGTAATCCCAGCTACTCGGGAGGCTGAGGCAGGAGAATCGCTTGAACCTGGGAGGCGGCAGTTGCGGTGAGCCAAGATTGTGCCATTGCACTCCAGCCTGGGAAACAAGAGTGAAACTCTGTCTCGAAAAAAAAAAAAAAAAAAGGCTGAGGAAGAAACTCATAATGCCTTACATTCCAGTGGTTTGAAGCTGTAAAAAGGAAATCCTGAACAGAAGAAGAGGGTGCTGATCATGAGACACAGCAATCAGGATTCCAATCCCCTCCACTTTAACCAGTTCTATCATTAAGTCCACCATTCAATCATGTTCAAGTCTCTAACACTACACACCATAAAAATCTCTCCCTCACCTTGACGCCATCTAGCTTGCTCACTCCCTTCTCCAGCAGCCTTATAGAGTTATCCATTTGAATATCTTATTTATTTTTCCAACCACTGCAAATTCTTTACTAGCCTTTCCATCAAAATTGTTTTCCCTTTGATTATTTTTTTCTTCAGTTTTTTATTTTGTTTCCCCTTGGTTACTGTATTTGTCCACATTATAGATGTACAAGTATATTTGTTACCTACATTTTAATAATATGTAAATGACAACTGAACATGAAATTCAATAAACTGGTTTGAAATAAGGAAGTTCTTACAGGGTAATGTACAAAGAGAAATATTTTCAAGATCTTGGTAAAAGTACATACAAAACTCAGGCACAAAGTAGGTTTCGCTTTTTTCCATAAATAAACTAGCACTTGGACAAGCGATATTGTATACTGCTTTTCTTTGGTCATAGCATTTAACAAGTACAGAATATATCTAGAGCTATACAAACTGGACAGGTAACTTTCAAATAAATTATTCATGTGTGTCTAAATATTTACAGAAATTACACCTTATTTATTCTCTTAACATTATAACAGGCAAGGCATGGTGGCTCATGCCTGTAACCCCAGCACTTTGGGAGGCCAACGCAGGCAGATCACTTGAGCCCCGGAGTTTGAGACCAGCCTGGGGAACATGGCAAAACTCCATCTGTCTAAAAAAGAAATACAAAAATTAGCCAGGCCTGGTGGCGTGTTCCTGTAGTCCCAGCTACTCAGGGGTCTGAGGCAAGAGGATTGCTTGAGCACAGGAGACCCAGGCTGCAGTGAGCTGTGATCGCACCACTGCACTCCAGCTGGGGCAACAGAAATAAGTTCCAGTCTCAAACAAACCAACAAAAAACAAAAACAAAAACAAAAAACACACGCACAGAAAATTTAAAAAAATAAATAGAAAAAAGTCATCATGGTCTATTCATCCACATTCCAAAAATATTTACTAAATACAAAATTACGTATGGGGTACCCAGCTACCAACGTGACATAACTATTTTAATGTTTTCCTACCCTATTAGAGTCTTCTGATTAGACATTATCTTCCAGTTATAACTGTAAAATAGACAGTGTTGTATTCTGCTTTTATTTAAAATAATAAAATATTTTCTTTACACAGAGGTTCCACTCATTTTAAGAATGGAAACTAAAAAATATATGCAACGCCAATGGAAATCTTATTTACACATAAGAATACATAATCTGCTTTTGATTTTATCAGAATGGAAAATATTATTCTTACCTATTTTTCAAACAACACACCCATGTAAAACTAATGACATTAAATTTAAAAAAAATAATGTACAAATTTTTAAATATATATAAGCAGTTGTATAAAAACGGGCAGGAAACAGATCCAAATGCTTATATTATCAAAATGCTTATGTTATGCTGATTATAGGTTTTATAGATTTATGGGGGATATTTTCTTTTTTCTTTTTTTTTTGAGACTGAGTCTCGCTCTCTCCCCCAGGCTGGAGTGCAGTGGCGCAATCTGGGCTCACTGCAAGCTCCACCTCCCGGGTTCACACCATTCTCCTGCCTCAGCCTCCCAAGTAGCTGGGACTACAGGCGCCCCCCACCACGCGCGGCTAATTTTTTGTATTTTCAGTAGAGACCGGGTTTCACCATGTTAGCCAGGATGGTCTCGATCTCCTGACCTCGTGATCCACCCGCCTCGGCCTCCCAAAGTGCTGGGATTACAGGCGTGAGCCACCGCGCTGGGCCTATGGGGGTATTTTCTATTGTAGTCTTTATTTTCTAGCAGCTCCACAATAGCTGTGTATTATTTTTATGATTAGTAATGAGAACAATTGTTTAAAACTGTTCTAGGCCGGGCGCGGTGGCTCATGCCTGTAATCCCAGCACTTTGGGAGGCTGAGGTGGGTGGATCACAAGGTCAGGAGTTCAAGGCCAGCCTGGCCAATCTGGTGAAAACCCGTCTCTACTAAAAATACAAAAATTAGCCGGGTGTGGTCGCGGTGCCTGTAATCACAGCTACTCAGGAGGCTGAGGCAGAAAATTGCTTGAACCCAGGAGGCGGAGGTTGCAGTGAGCCAAAATCGCGCAACTGGACTCTAGCATGGGTGATAGAGCGAGACTCCATCTCGGGAAAAAAAAAAAAAATTCTGAGGAAAACTGAATTCCAATCTAGACTTCTATTCCCGGCCAAACTATCAATCAAGGGGAAAAAATAAAAGATATTTTTAAAACGTGCAGGAACTTTACAATTTTACTTCTCGTGATTCCTTTATTAGGAAGATACTGGAGAATGTATCTCAACGAGAAGGAAAGAAGACATCTTATCTGACTAGTAATGAACATAGAATTTAAAAATTTAAGTACAGGGAGATGGAGAACAATGCAAAGGAAAATATGTAGCAATTATTTACTCTGGTGCAACAAAAATGTTCCTCATGAACTTTATAAATAAATCATAATCAATGATTGAAGAAAAAATTGTAAAATCATTTGACAATACAGTATTTTTAAATAGGGAAGGTAAAGATACTGTGCTATAACATGAAATATATCTGGTCATTATCCCAGGTTCCTGCCATAGAACTCCTACAACTCTTGCAATTTCCTAAGTGATAGGAATATCTTTTGTTATTTATAAAGAATTCCTTTGATAACTCCTAAGTTTATCCTACTGAGGTCACTTAGGGTGGGGCCCCTAGATAACTTGAGAATGGGGTCACTTAGCAAAAAGGCCAAGTGATTAGAGGATTAGTGGGTTGGTATTTTCAGCTCCACTCAGTAACCTCTGAGAAAGGAGGAGGCTGGAGATCAAGCTTTATAAAAACACTTTAACAGCCAGAACCATGGCTTACTCCTTTAATCCCAACACTTAGGGAGGTCGAGGATGGAGGATCTCTTGAGCCTGAATTTGAGACCAGCCTGTGCAACACAGCAAGACCTCATTTCTACAAAAAATACAAAAATTAGCCAGATGTGGTGGCATGAACCTGTGGTCCCAGCTGCTCAGGAGGCTGCGGTAGGAGGATAACCTGAGCCTGGGAGGTCAAAGCTGCGGTAAGTCAAGGTCAAGCTACTGCACTCCAGCCTGGGTGACAGAGCAAGACTGTATCTCAAAAAAAAAAATGAACAATTAAAAAAAAAAAACAACTCTTTAACAAGATTCGATGAGCTTCTCAGTTGCTGAACATACAGAGGTACTGGGAGGGTGGTTCGCCCAGAGAGGGCGTGGAAGCTTCAAGCACGCCACCTGCCCTCAACCTGTTCATGTCTTACTCTATCCATCTCTTCATCTGGCCGTTCATGTGCTTCTATTGAATTCCTTTATAATGTCCATGTCTTGCTCTATCCATCTCTTCATCTGGCTGTTCATCTGCTTCTACTGAATACCTTTATAAAAAATCAGTAAAGGTAAGTATTTCCCTTACTTATGTGAGCCAACATAGCAAATTAATCGAACCTAAGGAGGAAGGTTTGGGAATCCCTATTTATATTCAATTGATCAAAAATATGAGTGACAACCTACTACTTGCAATTGACCTCTGAAGTGGGGCCAGTCTCGTGGGACTGAGCCCTGAACCTGCGTGATCTCACACCATCTCCAGGTAGAGAGCATCAAAATTGGATTAAATTATAGGATACCCACTTGGTGTCTACTGGATGCTTGGTGTCAGGATAAAACACCCCACACATCTGGGCATAGAAGTGTACTGTGTTAAGCATGAGAGAAGAGGGGAAAACAGTTTGTTTTTCCTTTTTATGGGTACCTAAGTGAAAAGTCAAGTTTCTGTAACTCATTTGAAGTGGTAAAATGTTGCATATGTAGACTGTGGTAAGTTACATATGTATATTATAATACCTAAAGAAGCCATTAAGAAAACTAAAATGGGCATGGTGGCTCATGCCTATAATCCCAGCACTTTGGGATTTCATAAATACTGCTGTCCTCACCTTTCAATGTGTCCGCATGCCTAATTTCTCCTAATCGTGAGATAAGAACCCAGATTTTAGCTGAACTAAGGAGCAAAAAACCCTGCATCACTACGCACGTGCCCAGGAAAAAACTGAAAAAGGCCCTAACCTCTGAACTCTGGATCATCTCGAGGCGCTGCCCAAGGAGGAAATGAAGGTTAAACTGGCATTACAAATTGCCAAAGCATATGTCTCAACAGAGTCCCTCCGTAAAAGATGACAGACTTACTGGCTCAAAGCATTTAGGGTAATCTCTATCCAATAATCCACAGACAACTAAACTAACCACATAATGTCTTCATTAGCTACACACGACAGGCAACACAAACTTTATTAAATTCATCCAGGAAAATCATTAAACAAAATTATAGCACCAACAACAAACAGAAACCCTGGGGAGGGGATGGGAGAATTTAATATCCAGAAATTAATATGAATTACTTCAAATCATACTATTTAAAACGTCCAGTTTTCAAGCAAAAATTATAGGCCAGGCGACGTGGCTCATGCCTATAACCCCAGCACTTTGGGAGGCCAAGGCAGGTGTATCACCCGAGGCCACGAGTTCAAGACCAGCCTGGCCAACATGGTGAAAGCTCATCTCACTAAAAATACAAAAACTAGCCGGGTGTGGTGGCGCGCACCTGTAATCCCAGCTACTCAGGAGGCTGAGACTCGCTTGAACCCAGGAGGCAGAAGTTGCAGTGAACCGAGATCGTGCCATTGCACTACAGCCTGAGCAACAGAGAGAGACTCCATCTCAAAAAAAGAAAAAAAAATACAAAAATTAGCCCAGCGTGGTGGTGCCTGCTTGTAATCCCAGCTACTCAGGAGGCTGAGGCAGGAGGCTGAGGCAGGTGAATAGCTTGAACCCGGGAGGTGGAGGCTGCAGTGAGCTGAGATCATGTCATTGCACTCCAGCCTGGGCATCGTGGTGAGACTCTGTCTCAAAAAATAATAATAATTATAACACACATGAAGAAACAGGAAAGCATGATAAGGAAAAAATGTAGTCAAAAGAAAATGTCCCTGAGAGGAGCCAGAAGTTGGACTCACTAGACAATGACTTTAAATCACTTACTATAAATATATTCAAAGAAATAAAGGAAACTATATCCAAAAAGTGAAGAAAATTATAAAAATGCCTCACCAAATAGCGAATATCAATAAAGACACAGAAATTATAAAAAGACAGAACCAAACAGAAATTCAGGAGTTGAAAACTATAGTAACTGAAATGAAGAATGCACCAGAGGAGCTCAACAGCAGATTTGGCCTGGCAAAAAAAGGAATTCACAAACTTTAAATCAGACAAATGAGATTATCCAAGCTGAGAAACAGGAAAAAAAGAGTGTAAAGAAAAATGAACAGAGCCTCAGAGACCTGTGGGACACCATCAGACACACAAATATATGCATAATAAGAGTCTCAGAAGGAAGGAGAGACAGAGGTAAAAAGAATATTTGAAGAAACAAAGCCCAAAATGCTTCCTCAATTTAATGAAACATACAACCAAGAAGCTTAAAAACTCCAAATAGCATAAAATCTAAAGAGATCCACCCTAAACATACCATGTCAACTGGTGAAAAACAGAGAAAAAACTATGAAAGTAGCAAAAGAAAATATACGTCATGTACAAAACTCATCATATACAAAGGATCCTCAATAAGTGTTAACAGCTGCATTCTTGACAGAAACCATGAAGACACCCCCCTACCCTGAGGAACAGCAGAATACACATTATTCTAATGTAAACATGAAACATTCTCCGACAGACCATGTTAGGCCATAACTCAAGCTTCGATAAATTTAAAAGGAGTGAAATCATAGTAATACTGTTCTTAGACAATAATAGAATGAAATTTAAACCTTACAATAAAAATAAAATGAAAATTCACAAGTATGCAAAAATTAAACACACTCCTAAACAGCCAATAGATCAAAAAAAGAAATCATGAGAAAATTAGAAGATAACTTTAAAAGGAATGAAAACAATATACACTAAAACCTATAGATGCAGCTAAAGCAGTACTTACTGAGAAATCTGTAGCTGTAAATGACTACATTTAAAAAGAAGAAAAATCTTTAGTCAATAAAACTTCCATCTGGCAGAAATAAATGACAGAGAGAATAGAAAAACAACAAAGAATATAAAAAAAAAAGTTAGTTCCTCAAAAAGATCAACAAAATTGACAAGCTAGGCTGACCAAGGAGGTTTGGGGGCGGGGAAGAGAAGATTTAAACTACAAAACTCAGGAATAGAAGAAAGTGAGGAAGCACTACCAATTTTGCAGAAACCCAAAAGATTACAGAGAACATTATAAGGAAATAATATGAACTACATACCAACAAATTAAATAACTAAAATAAAATGAACAAATTCCGAGAAAGACAAACTAGCAAAACCGACTCAGAAATAAAAAACTGATCAGAGAGCTGTAACAAACAAAGAGATTGAGTCATAACTTTAAAACTTCCTACAAAGAAAAGCTGAGGCTCAGAGTACAACGGTGATTTATACCAAACATTTTAAGAAACAGTATCTATCCTTCACAAACTCTTCCAAAATACAGAAGAGGAAATACTTCCTAATTCACACCATGAAACCAGTATTACCCTGATAAAACCAAAACATAACAACGAAGCACAGAGCAAAACTGTTTATGAATATAGATGCAAAAATCCTCAACAAAATACTAGCAAACTGAATCCAGCAACATATACAAAGAGTTATACACCATAACCAAGAGAGATTTTTCCCAGGAATACAAAGTTAATGTAATATTGAAAATTCAATCAATGTCATATATTAACAAAATAAAGGATAAAAACCACAGTATTGTCTCAATTAGATGTAGGAAAAGCAACTGACAAAGGCCAACAACTATTCCACAGTAAAAACTCAACAAACTAGATATAGAAGGTTATTTCCTCAACCTGATAAAAATGTATATACAAAGAACCCACAGCTAACATCATACAGAATAGTTAAATACTGGATGCTTTATCCCTAAAAGAAGGAAAAAGAAAGGATGTCAACTCTTCCCACTTACATTCAATATTTGACTGGAGGTTCTAGCCATGGCAAGGAGAAGAAATAAAAGATGTCTAAATTGGAAGTAGTAAATTCATCTCTACTGACAGACAGCATGGTATTTTGTTTTCTTTCTTTTTTTTTTTTTTTTTAAGAGACATGGTTGGCCAGGTGTAGTGGCTCACGCCTGTAATCCCAGAACTTTGGGAGGCCAAGGTGGGCGGATCATGAGGTCAGGAGTTCAATACCAGCCCGGCCAACATGGTGAAAGCCCGTTTCTACTAAAAATACAAAAATTAGCCAGGCATGGTGGCACACGCCTCTAATCCCAACTACTCAGGAGGCTGAGGCAGAAGAATAGCTTGAACCCAGGAGGCAGAGGTTGCAGCGAGCTGAGATGGTACCACTGCACTCCAGCCTGGGTGACAGCGCAAGATTCTGTCTTGGGGGGAAAAAAAGATGGTCTCACTCTGTTGCCCAGGCTGGAGTGCAGTAGCACGATCATGGATCACTGAAGCTTCTACCTCCTTTAAAAAAAAAAAAAAAAAAAAAAAAGGAGAGGGTCTCACTCTGTTGCCCAGGCTGGAGTGCAGTAGCACAATCATGGCTCACTGAAGCTTCCACCTCCTCGGCTCAAGCAATCCTCTTGCCTCAGCCTCCCGAGTAGCTGGGACCACAGGCATGAGCCACCACATCCTGCTAATTTTTGTGTTTTTTGTAGAGACTCAGTTTTACCATGTTGCCCAGGCTGGTCTCGAACTCCTAGGCTGAAGTGATCCACCCGCCTCAGCCTCCCAAAGTGCTGGGATTACTGGTGTGAGCCACCATGCCTAGCTGCATGACCTTGTACACAGGAAATCCTAAGGAATCCACACTTCAGAAAACCCAAAAAATTATTAGAACCAATAAATGAGTTCAGCAAAGTTGCAGGATACAATCTCAATATTTAAAAAAATCAATGGAGCTGGGTGCGGCTGGCTCATGCCTATAATCCCAGAGCTTTGGGAGGCCAAAACAGGAGCATCCCTTGAGCCCAGGAATTTGAGACCAGCCTGGGCAACACAGCGAGACTCCATCTCTACCAAAAAATTAACAAAAAATATTAGCCACGTGCAGCAGCATGTGCCAGTAGAACTGCATTCAAAATAGCATCAAAAAGAATAAAACTCTTAGGAATAAATTTAACCAAAGAAGTGCAGGACTTTTTCACTGAAAACTGTAAAACATAGATAGAAATTAAAGAAGATCTAAATAAATGAAAAGACAACCCATGCTCATGGGAAATAATATTGTTAAGATGATAATACTCTCCAATTTGTCTATATATTCAACAAAATCAAAATCCCAGATGGCTTTCTGCAGAAATTGACAAGCTGCTATTATTCATATGGAAATGTAATGAACCCAAAACAGTTAAAAAAATCTCAAAACAGAAAACAAGTCAGAAACTCACACTTCTAATTTCAACACTGCCAAGTTACAGTAATTAAAACAGTATGGTACTAGAATAAAGGCAGACATGGAGATCAGTGGAATAGAATTCATAGACCAGAAACAAACCTTTACTTTTATGGTCAACTGATTTTCAATTAAAACAAAAAAGTGCCAAGACAATTCAAGGAGAAAGAACAATTTTTTCAACAAACAGTGTTGAAACAACTGGGTATCCACATCGAAAAGAATGAAGTTGTACCCCTACCTCACAGTGTGTAGAAAAATTAACTCCAAATGAATCACAGACCTAAATGTAAGAGCTAAAACTGTAACTCTTGGAAGAAAACATAGGAATAAATCTTTGTGACCTTGGTTTAGGCAATGATTTATTAGACATGACACCGAAAAGCACAAGAAACAAAAGAAAAAACAAATTGGACCTCATCAAAATTATTAAAAACATTTGTACTTCAATAAGAAAATGAAAAGAAAACCCAAAGAATGAGAGAAAATATCTGCAATCATACATCTTATAGGGGAACAGTATACAGAATTTTAAAGAACTCGTGATTCCACAATAAAACAGCAAATAACCCAATGAAAACGCAGCCAAATAAGCTGAATAAACATTTCTTCAAGAAGATACAGAAATGCCCAATAAGTACATGAAAAGATGCTCAATCTCATTAGGGAACTGCAAACCAAATCACAGTGAGGTAACACTTCATAACCATTAGGATGACTAAAAGTAAAAGACAGGCAATGGCAAGTGTTAGCAAGAATGTGGCAAAATTAGAATGTTCATTCCTTGCTGGTGAGACTGTAAAAGGTGCAACCACTTTGGAAAATTCTAACAGTTATCCAAAATGTAAACATACAGTTATTATGTGACCCAAAAATTCCACTGCTAGAGAAAGAAAAACTTAGGTCTACATAAAAATGCATATACAAATGTTCAACGCAGGCCAGGTGCGATGGCTCACGGATGTAATCCCAACACCTTGAGAAGCTGAGATGGGAGGATCTCTTGAGCCCAGCCAGGAGTTTGAGACCAGCCTGGGCAATATAATGAGACCGGATCTCAATTAAAAAAAAAAGTTCAAAGCAACATTATTCTTAACAGCCCAAAGGTGGAAATAATCCAAATGTCTATCAACTAATAAATGGATTTTTCAAATGCAGTATGTCCATGCAATAAAAAATTTATTCAAAATAAATAGGAATGAAGTACTGATACATGCAACAACATGTATAAACCTGGAAAACATTATTTTTAATGAAAGAAGCCAGTCACAAAATGACCACACTTTATATGAAATGTCCAGAATAGGCAAATCCATACACACCGAAAGTAGCTTAGTGGTTGCCAATGGATGAGGGAAGAGAGAATGGGGAGTGACTGACTAGTAATAGCTATGGGGTTTCTTTTTGGGGTCATGAAAATATTCTACAATTAGGAACATTTGTACAACTCTGTAAATATACTAGAAACCACTGGATTTTCCACTTTAAAAGGGTAGATTTTATTATCTATAAAACTGAATAACAACATTGCCAATGGGACTGCAAAATTATACAGATATAACCACTTTGGAAAAGTTTGTCAGTTTCTTATAGAGTTAAACATCAAATTACCATAGGTTCTGGCAATTACATACTTAGGCATTTATCTCAGAGAAATGAAAACTTATGTTCACACAAAAACCTGTACACAAATGTTTATAGCAGTTTTATTTGCAATAACCAAAACCTGAAAACAGCCTAGAGGTCCTTCAATAATAAATGTTAATCCAAACTCTGGTATATCCATTATATGGAACACTACTCAGCAATTAAAACAAAGAAACTATTGGCCAGGCACAGTGGCTCATGCCTGTAATCCTAACACTTTGAGAGGCCGAGGTGGGTGGATTGCATTGCCTGAGCTCAGGAGTTCAAGACCAGCCTGGGCAACACGGTGAAACCCTGTCTCTACTAAAATACAAAAGATTAGCCAGGCATGGCAGCAGGTGCCTGTAGTACCAGCTACTTGGGAGGCTGACGCAGGAGAATTGTTTGAACTGGGGAGGCGGAAAGTTGCAGTGAGCCGAGATCGCGCTATTGCACTCCAGCCTGGGCAAGAGAGTGAGACTCCAACTCAAAAAAAAAAAAAAAAAAGACAAAGAAACTACTGATATGCACAACAACTTCGATAAATCATGAGAGTTTTATGTTGTATTAAAAAAAAAAAAACTTCAGACCGGGCATGGTGGCTCACGCCTGTCATCCCAGCACTTTGGGATGTCGATGCGGGCAGATCACCTGATGGTATTAGGAGGTGGGGCCTTTGGCAGGTGATTAGAAGTTACGGGATTGATGCCCTTATAAAAGAGACCTTGGAGAGCTCCTTTACCTCTTCCACCATATAAAGACATGGTAAGAATATGGCTGTCTGTGAACCAGAAAGCAGGCCCTCACCAGACATGAAATCTGTCAACACTTTGATCTAGCAAGGCCCAGCCTCCAGATTTAGTTTATAAAACAATTATTCTCTATATTACTCACAATTGTCTGTGAATTTACAGTTATCTCAATAAAAATAAATGGAATGAGATGTGCAAGGGACTGCTGAGTTTTACAACAAACTTTTTTTGTACTATTTTACCTTACCTATGAACATGTATTATTTTGACTAAAAAGAAAACATGTTTTCCCTTAAATGAGGTACTCTATGCAAAGTGCTTGACATATAGAAAGCTTTCAATAAAAGCTCTCTTTCCTCTCTTTCCCTTTGGTTTGAGGAATAAGACAACCTCTAGGCCAGGCACAGTGGTTCACGCTGTAACCCCAGCACTTTGGGAGGCCAAGGAGAAAGAACGGCTTGAGGTCAGGAATTCGAGACCAGCCTCGGCAACACAGCAAGACTCTATCTCTACAAAATAAATTTAAATATTAGCCAGGCACAGTGGCATGGCCTGTGGTCCCAGCTACTCAGGAGGCCGAAATGGGAGGATCACTTGAGCCCAGGAGCTCAAGACTGCAGTGAGCCATGATAGCACCCCTGCACCCCAGCCTGGGCGACAGAGTAAGACTGTCTCAAAAAAAAAAAAAAAAAAAAAGACAACTGAGATGTCAATACTAAGTAGTCTAATTCTGAGATGTAGAGCCACCAGTAAATCATTCAATGAGACTATCAAGGCCTTAAACTGGAACCATGAGGTACTCCTACCAAGATAACTATGAGAATTTCCTGCCATCACTGAAAAACTTGAAAATGAGCCTTTTTCCTATTTCTTGTTCAAGAAGCTGAAAGACAGCAATTCCAGGGAAATCTAGAGACAAAGCAGTAGAGGATGTACAATATCTTTGTCCTCATATGATTTCTTTAATTATCATGGTGTTTCATTATTAATTGCTTTCATTATCACCAACATTTATTGAGTGTTTATATGCTCGGTATATCATCGCATGCATTCTCATAATTTAATCCTCACATCAACCCAGCAATATAGGTATTAACCCCATTTTATAAAGAAACGACAACTCAATGTTAGGTATATTGCCCTATTCAGAGAACTTGAACCCAGGAGACAGTGGTTGCAGTGAGCCGAGATCGGGCCACTGCACTCCAGCCTGGGTGGCTGAGCAAGACTCCATCTCAAAAAAAAAAAAAGAAAATCTCAAAAGGCAAGCTGCTGCCCAAGAACAGGAGTATATGTGGTCGTCCTTGGCTACTTCATAAGGAAAGGGAGAACACAAGGCACAAAGGGAAGAATCACAGCATGTTAAGGGATAGTGAGGGGCTAGGGCAGGAGAAACTCATGGAGGAGAGGGGAGTGAGGAAAGAACTAAGATACCCCAGCCTTTGAGCAACTGACTGCCCTAATCTCCCTGGGACTTAAATACCACATATCTATATATGTGATATATAGGATATATCTATATATCCTAACATCAGTTAAGAGGCAAACAACTTTCTCACTTCTCATAGGTTCGACTTTCTGAATCACCATGGGTTTCCTCCTCTTCCTCTTTCAATTGCAGTTGCCTAAATCTCACCTTCCATTTGTAGTCTGTCAACCCAGTCCTTTCTATTCTATTCCTAATTCCACCACCTTAGTCCATAACCACACCACCTTTCATCTTAAGAGTCGTGATATATCTGTGTGGCTTGTCCAAAACTGCAAAATCATTCAGCTGTACTGCTGAGGCAGATATCCGAGTCTTCGGACTAGGGTATTTCCTCCTGTTTCTTCACACCTGGAATACTTGCAAATCTTCTAAACTAGTTCTCCTTTCATTAATTCATCAGATATCTAGTACATACAAGGGATATGACAGGTATTCTGGGGAATATGGGCTGAAGAAATAGTCCCTAATCTTAAATGTCTAGAATATAAGGGAATAAAGGTGTAGACACAAATAAACCTAATGTAAGACATGGAATAGTAAGAGTTATTTACATAAAATTCCACAGACTACAGAAGAAAGTTCATTTACAGCTGGGATAATTTGGGAGGTGAAATTTGGGGTGGGCCTCAATGGATGACTAAGATTCCAATCAGCAGAAATGGGAGAACTGGCATTATTCCAAACCAAGAACATACAGAAGAAAGTTCATTTATAGCTGGGATAATTTGGGAGAAGGTGGGATTTGAAGTAGGCCTCAATGGATGATTAAGATTTCATGGCCGGGCGCAGTGGCTCACGCCTGTAATCCCAGCACTTTGGGAGGCCGAGGCGGGCGGATCACGACGTCAGGAGATCGAGACCATCCTGGCTAACACGGTGAAACCCTGTCTCTAATAAAAATTTAAAAAAAATTAGCCCGGTGTGGAGGCTGGCGCCTGTACCGAGATCGCGCCACTGCACTCCAGCCTGGGCGACAGAGCGAGACTGCGTCTCAAAAAAAAAAGGTTTCAATCAGCAGAAATGGGAGAACTGGCATTATTCCAAACCAAGAACATACGCAATTACCACCAAGGGGCAAGCAAGTACAGTGACGCAGTAGTCTAGTTTACCTATAAGATAAATAATGAGCAAAGCTGTAAAGGAATAAGACACAGATATTATGGAGGCTGTGAATAACAGGCTGAGAGCCTGAACAAAAGCAAGGTCTGGGGCAGACTACCTGGATACAAATCCTAGCTTCTTCCCTTAACTGCTGTGTGACCTTAGGCAAATTACTTAGCCTCTCTGCTGAGCCTCAGTTTCCTCATCCATAAAATGAGACTAATGGTATCTACCTCACAGGACTGTTAAAATAATTAAATTAGTTAATACATATAAAGCACTAAACACAGGATAAGTTCTGCAGTAAATTATGATGTAGCCAATAAGAAGTAAAATGAGATTTAGATAGAGGACTAACAATATAATCAAAGTAGTGCCTAAGGGAAAGTCACCTCTGAAGATGGAATGGGAGCATGCTAGCCGGCACTACACATCAACACTCCAACCATTAAGTACTTTTGAGACTGACCGAGGGAGACAGAAACAAAAAATAAATTCCTGGGAAATACTGTGGAAGCCAGCCTCCAAGGTGGCCCCTGTGATCCCCACCTCCTGGGGACCCTCTATAGTCTCCTCATACATTGTACCGGGTTGGTCCATGTAATGAATAGACAGGAGATGGGATGTCACTTCTGAGTTTAGGCTATAAAAGACACGGGGACCGATATCTTGTTGCTCTCTCTCTTGCTCTTGGGAAAGCCAGGACCCTGTTGTGAGCTGCCCTATGCAGCTGTCAAGAAACAACCACGTGAGTGAGCTTGGAACTGGATTCTCCAGCTCCAACGACCCTTTATTTGACTGCAGCCTTGTGGGAGATCCTGAACTACAACCACTTAGTTGAGCCGTTCTCAGATTCCTGAGTCTCAGAAACTCTATGATATAATAAACATTTGTTATGAACTGCTTCAGTTTTCAGCAACGTATTACACAATAGACAACTGTACGACTACTAAAAAAAATTGAGTAAAAAAAAAGAGTCTTGAAAAATGACAAGATGAAGAGACCAGAAGTGAACGTCAATTCAAAAATACTAAGATTTCTAAGTCAAGAGAAACTGTTAGGGCCTGGAGGACTAAGGGTGAGATGATGATTATGTGATGCACTAAGTTTGAGCTCTAGGGAAAGATCTAATATAGATCTGAAAGTCATCTATATAGTTAACTTCAATGTATGACATTGTCCAAAGCAAATATGGAACATGTGAAAAAGCACAAGGTCAAAAATTAGAACATGGCACGAACACAGTAAAGAGAAGAAAATGAGCTGTTGCAAGACAGGAAAACAATCATGGATGTTCCAAAAGAAATAAAAGCAGGTGGTGAATGTGTCAAACGCTCCAATGATCAAGTAAACAACTTACACTGGATTTAGCAAATTTATATATTTCCTTGATTTTTTTCACACATTAATGCTTCAGAAATCAGACTGTATCTTATAATCAAGAGGTGCCTGAAATGAATTTCTTTATTCCCTAAAGCCAGTCACAAAACTGATAGTGTGGGCTGATAATCAATGGTATTTGAGAAGCGAGAAAGCATGGTAGTGGTAAAGAAGTTGAACCAGTATATGTGGTCTATTTTTTCCAGGAAGTTTTCAAGTAAAGGCAAGAGTCAAGAAAGGAGGTCCTGTGTTTGCTTTTTAAAAACCGTTTTACTATGAGACAAACGTATTTGAAAGCAAGGAAGTTAGAAGAAACTTTAAAACGATAAAGGACACATGCCATGACAAGCACAATTAGCAGAACAAAAAAGGATGCACTCGCGGATACAGGTGCAATCAAACACCATTCAAGCAACGATTCCTAGGCACCCGCTCCCGTTCTGGAACCCGAGGCAGCGCGGTGCCCACGGATTGGGCAGTCAGCCGCACAGTCCCCTCCGAGTGCGGCAGGAAGAGAGACAGAGTTGACAGTGGATTATCCGCGGAGACGGGTAAAACCACGCCAGGATTCCCTGCGGTTTGGTACATTACACCAGAATCAAAAAGAGACAAGAGTAAGGCCAAGTACCCCCGAGGCGGACATATGCTCCCGCCCGCTGCGTCCCTCGGCGGTCCCACCCCTCGCTTTCCGTACCGCCGCTGAGGGCCCGGCCCGCACGCCTGGACCGGAGCCGGACCTGGGGGCGGTACCCCACTGCGCGGGCTTGCTCCACGCGCGCAGACGGGACCCGCCACCACCTAGCCCTTCACCCCCAACGCCCACCCTCTCTCACCCCAGCACAACGGGGCCAGCCCCGCGCCGGCCCGCCGCTTCCCCGCAACGCGGGAAACGGCGCGGCGCCCACTCCCGCCCCAGAGCCTACCTTAGAGCCCCGAGCGCGGCTGCCGCGGGGCATCTCCGGGAGCGCCGCCTGAGCGCACCGCCTCCTCAGCGCGCCGCCGTCCCACCTCGGCGCGCCGCACCGCGCCCTGCCATTGGCGGGCGCTCGGGCGCAGGGCGGGGCTTCGGCGGGGGGCAGGGCTTCTCCGGCCCCGGCGCTCCAGGGCCTCCCGGATGGCCTAGTCGGGCCCGGAGCCCGGAAGGAGTGCCCCGCGGAGAGTCGAGCTTCCTTCCCCGGGGCTGGGGGTTCCGCGGAGCTCGCTCTGGGCTGTGGCGTTGCTCGCCCGCGAGCTCCTGGGGAGTTCGGGGGAGCTGCTGGGCTGGTGCCTGGAGCGGGGGCCGCCTCCAAGTATTGTCTTTCGAATTAAGTTACTGTCGTCTGTGTTGTCAGGCAACAACTGACCTTAAATAAAAATGAAAACCAGAAGTAGGCTACACATGCAATAGGCTACACATGCAATAATGGATACTTAAGGAATGGGAGTGGCTGCTGGTGACTGGAGCAGAGAGGGTGTGGTTTCCCCATGTTTCGGGGCCGGGGGGAAGGAGTAAAGTCTGTGTTCAGAGCCCAGACGCCATGTCGGTCATCACATCACCGGGAGAACTCGTGGAGCCTGAGGAAAGGCTACGGGGTGCCAGAGTCTGAAGGGGCGGAAGATTGCATTCCTATCACGTTCGCCGTGGCGCACAGGGGCTCCGCTGGGGCCGCCGCTCCCGCAGGAGAAGTGGGCCTGAGACGGTGCGGCGTCGACCATAGCCGGCCCAGCAGAAGCCGGGGAAGGCCACAAGTGTAACTGGGTCCGAGTACTGTGAAGAAGGCGCCTCCCATGGAGAAAGCTACCGGGTAGTTTAACAAGGTGGAAAAGCGTTGGCCTGGGGAGGAGGAAAGGATGCTCAGAAAGTTGCCTCAAAAGGACGCAGAAGTGGAGGTGAATCTTCTGTTTCAGAGGCATTTTTTTGTGCCTCTGTGAGAATGCATTGCTTCCTGGTTGATCCATCTTCAGGTTTTCTCTCCGTCCTAGTCCCTGTTCTGCCACCATTCTGTGTTTGAATCTGGTACCTAAAGCCGCAGATACTTGGTTCATAGTAGATGTCCACTCTGCAGTGGCTGAAAACACGGAAGAAAAACCATCTTTGCCTGGGAAGGACATTATTGCTAGTGCCATTACTGTCAACAGTTGGAACAAGATAAACGGCATGCCCAATCTAGTTGAGGATTTTGGACACCGGGCCTCCCACTGGGACTCCGCCGAGAAACCAGGTCTGCCATTGCCACCTCCGCCGGGCCTTGCTGTCTTAGCACAGTAAGTGCACCCGACCGCGCCCGGAGTCCCCCTTTCACTCCCACAACCAGGCCTGTGGTGAGGCTCCCGCTTGTCATCTCCACCAGGAGGTGCTGTCCTGCCGAAATGTTGGGGTTTTTCTCCAAACTTCCTCCTGTTCAGAATTCGCCATCTCAGTAGTGGCATGGACATCCACCTGGCCACAGCTCACGCAGAAACCTAGGAATTTTTGTGAACACGTTTGTGTGTCTTACTAATGTGTCCACTCTCCACTACCACTGTTTCCCAGGCCACTAGTATCTTTTGCCCAGACTGCTAGTAGCTCTTAACCCATGTCCCCTAATCCACTCTTGCCCCTCACACAGCACACACATACAATCCATTCTCAACACAGACACCACAGTGAGGTTTATGCTGTCTATACTGGCCTTCCCTTTCGGTGGTCAAACGTGCCTAGCTCCTGCAGCCTTGGGGTCTAATAAGCATTTGCTCTTCCTTTTGCCTAAAAGGCTCTGGCCTCCCTCTGCCATGCCATTTCCTATGCGCCTGTCAAACCTGAACCTGGTGGCCAGCTTCCCTAAACTAGCAAGCCTGAACCTCCCTGCTCTTCCATGTCCGCAGGACCTCATGCTCTGTTGAAGATGTTATAACAATTAGAATCTAAATAATTACGAAAGTTATTTGTTTACCATGTGGTTCCACCTCCATGCTGTAAGGTAATACCATTTCTATCTTCTCCGTTTTTGTATCTCTATCAGTTAGCACAGCGTCTTCCATATACAAAGTACTCAGTTATTTACTATGGATGAACTGCTAATTGTGAAACAGAAATGACTTGCCAGAGGCTGCACAGCTAGTAACTGTTCAGGATTAGAACTCATATGTGATACCAAGGTCGATGCATTCTCCACTACACCAATCAGATCATAGTAGAATCATGAGGAATTTTTCACTTGAACATATGAACTCAGCAAAAGGGAACTGTTGATAATAAAGATGAGCCCCTGCAGAAAGGGTCTCTTAAGTCCTCTCCAGTCTTGCCTCATTTCCTCCTCAGCAAACACTCAATGGCAAACATCAAGACAAACCAGAAAGTCCTTCTTTTAACTTTTTTCTCATCAAACTTTTTGGCCTAGTTGCTGTTCTGCAGATATCTGTGGTCTTCACTCTGCTTACAGCCATCCTAAGGATTCCATGGAGATCCATGGAGTCTGGGGAGGGTGTGACTCACAGGAGGGTCTCTGCTGCACCTTCAGGGCAGCTCTCTTCCATCTGTCTTATATATGGGGCAAGATTGTATTTAAAGAAAGATCTAATATGGGGAGAAATGTTTAGAATCTACTCATCCATATTCTTTTTTAGTCTGGTAGATGACAGTGCTCTAGGCTATAAATGAATCCAAGATTTAAACGTGAAAAAATGTCAAGGTATTAGAATAAAACATGACCAGATTCCTTTATAATCTTAGAGTGGGGGAAAGGGGAGAAAGTCTTTCCAACTATGACTCAAAATGTCCTAGTCGTAATAGGAAAGATTGATCGATTCAACTACATAAAAACCCTAATTTATGCATGGCAAAAAAAACACAGTAGGCAAAGACAAATGGCAAAATTAAAGAATAGTTCATATTGATGTTATATAGAAACAGCCCCCTAAAGTATAAATTACTCTTGGAGGAGTAAGCAAGAGTATTCCTTGGGGGAAACCCAGTAGAAAATGGGCAAAGGACAAGGGCAGTTCACAGAGAAAGGAACACAAATGGCTTTTATACATATGAAAAATGTACTGTCTCACTCATGACAAGAGAAATGCAAATTTAAACTGCACACCTACCATATTGGCTAAAATCTAAGTCCTGGACAACACATATTGGGGTAAGGGCCCTCTAATGTATTGCTAACAAAAGTACAAAATTATGCAACTCCTATCAAATATGCTTCAAAATTATAAGTGTATTTACTCTTTAAGCTAGCAGTCCTACTTCTGGAAACTAATCCTACACATACACCTGCACACATATTGTCTTAGTCTGTTTTGTGCTGCTATAACAGAATATCTGAGACTGGGTAGTTTACAAAGAACAGATACTTACTTTCTCACTCTGAGAAATCTGAGATCAAGGAGCTGGCATTTGGTGTCTGGTGTGGGCCTTCCTGCTGCATCTTCACATGGCAGAAGGCAGAAGGGCAAGAAAGCAAGCTAGCTGAATGCTGCGTGAAGCCTCTTATAAGGGCCTTAATCCTATTAGTGATGGAGGAGCCTTCATGGCCTATTTGGCAACACCTGAATTTTAGAGGATACACATATGAAATGATAACACATGTGAAATGATATGTATGTAAGGGTATTTTTTGCAGCATAGTTTGCAATAGCAAAAGACTAGAAAAAATTGATATATTTGTTTACTTGGAGAGTAAGGAGACTGTTAAATGTGCCATGGTAATACCTTCATAATGATCTCCAGCTTTACTAAATGAAAAAAACAATTGACAGAATATGATTCATAGTGTGCTGCCTCTCTAGTGCAAGAAAACAGGAAAAGACCATATATTGCTTATATCTGCTTGAAGAAATGCTACATCGAAATAGATGTATAGGAAATAAAAGGGGTTACCTGGTGGAGGGGAGGAACCAAGTGATTGGGATGAGGGGAGGAGGACTTCTCCATCTCTACTTTTTTATGTTGTTTTGTATACCTATTTTTAAAACAGATTGAAAAATTAAGAAAAATGTGTACTTTGTTCTAGAGTGATGATGGTTGTACAACTGTGAATATTGTAACAAATCACTGAATGGTACACTTTAAAGGGTGATTTTATGGTATTTGAATTATATTTCAATAAAATAATTATTTTAAAAATGTTTGGTGAGGGGCTGGTAGCATCAGCAGCATCTGAGAAATTGTCAGAAATGCAAATTCTTGGACTCCATACTAGACCAATTGAATCAGAAACCTGGTGGACAAGGCCTGGCAATCTGTTTTGACAAGCCCTTCAACTGACTCTGATGCATGCTCACCTGTGAGAAGCACTGGACTGGATGCAATTGCACGGAGTAACAGGCTGTTGCACAGTGGTCTCCCACAAAACATCCGACTAGGAGATCCGTGCACTCAGGGTGGGAAGAAAAGGCCTTGTCAGCCTTTTCTTTAATCATTGACTACAATAATGTTAATAATAATAATATGACATTTATATGTGCAGGCAATGTTAATCCCTTTATATGAAATGAAAATAGTGCCTCACCTGATGGGTTAGAACACAGCAGATACATAGTAAGTGCCCAGGAAGTGTTAGCAATTATTATTATCATTTATCTCAGAAAATCTCTATGACAATTGTGTGAAGTACAATTATGATTACATATGAGATAATTGCACCACAGACATGTTATATAACTTGCAAAAAGCCACAAACCCAATAAGTGGTAAAGCCCAAAGCACAGAGGTTTTCAACTTTGGTGAATCTCACTTTATCTCTTTTTCCTGATCACACTTTGAGAACCATGGATCTAGGTTCTCAAAAGTATACAAATGGTTTATATATATATATATAAAAAGTAGGAGTGGAAAATAGAGTCAAATGCAGATTATTCAAGGAATGTGCATTCATTCATTCAACAAACAAATATTGAAGTTTACTATGTGCCAGGCCTATGTTAGGCCTTAGGCCTTAGTTGGTTTTCTTAGTCAATTTGGGTTACTATAACAACCCATCAACTAACAACCCATAACTGCATAGCTTAAAAAGAATAGAAATTTAGGCCAAGCACAGTCGCTCACACCTGTAATCCCAGCACTTTGGGAGGCCAAGGTGGGCAGATCACGAGGTCAGGAGTTCAAGACCAGCCTGGCCAACATAGTGAAACCCTGTCCCCACTAAAAATACAAAAACATTAGCCAGGCGTGGTAGTGGGGCCCCTGTAATCCTAGTTACTTGGGAGGCTGAGTCAAGAGAATCGCTTGAACCCGGGAGGCGGAGGTTGCAGTGAGCCGAGATTGCACAACTGCACACCAGCCCAGGCGACAGTGCGAGACTCCGTCTCAAGAAAAGAAAAAAAAGAATAGAAATTTATTTCTCAAAGTTCTGGAGGCTAAGAAGTCCAAGATCAAGGCTCTGGCAGATACAGTGTCTGGTAAGGGCCCATTCCTCATAGATGGCACTTCTAGTGTGTTCTCACTCACATGGTGGAAGGGGCTAGTTATCCCTTTGGGGTCTCTTTAAAGGCATTCACCCTATTCATGAGGGATTTACCCTCATTACCTACTCACTGCCAAAAGTCCCACTTTCTCTTTTTAAACTTATCTTTTAATTGACAAAAATTGTATATATTTATGTTGTACAACATGTTTTGAAATATGTATACATTGTGGAATGGCTAAATCAAGCCAATTAAAACATGCATTACCTCACATACTTAGGTTTTTTGTGGTTGAAAACACTTAAAATCTACTCTTAGCAATTTCCAAGTATATGATACATTTTGTTTGTTTGTTTGAGACAGGGTCTCACTCTGTTGCCCAGGCTGGAGTGCGATGATGCAGTCACGGCTCACTGCATCCTCAGCCTCCTGGGCTCAAGAGATCCTCTGCCTTAGTCTTCCAAGTAGCTGGAACCACAGGCGCATGCCAACACACTTGACTTTTTTTTTTTTTTTTTTAATTTTGTAGAGACAGGGTTTCACCATGCTGCCCAGGCTGGTCTCAAACTCCTGGCTTCAAGCGATCCTGCTGCCTCAGCCTCCTAAAGTGTTGGAATTACAGGCATGAGTCAGTGTGCCCACCCAATACATTGTTATTAACTACTGTCACCATCTTGTACAATAGATAGATCTCTTGAACTTATTTCTCCATCTAACTGAAATGTGGCCTATCCTACCCATCTCTCACCCCAACCCCTGATAACCATCATTCTACTCTCTGCTTCTATGAGTTTGACTTTTTTAGATTCCACATGTGAGATCAGCAGTATCTGTATTTCTGTGTCTGGCTTATTTCACTTAACATAATGTCCACCAGCTTCATACATGTGGCAAATGACAGGATTTCCTTTTTTTAAAACTGAATAGTATTCCATTGTGTATATATGCCACATTTTCCTTATCCATTCACGTGTTGATGGACACAGGTTGATTCCATATCTTGGCTATTATGAGTAATGCTGCAATGAACATGGCAGTGCAGATGTCTCTTTGACACACAGATTTCAGTTCCTTTGGGTATATACTCAGCAGTGAGATTGCAGGATCACATAGTAGTTTTATTTTTCAGTTTTCTTAGCAATGTCCATACTGTTTTTCCTTAATGGCTATATTAATTTACATTCCTTTTTAATGGCTGCATAATATTCCATTGGGTGGATTACTATTTTGTTTATCCATTAATCAATTGATGAACCTTTGTGTTGTTTCCACGTTTTGCCTATTATGAATAATGCTACGCTGAACATTTGTGGACAAGTTTTGTTTGAACACCTGTTTTCACTTGGGGGTATATATGCAGGAGGGGAATGACTAGATTATATTTACAGTTTTAGGTTTAACTTTCTGAAGAACCACAAAACTCTTTTCCACAGAAGCTGCACCATTTTATATTCCCTACAGCCATGTTAGAGGGCATCCTTGCCAATACTTATAATTTTCCCCTTTAAAAAATATTTTAACCATGCTAGTGGCTGTGAAATGGTATCTTACTGACTTTGACTTGTATTTCCATAATGATTAATGATGTTAAGCATCTTTTCATGTGCTTTTTGGCCATTTCTCTATCTTCTTTGGAGAAATATCTATTCAAATCAGTTGCCCATTTTTAAAATGGGTTGCCTTTGTTTTGGTTGGGAGTTTAAGAGTTTTTATTGTTTTGCCTGGAGTTATTACTGGCTAACACGTATCTGGGGTGTACCAAACTTGCTTTATTGAGGCAAAGTGGTACAATAAATTTTTTTTTAAATTTCTAAAATGAACTTTTAAATGAAAATCACTCACCACAACTTTACAGCACATTATCATTTGCTTTAGTGACACAAAATTAGGCTTAAATTACTGGGAATTTACAAATGCACTTTAGAGACCCTATTAACAAGAAGTCTCAACGAAGAAAAATTCAGGACCAGGTGGCTTCACTGGTAAAGTCTACCAAACATTTAAGAAGAATTAACACCCTGTAATCCCAGGACTTTGAGAAACTGAGGCAGGAGGATTGCTTGAGCCCAGGAGTTTGAGACCAGCCTGGGCAACATAGTGAGACCCTATGTCCACAATTTTTTTTTTTTTTTGAGACGGAGTCTCACTCTGTCCCCAGTCTGGAGTGCAGTGGCGTGACCTTGGCTCACTGCAACATCCACTGCCTGGGTCCAAGCAATTTTCCTGCCTCAGCCTTCCGAGTAGCTGGGACTACAGGCGCGTGCCACCACGCCCAGCTAATTTTTTTGTATTTTTAGTAGAGACAGGGTTTCACCATGTTGGCCGGGATGGTCTCAATCTCTTGACCTCGTTATCCGCCCACCTTGGCCTCCCAAAGTGTTGGGATTACAGGCGTGAGCCACTGCACCCGGCCCACAAAAAAATTTAAAAAAAAATTAGCCAGACATAGTGGCACATGCCTGTAGTCCCAGTTACTTGGGAGGGCTAAGGTGGGAGGATTGCTTGAGGTGAGGAGTTTGAGGTTGCGGTGAGCCATGATTGCAGCACTGCACTCCAGCCTGGGTAACAGAGTGACAGAGTGAGACCCTGTCTAAAAAAAAAAAAAAAAAAAGAAAGTAAAAAGGAAGAATTAACACCAGTTATTCTCAATCTCTTTTAAAAAATAAAATATGAAGGAACACTTCCCAATTCATTCTGTGAGGCCCGTATTACCCTGATACCAATGCCAGGCAAAGATACCATACAAAAAGAAAAATAGAAAGTAATTCTTGGATGTCACAAGATGGTTGACTGACTGGAAGCTCCTAGGTTCATCCCCAACTCCAACAAAAAATCAAAATATAGTGAAGAAACAACTATATTTCAATCAAAATAACTAAAGGAGAGCTCTGGAGAACAATAAAGAAACAGCAGAAACTCTGTAGAGTATGGAAACCCAGGATGGATGCACAGGGAAGGAAAGGATACACCTCATCTCTGCCACCCTATCCACTCAGGATCAGCTTGGAACCAGGAGAGCCTTCTTCCTGCAGGGAAAAGGTGAGCAGGAGGACCCCGGCAAACCCCATCACCACCGTGGACACATGCAATCTTCATTACCAGAGGCTCCCACAGTCCTCACAAGCTCTGAGCCCAACTGAGGGAGCTCCCCAGAGTTCATATGCTGAGCTATCTAAGAGAAAGAGCTGATACTGTGCCCTCCCCCATGGTCTGTGCTGCTGCTGCACTGCACCATCTTGGAACCAGAGCCACTGCTAGAGTGTGTTGTGCTCTGGGAGTGTGCAGCTATGTACCCCTTCATCCCTGTGGCTTTGCCAACACTAAAACCATCTTACCCAGTAGCACGTCATCCCCAAAACAGGCTGTTCCAAGCTCTATCCCCTAGGGCCAAGCTCCATCACCCCCATGTGAGACACTGGTGCACCCTCCCCTTATGGTTGAGCTGAAGTGACTCCCCACCTCCCAGGGACCTCAAGCATCCTACAAACCATAGCAGACACAATCCTGGTACCATGATGAGGCATGCCCTGCTCCCCAGGGACCTTATGTCTTTGGCACTCCAGAGCCAAAGGTGAGGCAGCACTTTGCCCCGGGGCTCTGAGCCTCTGGCACATTGGAGCAGTTGCACCCACCGGTGCCACAGCTGATATAGAACCATGCCCTAGGGAACTGAGCCTCCACTGACCCATGTAGCCATGCTTTCTGGGTTTTAGCTGCACCTTACACCCCAGGGAATCAGAGTTTTGCCTGAGCTGGGTCATGTCAACCTCCAGGCTAAACATCCACAGTGCCCCCCCTACCTGGAACTGGACTAGTCCCTCAAAGTCTGAGCTGCTGAGGTGCTCTACCTCTTTGGAGAGTGGAGTCATTGCTGTGCTGCTCTATTCCCCCCAGTTCCCAAGCACAGGGGCATCTTGCCATGTCCAAGTCCTTGCTGTTGCTGCCCCTAGACTCATAGAGCCTTGGCTACTGCCATGTCCCACCATCCCAGGGTCCAGAGTGACCACTGTTTGGTACCTCATCTCCCAGAACCTAAGCTCTTTTTGTAGCCTCTTGGTTCTGTGTTCCAAATTGTAGCTGTGTCCTGCTCCCCAGGACCTAAGCCTCCAGAGCACCTCTTTACTCCATAGCTGTGTCAGGGCTTCACCCTGCCCTCAGGGTCAGAACTATAGCTACATCCCAGCCCCCTCGGCCCAAACTGCTGGAGTGTGCCTCAGCAAAAGACCCTATCTTAGCAAGAGAACTGCCTCTACTTGTGCCTTGGAAATTGAACCAGTACCTCAAATCCTGAGCCCAGGAACCCAGCTTCGCAGCTGCTCTGAACACCTATGCACCTATGCCCTGAATCCCAGTGCCACTGTGGCTGCCAGTGGGTTGTGTCAGACTCTACACCAAGAGAGATCCCTTTAGTGAAGACTCTCCACTGTGGGTAAGACAGGAATAGATGGATCCCTAAGGCCCTTGCCCTAATAACCTACACAGCCATTGTCACTTCCACAAACTTCTGCAACCTAGACCACCCAGGCACTGCAGTCATTGCTGACATTCGTCACAACTGAAGAAACTGCATGCAGACTACACCAATGCACCGACACAGAAACAGAGCCACTGCACCCTGCTTAACCAACACCCTCTGGCCCATATATAGGAGAAAGTCTTCCCCTACAAAAGCCAATCTGAAAGGTTTAGAAGAAGTAACTGCACCACCAGACGCACACACATTAACACAGGGACACAAGAACATGAAAAAGCAAAGAAACAGGACACCACCAAAAGAACACAATAGTTCTTTAGTAACTGACCCCAAAGAACAGAAATTTACAAATTGCCTGAAAAGGAATTCAAATTAATGATCTTAAGGAAACTTTAGGCTGGGTGTGGTGACTTAACACCTGTAATCCCAGCACTTTGGAAGGCTGAGGTAGGAGGATCACTTGAGGCCAGGAGTTTGAGACATGCCTGGGCAACATAGTGAGATTCTGTCTCTAAAAAAAAAAAAAGAAAAGAAAAGAAAAGAAACTCCAAGAGATGCAAGGGAATACAAATAGACAAGTCAATGAAATTAGAAAAACTATTTATGATTTAAATGATAAATTCAGCAAAGAGATAGGTAGCATCAAAAAGAATCAGA
The DNA here is from genome assembly GCF_000001405.40 of Homo sapiens. Lineage (NCBI taxonomy): Eukaryota > Metazoa > Chordata > Mammalia > Primates > Hominidae > Homo > Homo sapiens. Next base: position 47,250,420 of record NC_000008.11, on the reverse strand, counting down.
AATCCTAGAGCTGAAGAAGCTAAAAAATTTATTACAGAACTTCAATAGCAGACTAGATCAAGCAGAAGAAGGAATCTCTGAACTTGAGGACAGGTTTTTTTTTTGTTGTTTTTTTTTTTTTTTTTTTGAGACGGAGTCTCGCTCTGTCGCCCAGGCTGGAGTGCAGTGGCGGGATCTCGGCTCACTGCAAGCTCCGCCTCCCGGGTTCACGCCATTCTCCTGCCTCAGCCTCCCAAGTAGCTGGGACTACAGGCGCCCGCCACTACGCCCGGCTAATTTTTTGTATTTTTAGTAGAGACGGGGTTTCACCATTTTAGCCGGGATGGTCTCGATCTCCTGACCTCGTGATCCGCCCGCCTCGGCCTCCCAAAGTGCTGGGATTACAGGCGTAAGCCACCGCGCCCGGCCGAGGACAGGTTTTTTGAAATGACTCAGAAAAAGGGAAAAAAATGAAAAAAAGTGTAGACAGCCTATGGGGCTTGTGGGACACTGTTAGGATTTTAAAGAAAGCATTGTGGATTTTAAAGAAAGAGACAAGACTGAGAAAGGAACAGAAAGGTTATTTAATGAAATAATTCCTGAAAACTTCTCAAGCCTTGGGAGAGATATGAGCATCAACATCCATGAAGCTCAAAGGATCCCCAACACAGATAAAACACAAAGAAGGATTAATATGGTTAATTTTAACAATATTACTACCATTCTACCAAAAGCAATATATGCATTCAATGCGATGCCTATCAAAATCCCAGGGGGAGGGATAGCATTAGGAGATATACCTAATGTTAAATGAGGAGTTAATGGGTGCAGCACACCAACATGGCACATGTATACATATGTAGCTAACCTGCATGTTGTGCACATGTACCCTAAAACTTAAAGTATAATAATAAAAAAAAATCCCAATGGCATTCTTTACAGAAAAAAAAAAAAAACTTTGAATTCATATGTAAACATAAAAGACCTCAAATAGCCAAAACAATTCTGAGAAAGAAAAACAAAATTGGAGGCATCATATTTCCTGATTTAGAATTATATTACAAAGCTATAGTAATAAAAACTGCAGGCCAGGCGCAGTGGCTCATGCCTGTAATCCTAGCATTTTGGAAGGCCAAGGAGGGCAGATTGCCTGTGCCCAGGAGTTCGAGACCAGCTTGGGCAACATGGTGAAACCCTGTCTCTACTAAAATACAAAAAATTAGCCTGGCATGGTGGCATGCGTCTGTAGTCCCAGCTACTCAGGAGGCTGAGGCAGGAGAATTGCATGTACCTGGGAGGCAGAGATTGCAGTGAGCCAAGATTGCACCGCTGCACTCCAGCCTGGGCGACAGAGCAAGACTCCATCTCAAAACAAAAACAAAAACAAAACAAAACAAAAAAAACAAAACTGCATGTTACTATATGTCTGCATTAAAACAGACATATAGATCAGTGGAACAGAATTGAGAGCCCAGAAATAAATCCAATTATGTGTTCAACTAATTTTTGACGAGCACCAAGAGGACACAATGGAGAAAGGATAGTCTCTTCAATAAATGGTTCATGGAAAAATGGATTTCCACATCTGAAAGACTGAAATTGGACACATCTTACATCAGACACAAAATTAAACTCAAATGAATAAAGACCTAAATGTAAGATCAGAAGCTATAAAACCCCTAAAAGGTTACATGTTGAAAGCTGCTGGAGATTGGCCTTGACAATGATTTTTTTGGATATCACACAAAAGCTCAGCCCACAAAAGCTGAAATAAATAAATGGGACTACATCAAATGAAAAGCTTCTGTACAACAAAGAACACAATCAACAAAGTGTCAGTGGATTGGGAAAAAGTATTTGCAAACCACGCATTTAATGAGGGGTTATATTCAGGCAACTCATACAACTCAATAGTAGAAAAGCAAATAACCCAATTAAAAATGGACAAAAGACCTGAATAGACATTTCTCTGAAGAAGACATAAAAGTGGCCAATGGGTATATAAACAGGTGCTCAACATCATTAATAATCAGAGAAATGCAAATAAAAACCACAGTGAGATACCACCTCATACCCATTAGGATGGCTATTATAAGAAAATCAAAAGATAACAAGTGTTGGTGAGGGTGTGGAGAAAAGGGAACTCTTGTACACTGTTGTAAGCATGTAGATTGATACTGCCATTATGGAAACAGTATGGAGGTTTCTAAGTAAATTAAAAATAGAACTACAATATGACCCAGCAATCCCTCTCCTGGACATCTACCCAAGGGAAATATACCCTTGTAAAAACATCTTCACTCTCATGTTCATTGCACCATTATTCACAATAGCCAAGATATGGAAACAACTTAAGTGTCTGTCAGTGGATGAATGGATAAAGAAACTGCAGTATATTTAAAGCTAAAATATTATTCAGCTTTAAAAAAGAATGAGACCTTGCCATATGCCACAACATGCATGAGCCTGGAGGACATTATGCTAAGTGAAATAAGCCAGACATAGGAAAAAAATATTGCATGATCTTATATAAAATCTTTTTTTTTAAAAAGAAAAAAACAAATATACAGAGCTAGAGAACAAAACAGTGCTTACCAGGAGGAGGCAGGGAGGAAATGGGGAGATGTGAGAAGACACAAAGTAGCAGATATGTAGGATGAACAAGTCTAAAAATCTAATGTACAACATGAGGACTACAGGTAATAAAGTTGTATTGTATTTGGTATTCATGCTAAGTGAGATTTTAGCTGCTCTTGTTAAAAACACACACACAAATGGGTAACTGTGATATGATGGATGTGTTAATTTGCTTCATTATAGTAACATTTTTATTATCTATATGTGTCCCATAACATCATGTTGTATACCTTAAATATACATAACAAAATTCCTTTAAAAAAGAAAAACTGGCCAGGCGCGGTGGCTCATGCCTGTAATCCCAACACTTTGGGAGGTCGAGGTGAGTGGATCATCTGAGGTCAGGAGTTCAGGACAAGCCTGGCCAACATGACGAAACCCCATCTCTACTAAAAATTCAAAAAAATTAGCCGGGCGTGGTGGTGGACTCCTGTAATCCCAGCTACTCGGGAGGCTGAAGCAGGAGAATCCCTTAAACCCAGGAGGTGGAGGTTGCAGTAAGCCGAGATCACGCCATTACACTCCAGTCTAGGCAACAAGAGCAAAACTCCATTTCCCCCAACTGCCAAAAAAAAAGAAAAACTACAGATTAATATCCCTTGTAAATACAGATGCAAAGGTCCTCAACAAAATACTAACAATCTGAGTGTAGCAGCATATTAAGAGGACTACATGCCCAACCAAATGGGATTTATCACAGAAATGCAAGGATAGTTCAAATATGAAAATCAATCAGTGTAATACATCATATTAGTGGAATGAAGGAGAAAAACCACATGATCATTTCGATTGATGCAGAGAAAGGATTTAACAAAATCTAGCACCCTTTTACGGAGAAACAAAACAAAACATGCAACAAACTGGTAGGAAACTTCCCCAGCTGGATATAGGAGTTATGAAAAACCCAAAGCTAATAGCATACTTAGTGGTGAAATAGTAAGAGCTTTCCCTCAGAAACTGGGAACAGGACAAGGATGCCTGCTTTTTCCACTTCTATTAGATGTAATACTGGAAGTTCTAGTCAGGGCAGTTAGAGAAGAAAAAGAAATAAATAACAAATAAATAGAGTAAAACTATCTCCATTCACCAATGACATTATTTTATAAATAGAAAATCCTAAAAATCCACAAAGAAACCTGTTAGCACTAATAAACAAATTCAGAAAGTTGTAAGCTATAAGATCAACATACAAATGTCATTTATACTTCTATACAACCCAGAAAGAAGATTAAGAGAATAATTTATTTATAATAGCACCTAAAATAATAAAATTGGAGGCTGGGTGTGGTGGCTTACGCGTGTAATTCCAGCACTTTGGGAGGCTGAGGTGGGCAGATCACCTGTGGTTGGGAGTTTGAGACCAGTGTGGCCAACATGATGAAACCCCGTCTCTACTAAAAATACAAAAAATTAGCCGGGCGTGGTGGTGCACATCCGTAATCCCAGCTACTCGGGAGACTGAGGCGTGAGAATCACTTGAACCTGGGAGGCCAAGGTTGCAGTGAGCGAAGATGGCACCACTGCACTCCAGCCTGGGCAACAGAGTGAGACTCTTTCTCAAAAAAAGAAAAAGATAAAAAAGAAAAAAAGGAAGTGGAAAGTTTGCACAATGAAAACACCAAAATATTGCTGAAATAAATAAATTGCAACCAAATAAATGGAAAAACATCCTATGTTCATATTTTGGAGAACTGAATGTTGTTGGGATATTAATATATGAAATGATCTAAAGATTCTATGCAATCCCTATTAAAATTCCAATGGCCAGTTTTCTAGAAGTGGAAAAGTCAGTTCTGCAATTCAGAAGGAGCTGCAAGTATCCCAAAAAGCCTACACAATCTAAAAAGAAGCACAAACTTGGTAGACTCAAACTTCCTGATTTTAAAACTTATTTCAGGTTAATTAAGCCATTCTACAATGTATACATATTTCAAAACAACGTGTACATATTTATTATATTTGCATATATTTATTCTTGCAATATATTTGCAATTTTTTGTCAATTAAAATAATAACAGAAAAAATGTATTACAAAGCTATACTAATCAAAATAGTGTGGTACTCACATAAAGACAGACATATAGACCAATAGAACAGGATTGAGAATCCAGAAATAAACCCATATATTTATGAGTAATTGATTTTCAACAAGGGAACCAAGATTGTTCAATATAGAAAACACAGTCTCTTCAACAAATGATACTGGGCAATCAGATATCCACATGAAAAGGAATGGAGTTGGATCCCTACTTCCCACCATTTACAAAAAATAAACTCAAAATGGATCAACAACCTAAATAAAAAATCTAAAACTATAAAACCCTTAGAAGAAAACATACAGTTATGTCTTTCTGACTTTGGATTTGGTAATGGATTCTTAGGTATGCCACCAAAGCAGGAGGAACAAAAGAAATGATAGGTCAGATGGATTTAATGGCAACGAAACACTTGTGTAACCAAGAACATTATCAAGAAAGTGAAAAGACAATGTACAGAATGAGAGAAAATGTTTTTAAATCATATATCTGATAAAGGTCTCATAGCCAGAATATAAAAAGAACTCATAACAACCTAACTTTTAAAACCCAAACGACCTACTTTTTAAATGACAAAGGACATGAATAGACATTTCTCTGAAGAAGATATAGCCAAGATATAGGCATGTGAAAAGATGCTTAATATTATTCATCATGAGGATAATGTGAACCAAAACCACAAGGAGATATCACTTTACAACCACTCAATGTCTATTTAAAAAAAATTGACTCAGTAATTTCATTTCCAGGTATATAGTCAAAACAATTGAAAACAGGTACTCAAACAAATATTTGGACACAAATATTCATAATATTGACAATAGCCAAAAGGCAGAAATAACGCAAATGTCCATCAGTGCATGAATGGATGAACAAAATATGGTCTATACATATGATGGAATTCACCACCAAATGAAATTAAATACTCACACACGTTACAACGTGGATGAACCTTGAAAACAAAGAAGCCAAAGCCAGGTGCGGTGGCTCACGTCTGTAATCCCAGCACTTTGGGAGGCCGAGGTGGGTGGATCACCTGAGGTCAGGAGTTTGAGTCCAGCCTGGCTAACATGGTAAAACCCCGTCTCTACCAAAAATACAAAAATTAGCTGGGTGTGGTGGCACACACCTGTAATCCCAGCTACTTGGGAGGCTGAGGCAGGAGAATCGCTTGAACCCGGGAGGGAAGCTGAGATTATACCACTGCACTCCAGCCTGGGCAACAAAGCAAGACTCTGTCTCCAAAAAACAAAACAAAACAAAGAAGCCAGACATAAAGGTCATATGAAAAATCTATAACAAACCCATAGAAACAGAAAAAAAAGTTGGTGGTTGCCATTGCTGTGGGGAGGGGAGATTGCTAATGGGTATAGTGTTTTCTGACAATGTTTTAGCACTAGAGGTAGGTGGTGGATGGACCACCTAGTGAATGTCCAAAATACCGCTGAATGATACTCTCTAAAACTTTTTTTTTTAGACGGAGTCTCGCTGTCACCCAGGCTGGAGTGCCATTGGCGTGCTCTCGGCTCACTGCAAACTTCGCCTCCTGAGTTCAAGAGATTCTCCTGCCTCAGCCTCCCAAGTAGCTGGGATTACAGCGCGCTCAGGTAATTTTTTTTCTTTTTGTATTTGTATTAGAGACGGGGTTTCACCATATTGGTGAGGCTGGTCTCAAACTCCTGACCTCAAGGGATCCACCTGCCTTGGCCTCCCAGAGTGCTGGGATTATAGGCATGAGCCACCGTGTCCAGCCTCTAAAACTCTTCATTTTATTGTATGTTTATTTCACCTCAATTTAAGAAGAAAAATTGAGAGCGTCAAAACTTGTGATCTGACCTGGTTCACTGGAGAAGGACGTAGAGGATATATGTAACCAGAGACAGATTCAGTTGCTTGCCACTTGCAGAGTCCAATTAACAAGAAAGAGGTCTGGTAGAAAGAGATTTTATTAACCAAAACGTAATGGGGAAGTGGCCATATTCCCATCTGAAGCAACCAATTTGAGTTTCTGGGGAGAAGGCAATGGTTTAAAAAAGGGGGACATGATATGGGAGGCATGCGGGAGTTGTACTGAGTACAAGGTCTGTGTGTCTTGTTTCTGTGGCTATGTTGGGTCGCAGTCCACCTGGAGCATGGGCCAGGATCATCTCAACACTGGCCCAGGTGGTTGACTAGCTGACTTGAAGTAATTTCTGGAATTTTGCAGCTGGGTCTCCAGGCTAGGTCTGCTTGTCTGTCTCAAGATTAGCCCCTGGAACTTTTAAAAAGACACATAATTAGATATTAGCATACAATTAGAGAAATGTGAAAGGAGTTTATGGTGAGAAAGGGGGGGATGTGGAAGCTATTTTAAGGCTAAGGAAAAGGTTTCTACAGTTGCTTCAAGGTTATATCTTGAAACCCAAGAGAAAGGGAAAGAAGTTTTAAAATGCATTTTGAAGTTAAGCTGCCCAGTTACACATAGAGATGGGCTGAGGGATATTACAATCCCCTTTCTCCCCCAGGGTAGAGAAGGACCTGGAGGTAAGGTGACCACCTGTCCTTTCTAAAGAAACTTGAGGCCTGGCTACAGGGTGCACACCTGTAATCTCAGCACTCTGGGAGGGCCAGGTGGGCAGATCACTTGAGGTCAGGAGTTCAAGACTAGCCTGGCCAACATGGTGAAACCCTGTCTCTACCAAAAAATGCAAAAATTAGCTGGGTGTGGTGGCGCATGACTGTAGTGCCAGCTACTCAGGAGGCTGAGGTGGGAGACTTCCTTGAACCCGGGAGGTGGAGCTTGCTATAAGCCGAGATCACGCCACTGCACTCCAGCCTGGGTGACAGAAAGAGACCCTGTCTCAAAAACAAACAAACAAACAAAAAAGAAAGTTGAGTTTGTGCAGGCTGGCACGTGGCAGGGGCTGGAAGCACCATGGACCAAGGAGAGTGCACCTGCATGGCATTGAGAGAAGGCTGAGACTTGCATGGCAGCCTCTGCCTAGTGCACTGGTGAACCGCAGTGTGGGTGGGAGGAGGGGTGGTGGCTAGTTATCAGAGTGTGGACCAAGAGGATGCTGGCCTTCTGGACTTCTGACCCAGGCTCTCAGGGGCCTGCATCTACTTTGTCCCCTGGGGAAGTGTTCATTTATCGTACCTAACTCCTGAGCCTCTGTTAAAATAATCTACCATAGTAAGAAATAAGAATAGCAAAAGCTGCAGTTTATTTGTTTATTTGGCCTCATCTCATTTATTCTCACAACAGCTCCCTGGGGGATAGGATGTTCCTGTTTACATATGGGGAAACTGAGGCCCAAGGACGGTAGTAGTATGGTTAGCAGAGGGCCTAGGGCCAGTAAGTGGCACAGCCCTGTTCAAACGCAGCCAAGCCGACTCCACAGCTTCTGGTGTGGCCCCTGCTTTGACCAAGTCTGGCTCCAACATCCATTGCTTTTTTAGTTTCTTGAGGCTGTGCTCAAGTTATTAATCATCAGTAGGCAGGGAACTTGTCTGCATTTTGTGGTTTAGACGCCTTTCTCTTTGGGGGGGTGCTTAGGCTCAGGTGGGCTGTGATTTAACGCTGACCTAGTTGGCGGGGGGGGGGGTCTATGCCCTTCTTAATTGCTTTCTCATAGCACCTGGGCTTTTCTGCCTTTTTTTCTCTGCCTGGAATAAATAGGTCAATTTGCACTCTCTAGGGGAAAAAATGTAGTTAACAAATGTTAGTGAAAGTCACAGCTATGAACTTTCTCAATTTTCCACAGTAGCTTGCACCTGATCTTGAACTTAACTGACCCTGAACTTAACTGACCCTTCACCATGACTGATATGGAGCCACCAAGACCCTGACAGTCGCCTGACCCTGACACCCAGCCTGACCATGAAGTTGACACTGAAAGACTATAACCCTCCTGCTGCATAGACCTGGGCTTTGCTCCAGCCTTAACCTACATCCTTAATTTACTCTTACTGAGAACCTGACCTTGACCCTGACCATCACACTGGCCCTCACCTGACTCTCACTCTATTTTTGATCCTGACACCCATCCTGAAAATTATCTGACCCTCACCTTCAGCCTGATCCTGACTCTGTCCCTGATCCTAAACCTCACCCCTGCTGTGAGCCTAAACCTGACCATGACCTTGACTCTCACACTCAACCCAGAGCTTGACTATCTTTTCTTTCTTACCTTGAACCTAGCCTTGACCCTGGAACTGACTCTGATGCTGATCTTCCCTCTGACATCCTTATTTTAAGGTGACCTTCACTTTGACATCCTTATTTTAAGGTGACCTTCACTTTGACCCTGACATCACACTGACTATGACCCTACCTATGGATCTCACACTCACCCACAGTCTGATCCTGACATTCACTCTGACACTGCTTGTGATGACCACCATGACCCAGCCAGACCCTAATGCTGATCCTGATCTTGACTTTGACTTTGACCCCATAACAGACCCCCCCCCCCACTCTGACCCTGACCCTCACCCTGACTCTGACTCCCAACATTTTGCTCACTCTGACATTGATCATTAACTCTAACCATTACCCGGAACCTGAATCTCACCCTGATGGTGACTCTCACCCTACCCCTGACCATGACACTCACCTTGAACTTGACATTGGCTCCTAGCCTCATCATCACCTTGACCCACATCTGGTTCTCTCCTGACCTGGTCTCTGACACTTACTTTGTCCCTGACACTGTTTGTGACTCTCAAGTAGATTCTAACCCTTGACATGACCCTGGCCCTCACCCTTTGACTCTGATGTTCACCTAACACTATTTCTGATTCTTGCCTTTGCTCTGACCTTGAACCTCATTTCTACTTGAACTCTGACACTGAATCTGACCTTGACCATCAAATTCACTCTTACCCTGACCATCACATTGTCTCTGACCCTCATTCTGATCCCAAACCTGCCCTTGACCTTTGGTATGACCCTGACCCCCTGCTGACACTCACATGGACCCTAAACTTAACAGACAACATGATCCTAACTATATTAGTTTTCTACATAACATAATTTGTTATGTAGAACATAACAAGTCACCTTAACCTAGTGGCTTAAGTGGATGCAAATTTGTAATGTTACATTATAGTTCTGTAGCTTTTGTAAGTCTGGTACAGACCTCACTGGCCTGAAATTCCTTGCTGGAGGCTCTAAAGGAGAATCTATTTCTTCACCTTTTAACTTTCTAGAGGCTTCCGCATTCCTTGGCTTATGGTCTTTCCCTCCATCCTCAAAGCCAGTAATGCTGCATTTCTGTGGCCTTCCTTTCCTAGTCACATCTCGCTTTATAACTATAGCCGGGAGAGGTCCTCTGCCTTTAAGGACTCATGTGATTGGACTCGGCCCACCTGGATAATCCAAGATAATATCCCCATAATAATATCTGAACTTACCCTCACCCAAGCCTGACCTGTATCCTCATTCTGACCCTGATCTTCACTATGATCTTGGTCCTGACCATAACCCCTAGCCTCATTGTACTCCTGAACGCCACAGATCCTAACCCGGAACCTCACTCTACTGCTGACCATGGCAATAAACCTTATTTACCTTCCATCTGCCTTTCATATGACCCTGACTCTGACCCTCATCATGAGTCTGAACCTGACATTGACTTGGATGCTGATCCGTGAAAGGCCTTTTCACCCTGATGCTGGCTGTGACCTGAATATGCCTACACTGAGTCTGATCGTGACACAGATCCTCAGATGCCCCACCTCACACTTCTCCTTACCATGGCATTGCTCTGACCTTAACCACACTGTGAGCTAGCACCTAACCCTGATATTGACCCTGACTCTAATACTACCCTCACTCAGACCTTAACTCTAAACTTGGCACCCACCCATATGCTGACCTGGACTTCTCTGTGACCCTCATCATGACATTGGTCATGACCATCACTTTCCCCTTCATCTGTTAATCTGAACCTGCAGTTCACCCTGCTCTTGACCTTGACCTAACCCCTTATCTTTACTTTGACACTACCCTAAAGCTGACTATGAAACTTGACCTTGACTCTGATTCGACTGTATCTGACCTTGACTCTGCACTGGGTTGAACAGTGACCTCAAAAAGGTACGTCCATGTCTTAACTCTTGATGTCTATGAATGTGATTTGGTAATTGAGTCTTTGCAGAAGTAATTAAGAACCTTGAGATGGGAGTGTGTAACACTGCTTCATAGTGGATTGAATGTGTACATTTGTTTAGGAATATATGTTGAAACACAGAGAAGGAGGAGACTGACTTCGAGGAGATGCACAGGAAGATGGCCATGTGGAGACAGAGGCAGACATTGGAGTGATGCTCAGAAGAAAAGGCACTCTAGGAGCCTGCAGAAGCCTCAGAGGTAAGGAAGGATTCTTCCCTAGAGCTTTTGGAGGGTGTGGTCCTGCCCACACCTGGATTTTAGACTGATCCGCACAACCACAAGATAATAATTTCCGTTGTCTTAAGTCATTCTGTTTGTGTCAATTTGTTATTCAACCCTAGGAAATGAATAAACACCCTGACCTTCACTATGACAGGGCGTCTGACATTTCCTTTGGCCTTAGCCTGACACTGACTCTCCTCCTGGCCCCAGCCCTGACACGGCCACTCACCCGAAGCTGGACTTTATCCTGGCCCTCACCATGACCCTGAGCCTGACCCTCACCATTATCCTGAACATTCTGTGTCCCTCACCCTGAGCTGCTTCTACCCTGTGCCCTCACATTCACTTAGAGCTAGACCTTGACCACCCCCTGTCCTGCAATCACCCTGATATTGAATATAACCTTCTTCATAACTTTGACGCTGACTCTGAACTTGACCCTCATCCTGATATGAACCCTGACATGAATTCTTTCATTTATTTTCATCATGAAGATCCCATGACCCTGAATCATGCTGAACATTGTCCTAACCCTGACCCTTACCCTGAGCCAACCTCACCATGATCCTGAACCTGTCCTGGCCCTGACCTGTACCTTGTGCCTCAGTCTGACCCTTACATTTTTAATGATTTATGTGAAACAGCATGTTTAATAGTGTTAGGTGAGCATGCTACCCTGTATTGAGATATGTGTTAGAAACACTGCATTTAAGCCAAGTGTGGAATGATGGACAGGAGACTTGAAGTGGGAGTAAGAGAGGGGTGGATGATGGGAAGTTGCTTGCTGGGTGCAATGTGTATTACTCCAGTGATGGATAGGCTGACTTCACCACAATGCAATGTAGCAATGTAGCAAAATTGCATTTGTATCCCATGAATATATACAAAACAAACAAAAACATGGGGTTAATATGTGTGTATGTTACTTTGTTAAATGATATGCCATAATATATTTAAGAGTGGTGGGTAAGTGTATTATTATGTATGTTTGAAACATCCTGTTTAGCAGTGTGCAGTACATGTGCTGTTATCTGTGACATATATTGAAACACTGTTTACAGAGCCCAGTGTTACTGAGTATAATGATACACATGAAAAACAGTTGAGTTTACACTGTGTGAGGCATGTAGGACTTTGTGTTTAACGAAGATAGTGTTGGCTGGGCGCAGTGGCTCACGCCTGTAATCCCAGCACTTTGGGAGGCCGAGGTGGGCGGATCATGAGGTCAGGAGTTCGAGACCAGTCTGGCCAACACAGTGAAACCCCGTCTCTACTAAAAATACAAAAGTTAGCCAGATGTGGTGGCATGTATCCCAGTTACTTGGGGGGCTGAGGCAGGAGAATTGCTTGAACCGGGGAGTCAGAGGTTGCAGGAAGCCGAGATCACACCACTGCACTCCAGCCTGGCAACAGAGTGAGACTCCGTCTCAAAAAAAAAAAAAAAAAAAAAAAAAAAAAACCAAAACCAAAACCAAAAAACAACAAAAAACAAACAAACAAAAAACCCACAAAGATAGTGTTGTGTGTTCCTGTATGTAGTGATATATATGTGAAACATTGTGCTAGCAGTGTGAGGTGTGTGCACTATTTTGTTTAGTGACATTTTGAAACTGCATTTAGGAGAGGTGCATGTGTTGCCTGCATATAGTGATATAAGGGATATATGAAATATGGGGTAAGTTAGTAGCACCTACCAAATGTGCAGTTTTTAAAAGAGAGGTGTGTGTGGTGCAGGTACTGCTTTGTTTTGGGAAATGTTAGAACACTGTGCTTACAGGACTAGGTGCATACCATCTTGAGGATTGGAATATACACAGGAAACACTGTGTTTAGCAGTGTGGAGTGCATATACTACTTTACTTAGAGATTTATGCTGAAAAACTGTATTTATCTTAGCTAAGTGCCTGTTTAATTGAGTAGAGTGATATGTGTGAAATGTGTGTAGAAGTGTGTTATGCGTATACATGTGGTTTAGTGACGTAAGTTGAAACTGTGTTTAACAGAGTTCTGTATGTGTGTTAATGAGTTTATTGTGTGTAACCAACATTGTGATATATGTGTGGGACATTGGGTTTAACATGTGGGGTGCATGTTCTGCTTGGTTTAATAATATACGTTGGAACTTGTTTAATACAGGTGGTTCATGTGATACAGAAAATAATATTTGTGAAAGAGTATGTTAACCATATGGATGCACATCCTTCACACTTTAGTGATATATACTGAACCTCTGTGTTTAGTGATATATACGAACCACTGCTAAGCTAGGGAGGTGTGTGTATGTGTGTGTGTGTGTGTGTGTGTGTGTGTGTGTTTGTGTGTTTATGGGATAAAAAATGTGGGCCGGGTGCAGTGGCTCATGCCTGTAATCCTAGCACTTTGGGAGGCTGAGGCGGGCGGATCACCTGAGGTCAGGAGTTTGAGACCAGCCTGACCAACATCAGGAAACCCCATCTCTACTAAAAATACAAAAATTAGCCGGGCATGGTGGTGTATGCCTGTAATTCCAGCTACTTGGGAGGTGGAGACAGGAGAATTGCTTGAACCTGCGAGGCGGAGGTTGCAGTGAGCCGAGATCACGCCACTGCACTCCAGCCTTGGCAACAGAGCAAGACTCCATCTCAAAAAAAAAAAAAAAAGTATGCTTAGCAGTGTTTGTATGCTCACTCCGTGAGTTTATGTGCTTTTACTATTTTGACTGGGAAAATATTTTAAAACACAGCTATGTGTATGCATTACCAAGTCAACACTATTAACAGTGTGTAGTGCATGTATTACTTTGTTTAGTGATTTCGTTTCTGCTTCTTTTCTTTTCTAATAGACCTCAGTTTTTAGAACAGTTTTAGGTTCACAGAAAAGTTGAGTGAAGGTACAGAGATTTCCCATGTACCTTCTGCCCATACATGCATAGCCTCCCCATTATCAACATCCCCACCAGAATAACACCTTTGATTGTTACAATTGATGCACCTATATTAACGTACTCTTATCACCCAGAGTCCATGGTTTACATTAGGGTTCACTCTTAGTGTTATGTATTCTATTGGTTTTAACAAATGTATAATGACATTTATCCACCATTATAGCATCATGGAGTAGTTTCAGTGCCCCCAGATCCTCAGTGCTGTACCTACTCATCCCTCCCTCTTCCTTAACCACTGGCAACCACTGATCTTTCTACTGTTTCTTTGGTTTTGCCTTTTCCAGAATTTCATATAGTTGGATTCAGACAGTATACAGACCTTTTCAGATTGCATTCTTTCACTTTGTAATATGCATTTTTTTCTCCATGTTTTTTCATGACTTGATACCCACTTCATTTCAGGGCTGAAAATACTCCATTGTCTGGATTAACCACAGTTTATTTATCCATTCTCCTACTGAAGGACATGTTGGTTGCTTTCAGGTTTTGGCAAAAGCTGCTATAAACATATGTATGCAAGTTTTGTGTGAACATAAGTTTTCAGTTCTTCTGGGTAAATGCCAAAGAGCACAGTTGCTGGATCACATGGTACAAGTATATTTAATTTTGTAAGAAACTACCAAACTATCTTCCAAAGTGGCTGCAACATTTTGCATCCCCACCAGCAATGAATGAGAGTTCCCGTTGCTCCACATCCTCACCAGCATTTGGTGCTGTCAGTGTTCTGATCTGGGTCATTCTAATTCACATGTACTGATATCTTATTTTTGTTTAAATTTGCATTTTCTTGATGACATATGATGTGGAGCATCTTTCGTATACCTGTCTGCCATTTGTATATCTTCTTTGACGAGGTGTCTGTTAAGGTTTTCTGACTAATTTTAAATGGGCTAATTTTCCTATTGTTGAATTGTGAGACTTCTTTGTATATTTTCAATAACAGTTCTTTAACAGATAAGTCTTCCGCAAATATTTTCTGCCAGTCTGTGGCTTTTTTTTTCTTTCATAGTTTTTTTTTATTATTATACTTTAAGTTTTAGGGTACATGTGCACATTGTGCAGGTTAGTTACATATGTATACATGTGCCATGCTGGTGCGCTGCACCCACTAACTCGTCATCTAGCATTAGGTATATCTCCCGATGCTATCCCTCCCCCCTCCCCCCACCCCACAACAGTCCCCAGAGTGTGATATTCCCCTTCCTGTGTCCATGTGATCTCATTGTTCAGTTCCCACCTATGAGTGAGAATATGCGGTGTTTGGTTTTTTGTTCTTGTGATAGTTTACTGAGAATGATGATTTCCAATTTCATCCATGTCCCTACAAAGGACATGAACTCATCATTTTTTATGGCTGCATAGTATTCCATGGTGTATATGTGCCACATTTTCTTAATCCAGTCTATCATTGTTGGACATTTGGGTTGGTTCCAAGTCTTTGCTATTGTGAATAATGCCACAATAAACATACATGTGCATGTGTCTTTATAGCAGCATGATTTATAGTCCTTTGGGTATATACCCAGTAATGGGATGGCTGGGTCAAATGGTATTTCCAGTTCTAGATCCCTGAGGAATCGCCACACTGACTTCCACAATGGTTGAACTAGTTTACAGTCCCACCAACAGTGAAAAAGTGTTCCTATTTCTCCACATCCTCTCCAGCACCTGTTGTTTCCTGACTTTTTAATGATTGCCATTCTAACTGGTGTGAGATGGTATCTCATTGTGGTTTTGATTTGCATTTCTCTGATGGCCAGTAATGATGAGCATTTTTTCATGTGTTTTTTGGCTGCAGTCTGTGGCTTTTTAATTCTCTTGATAGTGTATTTCACGAAGCAGATGTTTCTAATTTCAATATGACCCAGTTATCAATTTTTCTTTTATGGATCATGGCTTTAGTGTTCTGTCTAAAAGGTCATCACCAAACCCAAAGTCATCTAAGTTTTCCCCTATGTTATATTCTAGGAGTCTTATACTTCTCAGTTTTAGACTTAGGTCCGTCATCCATTTTGAGTTAATTCTTATAAAATGAATAAGGTCTATGTCTACATTCATTTTTCTTTTGCAGGTGGATGTCCAGTTGTCTCAGCACCACTTGTCGAAAAGACCAACTTTGCTACATTGTATTGCCTTTGCTTCTTTGTGAAAGATCAGTTGACTATATATAGGTGGATCTATTTCTGAGCTTGCTTTCTGTTCCATTAATCTATTTGTTTATTGTTTTGCCAGTACCACACTGTCTTGATTATTGAAGGATTATAGTAAGACTCAGAGTCTGGTAATGTCAGTTCCCCAACATTTTTCTCATCAAAATTATATTGGCTATTCTGGGTCTTTTGACTCTCAGTATAAACTATAGAATCAGTTTGTCAATATTGACAGAGTAACTTATTAAGATTTTCATTGGGATTTTATTGAATCTAAGTGGTGCAATCATGGCTCTGCAGCCTCACCCTCCCAGGCTCAAGTGATCCTCTTACCTCAGCCTCCAAGTAGCTGGGACTGCAAGTGCATGCCACCAGATCTATCTAATTTTTGTATGTTTTTGAAGAGATGAGGTTTTGCCATGTTGCTCCTACTGGTCTTGAACTACTGGGTTCAAGCGATTCCCCCACCTCAGCTTCCCAAAGTGCTGAGATTGCAGGTGTGAACCACCATGCCTGGCCAGTATTGTGTTTTTAATTTCAAATTCGACTTGTTCATCGATGGCATACATGAAAGTAATTGTATTTTGTATATTAACCTTGTATCCTGCAACCACGTTATAAGTGCTTATTATTCCAGGAGTGTTTTTGTCACTTTTTGGATGTTCTACCTAGAGGACCATGTTATCTGTGAACAAAGACAGTTTTATTTTTTTCTTCCTAATCAGTGTACCTTTTATTTCCTTTTCTTATCTTATTGCATTACCTAGGACTGCCAGTATGTGGTTGAAAAGGAATGGTGAGAGGGGACATCCTTGCCATGTTCCTGATCTTAGTGGGAATGTTTCTGCTTTCTCATCTTTAAGTATAATGTTAGCTGTAGGGATTTTTTTGGTTGTTATTCTTTATCAGGTTGAGGAAGTTCCTCCCCATTCCTAGTTTACTGGGAGTTTTGATCACGAGCGAGTGCTGAATTTTGTCAAATGCTATTTCTGCATCTACTGATATGATATTATTTTTCTTCTTTAATTTGTTGATGTGATGGGTTATGTTAACTGATTTTCAAATGTTGAGCCAGCCTTGCAAACCTGGGATAAATCCCACTTGGTTGTGGTATATAATTCTTTTTCTACACAGTTGGATTTGATTTGCTAAGTTTTGTTGAGGTTTTATATCAATGTTCATGAGAGATATTAGTCTTTAGTTATTTTTCCTTGTAAGGTCCTTTTCTTATCTTGGCATTAAGATAATATCAGCCTCATAGAATGAGTTAGGAAATATTCCCTCTACTTCTACCTTCTGAAAGAGGTTGTAGAGAATTTTTATAATTTCTTCTTTAAATGTTTGATAGATATCATCTGTGAACACATCTGGGCTTGGTTCTTTCTGTGTTGGAAAGCTTAAATATTGATCTGATTTTCTTAATAGATATAGGCCTATTCAAATTGTGTATTTCTTCTTGGGTGACTTGTGGCATATTGTGTCTTTCAAGGAATTGGTCCATTTTCACTAGGTTATCAAATTAGTGGGCATAGAGATATTGGTAGTATTCCTTTATTATCCTTTTTTTTTTTTTTTGAGACAGAGTCTTGCTCTGTTACTCAGGCTGGAGTACAGTGATGCAATCTTAACTCACTGCAACCTCCGCCTCCTGGGTTCAAGCAATTCTCCTGCCTCAGCCTCCCAAGTAGCTGGGATTACAGGTGTATGTCACCACGCCCGGCTAATTTTTGTATTTTTAGTAGAGACAGGGTTTCACCATATTGGTCAGGCTGGTCTTGCACTCCTGACCTCGTGATCTGCCCACCTCGGCCTCCCAAAGTGCTGGGATTACAGGCATGAGCCACTGCGCCTGGCCTATTATCCTTTTGATGTCTGTCAGATTTATGTAGTGTCCTCTTCCCTTCCTTTCTTCCTTCCTTCCTTTCTCTCTCTTTCTTTTTTTTTTTTTTGAGTCTTGCTCTGCCACCCAAACTGGGGTGCAGTGGCGTGATCTCGGCTCACTGCAACCTCTGCTTCCCAGGTTCAAGCGATTCTTGTGTCTCAGCCTCTCCAGTAGCTGGGATTACAGGCACACACGACCACGCCTGGCTCATTTTTGTATTTTTACTAGAGATGGAGATTTGCCATATTGGCCAGGCTGGTCTCGAACTCCTGACCTCAGGTGATCAGCCTGCCTCAGCCTCCCAAAGTGCTGGGATTGCAGCCATGAGTCACTGTGCCCGGCCCTGTGTTTCATTTCTGTTATTAATAATTAGTGTCTTCTCTTTTTTCTTAGTTAGCCTGACTAGAGGCTTATCAATGTATTGATCTTTTTTTTCAAATAACCAGCTTTTAGTTTTGTTGATTTTCTCTATTTTCTGTTTTCAATTTCATTGATTTCTGCTTAATAAGACCTTTACTTAATAATATTTTTATTATTAATATATAATATTTTTTCTTAGGTGTAGTGGGTCATGCCTGTAATTCCTATAATTCTTAGGTGTAGTGAGTCATGCCTGTAATTCCAGCCCTTTGGGAGGCCAAGGTGAGAGGATGCCTTGATTCCAGGAGTTTGAGACCAGCTTGGGCAACAGAGAGATCTTGTCTCATGAATACTAATAATAATTATTTTCTTCTTCTCCTTCTCCTTCTTCTTCCTTTTTTTGTGACGAATTCTCGCTCTGTTGCCCAGGCTGGAGTGCAATGGTGCGATCTTGGCTCACTGCAACCTCTGCCTCTGAGGTTCAAGCGATTCTCCTGCCTCAGCCTCCTGAGTAGCTAGGATTACAGGCATGTGACACCATGCCTTGGCTAATTTTTGTATTTTTAGTAGAGACGGGGTTTTGCCATCTTGGCCAGGCTGGTCTCAAACTCCTGACCTCAGGCGATCCACCTGCCTTGGCCTGCCAAAGTGCTGGGATTATGGGCATGAGCCACCATGCCTGGCCTATTTTCTTCTTCTAAATTTGGATTTAATTTGATTTTCTTTTCCCAGTTTTTTAAGGTGGAAGCTTATATTGTTAATATCAGATCTTTCTCCTTTTCTGATCTATGCATTTAATGCTATAAATTTTCCTCTAGGTCAGCTTTCACTGCATCTCACAAATTTTGTTAAGTTGTGTTTTGTTTTCATCCAGTTCACCACATTTCCTTTTTCTTTTTCTTTCTTTCTTTTTTTTTTTTTTTTTTTTTTGAGATGGAGCCTCACTGTGTCACTCAGGCTGGAATGCAGTAGTGCAATATTGGCTCACTGCAGCCTCCGTCTCCTGGGTTCAAGCGATTATCCTGCCTCAGCCTCCCAAGTAGCTGGGATTACAGGTGTGCACCACCACTCCTGGATAATTTTTGTATTTTTAGTAGAGACGGTGTTTCACCATGTTGTCCAGGCTGGTCTCAAGCTCCTGACCTCAAACGATCTGCCTGCCTTAGCCTCCCAAAGTGCTGGGATTACAGATATGAGCCACTGCATCTAGTTCAAAATATTTTCTAATTTCTCCTGAGATTTATTCTTTGAAATCTTTCTTCTTTTCTTCTTTGTGTTATTTAGAACTGTCTTGTGTAATCTTCAAATATTTTGAGATTTTCCTCTGGGCACGGTGGCTCATGCCTATAATCCCAGCACTTTGGAAGGCTGATGCGTGCAGATCACTTGAGGCCAGGAGTTTGAGACCAGCCTGGCCAACATGGTGAAACCCATCTCTACTAAAAATACAAAAATTAGCTGGACATGGTGGCACGTGCCTGTAGTCCCAGCTACTCAGGAGGCTGAGGCAGGAGAATTGCTTGAATCCAGGAGGCAGAGTTTTCAGTGAGCCAAGATCGCACTGCTGCACTTCAGCCTGGGCAACACAGTGAGACTCCATCTCAAAAAAAAAAAAATTGAGATTTTCCATCTATCTTTCTATTATCGATTTTTAGTTTAATTTCATTGTGGTCTGAGAGCAGATGTTGTATGATTTCTATTCTTTTAAATGTGTTAAGGTATGTTTTATGGCCCAGAATGTGAGCTATCTTGGCAAATGTCCCATATGAGCTTGAGAAGAAAGTGCATTCTTCTGAGCTTGGATGAAGTAGTCTATAGATGTCAGTTATATCCAGTTGGTTGATAACATTGAATTGAGTTCGCCTATGTCCTTACTAATTTTCACCTATGCCCTAACTGCCTGCTATATCCTTCCATTTCTGATAGACAGGTGTTGAAGTTGAAATATCAAACTATGAAGTTGAAATATCAATCTATAGCAGTGGATTCATCTATTTCTCCTTGCAGTTCTATCAGTTTTTGCTTTACGTATTTCCACACTTCGTTGTCAGGTACATACATTTTAAGAAGTGTTATGTCATTTTGGAGAACTGATCTATTCATCATTATGTAATACACCTCTTTTTTTTTTTTTTTTTTTTTTTTTTTTTGAGACGGAGTTTCACTCTTTGTTGCCCAGACTGGAGTGCAGTGGCACGATCTCGGTGCACTGCAACCTCTGCCTCACAGGTTCAAGTGATTCTCCTGTCTCAGCCTCCTGAGTAGCTAGGATTACAGGTGCCCACCACCATTCCTGGCTAATTTTTGTATTTTTAGTAGAGACGGGGTTTCACCGTGTTGGCCAGGCTGGTCTTGCCCTCCTGACCTCAGGTGATCCGCCCGCCTCAGCCTCCCAAAGTGCTGGATGTAGTACCCCTCTTTATCCTTGATAGCTCTTCTAGCTCTGAAGTCTATTCTGCCTGCAATTAGTATAGCTACTCTTGCTTTCATTTGATTGGTGTTAGCATGATAGCCATTTACTTTTTTTTTTTTTTTAGGCGAAGTCTCGCTCTGTCTCCCAGGCTGGAGTGCAGTGGCGCAATGTCAGCTCACTGCACGCTCCACCTCGTGTATTCACGCCATTCTCCTGCCTCAGCCTCCTGAGTAGCTGGGACTGCAGGCGCCTCCCACCATGACCGGCTAATTTTTTTGTATTTTTAGTAGAGACGGGGTTTCACCATGTTAGCCAGGATGGTCTCGATCTCCTGACGTTGTGATCCACCCGCCTCGGCCTCCCAAAGTGCTGGGATTACAGGCGTGAGCCACCACGCCCGGCCGATATCCATTTACTTTTAATCTATGTGTGTCTTTACATTTAAAGCAGGTTTTTAAAATCACTCTGACAATCTTTTGATTGGTGCATTTAAGACCACTGACATTCAACATGATTATTGATATAGTTAGACTAGTAGTATCTACCATATTTATTACTATTTTTATATTTGTTGTCTTTGTTCTTATTTTTGTCTTCTACTCTTTTTCTGCCTTCTTTGGTTTTAATTGAGCATTGTATATGATTCTTTTTTTCCTTTTCTTAGCATATTCATTTATACTTCTTTTTTCACAGGTTGCCCTAGAGTTTGCAATATACATTTACAACTAATCAAATCTCACTTTCAAATAACACTATACTACTTCACAGGTAGTTTATGTACCTTCCAATAACAAAATAATCCTAATTTCTCCCTCCCAATCCTTATATCATTACTGTCATTCATATCACTTATATATAAACATATATAGTATATATTCATAAGCATAAGTAATTGAATAGCATTATTGCTTTTATTACTTTTAACAAACTGTATCAATTAAGAATAAGAAAAATAGTGCCGGGCGCGGTGGCTCACGCCTGTAATCCCAGCACTTTGGGAGGCCGAGGCGGGCAGATCATGAGGTCAGGAGATCCAGACCATCCTGGCCTCATGGTGAAACCTCGTCTCTACTAAAAATACAAAAATTAGCTAGGCATAGTGGCACGTGCCTGTAGTCCCAGCTACTCAGGAGGCGAGGCAGGAGAATCACTTGAACCCGGGAGGCGAGGTTGCAGTGAGCTGAGATCACGCCACCGTACTCCAGCTTGTCGACAGTGTGAGACTCTGTCTCAAAAAAAAAAAAGTTTTTATTTTTCCATCACTTATTTCTTCTCTGATGCTCCTCCCTTCTTTTTGTAGTCTAAAATTCTGACCTATATCATTTTCCTTTTTTCTGAAGAATTTCTTTTAACATTTCCTACAAGGCAGATCTACTGGCAATAAATTTCCTCGATTTTGAGAAAGCATTTCTTCTTCACTTTCAAAGGATACTATTATGGAGTATAGAATTCTAGGTGTGGTTTTTTTTTCCTCTCAGTATTTAAAATACTTCACTCTACTTTCTTCTTGCTTGCATGGTTTCTGAGAAGTTGGTTAGATGTAATTCTTATCTTTGCCCTTGCTTTGGTAAGACGCTTTTTCCCTCTGGCTTCTTTCAGGACTTTATTTGGATTTTCTGTAGTTTGAAAATGATATGCCTAGGTGTAGGGTTTTTTGGCCATTTATCCAGTTTGAACTTCTTGGATCTTTGATTTATTGTCTGAGATTAATTTGAGGGAAGTTCTCAGTCATTATTGTTTCAAATGTTTCTTTTGTTCCTTTTTCTCTTCTCCTTCTGATATTTTTATTACATGTAGTCACACCTTTTGCAATTGTCCTATAGCTCTTGTAGTTTTTGTTTGTTTGTTTGTTTTTGTTTTTTGAGACAGGATTTCACTGTCACACAGGCTGGAGTACAGTGGCAAGAACATGGCTCACTGCAGCCTTAACCACCTGAACTCAAGCAATCCTTTTGCCTCAGCCTCCCAGGTAGCTGGGACTACAGCCATGAGCCACCACACCCAGCTAATTTTAAAATTGTTTTGTAGAGATGAAGGGGAGGGTCCCTATGTTGCCCAGGCTGTTCTTAAACTCCTGGGCTCAAACAATCCTCTTGCCCCAACTTCCCAAAGTGCTTCTCCAACCCGCGGTCCATAGGCCACATGCAACCCAGGACGGCTTTGAATGCGGCTCAACACAAATCCATAAACTTTTTTTTTTTTTTTTTTTTTGAGATGGAGTCTCGCTCTGTTGCCCAGGCTGGAGTGCAGTGGTGCAATCTAAGCTCACTGCAAGCTCCGCCTTCTGGGTTCACGCCTTTCTCCTGCCTCAGCCTCCCGAGTAGCTGGGACTACAGGCACCCGCCACCGTGCCCAGCTAATTTTTTGTATTTTTAGTAGAGACGGGGTTTCACCATGGTCTCGATCTCCTGACCTCGTGATCCGCCCACGTCGGCCTCCAAAAGTGCTGGGATTACAGGCGTGAGCCACCACGCCTGGCCCATAAACTTTCTTTAAAAATTATGAGTTTTTTTCCTGTGATTTTTTAAAGCTCATCAGCTATTGTTAGTGTTAGTTTATTTTATGTGTGGCCCAAGACAATCCTTCCAATGTGGTCCAGGGAAGCCAAAATATTGGACACCCATGGGCTACTGTGGAAAAAAAATAACAACCCCAGAAAATAAGTGTTGGTGAGGATAAGAAGATTTTGAAACCCTTATACACTTAATGAGAATGTAAAATGGTATAGCCACTGTGAAAAACAGTATGACCATTCCTCAAAAAATTAAACATAGAATTGCCATAAGCCAGCAATTCTACTTCTGGGTATATATCCAAAGGAATATATATCCAAAGGAATTCAAAGTAGAATCTTTTTCTTTTTTTTTTTTGAAACAGTCTTACTCTATCACCCAGGGTAGAGTGCAGTGGTGCAATCTCAGCCTCCTGGGTTCAAGCAATTCTCCTGCCTCAGCCTCTCAAGTAGCTGTGACTACAGACATGTGCCACCACACCCAGCTAATATCTTTTTGTATTTTTAGTAGAGATGGGGTTTCACCATGTTGGCCAGGCTGGTCTCGAACTCTTGACCTCAAGTGATCCTCCCACCTCAGCCTCCCAAAGTGCTGAGATTACAGGCATGAGCCACCATGCCCAGCCAAAAAGTAGAATCTTGAAGAGATATTAATACACCCATGTTCATTGTAGTGTTACTCCCAATAGCCAAAAGATAGAAGCCACTCAAGTGTCCATCAACAGATGAGTGGATAATCAAAATGTTGTATATACATACAAAGGAATATTATTCAGCCTTAAAAAGGAAAAGAATTCCGACATATGCTATTACATGGATGAATTTTAAGGACATTATGCTAAGTGAAATAAGAAAGATACAAAAAGACCGTATGATTCCACTTACATAAGGTCTGTAGAGTGAGAGCAAGAGACAGATAGGGAGAGGGAGAGAGAGAGAGAGAGAGAGAGAGAGAGAGAAATGTTGTTCAAAGCAGTTGCATCCCCAGCTCCTAGTGCAGCATTTGACAAACAGTAGAAGCTCAGTAAATATATTTTGACTGATTGCTTAAATAATAGTATTTAGTACTTTTTGAGTCTCCAAACACTTTTATAGATGTATCCCTCACTATTTGGATCAATTTGGCTTTGGCTTCAGAGAGTGAAAGTTGGGGTAACAAGAATTGCAACATCATTATTTGGTTTCTGCGTTTCATAGGGTGAAACAAGTTCAGAGGATGTTACAAGCCATGCCCAAGTCCAGACATCACTCATTTCCCCCACAGCCCAGACTTCACTGCTGCTTTCCCCACTGGTGTACCTGTACCTGAAGCAGACATTTGCCAGCCTTCTTTTTGAGACGGAGTCTCGCTCAGTAGTCACCCAGGCTGGAGTGCAGTGGCGCGATCTCGGCTCACTGCAAGCTCCGCCTCCCAGGTTCACACCATTCTCCTGCCTCAGCCTCCCGAGTAGCTGGGACTACACGCACCTGCCACTACGCCCGGCTAATTTTTTTGTATTTTTAGTAGAGATGGGGTTTCACCGTGTTAGCCAGGATGGTCTGGATCTCCTGACCTCGTGATCCGCCCATCTCGACCTCCCAAAGTGCTGGGATTACAGGCGTGAGCCACTGCGTCCAGCCGACATTTGCCAGACTTTATGGTCACTTCTATTACTTCCTCCAGGGAATGAAAGGCAGAACAGGAGTTGAGACTGCAGCCGCGGTCTTCAGCCTCCTGCACAGTGCCCCACTCTGCTGTGCACCCAGAAATACAGGATGTTGCATCCTTGGGTGCCCAAGTGGGCACCCAAGGCCCCCACTCACCACTCAGGTGAGGCTGCAGAGGCCCATGAGACAGAGTGACTTTTCCTGACTCCACCACTTGCCAGTCTATGACTTTGAACAAATCCCTTCTCTCTGAAGCTAACTTTCCTCACCTGTAAGGCAGTCATAATAGTATCTAATTCATTGTGTTGCTGTGAAGAATCAATAGGAAGCATATAAACATAGCACCTGACTCAAGGTAGATATTCAAAAGCTGTGAACATGAATATCAGGGATAAGGTTAGAACCCACTTCTTTGATTATCAGCCCTGGTCTATTTACTATAGCAAGCTACTTCTGGAAAGAAATCACTCCCACCTGCACACACACCCACTACCACACAGTGAAACTGGGCAGGAGTCCATGCATGTTAAAGGGCAGTGGCTCAGAGCTTCAGCACAGTAGAGGGAGACACTGAGCAGGAGGCTGAAGACCCAGGCTCCAGTCTCAGCTCTATAATGGAGTGGGTCTGCTGGGCGACTTGGGCAGGGCTCATAAACCTTCTGCACCTCCGGTTCTCATTTGTCAAACAGAATCAGGTCTGCCCTGATAGCTTCACAGGGAGGGCACCTCCTTAGACCTAAGCAAGTGGGGTCCTGGCCCAGAACTCCATGCCTCAGGGGTCCTGGCCTGGAACTGCCTTAAGCAAAATTTTATAAATCTTCTTCCTGTAGTTAGGCCCAGCCAGGGCTGACAGTGCCATCTGAACAGGATGCCCTGAACTCATACCAGAACCCACTTCCCCCATGTCAGGGCATGCTCCGACCCTGTAGCCCACACATGGGGTTGATCAGATGCCTCAAGGAGCAGCTCTAGGACTTGTTCAGTGGGGTCATCCCAGGTCCCCAGATCCAGGAGGTAGATTTCTCTCATTGGGTGGATTAGAATTTGTCTCAAAGAATCACACAAGACTGGGCTACTAGAATGGTAACATGCTAATTTTGGGTGACTCTCACATTGGGCACAGGATGAGTTAGTTCAGGGCTCCAGCTGTGGAGGCCCCACCTCTAGTACTTGGGCTTGAGCCAAGTGGGGGCACATGAGTGTGCTCTGGCCTGTCCATATTCTGACTACAGTACCACCTCTGGACTATAGCTGTGAGGGTGGCAGGGCCAGTGGCAGGCATTCTTTACCCTATGTAGCCTCTGCCTCTAGTATCCAGGGACATCAACCTCTACACAGAGACCCCAACTCAAATGCCAGGCAGTCCTCTAGGCTACCCCCTCAGAGGACTTTGCAGGTTGTGGTCACATAATACTTATTGGTCCTTCCGATCTTCTGATCAACATTCTCCCTTGTTTCTCATTGCTATGGTAAACTTACTCTCTCCCAGGTTGCTCCCAAACCCTGCCTGGGCCAGAAACAGGCATCCCATGTGTGAGTGGGTCCACAGCTCTCACTCCTCCACAAGCCCCTGCCTCTTCTCCCTGCTGGTACTGAGTGGCAGGCAGGAGCAAAACCAACATTGGAAGAGATCATGTCTAGCAGCACCGTGGTTATGACCCGAGGAAGTCAAGAGAAAAATGTGTTGTTCTCCACGTGTGTTGTAAAATTCTGAGAGTTAAGTTAATGGGGCAGAAATTAAATTATTGTTCACATTCTGCACACTCTGGATACACTTGAATCTATGGTCACTGTGAATGAAGCACAACAGTAACTCTTGGGAGAGTCACTGGCATCCAGTGTTCACGGCAGCATGGCAGGTGACACAGCATCATGAGTGAGACAGACCCAGCATCAGATAAATTGCATTAGGAGACTGCAGAGGCAAGGTGACTGGTGTCATTTCCATGCAAATAGGTTCTGAAGAGCCATGGCACTGTGAGTAAAAACTGTGTTGCTGCCTTTTCTGCCACTGGGAGATATGAAATTATCCAGGAATGGCGCATCTGACAAGAAAGAAGATAACTGAAAGGAAGAGATTGTGCCATGCTCTACTAGAATCTTCATATGCATAAGACATTAAGCAAATATGCAAGTATCTTTTCTCTGCCTTATTCTAAATTCTTCTTGATTATTCCCTCTAAATCACATGAGTGCAAAAATTGTGCAATGTGTCATTTAATGAAATTGTTTATACTGACAGGGCTCTGCACACTAGGTGGCTGTCCTGAACAGAGATGTTGAGGATCCAATAGGAGAGTAGATCTAAATGATTATAGAATATAAATAATGCTGGCTGAATGCTCAGGATTATACAGTCTGGCCTGATGGACACAGGACACAGGATTTGGACTTATTGGGCATTTTTCCTGAGTCTGTCCCTAATGGTATATTATGCTGAGAAATAAGAGCCATAGGCAGGTTCCAAGCTGGGATTGTTTGCCTGCTGAAAACCCTTCTGTTAACAATTCTGCTTATGGAAGCAGCTTTCATTTATCAGAAAAGGCAACTCTGCATAATAAGTTACATTGGAATAATCAGGTATTTCCTAATAGACTTGATGAGGTTCAATTTTTACCTTAAAAATGGGGATGATAATGCCTTCTCTGCCTTATAGGACATTTGTTAGACTCAGTAATATTATTATGATAATAATAATGATGATGCTAGTGATGATGATGATGTTGGTGATGGTGATGATGCTGGTGGTGGTGAAGATGCTGAGGGTGGTGATAATGCTGGGGATGGCGATGGTGTTGGTGATGGTGATGATGTTGGTTATGGTGATGATGCTGGTGATGGTGATGAGGCTGAGGATGGTGATGATGCTGAGGATGGTGATGATGCTGGGGATGGTGATGGTGATGATGCTGGTGATGGTGATGAGGCTGAGGATGGTGATGATGCTGAGGATGGTGATGATGCTGGGGATGGTGATGGTGATGATACTGGTGATGGTGATGATGATGGAGATGGCGATGAGGCTGAAGATGGTGATGATACTGGGGATGGTGATAATGCTGGTGACGGTGATGACGCTGGGGATGGTGAGGATGCTGGTAATGGTGATGATGCTGGGGATGGTGATGATGCTGCGGATGATAATGGTGATGATGCCGGTGATAGTGATGATGCCGGTGATGGTGATGATGCCGGTGATGGTGATAATGCCAGGGATGGTGATGATGCCGGTGATGGTGATGATGGCAGGGATTGTGATGATGCCAGGGATGGTGATGATGCTGGGGATGGTGATGATGCTGGGGATGGTGATGGTGATGATGTTGGTGATGATGACCTTGGGGATGGTGATGGTGTTAGTGATGGTGACAATGTTGGTAATGGTGATGACGCTGGGAATGGTGATGATATTGGTGATGGTGTGATGGTGTTGGTGATGGTGATGATGCTGATGATGGTGATGACACTGGTGATGGTGATGATGCTGGTGATGGTGATGATGCTCATGATGGTGATGATGTTGGTGATGGTGATGATGCTGAAGATGGTGATGATGCTAGGGGTGGTGATGATGCCGGGGATGGTGATGATGCTGGTGATGGTGATGATGCTGGGGATGGTGATGATGCTGGTGATGGGTGATGGTGATGATGTTGGTGATGGTGATGGTGCTGGTGATGGTGTTGATGCTGGTGATGGTGATGATGCTGAGGATGGTGAGGATGGTGATGACGCTGGTGATGGTGATGATGCTGTGGATGGTGATGATGCTGGGGTTGTGATAATGTTGGTGATGGTGATGGTGTTGGTGATTATGATGATGCTGGGGTTGGTGAGGATGCTGGGGATGGTGATGGTGCTGATACTGGGGATGGTGATGATGATGGTGTTGGTGATGGTGATAATGCTGGTGATCGTTATGATGTTGTTGATAGTGATGGTGTTGCTGATGGTGATGGTGTTGCTGATAGTGAAGATGTTGGTGAGAATAATACAGCAACAGTGCAATAGTGAAAACACTATTTATGGAGTGGATACGCTGTGATAGGGCCTGCAGTGAGCTCTCTGCAGGCATTGTCTCATTTCTTCCTCACAGCAGTACTAAGAAGCAGGTATTAATGTCTCACTATTTCAGATGAAATGTTTTCCAACCTTGTTCACTGAAGGACCTTCTTCCTGCAGCACTGAGGTTGCATGGACAGTGGCTGAGGTCAGTGGTCACCCTGTAACCCAAGCCCACCACACCTCCCCATCAAGGTATAACCCACCTTGGTCTCATTGTGCAAACTGGGGGAGCCCCTTATATCGAGTGTCAACCAAAAATAAAATCCTAAGCCCCCCAGTTGACTGAACTTACTCCCTCTGGGCCAAGGAGGACTTGAAAAACTGAATTCCTGGCCATTATGGGAAGAGAGGTTGGACACACCTCATTACACCCCCTCTCTTTTGGAGTTTAGGCACAACTGGCCAGCATTAACATTAAAATAGAGATCATGAGACTGACAGAACAGAGGTTTTTTGGCAATGAGATACCAAACTCCAACCTGGTTCTTGTATAGCAGCATCACATGGCAGATGGCAGACCCTGAAGGAAATAAAAATATTTTACCCTAAAATATACTTCAGTATATTTTGAAATGGCCCAGTAAAGCTGTCTTTTGTGGGAGAAATTTGCATCAGTAGAGAATCTCCATTCATGCAGCCAGGCCTCCCTCTCTAGGCCTTTCCCAAATCTAGGAGAGATTAACTGAGACCCTGACACCTCTAAGATCTGAGAAGAGACTCACCATCTATCCTCTCTGGTGGCTGCTACCTATGAGACTTCATCTATGTAACAAGAACCTTGGCCCCACAACCCCCTCACTTTAACTCAAGCATTCCTTCCTACTGACATCAAGTCTTTAGACAAAGCTTAAGCCTCTCAACCAACTGCCAATTAGAAAAATCTTTAAATCCACCTATACCCTGTAAGCCACCCACTTCAAGATATCTCACCTTTTCAGATGGAACCAATGGTCACTTTCCATATTTCGATTTATGATGTTACCTACAATTCTTGTCACCCTAAAATGTATAAACCCAAACTATAACCCAACCGCCTTGGGCACATTTTCTCAGGATCTGTTGAGACTATACCCTGGGCCATGGTCACTCACATTGGCTCAAGATAAACCCCGTTAAAGTATGTTACAGTTTGTTTTTTCCATTAACAGGGGTGAAGATCCCATCTCCATCTGATCATTTCAAGCTTTCATTTCTTTATCTCTATCCACTAAAAAGCAAAGAAAAAATCCTACATCACGGTATCTGTAATTTAGTGTATACTTTAAAAGGTGGTAATTTATATGAAATAAATGTTCTATAAAGCTACATATCAACATGATAAAAGTGGTGAGAGAAGTGGGCTTATTGGAAAAATGTTATTTCATTTGATTATCTAAATTTTCTTATATTTTAAAAATGAACCAGCACTTTGGGAGGCTGAGGCGGGTGGATCACGAGGTCAAGAGATCAAGACCATCCTGGCCAACATGGTGAAACCCCGTCTCTACTAAAAATACAAAAATTAGCTGGGCATGGTGGCGTGTGCCTGTAGTCCCAGCTACTCGGGAGGCTGAGGCAGGAGAATCACTTGAACCCAGGAGGTGGAGGTTCCAGTGAACCGAGATTGCACCACTGCACTCCAGCCTGGCGACAGAGCGAGACTCCATCTCAAAAACAAACAAACAAACAAACAAACAAAAAATGAAGATGTACATTTCTTATAGTAACCACAAAATGAAATGCTTGGGGGGAAAATCCAATGCAAAGTAAATAAACACATGAAAGCTTTCAGGGCCCCCACAGACTAATGATCCTCATGAGAGTGGCATGAAAGCCCCATTCTTCTGTGTCTATCTGTTGGCCGAGTTCCAAGTCTAAGAGCAAAATATGAAAGATATGGGGGTGCGGGAAGGCCTAGAGAGTGAGGAAGGACCTTGACCTCTGTTCTATATCTTCCTCCCCGACTTGCCCTGTCCCCAGCAAACCAAGAGAGTGGTTTCTGTGCAGCACCATCACCAGCACCATCATCACCATCCCAGCATCATTATAATCACCAACACCCAGGGCCACCACCTGCTGACCCACCCTGAGCACCCCTCTGCTCAGGCTGCTGGGGCCAGGCTTTCCAGGCCACACAGTCTTGGACAGGTCGAGTGGCGCAAAGGCAATGCCAAGGAGGATGCTGTGTCCCTTCTGACAGGCGAGAAAAGGGCTTCAGAAAGTTGCATGGCAAGAAAAGTCAGCCCCACTCCTGAGGCAGCTGGAAGGTGTTGGCAGTTCTTGCTGCGTCCGGGTCCTGGAGACAGAAAGCCCCGCAGCTCCAGGCATCCTAGTGCAAAGAGTCCACAGAGGCCCCTGCAGAAGAAGTAGGTGCCTAGATACCTCCCCCAGGGACTCCCACATTCTGTCCTCTTTTAATCTTCTTAAGCGGGCGTCAATATGTCGGTTTGAACAATCAAAGCAGGGAGAGACAGAATGAGAGCCCCTTTATTGGGAGAATTAGGAAATGGCTCAGCTTGGGGTTCTGACTTTCATTTGCAGCTTTTGCTTTTTGTTTTTACTTCTATTTATTTATTTATTTTCCAAACAGACCAGGATACTAGGCATTATTGCATGGCTTGCAAATTTTGGAAAAGTAGGAGGTGGAGCAGATCTCAGCTCAGACCTACTTAGGGTCATCCACCCCTAGCCTCATGAAAACCCTGGCCTGGGGCTTTGAGCTGACACCCTGACATCTTAGAACTCACAGTAAAACAGGAGTTCAGCAAGACTGGTTTCACCAGATACAGGTCACAAAGACCTCGCTGATAAAACAGGTAAAGAAGCTGGCCAAAATCTGCCAAAACCAAGATGGCAATGGAAGTGACCTCTGGCTGTCCTCACTGCTCATTATATACTAATTACAGTACATTAGCATGCTAAGAGACACTCCCAGTAGCACCATGACAGTTTACAAATGCTGTGGCAATGCCCAGAAGCTACCCCATATGGTCTGGAAGTGGGAGGAACCCTCAGTTCTGGGAATTTCCCAGCCTTGGAATTTCCTGGGAATTCCAGGACAATTCATGAATAATCCACCCCGTATTTACCATATGATCAATAAATAACCATAAAAATAGCCAACTATCAGCCCTTGAGGCTGCTCTGCCTATGGAGTAGCCACCCTGTTATTCCTTTACTTTCTTAATAAACCTGCTTTCATTTTACTCTGTCAGCTCACTTTTGAATTCCTTCCTGTGTGAAGCCAAGAACCCATGTGACCTCCAAGGCTGCACTTCAAATTTGGGATTCACCCTGTGATATCTTTTCTGGTGATCATTAAGGGATGATGGAGACCTCTCTCTGGACCACAAATTAAGACCTATCAGTACCATTTGGACCTGACAGGTGGGTCGGTCTCCTCTGTCCAGATTCAACTCCCTACCTTTCTTTCCCCTTCAATTTTGGCTGCTCTGTTCTTTCATATGCTGTTTATTTAAAGTTCGAGAAGTAACCATGAGACCTCTGCTGTGGCAGCCTGACTGCAGTCTCCCATTGTCTGGTGCCCTGGACAGGAGCCCGCCTGGCTGGCCACGTCTTTTGTAACCCACCTGGTTGCCCCTTCTCTTGTACCCTCCCTCTGTAGTTTGTAAAGATCGGCTGTTTTACTTTTCTGCTTTTAGTGCTGAAATGCATGTGCACGTTTATTCCATTGTTACATTTGTAGTCTCTGGTTTGGGCAGTTGTCTCTACTCTATGTGAGGCAGGGCACTTTCCTTGGTTGTTTGAATTTTTTTCTTTTGTTATTTTGATAGATCCCCCATTGTGCTGACCCTGGGATGCCGGGGTCACTTTATTCTGTGGTCCCAAATGTGTTTGGTATTCTGTGCTCCCCACATCCCGGCCTTTCTGCACCCCTCTGCTTTTTTTTTTTTTTAACTCTGGCCCTAAACATTTGTGTAGTTCGACTGCTTAACCTAACCACATCTCATTCCATTTGTCTTTCCTCTGTACCCTCAGTTCATTAATCAACAATACTGATTATTAATGATCTTGATAGACTGTAACCATTAAAGTTGTTTTCTCCATAGAGGGACGTATTTGAACTATTCATCATTCAAGAAAAATCCTTCTGTGTGAAGTGAGTTTTTTTATGATAGAGGAAAACTAATGAGACTATAAAAACAATTATTTTCCCACTTCGTTTTTTAGAGATGTGTTAAGTTTTGCAGCCTGTCTGGAAATGGACTTAAATATCATTAAACTGCCTTGCTGCTGGTCATATAGGCCATCTCAGGTTCTGAAAGGGAGAAGGCAAAGGTGCTGAGGTTCACTGATAACCACCCTCTGGATGCTCTGGGGTTTGTCAACATTTTAGATGGAGACTCTTATTGGCTGATACCTGGGTACTCAGTTTTTTTCAGCATTTGGAACTGTTGGCCACCCCCTGGATGCTCTGGGATGTTAGGCATTGGCATTCCTTCTAGGATTGTGGATTAGAGTCCTTTCCTAGGGGAATCTTGGTCTTGCATTTTGTATTCTACCCTAAAGTTATCATTTTCTCTAAAGTGTTTTCTTTGCTTAATGTCACGTTAACACTTTGGTACAGGAGATGAGAATTTGCAGGGGAAAATAACTGGGCTCTTGCTACACTGAGAAAAACTTTTGTGTTTAGTAGAGATCCTTGTTAGACAATGGCACATCTTTGTTTATGTGTGTGTATACATGCCTAGATGTGTTTATGTATATGTACATTTATTATGTTATGTATTGTGTGTATGGAGTACCAAATTGGCTTATAAATAAAAGAGCACTCATAAGTTCAATAAATAAGTATTTTTCAAGTTAATGTGACTTAAGTTCACTAAAATTTAGGATTACTGAAAATTCATATGTAATTCTGTATATAAAATGTGCCAAAGAAGATATCCTCTTATTGAAAAAAAATTAGACCAATTCAAACGTTATTTAAAGTGGGGGTTTTAAATGTGGATTTAGGAAGGTAATAGAAAGAAAGTAGAAAAAAAGAAAAAAAACAGTAAGTAGGGGAGAGAGATGTGAAGAGAGTTATGAATATGAAGATGTATTTTTGGTAAGGAAGGTAATAAAGAAAAGAAATTTTATATGAGAAAGAATCTTACATAGCATGTTCTTGTCCCAAAGTAGAATGATTGATTATTTAGGAAAGAGGGAAATACAGGACAAATCAGAAAGTCCAAACCTGTCATAGATGGTCTGTGTAAGTTATGATAAGGTTCATAAAAGGGAATTTATTAACAATTTTATAATTAGCCATAACTGAAAGAAAATTTATTTATAATAGTCTATCTAAATTTTGGTTCTCTATATTTAAAGAGTTGTTTCTTGTAAGTATTGGTTTGCTTTCAGTAAAATTGCAAGAAATATTGACAATTATAAAATCTGTTTCCTTTTAAGGCTTCTCATATTTATATCTGTTCCTTTTACCTTGAAAGGTTACATCTTTTGCAAGCTCAAAAATGACTACTCTAGATTCCTCCTGGGAAAACAAATATGGCACTCACCTCATGCTGTAACTGAGTAGCTAAGGCTTTGGTCTTTCATGGTGGTGGCTGGGGTTCAATTCCTGGCTTAGGGAATGAGTTATTTCTGGTTTGATACTTGTGGGACTTTTGCCATTTATTTATTCTTTTTCCTCCCATGGCCAACTTATTTCAAGGGCATTCCCCCAAGGATGGTGGGCAACACAAAGCCAATTAGCCTAATTAACCAAGTCTGATTTCCTGACTTCAATTTTCTTCGAGCTACCTTAGGGGTGATTCTAGATACAGTAAAAATCACTCACCAGCTCTTTGGAGGCAACTCATGTGTCCATGGTTAAGTTGTAACCTTAGTTAAGGCTTATTGGTTTCACCTGGGGAAATACCTGTGCGGGAAGAAAACTGTTTAAAAGCCAGAGGTTTCAGCTCTTTGTCCTGGATAGAGTCTGGTATTAAGAGATTTAAAATAATGTTTTTAAAAAAGAGCTCTATGGTTAAAAGTCAGCTTAATTAAAAATGAAGATCCAAGCTATATATATTTAAAAGGCTTTTTATTTAAAAGGTTTTTCTATTTTTGGATTTTGGGTTTTTTGGAGAAAATGTGGGTTTCTTTTGGTTTTTCTTCTAAGTTGTCTATATTATTTCTCCAGTCTGTCTTCTTGCCACCCTAATGTCTGTATGAAAGGACCTTATGTAATTTCTGAGAGTTGGGCCAGGCACGGTGGCTCACACCTGTAATCCTAGCACTTTGGGAGGCCAAGGCAGGCGGATCACGAGGTTAGGAGATCGAGACCATCCTGGCTAACACGGTGAAACCCTGTCTCTACTGAAAACACAAAAAATTATCTGGGCGTGGTGGCGGGTGCCTGTAGTCCCAGCTACTCGGGAGGCTGAGGCGGGAGAATGGCATGAACCTGGGAGGCGGAGCTTGTAGTGAATGGAGATGGTGCCACTGCACTTCAGCCTGGGTGACAGAGCAAGACTCCGTCTCAAAAAAAAAAAAAAAATTTCTGAGAGTCTGGGACTCTGAGAAAAACAGAGGAGGCACCACAGACCCTGTTTGGAGAAAAACCTCTGTTTTCCTCATGGAAACCCAGAAATTGTAAGCAGGTAGATCCTTCTCAAAATCTAAGTCTTTGATCTATTTTGCATTGTGTTACATGACCTTTTGACTTTTGGGGGCATCACAAATTGCCTTATGAAAAAACTTTTAGCCTTAGCATATAATTGAAAGCTAGAAAATATACCTTTGGGGATGGCTAGTAGCAGTTACGAGGGTGAAATACTCTGCTCTTTGCATATTTGTATAAGAAAAGCATGCTTTTGGCCACTTGGAAGATATGGAAGCATCCCAATCCCACTGAGAGGTGAGACTCCCTTGGGAGGTGGGCTAATTATTGACTGGACTAATTGGTTTTGAGTTGCCCACCAGCCTTGGGGAAATGCCCTTGCAAAAAAATGCACAGTAAAAGCATTGCACTGTCTCATCCATGGTGTTTCCTTTTTTGGGATGACCCAGGATAAGGTATAAAAATGGGATTTTTTTACCTGTGGAGATCTGTTTTGACTTCCAGCTGTGCCCACCTATTAGGCCCTAAAAACTACATGTTTTCTTGGCTTTGTTCCTGAAAACGCTTCACCCTAAAGCCAGTAATTAAGAAATTTACATCTTTAAGAAAATCTCCATGTGTCAGTATGTCTGCTTTTCTTGCCCATCTTGACTAAACTTTCACTGACACCATTTTTTCACCAAAAATTATTCCTTTAAAAATGTATATTTGGAACTGCCTGACTGACAGTTGTTTAGGGCAAGGGAAGAGATAATCAAGAGACTGTTGGTTTAAAATTAAAAAGGAAAACTTAAAAACGGGCAAATAGAAAGCCTTATCACCCTACCAGATCTACATCTGTCTGTCTATATGTGTTGTGTGTGTAATGTTTCACTACCAAAATATATAAAAGAGCTATAATTAATTGGCTTTTAAAAAGCACTTAAATATTTTGCCAGAAAAATTTTAAAAATGCCTTTTAGTTCACATGACTCATAAGCTTTTTTTTTTTTTTTTAAGAAAAGACATTTTAAAATTGCTGGTAAAACATTCTTCAAAATTTAGATATTTGGTCAAAATTAGGCAGATCACATATTAGGTTTGCTAAATGCTTTAAGATCAGAAACTGCTTTTATGACTTTTTTTTTTTGAGATGAAATTTTGCTCATGTCACCCAGGCTGGAGTGCAATGGAATGATCTCTGCTCACTGCAACCTCTGCCTGCTGGGTTCAAGTGATTCTTCTGCCTCAGCCTCCCAAGTAGCTGGGATTACAGGCACCCGCCACCATGCCCGGCTAATTTTTGTATTGTTGGTAGAGGCAGGGTTTCATCATGTTGGCCAGGCTGCTCTTGAACTCCTGACCTCAGGTTATCCGCCTGCTTCGGCCTCCCAAAGTGCTGAGATTACAGGCATGAGCTACCACACCCAGCCTTCTGTGACTTTTGATAATTGTTCCACTGGCCTGCTTTAGAGCCATTAGATTCTAGACAAGGCCTAAGGATGTGTGGAATTAGCCATGCCCCATGGCTATACTGGAAAGCATCAGGCTATCTGCGGTTCTGTGCTGTATCCTAGGCTTTTCACTTGGTACATAATTACAATTGCTCATGCTAAAAAAATAAAAATTATATGTTCTTGGGAAAAAAGGCATGAGAATGTGGTTTTAAAAATAAAGTAGGCCTGACATGGTGGCTCACGCCTGTAATCCCAGCACTTTGGGAGGCCAAGGCAGGTGGATCATGAGGTCAGGAGATTGAGACCATCCTGGCCAACATGGTGAAACCCCATTTCTATTAAAAATACAAAAATTAGCTGGGTGTGGTGGTGCGAGCCTATAATCCCAGCTACTCGGGAGGCTGAGGCAGGAGAATCACTTGAACCTAGGAGGTGGAGATTGCAGTGATCCAAGATTGGCCACTGCATTCCAGCCTGGTAACAGAGCGATACTCCATCTCAAAAAAATAAAATAAAATAAAGTAATTTTGTTTAATTTAGATGGTTTAATAATTGTTTTAAGTTAAACAAATAGGAAAAACTGAAGGTTTAAGCAAGTTGTAGAAGGTTTGTGAAAAATTAACCTTGTAAAGAATTCTGTGTGTCAGCAAGTTGACTAAAAATAAAAGGGTATTATATAGTTTTTTCATAAATTGGATATTAAAATAAAAGCACACTGATTCAGGGCCAGAATCTGATCCCATATGTCAGAATAACAGTGTGTTTTTTTTGCACATTAATCTGCTTTTTAACATAAAATTATAAAGGGTTATAAAAGGTTTATGGAAATCTTAGCATATCATCAAGCCAATTAAAATCAAATAGGTTTGTTTATAAGATTTTATTTAAAATTAGTTTTAGCATTAATGAGGCACTAACGCAAATGTAGAATTTGTTTTTTCTTTTGAACAAGATTACTGTATAATATTGAGAGACAGCCGGGTGTGGTGGCTCATGCCTGTAATCCCAGCACTTTGGGAGGCCGAGGCAGGGGGATCACCTGAGGTCAGGAGGTCAAGACCAGCCTGGCCAACATGGTGAGACCCCGTCTCTACTAAAAATACAAAAGAATTAGGTGGGCATGGTGGTGGGCACCTGTAATCTCAGCTACTCAGGAGGCTGAGGCAGGAGAATCGCTTGAACCTGGGTGGTGGAAGTTGTAGTAAGCCAAGATCGTGCCACCGTACTCCAGCCTGGGCAACAGAGTGAGACTCCATCTCAAAAAAAAAAAAAATATTGAGAGACAATAAAAGTTATTTTGCCTTTTAAATGAACTAAAACAAAAATGGAGTGAAACAGGACAGATTCAGATAGGCTTGTGCTATCTTTATTGTATCTTGTTGCTTGGAAAGCTGAGTCTCCCCTCTATCAGTAAGTAAAGGTTTTTATCTTTTTGAAATCTGCATGATCATTTTGGCTAAATAAACAAATTATAGTGACCTGGGATTTTATTTTATAATATTAAATGTTTTAAACAATTGATATTTGCCAAACTTTTCAAAATCAAATTCTAAATTATGTTTTTTTGACCTGATTAATCCCTTTTGATATTAGATTTTCCAATTTCCAAAAAAGACATATTCAGCTTATTTGATATATTAAAATTATGCATGAAGCATTGTCAAATATAAAATGGTATTTAACTTTCTTTGAGTTATGTTCATATAAATATGTTTTAGTATGTTACAAAATTACATAAAATTTCTATAATTCTGATATGTCTCAGTATATATTAGCAGAAATAATTATAATTGTTAAGTTAAATTGTTGTGTAACACAAAAATCACCAAATTTCCTTATCAATTGAGTCTTTAATTGTGGCTGTCCTAAGACTTTTGTTATCCACAGGAAGTTGTTGTCTTGTTGTAATCCTTTTCAAAAGGTGGTTTAGAATCAGCTATAGGACCCTGATGGGTACTGTTAAATACAGATCTCTGATAGCTTTAAAAATTATGCCATTGAGCCAGGCGTGGTGGCTCATGCCTGTATTCTCAGCACTTTGAGAGGCCAAGGCAGGCAGACAGCTTGAGCTTAGGAATTCCAGATCAGCCTTGGCAACATGGCGAAACCCTGTCTCTACAAAAAATACAAAAATTAGCCAGGTGTGGTGGCACATGCCTGTAGTCCCAGCTACTCATGAGGCTGAGGTGGGAGGATCGTTTGAGCCTGGAATGCAGAAGTTGCAGTGAGCTGAGATCACGCCACTGCACTTGAGCCTGGGCAACATGAGTGGGACCCTGTCTCCAACAAAAAAGAAAAATAAAGAAAAAATAAAATTAAATTTAAAAATGGTGCCATTGAAACAGAAGAAAAAACTTCTAGGACTGTTGTAGAAAGCTAATATATTCATAAGGACTGCTGGCTCAATATCCATGCTATAAAGAGTTAATAGCATAGACTAAACTAATAAAAACATGTAATCTTTTGTGATGTTTTGTGCTTTGAATGTTTCTGATCCCTTTTGTTGTTTTTTGGAGTCAAGAAAACTTCTTTTTCTTTTGAGCTATTTACAGCTTTTAGCAATTGAATAAATTACAGTCCTGTGAGCAAAATTTGGAGCATATTTCTTTCTGTCTACCTAATTTATCTAGAATTTGAAAACCATTTATGAGTACTCTTAACTTATAGCAATATAGTTATTTGCATAAGTGCAATAGAAATCTGTTTTCTTTTGTAATAGGACAGTAGTTATTTTACCAAGGCTTTGACTGGAATGGCATGCTTTTGAGTATAAACAGACTGCTTTATGGAATCAAGGTTGACATATAAGGCCAATGAAAGCCCTTTAGAAAAACTGGCCACATACCTTATCTATGCAGTACCTGTACAGTGTTCCTGACCTGTGGTAAATAAAGAATGT
Organism: Homo sapiens; assembly: GCF_000001405.40. NCBI lineage: Eukaryota > Metazoa > Chordata > Mammalia > Primates > Hominidae > Homo > Homo sapiens. The sequence goes on along the minus strand of NC_000008.11, from coordinate 47,210,558 downwards.
CACTTTCTGACAGGCCCAGGAACCTCCAGTTATCTTGGGACCTCAAGAGGAGAGGAATTCACCCAACTCATAGAGATACTTGCAAGCACAGATAAATCTGAGGCTTCTTCAGGACAAGCCTTCCTGCTGTCACAGAGGAGCTACAAAGAGAAAAACTTGCCAAAATCACTAGATCAGGTAGCAAGAGATATCTATGCCTCTGTGTAGCTGAGCTCAAGGAAAAAAGTAATTTATGTCAAAATACATTTAAAGAGGTTTATTCTGAGCCAATATGAGTGACTGCAGCCTGGGGTTACACAATCTCACGAGGTCCTGAAAAAGCATGCCTAAGGTGGTGAGATTACAGTTTGCTTTATACATTTCAGGGAGACAGGAATTGCATGTAAAGTCATAAATAAATACATGGAAGGTATGCATAGGTTCATTTAAAAAAGGCAGAATATCTCCTACTGGGGGACAGGGGCAGTGCTTTCGAGTCATAGGTGGGTTTTGAGGATTCTTTAGTGGACAGTTCATTGAGAGAGTTAAGCTATTATCTAAAGACTTGAAGTTACTAGAAAGGAACACCTGAGTTAAGATTAGTGGGTTATGGAGCCAAGGTTCTTGTTATGTAGATGAAGCCTCATAGGTGGCATCCCTCAGAGAGGATAAATGGTGAATGTCTCTTTTCAGACCTTAAAATATGTCGGGCTCTCTCCTAGATCCATGAAAGGCCTAGAAAGGGAAGGCCTGGCTGCATGAATGGAGATTCTTAAAAGATGCAAATTTCCCACAAAAACAGTTTGCAGGGCCATTTCAAAATACAGGAAAAATATATTTTGGGGTTATATATTTTTATTTCCTTCAGGGTCTGCTATCTGTCATGTGATGCTATACCAGAGTCAGGTTGGAAAGTAAGTCACATTGTACCAGATTAATACAAATCTGCCTAACTAGATGTTATGGTTTGTAGGTCCCTTAGATAGGAATTTGGGCAAGAAAAAAAAGAGTTTAGTCCTGTCCATGAAAAGAGTCAAGCTCTGTAAAGTATTTAAAGAGTTTATTCTGAGCCAAATATGAGTGACCAATGGCCTGTGACACAGCCCCAGGAGATCCTGAGAAAAAGCACCCAAGGTAGTTGGGATGCAGTGTGGTATTTTATTTTATTTTATTTTATTTTTTGAGATGGAGTTTCACTCTTGTCACCCAAGCTAGAGTACAATGGCGTCATCTCAGCTCACTGCAACCTCTGCCTCCTGGATTCATGCGATTCTCCTACCTCAGCCTCCCGAGTAGCTGGGATTACAGGTGCCCACCATGCCCAGCTAAGTTTTGTATTTTTAGTAGAGACCGGGTTTCACCACGTTGGCCAGGCTGATCTCGAACTCCTGACCTCAGGTGATCCACCTGCCTCGGCCTCCCAAAGTGCTGAGATTACAGGTGTGAGCCACTGCGCCCAACCTGCAGTGTGGTTTTATACACTTTAGGGAAACTTGAGACATCAATCAGTACATGTAAGATGTGCATTGGTTCTATCTGGAAAGGTGGGACAACTGGAAAGGTGGGGAGTGACTTCCAGGTCATAGGTGGATTTGAGGATTTTCTGACTGGCCATTGGTTAAGTCATTATTTAAAGACCTGGAATCAAAATAAAGGAATGTCTAGGTTAAGATAAGAGTTTTGGAGACCAAGGTTTTATGCAGATGAAGCCTGCAGATAACTGACTTCAGAGAGAATGGATTGTAAATGTTTCTCATCAGACTTAAAGAGTCTGTTCTATCAGTCTTAAGGTCTCTGTGTTAGTGTTCATGCTGGTCAGCTGTGCCTGAATTCCAAAAGGAAGGAAGGCATAATAAGCCGTGTTCAACTCCAGCTTCCCATCATGGCCTGAACTCGTTTTTCTGGTTAACTTTGGAATGCCCTTGGCCAAGAGGAGGGTCCATCAGTCAATTGGAAGGCTTAAAGTTTTACTTTATAGTTATCAGGCTGTAAACGGAACCACCTAGGATGTGGATCTCTGAGTCCTTTAATAAACTAACTTGTTCTGAGACTATAGGAAGATTGTGTGGAGGGAAGACCCAATGGTGTGAGGGGATTAATCCCCTGTGCTTCTCCTTGAGCTCTGGGAACTGGGGAGGAAGCAGCTGAGGGTTGGGGGTTGATTTGTCAGAGATGTTGGAACCAGAGTGACTCCATCTTGAATACGGGCTGGGTAAAATGAGGCTGAGACCTGCTGGGGTGCATTCTCAAGGGGTCAGGCATTCTTAGTCACAAGATGTTTGTAGTTAAGGGAACAGATTAATAATACTTACTAAACAGATGCAGGACTTAACAGACTCAGGAAATGTCCTGATGTCCTAGTATCTTAAGAACAAGAGCCCTCTTAGTTCTTAGTTTAAGAATATTTTGCTTTAAAGATAAAAATACAGATTCTTATGGAAGACAGTAGTTACACAAGATGAACACTGTTTTGTCATGAGCCCTTGTAGTGGAGCACATCTCCCCCATGATTTTTTTTGCTTTGCTCTCTTGTACATAAAAAGGCATTGTACCTAAGGTGGGCATGTTCCTCCTCTTGCTTTTGGAAATGCCCTGCTCTGCCTATGGAGTAGCCATTCTTTCATTCCTTTACTTTCTTAATAAACTTGCTTTCACGTTACTCTGTGGACTCTCCCTGAATTCTTTCTTGTGCAAGATCCAAGAACCCTCTCTTGGTATCTGGATCAGGACCCCTTTCTGATGGGTGGATAGATGGTGTCTGCCATGCAGCCATTGCTGAGCCAGGCTCAGGGAGAAGGGGCAGAATCTCACAGTGGACTTCAACCAGACTCAGTCTGGTGGAATATTCACAGCCACACAGGGGGCCCTAGAGGGGGCTCAGTGTGACAGCAGAAGTGAGAGGTGTGTGGGCAAAGGAGCAGTTCATTGAGACTTCAGTGGATCCAGTATAGAGGAAGAGCAACTGGCCACGTGGTTGGGGCAGAGGGCACTTTGAGAGAGGGTGGGATAAGGGGAGAGTTTCCAGAGATGAGGCCTGCGGGGGAAATGCAAGACCTCCCAAGGAATTAGCAAGTGGCTTGGTGTGTCTCATGGGGTGGGATTCTAGTCATCTGGATGGGGACAGCTGCCCTGGAGCAGCCCTGGGAGAGAGCTTAGGAAGGAGGCTCACCTGAGAGCAGCTGTGACTTCTGGAGCTGCACAGTTGATTCTTCCCAAGTGAGACACACAGAGGTTTTATTTTCATTGCCTTTTTCTCAGATTCTTGACTATGTTAACCTGGGGTAAGGGATGTGAGAGAAAGCAAGAACCCCCTTTTTAAGGGGCCTGCAGACCCCAAGCACAGAAATAAAGGAAAATCCTGAGTTCCTCTGAGGGCAATTCCAGGCACTTCGCAATCCCCAACAAGTAAATAAGTGACTTGTTAAGAAGACAACAGTAGGCTAAAACAATAGCTAAAGAGGTTAGAGTCCCAGAGATATTAGCTTTCCCTACAGAAACCAATGATAATCTCTTAGCTTATGTCCCTGAGTTGTCTTTCAGAGGCTTGGATCCCCACTGAGGACCCCACAGAAAGGATCCACTGACATATTCCCCCAGATAAAGGGGAAGTGAAGACTAAACTTTAAACGATTTTTGGTTCTAAGTTTCTTCCCAAGGGGTTTAGAGAAAGTCATTCCTCATAACCAGTTAACATTCTTCTACTGACCCCAAATGTTTAAACAAAGCTTCTCTATTTTAGTCAACTGCAAATCAGAAGATCTTTGAATCTACCTATGACCTGTAAGCCCCTGCTTCAAGATATCCCACCCTTTGGGGCCAAAAACAACATGTAACTTCTGTGTATTGATTTGTGATTTTGCCTGTAGCTTCTGCTTTCCTGAAATGTACTACTAGTTTTAAAAACCCTTATCTGCAAGCCACCGGGGAGTTCAGATTTTAAGCAGGAGCCCGCCAGATTCTCCTTGCTTGGTGCCCTGCAATAAATGCCTTCCTTTCTATTCACTGCAAAACCCTCAGTTTAGATATCTGGTTTTACTGCGCTGGGTGAGTGGACCCCAGTTAGATTCTATAACAAGCCCTGGGTGTTCTCAGGCAGCCAGGGGAGGAGGTAGTTACTGATTCTTCCCCAGTCTCTGGGGAGCATCAATCTTGCAGAAGGTGCTTCTAGGCAGAAGCCTGAGCAACAGCAGAACCTCCTGACTGATTCCCATAGGCTCAGCCTCAGGGCCTCCCAGCCCAGAGACCAGCCCACGGGTCACATTCCTTTCTCTTGCAGTGGGGTATGTGTGCATGTGCATGCATGTGCAAATGTGTGTGTGTGTGCATGTGTGTGCATGTCTTCACAAATTCATTCTGTACTACTCCTGCTTCTCTCCATCACTGTTGCCCATCTGCAGGCCGTGGCCTGTATTGCATGAGGAGGGCAGCTGTGAAATTTAGTTGGGGAGGATCCCTTCCCCTCCCCACCCTCTTAAATCCACTCAGAACTGGTGTTTCAGGGAGAGCCTTGGATTCCACAAGTCCAGTGCTTTAAAAGTGAGCCTCAGAAAGGGAGGGGAACAATTCTGTTCCTCCTGGCTGTGGCAGCTGAAAATACCTGGAAATAGATGTGCTTAGAGTCCTGAGAAGACAGGGTGGGGCCTCAAGCCCCAGACACTAGGGGGTCCTGGATCAGTGTTCCAGGCTGGAGGTGCTGGCCTCACAATGCCCCTACCTGCAACTCAGTGAGGAAAAGGGTTGCACACACACGCCCCCAACCTGCTTCCTCTCCCTTCCCTCAGTCTACAGCCTTGAGAACTAAGAGCTCACCTAAGCTTTCATCAGTCACTGCTGTATGTGTGCTCTTGTCTCTGTGTGTGTGATAGTGTTTGTAGATTTTCCCACCATACTTGGATGCTTGTATTTTTTACAGAAAAAAAAATATAGTCACTATCTGAAATATAAGACAATGAAAAGTACATAAAGTCAGCTCCTTGTCATTCATTCAGTGAATATTTATTGAGCACTAGGCCTTCCCAGATACTGGTACCGGGAGTATTGGTGTGAATACAGCAGCCACAGTGCCTGCCCTTAAGAAGCTGACATTCTAGTGAGGGAGACAGACACAAAACAAGTTAATGTGAAATTACCAAGCATGGCACATGCCTATGAAGAAAAGAATAAGGTTCTGGAAGAGAGAGGACCTCAGGGCATCTCCTAAATCCTTATCCATACCCATATCCTTACAATCAATCATGTTTTCCAATGGCTTATTTTAGTGATTTATACATCTTGGCTCAACATCAGAACCATCCGAGGAACTTTTATTTTCTGTACTATGGAAATCTATACCTCACCTGACCTCCTGAATCAGAATTTTCACCCAAGGAGCTATACATTTATGAAGCTCCACAGATTATCTTGAGACATGCAAGATTGAGGACCATTGGCCCATTTAGGAGGCTGTGCACACATGACTCCTGTTTTCTGTGGTGAAAATAGAGGCGAGCTCAACATTCCTGACCCAGCGTGTCTTTCAGATGGTTCCATAGTACCACCTCCTGAGCCGGTTCAGCTTTGGCCTGTGGGGTTCTTTTTTTTTTTTTTTTTGAGACAGAGTCTCGCTCTGTCACCCAGGCTGGAGTGCAGTGGTGCAATCTCAGCTCACTGCAACCTCCGCCTCCTGGGTTCAAGCGATTCTCCTGCCTCAGCCTCTCAACTAGCTGGGATTACAGGCACCCGGTACCATGCCTGACTAATTTTTGTACTTTTTTTTTTAAATTAGAGACGGGGTTTCATCATGTTGGCCAGGCTGGTTTCGAACTCCTGACCTCAGATGATCTGCCTGCCTAAGCCTCCCAAAGTGCTGGGATTACAGGCATGAGCCACCGCACCTGGCTGGCCTGTGGGGTTCTTGTAAGCACGGCCATGGCCCCTGCACCCAACAGTGCTTTGGTGGAATGAGAGGAAGAAGCAAAGGGGCTTCCCCACTGACCCTATTGTGCTGTGGGAGGAAGCCTGACTGGACACATGCAGGACATTGCTCTGTTTTGGAATCATGTGAGGACATGTGTGTGAGTGTGCATCTGTGTATGTGTGCTTGTGTGACTCTACATGTGTGCACGTGTGTATGTGTGATGGTGCATATCTGTCTATATGTGTGTGTACGTGCCTGTGTGCCTGGGCATGTGTGTGTGTGTGCGTATCTGTGTATATGTGCATGTGCGTCTCTGTGTGTGTATATGTGTATGTGTGACTGTGTGTGTCTGTGTGTGTGCACATTAATGGATTTAATATGTCTTTTAAAAGGAAACCCTCTTTCAAGGCAAAATTCAACTGAATTTGACTCTGCAAATATTGTCAAAGAAAGACCATTTGATTTCATGGTAATTTTTATAATTGATGGAAAAGTGAACACTCAATCTTTTTAATTAATAGACTATTTTTAGAGAAGTTTTAAGCTTACAGAAATTCAGCGGAGAGCACACATAGTTTCTAAGCATTCTTAGACTGTGGTCACCCAGTTTCTCTTATTGTTAACATCTTGCATTGGTGTGGTATGTTTGTTATAATTGACAAATAATAATTATTATAATTGACAAATAATAATAATTATTATTGACAAATAATAATAGTTATTAACTAAAATCTATAACCTACATTAGGCTTCAGCTTTGCATTATGCACTCTGAGAGTTCTGAGAAAGGCATAGTGTCTCGTATCTACCATTATGTGCCCTACAGAATAGTTCTCACATAAAAATCCTGTGTGCCACCAATTTATCCCTTCTCTCCGACACTCATTTTAAGAAAGAAAACTCTGCTGATGGAGGAACTGCTGAGGGATTCACGGCATCAGGTGTTTTAAGCTGCTCCGTGATGCTCACACTAACTTGTTCACACACAGTGCCATTTCTATTTCCGGTTATGTGATGCGTGTTTTCCTAGTTTGCTATTTTTGATGTTGGGATAAATCCCATAATATAATGGTAAATTTATCATCTTTCTCCTCAAAATCTGCAATTCTGCTGGAGGTCCTCCTTACCATTGATGGCTTCTTAGTGTGTGAGAGAGTTCACCCCCAGCCTGGCAGTGCTGCTCCGTGCCTAGGTCCCCTCAGCCCTGGGCCCCACACTGAGGTTACTGAAGACAACGCCTGGGACAGAGTCAGACCCTGCTTTGGGACGTGGTTAGAGAGCCCACCCCAGACACGGCTCTGTGGATTCCCAGTGTGCCCTCTGCTGGAGGAAGGAGGCCCTGCTACTCACTCCCAAAGAAAGTAGCAATCATTTCACTGGGGAGGGAAGAAAATGCTCCCAAGGATGGGGTTAGGTTTGCCATAAACAAGATTATGTGGCAGGAAGGAGAAAACACCTATCTCCCTCCTTCAGCCCTTGAGCTTTCCAGAGAAGGAAAGTTGGATTGAGGTCACCAAGGGCTTGGAAGAGCTGATTTGGGGAGAGGCATCAACACTCATTCCTCAGTGTCTCAGCCCTGTGTGGTCGTGGGTCTGTGTGAGGTCTCAGCATCTGCCTCTCTCAAGGTCTCTCTTAGGGGACAGCAGGGTGAAAACTGCTGCAGGAAGGGAGGGGAAGCTGATTTGCATAAATAACTTTTTCCCCTGTTGGGTCTGTAGAGCCATGAAAAGGCCATGAGGACAACAAACCCCAGCGGAGAAGCCTGGCCCACGTGACTGTCCCCACCATGGCCTGCATGATGCTTCTCCTTGGGCTCCTTGCTTATGGGTCAGGTCAGGGAAAGGGACTCTGCATCCCTGGAGGGACCACACAAAGCAGGATCCAGGTTACCCTTATCCCCATGACCATAACTCTGTCTCTCTTGTTGGTTTTAGGGGTGGATTCTCAGTCTGTGGTGACCCAGGAGCCATCACTCTCAGGGTCTCCTGGAGGGACGGTCACACTCACCTGTGCCCTGAGCTCTGGCTCAGTCTCTACCAGTCACTACCCCAGGTGGTACCAGCAGACCCCAGGCCAGGCTCCACACATGCTCATCTGCAGCCCAAACACCTGCCCTTCTGGGGTCCCTGGTCGCTTCTCTGGCTCCATCCTTGGGAACAAAGCTGCCCTCACCATCACGGGGACTCAGTAGATGATGACTCTGATCATTACTGTGTGCTGTACATGGGTAGTGGCAATTCCACAGTGATTTAAACCCATGAGGAGGTGCAACTAAAACCTCTTTACATACTCAGAAAGATTCAGCCCTTAGAAGCAAGAGAGAAGTTGAGAGGGTGGGAATGTCAACACCATGAGCTGGGAACCTCCTTGCCCCAGTGTCCTGTGCAAGGGTTCACTGCCAGGTGCCTTATCTAGTCTCTCCCAAGGTGTGTCCATCTCCCCAGTGTGACGCTTCCATGAATATGTAAACTCACGGTGAGTCACAGAGACGCCTGTGCTCCAGGAAGACTCTTCTTATTCAAAGAGAATCAACTGACATATGCTCATTCATTAATTTGTCCATGGAGACCAATTTAGTATTTCATTTATTACTGAAGTAAGGGCCTTGCCAAGTGCCTTGTTAAAAATGCAATTCTCCAACCTAGACCTACTGAATCAGAAATTTGTGTTGGTGCCTAGTAATTTGTATTTAACAAGATGTACATGAGATTTTTGTTAGCATTAATATTTGGGAAGAGCCTACTTTTATTATTATGAAATTATTCCTGGGGAATCTCTGTTTAAAATGATCTCAGGTAATATTCCATGACCCCCCTCTCCTAAATTCCCATTCAAAACCTCCAGAATGCTCAGAAACAGACTTAAAATCTCAAGCCATGGACAAATTTATAACTTTATTTCTGCAGACAGAGATGGGAGGAATTTCCAAAAACATACGTTCTTAGGTGCCAGGTGTGGTGACTCATGCCTATAATAACTAATACTTTGGGAGGCTGAGGCACGAGGATTGCTTGAGGCCAAGAGTTTGAGACCATCCTCTTCCACATAGTGAGATTCCATCACTACAAAAAAAAAAAAAAAAAAGACATAAGCCCCTTTAGGAATTTCCAAGACCATAAGTTTTCTTAGGGTACATTTAGTAGCTCATATGAATATTTCTGTTATTAGAGACCATCTCCTGTAGGATTGGCTCCAGAATCTCTTCTCCCTCTCACTGAGCTGACCTACCTGCAGCTCTGGTTCTTAGGATCTTTGTAAGACATAGGGATCAGCCTTCCCCATCCTCTACATCTTATCACAGATTATCCCAGCGGATCACAGTTCCACTGAGATCCACTCAGAACATATATATACTTGTCCTGAACAGTGTCTCTTAACATGACGCTGGCAAGATGAGGAGGACTGAGCGGTGACAAAGACTTGGAGCCACCTGGGGATGACCTGTGACTGCACGGCTGAGCTTTGCTGAGCCGACCTCAGGCTCCCTCCCTGCTCCCCTCCCCTGAGTCTGTCTCCTGGCCACCCTAGATCCAGGAGCTTCCTCTACTTGCCTGGGTTCTGGGGTCACCTCAGAGAACCTCTCAGTGAGATAAAGGAGGTGCTGTGGGGGATCTAACACACCTGAGGGCAAATTTCAAGACTGTCCTGCACAGGAAGCCCTGTGAAAAGAAACCAACCAGCCCTACCTGTGTCTGGCACCTGAGTTTTTAGTCCTGACTCCCTGGTCTCATGGCTGTGTTGAGATTGCAAATGTGCGGTTTATTATCCAGGTCAGGAGAAATCCATGACAGTTTATGAGGACAAAGAAAACAACTACCCCGTGTACTTATCACACAATTAAGACACTGGCCTACTTTGGGAGGCCGAGGTGGGTGGATCACCTGAGGTCAGGAGTTCAAGACCAGCTTGGCCAACATGATGAAACTCCATCTCTACTAAAAATACAAAAAATTAGTCAGGCACTGTGGCGGGCTCCTGTAATCCCAGCTACTTGGGAAGCTGAGGCACGAGAATCGCTTGAACCCGGGAGGCAGAGGTTGCAGTGAGCCGAGATTGTGCCACTGCACCCCAGCCTGGGCAACAAGAGTGAAAGTCTGTCTCAAAAAAAAAAAAAAAAAAAAAAAAGACACTGGCCTTTGATTTGATTTGTCAGTGCCCTGGAAGAATCCTGGAAGGAGAGGGTCAAGGTTACTTAGAAGGTGTTGGAGCTCAAACATGAGGATCAGTGGAGAAGACACCTCATGGTGACCCAGAGAGATAAAGGTGGGATCAGTTGAGAGGGTGGGAGATGGGGATTTCTTAAGGTCATTTTGTTGGCTTCTTTCTCATTGCAAAAGATTCAAATTGAAATACACACATGATTTTCCTAATAAATGCTTATGAGGCTTCCCATTAAGTTTAATTATCTTTCTTGCCTTAATGAAAATAACCTAGAAAGTAAGAAATGAAATATACTTCTGTAATTTCTTACAGATTGTGTATTTTTAGACTAGAGGAAATCATTACTTCTAAAGGAAAACTACTAGGATTGTTTGCATTTTAATCTGGGATCCTACATGATGGCTACAGATACAGCTATTGTGCAAGATTTTAACCTGGAATTTCTGCCAATTCAATAACAGAGGCAATAAAAATGGATATGAATATTATAAAGACAGAATTCATTTATTTTAAAAGTTTTGAATGCTATGAATATCTACCAAGAATAGAATACATGGTACTGAAAATTTATTAGAATGAATTTTAGAATTGCCAAATTTGCAACTAATGAAATAAAATGTATTATAAAGAGTTCAAAATCCTTATTTTTTGGTCTCAGTAGACAAAAATAAACATTGAATTTATCTATTAGAAAATAACTAGTAAATTTAGTAAATTATATAAAAGAAAATTTGAACAAATGGTACAACAGGCCAGGTGTGGTGGCTCAGGCCTGTGAATCCCAGCACTTTGGGAGGCCTAGGCGGGCAGATCTCCTGAGGTCAGGAGTTTGAGACCAGCCTGTCCAACCTGGTGAAACCCCATCTCTATTAAAAATACAAAAATTAGCCGGGTGTGATGGTGAGCACCTGTAATCCCAGCTACTTGGGAGGCTGAGGCAGGAGAATCGCTTGAACCTGGGAGGCACACTTTGCAGTGAGCCGAGATTATGCCACTGCACTCCAGCCTGGGCAACACAGCAAGATTCTGTCTCAAAAAAAAAAATTGGTAAAACATTTTCTTTTATCTGAGGACATCAAATAAAAAAAATTCAGGCCAGATGCAGTGGCTCACACCTGTAATCCCAACTACTTTACGAGGTCAAGGTGGTAGGATCTCTTGATCCCAGGAGTTCAGTACCACCCAGGGCAACATAGTGAGATCTAATCTCCAGTGAAAATTATTAAATTTAAATGTAACTAAAATTATTTAATTAAAAATAATTAAAATTAGCCAGGCATGCTGGGCTGTGCCTGTAGTCCCAGCTACTAAGGAGGCTGAGATTGGAGGATTGCTCAAGCCTGGAAGGTCGAGGCTTCCTGCTGTGAGCTGAGATCCTGCCACTGCACCACAGCATGGGCAACATGGTGCTCAAAAAACAAAACAAAACAAAAATTCAGCAAGTAGATTGGTGATGTAAATGCATTGTTATTATTTTTATCATTGTTTGCTTGTGTAGGTTTTCCTCTGAGAAGGTGGACGGAGGGTGTTAGCAGAGGAGATAGCGCAGCCCCCTTAGATATCAGAAACAGGGATCTATGGTAAATGGAAAATGCCAGTCACTTGTCGCCATGCACAGGCGGCTATACCCTCCCTGTGTCAGGCTCTGTGCCAGCAGTGATGGGCCCCATGTGCCCCCTTCAGGGTCCTGCATGCCATCTGTGCTACCCTCCAAACTCCCAAGGGCTGGGCATTGGTGCCTGTGTTGCTATGACGACTCAGCACTGTGTCCTCCCTGAGAGGGGCAGAGTCTGTAGAGGGTTCTAGTATCTGCTTCCTGTCTGATCCTCCCATGGGACAAACTTTGCATCTCACCCACCAGCCTCCTGTGTCTAAAGAATAAATGTCAGACTGCAGCTGTCTTCTCAGGTGGAACAGAGATCACCAGGAGGAGAACACACTTGTATAAACATCTCCTCCTCTTTCAGAGCAACAAAGATAAAAAGAGGCCTGAACCAGCAGCCTTCATTACAGGCAAGAGTACTGTGTCCACTGTGGCCTGGACAACTGTCTTCTTCATGCTCCACCATTATTGCACAGGTGAGGACAGAATTTGGTTGTCCAGGGTGAGCTCCTTAGCTTGTCAGCCCCTCTGGCTCAGACCCCCAAGGGACTTCACCCTGGCCCCGCCCCAGCCCCCATGTGAGTCTGCGTCTGCAGTTCTTTCTCCCAGCCTGTGCTGACTCAGCGCCCTCCCTCACTGCATTGCCTGGAGCATCAGCCACACTCACCTGCACCCTGAGCAGTGGGGCTTCAGTGTTGGTGACTGCAATGTACTGCTTCCAGCAGAGGCCAGGGAGTCCTCCCAGGTTTCTCTTGAGATACTCCTCAAACTCTAGTAAGCTACAGGGCTCTGGGGTCCCATCTGCTTCTCTGGATCCAAAGATGCCTCAGCCAATGCAGGGATTCTGCACATCCTTGGGCTGCAGCCTGAGGACAAGGCTTACTATTATTGTTGTAGCAGCTTGCAGGCTTACACAGTGCCCCAGACCCATGGGGAAGTGAGGCGCTAACCTACTCTCTTTTCCCCTTGCCTGGCGCAGTCACCCCGCTAGTGGTTCTGACCAAGTCCAGCTCAGGGGGTGACTTCTGTTGTCAGATCTTTAAATAGCAACTGATTTTCCCAAATGGATCTGACAATGTGGTACCATTTTCTTCAGTTTAACTTTTAAATCAGTTCACTTCTCATTTCTTTTCACTCTGTTCATGGTTATTCAGGAAGAAATGTTTTGTTTAAAGCTAAAAATCTCTCAGTGGAGACTTTGGAGGAGGCCCAAAGAGGCTGGTTCAGGCCATGCCCAGCTCAGGGTCCAGGAGTGATATGGAGATGCTTCTGCTCAGAGGGCGTCAGTCTGGGCCCTGGATACAGCACCCGCATGCAGGAGAGAGCTCTATTCTCTATATTAGCGATGAACCATCACTCATTTTAAAATAATCTTCCTGGAGGAACAGAAAACCATGGGGTGAGGCTGCTCTAAGAGTCACAGAAATAAACTTGGCTGGAGGGCAGAGAGGGGAGCCAGACACCAGTGGACCCAGTCATTAGTGCTGCTCATGACCTTGAGCCCCTGACCATGTGAGATTGCCAAGGTGTGGGATAAATCTAAGACATTTTAGGTGGGAAAATAAGACAAGCATCCTCATTTCTTCATGACTCAGTGAAGGCACCAGCCTTGGCTCTGTGGGTTTCCTGGAAGATGCTGGAAATGGGGGAGTATGTCATGTTGCCTAGCAGGTGTTGGGACTCAAACATGAAGATCAGTGATAAAAATAAATTAACAGAGCCAAAATAAATAAAATTAAATGTTTATAATAAGTTAAGAATAATATAATACCTTTATTTAAAGACAGGGTAAGTCATAAGGGTGGAAACAGTGGATTTACCTCAAGGCCTTTTTTTTTTTTTTTTTTGCAATGGAGTTTTGCTCTGTCGCTCAGGCTGGAGTGCAGCGGTGTGATCTTGGCTCACCACAACCTCCACCTACTGGGTTCAAGTGATTCTCCTGCCTCAGCCTCCCAAGTAGCTGGGATTACAGGTGCCCACCACCACACCTGGCTAATTTTTGTATTTTTAGTAGAGATGGGGTTTCACCATGTTGGCCAGGCTGGTCTTGAACTCCTGACCTCAGATAGTCTGCCCACTTCAGCCTCCCAAAGTGCTGGGATTACAGACGTGAGCCACTGCACCCAGCCACCTCAAGGCCTTTTTATTAACCCTTTCCCGTTGCAATATTTTCCTTTTTTTTTTAGAGTTGAGATCTTGCTTCATTGCTCAGGCTGGAGAGCAGTAGGGGGATGGGGTCACTGAAGCATTGACCTCATCTGCAAAATATTCAAATATAAAAATATTAAATAAGCATTTCAATAAATGCTGAAGAAACTTCCCATTAATTTCAGTCAATGTCTTCATAAAAATAAATATAAAATTAATGAAATAGATTATAATTCCCTAGTGTCTTAATGACAGTGCGTCTTTAACCTAGATGGGGTGCCCCACCCCTGGATCAGCCTCCTGGGTCAGCCCTACCCAGCCAGGCCCTGCACTCTGTCCCCTGCCTTATACTTTCATCCACACCCTTGTGGGCCACTGGAAAGGAGGTATCCAGCAGCCTTTTTTTTTTCTTTCTGCTGTGCTGCTCAAATGGGGGGAAGGAGGCATCCAGAACCATGAGCCATTAAAAACAACTAAGGAATAGAGAAAAGCATTAGTCCTCAAGGTGAGATACTAGGACTGTTTCTATGTTAATCTAGAACCACCCATGACGGCTGCTGACAGAGCTGTTAAGAACAAATTTAACCTGGAATACTGTCAAATCATAGTAGAAATAACAAAAAGAATAACGATATTTCAAAATGAAGATTCATTTGTTTAATTTAAGAATGTCACATATTCTACCTAGAAGATAAGAGATTTTACTACAAATTCATTAGAAGTTTCCTTCATGGCATGGACCACTGATGTCCCTGCCTTCTTGGGTGGTGTGATGTTACAGGTTGGGGCAGCATCCATGTCCCACACTCCTCGGGGTAGAAGCGGGGAGCAGAGGCAGGAGCCTGAGCCTGTGGCATTGGCTGGGCCAAGGATGACCTTACCAAGGCTTTCTCCTTGTCAGCCATCCTCACATGCAGGTGGTCTGGCAGTGGCACTGTGAAACCCAGGCACTGGAGTTTCCCCTGCATGGCCCAGTGGTGACTGTGGTGGCCATCAGCATCTGGGGCAGATAAAGCCGTGTGAGCTGGCAGGTTGTGGCCACCATTCCAACAATGCTATGTGAAATACATATATCCGAAAACAATCAATGCTGTTCCAAATGTATTAATTATGTAATAGCTGTTTTAAGTCACACAATTTTTTAAAATGACTTGAATCTAATACGTTTCTTTTATCTTTAAAACTCTCTAACATAGATTCAAGGATAAAAATGATAAATTGATCAGACGTTTTATATTATGAGTTCAGTAACGTTGTTAAAAAGTATATTCATCTAAGGTTAGGAGTGTTGTCAGAACGAGAATGCGTTCTGTAGTAAATTTGTGAAACAATAGTTTTGGAATTGCCTTACTTAGCATTCTGGTGGTTTAAAATTAGTTTATATTGTAAATATTACTTACTAGGCTTGTAGAATAAAGTGTCACTGTTTATCTTTTTTTTTCCCATTATGAGAATTTATTTATTTTTGGAGGAAATTACTTTTGTTGCACTCTTCACCTACTTATGATAAGTAATCCTAGAATGTTTGCAAAAAGCTCCTTTTGTTGTATAATAAAACAGTTGCTATTCTCGTTCCATTTATTTAAGGTCACTTTTTTTTGACTTGCTGGAGAAAATGTTTGTTCAATTATTGACAAATATTTACTGAACACCTGCTCTGTGCCACGTACTCCTGTGTCAGATGCTGGCTATTTGTTGGTGAATAAAACAGACTTTCTCCTTATAGAAATTGTGTCTAGTGAGCACAGGAGTAAATTCTGTG
This sequence comes from Homo sapiens, assembly GCF_000001405.40. Taxonomy (NCBI): domain Eukaryota; kingdom Metazoa; phylum Chordata; class Mammalia; order Primates; family Hominidae; genus Homo; species Homo sapiens. The sequence continues at coordinate 47,195,009 of NC_000008.11, read as the reverse complement.
AGTGCTATGATGGAGAGTCAAACTGAGCGCTCTTAGATTTGCCAACATGTAACATGTTGTTCTTACCAATTTCTTTTATTAAAATAAATGTTAGCGTACAAAGATAATCTGTTTTAATGTATATTCAGAAATATCTGTTTCTATGAGTTAAGAGTATCTGCACAGATACAGCAAATAATTTATAGTAGGCATCAGATATAAATAATATAAAAGTAAATGAAGTGTTTTCCCAGAGCTTGATCTAGTTTCTGATTTGATATTTTAATAACATGCATAAAATATCACTTTATAAAGAAGAATTGTTCCACACTATAGAAACTTCCCTAACAGGTTTAAAATACCTTCTTGGAAAAATATCAACACCATCTTTAATGTGAAGGAAATCTGATTGTCCAAATACATCTGTTAAGATGTAACATATGAATAGGTAACACACTGTGTAAGATTACTTATAAGACATATTTTAAAGATTTTAAAAATACTTAATGTGCTCACTTTGTGCTATAACTTATAAAATTTCTGCTGTGTGGTGGTGACTTACTTGTAAGAAATGAGAGGTGGCAGGGCGCAGGTGCAGACTGTGGTTGGGTGGGTCAGCTGACCCCAGGGTCCTTTGAACTGATTTAGGCCACTTGCCTTGGTCTCAGAATCACCACTGTCATAGCCAGTCAGTCACAGGGCATCCAGCAGCTGCTGCAGGTTGAGAAGCAGGCCGTTGAGAAGGTGTCAGAGGCCTGCAGCCAAAAGAACCAGAGGCTGAAGCAGGCCAAAGTGGCAGTTCAGGCTGAAATTGAATAGTGCCACCTGCAGAGGGAGAAAGAGTTCAAGGCCAAGGAAGCTGTGGCACTGGGACCCCAAGGCAGCTGCAGCACGGAAGTGGAGGAGACCCAGGATAAAATGACCATCCTCCAGACCTACTTTCAGCGGAACAGGGAAGAGGGTGTGGATAACCTCTTGGCCTTTGCGGCATCCAGCCAGAAATTCATGAAAACTACGGCATAAATGGATAGGAGGAGAAGCGCCTGTTCCATGGACTGGCATTTTAGCTGCCCTCATGAAATAAGAAACTTTAGCAAGCTCTAGTTATATTCTAATGAGAAGGCATTTAATTATTTCTGTATGTTGTATAGTTGGTCCCTTCACTTTATGGAGAGCAGCAAATCCAGTTTCTTGTGCAGACATAGAACTAAATGTGTCATCCTTTTACTTCATGTTTCTTAGGAATTTAATGGTTATGTGCTGTCTGTTTTCCTATGCCTTTTGGCTCAAGTAACATATAGCAATGTTGACTTTTTCTTTTTTAGATCTAGTAAAACAACAACAACAAAACAATCTTTGAAGAAAGGAAGGGATTAAGTATTTTTCCTCTAATACTTTCTTGAAGGTCAATGAAAAAGTGGTAAATAGTTATATGTAACCTGTGTGAAGCAGCAGCCAGCCTTAAAGGAGTCCATTCCTTCCAAGGCTTAGAACAGTGACTACTGCTGTAATTGCTTAGGCTGCTGTTAGTTTCTCTTAATCAAAATTACTATGTGATAGAATTCATGTTATTACTTGGTGTACTGAAAATAATTTAAAAGTAAAGACTCTGTCGTGCAAGAAAGGAAAAAATGAGAGGCAAAGAATGTTAAAATAGAAAAAATGTTTTTATGAGAGAGTTAACCTTTTAATGGCAACTATATGTGAATAAAATTAAACCATCACTTAAAATATTCATTAGAATGAATAATAGAATAACCAAGTTCATAATTAGTAAGATAAAATATATTGTTGTTTTTTCGTTATTTTTTAATTCATATTAGAATTTCTGTCAGTGTTTGAACATTCATATTTATAGTTTGTACATTTTCACCTTCCAAGGTTTAAAATGAGAACCACACTACATCACAAAAGGTAACTAATAAACATTTCACAATTGTGTGAATATCCACTCACTCTCACTCTCTTAACTTCTTTCCTTAATTTCTTTCCTTGCTGTAATTTACAATGAAGTGTGCCCCACTCATATCTCAGCAAAGTTTCAGATATTATGGATTCATCACATGTATATTCTTTTAAAATATACTTCTGTCAACAGACTTGATAACTATTATGTACACCACAAAAACAAATTTTACATAAATTATATGGCATACTTTTATCTTTGTAATTGAAATGACACAAACTCATTTACACCAAAATTGGCAATAAGACTCAGTTTGAATATTTATTTCCTTTAAACCCCTTACCCTTTAGGGTTTTAACCTACCATGAGTCCTTAATGTAAATGTTATATACTCCAAACTATTTAACATTAGTAAGCACCCTATACAAGTAAAAATTCTGTTCAAAAGTAAAACATAGCTGTAGTAATGTTTCCAATAGAAATAAAATCTCTGCATTTCTGTGGTTATAAACTGGTATGACAAATACTGTAGAGGAAAACATTCTTATGACACAAAATTAAAAATATCAGAAAGAATTTTTTAAGTTAAAACATACACATGAACAAATAAGACATTCAAAATGAAAGTATTAAAAGAGAGAGGGAGAGAAATTCTAATTACCTGCCAGCCCCCCAGTTCTCCCTTTGCCATTGTGACTATTGGAGAAAGTTCTACACTGTGCAGAAGTCAGGGGACCACACAGGCTCTGGCACACCACGAGCTGGGCTCAGAAAAGGAGCGAGGGTATGCCAGGAGCCAGAGGGAAATGGACTTCAGAATTTTGCGTCGTCTCTCCTCGACACAGGACATAACGTTTTCTGAGCAGAGCTGGGCGTTAAGTAGGCAGATGATGTGGGTGACAGAGAGGCATCAAGACAGCTACAGGGGGGCTGCCAGGGTCCCCGGCAGAGTCACACACACAGCCAGCAGCCACAAGTCGCTTCCAATCAGTATCTTAGAGTTTCATGGTGAGTATCAGGATCTGAGGTCACTACGCTGCAGGTATTCCTGGGGCCCATTGCCCTTCCGTTAAGATTTCCCACATAATTTAAGAGGGAGTAACAGGAGCTGCCACTTGTGAGTGCCTCATAGTAGCTTAGGCTTCTGCCCTGCTGGGACCCCGCCCTTTCCTCTGACTTCTTGTCTGTAACAAGACACTGGTGTTGATTTGGAAGGGGAGCCAGACACCGGGTGCTTCCCTGACATTTGCTGGTCTCTAGCTAAGAGGTTGAGGGAACCCATACCTTAGAGCAAAAGAAGAGCAGTACAGAAGCAATATGCCTGGTTGAGAGATCTGCCTCCGCCTACATCCTTCAGTGGGGTGTATGCCATCCTGCTTTTCCATGTCACACTGAAAGAGCGCTATTAATGGAGAAGACGGAGACAATGATGATTTATTTAGGAAGTGTGCATCCCAACACTGACACATTGAGGAGAATCCTTCTGGAGCTTGTATCTCACAGAATGCCTGCCTCTGCATCACCACAATGCATGCTCACAATTTATTTTTAAAGAAAAATGGAAACAGATCCAGAAAGCCCCAATGAGCTGTTCCATTTAAGAAGAGAGGGAGTTTAAATCACAGTAACTCAAAACATAATTTCTGGGTTTATTGTGGGCCCAGGAATAGCAGAACAGGTTTTTCTACATGTAGCAGGGCCATGGTCTCCAAAAGATTTGCAATCCACTCTTAAATTTGGGGGTGCCAGGGGACAGGTCATGTGTGTGTTGGTTGTGAGAGGGGCACAATACTGCGTGCTTTTTAGAGGATATTCTCATGGCCCATCCAAGGCTTACCGCTTGGCATGTTACCCAATTCTTTAACATCCACGATGATGAACAGGTGTTAGTTCTGCACCCTGAGGTTTCAATATCCATCATGATGATCCGTGAGAAGGAACTTATTTCCTCTGCAGCACAAGTTGAGGTGTCTGGATGACAACCAACGATATTAAGCGATGCTGTGGACATGATGCCAGTCTGGCTTTTCCTGGGCCCGTTGAAAGGATTAGGCAGATGTTTAGGGCCAGCCCTCACCCAGCACAAAGCAATAAAAGATCCTTATGCTTCTTCTAGCCTGACTAGGTCAGAGCCTGCTAAGGGTTACAGACACTGAGGGGAAACAAAACAAGCAATAAAAACAAATCACAGTACAGTACACTGAGAAATCACACGTGTTCACATGCGCAGCCACTCGAGAACCACACACAACTACAACTAGAGAAGATACCGGGATTAACGTCCTTTGCTCATATCTGTTCATTAAACAAAAAACGTTATGATGCATAACATGATTGAAAGTTAACAGTAACATTTCGGGTGGGGGGCTGGGGGAGGGATAGCATTGGGAGAAATACCTAATGTAAAGGACGAGTTGATGGGTGCAGCAAACCAATATGGCACATGTATACCTATGTAACAAAACTGCACGTTGTGCACATGTACCCTAGAACTTAAAGTATAATAATAATATAAAAAATAAAAAGAAAAAAGAAAAAAGAAAAAAAAAAACCAGTAACATTTCATACTACCACAGGGTTGTGATATGCAAATTTAAAATATTTAAACAGAAAGCTTTACAAAATAATCCTATTACATAAGCAACATTCACATAGAATTATACAAGTAAATTATACAATATATTTTATTTTATTTTATTTTATTATTTTTCTTGAGACGGAGTCTTGCTCTTTCACCCAGGCTGGAGTGCGGTGGCGCAATCTCGGCTCACTGCAAGCTCCACCTCCCAGGTTAACGGCCATTCTCCTGCCTCAGCCTCCCGAGTAGCTGGGACTACTGGCGCCCACCACCACGCCCAGCTAATTTTTTGAAATTATAAAATATTTAAGCAGCAGCAACATATGCTGACATTCAAGACGAAGTGAAGCTTGGTTGTGGCACAGAGACCAATGCAAAAATAAGGAGAGGCCCCACTGCAGCCTCCACAATCTGGGGCAGGAGTGGAGAAGCCCCAGATCATACTACTTTACATCCTTCCTTCCTATATTACACATGTGTACACCTCTTAAATCTTTATGGAAATGTTTAACAAAATAATACAACCAGCTACAGCAACAATGTACTGCTATCCTGGCTCAAGGCATCTTTACCGTAACTACGAGCAGTTCTTACCAAGCAGTTCTTGAAAGGTGTAGGGGCAGGGGTTTCCGATCTTTGACCTCTTTACTTTAGATTTTTTTTTTTTTTTTTTTTTTCTGAGATGGAGTTTCGCTCTTGTTGCCCAGGCTGGAGTGCAATGGTCCAATCTCAGGTGACTGCAACCTCCCCCTCCCAGGTTCAAGCGATTCTCGTGCCTCAGCCTCCCTAGTAGCTGGGATTACAGGCGCTCGCCATCATGCCTGGCTAACTTTGTATTTTTAGCAGAGACGGGGTTTCACCATGTTGCCCAGGCTGGTCTCGAACTCCTGACGTCAGGTGATCCACCTGCCTCGGCCTCCAAAAGTGCTGGGATTACAGATGTGAGCCACTGCGCCCGGCCTGCTTCAGATTTTAATCACCCTCAGTTGGAGCTGCTTCCCCGGGGCCACTCCTCGCACTCCACATCCTGCAACTCTGTGACTTCTACCTTCAAATTCGTCCTCTCACCCTGGACCTGGAAAAGCAGGTGAGGACCCATGAACAACCCGTGGTCAGTCCCTGGGTAGCCCTCCTGGCCTGTGCAGAGCCCCGCTTGGGGGTCCTGCGTGGGCCCAGGACAGGCGGAGGGTGCACAGTGACAGTCACGGAAGCGGATGCCATCACAGTGGTGATGGAGAACACTGCAGGCCTCAGGCGGCTCGGCTCTGGCCGGGGTTGACAGATCAGCTGCTGCGGCGGCCGCGGCCGGGGTCAGACCCTGCGCCTTCCACTGCCACATTGCGCGGGTCCCAAGGTCTCTGACAGAGGGCTAGAGTCGACACCCAGCGAGCCTGTCCTGCGCGTTCCCTGCGGCTCCAGCTTTCCCCACCCGACCTCCGCCCCGCGCCGCGACCCCTCAGCGCAGAAAGAGCCAGCAAATCCCTGCGGTCCCGCCGGCGGCGTGGGCTCCCTCGGCCCCTCCCGGGTGTAGGGCACCTGCAGAGCCGCTGGGTGCGAGGGGGCCCGGCGGGTCCCAGTGCTGCCGCTGCTCCTGAGGTGGCAGCTCCCAGCGGTGGTGGCTCCAGGAGATGGAGGTTCCCTGCGGTGACGGCTCCCGGTGGCCGTGGCGGCTCCTGGAGGTGGCGGCTCCCAGCGATGGCGGCTCCCGGGAGATGGAGGCTTCTGGCGGTGGCGGCTCCCGGCTGTGGCAGCTCCCAGCGGTGGCGGCTCCTGGAAATGGAGGCTCCCGCCGGTGACTGCTCCAGGCAGTGGCGGCTCCCGGGGGTGGCTGCTTGGTCCGCTGGGCTTGGGCTGCTGGGTTCGCGGTGCTGTGTGGCCCGGCCTCCGCTTTCCTGTGCTCCTACACAACCCACGGAACCATCCCGTCTCCGAGTGGCGCTGCTCTGGCTCCCGGACCCAGGGACTGTGCCGTGTGTGTGCAGCGTGCAGCGGCTGCAGCGGCTCCGTTATTGAGTAGATGAGATGGAAGAAGAAAAAAAGAACTCCCTCCATTTGGAGAAAGAAGGAGGGGAAGGGGAGACAGCAAGCGAAAGAGGAAAAGGCTATATTGCTTTTTATGTAACTCCTTAAAATTTCAGACTGTTTATTATTCTACTCTCATTAAAATGATAAACTTCCAATGTATCTAAAAGAAAACAACCACAAAACTCAGCAAATAATACAGGAGGTAATTTGAACAAATGGTGAAATATTTTCTTTTTTTTTCTTTTTTTTTTATTATACTTTAAGTTTTAGGGTACATGTGCACATTGTGCAGGTTAGCAAATGGTGAAATATTTTCTAACCTGAGGAAAGTAATAAAAATTTCAACAACGAGTAGATAGGTTCTGTGGGCCATTTCATTATTTTATTATTGTGTGTTTGTATGTGTTTTCCCTTGAGATGGTGCGCAGGTGGGTGTCAGCAGAGGAGACAGCACAGGACCCTCAGATGCCAGAAGCAGGGATTGGTAAATGTGAAACACCAGTCACTGTCACCATGCAGGGGTGGCTGCGCCCTCCCTGTGTCAGCCTCTGTGCTGGCAGAGGTGGCCCTGGTGCCCTTTTAGGGTCCTGCCCGCACTCTGCACTCACTCAGCCAGCCCCATCTTCTAGAACTGAGGGTCATCTCCTTCTGCACTGGAGCAAGCAGCAGAGTCCTGTGGACACTGTGGCCTGGGTCCCCAGCTCCTAGGAGAAGCCCCATACAGTGACGCCTGCTGTTTCCCACAGCGCTCAGGGGTCTCTGTGGGAGCTCTTGTTCCAGGTCTGGCCTGGTGGCCTCCCTTACTACTCTGGCCTCCTGTCTGAGGCTGAGGGTGAGCATTCCCATTCAGGAGGTGAACAGAGCCCAGTGCAGCCCAGGGCCCCTACCCCCAGGGAAACGAGGCCCAAGCCTCTTGTCTGATCTCCTCTAGGACCCCTAGATCCCTTCTCTCCTCTTGTCACTAAGGCCAGAATAAGGGAAACGCAGGCACTTCTCCTTGCTGGAGCAACGATCTGAGACCTTCACTGAATTGGTAACCTTTTATCCCCCCGATATTTATGCTTAACTATTAAGATAAATCATCTCAGCCCAGTCATTGCCACAAAGGCAGGAAGCTCAGGTGGAAAATACTCTGGTCATCCCATGTGTCTGGGCATGTGACCTTGATGTGTGTTTGTGCCCATGTCTCAGGACAAGTTTTGGGTTAGGGGAGTAGTCAGCATGTGGCCCAGGGGAAAGGTGTTGAGGTTTGTGGAGTCAAAGAGGAAACTCATGCACATTAGTGCTCTTTATCTATAAGGCAGCCTGTGAAGTCTGCAGGTTCTGAGACTGTCTGCAAGTGGATCGGTAACATGCCCCAGGATGGACGACTGGGACGCCACAAAGGAAAAGACAGGCTACACAGTGAAAGTACACCTGCCCATGCCCTAGGACGCTGAAAGCGCTATGAGTGTCATTCAGTGTCTTCGGGGCTGAGTGGAAAGAGCACAGACTGCCTTTGCTCTGCTGTCACCACAACAATCAGCACAGAAGGCTTCCGTGACCAAATGTGTGGGGATTTCTCGCTCCCACAAAGCAAGCCATCAGTTTTGTAGTGGACCCCACCTGGGTGTCCTCTAACTCAACTCAGTTCTGACACTATCTACATGAAGATGGGGTCTGATCTTACAGCTTGAGGGCTCTTTCACGAAGACTGTGCCCCACTTCTTATGCCAATCACAAGCCCAGGTTGCTTCATCTGTGCTTCTGACCAAAGACCTATAAACTGAGGATCCCACAACTCCTCCTTGGCTTCAATTAATTTGCTAGAATGCCTTGCGGAACTCAGGAGAACACTTACTTAAATTCACTGGTTTATTATAAAGGATATAACCGACACAGATGAAAAGGTGCATAGGGTGAGGTATGGGAAGAGGTGCACAACCATCCAGTAACCTTCATGTGTTCAGTCCCCGAGAAGCTCTCCCAATCCAGCCCCCTTTGGGTTTTTATGGAGGCCTCATCACACAAGCTTGATGGAGTAAACTACTGACCACTGGTGATTAACCTGCAGCCCCTCTTCCCTCCATGGAGGTTGGGAGACAAGGCTGGAAGTCCCTATCCTCTAACCCTGCCTTGGTCTTTCTGGTGACTGGCCCCTATCCTGAAGCTACCTAGGGACTGCTGGCCATCAGTCATCTCAGTGGCATACAAAAAGGCATCACTTCAGTAATTCTAAACGTTTTATGAGTTGTATGATGGGAAATGGGGTCAAAGACCAAATTCATAATTTATGATATCACAGGGATGGAAAAGAAACAGGAGACCGAGGATTTCTAGCCCACACTAATCCCTGTTATGACAGATATGGAATCCCAATCCACAGGAGGCAGGAAGCTGAGAGGTGAGACAAAACCTATGAAAATCAGAGATGAGGGGCAGGTCTCAGTTTCTTGTGACTGAAGTGATAGAGCCCTGCCAGGCTCTCACTTGGATTGACAAACTAAATAAAAATATATACCCTTAAAACAAAGAACACATCTGAGTATGCATCCGAAAGAATGGAAGTTAGGATCTTGCAGAAATATCGATACACTCTTATTCATTGCAGTATTAATCACAGTTTCAAAGACAGGGAGGCAATGTAAGGTCCACTGATCAATGAATGTTTACAGAAAATGTGGTGTATAGATGCAATGGGATACTATTCAAATTCATAGAGAATTAAATCTTGCCATATGCTACAACATGGATAACACTGGAGCACATTATGCTGAGTGAAATAAGTCAGTCACAGGAGAAAAAATGCTGCCTGGCTCCATTTGTGTGAGGTCTCTATCATAGTCAGCCTAACAGCAGTGGAGTAGAATGCCAGGGGCAGAGGGAGAAGGAAATGGGGAGTCACTGCTCAAGGGCTATGAAGCTTCAGTTATGCAAGATAAGTAAGTTCTAGAGATGTGCTGTGCAACACTGTGCTTACAGTTAACAATGCTGTATAATGTACTTAAAATTTTGTTAAGAGGGTAGATTTCATGTTAAGAGATCTCATGTTAAGTGTACTTATTAAAATGGAAAAAAAAGGCCAGGTGCGGTGGCTCACGCCTGTAATCCCAGCACTTTGAGAGGCCGAGGCGGTGGATCACGAGGCCAAGAGATCGAGATCATCCCGGCCAACATGGTGAAACCCTTTCTCTACTAAAAGTACAAAAAATTAACTGGGCGTGGTGGCAGACACCCAGCTACTTGGGAGGCTGAGGCAGGAGAATCATTTGAACCAGGAGGCGGAGGTTGCAGTAAGCCGAGATTGCGCCACTGCACTCCAGCCTGGCAACAGAGCGAGACTCCGACTCAAAAAAAAAAAAAAGAAAAAAAAAACCCTTAAAAATAACAGGATGGAAAAAACATACCATGAAACCATTTACAGAAAGTTTCTGTGGCTATATTAGTGGTACTAGGAAGTGCAGAAATCCTCAGCCCTTTGTTTGTATTGGGAAAAAGATTTCAGCCAAGAGACAAGTTAACCAAAAAAGAGGGAATTTATTGAAGGAAGATAGGGAGCAGAAACTCTATGTGGCGGGACAGTACTTTGAAAGGTGCAGTTAATGAATGCATACTGCTTTTTCTCGATACTGGGGCAGGTAAAGATGGACCCTTTTCTGCATCTGTGTTGTGAGTAGCTAATCATCCACCCTGTAGTGCCATGAAGGTCAGGGCCATTTGCAAGCACAGAACCTACATTTTCTTTGTACGGTGATTCCACATGCACATATGAGTCACTGCTGGTCACTGAGTGAGGCAGCATCCTTACTCTCAGTGACCTTGCTAGTAAGCTTTCCTGGGGTTTGATAGTCAGTAATAGGTGCATGTGTAGGTATATGGATGTACGTATGTGTATATGTGTGTGTGTATATATATAGAGAGAGAGAGAGAGAGAGAGAGAGACAGAGTCAGAGAGAGCACATGAGTGCTGGGGGAGGGGAAGAGGCTTCACAGAGGTCTTGAAGCATGAGGAGTAGTTTGCCAGGAGATAGGGGATGAAGAACATTCTAGACAGATGGAAAAGGAGGAGCAAAGGCATGGAATGGGGACTAGAGAGCCTGGAGAGGGCAGAAGGGAAATGGCTGGAGGGGTCATGAAAAGCCTGGAATGCCACTCTCCAGAGATTGAGTTCCACCTTGCAGTACAGAGGATGACCTGTGGGTTTTATTTCATAAGTCATCTTCATTTCATTGCTAGTGTGCTAATTTCAGAGCATGTGTTAAGAAGGATTCCGAGGTGGGGCCAGGCACGGTGGCTCATGCCTGTAATCCCAGCACTTTGGGAGGCTGAGGTGGGTGGATGACGAGGTCAGGAGATCGAGACTCATCCTGGCTAACATGGTGAAACCCCATCTCTACTAAAAATACAAAAAAAAAATTTGTTCGGCATGGTGGCGGGCGCCTGTAGTCCCACCTACTCGGGAGGCTGAGGCAGGAGATTGGCGTGAACCCCGGAGGCGGAGCTTGCAGTCAGCTGAGATTGCGCCACTGCACTCCAGCCTGGGAGACAGAGTGAGACTCCATCTCAAAAAAAAAGAAAAAGATTCCGAGGTGGCATCAGGGCAAAAAGTGACAGATCAGTTAGCAATGTCCCCTGTACTGCAGGGGTGGAGCAGTACACTCCACTAGAGTGTACTGGGTGGGCACTAGAGATTTGCCACCCCTGCTGTAGGACAGTGAGAGCCACTGAAGGATGGGAGAGGGTTGGGGTAGAGGAGCAGGGGCTCGGTATGTGTGTTGTAGAGGATCAACCGGAAGCTCTGGGAGCACGAATCATAGGGAGGCAAGGCTAAGGTCATGTTGCCAATGAGCCAGCACTGAGTTAAAAAATATCTGAGGAGCAAATGAACCGCTGAGTGTCTACAAGGCAAAGAGTGGACATTTGCCTTGTGGAACACAAACGCCAGTATATTTTATGTGCAGAAATGTGAAAAGGAAGAGACAGAGGGACCAACGGAGACACAGAGCAGACAATGGGTGCACAAACCAGCCGTTTGTCCTTCTCAAGAGCTGCCCAGTTGGGAGTCAGCCCCACTCTCCTCAAAGGCCCTTTAGCAGAGGAGGGGACTGCAGCTCCTCCAGGTCTAGGGTGGCTTCAGGGTGGAAGGCACTCTCCCTGACATAGCTCCTCTAAGGGCTGGGCCTCTCACCTGTCTGAATCCCAGGGTGATGCCTGCACAGCCCAGAGCTTCCTAAATGCAGGTTCCCAGGAACCGACCCACTCAGCAGCTGCCTCCCCAGGGAACCCATGCAGACCAAGGGACCAGGACAAAAGGGCTTCATGGGCACTCCCTAGGTACTATTGCTGTGAATAAGCATAGGCCATTGGAAGTCACTGGCATTGAAAAGGAGACAGGGCACATGGGAAAGAATGCCTAGTAAGCATCAGAAATGGTTCAACCGTGCAGGGCAGCACATTGCAATCTGTAATTCAGAGATGCTGCCATGTCCAGTGGAGAGAGGCCTGGGAAACCAGAGGTTCATGAACAGCCAACAGATACTCCCCACCAGCACCCCTACTTCTTGTCAGGGCTAGGATTACTCCAAACTCTGAGTCCCTGGGCACTAAGGGACTGGGGCCCTGATACTCAAAAAAGCAAGCTGAAGTCTGGGCTATCCCTGGTGAGATCTGAACCTGCAGATCCAGTGGTCAGGCCGGGGGTTGCTGCCTCCCTTTGCTAGAGGCTTGGTGCCCTACGAGGGGCAATGGAAGCAATGAGACACCTCAATGGAGCAGAAACACAGAGCTGGATGTTGCCAGGCACACAGGTGTACTCCAGGACCTCTTGCATTTGGGAGCTTATAGGACCCAGAGGGAAAATGGTGCCAGGAATGCCCACAAGGTAACATCTGGAGTGGCAAGGCCTGGTGGGTCATCCGAGGGCTTGCTCTGGCTGAGAATTATGAGGTATCAGCAAGCTAGTCAATGAATTCAGTTGTGGGTGTGTGAAGGTGAGTAGCGTGATCTAGGGGCCCACATGGAAGGCCTGGAGGGGTGCTGGGGTACAGGAGACTGAGACAACATGGAGCTGGGGAGAGAACCAAGGAACCAATTGCCCAGAGAGAACAGGGAAGTCAGACAATATTCTTCTTCTGGAATCTTCTCCACCTATAGATAAAAAGCAATATATCCCCACTGGAAGCCTGATTCCCTGTCACCCCCAAAAGCCCTGGATTTGGGGACACAATAAAATCAAAAAGAGGGCTGGCCCCTTCAGAATGTAGCTCATCCCTGGATTTGAGGCGCCTGCCCAGGAGACAGGCTGGGAAATGCCTTTCATTCTTCCCTGGACAGAGCTAACTGCAGAAAGATCCTGCCAAAGGCACAGTCTGCAGACTTTTCTCCAGACCTAGGGGACCATTGCTGCCCATCCCACTATACCCTGCCCCAGCCTGTACCCTGGGTGTTGCTATCTGCATGGTCTGGGTGGGGCAGCCAGCAGGGAAGAGGACATTCTCTCCACAGGTGCTATTACCATTTTTTAATGATCCATAAAGGGGGAAGGTTAATTTCTACCTAAGGGTCCCAGTGTGGCTATGAAGAAACCATGTACCATGGGATGAGCCACTTTCTAATGGACCCTTCCCCTTGGGGAGTGGGGGGCAGAGCTGAAAGGAGGCTGGAGTGAGGACTTCACCAGTCCACTGCCAGCAATGGACCTGTCACAGGAGAAAGGGAGATGGGAGAACCAAGACGACAAAGTCCATGAGTATGGCAGGGTTAATTACTGTTATGAAGTAAGCTCAAAGGGTCAGCCTCACTGGCAGGGGCTTGGGGAGAGGGGCAGCTGGGGCTATGGCAGAACCAGAACTGATCCCCTCCCATAAAGGTTGTGCCAAAGAGCATTCCACAGCTGAAAGATCATCCTCTCTTACCTCCTCTCATTCTCCATGGGTCTCGAATGCTGGATACCTGGCTCCTTCATTCTGTAGAAAGCTGGATTGCTCAGCCGTCTTGAAAATAAACCTTTCAGGGCATAGAAGACCTAGAACTCTGCTTCCCCACGAACTTACTTACCTCTAGGTTTCCACTGTGGATGCAAAGAGCCCATTTCAGCCTGACTGCGCACTGGAGGGCATCATTCGTTCTCAGCTGGGCCACTTCGAGGAGGAAGTATTGCCTCAGCCCACTAGACTGGGGTTTGGGGAGGCATAACTGAGGAACTCCCCAGGCATCAGGCCAGTGGGAACAGTGTGGAGAAGGCTGCAAGGGGGTGGGGATGGGGGTGTTTCAGGGCTTGGTCTCCGGCAGCTCCTGTGCTGGCTAGGGAGCTGGGGTGGGGCAGGCCTGGTGAACAACATGGATAAAGGGCCGCTCGTGGTAAAGGCCTTGAAAACAAGAGAGAAAAGGGGAAATGCCACCAAACACATGGGGATTGGAATCTCCAAAACCCAAGGTTGGTGGGAATCCAGTACCATGGGGCCCCCAGAAAGCCAAGGGAGCACTGCTTGGCTTTCTCCCACCTGAGTTCCCACCTTTGGGGCACAAGGGCCACTTTTCTCCACCCCCTGCTGGAGGGGAGAGGAGCCAAGGGAAGGTCTCCCAGCCCCTGCAGACCAGGGTTGCTGCCAAGCAGCCTCCTGGCTGCCCAGTGTCTCCTAGGCTGCAGCTCAGCAGGCCCCCGGGGAGGTATTGGTTGCAAGCACGCACCTAATGGAACCAGCCAAAGATCAGTTAAATCCAGATGAGAGGGAGGGAGTTGAGGCCTTGCTTCCCACCTGCATCCCCTTCTCAACGTCCCTTAGCCAGGACAGTGCCCGTGGCTTCCAAAGTCAACCATATGGTCCATTGCTGCTCAGCCACAGGCCTCCCGCCGCCAGCCTCTGAGCTGGGCCGAGATCCATGGACCCTTCCCAGTGTCGCTCTGCTGCCTCGACATCCCATCCCCAAAACCTGATCACTGCCCCCAACACTGGCCCATCACAGAGGGTAGTGGCCTGTGTGTGCCAGTGGACGTTATTGTAGCTGCTTCTGTAATGAGGACGTGCAGGAGAAATAATTTGTGTGGAAAACACTGTCAGCCTTCCTCTCCCCGTTAGCAGTAATTCCAAGGTCAAAAACCAAAGGTTGGGGCCATGGCCTGGGCTGATGGAGACCTTGAGGTGGAATCAGCCTGCACTGCGCAATGTGACCGGCAGGGATCGCCAAACCGCCTTTTCTGCCCCCCATGTGGTATGCATGCGTGTTCTCTGCGCAGATGCAGCGTGGTATGTGTGGTGTGCGTGGTGTGCATGGTGTCAGTGGTGTGATGTGCAGCGTGGCGTCTGTACTGTGGAGAAGTAGCGCTCCAGTTCCCTGAGGACTCTCCGGCACTGCAGCAGGTTCGGGACGACTTGTGGCTGCGCCCTGGGGAAGAAACAGCTCCTGTCAGTAGCTGACTGCTGAAGACGGAACTTCGGTGTGGCTTCTTCGTGTTGCGGGTTTCTCCCGGGCGTTTTTTCCTTCATGGTGAGTACAGAAGCTTTCGTTTTCTAGAATGTTCTGTTTCTTCCTGTTAGGTTCTCCTTTTCATCTTAATCTGGTAGCATTTTAGTATTTATTTTACAGTAGTTCTCATTCCCTGAGGGCTTTGGAGGGTGGCAGCATAGGAGGCTGTGATACTTCAGGACGTTAGGACTCTTTCTGAGGGAAACTCCCCCGTGTAGACAGAGAGAGGGAAGCTCCGGCCTTGGGAGGAAGGGGAAGCCGCCCAGGCCAGGGTCGGAGTTTGGCTGCGCTGGGTCCAAGCCTCAGACGGAAGAAAAAGGATCCTAGTCACCTCCAGGGTTTGCTGATTTTTTTATCTGAGTTCCCACCTTTGGGGCACAAGGGCCACTTTTCTCCACCCCCGGCAGCGCGTGTCCCCTCCTGTCCCTCTCGTCACCCCCACTTGACGCAGGGAGTTCATGGGTTTTGCGGTGCAGCAGCTTTTCAGTTTACTGTAGCCCCTGCACGTCGATTTTTGATTTTGTTGCTTATGATTTTGGTGCCCAGTTTTAAAATGAGATCTTACCCTGTTTTACTTTCTCTTCTCTTCTCTGCCCTCCCCCCTCTGTCTCTCTCCTCTCCTCTGTCTCTCTCTCTCCTCTCTCTCTCTCTCTCTCCTCTCTCTCTCTCTCTCTCCTCTCTCTCTCTCTCTCTCTCTCCTTTCCACCCTGTGAGCTTGGATTCAAGTTGTCCTGGAAGTAAGCTCCCCCTGTAGTTTCTTACAGTTTTACGATGATTCATGGTTTCAGGTCTTGTGTTGAGGGTTTTTATTTTTTTGAGACTGAGTCTTGCTCTGTTGGCCAGGCTGGAGTGCAGTGGCACAATCTCAGTTCACTGCAATTTCTGCCTCCCAGGTTCAAGTGATTCTGCTGCCTCAGCCTCCGGTGTAGCTGGGACTACAGGTGCACACCACCACACCTGGCTAATTTTTGTAGTTTTAGTAGAGACCGGGTTTCGCCATATTGGCCAGGTTGGTCTTGAATTCCTGACCTCGTGACCTGCCTGCCTTGGCCTCCCAAAGTGCTGAGATTACAGGCGTGAGCCACCGTGCCCAGCCGTATTGAGGTTTTAAGCCCATTTGGAGTTGATTTTTTGTTGTGTAACAGAAGGGTCCTATTTCATTCTGTTGCATATGGATATCGGTTTCCTTAAAACCATGAATGAAGAAAATCTCTTATCCCCTTGTGTCTTTCTGGAAAGGCACCTGGGACAGAGGAACCACCTGCAGGCCCCACAGCCCCAGTTGAGGAGGCGTGGTGAGAAGGGGACTCGGTGTTCTGCAGCTTACCATTACCTCTGTGGCCCATCCATGGAATCTGTGAAGAGGTGTGTTGTTCGTGTGTCTCCATTTTCTGCTCACATGGAAAATCTGTGGTGTGACGGCTTCAGACTCCACAGGATGAATGAGGGTGGGGGAGAGGAGAGGAGAAAAGAAAAGAGAGGGAAAGGGGAGAGAGACAGAGGAGAGAGGAGAGGAGAGTGATGACAAGAGACAAATATGAGTGAGAAACAGAAAGAATGGACAAGATGATTAGAAGGCTGAAAGAAGGAGAGAGCAATCTAAGGTGAGAAAACACTGCACATAGAAAACATTCTGAAGGAGAGAGAAGGAGGGGCAGATCAGATAGGGGAAACAACGAGGGGGTGGAGAGAGGTTGAGAGGGTGTGACTCACCTCTGGAGGGCTGGGTTCTGTTTTTACTGGGAAGAAAAAAATGTTCTTTGTTATCAAAAGCCTTGAGTGACACCAGTGGGTCTTCCCACTCATGAACCAGCACCCAGATTGGTGAGTGCAAACACACATGCACATTCATGTGCAAACATAGATACATGCTCACATACTCAAGATACACATATATTCACATGCACACATATACACAAATGCACATGTGTATGCACGTACATGCTCATGTGCACACTTGTGTTCTCACACATACTCACATGTACATGCACAGGCACACACACACACTCACATGAACACACTGACATACACACATTAACATTTTCTGTTTGCCCCTGGTGAAATAGAGTGCTAGAAAATTTTGCCCAACCATTGTGATGTCTTTGGTAGGCAAACTGGGGGAAATTTCGTCACAGCCATGGTGCCAAGTTTTGAAGAGGTTTTTCCTACTGTGGGTGTCTCAGCATGAGCTAGGTCTTCCCTGAGAGTGGCATCTGGCCCCAGCTCCATGTGGCCCTCACCAAGTCCTGTTGCCTATACATCCTAGGTTCCATCTCCCAAAGCTGGCTTTGTCAGTGGTCTGTGAAGTGGGCTGCAGAACCACTGAAGTGTGGAAATAGAGATCAGAACTTTACATATATCTATACTTTATCTCACATTTAAAAATTTCCTTTTCCTTGTATGTGTATAATAATATCTCTATTAGTGGAGCAGAGCACTTAAATGATCATTAAATAAAAATGCAATATGGTTGCATGCTAAGAAAGATTTTGCTGTTAGTGGTATGTTATTAGGAAAGCTTGGAGTCGCTGGGACTGCCTTCTAGTCACTTTTCTCTGCATCTTTTCTTGGACACTCTTTTTGTCCGTTCTCCAGTTCAGTCAAGTGTGATTGTTTAACAATTCTCACCTCTCTTCCTTCTACCCCCATGCTTAAAAGCCTTTAGTAGCTTCACAGTGTTTTTAAATAGTTATGAATTTGAGTGTTGTTTTTTTTTTTTTTTTGAGATGGAGTCTCTTGCCCAGGCTGGAGTGCAGTGGTGCGATCTCTGCTCACTGCAACCTCCGCCTCCCAGGTTCAAGTGATTCTCTTGCCTCAGCCTCCCGAGTAGCTAGGGTTATAGGCGCATGCCATCGTGCCCAGCTAATTTTTTTTTTTTTGAGACGGAGTCTTGCTCAGTCGCCCAGGCTGGAGTGCAGTGGCGTGATCTCGGCTCACTGCAAGCTCCGCCTCCTGGGTTCACACCATTCTCCTGCCTCAGCCTCCTGGGTAGCTGGGACTACAGGTGCCTGCCACCACGCCTGGCTAATTTTTTGTGCATATTTAGTAGAGACGGGGTTTCACTATGTTAGCCAGGATGTTCTCTGTGGGGAAAAGCAAGAGAGATCAGATTGTTACTGTGTCTGTGTAGAAAGAAGTAGACATAGGAGACTCCATTTTGTTCTGTACTAAGAAAAATTCTTCTGCCTTGAGATTCTGTTAATCTATAACCTTACCCGCAACCCCGTGCTCTCTGAAACATGTGCTGTGTCAACTCAGAGTTGAATGGATTAAGGGCGGTGCAAGATGTGCTTTGTTAAACAGATGCTTGAAGGCAGCATGCTCCTTAAGAGTCATCACCACTCCCTAATCTCAAGGACACAAACACTGCGGAAGGCCGCAGGGACCTCTGCCTAGGAAAGCCAGGTATTGTCCAAGGTTTCTCCCCATGTGACAGTCTGAAATATGGCCTCGTGGGAAGGGAAAGACCTGACCGTCCCCCAGCCCGACACCCGTAAAGGGTCTGTGCTGAGGAGGATTAGTAAAAGAGGAAGGAATGCTTCTTGCAGTTGAGACAAGAGGAAGACATCTGTCTCCTGCCTGTCCCTGGGCAATGGAATGTCTCGGTATAAAACCCGATTGTATGCTCCATCTACTGAGATAGGGAAAAACTGCCTTAGGGCTGGAGGTGGGACCTGCGGGCAGCAATACTGCTTTGTAAAGCATTGAGATGTTTATGTGTATGCATATCTAAAAGCACAGCACTTAATCCTTTACATTGTCTATGATGCAAAGACCTTTGTTCACGTGTTTGTCTGCTGACCCTCTCCCCACAATTGTCTTGTGACCCTGACACATCCCCCTCTTCGAGAAACACCCACAAATGATCAATAAATACTAAGGGAACTCAGAGGCTGGCGGGATCCTCCATATGCTGAACGCTGGTTCCCCGGGTCCCCTTATTTCTTTCTCTATACTTTGTCTCTGTGTCTTTTTCTTTCCTAAGTCTCTCGTTCCACCTTATGAGAAACACCCACAGGTGTGGAGGGGCAACCCACCCCTACATTCTCGATCTCCTGACCTCAAGTGACCCACCCACCTCAGCCTCCCAAAGTGCTGGGATTACAGATGTGAGCCACCATGCCCTGGCCAAGTGTGTTTTGCTATCGTGAGTAATAATTTTTTTTTTTTGCCTGAGTTCTTTCTACCCCATAACTAGCACCCTTGGCTTCTTTGAATTTCTTGGATGAGTCTCATTCCTGCAAGCTATTTTCCCCTTGCTCGGCAAAACTTCTTCTGTGTCCTCATTGCCCACCTGTCTAACCTTGACTCATTCCCCAGGACTCTGCTTAAGTAACATTTTCTCTGGTAGGCCTTTTCTGATCCCATAGACTTACTACCTAGTCCCATAGTATCTTGTATTTTTGGTGACTACAAGAGAGTGGGGAACTTGTCTGGGTTCTGTAGATCCAGTGGTGTGCTGGTAAATGTGTAACATCTGACTCTCTGAAAAACACAAAAACATGGCTGGTAGTATTTGCACATTTCTGTGTTGTAAATAGGATTGTCATGGTCAGATTCAAGCTACCAAGCTGATGTCACTGAATGATGAGTTGGGATGAGATGCATGGTAGCACACCATCATATGATATTTCTGCCATATAGATGCAGTAGATGCATCATGAGCATAGATAATAAAATATAGTAAAATAATTAGAATATGAGGAGTTGTAGGTATTGTTTTAATATAATTTAGTTGGAAGTTTATATAATGCATTTTAATAATGACTTTATTTAACAATTAACTCTCAAAAATTCCTGAAAATTTAATAACCTGGTCTCATTCAGTGATATAAGCCAGGACTAGAGATCCCTTGTGTCAAGCACAGACAGGTCACATTGTTTTGCATTGATTGCAGACATTGGAATAAGTCAACGTGTATATGTGCTGCCATTTCTTGGAATTTACTGTGCCTTTGAATTATTGACTTAGTCGCTTATAACTGGGATGTTTTTATTATACTAGCTTTCATATGAGAGTAAGTGTGTATACAAAAGGGAAACATACACAAGTGCAACTAGATATTCAAGGGCACGCCAGTAATGCAGCTGATTCACTGAGGCATTAACATTGATCTGATAAAGTTTAATAACAGGTGATTGGCTCAGATGAATTAATTATTATAAACGTTAATCTTGATTTGTTGGGTATTCAAGGTAGAAAGGAAAACGGTGAACATGTGACTGCTTTTCACCTTCTCATTTTGCTTTTCATTTTCTTATTTACCAATCATTGAGAGGTGAATTATTAAAAAAACACTTTAGTAGTATTTGTCTGCAGCTACTACATTGCTAGTTTTGACTGAATTAGTCAGTTAACCTAACTTCCTAAATTGACTAAACATTTGACTGAAAAGATTCTTTGGAAGAAAATATAGACTATTTCACAATATTATAGTGACATATTGTGTGAAAATGTAGATTAAGGGCACTCAACACATTTCTGTTAATCCAATTATATGTTTCTACATGGATATAAGAGTAAATGCCATTCAGCCGGGCGTGGTGGCTCACATCTGTAAGCTCAGCACTTTGGGAGGCCAAGGCAGGCAGATCGTGAGGTCAGGAGATCGACACCATCCTGGCTAACATGGTGAAACCCCGTCTCTACTAAAAATACAAAAAATTAGCCAGGCATGGTGGCCGGCGCCGGTAGTCCCAGCTACTTGGGAGGCTGAGGCAGGAGAATGGCGTGAACCCAGGAGGTGGAGCTTGCAGTGAGCCGAGATCATGCCGCTGCACTCCAGCCTGGGCAACAGAGCGAGACTCCATCAAAAAAAAAAAAAAAAAAAAAAGTAAATGCCATCAGTGTTACAAAACTTGGTGCAAAATTTAGACACTTTAATAGTTGTGTAGTAGGGGATTTCAAGTATTATTTTCTAAAGGTTGACTGTTAACAATTAGGTCCTATAAAGAAAAAGTTTTTAAATGTCCTATAATGTAGTCTTTATTTTATAAGCAGTGTTTCTAGACAAAAGGGACCTTCTAAACTTTATTTCTAAAAATCAAAAGCTGTTAGAGTCAGAAAGGTTTTTAAGATTGAATCTAAGCTTTTTTTGTTGTTGTTATGAATGAGGAAACTGGAGCCACACATGAATATGAACGGCCCTGTTATGTTTGAATCTCAGTTTTGGAATGTGTGGTTTACCATTTGAATGAAGATCTGAGCAGGTAAGAGCTTATCATTGTTCCAAATGGTGTTCAGGCATACACTCTATTCTATGATGCCCCATCATCCTGGATGACTCTCCTTTTTATGTTGAATTAATGCAAGGTTATATTTGCAGAGAAAGGTAAGGAGGCATATTAAAAATCCACAGTAATGTAGATAAATTTTGTAAAATCAAATAATATTGATCACCTATTTCTATGCATTTTTCTGTTTTTCACACCTTGCTTTCCATAATGAAAGTGACATTCTGCTTTGAATCATTTCCAGCGAAGTGACTTTCAATATTATTGTCTGTGACATTTTGACAGTTAAAATGCATTTCTTAAGCCTAATGGAAATGCTGCAGTGTTTTTTCTTGTTTTCATCCCCCCCACCCACAGTGGTCCTATCTGCGCTTGTTGCCTGGGAAACTACAATGTTGAACATTTTGATATGTTTGTTGGCTTCGTATGTCTTCTTTTCAGAAGTGTCTGTTTACATCTTTTGCCCACCTTTTTTTTCTTCTTCTTCTTCTTTTTTTTTTTTTTTTTTGAGACAGAGCCTTGCTCTGTTGCCCAAGCTGGAATGCAGTGGCATGATCTCAGCTTACTGCAACCTCTGCCTCCCAGCTTCAAGCGATTCTCCTCCCTCAGCCACCTGAATAGCTGGGATTACAGGCACCTGCCACCATGCCCAGCTAATTTTTGTATTTTTAGTAGAGACAGGGTTTCACCATGTTGGCCAGGCTGGTCTTGAACTACTGACCTCAGGTGATCTGCCTGCCTCGGCCTCCCAAAGTCCTGGGATTACAGGCATGAGCCATTGTGCCTAGCCTTTTGCCCACTTTTTAATGGGATTATTCGTATTTTGCATATTGATTTAAGTTTCTTATAGATGCTAGATATTAGACTTTTGTGAATATTTTCTTCCATTCTGTAGGTTTTCTGTTTATTCTGTTGATAGTTACTTTTGTTGTGAAGAAGTTCTTTAGTTTAATTAGGTCCCACTTGTCAATTTTTGTTTTTATTGCAACTGCTATTGAGAACCTAGTCATAAATTCTTTTTTTTTTTTTTTTCAATTTGAGACAGAGTCTCACTCTATTGACCAGGCTGGAGTGCAGTGGTACAGTCTTGGCTCACTACAACTTCTGTCTCCTGGGTTCAAGCAATTCTCGTGCCTCAGCCTCCCAAGAAGCTGGGATTACAGGTGCGTACCCCCATGCCAGGGTAATTTTTTGTAATTTTAGTAGAGACGGTTTCACCATGTTGGTCAGGCTGGTCTCGAACTCCTGACCTCAGGTGATCCGCCCACCTCAGCACTCCCAAAGTGCTAGGATTACAGGTGTGAGCCACCGTGCCCGGCCTCTAGTCATAAATTCTTTCCCAAGGCTGATGTCCTGAATGGTATTTCCTAGGTTTTCTTCTAGAGTTTCCCGGCTGGGAGTTGCAATTCTTATATCAGATAAAACAGACTTTAAACCAATAAAATTAGGTAGGACAAGGAAGGGCATTATTACATAATGATAAAGGCTAACAAGAAGACTTAACTATTAAAGTCTTACACTTAAATCTTTGATCCAGTGGCAAGATAGATATAAAGCTAGATATAAAGACAAGACCCAACCATCATCAAGAGATTAATCTCACATGTAACAGTATCCACAGGCTCAAAGTAAAGGGGTGGAGAAATGTCAACCAGGTAAGAGTCGCTGTTCTTTTTTTTTTTTTTTTTTTGAGATAGGGTCTCTGTTACCCAGGCTTGAGTGTAGTGTTGTGATTACGGCTCACTGCAGCCTCAACCTCTGAGGCTTAAGTGATCCTCCCACCTCAGCCTCCAAGTAGCTGGGACTATAGGCATCTGCCACCACGCCTGGCTAATTTTTGTAGAGATGGTGTTTTGCCATGTTGCCCAGGCTGGTCTCCAGCTCTTGAGTTCAAACAATCCACCTGCCTTGGCCTCACAAAGTGCCTGGATTATAGGCATTAGTGACTGCATCTGGACTAGAAGTTGCAATTCTTTATTTATTTATTTATTCATTTATTTATTTTGAGATAGAGTCTTGCTCTGCCACCCAGGCTGGAGTGCAGTGGTGCGATCTCGGCTCACTGCAACCTCTGCCTCCCAGGTTCAAGCGATTCTTCTGCCTCAGCCTCTCGAGTAGCTGGGACTATAGGTGGGTGCCACCACGCCCAGTTAATTTTTGTATTTTTAGTAGAGATGGGGTTTTGCCATGCTGGCAAGGCTGGTTTCGAACTCCTGACCTCAAGTGATCCACCCACCTCGGCCTCCCAAAGTGCTGGGATTACAGGTGTGAGCCACCGTGCCCGGCCGGGAGTTGCAATTCTTATATCAGATAAAACAGACTTTAAACCAATAAAATTAGGTAGGACAAGGAAGGCAGTATTACATAATGATAAAGGCTAACAAGAAGACTTAACTATCCTAAATATATGTGCACCCAACACTGAAGCACCCAAATTCATAGCACAAGTTTTTCTTGTCCTACAAAATGACATAGACAACCACACAATAGTAGTGGGAGACTTCACCTCCCCACGGAAGCGTTAGTCGGATCATTAAGGCAGAAAATTAACAAAGAAATGTGGGACTTAAACTCAAAACTTGACCAATTAGACCTAATAGTCTTCTACAGAATCCTCCACTCAACAACCACAGAATACACATTCTTCTTATCTGTATGTGGAACGTATTTTAAGATGAACCATATGCTCAGCCATAAAGCAAGTCTCAATAAATAATTAAAAAAACCCTGAAATTGTACAAAGCACACTGTGAGACCACAGTGCAATAAAAATATAAACCAATAGCAGTTAAGATCTCTTAAAACAACACAAATACATGGAAATTAAACAACTTGTTCCTGAATAAATCCTGGGTGAACATTGAAATTAAGGCAGAAATAAAAAAACTTTGAAATTAATTAAAATAGGCACATAGCTTACCAGAGATTTCTGGGATTTCTCTTCACACAAGTAAAGCAGTGTGAAGAGGAAGTTTATACCTCTAAATGCCTTCATCAAAAAGTCAGAAAGATCTCAAATTGACAATTAACTGGGCACCTAAAAGAACTTGGGAACCGAAGAACCAACCAACCCCAAAGCTTGTAAGAAACACATAAATACCTAAAATCAGAGAAGAACTTAATGAAATTGAGATGCAAAAATCTATACAAAAGGTTAATGAAACCAAGAGTTGCTTCTCTGAGAAAAATAAACAATATTGATGCACTGCTAGCTGGATTAAAGATCCAAATAAGTAGAATTGGAAATGACAAAGATGGCATTACAACTGTTCTTACAGAGATGAAAGGGACCCTCAGAATACTATGAAC
This sequence comes from Homo sapiens, assembly GCF_000001405.40. Lineage (NCBI taxonomy): Eukaryota > Metazoa > Chordata > Mammalia > Primates > Hominidae > Homo > Homo sapiens. The sequence goes on along the minus strand of NC_000008.11, from coordinate 47,170,533 downwards.
AATTCTATACAAACAAATTAGAAAATCTGGAGGAAATGGATACATTCCTGGAAATATACAGTCTCCTAAGATTAAATCAGGAAGAGATTGGAACCTTGAGTAGACCAATACTGAACCCTGATTGAAACAGTAATATAAAACCTAGCAATGAAAAAAGTCCCTGGACCTGATGGATTCAAAGCCAAATTCTGAATTCAAAGCCTTTCTGAAACTACTCTAAAAAGTCGAGGAGGAGAGACTCCTCCTTAATTCATTCTATGAAACGAGCATCAGCCTAACACTAAAATCTGGCAGAGACATGACAAAGAAAAAAAATTTCAGGCCAATATCCCAATGAGCATAGAAGAAGAAATCCTCAACAAAATACTAGCAAACTGAATCCAGCAGCACATTGAAAAACTAATTCACCTTGATCAAATAGACTTTATTCCAGGGATGTTGGTTCAACATCTGCAATCGGTAAGTGTGATTCCCTGTATAAACAGATTAAAAGCAAAAACCATATGATTATCTCAATAGACGCAGAAAAATCTTTTGATAAAATCTTAACACCCCTTCATGATAAAAACTCTCAACAGGCTGGGCACGGCGGCTTATGCCTCTAATCCCAACACTTTGTGAGACTAACGTGGGAAGATCACTTGAGCCAAGGAGTTCAAGGCCAGCCTGAGCAACATAGTGAGACTCCCGTCTTTCAAAAAATAAGATAAATTAGCCAAGCATGGTGGTGCATGCCTGTAGTCCCAGCTACTCAGGAGGCTGAGGCAGGAGGATTGCTTGAGCCAAAGAGATGGAGGCTGCAGTGAGCTGTGATCATGCCACTGTGCTCCAGGCTGGGCAACAGAGACCTTGTCTCAAAAGATAAAATATAAAATAATAAAATATAGTAAAATATAAAATAAAATATGAGTTGCGCAGTAGATAATACAAAAGAGGTGGGAAGCTTATCTCCAGTGGAGCTTCCTGTTGCACCTGGCGGTCTTGGCTCATAACTTGGCACCTCTAAGCCCTGGGAAGGGCAGTATGGGTCAGTATTTTGTGCCAGGGCTCCATGGAGGAATGAGGAGAGGGCTGGCTGTGGAGACTTGGGGAGCATCCTGGGGATGGGGAGATGGGGAGCTCTGGAGAATGATGGGATAAATGACAGTTATGCTGAAACTTTGTGTTCTAATTCAGGGAAACACATGTGGCTTGAGGGAATTCTGTATTTGGAGATTTATGGCCAGACACCAGCAGAGTGGGAGTTTGTCACTGGTAGAAAAGGAGTCAGGAAACAGATGATGTGGCTTCACAGAGTCAGATGTGGAGAAGAATATGGCAGAGGGTGAGGAAGCAGGGAGAGGCCCTAGGCAGATGCTCAGATTCCCTGATCCTGCCTCTATGTGCTCCACATGGCCTTGGCTGGGAGACCCCAAAGAGTCTCTGCTGTGACAGATTTCATTGATTGCTCACAGCAGTCCTGGGAGTGCTGAGATAACTACTAGATAAAAACGCTGAAGGATTATCTGTCAGACATTTCTTTATTTTTTATTGATACAATGTCTCTGTTGTCTAGGCTGGAGTGCAGTGGTGCAATTTCGGCTGACTGCAACCTTGACCTCCCTGGCTCAGGTCATCCTCCCACCTCAGCCTCCCAAGCAGCTGGGACTACAGGTGCGCACTACTATGGCCAGCTAGTTTTTGTATTTTTTTTTTTTGTAGAGACAGAGTTCCTCCGTGTTGCCCAAGGTGGTCTTGAATTCCTGGACTCAGGTGATCCACCTGCTTTGGCCTCCCAAAGTGCTGGGATTACAGGTATGAGCCACTGCACCATTTTTTTAAAATTACATATTATTTATATCTTTTTATATAGTTAAAAAACTATCCCATCAAAATTCTATGCACATATTTATTAGGCCCTTAGAAGTTTCTGTGGGACAATTGTGTTGATTCAAACACACACACACACACACACACACACACACACACACACACAAATTGAGTATATTTAAGGAGAAATGCAGCAAGAATGTCTCCATCCAAGGCCACTGTTTTTAGGAGAGCAGGCTTTCTGGGGCATCTGAAGCCTCAGAGAGCCTGGTGTCTGTCCCCAGAGGTGCCTAAATAATTGAATGATGGACCACTGAGGGAGGAGAGTCATGGGCAGGTCTGGGTCTCACCTGTTCTCCAGCCAGGAGCCCTGTGTGAGCGCTCAATTTGCTGTCGCAGAAATGTGGGAAGTGTCTGGCCATTCTTATCCCATGATTAAGGCATGGCTGGCATTATGTACGAATGTATGGTGTATGCCCAACACCATATATGTACAGGCAAGCTTTATTATGCATGAACTGGATTTCACATAAAGTGGTAATTTTATTTAAAAGGGAGTCATTAAAAAGTGTAAATATCACAGTGTGGATATATGTTATCTAAAACTCCAAAAGGTAGTGAAACTGGTAACAAACTACTTCTCATCTTTGGACAGATACAACAACAGCATTAATGAAACTGGTTGCCAGACAAGTATGTACCACTTGCTCCTGTGCCTTAGGAAGAGAGGATGTTATAACATAGGCATTTTGATGCAGGGATTCATGGATAGTTGTTCCCTATTAACAATGCTAAAATTAAGTTCACATTTTTTACTTTGTGTGGGAACTGAAGACTCTTGTTCTTTTGAGGGCTACCTTTCAAGGTGTTGACCTCAAAGCCACTTGTTCCAAAATGCACCAGAGATGGGAATTTAAACCTCTTCACAAAGCAAACCACTGGTAATTCGTAGGAAGTATCCAACATTGTTTTACAACTGATCTCCAATAATATGGCAAACATCATTTCTTTGGAACACAATTTTCTTCATCCCACAAGAAGTTACAGGATAACAAAACTGGTAGTTAAATGACAACAGTCTTGTTACAAGACAGTTATTTCCCAGATGTATGTCACCAGTTCTAATTTCACAGCACTGGGGCCATGACCATGAGGTGGAACCATCCTGCGTTGCACACTGTGACCAGCAGGGGCGTTCAAACTGCCTTTTCTGCCCTTAATGGTGCACATGGGTGTTCTACCTGCAGGCACCGTGTGGCAGGTGTGGCGTCCACAGTGAGGAGAAAGTGAAGCACTCCAGGTCCCTCAGGACTTGCTGGACGGGACACTGCGGCAGCTTTGGGATGACTTGGGACTGCGCCCTTGGGAAGAGACAGCTCCTATCCACTGTGCTGACTGCTGAGGAGGGAGCTTCCTTGCAGTTTCGCCTCAGCGCAGCTCCTCAGCTGTTTTTTCTTCATTGTGAGTATAGAAGCTTTCATTTTGTGGAATGTTCTGTTATTCCCATCAGGTTCTCACTCATTTTCCTCTTTTTCTGTTAGTATTTTAGTGTGTATTTTACAGTAGTATTCATTCCCCTAGGGCTTTTGAGGGTGGCAGCATAGGAGGCTGTAGAATTTTAGGCTTTAGGACTTTTTCTGAGGGAAACTCCTATGTAGATTGAGAGAGAGGGAAACTGTCTGTGGGAGGAAGGGGAAGCCTGGCCCAGGATGGGTGTCGGAGCCACACCCTGCTTGATTGTGCTGCATCCAAGCCTCAGGTGGAAGGAAAAGAATCCCAGCCACCTCCAGAGTTTGCTGATTTTTATTTTTTTTGAGACAGGGTCTGGCTCTGTTGGCCAGGCTGGAGTGCAGTGGTGGATCTCAGCTCACTGCAACCTCTACTTCCTGGAATCAAGGGATTCTCCAGCCTCAGCCTCCTGAGTGACTGGGCCTGTGCCACCATGCCCAGCTAATTTTTTTTTTTATTTTGTTGTAGAGATGGAGTTTTGCCATGGCACCCAGGCTGGTCTCAAACTCCTGAACTCAAAGCAGTCCTCCCGCCTTGGCTTCCCAAAGTGCTGGGATTATAGGTGTGAACTACTGCACCTGGCCTGCTGAATTTTTTTTTTAAAGGCGAAAACACATGTAATTTTATTTTTGTTTAACATTAAGCTTGCCAACTTCTTTCCCTGAACAGCATTTGTCTTGTTTTGATACCCACCTACACTTATATTAGAAACGTACTGCAAACTATTTAGTGATTCCACTTTGAACTTATAGTCGTATGACTAAGATATTTTGAATATAAGCCTATCCATATGCCAGATATAAATTTCAGGAACTCTTAATGTCTCTTCTTTTACAGAAACTCTACCTCTATCCTGATGTAATTAGGTTGATTAAGAAAATTAAAGGCCATGGGCCAGAAAACTAATTTCCACAAATGCAACAAAAGGAAAAGTTTCTCCAGTAACCTCTATGCAATGGGAAATCTTTCTTTTAAGTACCAAGTGAATTTCTTCAACTGTACAATGTATTCTAATTTGAAGGTTTTCAAATATAATACAGTAACAACAAAATATAATAAAATTAAGACTATGAGAAAACAGAGTAAATGGTATAATTCAAATAATGAATAAAATAAAATGACATTATGGATTTGTAATCAACCTATAATTACATATTTAAATTTTACTTTACATACATAAGATCACAGCTAAGGAGGTTAACCATAATGTCAAATTTTATCACCAGCCACTTGTGCTATTTTATCACATTTGAAAATATTCACTCGTATTATTTACTTTAAACAGTGATCTATAAATTTGTTTAGACTATGATAATTAAGGACCTTTTCTTCTTCAGGATAACTTGAAAAATTAAATGATGTATTGACCATACTACTAAAGAAACTTTACTTTTTGATTATGGTCTCTGCATTGAAGAATTTTTCTTTAATAATTTGCAAATCTTCCCATGACCTCTCTGTTCATAGAAATATCATCTTTGAAATAACTTGTGTGAACACTTTATAAATCAAAAATGGATTCACATGACCATATTACCATAATTACCAATTTTAACAGTCTCCTACATATTTTCTATATCACTTTTCTTGATTATAAAATGTCAGTAATATGAACATGCTCTTAATATAACAGAATATTTAATTACATCAGTTTCCCATCAACACACCAAAGTCACTTAATAATTACATTGGCCATTTCCACTGATCAGCAGGAGGCTCTTCCACTGATGACTCCCATGGTTTCCACTCCCTCATTTTTCTTGCCAGATTTAGTTCATGTTCAGCCTAAAGAATCACTTCGGCCGGGCGCGGTGGCTCACGCCTGTAATCCCAGCACTTTGGGAGGCCGAGGCGGGCGGATCACGAGGTCAGGAGATCGAGACCATCCCGGCTAAAACGGTGAAACCCCGTCTCTACTAAAAATACAAAAAATTAGCCGGGTGTAGTGGCGGGCGCCTGTAGTCCCAGCTACTTGGGAGGCTGAGGCAGGAGAATGGCGTGAACCCGGGAGGCGGAGCTTGCAGTGAGCCGAGATCCCGCCACTGCACTCCAGCCTGGGCGACAGAGCGAGACTCCGTCTCAAAAAATAAAAATAAAAAAAGAATCACTTCTTCTAATTGACTGCCTTGAAGTTGGTCTTCTAATTTTTTAACTTCTGGTTCCGCTTTAACCATAGCCAGCTTCTCATTTCTAATCTCTTCTGTATACTTTCTATATGCTGCATTTTTAGGGATTTCCTCAAGAGCATCAAGAATCCTTGTGTACAATATTCTTAGCCTCTCGTGTGGAGTATTGCATACAGCCAATCCCACAAGGCCAGTGGTCTTCTTCAGCACACCGCCATGACAGTGCCGACGAGTCGATGACCTGAATTTTTTTTTTAAAATCTGGATTCCCACTGCACAGGGGCCACTTTTCTCCATCCTCTGCAGCACGTGTCCCCTCTGTCCCTCCAGTCATAGCCACCTAACCAGGGGAAGGGAACTTCCATGCTGTTTAATGCCCTTTTTGGAGAAATATCTATTCAGGGTCTCTGCCCAATTTTGGGTGGATCATACATTTTATTGTTGCTACCTAGTATTGTTTTTTTTTTCTCCCTTTTTTAAAAAATGATGCTTTAAGTTCTCGGGTACATGTGCACAACGTGCAGGTTTGTTACATATGTATATACATGTGCCATGTTGGTGTGCTGCAACTATTAAATCATCATTTACATTAGGTATTTCTCCTAATGCTATCCCTCCCCCATCCCCCCACCCCATGACAGGCCCTGGTGTGTGATGTTCCCTGCCCTGTGTCCAAGCGTTCTCTTTGTTCAGTTCCCACCTATGAGTGAGAACATGTGGTGTTTGGTTATCTGTCCTTGTGACAGTTTGCTCAGAATGATTGTTTCCAGCTTCATCCATGTCCCTACAAAGGACATGAACTCATCCTTTTTTTTTTTAATTTATTATTATTATACTTTAAGTTTTAGGGTACATGTGCACAATGTGCAGGTTAGTTACATATGTATGCATGTGTCATGCTGGTGCGCTGCAGCCACTAACTCGTCATCTAGCATTAGGTATATCTCCCAATGCTATCCCTCCCTGCCTCCTCCAACCCCACAACAGTCCCCAGAGTGTGATGTTCCCCTTCCTGTGTCCATGTGTTCTCATTGTTCAATGCCCACCTATGAGTGAGAACATGCGGTGTTTGGTTTTTTGTTCTTGCCATAGTTTACTGAGAATGATGATTTCCAATTTCATCCATGTCCCTACAAAGGATGTGAACTCATCATTTTTTATGGCTGCATAGTATTCCATGGTGTATATGTGCCACATTTTCTTAATCCAGTCTATCATTGTTGGACATTTGGGTTGGTTCCAAGTCTTTGCTATTGTGAATAATGCCGCAATAAACATACGTGTGCATGTGTCTTTATAGCAGCATGATTTATAGTCCTTTGGGTATATACCCAGTAATGGGATGGCTGGGTCAAATGGTATTTCTAGTTCTAGATCCCTGAGGAATCGCCACACTGACTTCCACAATGGTTGAACTAGTTTATAGTCCTACCAACAGTGTAAAAGTGTTCCTATTTCTCCACATCCTCTCCAGCACCTGTTGTTTCCTGACTTTTTAATGATTGCCATTCTAACTGGTGTGAGATGGTATCTCATTATGGTTTTGATTTGCATTTCTCTGATGGCCAGTGATGGTGAGCATTTTTTCATGTGTTTTTTGGCTGCATAAATGTCTTCTTTTGAGAAGTGTCTGTTCATGTCCTTTGCCCACTTTTTGATGAGGCTGTTTGTTTTTTTCTTGTAATTTGTTTGAGTTCATTGTAGATTCTGGATATTAGCCCTTTGTCAGATAAGTAGGTTGTGAAAATTTTCTCCCATTTTGTAGGTTGCCTGTTCACTCTGATGGTAGTAGTTTCTTTTGCTGTGCAGAAGCTCTTTCGTTTAATTAGATCCCATTTGTCAATTCTGGCTTTTGTTGCCATTGCTATTGGTGTTTTAGACATGAAGTCCTTGCCCATGCCTATGTCCTGAATGGTAATGCCTAGGTTTTCTTCTAGGGTTTTTATGGTTTTAGGTCTAACGTTTAAGTCTTTAATCCATGTTGAATTAATTTTTGTATAAGGTGTAAGGAAGGGATCCAGTTTCAGCTTTCTACATAAGGCTAGCCAGTTTTCCCAGCACCCTTTATTAAATAGGGAATCCTTTCCCCATTGCTTGTTTTTCTCAGGTTTGTCAAAGATCAGATAGTTGTAGAGATGTGGTGTTATTTCTGAGGGCTCTGTTCTGTTCCATTGATCTATATCTCTGTTTTGGTACCAGTACCATGCTGTTTTGGTTACTGTAGCCTTGTAGTATAGTTTGAAGTCAGGTTGTGTAATGCCTCCAGCTTTGTTCTTTTGGCTTAGGATTGTCTTGGCAATGCGGGCTATTTTTGGTTCCATATGAACTTTAAAGTAGCTTTTTCCAATTCTGTGCAGGAAGTCATTGGTAGCTTGATGGGGATGGCATTGAATCTGTAAATTACCTTGGGCAGTATGGCCATTTTCACGATATTGATTCTTCCTACCCATGAGCATGGAATGTTCTTCCATTTGTTTGTATCCTCTTTTATTTCATTGAGCAGTGGTTTGTAGTTCTCCTTGAAGAGGTCCTTCACATCCCTTGTAAGTTGGATTCCTAGGTATTTTATTCTCTTTGAAGCAATTGTGAATGGGAGTTCACTCATGATTTGGCTCTCCGTTTATCTGTTGTTGGTGTTTAAGAATGCTTGTGATTTTTGTACATTGATTTTGTATCCTGAGACTTTGCTGAAGTTGCTTATTAGCTTAAGGAGATTTTGGGCTGAGACAATGGGATTTTCTAGATATACAATCATGTCATCTGCAAACAGGGACAATTTGACTTCCTCTTTTCCTAATTGAATACCCTTTATTTCCTTCTCCTGCCTAATTGCCCTGGCCAGAACTTCCAACACTATGTTGAATAGGAGTGGTGAGAGAGGGCATCCCTGTCTTGTGCCCGTTTTCAAAGGGAATGCTTCCAGTTTTTGCCCATTCAGTATGATATTGGCTGTGGGTTTGTCATAGATAGCTCTTATTATTTTGAAATACGTCCCATCAATACCTAATTTATTGAGAGTTTTTAGCATGAAGCGTTGTTGAATTTTGTCAAAGGCCTTTTCTGCATCTATTGAGATAATCATGTGGTTTTTGTCTTTGGTTCTGTTTATATGCTGGATTACATTTATTGATTTGTGTATATTGAACCAGCCTTGCATCCCAGGGATGAAGCCCACTTGATCATGGTGGATAAGCTTTTTGATGTGCTGCTGGATTCGTTTTGCCAGTATTTTATTGAGGATTTTTGCATCAATGTTCATCAAGGATATTGGTCTAAAATTCTCTTTTTTGGTTGTGTCTCTGCCCGGCTTTGGTATCAGGATGATGCTGGCCTCATAAAATGAGTTAGGGAGGATTCCCTCTTTTTCTATTGATAGGAATAGTTTCAGAAGGAATGGTACCAGTTCATTCTTGTACCTCTGGTAGAAATCGGCTGTGAATCCATCTGGTCCTGGACTCTTTTTCATTGGTAAGCTATTGATTATTGCCACAATTTCAGCTCCTGTTATTGGTCTATTCAGAGATTCAACTTCTTCCTGGTTTAGTCTTGGGAGAGTGTATGTGTCGAGGAATTTATCCATTTCTTCTAGATTTTCTAGTTTATTTGCGTAAAGGTGTTTGTAGTGTTCTCTGATGGTAGTTTGTATTTCTGTGGGATTGGTGGGGATATCCCCTTTATCATTTTTTATTGAGTCTATTTGATTCTTCTCTCTTTTTTTCTTTATTAGTCTTGCTAGTGGTCTATCAATTTTGTTGATCCTTTCAAAAAACCAGCTCCTGGATTCATTAATTTTTTGAAGGGTTTTTTGTGTCTCTAATTCCTTCAGTTCTGCTCTGATTTTAGTTATTTCTTGCCTTCTGCTAGCTTTTGAATGTGTTTGCTCTTGCTTTTCTAGTTCTTTTAATTGTGATGTTAAGGTGTAAATTTTGGATCTTTCCTGCTTTCTCTTGTGGGCATTTAGTGCTATCAATTTCCCTCTAACACACTGCTTTGAATGCGTCCCAGAGATTCTGGTATGTTGTGTCTTTGTTCTCGTTGGTTTCAAAGAACATCTTTATTTCTGCCTTCATTTTGTTATGTACCCAGTAGTCATTCAGGAGTAGGTTGTTCAGTTTCCATGTAGTTGAGTGGTTTTGAGTGAGATTCTTAATCCTTAGTTCTAGTTTGATTGCACTGTGGTCTGAGAGACAGTTTGTTATAATTTCTGTTCTTTTACATTTGCTGAGGAGAGCTTTACTTCCAACTATGTGGTCAATTTTGGAACAGGTGTGGTGTGGTGCTGAAAAAAATGTATATTCTGTTGATTTTGGGTGGAGAGTTCTGTAGATGTCTATTAGTTCTGCTTGGTGCAGAGCTGAGTTCAATTCCTGGGAATCCTCGTTGACTTTCTGTCTCGTTGATCTGTCTAATGTTGACAGTGGGGTGTTAAAGTATCCCATTATTAATGTGTGGGAGTCTAAGTCTCTTTGTAGGTCACTCAGGACTTGCTTTATGAATCTGGGTGCTCCTGCATTAGGTGCATATATATTTAGGATAGTTAGCTCTTCTTGTTGAATTGATCCCTTTACCATTATGTAATGACCTTCTTTGTCTCTTTTGATCTTTGTTGGTTTAAAGTCTGTTTTATCAGAGACTAGGATTGCAACCCGTGCCTTTTTTTGTTTTCCATTTGCTTGGTAGATCTTCCTCCATCCTTTTATTTTGAGCCTATGTGTGTCTCTGCACATGAGATGGGTTTCCTGAATACAGCACACTGATGGGTCTTGACTCTTTATCCAATTTGCCAGTCTGTGTCTTTTAATTGGAGCATTTAGTCCATTTACATTTAAAGTTAATATTGTTAGGTGTGGATTTGATCCTGTCATTATGATGTTAGCTGGTTATTTTGCTCGTTAGTTGATGCAGTTTCTTCCTAGTCTCGATGGTCTTTACATTTTGGCATGATTTTGCAGTGGCTGGTACTGGTTGTTCCTTTCCATGTTTAGCGCTTCCTTCAAGGAGCTCTTGTAGGGCAGGCCTGGTGGTGACAAAATCTCTCAGCATTTGTTTGTCTGTAAAGTGTTTTATTTCTCCTTCACCTATGAAGCTTATTTTGGCTGGATATGAAATTCTGGGTTGAAAATTCTTGTCTTTAAGAATGTTGAATATTGGCCCCCACTCTCTTCTGGCTTGTAGAGTTTCTGCCAAGAGATCCACTGTTAGTCTGATGGGCTTCCCTTTGTGGGTAACCGGACCTTTCTCTCTGGCTGCCCTTAACATTTTTTCCTTCATTTCGACTTTGGTGAATCTGACAATTATGTGTCTTGGAGTTGCTCTTCTCGAGGAGTATCTTTGTGGCGTTCTCTGTATTTCCTGAATCTGAATGTTGGCCTGCCTTGCTAGATTGGGGAAGTTCTCCTGGATAATATCCTGCAGAGTGTTTTCTAACTTGGTTCCATTCTCCCCGTCACTTTCATGTACACCAATCAGACGTAGATTTGGTGTTTTCACATAGTCCCATATTTCTTGGAGGCTTTGCTCGTTTCTTTTTATTCTTTTTTCTCTAAACTTCCCTTCTCGCTTCATTTCATTCACTTCATCTTCCATGGCTGATACCCTTTCTTCCAGTTGATCACATTGGCTCCTGAGGCTTCTGCATTCTTCACGTAGTTCTAGAGCCTTGGTTTTCAGCTCCATCAGCTCCTTTAAGCACTTCTCTGTATTGGTTATTCTAGTTATACATTCTTCTAAACTTTTTTCAAAGTTTTCAACTTCTTTGCCTTTGGTTTGAATTTCCTCCCGTAGCTCGGAGTAATTTGATCGTCTGAGGCCTTCTTCTCTCAGCTCGTCAAAGTCATTCTCTGTCCAGCTTTATTCCGTTGCTGGTGAGGAACTGCGTTCCTTTGGAGGAGGAGAGGCACTCTGCTTTTTAGAGTTTCCAGTTTTTTTGCTCTGTTTTTTCCCCATCTTTGTGGTTTTATCTACTTTTGGTCTTTGATGATGGTGATGTACAGATGGGTTTTTGGTGTGGATGTCCTTTCTGTTTGTTAGTTTTCCTTCTAACAGACAGGACCCTCAGCTGCAGGTCTGTTGGAGTACCAGGCCGTGTGAAGTGTCAGTGTGCCCCTGCTGGGGGGTGCCTCCCAGTTAGGCTGCTCGGGGGTCAGGGGTCAGGGACCCACTTGAGGAGGCAGTCTGCCGGTTCTCAGATCTGCAGCTGCGTGCTGGGAGAACCACTGCTCTCTTCAAAGCTGTCAGACAGGGACATTTAAGTCTGCAGAGGTTACTGCTGTCTTTTTGTTTGTCTGTGCCCTGCCCCGAGAGGTGGAGCCTATAGAGGCAGGCAGGCCTCCTTGAGCTGTGGTGGGCTCCACCCAGTTCAAGCTTCCCTGCTGCTTTGTTTACCTAAGCAAGCCTGGGCAATGGCGGGCGCCCCTCCCCCAGCCTTGCTGCCGCCTTGCAGTTTGATCTGACTGCTGTGCTAGCAATCAGTGAGACTCCGTGGGCGTAGGACCCTCCGAGCCAGGTGCGGGATATAGTCTCCCGGTGCGCCATCTTTTAAGCCCGTCGGAAAAGCGCAGTATTCGGGTGGGAGTGACCCGATTTTCAGGTGCTGTCTGTCACCCCTTTCTTTGACTAGGAAAGGGAACTCCCTGACCCCTTGTGCTTCCCGAGTGAGGCAGTGCCTCGCCCTGCTTCGGCTGGTGCATGATGCACACACCCACTGACCTGCGCCCACTGTCTGGCACTCCCTAGTGAGATGAACCTGGTACCTCAGATGGAAATGCAGAAATCACCCATCTTCTGTGTCGCTCACACTTGAACTCATCCTTTTTTATGGCTGCATAGTATTCCATGGTGTATATGTGCCACATTTTCTAAATCTAGTCTATCATTGATGGAAATTTGGGTTGGTTCCAAGTCTTTGCTATTGTGAATAGTGCCACAATAAACATACTTGTACATGTGTCTTTATAGTAGCATGATTTATAATCCTTTGGACATATATCCAGTAATGGGATTGCTGGGTCAAATGGTATTTCTAGTTCTAGATCCTTGAGGAGTCGCCACACTGTCTTCCACAATGGTTGAACTAGTTTGCACTCCCACCAACAGTGTAAAAGTGTTCCTATTTCTCCACATCCTCTTCAGCACCTGTTGTTTCCTGACTTTTTAATAACTGCCATTCTAACTGGTGTGAGATGGTATCTCAATGTGGTTTTGATTTGCATTTCTCTGATGACCAGTGATGATGAGCATTTTTTCCTGTGTCTGTTGGCTGCATAACTGTCTTCATTTTTTTTTTTTAATTGGTAATAGAATTTATTCAAATTGTGCCTTAATATAGGCGCTGGGGCTTGCCCATGGTGCTCTTGATATATAAGGCCCGGACATTCTGCCAGTTTTTCTTGAGCAATGACCCCAAGAAGTTGACAGCCAGGTGAGTGTTATACACAAGCTCATCGTCTGTCATCTTCACGTGACCAACAGCTACAGCCAGACATAACACCTTCTTCATTTGGAACTTGATTGTCGACTTCACCTCATCCACTTTGGCCACCATATTTTCATTTTGTGTGAGCAGTGAAGGGAACTTTCCTGCCTTATTTAGACCTGGGCTGAGGATTCGTGGAATCTGCTTGATCAGAGACTCTGAGGCCAAAAACGCATCATACTTCTTGACCAGCTTCTTGACCAGTTTTTTATTCTTGTTGAGGTTTTTCAGCGTCTTGATGTCCATGTGGGGGATATCTATGGCCTTAGCCTCGTCACAGTGCTGCTGGTCCCCCAGGACACACACAGAGAACTTGGGGTGGGGAGTGGACTTAAGCCTGACGGTGCCCGAGAAGCGCTTGTCCTTCTGGGGGTCATAGTTCTTCAAGCTGATGTGCAACTCCATCGTCTCCAGGAACTTGTGGCGCTTGCACTGGTTCCCATGCAGGACTTCCCGCACCGCCTTGTACAGGGTGTCGCAAGAGACTTTGCTGCTCATGGCTTCTCCCGCCACGCTAACCGGAAAAGAGCAAATGTCTTCTTTTGAGACATGTCTGTTCATATCCTTTGCCCACTTTTTGATGGGGTTGTTTGTTTTTTTCTTGTACATTTGTGTAAGTTCTTTGTAGATTCTGGATATTAGCCCTTTGTCAGATGGGTAGATTGCAAAAATTTTCTCCCATTCTGTAGTTTGCCTGTTCACTTTGATGGTAGTTTCTTTCTGTGCAGAAGCTCTTTGGTTTAATTAGATCCCATTTGTCTATTTTGGCTTTTGTTGCCATTGCTTTTGGTGTTTTTTAGTCATGAAGTCTTTGCCCATGCCTGTGTCCTGAATGGAATTGCCTAGGTTTTCTTCTAGGGTTTTTATGGTTTTAGGTCTAACATTTAAGTCTTTGATCCATCTTGAATTAATTTTTGTATAAGGTGTAAGGAAGGGATCCAGTTTCAGCTTTGTACATATGGCTAGCCAGTTTTCCCAGCACCATTTATTAAGTAGGAAATCCTTTCCCCTTTTCTTGTTTTTGTCAGGTTTGTCAAAGATCAGATGGTTGTAGATGTGTGATGTTATTTCTGAGGCCTCTGTTCTGTTCCATTGGTCTATATCTCTGTTTTGGTACCAGTACCATGGTGTTTTTGTTACTGTAGCCTTGTAGTATAGTTTGAAGTCAGGTAGCATGATGCCTCCAGCTTTGTTCTTTTTGCTTAGGATTGTCTTGGCAATGTGGGCTCTTTTTTGGTTCCATAGGAACTTTAGTCTTTTCCAATTCTGTGAAGAAAGTCATTGGTAGCTTGATGGGAATGGCATTGAATCTATAAATTACCTTGGGCAGTATGGCCATTTTCATGATACTGATTCTTCCTATCTTTGAGCATGGAATGTTCTTCCATTTGTTTGTGTCCTTGTTTATTTCGTTGAGCAGTGGTTTGTAGTTCTCCTTGAAGAGGTCCTTCACATCCCTTGTAAGTTGGATTCCTAGGTAATTTATTCTCTTTGTAGCAATTGTGAATGGGAGTTCACTCATGATTTGGCTCTCTGTTTGTCTGTTATTGGTGTATAGGAATGCTTGTGACTTTTGCACATTTATTTTGTACCCTGAGACTTTGCTGAAGTTGCTTATTAGCTTAAGGAGATTTTAGGCTGAGACGATGGGGATTTCTAAATATACAATCATGGCATCTGCAAACAGGGACAATTTGACTTCCTCTTTTCCTAATTGAATACCCTTTATTTCTTTCTCTTGCCTGATTGCCCTGGCTAGAACTTCCAACACTATGTTGAATAGGAGTGGTGAGAGAGGGCATCCCTGTCTTGTGCCAGTTTTCAAAGGGAATGCTTCCAGCTTTTGCACATTCAGTATGATATTGGCTGTGGGTTTATCATAAATTATTATTTGGAGATACATTCCATCAATACCTAGTTTATTGACAGTTTTTAGCATGAACGGCTGTTGAATTTTGTCAGTGGCCTTTTCTGCATCTATTAAGATAATCACGTGGTTTTTGTCTTTGGTTCTGTTTATGTGATGGATTACATTTATTGATTTGTGTATGTTGAACCAGGCTTGCATCCCAGGGATGAAGCCAACTTGATCATGGTGGATAAGCTTTTCGATGTGCTGCTGGATTTGGTTTGCCAGTATTTTATTGAGGATTTTCGCATCAATATTCATCAGGGATATTGGTCTAAAATTCTCTTTTTGTTGTGTCTCTGCCAGGCTTTGGTATCAGGATGATGCTGGCTTCATAAAACGAGTTAGGGAGGATTCCCTCTTTTTCTATTGATAGGAATAGTTTCAGAAGGAATGGTACCAGCTCCTCTTTGTACCTCTGGTAGAATTCGGCTGTGAATCCGTCTGGTCCTGGACGTTTTTTGGTTGGTAGGCTATTAATTATTGCCTCAATTTCAGAGCCTGTTTTTGGTCTATGCAGGGATTCAGCTTCTTTCTGGTTTAGTCTTGGGAGGGTGTATGTGTGCAGGAATTTATTCATTTCTTCTAGATTTTCCAGTTTATTTGCATAGAGGTGTTTATAGTGTTCTCTGATGGTAGTTTGTATTTCTGTGGGATTGGTGGTGATAACCCCTTTATCATTTTTTATTCCGTTTATTTGATTCTTCTCTCTTTTCTTCTTTGTCTTTTCTTCTTTGTCTTGCTACCAGTCTATCAATTTTGTTGATCTTTTCAAAAAAGCAGCTCCTGGATTCATTGATTTTTTGAAGGGTTTTTTTGTGTCTCTATCTCCTTCAGTTCTGCTCTGATCTTAGTTATTTCTTGCCTTCTGCTAGCTTTTGAATTTGTTTGCTCTTGCTTGTCTAGTTCTTTTAACTGTGATGTTAGGGTGTCGATTTTAGATTTCTCCTGCTTTCTCTTGTGGGCATTTAGTGCTATAAATTTCCCTGTACACACTGCTTTAAATGTGTCCCAGAGATTCTGGTACATTGTCTTTGTTCTCATTGGTTTCAAAGAACATCTTTTTTCTGCCTTCATTTTGTTATTTACCCAGTAGTCATTCAGGAGCAGGTTGTTCAGTTTCCATGTAGTTGTGCGTTTTTGAGTGAGTTTCTTAATCCTGAGTTCTAATTTGATTGCACTGTGGTCTGAGAGACAGTTTGTTGTGATTTCTGTTCTTTTACATTTGCTGAGGAGTGCTTTACTTCCAACTATGTGGTCAATTTTGGAATAAGTGCGATGTGGTGCTGAGAAGAATGTATAATCTGTTGATTTAGGGTGGAGAGTTCTGTAGATGTCTATTAGGTCTGCTTGGTGCAGAGCTGAGTTCAAATCCTGGATATCCTTGTTAACCTTCTGTCTCATTGATCTGTGTAATATTGACAGTGGGGTGTTAAAATCTTCCATTATTATTGTGTGGGAGTCTAAGTCTCTTTGTAGGTTTTCATTTCTTTTTACTTGTTTTTCTCTAAACTTCTCTGTTTAATTTCATTAATTTGATCTTCAATCACTGATACCCTTTCTTCCACTTGATCGAATCGGCTACTGAAGCTTGTACATGTGTCACGTAGTTCTAGTGCCATGGTTTTCAGCTTCATCAGGTCATTTAAGGTCTTCTCTACACTGTTTATTCTAGTTAGCCACTCATCTAATGTTTTTTCAAGGTTTTTAGCTTCCTCGTGAAGGGTTCGAACATCCTCCTTTAGGTCAGATAAGTTTGTTATTACTGACCTTCTGAAGCCTATTTCTGTCAACTTGTCAAAGTCATTCTCCGTCCAGCTTTGTTCCGTTGCTGGCGAGGAGCTCTGATCCTTTGGAGGAGAAAAGGCGCTCTGGTTTTTAGAATTTTCAGCTATTCTGCTCCGGTTTCTCCCCATCTTTGTGGTTTTATCTACCTTTGGTCTTTGATGATGGTGACCTACAGATGGGGTTTTGGCGTGGATGTCCTTTTTGTTGATGTTGATGCTATTCCTTCCTGTTAGTTTTCCTTCCAACAGTCAGGTCCCTCAGCTGCAGGTCTGTTGGAGTTTGCTGGAGGTCCACTCCAGACCCTGTTTGCCTGGGTATCACCAGCAGAGGCTGCAGAACAGCAAATATTGCAGAACAGTAAGTATTGTTGCCTGATCCTTCCTCTGGAAGCTTCATCTCAGAAGGGCACCCGGCTGTATGAGGTGTCTCCCAGTTTGGCCACATGGGGGTCAGGGACCCACTGGAGGAGGCAGTCTGTCCGTTCTCAGAGCTCAAACACCGTGCTGGGAGAACCACTGCTGTCTTCAGAGTTGTCAGACAGGGACGTTTAAGTCTACAGAAGTTTCTGCTGCATTTTGTTCAGCTATGCCCTGCCCCCAGAGGTGGAGTTTACAGAGGCAGGCAGGCCTCCTTGGGCTGTGGTGGGCTCCACCCAGTTCGAGCTTCCCAGCTGCTTTGTTTACCTACTCAAGCCTCAGCAATGGTGGACACCCCTCCCCAAGCAGGGCTACCACCTCACAGTTTGATCTTGGACTGCTGTGCTAGCAGTGAGCAAGGCATGGGACCCATTGAGCCAGGCATGGGACCCACTGAGCCAGGCATGGGATATAATCTCCTGGTGTGCCGTTTGCTGAGACTGTTGGAAAAGCGCAGTATTTAGGTGGCAGTGTCCCGATTTTCCCGGTACAGTCTATCATGGCTTCCCTTGGCTAGGAAAGGGAAATAACCAGACCCCTTGTGCTTCCTGGGTGAGGCGATGCCCCACCCTGCTTTGGCTAACCCTCCGTGGGCTGCAGCCACTGCCCAACTGGTCCCAATGAGATGAACCAGGTACCTCAGTTGAAAGTGCAGAAATCACCCATCTTCTGTGTTGAGCACGCTGGGAGCTGCAGACCGGAGCTATTCCTATTCGGCCATCTTGGAACTGGACCACTACCTAGTATTGTTAATGTGTTGCATATTTTCCATAACAACCCATTAGCAGATATGTAATGCCTTGAAATTTTCTCCCAGCCTTTCTCATTGGGTTCATTGTTTCCTTTGCCTTGCAAAAACTTCTCACTTTCATGGAGCTATGCATGTCTATTTTTGCTTCTGTTGCTTGGAATTTTGGTGCCCAATTAAGATATTTCACAAATGATTCCATTCTCAATGAGACTGTACCCCTGTGTATTCCGTTTTTTCTTTTGTTTCTGTTCTTTTTTTTCCCCACTCCTTGCAACCTGTGAGTATGGCTTCAAATTGCCCTGAAAGTAAGCTTCCTGTCTTTTCTTATAGGAATTTTATGATGTTTCATGGTTTCAGGTCTTGTGTTGAGGTTTTGAATCCATTTTGAGTTGATTTTTGTGCATTGTGTAACAGAAGGGTCCTGTTTCATTCTTTGCATATGGATATTGGTTTTCCCAAAAGAGTTTGATGAAGAAAATCTCTCTCCCCATTGTCTCTTTCTAATCTCTGATGCTGATTTCACTTGCTTTGGAGGCATACCCAGTAGTGGGAATGTTAGATTATATGGTAGTTGTATTTTCTTTCTTTTTTTTTGAGACAGGGTCTCACTCTGTTGTCCATGCTGGGGTGCAGTGGAACAGTCTTGGCTTACTGCAGCCTCCACATCTCAGGCTCAAGAAATTTTCCCACCTCAGCCTCTGTGTACCTGGTACCACAGGCATGTGTCACCATGCCTGCCTAACTTTTGTAGATAGAGAGTTTTGCCTGTTACCTGGGCTGGTCGTGAACTCTTGAGCTCAAGCAATCTGCCCACATTGGCCTCCTGGTAGTTGTACTTTCAAATTTTGAGGGAACTCCAGCTCTTTACCGTAATGTATATACTAATTTATCTTTCCCCCAACTGGAAAAAAGAGTTCCCTTTTCTTCAAATCCATACCAGCATTCTTCTTTTTTAGATTTTTTTTTGTGTGTGTGGCTAGGAATGGTGGCTCATGCCTATAATCCAAGCACTTTGGGAGGCCGAGGTGGGTAGGATCACTTGAGCCTAAGAATTCGAGACCAGCCTAGGCAACATGGCAAAACTTTATCTGTACCAAAAATAAAAAAGTATTAGCCAGGTGTGGTGGGTGCGTGCCTGTAGTTCCAGGTACTCAGGAGGCTGAGGTGGAAGGATCACTTGTGCCCCAGAGGTTAAGACTGCAGTGAGTCATGATCCATGCCACTGCACTCCAGCCTGGGTGACAGAGTGAGTCCCTGTCTCAAAAAAAGTTTTTAAAAATATTTTTAGTAACATTCATTCCAGTAAGTGAAATGGCATCTGAATGTGTGTGTGGTTTTTTAATTTTTTTTTGGAGACTGAGGCTTGCTCTGTCACGCAGGCTGGAGTGCATTGATGAGATCTCGGCTCCCTGCAGCCTCAGCCTCCTGAGTTCAAGCAATTATCATGCCTTAGCCTCCTTAGTAGCTGGGATTACAGGCGTGCACCATGATGCCTGGCTAGTTTTTTTGTATTTTTAGTAGAGACAGGGTTTCACCACGGCCAGGCTGGTCTTGAACTCCTGACCTCAAGTGGATCCGCCCACCTCAGCCTCCCAAAGTGCTGAGATTACAGGCATGAACCACCGTGACCAACCTGAATGTGGTTTTGGAGTTCGTTTTTTTTCTGATGAGTAGTGATGTTGACCTTTTCTCTTACTTGTTGGTCAGTTTTGTATCATCTTTGCAGAGATGTTTATTCACGTCTATTCAGGGTCTTTGCCCAATTAGTTTGGATCTGTATTTTGATGCTACTTAGTATTTTTTTCTCTGTGTACATGTTTGGTACATGTACACAGTTATCACTCATGATTCCCTGAAATTTTCTAACAGTATGTATTTTTTGAGACTGAGTCTCATTCTCTCACCCAGGCTGGAGCACAGTGGCATTTCATGTCACAGTAGCAGGTATTTTGGATACTTACAGCTTTGCAATATAATTTTGATATCAGGGATTGTGAATCCTCCAAGTTGGTTTGTATTTCTCAGGATTCCTTAGATATTCAGGACCATTTGTGGTTCCATATGAACATTAGCATTGTGTATTCGTATTTCTTAAATTTCTGTGTATAATAAAATATGTAATTAGAGGGTATGCTGGTACTTTTTGTTTCCTCTGGGACATTTTGATACATGTATGTTTTTAGTAGTGATCACATCACGGTACTTAGCATATCCATTCCTTCATGAAGGTATTATTTCTCTGTTGTGAGAACATTCAAATTGCTCCCTTCTAGCTTTTTTTGAAAAAAACTTTTTTTTTTTTGTTAACCAGAGTCATCCAGCTGTGGTATAGAACACAAGAATGTGTTTGTCTTAACTAACTGCAACTTTGTTTCCATAACCAATCACTCCCAACCCCTCCTTCCACTCTTCTCAGAAGACTAGTACTGTACCTTCTACTGATTGAACGTGAAGTTTTTTTGAATTTCATATAAGTGAGATGATTCTGTGCTTATCTTTCTATGCCTGGATTATTTTATTTAACATATTTTCCAGGTTCATCTGTATGGCTCCAAATGAAAATGACATTTTCTTCTCAAGGAGTGCATTGCATTGTGCAGATATACTGCAGTTTCTTTATCCCTTCATCTGTGGATGGCCAGGTAGGTTGATTCCACATCTTGGATATTGTGAATAGTGCTTCATGAAACATGGGAAGGCAAATAACTCCTTAAGAAATGGATATCCTTTGCGTTAAATGCATACCCAGTGTGGGGATGACTAGAAGAACTAGTAATTGTATTTTTAATTTGTTGAGGAAACTCCAGCTTTTTTCACAGTATTATATACACTAATTTACATTGCGACCAATAGCGTGTAAGAGTTTCCCTTTTTCTTTTTATTTATTTATTTTTTTTGAGATGGAGTCTTGCTCAGTCGCCCAGGCTGGAGTGCAGTGGTGCGATCTCAGCTCACTGCAGGCTCTGTCTCCCGGGTTCACGCCATTCTCCTGCCTCAGCTTCCCGAGTACCTGGGACAACAAGTACCCGCCACTACACCCGGCTAATTCTTTTTCTGTATTTTTAGTAGAGATGGGGTTTCACCATGTTAGCCAGGATGGTCTTGATCTCCTGACCTCGTGATCCTCCCGTCTCGGCCTCCCAAAGTGCTGGGATTACAGGCGTGAGCCATCGCGCCCGGCTGAGTTTCCCTTTTTCAAGTCTACACTGCTGCCTTCCAAAAATTTTATTGCTGTTTATGGTCATATTCATTCTCGGTGAAGTTTGATGGTATCTGAGTGTGATTCTGACATACATGTTTGGAGTGATTAGTGATGTGGAGAAACTTTTGTTTCACTTGTGAATCAGTTTCATGTCTTCCTTGAAGAAGTGGCTGTGCTGGCCCTTTGCACATTTTTAGCTTGTGTATTTTTTAAAATCTTTTCCCCACTTAGTAGCTTTAGTGTTTGAATATGTTGGATAACAACCGCTTTCAAATTTATGATTTTCCACAGTTTTCCTCCAGTCAGTCTTTCTCCCAAGGTAGGATGCTGTCTCTTTGGGTTCATTGTTTTCTGTCCCATGCAGAAGCTCTAAAGTGTTTGTCTCACATGTTTATATTTGGTTTTGTCAGCAGTGATTTCTGTGTTCCATCACGAAAAAAAGATGGCAAATCATTGTATTGTCTATGGGTATTTTCCCCCTAATTTTTCCTTTTGTTTTTTAAAATTTCTCCTTTGCAACCTGTGTGCACAGATTCAAGTTTCCCCAAAATATACACTGACCCTGTGTTTTTTCCTTGGAGTTTTTGGTTTCAGAATTGGATTTGGGTGTTCAATTGATTTTATGTTTTTGCATATTGTGCAGCATAAGAGAACTGTTTCAGTCTTTTGCACAGGAATATCCAGTTTTCTCAACTGTTATGCCTTTGGTGAGCTTTTGCAAAATATTTTAACTATATATAATTTTGGGTTGCTTATTTGGCTTCCTCATTTTGTTCATTCAGTTGTTTTTCTGTGTGTGTGCCAGTAGCAGATCGTTTGGATCACTCTAGGTTTCCTCTTCCTTAATAATTTTTTTTTCAGCTCCTAATCTTGATTTCTAAAATAATACCTACTTGTATTTTGATTAAAGGGTGCACCTTGCAGGTTGGCCACATGGGTATATGGCAGGATAGTGAAGCTTGGGTTCCGAAGGAACCCCATCACCCAGGCAGTGAGCACAGTACCAATCAGATGGTTCTTCCACCAACATTTACTGTCTCCCTCCGTTCTCTGTCTGGTAGTCCCCAGTATCTGTGGGTGTGTTCGGTGTTTAGCTTCAGTGTATAAATGAGAACATGTGGTATTTGATTTTCTGTTCTTGCATTACTTTGCTTAGCATAGTGGCCTCCAGGTCCATCCTTGTTGCTGTTGAGGACAAGAAAATTTTTTAAGCTGTGTAGGAGTTTTTGGTGTCCATGTACTGCAAGTGTAAAAACCTAATCATCAACTGTTAATGGGCACATAGGTTGATTTTATTTTGTTTTGTTTTTTCTTATGAATAGCACTTCCAAGAACATACCAGTGTATGTGTCATTTTGAAAGAAGGCTTTATTTCCCTTTGTGTAGATACTCAGTTGTGGGATTGCTCTATTCAGATGGTAGTTCTGTTTTAAGTTCTTTGAGTAAACTTCAAACCACTTCTCACAGTGTGACAGCTGGTTTTTATTCCCACCAAGAGCGTAGCAGTGTTCGCTTTCCTCTGCTGCCTCGCCACCATGTTAATGTTTGGACTTAGGACAAATGGCCATTCTGAGTAGTGTAAGATGGTATTTCAGTGTGTGCATGAGTTGCATTTCTCTGACGATTAGTGATGTTGAGCATTTTTTCTTCTGTTGGCTGCTTGTACATCATGTCCTTTGCCCATTGTTTGATTGGATTATTTGTTTTTCTGACTCTTGATTTTTTTAAGGTCATGTTACAGTCTGGCTATTAGACCTTGGTCAGAAGCATAGTTTGGGAACATTTTCTCCCATCCTGTAGGCTATATAGGCATTTACTGTGCTGGTGATTTCTTTTGCTATCTGGCAGTCTTTCAGTTTCTTAGGCCCAACCTTTTTATTTTGGTTTTTCTTGCTGTTGCTTTTAGGGACTAAGTTATCTAAATGCTTTACCAAAGCCTATGTTGAGAAAGGTATTTCCTAGGTTTTCTTCTAGGACTTTTATAGTTTGAGGTCTTCTTCTGAAATCTTTTGCTCACCTTGAGTCAATTTTTGCATATGGTGACAGGTAGGGCTCCAGTGTTAATCTTTTGCATGTGTCTAGCTGCCTTTCCTAGTACCATTCATTGCACAGGGAGTCCTTTCTCCATTGCTGAGTTTTGAGTCTTTTCAAAGGTCAGATGGTTGTAGGTGTGTGGGATTACTTCCAGGTTCTCTATTCTGTCCAGGTGGAGGCAGGTCTATATCTCTGTCATGAAATTTGAAATCAGGGAGTGTGGTCCATCTGACGTTGTCTGGATCTTCCAGCTTGGCTTTGCAGTTTCAGGGAGTTTTGTGGTCCCACAGGAATTTTATCATTGTTTCTTTACATTGCTTTCAAAAAACAAAATTGGCCCATACATAAATGTGTACAAATAGAGGTTAGAGTGGGACATTTGGGTCCATGCATGCATTGCATAGTGATGAAATCAGGGTATTTAGCATCTATTTTTGCCTTGTAGAGTTATCATGTCTTTGAGGTGAGGACGGCCAGAACCCTCCTTTCTGGCTGTCTTGGAAACTACCCTCTGATAATGTTAGCCCTAGTCACTCTGCTGAGGAATAGAACAGCAGGTTTCATTCCTCTTATGGAACTTGTCACTATGTACCCATTTCCTATCCCTGCCCATGCCCCACCTTCCACTCCAACCCTGGCAAGCACTATGGTGCTTTCTAGGTCTATGTGAGATAAAGTGTCTTGTAGTCCTCATGAGTGAGATGATGATGATGTGAGGTTTGCCTTTCTTGGCCTAATGTGTTTCATTTACGATAATGTCCTCCAGGTTCCACTATGTTGCTGTGAATGACATGATTTCAGTATGCATGTCTAGCTGAAGAGTATTTATTTGTGAATGGGTACTGCGGTTTCTGGATCTCATTCTCTGTGGGTGGACAGGTAGGTTGATTCCTTATCTTGTCTTTTGTGACTGGTGCCACAGTCAGTATGGGAAGGCAGATACCACTTCCATGTACTGGTTTCAAGTGCTTCCACTGCACACCCAGCAGTAGCAAAGCTAAAGGAAATGGTAGTTGTATTTTTAGTTTTCTGTGGAACCTCCAACTGGTCTCTGTAGTTTGCATACTAATTTACTTTGTCAACAATTATGGATAAGAGAGCTCCCTGTTCTGGAGATTCACACAAGTGTTTGTGGTTTCCCTTGTTTTAAAATATATGAAGGCCTTTGTAATATTCATTCCACCGAGAAGGACAGGGTATCTGATCTTGTTCTGATTTTCATTTTTTTCCCATGATTAGTGATGTTAACTAAGTGTTGGTAAACTTGTTTTCAATTTTTTGTGTTCTTTGCAGAAAAGGCTATTCAGGTTCTTTGCTCAGTTTTGGCTCAGTAATTACTTTCTCTTTTCTGTTGTTTTCTGCTAATTAGTAGTGTTACTTACACATTTTCCAAAAAATGCATCAATAGCTGTGTTTTCCCTTCAAATTCTCTTATCCTTCAGATGTTTTTCCTTTTCATTCATTGTTTTAGTAGTGTTAGTTACTTATATGTTTTCCAAAAAATGCCTCAATAGCTGTGTTTTTCCTCAGAATTCTCCTATCATCCTTTAGATGTTTTTTTCTTTTCATTCACTGTTTTTATTCTTTCTTGCACACAAGCCATACAATCTGATGTGGTTTCACATGTGTGCAAAGTTTTGATTTTCCCTTGGTGACTGGTGAAGTAAAAGCAATCCACTAGCATACCAATCCATTGTCAGTGAGTTTTGATTGTTTGTATTCTTTTCTTTCCCCTATATTTTTTGTTTTCCTTTTTGCAAAGCATAAGCACAGATCCAGGTTGACCCAGGTATCTGCATACCAGACGCTTTCTCCTAGGAGAGTGATGGCTTCCAGTTTTGTGTGTAGGTCTTACGTCCATGTTGAATGGATTATTGTGAATTTCACACAGTAGGAACCCCTTTTTGTTATTTTACTAGGGATCTCGCATTTTCAGAATGATGCGATGAACAGGCTCTCCCTTCCTGTGGTGACTTTTGGGATTCTTTTCCAACATGTGCTCACTCCACATCAATTTGGGTTTGCCCCTTGGCACCCTCATCGTGTCCGTTGGCCTGTGTTACCCTGTTAATGCCAATCACATATATAGTTTGGGTAGCTAAGGCTTTGCAAAGTAATTTAAAATGGAGGCATGTGATGCACTCTACCAAGTTTGTATGTGTAGGAACTGCTTTGGGGATGCAGGGCGTTTCATTGTCCCGCAGGATTTTTAGTAGGGTGTTGTGATCCTGTTGTGAAAACAAGAATTTCCACATGGTCTATGTGTGTACTTAAAGGGTGCAGGGGACCTTCTGACATATGTACCACTAGTGTCATGATCAACCTGCAGGACCTAGCTCATTTCTGTTTCATGCTACAGACATGATTTCTTGGTGGGGAGAGCATTCCGAATCCTCCCTGCCCACTCTGTGGGATATTATGCTAGGATATTATTAAGCCTAGTCACCCTGCTGTGCTGTAGAACACCAGAATTCCTGCCTCTCATCTAAGTGTCACTTTGTAGCTGTTTCCAGTCCTCCCCCCAGCCTCTGGTACCCACTATTGACATGGATACCTCTGTGAGAAGATTGACTTTGTCAGATTCTCATGTTGGGGAGATCATGCAGAATTTGTGTTTGCCTTCCTCTGCTTGGCTTATTTCATTTAACTTAATGTCCTCCAGGTTTCTTCACCTTGCTGGAAGTGACCTGATGTCCAGAAGTTTGATGGCTGAAGAGTATTCTCTTGTGCATATATCCTTCAGTTTCTGCATGTCTTCATCTGTGGATGGACAGGTAGGTTGACTCCGTACCTTGATTATTGTCTCTAGTGCCTCATGAAACATGGGAAGGCAGGTATCTCCTTAAGGTATGAATTTCTTCTGCTTTACAGGTATACCCAGTGTTGGGATGGCTAGATGAAGAACTGGTAGTTGTACTGCTGATTCTTTCAGAAACCTCCAGATGTTTTTCCTAGTGTTTATGGGAGTTTACATTACCACCAATAGGAGATAAGAGTTCCTGTGTCTGCAAGTCTACATACACTAGCCCTTGCCTTCAGAAAAATTTATTGCTCTTTCTGGTCATACTCATCCTCCAGGGAAGTTGGACAGTATGTGAGTGTGGGTGGTTGGGATTTACATTTGGGGGATGATTGCTGATGTGAAGAAATTTTTCTGTTACCCAAGAGTCAACGTAAGGTCTTCTTTTAAGAAATGTCCACGCAGGTCCTCTGGGCATTTTCAGCTTGTGTATGGGTTTTTATGTTTTGCCCATTTAGAACCATTAGTTTCTGAAGTATGTTAGATAACAGGCTCTTCCATGATTTTTCCATAATTTTTTCCCAGTCTGTAGGATGGCTTCAGTTTGGGTTTGCTGTTTTCTCTCTGGGAAGTTAGTTGTCCTTAGCCCCACGTGGTTATATTTGCTTTCGTTAGCAGTGATTTCTGTGTCCTATTGAGAAGGGAGATGGCGAAGCCATTGTACGGTCTGTGGGTATTTGGCTCCTATGTTTTCCTTTCCTGTTTGCAGCTTAGGTGTAGGGATTCAAGTTTCCCCAAAATTGATGCTCACCCTGTGCATTTTCCTTGGAGTTTTTTGGTTTCAGGATTGCACTTACATGTTTGGTGGACTTTATGTTGCTTTTTGGATCTTGTGCAACAGAAGGGTTTATTTCAGTCCTCTGCACATGAATACCTGGTTTTTTCAACCACTGTGCCTTTGGCATGCTTCCCAGGGTGAGGTGGGGAGGGTGAGAAATGTGTTCACTGTCTGTAATTTTGGGTTGATTATATGGCCCCTTGTTTTGTCCAGTCGGTTATCTTCCTAAGTTTATGCCACTAATGTGTGGGTTAGGTTACTATAGGCTTTGTTTTGTTTTGCTTCGTGTGCGTTTTCTTGTTTTATTTACTTTTTCCTATTTTTAGTTCCAAACCTGGATTTTCTAAAACAACAGCTACTTTTATTGTGATCAAGGGGTACACCTGCAGGCCAGCTACGTGGCTATACAGCAGGATGCTGAAGCTTGGGATCCCAACGCACCTGTCACCTGGGCTGTGGAGACAGTACCAGTGGGGTTGTTCTTCCTCCAGGGCTTTCTGTTTCCATCCTTTTCCTGTCTGGTCATCCCCAGCACCTGTTGATTTCATCTTTATGTTCGGGCGTATTTGGTGTTTAGCTTCTGCTTGTCAGTGAGAACCTGCATTACTTGGTTTTTTGTTCTTGCCTTAGTTCACCCAGCCTAGTGGCCTCCAATTCCATCCATGTTGCTGCCGGGGGCATGATTTTGTTTGTGTTTGATCATCCTTGCTGGCCTTTTAGCAAAGGTATCACATTTTTTCAAATCTTATTTACTCTTGGTGGGCACCTAGGTTATTTCCACATCTTCCCACTTGGGAATAGCACTCCTGTGAACGTGCGAGGGTGTGTGTCCTTCTTGATAGAAACATTTATTTTCCTTTGGGTAGATACCCAAAGGATACCCAGGATTGCTTGGTTGGAGGGTAGTTGCTTTCCATCCATTTATTTATTTATTTATTTATTTTTTCTCTATTATTGAGAAGTCTTCAAACTGCTTTCTGCAGTATGAGGTCAATTTTGCATTCCCACCAAGAGTGTAACAGAGTTTCGTTTCCTCCGCTACCTCTCCAGCATGTTCTCTTTTGACTTTGGACTAGTGGCTGTTCTGACTGGCGTGAAATGCTGCTGTTATGATTTATGTAAGGTCCTTGTAGATTCTAGCTACTAGGACTTGGTGGAGACGCACAGTTTGGGCACATTTTCTCCCCTCCTGTAGGCTGTGTGTTAACTGTGTTGGCCGTTGCTTCCCAGCCTCTTTGCTCCTATATATAGCCATTTAAGTGAGTCCTGGCCATGTATATGTGTATAGAATTTATGTTTGCTCTATACAGTCCTGGCCCATGATTTTATGTTCTGATTTAGAATATAAACAAGAATTGAGACTTGCTAGATGAAAGAAAAAGCACTCTTCAGTGCTTCCTATGACGAGGTACACCAGCTGTCTTCTACTGCTTTAGACAGCTACATATTTGCTGGACAATAATTTTCCAGGATAAGGACAAGCCAGAGCATTCTCCACATTCATCTTCTGCTCCAGTTTCTCATGGTTATGATCAAAGCTAGACAATGACTGATCCAGGAGGCTGAGATCACAAGATGCACTGTGGTCCTCTGGTTTAAGACAGGCTAGATCATCAGACGGAGGAAATAGGTGGCCCTGTCTTCTGGATTTTCACCTCCTCTGTTTTCAGGATACTTGAAGTCAGTTTTGCTACTCAGACATGATTGAGAGAGATCCTTTTGAGTCATTTCATAGAACCACAGAATGTGCCAATGTGACAGCCAAGAAAGCAGAAAGACCAAGGCATTGAGAATTTCAGCAGTATAGCAAGAGGCAGGCAGTGGTTAGCAGACATACACTGAATAGTGAGCTCTGAGCATCCTGTGCTGCACCCTGCAGCCTGCAGGGGATGAGAACTTGCCCTTTCTTTTGCTGCCTGGCACACATGCGTGTTGTTCTCGAGACTTGGGTGCCACCTCCAGAATAAGGCCAAGAGCTTCGTTTTCTCAGGTTCCACTGCAGGAGGCATTGCAGTGGCTTCATGATGACTTGAAGCTGAGTCCACAGAGAGGAAAAAGCTCCTGTCCATGGCTGGAAAGCTGGGGGTGTGGGAAGGGGATTATCACAGTTACTCCTAGACATTCTTCTAAAATAGCACAGAACCTTTCATTTTATGGACTGTTTGTGGAAATAAAGACCACCCAAATGAGAAAAGGAAAGCCCATTTATTCAGAGTTTGCTACCCTGAAAGCAGACTCCACCTTGCCTCTTTCATCGATCAAACACAAGAAGTGTTAATGGCACAGACGCTGTCATGAAGGCGACAAGAACTCCAGAGCACTGTGATTGTCTAGCTCTACCTCATCTTGGGCAGAGGTGCTGTCATCAGTAACGTCTACAGTTAGTAATAGGTTTTTTACTCTCGTTACTATTTGTGTGACTCCCACCACTGGGAACACTGCCCTCATTGTTCACATAAACAATGAGTCAGTAATTTCTCCAGGTAGTAGCTCTGAATAGTTGAGTGGACTCATTTTGGAGCTCATATCTGAGTTGGATTTCCAGTCTTGCCCATTATATATTTAGGGTCTGTGTATATATAGACAATTCTCGAAGTACTCTTTCTACCAAAGTGGATAAAGTGTTAGTCTGAGGCAAATAGGACCATCTGTTCTGGCCACAAAGGAAGTATTTAGCAGGCGTACACAGAAACCAGGGAGATAAGTTGTTCACAGTGTAAAAACTAAGGCCTTACACCAGCTAGGTTATATAGTTGGAACTCTGTTAGTCTCTTCTCTGTGGCAGGTATTTGGCCTATTGCCCTACAAAGTCTGGTGAATTCAAATTTATAGTTACTGAGGGTCTGATCAATAGATTGTAACAAATGGTAAGATAACCAATTATTCTTATTGGCAAAATGACCAATCATTGGCATTGATATTAGTCATTATCTTTCTGGAAGAAAGGGACTCTAGCAAGTCACAGGTTGACTTTTTTAGGGTTAACTGTCAATGTAGGTGCAAGTGAAAATGCCATTCGCTATGATGCCTGTGGTCCCATCTGATGAAACCAGAATTGCCAGAAGTTTATCCAGCATATCTAGCAGTCAGGAGGATTGAGGACAGTGGCTACTCTTTGGGATTATCTAAGAATGGCATTAGAATGAGTATGTTCTGACCTAACTCTTATAATAAAGATGGAAAAAAGAGCAAAAGAGTCATTCTGAATGAATGACAAAAAGGGGTCTATAGAAAATGAGAAGGATGGTTATAAGCAAGCAGGTAAAAACCAAAACAGGAATTAGGAGTCTTGGTCTGATGTGTTAGACAGAAGCTATCCACCGTCCACTGTCATTGCTTATTCTGAAGGTGTTGGGTCAGTTGTCTGCTTGTGCAGATCAGTTGCTCCTGGAGGATCTCTGAGAATCCTCACTTTGAGATTTTCTATTTGAGTAGTCTTCCAATTGTGTGGAATTCTGAATTTCTTTTTTAGTTGTGAAATATGAACCCAAGTATTGACGTCTTGGTTTTAATGCTGTATTTGTTGCTCACCGTTCCAGATACAGTCTCTTCCAACAAAACTCAAGCAGTTTTTCTCTAGTGTTTTCTCCAATAGAAAAAATCTGCTGACAGAATGTCATTAAAAGGTTGTTTAGGATGCTATTATGGGAAAGGCTTTAGTCAGTTGCTGATAGGACTGGATGTAGTATGTGCATTCCTTGCAATAATTTGCCATGCCTGCAATAGGGTGGTAGGGCAGAGTCTATTATTGAAAGTGAAATTTCTAAACACATGGGCTTCCAGTCATTAATTCAAATAGGTATAACTGAGTGTTTCTGAGGGAGTGGATCATATGGCCATGGGCCTGGCTTGCCCTCCACTCAGAGGTGGGTAGTGCACTGCCAGTGCAGGCCTCAGGGAGGAAAGGGAGAAACAGAGATGGGAAAAGCAAAAAACGAGATACAGGAAATGCAACAGAAGCACACAAACAACAAGCACACTGACATTCATTGGGCAGGCTGTCCTCTCACCCATGGCCAGCAGCATAGGCAGCCAAGACTCAGGCAGGAAGGCCACTGACCTCAGGACCTGCAGGGTGTGGGGAGGGGAGGTGATGAGATGAACTAGTCCAGGTCACAGCTATGTATATCTGGCTTCAAGAAAATATTATTTCAAGTCAAAGTACATTTATGGAATCCTTCTGATTATATAAAAAAGCAAAGTTTCCAAAATTTGATAGTGATTACCCAACATATCCGTACACTTAGATACAGGGTTTTTCTAAAACTGGGATCAGGCCAGGTATGGTGGCTCAGGCCTGTAATCCTAGCATTTTGGGAGCGTGAGGTGGGAGGATTGCTTGAGGCCAGGAGTTGGAGACCAGCCTGGGCAACATGGTGAGATTCCCCCCCTTCCATCTTTACCAAAAATACAAAAATTAGCGGGGCATGGTGGCACAAACGTATAGTCCCAGCAAC
The DNA here is from genome assembly GCF_000001405.40 of Homo sapiens. Taxonomy (NCBI): domain Eukaryota; kingdom Metazoa; phylum Chordata; class Mammalia; order Primates; family Hominidae; genus Homo; species Homo sapiens. The sequence goes on along the minus strand of NC_000008.11, from coordinate 47,139,480 downwards.
TCCAGAGGCTGAGGTAGCTCACTGGCTGCAGTGAGTCAAGATCGTGCCACTGCACTCCAGACTGAGCAACACCTCATCCCCCCTCCCCCCAAAAAATCACAATTTTAATAATTATTCTGGAGTTGGGTAAAAGAATACCCTTATTCTGGCTGGGTGTGGTGGCTCACGCCTGTAATCCTAGCACTTTGGGAGGCCGAGGTGGGCAGATCACGAGGTCAGGAGATCAAGATCATCCTGGCTAACACAGGTGAAACCTTGTCTCTACTAAAACTATACAAAATTAGCCGGATGTAGTGGCGGGCACCTGTAGTCCCAGCTACTCTGGAGGCTGAGGCAGGAGAATGGCAGGAACCTGGGAGGCGGAGCTTGCAGTGAGTAGAGATCGCACTACTGCACTCCAGCCTGGGTGACAGAGGTAGACTCCATCTCAAAAAAAAAAAAAAAAAAATACCCTTATTCTTAGGAAATACACACCTAGGGGTGATTATGTCCATAATTTCCTCTCAAATTACTAAAAAAAAGGTATGTAAATAGACAAATGATACAAAATGGAACAAAATGTTAGAAATTGGTGAGTCCCGATTAAGAGAAGAAGGAGCATTCTTGGTACTATTCTTGTAACAACATATGAAATTATATAAAAATTTTAAGTTCCTAAAACTGATTGTAGAAGTGTATGCTCAGAGTGAGCATCTATTTTGTAAAATAGCAATTAAGACCAAAACTTTAATCAGCTAAAATCTTATCAAATAAAAGTAGTGATATATTACAGTATTTTTCTTTTCTTTTCTTTTCTTTTTTTTAGTATTTATTGATCATTCTTGGGTGTTTCTCGGAGAGGGGGATGTGGCAGGGTCATAGGATAATAGTGGAGAGAAGGTCAGCAGATAAACACGTGAACAAAGGTCTCTGGTTTTCCTAGGCAGAGGTCCCTGCGGCCTTCCGCAGTGTTTGTGTCCCTGGGTGCTTGAGATGAGGGAGTGGTGATGACTCTTAATGAGCATGCTGCCTTCAAGCATCTGTTTAACAAAGCACATCTTGCACCGCCCTTAATCCATTTAACCCTGAGTTGACACAGCACATGTTTCAGAGAGCACGGCGTTGGGGGTTAGGTTATAGATTAACAGCATCCCAAGGCAGAAGAATTTTTCTTAGTACAGAACAAAATGGAGTCTCCTATGTCTACTTCTTTCTACACAGACACAGTAACAATCTGATCTCTCTTTTCCCCACATTCCCCCTTTTTCTTTTAGACAAAACCGCCATCGTCATCATGGCCCATTCTCCATGGTCGCTGTCTCTTCAGAGCTGTTGGGTACACTTCCCAGACGGGGCGGCCTGGCAGAGGTGCTCCTCACATCCCAGAGGGGGCCGCTGGGCAGAGGCGCTCCTCACATCCCATACGATGGGCGGCCAGGCAGAGACGCTCCTCACTTCCTAGATGGGGCGGCGGCTGGGCAGAGGCGCTCCTGACTTCCCAGACGGGGTGGCCAGGCAGAGGGGCTCCTCACATCCCAGACGATGGGCGGCCAGGCAGAGACGCTCCTCACTTCCTAGACGGGGTGGTGGCCGGGCAGAGGCTGTAGTCTTAGCACTTTGGGAGGCCAAGGCAGGCGGCTGGGAGGTGGAGGTTGTAGCGAGATCACACCACTGCATTCCAGCCTGGGCAACATTGAGCATTGAGTGAGCGAGACTCCGTCTGCAATCCCAGCACCTCGGGAGGCTGAGGCGGGCAGATCACTCGAGGTCAGGAGCTGGAGACCAGCCCTGCCAACACGGCGAAACCCCCTCTCCACCAAAAATACAAAAACCAGTCAGGAGTGGCGGCACGTGCTTGCAATCCCAGGCAGTCAGCAGGCCGAGGCAGGAGAATCACGGGAGCCCGAGGCAGGGAGGTTGCAGCTAGCCGAGATCACGGCAGTACAGTCCAGCCTCGGCAACAGAGGGAGACTGTAGAAAGAAAGAAAGAACTAAAGAAAGAAAAAGAAAGGAAGGCAAGCAGGCAGGCATATTACAGTATTTTTCATATCAAATCATGGTAAAGGGGCAATCACTTTTACAAGTTTCTCACCAAGCACAGTACATTTTTGTGGATTTTTCAAGAATTCAACTTCCTGTAATTCTTATCTTCCTCTACCTAAAGTGACATAGTTTACCAAGTAATTTTAAATAAGGGTTAGATTTGGTTAGATTCTCAAGGCGTCCTTTTTGAAAATCATACATTTAATTTCGATGTGGAATTGGCCTCTTTGTTTCTGAGAAAGAAATATACAAAAATACCCCCTTATTGGCCAGGGGCAGTGGCTCATGTCTGTAATCCCAGCACTTTGGGAGGCCAAGGCAGGCAGATCACAAGGTCAAGAGATCTAGACCATCCTGGCCAACATGGTGAAACCCCGTCTCTACTAAAAATACAAAAATTAGCTAGGTGTGGTGGTGCACACCTGTAGTCCCAGCTACTCGGGAGGCTGAAGCAGGAGAATTGCTTGAACCTAGGAGGCAGAGGTTGCAGTGAGCCAAGATCGCACCACTGCACTCCAGCCTGGTGACACAGTGAGACTCCATCTCAAAAACAAACAAAAAATGCCCCCTTATTAACACACAATGGCTTTCTCCTGACCATTATTTCTAGCTATGCACAGTCTTCTTACTATCTCAGCATAATCATTCTGAACTTCTTCCATTTCTCAGGTAGAAGATACAAGCCAGCTCAAGATAGATTAAAGACTTAAATGTAAGACCTGGAACTATGAAACTGCTAGAAAAAAACATAGGGAAAACTCTTCAGGACATTGGTTTAGCAAATAATTTATGGCTGAGATCTCAAAAGCACAGGCAACAAAAGCAAAAATAGATGACTGGGATATAGCTTCTGCACAGGAAAAGAAACAACACATGAAGAGACAGCCTCTTGAATGGGAGAAAATAACTGCAAATTACTCATCTGACGGGGGACTAATATGCAGAGTATACAAGGAACTCAAATTCCTCAAAAGTAACAAAACAATCCCATTGAAAATGGGCCAAGGACAGGAATAGACATTTCTCAAAAGACTTACAAATGGCTAACAGGTATATGAGAAAATTCTCAACATCATTGATCAGGGAAATGCAAATCAAAACCACAATGAGGTATCATCTCACCTCAGAATGGCTATTATTAAAAAGACAAAAAATAACAGATGCTGGTGAGAATGCAGAGAAATGGAAACTCTGTTATACTGTCAGTAGGAATGCAAATCAGTATAACCACGATGGAAACCAGTATGGAGAATTCTAAAAAACTTAAACATAGAAGTACTGTATGGTCCAACGTTTCCACTACTGGGTATTTATCCAAAGGAAAGAGTTCAGGCCGGGCGTGGTGGCTCATGCCTGTAATCCCAGCACTTTGGGAGGCTAAGGCAGGTATATCACTTGAGGTCAGGAGTTTGAGACCAGCCTGGATAACATGGAGAAACCCCATCTCCACTAAAAATACAAAAAATAATTAGCCAGGCGTTGTGGTGCACACCTGTAATCCCAGCTACCTGGGGAGGCTGAGGCAGGAGAATCACTTGAACCCAGGAAGTGGAGCTTGCGGTGAGGCGAGATTGCACCACTCAACTCCGGACTGGGTGACAGAGTGAGATTCTTTCTAAAAAATAAATAAATAAATAAATAAAAATTTAGTGTAGCAAAGGGATACCTGCATTGTCATGTTTATCACAGCACTATTCACAATAGCAAAGATACAGAATCAACCCAAGTGTCCATCAACAAATGAATAGCTAAGTAAAATGTGCAAAATGTATACAATAGAATACTATTTGGCAATAAAAAATAATGAAATCATATCATTTGCAAAAACATGGATAGATCTGGAAGTCATTATGTTAAGTGAAATAAGCCAGGCACAGAAAGACAGATACTGCAGGTTCTCACTCACATGTGGGAGCTAAAAAAACTTGATCTCATGGACACAGAGAATACAATGGCAGATACTAGAGTCCGGGAAGACCGGGTGTGTGGAAGTGAGAATGAAGAGAGGGTGGCTATTGGGTGCAAACATACAGTTAGAAGAAATAAGGTGTAATGTTTGACAGCAGACTAGGGTAGCTAAGCCACAATATTTCAAAGTAGCCAGAATACACATTCACTGCATGTAACAAACACTCGTATGTACCCTATAAATGAGTAAAATAGGTAAATAGGTAAAATATTATGGGTGTCAATGATTTTTTTTTTTTTGAGATGGAGTCTTGCTCTGTCACCCAGGCTGGAGTGCAGTGGCACGATCTCAGCTCACTGCAAACTCTGCCTGCTGGGTTCACGTCATTCTCCTGCCTCAGCCTCCTAAGTAGCTGGGACTACAGGTGCCCGCCACCACACCCGGCTAATTTTTTGTATTTTCAGTAGAGACGGGGTTTCACCGTGTTAGCCAGGATAGTCTCGATCTCCCGACCTCATGATCCGCCCACCTCAGCCTCCCAAAGTGCTGGGATTACAGGCAATGATTTTTTTAAGATAGAGAGGTTATGCCCAAGTCTCCAGAGAGGGGCCCTTTGGATCCGCACAGCACATCCTGCGTACCTGCATCCACTGCTCCACCATGCTAGTCTTGTCTGGGCCTTCATGCTCTGGCTCCCAAGGCAAGTGGTGCTGACTCAGGTGGCCACACTGTGGACCTGGGTGTTCGTGGCCCAGAAGGTGGGTGCTAGGGTCTTCCTGCCCTAATTGTTTCACTGAGACCAGATGGTCCCAGGCAGTGACAGGGCACCACTTTCTTGATCAGATCCTGGGACATATGAGGAGTGTCACCTGGCCCCTCCTCATCCCAACTAAGAGCCCAAAGTACCCCCAAGCCTGGGCCATGGCTGGGCTGGAATTCAGGAAGCCTAGGATGCGGCCAAACCTTGTGGCATCTCTGGGTTCTCAGCCCACTGAGGGTGCCCCATACAGATGATCCATGACCCATAGCTGGTGGGGAGAGACTGGCATTTCTCTGGCCCCTCCTTACTCATGCCAAGCACCCCAACTGTCCTTCCTGGTCCATCACCCTGGTCATATTCCCCAGGGCAGCTCAGGGCTTTGTTCAGCTGTCTACCATAGTCAGGTGCCTAATAAGTGCTGAGACTTGCAAGACCACCTGGGCAGATGGGTTGATGCCCTCTGGTGAGCACCCCCAGCAGCCAGGCCCCTGTCCACGTGTCTGCCTGCTCCCGCTTGTGTTTGACTGTCACAACGCTGCATGCCAGGGACACCGGCTCCCATCCCTCCTGTCGAGAAGGACACAGCAAGTGCGTGGGGGTAAGGCATTTGCCAGGTGGCACAGGTGCTGAGGGTCGGAGCTGGGATTTGAACCCAGATCATGGAACTCTGCGTGGGGGAGTGCAGGTGTGGGGATGCCCATAAACGAAGGAAGGGTGGCCCAGCCCACGGAGCCCAGCTGCTCCCTGCAACCCTGGAGGAAACTGCTCTGCCCTCAGGTGGGGAGAGGGCCCAGGAGGCCAGGCCTCCCCTTGCTTGCTGGCTCAGGGGATCACAGTGGGACAAGGCGATTTAGTGTGTGTGTCTTCTTTCTTTTTCTCTATTTCATTCAAAAGTTCATTTAGTATCAAGCAAGAGGAGCCTTAGCTTAACCCTCCAGATCAGGCAAGACTTGAGTTACAAAAGAATACATTCTTTTTGCACTCCTAATTGTCTTCCTCTCTACTTTTGTTGGCAAGAGCAGGTCTGTGTCCTAGGTTCGGAATCCATTTTTCATCCCACACCAAAGCGCTTGCTGTTTGGGTGAGCACCCTGGAGCCTGGCCACGTGGAGCTGTGTAGCAGGAGGGTCCCTGCAGGAGGGTCACAGAGCCACTGCCCGGGTCCAGCTCAACTGTGCTGACAGGGTTGCCTGATCTGGCTCCCTGGGGCTTAAAGCATCCTGTTCCCAGGATCTGCACATAGGGATGCCTTTCTGCATCTCACCGTCAGTGGTAGGTGCTCGTGCTCCTCCCCCCGCTCAGCAGGGCCTGGAGACCGTGGGCGGCTTATGTTCCACGATTTTGAGGCCATTTGCAGCGAGTTCCGCCAGGCTGCCCCTCCCCTGCAGCCGCGGCCACCTGGGCACAGCACCGCCACGAGTGTCTTCGGGGCTTTCTTCAGAGGAGACAGTCAGCATCCTCAAGTACCAGGCGCTCTGGCCCCAGTCCTGCTTGTAGACGCCTTTTCCCACGGGCTGCCTCTCCTTATCAATGGCCTGAAGCTTGGCCAGTTTCCACGAGGTCTGGCGGGAACACAAGGCTGTCACTGACATTTGTGGCACCAGAACTTACAAGCACGCGGGTTGCACACGTCGGACACTGCCACGTGCAGTAACTTGCCATCTGAGGTACGCCGCACGCGCACGCCGCAGCAGCTTGGCTTGGTGTTCTGCGCATGCGTATGTAACGGCTTGGCTTGGCGTTCGTCGCTTGGCTTGGTGTTGGTCTCTTGACTTGGCGTTCCATGCTTGGCTTGGCGTTGGTCGCTTCGCTTCGTGGTCCTCGCGTGGATTGGCATTTCCTCCCTGTGCATTCCTTTGCTGGGCTTGACCTTTTCTTGGCTGGGCTTGGCATTCCCCTGGCTGGGCTGGGGGTTTCCTTGGCGGGTGGGTGGAGGGGCTTGGCCTTTCCCCAGGTGGGCGTGGGCTTCCCTGGGTGGGCGTGGGGTGGGTGTGGGCTTCCCCCCGCCGGGTGGGAGTGGAATTTCCCCAGGTGGGTGTGGCCTTTCAAATCCTAGTATTTATCATTGGAAATATCTGATTTACATATATTCTATAAATCTAAGTATTGAAAAAATGAGCAATACCTATTCATTTGAACCCCAAGTTTCCTTTGGCTTAAAGTTTTTTTTTTTTTTTTTAGTAGAGATGGGGTTTTTGCCATGTTTCCCAGGCTGGTCTTGAACTCCTGGGCTCAAGCAATTCCACCTCAGCCTCTCAAAATGCTGGGATTACAGGTGTGACACCACGCCTGGCCTAATTTGACTTTTATCTCTGTGATTGGGACATTAAAATGAATATTATTGGCAGTATCTATCAGCTTACAGAATAATACCTTTTCCTTCCTACCATCAGTTTTTCAATTCCCCCCACATTCAAAACCTGATGTGGAACCCACATCTTATCCTAGACTTAACTGAGAACTTCATGTTAAGAGATCTTTTGAGTCCTGTGTTGGTCTTTTCTCTAGCAGATATTAGTTGGGCTTGTTCTAAACTGTCAGAGAGGTTCAAATAATGTGGCAGAAAGACATCAGTGTTTGTTTCTTCTTCTTTGCTACCAGATACATACACTGAGGCACCTTTATATCCTGTATAGTACCTTAGGCAGTAGAAAGCCCCATGTTAACCTTCCCTAGAGCAGTGGGCACCCAGTTGTGGTTGGCCCCTTGAGTGATCTATTTTCCATGATAATGAAAATCTCCCAAGCTACTTGCATCTCTTCCTCAAGATTTAAAAATATTTTCTAATTCTACCTCACAGGAAACCTTTGGAGATAATTCTCGAGATCTCAAGTAGGTTAGTTAGACTGAGAGCCAAATCTTGTTCGTGACTCATCACTGTCCATGTGTAAAAGTGGGGCTTTGTGCTTGCTTCGGCTGCACATATCCTAAAATTGGAACAATACAGAGAAAATTAGCATGGCCCCTGCATAGGGACGCTGCACAAATTTTTGAAGCATTCCATATTTTGCACAGTCACTGGAAGGTCATTTGACTATTTGCTCACTAACTCTAAGGAAACAGTGTGAATCAAAGCAAAATGGGTGCCATCTAAATATTGAAATTGTGATTTTCGCTACAAAAATATTCATGTAAGGTGGCCTATGAGATGTCCCCGGAGCTGAATAATGTGTAGAGTGTTGTGTGCAAAATATATCGTTAGTATGTGTCTCAAAAATTAGAGAATGAATTTGCAACTTCTTCATGGAACCTAAAACAAATAAAAATAGGATTTTGGTCTCCCATGTCAGCTGGAGATGAACATGGATATGAAGCATTATCCTAACAAACATCTGCGGGTTCAGAGTGTGAGTCTGTAGAGAAGGATCATTGGTCCAAGCCAGGTTTTGACATCCATCCATTGGTTTTCTGCCCTTGTTGTGATTGATAAACTCCATAATAGTGGACAATCATGTTACCTACTTTAATGAGATATTTATGAATAAATTTAATTATAAACTCTGAAATAGTTGAGATGCTGTGAGTTATAAGCCATAAAGAGTAGGACAACTAATAAACAAAAGACAATAACATTTCCTGAAAGCTACAACATTTGCATATTAGGACCTATGAACAAAATACACTTTAGGTTTTTAGACTGAGTCTTGCTCTGTTGCCAGGCTGGAGTGCAGTGGTGCGACCTTGGCACACTGCAACCTCTGCCTCCCAGGTTCAGGCGATTCTCCTGGCTCAGCCTCCCAAGTAGCTGGGACTACAGGCGCATGCCACCATGCCCACCTAATTTTTTGTATTTTTAGTAGAGACGGGGTTTCACCATGTTGGCCACGATGGTCTCGATCTCTTGACCTCGTGATCTGCCTGCCTTGGCCTCCCAAAGTGCTGGGATTACAGGTGTGAGCCACTGCGCCTAGCTACACATTGGGTTTTATTTGGGATTCGAAGATAATTTCAGTCATAAAGTTTAGGAACAGGTTATTCCATTGCTTTACTATTTCTGTGAGCATTTAAAAATTTATCTTGTTAAATCTTTATAGCTTAGTGAAATAAGGCAGCAAATTCCTCACTTTGTAGAAGAAGACATTGAGCCTAAGAGAAGTAAATTTTCCAAGAACAAATAGCTGTTCATTATGGAGCTAGGACTTCTTCAGAGTTGGGACTTTCTATTATGTCAAGCGAATGCAAGTTAATTTATTGAGTCATGGTGCCCTCAGTTTATGAGTATTTCACCTTACTTTTTTCTTTTTTAATTAGAAGCTTAATGAAAAGTTTGTAGGATGTACACATAAGTGGATGGGATAATCTTGTTTTCTGATATTCTGATATTTGAAATACTCTAAGAATTTTTCATTTGGTAAGTATTTTTATATCAGTATTAAAATAATTTTATTTATTACATTTTTATACATAGAATTTGCCAATTATTTTCTGACTATAAGGAAAAACAGATGCCAAAAAACTGTTCTGAAAACAGCAATCCAGGTAAGACTTCTTATAGTGAATTACTTTAGGTCAATTGTCCCCAACCTTTTTGCTTTTTTGGCACCAGGGATCGGTTTTGTGAAAGACAGTTTTTCCTTGGACTAGGGGAAGGTGTGGATGGTTTCAGAATTATTCAAGCACATTGCATTTATTGTGCTACTTTATATTATTATTACATTGTAATATATAATGAAATAATTATACAACTTACCATAATGTAGAATGAGTGGAATCTCTGAGCTTGTTTTCCTGCAATTAAATGGTCCCATCTGGGGGCAAAGGGAGACAGTGACAGACCATCAGGCATTAGATTCTCATAAGAAGCACACAACCTAGATCCCTCGCATGGGCAGTTAACAACAGGGTTCACGCTCCCATGAGTATCTAATGCTACCACTGATCTGACAGGAGGCGGAGCTTAGGTGGTAATATGAGCCATGGGGCATGGCTATAAATACAGATGAAGCTTCTCTGGCTTGCCTGATGCTCACCTCCTCCTGTGTGGCGTGGTTCCAAAAAGGCCATGGACTGGTACCAGTCTGTGGCCTGGGAGTTGTGGATACCTGCTCTGGGTGGTCCTACCATAGATAAAAAGTAAAAGTAAGGAAGTTTTGATCATGAACAGCAAAGCACAGGTCATGTTACATATGCTTGTACCAGCAAGGTCTCACTGTTACTGACTTTATTCCTTTTAATTTGAAATTGAAAGAGATATATTTACTTTGTTGGAACAAGATGTATTCTTGTACCTGCTGGCTAATTGTCGTGATAACAATAATTTTGTTAAAACAAGATGCTCTGCTACCATTCGCCAAAAGATTGTCATAATAAATATACAAATTGCCCAACTCTAGGCTCAGCAGATTATAATAAAAGTACAAAAATGTTTCATAATAACAAAAATGCTAGTATGCTACCTGGATGTGGACACCTAGTATATTGTACAATTCAAACTGTGTGAGAACACCTTTAATTTAACCATATGTTTATCTTTTTTTTTTTTTTTTTTGAGACGGAGTCTCTCTCTCTCTGTCCCCCAGGCTGGAGTGCAGTGGCGCGATCTCGGCTCACTGCAAGCTCCGCCTCCCGAGTTCACGCCATTCTCCTGCCTCAGCCTCCCGAGTAGCTGGGACTACAGGCACCCGCCACCAGGCCCGGCTAATTTTTTTGTATTTTTTTTAGTAGAGATGGGGTTTCACCGTGTTAGCCAGGATGGTCTCTATCTCCTGACCTCGTGATCCGCCCGCCTTGGCCTCCCAAAGTGCTGGGATTACAGGCTTGAGCCACCGCGCCCGGCCTAGCCATATGTTTATCAAAGAGCTTCTGTAAGTTAGGTTTTGTACGTTGCAGGAGACAAAGATGGACTAGATGTAGTTTTGATCTTTAAGGTGCTCATAATAGAATAGAGCTGTGTCTATTTCATTTCTATACTTTTTCAATAGAATTTACAAGGAAACATTTTTATTTATGTTTTCACCTATCTATTTAACAAATAGCTATCAAATGTCTTTTAGATACTAAGCATTTTTTTAATGCTACAGAACACAGTTAAAAATACAGACAGGAGCTTGTTGTTGTCATTGTCATTTTTATTATTTTGCTACTTTATTCAGAGCTTACTGTGTGCTAGATGCCCACTGGAAGTTTATATTTATGGTTTTATATTATATTGATTATGTGCCAGACACATGTGTTTAGGAATGAAGGCTTTAAAAAAAAAGTAGGTAGGATTTAAGGTAAGCATGCAGAGTGAGTAGATTTTTTTCTAGGTAAAGTAGCAGAAGAATGATGTTTGGCAGAAAGAACACGTAAGGAGATTGTGTGTTTGGCAGAAGGAACATCTAATGAGATTGCCTGTATGGGAGGAAGAGCAGCAAGTGCAAAAGACAAGATGCTTGAGTGAACTTTGCAGGGTTAACGAGCAGTTCACTTTTGCTAGTACAAAAAGTGTGAGATATGAGAGGTTGGGAATGAGGTGAATACTAAGCTAAGGCAAGTTTATGATAGAATTTTTAATACTATAGAAATGAGTAGCTCTTATCCCGTGGGCCATGGGAAATTTACCAGGTAGAATGCTTTGGACTGCAAATACTAGATGAGGAGTGGTTAAAACAGTAGGAACTAGAGTTGTTTTGATTGTTCAGTGATATCCTAGAATCCCACTTGTCCCTCTTTCAGCTGTGCTGTTGGCAGTGTCTTCTTCAAATCTCCTTTCATGGCTGGCTAATCTGCAACAGCTCCAAACATCTTGTTCTCAGAACACAACGTTGCAAGGGCTGCTTTTCTTCACGTTTCTTTAAATAGGGAGAAAACTTAGAAGCATGCAGTGGACTTCCTGTAACATTTCATTGGCTGGGTCACACCACATGCGCATCCCCATACTGGACACTGGGAAAGCAAATGTAATTATGTGATTAGCTTAGAATAATTGTTTCTCTTTCTGTAGCTGGGGAAGAATATTGGGATAATAAGTATCCCAATAGATTTGTGTTTCTTCTGCAAGAAAGAATTAGGAATGGCTATTGGTAGGGAGCCAGCAATGGCTGATGCACGGACTCATTGGAGAAATTTGAGCAGGGGAGTCAGGAGATTAAATTGGAGTGTTAAGGCATTCTGGCTATGGTGTAAAATAGGGGTCGTCAGGCTTTTTCTGTAAAGGACCGTGTGGGAAATATTTTAGACTATGTGGTCTCTGTCATATCTACTTAACCCTGCTGTCACAGTGAGAAAGCAACTATGGATAATATGTAAGCAAATAGGCATGACTGAGATCCAATAAAATTTTATTTAAAAAACCATAAGACAGACTGGATTTGGCCTGTGGCCTATAGTTTGTGACCCCTCATGGAGGTTGATGGAAGGTAACCATTTTAGTAAAGAAACCAGGAGACAAAGGAAGCTTTTGCAGTAGTCAGCTATAGTTTCCTTGTCATACATCCTTGGACTAGTATCAATGTATTTAAGGTTTTCACCCATCTATGGTGAAATAAAGTTAGGAATCTCAGTTATTCATTTTAAAATGTTGGCCTTTTTTGGTGTTATGCCTTTTTCATTTGTTTTGCTTAAGTTCTTTTTTCATGTAAGAAATAACATTAATAGTTGGCGGGTTTTTTTTAAACAAAAGCCATTTGATAAATGTTTATGTTCCCAGTGGCGGTGAGAATATAAAGCAGAGGCAGAAGAGAGGTATAGTCAATATGATTTAGTGATGATTGAATGAAAAAGATTTGGGGGATAGAGAGAAATCTCAGATGATTCAGAGGTTTCCAGGTGTACACTAGCATTTAACCTCGACATGAGGAAGGAGTGGGAAATTTTCTGGTGAATACAGAATAGCAAAGAGCAGCAGGTCAGCAGGAATGACTGCTTTTTTTTTTCTGTGCATGTTTAATGGGATATTCTTGTATTTTGAGTAGATAATTGGATAATCAGCATTTATAGCTGGCATCCTACTAGTTTGTCTCTCAGTAATAAGAATTGTCACAGATTCAAGAATCTGAAAGTTGATGATAAGTGTCCATGTGTATCACCATCAGTAACTGAAAGTCAGTCAGCATCCACAGAATTGGGACAGATGAACTTAATAGATAAAGATGTATATTGGAGTTGTATTTTCCTTAGGGAATGATACTCTCCATGACCTGCGTGAGTCACAGCTGCCAGAAAACAAAGAGAGAAAGGAACATATTAAAGAAGCACAGCAAATTCAGTTCTAGAGTGCCTCTGTTTGACTTCATATTATATTCTGACTTCTAAAAAATCATTTTCTGGCAAAATGTGCTTTGTGTTTCCTCCTCTCTTGCAGCCTGCAACCAAACAGAATCCCTTTTAGTGGGGCATTTTTGTGTTCTTCCTTTAACAAAAGCAACATAAAAATAACAAAAGTAAGAGAAAGAGCATTTTTTGTATAGGCTAGTATTTAAAGTAAATTTGAGAGTGAGTACTAGGATTATATTTAGAATTTAGGGACTAGATGGGAAAACTATATAGAAATCTAAAGATTGCTGACTCAAACGCAATGTGGTTTCTTTGCTTTATTTTCACAGCTCTGAATTCACAACTATTAGTTATATTTATATGCATTATAACTTTAGAAAGCACCTTCTCAAACAAATATTAAGTGATTTCTTATAGTTTCTATGACTTTATTATAGAATTGACTTTCCAAGTATTCATAACAATTTTTGAGAGTTTTCTACATAGTATCATCCCAGCTGTGTCCACATGAGCTATCTATTACCTTGTGTTAATGAATAATGGTTCACTAGGAATATTGGTTTTGGCATTTAAAGTGATTTATATCTAATGCAGATAGAACCAGAGACCATTCTTGAACATTAATGTCCAAGCATCTTAAAATTACACATAAGGCTTTCATAATCTGACTTCTGCCCCAGCCTCTATCTTTAGCTGTTTTCCCTGTGTGCCCTTTCTCTGGCATTACTGAACTGCTGGTAATGCCCTACTCACTCATCCTTCTATTGTAGGCAAATACACATTCACTCTTGCAGGCCTTACTCCCTATCTTGTTGCTTCCTGGCATACTGTCACCCTTTCCTGCCCCCTGCCCCTTTTAATCTGGCTAGCCTCAATATTTAAGTCTCTGCTTGGGCATGATTTCTAGAAAAGCCATCCCTGACATGCTTTATTTTCATTCTTTTTAAACCCTAGTGCCTGGTATGTATGTAGCAGGACTCAATAAAACATTGCTGAGTAAAATAAAGACTGTTTATTCAAAGGTGATGTGCAAAACTGTCCCCTACAGTCTTGGAGCAGAGGGGACAGACATGTGGAACAATAATGTACAGTTCAGGTGGTAAAGATGCAGTAGAAAAATCAGTAAAGTACAAAGGCAGCCTCAAGGAAAGAGGTACCTGTTTATCTGGGGAAAGACATGTAGAGTCAAGAAAGACTCCACATAGGATTGTTTTAAAAGATGAAAAAAAAATTGTCAGAATAGTGGAGGGAAACATTTTAGATATTAGGAAGACATTGTACACTAATAAAGGTATCAGCAGTGATTTTGGAAATCATTTATAAGGTACTATTAGGAAGTGGAGAACAATATACTGTGTTACCTTATATGTTTCTACTGTATTTTAAAGTTGTGTTTCTGGTGGTTTTGTTCATTTATGTTTGGTGGATGAATTTGTGAGTGAATGTCTGACATGTTTGTATGTCTTCAATCTGGTGACATCTGGTGTCTCCCCAAGTGGTTTGTTGAAGTTTTGGAGAATTATTTCTTAAGTAACTATTTCATGAAAGATTAAGCTTCATTTAAATGCTCAATTTATGAAATAAAATGAAATGTCTTAAATCTATTTTTATAAAGGCAATAGTTTTTAATTGTTCTAAGTGGTTCATTTTAATTGAATGTATGGATTTCTCTTCAGAGCAAGACTTAAAGCTGACATCAGAGGAAGAGCCACAAAGGCTTAAAGGAAGTGAAAATAGCCAGCATGAGGCATGTAAAATTTTAAATGTCGATTTCTGGTTTAATGTTGTTTTCTGTATTTTAATAATATTAGATTGTCCAAATAAAATTACCTTTCAGACTAGGCTTTGAGAATCAATAGATTCTTTTTTTAAAGAATCTTTTAATAAATTCTTAAAGTTTACCTTAATAAATTTAGCAACCTCATTAGCAGAAGAATCAATAGATTCTAAGTTAATATTTGCTATTTAACTTAAACATTATGACTCACTATTAAATTTAAAATATTCTTATTTAAAATATTCTTACCTGCTTTCTTGATTAGCTTATAGCTAATCTTTCCCTTTGGAAGAGAGGCAAAATAAATTCCAGAACTTTGTTCTTTTATTTTTACAACACCTTAACATGATAAAGTAACATCAATTATTGGATAATATTATTAAGCAATTGAAATTATGAACAGTGTAACAGTGTTGGTCCCTGAGCTGGATTCATGGTAAAGAAGTAATCATGGCCAGTGATTGAAAATCTGCAGTTTCATATTGCCAGTCACTGATGCCAAGGTTAAAGATGCATTCTGCCTTGTGGTCTGTCATTGATCTCAGGGTTTCTGTTCAGGGAGAGAACCAGATCATAAAAGCAACCCAACTGCCTATTACAAGAATCATATTTTGCAGAATGGGACCTTTGATGTTAGTGTAAAATCACAGTAACATTCTAACTTATTTCAATTGCAGAAAATCAGTACATATTATTTAAAAATTTTTATCCACTGTCATTAGTACACATTAGAATATATTAGACTTGGACTTAAGCAGATAGTGTAGATGCATAACACTATCATATTACTGTATATAATTTAAATTAAAATTTAAGAATTTGCATTTCTTTCTGTTTGATGTTGATTTCAGCTCCTAATAATTTAAAGTGTGTCTACACTCCAGTTAGTAATCTTTTAAAAAAGCACTTAAATGCACTGTAGGGACTCACTAGTTAGGGTATGGTGAAGTAAAATCTTTTCAATGAGGAAGTCTTTGCAACACTACAAATCATCTGCTAATTCATTTTTGGTAGATTTAACACATAATGAATTAAGTTTAATCCAAACAAATGGTGACACAGTTACGTTTGCTGGTTCATGTTTTTCTTCTCCCTTTGGCTAAGATAAATTATTTTTCAAGTGTTACTCAGAAGCCAGTGATGTGACAGTAGCTTAACATAGATTAAAAAGTTAATTCTTAATTTTAATTATTTATTTACTTTAGCAGGTAAATTTTAATTTTAATTATTTTCTAATTTTTCATTGTCCATACTTGATTACTTAAGAGTAAAATTATTTTAAAAGCATGTACTTCAAAAGAGCAGACATCTGAGCAATACAGCAAGCAAATTAACCTTCTATTTTTGCATCTGCAGAAAATGTCTCAAGAACCAGACATAAATAAGGATTGTGATAGAGAGGTATACCTTTATATTCAAATATTTCTGTTGAATTAGATTTTTACATTATGTTGTTTAACAAAGTGTAGTAAGTTTAGGCATGTATGATTCTATCATGTAAATAGCATAAATCATCAGTGAAAAATTTAGTATTTAACTCAGAACGCTAAGTTCTGTACATTGAGTTTTAGAGACAAACCGTAGAGATATTCTTCATCATTATGGAATAATCCTGAATGGTGCCATAAAATGGTAGGTAATGCCACTTTAGGAGCTTTGGATCAATCATTTTATCTCTTGGTTTTAGTCTGATTATCAATAGATAATGTGGCTAAAGAAGATAATCTCTTATTTTGTATATCCTCCAGCTAGAAAATTTTATGGCTATTGAATGTGAAATTTGGGGAGCATCTCATTTTCTGGAATTCCATGCTAGCACCTCAGCAGTTTTATTCTCCTCCTTGTGTTGTGGCAAACTTTGGTTCCCATGTTGCAGTGAGCACCTTTATATTTTTGATATCCCAGGAACCAAATGAAAAAAGAATAATCAAAGGCAGCGGGGGAGAAGAATATCGTAGTGTGGAAAAGGGCAATATTCCTTTCTATTCCTGAAGCCCCACAGTGTCTCATCCTCTAAATCTGACTGTTTAATGGAAAATCCAGGTGGTAAAGATGGAAGAAGACACATTTTGCATCTTTGTATTTTTATTTGTGTGCTCCCACAAGTCAGATGGGGTGACTATTTATATTAGATTCTGAAGAGTGGTTGGGAATAAAAGCACAAAATGAAGGAGGTCCCTTTTTGAAATTTTTGAAAATTATCTTATTCATTCAAACAGAAATGAAGGAAACTTTACAAAAATTTCAGTGTTATACTAATGATATAATAATTGCATCTTAAAATTGTATGGTAACAGTTCTGTATATATGATTAAATTTAAGTGTGAAATATTTTTAATAACTAAAGTAACAAACTGAGTCAAGTGATAAAATCAATTAAAATTAAAAGGTTCTTTTTATTCAATAAAGCAATAACCATCCTTAATATCAAACTTCCACTCAAGGTTGAAGAAGAAATGCAGAGGCACAGAAGTAATAACGTGGGAATATCAGAAAACCTGACTGATGGTGCCACTGCTGGCAATGGTGATGATGGATTAATTCCACAAAGAAAGAGCAGAAAGCCTGAAAATCAGCAATTTCCTAGCACAGAGAATGAAGAATATCATAGGTAAGCCTATGGCAACATTTAACAGGAGATAACTATGTGCATTCAAACTAATCCTAATTTGGGCTAATATTCATGATGAACAAATTTTATACTTTTACTAGGATATGCAGCCTTGTCTGGTAATCAGAAGAATGAAAATCAGCAAACAATGTGTTACCATTTTTTCCAGTCATTAATTTATTTGAAAAATAACCAGTATTGGCAAATGTGAGGGAAAAGGCATTTTCTTTTCTTTTTAGTGGACTTTAATTTTAGTTTTAAGGGTACATGTGCAGGTTTGTTATATAGGTAAACTATATCATGGAGATTTGGGCTACAGATTATTTCATCAGCCAGATAATAAGCAAAATACCAGATAGGTAGTTTTTTGGTGCTCTCCCTCCTGCTGCCCTCCACCCTCAAGTAGGCCCTGGTGTCTTCTTCTCCTCTTTGTGTTCATGTGTTCTCATTGTTTAGTTTCCACTAATGAGTAAGAATATGTGGCATCGGATTTTCTGTTCCTGCGTTAGTTTGCTTAGGATAATGGCCACCAGCTCCATCGGTGTTACTGTAATGGAAATGGTCTCATTGAAAAAGTCATTCTCATACCCTGTTGGTAAATACATTTTGAGTGTTAATTTAGTAGCATATTCACACACACACATATAGTAAGGATATATAATATATGTATGTTAAAGATATTTGTGTATATATGTGTATACATATTTATATACACTTATATACATTATATACATTTATATACATATATACTCGTTACATATATACTTATGTATAAGGACATTTATTACAGCATTATTATATCAACAAGCTGGAGTTACTGTAAGTCCTTATCAATAGGAAATAACTGAATTTTCAAACCCAGAAAATAATGTAGTACGCAGCCTTTTTTTTTTTTTTTTTTTTTTTTTTGAGACAGTCTCATTCTGTCGGCCAGGCTGGAATGCAGTGGCATGATCTCAGTTCACTGCAACCTCCGCCTCCCAGGCTCAGGCAATTCTCCTGCCTCAGCCTCCCGAGTAGCTGGGATTACAGGTGTGTGCCACCATGCCCGGCTAATTTTTGTATTTTTAGTAGAGACGGGGTTTCACCATGTTGGCCAGGCTGGTCTTGAACTCCTGACCTCGGGTAATCTGCCCGTCTTGGGCTCTTAAAGTGCTGGGATTACAGGCATGAGCCACCGTGCCCATCCAGTATGCAACCATTTTTTAAAAAATGAGGTTAGATCCAGAGTGTACTGATTATTTCACAATAAACGTGTATTTAAAACATTTAGTTTGATGACACATCTTAAGACAATTTTGTTAGAATTCTTGTAATATCTGCTATGTTGCAAATGGAAGCTACATGCTATGTTGACACTGTAACTTGTCAGCAACAAGATTGCTAGTTATTAAATTTTAGTTGTCAGTGCCTGAGTGCTGAAATATTGAAACCTCAATCTGAATATTGCCAAGGGATTGCACATGGGGATCTATATTTCATATAAACATTTCAGTATATTGGGTAAAACTTGTTAAAATGCATCAAAGGATCTTTGATCTACTAAACCAGGAGTTGGCCAGCTTTTTCTGCAAAGAGCCAGTTAGTAAATATTTTAGGCTTTGTGGACTATATATATTTATTCTTATGAGACAGGGTCTCGCTCTGTTGCCCAGGCTGGGGTACAGTTGCATGATCATGGCTCACTGCACCCTCGACTTTTTGGGCTCTAGTGATCCTCCCACCTCAGCCTCTCTACTAGCTAGGACCACAGGTGTGCAACATCACACCTAGCTAATTGACTCTATGGACTAGAAAGTGAATAAGCATGGCTGTGTTCCAACATACTTTATTTACAAAAACAGGCAGTGGGCTGGATTTGGCCCACAAGTGCTAATTCGCTGACTCTTGTGCTAAAAGGAAGGTGCTGCTAATACAGTGACTTTTATTTGTAAAAGTGCCCTGCACACATGACATTATTCTTCCTTTGAAAACAGAATATATTTCTGTATTCACCGCACCATAGTTTTCAACGGTGACTTCATATAATTTTTATATTCATATAATTCATATAATTATACTTCATATAATTTTCAAAATTTCATTGATAAAATAAGATTATTTTCTGCATTTTCCTGTTTTATTTCTGTTAATAGAACTCAGTATTTTACTGTGATCAATTACTTTGTATACTTGATGAGTATCAACTGTCCTAGAATTGCCTGGTTTTTATGAAGCAAGAAATACTTCCCTTGAAACTTTTAGTATTAGTCTATTTATAAGCATGAACAAAATGATAATGAGCTTATGTAATCTAGAAATGTTCAAGGGGGCTTTTAGTTCTATAATTTTAAGAATGTAATATGTTGGTCTGGCATTTTTAAATACCATATTGTATAATTTTTATAACCTTTAAAATATGTAATTATATAAAATTTGAAAACTGCACCATTTACATAAAGTTTGAAAACTACTGTTTCTTATCTATCACTATTCATGACTGTGGAAGCAAATTACATTATTCACAGTCATGACTCCTAAGTGTGATGTCCTTAAAAGAACTGTCTACACTCACAAACTCAAATTTTCTTTCCATTCACTCTTGATCTCATGCCAGTAGTCTTCAACTTCAGCACTCCTCCAAAATTGTTTTTCTCAAGGTTATCACTAATTTTTTCTGTAATAAATCTAGGCATTTTTTCTTACACCTCATTTTATTTAATTTGTCAGCAATATTTGACCCGTTGGAGGACATCTTCTCCCTAACAGCGTCTTCGCTTGGCTTTCAGGACTTCACTCCCTCAGGCTTTTCATCCTGTCTTTCTACTCTGTTCATCATGGTCTGTTTCACTTGCTCCTCCTCAGATTTCACCTTTTGTACATTGTTGTTTCCCAGGTCTCAGTCCCAAATCCTATTTCTCATGGCTCTTTCTTTCTTTCGTTCCTTTTTTTGTTTGTTTGAGACAGAGTCTCACTCTGTTGCCCAGACTGGAGTTCAGTGGCACGATCTCAGCTCACTGCAACCTCCACCTCCTGGGTTCAAGCAATTCTCCTGCTTCAGCCTCCTGAGTAGCTGGAATTACAGATGCATGCCACCATACCCGGCTAATTTTTGTATTTTTAGTAGAGACAGGGTTTCCCCATGTTGGCCAGGCTGGTCTCAAACTCCTGATCTCAGGTGATCCACCCACCGCGGCCTCCCAAAGTGCTGAGATTACAGGTGTGAGCCACTGCCCCCGGACCCTTGTGACTTTTTCTACTGTGTATATGCTAGTGATTTCCAAATGTATGTCTCCAGCTCGGTTCTCTCTCCTTAATTCCAGATCTCTATATCAACCTGCCTACTTGACATCTCTCTTTGGTTAGCTATTGGGTAGCACACACTTGTCAGCCCAAAATTGGGCTACTGATGTCCTTCCTGAAATCTACACCTCATGTAGTCTTTCCTACTTTGGTAAATGGCAACTCTTCCATTTGCTTTGCCAAAAACCTTCATGTCATTCTTGACTCATCTTTCTCTCTCTCTGATGCCTCACATCTAATCTATCAGCATATCTTATCAAGTATACTTGAAGAATATATCCAGAAGCCAGTCATATATTGTACATCTGAGTGACCATCGTCTGTAGTCTAGATGAGAGTCATAGACTGGTAATTGATAGTTCTGGTTTAAAAAAAAAATCCCTTTAAATCAATTCTTAACTCAGTGGATGTATTTAAAACATAAATCAAATTGTGTCATTCCTCTGCCCCAGCCCTTCTGATTGCCTCCCATTTCACTCTGAGTATGCATCAAAGTTCCTCCTAATAACTAAAAGACAGTACACCATCTGGCATATTATCCCTCCCACTTAAACTTCTATTTCTTATCTCCTTTGCTCTGCTTCAACCACACTGAACTTCTTGCTTTTCCTTATATATCCCTATTGTTTAAAGACTCCAGGCACACCTCTGTACTTGGCAGTTCCTTTTGTCTGGGATACTTTTCCCCCAGATATCCTCCCTGCTTACTCTTCCCATTCCTTCAGTTCTTTAATTAAAATACCCTTTCTCAGCAGGGACTTTTCTGGCCATCCCAACTTTCCCACCACTCTTCCCCTTAAACACATAAACATTTCATTTTCCTGATTTAGTTTTTCTCCTCTAACATACTGTATATTTTGCCTTATCTATTGTTGTGTGTTTATCTCATTCTCATGAATAGGATTTTTATTGTTCACTACCATATCCTCACTGCCTAGAAAAAGGCCTAACATATTGTATGTAGCTACCTAGTAAATACTTTTTTTTTTTTTTGAGACAGAGTCTCACTCTGTTGCCCAGGCTGGAGTGCAGTGGCATGATCTCGGCTTACCGCAAGCTCCACCTCCCAAGTTCATGCCATTCTCCTGCCTCAGCCTCCCAAGTAGCTGGGACTACAGGTGTCCACCACCACGCCCGGCTATTTTTTTTATACTTTTAGTAGAGTTGGGGTTTCACCATGTTTCTCAGAATGATCGCGATCTCCTGACCTCGTGATCCACCCACCTCTGCCTCCCGAAGTGCTGGGATTACAGGCGTGAGCCACCGTGCCCGGCCATAAATACTTATTAAATGAGTGAATGGAGTTTATCCTGGGTATATTGTTTGATTGATTCTCACTTAAAAAATGTTTGACATGGTTCATTCTAACAATTTTGCCTGGTAATTATATGCATTTTTTTATTCTTTTGGCTCTTTATAATGAGCTACATTCTTTATATTAATATTCCTTCATTTAGGGAGAAAAGCCCAATATTGTGGTTATTCACTATTTATTCTTTTACTGGTAATCATGATAATTGTAATTATGGCAAAATGAGTCAGAGGAATTGCAAATTTTACTGGTATTTTATCTAAAAAATTTTGAGTGGCAAATTTAATGGACTTACAAATTCTTTCCAAGGGATTATGAACCTTTGAGTGGCTTCTTGTTACCATGGCTACAAGTCAGTTTTTTCCTGAGTTTGAGTCAACTTTAACCAGAAATTTTCTATTTAAAAGTTGCCTTCCATTAACTGTTTTCAAAATGAAAGTATTTTATATTCCAGAATTGTAGACTTAATTTTAAAGTTTTGGTCAAGTTGAATTGGTTAATGAAAGCTCTCAGGAAGGTCTTCTTTTTTTTGATATATAATCTTGTCTTAACCAGAAGAGTTCTCTGCATAATTTATATCTTAAAAACAAGTGTTTTGTTTCTGTTTTTGGTATTTTTAGAAGTTTTTACTCAAGTCCTAAAATAATTTCCAGTGGGAGAATTTAGTCTCTTTGTCAGTTCATGTATGTATATGGTACTGATATTCTCTCTTTTTAAATTCCTTTTCTTGTTTACTCTCTTCTCTGTACAATAATAGTAATATTCTTATGCATGTTTACCTCATTAAAAAGTAATTACAATTTTCTGCTGGCAAATCTGGCTTTTTATATTTTGACTAAATACTAGGCTAAATGAAGAAAATTTACCAGATCATTTTATTTTCCAACAAAATCATAACTAATCAAAAACTGCTATTTTTGAAATATAAATAGTGAAATTTAGAAATTAGATATTTCTAAGGATACCCCCCAATATAGTTTCGCTTTGTGTCCCCACCCAAATCTCATGTCAAATGGTAATTTCCGGGTGTTGAGAGAAAGACCTGGTGGGAGGTGATTGGATCATGGGGTCAGTTTCCCCCATGCTGTTCTCGTGGTAGGAAGTTCTCACAAGAGCTGATGGTTTCATAAGGGGCTCTTTCCCCTTCACTTATCTCTCTCCTGCTACCTTGTGAAGAAGGTGCCTGCTTCCCCTTCCCCTTCAGCCATGATTGTACATTTCCTGAGGCCTCCTCAGCCATGTGTAACTGTGAATCAATTAAGCCTCTTTCCTTTGTGAATTACCCAGTCTCAGGTATTTCTTTATAGCAGTGTGAAAACAGACTAATACAAAGAATTGGTACCAGGGATAGTGGGATACTGCTATAAAGATAACCTGAAAATGTTGAAGCAACTATGGAACTGAGTAACAGAAAGAGGTTGTAACAGTTTGGAGGGCTCAAAAGAAGACAGGAAGACGCGGGAAAGTTTGGAACTTCCTACAGACTTGTTGAATGGTTTTTTTTTTTTTTTTTTTACCAAAATGTTGATAGTGATAGGGACAATGAAGTCCAGGCTGAGGTGGTCTTAGATAGAGATAAGGAGCTTTTTGGGAACTGGAACAAAGGTGACTCTTGCTATGTTTTAGTAAAGAGACTCACGACATTTTGCCCCTTCCGTAGAAATCTGTGAAACTTTGAACTTGAGAGAGATGATTTCAGGTATCTGGTGGAAGAAATTTCTAAGCAGCAATGCATTCCAAGTGGTGACCTGGTTGATTCTGAAAGCATTCAGCTTTATGCATTCACAAAGAGATGGTTTTAAGTTGGAACTTATGTTTAAAAAGGAAGCAGGGCATAAATTTGGAAAATTTGTAGCCTGACCATGGGGTAGAAAAGAAAAACAGCCCATTTTCTGGGGAGGAATGCAAGCTGGCCTGGGGAAAGTATCTCCAGGGCATGTCAGAGATCTTCATGGCAGCCACCCCCATCATAGACCCAGAGGCCTAGAAGGAACAAGTGGTTTCATGGGTTGGACCCAGGGCCCTGCTACTGTGTGCAGCCTCAGGACCTGGTGCCCTGTGTTCAGCTGCTACAGGTCCAGCTGTGGCTAAAAGGGGCCAAGGTGCAGCTTAGCCTTTATGAATTACCCGGTCCTCAGTATTTCTTTTTAGCAGTGTGAAAGTGGACTAATACACTCTCTCTCAGGACATTTTCCTGACTTAATCTTTCATGTTACATGTGCCACAGCTATTTTCAAAACTTCATTTAAAGGTAAACATTATTATAGTGAATAATAGAAACAGAAATATAGCTCAAATCTAATTATGATTTTCATGTTTAACAGTCATTGCCTGTATTCAGTGGACTCCAGCTTTTTAATGTAGCATTCAAATCCGTGTAGCATTCATCTATTCTTAGCTTCCAAGTATTTTACACTTTTCCTTTCAAGTTTTTAGTAAGCATCTAGACTTCGTATGCTTAATCTTTGTGCTCACATTCTGTTTTTTAACTAGAATGGTTTTCTCTTAATGATTTTTCCTAATTGGGCTCCTCTTATATTTTACCTCTTCTCTAAAGCCTTCCCTGTGCTAAAATATAACTTTTTATATATCAACTTTTACATAACACATTGTATCATAATTGTATATTACCTTGTTTTTGAAGCAGGGAATGCACATTTCCTTTTATGTTGTTTGCACTTTATAACCATTTTTTAAATTAATAAGTGGATTGAGATGGAGAAGAGTTGGAGTTTTACAAAATTTTTTTTTTTGTTCATTGTCAATAGGGTTATTGGAAAACATTGGCTTTTTATAGATTTTTTAAAATAGTGGTTTGCCTTGCATGTGAAGAAAGTAAAGAAACATGAAAATAAAAAACGGACCTCAAAATAATCTGTGATTACACCCATGTTTGAGAAGGTCAATTTACTAACTCACGGTCTGCTACAAATAAATGATGACAGCAGTTTAAGTGAAATAGATGAGGATGAAAGAAGGTAAAATTTACAAGTCCTTTATAAGAAATCTCTAGGAATACCCCATCAAAAAGTGGGCAAAGGATATGAACAGACACTTCTCAAAAGAAGACATTTACACAGCCAACAAACATATGAAAAAAAGTTCATTATCACTGGTCATTAGAGAAATGCAAATCAAAACCACAATGAGATACCATCTCATGCCAGTTAGAATGGCGATCATTAAAAAGTCAGGAAACAACAGATGCTGGAGAGGATGTTGAGAAATAGGAATGGTTTTACACTGTTAGTGGGAACGTAAACTAGTTCAACCATTGTGGAAGACAGTGTGGCAACTCCTCAGGGATCTAGAACCAGAAATAACATTTGACCCAGCAATCCCATTACATGGTAAATACCCAAAAGATTATAAATCATTCTGCTGTAAAGACACATGCACACATATGTTTATTGCAGCACTATTTACAATAGCAGAGACTTGGAACCAACCCAAATGCCCATCAATGATAGACTGGATAAAGAAAATGTGGCACATTTACACCATGGAGTACTATGCAGCCACAAAAAAGGATGAGTTCATGTCCTTTGCTGGGACATGGAGGCAGCTGGAAATATCATTCTCAGCAAACTAACACAGGAACAGAAAACCAAACACTGCATGTTCTCACTCATTAGTGGGAGTTGAACAATAACACATGGACACAGGGAGGGAACTTCACACACTGGGGTCTGTCGGGCAAGGTGAGGGATAACAGGAAAAATACTTAATGTATGTGGGACTTAAAACCTAGATGATGTGTTGATAGGCGCAGCAAATCACCATGGCACATGTATACCTATGTAACAAACCTGCACGTTTTGCACATGTATCCCAGAACTTAAAAAAAAAAAAAAGGTAGGCCAGGCGCGGTGGCTCACACCTGTAATCCCAGCACTTTGGGAGCCCGAGACAGGCAGATCACCTGAGGTCTGGAGTTTGAGACCAGCCTCATCGATATGGTGAAACCCCATCTCTACTAAAAATACAAAATTTGCCAGACATGGTGGCACATGCCTGTAATCCCAGCTACTCGGGAGGCTGAGGCAGAATTGCTCGAACCCAGGAGGCGGAGGTTGTGGTGAGCTGGGATTGCGCCATTGCTACTTGGGAGGCTGAGGCAGGAGAATTGCTTCAACCTGGGAGGTGGAGGTTGTGGTGAGCTGAGATCACACCATTGCACTCCAGCCTGGGCAACAAGAACAGAACTTCGTCTGGAAAAAAAAAAAAAAAAAAAAAAAGAAAGAAATCTCCGGGAAGGAATGTTAACACTGATTACTTTTATTTTTGGAAATAGAATAATGTAGTCTCTCAAAGCTGGAGAGTACTCAACTATATCAATGCTGTTGAAAGATTGATTACAATAAGGATTAGTGACTTTGACTAGGAGCAGTGTCAATAAATGGTAGCCATGGAACTCTGTAGTAGATGAACGTAGACAACTCTTGAGAGGAACTTTACTGAGAAAGGCAATAGAGAAATGGGCAGTAACTGAAAAAGAATGTGGGATTTGAGGATTTGAGGGAGTTTTCTCTCTTTTGGTATTTCAAAACAGAAATTTTTAGAGTTTTTTTTTTTTTACTTTTGGGAGTGATCCATAGTAGAAGAACATGTTTATGAAATGTTATTTTGTTTACTTGGTTGCATGTCTCAGCATTAGCTTGATTCATTATTTTTATGGGTGTTTAGCAAACTAATTGTCCTTAGAACTTCTATTCATGTATAGTTTTTGTTTTGTTTTGTTTTGTTTTTGAGACAGAGTCTTGCACTGTCACCCAGGCTGGAGTGCAGTGGCGCGATCTTGGCGCACTGCAACCTCTGCCTCCCAGGTTCAAGCAATTCTCCTGCCTCAGCCTCCCAAGTAGCTGGGATTACAGGCATGTGCCACCACGCCTAGCTAATTTTTGTATTTTTAGTAGAGACGGGGTTTCACCACGTTGACCAGGCTGGTCTTGAACTCCTGACCTCAAGTGAACTGCCCACCTCGGCCTCCCAAAGTGCTAGGATTACAGGGGTGAGCCACCGCACCCAGCCTATTCATGTATAGTTTTATGATTAGAGTTGTTTTTTTCAGAATTGGTTTAGAAGTGTAACATTAGTGTAACTGAACATGCAGATGATGACCTAAATCTTAAGCTATCATACACAGATTTTTAAAAATAATTATAATAAACATCCACACACTTATGCCATGATGAATAGAACTTAAATATTTCATCATAATTGTACATATTGCAGTACCTTTGACAGTAGCCATGATTTGCTGAGTTACTTACTCTAAAATATCAGGTGTATCAACTTTACAGTTGTTTAGATTCTGGGGAGTAGGGAAGGATTTTGTTCATGAACTTGAGAAAAGCAAACTATTGACAAACTATTGCAGATTATTACTTCAGGATTGTAAAGTTTGAAAGCATCAAAACCATGTTTCCCTTGGACAACAGTGTCATCAGCATGTGTTGTGTGCCCAACGAGTATTTGTTGAATGCATGAATAAACAGTTGAAGAGATGAATGAATGCCATTGATTAATTTCTTTTAAAAAATAAATTTTTAGTGTTTTGAAAGTAGTAGGTTTCCAAACTTGCCTCCGTATAAAGTCTTTTTATTTTTTTTAAAAGTGCAAGATTCAGAAATTATTAGTTATAATTATAGCCAAAAATGTAATGATAATATGGATTCATCTGCTATCATATCTCTTAAAAACACTTGGAAATAAATATTACCTTCACAGGATATTGCAAAACACACGTTTTAGAGGCAGAATTCTTGAGTTTCAATGCTGTGTAGACTACTGACCAGCTCTGTGGGCTGGGGAAATTTATATGGCCTTTCCGTGCCTAGTTTCTCCCTTTATAGAATCTCTAATATGTTACCTACCTCACAGAATTGTTATGATAATTAAAATGAGCTTGACAAATGCACAGTGCTTAGAATGATGCATAGTACCTGCATAACAAGTCCTGAAAAAGTGAATATTATCATTAAAAAGGGTTCCCCTCATATAAGAACATAAGTAATATGTTCCAAATAGGTTTTAGTGTTAGTAGAAGCTTGTTTTTATTGTAAAGGACAACAGTGAGAAGTTCTGGTATATTTATTTCTATCACATAATACAAGTAATGTGTTTTTCCTTTTGTCTTGACTGTCAGAAAGCTTGATCTAAATTTAATTCTTTGTAATGATATTATTACCATATTTTGTCTCCCTTAATGTTACTCTTTCTGTTTATAGTTTAATTCCCCTTATGGAAAATAATTATATTTACATTACCTGTTAAAAATGACCTGAACACTTAATGAAAAGAAGAAACAACTTATAAATGCAGAGATTTTATATAATAAAATAATAGTTTTGGACATTCTTTGTATTTTATGTGTTTACCATTTGTCTAAAAGGAATTGTTTCTTTTTTCAGGCCTGAAAAGAAATTTAATGAAAAGAACACGGTATTGTAAAATTAAATTATCTAAAACATTATTGTTAAGAAAAAAACACATTATAAAAGGTTAAGTGAGAATCTTTGGTTATAAAGACATGTAGTGAGGAAGAAAGGGCTTGGTCGGGCGTGGTGTTTCATGCCTGTAATCCCAGCACTTTGGGAGGCCCAGGCAGGCAGATCACAAGGTCAGGAGTTTGAGACCAGCCTGCACAACATGGTGAAACCCCGTCTCTGCTAAAAATACAAAAATTAGCCGGGTGTGGTGGCATATTCCTATAATCCCAGCTACTCGGCATGCTGAGGCAGAAGAATTGCTTGAACTTGGGAAACGGAGGTTGTAGTGAGCCGAGATGGCGCCGTTGCACTCCAGCTTGGGTAATAGAGTGAGACTCTGTAAAAAAAAAAAAAAAAAAAAAAAAAAAAAAGTGCTTAGGAAAAGAAAAAAGGGCTTAAGAAAGAGTAGCCTAGCCATTGATAATGGTACCCTTTTAAGAAAAATCTGTTGTTTTAAGAAGTGCCTGTGGTTTTGCTCATATAAAAAGATGAATAAATACCACTTCTGTACATCTAGAATATTCTGTAAATATTTTGAGGACATTTGAAGCAGTATTATTTAACTCACAGGTCAAAAGTGAAATACATTCAGTGGATGACCTTGATGACATAACGTGGCCATCTGAAATAGCCTCAGAGGATTACGATTTGCCTTACCCTAATTATGAGACTTTTATGTTGCTCACTGAACAAATCAAAATGGATTTTAACGGTAGGACCATTGCATAAGTAGAATGACTTTTTATGTATCCTACAGTAATATTTGCACACATTGCTTAGCGTTGCACCATAGAGCACTAACGTGTTATAGTGTTGCTTATCTCAGAAATATGTTTAACGTTAAAGTAGACTGAGAAATAATGTATATTGTATACCAAAGCTATGATAACTCCACGGTGCCTTTCTCAGTATGAAGGGCAGTCTCAGCATTTTTGTTGACTCTTCTTCTCTTATATGCCTTATTCTCAGATCAGGTTACCATTCTCTCCCACTCGGGATACTGCAATAACCTTAGAACTGTTTTTCTTGCTACCCCATTTCCTGAGACCATGGTCTACTCTGAAACTATAATTATTAATTTTTAAAAATTCAGATCTGATGTTATCTCTTGCTTATACCTCAGCTTACCACTTGCCATTGCTATAAGGTTAAGATTTGAATACTTGAGCTCTCTCCTGCATCATTTAATATACTTTTTTCCTCTTTGTCCTAGCTATTGTCTTAGATGTTTATTCCTGCAACTGACAGCTTTAGTGAGGCATAACTGATATACGATAGACAGCACATATATAAAACGTAAAATTTGATAAGTTTTGGCATATGTATGCACATGCAAAACCATCACCATAATCAAGACCGATAACATACCCATCATCCATAAAAGTCTCTTCCTGTCCCTTTGTATTCCCTTATTAAGAAACTACTAAATGTTTAAGTATTTGTGCTATTTTCCATTCCTATCAGCAGTATATGATAATTCTCCTTGTTCCATATCGTCATGAGCTCTTAGTACTGCTGTTTATTAGTTTTAAGTTTTTAGCCATTCCAATGGGTGCATGTTGTGCGTGTCACTATGGTGTGAATGTGCATTACCCTAAGGACTAAGAATGTTGAACATGTTCCCGAGTGCTTTATTTGCCACCTGTATATCTTCTTTAGTGAAATGGAGAGCTTATAAAGAATTAAAAATTAGGGCCGGGCGCGGTGGCTCACGCCTATAATCCCAGCACTTTGGGAGGCCGAGGCCGGTGGATCATGAGGTCAGGAGATCGAGACCATCCTGGCTAACAAGGTGAAACCCCGTCTCTACTAAAAATACAAAAAATTAGCCGGGCGCGGTGGCGGGCGCCTGTAGTCCCAGCTACTTGGGAGGCTGAGGCAGGAGAATGGCGTGAACCCGGGAAGCGGAGCTTGCAGTGAGCCGAGATTGTGCCACTGCAGTCCACAGTCCGACCTGGGCGACAGAGCGAGACTCTGTCTCAAAAAAAAAAAAAAAAAAAAAAAAAAGAATTAAAAATTAGATAGTTTTTATTCTTATTTCTTGAGTTTTAAGAGTTTTTTTTTTAATAGATTCTGGATATTATTCCTTTATTATGCTTTTTGGAAGGATTTTTTTTCCCAGTTTGTGGCTTGACCTTTTGTTTTCTTAATATATTTTAAAGAGAAGAAGTTTTTCATTTTGATGAAGTCTGATATATGTGTTCATTTAATTATGGATTTTGCTTTTTGTGTCATATCTAAAAAAGTATTTGTCCAGCACAAGGTCCCAAAGATTTTCTCCTCTGCTTTCTTGAAGAATTTTTATAGATTTAGGTCTTACATTTATATCTGTGATCCACATTGTGTACATTTTTGCTTATGGAGTGAGGTGTGGATGCAAGTTCATTTTATGGATGTGGATATCTAATTGTTCCAGCCACATATGTTGAAAAGGCTTTCTCTTTTCTCCACTACATTGCTATCGTGCATTTGTGAAAAATAAGTTGGCTGTATGTGTGTGGGTCTATTTCTGGACTGTTTGTTGTGTTCCATTGATCTACATATTCTTCTAGAGTTACACTGATAAACCAATCATAAGTTGAAAATCCATTTAATACCCCAGTAGGCTGGGATCACTCCTGTAATCCCAGCACTTTGGGAGGCTGAGATGGGCGGATCACGAGATCAGGAGACCGAGACCATCCTGTCCTGGCTAACACGGTGAAACCTCATCTCTAGTAAAAATAGAAAAAAATTAGCCAGGTGTGGTGGCAGGCGCATATATTCCCAGCTACTCGGGAGGCTGAGGCAGGAGAATGGTGTGAACCTGGGAGGTGGAGCTTGCAGTGAGCCAAGATAGCACTACTGCACTCCAGCCTGGGTGACGGAGCGAGACTCCGTCTCAAAAAAAAAATACCCCAATAAACCCATCGTACAGTTGAAAAATTCTAAGTAGAACCATCTTAAATTGGTTTCTGGCTTTCTTTATGTAGGTCTAGCATCCCTAATACCAAAATCCAAAATCAGAAATGCTCCAAAATCCAAAACTTTTTGAGTGCCAACATGATGCCACAAGTAGAAAATTTCACACTAGACCTCAAGTACACAAACTAAATTTACTAAAAGTATTCCATAAAATTACATTTAAGCTCTACGTATAAGGTGTATATAACATAAGTGTATTTTGTGTTTAGACTTGGGTTCCACCCTCGAGATATCTGATTATATATATGCAAATATTCCAAAACCCAAAACACTTTTGGTACCACACACTTTGAGAGCTATTCCACCTGTAATAGTAACACACTGTTTTCATTACTGTAAATTTATACTAAATCTTGACATCAGCCCTTTGGTTTTCTTCTTTTTTAAGGGTTATTTTGACTATGCTGGATCTTTTGCATTTCCACATGAGTTTTGGAATCAGATTGTTATTTTTTTTTTTAAAAGCCTGCTGTCAGCCGGGTGCGGTGGCTCACATCTGTAATCCCAGCACTTTGGGAGGCTGAGGCAGGCAGATCACGAGGTCAGGAGTTTGAGACCAGCCTGACCAAAATGGAGAAACCCCATCTCTACTAAAAATACAAAATTAGCCAGGTGTGGTGGCGCATGTCTGTAATCCCAGCTACTCAGGAGGCTGAGGCAGGAGAGAATCACTTGAACTGAGGAGGCAGAGGTTGCAGTGAGCCGAGATTGTGCCATTGCACTTCAGCCTGGGCAACAAGAGTGAAACTCTATCTCAAAAAAAAAAAAAGCCTGCTGTCTTTCTGGGAATTACACTGAGTTTGTATTCAATCTATACATTAATTGGGGGAGGATTGACATTTTAATGATAATGCATTGTTCCACTCCTATGAAATTGTTCCTCTCCTATGAAATTGTTCCTATTTATATAGGACAAATTTAATTTTCTCAGTAATATTTTGTAGTTTTTTAAATATGTGTTTCTTTTTTTTTTTGAGACAGAGTGTCACTCTGTCACCCAGGCTGGAGTGCAGTGGTGCAATCTTGGCTCACTGCAACCTCTGCATCCTGGGTTCAAATGATTCTCCTGCCTCAGCCTCCTGAGTAGCTGGGATTATAGGCATGAGACACCGTACCCAACTAACTTTTTTATTTTTAGTAGAGATGGGGTTTTATTATGTTGGCCAGACTGGTCTTGAACTCCTGACCTCAAGTGATCCTCCAGGCTTGGCTTCCCAAAGTGTTGGGATTATAGGTGTGAGCCACTGCACCCAGCCTTGGTGTTTCCATATTTTATCTGATTCATCAGTATCTCATTTTTTAAATGAAGTTACGATATTTTTTTAAATTTCAAGTTAATTGTTTATTGCTAGTATATAGGAATACAGCTGATTTTTGTATGTTGATTTTTGTATCCTCCAGCCTTGCTAAACTTACTTATTATTAGTTCTAGTAACTTTTTTGGTATATTTGATCATATTTTATACATACAACAATGATCATCAAATATTTTCATTCTCAAACTACTGTTTTACTAAAGATAGGAAATCTTTCAGACTTGCGGCAGAACAGTCTCTGTTGCAGCTAATCAACTCTGCCATTGTAGTATGAGAGCAGCCAGGGAGAATACATACATTAATGAACACAGCTGTGTTCCAATAAAACAAGAAGCTGGCCCACAGGTTGTAGTTTATCTGCCCCTATTATGTGATCATGGTTGTGAATAAAGACAGTTTTACTTCTTCTTTCCAACCTGGATACCTTTTATTTCTTTTTCTTGTCTGACACCACTGGCTAGAATCTTTAGCATAAAGCTTACTAAAGATTTGAAAGCAGACATTCCTGTGTTGTTCCTGATATGGGGAAAGCATTCAGTGTGTCATTGTGATACACGTTAGCTGTAGGTTTGTCATAGATGCTTTGTGTCATGCTGATGAAGTTCATTTGTATTCTTAGATTGCTGAGAGGGTTTTTTTTTTAATCAAGAATGAAATTGAATTTTATCAAATGCCTTTATCTACTGAGATAATCATAAGGTTCTTCTGTTTTAGTTTTTTAATTAGTTGAATAACTAATATTTTAATGTTAAACCAACCTTGCATTTTAGAATAAAACCCATTTGCTTAGGATGTAGGCTTTTTAAAAATAGTATATCATTGGCGCTGGACACGGTGGCTCATGCCTGTAGTTTCAGCACTTTGGGAGGTCAGAGCAGGAGGATTGCTTGAAGCTGGAGTTCGAGACCAACCTGGGCAACAAAGTTAGACCCTGTATTTATTTGTATCCAGTTTGCCAAAATTTTGTTTAGAAATTTTAAAAGACTATTTTAATGTAGTTTTAGGTTCACAGCAACATTGAGAGGTACAGAGATTGTCTGTGTAGTTCCTGTCCCCAGACATGCATAGCCTTTCCCATTATCAGTATCCCTCACTAGAGTGGTACAGTTGATATGATTGATGAACCAAAATGGCACGTCATAATCATCCGAAGTTCATAGATTATATTAGTGTGCACTCCTGGCATTCTACAATATGTGGGTTTGGAAAGGACATATATTCATCATTATAGTATTGTACAAATTATTTTTACTGCTCTAAAATTCCTTTGTGTTTCACCTGTCTGCCTTTCCTTCCCTCCTCAACCCCAGGCAACCACTGATCTTTTTACTGTATCCATAGTTTTGCCTTTTCTAGAATGTCATATAGTTGAAATCATACAGTGCATATCCTTCAGATTGGCATCTTTCACTTAGTAATATGCATTTATGTTTCCACCATGTCTTATGACATGATAGCTTATTTTTGTTTAGCATTGACTAATAGTTCATTATATGACTGTGCTAGAGGTTGTTCACTCACCTATTGGAGGATATCTTGGTTGCTTCAGAAATTGGTTAAATTTTTTGTCAACGTTCATGAGGGAGTTTTCTTTTTTGTAATATCACTGTTTGGTTCAGGGTAATGCTAGCATTATAGAATGAGTTGTGTTGTATTTCCCCACTTTATTTTTTGGGGGAGAGGTTGTGTAAAATTATATTACATCTTCCTAAAATGTTTGATAGAATTCACCAGCACAGCTGTCTGAGCTTGGAGTTTTCTCAACTTTATTTTCTTTTGTGGATATAAGGGGATTTGGGTTATCTATTTCTTCTTGATTGAGCTTTGGTAATTTTTATTTTTCAAGGAATGTGTCCATTTAATTTAAGTTGTCATGGTTAGTTACATAAAGCTCACATTATTATCTTGCCATTCTTTTAATATCTGTAGAATGTATAAAAATGTCACATTGGGCCGGGCACCGTGGCTCATGTCTGTAATTCCAGCACTTTGGGAAGCCAAAAAGGGTGTATCACCTGAGGTCAGGAGTTCGAGACCAGCCTGGCCAACATGGTGAGACCCCTCACGTCTACTAAAAATGCAAACGTTAGCTGGGCTTGGTGGCAGGCACCTGTAATCCCAGCTACTCAGGAAG
Source organism: Homo sapiens (assembly GCF_000001405.40). NCBI lineage: Eukaryota > Metazoa > Chordata > Mammalia > Primates > Hominidae > Homo > Homo sapiens. The sequence goes on along the minus strand of NC_000008.11, from coordinate 47,104,707 downwards.
CTGAGGCAGGAGAATCTCTTGAACCCAGGAGGTGGACGTTGCAGTGAGCTGAGATTGTGCCACTGCACTCCAGCCTAGACAACAGAGCGAGATTGTATCTCCAAAAAAAAAAAAAAAGTCACATTACTTATTTCTGAAATTAGTAATTTGTTATCTTTTTTATTATCAGCCTGGCTAGATCGAGGTTTATCACTTTCATTGACCTCGAACTGTTTGGTTTTATTGATTTTCCCTTTTCTGTTTTATTGGTTTTATCTTTGATGTCATCATCTGTTTGGCCTGCTGTCACAAAATACCATAGACTGGGTAGCTTATAAACAACAGAAACTGATTTCTTATATTCCTGGAGGCTGCAAAATCCAAGATCAAGGTGCCAGAAAATTGAATGTCTGGTGAGGGATCAATTCCTGGTTCCTACTTTCCCTTTTCTCCCCTGTGTGCTTCATATGACAGAAGGGGTGAATGAGCTCTCTGGTGTCTCAGATAAGGGCACTAATCCCATTCATGAGGGCTTGGATTCCATGAGCCAATTGCCTCCACAAAGCTGCAGTTCCTAATAACATCACTTCTTTGATTAAGTTTCAGCATATGAGTTTTGGGAGGACACAAATGTTCAGACCATAGCAGATATTTATTATATTATTTCCTCTGCTTCTTTTGGGTTTAATTTGCTCTCTCTCTCTCTCTTTTTTTTCTTTTTGTAGTTTCTTCTTTTTTACTTTCATAAGATAGAAGTCAAGGCCATTGATTTGAGAGTCTTCCAGTATAGACATTCAGTGCTAACTTTTTAAATGCGTTGTAGCTTTAGTCCACAAATTCTGATATGGACTATTTTCATTTTTATTCACTTCAAAATAGTTTCTAATTTCTCTTTGCATTATGTCTTTGACCTAGGGTTATTTAGATGGGTGTTACTTTGTTTCTAAATTTTTGAGTATTTTGATGAGATATTTTGTTAGTGATTTTAATTTGATTCCTTTGTGGTCAGGGATCATACTTTCTATGACTTAAATCCTTTGACTTAATTCTTTTATGAAGATTTATTGTATAGCCTAGAATATGGTCTGTTTTACTAAGTGTTCCAAGGGTAGTTGAGAAGCATTGTGTTCTTCAAGTCTACTCTCATCTTGCTGATTTTCTGCCTCCTTGTTCTATCACATATTGAGTAAGCAATACTGAAAACTCAGACTATACCTGTGAATTTGTCAATTTGTTCTATCAGTATTTTCCTCATGTATTTCAAAGCTGTTATGTTACTAGGTACATAAACATTTAGGGTTATATGTTCTTGATTAATTGAACATTTATCATGAAATGATGTTGTTTATAGCTAGTAATATTTTTTTGCTGTGAAATCTACTTTTGTATTAACATAATCATTCCTGCTTAGCTTTCTTTTGTCAACTGTGTGGTCTATATTTTTCATCCTTTTAATTTGCATCTTTACATTTAAAGTGTGTTTCTTATAGGTAGCATGGAGTAGGATCTTGCTTTTTATACAGTTTGACAATCTGTCTTTTAGGTTTTTAGGCCAGTTTTATTTATAATGTGATTATTGATATATTAATAGTTAAGTTTATCTGTCATGCTGTTTGATTTTCATTAGTTCCAGCTGTTCTTTGTTCCTTTCTTTTCCTGCTTTCTTTTCAATTAGTTATGTAATTTTTATGATTTAGTTTTATCTTTTTTTGGCTTATTGTCTATAACTCTTTTTTTGCTGTGTTAGTGGTTGCATTACAATTTGTACTGTATGATTTTAACTTATCATAGCTCACCTTCAGGCAATATTATATAATATCATATATGGCATAAGAAAATTAGAGTAGTATACTTTCATTTTCTCTCTCCCAGCCAGATTCTTCCTGGATTTGTAGGATTATAGTTTTTATTACGTTTAGAAAGTTTCTGGCCACTATCTTTATGTTTTTGTCTTTCTGTCTTCCTCCCTCTTTGGGGACTTATATATTGTTGCTTAAAATTTTCTCATAGTTCTCTGATGTCTCAAATTTATGAATTTTATTTTTTGTGATATCTAGTCTGTATTTACTTCCATCCAGTGTTGTTTTCAGTCCTAACTTTTTTTTTTGAGACCAAGTCTTGCTCTGTCACCCAGGCTGGAGTGCAGTGGCTTGATCACCACTCACTACAACCTTCGCCTCCCGGGTTCAAGCCATTCTCCTGCCTCAGCCTCCTGAGTAGCTGGGGTTATAGGTGCCTGTTACGATGGCCACCTAAATTCTTTGTATTTTCAGTAGAGATGGGGTTTCACCATGTGGGCCAGGCTGGTCTCGAACTCCTGATCTTAAGTGATCTGCCCGCCTCGGCCTCCCAAAGTGCTGGCATTACAGGTATGAGCCACTGTACCTGGCCCAGTCCTAACATTTTAATTTTAATTCCTACTAGTGCAATTTGCTTTCAAGAAATATCTTCTTTGCCTCTACTTGAGATTTATTTGGGGACACAGTTGACTTACTTATAAACAACTTGATCTTTCTGGTCTTGCTTTATGATTTGGTCTAACTTTCCACTCGAGACAAGGTGTTTCTAATAACGCTATTCTTTGCCCTGTGAAGTTTTTCCAGTATCAGTCATAGGAATGGACACTCTTCCTGGTATATTATGTGAGCAACAGGCACTGTTTCTTTTAATTTTTTAAGGATTTTTTTCGACCTGGTCTCAAGTAGTTTCCTAGCACACATATACTGTTCATTACTCTGTTAAATAAATACCCAAGAGGGTATTTTTGCAGATCTTTATTGTTCTTCTCCTATACTGTTCTCTCGTTTCCAGTGTTCTGTTTTGTGATTTCTGTCTGCCTTGATGTTTTTTTGAGCCTCTCAGCTTCGTTGTTCCAATTCAGGGAATCTGGCGGACTCTACCTCAATTTTATTTTCTCCTGTTGTCATGGCCTGGAAACTTTGTCCAGTCAGTTTGCTGGGGTGTTTGTAAATCTTACTTCATTTGTTTCCTGTCTTACAGGGATCATCGTCTTCATTACCTGCAGTCCATGTTCTTGAAAATCATTGTATTGTGTATTTTGTCTTTCTTGTTTTTGTTTCAGGCAAGAAGGTAAATCAGTATCTGCTGCTCCATTGTGGCCAGAAGCAGACTGCAGCAGAGCTTCAGCACATGCCGTAGACTAGCTAGAATGCTTTTCTACTCCCTTTACTTAACTGCTTCCTTCTCACCCTTCATTACTCAGTGTAGCCATCTCTTCCCCAGGGAAATCTTCCTGAGCCCAGTATAGATCAAATTCTGTGTTATCATAGAACTGTTTTCTTGCAGCATCTATCTGAATTTGTAATTTAGTATTTGTTTTTCACTACACCTAAAGCTAAACAAGAACAGAGTTACTGTTTGTTTTATCTGCAGAGCTCAGTAGAATGTCTTCCACATGGTAGGAACTCAGTGCATATTTGTTTGGTGTATGGATGGGTGAATGTTAAAATGCACAGGACTTTATATCCAAAAAGTACTCATATATTTTATTTCCACCTTGTTTTCCCCCAATGCAGATTCTGCTAGCCTATCAAAAATCCAGGATGCAGTTCTTTCAGATGAACACTTACTAGAACTTAAAAGTAATCACTGTGAACAACTTACAATAGAAATTGAACAAATGGAAAATATGATTCATGTACTACAAAAGAAGCTGTCTGAAACAAAAGAAACACAATTACAGTTAGAACATGAAAAAGATGAATGGGAGCAAGAACTCTCCACTTTGGGGGGAGGAGCCAAGATGGCCGAATAGGAACAGCTCCGGTCTACAGCTCCCAGTGTGAGTGATGCAGAAGATGGGTGATTTCTGCATTTCCATCTGAGGTACCGGGTTCATCTCACAAGGGAGTGCCAGACAGTGGGCACAGGTCACTGGGTGCGAGCACCGTGCGTGAGCCGAAGCAGGGCAAGGCATTGCCTCACTTGGGAAGCGCAAGGGGTCAGGGAGTTCCCTTTCCGAGTCAAAGAAAGGGGTGACGGACTCACCTGGAAAGTTGGGTCACTCCCACCCGAATATTGCGCTTCTCCGACCGGCTTAAAAAACGGCGCACCACGAGATTATATCCCGCACATAGCTGGGAGGGTCCTACGCCCACGGAGTCTCGCTGATTGCTAGCACAGCAGTCTGAGATCAAACTGCAAGGCGGCAGCAAGGCTGGGGGAGGGGCGCCCGCCATTGCCCAGGCTTGCTTAGGTAAACAAAGCAGCTGGGAAGCTCGAACTGGGTGGAGCCCACCACACCTCAAGGAGGCCTGCTTGCCTCTGTAGGCTCCACCTCTGGGGGCAGGGCACAGACAAACAAAAAGACAGCAGTAACCTCTGCAGACTTAAATGTCCCTGTCTGACAGCTTTGAAGAGAGCAGTGGTTCTCCCAGCACACAGCTGCAGATCTGAGAACCGGCAGACTGCCTCCTCAAGTGGGTCCCTGACCCCTGACCCCTGAGCAGCCTAACTGGGAGGCACCCCCCAGCAGGGGCACACTGACACCTCACGCGGCAGGGTATTCCAACAGACCTGCAGCTGAGGGTCCTGTCTGTTAGAAGGAAAACTAACAAACAGAAAGGACATCCACACCAAAAACCCATCTGTACATCACCATCATCAAAGACCAAAAGTAGATAAAACCACAAAGATGGGGAAAAAACAGAACAGAAAAATGGGAAACTCTAAAAAGCAGAGCGCCTCTCCTCCTCCAAAGGAACGCAGTTCCTCACCAGCAACGGAACAAAGCTGGACGGAGAATGACTTTGACGAGCTGAGAGAAGAAGGCTTCAGATGATCAAATTACTCCGAGCTACGGGAGGACATTCAAACCAAAGGCAAAGAAGTTGAAAACTTTGAAAAAAACTTAGGAATGTATGACCAGAATAACCAATACAGAGAAGTGCTTAAAGGAGCTGATGGAGCTGAAAACCAAGGCTCGAGAACTACGTGAAGAATGCAGAAGCCTCAGGAGCCGATGCGATCAACTGGAAGAAAGGGTATCAGCAATGGAAGATGAAATGAATGAAATGAAGTGAGAAGGGAAGTTTAGAGAAAAAAGAATAAAAAGAAATGAGCAAAGCCTCCAAGAAATATGGGACTATGTGAAAAGACCAAGTCTACGTCTGATCGGTGTACCTGAAAGTGATGGGGAGAATGGAACCAAGTTGGAAAACACTCTGCAGGATATTATCCAGGAGAACTTCCCCAATCTAGCAAGGCAGGCCAACGTTCAGATTCAGGAAATACAGAGAACGCCACAAAGATACTCCTCAAGAAGAGCAACTCCAAGACACATAATTGTCAGATTCACCAAAGTTGAAATGAAGGAAAAAATGTTAAGGGCAGCCAGAGAGAAAGGTCGGGTTACCCTCAAAGGGAAGCCCATCAGACTAACAGCGGATCTCTTGGCAGAAACCCTACAAGCCAGAAGAGAGTGGGGGCCAATATTCAACATTCTTAAAAGAATTTTCAACCCAGAATTTCATATCCAGCCAAACTAAGCTTCATAAGTGAAGGAGAAATAAAATACTTTAGAGACAAGCAAATGCTGAGAGATTTTGTCACCACCAGGCCTGCCCTAAAAGAGCTGAAGGAAGCGCTAAACATGGAAAGGAACAACCGGTACAAGCCACTGCAAAATCATGCCAAAATGTAAAGACCATCGAGACTAGGAAGAAACTGCATCAACTAACGAGCAAAATCACCAGCTAACATCATAATCACAGGATCAAATTCACACATAACAATACTAACTTTAAATGTAAATGGACTAAATGCTCCAATTAAAAGACACAGACTGGCAAATTGGATAAAGAGTCAAGACCCATCAGTGTGCTGTATTCAGGAAACCCATCTCATGTGCAGAGACACACATAGGCTCAAAATAAAAGGATGGAGGAAGATCTACCAAGCAAATGGAAAACAAAAAAAGGCACGGGTTGCAATCCTAGTCTCTGATAAAACAGACTTTAAACCAACAAAGATCAAAAGAGACAAAGAAGGTCATTACATAATGGTAAAGGGATCAATTCAACAAGAAGGGCTAACTATCCTAAATATATATGCACCCAATACAGGAGCACCCAGATTCATAAAGCAGGTCCTGAGTGACCTACAAAGAGACTTAGACTCCCACACATTAATAATGGGAGACTTTAACACCCCACTGTCAACATTAGACAGATCAACGAGACAGAAAGTCAACAAGGATACCCAGGAATTGAACTCAGCTCTGCACCAAGCAGACCTAATAGACATCTACAGAACTCTCCACCCCAAATCAACAGAATATACATTTTTTTCAGCACCACACCTATTCCAAAATTGACCACATAGTTGGAAGTAAAGCTCTCCTCAGCAAATGTAAAAGAATAGAGATTATAACAAACTATCTCTCAGACCACAGTCCAATCAAACTAGAACTCAGAATTAAGAATCTCACTCAAAACTGCTCAACTACATGGAAACTGAACAACCTGCTCCTGAATGACTACTGGATACATAACGAAATCAAGGCAGAAATAAAGATGTTCTTTGAAACCACTGAGAACAAAGACACAACATACCAGAATCTCTGGGACACATTCAAAGCAGTGTGTTAGAGGGAAATTGATAGCACTAAATGCCCACAAGAGAAAGCAGGAAAGATCTAAAATTGACACCCTAACATCACAATTAAAAGAACTAGAAAAGCAAGAGCAAACACATCCAAAAGCTAGCAGAAGGCAAGAAATAACTAAAATCAGAGCAGAACTGAAGGAAATAGAGACACAAAAAACCCCTCAAAAAATTAATGAATCCAGGAGCTGGTTTTTTGAAAGGATCAACAAAATTGATAGACCGCTAGCAAGACTAATAAAGAAAAAAAGAGAGAAGAATCAAATAGACACAATAAAAAATGTTAAAGGGGATATCACCACCGATCCCACAGAAATACAAACTACCATCAGAGAATACTACAAACACCTCTACACAAATAAACTAGAAAATCTAGAAGAAATGGATAAATTCCTCGACACCTACACTCTCCCAAGACTAAACCAGGAAGAAGTTGAATCTCTGAATAGACCAATAACAGGAGCTAAACTTGTGGCAATAATCAATAGTTTACCAACCAAAAAGAGTCCAGGACCAGATGGATTCACAGCCGAATTCTACCAGAGGTACAAGGAGGAACTGGTACCATTCCTTCTGAAACTATTCCAATCAATAGAAAAAGAGGGAATCCTCCCTAAGTCATTTTATGAGGCCAGCATCATTCTGATACCAAAGCTGGGCAGAGACACAACCAAAAAAGAGAATTTCAGACCATTATTCTTGATGAACATTGATGCAAAAATCCTCAATAAAATACTGGCAAACCGAATCCAGCAGCACATCAAAAAGTTTATCCACCATGATCAAGTGGGCTTCATCCCTGGGATGCAAGGCTGGTTCAATATACGCAAATCAATAAATGTAATTCAGCATATAAACAGAGCCAAAGACAAAAACCACATGATTACCTCAATAGATGCAGAAAAGGCCTTTGACAAAATTCAACAACCTTCATGCTAAAAACTCAATAAATTAGGTATTGATGGGACGTATTTCAAAATAATAAGAGCTGTCTATGACAAACCCACAGCCAATATCATACTAAATGGGCAAAAACTGGAAGCATTCCCTTTGAAAACTGGCACAAGACAGGGATGCCCTCTCTCACCACTCCTATTCAACATAGTGTTGGAAGTTCTGGCCAGGTTAATTAGGCAGGAGAAGGAAATAAAGGGTATTCAATTAGGAAAAGAGGAAGTCAAATTGTCCCTGTTTGCAGACGACATGATTGTATATCTAGAAAACCCCATCATCTCAGCCCCAAATCTCCTTAAGCTGATAAGCAACTTCAGCAAAGTCTCAGGATACAAAATCAATGTACAAAAATCACAAGCATTCTTATACACCAACAACAGACAAACAGAGAGCGAAATCATGAGTGAACTCCCATTCACAATTGTTTCAAAGAGAGCAAAATACCTAGGAATCCAACTTACAAGGGATGTGAAGGACCTCTTCAAGGAGAACTACAAACCACTGCTCAATGAAATAAAAGAGGATACAAACAAATGGAAGAACATTCCATGCTCATGGGTAGGAAGAATCAATATCGTGAAAATGGCCATACTGCCCAAGGTAATTTACAGATTCAATGCCATCCCCATCAAGCTACCAATGACTTCCTGCACAGAATTGGAAAAAACTACTTTAAAGTTCATATGGAAGCAAAAAAGAGCCCGCATCGCCAAGGTAATCCTAAGCCAAAAGAACAAAGCTGGAGGCATCACACTACCTGACTTCAAACTATACTACAAGGCTACAGTAACCAAAACAGCATGGTACTGGTACCAAAACAGAGATATAGATCAATGGAACAGAACAGAGCCCTCAGAAATAACACCGCATATCTACAACTATCTGATCTTTGACAAACCTGAGAAAAACAAGAAATGGGGAAAGAATTCCCTATTTAATAAATGGTGCTGGGAAAACTGGCTAGCCATATGTAGAAAGCTGAAACTGGATCCCTTCCTTACACCTTATACAAAAATCAATTCAAGATGGATTAAAGACTTAAACATTAGACCTAAAACCATAAAAACCCTAGAAGAAAACCTAGGCATTACCATTCAGGACATAGGCATGGGCAAGGACTTCATGTCTAAAACACCAAAAGCAATGGCAACAAAAGACAAAATTGACAAACGGGATCTAATTAAACTAAAGAGCTTCTGCACAGCAAAGGAAACTATCATCAGAGTGAACAGGCAACCTACAAAATGGGAGAAAATTTTCGCAACCTACTCATCTGACAAAGGGCTAATATCCAGAGTCTACAATGAACTCAAACAAATTTACAAGAAAAAAACAAACAACCCCATCAAAAAGTGGGCAAAGGACATGAACAGACACTTCTCAAAAGAAGACATTTATGCAGCCAAAAAACACATGAAAAAATGCTCATCATCACTGGCCATCAGAGAAATGCAAATCAAAACCACAATGAGATACCATCTCACACCAGTTAGAATGGCAATCATTAAAAAGTCAGGAAACAATAGGTGCTGGAGAGGATGTGGAGAAATAGGAACACTTTTACACTGTTGGTAGGACTGTAAACTGGTTCAACCATTGTGGAAGTCAGTGTGGCAATTCCTCAGGGATCTAGAAGTAGAAATACCATTTGACCCAGCCATCCCGTTACTGGGTATATACCCAAAGGACTATAAATCATGCTGCCATAAAGACACATGCACACGTATGTTTATTGCAGCATTATTCACAATAGCAAAGACTTGGAACCAACCCAAATGTCCAACAACGATAGACTGGATTAAGAAAATGTGGCACATATACACCATGGAATACTATGCAGCCATAAAAATGATGAGTTCATGTCCTTTGTAGGGACATGGATGAAACTGGAAATCATCATTCTCAGTAAACTATCGCAAGAACAAGAAACCGAACACCGCATATTCTCACTCATAGGTGGGAATTGAACAATGAGATCACATGGACACAGGAAGGGGAATATCACACTCTGGGGACTGTGGTGGGGTGGGGGGAGGGGGGAGGGATAGCATTGGGAGATATGTTTACCTATGTTTACCTATGAAACAAATCTATGCATTCTGCACATGTACTCTGGAAATTAAAATAAAAAAAACCATTTATATTAATTTACAGTTCAACTAACAGAGCATGAAGTGGCCATTTGTTTCAAGCCACAATACTTCTTTAAAACTTTATACAGTTTTATTCTTTTTTTCTCCCTGTTTAAATTTATTTATTTATATTTCAATAGCTGTTGGGGTACAAGTGGTATTTGGTTACATGGATGAATTGTATAGTGGTGAACTCTGGATTTTAGTGTACCCATCAACAATAGGTAGTTTTCATTGCTCACCTTTCTTCTACCCTTTCTTCTTCTGAGTCTCCAATATCATTATACCACTCTGCCTACCTTTACATACCCATAGCACAGCTCCCACTTATAAATGAGAACATGTGGTATTGTTCCATTCCTGAGTTACTTCACTTAGAATAAGGGCCTATAGCTCCATCCAGTTTGCTGCAAAAAGGATTATTTCATTCTTCTTTATGGCTGAGTAGTATTCTGTGGTATGGATATGTATATATACATATATATACACACTCACATATATATATGTATATATCACATTTTCTTTATTCCACTCACCAGTTAATGGACACTGGTTGATTCCATATCTTTGCATATTGTGAATTGTGCTGCAGTAAACACACATATGCAGGTGTCTTTTCGATTTAATGATTTCTTAGATACCCAGAAATGAGAATGCTGAATAGAATGATACGATCTACTTTTAGTTCTTTGAGAAATTGCCATACTGTTTTCCATATATTTTGTACTCATTTGCATTCCTACCAGCAGTGTGTATCTGTTCTCTTTTTGCCACATCCACACCACTGTCTGTTGTTTTTTGATTTTTAATAATGGCCATTCTGGCTACAGTGAGGTGATATCTTACTGTTGTTTTATTTTACATTTCCCTGATGATAAGTGATGTTTAGCATGTTTTTATGTGCTTTTTCACTATTCATACATCTTCTTTTGAGAAATGTCTATTCATGTCATGTGCACACTTTTTGATGGAATTATTTGTATTTTTCCTGCTGCTTTGTTTGAATTTCTTGTAGATTATGGATATTCATCCTTTGTTAGATTCATAATTTACAAATATTTTTCCCATTCTATGGGTTGTTGGTTTACTCTGATGGACTATTTCTTTTGCTGTGCTGAAGTTTTTAGTTTAATTAGGCCATATTTATTTATTTATTTTCATTTTTGTTGCATTTGCTTTTAGGGTCTTCATCATAAATTCATTGCCTAAGCCAGTGTTTTCAGGTCTTAGGTTTAGGCCTTTAATCCACCTTGAATTAATTTTTGGGTCTGGTTAGAGATAGAGATCCAGTTTCATTCTTCTACATGTGGCTTTTTCTCCCAGCACCATTTATTAAATAATGTGTACTTTCTCCAGTGTATGTTTTTGTATCCTTTCTCAAAGATCATTTACTTGTAAGTGGCTTTTTTTTCTGGCTTGTCTATTCTGTTCCATTGATCTATGTATCTACTTTTATACCAGTACCATGCTGTTTTTGTTACTGTAGCCTTAGAGTGTAATTTGAAGTCAGGTAATGTGATGCCAACATATTTGTTCCTTTTGCTTGATATGTCTGTTGCTATTCAGGCTCTTTTGTGGTTCTACATAAATGTCAGCAGTTTTTTTAAATAATTCTATGAAGAATGACATTGGTATTTTGATAGGAATTGTATCAAACCTGTAGACTGTTTTGGGCACTATGGTCATTTTCACAATATCAATTCTTTCAACCCATGAACATAGGATGTATTTTCATTTGTGTCATCTATTATTTTCTTCAGTGATGTTTTCCATTTATCCTTATATAGATCACTCACCTCCTTCATTAAGTATATTCCTAGGTATTTTACAGTTTTGCAGCCATTGTAAAAGGGTTTGAGTTCTTCATATTATCTCAGCTTTGTTGTAGTTGGTGTATAGTGGTGATACTGATTGGTATTCATTTATTTTGTAACCTCTGAGACTTTACTGAATTCATTTATCAAATCTAGGAGTGTTTTGTAGGAGTCTTTAGAGTTTTCTAGGTATAAGAGCATATCATTGCTGAAGAGATAGTTTGACTTCCTCTTTTCCAATTTGGATGCCCTTTATTTCTTTTGCCCAATTTCTCTGCCTAGGACTTCCCAGTTTTATTCTTAATATTCATGAAATGAAAAGTAAAATGGAAAGGGATTAGTTTATTTCACATCTTTCATACACAGATAAAATTAATTCAAAGTTCTATGTTAAAAACACATGTTATTCTTCATTGTTTAAATACTAGACCATGCCTTGTTCCAAAAGGAATTTCTAAGTTGTTTATAAAACATATAGGAATCAAGAATATAAATGGAAAGTGTTTCCAGAAAGTAAACATAAAAAGTATGGGTTAACACAGGGGTTCCCAATCCCCAGGACAAGGACCAGTACCAGTCCCTGGCCTGTTAGGAATTGGACCACACAGCAGAAGGTTAGGGGCAGGTGAGTAAGCGAAGCTTTATCTGTGTTTACAGCCACTCCCCATCACTTGCATTACCACCTGAGCTCTTCCTCCCGTCAGATCAGCGGTGGCAATAGATTGTCAAGAAGTGTGACCTGAACCCTGTAGTAAGCTGCTCATGCAGGGGATCTAGGTTGTGCACTCCTTATGAGAATCTAATGCCTGATGATCTGTCACTGTCTCCTGTCACTCCTAGATGGGACCATGTAGTTGCAGGAAAACAAGCTCAAGGTTCCCACTGATTCTACGTTATGGTGAGTTATATAATTATTTCATTATATATTACAATCAGTAATAATAGAAATAAAGTACACAATAAATGTAACGTGCTTGAATCATCCTGGAATCATCCCCCCACCTCAGGTCCGAGGAAAAATTATCTTCCAAAGAGCCAGTCCCTGGTGCCAACATGGTTGGGGACAGCTGGATTAACAGATGTGAGACCCCTTTGCCTTGTCTTGGATTAATCTGCAGATATACATTCTGTGAATGACATCTGATGGTGCCATCTTGCCCTGTAAATCATTTTAGGGATACCTCCAGTATTTCATGAAAATAAAATTTCTTCTAGTGAATTTATAAACTTGTTTAAGTACTATGTTCTTTTTAATTAGTTAATTTGAAATGATCTGTCATAATTGAGAAGTTCCTATGGCTGTGTGAAAAGAGATAATTTTCAACTTGTAAGTTAACTGAATAATTTCTAATATCCTTTTTCATAATGTTTATTGGAATTACTAGTAACAGAAACTCATCAATTAGCAAGTTGTTCTTTCCTCACTACATTTCAAGTATTTGTCCCTTGGAAAAGATTGAAGGAAGAAATTAAAAGCATGAGAACTGGAAAGAAAAAATAGTCAAGAACACAGAAATTTTATTTGTATAATAAACCTATTCAGGAAGAGCCACATCACAAAATAAACTTTTTTATTTTCTAACAAAATTAATTTTAATGTAACTATATTTAACTGTATAGATTGACCTTAAAACAAGAAGAAGAAAAGAGAAAGGATGCTGATATGTTGTATAAAAAAGGTAGTGAAGAGTTAAAAAGAAAAGAAGAGGAATATGGGAAAGATGTTGAAATTAACCAACAACTGAAACGGACTCTGAAAACACGAGCCATGGAATTGAGGACAGTAAGAAAGAATTTGGATCAGGTAAATTTCTGATGAAAACTTTATATTTCCAACTTTATATTTCATCAATATTACTTATATTCCTTTGATTTAATGTAGTATGTTATTTAGGTGTAAACACACCAAAACTGTTATCTAATTTTTATAATGAGCTATGACATTTATAGTTACAATTATTTTATTGTAAACCTTGGGATCTCAATCTGTGTTTTCAGAATAAAGAAATGGAGGATAAGTTGAGTTTAATCACTAACATAAATGCTCATTTATGGATTTTTATATTAAAATACAGGCTAAATAGCTTTCAAACTAAAATGTGTTAAATGTTTTGAAAGAAATTTTATTACACAATACTGTATCTTTATATAGGTAAGAAGTGTTTCTCCTCGTAGAGAAATTTAGCTCTCATGTATGCAATTAAAATTTGAATGATTCTTGAGGGTTAAAAATTTTTGTGTTTTAATAGGCTACTTTCTTTTAACAGTTTTATAATAGAGGTTCTGCTCTTTTAGACTTTGTTTTTCAGTCCTATTAAACCAAAAATGTACTGTATCTGTAGTTTGTGCAGGAATGAAATGATACCCAGAAGCAACTTTCCGAAGAATATAATGCTAGAATATTACTAGATGAGATACTGACTAACAAACAAAAGCAGATAAAAGTGGCTGAAAAGAAAATGAATTCTGAGATATTTTTCTTAGCCATTTTCAAATGTTTCTATATCTGTATATATTTGAAAAACCAACTATGTATTTTGGAAAGTATAAAGGATTTTTAAATCATATATATATACACACACATACAAGTATGTATATATACATGTGTATATATATATATATTCTATATATTCTTTATCATATATCTATACATGTATATATAAGATAAAGCTATGTTCTTAATTCAGCTCCATTTGCCTGCAGCGGTCGAATGGTGACGTTTACAATGGCCTCAATCCAAAGGAGAAGCATTTGATATTTTTCAATTTACAATTTCCAAAATAAGTTTTACTACTAACAACAGATTTTCTAGTTTTTGGACATTAGTTCATCTTCTTAACATATTAATGGAGAAGTCAGTTTATTCATAAAAGGAAGGTTTGTTCAGAAAAAGTTTATACAGAAAGTTTATTCAGAAAAAATTCATTCAGAAAATTTATTCAGAAAAGTCAGCTGATTCACAAAAAGGAAATTAAAGAACTTTGAGAAATTGCATCTATCCAAATATATGCATAGCTAAGGCTCTTACAGTGGTGTGGTTTATAGATTATAGGTGGTTATCAAGAGGGTATACCCAATTTTAAAAATATAGTCAAATGTATTAATCTTATATTTTATGCCTCTGGGTTTTTTTGTAATTCAGAGAAAGGCTTTTCCAATTCTGAGATTCTTAAAAATCCTCTAGTGATTTATTTTTCATGGTCTTTAAATAGATATTTAAACTTTTGGGAATTTACACTCTCTTAGGTTTGAAGTTTTGTCCAACGTTTTTTCCAGTTAAATATTCACTGTGGGAATTCTTTCATTATACAAATATACAGGTTACTCTTTAATTTCAGAAGAAATTATAACATGCCATTCTATTGAGTACTAACTAAAAGTTTCCTTTGTTTACTTAGATTTCTCTTAGCCATAAGAAAGAAAAAGGTCTCTTGCATGAAAATAGCATGTTGCAGGAAGAAATTGCCATGCTAAGACTGGAACTGGATACAATAAAACATCAGAATGAGATAAAGGAAAAGAAATATTTTGAGGACATTGAAAGTGTGAAAGAAGAGCATGATAATCTTCTAAAGGCTATAACATTGAATGAGGAAGCATTAGCAAAAACAGTATTTCAGTACAATGGACAGCTTAGCATTTTGACAACTGAGAATAAAATGCTCAGTTCTGAACTGAAGAATGTAAAACACAACAAGGAATGACTGGAAACAGAAATTCAATCATTTCATGATAGACTGGTTGCTGCTTTACATGATTGTGACCAAAGTCAGATAGCAGAAAGAGAGTCTTTCCAGAGAACAAGACATGAATGGGTTTATTTATAGGAGACAGTGAATTTTCATATGTCTAACCTAAAAGATAACAGTGAGATTCTTTCTGAACAACTCTCTAATGCTGACAGTAAAATTAACACCCTAAAAATTAAGCCCCATCACACAAGATAAACTCTGAGAGAAAAGATGGGGCAGGCTACCATCTTTCCTGTTTGGGCAACTTAGCCATTCCAGCCTGCTGGCTTTGGAGAGTACAAACTGACCAGGGGCAGAAGAGATCCCGCAGCACAGCACAGCTGCTTTACCAAATCATGGCCAGATTGCTTCTGTAAGCAGGCCCCTGATGCTGTTCCTCCTCACTGGACAGGACCTCCCAACTGGGTCCTCCAGCTACCCCCACCAGTATTCTCCAGCCAACAGAGATTTGAAACCCCCACTAGGACAGAGTTACCAGAGGAGAGGGGCAGCCACCACCTTTGAAGTTTGGGGGACTAGCCGTTCTGGCCTTCAGGCTTTGGAGAGCCCAAGCTGACCCGGGTGGAAGTAGTACCCCAGCACAGCACAGCCACCCTACGAAAACATAGCCAGCCTCTTTTTTAAGTCAGTCCCTGACCACGTTTCTCATCACTGGGTGGAGCCTTTCAACCAGGGTCTCTGGCTACCTTCACTGCTGTTCTCTGGCTGACAGAGGTTTCAGGCCCCCTGGGTCAGAGCTCCCAGCGGGAGGACCAGACTGTCATCTTTGCTGTTTGGGTGACTTAGCCATTTCAGCCTTAGGGCTTCAGAGTGTCTGAGGCGACCAGGGGCTGAAGTAAACCCCCAGCACAGCACAGCTGCTCTGCAAAAATGTGGCCAGACCTTTTTTTTTTAAATTATTTATTATTATTATTATACTTTAAGTTTTAGGGAGCATGTGCACAATATGCAGGTTAGTTACATATGTATACATGTACCATGCTGGTGCGCTGCACCCACTAACTCGTCATCTAGCATTGGGTATATCTCCCAATGCTATCCCTCCCCCCTCCCCCCACCCCACAACAGTCCCCAGAGTGTGATGTTCCCCTTCCTGTGTCCATGTGGTCTCATTGTTCAATTCCCACCTATGAGTGAGAATATGCGGTGTTTGGTTTCTTGTTCTTGCGATAGTTTACTGAGAATGATGATTTCCAGTTTCATCCATGTCCCTACAAAGGACATGAACTCATCATTTTTATGGCTGCATAGTATTCCATGGTGTATATGTGCCACATTTTCTTAATCCAGTCTATCATTGTTGGACATTTGGGTTGGTTCCAAGTCTTTGCTATTGTGAATAATGCCACAATAAACATACATGTGCATGTTTCTTTATAGCAGCATGATTTATAGTCATTTGGGTATATACCCAGCAATGGGATGGCTGGGTCAAATGGTATTTCTAGTTCTAGATCCCTGAGGAATTGCCACACTGACTTCCACAATGGTTGAACCAGTTTACAGTCCCACCAACAGTGTAAAAGTGTTCCTATTTCTCCACATCCTCTCCAGCACCTGTTGTTTCCTGACTTTTTAATGATCGCCTTTCTAACTGGTGTGAGATGGTATCTCATTGTGGTTTTGATTTGCATTTCTCTGATGGCCAGTGATGGTGAGCATTTTTTCATGTGTTTTTTGGCTGCATAAATGTCTTCTTTTGAGAAGTTTCTGTTCATGTCCTTTGCTCACTTTTTGATGGGATTGTTTGTTTTTTTCTTGTAAATTTGTTTGAGTTCATTGTAGATTCTGGATTAGCCCTTTGTCAGTTGAGCAGACCTCTTTTTTAAGCAAGTCCCTGTTCTTGTTCCTCCTGTCTAGGCAAGACTTCTCAACTTGCCTCCAGCCACCTCCTATAGGTGTGTTCAAATTGGCAACAGGTTCGTACCTCAGTGGTACAGAACTCCCAGAGGAAGGGGCAGGCTGTCGTCTTTGCCTTTTCGCAGGCTTCACTGGTGATAGCATCAGGCACTGGAAAATCTGAGGCAGCTAGGGACTGAAGTGGACTCCCAGCATGCCACAGCAGCCCTATGGAAAAGTGGCCAGACAGTTACGTGGGTGCCAGTTTCCATATCTCCTTGATGGGCAGGTCCTCCTGGCCTGAGTCTCTAGACAACCCCCGACCGAAGCTATCAAGCCAGTAGCAACTTGGCAGTTCCCTGGACAGTGCTTCCAGGAGCAACTGAAATCCTCTCTGCCACTGCCTCTGAAGTGGAACTGTCCTTGCTACCCTCAGAATATCAAGGAAGCAAAGACTTTAAGTGCTGTATCGACACCTCCCATAAGCTGAAGTTGGCTCAAGGAGCATGTCAGCCCATCTTCCACGGGTCCCACACACCCTCCACTGCTCATTACCAGACAGCGAACCCTGGCTTGGCCCGCGGCACAGACCCTCCAACCTGGCTGATTGCACTTAGTAATTGCTAACTCACATCTCTCTGGGGTAGAGCCACCAGGAGGCAAGCAAAGTGGTGGAGCAGCAAGCCAGCTCATGTGGAGCCTGGAGGTCAGGGACAGCTATCTAAGCTCCACTTGCTCTTCTGAGACACTTTACCCCAGCACTTTAGGAGTGCTGAGGTCAGACCAACCACATCTCACGTGTTAAGATTGCCCAGCAGAGATCAGGTCTGAGAGTTCGCTTCTTAATAAAGGGGACTTGCTTAAAAAAGAAGTCTGGCCACATTTCCGTAGAGCAGCTTTGCTGTGCTGGGTCTTTACTTTTGAGAGAGTTCTCCTCTCAGACCTGATATCTGCTGGGCAGTCTTGTACATGAGATGGGGCAGGTCTGACCTGAGCAATCCTTAGTCTGCTTGCCTCTCCCAGGGCCCCAGCCTGGCCACACTTGCTTACAGGGCACTCTTGGGTGCCCACACCATAGCTTCTGTGCCAGTGGACTGTGCTTGACCAGTGGAGAGCTCAGCAATGTGGCCCCTACAGGCATGCACCAGCCTGCACATTGCCTCTCCATACTGCAGCTCTTCTTTATATGGAAACTTCCTATATCACTTTGCTGGTGTGTGTCTACACAGGTGGGTTTTGCTGTACTTGCCCTACCAGCACACGGGAGTGCAGCCACACACCCCAACACATGTCAACTGCTATTGACGATGGAGCTATGGTGGGCACAGAGCCAAAAATGCCCACCCTGCCAGCACCTTGCCCTTGAGCTAATGCTGTACAGAGAAAAGGGGACCCTCTTATACCCTAAGCAACTGCTGTTGCTTGGTGGGCACAGAGAAGGCACCCAGACCTGCACTTGCCAGCACCCCACCCCAAACCAATACCTCCTCCAGTGCAACAGCACACACAGTCAGCAGGGCCCCCCTGGCCCCCCCACCCCAGCTGTCTTGCTTCCACTACTGGGTGAATGCCTGCAGGGAGGCAGGCACTTTTGCATCTGTTAGCACTCTGCTGCAGCTGCTGCGCTTTGGTCCCCCAGTACAGTGGGGACTTCAAACCTGGAGGAGGCAGGGAACAAAGTTGGGGCCCAATACAAGTTCCCCATGTTAAAGCACACAGTCCAGGAATTGGGAGCTGAGTGTTGGCCCCCTAAAATCCTCCAGAAACAAAGCCAGTTGGCTGAATCCACCTTACACCACAATCAAACTCTCAAAGTCATCAAATATGATAAAAAAAAATACCCTGTCCAAAGGTCAGCAACCTCAAAAGTTGAAGGTGTGGTAAGCCCATAATGATGAGAAAGAATCTGTGCAAGAACACTGAAAACTCAAAAAGTCAGCATGCCTTCTTTCCTCCAAATGACTGTGTCAACTCTCCAGCAAGTGTTCAGAACTGGGCTAAGGCTGAGATGTCTGAAATGATACAAGTAGAATTCAGAATATGGGTAGGAACAAAGTTCACTGAGTGAAAGAAGTATGTTGTAATCCAATGCAAGGGAGCTAAAAATCATTGTAAAACATTGCAGGAGCTAACAGACAAAATAGCCAGTATAAAGAAGAACATAACCAACCTGATAGAGCTGAAAAGCAAACTACAAGAATTTTGATAACGCAGTCACATGGTGATTGTGTGTGATTGCATTATGAAAATTCTTTTAGTGTGTGTGGGCACCCAAGAGTGCCCTGTAAGCAGGTGTGGCCAGGCTGGGGCCCTGGGAGAGGCAAGCAGACTAAGGAGTGCTGAGGTCAGACCAGCCCCATCTCATGTGCAAGACCAACTAGCAGAATAGAACAAGAAGAAAAAAGAATCTCAGAGCTTGAAAACTGGCTTTTTGAAATAAAACATGCAGACAAGAATGGGGGAAAAAAGAATGAAAAGGAATGAACAAAATCTTTGAGAAATATGGGATTATGTAAAGAGACCAAATCTATTACTGATTAATATATCTGAAAGATGAGAATGGAACCAACTTGGAAAAATATTTCAGAATATCATTCATGAGAATATTCCCAACCCAGCCAGACAGGCCAACATTCAAATTCAGGAAATCCAGAGAACCCCAGTAAGATATGCCATGAGAAGATCATCCCCAAGACACTTAATCATCAGATTCTCCAGGGTCAAAATGAAAGAAAAAAATGTTAAAAGCAGCTAGGGAGAAAGGTGAGGTCACCTACAAAGGGAATCCCAACAGACTTACAGCAGACTTCTCAGCTCAAACCCTACAAGCCAGAAGAGATTGTAGGGCCCAATATTGAACTTATTAAAAGAAGTTTCAACCCAGAATTTCATGTCCAGCCAAACTAAGCTTCATAAATGAAGAAATAGGATCCTTTTCAGAGAAGCAAATGCTGAGGGAATTCATTACCACCAGACCTGCCTTAAAACAGCTCCTGAAGGAAGCACTAACTACAGAAAGAAAAGACTATCACCAGCCACTACAAAAACGCACTGAAGTACACAGACCAGTGATGCTAAAAACCACAGACAAGTCTGCAGAATAAGCAGCCAACAGCATGATGACAGGATGAAATCCACACATATCATTACTAACCTTAAATGTAAATGGGCTAAATGCTCCAAATGAAAGACAGAGGGGCAAGCTGGATAAAGAACCAAGACCCATTTGAGTATTCTGTTTTCAAGAGACCCATCACACATGCGATGCCACACATAGGCTCAAAATAAAGGAATGGAGAAAAATCTTTCAAGCAAATGGAAAACAGGAGAAAGCAGGTGTTGCAATCCTATCCTGACAAAACAAACTTTATACCAATAAAGATTAAAAAAAAGGCAGAGAAGGACATTACAAAGATGGCCCTGACCTTTGATAAATCTTTTATTTTTGCTTGATACCAACCTGGGTTATCTTTATTTCTCAAGCCAATAGGCTAATTTGTGGAGCTTGGGGAGCTTCTCCCCTCCAGAGAGTCCCTGATCTCCCAAAATTTGGTTGCTATTTGAAGTTATTTTGCTGTACAACTCCTTTTCTGAAGTTTTACTCATTTCCAACAAGGAAGGCAAGTTTTCCTGCTTCCATGACGATGGAGAGCAGGCACCTTCTTTCTTGAGTTTCAACTTGCTTCTGACAGAGAAGGTGAGTGTGAGTTTTTTCCTGCCTCTCTATGATGGTAGAGAGCGATCATCAGCCTGAGCTTTATTTCCAGGTAAGTAGCTGAATTAGAGTTTTGTCTTAAAAATGTTCCTTAATGACTAAAAGTTAAGATTACCAACCAGCTGGTTTTAATTTCTCCTTACTGTTAGAACACTTGGTATTCATATGAATTTGTTTGTTTTGCTAAACTGTTTTTGTTTATGTTTGGGGTTTTGTTGTTTCACATTTCTCCCATGAAGTATGACCATCTTTTCCTGACTTGGTCACATCCAAAGGAATGTTCCAAATTGTGGGGAACAAAGCATCTGAATTGGCTAAAACTCCGGTAGCTGCAAAAAGAAAAAAAAATCCAGTTAGCAGAAAGGACTTTTTAAAACTTTTTTTTTTTTTAACCTATGAGGTTTCATCTATGTAACAAGGCCATCTTTTGCTAGCCAAGGCCAAACTGAAAGAGCAGTGGTGGCCACCCAATGCTAAGATTCTGCCCTGTTCACCACAGCAACCTCAGTTTGGTTCCTAAGTCTAGTTCTTTCTGGTTTGGTATTTGTGTTACTTTAAAAATACCAGCAGTTTGTCCTAGCTATGATATGGTAGTAAAATATTTAAAAGGATTTTTTTTAAGAACTCCTTGATTAGAAGTCAACTTAATTAAAAGCAAATTTCTAATATGTATATAATTATATTTAAACATAATTACATATATGTTCTAAATATATACATATATTTATATATAAACAAATACACATATGTATGTTAGAAATATGTGTTTATATATCATTATTTTTCTATTACATATACATATATTTGTGTGTGTGTGTATCTAAAAGGCCTTTCTGTGGATCTTGTTTTTTGAAAAATATTTGTTTTTCTTCTCATTCAACTGAATTATAACTCTCCATTTTACTTATGTCTGTCCCTTTTTTCTCTTGCCACCCTTGATGCCCACATAAAAGATCTAAAATAATTTCTGATAGCCTGATTGCTTACAAAAGAAGGCACCAGACTTCTTTTTGGGAGGAACCACTATTTTTGTTTATCAAATCCCATGAGTTGTAAACAGACAAGTTTTTTGCAGATATTAAACTGCTCACTTTTTAAATTGCATTGCTGGATCGTAATGGCTTTTGAGGGTGTCAAAAATCACTTTGCACAATGGGAAAGTTTTTGACTTTGGTGTGTGTAATAGCTAGGTAAGAGATATATTTTTTAGGGCAGCTTATTGGAAGAGATAGTATGCTTTTGGCCACCTGGAAGGTATGGAAACATCCCAACCCCCTACTGAATAGTGATACTGCCATGGGATATGAGCTGATTATTGAATGGGCTAATTGGCTTTTGTTGGCCACCAACCTCAGGGGAAATGTACTTGTAGTGAAATGCATGGTAAAAACATGGCATTGTCTCATCTCATAATGTTTTCCTCTTTTGAGGTCCTGAGGATTTTCTGTAAAAATGTAGTCCTTGATTTTTAGATATCTGTTCTGCCTTACAGCTCTGCCTGCATGTTAGGCCCTAGAAACTGCATGATTCCTTGGCCCTGTTTCTTAAAAAGCTCCACCCTAAAGCCAGTAAATGAAAAATCTTATGAATCCCTAAGATCTACTTCTGTGTGTCTATATGTCTAAATGTTTATATGACAAATGTATATAATGATTGAGTACCAAAAATATATAAAAGGGCTCTAATTGGCTTTTAAAAAGTTCTTAAATATTTTATCAGAAGATTAGAAACTTATACCCAAGTACTTTTTCAAGTTCATGTGACTTAAGTAGAATTTTAGCCTATAAGCTGTCTTTAAATTCATTGGTAAAAAGAAAATTCAAAATGTCTTCACAATTGTCAGCATACATTGTGGTTTAGATGTATTGGTCAAGTAGTTTTTTTCGTTTTTCTTTTTTTAAATTTTCTTGTCAAGTGGTTTTGTATTCATCTCAGCAACTATAAGATGTCAAAATTTGGCACAAAGGTTATAAATTATAAACCCAGCAGAAAACAAGGATTTTTGTTCATGTAATTTTTGATAAATAAGGCATTTAATATATTTTTTATTATACTTTAAGTTTTAGGGTACATGTGCACAATGTGCAGGTTACTTACATATGTATACATGTGCCATGTTGGTGTGCTGCACCCATTAACTTATCACTTAACATTAGGTATATCTCCTAATGCTATCCCTCCCCCCTCCCCCCACCCCACAACAGGCCCTGGTTTGTGATGTTCCCTTCCTGTGTCCATGTGTTCTCATTGTTCAATTCTCACCTATGAGTGAGAACATGTGCTGTTTGTTTTTTTGTCCTTGCGATAGTTTGCTGAGAATGATGGTTTCCAGCTTCATCCATGTCCCTACAAAGGACATGAACTCATCCTTTTTTATGGCTGCATAGTATTCCATGGTGTATATGTGCCACATTTTCTTAATCCAGTCTATCATTGTTGGACATTTGGGTTGGTGCCAAGTCTTTGCTATTGTGAATAGTGCCACAGTAAACATACATGTGCATGTGTCTTTATAGCAGCAGCATGATTTATAATCCTTTGGGTATATACCCAGTAATGGGATGGCTGGGTCAAATGGTATTTCTAGTTCTAGATCCCTGAGGAATTGCCACACTGACTTCCACAATGGTTGAGCTAATTTACAGTCCCACCAACAGTGTAAAAGTTCTCCTTATTCTCCACATCCTCTCCAGCACCTATTGTTTCCTGACTCTTTTTTTTTAACTTTTTGTTTTAAATTTTATTATTATTATACTTTAAGTTTTAGGGTACATGTGCACAACGTGCAGGTTTCTTACATATGTGTACATGTGCCATGTTGGTGTGCTGCACCCATTAACTCGTCATTTAGCATTAGGTATATCTCCTAATGCTATCCCTACCCCCTACCCCTACCCCACAACAGTTCCTGGTGTGTGATGTTCCCCTTCCTGTGTCCATGTGTTCTCATTGTTCAATTCCCACCCATGAGTGAGATAATGCGTTGTTTGGTTTTTTTGTCCTTGCGATAGTTTGCTGAGAATGATGGTTTCCAGTTTCATCTATGTCCCCACAAAGGACATGAACTCATCATTTTTTATGGCTGCATAGTATTCCATGGTGAATATGTGCCACATTTTCTTAATCCAGTCTATCATTGTTGGACATTTGGGTTGGTTTCAAGTCTTTGCTATTGTGAATAGTGCCACTATAAACATATGTGTGCATGTGTCTTTATAGCAGCATGATTTATAGTCCTTTGGGTATATACCCAGTAATGGGATGGCTGGGTCAAATGGTGTTTCTAGTACTAGATCCCTGAGGAATCACCACACTGACTTCCACAATGGTTGAACTAGTTTACAGTCCCACCAACAGTGTAAAAGTGTTCCTATTTCTCCACATCCTCTCCAGCACCTGTTGTTTCCTGAATTAATTTTTGTATAAGGTGTAAGGGAGGGATCCAGGTTCAGCTTTCTACATATGGCTAGCCAGTTTTCCCAGCACCATTTATTAAATAGGGAATCCTTTCCCGATTGCTTGTTTTTCTCAGGTTTGTCAAAGATCAGATAGTTGTAGATATGCAGCATTATTTCTGAGGGCTCTGTTCTGTTCCATTGATCTATATCTCTGTTTTGGTACCAGTACCATGCTGTTTTGGTTACTGTAGTCTTGTAGTATAGTTTGAAGTCAGGTAGCATGATGCCTCCAGCTTTGTTCTTTCGGCTTAGGATTGACTTGGCAATGTGGGCTCTTTTTTGGTTACATATGAACTTTAGTTTTTTCCAATTCTGTGAAGAAAGTCATTGGTAGCTTGATGGGGATGGCATTGAATCTATAAATTACGTTGGGCAGTATGGCCATTTTCACGATATTGATTCTTCCTACCCATGAGCATGAAATGTTCTTCCATTTGTTTGTATCCTCTTTTATTTCATTGAGCAGTGATTTGTAGTTCTCCTTGAAGAGGTCCTTCACATCCCTTGTAAGTTGGATTCCTAGGTATTTTATTCTCTTTGAAGCAATTGTGAATGGGAGTTCACTCATGATTTGGCTCTCTGTTTGTTGTTGGTGTATAAGAATGCTTGTGATTTTTGTACATTGATTTTGTATCCTGAGACTTTGCTGAAGTTGCTTATCAGCTTGAGGAGACTTTGGGCTGAGATGATGGGGTTTTCTAGATACACAATCATGTCATCTGCAAACAGGGTCAATTTGACTTCCTTTTTCCTAGTTGATTGCCCTTTATTTCCTTCTCCTGCCTGATTGCCCTGGCCAGAACTTCCAACACTATGTTGAATAGGAGTGGTGAGAGAGGGCATCCCTGTCTTGTGCCAGTTTTCAAAGGGAATGCTTCCAGTTTTTGCCAATTCAGTATGATATTGGCTGTGGGTTTGTCATAGATAGTTCTTATTATTTTGAGATACGTCCCATCAATACCTAATTTATTGAGAGTTCTTAGCATGAAGGTTGTTGAATTTTGTCAAAGCCCTTTTCTGCATCTATTGAGATAATCATGTGGTTTTTGTCTTTGGTTCTGTTTATATGCTGGATTACATTTATTGATTTGCATATGTTGAACCAGCCTTGCATCCCAGGGATGAAGCCCACTTGATCATGGTGGATAAGCTTTTTGACGTGCTGCTGCATTCGGTTTGCCAGTATTTTATTGAGGATTTTTGCATCAATGTTCATCAAGGATATTGGTCTGAAATTCTCTTTTTTTGTTGTGTCTCTGCCAGGCTTTGGTATCAGGATGATGCTGGCCTCATAAAATGAGTTAGGGAGGATTCCCTCTGTTTCTATTGATTTGAATAGTTTCAGAAGGAATGGTACCAGCTCCTCCTTGTACCTGTGGTAGAATTTGGCTGTGAATCTATCTGGTGCTGGACTTTTTTTGTTTGGTAAGCTATCAATTATTGCCTCAATTTCAGAGCCTGTTATTGGTCTATTCAGAGATTCAACTTCTTCCTGGTTTAGTCTTGGGAGAGTGTATGTGTCGAGGAATTTATCCATTTCTTCTAGATTTTCTAGTTTATTTGTGTAGAGGTGTTTACAGTATTCTCTGATGGTAGTTTGTATTTCTGTGGGATCGGTGGTGATAACTCCTTTGTAATTTTTAATTGCATCTATTTGATTCTTCTCTCTTTTCTTCTTTATTAGTCTGCTAGCAGTCTATCAATTTTGTTGATCTTTTCAAAAAACCAGCTCCTGGATTCATTGATGTTTTGAAGGGCTTTTCGTGTCTCTATTTCCTTCAGTTTTGCTCTGATCTTTGCTATTTCTTGCCTTCTGCTAGCTTTTGAATGTGTTTGCTCTTGCTTTTCTAGTTCTTTTAATTGTGATGTTAGTGTGTCAATTTTAGATCTTTCCTGCTTTCTCTTGTGGGCATTTAGTGCTATCAATTTCCCTTTACACACTGCTTTGAATGCGTCCCAGAGATTCTGGTATGTTGTGTCTTTGTTTTCATTGGTTTCAAAGAACATCTTTATTTCTGCCTTCATTTCGTTATGTACCCAGTAGTCATTCAGGAGCAGGTTGTTCAGTTTCCATGTAGTTGAGCGGTTTTGAGTGAGATTCTTAATTCTGAGTTCTAGTTTGATTGCAGTGTGGTCTGAGAGACAGTTTGTTATAATTTCTGTTCTTTTACATTCGCTGGGGAGTGCTTTACTTCCAACTATGTGGTCAATTTTGGAATAGGTGTGTTTTGGTGCTGAAAAGAATGTATATTCTGTTGATTTATGGTGGAGAGTTCTGTGGATGTCTATTAGGTCTGCTTGGTGCAGAGCTGAGTTCAATTCCTGGATATCCTTGTTAACTTTCTGTCTCGTTGATCTGTCTAATGTTGACAGTGGGGTGTTAAAGTCTCCCATTATTATTTTGTGGGAGGGTAAGTCTCTTTCTGGGTCTCTAAGGACTTGCTTTATGAATCTGGGTGCTCCTGTGTTGGGTGCATATATATTTAGGATAGTTAGCTCTTCTTGTTGGATTGATCCCTTTACCATTATGTAATGACCTTCTTTGTCTCTTTTGATCTTTGTTGGCTTAAAGTCTGTTTTATCAGAAACTAGGATTGCAACCCCTGCCTTTTTTGTTTTCCATTTGCTTGGTAGATCTTCCTGCATCCCTTTATTTTGAGCCTATGTGTGTCTCTGCATGTGAGATGGGTTTCCTGAATACAGCACACTGATGGGTCTTGACTCTTTATCCAATTTGCCAGTCTTGTGTCTTTTAATTGGAGGATTTAGCCCATTTACATTTAAGGTTAATATTGTTATGTGTGCATTTGATCCTGTCATTTTGACGTTAGCTGGTTATTTTGCTCGTTAGTTGATGCAGTTTCTTCCTAGCCTCGATGGTCTTTACTATTTGGCATGTTTTTGCAGTGGCTGGCATCATTTGTTCCTTTCCATGTTTAGTGCTTCCTTCAGGAGCTCTTGTAGGGCAGGCCTGATGGTGACAAAATCTCTCAGCTTTTGCTGGTCTGTAAAGGATTTTATTTTTCCTTCACTTATGAAGCTTAGTTTGGCTGGATATGAAATTCTGGGTTGAAAAATCGTTTCTTTAAGAATGTTGAATATTGGCCCCCACTCTCTTCTGGCTTATAGAGTTTTTGCCGAGAGATCCGCTGTTAGACTGATGGGCTTCCTTTTGTGGGTGCCCCGACATTTCTCTGTGGCTGCCCTTAACATTTTTTCCTTCATTTCAACTTTGGTGAATCTGACAATTATGTGTCTTGGAGTTGCTCTTCTCAAGGAGTATCTTTGTGGCGTTGTCTGTATTTCCTAAATTTGAATGTTGGTCTGCCTTGCTAGATTGGGGAAGTTCTCCTGGATAATATGCTGCAGAGTATTTTCCAGTCTGGTTCCATTCTCCCCGTCACTTTCAGGTACACCAATGAGACGTAGATTTGGTCTTTTCACATAGTCTCATATTTCTTGGAGGCTTTGCTCATTTCTTTTTATTCTTTTTTCTCTAAACTTCTCTTCTCCCTTCATTTCATTCATTTGATCTTCCATCACTGATACCCTTTCTTCCAGTTGATCGAATCAGCTACTGAGGCTTGTGGATTCGTCATGTAGTTCTCGTGCCATGGGTTTTAGCTCCATCTGGTCCTTTAAGGACTTCTCTGCATGGGTTATTCTAGTTAGCCGTTCATCTAATTTTTTTTTCAGGGTTTTTAGGTTCTTAGTCATAGGTTCGAACTTCCTCCTTTAGCTCGGTGTAATTTGATTGTCTCAAGCCTTCTTCTCTTGACTCATCAAAGTCATTCTCCATCCAGCTTTGTTCCATTGCTGGTGAGGAGCTGCGTTCCTTTGGAGGAGGAGAGGTGCTCTGATTTTTAGAGTTTCCAGTTTTTCTGCTCTGTTTTTTCCCCATCTTTGTGGTTTTATCTACCTTTGGTCTTCGATGATGGTGACATACAGATGGGGTTTTGGTGTGGATGTCCTTTCTGTTTGTCAGTTTTCCTTCTAACAGTCAGGACCCTCAGCTGCAGGTCTGTTGGAGTTTGCTGGAGGTCCACTCCAGACCCTGTTTGCCTGGGTATCAGCAGCAGCGGCTGCAGAACAGCAGATATTGGTGAACCACAAATGCTGCTGCCTGATCGTTCCTCTGGAAGCTTTGTCTCAGAGGAGTACCCGGCCGTGTGAGGTGTCAGTGTGCCTCTACTGGGGGTGACTCCCAGTTAGGCTTCTCGGGGGTCAGGGACCCAGTTGAGGAGGCAGTCTGTCCATTCTCAGATCTCAAGCTGGGTGTTGGGAGAACCACTATGCTCTTCAAAGCTGTCACACAGGAACATTTAAGTCTGCAGAGGTTTCTGCTGCCTTTTGTTTCTCTATGCCCTGCCCCCAGAGGTGGAGTCTACAGAGGCAGTCAGGCCTCCTTGAGCTGCAGTGGGCTCCACCCAGTTCAAGCTTCCTGGCTGCTTTGTTTACCTACTCAAGCCTCAGCAATGGCAGGTGCCCCTCCCCCAGACTTGCTGCCGCCTTGCAGTTTGATCTCAGTCTGTTGTGCTAGCAATGAGCGAGGCTCTGTGGGCGTAGGACCCTCTGAGCCAGGAGCGGGATATAATCTCCTGGTGTGCCGTTTGTTAAGACTATTGGAAAATGCAGTATTGAGCTGGGAGTGACCCGATTTTCTAGGTACCGTCTGTCACAGCTTTGCTTGGCTAGGAAAGGGAATTCCCTGACCCCTTGCGCTTCCTGGGTGTAGCGATGCCTCACCCTGCTTTGGCTCATGCTCGGTGCACTGCATCCACTGTCCTGCACCCACTGTCCAACACTTCCCAGTAAGATGAACCCAGTACCTCAGTTGGAAATGCAGAAATCACCCGTCTTCTGCGTCGCTCATGCTGGGAGTTGTAGACTGGAGCTGTTCTTATTTGGCCATCTTGGCTCCACCCCAAGACATTTAATATTGTTGATTTAATGGAAACAACTCAATCCAGAGTTATCAGTAAGAGAAACCTATTAATAAGAAATTAGGTAAATGTAATAGAATGAAAGCTTATAAATGAACATGTCATATAAGTTAAATCTTAATGTTGTATCAAATAATAGATATTAAATGTCTGGGTCATTATCAATTGTTAAATTACATCATTAAAAACATTTTCAAAATAATTATAAGATGTTTCTCACTGTCCAGGCATGGTGGCTCACATATGTGATCCCAGAACTTTGGGAGGCAGATCATGAGGTCAGGAATTTGAGACCAACCTTACAAATATGGTGAAATCCCATCTCTACTAAAAATATAAAAATTAGCTGGGAGTGGTGGTACATGCCTGTATTCCCAGCTACTCAGGAGGCTAAGGCAGGAGAATTGCTTGAACCCAGGAGGCAGAGGTTGCAGTGATCCAAGATTGTGCCATTGCACCCCTGCCTGGGGACAAAGCAAACCTCCGTCTCAAGAAAAAAAAAAAAAAAGATTATACACCCTTATAAAGTGCTGATGTGACAATTAAAGATTTCCTGCTTCCTAGGTTTTCACAAAAAATTATTACAAAAAATCAAAATTTTAATTAATTTGTGATTTTACATATAAAGTGTGCCAAAATAAGAAGTATTCCAATGAAACAAGAAAAATTGTAGGAAAAAATGAAATTAAGAAATGATAAGAAATAAAATGAAAGTAATTGTCCAATTCAAAGTTTATTAAAAGATTTCTTATATAACAAGATAAAGGAAACCATTAAGAGAGAGATTTAAAGAAAGTTAAGTTATAAAGAGGTATTTTTGTTAACAAAGATTAAAAGGAAAATAATTTTCATTCTCAGTAAACTGTCGCAAGAACAAAAAACCAAACACCGCATATTCTCACTCATAGGTGGGAATTGAACAATGAGATCACATGGACACAGGAAGGGGAATATCACACTGTGGGGACTGTGGTGGGGTGGGGGGAGGGGGGAGGGATAGCATTGGGAGATATACGTAATGCTAGATGATGAGTTAGTGGGTGCAGCACACCAGCATGGCACATGTATACATATGTAACTAACCTGCACAATGTGCACATGTACTCTAAAACTTAAAGTATAATAAAAAAAAAAGAGAAGAAAAAGAAAAAGAATCTTGTATGATAGATTTTTATCCTAAAATGAAATGGCTGGTTATTTAAGAAAGAGTATGTTTAGGACAAAACAGAAAGTCCAAGTGTGTTATAATTGGTCTGTGTAATAAGCTTCATTAAAAAAAGAATTTATTTTAAAATTGTGTATGCAATTCTGTTGGCTAGAATGGAAAGGAAATTATTCATAATAACCTTTCTAAAAAATTGGACTTTGTTTTTTTATTATTATACTGTAAGTTCTGGGATACATGTGCAGAACCTGCAGGTTTGTTACATAGGTATACAAATGCCATGGTGGTTTGCTGCACCCATCAACCTGTCATCTACATTAGGTATTTCTCCTAATGCTATCCCTCCTCTAACCCCCCACCCCTCGAGATGCCCTGGTTTGCGATGTTGCCCTCCCTAAGTCCATGTGTTCTCATTGTTCAGCTCCCACTTATGAGTGAGAACATGCAGTGTTTGGTTTTTTGTTCCTGTATTAGTTTGCAGAGAATGATGGTTTCCAGCTTCATCCATGTCCCTGCAAAGGACATGAACTCATCCTTTTTTATGGCTGCATAGTATTCCATGGTGTGTGTGTGTCACATTTTCTTTATATAGTCTATCATTGATGGGCATTTGGGTTGGTTCCAAGTCTTTGCTATTGTGAACAGTGCTGCAATAAACATACATGTACATGTGTGTTTATAGTAGAATTATTTATAATTTTTTGGGTACACACCCAGTAATGGGATTGCTGGGTCAAATGGTATTTCTGGTTCTAGATCCTTGAGGAGTCGCCACACTGTCTTCCACAGTGGTTGAACTAATTTACACTCCCACCAACAGTATAAAAGCATTTCTGTTTATCCACATCCTCTCCAGCATATGTTGTTTTCTGACTTTTTAATGATAACCATTCTAACTGACGTGAGATGGTATCTCATTGTGATTTTGATTTGCATTTCTCTAATGACCAGTGATGATGAGCTTTTTTTCATATATTTGTTGGC
The DNA here is from genome assembly GCF_000001405.40 of Homo sapiens. NCBI lineage: Eukaryota > Metazoa > Chordata > Mammalia > Primates > Hominidae > Homo > Homo sapiens. The sequence continues at coordinate 47,073,348 of NC_000008.11, read as the reverse complement.
TGCATAAATGTCTTCTTTTGAGAAGTGTCTGTTCATATCCTTCACCCACTTATTGATGGTTTTTTTTTTTATTGTAAATTTGTTTAAGTTCTTTATAGATTCTGGATATTAGCACTTTATCAGATGGATAAATTGCAAAATTTTTCTCCCATTCTGTAGGTTGCCTGTTCAGTCTGATAGTTTCTTTTGCTTTGTGGCAGCTTTTTAGTTGAGCCCATTTGTAAATTTTGGCTTTTGTTGCCATTGCTTTTGGTGTTTTAGTCATGAAGTCTTTGCCCATGCCTGTGTCCTGAATGGTATTGCCTAGGTTTTCTTCTAGGGTTTTTATGGTTTTAGGTCTTATTAAGTCTTTAGTCCATCTTGAGTTAATTTTTGTATAAGGTGTAAGGAAGGGATCCAGTTTCAGTTTTCTGCATATGGCTAGCCAGTTTCCCCAGCACTATTTATTAAATAGGAAATCCTCTCCCCATTGCCTGTTTTTGTCAGGTTTTTCAATGATCAGATGATTTGTAGATGTTTGGCATTATTTCTGAGGCCCCTGTTCTGTTCCATTGGTCTATATATCTATTTTGGTACCAGTACCATGGTGTTTTTGTTGCTGTAGCCTTGTAGTGTAGTTTGAAATCAGGTAGCGTGATGTCTCCAGCTTTGTTCTTTTTGCTTAGGATTGTCTTGGCTATATGGGATATTTTTTGGTTTCATATGAAATTTAAAGTGGTTTTTGTAATTCTGTGAAGAAAGTCAATAGTAGCTTGATGGGGATTGCATTGAATATATAAATTACTTTGGGCAGTATTGCCATTTTCACAATATTGATTCTTTTTATGCATGAACATGAAATGTTTTTCTGTTTGTTTGTGTCCCCTTTTATTTCCTTGAGCAGTGGGTTGTAGTTCTCCTTGAAGAGGTCCTTCCCACTATTTGTAAGTTGTAATCCTAGGTATTTTATTCTCTTTGTAGCAATTGTGAATGGGAGTTCATTCATGATTTGGCTCTCTGTTCATCTATTATTGGTGTATAGGAATGCTTGTGATTTTTGCACATTGATTTTGTATCGTGAGACTTTGTTAAAGTTGCTTATCAGCTTAAGGAGATTCTGAGCTGAGATGATGGGTTTTTCTAAATATACAATCATGTCATCTGCAGAGACAATTTTACATCCTCTTTTCCTATTTGAATACTCTTTATTTCTTTCTCTTGCCTGATTGTCGTAGCCAGGACTTCCAATAATATGTTGAATAGGAGTGGTGAGAGAGGACATCATTTTCTTGTGTCGGTTTTCAAAGGGAATGCTTCTAGCTTTTGCCCATTCGGTATGATATTGGCTGTGGGTTTGTTATAAATAGCTTTTATTATTTTGAGATAGGTTCCATCAATACCTAGTTTATTGAGAGTTTTTAGCATGAAGGGATGTTGAATTTTATTGAAGGCCTTTTTTGCATCTATTGAGAAAATCATGTGGTTTTTGTCATTGGTTCTGTTTATAAGATGGATTACATTTATTGATTTACATATGTTGGACCAGCCTTGCATATCAGGGATGAAGCAAACTTGATCGTGGTAGATAAGCTTTTTGATATATTGCTGGATTTGGTTTGCCAGTATTTCATTGAGGATTTTCACATCGATGCTCATCAGGGATATTGGCCTGAAATTCTTTTTTTGTTGTGTATCTGCCAGGTTTTGGTATCAGGATAATGCTGGTCTCATAAAATGAGTTAGGGAGGAGTTCCTCTTTTTCTATTGTTTGGAATAGTTTCAGAAGGAATGATACCAGCTCCTCTTTGTACCTCTGGTAGAATTCAGCTGTCAATCTGTCTGGTCCTGGGCTTTTTTTGGTTGGTAGGCTATTACTGCCTCCATTTCAGAATTTGTTATTGGTCTATTCAGGGATTCGACATCTTCCTGGTTTAGTCTTGGGAGGGTGTATGTGTGCAGCTTTTGGTGTTGCTTTTCTGCAACTGCCATTTGCCATTGATGATAATTCTTCATTTCCTCTGGGAGTGTAAGAGGGAGAGGATGCAGTCCTCTTTGGGAGACCAAGGCAAGTGGATCGCCTGAGCTCAGGAGTTCAAAATCAGCCTGTGGGCAATATGGCAATACCCCTTCTCTGCAAATAGTTCAAAGTAATTTGGTTTGTTGGCATGTACCTGTAGTCCCAGCTACTTGGGGGCCAAGGCAGTAGGATTGCTTTAGCCCAGGAGGTCGAGGCTGCAGTGAGTGGGGATGGTGCCATGGCACTCCAGCCTGGGTAACAAAGTGAGACCCTGTCTCAAAACAAAAAACAAAAAACAAAAATGCTTTCATGTGATACTGGGCTAGACCTGTATATAAACACATAAATACTAAATTATTTTTTCTCTATCTTAATATAATTTGTTCTATGCCTTAATACTAGATAATTTAAATGTTTAGCTACCTGTGAGTTCTTTTTCTGTCATTGTCAGAGCTAGCAGGGCTTATGTCCTTTGTGTTTAAATATTTTGAATTCTGGGCCAGACACGGTGGCTCACATCTGTAATCCCAGCTTTGGGAGGCCAAGACAGGTAGACTACTTGAGGTAGGAGTTCGAGGCCAGCCTGGTCAATGTGGTGAAATCCTGTCTCTACTAAAAATACAAAAATTAGCTGGATGTAGTGGCATGTGCCTGTAGTCCTAGCTTTTGGGATGAGAGGTAGGAGGATTACTTGAACCTGGGAGGCGGAAGTTCCAGGGAGCTGAGATCATCCCACTTCACTCCAGCCTGGGTGACAGAGTGAAACTGTCAAAAAAAAAAGTCAATTCTATATATAGCTTATAAAATTGGGTAAAACAACAAAAATTACCTTTCTCTACGTGTTATCTCCAAAATTTAAAACTATTATAAATCCCACTGGGCCCAATCCATTTTTATTGCTAATGTTCCATTGCTAAAACTATATAAACACCTTTTCTCAAACGTGCAAGTACTCTTGTAGAAAAGTTGAGCATATGGGACTTTAAGGACCAGTTTTGAGGGATAAAATTAGTTTAGCTTCTTCAAATAAAGGACAGGCGCCCATGCCTAAACAGCTGACAAAATGAGAAACTGCCTCCTGGGTTCTTTCCATCCATCCCAACTATAAAGAATTTTCTACTCTCCATAAAATTGAAAGAAAATTACTGAGAGGGGGATATTAAGATACTTAGTGACAAAGTCTAATGGGTAGAATGCTCCAAGTTATGAAACTTATACAGATAAATACAGAAAGCTCTTTTAAAATCAGCCATCTTAGTATAAATTACTAAAAAGACCACACAAAAATCTTTGTGGCATAACAAAAGTCTTAATATGATTGTGTTTCACATAGCTAATTACTACAGTGTGTAACTAAAACCAAAATTATGCTAGCTCATCACATAGAAATTAAAAGAAAAACTTCAGCTGAATTAAACTTAAAAATTTACTGGAGCAATGAATGATTTGCGAATTGGTCTGCCTCCTGAGCCAGAGTAGACTCAGGCTCAGTGCAGCCACATGGTGGAAGAATGTTTATGGACAGAAAAAGGAAAGTGATATACAGAAAATTGAAGTTAGGTACAGAAACAGCTGGATTGGTTACAGCTCAATGTTTGCCTTATTTGAACATGATTTGAACAGTTGTCTACATTTGATTGGCCTAATCTCAGTGATTGGCACAAATGTAGGGTGTAGTCTGTTTATACTTTTACTTGTTATAGTTCAAGTACAGGGAAACCTTTGACCTTAACCTTTAGGCCAAACTTAACATTTGTAAGGAGGAAGCTTTAGGCTAAACTTTAACAGTTTCCCTCTTTTGGTCATCTTCTCAATTTTGAGAGATTGGTCATATTTTAGTCATTGATGTTCCTATTACTATTGTGTGTGTACTTATTTGATCTTGAAACCCATTGGGAAGTAGTAGAACAGTGGGTTTTGTAAGGTGGAAACAGGGACTTCAGATTATTTGATTTTTTTGTAAGGGTTTGAGTAGAGGGTACCTCCTTATGCTGGAACATCCTTTTTATAGGAGGAAAAAAAAACAAAAACAAAAAACAAAACCTAGTCTGTTCTAGGATGTGTGTTTTTCCTTAAAGTTTTAGTTTGATTATGTCATATTTAGCATGAGTGACTCAATTTTGGTTTGGTTCAATCTGGTCTGTTGGGGCATAATGCATGAACTCAGTCTAAAACAATAGCCTCTCATAATTTTGTTTAAAAATTCCCCCATTTTGGTCAGGTTCTCACTTAGGTGATTGACACTGTGGCCAAAACTTAGGGTCTTAGTGCTACTCTCAGTTACCATCACTTTGGGTTTCTGGTCTCAACATGTTACTTATAGGTTACAGTGTCCTCATGGTCACACACTTTTTTCAGCTCTTGTCATTCCAGTTGAAGAGAGACCATTTGACATTATAGAGTTGGCTGCATGGAAGCATTTAAAATTTTAAGGAGAATACAGTGTGCCAGGAAGACTATAGTGTATCAGAAAGATAATAACAAGAGTTTGGAGTAGTTAGTTACTTAAGGTCCTCATAAACCAAACCACCTAAAATCCAAAGAATGGGCTAAAGAGTTTGCTCACTTAAGTAAGCAGTCTCTTCATTAATGTCCGACAGCTGAATATAATACCTATTGTGATGTATTTCTTCATAGGCCACACGTGCCAGCAGCTGCACAGTTACTTCTCTGTTTAGCCAGTAAGTCATCTAGAGCAATTCTATTATTTAGCTTAGCTTTCCCAAGGGAATTTAAAGTCTGTTTTGTAACTTTAGCCTTTACAGTAGAATGTGCTATAGAACCTATCATGAGAGATACATTTGAAATCATTGCCTCTTTTACTTTAAACCATGGGAAAAATAGGACCTAACAAATGATGCCCTCCTAGAAGAGTGAAGGCTTCCTGGCAATATTCTCTTTAACCCATGATGTAGGTTAAGAGGAGTGAATAAATGTCTGTTTCCAACTGATTATGAGGCAACATATGTACCATTAAAATTTCTCACATTTGGCCTTCATCTTCCATCCATCAAGGTATAAAGTTATCCAGATGTGAGGGCGATATGGCTCTGACATCTCTTACCTCATTGATCTCCAGGTTTGATTTGGCTGATTTGGCTAGCTAGGCAGGTGTCCCCTTCCTCTCTCACTACTCCATGTGCATCCCTTTTGAAGCTGCATAGGAGGACCATTTTTTGGTCAAGGGTATATGACTAGCTGCAGTCCTCTGCTAGAACCTCCAAACAAGCTCCCAAGGTTTAAGGTTTTATATATATATAAGACTGGCTACAAAATCTTTCACAGATAAAAGTATACCCCATGAGTGTGCACAACAGATCCCCCTTTTCATGTCTATTGTTTATAGAGGCATTAGCAAGGGCAAAAATATTCAGAGTCTCATGATAGAAAAGTCTTGATCTGTGATCTTGGGAAAAGGTGTTCACATCAAGTATGCCATCTTCTGGGAGAAACTTCTCTGGTTAGCTTTACTTTAAGGGTTCCAGTGGGTGTACAGTTCCAAGACTGTGGAGGGACCCTTCTTTGTGGTGCTTTGCTGCAGTGTGGATGTTAAAGGCAGTCTTTCTCTGATGTTCTCAGAAGATCCAATCTTCAGGCTCCAGATTGTGAAGGGGTGTTGATTATTCTCAGTCAGTGAATCATAAAAAGCTTTCTTTTATGTGGTGAAAATACAGTGTGACATAATAATCTACTGTTATAACATCAGGTCTTTTTCATGGGACAGCTTTTATACAACCAGAAAACATGCATTGAAAATGATAATTCAATGAAATCCCTTTATAAATGTTGAAATGGCCTATCAGGTAGTGGAATGTATCTGAAGCTTTGATTGTCTTTCCAGGAATATGAGTTTGACAAACAAACATTGGTCATAAACTATTTTAGCAATTTAGAATTCACCACGCCAATATATATTTAACTTGGATTATTTTATCTTTTCTATGATGAGTCATGGAATGCAGAAATTTTAATAATGAAAGTTTTATGGATGGACTCAGGAAAGACAAGGCAGCTGTCCTGTTCTCCATGAGTCCATGCTTAACATTGAACTTATGCCCTCTTGAATACCAGTTGTTTCTCCAATTTAGGTTCATAGCACTAATAACAGATGGGTTTTCATAGGTAATTTGACTTAGAACATGGAATTCATTGAATTGTATATCTAAACAATTTCAGTATTGGCTTATTTAGCATGAAGTTCTGACAAAGTGTTTTCTTGTTATTCAATTAATTTTTGTTCTTCGTGAGTAGGAGTTTTAAAAACAAGTAAGTCTTTTCATTAAAGTTACAAGAATTCTTTTTTTTTTTTTTTTTTTTTTTGAGATGGAGTCTCGCTCTGTTGCCCAGGCTGGAGTGCAGTGGCACAGTCTTGGCTCACTGCAATCTCCAAGCAATTTTCCTGCCTCAGCCTCTCAAGTAGTTGGGATTACAGGTCCCTGCCACCACGCCTGGCTAATTTTTTTTTTTTTTTTTTTTTGTATTTTTAGTAGAGACAGAGTTTCACCATGTTGGCCAGGCTGGTCCCAAACTCCTGACCTTGTGATCTGCCTGCCTCGGCCTCCCAAAGAGCTGGGATTACAGGTGTGAGCCACCACATTTTGCCAAGTTTCAGGAATTCTTACACATCCAAATGATATGATTCTAAAGTTTCCAGAAACCTGTATTCAAGAGCTCTTTTCGTGGTCCTTCCCATCCTTTCAGGAACCTAAAAGACACCATATTCTAGGATATTTTGTGCTTGTGAAGTTTTCAGAAACTGCATCAGTATTAAGCAGTTAACTGTGGAAATGACGTTAAAATAGTCATAGTTACACAATTGACAAGTAAATTTGGTTATTTCTGTGGTCTACAATTTATTATAACTGTAATTATGATTGATAGCATGTATTTAGACATATTAGAATTTTAGAAATCCCATACAATGTTGTAACATAGTTTAACATTCATTAGAATATAACCTGAAGAAGGTTAGACATTTCTTATTTTGACAGTGATTCCCATGTAACTTAACATGTCATATAATCCTGTTTACCCATCTTTTGGATGCTTCAGGGGCCTCTGTAGCATCCCAAAGTTAGAAGTCAAAAAAGACTTAATTTTGAAGCTGAAATTTGATTTTGGGAAGGCTATCAAATATATTAAAGGTTTAAAACACTTGATATTATAAAATGGACTTCGAGGTCACAATAAGTCATTTAGCCAAAATAACTCAAAAAATTTTTAAAGGTAAAAATTTGACTCATTGATAGAAGACTTAGCTTTTCAAATAATCTGTGTCTTTCTCTTCTTTTTCTGTAGTTTATTTGGAGGGGAAACAAAACTTTTATTATTCTGTAATATTACATGAAAATCTTATTCAAGAGAGAATGCCAGATTTCATCTTTGCGTTAATGTACTATTAATGTCAACCCCAATTTTTAATAAAACCTTATAGACAAATTCAGTCTTTATCATTTTGACCATAAGGTGAGATTCTCATAAACTTTTGATAACCTTTTACAAATTTGTATTAAAAAGCAGTTCAGTGCTCTAATAAAACCCTTTTGTGCTTTTATTCCAATGTTCAATTTATGGAAAAACTGAATAATGCTACTTTAAATTTAGCCAATATGTTCACACACACAGTTTCTTTTACAAGATTAATTTTTCAGAAATCTTCCACAACTTGTTCAAACCTTTAGCTTTATCCTATCTAAATTAAAACAATCCTTTAACCCTCTAAACTAGGCAAAAATTTACATTCCAATGCCTTCTTATAATCTTTTACTAAAAGCACATTTCACTTTGCTCACACAGCTTCCATGTGAAATCTTTTTCAGTAGTCTCAATTACATGTTACAGTGTTAACTCTTAGCAATTTTTATTTTTGTTGAAAAACCTGGCAAGTAACTGATTTTAATTATGTACTAGGTCTGGAGCCTAGGACATCAGAAGTGCAGATAAAGTCTGACTATTTCAAGCATAGCCAGGGGGCATGGCTAATTCCACATGTCCCCAGGCCTTTCCTGGTGGCTCCAAAACAGGTAAGTTGAACAAATTTTAGAAGTCAAAGAAGCAGTTTATTTAAAGCATTTTATAAATCTAATATCTGACCTGCCTAATTTAGACCAAATGCCTTTATTTTACCAATAAACTTTAAAACTGTCTTTATTTCCCAAAGTTTACTAAAGTCAGATGAACTAAAAGGCATAACAGTTTTTATTTTTCTGAAAAAAATATTTGATTTAAGCACTCATTGATTTTTAAACCAATTAGAGCTTTTTCATTTATAAACATCACACACAACATATAAAAATACAGACAGAAGTAGATCCAGTAGTTGTAAGATTTTTTCATTTGCCAGTTTTTGTCAGTTTTGTCTTAATTGGATTACTGGCTTCAGGATGGAGTCCTTTGTGGAAGAGGGCTAGGAAAATATGCGGTTTTTAGGACCTAATAAACAGGCACAGCTGAAAGGCAAAACAGATCCCCCAAAATTTAGGGTCCCAGTTTATACTGGATCCCCAAAAAAGAAATGATCTGGAACAAGACAGTGCAATGATCCTTACCATGTATTTGGTGCAGAGCAATCCAAAACCAATTAGTTCATTTTGTGATCAGCCCATCCCTTATGGGAGCCTTATTTCTCAGTGGGGAGTGAGGACATTTCCATACTTTCTAGGTGACCAAGAACATGTTTCTCTGATTGAAACGTGCAAAGAGCTGAGTATCCCCCCCCCATAACTGCCATTTGCCATCCCCAAAAATATAGCCTTAGATTTTGTGAGGAATCTATCTGCTTTCAATTCCTGGGGTTTCGTGAGGAAAACAGAGGTTTTTCCCAAAACCAGGTCTGTGGTGCCTCCTCTGTTTTTCCCAAGGAGTTCCAGGCTGTTAGAAGTTATCTTAGTAACTGATGCATGCACAGTTAACCTCGTGTGTGCATCAAGAAAAGCAAGAAGACAAAATGGAGAAAAACAATTAAGTTAACTGAAAAGAAAATACCTTTTTTTTCCTTTTTTTTTAATGGAAAAATAAGATCGAAGAAGAGAAAAAATCAAAAAGGACTTAAATATACCTATATCTTGGATATTCTATTTTAATTAAGCTGGCTTTTACCTATAGTGCACTTTAAAAAAAAAGCCATTTTAAACTCATATTAACCTGACTTAAGCTAGGTCAAACAGCCAATATTTCTGGCTTTTTAACTATTACAAAAGTAATCTCCCAGGTGAAACCAATAAGCCTTAACTAAGGTTATGACTTAACCACGAGTGTCTGTGGTATTTTCAAAGCGGTAGTAAGCAATTTTTACAAAATCTAGACTCTCCACAGGTAGCCCAGAGAAGGAAAAATTCAAGATGGATGTCGGAAGTTGTTCATGGAGGGAAAGAGAATAAATGGCAAAGATCACACAGATATCAAACCAGAAAGGACTCATTCTCTGAGCCAAGAATTGAAACCAGGCTGCCACTGTAAAAAGGCAAAGTCTTAGCCACTAAGCTATAGCATTAGGTAATTTCCATTGCTCTTCACAGAAGGAGCCTAGAGCAGCCAGTTTTGAACTTGCAAAGGCTTTTAACTGCTCAAGATAATTTTTAGTACTATGACATGAACTCCACAATTCCTGTCCTCCAGATGGTGGAGACCAAGAGAAAGTACTACCATTTGGTAACAAGCTCCCAAGGACATAAAACTAGATGAGAGGGAATCCCCATCCATTTTTTTTTTTTTTAATGTTTCAGACACCTGCAGCAAAGTTTGTAATTGACCAGTTTACTGGACTGGCTTGAACAGTGAGCTTATGGGGGCCCTAGGCCTGCATTCTATCCTGTAGTACCCATTTTTATGACAAAATGATCCCAGTTCATGGCACAAAGTACACCAGATTTGCTACAGTTTAAGACTAGTCTCACAAATCCTTTTTTTCATTAATGAAAACTTTGCAGAGGAGATAGTGATTTTTACCATTTCTACAGCTAGTTTCCACAGAGAGAGGCAAGAAGTCTGAGGCAAGAAGTCTGAGGCAAGAAGTCTGACCCTTTTGGAGGCATGTCAAGCTTCTAGGTTCCCTTTCCCTTAGTGATCTTCGCAACCCTGCTTGCTGCCCATAGCCTTGGCCAAGCCACATTACAAAGGAAAATTACCTTTTTCTATTTCATAAAACCTATTTCTGTTTCTTAAAACCATAGGCAAAAGCCTTTCAGTTTTGCAAGATGCTTACAAGAGGTTGCATGGGGTAACCAAATTAACATTTTCTATTCTGGCCAATGCAAAATACATGTGACAAAACTCTGCTTAGTGCCCAATATCGAACCGGCAAGGGTCAGACTTGCCTCAGGTTGGGCCCTGTCATCCACTGAAAGTGAGATGGAATGAGCTTCCAACCAGGAATTTCAATATGTGGACTCTGGGCAAGATGAAAGAGCAGACAGTTGCCCTGAGTAACAGAAAAGCTAGAAAAGGGAAAAGAGAAAAATATTGTCTGTGGCGGGGTGGGGAAGGCAAAGAGCTCAGGGAGGCCAGAGAAGGACCTACCCATTGCAGTAACAGTGAATTAAAGTTCAGGGGGCTGCTTATCAGTCGTGAAGGGATCTTTTTTAGGAGTACCATCAGCTCTCGTTTCCCTATTTCAGGAGAAAAACAGTTCCCCATGTCCCATGATCCTTTACATGCCGAATCCTGTCATCCACAGCCATCAGCAGAGTGCAAGGCAGATTTAATTTCTTTAATCAGTCTTTTAAGCTGTTTGTTTTTCTGTAAAGTCTTTAAAATACTGAAGTATTTTTAGAAGCTTTTGCACATCAATAGACATCCTTCAATGAGACTGATGTAAGAACCCTTATTTTCAAATCACTTCAGTGCAGTGTTGTTCATTTAAAATGTTCCACTGTAAGTTATCTTTAGTTAAGATTTTGCCATTTCTGTAAGACTTTGCTGCTTCCGGGGCTTAATACTTATGCGTGTGTAAGCCGGAACTCAATTCTTCAGAAATTAAGGATGCCATTTTTACCACAAATATTGGCTTTGCCATCAGGTTCCCTTGATCAGCTTAGCCAGTGATTTTTTTCCTACCTAAGTGCACAAGAAAAATGAAACAAAGGAGTAGAACACAAAAATCCCTGCAAATTTCCAAAAGCCAAATTTTATGCCCCCTGCAATATTGCCATTTACCTGGGTTCTTTTTGACCCCGTCAGATGTAAGAGGCCTCTAACTGGATCCAAGACAGTTAATTACCATATTCTATCCTTGACCCAGTCCAGTTTTGGTCACGACTTCCAAACCCAGTTTGGATCAGAAATTTGCTCAAAGAAACTTGGAGCGCTCAAAACACAAATCCGTGGAACTTCAAAATCTGAGAACTTTCCATGATCCCCAGTTGCTGCGAGAAAGCAGTGGGCACTGTGGGCCCGGCAGGTACCTTGCTTGGTCACTCAGCACTCCTGGGAGTCATTAGAAGCTCTGCTTCAGATCCCACTTCTGATGCCATCTGTTAAAAGAAAAACTTTAGCCAAATTAAATTTAAAAGACTTTAATTGAGGAATAAAAGATTCATGAGTCAAGCAGCCTCCTGAGCCAGAGTAAGCTCAGGGACTCCAGTGCAGCCAACATGGTGGAAGAAGATTTATGTACATAAAAAGGGAAGTTACATAAAAAATATAGTAGTGAGGTATAGAAACAGCTGGATTGGTTACAGCTAGGAATTTGCCTTATTTGAACAGAGTTTGAACGGTTGGCTGTATATGGCCAATAGTCTGTTGTTGGCACAAGTGTAGGCTGTGGTCTGTTTACATGTCCACTTGTTATACAGGGAAGCCTTTAGGCTGAACTTAAAATATGTAAAGAGGCAGCTTTAGGCTAAACCTGATTTAACAAAGTTATACAAGTCAATTTTGTTATCTTTGGCTTTTGGTTTTTGGCTTTTATGTTGCTTTAAAATTTTTAAGAGTTGAAGAATGCCTGCCCACCCCTATTCCTGTCTGGCCTAGAATATGTCAAAGAAAAGAGTCAAACTTTGTAAAATATTTGAAGAGATTTATTCTGAGACAAATTTGAGCGACCATGGCCCATGATGCAGCCTGTAGAAGGTCCTGAGAACATATGCCCAAGGTGGTCGGGGTGCAGCTTGGTTTTATACATTTTAGAGAGGCATGAGACATCAAATACATTTAAGAAATACATTGGTTTGGTCTAGAGAGGCAGGACAACTCAAAGTGGGGGGGCTTCCAGGCTATAGGTGAATTAAAAATTTTCTGGTTGATAATTGGTTGAGTTTGTTTAAAGATCTTGGATTCATAGAAAGGGAATGTTCTGGTTAAGGTAAAAATTGTGGAGATCCAAGTTCTTTTGAAGTGTTATAGTGGCTGCCCTTAGAGACAGTAGATGACAAATGTTTCCGATTCAGATTTTAGTTACATCTCTTTAGGATTGGGAGGGTCTTGAAGAAAAAATTCCAGCTATGATAATGGAGATTGTTTACAGATGCAAATTCTCCCCCACAAATAACAGCTTTGTAGGGCCATTTCAAGATATGGCAAATAAACATGTTTTGGGGTAAAATATTTTGATTTTCTTCCTTGTCTCATAATGTTATGCCAGAGGCAGGTTGGAAAATATGTCATGATATATAGGGTTAAATAAAACCCTTCTGATGAGAATTTATGATTTGTAGGGCATGGCTCTCCAGACCCCTTAGATAGGAACGTGGGCAAGATAAAAAAAAAAAACCAGAGTTTAGTCCTCAAACATTTAAATTGGCTGTAAGTCTTTTGGCTTTAAGTCTGTTGGCCATAGGGGCCCCGTCAAGGAACAGAATCCAGGGCAGGTAGGTTCACCACTCTTGCAACAGGGAAAAAATTAAAGTTTGACTTTTTTTTTTTTTTTTTTTTTTTTTTTTTGAGACAGAGTCTTAGTCTGTTGGTTAGGCTGGAGTGCAGTGGCATGATCTCAGATCACTGCAAACTCTGCCTCCTGGGTTCAAATGATTCTTTTGCCTCAGCCTCCCAAGCAGCTGGGATTACAGGCATGCACCACCACACCTGGCTAATTTTTGCATTTTTTTGTAGAGATGGGGTTTCGTCATGTTGGTCAGGCTGGTTTTGAACTCCTGGCCTCAAGTGATCCGCCCACCTCAGTCTCCTGAAGTGCTGGGATTACCGACATGAGTCACCAAGCCCAGCCAAAGTTTCATTATTGATGTTGCCTTGCAAACGTTTGCCAGAAAGAGCAGGATGTAAAGCACAAATAAAATTCTAAGTCCCCCAACTACTAGATTTCTCAGTCAAGGAGGACCAAACAAACCTGAAAAACTAGTTCAGGCCATGATGGTAAGTGGGGTCAGACATGTCTCATTGTACACTTTTATCCTTGGAGTTGAGGCACAAGTGAACAGCATTAACATTATAATTATAACTGACAAAACAGCCTCTTTGTAACAAGAAGACCAACTCCAACCTGACTGTGGCATAACTTCACATGACAAATAACAGGACTTAAAAGAAAATCAAAGTATGCCTTAAAAGAAAATCAAAGTATTTTACCTCAAAATATATTTTTTGACATATTTTGAAATGGGCCTGCAAATCTGTCTCTTGATAAAATGCACATTCTGTAAAGAATCTCCCTCCCTTACTTGTCCTCTCCTGAAATTCTGACACCTATGATGAGAACATTCACATATATTCTTTCTGAAACCTGCTATCTAGAGGCTTCATCTACATGACAAGAACCTTGGCTTCTGCAACCTTCCCCCTTAACTGAAGTTTATTCCAACTAGGTTGTACTAATTTACATTGTATATGCATTCACTTTTTTCTTTTTCTTTTCTTTCTTTCTTTCTTTTTTTTTTTTTTTACTTTTTAATAGTAGCCATTCTGACTGGTGTGAGATGGTATCTCACTGCAGCTTGAATTTGCACTTCTCTGATGATTAGTGATGAGCATCTTTTCGTAAGCTTGCTGGCCACTTGTATGTTTTCTTTTGATAAATATCTTATTACATCCTTTGTTTGCTTTTTAATGTTTTTTGTTGTTGTTGAGTTGCTTGAGTTCCTTATAGATTTTGGATATTACTACTTTGTCAAATGCATAATTTGCAAGTATATTCTCCCATTCTTTAGGTAGTCTGTTTGCTCTGTTGATTATTTCTTTTGCTGTGCAGAAGCTCTTTGGTTTAATATAATCTGATTTGTGTATTTTTTGCTTTTGTTGCATTGACTTAGTTATAAATTCTTTGCAAAGACCAGTGTCCAGAAGAGGTTTTTTTGGCTTTTATTCTAGAGTTTTTATAGTTTCCAGTCTTAAATTTAAGTCTTTAATCCATTTTCTGTTAATTTTTATATATGGTGAGTGATAGGGGTCCTGTTTTATTCTTCTACTCGTGGCTGTTTAATTTTTTTAGGACAATTTATTGAATAGGTTGTTTTTTCCTCATTGTGTATTTTTGTTGACCGTGTTGAAGATTACGTGGTTGTAGGTGTAAGGGTCCTGTTCTGTTCCATTAGCCAGTTGGTATAATTCTGTACCGTCATCATGCTGTTTTGGTTATTACAGTCTTATAGTATAATATGAAGTCAGGTAATATGATGCTTCCAACTGTGTTACTTTTGCTTAGAATTGCTTTGGCTGTTTGGGCTTTTTTTGTTCTATGTGAATCTTAGAATTGTTTTACTAATTCCTTGAAAAATGATGGTAATAGTTTGACCAGAATGCATTGAATTTGTTTTATTTCCTTGGGCAGTATGGTCATTTAAAAGACATTGATTCTACCAAATACGTGGTTATAGGATTTTTTTATATGTTTGTTTCATCTATGATTTCTTTCATCAGTGTTTTGTCTTTACTCAGAGTGTAGTTTTCCTAACACAGGTCTTCTACCTCCTTGACTAAAATGAACATCTAGGTATTTCATGTTTGTGTGACTATTGTAAATAGGATTGAGTTCTTGATTGGGTTTTCACCTTGAACATTATTGGTGTTTAGAAATGATACTGCTTTTTGCACATTGATTTTGTATCCTGAAACATTACTGAAGTCATTTATAAAGTCTAGAAGTTTCTTGTACGAGTCTTTAGGGTTTACCAGGTATAAGATCAATAAGCAAACAGAGATCATCTGACTTTCTCTTTTCCAGTTTGGATGCCTTTCATTTCTTTCTCTTGCTTACTTGCTCAGTCTAGGACTTCAAGTAGTTTCTTGAATATAGGTGATAAAATTGGGTATCCATGTTGTGTTCCAGTTCTTAGGGAGAATACTTTCAACTTTTGCCCGTTCTGTATGATGTAGGCTGTGGATTTAGCATACATGACTTTTTTTATTTTGAGGAATGTTCCTTCAATGCCTCATTTGTTGAGGAATTTTTTTTATCATGAGGGGATATTGGATTTTATCCAATACTTTTTCTGCATCTGTTGAGATGATCATAGGGTTTTTCTTCATAGTTCTGTTTGTGTTGAATTACATTTGTTGATTTCCTTATGTTGAATTACATTTGTTGATTTCCTTATGTTGAACCATCCTTGCATCCTTTGAATAAAACCCACTTGTATGTGATGTATTACCTTTTTGATGTGCTGTTTTACTTATGTCTGGTAACATTCAGCTGTGAATCTGTATGGCCCTGGGCTCTTTCTAGTTGGGAGATTTTCTAAATTACTGTGTCAAATTAATTACCTATTATTTGTCTGCTCAGGAATTTTATAGTTTCCTGTTTCAGTCTTCTGAGGTTGTATGTATCCAGGAATTTATGTTCTGTAGATTCTCTAGTTTTTGAGCATATGCTCATAGTAGTCTCTAATAATCTTTTGTATTTTTTTGGTATTATTACAGGAGTTATTAAATTATTTTAGGTAGCCAGAAAGGGTAAAAGAGTCCTCAGTAAGGCTTTATCTTTTAATAAAAAAGCAGCCCCCCAAACATTTCTTTTTTAAAATAAAGTGGCCTGAAAAACCATAGTTGCAAGCATTGATATGCAAGCTACAGGTTTGCATATGTAAATGCAGGTAGCTAAGAGCCAGGTCCACCCAATATGGTGGTTCCCACTACTTTTTCTTTGTTGCCACATGTACGGACATCATGGTGGGGAGTCAGGTAGAGGCCACCTGTACAGGTGTCATGGCAATCAGCTAGATGGCTGAATTTGCATAATAAAAGGCCAGTTTTATTGCAGGTTATGCGAATGACATACCTGGTCAAACCAATCCCCTGGACCCTATGCAAATCAGACATCACCTCCTTGAATCTCCCAATATAAGCAACTGCTTTCCCTCCATCTGTATGGGGGAGCTGTTCTCTTCTTTCTTGCCTATTAAACTTTCTGCTCCTTAATCCACTCCACATGTGTCCATGTCACTAATTTTCTTTGTACAAGACCAAGGACCCTGGGTGTTTCCCCAAACAACAGAGCCATGTCAGTATCAGTTGAAATGTCAACTTTACTCTTTTTGATTGTGCTTATTTGAATGTTTTTGCTTTTTTTTGTTTGACCTAGCTACCAGTTTGTTAATTTTGTTTGTTCAAAGAGCCAACTTTTCATTTTGTTGATCCTTTGTATCTTTTTTCATTTCAGTCTCTTTTCCTTGGGCTGCGATGTTTGCATTTTTTGTTGTTATGCTGGCCTTGGGTTTGGTTTGTTTTTATTTCTCTAGTTCCTTGAGGTGTGACATGGGTCGTTATTTTGAGCTATTTCTGTCATTTTGACATAATTAATGCTGTAAACATTCATATTAGCATTCCTTTTGTTGTATCCCAGAGGTTTGGGTATTTTTTTGTCTCTATTTTTATTCTTTTCAAAAATTTTTTGATTTCTGCATTAATTTTTTGGTTTACCCGAAGATCATTCAAGAACAGTGTTTAGTTTCCATGTATTTGTGTAGTTTTGAGATTTCCTCTTGGTATTGATTTCTAATTTTATTCAAAATTACAATAGGATTACCGTGGTCTGAGAAGATACTTGATATTATTTTGATCTTTTTACATTTATTGAGACTTTCTTATGGTAAAACATATGGAGTACTTTTGAGAATGTTCCATGTGCAGATGAGAAAAATATACATTTTGTAGTTGTTGAGTAGGATGTTCTGTTCTGTAGGTGTCTATTTGATCCATTTGGTTTAAAGATCATTTTAAGTTCAGAGTTTCATTGTGGATTTTTATCCTTGATGATTTGTCTACTGCTGTCAGTGGGGTGTTGAAGCACCCTGCTATTACTATATTGCTGTCTGTGTCTTTCATTCAGTCTACTCATATTTGGTTAATGAACCTTGGTTTCCAGTTTGGGGTGTATGTATTTTAAGAATAGTTATATCTTCTTGTTAAATTGAATTCTTTATATAATAACCTCTTTTTTTGTTGTTGTTAATTTAATGTCTGTATTATCTGATAAAAGTACAATTGCTCCTGCTCATTTTTGTTTTCTGTTTGCATGGTACACCTTTATCCACCACTTAACTTTGAGTCTGAGTGTGTTGATTCATTAGGTGGGTTTCCTCTTGGCAGCAAATGGCTGAATCTTGTTGTCTTAAATTCAATTTGCCATTCTCTATCTCTTAAGTGGAGCACTTAGGCCATGTACATTAAAGGTTTATATTGATATATGAAATTTTATTCCTGTCATAATATTGTTATCTAGTTTCTTTGGAGTCTCAATTGTGATTGCTTCATAAGATCTGTGAGGTTTGTATTTGTATATATTTTTTAACTTTAATGATTATTTGTTTATTTATTTTGAGACAGGATCTTGCTGTGTCACCTAGGCTGGTGTGCAGTGGTGCAGTCTCAGCTCACTACAACCTCTACCTCCCAGGTTCAAGTGATTCTCCTGTCTCAACCTCCTGAGTAGCTGGGATTACAGGCCCATGCTGTCACACCCACCTTATTTTTTCTATTTTTAATAGAGATGGGGTTTCACCATGTTGGCCAGGCTGGTCTCAAACTCCTGACCTCAAGTGTTCCACTCACCTTGGCCTTGCAGAGTGCTGGAATTACAGGTGTGAGCCACCATGCCTGGCTAACAATTATTTTTGATGCAGAGGTACATGTGATTGATTGCTGCAAGGGTATATTGTACCCAGTTAGTAAGAATATTATGCAGTAGGTAGTTTATCAACCCATACCCCCCTTTCTTCCTCCCCAATCTAGTAGTTTACAGTGTCTGTTGTTCCCATGTTTATGTCTCAGTGTGCTGAATATTTAGCTTCCACTTATAAGTGAGAACATGTAGTATTTTCTGTTTCTGTGTTAATTTGGTTAGGATTATAGCCTCCAGCTTTATCCATGTTGCTTAAAAGAACATGATTTTATTCTTCTTTTGGCTGTGTAGTATTCTATGGTGTATATGTATCACATTTTCTTTGTCCAATCTACTGTTGAGGGGCAGCTGGGTTGACTTTCCATGCCTTTGTTGTTGTAAATAGCACAGTAATAAACATACAAGTGCATGTGTCTTTTGGTTTATTGATTTATTTTCTTTTGAGCATATTCCCAGTAATAGGATTGCTGGGTCTAATGGTTGATCTGTTTTAAGTTCCTTGAGATATTACAAAACTGCTTTCCCCACCAACAGTGCATAAATATTCTCTTTTCTCCACAGCCTCACCAGCATCTGTTGTTTTTTTTGACTTTTTGATAATAGCCATTCTGACTGGTGTGACAGTATCTTATTTGGTTTTGATTTGGATTTCTCTTATGATTACTGATGCTGAGCAGTTTTTTTTATATATTTCTTGGCCACTTGCATGTGTTTTTATAATGGTATGATTCTTTTGTTTCCATGTTTAGAACTTCTTTGAGCATTTCTTGCAGGGCTGGTCTAGTGGTGACAAATTTCCTTAGCATTTGCTTGTCTTTGAAAGACTTTGTCTCTGTTTTATTTGGCAGGATATAAAATTTGGGGCTGGTATTTTTGTTTTAAGAAGGCTTAAATAGGTCTTTAATCTCCTGGTCTGTAAGATTTCTGCTGAGAAGTCTGCTGTTAGTCTGACGGCATTTACTTTATAGATGATT
Organism: Homo sapiens; assembly: GCF_000001405.40. Lineage (NCBI taxonomy): Eukaryota > Metazoa > Chordata > Mammalia > Primates > Hominidae > Homo > Homo sapiens. Next base: position 47,054,372 of record NC_000008.11, on the reverse strand, counting down.
TGATGCTTTTCTTTAGGTGCTCTTATGATTTTTTCTTCATGTTGACTTTGGATAGGCTGATGACTACATGCCTTGGTGATATTCACCTGTAAAGTAACTTCTAGTTGTTCCCTGAGCATCTTGCATTTGCATATCTACATCTCTATCAAGACCATGAAAAATTTCCTGAAGCATTTCCTAAAATGTTTTCCAAGACTTTAACTTTTTTCTCCCTCAGGCATGCCTATAACTGGTGGGTTTGGTCGCTTTACGTAATCCCATATTTTTCAAAGGCTTTGTTCATCTTTATTATTGTTGTTGAGATGGAGTTTTGAACTTGTTGCCCAGGCTGGAGTGCAATGGCGTGATCTCAGCTCACCGCAACCTCCGCCTCCTGGGTTCAAGTGATTCTCCTGCCTCAGCCTACTGAGTAGCTGGGGTTACAGGTGTGCACCACCATGCCTGGCTAATTTTGTGTTTTCAGCAGAGACGGGGTTTCTGCATATTGGTCAGGCTGGTCTTGAACTCCTGACCTCAGGTGATTGGCCCACCTCGGCCTCCCAAAGTGCTGGGATTACAGGCATGAGCCAATGTGCCTGGCCCAAAGGCTTTGTTCATTTTTAAAAATACTTTTTTAAAAAAATTTTTGTGTGAGTAGGTGAATTTGAAAGATCAGCCTTTATATTCTAAAATTCTTCTGCTTGGTCTAGGATGTTGTGAAAACTTTTGACTCTGTTTAACTTTGCATGCATTTTCAGAAGTTCTGTTTTTTAAAATCTGTCTTTCCTTTCACATTTTAAATTGTTTTTTGGTGTTTCATTGTGTTTAATTTTTAACTTTTATTTTAAATTCAGGGGTACATGTGCAGGATATTCAGGTTTGTTACATAGATCAACATATGCCATGTTGATTTGTTGCACAGATCATCTCATAACCCAGGTATTAAGTCTAGCACCCATTAGCTATTCTTCCTGATCCTTTCCCTTTTCCCACCTCCTTCCGTCCTACAGGTTCTAGTGTGCTGGATATTAGTACTGGGAGCACTATCCAGTGCTGGATATTAGACCCTTTGTCAGATGGGTAGATTGAAAAAGTTTTTTTCCCATTTTGTAGCTTTTCTGTTTACTCTGTTGATAGTTTCTTTCGCTGTGCAGAAGCTCTTTAATTTAATTAGATCTTATTCATCTGCTTTTGCTTTTGTTGCAGTTGGTCTTCATCATGAAATCTTTGCCTATGCCTGTGTCCTGAATGGTATTGCCTAGGGTTTCTTCTAGAGTTTTTACAGTTTTTGGGTTTTACATTTAAATCTTTAATCTATCTGGAGTTGGTTTTTGTATATGGTGTAAGGAAGGTTTCCAGTTTCAATTTTCTGCATATGGCTAGCCAGTTCTCCTAGCACCATTTGTTAAATAGGGAATCCTTTCCCCATTGCTCATTCTTCGTAAGTGTGTCAAAGATCAGATGGTGGTAGTTGTGTGGTCTTATTTCTGGGTTCTCTATTCTGTTCTATTTGTCTGTGTGTCTGTTCTTGTACCAGTACCATGCTATTTTTGTTTTTATAGCCCTGTAGTATAAAGTCAAGTAGTGTGATGCCTCCAGCTTTTATTTGTCTTTTTGCTTGGGATTGCCTTGGCTATTTGGGCTCTTTTTGGTTTCATATGAATTTTAAAATAGTTTGTTTCTAATTCTGTGAAGAATGTCAGTGGTAATTTAATGGGAATAGCATTGAATTGATTAATTGCTTTGGGCAACATGTTATTCTGTTTACACATGTGTATAAAGAATACCTGAGACCAAGTAATTTTTAAAGAAAAGAGGATTAATTGACTCACAATTATGCATGGCTTGGAAGGCCTCAGGAGACCTACAATTATGGCAGAAGGTGAAGGGGAAGCAAGGCACATCTTACCTGGTGGCAGGAGATAGAGAGTAAAGGGGGAACTGCCACACACGTTTGAACCATTAGACCTCATTACAACTCACTTATCATGAGAACAGCATGGGGAAAACCACCTTCATGATCCAGTTATGTCCCACTAGGTCTCTTTCCTGACATGTGGGAATTACAATTTGACATGAGATTTGGGTGGGGACACAGAGCAAAACCTTATTCCACTCCTGGATTCTCCCAAATCTCAGGTCCTCCTCACATTTGAAAATAATCACACCTTCCCAACAGTCCCCCAAACTCTTAATTCATTCCAGCATTAACTCAAACATCCAAGTCCAAAGTCTCATGTGAGACTAGGCAAGTTCCTTTCACCTATGAGCATGTAAAATAAAAAAACAAGTTAGTTATTTCTTAGATATGATGGAAGTACAGGCATTGGGTAAATGCTCCCATTCCAAATGTGAGAAATTGGCCAAAACAAAGAGGTTACAGGCCCCATGCAATTGGAGAACCCAACAGGGCAGTCATTAAATCTTAAAGCTCCAAAATAATCTCCTTTGACTCCATGCCACACTGACACAAGGCATGGCCTCCCAATGCCTTGGACAGCTTCACCCCAGTGGCTCTGCAGGGTACAGCCCCTGTTGCTGCTTACTGGGACTAGCACTGAGTGCCTTCGGCTTTTCCAGTTTATGGTGCAAACTGTCAGTGGATCTACCATTCTGGGGTCTGGAATATGGTGGCCCTCTTCTCACAGCTCCATGAGGCAGTGCTCCAGTGGGGACTGTCTGTGACATCTCCAACCCCACATTTCCCGTCTGCACTGCCCTAGTAGAGCTTCTCCATGAGAGCTTTGTCCCTGCAGCAGACTTCTGCCTGGACATCCAGGCACCTCCATATATCCTCTGAAATCTAGGTAGAGGCTCCTAAATTGTTGCCTTCTATGCACCCACAGGCTTAACAGCATGTAGAAGCCACCAAAGCTTGGGACTTGCACCCTCTGAAGCCAGTGTCTGAGCTGTACCTTGGCCTCTTTTAGCCACAGCTGGAGCTGGAGCAGCTGGGACACAGGGCTCCATGTCCCAAAGCTGCACAAAGCAGTGAGATCCTGGGCACAGTCAAGAAAACTATTTTTTTTCTCTTAGGCCTTCAGGCCTTTGATGGGAGGGGCTGCCATGAAGATCTTGAAATGCCCTGAAGACATTTTTTCCCATTGTCTTGGTTATTAACATTCACCTTCTCTTATGCAAATTTCTACAGCCACTATCTTGAATATCTCCCCAGAAAGTGCATTTTTTCCCCAACACATGGTCAGGCTGCAAGTTTTCCAAATTTTTATGCTCTGTTTTTTTTTTAAAATGTAAATTCCAATTTCAGACCATCTCTTTGTGAAGACACATGACTATACACGTTAAGAAACAGTCAGGTCATGGCCGGGTGTGGTGGCTCACGCCTGTAATCCCAGCACTTTCGAAGGCCGAAATGGGTGGATCACGAGATCAGGTGTTCGGGACCAGCCTGGCTAACATGGTGAAACCCCGTTTCTACTGAAAACACAAAAATTAGCTGGGTGTGGTGGCACGTGCCTGTAATCCTAGCTACTCAGGAGACTGAGGCAGGAAAATCATTTGAACCTGAGAGGTGGAGGTTGCAGTGAGCCAAGATCACGCCACTGCACTCCAGTTTGGGTGACAGAGCTATACGCAGTCTCAAATAAATAAACAGCCAGGTTATATCTTGAATGATTTGCTGCTTAGAAATTTCTTCTGGGATGGGCACGGTGGCGCTTGCCTGTAATCCCAACAGTTTTGGAGGTTGAGGTGGTTGGATCACTTGAGGTCAGGAGTTTGAGACCAGCCTGACCAACATGGGGAAACGGTATCTCTACAAAACGTACAAAAATTAGCTGGGTGTGGTGGCATATGCCTGTATTTCCAGTTATGCAGGAGGCTGAGATATGAGAATTGCTTGAACCCAGGAAGCGGAGATTGCAGTGAGATGAGATCACACCATGGCACTCTAGCCTGGGTGACAGAGCAAAAGTCTCTCAGAAAAAAAAAAAAAAAAAAAAATTCTTCTGCAAAGATACTCCAAATAATCTCTCTGAAGTTCCAAGATCCATAGTTCTCTAGTTTAGGGGAAAAATGCTGCCAGTCTCTGCTAAAGCATAGCAAAAGTGATTTTATTTTTGTGGCAGTTGTGAATGAGATTTAATTTATGATTTGGCTCTTGGCTTGCCTGTTGTTGTATGGGAATGCTGGTGATTTTTGCAGATTGCTTTTATGTTCTGAGACTTTGCTAAAGTTGCTTATGAGCTTTTTCTGTGAAGCTGTTGGGCTGGGATGACGGGGTTCTATTGAAATAGAATCATGTCATCTGCAAACAAAGATAGTTTGACTTCTCTTTATATTTGAATACCCTTTATTTCTTTCTCTTGCCTGATTGCCCTGGTCAGAACTTCCAATACTATGTTGAATAGGAGTGGTGAGAGAGGGCAGCTTTCTCTTGTGCTGGTTTTCAAGGGGAATGCTTTTATCTTTTGCCTATTCACTATAATAGTGGCTGTGAGTTTGTCATATAAGCTTTTATTTTGAGGTACGTTCTTTTAATACCTGGTTTACTGAGAGTTTTTAACATGAAAGCATGTTGAATTTTATCAAAGGCATTTTCTGCATCTGTTCACATAATCATGTGGTTTTTGTACCTAGTTCGGTGTATGTGATGAATCACATTTGATTTGTGTGTGTTGAATCAGCTTTGCATCCTGGGAATGAAGTCAGCTTGATTGTGATGGATAAGCTTTTTGCTGTGGTGGATAAGCATTTTTGCAGTGCTGGTGGATTCAGTTTGCCAGTATTTTGTTGAAGATTTTGGCATCAATCTTCTTCAAGAATATTGGAGTGAAGTTTTCTTTTGTTATGTCTCTGCCAGGTTTTGGTGTACTGGCCTCATAGATTGAGTTTAGCTGTTTGGAATAGTTCCAGATGGTACCAGCTCTTCTTTGTACCTCTGGTAGTATTCAGCTGTGAATTCATCTGGTCCTGGGCTTTTTTTTTTTGTTTGTTTGTAGGCATTTATTACTGCCTCAAGTTCAGAACTCATTATTGGTCTATTCAGGGATTCAGTTTCTTCCTGGTTCAGTCTTGGAAGGTTGTATGTATCCAGGATTTTATCTGTTTCTTCTAGATTTTCTAGTTTATGTGCATAGGGGTGTTTATAGTATTCCCTGATAGTTGTTTGTATTTCTGTGGGGTCAGTGGTGATATCCTTCTTATTATTTCTGGTTTTGTCTATTTGAATCTTCTCTCTTTTCTTCTTCATTAGTCTAGCTAGTGGTCTATTTTAATAATTTTTTCAAAAAACCAGCTCCTGCATATGTTGATTTTTAAAAGGGTTTTTCGTGTCTCTATCTTTTTTAGTTCAGCCCTGATTTTGATTATTTCTTGCCTTCTTCCAGCTTTGGGGTTTGTTTGCTCTTGGTTCTCTCATTCTTTTAGTTGTTATTTAGGTTGTTGACTTGAGATCTTTCTGGCTTTTTGATGTGGGCATTTAGTGCTGTAAATTTCCCTCTAACACTCCTTTAGCTGTGTCCCAGAGATTCCCAGGTGTATTGTATATTTGTTCTCATTAGTTTGAAAGAACTTCTTGATTTCTCCCTTAAGTGCATTATTTACCCTTTCAGAAGCAGGTGGTTCACCTTCCATGTAGTAATATGGTTTTGAGTGAAATTCTTAATCCTGAGTTCTAATTTGATTGTGCTGTTGTCTGAGAGACTGTTTATTGTTATTTCAGTTCTTTGGATTTGCTGAGGAGTGTTTTACTTCCAATAATGTGGTCAGTTTTACAATAAGTGCCATGTGGCGATGAGAAGGATGTATATTCTGTTTTGGGGTGGAGAGTTCTGTACATATCTATTAGGTTCACTTGATTTAGAGCTGAGTTCAGTTCCTGAATATCTTTGTTAATTTTCTGTCTCAATGATCTGTCTAATATTTTCAGTGGGGTGTTAAAGTCTCCCACTATTATTGTGTGGGAGTCTAAGTCTCTTTCTAGGTCTCTAAGAACTTGTTTTATGAATCTGGGTGCTCCTGTATTGGGTTCATACATATTTTGGATAGTTAGCACTTGTTGAATTGAGCCATTTACCATTATGTAATGCCCTTTTTTGTCTTTTTTTGGTTTTAAGTCTGTTTTTTTCAGAAACTAGGATGGCAACCCCTGCTTTTTTCAACTTTTTATTTGCTTGGTAAATTTTCCTCCATCCCTTTATTTTGAGCCTATTTGTGTCTTTGCACATGAGATGGCTCTCTTAAAGACTGCGTACCAATGGGTCTTGATTTTTTATCCGGCCTGCCAATGTGTGTCTTTTAATTGGGGCATTTAGCCCGTTTACATTTAAGGTTAAAAATATTATGTGTAGGCTGGGCGCGGTGGTTCACACCTGTAATCCCAGCACTTTGGGAGGCCAAGGCAGGTGGATCACGAGGTCAGGCGTTCGAGACCAGCCTGGTCAACATGGTGAAACCCCGTCTCTACTAAAAATACAAAAATTAGCTGGGTGTGGTGGTGCATGCATATAATCCCAGCTACTTGGGAGGCTGAGGCAAGAGAATCACTTGAACCAGGGAGTTGGAGGTTTCAGTGAGCCAAGATCATGCCACTGCACTCCAGCCTGGCGACAGAGCAAGACTGTCTCCAAAAAAAAAAATTATTAGGTGTAAATTTGATCCTGTCATCATGATGCTGCCTGATTATTTTGTAGACTTGTTTATGTGGTTGCTTCATAGTGACACTGATCTGTGTACTTCAGTGTGTTTTTGTAGTGGCTGGTAATAGTTTTACTCTTCCATATTCAGTGCTTTCTTCATGAGCTCTTGCAAGTCAGGTCTGATGGTAATGAATTCCTGTAGCATTTGCTTGTCTGCAAAGGATCTTATATCTTCTTTGCTTATGAAGGTTAGTTTGGCCATGTATGAAATTCTGGATTGGAATTTCTTTTCTTTAAGAAAGCTGAACATTGGCCTTCAATCTATTCTGTCTTGTAGGGTTTCTGCTGAGAGTTCCACTATTCATCTGATGGGCTTCCCTCTGTAGATGATGTGTCCTTTCTTTCTGGCTGCCCTTAATATGTTTCCTTCATTTGGACCTTGCAGAATCTGATGATTATGTGTCTTGGGGACGATCTTCTGTGGATTATCTTACTGGGGTCTCTGCATTTCCTGAATTTGAATGTTGGCCTGTCTAGGTAGACTGGGGAAGTTCTTCTCGGTGATGTCCTGAAATATGTTTTCCAAATTGTTTTTGTTATCCCTGTCTGTTTCATGTACTCCAGTTAGTCATAGATTCAGTCTCTGTATAATCCCATATTTCTTTGAGGTTTTGTTCATTCCTTTTTATTCTTTGTTATGTCTTCTTGCCTGCCTATTTCAGAATGCCAGTCTTCAAGCTCTGAGATTCTTTCCTTTGCTTGGTGTATTCTGCTACTAATACTTGTGATTGCATTGTGAATTTCTTGTAGTGTGTTTTTCAGCTCTATCAGGTCAGTTATGTTCCTCTTTGTACTGGCTATTTTGGCTGTCAGCTCCTGCATTGGTTTATCATGATTCTTAGCTTCCTTACAATGGGTTACAACTTGCTTTTTTAGCTCAGTGACGTTCATTTTCATCCACATTGTGAATGAAGCCTACGTGTGTCATTTTAGCTATCTGAGCCTCAGCCAAGTTCTGAATCCTTGCTGGAGAGGTGTTGTCATTTTGAAGGAGAGGGGCACTCTGGCTTTTTGAGCTTTTATTATTTTTGCACTGATTCTTTCTCATCTTTGTGGACTTACCTACCTTCGATATTTGAGGTTCCTGATCTTTGGGGGTTTTGTGTTTTTGTTGTTGTTTATCTGGTTGTCTGTTTTTCTTTTAACAGGCTGGCCACTATTTGGTAGGGCTGCTGCAGTTTGCTGGGGTTCTATTCTAGACCCTTGTTGCCTCAGTTTTTCCGGTACCTGAAGGTATCACCAGTGAAGCCTGTGAAATAGCAAAGATGGCATCCTGTTTCTTCCTCTGGTAGCTTCATCCCCGGGGGTTACTGATCTTTTTCCAGCCTGAATGCACCTGTAGGAGGTGACTGGAGACCTGGGTTGGAACATCTCACCCAGTCAGAAGGAAAGGGATCGGGGACCAACTTAAAGAAGTAGTCTGGCTATATTTTGTAGAGCAGCTGTGCTATATTGGGGATCCCTTCAGCCTCCCAATTGGTTTGGACTCTTTAAGGCCCACAGGTTGGACCAGCTGAGATGCCCAAAGAGCAAAGGTGGTGGCCTGCTTCACTCCTTAGGCACTCCATCCGAGGGAGAAATTATAACTTTGTTTGCCATAGAACATGAACAGGAGTGGCTAGAGGCTTTGGCTGAGAGATCCAGCAAGGAGGAATGGATTTCGGTCCTGTTTAAAGAAGCAGTCTGGCCATGCCTCAACAAAACAGTCATACTATACTGGGTAATTACTTTTGGCCTGGTCTGCTTAGACTCACCAAAGCCCCCAGGCTTGAATGGCCGAGTCACCCAAACAGCAAAGACGATGACGCACTCCTTCCCACAAGCATTTTTTCTCAGAGCTATCAGAACCCTGCCTGTAATATACAGGTGGGTGCGGCTGGAGGAGTGGATCAGGGACCCATTTAAAGAAGCAGTTTGGCCACACCTCAAGAAAACAATCATGCCAGGCTTCAAAACCACCTCCGCCCCTTTGGGTATGGACTCTCCATAGGTCTACGGCTGCAATGGCTGAGATGTCCAAATAACCAAGGTGGCAGCCCATCCCAAGGAGAGATCAGAACTCTGTCTATAGAATATGGGTGGGAGGGGGTGGCTGGAGGGTGGGGGTGGCTGAAAGCCCCAGTTGGGAAGTCCCATCCAGTGAGGAGGAATGGATTGGAGTCCCACTTAAAGAAGCAGTCTGACCATGTTGTGGCAAAGCAGCTGTGCTGCGCTGAGGGTACTTTTTCTTATCTGGACTTTTGGTATTCTCCACAGCCTGCAGGCTGGAACAGCTGAGTTCATCAAACAGAAAAGATGATAGTGCGCCCCTCCCTTGGGGGCTCCATCCTGTCTCAGGCAGGCTCCACCCTGTTTTTAGTGGCTGGCTGGAATTCCAAGCCAATGGGTCTTATCTTGTGAGGTGCCATTGAAGTGGGGCCCACAATCTTGCGAGGTGCCATGGAAGTGGGGCCTGCAGACTGATGCTGCTCAGCTCCCTCGATTCAGCCCCCTTCCTAGGGATATGTATGGACCTTCGACCTTGCCTGAGTTGCAGTCATCTTTGTCAGGGATCCTGGGCTCAGAGTCTGTAAAGTTCCTGGGTCTCTCTGCGTGCCTGAGCAGCTGCTCTGCTGAGACTCCACACAGCTCTTGTGTGTTGGACCCAAGGCCCCTGTGGTGTGGACTCACAGGGTGATGTCCTGATTGGAGAGTTACAAAGATCCAGGGGAGAAATGTGGTTTCCCTGGGGTCACACATTGACTCACTGCTTTTCTTGGCTGGGGGTGGGGGCTCCCTTTCCAAATTGTTTATCCGATTTCTTTGTGGTGGTTTTCAATGCTCTCGGATCTCATTAAGCTTCCTTACAAGCCATAAGTTATTTTCTTTATTTGTCATTTCAGAATTTTTATTTTGTTTAGGACCCATTTCTAGACCACTAGTGTGATCCTTATGGGTGTTATAACACTCTGTTTTTCATGGTGCTAAAGTTCTTATTCTGATTTTTTTTTTTAATCTGGAGAAGCTGTCATTTATTATTTTTGAATTCACTTTTGTTCAGATGGGATTTTACCCTCCCAAGGGTGTGACTATTTCATATGTCAAGTAGCATTTCTTTGGCTTTGCTTCTTTGTGCTATTAGGGGGCTAAGCTTTCTATAAATTGCTTGGTTGTAGATAACCTTTGTGTAGTGGTGTTCTCAAATGCTGGTTTTTTGTAGTATGTAGTAGTGGTGTACTGTGCATGTGAATAGGCTTGCTGTCTTTTGCAGAGATGGGGAGGAGGCTCATAGTTTTTCACAGCAGTGTGCACTCTGTCAGCAGGAATCATTTTGAATTTTGCCGTCCATCCTATAGACCAGTAGGTGGCACTTGTAAGAGCTAGCTGAATGCTGTGCAGTCATGTCAGCATAAGTTGTAATGGTTTTTGCAGATTGGTATCAAAGTCAGTAGGCTGTACTTGCCAGAAAGAGGCAGCTTCAGTGGTGGCAGTGAGATTTTTACCTGGCCTTTTAAAACCAAGAGAAGTGCCAGGGTATCTTAGTGATGGGCAGGGCTGTGGAGCTCCTGGGGTCCCTCTCCAGTTTTCTGCTGCCAAGGTGGCTAGAGTGGGCAATGCTAGCCATATATGGGTTGGTATATCAGTGAGCAGGCTCTTCAAGGCAGGCGTAAGTACCAGCTGTTGCAGCAGTCTAGGCACAGCTCCCAGGCTGCTGGCGCAACCCTTCAGGGAGGAATAGAGGTGTCTCTCCACCACAGAGCCCACTGAGAAGAAGAAGAGAGTGGCCCAGAGTGTTCAGCATAGCAGGTGGCAGTGGGATCCGCCCAACTCCCACACCCCTGACCTGGCAGGTCTCCCTCCAGAGTCCACCTGCTGCCAGCAGGCCAGAATGTTTAGGGTGGTCCCAAACAGTCTACATTCAGATTGTTGAACAGTTCCAGAAACTGTGGCTCTGTGACCACACCCTTTTAGGTTTAGTCTCGTGACCAAAGTGGGGGCCCAGTTACTATGACACAGCATACATTCATACCATAGTATTCTCTGTGTTCTGACAGTGGGAATTCCTCCCCTGCTGGAGGTCACATCATAAATCTCATCTCCATGCCCCTGGGTGATTGTGTTGAGTCCTGGGGAACTGGGATAAGCCCAGTAGTTTTGTCCTTTGGCCACTCAGGCTTTAGCACCTGTTGTGATCAGAAGGGGTAAACTGCTTCCAGGCCACCAACGGAACACTCAGGTAGGGCAACTGCAACTATGCCACATGTCTCAACTCCCTGTGAGAATGGTCAGGCAGGCAGTCTTTGGAGGAACTGGAAAGCATGGGGTGTGTGGCTTGAATGTTCCTCAGTCCTACAGCAATGGTGGTGGAACCTGTTTAGAGAGCAAGAGAGTGCCTTGGGCCCCACTCATTCCCTGGCCTGACAGGCAACAGCATCAAGGTATGATGCAAAGCCATCAAGGATGGGCAACAATATTATGCTTTGCTGCAGCTGCCCAGGACATGGAAGTCTTTCACTTTTTATTTAAATGCATACATTTATAAACATTGTCAGCAGAGGGATAGAGGGGCTGTACTTATATACATCAACATGTTTTGTTTTTTTATCATGCTAGGAGTTGATTTGGTTCAGGCAAATATTCTTAAAGTTTAAAATATAGAGACCTCACCATACAGAAAACACCTGTTTAATGTCTGACCTGCTCAGATTTCATTTACTTGTATTGAGAATGCTTTTTTATTTTATTTATTCATGACCTTTTACATATTTATGAGGTACATGTGATTATTTATTACATGCGTAGAATGTAGAATAAAGTCATGAGTATTTGAAGTATCAATCAGCTTATTTATAATTTTTTTGTGTTGGTAACATTTCAAGTCCTCTCTTCTAGCTACTTTGAAATATACTGTGCTATCTGTAGTCACCACACTCTGCTATCAAACATTAGAATTTATTTCTCCATTAACCAACCTCTATTCATCCCCCCTTCCACTCTCACACCTTCCCAGCCTCTGGTAGTTATAATTCTATTTTCTATCTTCATGAGGTCAACTTTTTTAGGTCCCACAAATGAATCAGAACATACAATATTTATCTTTCTCGCCTGGCATGTTTTACTTAGCATAATAACCTCCAGATCCATCCATGTCATTGTAAATGACATTTAACTTTTCAAAGACTGAAAACATTCCACTGTGCATATATACAACATTTTCTTTATGTTTTATTGACACTTTGGTTGATTTCATAGGTTTGCTATTGTGAAGAGTGCTATAAACATGTGAGTGCTGGTATCTCTTCGATATACTGATTTCTTCTCTTTTGGATAAATACCCAATAGTGGGATTGCTGGATTGTATGATAGTTCTACTTACAGTTCTTAAAGAAATGTTTGGCCAGGCATGGTGGCCATGCCTTAGAAGTTAGCAGTGGCCTATATAGTGCAGTGTGATTATGGTGATTGTTTTTTGTTTTGTTTTACCTATTCTCTCTTGTTCTTTGGCAAACAGCTTTCAGCCTTAGACAATGTGCTATGTGACATCGATGAGTCCCTTAATTTATGGCCCCTTTTCCCACAGGTTTTTATGCAGCCAATGTTATAGCTGTTGGTCTTAAGCTAAAGGTGGGTGGGTTATGGCACCCAGTGTGGGCTGGATTTAGAATATGAATTGCTACAGTTTTGTTTTGAAGAACATGGAGCATCAGCAGATGATGGGCATGTAGGGCCTCCATAAAGAGTGCAGCTGAGGGAAAGATTCACACACAGACACACACACACACACACACATATATATATATTTTTAAATTATACTTTAAGTTCTAGGGTACATGTGCACAACGTGCAGGTTTGTTACATGCAGGTTGCATATATGTGCCATGTTGGTGTGCTGCACCCATTAACTCGTCATTTACATTAGGTATATCTCCTAATGCTAAGTACAAGAGCATCATGGGTTGGGAGAGGTCAAGGTAATTATTGACCCCACCTTTTACAATTTGTCAACCAGGGTTGCAGGCCAGGAATTTAGTGCAACTAAATTTTATGTATAAACTAAAGAACTAGTGTGTAAGTGAGCTTTATGTTATGTGTGCAGATGTAGGTTGGCATTCACTTTTTGCACTATTTTAGGCTGAATTCAGCGTCTAAAGATGGGCTAATTCATGGATATACATGGCTTCCACATAGGCTTTTAAAAGCCAGTCCCCACACTGTAGTTTTAAGTTAGTCATGGATTTGTTAATCAAAATAAACTGTGATCTCGGTATTAGACCATTTTGAGACCTAAAAGGCATCCTTGCCCACAGAAGGGTAGTAGAGTTTTATTAACAAATGTGCAAAAAGACATGAGCCTTCTTATAAAAAATGGCCCCTTTTTGGGTTGACGTAAAAAAATACCTCAATGAAGCTATTATGACACCGAAGTCTAGGAAGCCTGTGTTTGGAGGACTGCGTCTCAAGAATCAGCTTTGCTCAGGAAGCCATGGGTTTAAGAGTATGCTTCAAACTTAGTATAAGAGTAAGTGCATCAGAATAACAAGAATAAAGAAATTTAGGAATATTTACCTGAAGGAAACAAAGGATTTCCTTATGAGAAAGGTTGCGGTTTTATTGGTTTGGATCAATAGATGTAAAGGGGAAACAAGACCTGTAAGGAGAGACAAAGGTAGATGGTCTACCTGTTCTCAGAAGGTTTCAGAAAAGGGGTTGTGCTTTCACTGTTGCTATATCAAAAAGAGTAACTGGAGCCTGACAAAATTTAGAGAGGAAGCAAGGCAGGATCTCAGTAGACTAGAGTAATTTCTGAGAGGGTGCGTCCAAATGCTGCAAACTGTCTCATAAGTGTTAGGAGAAACCAACTCTCCAAGCAAATATTGAGACAACTGTATGACTTGGTTACACAATATTAGAACAAATTTGAGGGCAAACGTGGGGCAGAGCAGCATAAAAAACTAAAAAAAAGGAGGTGACTTAAGGTGATGATGTATTATACACCGTTCCCTGAAGAAACATCCCCAAGCAATTTTTGGTTAGGACTCGAGGTAAGGCACAGAAAAGATCATTTATATTGGAGGGGTGTGGACAGAAGAACTATAATATGTACTGAGCGCATTATAGATGTTGGGTGATGGAGGGGTATCTTCTGGGATGGATCATCTTCCCAGGAAGCTTGACTGTAGACAAAATATGTTTGAACAGCAGATATTTTTGACAGACCCAGAACCTGCTATTTTCGACAGACCCAGAACCTGCTATTTTCATATATCTCACCATGGAAAACTCTATTAACCACAATCTAGCAGAATATACTAGTAAAATGTCTGGGCCTGAGAGCAATGGAAACGTAAACAGAAAGAACTCAGATCCTGCCAACATCATGATCCTACTTGGCAGAAGAAAAGAAACCTCTCAGGTAGGTTAATCAGCTCAGTCTTCCTGAAACTACTAGTGGAGAAAATGAAAACACTTGAGACGTATATCATAAAAGACATGACAGACAGAAAATGTTCAGAGCCTGTAGCATCCTAAACCAGAGGAAACATCATCTCTTGGGGAGTAATCATGAGAGATTTTTTTCCATGAGGCTGCAAGGAATGCAGTTCACCAGAAGCAGCTTTATTTAAGGAACTTGCTTAAATAAGAAATCCAAATTCTTACCTTAAAGTCCATAAAAGCTAAAGTCTGAAAAATTCCTGCTGTCTTTGTTGAGCAGTATGAATCCAAAGAAAGTAAAGCCTCAAATCCCAACTTAAATTCCAAACTTATTCTCTCCAACTTCTCATTCTGTTCAGTTTCAGTTAGATGAATTCTCTATATCTGCATTTCTTTCAGCAGCTACAGCCTGACTCTTTCTCGGGAATGGGAAATTCCCGAGAATTGCTCTCCAGCTGGAAAAGTTCTGGGGACTGAGGGGCAGGAGAATCTTCACTGGGAGCCAGGTTTCACAGGCCTAAGCAATTCTGTAGTGAGTGACAGCAGCCATTGTGTCTCAGGACCAAAACTATCAGCTCCTAGGATACAGTGTTGGCTACATGGCTAGGTCCACACTTACTATAGCATTAGAATGGCACTCAGTGGGGAAGTTGAGACTAAAAGGCTGAGAAAATACTGAATCAGAAGAACTTCTTAGGACCTGATGCCCAGTGGGTGAGGTGGGGGATGCTTCCACTGCAAATTTTAGAGATTAAAAGGCCAGGAATATCTCAGATGACAATAACTCAGAAAGAAGATAAGTGAATCTCAGCCCTTAACCCACTCTGGTCCCACAGTTAGGATGAATCCCATAGAGTCAAATTTAATCTCTTATGAGAGGTTTCTCTCAATTTATTTTTTATTGTGATATAATCTATATAACATAAAATCCACTGTTTAAAAGCATATAATTCAGTGATTTTTAGTATATTAACTATGTATTGTGACCATCACTAGTGTCTCACTCTTGATTATCTCTGCCACCCCAAAAAGAAACCCTTTACTGATTAGCAGTGAGTCCCAATTCTTCCCTTCTCTCATCTCCTGACAACCAGAAATCTAGTTTTTGTCTCTACAAATTTACGCAGTTTGGATAATTCATGTCAGTGGAATCAAGCCATATTGTAGCCTTTTGTGACTGGCTTCTTTCCATTAGCACAGTGTTTTCAAGATTCATCTATATTATATCATGTAGCAATACTTATTCCTTTTTATGTCTGAACATGTTTTGGAAATATACCACATTTTGTTCATTAATTCATCAGTTGATGGGCATTAAGTTGCTTCAGGATTTTAGCAATTATGCATAATGCTGCTATGAACATTTCTATCCAACTCTAATAGATTTTTAGGGTAATTCTCATGTACCCCAGACAAGCATCTCCTATAGAGTTCTTTTATCTCCTTGGGAAGATGTATTCCTAGGTTTTTGTTTGTTTTCTTTTTGTTTTCACTATAAGTGAGATTGCATTCTTGATTTGGTTCTCAGCTTGAATGTTGATTGTATATGGAAATAATACTGATATTTATATGTAGATTTTGTATCCTGAAACTTTACCACATCATTTATCAAATCTAGGAGTCTTTTGGAGGAATCCTTGGGGTTTTCTAGGTATAGAATTATATTTTCAGTGAAGAGAGATAGTGTGACTTCTTCTTTTTCTATTTGGATGCCTTTTATTTCTTTCTCTTGGCTGATTGCTGTGGTTAGGATTCCTAGTACTATGTTGAATAGGAGTGGTGTAAGTGGACATCCTTGTCTTATTCCAGTGCCAAGAGGGAAGGTTTCTAAATTTTCCCCTTCAGTATGATGTCAGCCTCAGGTCTGTCACAGATGGCTCTTCATATTTTGAGGTATGTTTCTTTGATGCCTACTTTGTTAAGGGTTTTTATCATACAGGGATGGGCTGATCAGCAGTTTAGTAAAGTTGAAACTAGTATTTCTTTTTCAGACACGTTTGAGTTTCTATAATGACCTTTGACAACAGTATGTACTGGATTCTAGAATATAATTATGTTTAGGATAACATTGCTAGTAAATGGGGATTGCTTTATTTTCTAAAACGTGCGGGTTTGGAAAACCATGATGTGCACTTTTGTATTCTCTATTAATGCTTTGGATCCTTAAAAGTGAGGCTCCTGAGTTGACTTAGGAGCGAACAAACACAATTTCTGAGGCCCTGAAAGAACTGCACCCATTCCCAAGAAAGAGTCAGGCTGTAGCTGCTGAAAGAAATGCAGATATAGAGAATTCATCTAACTGAAACTGAACAGAATGAGAAGTTGGAGAGAATACGTTTGGAATTTAAGTTGGGATTTGAGGCTTTACTTTCTTTGGATTCATACTGCTCAACAAAGACAGCAGGAATTTTTCAGACTTTAGCTTTTACGGATTTTAAGGTAAGAATTTGGATTTTTTGGAAAGATTTTAATCTTTGAATTTAATTATATCTATTGGGAAATTATTAATGAGAGGGAAATTATATTTAATTTTGGAGTATCAATAAATGTTGGCATATGATTATTGAACTATTTTATGGTCATTGAACCTCATTGCAGAAGCTTTGAGAGGCTATACTAGGCAATATGGCTGGATACAATTTAAGATAGGAAACAGAACAGAAGTGAAATTTCAGCTTTAAATTCAGAATGGTCATTAAGATCTTTCAATTAACATACCATTCGGTTTCATTTCAAAGCCAAGAGCAAAACTAAATTCTTTCAGTAGAAAGAAATATCCCAGGAAATCCCAGGAAGATCCACAAAAGAGTATGGAATGGCAGTTATTTTCTTATAACAAACATTTCTTTATTATGGTGAATGTATATATGATACATTCTGTTCTAATGATGCCTCGTGGAGTAATCTTAGAGGACATTTAAATAATTACAGAAACACGCTTAGACTAAAGTTTTTAAAAGTGTAACAAAAAATAATTTTTTTATTCAAAGGTAATGGCAAAAGTACAGAAAGTGATCATTATGTTAGCACTTAGTCTTCATCTGAAACATGGAAAGTTTATTTTGCTCTAGATTTTTTAAGCAGCTTGGTCCTATAAACATTGAAATGTTAAAAAAAAAAGTTTATGATTTTTGTCTTTTAGCTGAATCTTGTTTGCTGCTTCCATTGCCAGGTGTGAAAAAGTGGTGATCAGACTTTGGCCCTTTTGTGTTTTTTTCTTAGATCAAAGTAAAGACTTAGTTTGGCAGCTCTTCGAGCATAGGCCCTGGGAAAGAGGCTGGAAATCAAGTATGCTTTTTATGCCCTCTGAACTGTCTGTACTGAGGCTTTCCAGAATTTCCCTCACTTGCTGCTACTTTGCATACTTGTCTCTGGAAAATGAATAACTAGTACATTGCAGAGATTTTATTTTAATTTGGGGCAAGGTTTGTGGCATAAGGTTAGACCTGTTTGTAGCCTCAGTGTGGAAGACATGCTCTTCATGTTTTTTTATTTTTTTATTTTTTTAATTTTTAGATTGCATAACTCACTTAAAGGGAAAAGAAGTTTGAAGAATCTGCAGTTACCTGGCCATTTTGTTCTATAGTATTCTAGTTTTTTAGAATGTTTCAGCTTCTCCTTTAAAAATGTCTAGCATGTTTATTTGGTCAATGAATTGGCACCATGGTAGGTACTGAAAAAGAATGCCATGTATATTAAAAGTTATCTCTAGACATTTAGTTGCAGGAAGAAAATCTGAAAAAATCTCATCTAGGTATCAAATTTTAGTAGTTGTAGGGAAACTGCATATTTTTTTCTTTTTTCAAAGAGGATTAAATGAAATGTTACATAATCACATAATCAGCACTTAACATTCCACCACGCATATGATGAGTATCCAACAAATGTTGGCTTTTATTGTTACTACTCTTTTATTCTGTTCAGCCAGCTATAACCTAAGGCACACGATTTCACCCTGTGCTTGTATAATGCCTCTTGGTCTTTCTCTTTCACTTGCTCTCCTCCCACCTCACTCTCATTCTTCATCTTTCTCTTTCCACTTGCTGTGGCCAACTACATAGTCATCCTCCAAGTCCTATACCATTTTCATTTTTATCTTTTCTACCAATAACTGCCAAGCAAGTAGTACAAATTTGTATGTTTATTCTTACGAGTAAGAATTTTTTATTAAATATTGAGGCATGTTATTAACTTAAAAATTACTACTTTAGTTTAGACTGAAAGTATAAATACAAGTCACACAAACATTGTTTTGGAGGAAATTCATCTAATTTTCATGAGCTTATCTGCCCATGGACTTACCAGACTGTATACTGCAGAGAAAAGCCTGCTTCTGTTTTTCTGTGACACAATTTTGTATTCATAGAAATAATGCATATGAATGACTTCTTGGCATTTTCCTCCAATCTGGTCCTATTTACTCTTTAATGTAGAAGTTCTACAAAATTTGAGCCATTTTGGATGACATTTTGACTCATATTCATCTGGGTGGTTTTTTTTTTTAATCCAATAATTTCTGGGAAGATGTTTCACATCTCTTCCTAAAGCTTTGTGTTTTTTGGAAGTCAATCTGTACTTTCATGGATGCTTGAAAGTCAGGTTACTGCTGTTTCCAATATCTGGGCCATCTCTCAAGGACATTTGCTGATTACCACGTTAATGCTTAAAAACTAAAGTTTTTTATGAATATATCACATTAGTGTTCAGAATTAAGTCCTGACTTTGATCCAATAACCAAAGTATAATCATGGATATGATTTTTTCAAGAAATTAGAATTTCCTGGCTGAAACAGCATTGAGCCTGACTGTCAAGGGAAGGAGTTTACACTTTAACAACATTCTAAAGGAGGAATAAAGAGGGTTTACTTGATGATTTCAGAACACCAAAGGAAATAAAGTGGGCCTGATTTAGTCAATGATTCTTTAACATATGAAGAAGGGGAGATAAAGTTTTTACTTTAAAAAAAAAGTTTTTACTTTTACATCTTCAAAATACAAGATGACACTAATTTCCCATTTTAAAATTTTAACACATTGTTCTTTTACATATTTTTTTCAAGATTTTAAACTGTTAGGGGAGGTATGGTTACAACCTTTCCTCAAATATGGACTCATGGAATATAAAACTAGTATTACTGCACTAAACAAGAATCCATAGGGGGAATAAGATTTCTAATTTTCATTGCTTATATCAGGGCTCTAATGATTATAAGGTAGAATGTTTAGTAATTTTGTTCACAATGCAGATTGTATCTAATTACTAATTTTCTATTATGTTAGAAATGGAATTTGCATTTCCCAAAATGCCCACAAAATAGAATTTGGCTAAACATTTCCATGATCACATTTTCTATGATGTTGGTTTTAAAGTGACTTGAGATTGTGAAATCCTTCTATGTTGGTTTTATAGCTCTGAGGCTCTAAACTCTCATAAGTTTTGAGTAGGACCTGGAAATGATGTGATGGCATCAGATTAAACATGTCTGTTAGAGTTAATTTTTTTTTCTATATTAGTCTACAAGTGTTAGAATGCCTATACCAAAGGACTGGAGGCAAAGATGACATTTATTTTCCCATTCAACTCAAAATGTCTACTGGTAGCCTAGCTTCTTGTAAAGCTGGATTCTGGACTCAAACAGAGGTCTTTCCCTTTTCTTCTTTCCTTCCTCCCTCCCTCCTTCCCTCCCTTCCTCCCTTCCTTCCTCCCTTCCTCCCTTCTTCCCTTCCTTTCTTTCTCTGCTTCTCCTGTCTGCCTCCCACTGCATTGGCTTCATATGAAAGTTCTCCATATAACTTATAAAATTCCTAGGCTCTCTTTGCTTGATGAGAAGATGACTGCAGCAGTTTTAGGCTCAGATGAGCACAAGAGTGAAGCCCAGTGGGAAACAGTGAGCCCTTTTACTTGCAGGGGAATCACTCTGTGTCCACAAGCACCAAGGCCAGGGGAATATAATATGCTTACTGGCTTGCACGTGACACATGTTGTGCACCTTTGGAGCAGGGGTAGAGCTCACCCAAAACACATACACTAGATTGAAGGAGGAACAATCTCCAAGTTAAAATTGGGTGAGGGGAGTTATATGAGAATTGATGGGGCAAAAGGATCTTACTGTAGAAAAGTTTTATATATTCCTGAGCCTAAGCATAAAGAGTGCTGGGTTCACAGGGGCTCTTTCGACTTCTTACCACATTATTTTTTGAATGACTATTTTAAAAACTTTGGACAGAGGATTAAGATGGTGTACAGGAGGCAGGACTAGCTTGCAGCTCCCACTTGGATACAGCAGCATGTGGAGACTCACATTATGAACTTTTGCTTCAAGATCTACCACAGCAACATAGCAGGAAAGCTGAGAGAATTCACAGACCCTTTGAAGAAACTGGATTGCTGCTACAGCCTCCCCGAGGTGGTGGAAAACTGTGTCTGTTACTTTCTCAGTGCAGTGACTGGTGGTCTAGGGCAAGTTCTTGCCCTGCTCACTAGCTGTGGAGGGCATTGTGGGAGTCAGACTGGTCTTAGGGGCTGGGTGGGAATGGCACGAGGCCTGTGACTGCTGGCATTCCTGGTGGTCTTTCTCTACCCACCCTGGTAGTCAAAGACAAAGGTCATAATCTCTTGGGAGCTCTATGGCCCTGCCCACCACCTGAAAAACCTGAATACTTAGGTTTTGCCCAGGTGACCCTAGGGCAAGTTTACTTTCTCCCTATAGTACTGCAGCTGATGCAGTCATGAAAGTGCCACCTCCTAGCTGGAGGCCAACCAACACAAAACCCCCACACTAAAAAACACAACCAAGGACCCTCACAGAGTCCACTTCACTTGTCATTCTACCTCCACTGGAGCAGATGCTGGTATCCACATCTGAGAGACCTGAAGATGAATCACATCACAGGACTCTTTGCAGACACTCCCCAGTACCAGCCCAGAGCCCAGTAGCTCCACTGGGTGGCTAACCCCAGAAGACCAAAAACAATCACTGTGGTTTGGCTCTTAGGCAGCCCCATTCCTAGAGGAAGGGGGAGAACAGCACATCAAGGGAGCACCCCATGGGACAAAAGAATCTGAACAGCAGCCTTTGAGTTCCCAGATCTTCCCTCTGACATAGTCTACCCAAATGAGAACAACACTTTTGGTAATAGGACAAAACAAGGTTCTTTAACACCCCCAAAAGATCACATCAGCTCACTAGCAATGGATCCAAACCAAGATGAAATCTCTGAATTGCCAGAAAAAGAATTCAAAGGTTGATTATTAAGCTAATAAAGGAAGCACCAGAGAAAGGTGAACTCTAACTTAAATTAAAAACATGATACAGGATATGAAAGGAAAAATCTTCAGTGAAATAGCACAAATAAAAAATGATCGCAACTTCTTGAAATCAAGGACACACTTAGAGAAATGCAAAATGCCTTGGGAAGTCTCAGCAGTAGAGTCAGACAAGCAGAAGAAAGAACTTTAGAACTCAAAGACAAGGTTTGTGAATTAACCCAATCCATCAAAGACAAAAAAGAATTTTAAAAACTGAACAAAACCTCCAAGAAGCTTGGGACTATGTTAAGGATCCAAACCTAAGAATAATTGGTGTTCCCAGGGAAGAAGAGAATCTAAAAGTCTGGAAAGAATATTTGAGGGAATAATTAATGAAAACTTCCCCAGTCTTGCTGGAGATATAGACATACAAATACAAAAAGCTCAAAGAACATATAGGAAATTAATCGCAATAAGATCATCACCTAGGCACACTGTCATCAGGTTATTTAAAGTCGAGATGATGGAAAGAATCTTAAGAGTTGTGAGGCAAAAGCATGAGGTAACCTATAAAGGAAAACCTATCAGAGTAACAGCACATTTCTCAGCAGAAACCCTACACACTAGAAGGAATTGAGGTCTTATCTTTAGCCTCTTTAAACAAAACAATTATCAGCCAAGAAGTTTGTATCCAGCAAAACTAAGCTTCATAAATGAAGGAAAGATACCATCTATTTCAGACAAACAAATGTGAGAGGATTCACCACTACCAAGCTGTCACTACAAGAACGGCTAAACGGAGCTCTAAATCTTGAAACAAATCCTCAAAATACACCAAAATAGAATCTCCTTAAAGCATAAATCTCACAGGACCTATATAACAATAACACAATGAAAAAACAAAACAAGGTATTCAGGCAACAAATAGCACGATGAATAGAATAGTACTTCACATCTCATTACTAATGTTGAATGTAAATGGCCTAAATGCTCCACTTGAAAGATACAGAATGGCAGAATGGATAAGAATTCACCAACCCCTATCTCAATAGATATTGGAAAAAATGAATAAAGAAGTAACAAAGATTTGAAACTTAAGGTAGATGGTACCAGCAATCTGCTTTTCAGAACCTGTAAACATTTGCCTATTCTGACAAAGAATTCCTAACCAGCCTGCCTAATCATAGCTCTTAAAATATTGTTACACATGGTGGTTCATGCCAATATTATAGCCCCTATGGGAAAGCTACTGCTGAAAGTATCGCTTTGATATCAAATTGTATCTCCTTATCTGTCTCATGTTAAGCCTTTTTAAAAATTCTTCCATTCATTTCATAGAGATATTTGGGAACAACATTAGCTGTTCACTACACATTCAAAAATAATCTGACAGAGAACAGTGTGTGTTCATCTATGAGCTTTCTGTTTTTTTTTTTTTTGAGATGGAATTTTACTCTTTCACCCAGGTTGGAGTGCAATGGCGTGATCTCAGCTCACTGCAACCTCTTCCTTCCAGTTTCAAGCGATTCTCCTGCCTCAGCCTCCCGAGTAGCTGGGATTACAGGCACCCGCCACCACAACCAGCTAATTTTTGTATTTTTAGTAGAAACAGGATTTCAGCATGTTGGCCAGACTGGTCTCCAACTCCTGACCTCGTGATGTGCCTGCCTTGGCCGCCCAAAGTGCTGGGATTACAGGCTTGAGCCACCAGCCCAGCCTGAGTTTTCTTTTCTCTGGATTAGAGTAAAACTAATAGCTTGTGCCATGTAAAGTGAAGGCTGCATATGTGAAATGTTATTTACTGGGATTACTATAAAATGTGGGCATGTAATGGTCCATGCCTCATAGAGTGGAGTGCTATTCAAGTGAAGTATGAGTAGTTCTAAACTAAGTATGATTGGGTTAATGAGAATGTGTGTGGATCAATTTAGATAATGTCTGATTGAGGATAAGAAATATCAAATATTACCTGTAATTTTTTCAAAAGGCTTAGAAGAGGAGACATGCTGTCTAAATGTGTATAAGGGTCATCATCATTCCTTTATTATATATTCCTTAGCTTGCAAAGTTTTGCATTTTTTGGTGTTTTTTGTTTGTTTATTTGTTTTGTTTTTGAGAGAGGATCTCACTCCTGTCCCCCAGGCTGGAGTGCAGTTGCGGGATGTCTGCTTACTGCAGCCTCCATC
Organism: Homo sapiens; assembly: GCF_000001405.40. NCBI lineage: Eukaryota > Metazoa > Chordata > Mammalia > Primates > Hominidae > Homo > Homo sapiens. The sequence continues at coordinate 47,030,886 of NC_000008.11, read as the reverse complement.
TCCAAGGCTCAAGTATGCCCAAGGTAGAAACAAAAATATAGAAGACAATTCCACTGACTTCTCAGCTGTGGTCTGATTCTGTGAACATATTCTGGTTTGGCAGACCGTCTTGGGCCTTCAGATGATGAATGAAGGAAATGAGTTGGGAACCAGCTGACTCCTGTCATAAATGCTGTTTTCTAATCACAGCCGTGAGAGTTGCCTCTGCTCACTCTCTCTTTGTCACCTACTTTCCTCCTCTGTATTAGGAAACCAGCATAAGGAAAAGGGAATTTATTAACTTGTAAAATTTAAAAATTTCAGGTTGGAATGGCTTCAATCACATATAGTTGCTCCACTCTTTGCTCTTCTTTTCCCTGTTTTTTTCATTCCACTCCCCCCAACCCCCAGCTACCATCTGTCGATGCGGTGAAAAGTCATCAGTCTTTTCTAATATTCCTGTAAAGGACCTTAATTGATTGGTCTGGATTACATGCCCACTTGACTGACAGCTCCGTAAGAATCACATGGCCCACATGTAGTGTGCTTGTCAAAAGAAAAGATCTTTGGGCATATTTAAAATGTAACCCTTGCTCGTTACATCTTCCTTGAAAGTATCTGGACTGCAGCATTGCCTCAGGCCAATGTTCTAGCTGCAGTAAGAACTCCCCTACTTAGTGCAGTGAAAGTGTACCACATAATAATTATAGATAAGGACTAGATCTACAGTCTACAGATCTTCAACTTAAGTCTCAGTTGGGCTAATTGCATGCCTGACCTGTTGTTCCCATCTGTATTTCATTTCATTTATACTCCTATGGCTAAGCTTTAGGGTGGGCAGTTTGACCTCAGAAAGATCTCTCTCTCTCTCTCTCTCTCTGTGTATGTCTCTCTCTGTCTCTCCCCCCTCCCCCCTCCCTCCCTCTCTCCCCCCACCCCACCTCTCCTTTCTCTCCTTCTTCCTCCCTTCTCTCTCTCCAAATATGACTGGATTTCTGTTTACCTATTGCATACATTGGTTGCTCGAAAGCCTGAAATGGAGGCATTCAACAGAAATCTTGGGACTAAAATTACTGTGCTCATGCTCACAGTTGGGTCTGAGGATGCTTGCTCATAATACTAATATGTGGTCATATAATTTTGCTGATAGTGAAATCTCTAGATGTAGCTAATTTTTGACTTTCATTAATTTCCTTCTTGCCAAGTATACTGAGTCTTCTATAGCGAGCACCTGGGAAGATGTGGAGAAGAATATAAGAAGAAAGGAGTTCTGGGTAAAAAAAAATCTTGATGCCAAGTATTGAAACCTATTATAGAGCTAGCTCAACAGTGTACTGTGAAGTTTACTTATATGCATGATTTTAGCATTTCCAATTGAACTTTCTTTAAAGATCAAGGCCATTATATTGATTGACACAGTGAGCATACTTTTCTTTGGTCTTGAGAAATAGACTAGTGATATGTTTCTCTCCTGTTATGAAAATCCTATTACTTTTACTTTTGAGAGAATCAAATTTGGTTTATTATAGCCTTACATTGATACTTCTTACCCAAGTTTTGGACAGCATTCTCAAGCATATTTAACATTTACTTTGGTAGCAAGGCTGGGGTCCTATCTTACTAAGTAAATATGCATCAGATACCAAGAAAGTATTTCATACTCACCTGGTATATAAATACCTGGCTTTTAGGCATAATTTCTATGCTGTTAATTCTCTTTTGGGGAAGTAGGATAGACAGTAATCCATTCCTGGTGGGTAAGGAGGAGAGATAGCTGAGAAGTTTGAAATATTAGAAATTTAAATTTCCATCTCATACAATTAGAAAATAGGACAGACGATTACAAAAACAACTACGGACATTAGAAAAATATTCCTTGAAGATCAGGCATCTGTAAATCAGACACATAATCTTCACATTATTTGAAGTTTCAACAACTGAATATTGGTAAAATTAATGATGCCAGCCCCTCAGGTCCTGAACTTCCTTACACAAAGTGTCCTTCACTTCACCTCGGGAGTCACTCTCAGGATTGCACCTTGCATCTTGCCATTATCCACAACTTCACCTCCAAAGTCACAAAAATTAGCATTCTGCCTACTGACTACAACCTCCCATCATTCAAGACCACGCGATTATCACTTCCCACCATTCTCAAGCCCACTGGTGCTGATGGACAACTCATGCTTTACTTTCTTCCAGTGCATCTGCTCTCCCTTTTTAGCATTTCCACCTGAGATTTCTCATTTTCTCAATAATGAATCCCTCCACTAGTATTTTGGATCCCATTTTCCTCTTCCTTCTCTAGTACCTTACATTATTAATAATCCCTTCTCAATTTTGTAATTTTTATTTCTGACTGCCTCCTTCTTTTATATTTTAAACATGTTAAAGACTCTTTCATCAAAAATAACTACTTTGGTTCTCACATAGCACTCCAGTTACCCTTCTGTATTTTCTCCACACTTTTTGAAAAATTATTTGAGCTCATAGCACCATTTCCTCACCTCCCACTTACTGCTTAATCCATTCCCATTTATCGTCTGCCTATTCTGAATACCTTTCACTGAAGTCACTGGTTACTTCTGAGTGGTTTGATCCATTGCAGTGTCTCTGCCTCATTTTCTTAAGCTCTTACCATCATTCAGTGTGATAGGCTGCTTACTCCCCTCTGAGCCATTCTCTATGTCCTCAACCCCTATCACTGGGCCTTGCTAAGCTGAGATTCAATTATTCCAGGAGACCTTTCAATGATCTTCAAGGAGACTATTGAAAATTTGCCATGAAACATATTTTCTTTCATTTGGAAAAAGATGAGATTGACAAGCCATCAATTAGTCCTGAAGTATGGCATGACAAGGCTCTGTGAGTTTAAAGTGATAGAGTCAATCAGTCTTTCACTCATGGTTTCTGCTTTCCTTTTATCAGTATTTAGAAAATCAGTTTTCATTGCAAGGTTATACAAATATTTAGAAAATCAGTTTCCATTGCAAGGATATACAAATATCTGTGTTTACTTTTGTGTTTCTATAGCTTGATTTAAAAATGTAATCTTTAATCTTGTGAAATTTGTTCTGTAATAAATATTTTGGAATGTACTTAATTATTAGCAGATTGCCCCAATATTTTCATTGAGTAACTCATGTTTTCCTGTTGATTGCAAAGGCCAACTATTATAATATTTCATTCCCATCTTAATAAATACAACTCGTGAAGATCCTTACTCTCTTTATATCATGATTACTTCCCTCTTACATGTTGCATAGAATGTAGTCAAAAGAAATCTAGACACCACCTACTTCCATGGCTGTGTAAACCAAAAGAGACATTGAATCTTTCCATTAGTAATATCACAGGTATTCAGTTCTTCATCCTACACTTGTGTTCTTTTTTATGGATAATTTTTTTTTTTAGAAGGAGCTTGGAAATTTTTTATTGTTCTTGCCAAATCTTACAGCAATTTAATGTATATGAGAAAACAAAATACCACCTCTTCTATTACTGTCAAACATCAGCCTAAGAACCCTGTTTTTCTTTTTGTAATTTTTTTCTTTTACTATCTCTTTCCGGAAAAAGTGCTAATATGTTTACATTTCAAATATATTTTTTTTTTCCTGCTGGGAGTCAGGCCAGTAAGAGGAAAGCAAAATGGCAGGAGAAGCAAATAGTGATGTAGGCAGAATCAATGACACTGCTAGAATAAAAACTTTATTTCTCATATGCCTTATAAGTACCATCAGAAGAGATGCAATAAGAAAAACACTATCTAGGTTCTCAAAAGCCTAAAATCCAGTAAAAGGAGGAGAAAAGTATATAAATGTGTGTATGTTAAAAATGTAAAATAAACTAAAAAAATATACAGAATGTATCTTGAAAGATAAAATTAATTTTGATAGGTAGAGATTTGAAGAAGAGAATTGTGAGCACAAGGAAAGAATAGGTTGTATGAAGCATGAGAAATTATTAGGTAAGAGTTGGAGGTCTAACTGACTAAAACATTGGAATATATACATATATTTATATATATGGAACAGGAAAAAGAAGATAGAAATATAGGTTGGAAACTCCTGCACTCTCATGGTAAACATAAATTTTGATTTTCTCATACTCCTCTGACTGACTCTTTCAATCTTCTTACTGAGTTGTTCTTCTGATGTTCCCTGAGTTTTATCCTTGACCCAACATTCAAGACATTCTCTATGGTCACGTAGACTAATCTCCTTTATGTGTGATGCCATCAACATACATCCTGATAACTCTCAAATGTGTTTCTCTAGTTTGAATGACTAAACCCGTCTCCTAAGATCTACATCCATGTTTCCAACTACTTAACAGGTGTCTCATCTCAAATACCCCCAAATACCCCAAAATTAACATGTTGCAACTTGCTTCTTCTCTAGATTTAGTGATACTATCATTTTTCTGTTATGAAAGTGGGTACCTTATTAAACATACTCTTTGTACAATGAAGGAAATTGATCTAATAAAATATTTATTAAAGCAATTCAATAAGCATAGGAGACCATCTTCTAAGCTTTGCAACCCCCTTCTCTTTTCATAGGGCATGAAACCAGCAGCCATTTGACCTAAGGGCAGCTGGTCTATGTGCTAAGCAGTTGTCTGCAAGGAAGGCTGGTGCAAAACTCTGAGCAAGGGGGAAAAATAATGACCAGGCCAGCGAGATAATATCAGGAAATGAAACTTGAAATGTGGAAAAAGTATTGAGCAAATGACTCAGAAGTCAGAGAGAAGTACATTAGCAGAAGTCATTAGCAAAAGTACAAAGAGACAAAGAGTGAAAGGAGAGTGGTTGAGTTGCATAAAGAGAGATGTACTGGAGTTGAGTAAAGCAATTCCTATGGCCCACTATAGATCTCTAAACCTAGTAAATGCCTGATGTTCAGTAGGTACTCCATAGATTTGTGTGGATTTTCTCACTTGGAAAGAGATTATGTGGCCCCTAGAGCTTTCTGACTTTTCAAGCATATGACTCTGAGAAAAGAAGGAAGTATAGAAGGAACGGATACAGGATAAGACATTAGAAGTAATTGGGTCTAAATTAGTGTAAAAATCAAAAGGATAAACATAACAGAAAAATTTGGAGATAGACTCTTCAATACTTACGCAATACAGATAAAGGAAAAATAAAAGATGACTCCAAGTGACTGCACTTGAATAGTCTGAGATAAAGCTAAATCTTCAGTAACATTATGGAAGTTTGGAGGAGGAGTTGGTTGGAGATGATGTGGATGAGTTTGGTTTTATAAATAGGGGTTAGAGACAAGATAAAGAATATTTCTCATGAAGGAAAGAAGTATTAGTTGAATATATTAATAGTATTCTTCATAATATCTCATATTAAATACCATACAGAGTACACTAATGAATACTATTAATAAGAAAATATATTTATATTTAAAGATGTATTAAAACTATAAATTTCTTTTCAGATCATTTTCTGTAAGCTGTCAAACAGAATCTGGTATTATTATTTGTGGCATAAATTGAAATATTGTTATAAATTACATCTCATGGTTTTATTTCTCTGGTAAATGTTGCAGTTTCCTGATTGACTCCTATATTATAATGCCCTATCGGTTAGCTGTAATTTCTTATTGAGAAGACATTATCAATCCTAAGCTCCTTCATCTTAGTCAATCACCAAAATTAGTGGTGCTTATTTTCTGAAATGAATCGTAAAAGTCATTTTATAATTTGTTAAAATAAACACATTAATTTTTAATTAATTTGTTACCATATTAGAAATGTTTTCTATAATCATAATTACTAATCATTCTATCAAAGATTTTCCCCTCTCACACATAACCAAGGGCTTCCTAATTTGACTGCCATTTTTATTAGAGTGTTGTTCATCAGTACTATTACTTGTTGTGATCAATATATAATATAATATAATATAACATGATTACATATTTTCATTAGATTTATTATGATAGACAATAACTCTGTTAGGCCATTGGTCCTTTGGCATTGAGCACATTTCTGCAATTGGCCTATTGCCATCACATTTGCAAATTTTTCTTGGTTAGAAATTACGACATATTTTTTCCCTTGGGCCCAAGTTTTGTTGCCTATGTAATGAGGGAGCAGGGCTAGGTGATATTTAAGATCTCTTCACATCTAATGTTGGTTAATTTTTTTTTTATTATACTTTAAGTTTTAGGGTACACGTGCACAATGTGCAGGTTAGTTACATATGTATACATGTGCCATGCTGGTGCGCTGCACCCACTAACTCATCATCTAGCATTAGGTATATCTCCCAATGCTATCCCTCCCCCCTCTCCCGACCCCACAACAGTCCCAGAGTGTGATGTTCCCCTTCCTTAGTCCAAGTGTTCTCATAGTTCAATTCCCACCTATGAGTGAGAATATGCGGTGTTTGGTTTTTTGTCCTTGCGATAGTTTACTTAGAATGATGGTTTCCAATTTCATCCATGTCCCTACAAAGGACATGAACTCATCATTTTTTATGGCTGCATAGTATTCCATGGTGTATATGTGCCACATTTTCTTAATCCAGTCTATCATTGTTGGACATTTGGGTTGGTTCCAAGTCTTTGCTATTGTGAATAATGCCGCAAAAAACATACGTGTACATGTGTCTTTATAGCAGCATGATTTATAGTCCTTTGGGTATATACCCAGTAATGGGATGGCTGGGTCAAATGGTATGTCTAGTTCTAGATCCCTGAGGAATCACCACACTGACTTCCACAATGGTTGAACTAGATTACAGTCCCACCAACAGTGTAAAAGTGTTCCTATTTCTCCACATCCTCTCCAGCACCTGTTGTTTCCTGACTTTTTAATGATTGCCATTCTAACTGGTGTGAAATGGTATCTCACTGTGGTTTTGATTTGCATTTCTCTGATGGCCAGTGATGGTGAGCATTTTTTATGTGTTTTTTGGCTGCATAAATGTCCTCTTTTGAGAAGTGTCTGTTATGTCCTTTGCCCACCTTTTGATGGGGTTGTTTGTTTTTTTCTTGTAAATTTGTTGGAGTTCATTGTAGATTCTGCATATTAGCCCTTTGTCAGATGAGCAGGTTGCAAAAATTTTCTCCCATTTTGTAGGTTGCCTGTTCACTCTGATGGTAGTTTCTTTTGCTGTGCAGAAGCTCTTTAGTTTAATTAGATCCCGTTTGTCAATTTTGTCTTTTGTTGCCATTGCTTTTGGTGTTTTAGACATGAAGTCCTTGCCCATGCCTATGTCCTGAATGGTAATGCCTAGGTTTTCTTCTAGGGTTTTTATGGTTTTAGGTCTAACATTTAAGTCTTTAATCCATCTTGAATTAATTTTTGTATAAGGTGTAAGGAAGGGATCCAGTTTCAGCTTTCTACATACGGCTAGCCAGTTTGCCCAGCACCATTTATTAAATAGGGAATCCTTTCCCCATTGCTTGTTTTTCTCAGGTTTCTCAAAGATCAGATAGTTGTAGATATGCGGCATTATTTCTGAGGGCTCTGTTCTGTTCCATTGATCTATATCTCTGTTTTGGTACCAGTACCATGCTGTTTTGGTTACTGTAGCCTTGTGGTATAGTTTGAAGTCAGGTAGTGTGATGCCTCCAGCTTTGTTCTTTTGGCTCAGGACTGACTTGGTGATGCAGGCTCTTTTTTGGTTCCATATGAACTTTAAAGTAGTTTTTTGCAATTCTGTGAAGAAAGTCATTGGTAGCTTGATGGGGACGGCATTGAATCTATAAATTACCTTGGGCATTATGGCCATTTTCATGATATTGATTCTTCCTATCCATGAGCATGGAATGTTCTTCCATTTGTTTGCATCCTCTTTCATTTCATTGAGCAGTGGTTTGTAGTTCTCCTTGAAGAGGTCCTTCACATCCCTTGTAAGTTGGATTCCTAGGTATTTTATTCTCTTTGAAGCAGTTGTGAATGGGAGTTCACTCATGATTTGGCTCTCTGTTTGTCTGTTGTTGGTGTATAGGAATACTTGTGATTTTTGCAAATTGATTTTGTATCCTGAGACTTTGCTGAAGTTGCTTATCAGCTTAAGGAGATTTTGGGCTGACACAATGGGGTTATCTAGGTATACAATCGTGTCGTCTGCAAACAGGGACAATTTGACTTCCTCTTTTCCTAATTGAATACCCTTTATTTCCTTCTCCTGCCTAATTGCCCTGGCCAGAACTTCCAACACTGTGTTGAATAGGAGTGGTGAGAGAGGGCATCCCTGTCTTGTGCCAGTTTTCAAAGGGAATGCTTCCAGTTTTTGCCCATTCAGTATGATATTGGCTGTGGGTTTGTCATAAATAGCTCTTATTATTTTGAGATACATCCCATCAATACCTAATTTACTGAGAGTTTTTAGCATGAAGGGTTGTTGAATTTTGTCAAAGGCCTTTTCTGCATCTATTGAGATAATCATGTGGTTTTTGTCTTTGGTTCTGTTTGTATGCTGGATTACACTTATAGATTTGCGTATATTGAACCAGCCTTGCATCCCAGGGATGAAGCCCACTTGATCATGGTGGATAAGCTTTTTGATGTGTTGCTGGATTCGGTTTGCCAGTATTTTATTGAGGATTTTTGCATCAATGTTCATCAAGGATATTGGTCTAAAATTCTCTTTTTTGGTTGTGTCTCTGCCTGGCTTTGGTATCAGGATGATGCTGGCCTCATAAAATGAGTTAGGGAGGATTCCCTGTTTTTCTATTGATAGGAATAGTTTCAGAAGGAATGGTGCCAGTTCCTCCTTGTACCTCTGGTAGAATTCGGCTGTGAATCCATCTGGTCCTGGACTCTTTTTCATTGGTAAGCTATTGATTATTGCCACAATTTCAGCTCCTGTTATTGGTCTATTCAGAGATTCAACTTCTTCCTGGTTTAGTCTTGGGAGAGTGTATGTGTCGAGGAATTTATCCATTTCTTCTAGATTTTCTAGTTTATTTGCGTAGAGGTGTTTTTGGTATTCTCTGATGGTAGTTTGTATTTCTGTGGGATTGGTGGTGATATCCCCTTTATCATTTTTTATTGCATCTATTTGATTCTTCTCTCTTTTTTTCTTTATTAGTCTTGCTAGTGTTCTATCAATTTTGTTGATCCTTTCAAAAAACCAGCTCCTGGATTCGTTAATTTTTTGAAGGTTTTTTTTTGTCTCTATTTCCTTCAGTTCTGCTCTGATTTTAGTTATTTCTTGCCTTCTGCTAGCTTTCGAATGTGTTTGCTCTTGCTTTTCTAGTTCTTTTAATTGTGATGTTAAGGTGTCAATTTTGGATCTTTCCTGCTTTCTCTTGTGGGCATTTAGTGCTATGAATTTCCTTCTAACACACTGCTTTGAATGCGTCCCAGAGATTCTGGTATGTTGTGTCTTTGTTCTCATTGGTTTCAAAGAACATCTTTATTTCTGCCTTCATTTTGTTATGTACCCAGTAGTCATTCAGGAGCAGGTTGTTCAGTTTCCATGTAGTTGAGCGGTTTTGAGTGAGATTCTTAATCCTGAGTTCTAGTTTGATTGTGCTGTGGTCTGAGAGAGAGTTTGTTATAATTTCTGTTCTTTTACATTTGCTGAGGAGAGCTTTACTTCCAACTATGTGGTCAATTTTGGAATAGGTGTGGTGTGGTGCTGAAAAAAATGTATATTCTGTTGATTTGGGGTGGAGAGTTCTGTAGATGTCTATTAGGTCGTCTTGGTGCAGAGCTGAGTTCAATTCCTGGGTATCCTTGTTGACTTTCTGTCTCGTTGATCTGTCTAATGTTGACAGTGGGGTGTTAAAGTCTCCCATTATTAATATGTGGGAGTCTAAGTCTCTTTGTAGGTCACTCAGGACTTGCTTTATGAATCTGGGTGCTCCTGTATTGGGTGCATATACATTTAGGATAGTTAGCTCTTCTTGTTGAATTGATCCCTTTACCATTAAATAATGGCCTTCTTTTTCTCTTTTGATCTTTGTTGGTTTAAAGTCTGTTTTATCAGAGACTAGGATTGCAACCCCTGTCTTTTTTTATTTTCCATTTGCTTGGTAGATCTTCCTCCATCCTTTTATTTTGAGCCTATGTGTGTCTCTGCACATGAGATGGGTTTCCTGAATACAGCACACTGATGGGTCTTGACTCTTTATCCAATTTGCCAGTCTGTGTCTTTTAATTGGCGCATTTAGTCCATTTACATTTAAAGTTAATATTGTTGTGTGTGAATTTTATCCTGTCATTATGATGTTAGCTGGTTATTTTGCTCATTAGTTGATGCGGTTTCTTCCTAGTCTTGATGGTCTTTACATTTTGGCATGATTTTGCAGTGGCTGGTACTGGTTGTTCCTTTCCATGTTTAGCGCTTCCTTCAGGAGGTCTTTTAGGGCAGGACTGGTGGTGACAAAATCTCTCAGCATTTCCTTGTCTGTAAAGTATTTTATTTCTCCTTCACTTATGAAGCTTATTTTGGCTGGATATGAAATTCTGGGTTGAAAATTCTTTAAGAATGTTGAATATTGGCCCCCACTCTCTTCTGGCTTGTAGAGTTTCTGCTGAGAGATCTGCTGTTAGTCTGATGGGCTTCCCTTTGTGGGTAACCCAACCTTTCTCTGTGGCTGCACTTAACATTTTTTCCTTCATTTCAACTTTGGTGAATCTGACAATTATATGTCTTGGAGTTGCTCTTCTCGAGGAGTATCTTTGTGGCGTTCTCTGTATTTCCTGAATCTGAACGTTGGCCTGCCTTGCTAGATTGGGGAAGTTCTCCTGGATAATATCCTGCAGAGTGTTTTCCAACTTGGTTCCATTCTCCCCGTCACTTTCAGGTACACCAATGAGACGTAGATTTGGTCTTTTCACATAGTCCCATATTTCTTGGAGGCTTTGCTCGTTTCTTTTTATTCTTTTTTCTCTAAACTTCCCTTCTTGCTTCATTTCATTCATTTCATCTTCCATCGCTGATACCCTTTCTTCCAGTTGATCACATCGGCTCCTGAGGCTTTTGCATTCTTCACATAGTTCTCGAGCCTTGGTTTTCAGCTCCATCAGCTCCTTTAAGCACTTCTCTGTATTGGTTATTCTAGTTATACATTCTTTTAAATTTTTTTTCAAAGTTTTCAACTTCTTTGCCTTTGGTTTGAATGTCCTCCCATAGCTCGGAGTAATTTGATCGTCTGAAGCCTTCTCTCAGCTTGTCAAAGTCACTCTCCATCCAGCTTTGTTCCGTTGCTGGTGAGGAGCTGCGTTCCTTTGGAGGAGGAGAGGCGCTCTGCTTTTTAGAGTTTCCAGTTTTTCTGCTCTGTTTTTTCCCCATCTTTGTGGTTTTATCTACTTTTGGTCTTTGATGATGGTGATGTACAGATGGGTTTTTGGGTGGATGTCCTTTCTGTTTGTTAGTTTTCCTTCTAACAGACAGGACCCTCAGCTGCAGGTCTGTTGGAGTACCAGGCCGTGTGAGGTGTCAGTCTGCCCCTGCTGGGGGATGCCTCCCAGTTAGGCTGCTCGGGGGTCAGGGGTCAGGGACCCACTTGAGGAAGCAATCTGCCTGTTCTGAGATCTGCAGCTGCGTGCTGGGAGAACCACTGCTCTCTTCAAAGCTGTCAGACAGGGATATTTAAGTCTGCAGAGGTTACTGCTGTCTTTTTGTTTGTCTGTGCCCTGCCCCCAGAGGTGGAGCCTACAGAGGCAGGCAGGCGTCCTTGAGCTGTGGTGGGATCCACCCAGTTGGAGCTTCCCAGCTGCTTTGTTTACCTAAGCAAGCCTGGGCAATGGTGGGCGCCCCTCCCCCAGCCTCGCTGCCACCTTGCAGTTTGATCTCAGACTGCTGTGCTAGCAATCAGCGAGACTCCGTGGGCATAGGACCCTCCGAGCCAGGTGCCGGATGTAATCTCCTGGTGCACCGTTTTTTAAGCCTGGCTGAAAAGCGCACCAGGAGCCCATTGGAAAAGCGCGGTATTCGGGTGGGAGTGACCCGATTTTCCAGGTGCTGTCTGTCACCACTTTCTTTGACTAGGAAAGGGAACTCCCTGACCCCTTGCGCTTCCAGAGTGAGGCAATGCCTCGCCCTGCTTCAGCTCGTGAATGGTGCATGCACCCACTGACCTGCGCCCACTGTCTGGCACTCCCTAGTGAGATGAACCTGGTACCTCAGGTGGAAATGCAGATATCACCCGTCTTCTGCGTCGCTCACACTGGGAGCTGTAGACCAGAGCTGTTCCTATTCGGCCATCTTGGCTCCTCCTCCCTCCTTTTATGGATAGTTTGTCGAGCTCATGTTAGCTTGGGCTTGTACCTGACATATTTTTTTTTCACTGTTCTCTTGCAGACCAACCTTTATGTACTGTTAGTGTTATACACTATTTTAGTTTAATTGGTGGATTAAAACAACTCCGATTTATTACCTTCCTTTTCTGAAATTTAGAAGTCTGAAATGGGTCTCACTTGGCTAAAATCAAGGTTTCGGCAGGATGGCATTTCTTCTGGACACTCGGGAGAATCTGTTTCTCTTCCTTTTTGAACCCCTAGAGGCCACCTGCATTCCTTGGCTCTTGGCCTCACTCTTCAGTCTTCAAAAGAAGCAACATCAAGTAGTCTTCCTCATGCTGCCATCTCTGTTTCTCCATCTTCTGTCTTCCTCTTCCACCTTGAAGAGGTTGGTGATTGCATTGGACTCATCTTGATAATCTAGGATTCTCTTTCCGTTTTAAGGTGAGCTGATTAAAAATTTTAATTTGTCTGCAACCTTAATTGCCCTAAGCCATGTAACATAATATATTCACAGGTTCCAGGAGTAAGCATGTGGACCTCTTTGGGGGACCATTATTCTGCCTATCACAGATACCCCTGTTGTCTTCATTTTTCCATTTTACTACTTTCATTTTAGGTTTATTCAAAGCTTTATGCATCCAATAAATATTTGAATGCTTTTATAGAAATACAAACAGGACATGGTCCCTGAACTTGAGGAGCTGATAATTTAGTAATGTCTTTCTTATAAAACGTTATAATTTATAACATTCAGTTTCATGCAGTCACCCGAGACTGTAGATAATTGTTCTAGATATTCTATTTTATTCTGTTCTCAATATTCCAGGTGTGTGTTTTGTGTGTTTTCATTTTATAGATTGGTAACTAGAAGTTTATTGAGGTAAAGACACTCTCACCTTGATGCACAATTTGAAAGATATGGAGGTGGTATGCAAATTTCAGTGTTCTTACTTGTCCAGTGTTCTTTACTCTATAATAGTGGATATATTCTAAGAAGTTCTTACTTTGTGTATAATGAATTAAAAATCTTGAATTTATTTTCCAATAATTCAAAGATATGTAAAACAAAATAGGAGTGAGGCTTACCCTGTTTTCACAGAAATTCAAATGAAACTAGAAAACTGAGGACAATGAATGAGAGAAGCCTTGTTTTATCCATGAGGTTTAGTGACGGTCATCTACAACAGTCTAAAAGAATAAGGTTAGATATTTATTGAAGTATTATTTGAAGGGAATGCAAAGTTTAGTGAATGCTATGGCTTTTCCTCTCTTCACCTCTTGGTGCCTTCTCACCCTTACCCAGAATACAAATGAGGGTAAGCTACCTTCTCCTCCCTGCAAAATAAAGCAGTCATAGAGACTATGAAGATCTTCAAGTGAAAAGCCTGTTACCTCACTCCCTACCTGAATGCTGGCCAAGATGTAGAAACTTGGTGAGTCAGCCCCATGCTGCTAGAGCTGAGAGAGAGAAGATTCTTGAAGGAATATGCCATATGTTAACCAGAGGAGATAATTGCATGATTATTACCTTAAGAATTCTGACAACAGGGCTTTGGTGGGACTTATCCACTAGCAAGGCAAGGAGTAAGGGGCACAGAATTTACATTATGTGGAAGGTAATGAGGGGATCACATGGATCAAGTAGATATTTCAGAGAAGACCTAGGCTTGAGTGATCTGGACAGGTTCCTCTCCACAGGGCAAAGAAACCTCATCCAAAGGAGGCTATGTGGACTGAGCCGCAGAAGGAGTCTATAAGAAGTCAGCCAGACAGTGGCGATGTCAGCAAGATGGCAGAATAGAAGGTTCTTACCCTGGTTTTCTTACTGAAACACCAATTTAACAATATCTACGAATGAGAGCACCTTTGTAGGAGTTCCAGAACCCAGGGGTTGAGCACCCCAGTAGTGCACAAAAGCCCAGGAAAACTACATTAAAAAGCACAATTTAAAAATTTCCATTTTATTCATATCTCTAGTGCCAAGAAAGATGTCCTCACTCTGATTTCTCCAGTGGGTTAAAGAGAGACCAAGGTGGGTGTTCAGCTTCCCCAGCATTTGGGGCCCTTCCCAAGAGGCCCACTTCTGTCTCACCTCAAACAGAACACCGAGGAAGCAAGCATGGCTAGGCCACCTGGGGACAGCTAGGAACAAAGAAAGATGGTGGCATCTTTCGGTGGCTAGGGTGCATGGATCTTGGCAGTAGTCCACAGCCACAGTCATTGGCCTGGCCTGACTGAAGCCCCTCTCTCTGGCCTCACCTGTTCAGGAGCCAAGCCAGCTGGGCCCACACTACTGCAAAGCAGAAGCAGCAAGCTTCTTCTGACCACAGACTCTGGAGACACTGACAGAAGGCCTATCCATTCACAGATGCAACCATCTGGCTTGCCAGCATCTCAGGAGAGGCTGACTAGTGAAGGGTTTTCCCCTGGAAAAGCCAGCTTGTAAAGACTAGAAGAGGTGGCTCCTCCTTCAAATGAACCACCAATGTAAGAATACAAAGATTACAAACTACAAAAGAAAACTAACAGAGCTCCAAAAACTGACCCTAAATAGACATCTATAAATTACTTGAAATAGAACTGAAAACAATCATCTTAAAGATGTTCAGTGAACTACTAGAGAAGAGATAGATAAGCTCAGTAAGCTACTAGAGAACAGATAGATAAGCTCAGTATACTACTGGAGAATAGATAAATAAGGAAACTATATGAATAAGAAAAGTCCACAAGAGGAGGCAGAGCAAGATGGTGAAATGAAATGCTCCACTGACCGTCCTTCTGCAAGGACACCAATTTTAAAACTACATGAAAAAATGCCATAACCAAAAATCAGGTGAGCACTCATAGTACCTGGTTTTAACTTTATATCACTGAAAGAGGCACTGAAGAGACAGATAAAAAACAGTCCTGAGTTATTGACGTCACTCTTCTCCTGCCCCCAGCAGCAGCATCATGGTATGGAGATTATCTCTGGGCACTAGGGGAGGGAGAACACAGTAATTGTTAGGCATTGAACTCAGTGCTTTTCTGTTAGAGTAGAAAGGAAAACCAGACCCAACTCAGCTGATGCCTGCCCACAGAGGGAGCATTTAAACCAGCCCTAGCCGGAGGGGAATTGCTGATCTCAGTGGTCAGAACTTGTGTTCTCACAAACCTCACTACTGAGGACTACAACACTCTGTCTCCCAGTAAACTTGAAAGGCAGTTTAGACCATAAGGACTACAATGCCTAGGCAAGTCCTAGTGCTGAACTAGGCCCAGAGACAGTGGACTACAGTGGACTGGTTGGGGGCGGGGTGGGGAAACATGATCTACTTAGACACCAGCTGGGGCTGCCCAGGGAATACTGGCATCATTCTGATACAGGAACTAAAAAGATATTATTTAGGTAGATAGGGTAAAAGTCCTCAGTAAGGTTTTCCTTTCAATAAAAAGCAGCCCCCAAATAATTTTTTTTTCCTAACAAAAAGCAGCCTGAAAAATCAAGCTGCAAGCATAGACAACTTGCATAGATAAATGCTGGCAGCTGTGCCAATAGGAAAGGGATACCTGGAAGCCAGGTATAGTCAACATGGAAGTTCCCTTTTTCTGTTTTTTTTTTTTTTTTTTTTTTTTTTTTTTTTTTTTTTTTTTTTGTCACCACGTGTGCAGCACGAAGCAGGCAACATGGTGCCAGCCTGTTAGAGACCGAATTTGCATAATAAAAGATCAGGGTGGGATGGCCAGCCTCTTTGTGCACTATGTAAATGGCACACCTCGTTTAACCAATCCTCTGTGCCCTATGTAAATCAGACACCACTTCCTCAAGCTCATCTGTAAACCAACTACATCTCACTGTGAACCCGAAAACCGTTTGGGAACTCTTTGCATAAGAAAGCGCTCTTCTTTCTTTTTCCTATTAAACTTCTGCTATTAAACCCACTCCTTGTGTGTGTGTCTGTGTCCTTGATTTCCTTAGCGTGAGGCAGTGAACCTTGGGTACTACCCCAGACAAATGACACAGCTTCACTGTGGGAGCTTGTCTGGGATTATCAAGAGGGTGAGTATAGGTAGGAGTGGACCTCAACTCTGTCCTTTCATTTCAGGGCTCTCCGCCTCCATTTTATTTATTATTTTTATTTATTTATTTATTTATTTTTGTGACAGAATCTCACTATAACACTCAGGTTGGAGTGCAGTGTCATGATCTTGGTTCACTGCAACCTCTGTTTCCCAGGTTCAAGTTATTCTCGTTGCTCAGCCTCCTATGTAGCTAGAATTACAGGCATGTGCCACCACACCCAGCTAATTTTTGTATTCTTTAGTAGAGATGGGGTTTTGCCATATTGGTCAGGCTGGCCTCAAACTCCTGGCCTTAAGTGAGCTGCCCACCTCGGCCTCCCAAAGTGCTGGAATTATGTGTGAGCCGCCACACCTGGCCCTTGGCCTCCATTTTAAAATCAAATCAGACCATATATTGTGTGTCTGATGGCCATCTAGATGCCTCTAGGGTGAGCTGTGGTTCTCAAGTCTCATGACAGGCTTTTTGGAGAGAACATGGCGAATCCCCCAGTGCGCTCAGATTGCTGGGCATTTTGTCTATGTTTCAAACCGGTTTCTCTTCATGGAAGACCTAGCCATACTCTTGGGGCTGGAAGAGGTCCTGGAGCAACTGAGGATTTCTGGCCAGGGCTACACCCTGGTGTCATTCAAAGGCTTCTGGACTGACCCCAGCCTCCAACTGCCCAATCGGATTGGCAACAGTATCTCCAGCTTTTTTAATTGCAAATGTTCTCCTTTCCTATCCACGACCATCATGTCTCCTATCCTCTCTCTCTCTGTGCAATGCTGTGGGAATTTTTACAGTTCAGGGAAATAGTCCTGTTATGAAAGATCAGAAAATGCTATAGTAACTGGGAGTGTAGCTCAAGGGAATGCCGTTTTTGTAATTTTCTAGGAGCAGAAGGTCTCCCCAAGTGAGTGTTTCTACCCTTCCTCTGGCAAGCACATGGTATTTCTAGGTCAACAGCATCACTTAGTGGAATAGAAGTTCATTCCATGAGGCACATTGTTGGTCCTTTGCTGAGACACTCTAGCTTCCCAATTCTCCTCCCTTTTTGCACCCCTCTATTAGAGTCCAGGCTTTATGCCTCTTCTGTGAATAAGAAAAACTATGCCATCAATGATCAGAAGGAAAATGTCCTCTGAAACCAAATTTTAGTCTCAAAACTGTCCATCAGCAGGAAAACCATCATTTAATCACTATTTTCTTGTAAGGCATCTATCCTGCTTGTAGTTAAAATGGTACTTAAATAGTAAGGGGATTGTAAGTCCAGAAGCTAACCAGAACCATTCTCTAAGGGTAAATGCTTTAGCACAGGCCATAATTGCAGGATATAGAGTTCAATCTAGTACACCCCCTCCATTAAAGGGGCCTTGGCCAAATGCAACTATTACATAGTCTTTCCTGAGATCTGTCTTTCAGGGAGCCATGCAGATCATACAAATCTAGGAAGTGAAAGGGGAATCACAAACAGAACTAGGGCTGCATGGGTACACATGACTAAACTCATCACTTAGTTCCTCTGGTTCCATGGCTTGGGGGTCATGCTGGCAACCCTGGGTGGCATGTTTAACAAGGTGCCAGGACCCCAGGAACCAAGGAGAGGAAACAGTAGGGGGAACGCCCCCAGTGTCTTCCCCGCCACCTTGGACCATCCCAAGGAAAAGATCCTTTTTTTCTCACTTCTCTTTCTAGATCGGTATCAGACCGTTTTCAGCCTGCACTCCTCTCAAGTGTATTCTGAGAGATTGGGACTCCTTTAACTGCAAAACTTTGAAGAAAAAAGCAGTTCATTTTTCTTTGCACAAGGGGATGACATTCTTACTAGACCTTTGCAAGCACTGCAAAATCAACCCAGCTCTTTCAGCAGTCATATCAGGCAGGTGTATAGAGAATGATTCCCCAGTATTAAAGAAGTAAATTATAGAGAAACCATCTGAGGATCCCCCTTATTTGGGACCCCTTTAAGTTCCCTTCTCATTACAGGACCTTAGGCAAATAAAGGGAGACTTAGGCCAATTTTCTGACAACTCTGATAGGAAGCTTTCCAAAATTTAACTCAGATGTTTAACCTCACATGGAGGGAGGTTATGCTGCTCCTAAGCCAAACCCTCACTGCTGCTGAAAAACAGGCAGCTTTGTAGGCAGTAGAAAATTTTGGAGATGAGCAATATATCTCCTATAGTAGGTCAAAAAGGAAAAAAGGAGATAGGGAAGGTGATATGTTTTGGCTCTGTTTCCACCCAAATCTCATCTTGAATTGTACTCCCATAATTTTTATGTGTTGTGGGAGGGACGTCGTGTAACATAATTTGAATCATGGGGGTGATTTCCCCCATATTCTCATGGTAGTGAATAAGTCTCATGAGATCTGGTGGTTTTATCAGGGGTTTCTGCTTTAGCATCTTTCTCATTTTTTCTTGCCGCCGCTATATAAGAATTGCCTTTCACCTCCTGCCATGATTCTGAGGCCTCCCCAGCCATGTGGAACTGTAAAGTTCAATTAAACCTCTTTTGCTTCTCAGTCTTGGGTATGTATTTATCAGCAGCGTGAAATGGACTAATACAATAAATTGGTACCAGTAGAGTGGGTGTTGCTGAAAAGATACCTGAAAATGTGGAGGTGACTTTGGAATTGGGTAACAGTTTGCAGGGCTCAGAAGAAGACAGAAAACATGGGAAAGTTTGAAACTTTTCTAGAGACTTGCTGAATGGCTTTGACCAAAAGCCTGGTAGCAATATAGACCATAAGGTCCAGCCTGAGGTGGTCTCAGATGGAGATGAGGAACTTGGGAACTGGAGCAAAGGTGACTCTCCTTATATTTTAGCAAAGAGACTGGTGGCATTTCTCCCCTGCCCTAGAGATTTGTGGAACTTTGAACTTGAGAGAGATGATATAGGTTATCTGGCAGAAGAAATTTCTAAGCAGCAAAGCATTCAAGAGGTGATGTGGGTGCTGTTAAAGGGATTCAGTTTTATAAGGAAAGCAGAGCATGAAAGTTTGGAAAATTTGCAGCCTGACAATGTGATAGAAAAGAAAAACCCATTTTCTCAGGAGAAATTCAAGCCAGCTGCAGAAATTTGCGTAACTAATAAGCTGAATGTTAATCTTCAAGATAATGGGGAAAATGTCTCCAGGGCAAGTCAGAGGTCTTCATAGCAGTCCCTCCCATCACAGGCCAGGAGGCCTAGGAGAAAATGGTTTTGTGGACTGGGCCCAGGGTCCTCGTGCTGTGTGCAGCCTAGGGAGTTGGTGCCCTGCATCCCAGCCACTCCAGCTGTGGCTGAAAGGGGCCAACATAAAGCTTGGTCCATGGCTTCAGAGGGTGCAAGCCCCAAGACTTGGCAGCTTCCACATGGTGTGGAGCCTGTGAGTACTCGGAAGTCAAGAATTGGGGATTGGGAACCTCCACCTAGATTTCAGAAGATGTATGGAAACAACCGGATGCTCAGGCAGAAGTTTGCTGCAGGGGCAGGGTGCTTATGGAGAACCTCTGCTAGGTCAATAACAGAAGGAAAATGTGGGGTCAGAGACCCCATATATAGAGTCCCTACTGTGGCACCACCTAGTGGAGCTGCGAGAAGAAGGCCACAGTCTTCCAGACCCCAGAATGGTAAATCCACTGACAGCTTGCACTGTTCGCCTGGAAAAGTCACAGACACTCAATGCCAGCCCATGGAAGCAGCTGGGAGGGAGGCTGTACTCTGCAAAGCCACAGGGGCAGAGCTGCTCAAGACCATGGGAACCCATCTCTTGCATCAGCGTGACCTGAAAGTGAGACCTGGAGTCAAAGGAGATTATTTGGGGGCTTTAAAATTTTACAGCCCTGCTAAATTTCAGATTTGCATGGGCCCTGTAACCCCTTTGTTTTGGCCAATTTCTCCCATGTGGAATGGCTGTATTTACCCAATACCTGTACTTCCATTGTATCCAAGAGGTAACTAGCTTGCTTTTGATTTTACAGGCTCATAGGCAGAAGGGACTTGCCATGTCTCAGATAAGACTTTGGACTGTGGACTTTTGAGGTAATGCTTAAATGAGTTAAGACTTTGGGGGACGGTTGGGAAGGTGTGATTGGTTTTGAAATGTGAGGACATGAGATTTGGAGGGACCAGGGACAGAATATGGTTTGGCTCTGTGTCTCCACCCAAATCTCATGTTGAATTATACTCCGATAATTCCCATAAAGTTGTGGGAGGGACCCAGTGGGAGATAATTTGAATCATGGGAGCGGTTTCCCCCATACTGTTCTAGTGGTAGTGAATAAGTCTCACGAGATCTGGTGATTTTATCAGGGGTTTCTCTTTTGCATCTTCCTCATTTCTTTTGCCACCATGTAAGAAGGGCCTTTTGCTTCCTGCCATGATTCTGAGGCCTTTCCAGCAATGTGGAACTGTAAGTCCAATTAAGCCTCTTTTTCTTCCCAGTCTTGGGTATGTCTTTATCAGCAGTGTGACAACAGACTAATACAGAACACAAAGAAATAATGGAAACGCCATTCCCAACAGGAAGGGAAATAGTTCCTCTTGACAATCCTGATTGGAACTCCGATAGCTCCACAAACGAATGGAAAGAGAAACTCTTTTTAATGTGCATATTAGAGGGCTTACAAAGAACTAGGACCAAATCTCTTAATTACTTTAAGCTGTCCATGATAGACCAAAAACCAGATGAGAATCACACAGCCTTTATGGAAAGGCTGAGAGAGCCACTAATAAAACACACCTCCTTATCCCTTGATTCAGTAGAAGGACAGCTCATCCTAAAGGACAAGTTTATTACACAGGCAGATCCTGATATTAGAAGGAAGCTGCATAAGGAGGCTATAGGAGCAGATAGCACCTTGGAAAACCTCCTGAGGGTGAACACTTCGGTCTTTTATAATAGGGATCAGGAGGAGGTCGAGCAGAAAGAGAGGAAGCACAAGAAAACGACAGAGGCTCTAGTAGCCGCTTTGCAGGCTTACAAAGTTCAGGATCCCCATGGTGCGTCTGCTAGTGGCTATCGATGTGGAAAGTCAGGACACTTTAAGAAGGAGTACCCAGGCAGCAAGGAAAAGTCACCTCAACCCTGTCCAGCCTGTGGCAAAGACCACTACAGATCAGACTGCCCCCGGAGATGGAGGTCACCGAGTTCAGAACCAGTCTCACACATGGTCCAACAGGACTGATGGGTTCTGGAGCTCAAACCCCTGGCTGTAGTGGCTCAAACTGCCATTAGGAGCCCCAGGTGATTCTGGAAATTGGAGGAAGAAAGGTAGACCTCCTTTTTTTTTTTCTGACAGTCTCGCTCTGTCGCCCAGGCTGGAGTGGAGTGGCGCGATCTCGGCTCACTGCAAGCTCTGCCTCCTGGATTCACACCATTCTCCCCCCTTCAGCCGCCAGAGTAGGTGGGACTACAGGTGCCCACCACCACGTCTAGCTAATTTTTTTTGTATTTTTAGTAGAGACAGGGTTTCACTGTGTTAGCCAGGATGGTCTCAATCTCCTGACCTTGTGATCCGCCAACCTTGGCCACCCAAAGTACTAGGATTACAGGCGTGAGCTGCTGCATCCAGCCAGGTAGACCTCCTTCTAAACAATGGAGTCAGCCTCTCTCTCCTCTCTCTAATCCAGGCCTCCCCTCTTCTTGTGGCACCACCATGTGGGACATCTCAGGAAAAACTCTAATATTTTTCTCAACCCCTTAGTTGCACTTGGGGGGACCTATTATTTGCAAATGCCTCCAAGCCATTGCCACGGTGGTCCTACTGGTCCTAAAAGCCACCAAATTAACCTGGGAAATGACTTAACTGTTTACACCCCATATGATGTGGCAGGATTACTGTCTTCTAGCGGGGAGCCTTTGGCTAACAGACAGTTGGCTCCTTAAATATTAGGCTCTGCTGTTAGAGGATTCCACAATCCAGTTAAAAACTTGTTCTCATCTAAACCCAGCCACTTTCCTTGGGGAAACTGAACATGACTCTGAACAAGTTATAATACAGACCTATGCAGCCAGGGAAGATCTCAGGGAAACTCCCCTAGAAAATCCAGATTGGACCCTCTTCAAAGATGGGAGCTACTTTGTAGAGCAAGGGATCCATAAAGCATGATATGCAGTAGTCACTCTAAGTGACATCATTGAAAGTCTCTCTCTCTCCAGGCACAAGCACTCAATTAGCTGCACTGATAGCTCTTACAAGAGTGCTTGAATTAAGCAATTGAAAGGTAGCTAGCATTTACAGTAATTTGAAGTATGCTTTCTTAGTTCTCCATGCTCATGCTGTCATTTGGAAAGAAAGCCATTTTTTCTTACAGCTAATGCATCTCCCAAAATTACTGGTTATTATCCTCAACTTTTCCTTCCATGAGAAATAGCAGGAATGCATTGAAAGGGACATCAAAGACAACCGATAAAGCAGACAAAGAAAATACGTTTGCTGATCAGGCAGCTAAGTCAGTGGCAAGGAAGCCTCAGCGCATCAACATACTTCAAGCCCCCCTAATTTGGAAAGGCTCCATAAGAGAAATTAAACCTCAGTACTCCCCTGCAGAAATAGGATGCATCACTTCTTGAGGATATACTTTCCAGCCCTCAGAACAGCTACAGTCAGAAGATGGCAAACTCCACTTGCCAGCCTCCAGCCAATGGAAAGTTTTTAAATCCACCAGGCATTTGATTTAGGAAAGAGTAAAACTTACCAGTGTGCCCAAAAATTTTCAAGAAAGAATTTATTAAGAACAGTCAAACAGGTTGTTAATGCTTGTGAAGGCAGCAGCTTTCTCCTCAAACCCAAAGGATGGGAAGCTTTCCAGGGGAGGTCTGGCAGATAGACTTCACCCACATGCCAAAGGTGAAGGGCATTCAACACCACCTGGCATGGATAGATACTTTCACTAACTGCATAGAAACCTTTCCACCCCATACAGAAAAGGCCTCCGAGGTAATAAAGCTGTTTTTCTGTTTTGTTTTTGTTTTTTTTAAGACGTAGTTTCACTCTTGTTGCCCAGGCTGGAGTGCAATGGTGCGATCTCGGCTCACCGCAACTTCTGCCTCCCAGGTTCAAGCGATTCTTCTTCAGCCCCCCGAGTAGCTGGGATTACAGGCATGTGCCACCATGCCCAGCTAATTTTGTATTTTTAGTAGAGATGGGGTTTCTCCATGTTGGTCAAGCTGGCCTTTAACTCCCAGCTCCAAACTCTGGAGATTTGGAATTGGTGAAGGCTCTCCCTTCTCTCTCTTTGTCCTGAGCCCAAGCTGGGAAGGGCCCCACACTGTTTTTCTTTCAGCCCCCTCAGTGGTAAAAGTTACAGGTGTCAACTACTGGATTTATCACACTGGAGTCAAAGCCTGGAAAGCTGTGGGAGCAACCCCTGACAGCCCAGAGGAACATCCTGAATATCAATGTGAAGAAATAAGATATCTGAAGCTACAAATCATAAAAGATAAGTGAGAGCTACTCATCTTACTCAGTCCCACCTTTACCTCAGCAAATACTTTGTCATTTTTATGTTTCTCTTTAGATTTGCCACCAGATATTAGAACTTCTTTTTAATGCATTTTTGCAGAAAGATTTTAGTTATCCTTGGGATTACATTTATAACTTCATAGACCCCCAAAGAGAAATTCTATGTCTTGGCAAGTAAAACTTTTTGATGGAAATTATCTACTACACCACCCTTGCAGAATTATATACTCACTCTACTATTTACAGAAGGATTATATATTGTAGCAACCCCAGAGTGGAATATTGGATAAAGAGCCTCAACTACTGTAATATTTTGTGGAATTATTATCCTTATAGCAGGGATAATAGTTACTGACAGGAAGTAAACATGAAAATTTTACTATCACTAAGTTAGCTAGGACTTCTTATTGGGTTTGGTAATATGTCACACCCTAGCTATTCAATTAAGGTCATAAAGGAAGGATATTTTGGCTGGGTGCAGTGGCTCACGCCTGTAATTTCAGCACTTTGGGAGGCCAAGGTGGCTGGATCACAAGGTCAGGAGTTCAAGACCAGCCTGACCAAGATGGTCCCGAGTAGCTGGGATTACAGGCATATGCCACCATGCCCAGCTAATTTTGTATTTTTAGTAGAGATGTGGTTTCTCCATGTTGGTCAAACTGGCCTTGAACTCCTGACCTCAGGTGATCTATCCACCTTGGCCTTCCAAAGTGCTGGGCAAGATAGTGAAACCCCATCTCTTTATGAAAAATACAAATTTTTTTCATAAATTTCTGGGTGTGGTGGTGGGCACCTGTAATCCCAGCTGCTTGAGAGGCTGAGGCAGAGAATTGCTTGAACCTGGGAGACTGAGTTTGCAGTTACCCGAGATTGTGCCACTGCACCCCAGCCTGGGTGACAGAGCGAGACTCCATCTCAAAAAAAAAAAAAAAAAGATTTTATATAAGAAAGGATCTTGGATGGTAAATTCTTGTCCTAAAAGGAAATAACTGGTTGTTTAAAAAAGGGGTGTTTAGGACTACTAAGAAAGTTTAAGCATGTCATAAATGGTCTGTGGAAATTGTGAAAGGATTGATAATTGCTGGAAAAATTTAGCCAAGGTTAACACTAAAGTTACTTTAGCCACCCAAATTTAATGCCATTTATCCTAAAAAGAATGTTTTTTTTTTTTTTTTTTTTGAGATGGAGTCTCACTCTGTTGCTCAGGCTGGAGTGCAATGGCTCAATCTTGGCTCACTCCCCGATTCAAGCAATTCTCCTGCCTCAGCCTCCTGAGTAGCTGGGATTACAGGCACCCACCATCATGCTTGGCTGATTTTTGTATTTTTGTAGAAACGGGGTTTCACCATGTTGGCCAGGCTGGTCTTGAACTCCTGACCTCAGGTGGTCTGCCTGCCTTGGCCTCCCAAAATGCTGGGATTACAGGCATGAGCCACTGTGTCTGGCTAAAGAATGTTATTTTTATCTTAACGTTTCTGGTAAAGTACAGCAACATTTGGTGGAGGCAAACAAGTATTACAATCCATTAGAATAGCTAACAGGTATCAAACTCTACTGTTATGGTTATGGCCTATAGTACCCCCACTAATAATGGTAATCTTAATACTTATATTCAAACCCTATATTCTAAACTTTCTTGTAAAATTTATCTCTTTTCATCTAGAAGCAAACTCCAAATGGTGCTGCAGACAGAACCACCTACGGACACACCTTTCTTCTGAGGACCCATAGATCGACCCCAGGAGGAGCCCTAAGTGCTGTTCCCAGCACAACACTTCTTTTCAGCGGGAAGTAGCCAGAAAGAGTCGTCGTTTAACACCCCCTAATGGCAGTTAGGGATACCACTCTTGAGGAATGTGTCACTAGTAGACATAGTTATAAAGACTTGCTAAAGGAAGTTTTTAATAGACAATCCCCATTTGAGTTTTATATGTCATACTTGATACTTGAAACAAAAATTATAACAGCACTTGATATTCAAAGCAATTATATTTAAAAGTGTAAAAAATAAAAGGACTTAAATGGGAGTAATATTTCCATACTTCAAAGTCATATATCAGTAGAATGAGATATATTGTAATATCCACAGCGACTACTACAAAAACTACATACTTAAAGTGTGTACCTCTCTAAAAACACCATAAGTAAATCAAAATGAATTTTTTTTTTAAAATGTTTAACCTACAGGAAGGCAAAAAAACAACAACAAAGAAACAGGAACAAAACCAGAGGAAGCAAACAGAAAATAATAAAATAGCATACTTAAGCTCTAAGGTATCAAGAATTGCCTTAAGTGTAAATAATATGCATACAGTGATCAAAAGGCAGAGATTGACAGTGTGTTAAGTATGAGTAGTGGGGAGAAACAAAGATTATTTTAGAAAATGACCTAACTAAATTCTGTCTACAAAAACTCACTTCAAATTCAATGACAGGTAGGTCGAAAGTAAAAGAGTGAAAAATGTATATTATGCAAACAATAATCAAAAGAAAGCAGGAGTGGGTGTATTAAAACTGGAAAAGGTGGCCAGGCGCGGTGGCTTACGCCTATAATCCCAGCACTTTAGGAGGCCAAGGTGGGTGGATTGCCTGAGCTCAGGAGTTCACAACCGGCCTGGGCAACATGGTGAAACCCCATCTCTACTAAAAGACAAAAAATTAGCTGGGCATGGCAGTGTGCACCTGTAGTCCCAGCTACTCAGGAGACTGAGGCAGGAGAATTGCTAGAACCTGGGAGGCGGAGGTTGCAGTGAGCTGAGATCGCCGCACTGCACTCCATTCTGGGCAACAGAGTGAGACTTGTCTCAAAAGAAAAAAAATAAACTGGAAAAGGTAAACTTATAAAGCAAATAAAATTACCAGAGACAGAAAGGAACATTAATTACAGAAATCTGGGGCTGCCTGAGGGCCATTAGCACATGTGCTTAAGAATAAAAAAGTCTACTTTAAGCTCAGAGCAGAGAAAGATATCCCTTCACAAAGTAGTGAGTCCAGCACTTTATCTCTTGGTAAGAACATGTTCCAGGCTCAAGACACATTATTTGGCAAAGCAGAGGTCCAAAGACTGCCTGCACAAAGTGCCTTTCCCAATGATATCTATATACAAAAACATGAACCAAACCAAAACAATTTAGAGCTGACCTCACACATGACACAACATACATGCCAGTGAATCAAAGGGCTGTTGAAATCAAAATAAAGATGTAGAGCTGAATCTCTAAATTTAATGTTAAGAAAGAATTGCAATTTGAAGCATACGTATAGATTGGGTGGTCTTTGGTATGTCCAAAAAGCAGAAGGTTGGGAGTTTTATATTACTACAAAAGAGGAATGTGACATGTATTCCAGAGAGAAAATGTACTGTTTTTAGTAAAGCTTTGATTTGACTCTCTTACCTGGGTCCAGCACTTAGGTGATTTGGCTCTCTTACCTGGGTGCAATGTTGCAGGGCCTAGGTTATTTGACTTTCTACCTGGTCCTGGCTGACAGGTCGGATTATGACATATACAGGGGCCCAGCACCTGGGTGACTTCTACCTTGGCCATGCCCAAAGGTGAGATTGTGACATATACTTGGGCCTGGCACCTAGGTGATTTTACCCTCATACATGGGCAAAGCCCACAGGGAAGATGGTAACTCATTTCTGAACCCAGCTCACTGGCCATATGATGACTCTCAAACCTGGACCCAGCTAGTAGGAGAGATTTTGATTCTCATACCTGGACTAGGAACACAGTTAAGATCATGAGTCTCATAGCTATATGAAAGTATCAGAGAAAATTGTGATTCACTTACCTACTATATAAAGCCCTCAAGTGGTACACAGTGTCATAATAGGGCCTACCTCATAGGTCAGAGTGTAACTCTTCTATGCACACCAAGCCAACAGCTAGTATTGTCACACTCATATATGCACACAGCCTGCTGCTGAGGTTTTTAATCTCACATCCAGATGCAGTCAAAAGTTGCAATTGTGACTCATACATGGATCTGGTCCACAGGTGGAATGGTGACTCATTTCTGTACTAAGGCCACAGAGAGAATTGTGACTCCCATGCCTACTGTATAAAGCTCTTGGGTGGTACAGAGAGTGTCATAACAGGACCCAGCACACAGGTGAGATTGTGACTCTGATATGCACATCCAACAAACTCTTAGGACTGTCACCCTCACACAAGGACACAGCCTATTCAGGTGAGGTTCTGAATCTCACACCCAAACACAATGGAAAGGCTGATTTGACTCATTTGGGCTGGAGGAAATGGAAATAACTTTTACCTCATTTGCATTTGTGACTTTTTCACATAGAAATATTTACAAATGGACATTATAGACATTCATATAATCATGTATGTGCATATGTGTATGTGTTTATGTACCTACCTACCTATATCTATATATCTACCAAAACAGCCAAGCAGAAAAAAACCTAGGTTGGAAGTCATTTTTCTGTCACTCCTCTTGAGCCCAGGTGAATCAATTCAGCCAGTTAGTTCAGTTAAAGTAAATCAAATCAGAGCCATGCATGGCTTCCCAATTTTCTTGCACCTGTGAAAATATCCTCCCAACCTGGTACCCAAGTGTTTTAAAATCAGGAGCTCATCAAATTAGCTCAGTGGGGTACTGGCCAGCCAGCTAAGACTGGGCAGAGCTGGCTGACACCAGTGGGTGTAGCATTCAACACAATAATTCTTTGACTTGGCCAACACGTGTCACTTTTGGTACTTCAGTGACTGATGATTCTGGCCTGGTTGTCTTTTGCTTGGGTATCACATTCCCTGGCATTTATGTTCAGTGCCCAAGTCTAGTTTCAGAGAACAGATGTAGGCTTTTCTACTCCTATACAAAAGGACACTTCTCAAGCCACCAAAACTGAAAAAAGTGTACTCCTATGTCATATGTTCATAGAAAAAAGGAAGTGCCCCTGTCTTGATGGGAGCCCTAATGAAAATGAGCACTCTCAAATCTGTGTGAGAGTCTTTGTGCTGGGGCTGGTTTATCTCTGCCTTGTGTTCACCAGAATGGAAGGGGTCAACACTGACCTGCTAATGAATGACTCCCATGGCCTTATTGCGTTTTCTGCTCACAGAAGTGAGCAACAAGGGCCAGTGGTTCCTTAGTGTACATTGACTGCAGCAGGATGTATGCCACAGTGGACCTCCATTAGTTTATTTGTAGGTGTAGGTGATAGGGCAGAGAGGCCTTTACCATGTATGGAAGTTTCTTTTTATATTACCATCAGTACCAATAAATATCAATACATCTACCCTCTCTACCTAGACTCTATATAAATATCGATAATTGGCTGATGTAGAGATAGGTAGATAAAAACACACAAGATTATATGTCTCTGTAAATATTCATGTATACATACAATGTTCACCAACATACATTTTGAATAATTCTGCCTATCTTAAGCGTGTAGAACTAGACTTTTGTCATATATGGCTCTATACCATCTCAGAATAGAACACAACCATGGAATGTTGTATGTATAAACATAAACAAAGCTTCACCTTTAGGGGCAATGCCTGGCAAGTAAGCCGGCAGTATTGCCATGTAAGGCAGGCCCAGCTTAGGACAACAGGGCCCTGCTCTCCTTGGCAGATTCCTGCACTGCTCATTTCCACTGCTGAGATCCTGTCTTGATCCTTCAGCACTGCCAATTTGACTAATGAGCTGATTGGATTCACCTATGCTGAGCTTATTGGCTGAATAGATTCATCTGGGCTGAGCAAATTGAATAATTACATGTACCTGGGTTGGAGAGGATGTAAACAGAAATGGCCTTTTACCTAGGTTTTATTTGGGCTTCTTTTACATAGCCATGCTCACAAATGGACATTACATAGACATACTCATATAACCCTGTATATGTGTGATTGTTTATGTTTCTATTCATGTCTATATCTACAACAAAAAGCCCCCAAAGAAACTAGGTCAGAGATCACTTCCACTTCTATCCCCTCCATCCCAGAAGAATCCAATCAGCCAATTACCTCAGACCAAATAAATCTAGTCCAAGCCACACACCACTTCCCATTCTTGTATCTGTGGAAAAAGTCATTGTTATCTGACACTTGTGTTTTTAATTCAGGTGCTCATCAGATCACCCAGTAGGGTTCTTGTTACCCAGGTAGGACAGGCCAGAGCTGGCTGGCACCAGAGGGTGGGTGTAGACTTCAGAAAAAGGAATCATTGGCCTGGTCTTTAAGAGCCTCTTTTGGCAGTACAGCACACTTTGACTCTGGCCTAGTTTTCTTTTGCCTGAGTACCACATTCCCTGACATCTGTTTTTAGTACCACAGTCTACCTTCAGGGCACAAACCTATACTTTCTTTGCCCTACCCCAAAAGACCCTTCTCCAGCCACCAAAACCAAAAGACAAGACTGTACTCTTATGTTCCATGTTCATAGAAAAAAAGAAGAGCTCCTGTCTTGATGGGAGCCCTAGTAAGGAGTCATTATTTTTGAATTTGTGTTAGGGCCATTGGGCTGGGGCTGGTTCATTTCTGACCTGGTGTTCATAAGAAAGGGGAAAGTCAACATTGACATAGCAGTGAGTGGCTCCCATGGCCTTAGTGCATTTCTGCTGACAGAAGGGAGCAACAAGGACCAATGGCTCCTTAGCATACATTAAGTGCAGCAGGATGTATGTCACAGTGTGCTTCCATTTTCTTACTATTATAGATACAGTTTATAGGGCAGATAGGCCTCTTCATGGATGGACGTTTGATATTACTGTCAGGACCTAAAAATATCAATACTTCTACCTTCTATATCTACATCTTGTATGAATATAGATACATAGATAGAAAGATACAGATATGTATATAAATACACACACATACAGAAATATATGAGTATTTCTGTGTAAATATGCATGTATACATTGATACTTGCCAACAGACATTTTCAGTAATCCTGACAATCCTAAGGGTGCAGACTTAGTCTTTCTTCCTTCCTATAGGGCTCAATACCATCTTAGAATGAAAAACAGCCATAGAACATTGTATGTATTAACATAAAGTTTCATTTTAAGAGCAAGTCCTGGCAGGTAACCTGGCGGTACTGCTACTGCCACTTAAGGTTTTTATTTTTGTTTTTTCTTGAGATGGAGTTTTGCTCTTTCTGCCCAAGCTGGAGTGCAGTGGCACAATCTCTGCTCACTGCAACCTCAGCCTCCTGGGTTCAAGCGATTTTCCTGCCTTAGCTTTCCAAGTAGCTGGGATTACCAGTGCCTGCCACCACGCCCAGCTAATTTTTGTATTTTTAGTAGAGATGGGGTTTCATCATGTTGGACAGTCTAGTCTCAAACTCTTGACCTCAGATGATCCACCTGCCTTGGCCTCCCAAAGTGCTGGGATTACAGCCATGAGCCACCGCACCTGGCCTCCACTTAAGGTTTTTTGTCCACCTTAACAGTTCAGGGCCCTGATTCCCTTCTTGATGTAGGCCTGCATTCTTCATATCCACCACTGTGGGCCTGCCTTGATTGTTAAGCAGTTCCAATTCAGCTTATATGCTGATTGGATTCACCTAGGCTGAGCTAATTGAACAGATTCACCTGGGCTGGGCAAATTGGCTGATTAGACTCACCTGGACTGGAGGGATGCAAATGGAAGAAACTTTCACCTAGTTTTCATTTGGGCTTTTATACATAGACATACTCACAAAATGGACATTACAAAGACATAATCATATAATCCTGTGTGTGTGTTTATGGGTCTTTCTACTTATATAAATATCTACAAGAAAAGCTCCAAAAGAAAACTAGGTCAGAGGTCTTTTTTGTTTCCATCCCCTCCATCCTAGATGTATCTAATCAGATAATTAGCTCAGTCCAAGTGAACTCAATTTGAGCCACACACCACTTCCTGTTCTTGTACCTGTAAAAAAGCCTTTGTTATTTGGCACCTGAGGTTTTCTTTAATTCAGGAGCTCCTCCAACCTGCCCAGTGGTGTTATGGCCATCCAGCTAGGACCGTTAAGAAATAGCAGACACCAGTAGGTGTAGTCTTTGACACACAGAGCCTTTGGACTGGCCAGTAGGGCCGCCTTTGGCACTTGGGCACATGTTCACTCTAATCTAGTTGCCTTTTGCCCAGGAACCATGCTTTCTCACATATGCTTTCAGTGCTGCAGTTTATCTTCAGGAAACAGACCTAGAGTTTTTTTCTTTGCCCAAATAGACCCTTCTCCACAACCAACCCTGAACAACAAGAGTGTACTTGTCAGGCCGGGTGCAGTGGCACATGCCTGTAATCTCAGCACTATGGGAGGCCAAGGTGGGTGGATCACCTGAGGTCAGGAGTTTGAGACCAGCCTGGCCAACATGATGAAACCCTGTCTCTACTAAAAATACAAAAAATTAGCCAGGCGTGGTGGTGTGTGCCTGTAATCCCAGCTACTTGGGAGGTTGAGGCAAGAGAATCGCTTAAGTCCAGGAGGCAGAGGTTGCAGTGAGCCGAGATCATGCTATTGCACTCCAGCCTGGGTGACAGAATGAGACTCCATCTCAAAAAACAAATGAGCAAACAAAATTGGGTGAAGGCCTTTGGAACTAGGTCTGATTAATCTCTGGCTTGGTGTCTACTGGAAAGAAAAGGGTCATGACTGACCTGGCAGTGAATGACTCCCATGGCCTTAGGGAATTTACTGCTCACAGAAGTGAGCAGAAAGGATCAATCATTCCTTAGTATACATTGAATGCATCAGGATGTATTTAGAGTATATGTTCATTTGTGTCCTATGTAGATATCATTTATAGAGCACATAGGTCTTTACATGTATGGAAACTTTTTTAATATTATTATTTTAATACCTAGCAATACTTTTACCTTGTATATCTTTTACTCTGTATGAATATCGATATATACATATATGGATATAGGTATAGACAGGTAGATAAACACAGGCATAGAGTATTATATGAGATGCCTTTGGAAATATTCAGTGTACATTCAATATTTCCCAACAGATGTTTTCAATACTCCAGCCTATCGTAAGGGCATAGATCTTGTCTTTCTTCCCTCCTATATGGTTCAATACCATTCCAGGATGGAACACAACCATAGAATGTTGTCCATATAAAGATAAAGCTTCACCTTCAGGCAAAAGGTCCAGGAAGTGAGCAAGCTGTGCTGCCATATAAGGCGTCATGTCCCACTCAGCACCTCAGGGCCCTACACTCCTTCTCGAGGGATGTCTGTGTTCTTCGCATCCATTCTTGTTGGCTTCGCTTGATGCTTCAGCAGTCCCGAGTCACCTCATTGGCTTACTGGACTCACCTGGCCTGAGCTAACTGGCTGATTTGACTCACCTGGGCTGCAGGGGCTGTAATCTGAAATGACCTTTAATCTAGATTTTATTTGGGGATTTTTTACACAGACATACTTACAAATGAACATTACATAGACATACTCATATAATGCTGTATGTGTGCGTTTACTTATGTGCCTATCTATATACAAAAGAAAGCCCCATAAAAAAACTAGGTCAGTGGTCATCTCTCATTTCAGCTGCTCCAGCCCAAGTGAATCCAATCAGCCAATTAGCTCACTACAGGTGAATCTAATCCAAGCCACACACCATACTCCATTCTCCTACCTGTGACAAAGTCCGTGTTACCTGGCACCCAGGTGTTTTTAATTCAAGGGCTCAGGAAACCAGCCCAGTGGGGTTCTGTCCATTCAGCTAGGACTGGGAAGAGCTGGCTAACATCAGTGGGTAAAGCCTTTGACAAAAAGAACAATTGGCCTGACCGATACAGCCAGTTTTGGCCCTAGAGTGCATGTTGACCCTGGCCTGTTGCCTTTTGCCCAGGTACCATGCACCCTAACATTTGCTCTCAGTACAACAGTCTATTTTCAGGGAATATATCTAGGCTTCTCTTCCCATAACCAAAAAGACCTTTCTCCAGCCAGCAAAAATTAACGACAAGAGTGTATTCCTACATCACACATTTATAGAAAAAAAATAAAGCTCCTGTCCTGATGAAAAGCCTGAAGAGAAGAAGTCGGCATTCTCAGATTTGGGCGAGGGCCTTTGGACTGGGGCTGGTTCATCTCTGGCCTGGTGCTCACCAGAGGAGGAAGGATTAACATCGATCTTGCAATGAATGATGCTTTGGCCTTAATACGTTTTTCTACTCACAGAAGAGCAACAAAAATGAATGGTTTCCTAGTATATATGAAATGCAGCAGGATGTATGTCAGAGTGTACCTTTATTTGTGTACTATTGTGGATATGGCTTATAGGGCAGATAGGTCTTCACATGTATGGAAGTTTCTTTTTATATTATTTTCACTGCCTCCATCTACCAATACTTCTATTTTCTATAGTGTGACTCTGTATGAATATAGACAGATATAGATAGATAAATAAACACACACACATACATGATGATATGAGCGTGTTTATGGAAATATTCATGTATACATACAGTATTCCCCAGCAGAGGTTTTCAGTACCGCAGCCTATTGTAAGGGCACAGACCTAGAATTTCCTCCCTCCTATATTACTCAGTACCATTCCAGAATGGAATGAAATCATAGAATGCTATATGTATAAACATAAAACATCACCTTTAGAGGCAGTGCCTGGGAAGTAAGTGGGAAGCAGCTTCTCTGGCTTCCTCTCTCCATCACCTCTCAGCTCACAAGTCTGCACTGCAAAGAGGCTGTCTTTGACCAACCAACAGAAATTAGGCCGATCTATCTATTTGATTAAAATATCTCAGTACAAGCAGCAAATATTGTATTTATTTTCTTCTAATTGTTTCCTTATGTATTACATATCTCCCTCTCTAAAATATAAACTTGACCAATATAGCCATCATAACTACCTTATTTACCTATTTGTTTCCAGCATATAGTAACATGTTTGGGGTAGATGTGTGCACAATAAATATTTTTGAAATACTTAGATAAATGTTCTCCCATCAATCAAACTGAATGAAATGTCTGAGGCTCTTTTGATAGGTCTAAGATGTAAGTAACTCTATATCATTCTAGCATGGTTTGCTAAAAGGCAACTCATGGGCTATAAAGGCAGAGACAAGGTAAGTATGGAAGTTTATATTATTAGTTTGGTAAATAATATTATGAAAAACATATAAGCTTTCCCTTAATTTTTTCAGTATTGAAGAATAGATTAAAATATCAATGTTTCTCTAGCATGGGTGATCTCAGTACAACTGGAGATAGTTTGAAGTTACTCAATATTTGGCTAACTGAACTTGCTAGTCTGCATATATAACAAACCCACAAGTCTTGACACACTGGTCTTTTAAAATATGGACTAAAGAAAATCGGACTGACTGGAACTTCCATTCTTATTCCTCTGAATATACAGCATATTCTGAATATAAAGACGGTGACATTTTAATCCCCCCCAAAATGAATATTTCTGGAAAATTGCATTCTATCAGTTTTCTTTGTTACCTATTTTACATTAATTTTGGCTATGCTATATGTTTCAGAAATACCAAAAATTTCTCACTTAAACAGTAACAAGTTAATTTCAGTTAAGATTGTTTATTTGCGAAAGCTGTTTAACTGCAGCTATGAGAGGCACTGTGGGGAGGTAGTCTGCAAACTGTTAAGATAGAAAAAAATTCTCATGGAAGAGTGAATGTGAGGCATTGTTTGCTAGAAAAAGAATAAACAAGAATAAGCTAGTGAGAAAGAAAACAAAAAATTACAAATGTAAAAGGAAGCAAATATGTTCCTCTCTTCCTAGGAAAAACAATTGTCTTCCCATCAATAGTAAAATTAGGAAAGTAAGGATAGACAGTAGATTTTGACTTTGTAATATTAGGTGAGAGGAATTGAATTTAAATTTTAGTATTCTGGCTTTAAAAATGGAATAATCTTGTGTTGACATCCTAATTTTTTGTTTTGAAATTTTACTGAACTATTAAATCCAAAAACACTAGAAACCAATTGATACTAAAAAAGATAGAAGTGACACATAAATAAAAACAGAGGCAGAAGTATCAGTGAGATGTATTTATCATTAGAAACTATCAGATGACATGGCAGCAGAAGACGGGTTCTCTGTTTAATCTCCTGAAGTGCCATGACAGACTAGTAAGACTGAGTTTGACACCTTGGTAGAAACTCTTTTGCCAAGTTGGTTTGTCATCCATTAAATTAATGTTAAATTACAAGAGTTGACCAGATTAATGTTACTCCAGAAAGAAGATGAGTATTGTTTTTAGATATTCAAGCAATTTTTAGAAGGTAGATATTCCAAACCACAGATACTCTATAAACTAATAGCTAGGAAACTTCACATAAAGTTGAAGTAACATAGATACAGCACTGTTTAAATGGTGATATTTTACAGTTATTCAAGGATTTTTATGACAGATTCATGAATTTATGTTTTTTATAAAAATTATTTATTAAATATTGCTTATAGTTTGACCTAATTGATATTCATAGATCAAATGAGAAAGTAGAAAAATAGGTTTATACTGTGTTCTTAAAAGCTTCAGAATTCATGTTCTTAAATAATACATTTTAGCCAAAAAAAAAAAAAAAAGAGTTTTTAAAAAAATTACTTGGAAACTGGAATGTTTAAGGCCTGATTTCCCAAATCAGCCATGTTTAGATGACTTGGTCAAAATACCACTTAAAGAAATTGATCATTTAAAATGACTTGTTATGTAAACAGAAAGATCTGAGCAAACTTCTTAGATTTATTAATAAAAGAGGGAAGAAAGGGAAAGAAAGAAAGGAAACAGGAAAATAAAAGGAGGGAGAAGAGATTGAAGAAAGAAAGTTGCTGAGGACATCACACTATAGAACAGCAATACATTAATTTTTGAAACAATGAAGTATTTGTTTAGGTGGCTGAAGGTGTGTGTCTGGCATCCATTTGTGTGTCTGGCATCCAATTGCTAAAACTCGAAAATGTTTGACATCATGCTTAAAAATTTCTTATTTTTAAGAAATAACTTATTTCTTATTAATTATATTAATTTAATAATTATTAAAAGTGAAAAGAGTTTTTGTTGTAAAACCATTTGTGTAAGCTTACTTACTTGTAGAAATATTGTCTTTTCATTTGGCCCTGGCAGTTGTGAACCCATTGCTAATTCTTCAGCTAAGTGATGTAAACAAATGTATATATTAATAAGTTTGCAAACTAGGCATTGTCAGGGCTGTGGTGTGGTAGGTGGAACTGTTAGACAGTCTCTTCATACATATAAGCCCTGAAATTTAGAGATCTGAGGTCATACAAAAATGAGTTTATTGTATGTGAAGTTGTAATAAAAACTAATAGAGGCCAGGCATGGTGGCTCACACCTGTTATCCCAGCACTTTGGGAGGCCAAGGCAGGTGGATCACCTGAGGTCAGGAGTTTGAGACCAGCCTGGTCAACATAATGAAACCCCATTTCCATTAAAAATACAAAAAAAAAAAAAAAATAGCCTGACATGGTGGTGCACGCCTGTATTCCCAGCTACTTGGGAGGCTGAAACTGGAGAATTGCTTGAACCCGGGAGGCGGAGGTTGCAGTTAGCCGAGATCACACCACTGCATTCCAGCCTGGGTGACAGAGTGAGACTTTCTCAAAAACAACCAACAAACCAACCAAAAAAACAAACAAAAAACCCTAATAGAACAGGCAGATGATTTTGCAGAATAAATGATGAATACTAAAATGTAGAAAAATATATAAAAGACAAGATTGGAATTGAGGGCAGAAGACATGGATGTGAGTCCTAGAGTTGATTTGAAGCTGTGCAAATCAACAAGATCCTGAGATGAAGAACAAAGAAAAGGAAGCACAGGGTGACAACCAAATCCTAAGTAGGGCACGCATTCAGGTGGCAAAAAGAAGAGAAGATGCAAACGAATATTGAGGCAAGAGAATAAACAGAGTAAAGCCCCACAGAGACCAAGACCAAACTGTAAGTGCGGTGAACTGCCTTTGACCAGTAGAAAACATAGGCTGCAGGATTAGATCTAGCCTTAGTCCTTTGTCTAACTTCAGCTATTCTCTCTAACTAGACTTTCTGATCAGGAATGAAACTGAAATGGGCCATCATTGATTTATTTTATTTTATTTTTGAGACAGAGTCTTGCTCTGTCACCCAGGCTGGAGTGCAGTGGTGCAATCTCAGCTCACTGCAACCTCTGCCTCCTGGGTTCAAGTGATTCTCCTGCCTCAGCCTCCCGAGTAGCTGGGACTACAGGCGCATGCCACCATGTCTGGCTAATTTTTTTGTATTTTTAGTAGAGACAGGGTTTCACTGTGTTAGCCAGGATGGTCTCGATCTCCTGACTTTGTGATCTGCCTGCCTCAGTCTCCCAACGTGTTGGGATTACAGTCATTGATTTACTTTCTAATGCTTTATGAGGAGCATTCATTATACCAGGTATTGGAATCATCATTTTCTGAGTAAAAATAAGGCCCACAAGTTTTTAAATTCTATGTAAACTAGGCAATTGTGATTTGTTCTCTATTTTGCATGTAAATATAAGTAGTTGTGTAGATCAATGGTCTGAAAAGAGCAAACACAGCAGTTAATGGGTGCAGACCAAGAGAGGGCAATATCCATGGAAAATAAAGATGAGAAAATCCAACTAGCCAGCAGAATCTGGCAGCAAGTTGAGCCTCTGCAAGAGAACCTTCTGCACTGAGTGCCCTGGGAGCTACTTCCCCTCTGGTGGTCTGTCTTGGCACAGAGAGCTCAAGAACAGCCCTCCAACTAACCTTTTTTTCTCCATGAACAGAATCCTGAGAGTTAAATTGGTTCCCATTGCTGTCTGCTCCTTGAATGAATACCAATGCAGCCATTCACTGCAGGTGGTTATCAGTCAACACTTACAAACATGGTGCAGATCAGTTTTCCAACAGAAATGCATTATTAAAGGCAATGCATAAAATATCTTTCAAAAGACTCAGAGGTGGCCGGATGTGGTGGCTCACCCCTGTAAGCCCAGCATTTTGGGAGGCCGAGGTGGGCAGATCACCTGAGGTCTGGAGTTCGAGACCAGCCTGGCCAACTTGGCAAAACCCCGTCTCTACTAAAAATACAAAAAATTAGCTGAGCGTGGTGGTGGGCGCCTGTAATCCCAGCTACTTGGGAGGCTGAGGCAGGGAGAACCACTTGAACCTGGGAGGCGGAGGTTGCAGTGAGCTGAGATCACTCCAGCCTGGGCAACAGAGTGAGACTCCATCTCAAAAAAATAAAAATAAAATAAAAGACTCAGGGATGTCAATAAATGTCTCAAAAGAACTCTGAAAGGGTTTCAAAAGATAGGTAAATCTTTACAGTTCTATTTTTTTTCAGTTATCTTGAATCATTTAAACAGATTCCTCTTTTCCTCCTTAAGAAAAGCATTTAGAAAGAATGCTTTTTTTTTTTTTTTTGCATTTTTTTTCATCAACACATTCTGAGTACATACATACTCCAGGGGCAGACCCTGTTTTGGACTTAGGAGACACAGCAATGCATAGGACAGACACAGTTTCTCCTTTGTGCAGTTTACATTCTAGTGAAGGAAGAAAATAAACCATAAATAGATAAAATGGTTAGATATAGTGTTAGACACAGGGAGTGATGCTGAGGAGTGAGGACTGTTGAAGGAACTAGCATCTGAACTGAAATGTAAGCAATGGAACTGACCCAGCTGTCTAAGTATGTGAGAGGACACCCTCAGTCATAGAAAAAGCAAGTGAAAACCCTGAGATGACCTAGAGCAACAGCAACAGTGACAATAGTCAGGCTGGCACAAAGTAGGCAATGTCAGAGGTGGCAAAAATGATACAGAGGAAACAGGCAGGTTTGGAGTCATTTACAGGCCTATCAGCCATGTGGAAAAATCTGGAGTTTGCTCTGTGGGGAAAGGAAAGTCATTAAAGTGTCCTTAACAAAGAAATGGCATAAGTTGATTGACATGTTGAACCTACCCAGTTTTAACATGGCAGATTCATTGCAGGAGAGCAGAACTCTGCTATGCTTTCCCTGTATGACTGCAAGAAATGGTAGTGCTGCTTTCTTTGAAAAAACAAGGGGTGAAAAATACTTCTGTGTTCAACAGGTGAAAGTAGCTCCATCTAGAACACAACTTTTCACTAAAAAGTAATCATGAATCTTCACTAGGCTCCTGATGAGGTCTTTGTTAAGTGAAACATATTTCCTCAACTCTTATACGTAAGCATATCTCTTCTTCCTATTATTTTAGCTAGAAGCAATGACAAATGTCCTAAGATGTGCAGTTCTAGCAGGAGTAATAGTGCACATGTTCTCAAGTAGAGCCTTTTGGAATGATTCAGAAATCACAGCAAATTCTATAGCAAGGAGAAAAGAATATGGCAGCCTTTTGTAAATTATAATGCATAAGGCAAGTAAACATCATTACTAGGAGTGGAATACCAAATGTGCTTAAACTAGGGAAAGCACCTGCACTAAACTTCTACTTTTCATTGCTTGGCCCATGAAATCTCTATTTGTAAGCAGATATCAAAAAAATATGTTTACTCTTGCAGTGATGACCAACCTATCAAAGTTGGAAGCTTTGAACTCTGAATTACTTCCCAAAATATAGACCTCAAGCTGGAGAGAGCTGTATTCATCAAGGGCATTTCTGTAAGAATAAATTAAATATTATATAAGAGACAAAAGACATAATTACGATCAAGATTTGTATATTCTTTTCTCTTGACTTTCAGAAGGAGGCATTTAAGCAAAAATGCACTTTCACCTTGTTTATATTTCTTTCACGGGAATTTATTTAACAAGCCCTTTGATGTAAATATCAGATCAGCCAATTGCTCTTAGCACAGTAGTACAAGATCATTTCATTGAAGGGAGGAAAAATTAAAACTACTTAAGAGTAACTCTGGAATGAGCCTTTAGGGTTATTAGTTAAATTAAGACATCCTTTTCAATGACTATGCAAAAAATTCAAAAAGCATTTTTTTCCGCTTGAAATTATCAGACTGATAACGCCAAAGTAGAAACATCATTTTCCCCTCTGCTCTGATTAGTATGGTGTGTAGAAAATGTATGGATAGTTTTTCAAGGTTATCAGGGCTGATAGACATATTGACTCCATTGTGCTCCAGGGGCTCAGATCCTGAGATCTGAAGAGATGCTGCAGAGGCCCCTTGTGGTGGTTAATACTGAGTGTCAACTTGATTGGATTGAAGGATGCGAAGTATTGATCCTGGGTGTGTCTGTGAGGGTGTTGGTGAAAAAGATTAACATTTGAGTCAGTGGGCTAGGAAAGGCAGACTCACCTTTAATCTGGGTGAGCACCATCTAATCAGCAGCTAGTGTGGCTAAAATATAAAGCAGGCAGAAAAACATAAAAAAAAAACACTAGATTGGCCTAGCCTCCCAGCCTACCTCTTTCTCCTGTGCTGGACCCTTCCTGCCCTTGAACACAAAACTCCAAGTTCTTTAGGTCTGGGGCTCAAACTGGCTCTGTTTGCTCCTCAGCTTGCAGACAACTTATTGTGGGACCTTGTGATCATGTGAGTTAATACTTAATAAACTCCCCTTTATATATATACACACACACACACATATATAATAGGAGATACATATATAGGATATATATAATAGTATATATAAAATAGAATATTATATATCCTATATATAATAGGATATTATATATTATACATCCTATATATAATAGGATATTATATGTATTATACGTCCTATATATAATAAGATATTATATATTATACGTCCTATATATAATAGGATATTATATATTATACGTCCTATATATAATAGGATATTATATGTATTATACGTCCTATATATAATAGGATATTATATGTATTATACGTCCTATATATAATAGGATATTATATGTATTATACGTCCTATATATAATAGGATATTATATGTATTATACGTCCTATATATAATAGGATATTATATGTATTATACGTCCTATATATAATAGGATATATTATACGTATTATACGTCCTATATATAATAGGATATATTATACGTATTATACGTCTTATATATAATAGGATATATTATATGTATTATACGTCCTATATATAATAGGATATATTATATGTATTATGCGTCCTATATATAATAGGATATATTATATGTATTATATGTCCTATATATAATAGGATATATTATATGTATTATACGTCCTATATATAATAGGATATATTATATGTATTATACGTCCTATATATAATAGGATATATTATATATATTATACATACTATATATAATAGGATATTATATATATTATATGTCCTATATATAATAGGATATTATATATTACATATCCTATATATAATAGGATACTATATATTATATATATCCTGTATATAATAGTATATATAATATCATATATATTATATATCCTATATATATCATATATCATCTGATTATATATATGTGATCTATATAGGATATATATATATATAGGATCTATATAGATATATATGGGATCTATATAGAATATATATATCCTATTAGTTCTGTCCTTCTAGAGAACCCTAATACACCCTTCAGCTAGAGGAATGGGTGGCTCAGGTTTTTGTTTGCTAGCTGAGTACATAGATCCAAAAGGCGGCATGTCTTTATGGAGCCAAAATTAGACTCTGTTTCTCATCCTGACAACAAGTCAAACTTTATAACAAATATTCTATGATCTAAGTGTACTAGATCCAGAAGTTCACATTCTTCCAGATTTGTCAAGTTGGGTATGTCTTTGTTGTTACTCAAAACCAGAGTAGAACAAGATTTGAAAAGATAAAAATTACTTGTTCTGTATGACACCCAAGTAGTACTATTAATAGCTTTGTAAGTTCCCCATATGAAATGTTTAAATGAAATGTCAATTAAAACTTCTAAAATTAATAAAGCAGTTTTCCATATTGTAGTACACAAAATTATGAATTGACCTTGAAAGATAAAGATTGAAATAGGATCTTGTCAAAGTATGTATGTGCAAACAGTTAATAACATCAGAGAAATATTTCTTACTAAATTATAAAATAAGCATAATATCAAGGTACTACTAAAAGCTTGAATGTGATGATTTCAAAAGAAAATGTTTATTTTTTAATTTACAATCTATGGGATAAACATCAACAATCACTTACTTATGTAGCACTAGGTGTTTAAAAACATTTAAATTTGATAACCAAATTTTCATCCTGGCTCTCTTACTTTCTGTACATCCATCAGGATAGGACACTGTGGGTCTGCTCTTCTCCAAATGCCTCTTTCTATGACATTTAGCCACTTGAGTTTCAGGTAACCTGTATGAATGTGGAGTGAATTTGACACAACTGCACATTAGTACAGCGTAAGCAGTTAACATCGGGGTTCCACTGTTGGATTGTCTGGGTAGAATCCTGGATCTGCCTCTCACTTACTGTGTGACATTTTGTAAATTATTTGAAGTCTCTGTTTTGGTTTCCTCAACTTTATAATAGAAATGTTAACGTGACCTACCTTTAAGGATAGGTAGGATGGTTGAAAGACATTATACTGTATACATAAAATGCTTGAAACAACGGCTAATACACACTACTGCCAAAAAGATGTTTAGTGGTGGTGGTGAGAGGCTTGGGGTGCTGACAGTGGTGGTGGTTGAAGTGAGAGAATTTATCATCAATCATTGGATGCATATCTAAGAAGTGACATACTATTTTAAACTTGGAAATACTCAGGCTGATATCTTCTCTGATATTATCACATAACCTCCATGTTAAGTACTACATTAATAAAAATGTACACATACATTTAATATCTCTGGAGGAGACAGATCAACCGTTCATATTCCTGTCTTTTAGTTGAGAATATTGAAATGGAAGATAATATGATTCTCATGCACGTCCGTGTGAAGAGACCACCAAACAGGCTTTGTGTGAGCAACATGGCTGTCTATTTCACCTGGGTGCAGGTGGGCTGAGTCCGACAAGAGAGTCAGCAAAGGGAGATAGGGGTGGGGCCGTTTTATAGCATTTGGGAAGGTAATGGAAAATTACAGTCAAAGGGGTTTGTTCTCTGGTGGGCAGGGGTGGATCTCACAAAGTACATTCTCAAGGGTGGGGACAATTACAAAGAACCTTCTTAAGGGTGGGGGAGAAAACAAAGTACATTGATCAGTTAGGGTGGGGCAGGAACAAATCACAATGGTGGAATGTCATCAGTTAAGGCTGTTTTTACTTCTTTTGTGGATCTTCAGTTACTTTAGGCCATCTGGATGTATACGTGCAAGTCACAGGGGATGCGATGGCCTGGCCTGGGCTC
Source organism: Homo sapiens (assembly GCF_000001405.40). Taxonomy (NCBI): domain Eukaryota; kingdom Metazoa; phylum Chordata; class Mammalia; order Primates; family Hominidae; genus Homo; species Homo sapiens. The sequence continues at coordinate 46,986,925 of NC_000008.11, read as the reverse complement.
AGAGGCCTGACAATGATAGTTTGTCAAATCAAGTAATTTTGTGATTCCTTGCTGCCTACTTCTTAGAAAAAAATAGCATTAGAATGGAACCCCTTCTGTTGTCCTGTCATGAAATATAAAATCTTGCCTGGATGTGCAGCTTCCCTTTCACCTTCCATCATTGTTCATCAGAAGTGTTTCTTCTCATGCCTGCAGTCCCAGCACTGTGGGAAACTGAGGTAGGTGGATCACTTGAGGCCAGGAGTTTGAGACCAGCTTGGCTAATATGATGAGACCCCATCTATATTAAAACTACAAAAAAACTTAGCAGGGTGTGGTGTTGCACCTGTAGTCCCAGCTACTTGGGAGGCTGAAGCAGACAAACCCAGAAAGTGGAGATTGCAGTGAGCTGAGTTTGCACCACTGCACTCCAGCCTGGGAGACAGAGTGGGACTCCATCTCAAAAAAAAAAAAAAGGAAGTGTTTCTTTTCTACATGGTTAATCCCTCTTTCTTGACTCTGGTTCCTGCCTCTGCCTCTTCCTGCCTTCTCAACTTATTCCGTTTATATTGCATTGATAACATCGTCTGTATTTTCACACACTCTCCACAGGCTCCTTCCTATCATTGTTTAAATTTTAAAAACCAACAATGAAGCAAAAAAAAAGTATGAGCTCTGTGCATCTAGTTATTACTCTGGCTCTCCACTCACTTTCAAGAATAAGCTTATTTAATCAAATTATCTGCATGCCCTGGCTACCTGGTGTCACCTCCAATTAAAAACACCCCACCACATTGCAACTTAGCTTTTAGTCCAATCATCTTCTGCAAGTGACCTTGCAAATGACAAATAACCTTCATATGCTAAACCCTCTTAACATATTTTATATCATTCAGTGCTTGATTTCTCAGGGTTATTTTATGCTGTTCAGTACTCTTAACCTTCAAAATATTCCTTTTTTCCCATGATATCATTTCTATGATTTTCTTCCTTTACCTTCTGCCAGTCCTTTATTAGGGCATGTTTGCATTGTTTTATAATTAGATCTTTATTTATCTACCTTTTCTGGTTTGCTCTCAGTCCCTTGCTTGTATGAAACATGTCTTGTTCTTCTTTATATCTCCAGAGACATTACAATGTTAAATTGATGATGAAGCAATAAACAAATGAATGACTGAATGGTTTTCCTAGAAAGTTTATGCATTCAAGGGTGGTAAAAATATATCATCAGGATAAATATTTTAAAAGGTATGGATTAACTTTAAATGTCATTTCCTGTAATAAAGTTTGTCTTGTTCCATTTTGTGTTGCTGTTAACAGAATACCTGGGACTGGGTAAGTATAAAGAAAAGAGGTTTATTTGGCTCATGATTCTGGAGGTGGGGAGGTCCAAAGAGCATGGTGCTGGCATTTGGTCAGCTTCTTGTGAGGGCTTCATGCTGCATCACAACATGGTAGAGAAGTGCAAGTGAACACAGAAACAGGTATGCAAAAGGAGCAAGACACCAGAGGCAACCTTGCTCAATAACAACCTGCTTTCTTAGAAGTGAATTCATTCCCACAAGAACTCAGCTTCAAGAGTGAGAACTCACTCACTACCACTACCATGGCACTAAGCCACCTATGAAGGTGACTTAACCACACATCACGACCCAACACCACACATCTCCCTTCAGTCCCACCTTTTGAAATTTCCACTTTCCAGCATTGCTGCACTGGGAATTAAGGTTTTGACATGAATTTTGGCGAGGACCCTCAAACCATACATACAGGATTAAGTGACAAGAGTAAAACTAGCTAATTTCATAGGTAAAATACTCGGTTGCATATTAATTTAATAAATATAAGAATATAACATAATGGAAATGAAGAAGTTAATCAACTCACAGTTCATGTTTATCCCTTTGTTTCCATTTGGTTCATGCACCCTTAACTGGTAAAACCTGCCATTCCCATCCCACCTTCATTTTACTTAGAAGGAAACATTTAGCTCTTATGACAATTTGCAAACTAAAGCTGATAGTAATAAGCCCAAGGAATACCATTCAATGAACACTTGTTAAAACTGTGAAGTCCTGAGCCAGATGCTATGAAGAAGAAAAACAATAAAATATCAATCTTGTCTTTGTTTTTAGAGCATCATATAATCAAGATATGAGGGGACTTCAAAAATTTCATGGAAAAATTAAATTTAAAAATGGGAGAAAATTTTCACAACCTACTCATCTGACAAAGGGCTAATATCCAGAATCTACAATGAACTCAAACAAATTTACAAGAAAAAAACAAACAACCCCATCAAAAAGTGGGTGAAGGACATGAACAGACACTTCTCAAAAGAAGACATTTATGCAGCCAAAAAACACATGAAAAAATGCTCATCATCACTGGCCATCAGAGAAATGCAAATCAAAACCACTATGAGATACCATCTCACACCAGTTAGAATGGCAATCATTAAAAAGTCAGGAAACAACAGGTGCTGGAGAGGATGTGGAGAAATAGGAACACTTTTACACAGTTGGTGGGACTGTAAACTAGTTCAACCATTGTGGAAGTCAGTGTGGCGATTCCTCAGGGATCTAGAACTAGAAATACCATTTGACCCAGCCATCCCATTACTGGGTATATACCCAAATGACTATAAATCATGCTGCTATAAAGACACATGCACACGTATGTTTATTGCGGCATTATTCACAATAGCAAAGACTTGGAACCAACCCAAATGTCCAACAATGATAGACTGGATTAAGAAAATGTGGCACATATACACCACGGAATACTATGCAGCCATAAAAAATGATGAGTTCATGTCCTTTGTAGGGACATGGATGAAATTGGAAATCATCATTCTCAGTAAACTATCACAAGAACAAAAAACCAAACACCGCATATTCTCACTCATAGGTGGGAATTGAACAATGAGATCACATGGACACAGGAAGGGGAATATCACACTCTGGGGACTGTGGTGGGGTGGGGGGAGGGGGGAGGGATAGCATTGGGAGATATACCTAATGCTAGATGACGAGTTAGTGGGTGCAGCGCACCAGCATGGCACATGTATACATATGTAACTAACCTGCACAATGTGCACATGTACCCTAAAACTTAAAGTATAAAAAAAAAAAGATGAAATAAAAAATATAAACTTTATCAACATAAGCTCCATGAAGTTCAAGACACTTTTGAGAGCAATGCTACCAGCCATTTATTCCATCCCTAAAGATCTGAGGGTCCTTGGAATTTAATCATGTCAAAGGTAACTGGGAAATAAAAATGTTTTTCAACAAAGGGTGCTAAAATAAATACATATCCATATAGAAAAAAATGTAAGTAAAACTTAACCCCATTTTACACTATGCCCAAAAATTAGTTTGAAATAAGCCAGGAGTGGTGGCTCACATCTGTAATCCTAACAGTTTGGCATCTCCACGTGAGCCCAGGAGTTTGAGATCAGCCTGGGCAATATAGCGAGACCTCGTCTCTACAAAAAATACAAAATTTAGTTGGGCATGGTGGCACTTACCTGTAGTCACAGCTGCTTGGGGTGCTGATGTGGCAGGATCACTTGAGCCTAGGAAGTAGAGGTTGCAGAGAACTGTGACTGAGCCACTGCACTCCAGCCTGGGCAACAGAGTGACATTTTGTTTCAAAAGAAATGTTCATTGATACAAATAAATGTAGAAACTAAAACAATACAGCTTTCAGAAGAGAAAAGAGAAATAAGCTTTTGTCCCTGTGGCAAAGGTTTTTTATGGTATAGAAAGAAATAATCATGACATTTGATAGAGTCCATTAAAATGAACAACTTCTGTTAATTAAAAAACTACCCTATTGAATAAAATGTACAAGTAAAAGACTTGGAGAAAATATTTACAAAGCAATCCATAACAAAAGGCTGACATCTTTATAAATCCGATATTTATTAAGAATTTCTATAACAAATAATAAAAGTACAAATTACCTCATATGAAAGATCTTAGCAGTCATTTCAAAGAAAGAGTATAAATGGACAATATCTACATAAAATGTTCTCAATATCACTTGTATTCAGGGAAGTGTAAATTAAAGCCTCTAGCAGATATAGAAGAAACGGAAAAAGCCAATAACACTGAATGTGGGCAAGAGTGTAGAGCAACCGAAGCACCCATATATTGTTGGTGGAAGTGGAAAATAATAGAACTACTTTGCAAAATAAGTTATATTAAACAGCTAAAATTATACTTACCTCAAGACCCCACAATTCCAATTTTAGGTATTTCCCTAAGACAAATAAAAGCATGTTTACAAATATCTACATAAGAATATTCATAATTGCCAAATTTTTCAATTAGTCCTTTGTGGCAGATATTATTATTTTATTGAGCTCGTATCTATAATTGTTTGGTGAGCAAAATAAAAAATTATATTATGACTAAATAGTATTTTCTGTTACTATGTAATACATCATAAGTAACTAAATCTTAAAAATATAAAATTTCAGTAATTTATGTTATTATTTATTCATTTTATATCAAGAAATACATAAGCCATTTCCCACTATTTTCTTGATGTCACCAAAACTTCAAGTAGAGATTTTTGCTTTAACAAATATATAAATTAAACTTTATATTAAAATCTAAAGTTATTTTAACGACCACCCCATCCCACCCCACCCCCTTAGAAGTGACTATTTATACCATCATGGAAGAAAAGAAAAAAACAAATAACAAGACATAGAAATCCATAGAACTTTTAAAACTGAGCCTATTTTATTTATTTCTATGGGATATAACAGCAGGGCTATCCACATTTAATTTTATTTTTTGTTGTCTGTCTGGTGATCTTATAGAAAGTCAGCGAGCAATCTTCAATGTGTATTAAAGGATGCAGGGTGTATAATATGGTTATAAAACTGTAGCATTGAATTATTACTTAAATACTTATCACACAACTTGCTACTTAAAATTTTACTTATCTTCCTTGTGTTTCTATTGAAAGTAAAATAAATTATTGACAAGTCTCCTGTTTTCTGATTTTTTTCATTAGAGGCTATATTAGTTTCTATTAATTAAATTAGATGACCTCTCATACTGTTGGGATTGAAAAATCCATTTGTAAGTACAAAGCAGAAACCTGATAAAGAAAACATTGATTTGTTTTTTTCCAGTATCATGTGTATTGATCATCCAGTTGGATTTAGCTTTTCCTGACTATGTGATGTTTTGTTGCAAAACGGCTAGTCAATGATGCCAGCTACTAAGAGCAGCTGCTGTGAAAGGGTAGTTTGATATGTATTGCCATACTAACAAGACAAATTTGAAAAGGCTGAAGTGCAGCCACTGCAACCAGAAAGGGCTTAAATAGAGAAGTCATGTCCATTCACAAACATTCTTGCTGTGTCCTTCAGAATGGAGAGAAAACAGTTTGACTGTCATTCCATATCTGAGTATTTTAAATAAGCAGCAAGGTATCTTCATGATTTTAATGTGTTGCCAGATGAATATTTAAAACACAATTATCTGAATCTCTTCATTCATAAATATCCTGGAAATATATTTTCTCTGTGTCAGGCAGAATATGAGTAGTTGGCAATTCGTCTTGGCATAGGAGAGTTCTGCATCTTCTGTGCAGCTGTTCATCTTGGATATGCACTTCCTCCTGGCCACTAAGTGACCACATACTCCCTCCAATGCCATCTTTCCCTTCAGGCATTGAGCTGACTCACATAATCTTGCACTGACTACTAGGGTTTTCTAAGTTCATACATCATCTTACAGAATGTTCAGCACATTTAAATGAATGTTTATCATATACATTTTAATAGAAAAAGATTTGGTCAAATGAATACACTTTTTTTTTTTTTTTTTTTTTTTTAGATGGAGTCTCGCTCTGTCACCCAGGCTGGAGTGCAATGGCATGATCTCGGCTCACTGCAATCTCTGCCTCCCAGGTTCAAGTGATTCTCCTCCCTCAGCCTCAGCCTCCTGAGTAGCTGGGACTACAGGCATGTGTCACCACTCCCGGCTAGTTTTTGTTTTTTTAGTAGAGATGAGGTTTCACCATGTTGGCCAGTCTGGTCTCGAAGTCCTGACCTCAGGTGATCCACCTGCCTCAGCCTCCCAGAGTGTTGGGATTACAGACGTGGGCCACCACACTTGGCCATGAATACACTTCTAAGTATAGAATCTTAGACATCAGTGTCTATTTTCCATCTATATAGGGGGGGAATTAGTGGAAATGATACTTCTTTAAACCTCCGAATTTGCACAGCTTGCAAACCCAGCAACTCTGTAGTTCATTGGAAGAAAAACAAAATGTTGCTTCAAATAAAATGAGAATATTCCTTCCAAATATTTAGATAATAAAATGTTTTATTTGTTTTAATTTTATAATTTCTCTTAGTAGCAGATAATTAGATAGATACCAAAGGTTTCCCCCACTTTGGGGAAATTATATCAATTTAAATAATCTTTCATGTAATTTTAAAAGTGCATGTTTTTCTAAATTTAATTAATGGAGATATCAATAGCATAAGACTTTTATATTAATATAGATTTTCAACTGGACATGTTGAAAAAACTATTCTGGTGCTTCATTAAGTCAATAACATCTTCTAACTCTCCAATTCTGGAAGGTATTAGAAAATAGAAAAAGAGAGATTTTTAAAACTTTTATAATAGTTTGGAGAAGGCTGGGCATTGTGGCTCACGCCTGTAATCCCAGCACTTTGGGACAATGAGGTGGGCAGATTACCTGAGGTCAGAAATTCAAGACCAGCCTGGCCAACATGGCGAAACCTCGTTTCTACTAAAAATACAAAAATTAGCTGGGCGTGGTGTCGGGTGCCTGTAATCCCAGCTACTCTGGAGGCTGAGGCTGGAGAAACTCTTGAACTGGGGAGGCGTAGTTTGCAGTAAGCCAAGATCGCTCCATTGTACTCCAACCTGGGCAACAAGAGCAAAACTCCATCTCAAAAAAAAAAAAAAAAAAAAAAAGTCTGGGGAAATATCTTTTAAATACCTAAATCATCTTAAGAAAATGTTGAGATATTCTAACATTATAAAGCGAATTGTATAACCAAAAAGGGATAGAGGGACAGATAAATTGTGGGAAGTTTTCACTATGAAATCAATAAGAGGTAGTCTTATTAAGACAGAAAGATGGCAGAAATGATAGATCTTCAGTGGTTAAAAAAAAAGATGGAAGCATAGGAAAATATGGGCATGGCATTTAGAATAGAGGAAGTACAGAATAGGATAGAAGATAGATAGATAATAGATAGAGGTAGAGATATAGATAGAATCATTTCAGCAAGCTGGAGAGAAAAGCAGAATAAGAATACTAAGAACCTGGCATGCCAGGCCAGAGACTTTTGAATTTGATCTGAAAGAGGTGTAGTTCTCAGGGCCTGGAAGAGGCATGATGGGAGCGTCTATCGACCAGGCATCTGCTGGGTTGTCCACCAGTGCAAGGTGGTCACCTGCTTGGGGCATGACTGAGGGTTGCTGAACTGCCTACAAACCCTGGGTGTCAAAATGAGATTATGATGTTTATTTACACACTTGACTTGTGCTGTAATCAGTTTCTATTTATCTTCTTTTCATTGACCCCTTTGACGAGCTCTATGCATTATGAATAAAGTAATCAGAACATTAATTGCCAGTTGGCTGCATCACAGCTTATGAACAGATCTGTGGGACACAGTGAACTGTTTTTTCAGCCATCTCACAATAAAAACTAAACTGCACCAACTTTTTTAAAGGACATACTAGAAAAATTTATGGAATAGCCTGCTAGCTCAGTTCCAGGGAAAAGTATCAAGTGAAATATTATGTGAAGACAGAATGTCTATTGCAGTTTTCAATATCATGATGGTGGGGATAAGTTCTAAATTAGAGAAGAGATTATAGCCCCACACATCCCCCTATCAATTCCCTAGCTGGCTTCTCATCTTGGGTGTCTAATTTGGTCATGCTAATTTAGTCTCTAAAAATATTCTATTTTTCTTGTTAATGTTTTCAATTCTAGCAGTTGTTTCTGTTGTCTTTAATTTAATTTTTGTATATTTAAAATAAAAGATCAAAACTATCATTTTAAAATATACAAGTCTTGCTTCTACTCCAAAATCATCTACCCTGTTGTTACCCATCATTTTCATTAGTTCCTAGTTGATATCCAGATATATGTCTAGTGTTTGGATATATTCTTATTTATTCTTTTTTTACACAATATATACAATATCCTGTACCCCTTGCTTTGATCACTTACAAATATATCCTGGTGACTTTTTATTCTCTCTCTCTCTCTCTCTGTGTGTGTGTGTTTAGTTGAAAAATATTCCACTTGGGTATGTGTTCTATGTTGATGAGCATTAATTGTGGTCCCTGGTTTTTTTTTTTTCCAATAATGGCACACTGAATAAACTTGTGCATTTTTTCCCTATTTGTGGAGGAATAATACTTCTAAAACTTTTCTAACTATACAGAAAGTTAATAAGTATTATAGAAGAAATAATGTTCTCATTTTGTAGTTTTGGAAATGTTCTATTATTTACAAATGGCTCTTTAATGCCTTCAATTTGCAGAACACTTTAAAAATACCAATAGCAGGCATTACAATATTGGTTCATTTGCTGACCAGGGAGAGAGCTGAATCTTTCTCTATGTTCTCTAAAGAGAAAATGTATAAAGTGAACCTTACATTTCATTTGGAAATGAAGAACCCTATCATTTGTACTCTAATACTGCAAACAATATGGTTGGGTATGCTGCATTGCAGTCAGACTGTTTCAATTTATATTTATAAATGTTTTCTTTGTATAAATAAAATGACTTTGAGATTCTCTTCTAAATTTGTTGTCAATCTCCTAAGATTTGACATTGAGGGTATTATTTATTGCAATTAACCAAGGAGTAAAAAAAAATATTTTTTATTTTCATGAAACAATGGGGGATTTTCTAATTAATCTGATATTTTACTTAGCTATTATAATTCAATTTATGTAACTTTTCTGGTCATTCTTTGAAGGCATTTTTATCATCCATGAGAATCTGAAATATCAAGGGAAAATATTTCAATATTCATTTAGCCCTGCAGGGATCTTTGTGCTGTTCCACTGCAAATAACTGTGTAGGCCTTTCAATGTTTTCAGTGTCAGGAAGCAAGTTCCAACTTTTTTATATCATTATTTTTTATTGCTGACAAGATAAATGAAAAAAACTGAATTACTTATTATTATCACTAATACTAATTATCCAATTATCCAACAACAAAATAAAAGTAGTTAAAAACTCCTTTTTATTATATTATGCCATGCTAGAAAATAAAGTATCATTAATAATATTTTTGTGTGTAACGGTCCATTATATTCTAGATTATATTTAAAGCAACAGTACTTGGTTATCAAATTATTTTATTTCTTAGTTATGCAGCTTCATTCTCACTATTTTTATAACTTTTTTCTAAAGAGAACCAAGACTACATAAAAATGTAGTGTCATGTTCATCATTGGCTTTCTAATGAAGAAAACATATGAATAGCAATAAATGCTTGACACTTAAAGTAATAACTGCATTTATTTGCCACAAATCCTCTAATGTGTACACTGGTCATGTTCCAGTGATGCTTTAGCTCATAGATAAACCCAACGCATTTTTATTATAACATAACTAAACTTGTGTGTTTCGATCTAGAAGTAAAATATATCCCAAATAAAAGGTTTTGAAATAAACATGTGGTGCCCAATAGATTAATTATTTGTAATAGGTAAAAACGTGGGGAGAAAAGCTGTGTGGATGAGATGAAAATGTTATTTCCAAAGATTATATGCAAATGTATGCATTTTCCAAAGATCTAGACAGAGGCCTGATGATGAAACATCCAGGTTTAGCTGTTACAGTCCGTGTTCTGTTCTAGATCTCCATTCTCTGGGCTGGGTGTCTTGATGCTGCACAAGCCAGTGTTCAGGACATGGAGAACCTAAGTGTCTTCCTCCTGCTTCAAGAATTTAATAAATATGCAGGTAATTATTGTGCCAATGACGAGCTTCACTCTGGAAACTATGTATTTCTCCAAGCCCCATCCAGACTTTTGTGATTCCAATCTGCCATGGGGCTAGAAATAAACACTGTCGTTTAAAATACAGAGCCAGGCTGGGTGCGCTGGCTCATGCGCGTATTCCCAGCACTTTGGGAGGCTGAGGCAGGAGGATCCTTTGAGTCCAATAGTTGAAGACCAGCGTGGGGAACATAGGGAGACCCCATTTCTACAAACTGAAAATTTCAAAATTAGCCAGGTGTGGTGGCACCAACTGCAGTCCCAGTTACTCTGGAGGCTGAGGTGGGAAGGTCACTTGAGCCTGGGAGGTCGAGGCTCCAGTAAGGCATGATTGCACCACTTCATTCCAGCCTGGGTGACAGAGTGAGAGCCTGTCTCCACACAAAAAATTTAAAATTAGCCAGACATAGTGGCATGTACTTGTAGTCCTAGCTACTCAAGAGGCTAAGGAGGGAGGATCGCTGGAGCCCAGGAGGCTGAGACTGCAATGAGCTGTGATTGCCACACTGCACTCCAGCTTGGGCCACAGAGCAAGACTCTGTCTCAAGAAAAAAATTACAGACCCCCAAAATTTCAGACCCCATCCACTTTTCAAGTTCCTCACACTTTAGTTTTATGTTATCTTTTGACTCCAGTCCTTATCCCTTGCTTTCTACACGTAATTTTGGAGAGAAGCAGACAAATCTCCATTCTTGGAATATACAAGGCACTTTTATGCCTGCTTGCTTTGATTTTAATTGCTTCTGCTTAAATCCCCCCTTCCACCCGCTGCGTCTCCATCGCATCTGCATCTGGCCATGTAGTTAGTTCCAGCCAATATGACTAGTTAAGAATGATTAGGAGTGTCCCACCCAGATTTCAAGAAGTGGTTGTGCCTCTCCCACTCTCTTTAGTCTTCTGGTAGGTGGATGGCAGAGGTTGAGGAGGCCCTAGGAAGCAGCAAAGTATGGGAAGGAAGAAACTCAGGTTCCAGAATCATTGGGTAGGATAACTGCACACCCATTTGCACAGCCACATGAGGCTGCCACACGTGCCACAAAGCTCCGTTAGTAAGCCCCTGGTATTTTGGAGTTGATTTGTTCAGAAATTTAAAACACTGAATACTAGGCCAGGCACGGTGGCTCACACCTGTAATCCCAGCACTTTGGGAGGCCAAGGCGGGTGGATCACCTGAGGTCAGGAGTTCAAGACCAGCCTGGCCAACATGGTGAAACCTCTTCATTATTAAAAATACAAAAATTAGCTGAGTGTGGTGGTGGGTGCCTGTGATCCTAGCTACTGCAGAGCCTGAGGCAGGAGAGTAACTTGAACCTGGGAGGCAGAGGTTGTAGTGAGCTGTGATCACGCCACTGCACTCCAGCTTGGGCGACAGAGCAAGACTCTGTCTCCAAAAATAAATAAGCAAATAAATAAATAAATAAATAAATAAATAAATAAATAAAACACTGAATATTGCAGACCCTAGGAGAGGAGGAGGATTCCACAATTTAAACTTGGTCACTTGGCTCTCACGGGTAGGGGTTACATAGCGGTGACTGTGGCAAAGCGAGAACCTCAGAGATGCTGCTGCCGCCAGGACAGCCAGAGACCTAAGCCGACACTGGGGGCTGTCCGCGGGCCCCACACTCTCTTGAGGAGTTGCAAAAGTCCCGTTGTATCAGAGTAAGATGGACGGTAGCTTTGATTGTGATCGTGGTGAGCTAGAGCCACCTGATCACTAACAGAAGACATCTTCTGTTAACCAACAGCCGCCAGGGCTTCCTGTTGAAATATATAGCAACAAAGGAAGAAAAGAAGCAAAACAGAAATAGTGCTTGCCAGCACCTTAGAACAATGCTGCTCAGGACTAGTCCAACACTGAATGTATCTGTACTGTGAGGAGAATGTTCATAGAAGACTGTTGTGTGCATATTTATTCACATGTTTGTTAAATGTCATATCATTTAGCACAGTAATCTGAGTGCATAATATGTCATTTCATGCCGTTTGAGTTTCTTGAGTGTTTTCTTTAAATGTCTGCAGAGTTGCTGCCCCTTTCTTGAACTATGAGTACTGCAATCTTTTTAATTCTCCTTGTGAGTAGAGCTTTTTGAGCTTTAAGTCTAAGGGTAACTCAACAGGCCTGTTTGACATATGCAGTGAACATCAAGAAACCATCTTGCTGTGGAACCATAATTATTTTTCTTCTCCCTTTTTGAAAGATCTTTCCTTCTGATGCCAATTTTCTTCCTTGTTTACACAAGTTCAACAATTCGAAAGGAAAAGGCAATAGTAAGGGTTTCAAAATGGCAGAGAAATTTGAAAGTCTCATGAACATTCATGGTTTTGATCTGGGTTCCAGGTATATGGTCTTAAAACCATTGGATTGTGGAGGCAATGGCTTGGTTTTTTTCTGCTATAGACAATGACTGTAACAAAAGAGTGGCCATCAAGAAAATGGTTCTCACCAATCCCCAGAATGTCAAACACGCTGTACGTAAAATCAAAATTATTAGAAGACTTGACCATGACAACACTGTGAAAGTGTTTGAAATTCTTGGTCCCAGGCGAAACAGACGATGTGGGCTCTCTTACAGAGCTGAACAGTGTTTACATTGCTCAGGAGTACATGGAGACAGACCTAGCTAATGTGCTGGAGCAGGGCACTTTACTGGAAGAGCATGCCAGGCTTTTCATGTATCAGCTGCTACGGGGGGTCAAGAATATTCACTCTGCAAATGTACTGCACAGAGATCTCAAACCAGTGAATCTTTTCATTAATACTGAAGACTTGGTGCTGAAGATATGTGACTTTGGTCTTGCACGGATTACGAATACTCATTATTCCCATAAGGGTCATCTTTCTGAAGGATTGGTTACTAAATGGTACAGATCTCCACGTCTTTTACTTTCTCCTAACAATTATACTAAAGCCATTGACATGTGGGCTGCAGGCTGCATCTTTGCTGAAATGCTGACTGGTAAAATCCTTTTTGCAGGTGCACATGAACTTGAACAGATGCAACTGATTTTATAATCGATTCCTGTTTTGAAGATCATCAGGAGCTTCTCAGTGTAATTCCAGTTTACATTAGAAATGACATGACTGAGCCACACAAACCTTTAACTCAGGTGTTTCCAGGAATTAGTCGAGAAGCACTGGATTTCCTGGAACAAATTTTTACATTTAGCTCCATGGATTGGTTAACAGCAGAAGCTCTCTCCCATTCTTACATGAGCATATACTCTTTTCCAACGGATGAGCCAATTTCAAGCCATCCTTTTCGTATTGAAGATGAAGTTGATAATATTTTGCTTATGGATGAAACTCACAGTTACATTTATAACTGGGAAAGGTACCATGATAGTCAGCTTTCAGATTGTGATTGGCCTGTACATAACAACTTTGATATTGATGAATTTCAGCCTGATCCAAGAGCTCTGTCTGATGTCACTGATGAAAAAGAAGTACAAGTTGATCCCCGAAAATATTTGGATGGAGATTGGGAAAAGTATCTGGAGGACCTTACTTTTGATACCAATTATTCTACTGAGCCTTGTTGGCAGTACCAAGGATCATCATGAAAACAAATATTGTGATCTGGAATGTAGCCATACTTGTAACTACAAAACGAGGTCATCATCATATTTAGATAACTTAGCTTGGAGAGGGAGTGAAGTTAACCATTACTATGAACTCAGGCTTGTTATAGATCTTTCCAATTGGAAAGAACAAAGCAAAGAAAAATCTGATAAGAAAGGCAAATCAAAATGTGAAAGGTATGGATTGGTTAAAGCCCAGATAGCACTAGAGGAAGCATCATAGCAACTGGCTGGAAAAGAAAGAGAAAAGAAACAGGGGTTTGACTTTGATTCTTTTATTGCAGGAACTGTTCATCTTAGTTCCCAATATGAGCCTACTGATGTTGTTGATAAATGACTTGAATAGCTCAGTGTCCCAACTAGAATTGAAAAGTTTGATACCAAAGTCAGTAAGCCAAGAAAAACAGGAAAAAGGAATGGCAAATCTGGCTCAATTAGAAGCCTCGTACCAATCTTCTTGGGACAGCCAGTTTGTGAGTGGTGGGGAGGACTGTTTTCTCACAAATCAGTTTTGTGAGGTAAGGAAGGATGAACAAGTTGAGAAGGAAAACACTCACACCAGTTACTTGGACAAGTTCTTTAGCAGGAAAGAAGATCCTGAAATGCTAGAAACTGAGCCAGTAGAGGATGGGAAGCTTGGAGAGAGAGGAAATGAGGAAGGATTTCTGAACAACAGTGGGGAGTTCCTCTCTAACAAGCAGCTCGAGTCCATAGGCATCCCGCAGTTTCACAGTCCAGTTGGGTCACCACTTAAGTCAACACAGGCCACAGGAACACCTTCTGCTATGAAATCTTCCCCTCAAATTCCTCATCAAACATACAGCAGCATTCTGAAACATCTGAGCTAAAATATTCAGCAGACATTTATCTTTGAATTCTTCATGAAATGGGCTTGTCTTTTTTTATTACTAGTGTTTAAGTCATTTTTTACTTGAATCCAGTGGTGTCATTTAGTAAGGATTTTATTAGTTCTTGGTTTTAAAATCCAGACTGTCTTTTTCTATAGGTGAGATAGTTTTCATTTTAACTGGCATGCCATTTGCACACAAAAATGAAGAATAGAGCAAAATAATGCAATGTAGAAGGAGACAAAAGGAATGCACTAAGACAAGTAAAGAACATTCTTTCATAGAACAGTGATCTGTTTTATAGGAGACAAATCTTGCCTTGAAATTTACACAGTGAGACTCTACATAATTGCATGAAAATGTCTATTTTTTCCTAAGACATTTTTCATTCATGAGTATTTTCCAGTTTTTCATACTATACACATTTCTTAAAACACATGATACCAGCAGCAACTGAAAATGAATGCCGAGTTTGGCACACATGTGTTATCTACCTCAAGGTAACAAGAGTATGTGGCAACACATATACCACCCACAGTGCTTCACAATATGCACTTCTATTTAGCCAGCATTTATTGTAGTAAACTATTCTTAATAAGACTCATTTGTTGTTTATAAAAGTTCTGCATTACTGTGAAGTGTTAATACATCACATCTTATTTATTTTAGCAAATCAGTATATTTTCTGTATTTAATTATAAAAATTAACTTAGTTTTAAAAATTTATTTGCAAATACACTTTTTCCATTTGGCTCTATGGTTTGTTGCCTACCTAGCTGAATATATAATGTCAGCTTATCTTAAAGCTGTCCACGTACTTAATTTACTTAGGAGTTCATTTACTTAGGTGTTACACAGTAACGTGCTCACTGTGTATAGGAATTTGTATTCTGGAGGTGCTTGATCTATCTACAAAGAAAAATTAATTAGGAATTACTTTATTATGAAGTGCTCCTAGAAGTCTTAATTGTGTTTGTTAAAAAAAAGAATGTTAGACTTGTGTGCATGGAAGTAATTAAGGTACATCATTGTTGTAGTTTAAAAGTTGTACGTGATAAGACATTTTGTTTTTACTGTATGTTTTTACTGAATGATCTATTCCCCATCCCAAGGCAAGCATGAATAAAATTAGGTTAAATGTAGAAAAATAAAATAAAATAAACTTGGCCACTTGTCCTTCATGTTGTATCTGTTTGTGTTAAAAGAAAAAAATATTTATTAAACACCTACTTTCATTAGAAAACAATGTTAGATTTTCTTGGAAATGTGACTATGATCAAAGTATGGTCTTTACTCTTGAGAAACTTAAAATTTAATATCATCATAGTTTTCACTAAGCTATAAAGGGATCTTCCTTGTTTACCTATTGTCTTGGAAAACGTGTACATTAAACAGCAACTCTAGGTGAGGTTTCTAATTCTGTATTTTGTGCAAATGAAAAAGAAATCTCCATCAAATGTTATCTAAGAAATATTTATTTTTTATTTTTTATTTTTTGAGATGGAGTCTTGCTCTGCCTTCACCTAGGCTGGAGTGCAGTGGCACAATCTCGGCTCACTGCAAGCTCCGCCTCCCGGGTTCACGCCATTCTCCTGCCTCCAGCCTCCCGAGTAACTGGGACTACAGGCGCCCGCCGCCATGCCCGGCTAATTTTTTGCATTTTTAGTAGAGGCGGGGTTTCACCATGTTAGCCAGGATGGTCTCGATCTCCTGACCTCGTGATCCGCCCACCTCGGCCTCCCAAAGTGCTGGGATTACAAGCGTGAGCCACCGCGCCCGGCCAATATTTCTATAAAATGTTTAAGGATCTTACTCTGTGTAATGTTCTGCACAAGTCACCCTAGAAACTTTTGAAGGACACAGTCCCTGAATTAGATGAGTTTAAAATATCATGACAAGCAGAAAAGTTAGACCATTTTCTTCTCCCATTTTGGAGGAATGTCTTGTTTATATAAAATTAACTTTTTATCTATTTCAAATGGTTTTAAACTAATAGAGAAATCAATTACATAAAAATAAAAATAAGATAATTGAAACTGTATAACAAGATCTTATTTTACGAGGAAAGCAAAACTTCTTAGAAACTAAAATAATTCTTTTTTTAAGAGGAAAAAATAGAGTATAAAAATCTCAATTAGAAAAGCAAATTACTTTCAGTGCCAGTATTCTCCTGGAATAAATGTGGCATTAATAAACAATTCACAAGACTCTACTTGAAATTTTCATTTTGTTTACACTCTTTTGGCCAACAGCTTACTCAGTCCTGACTCTGTCCCATGTTATTATCTAAATGTACTACAGTGCAAGTGAAATCCCTTTAAATAAAGGAGATGGCTTAGAGACCATCATCGGATACACTCCAGATTGGCCCAGAGAAGTACCCGCACATGCTTTGATAAGACGGTAAATGCCTTCCTGATTTTCAAAGTAATTCTATCAAGAAAATCACCTATATGCTGTTATGTAACAGCAATATTTTTTTGTTTTCACTTAAGTGGCCATTGTGAATGAAATGCCTGTTTTAGAATAATGAAAAGAGTAGAATTGGAATGTTTCTAACACAAAACAATGATAAATATTTGAGGTGATGGAAACCCCAATTATCCTGATTTGATCATTACACATTGTATGCTTGTATAAAAACATCACATGGATCCCATAATACATATGGATATACCTATTATGTTCCCAAAATAACTTGAAATAAAAATTTGTTTTAAGAAGGTAAACCTATGCGAGCTTCCTAAAAAATTTGGCTCAATTTTGAGTTATTAAATAAAAAGAAACTAAAGTTAAGTTCTTAGAAACAATGTTGTGTCCTAGTATAAGGATATATTCTGGTTTTGGTTGTAGACGAGCCCCATCAAATTCAAATATGTCAGCCCCAGCTCATTCTGCCTGCACTTCCAATGCTGCAGACAAATAGACAATGCCTCTCACAGCATGAAGAGTTAACCACTAAATGACTTCCCCTATTACATCCATGTAAAGTTCATCAAGGCAACAATCCCACTTTTTCCTTGTTAATAGTTTACTATTACATGCGTGCATTTTTTTGTTTTTGCTTGTGCAAAATATTTCTAACTATTGGCCTTAATTCTCTCTTGCATTTGTATTGAGATTAAGATTGCTATTATAGACCCATGCAAATTTTAACAATACATAAACATACCTAGAATACATATACACACACAAACACAAAAAGAATAATGGTAGACAAAATTATTTGCTTTCATATTTGTATTAATAGTTTTAAAACCATATAAAATTTAAATATTTTCAGCATCTATACCAAAGATAGCTGGTTAAAATACTATGATTAGAAAAACAATTAATAATAAAACAGTCAAGGATTAGAGATTTTATTACTGTTCTAAATCTTAATATTTTTCAAAATTTTGCTCTAATGGATCTGTTTTAAAATAAATATTCAATATGAAATGTAAATCATTCATTAATTAACTTTATTAAGTAAAATCATGCTTTTGGTAATGCATACTGTGTTAGTTCGTTTTGTGTTTCTGTAAAGGAATACCTAAGGCTGGGTAATTTATAAAGAAAAGAGGATTATTTGACTCACGGTTCTGCATGCTGAGCAAGCATGGTGCCAGCCTCTGCTTCTGGTGAGACCTCAGGACACATAACTGTAGCAGAAGGTGAAGGGCAAGCAGGTGTGTTATATGGTGAAAGAGGGAAAAAGAGGGAAAGGAGGAGGTGCCAGGCTCTTTTTAACAATCAGCTCTCCTTGCAGTGAGCCGAGATCCCGCCACTGCATTCCAGCCTGGGCGACAGAGCGAGACTCCGTCTCAAAAAAAAAAAAAAAAAAAAAAAAAAAAAAAAAAAAAAAAAAAACCAATCAGCTCTCACATGACTAATAGAGCAGGAACTCACTCATTATCCCAGGGATTGCACCAAGCCATTCATGAAAGATCCACCCCCATGACACAAACGCCACCTGTGAGTGTCCATCTCCAACACTGGGGATCACATTTTGACATGAGATTTGGAGGGGGTGAACACCCAAACCATATCACATATTAATCTATCTCTTGACACTTAAAAATCCAACTTTATAACCAAATAGTACTTTTCCAAGTGATAAGATATTCTAGAAAATAACCCTAGAAAGGAATAGAACTCTATTTTATTAATCAATAATTATTTATTGAGCTGATTCATATAGCAATACGTATGTGATACTTGCTATACGTAAATTTGCATTATTGAATATCAGTGTGATTCAGCAACACATACTTTTTCCTCTATAAATTGACAATGAAGTAATTCCTAGAGGACAATACTGGTAATATTTCTTTGTATTCAGAACATCTCAATATTAAATTCTCTATATTGTGGTTGGCTCTTACTTAGACCTTTATACTATGTCAGCCACCCAGAGCTACATGCAATGAAAATAGAGAAAATTTCTTTCAAATCGATCTCCATTCTCTCCCTTACTGAATTTATGTACCCTCTCCTAACTCATTTGATAATAGCAGTTCTGTCAGAGACTGTAGTTGTTCACCAAAATGTATGCTGCTGTTCTTACTGAGCACAGATATAGACTACATTTGCCATGCTTTGTGAAAGTTGGGTGAGGCAAAGTGAGTAATTTAGGCAGTAGAATGTGAATGGCACTGGTATGTACCACTTGAGGGTGGGTCTTCCAGATAGCAGCATGCTTTCTCCATATTCAATTCCCTGTTTCTCTTAGCCAGGAAGGAAATGAGCAGAGTGATCTTGGAAGTTACCTCAAAAGTCATGTGCTAAGGATTGCAGAGTTGCCAGGCCTGGGTACCTCAATAACCATCTGAGGCCAACTTCCTGTTTACTTGAACCAGCCTGATTGGTACATGACAGCAGAGGTGTTGGTGGGGGGGGGACTTTTAATTGCTTGACTCACTAAATTATTGTTAGTTTTGTTATGGAGGCATAGTTACTCTAACTAATATAAACTGCCAAAGTCAGGTGTTACCATAATAAAAATGTGTGACATTTTTTAACAGTTGGGAAATAGACGGTAAAAAAAAATTATAACATTCTAACCTTTTTTATGACATCATAAATATTTTGATAAACTGGTTATGTAGGCTAAATTAGAAAGGACCCTATTTGCCTCTTATTTTCCTGTAAATGTCTGAAGGGCCTCTAGTGATAACCTGTTTCCTTTTGTGTTGCGGGAAGTCAGGGACCCCAAACGGAGGGACTGACTGAAGCCATGGCAGAAGAACATGGATTGTGAAGATTTCATGGACATTTATTAGTTCCCCAAATTAATACTTTCATAATTTCTTATGCCTGTCTTTA
Organism: Homo sapiens; assembly: GCF_000001405.40. Taxonomy (NCBI): domain Eukaryota; kingdom Metazoa; phylum Chordata; class Mammalia; order Primates; family Hominidae; genus Homo; species Homo sapiens. Next base: position 46,967,165 of record NC_000008.11, on the reverse strand, counting down.
CTGCAATCTCTAAACATAAATTGTGAAGATTTCATGGACACTTATCACTACCCCAATCAATACCCTTGTGATTTCCTATGCCTGTCTTTACTTTAATCTCTTAATCCTGTCAGCTGAGGAGGATGTATGTCACCTCAGGACCCTGTGATACTTGCTTTAACTGCACAAATTGTAGAGCATGTGTGTTTAAACAATATGAAATCTGGGCACCTTGAAAAAAGAACAGGATAACAGCAATGTTTAGAGAACAAGAGAGATAACCTTAAACTCTGACTGCTGGTGAGCCAGGTGGAACAGAGCCATATTTCTCTTCTTTCAAAAGCAAATGGGAGAAATATCACTGAATTCTTTTTCTCAGCAAGGAACATCCCTGGGAAAGAGAATACGTGCCTGGGGGTGGGTCTCTGAACTGGCCCCCTTGGGTGTGGCCATCTTCTATGGTTGAAACTGTAGGGGTGAAATAAACCCCAGTCTCCCATAGCGCTCCCAGGATTATTAGGAAAAGGAAATTCCCGCCTAATAAATTTTGGTCAGACTGGTTGCTCTCAAAACCCTGTCTCCTGATAAGATGTTATCAATGACAGCAGTGCCTGAAACTTCATTGGCAATTTTAATTTCACCCCGGTCCTGTGGTCCTGTGATCTCACCCTACCTCCATTTGCCTTGTGATATTCTATTACCTTGCGAAGTACGTGATCTCTGTGACCCACACCCTATTCGTACACTCCCTCCCCTTTTGAAAGTCCCTAATAAAAACTTGCTGGTTTTGCGGCTTGTGGGGCATCATGGAACCTACCGACATGTGATGTCTCCCCCGGCTTTAAAATTTATCTCTTTGGTACTCTGTCCCTTTATTTCTCAAACCAGCTGACGCTTAGGGAAAATAGAAAAGAACCTACGTGACTATTGGGGCAGGTTCCCCAATACTTTTGATATTAATAATTTGTTTCTTCTTTTTTCTTTGTAATCACTGCAAGAGGTTTGACAACATTATTGATCTTTACAAAGAACCAACTTTTGGTTTCATAGATTTTCTTTATAGTATTTTGTTGTTTTCGATTTCATTGATTGAAGTTGTTATCTTTATGATTTCTTTTTTCCTCCTGGTTTTAGATGTATTTTGCTCTTTTTTTCCAGTTTGTTGAGTTGGGAGCTTAGATTATTGATTTGAGGCCACTCCCTTTTCTGATATATAGATGTAGTGTTATAACTTCCTATTTCAGCAATGCGTAAGAAGTTTCCCACAAATGTTAAGTTGTGTTTGCATTTTTAATTAGTTCAATGTATTTTTATTTTTGTTTGTTTGCTTAATTTTTAGAAAATTTCAACTTTTAATACAGATTGAAGGGTAAATGTGCAAATTGGTTAGATGGACATATTGCATGATGCAGAAGTTTAAGGTATAAATGCTCCCATCACCCAGGTAGTAAGCATAGTACCCAGCAGGTAGTTTTTCAGCACACATTTCCCTCCCTCTCTTGCATACCTAGTAGGCCCCAGTGTCTGTTGTTTCCATCTTTGTGTCTATGTGTATTCAATGTTTAGTTCCCACTTATAAGTAAGAACATTCAGTATTTGCTTTTCTGTACTTTCATTAATTTGCTTAGAATAATGGCCTCCAGCTCCATCAATGTTGATGCAAAGGACATGATTTTGTTGTTTTATGGCTGTGTAGTATTCCATGGTGTATATATACCACATTTTCTTTCTTTAATCCACAGTTGATGGGCGCCTAGGTGATTCCATGTCTTTGCTATTGTGAATAGTGCTGTGATGAACATAAAGGTACAAATGTCTTTTTGGTAGAACAATGTATTTTTCTTTGTGTATACCCAGTAATGGGATTTCTGGGTCAAATGCTATTTCTGCTTTAAGTTCTTTCATGCTTTGAGTAACTGAATTAGCCTCTTGAAGAAATTCTTAGAAAGAGGCAAAACCCCATAGGCAAGGTGTTTGGATCAGCAGACAAAGGCACAAATCATTCACTACCAGTACCACTGCCTGATGTGATAAATGCACAGGAAGGTACTATGAAAACTTTAAAGCTCCATCCAAATATTAACTCAGTGAGACTGGCCAGAAATCCAGTCAGAGCCTACATCTGGAGTTGATGGCCAGAAATGAAGACATATGCTATATACCTATTTGATGATGAATGTCTATCTAGCTCAGAATAAAAAAATACCCTTTTGAAATCATCAGCTCCTGGGGAAATATGTTTTAACTCCCTGAACCAATGACAGTTCATTCTCCCGAGTTCAAATGGTTTGGGACCAAGTCTGTTTCACACATAAATGAATACTCCAGAAAACTTACCCAGGAAAACTTAAGATATATATGACTCTCCACAGAGCCTCCTAACACAGCATGGGTGACAGGCATAAAAGTCTGACTTTCAGGTTTGCAAAATTAGCAGGAACAGCCACAAGAGTTCCAGAGTGGGAGATTGTCCAGTGAGAGAAACTGCCTGCCAGGATTCGGAATGATCTCTGTTCTCTCTCGGTCAAAGAGTATGTAATGGAATTAAAAGTCATATACACTTTTACTCAGGCAAAGAAAAGGTAGAATCCATTTTTTATAACTAATTGGCTCTCTCACCAGCCTCCACCATGCTGGGATACAAGGGGGAGTTGGAGTGAAACCCTTTCAATTTTCCATTTAATATTGTCTCATTCTCTTACAGTTCAGATAGTCTCTTAGCACCTGGCTCTGTCTCTTGGGGTAAATATTCAGCCTTTCGGGTATCCATGGTGGTGGCCCAGGCAATGGGCATATGTAATGTAAGAAAGGGGTTTTGGGTCTGCATGAGTTCTTTGAGTCTTCACTAATTTCTGCTCTAGAGCCACCAGCTGGCTATGTTTCCTGGTGCCTGCAGATTCTGCTAAGGTGTGCCTGGTGATGATGTATTTACTCTCTTTTCTGGGTCAGTGCCTGGTGGGGCTGTGGGCCCTTTCCCCACCACCCCAACCCCAAGTCTCTTCCATGGCCATGTCTGTTTTCTGGAGGGCTGTTTGTGCTATGGCCTTTGCAACAGGTTCACACCCATTTACCATGGTGGCCCCTGGAAGCAGGTGTCAGCTTGCAGCAGAGTTGGTGATCATGGACCTCCCCTGTGGCCTTCAGGTCCCCAGTATGCTAACGAGACTCCCTCTGCCCTGCCATAGCACATCTTGCTCTGTGATTGCAGCCCCATCCAACCAAAGTTCAAAACAGTGAACAGGGGAACAGCCCCTCTGCCTTTGGCTTTCCCCTCAGCCCTAACTCCTCTGAGAGATTTCAGCCTGGAGTGGAAGCCACAATGCCCCTGCACCCGTCTACCTGCCTCTCTCTCTTATACCCTGCTGCACTAGTCAGACATCTTTTTAAAAATAGTTTTATTGAGATATAATTCAAATACAATTCACTCATTTAAAGTGTACAATTTAATAGTTCTAGCATATTCATAAAATTGTGCAACTATCACCATGACCAACTTTAGACCATTTTCACCAATACAAAAAGGAACCCCATACCCATTAGCAGTCACCATCCCTTTTCCTTTCAACCCCTGACCTTAGGGTACTATGAATCTACTTTCTGTCTCAATAAATTTTTCCAGCAATTTGCCTATTCTAGGCTAGGCATGGTGGCTCTCACCTATAATCCCACTGCTTCAGGAAGCCAAGGTGGGAAGATCACTTGAGGCCAGGAGTTTATGACCATCCTGGACAATGTAGTGAGACTCTGTTTCTACAAAAAAATAAAAACATCAGCTGAGTGTGGTGGTGTGTACCTATAGTCCTATCTACACAAGCAGCTGAGGTGAGAGGATCCCTTGAGCACAGGAGTCTGAGGCTGCAGTGAGCTGTGATTGCACCACTGCATTCCAGTTTGGGCTGCAGAGCCACAACCTGTCTCAAAAAAAAAAAAAGTAGAATTTCAGAAAGAAATAATTTAAAATATTAGTACTTTCAGATCAGGTTGTTAGCGGAGTAATGATTCTGTATTAAGAAGATTATCCCAGTGAGTCCTGACAAAATATCCTGTTCTAGAGATGAGAAGACAGAGGCTTACCCGGGTGAGAGGGGGCAGTGCATTGCACAGGAGGATTCTCACTGTGGTGTCGGGAAAATGGCCACAGAAGAGACCCCATGGAGGTCCCACAGCAGAGGAAGGCTGAATTGCTGTGGTGATGGCCTCCCTTCCAGCTGTATAGCAGGGGCCCCTGGTCCCAACCTTCTTGGCTATGGGCACGTCTTCCTCAAGACAGCATGGTGGGGAAATGTGCCCAATAGCATAATTCCCTGTCCTTTTGGGGTAAACGGTGCTACTACTCATGCTAATGTGTGAGTCTAGGAGATGATGTGGAATCACAGACAGGCCACCTGTTACCAGGATACCTGGGACAGAAGTCAAAACACGGTAAAATACAAAATAATTATGGCCTGAAGTGAAATAGTATAAAATAGTGTATTTTTTGATATTCCAATGAACATGTGGAACAGAGACTTTGCACCTGGCCAAGGACATGACTGGGCAGTGAGGTGGCATTGAGGAATGTAGTGTGATGAGTTCCTCCCTGGGTTACTTAAGGGCATTATGTCAATTGCTCAAAACTTGTATGCTGGTCGGTGAGCCAAGGCCACAGTTCCTAGCCAAGAAGCAGGTGTTCCTGAGAACCCGAACATCCCAGAGAGTATCTGAGAGCACACCAAAGCAAACAAACTTACTGCTCAAACACAGTAGGCAGAGCCAGAACATCAGCCTAAAAGCAGTTTAGAGGTGGGAGGTGGCACAGGTCTCTAGAGCTGTCCTGCTGCCATCCAGGGATGCCCTGCATGTAAGTCCCAATGAACTCATCTACTGCTCAAACTGAGCTTGTCTGAGTCAGTCTTTGGGCTAATAGCACCTTCTCAGTTTGTGGGGGCACATTACAGTCCCAAGTTTGTCTTGTAATAGGGAGGACATGGGGCCCAGATGCCTGTGGGAGCAGAAGCACAGCCCCCTCCAGCAGCAAAGCCCTGGGACGGAGGAGGTTAGGGAGGCATCTGGGCCCCAGGGCCCTCTCTGGCTGTCTCAGTCCCCGAGTGTGGAGTCCTCTCTGCACCCACACTCAGCAGCAGCCCTCATGGTCCTTGCTGGCAGTGAGGGGCCTCTGCCCTCGTGGAGGGAGATATAGTAGAGGACCCCACCGAGCAGCTCCTGCTGTTCTCCTGCATGGAGCTCTGTAGTGACAATTCCTGCAGCAGAGTAGGAAGCACAGAGCCCTGCCTGCCATTATCCAGGCTGTTTATGCACACAGATCCTTGTATGACAAGGACTTCTACCCAAGAAGGAAGGAAATGGCCACCTGAGGGTCAGGGATTCACTTTGGAGAAGATGAGAATAGCCCGGCCGTCACCTTCCCACTCTGCCAGCCAGGATCCTGGGTGTTAGCATGACATGACCTCGAGGATGACACCTCCCACCCACCTGTTCCTGCCAAGAGCAGACCTCCCCTTACAACCCCTTTCCCCTGCCCTCAGGCAGAGGGGTGTGGGCTGCCCAGGCATGCTCACAGTGATGGCCTATCCTGGACTGGCCTGCCCTGGCTGCCTGTGTTTCCTTTGGGGGTCTCCTGGAAAATGGCTTGTGGTGAGGGCTGAACCCACATCTGTAGCATCAGAAAAGGCTCTCATGCCAGGGTTTCCTGAGGCTACAGCCTGGATAAGTCAGGCTACAGCAGGATGTTTTCTTGAGCATCTTGGCCAAGTGAGCTGGGGAGGGAGCTGTTTCTAAATTATGGGTGCCTGATTACAAGGATTCCAAGTTCTATTGGGACCTATTGCCAAGGAAGTGAGGTCATTTCCTGAGTTTACCTTACCTGGCCCCTCCTGTGATAAGACCCCAAGTGCTCCTCTTGGCTGACTTCTCATCTCCTACCCTGGGACATCGCCATATCTGTGCGTAATTACAAGAAGATCACCTCTCTACAGCTGCTGTGGAAGGCCTGGGTATAGCCAGGGTCCCAGCTTTGAGGGACAGACCTGGGTTTAGACCCAGCTTCTCCTTACCACTTATGTGACCCTGGATAACCCACTTTGCCTCTCAGGGTCTCCCCAGGTTTGCCCCTGCACAGTGAGGATCATTCTAGCACCCGCTTCCTGGGGCTGTCCTCAGGTACGTGTGAGATGATGTTATGAAGCCTGTGGGCTGCACTACTTGGTATGTGCCAGAAGAAATGAAGTCATTATACAAAAAGATACTTGCACATGCATGTTTATAGCAGCACAACTCCCAATTGCAAAAATGTGGAACCAACCCAAACACCCATCAATCAATGAATAGATAAAGAAACTATATATTCCATATGATGGAATACTACTCAGCCATAAAAAGGAATGAATTGATGGAATTTGCAGCAATCTGGATGGAATTGGAGACTATTATTCTAAGTGAAGTAACTCAGGAATGGAAAACCAAACCTCGTATGTTCTCACTCATAAGTGAGAGCTAAACTATAAGGATGTAAGTGCATAAGAATGACATAATAGACTTTGGGGACTCATGGGGAAAGGGTGGGAAGGGGGTGAGGGATAAAAGACTAAAAATCAGGTTCAGTGTATACTGCTCTGGTGATAGGTGCATCAAAATCTCACAAATCACCACTAAAGAACTTACTCATATAACAAAACACCACCTGTTCCCTGAAAACCTATAGAAATAAAAAATTAAAAAAAAAGAAACACCTGTGGGCCGGCATCATGTGTAGCCAATGCACAAAATTAGAGATAAAATAGAGGAAGGGGTGGGACGTAGCATGGAATGCTTTCCAGCAACTGAAAGCATGCCTGGGTTCTTGCCGTGTAACCTTGGAAATGTCACTTCCTCTCTTGGCCTCATTTTCCTGTCTGCACATTCTCCATAAAAAACTTGCAGTGGCTTCCCGTTATTTTTAGATTCAGATCCATATGCTTCATCTCAGCCTCCTTAGTGGCTGCCACGACTCCCACCTCCTAGTTCATGAATCATGTATAACTCCTTCCCCATGAGTGTAGACTGGACTTAACGACTCACTTCTAACAGTAAAATATGGCAAAAGCCACGGATGTATCTTCCAGGATTTAGTTATGAAATGACTGTAGTTAATGTTGCACTCTCTCTCCTCTTCTCTCCGTATTTATCTGTTTTTTCTGTCTCTCTCATGTGTCTTAAGACCTAAAAAGGGCAACAGATGGAGGGACACTCAGGGCCTCTGTGCAAATTGAATTCTCCCAATGAGCACCCCATGAGCTTGGAAGTGGATCCTGCCCCAGGTGAGCCTCTGCTGAGAAAGCAGCCCCAGCCTTGTGGGACACCTTTTTGCAGAAGCACCCAGCTGAGCCCTGCTGGGTTCCTGAGCTACAGAAACTGTGAGATGATGAATGTTTGTTGCTGTAAGCCCCTGTGTTTGGAATAATGTTTTCATAAAGTAATAGATCCCTAATACAGTCTACCTGCTTCAGAATCTGCCCCTGCCCTTCTGCCTCCCTTCCCTCCTCTCCCCCCAAATTCCCTGCAATCACACTGGCTGCCTTTCTCACCTTCTCCCTGGCCAAACTCACTTCTGCCTTGGATCTCTGTGCAGTTGAACCTTCCCCCAGCACGCCATTCCCAGACTTTTGGAGGGCTCATTTCCACTTTTCATTCTGCTTCCAAGGCAAATGTTACCTCACTGATGCCCTTTCAGATACCCCATGAAGAGGTCTCCGGCTCTCCCTTGCAGCAGTCTGATGTATTACTACGTAGCACTTGATCGTTTTTCCCCACCTTTACAGTCATGAGCTGTATAAGGACATTTTGGTCAATGATAGACCACATATGTGATGGTGGTTTCATAATATTGTAATGGAGTTGAAAAATTCCTATTCTTTAGTGATGCCATTACCATAGTAATTTCATAACCCAAGGTATGACTCACGTGTTTGTGGTGATGTTGGTGTAAATAAACCTACTGTGCTGCAAGTCATATAAAAGAATAGCCCATAGAATTATACACAGTACACAATGCTTGATAATGGTCATCCACTACTAGTGTGCTGGTTTATGTATTTACTATACTATGCTTTTTATCATTATTTTAGAGTGTACTCATTCTCCTTATGAAAAGGTTTAGCTGTAATACAGCCTCAGGTAGGTCCTTCAGGAGGTTTTCCAGAATAAGGCATTGTTATCACAGGAGAGGACAGCTCAGCTCCATGCATGCTATTGTGCTTGAAGGGCTGCCAGGGCGACAAGATGTGGAGGTGGAAGTCGTGGGGATTGATGATCCTGACCCTGTGTTGACCTACTCTAATGAGTGTGTTTGTGTCTTAATTTCTTTTTTAAATTATATTTATTTCTTGTAGAGGTGATGTCTCACTGTGTTGCCCAGGCTGGTATTAAACTCCTGGGCTCAAGCAATCCTCCCAAAGTGCTTGGCCTCCCAAAGTGCTGGGATTGCAGATGTGAGCCATTGCACCTGGCAGTGCATCTTAGTTTTTAACAAAGACACATGAGTTCACACACAATCAAGCAAGCATTCACAATAAATTATTAAAGGCAATAATTACGGGATAACAAACCACAGTGGATGCTCAGAAGGCCAGCCCACTGATGGATGAACTGCAGTGAGTTTGGAAGTCCCCCTGGGGTGCCCATTGGTGGGGGGTAAATCTGCTGCTCTCCAGGCAATCATTCTTGGCTGCAGCTGCCCGAGTGTGGAGGAGACTTTCAGAATCCTCAGGGGCTGAGATTCCAAGAGCGCCTCAGACATTGCCAGTCCCTTGCCACCTTTATGATTCTCCACAGGGGTCTCACTATCATGATCTCAGCCACAGGGTCTCACCTGGCACCCAGCCACAGCAGGTGTTATCTCATTACCTTAGTCTAGCATATATATATTTATCACTTTAAAGAAAAATAAACTTACTGTAACTTCAGTGCTCACATATGCTTATCATTTTAAAGAAAACTAATTTTGCTGTGGGCTTAATGCCACCTAATATGAATGAATCCATTTTGAGACACTAGAAATCACAAATTATTAATATATATCAGTTGGAGACCTGTCTCAAGATGATAGCAATTGAGATTCACTTTCAGAAATAAACAAGACTTGGTTGTGGAAGAAGATGAGAGTGGGAACTATAGAAGCATGTAATTTATGTATAATATATATTAAGGAAAACTATACATACATTAAAATCATATTTTCCAAAACATTAAATGACATAGATGAGTGCTCATATTAAGGGCAAAATTAATTGGGAATAAAAGTTGATCCCAGTTTTAGGAAAACTCTATATCTAAACAGATAAGAGCATATAGATATGATTTTGGGAAGCCAAAGTGCGCAGATCACTTGAGGCCAGGAGTTCGAGACCAGCCTGGCCAACATGTTGAAACCCCGTCTCTACTAAAAATACAAAAATTAGTGGGCATGGTGGGGGGCACCTGTGGTCCCAGCTACTTGGGAGGCTGAGGCAGGAGAATCGCTTGAATCCAGGAGGTGGAGTTTGCAGTGAGCCGAGATTGCACCACTGCACTCCAGCCTGGGCAACAGAGTGACACCCTTTCACCAAACCAAAAATAATAAAATAAAAAGTACACGGATATGTGGGGTGATTGTTTTTAAATTTTCTAAACTGTGCTTTTTTATGTATAATCAGAAGGATTTCATAAATGTGCTTTGGTTTGAAACGGTATTTGATCGAAGCCAGACATACCTAGCTGTGATCTGGACCAGTTCTGCTCACTGCATCCCCTCTCCACATCCTGCGGGGCCTGAGGTCAGTAGCCCTTGACTCTGTGTTCTGCCCTGAATCCAGGGCAGAACACGTGCTCAACAAATAACTCACTGAAACATTGAACTTGGGAAGGAGCCTATTTTTTCATGGTGTAAAATGACAAAACAAGGGCTCCCACTAGTGGACACTCCAAAAACATTGACTCTTAACAGAATTTGGATTCGATCTAACAGCAAGTTTGTTAAGATGTCTAAGTGTGAATGCCTGGAGCTAGGCAACGTTCATGCCATTTCCCCTGCAGCCACCAGAGGGCAGTGGGTGACGGATTAGGACAAGGACACTACCCCTCCCTCATAAGTTTTACAAGGGAGTCTTCCTTAGCACATATTTTCTAACCTTAGGGAGCTTCATTATAAAATGATTATTTGCTTTTATTCTGCAATATCAGTTGGGAGCTAAATGCAAATTCACTACAAGGAACAAATGTAAGGTAATCCTCTAACTGGAAGATTAAGCTTGTGCCACATACAAAGTATGTGTCCAACCTCACAATCTGTGCCCAGATGTGTCCCTCCCTCCACATCCATCCATCTATAGATATGTCTATGTTTTGTGTTTTGTGTTTGTGTGTGTGTGGTTTTTTTTTTTAATTTTTTTTACAGGCTCTCACTCCAGTCACCCAGGCTGTACTGCAGTGGTGAGATCACTGCTCACTACAGCTTCAACTTCCTGGGTTCAGGTGATTCTCCCACCTCAGCCCCCAGAGTAGCTGAGACTACAGGTGTGCACCACCACACACCCCCTAATTTTTTGTATTTTTAGCAGAGACGGGGTTTTGCCGTGTTGCCCAGGCTGGTATAAACATGTCTATGTAAAATACCTTTTGAGAATTAGATATAATATAGACATTTGCCAATCACGTCGCTGCTTTTTCATTATGTTGTAAGACAGGGAAAATGGAACTGAAACTTTGAGAGACATAATGAAGAACATTGGCAGGATGTCTCAGCAGAAGTTTGCCAAAGTGGGAAATTTTGTGGTTAACATAGACAAGATCTAATATGCATTGCCTGCTATTCCTAAAGCACTGAGTCTTCCTTTCCCCAGGGGATGTGATAAAATCTTTTATACCCTAAAATAGCATCAGGTCAGAATAATGAAAAGTGGCTACAACAGTGTTGAAGTGGAGATGAGGTTATGATGTGGTGGACCTGGCACCCAATCTACAAAGTTCATCACTCTGTATTATAATCCTCAGCCTCCCTCACCGGTCAGCAACCTAAGAACAGAGTCCACACCTTGGTTCTGACTGTAGCGTAGGCCCCAGCTCAGCACCAGGCATAGAACAGGTGTCAAATACAACTGAATTAATAAAATAGAGACTCATATCTAACAAACTGGATAACATACTTGAAATTGGGACTCTCCCAGGACAGCCCAGATAGGAGGTCACCATAAACCTGTTGCTTGACAACCTGCCCAGGCCTTGGACCTGATTGCCTTCCCACAGCATCCTCCAGCCAGGAAATGTGCAGAATCTCTGCCTGCTTTGACTCTGGTTTACTTTGGCTCCCGTGATTGTCCTACAGTGTGGTTCTCCACTCTGAGTCTCAGGGGACACCTGTGACGGCAGGGGAAGCCCGTTGGATCTCTCTTCTCCAGACCCCTGCCATTGCCTTGCTCTCGGTTCTGTGCACAGCCCTGGTAGCGGAGTCGCCTGCAATTCCCTTTGAGAGACACCCCAGCATGCTGATTCTGGGGAGCCCACACTAGCCAAGACAGGCCCCACCGCCCCATCGCTTCCAGCATCCGCAGCAGAGATCCGGGATCAGATGTTTACAAATGCATAGGAAGAAAAGCGATCTCACCCCCATCTTGACTGAAAACAAATCCCAGTCCGGACAAGTCAGAAAATTGGGGTTATTTGTCCTACTTGATGGAATAAGAATACGATGACAATAAATAAAATAAAATAAATTGCAAAATGCTGAACAAGTGACAAAGAATAATGTCTCCACAGAGATGCCTTGTCCCCCATAGAGATGCCTTTCTTTTCTGTTGATAGCCCTGACATCCTTCAGGCATGGCTACATGAGTTAGTTCTGCTCTTGGAGGCGGGGACGGCAGCACACCTGTGGGCCACAGGACCGGGTCCACTGCTCCAATGTGGGACGCCGGCTCCCACACTCCCTTTTCCTTGGGGTTGGTTGTGACCATGAAAGTTCAGGGCTTCCGGCCATGGCTCTTCAGGAAATCACTCCTCCAGGAAAATCTCCCCGCTTTTCAGAAGGGAAGCGTCGGGCACGCCTGAGGCCGCCATGCAGGACCCCCAGGTCCAAAGCCGTGAGCGTCCGCCACTCCTGTTCTTTCGCGCCTCACAGGGGTCGCAAACAGACAGAAATCGAATGGGAGAATCCCTGACACCCCCGGGTCCTACAGGCCTTTGCCAATCCCATCCTCCCGGAGCCAGCCGGCCTCACCCTCCTCCTGCAGATACTTCGCAGCCTCCCTGCACCGCAGTCGCTGGCCCCTTCCCTGCGCCCAGAAAGGCAGCGGCTCTGCATCCCTGCGCCGGCGATCACCCTGGAGGCCCGGGCGGCACTCCACCTTAAGGACAAAGACGGCCGCCTCCGGAGAGGCTTGAGTGCACCAGGACCCCGCGGGTGCTCCGGGGGACCCCCTCAGCTGCCGCGCAGCCAGTGCCAGCCAACCACCACCCCGTGAGCCCCGTGCTCTGGTTTCCATCTCCCGCTGCCTAGTTACTAATCCCATTCATCCTTCAGCAGCACTTGACAAAGTTCTCTCCACCCCGAATCTCATCAGGGTTGGTGTGAGGCCAGTCTGAAACTTCAGTCACCATTGATCTGTTAATTCCAGGCGTCGGCTTGACTGGCTGTGCGCTACACAGAGATTTGAGCAAACATTCCTCTGGGCAGGTCTCCGTGAGTGCTTTTGGATGAGATGAACATTGTAATCTTAGATTAAGTACAGAAGAGAGCCCTCCCTAATTTGGGTGGGCCCCATCCAATCAGCCAAAGGCCTGAATAGAACACAAAAGCTCATTAAGACAGAACTCCTTCTGCCTGACTGCCTTTGAGCTGGGACATGAGCTTTCTCCTGCCTTCACACTCCAACTGAAACATGAGTTCTTCCTGGGTCTCAAGCTGCCAGCATTTGGACTGGAACCTGCTGGGTCTCTTGATGACTGCAGACCTTAGGACTTAGCCCCCATAATACTCGTTATATATAATTATGTCATATATCTAATTAATATAAATTACATAGTTATATAAATTGATATGAATGTATAATACTTGTAAACATATAATGTATATCATATGTAAGTATTTCTCTAGGGAACACTGACTGATACACCCATCCAGCCCGCAGCTGGTTCTGGCTGTACTGCCAGGGTTCTTTGCTCCATGCTGAATGTCTAAGTCAGGTCTTGTTGCTAATTATGCAAGAGTGATGGAAACCCCTAACACCAAGAAATCATTCAAAGAAAACATTATTTTTCCATTTTATCTCTCTTTTGCAAGATAGTAAGATCTCATCAATACTTACCCTAGATCAGTATCAAAGAGAAGAGAGTTCAGCAAAGACAACACAGGGAAGAGAAATTGAAAGGTATCAATGGCCCTTATGTGCCATCTATAAGATAAATAAAATTCTACCTTATTTAATTCACATGTCAATTTGATTTGGGCAGTGATGCAATCAGTCTCAGACATGAAGAAAGCAGTACTCTGAGAGATAAAGTTGCCCATCCACAGTTCATAACCAGTGAGTGGTGGAGCTGAGAGGAAAGCCTCCTGCCCCATAGCCTCATCCCCTCCCCTAGCTAACCGTGGGCCACCATGACAAGTCCACCCGTCCTGGAGCCCACACTCACCCCTAGCCCTGCCATGCTCACCTTGAGCCTCACGCACTTCTCAGTTCTCCCCTGATCCTCCTACAGCATGGACCTGGGCAGACATCCTGTGAACTGCTTGAGTGCAGTCAGGAACCCAGGCCCCCCAGAGTGCCAAGGAGTCAGGTTTCACCTGACCCCTCAGTCCAGAGACAATGACTGACTTCAGACACATCTAGCAACAGCCTCAAGCAGAGCACTGAGCTGCGCCTGCTGGATACAGGGCTATTACTCACCTCAGATTTCTCCTGTCCTCTGTGAAATGGCAAATAAATAATGGCCCCTAATCTGCCCTAGGCTCAGATCTGCCTTTGCACCTAATAGCTGTGTCCTGTGACCCTTCCTTCCCCTCTTGTAGCCCTGCCTCCTCACCACGGCCCCCCCAATACTCTTCTTTTACATCTTCTCAACTTGAACTCTGCTGCAAGTGAGAGGAAGTAAAAGAAGAGTATTGTGAACCCACATCTCACTGTGCACTCTAACCATGCCCCCATCTGTCATGATGCTTGACACAACCCAGCCCAGTGGTTAAAGGATGTGATTCCAGAGCCTGAGCCCCTGGGTTGGTCTTAGCTCTGCTGTGGTTCCTAGAAGTGTGACCTTGGCAGTCACTGTGAACTCTGCTCACTGGGTTCCTCATATGTAATGTGAGGAATATTGCGAGGGCTAAGGGAGTAGGTACAGAGGAGAAGCAAAACAGTGTGCCTGGGGAAAGTCATCAGCACTGGTGAGAATCATAGAGTGATGCACTGGGCACAGAAGGGAGGTGGTCTTAAGGAGTGATAGGCAGAGAGCGTGAGGGTGGCGTCCAGATCCTGGGAAATCTGCTTTGATGCAGCGCTGGTTTCTTGGTGTAAGTCAGTGATTAATAAATCGTCATGCTGTGTGCTGATGATGTTTACATTTTCTGTCTTTGTATTATACTTTTAAAGTCAACATTTTAAAAATAATGCCTGGAAATTTAATAATAATTCCTGGGAGGTGATCAGACCTCTAAAAGCTGTGGAGATGGTGAGGTCCAAGCATATCTCTAAGGAAGAAAAGAAAATTTCATGAATATCTGGGGTAAAGTTGGGGTAAAGAGGAAATTGCATTAAGGGAGATGATATATAGATAAGAAAGATAGGTATAAGAGAGACATAGATTAATTGGTGATAGGTGATAGATAATAGATTGATTGATTAATTAATAAATGACAGATAAATAGATGAATGTATGACAGATGATAGTTGATGGATGACAGATGGATGATATAAATTAATAGGTACCAGATAGATGAGGATAGATTGAAACAGTGATTGTGATAGACAGTTGATAGATAATTGATTAATAAGTGATAGATGATAGATAATTGATTGATAGATCAATAGGTGATAGATAATAGACAGATGATACATGACAATTGCTGATAAATAGATAGATGATGAGTAGGTGGATGGGTGAATAGATGGATAGATGATGAGTAGATGGATGGGTGAATAGATAGATAGATGATAGAAAGAACAGTTATGGGTGACAAGTAGGAAGGACCAGAGAAGAGAGGGGAGAATAATGGGGGCCTTGGGGTTACTTCCTCCTTTGTCCCCTCCCTAAGCTCAAGACCCCTTTGTGACTGTACCATATCTTTGTGATGCGGGTCAGGAACTCTAGTCTAGAGAGCACATTCTCTGCTCAGTTGCCCGGGGAAGCCACTAGCTACAGATGCTGGAGAATTTGGGCTGGTTTCTTCTGCATTTTAACAATCCCTGGGGCTTTCTTTGGTTCTTTCTTTATTTGAGTGAGGTTGAGATCATCTTTCTATCATGTCTCTGCATTCAGTGATATCCATATTTATCCATGTTTGAAAAGACACAGACATCAATCTGGTAAGGAATCCCAAGGGCTGCCCACATTAGAGGTTAACTTCTGTTTTCCTATTCCTATTTTCTCTTTTCATAATCTATCCTTGGGATGGAGAGACCTCAGGAATGGGAACTCTCGGGGGACATTAGAATAGCATTGGTCTAGGAGAACAGGTTGGGCAGCACAGAAGGTAGGTGGGGACAAAGGCTTTTATCCAAAAGTTACAGACCATTTGCCCAGGTGTGGTAAAATCACAAATACCATGGAATTCAGGCCCATAGATTGGTTTGTTAAAGAATTCAGGACACCAGAGGGGAACAGGCCCTCAAGAGTTGCTCACCAGCAGCCTTTCCGTCACAGGAGGCTCTGGGCCACAACTCTCCTAAGAGTTAGGGCTGAGCTGGAGAGCAGTGCTGACCTGTGAGAGGCTCTGGCTGCTTTCTACTCCTCCATTTGTCCTCAGGAGGCAGAATCCTAGAGAATGGAGCAGAAGTTCCCAAAGGTCTGCAAATCTGTGCTCTTTCTCAGTAGAGGACTTTCCAGGAGTCCCAGGACTGCTGTCTGAAATATGCATTTAGAAGCAAATATGAAAAACAATTCTTTATTTGAAATTGACAGAGAAGGAGTCAAACAAAACATGATCCATTTTAAAAGTGAATAACATGAAAGCAATATCTCAATTAAATCAGCATAGGAAGTCACGTAATTAATTAAGAAAAGTTCACTGTTTTTTTTTTTTTTTTTGACAGGGTCTTACTCTGTCACGCAGGATGGAGGCTGGAGTCCAATGGCACAATTGCAGCTCACTGCACCCTCAAACTCCTGGGCTCAAGGGGGCCTCCCATCTTACCCTCCCGGATAGCTGGGACTACAGGCGTGCACCATCATACCTGGCTAATTTTTAGTATTTTTTGTAGAGACGGGGTTTCTCCATGTTGGCAAGGCTGGTCTTGAAATCCTAGGTTCAAGCAATTCTCCTGCCTCAGCCTCCCAAACTGTTGGGATTACAGGTGTGAGCCACTGTGCCCAGCCTGCTGCTTTTTTAGAAAGAGGAGAGAAGGATGGTCTAAAACTCCCATTTTTTCTTGTCATTCACCTGGCAACTCAGAGTCAGGAGGAAGATGGGAGCTTTGAAGTGAGGTTCTGCTGCCCCACCCTGAGTTCCTCAGGGGTCACCTTCATCTCACCCTTCCCATTAGTTCCAAGTCCCCAGACTGAAGACAGCAGTTCCTGGAGTCAGTTCTCAAAAGAGTGAGTTCTCAAGGGAGAGGCCCAAAAAAAGGGAATCAGAACCTGGAACACTTCTCCCCATCCCTGTTCTGCCCCTCATAGGAATTAAACAAGATGGAAATGGGCAATGCTTCTTACCCACTGGTGATAATATGAGATGCCACAGAAGAAATGTTGGGGATTTTTGGAGGCAAAATTTGTTGGGTCTTCACTTTGTAAAAGTTGATGGCATCCCTATTTTCAGACTGTTCTTGGAGACAGCACCAGGCTTGTCTACCTCATACAGCTGTGATGGTCACCTGGGGCTGAGAGAGAAGAGCTTGCTTTCAGCTGTTAATGACAGCCAGCTTGGACTTCTTGAAGCTGAAGGGTCAGGCAGAGCTACGTAGTGGTATTGCACACATCAGCATCTTCAGTTTCCTAAAATCTATCCTTACAAAAAAAGAGCGACTCAGCAGGGGCTCAACATGTAATAGAGTCCACTAAAGAACATGTCTGAGGCTTGCATTTTTCAGCCCTCTGTTTTTCCCCACCATTCTACCTACCAGCCATGGGCTATATATAGTGCTTGGGGTTATGCAGGTGCCATAGGGTAAAAACCTTCCCACTCAGGTTCCAGGAAAAAAAAAATGACAAGAAACTTTACATGTCCCAAATACGGAACTAGAGTTTGGGGGTCTAAGTTCAGAAGGGTAAGAAGTGATCTCCATGGCCCTAAATATTTTGGAAGGAAATAGGCTTCTAGTTTCCCAAAATCTCCTTTTATTCCCAGTGTGGGTGAGGGAAGAGCACTGCTCTCAATTCTTAGCTTAGCCTTTAGGAACATGGACAGTCAGGTCAGCAGCCAGCTGCCCTTCCCCTCTCCAGAGCAGCAAGGAGTCCAGGACTCCAGCTCTGTTTCTGCAGACAGTGACAGGAGGCCAAAGGGCGGGCAGAGCAGGGGCAAGGTCTCAGCACACCCAGGGGTCGATGGAGAACAAACATATCATTAGGCTGAGAAAGGAGAGAAAGGAAAAAAAGATCTCAAAGTGTGTTCAAGCAGTACTCAGCTCTTTGTTTATCCACAAGAAGAACTGGATTCCAAGTCAGGGACATAAAAATTAACCCATGGCCTGGGTCACTTTGCCCCCACCTGCCACTCATACCAAGGCAGCCCAGCTCTGAAAGCATTGAAAGATGACACGTTTTGCAGGAAACAGTGACTCTTTGGATGTTAAAAAAATCTAGCCGCTGCCCAGTGGACACAGTGTCAGGGAGCCTTAAGAAAGCTGGTGTTGGGGGTACTGCCAAGGAGGATCATCGAGTGGGCATGACAAGCCCAAGAGTCAAGGTGACTGCTGCTTAAGGATATTCCATGTCTGTGGGGTCCACCCGTCTTGGGACAAGTCTTGAACTCAAAGAGAATTTTCCCTCCTGATTGGGGACATTAGAAAAGGGAAGGCCCTCCCCAGGGAGACTCTGCGTGAGGCCTGGCTTGGTGACATAATTGCGGGGCAAAGGGATTACAAGCTTTCACCGATGGGTTAATGGGGCAGCCACACAGCACCAGGAGAATGAGTCAGTGGGGAAAAATGTGAAAGTTGAGGGTGTGGGAAACAAGAAAAATCAGTGAAGACGGCAAAGGATGTCCCATTTTGTGGGAAGGAGAGAATTGTTTCCATTGTTGCTAATCATGACATCCCCTCATCAAATACACACATACACACACACACACACACACACACACACACTCTCTCTCTCTCTCACACCCACTGCCTGACACAGGCTGCTCCTGCTTGTGAATGAGGAGGTCTATCTGGCATAAAAGGGTGCTATAGGTATAGAGAGAAGTATATTTTTGTTTTTTTTCTCTTTTTATTATTATTATTATACTTTAAGTTTTAGGGTACATGTGCACAATGTGCAGGTTAGTTACATATGTATACATGTGCCATGCTGGTGCGCTGCACCCACTAACTCGTCATCTAGCATTAGGTATATTTCCCAATGCTATCCCTACCCCCTCCCCCCACCCCACAACAGTCCCCAGAGTGTGATGTTCCCCTTCCTGTGTCCATGTGTTCTCATTGTTCAATTCCCACCTATGAGTGAGAATATGCGGTGTTTGGTTTTTTGTTCTTGCGATAGTTGACTGAGAATGATGATTTCCAATTTCATCCATGTCCCTACAAAGGACATGAACTCATCATTTTTTATGGCTGCATAGTATTCCATGGTGTATATGTGCCACATTTTCTTAATCCAGTCTATCATTGTTGGACATATGGGTTGGTTCCAAGTTTTTGCTATTGTGAATAATGCTGCAATAAACATATGTGTGCATGTGTCTTTATAGCAGCATGATTGATAGTCCTTTGGGTATATACCCAGTAATGGGATGGCTGGGTCAAATGGTATTTCTAGTTCTAGATCCCTGAGGAATCGCCACACTGACTTCCACAATGGTTGAACTAGTTTACAGTCCCACCAACAGTGTAAAAGTGTTCCTATTTCTCCACATCCTCTCCAGCACCTGTTGTTTCTTGACTTTTTAATGATTGCCATTCTGACTGGTGTGAGATGGTATCTCATTGTGGTTTTGATTTGCATTTCTCTGATGGCCAGTGATGGTGAGCATTTTTTCATGTGTTTTTTGGCTGCATAAATATCTTCTTTTGATAAGTGTCTGTTCATGTCCTTTGCCCACTTTGTGATGGGGTTGTTTGTTTTTTTCTTGTAAATTTGTTTGAGTTCATTGTAGATTCTGCATATTAGCCCTTTGTCAGATGAGTAGGTTGCGAAAATTTTCTCCCATTTTGTAGGTTGCCTGTTCACTCTGATGGTAGTTTCTTTTGCTGTGCAGAAGCTCTTTAGTTTAATTAGATCCCATTTGTCAATTTTGGCTTTTGTTGCCATGGCTTTTGGTGTTTTAGACATGAAGTCCTTCTCCATGCCTATGTCCTGAATGGTATTGCCTAGGTTTTCTTCTAGGGTTTTTATGGTTTTAGGTCTAACATTTAAGTCTTTAATCCATCTTGAATTAATTTTAGTATAAGGTGTAAGGAAGGGATCCAGTTTCAGCTTTCTACATATGGCTAGCCAGTTTTCCCAGCACCATTTATTAAATAGGGAATCGATTCCCCATTTCTTGTTTTTGTCAGGTTTGTCAAAGATCAGATGGTTGTAGATGTGTGGTAATATTTCTGAGGGCTCTGTTCTGTTCCATTGGTCTATATCTCTGTTTTGGTACCAGTACCATGCTGTTTTAGTTACTGTAGCCTTGTAGTATAGTTTGAAGTCAGGTAGTGTGATGCCTCCAGCTTTGTTCTTTTTGCTTAGGATTGTCTTGGCAATGCGGGCTCTTTTTTAGTTCCATATGAACTTTAAAGCAGTTTTTTTTCCAGTTCTGTGAAGAAAGTCATTGGTAGCTTGATGGGGATGGCATTGAATCTATAAGTTACCTTGGGCATTATGGCCATTTTCACGATATTGATTCTTCCTATCCATGAGCATGGAATGTTCTTCCATTTGTTTGTGTCCTCGTTTATTTCATTGAGCAGTGGTTTGTAGTTCTCCTTGAAGAGGTCCGTCACATCTCTTGTAAGTTGGATTCCTAGGTATTTTATTCTCTTTGAAGCAATTGTGAATGGGAGTTCACTCATGATTTGGCTCTCTGTTTGTCTGTTGTTGGTGTGTAAGAACGCTTGTGATTTTTGCATCATTGATTTTGTATCCTGAGACTTTGCGGAAGTTGCTTATCAGCTTAAGGAGATTTGGGGCTGAGATGATGGGGTTTTGTAAATATACAATCATGTCATCTGCAAACTGAGACAATTTGGCTTCCTCTTTTCCTAATTGAATACCCTTTATTTCTTTCTCCTGCCTGATTGCCCTGGCCAGAACTTCCAACACTGTGTTGAATAGGAGTGGTGAGAGAAGGCATCCCTGTCTTGCACCAGTTTTCAAAGGGAATGCTTCCAGTTTTTGCCCACACAGCCATGATATTGGCTGTGTGTTTGTCATAAATAGCTCTTATTATTTTGAGATACATCCCATCAATACCTAATTTATTGAGAGTTTTTAGCATGAAGGGCTGTTGACTTTTGTCAAAGGGCTTTTCTGCATCTATTGAGATAATGTTGTGGTTTTTGTCTTTGGTTCTGTTTATATGCTGGATTACATTTGTTGATTTGCATATGTTGAATCAGCCTTGCATCCCAGGGATGAAGCCCACTTGATCATGGTGGATAAGCTTTTTGATGTGCTGCTGGATTAAGTTTGCCAGTATTGTATGGAGGATTTTTGCATTGATGTTCATCAAGGATATTGGTCTAAAACTCTCTTTTTTTGTTGTGTCTCTGCCAGGCTTTGGTATCAGGATGACGCTGGCCTCATAAAATGACTTAGGGAGGATTCCCTCTTTTTCTATTGGTTGGAATAGTTTCAGAAGGAATGGTACCAGTTCCTCCTTGTACCTCTGGTAGAATTCGGCTGTGAATCCATCTGGTCCTGGACTCTTTTTGGTTGGTAAACTATTGATTATTGCCACAATTTCAGCTCCTGTTATTGGTCTATTCAGAGATTCAACTTCTTCCTGGTTTAGTCTTGGGAGAGTGTATGTGTCGAGGAATTTATCCATTTCTTCTAGAGTTTCTAGTTTATTTGCATAGATGTGTGTATAGTATTCTCTGATGGTAATTCGTATTTCTGTGGGATAGGTGGTGATATCCCCTTTGTCATTTTTTATTGCATGTATTTGATTCTTCTCCCTTTTCTTCTTTATTAGTCTTGCTAGCAGTCTATCAGTTTTGTTGATCTTTTCAAAAAACCAGCTATCGCAAGAACAAAAAACCAAACACCGCATATTCTCACTCATAGGTGGGAATTGAACAATGAGAACACATGGACACAGGAAGGGGAACATCACACTCTGGGGACTGTTGTGGGTTGGGGGGAGGGGGGAGAGATAGCATTGGGAGATATATCTAATGCTAGATGACGAGTTGGTGGGTGCAGTGCACCAGCATGGCACATGTATACATATGTAACTAACCTGCATATTCCTAAAACTTAAAGTATAATAATAATAAATAATTAAAAAAAAAACAAAAAAAAAACAGCTCCTGGATTCACTGATTTTTTGAAGGGTTTTTTGAGTCTCTATTTCCTTCAGTTCTCCTCTGATCTTAGTTATTTCTTGCCTTCTGCTAGCTTTTGAATTTGTTTGCTCTTGCTTTTCTAGTTCTTTTAATTGTGATGTTAGGGTGTCAATTTTAGATCTTTCCTGCTTTCTCTTGTGGGCATTTAGTGCTATAAATTTCCCTCTACACACTGCTTTGAATGTGTCCCAGAGATTCTGGTATGTTGTCTTTGCTCTCATTGGTTTCAAAGAACATCTTTATTTCTGCCTTCATTTCGTTATGTACCCAATAGTCATTCAGGAGCAGGTTGTTCAGTTTCCATGTAGTTGAGTGGTTTTGAGTGAGTTTCTTAATCCTGAGTTCTAGTTTGAGTGCACTGTGGTCTGAGAGAGAGTTTGTTATAATTTCTGTTCTTTTACATTTGCTGAGGAGTGCTTTACTTCCAACTATGTGGTCAATTTTGGAATAGGTGTGGTGTTGTGCTGAAAAGAATGTATATTCTGTTGATTTAAGGTGGACAGTTCTGTAGATGTCTATTAGGCCTGCTTGGTGCAGAGCTGAGTTCAATTCCTGGATATCGTTGTTAACTTTCTGTCTCGTTGATCTTTCTGACGTTGACAGTGGGGTGTTAAAGTCTCCCATTATTATGGTGTGGGAGTCTAAGTCTGTTTGTAGGTCTCTAAGGACTTGCTTTATGAATCTGGGTGCTCCTGTATTGGGTGCATATATATTTAGGATAGTTAGCTCTTCTTGTTGAATTGATCCCTTTACCATTATGTAATGGCCTTCTTTGTCTCTTTTGATCTTTGTTGGTTTAAAGTCTGTTTTATCAGAGACTAGGATTGCAACTCCAGCTTTTTTTTGCTTTCCATTTGCTTGGTAGATCTTCCTCCATCCCTTTATTTTGAGCCTATGTGTGTCTCTGCACGTGAGATGGGTTTCCTGAATACAGCACACTGATGGGTCTTGACTCTTTATCCAATTTGCCAGTCTTGTGTCTTTTAATTGGAGGATTTAGCCCATTTACATTTAAGGTTACTACTGTTATGTGTGAATTTGATCCTGTCATTATGATGTTAGCTGGTTATTTTGCTCGTTAGTTGATGCAGTTTCTTCCTAGCCTTGATGGTCTTTACAATTTGGCATGTTTTTGCAGTGGCTGGTACCAGTTGTTCCTTTTCATGTTTAGTGTTTCCTTCAGGAGCTCTTGTAGGGCAGGCCTGGGGGTGACAGAATCTCTCAGCATTTGCTTGTCTGTGAAGGATTTTATTTCTCCTTCACTTGTGAAGCTTAGTTTGGCTGGATATGAAATTCTGGGTTGAAAATTCTTTTCTTTAAGAATGTTGAATATTTCCCCCCACTCTGTTCTGGCTTGTAGAGTTTCTGCTGAGAGATCAGTTGTTAGTCTGATGGGCTTCCCTTTGTGGGTAACCTGACCTTTCTCTCTGGCTGCTCTTAACATTTTTTCCTTCATTTCAATCTTGGTGAATCTGACAATTATATGTCTTGGAGTTGCTCTTCTCGAGGAGTATCTTTGTGGCATTCTCTGTATTTCCTGAATTTGAATGTTGGTCTGCCTTGCTAGATTGGGGAAGTTCTCCTGGATAATATCCTGCAGAGTGTTTTCCAACTTGGTTCCATTCTCCCTGACACTTTCAGGTACACCAATCAGATGTAGATTTGGTCTTTTCACATAGTCCCATCTTTCTTGGAGGCTTTGTTCGTTTCTTTTTATTCTTTTTTCTCTAAACTTATCTTCCCGCTTTATTTCATTCATTTTGTCCTCCATCACTGATACCCTTCCTTCCAATTGATCGCATTGGCTACTGGGGCTTGTGCATTTGTCACGTAGTTCTTGTGCCATGGTTTTCAGCTCCATCACATCCTTCAAGGACTTCTCTGAATTGGTTATTCTAGTTAGCCATTCATCTAAGTTTTCTCAAGGTTTTTAGCTTCTTTGCCATTGGTTTGAACTTCCTCCTTTAGCTTGGAGTAGTTTGATCTTCTGAAGCCTTCTTCTCTCAACTCATCAAAGTCATTCTCCATCCAGCTTTCTTCTGTTGCTGGTGAAGAGCTGCGTTCCTTTGGATGAGGAGAGCCGCTCTGATTTTTAGAGTTTCTTGTTTTTCTGCTCTGTTTTTTTCCCCATCTTTGTGGTTTTATCCACCTTTGGTCTTTGATGATGGTGACTTACAGATGGGTTTTTGGTGTGGATGTCCTTTCTGTTTGTTAGTTTTCCTTCTAACAGTCAGGACCCTTAGCTGCAGGTCTGTTGGAGTTGGCTGGAGGTCCACTCCAGACCCTGTTTGCCTGGGTATCAGCAGCGGTGGCTGTAGAACAGCGGATATTGGTGAACTGCAAATGCTGCTGCCTGATCGTTCCTCTGGAAGTTTTGTCTCAGAGGGGTACCTGGACGTGTGAGGTGTCAGTCTGTCCCTACTGGGGGGTGCCTCCTAGTTAGGCTACTCGGGGCTCAGGGAACCACTTGAGGAGGCAGTCTGCCCATTCTCAGATCTCAAGCTGTGTGCTGGGAGAACCACTATTCTCTTCACAACTGTCAGACAGGGACATTTAAGTCTGCAGAGGTTACTTCTGTCTTTTGTTTGTCTGTGCCCTGCCCCCAGAGGTGGAGCCTACAGAGGCAGGCAGGCCTCCTAGGGCTGTGGTGGGCTCCACTCAGTTTGAGCTTCCTGGCCACTTTGTTTACCCACTCAAGCCTAGGCAAGGGCGGGCACCCCTCCCTCAGCCTCGCTGCCGCCTTGCAGTTTGATCTCAGACTGCTGTGCTAGCAATGAGTGAGGCTCCATCAGCGTAGGACCCTCCAAGCCAGGTGCAGGATATAATCTTCTGGTGTGCCGTTTGTTAGGCCCATTGGAAAAGTGCGGTATTAGGGTGGGAGTGACCCAATTTTCCAGGTGCTGTCTGTCACCCCTTTCTTTGATTAGGAAAGGGAATTCCCTGACCCCTTGCACTTCTGGGATGAGGTGATGCCTCGCCCTGCTTCGGCTCACACACAGTGCACTGCACCCACTGTCCTGCACCCACTGTCTGGCACTCCCCTATGAGATGAACCCAGTACCTCAGTTGGAAATGCAGAAATCACCCGTCTTCTGCGTTGCTCACGCTGGGAGCTGTAGACTGGAGTTGTTCCTATTTGGCCATCTTGGCTCTGTCCTTTTTACTCTTTTTCCTCTAAACTTCTCTTCTTGCTTCATTTCATTCATTTGATCTTCAATCACTGATACCCTTTCTTCCAGTTGATTGAATCAGCTACTGAAGCTTGTGCATTCGTCACGTAGTTCTTGTGCCACAGTTTTCAGCTCCATCAGGTCATTTAAGGACTTCCCTACACTGGTTATTCTAGTTAGCCATTCATCTAATCTTTTTTCAAGGTTTTTAGCTTCTTTGCATTGGGTTTGAACTTCCTCCTTTAGCTCGGAGTAGTTTGATCGTCTGAAGCCTTCTTCTCTCAACTCATCAAAGTCATTCTCCATCCATCTTTGTTCCATTGCTGGTGAGGAACTGCCTTCCTTTGGAGGGGGAGAGGTGCTCTGATTTTT
The DNA here is from genome assembly GCF_000001405.40 of Homo sapiens. NCBI lineage: Eukaryota > Metazoa > Chordata > Mammalia > Primates > Hominidae > Homo > Homo sapiens. Next base: position 46,941,775 of record NC_000008.11, on the reverse strand, counting down.
AGAATTTTCAGATTTTCTGCTCTGTTTTTTCCCCATCTTTGTGGTTTTATCTACCTTTGGTCTTTGATGATGGTGATGTACAGATGGGGTTTTGGTGTGGATGTCCTTTCTGTTTGTTAGTTTTCCTTCTAACAGTCAGGACCCTCAGGTGCAGGTCTGTTGGAGTTTGCTGGAGGTCCACTCCAGACCCTGTTTGCCTGGGTATCAGCAGCGGAGGCTGCAGAACAGCGAATATTGGTGAAGAGCAAATGTTGCTGCCTGATCATTCCTCTGGAAGCTTCATCTCAGAGGGGTACCTGGCTGTGTGAGGTGTCAGTCTGCCCCTACTGGGGGGTGCCTCCCAGTTAGGCTACTGAGGGGTTGGGACCCACTTGAGGAGGCAATCTCTTCACTCTCAGATCTCAAGCTCTGTGCTGGGAGAACCACTACTCTCTTCACAGCTGTCAGACAGGGACATTTAAGCCGGCAGAGGTTTCTGCTGCCTTTTGTTCAGCTATGCCCTGCCCCCAGAGGTGGAGTCCGCAGAGGCAGGCAGACCTCCTTGAGCTGTGGTGGGCTCCACCCAGTTGGAGTTTCCTGGCCACTTTGTTTACCTACTCAAGCCTCAGCAATGGTGAGTGCCACTCCCCCAGCCTCACTGCCACCTGGCAGTTCAATCTCAGACTGCTGCGGTAGCAATTAGTGAGGCTCCGTGGGTGTGGGACCCCCTGAGCCATGTGCGGGATAAAATCTCCTGGTGTGCCATTTGCTAAGACTGTTGGAAAAGTGCAGTATTAGGGTGGGAGTGACCTGATTTTCCCAGTGCCATCAGTCACCCCTTCTCTTGGCTAGGAAAGGGAATTCCCTGACCCTTGCACTTCCCGGGTGAGGTGATGCCTCGCCCTGCTTTGGCTCACACTTTGTGGGCTGCACCCACTCTCCTGCCCCCACTGTCCAACAAGCCCCAGTGAGATGAACCCGGTATCTCAGTTGGAAATGCAGAAATCACCTGTCTTTTGCTTTGCTCATGCTGGGAGCTGTAGACTGGAGCTGTTCCTATTTGGCCATCTTGGACAGACCTGCCTTTTAGTTTTTAGTCATTAAACAATGTAAATGTAATTTATTTGATAAAAATACAGTTGAACAATGTAAATATTCCTCTTATCTTGAGAGAAGGTATAAAAACAGGCAAGATTCAATCTGTATGAGGGCCTCTGACTTGCATCCTTGTCCCTATGGTCAACTTTCTCATCCTTAGCACAGCTAAGTATATCCCTTCACCACACCTCCACCCCAGCCCCCAGCACCCTCCACTGATGGACTGGATCCAACCCCACAAAGAAAGTGAAAACCATCTGCTCAAAACTTTTCTTCATGAAATCTTAAGAAATGAAAACAAAAACTTACAGCCCAACTCCCTTTATTCCATCTTTCCTGTTACAGTTTTTAGAAAGGTATCACTCAGCAGTCCTTCCTTGATCTTTCCAAGCTAGGAATGTTTTCTTTACTTCTCCAAACACACTTCTTACTCTGTGTTGTGCCTTTTGGTTTAATATTTCACCTTAGGGTAAGTTCTTCTCATACCTGGAATCTTTTCTATTTATTTGGCTTCCTGGCAGAGAAAGTTTCTTTTAAAAAATGTAAAATATACAAAACATAAAATTTATCATCATAAACATTTTAAACCTACAGTTCAATGGCAGTAAATACACTGTTGTGCAACCATCACCACCATCCAGCTCCAGAATCTTTTCATTTTCCCAAACTGAAACTCTACCTATTAAACAATAACTCCCCATCTCCCACTCCTCCAAGTCCCTGGAAACTATCATTCTACCCTCTGTTTCTATGAATTTGACTTTTCTCTCTCTCTGTCTCCAGGATCCTGTGAGATTCAAATGACATGTTAAATGGGAAAACATCTGCAATACTAGATTAATGTTTCTCACAGTAAGACTGATCTTTAAATCAGCGATATTAGAATCAACTGAGGTGTATTTAATGAATAAAGATCCCTGGGTCATTCCAGAACCAATAAAATCAGAATCTCTGGGAGCAGGATCTGAACTGTTCTTCTTTCTTCTTTCTTTCCTTTCTTCCTTTCTTTCTTCTTTCTTTCTTTCTTTTCTTCCTCTTTCTTTTTCTTCTTTCCTTCCTTTCTCTCTCCTTCCTTCCTTCCTTCTTCCATTTCTTTCCTTCCTTCCTTCCTTCTTCCCTTTCTTTCCTTCCTTCTTGCCTGCCTGCCTGCCTGCCTTCCTTCCTTTCTGTCTGACTGTCTCGCTCTGTTGCCCAGGCTAGAGTGCGGTGCTGGGATTACAGGAGCCTGCCATTTGTATTTTTTTTTTTTGTTTTTGGAGACTGAGTCTCGCTCTGTCACCCAGGCTGGAGTGTAGTGACGTGATCTCAGCTCACTGCAACTTCCACCTCCTGGGTTCAAGCCGTTCTCCTGCCTCAGCCTCCCGAGTAGCTGGGATTACAGGTGCATACCACCATGCCTCTAATTTTTTGTATTTTAATAGTGACGGGGTTTCACCGTGTTGCCCAGGCTGGTCTCGAATTCCTGAGCTCAGGCAATCCACCTGCCTCAGCCTCCCAAAGTGCTAGGATTACAGGCATGAGCCACTGTGCCTGGCCTGTATTTTTAGTAGAGACGAGGTTTCACCATGTTGGCCAGGCTGACCTGGCCAACTCCTGACCTCAGGTGATCCACCCACCTTGGCCTCCCAAAGTGCTGGGATTACAGGCAGTAATCCCATCTCATCTATTGTGAGCAGTAGGGAAAATCTTCCACTAGGATAAGCCAGAAAGTGGTATTTAAGTGAAACATAAAATATGCTCTGAAGATGAAGAAATAAGAGATGGTCTGTTTCAATTTCTCAAAAGAAATGCCGCACTCTAGTGTCTTTACAGCATCCATGTCCCACAAGCCCATAGCCTGGTGACCATGGTCTTCAACCCACAATTGGTGCTGTTGATGCTGTCAATGCAGAATTGAAGACAGAGAACCAGAGATTTTTAAGTCAGAAGCATGCTTCAGAAGTTTTAGTTTGTAACTATTGTTTATTTCTGGAAATCATTTGGAAGATATTATTTTACTTTTTGTCTCTCCCAATTCCAAATTGTTTGCATTATAATTTTCTTTAAACCGGAAAATAAAATCATAATTTTAGAAAAGTGAATCTTGTGTTTAAGAGGTGTCAAGTTTGTGCCCTTACCTTTCCTGTGCACCAGGATAGTGAATCCACAACAACCTCTCCTGCTGCACTTATGGCCGATAGCACCAATCCTTCTCAGCCAACTTCCCTCCTGGATCCTGTCAGGCATTTTCTCAGCAAGCATTCCAGAAAGCCATGACTCACTTATCAGCATCAGTGCTTCCACCAATTAGCTAAGAGAATATTGATATTCAAGAAACTACCCCAAAACTCAGTAGGAGAAGTCAGGACTTCTGAATGACAGAATAGAGTTTGGCAGGCCCTTTGCCCAGCAAAACAGTGTAACTGGTGAAAATTATTTAAAACAAACAAAACAGACAAAAACACAATCATTCAACATCTCTGGAAATTGTCCTAGGGACCTAGAGGAAATGGAGAAAATGCATTTAAGAAAATCCACCAAACCTTGGTGTACAGTGAGAGTCTGTGGCATTTGAGCCGAGACCCCATTATCCACACCGTGAACCCAGGTTACAGAACCTCTGCTCTGGGCATGTGCAGCCCAGAAAATGAGGGCTCTTTCTCCCCAGCCCAGAGTCTAGGACTACAGTTTTACACTGGAAGGGGAGGCTGCAGGAGTTTCTCATTCCCCTGGCTTTGTGTTGCAGAAACTGTATTCCAGGTAGGTATGGGAGAGAGGACTGGTCCTCTTTTTCCCTAAATCAGCCCCCACTCTGAGGCAGAAACTCTATCCCAGGCATGGCAGTCTGGGAGTAATAGGTTCCTACTGGCCTCACCTAAGCTCACTCACACGATGGGAATTCCATACCAGTAAGAGCACATCAAGAAGACCAGGGGCTGCCAATCACTCCAACAGCAACCCCTCATAGAGCAGCGGTGTCAATCCAAGAAAGCCATTTCTCTACCACCAACTCCAATGCAAGGATGCAGGGGATCTGCCCAAGGAGAAAGGCAGTGCATGAGGATGAAAAGCTCAGCAGCTGTTCCTGAAGGGACTGAAAGTGAGGGGCTCAATGCCTGAGGGCACTAGAACAGGCAATGGTTCCACTGGGGAGAGCAATGATAAGGCTGGGAGCTTTGATACAAGTAAAACAGCAGAGAAGCCAGATTTTTAACAGAGAACTAGGAAAAGAGACGGATAAGAAGAGCCCCCCTGAAACAACAGTGAACTCTGGGGTGTGAATGCTGTGTGCGTGGTCTAGGTAGCACCAACACAGGAGTGATCACAGCAGGATGCATTAGAAGCAAGAAAGCACTCCCCGTGCTGCACACAGACCCAGCAACACACCGGCAAAGCCACCCAGCACAACCCCTGGCTAAACACAAAGTGAACAGAAAGCCACATTAAAAATAACTTCTCAGTGCCCCCCTAGAAGTCTGGAAGACAGTGAGCAGGTTCAAGGCTTTGCCTCTCAGAGGCAATTAGAGAAAGAACCTCCAAGCTTCTAGTCACTGGGAAAAAAATGGAGCAAAAAATAAACTCCCTGTATTGTAATTAGAGTTTCTAAGCCACACACACACATCTAACAATAAAAGGTAAACATGTAACTAAGTGGACCTAAGCACAACATTTGACCTATAAGTGGCTTTTGTTGACCCAGAATTGACCTCTAGAAACCCAGGTTAAAAGATAAAAATAAAACCCTAGTGCTCATACAGATGGGCCCTGAGCTCACCAGGGCCCTATGTACTTCCTGTAGCTCTCTGACATGAATGGACCACTCAAAGGAGAGGACTTGCATCTTCTCTATCTATCTCTCTCTCTCTCTCTCTCTCTCAGAAAGATCAAATGCTACACACTGCAGAGGGAACAGACCTCTTAGAATTGGTTCAGCCAAATCTCCAGGCAAATGAGCAAGCAATGAAGCAAAAACAATGCCACACCCTTGGGGGATGTAGACTCCATATTCAGAGTTGTTATACTATATTATCTAAAATGTCCAATTTTGAACAGCAAAACATGAGAGACATGTCAAGAAAAAAGAAAGTGTGACTTATACACATGAAAATAAGCAAGTGATAGAAATTGCCTTTAAAGGACCCAGATGGTGAACTTAAAGGAAAGAGACTTCAAAGCAATTAGCTATCTATATTTTTTCAAAGAAATAAAGAAAATCTTACTTAAAAATTAAAGAAAGGCTGAAGCATGGTGGTTCACACCTGTAATACCAGCACTTTGGGAGGCTGAGGAAGGAGCTCAGGGCTGCTTTGGCCTCATGGGGCCTGGGGAGCATGGCCGGCTGACTGCACAGTCTGCTTGGAACCGTAGGTTCAGGGGGATTATTATTATCTAGTAAGGTCTCTGGAGGACCTGTTTTAATGCTTGGTTAAGACTGAGGGGTTTTTATAATGTAAAACTATATGCCTAAGGAGCTTAATATGTTTGTTCTTTTAAACAGTTCAAGCATTTTTACTAAATCTCATTTATTCTCTTAATTTGCTTAGCAAATCTTTTTAAAACACAAATGAAAAGATAAAGATAGACTTTGAAAGAATAAAAATTCTAAATTAAGAAAATCCCCACATTAGTGAGATTGTGTCTGCTGGTTTTATCTGCAGCTAAGTTGTGTGCATGAGTGTGGGGTGGTCAGTAGGGAGCCACGGATTGGTGGAAGCTGATGGGACCCTAAGACAGCTTCTGGGCCTTCAGAGAAGCCCACATAGCTCTGCCTTTCATGGACTTAAAATTACAGTGGGGTTTCCACGCTAGGTTGTGAGGAGGGAGCACACCAAGGCTCACAACTTCTGCTTGGAGGTGAGCGGCAGGCCTGGTCTGTCTGAGGGGACACTCAGGAGTGAGCTGGGGCTGATTCCCCCACAGAGGCTGCAGGAATACAGAGGAGCAGGGAGATCTTTGCTGCTTTCATGGGATAGGCTTGATGCATTTTGTTATTTCCAGGAGGAGAAAATATTAATGGTTGTAAGAGATTTTCTAGATTTAGGGATCTTTTTGTCATAGAGTAAATCATGAAGTGTAGCAGGAGACATTCACCCATGTGTCTTAGTCCAGTCAGGCTGCTGTACAGATTATAGGTTATGTGGCTTACAAATAGCAGGCATTGATTTCTCACAGTTCTGGAGGCTGGAAGCCCAAGATCAGGGCACCAGGGGGTTTGGTGCCTGGTGAGGGCTCTCTTCCTCATTCTTAGATGGTGCCTCCACTGTGTCTGTGTGGTGGGAAGGGCAAGGGCCTCTGAGCCTCTTTTATAAAGGCACCAATCCTATTCTTGAGGGCTCTTTCTTTATGACTTCATGAGCCCCACTTCCTAATACCATCACTTTTGGGGTGAGGATTTCAAGATATGAATTTTAGGAAGATACAATCATTCAGATTCTAGAGACCCTCACCCATATCTATATTAAAGAGTGTGACATCTTTCAGAGAAGAAGCAGGGGGCTGTGAACACCCTCATCTGGCAGAGGGCTGGGCTTGGCCTTGGTCAGACAGCAAGGCTTTCAGGAGAGCACCCTGTCTTTGTGGGGTCACACCTTCAATATGGCAGGGTTCTGTGGTCAGTCCTGCTCTCAGAGGTTATGCAGACCCCTCTTGGTTGTCAATGTGGCACCTCAGAACCTCTTATTAAATACTCACCTTACACAGTGGCTATAAGAACGGAATGCTTAATAGATGTTGTCACTACACCAGTCCCCGACACAGGATGAGAGCTCAATCTATGGGGATAACCACAATTGTTTTTAATTTTCCTCACAGCTCTTACAGTCTACTCAGGAATGCCAGAATTTTAATTAACAAGAAGAAGTGTTTATGGTTTAAGAGAAAATCACAAGGCAGCATTTGAATCATTTGTAAAGTTGTCCTCATATTTCTTGCCCTTGGCATGTTATGTTTGTAATATAATAATTTACTCATGTACAGTAGAGACCCCTCAGCCCAAGCAGGGCTAGGGTAAATGTGGCGAAGGAAAGTTACAGCTGGAACTTGTTGAATCTGAGCAGTAGGTGCCTATTTAGGGTCCTTCTTCCACTTTGAGGTATGATTTGAGGCTGGGCTCTGAGGAAACTCATCATTAAAAGGGAGGGTGCTGGTCTCATTTGGATTCTTGATCTGCATGAGCAGATGTATTCAACTCATAAAATATACCACATTTTACCCATATGCATACATTTTCATGTATATATTTAATGCTTAAAGGGTTGAAAAAATTGTTTTGTTTTTTAGTCTGGAAAGAACGATGTGAGGACAGGACCCCTGCTACTGTGTGTGTCTCTCATCCTGATGTTGACATATGTAAAAGAAAAAATCTGCTCCGGACACTTGTGAAAACCAGCAAGACAGATGTTATTGGAACTCCTGCATTAGGCTACGACCCTCAGTACAGAGTTGAGCTCAGCTCTGGAGGCAGCATGGACAGTGAGTGGAGTGTTTATGGACAATGAGCAGAGGGTCAGCGGATGGACAGTCACTAAGAGGAACTTGATGAGGTATCAAGGTAAGGGGGGTTCTTATTAAACTGGGCTACAAAAGTGTCTTTCTAAAAACAAGCCAAGGAGCCAGATTATCAAGGTTGGGAAGGGGGCTTCCTCACTAAACTGATTTAGCAGGAATCTACAGAAGCCCAAGTTCAGGCTTAGTCAAGAATAGGGATTAGAGGAGCTGGACTACAGTTGGTCAAGGAGGGACTCCTTGGTGCTGATGCCACCGGCTCTAAGTCCTGCTGAGCTCCAGGAGCGACCTCTGCATGGAAACTCTCCTTCGGAAGGGCCAGTTACAGGGATGGGAAATGGGGCCTAGGCTGTGGGTCTTTGTCTGTGGTGAGGCCTGAGGGATGAGAATCTGAGGGGGCAAAACATACTTAAGACCCTCTCAAAGGTGGGGTGAAGCCAACTTTCACCCTAAGTAGCAGGTGCAAGGGCAGCCAGCTGCCAGGGGGAGCATGGGGCCAGGCCAGGCCTGTGGGCTCTGGGAGCAGTCAGGCTGAAGGGCTGTTGTATCCAGGAGAGCAGGGCAGGGCTCTCACCCTGGGGCCACACTGCCCGGTGCCAGTCTCTTTCCATCACCCACTGTCTGTGAGGCTCTGGGGAGGTCCTTCCCCTCGCATAGTCTCAGGCTCCCTCACCTGTGAAAGTGTGGACAAGGATAGCAGGCAGGATCACTGTGGGTGTCAAAAAGCTGAGGCCACAGAAGGCTTTGGGCCATATAGAGGCAGCACTATGAGGTCCATGGTAGAAGGGAATATCATTCAGTGCTGCCCGCTGTGTCCTCACTTCAGCTGAATTGGCACCTGGGGGATGGTGGCCCACAGGAAAGTGTGGATGAGTTGGCTGGTCCTGGGGCTGCAGGGATAGTCTTTCCAGGCCTAGGGCTATCACAGCAGGGGTCTGTGGAGATAGGGAGCATCCAGGGGGACTCTTCCTGGGACAAGTGGGGGAGAGCTGAGTGACACTCAGGCGACACTCACATGCCCATTGTAAGTGACAATGAGTCAGGCATCCCAGTGAAGAACCGAGGCTCACAGTGACAAGTGACCTACAGTTCAGAAGAGGGCCATGTCCCGTATGTGGCTGGCCTGACACAGGATGTCTCCAGGGCCCTTGCCCAGTGCTCTTTTGTCAGGTACCGTCTATGAGCAGGCACTCTCTTAAGATACAGGAGGCCCAGGACGGCACGTAGACACACCCTGGCCAGAGAAGCTGCTGCCCTTGCAACACCTGGGGCTCTGGGCCCCTCTGTGCTGCTCCAGAAGGTTTCCCCTGTTGTCCTGTGAGCAGCTGGAAGGCAGATCCTGGTGGGCACCCTACTGGGGAGATGGCACAGCTGACGTGGTGGGACCTTAGCTGTGGAATGTGGCAGTGAGGGAAGGCTCAAGCATCAGCAGGTGGGAAGGAGGTGGCGAGGGCAGTGTGCAGCCAGGCCCCAGAGCCTGCTGTGGAGGAATCAGAACCCCACAACTATTGGGCTTGTGCTGAGTGGGTGGTGAGAGGCAGAACTTGACACAGAATGGGAGGCCAGGCCAGGCCCAGCCCAGGCAGGAGGAGCTGCCTCCGTGGGGAGTGAGGCTGGGAGAAGGGAGGGGGTCTCATATGTCTCAGGATCTCTCTGTGGGTGACACGAAAAGCCCTCACAGAACCTCTTGGTTGCAGGAGGTAGTGATTTCCTTAGTATTTTACTCTAAAGCTCCAATAAATTAGAGGCCCTAATATCTGAATGTGAAGACCCCATTAAAATGATAAATGGCCTCTACTGCTCTCATTAGTTTATAACCCAGATAGAAGAGTCATGTGTGGCCATCTCCAAGGAGCAAAACTCCAGGCCACAAAAATAGCCCCAGAGATGGACACTTGGAGACATGAATCTGGGTCCAGGGGACCGAGAGAGTCCAGGGCTGGCAGCACCACAGGAAAGGCTGATGGAGCGCCCAGCAAAAGGAGAGGCCTGGGTTTTAGAAGTGCCCAGCCTCTCCCCAGCCATTCACTCAGCAGCTGAGATCCCTGCAGAGCCATGGGCCTGGCTCTGCTCCATATTTGGCTGGTGACTTTCTACCGGCCACCCCCCTTCTATGAGCTTTATTTTCTTTAATTTGTAGGATGCTGTACTTCTCAGAGGGGCTACAAATGGATTAATCCTTCCAAAGTCATAAAGGGCTTCATATCATAAGGTGTTATAAGTGTCAGTTCTAGGCTTGGCTGATTGGAGATTAATCCAGGTGGATCCAGGTGTATGGAGAGTGGTGAGGGAGGGGGCACAGCCTTGGGAGCAGCGGCCAGAAGACAGGGGCTGTGTGCTTAGCTCCACTTGTTCTTGGAGTCACTGGGTCTGTAATGCAGGTGTGCTGCTCCTGTGCCTGCCTCAGTGGGCCCTGGAGAGAGGGCCTGGCCCTGTACTGCCCCCACCACACAGGGATAATGTGGTCCTGGCTTGGTGTATCCCAGGCAAATATCAGAGATGGTGCCTCTACAGCCCTGCGCTCCCTGGGAAACAAAGCACTTGCCCCTTTATGCACTCTCTTATTTAGAACCACCACGGGAAGTGCTCATCAGCCTCTACAATGTGGTCTGTGCATATGTGGCATTTTGCTTTCCACTGTGGCATGGTCACTGGTACTGGACTAACCCTCCAGCATCAATCAGCAGGTGATATAGAACAGTGGACATAGGCAAGAGACACACACAGTGAGCCCACCGTCACCCCAACATCACCATGGCTTTCTTCCTCCTGGCCACAGCAAAGGATGGTGGGGAGTGAAGCAGCAGGAAGAGCCACAGCCTCACTGAGCCCTGGAGCCCAGTTCAGAGCAGAGTTGCAGCTGCAGAGGCAGGCAGGCGGCACCTGTGGTCACATGGTAGGTGAGGGCAGACATCCGCATGGGTTCTCCATGTCCATGCCCTTGTTTCAGGGCTGGCTGGGCATGTGCAGGCTCAAACTCCACATTCTGCAAGAGAAGGCCTCCGCAGCTGACAGCTGAACAGAGGCAGGGCTGGGAGATGTGGGAATCCTGCCCAGTGGGATTGAGAGAACTCACCAAGCACTGCAGGCCCTTCCATCAGACCCAGAGAAGCCATGCCTTACAGATGAGAAACATGGCCTGCAGGAAGGCTTCACTTCAGAGTAAATTACAAACAGAAAACAGACGTACACACACCGTAGAAGGAACCCAAACCAAGCCAGATAGATGAAAAGATCTGTGACTTACCTGTCTCTATAACAGAACTTAACGTAATGGCTGTCTTCTCCCTGTCTCTCCTTAGGGGGTTTATCAGCTGTGCATCCATCTTCTAGCAGCTTCTGTGTCTTTTCTCCCTGGAATGTTCTCCTGTGCCCTCCTCTTCCCTCCCTCACTGAGATATAAACAAGCTGCCTCATGTCTGTCTTGTCTTGTTGGAAGCCTGGGGCTTGACATCAGAAACTTATCATCTCAGGATGTGTGCACCACACAGTTCTCTACCCCAAAAGTCTTCTTCTTACTTCGTTAAACAACATGATTTTCAGGCATTGCTGAAAATAATTGACTTTTTAAAAAATATCAAGACTAAGCTCAAGATCTGGATTTCACAATGCATTTATTACTTTATGTGTCTTCTCCTCATTCTCATGTGAATTTGTATTCCAGGTGCTAATTAATCATGCCAAGGCTTTCTTCCCTTTCTAGATAACTTGCATTGTTTGGGGCGCTAACTGGTTGGTGTCTTTACTGTTTTGTCAAACATCAGCCCCTTTATTGTCTTTGGCCCATCAAACAAGTCCATGGTCGTTTATTTATTTTCCAAGGCTGGTTTTCCTGTGGGGATGAGCAATGACCTTGATGATCCCTCTAAGGTCTCACGTGTGGCTGTGAAGAAGTGTAGTGGAGCAAGTGCCAGTCAGAGGCAATGTAGCCAAGCCCAGACCCCTGCCGTTCCTGTCTACAGCCTCTCTGTCTCAACTCCTCACTGAAGGAAAGGGCAGAATGCCTCAAAAGTCAAGACAAAGTTGGGGCATGTTAGAGCTCCTGGGACCATGAGAGAGTGGACAGCAACCCCAGAAATCTGCTCAACACTGAGTGAGGGAGGTGGTGGACTCTGTTTATCCAATTTGTTGGCCTTGTCTTCAGATTCATCAGAAATGAGTAGGAGACCAGGTGAGAGATTGCACATAGACTCTCCCACACAGGTGGGACTGCACCTGAGGGTACTTGATCTTGCTGTTGATACAGGTGAATAACTCCATTTGGTTGGCCATGAAGGACATCTAAATACACATGATAATGGTGGACCAGGTAGAGAGTCAAGAAAGGTTGGGCCCAAAGTAAAGAAGCAAAAGTTTCTCTGACACACAGAGTGGGTGGAATTTGGGAGTCTAGGCAGCTGAGCCCCACAGAAGTCTCTTCACATGGAGCAGAACCCCAGTCAGCCTAGAATTGAGGGCTTATTCTCAGGAAAGGCTGGTAATACCTAGGCAGTGCTTTGGACTCAGGAGAGACTTGGAGTACTAAGGCATCCGCTAAAACAGGACCCAGGGTAGAAATATAGTCCTAAGGATTAAAGCCCAGAGTAGGGCTTGGGCTCAGAAACCATACTACTGGATTCTGGGCACTAGGTCAGAGTTGGGCTGGTAATAAGTATTCTTAATATCAAGTCCCTGAGTGTGGCCATAGTTGTTGAAGTACTACAGGACCTCTGCTAGAAGGGCTGACACTTTCTGTAGATAGGGATCAAGTGGCCTTGCTGTGGTGAGGAGGCTGTGTGTAGAACCTGGAAACTAGGCTGAACCTGGCAGATTGGAAGGTTGTTCATGGACCAAGCACATGGGCTTCAGTCCACGTGAGCCACTTGGCATCATTCCACAGCTAATGAGTGCTGTTTGTGAATGCTCCTTGAATGCACATTGTAGCTGAATGAAAAAATTCATTCATGTGAATTAAGGAGAGAGGGAGGTGAATAGTAAGAGGCTGGCACAAGCAGACCCTCATCAAACTGCAGAATTAATGAATGACTAATACAAAAAGATCACCAAGTGGAAAAAATTCACTCCATGCACTCCTCTAGTGAGAGGAGAGAATCATGAGGCTGTGGCACATGGCAGGGTTTGTTGGTGGGTCAGTGACAAGGTTTCAGTTTGGAGGATGACTTGGGTACATTGGAGACAAAATAAATCAGTAAACCTCTCACCTTTTTTTGTGACACCTTATCACATTGCATACCTATTTTGCCTTCAAGACAACCTCATGAACTGGGCATTATTATCTATATTGTAGAGCCCAAGAAGCTGAGCCTCAGAGATGGCTGACAAAGGTCCCTCAGCTCTCGGATACCTAGAACTCTGCAGTTTGAAACAAACCATGGTGAGAAGTGTTCCCTAAGGCAGGGAGAAGAGGCTGGCTCCACAGAAACAAGCCCTCAGCAAGGCATGGTTCAGGAAGTCGATGTAGGTGGCTCCAAAGGCAAGGCTGGTGCATTCTGATTTTTGACAAAAGTTGGCTTTTCCTCTGCAGGATGTGGGCAAGCTCATCCCCAGGTGTGGATGACTTTGGGAAGAGAGTCAGTTGACCTATGTTTGAGGCAGGAAAAGAAATGGAAGGATTACATTTATATCAAGTTTGCTACAAAGTAACAGATTGTGAAATCTCACAGCTCCAAGTGAGGTAAGCAATGTTCACTGATGCTCATGAAGAGTGACAATACATTTATTATCTCATCCGTGCAACTTTCAGAAGTGAATGTTTGCATATTTAACAATTATCCCAGACCTCAGACATAGCCGAGGAGTGTCTACAGCAAGCCAAGACCAATGGCACCATGGATCTGGGTACTAGGTCTCCACAGCAGGCTGAGTGCAGCCTCAGGAATCCAGGATGCAGAATCCAATGGCAGAGGCCAGATGAGGGCAATGTACAGCACACACTGTGGGCCCACACTGACCTCTCTCTGCAGGAATCATCCCCACTAGACCTTGGAAGACTGAGGGGATAACTAAAAGGAAAGTACTGAACCCAACGTACTTAAGAAAAGCTGCCTCAAATGGTTTTGTGACTAAGGCAAGTCACACGATCTGTTTTGGGTCTCACGTTCATCATCTTTAAAATAGGAATAAATAATTTCTTGCCTGTCTACTATGAGATTGTTCTGACGTTTGAGTGGAACAATACCTGTAAAGGTGCATTTTGAAAGGGCAGTGTGAAGCACATGGAAGAGCACAGTTCTGAAGCATCACTCATTTCCACCACTGTAGCCACATGAGGGAGTGGGAATGATGTTTTACATCCTTCTGTGGGACTGTGAGCTCAGGGATAACATGAAAGAACCTGATGCCCAGGTGGAGAATTTTGGGGAACAAGGTCAGGGAGGGGAGGGCTGGTGCAGGTGCTCTCAGGGTGATGTGTGGTCCTGGAGAGCCTGGTTGGAGGAAGGGCCCTGCAGGAGCCATATTTGGGTATGTGGACGCCCTGGGTCTTGGGATTTTATACTTGAGCCAGTGAGCCAATATGTGTTATTGTAAGTACGTGTTTATTAACACATGTTTCAGGAACACTCTCCCTAAACTAGAGAGGACCCGTGGGAGGTGTACTTTCTTCCTTTGGATTTTACAATGACACACTAGAAAGAGTGATGGAAAACTTTCTAATTGGCAGCAGAGCCAGAATGTTCAAAGGTGAGGAACAAGTAGGCAAGTCAGACCAGGGTCTGATCCAGAAGTCATATCTGTCATTTTATCTAAAAGAGGGCGAATGAGATGGGAAAGACCTTGTGTGTCCTTTGCTTCTGAAAGTAAAGGCAATGAGGGTGCCAGCAATACATCCTGAGCATTTACATTTACTGACAGAAACCATACTTGTTTGTTATGCAAAAGTTCTGTAGAAGCTTAGATATGCAGTAGAAATTATTTAGGTTGAGACAAGTGGTAACAATTGTGGCTATTGCTAGGGGTCATTGCACTTAAACACCAAATGCTCTCCTGCCCAGGGCATCACATTCCTTCTGTGTTAAGCATAGAGTGGACTGTTGGTGTGTTGATGAAGTAGAATTTATGCAGTTTTCCCTCTTCCAAGGTGCTGTCATCCATTGAAAGACTTTCTCAGTCAACCCTGTATAGAAGGAAAGTTTGGAGAAATCTTGAAGAATAAAGACTTGCACAGAGAGTTGAGCAGCAGGTTCTTAGAGAAGGCAGTCCGTATTATCCATCTACTGCTGTGTAACACATCGCCACAAATTTAGCATCTTAAAACATGACACATTTATCTCACAGTTTATGTGGGTCAGGAATCCAGGCCCAGTGGGGCTGAGTCCTCTGATTCTGGCCCTGGAACAAGCCTGCAAACAAGGTGTAAGCCAGGGTTGTTGTCTCACCTTGCAATGGATAATTTTATGTGTCAACTTGACTGGATTAAGGGACACCCAGATAGCTAGTAAAGCATTTTTGGGTGAGTCTGTGAAGGTGTTTCTGGAAGAGATTAGCAATTGAATCAATGGATGGTGTTTTTGCTGGGGTTCTCCAGAAAAAAACCAGTAGGATATCAATATCTAGCTACAGACAGAGATATGTGAGAAGAGACTTATTAGGGGAACTGGATCACATGATTATGAAGCCTGCAAAGTCCCACAATAAGCCGTGTGCAAGTTGGAGACCCAGGGAAGCCCATATGTAACTCTCAGTCCCAGGCTCAATGTCTGGGAATCCAGTGGGGTGGTGGGGGCTGGGGGATGGTTCTGGTGTGAGTCCTGGAGTCCACAGGCCAGAGAGCTTGGAGTTCTGATGACCAAGGGCAGAAGTGTGTCCTAACTCCAGGAGAGAGAGCGGGATAATCACCTTTCCTCTGCCTTTTTCTTTAGGATTCTCTCCAGCTGATTGGACAGTGCCTACCCACATCCAGGGCATCTTCCCCACTCAGCCTTACCCACACCCAGGAATAATGCTTTATCGGTGCTCTAGGTATTTCTTAACCCAGTCAAGCTGGCGCACAAAATTAACCATCACACTGAGTAAAAAAGAATTGTCCTCACTGATGTGGGCTGGCATCCTGAACATAACAGAACAGAAGGCTGGGGAAGAGGGGATCTGCTGAGCTAAGGCACGCATCTACTCCTGCCCTCCAACATAGGGGCTCCTGGTTCTCAGGCCACTGGATGCTGATTGACCTACACCATGGGCTTTCCTGGGTCTCCAGCTTGCAGAGGACAGGTTATGGGGCTGACTCCTCAGCCTCTGTAATCACAATTTCCATAATAAATCCCCTTTCATATATCCACATATATACGCTATCAATTTTCTTTCTCTGGAGAACCCTGGCTAATCCCTACCTGAGATCTTGGCTGGGACAGGGCTGTTCCTCCCTCCTGTGATATTGGCAGGACTCGGTTCTCTGTGGGTTATTATGCTGAGCCCCTTGATTTCCTGATGGCTGTGGCTGCAGGACACCCTCAGTTCCTGGCCACACGGACAGCTCATGGTGTAGCAGCTAGCGTCATACAAGCTGGCAAGGGTGAGTGTCTGCTGTCAATAAGGATGTTACAATCTCATGTTATTCAATCACATCTGTCACAGAAGTGGCATCCCCTTGACCCTGAGAGATCCTAACATCACAGCGAGTTACTCAAGAAGAGGGAATTGCACTAGGCTGTGAATACCAGCAAGCAGGGGCTGCTGGGGCAATCTAGAGGCCACCTACTGCAGCCAGCCTGCTGGCCGCTGGTGATGCCACCCCCTGGCATCCAGGTCTTCATGTCACCTCTTCCCCTAAGTGTGGGCAGGACTTGTGGCCAATTCAACAGCCCACGAAATGCCAATCCTCCAAAGACAACATGAGCTTGGAAGTGGATCTCTCCCGAGTCACATTTTGAGATGAGACCTTCAACTCTGGTCAACATCTTGGCTGAAGGCTCATGAGACCTCCTAAGGAAAAGAACCCAGGTGAGCCCAGATTTCTGCCCCTCCAGAAACTGCGAGATGATGACTGCAAGGAATTTAAAGCTGGTATGTTTGTGGAAATGTGTCACACAGCAATAGATAACTAATGCACCATTTGCAATAATTCCTCCAATGGCAGGAACTGCCGACAAAAGGTTTGGGATGCTGGGAGGATTTCTGGTATGAAGAGATTCAGAAGCTGTGCATCTAAACTTCCCGGAGAGACTTAGTGTAGAGATAAACCCTGGGGTAAATGAAAAGAGAGCACTGTAGCAAGTCTGTGCATAAAGCACTGGCCTATGTGATACAGTGATTAACAAGTCCACCATGTATTATGCAATATTATAGAATACCCCTCTTTTCTGTGGCTCTTGTTAATTTTTTGTACCTCTGAATGGTTATGCACTTGGCAAAAAGTTCCTGATGTGTGAACATAAATGTCCAAAGCATGGGCCCGGCCTTTCCTTTCCTTGAAGTTTTCACTATTTATCACCAGACATCAACTATCTGTTTGAGTTTGGCACTGGAGATGCTGACCTGAGCTGGCCTCCTGGCATAGTTTTTTCACTGGGGGAAACTTTCACCCTAAAAATGGCATCCCTCTAGCAAGGAGTCATGTGTCTTGAATCCTACTTTCGGCTCAAATCCTGGGGTGCTATTGGCTGAGGAAAAGTCCTCCTTTTGCTGCCTTTGAGATGTTTGTAAAGCCCCATGGCCCCCCAGCCTGGCCTGTTTCCCCTGGGAGGCCTCCCCATGGGCAGGACATGCTATGTGCTTCTCATGCCTGATGGGGCTGCTCATGCAAGCCCAGGTGAAGTGATGGGTGATGGAACCTGGGAGGGATGGTGTGAGTCCTTATGCTTCTTGCCCTGGTGCTCAACAATTCTCCTTGGGACCCAAGTGGCCCCAGATGTTGGCATGCATCAGGAAGGATCCAAGAACAGCTGGGCTGGCCCGATGGTCTACCTCATGGGTTTCAGGGCACTGAGAGCTGGCCAGTCACATTCCCATGGCAGCCCAACAAGGCCCAGCAGAGGGGTGGGTGGTGGGATGGCAGGGCTTGTAGGGCAGAGCATTCTGATGGGCCAGGGCCTAGTTTGAGTAGGGCTGCTCTGTGGGCCTATATCCACAGGCATTGCTGTGGCTTTGGCCAAGACCTCTGGGCTCCCTGAACATCAGGCAGCCTCTCCTCCTTTAGGGAAGATGGACAGTTACCCCTGAGCAGGGCCATGCGGGGCAAAGCACAATGGTGGTTGTGAAGTTTTTTCAGAGACAAGATGCTGTAACCACAACACGTGTGGATTTCCACTGCAGGAGCACCCAGTGCCATGTTAAAAGACATGTGAGTTTGGAGTTTATGTGGGTATGGTATTGGCTTAGTGGTTTCTCCCCATCTTTTTTGTCTACTTTTCTCTTTGTCTACCTGCTTGCCATGAGCCTGAGGGCAGGGCCTGAATCCAGCAGCACCAGAACCCAGGTGGCCTGGCTCTCCAATAAATGGAAAAGAAAGCTGGGTGGAAATATGGAGGACAATGGTAAAGGCCTGGATTACAACTGAGTATAGACAGATCTGAAGTGGCCAGTGTCCAGGTGCTGAACTTATAATAGTCCATCCTATGCGGCTTAGCGATTCCAGCCATCAGCCATTCCTGGTCCCTGCTCTGCCTGCCTGCAGACACCAGGCTCCCCACAAGGCACTTTCCCACTGCCCTTGATCTCAGGGCATTCATGTCTCCCTGCTCTATTCGGAAACTATCCTGCACAGACCACAGCTAAGCACACCACTACCATAAGAGTCTAGCTGCATTTCTCTCTGGCCCCAACTCTGGCCCTCACTCCTCATTCTGGTTTCCTCTCTTTAACCTCTGAGCCTCTGCACTTGCTGTTCCTCTTGCCGAGCACACCCTTCCTCTCCATTCCACATAGTACAATCTTACTCATGCATCAAGCCTGAACACAGGAGGATGGCTCCGACCACTCGGTGAGTTCCCACTTCTCTAAATTCCTGTTATTAGATCACCAGTCCTCTTACTTTGTCCTCAATTGTAGTTGGACATGATTGATTTAAACGACAGAGGCATTTGTCTGGCTTCGTCTCTGAGACTGCCATCTCCCTGTAGACAGGGAGCAAACGTTGTGCATCTTCTATGTGTCTCCGCAGCTTGCATGGTGTTGGCAAGTAACCGAGACTGGCATGTGCATTGAGGTGGATGGGCGAGCAGGCCAAACACCGCTCCCAGGAAGATGGAGAAGATAGGCAGAAAGGCGGCAAGGATGCAAGACAGAGAAAAGCTTGGGGTGAAAAAATCCTACCTAGGTGCAGGTGCTGGGGCTGCAGACCCTAGAGCTTCTCAAAGGCAACTTGATGTTTTATAGTTCCATCCAGTCTCCAGCATCACCGTGTGGCCGCAGCATCTGTGGTATCCAAGCGACTTTATCCCTGGGGGAGTATGGGCATCTCCCTGGGAGGGTGTCCACAGGAGGACGTCAGGGCTCTGTGGGTGGCCTGGCATCTGGGGTCTGGGGATCGTGCTTGGAAGGAATCAGATAATGCCTGGAATCCAAGGCTTGACTCCTCCTTGTCTCCTAAGAGCTCCTTGGGAGTTGGGCTCCCGTTAAGTGGTTTTTGACCCCAGTTTTCCTGATTCTCAGATTCATCTGGCATGGAGGCTGGGTAGCTTTTCTGCATTCTGAAGCTTTCTTCCCACTGGCAGTGAGTTTATGGGAGTGCTTCTGTGCTGTTGTTCTATTTTTTACAGGAAAGGTTGAGTGACACTTCGAGGACAGGGCACACAGGCTGCCTTTGGGCCAGTTCCCAGCCAACAGGAAGTCACAGCTGGCTTTTGAGTTGGGAAGAGCTGGATTTCATTTTCATGTGACCCTGAGTCTGTTTCCTTATCCAGAAAACAGAGAGAACAATGGAATCCAGCTAACAGGGTTGGAGTGGGGAGGGATGGCTTACAGCAGAGCCTACCCGGGGACAGGCATGGCTGTGCTGGAGTGGCTGAAGCCACCTCACTCCTCTGAGCCTCAGCTCTCATCTGTAGAATGCTGCATCCTTAGGTCTGTCCCAGCTCCATTCCAGTCAGTCATGATGTGCTGATGGGCACCTCCCTGGCCAGGCGACCATCCATGGCTCAGCAGCCCAGCATAGGAACAGGTGTGTCTAAGAGCTTGGTGGGGCAGAGCCCACGTGCTCCCCCTTCACCGCCTTCCCCATCCCCAAAGGTCTCTGCACAGAGGCAGGTAAGCATATTTGGGAACAGAATAAAAGAGCAATCAAGGATTCTTTTGGGATCTGTGAATGACGGTAGTAACAGTTATTAAGCTCCTACTGTGTGCCAGAGAATTCTAGGAGACACTCCATGTGTGATAAATAACAGGACTCACAAGAGCCCCATGAAGGGCTGCTGTTGCCTGCGTTCTGTGGAAGTGGAAATTGAGCTTTAGAAGAATGAGCTGATCTGCCCATGACACACAGCTGGCAGGCAGAAGCGGAACCTGAGCCGACACCACCTGTGCAGACCCCAGGGCCTCTCACCTGCCCTCCCTAACCCAGAGGGATCTTCTTTATTTCAGCAGAGCCAGTGCATGGCACATGTGGATGGTGGGTCTCACCCCACATCCTCTGGGACATCGGCAAGAGACAGGAGTGACTTGGTGGGTGAGGGGCTGGCATGAACACCTAGCACAGTGTGGGGCAGGAGGGCAGGGCACTGCAGGACCTTGTGATGGGCAGCAGGGGCACAGCTTCCTCGGTGCCCTGTCCATTCATTTATCACTCAGCCATCTTCCGAGTGTCTGCTGGCAATGTGTCATCTGCCAGGCATCGTCTGATTCTCCTGGGTCTGACTGCAGACAGACTGTGCTGCCCTGGGAGCACGTGTCCCAAAGCAAGCCCATGGGAGAGGAGGGGTGACACCAATTTTTGCCCCACCCAGCCTGTTCCTCCTTCCCCTGAGCCCTGACCTGTCCTTCTCCAGGGGAGCCCCTGGCCTCCAGTCCCCTTCACCCAGACAACTCCGCAGCTCATTCTCCTTTCCAGGGCCCTCTGAGGATAAGCAACACAGGCTGTGTGCACTGAGATGAGAACTTCTGACCCTTTCTCCTCCTTTCCCTGGAGATCTAATTTAAAAGGTCTGGAGCAGGAGCCTGGGGGTCAGCGCATGGATTTTTGAAGGGCCAGTGAAGGTGCTGCCCTCTGGGCTTCTCTGGCAGCCTGCCTGGCCCCCTGTGCCTCTCCCCTCCTCCCCTCCCCTGTAACTGCCCAGCCCTGAGAGGAAACAGAGCTCCCTCCCTGAGGTCACAGCCTCCTGTGCATGGGCTGGCATCCCAAGCCCTGAAGGACAGGATGTCCTGATGAGCAGAAACCCTCTCCAGGCCTGGGATGAGTGTGGCAGCCACAGGAGTGGGCTCTCGGGTGGGATGGGTCCTTGGAGGGGCTGTTCCCACCCATCCCTGCTGGTGAGGGGTAGAGGAGTGTGAGGCCATCGGGAGTGGTCATGGGGGTCAAGAATGAAGCCATACTGGACAAGGTGAAGGCATGCTACTGCCCCATCAAAACAGGACAGAAACATGTGGCCTGTATGGAGAGTGGGGCTATGTAGGGCAGGGAGGGTGGCATGGAGGAGCCAGATACTCAAGGACCCCTCTTATCTAAGCGCCTTGTGGTGCCCCCTAAACAGCTCAGTGTGGAATGTTCAATGCCTTTGATGTTTCCCGGGCAGGGCTGGAACCGGAAAGGCTGATATCTTGGGTTTTCTACATCCCGCATCCCTCCCTTGTCACCGAGCGAGGAAAACCTTGGCCATGTCAGGACTGGTGGAAAGTCATCAGACTGGGCAGAATGCATGAGCTGCTCCTTGCAAAGGGGCCTGCACTGCTGGGAGGGCTGGTCTCTCAGCACCCTCTTCAGCCTGCAGGAGGCCCCACGGCCCCAGGGTTGTTGGCCTCTGTCCCTGGCCCTGTCCCAGCTTGTCCTGGTGCCCTGGTGGCAAGGCCTAGCACTTACTGTCTCCGGTGGCACCAGGGAAGAGACAAATACCCCACCAGGCCCTCCCGAGTCTATGTAGCCATGATCCTGGCTCTCTCCTCCCTCAATGACCTGTGGGCAACTACTTATCCATTCTCCAGATTTTTGCCAGTAAGAAATCCCCTCTAGGAAAATGAAAAGAAAAAAACTTCCAGAGAAACTTTCCCCAGTGCAGCGCCAGCTCCCCCATTTCTACATCAGACCTTCAGAGCCCAGAGGCAGCTGCAGGAGAAAAGGACAGGCTGGCACTGGCTTCCCACTGGATGGCTGTTTCCCAAGGAAGGCCCTTTGGATCCTGGATTTCCTCTTGCTCTATGCCTAGGTCACAGTGGCAGAGCCTTTGGAAGTTGCTCAACCAAGGTTAATAAATCTCAAATAAAGTTTGCCTTCACCTTCACAAACACCCTACTCTGAGTAGGAGGCCTCTCTCTGTCTCCTGCTAGGATGGCAGCAGGGCAAAGGAAGGGACCTGGATTCAGGCAGGGCAAGGCAGGAGCATAGCTGGCCATGGGTGGGCCTGCAGAGTCCTTGGTGTCAGCTGAGAGGAGGAGTCCAGCTCTAGAAGCAAAGCTGCTGGGAGCTCTCCCTTCACAGGGGGCGTGGGCCTCTGGTGTGCAGGGTCCTCCTGGGCACTGGGCCTGAGACTGCAGGATTTGCATCGTTGCCACCCCTTCCCTTCCTTTTTTTTTGTTTGTTTTCTTTTGTTTTTTGAGACAGAGTCTCGCTCTGCCACCCAGGCTGGAGTGCAATGGCATGATCTGGGCTCACTGCAACCTCTGCCTCCTGGGTTCAAGCGATTCTCCTGCCTCAGCCTCCCTAGTAGCTGGGATTACAGGCATGTCCCACTGTGCATGGCTAATTTTTGTATTTTTAGTAGAGATGAGGTTTCACCATGTTGGCCAGGCTGATCTCAAACTCCTGACCTCAAGTGATCTGCTTGCCTTGGCCTCCCAAAGTGCTGTGATTACAGGCCTGAGCCACTGGGCCTTGCCCCTTCTTTCCGGAGATTTTCTGGCATGCTCTTCCTTCTCCATCTCATTCTCCCTTCTCTTCTCTCCTTTCCCCCCTCCCTCCTTGTGTCCAACTTCTTCTCAGGAAGAGGACCCAGAGGGGACAGTGGCGCCCTCCTCCCCTTGCCTCCTCTTCCAGTCTCTCCCTTCTGGCTTTTTGTGCTGTCCTCTACCTTTCTGATCTTCTCCCCACCGCAGGCCATACTGGCTGATTTCACAGTAAGCCACGTGGGTCCAGCCGGGCTTCCTCTCTCCTGTGGGAAGGAACCCAGGGCCAGCGCAAACTCCAGAAGGTTCCCTGGGGGTGGAGGCTGTGGCTGGGTGAGCTCCAGGAGCAGGGGCACAGCCACAGCCTGGGAGGCAGTGATGGCCCCTGGTGCAGCAGTGGCTGGAGCCCACCTTAGGTCCCGCTGCTGTGAATCTGGTGGGGAGGAAGTCACAGAGTGGACGTGGCAGCGTGTATCAAATCACCATGGTTTCCAATGTGCACTCTGTGCAGTTCCTGCGGGCAAGAAAACGAGGGCAAACTTTAATCTGCGTCTAGGCAATTTCACGCACACGAAAACACTTAAAAGCCACTCGCCAGGCCCTGGGTTCCCACGCTTCTTTCACTGCATGATTGAAACTAGATGTATCTGACATGGCAGTGCTCCTTCCTCCATACCGCCGCATCTGGCCATATCAGCTCTCTACGGCTACCATAACAATGACCACACGCTGAATGGCTGAAGCAGCACGCATGTATTATCCTACAGCTCTGGAGGTCAGCGTCTGAAGGGTCTAAAATCCAGGCGCGCGCAGGGCTGGTTCCTGCAGAGGCTCTGGGGGCAGCCTGGCTTCCTGCCTTCCTCTACTCTTCGGGTCCTGGCTCCTTCCTCGTCTCAAAGCCTGTGGCGCAGCGTCCCCCGATCTCCTCCCATCCCGGCTCCATCCTGGCTCTGAAGGATCAGCGCCAGGGCTCTGCGCTGGCCTGGGTGGTCCAGGGCCGTCTCCTGCCTGGAGGTCCTGGTACCCCCGCTCTGCCAGTACCTTCCGACCTGGGGATGACCCCCCCCCAGGGTCGTGAACCCGCCTCTCCCGCCAGCCTGCTGGCTCCTTGCAAGGCGAGGGCCCCCTGGGCCGGCAGCTGGCGGGGCAGGGTCCACCCGGGCAGGGCCGGCTGTGTTTTCCTATGACTTCCCTGCCGTGCTCTCCCTGGGCCGGGGTTCACCCTCGGCCACAGCCCAGCAGTTTATGGCACTTTTTGATTTCGTTGCTATTCCTGGGGTGGGGCTGGGTGACGATCAGGCCCACCTCTAGACAACAGGAAGCCACTACCAGTCTCATGGGACGAACTCCAACCGCGGCTGGCAGAGTCGGAAACCACCGCCCCGGCCTCCTGCTCCCCGCGCCTGGCGCGCCCCCTGCTGGCCCCGCAGCGCCGCACGCCCGCTTCAGGCTCCTGGCTTCTCCCTGGGAATCCCGCCTCGCGGCTTCCTGCATCTGGCCTGGAATACATTGAGGAGCCGGTACTGAATTGCTGAGGGCAAAAGCCCTAGAATTGTAACCGTCAGTGGGTTCACCTTGCTCGCCTCTTAGACAGAGCCATTTATTAAGACAGGGGAATGGCAAAAGAGAAAGGGTAATTCACACAGAGCCAGCTGTGCAGGAGACTGGAGTTTTATTATTACTCAAATCAGTCTCCCCGAGACTTCGGGGATCAGAGTTTTTAAGGATAATTTGGCGGGTGGGCGGGGGGGTGCCAGTGAATCAGGATTTCTGATTGGTCAGGAGAGGAAATCCTAGGGAGTTTAAGTTGTCCTGTTGTGCTGGGTCAGTTCCTGGGAGGGGGAACTGACCAATGACCCAAGACCATGACCCAGTGAGCCCGTTTATCCATCTGGGTGGTGCCAGCTGATCCATCCAGCACAAGGTCTGCAAAATATCTCAAGCACTGATCTTACGTTTTACAACAGTGATGTGATCCCCAGGAGCAATCTGGGGAGTTTTAGAATCTTGCAGTCCCCAGCTGCATGACTACTAAACCATAATTTCTAATCTTTTGGCTAATGTGTTAGTCCTACAAAGGCAGTTTACTCCTCAGGAAAGAAGGGGGTTTGTTTTGGGAAAGGGCTGTTTTCATCTTTGTTTCAAACTATAAACAATAAACTAAGTTCCTCCCAAAGTTAGTTCAGCTTACGCCCAGGAATGAACAAGGACCGCTGGGAGGTTAGAAGCAAGATGGAATTGGTTGGGTCAGATGTCTTTCACTGTCTCAGTTCTAATTTTGCAGTGGTGGTTTCAGAATCACTGAGGCCTAAGTCAGTCTTGCACCCAGCTAGTGGTGACAGTGGAGGTGGTGTTGGACGTATGTGCGGTGGACAGGCTACATTTCTCTGGAGACGCACAAACTGTCAGAGGAAGAGCCCCAGCTCCCATCAGGAAATCCAGACACACTAGCATCTTCCCCAGCCTCCCAACAACCTTGCCTGGTGTTGGGGTGTGGGGGGGCTCATTCCTCTCTAAGGCTGATTTCAGCCCTCGCTTGGGCACCCCCTGTGCAGACTTGCTGCAGCCACACCTGCTAAAACAAAAGTTCCACTGGATTTTGCATCTCTTTTTGATTGTCCTGTCTTCCTCTCCCCTTCATAGAAAGGCTTTCCAAATCAGCCCTGGGGCTGCCTTCCCTCGCCACCTGGTTTAGTCCTCGGCCCAGGCTGCTCTGGGCAGGCGACCACCTCCTCTGTGCCCATGCAGGCATCCCTCACATTTCAGCCCTGGATCTAGGGGTCTCAGCCACAGCCAAGGCTCCTCCCAGAATCTTCCATCCTGGGCTCAGGGACCCACACCCTGGCCCCGCTGGCTTCCCGGCTGCTTTGCTGCTTCTTAGTCTTTGTGGTTGACACATCTTTCCCTGCAGACCTCAGCAGGCCTGAGTTCCCCCAAGGCAGTCCTGGCCACACTTTCCCTTCTCGCACCTTCCTCCTGGATGGCTGCCTGCTTCCTTCCTCCTCAGGCTTTGCAGACCCTCCCAGCTGTGGCCTCTACTTTTGTATCCCCAGCTCTTCCCTCCAGCTGGGCTCCACACTCTGCTGGCCCAGGTCCAAAGACACCCCCATCACACCGCACCCTCCCCCAAAAACCTGTTTCTCCCACACAACACTGCACCCTCCCCGCATAATGTACCCTCCCCAACAATGTACACCCCACCCCACAAAGCGCCCCCTACACACCACAGTGCAACTTTCTCCAACACACTGCACTCTCCTCCCACCAAAATGTACTCTCCCTCCCCACAGCACACCCCACCCATCATAATGCATTCCCCAACACACTGCACCCTCCACCACCACAATGCACCCCCTTGCCACGATGCACCCCTTCACCTCACAACCCCACAATGCACCCTTCCCCCCACACCTTACCCTCCCCCAAGTCTTCCCCATTTAAGATAAATTATACCCGTAACTACCTATTGCTCAAGTTTGCAGTCTGGAAGCCACCTATGCTTCTCTCTCTTGAGCTCTATCATGAAGTCCTGTTGTTTATAATTAAAATATGTCCTGAAACTACTCAGGGTCTTCGCCCATTTTGCCACCAGTCAGATTCAAGCCTCCTTGTGTCTTGCATGCACCCTGGCAGAAGGACCCAATGCCTGCCTTCCCTTCCTGTCCTGAGCCCTGCGCAGCCTGCTGAGCACTGGCTTCCAGCTTGCCCTACTCTCTGCTTCCCTTATGCTTAGGACTCTCCTGGTCTACAAGGACCTGCCTGGCCTAGCTTCACCGCCTCTCTCTGCCTCTCCACAGTGGCCGCCCTACCTGCCTTCTCCTCCTCAACCCACAGCTCTCCCACCAGGGTCTCACCTGCAATGCTCTTTTTCTGCACTTTGCCGAGGTTGCTTCCTTCTCAGCCTTTGGGGCATATCTTGAATGACACGCCCTTGGGATGGGCTTCTTTTGAACAAGATCTGCTCTCAGCCTTACTTCTCAGGGCCACAGCTCCCTGGTTCCTCCCCTGGATTTGAGGACTGTGCTGTGCCTGCCTGTGCACTTAGTGATTGCCCTCGCCCCTTCCCACGCAATGAAGCCATGCCAGGAACTGTGCCTCTCCTGCTTCCGCTGCATCTGTGGCAGCTGACATTGTCCCTGGAATAAAGCAAGTGGCCCGCAAGTTTCACTGACTAAACAAATTAATTTATTAATTTCATATTGTATCCATGGCCCTTAGCAAACATTTTACACATTTGTCTCATACATACTCAAATAATGAAGAAACTGAAGGCCAGGGACATTTCATATTACACATTCACAGAGCTCAGAAGGGGCAGCACTTGGGCTTGAATTTAGGTCTGAACTTGGTTCTAGGTGCTGAGTACAGAGCAAGAGCTGCCTATGACTCAAGAGGATGGCACACCACTGCAAATTCAACTCGGAAGAGCACAGCTCCCCTGAGGCTACACTGGGAGAAGGAATCAGGAGGGTTATTAGTGAGGGCACTGATGCCCAATAAGTCGCTGAGCTGCAGCTGTTCTGGCAAAGGCCATGCGGGAAAGCCAAGTAAAACCCGGTGGACTGGGGTCAGCAGCCAGCTGGGGCAGGAGTGTGTGCAGGGTGGGTGATCTGCTCCATAGGCTCTCTTCCTTCCGTTTTCCATCCTCCTATCAGCAATGTCCAGGGACAGAGGCCTCCAAAAAATAAAACTCAGAAAAGAAATAACTTTGAAAGTTGTCAGGCAAAGATCAGACCCACTCTGCAGTCTAGGAAAGTGGGACACACAGAAATCAAACTGCCCAGAGTGATAGGAAAAGCAGACTAGCCTCTGCAGTGCCCCGGGGGTCTGCCTGTGGCCAGTGTCCCAGGGAGGCTGGATGTTTGAAGAGAGGGGCAAAGGGGCCACTGAGGTTTGTCTTGGCCAGCTTCCACGACATAGTGGGATCCTAATGCCTGAAGTGGCTTAAGGGGCTGCTTGTGACTGGGGGAGGTTAGTGTGAACACCCCAAGCATCCTCCTCCCTGAGGCCAGCCTCAAGCTCAGTGCAAGCTGGGGACAGTCCTGGACCTGGGGGTGAAGCAAAGAGGAGCGAGGGAAGCAGAGGTGCTGAGGGGAGGATGGGGCTCTTGTGAAATTAGCAGGGAGACTGGGGAGGGGCCTGCCGGGGCTGCATGACCTCAAATGCCCTTGTGGTCCCTGACATGCACACGTCACCAATCTTATCTTCCTCTTTGGTCCTCTGTCATTTTCTACCTTCTGGGTAACAAAGATGCAATAAAGCAAGTCCAAGACTTCTCAGTTGAGTTGAATGAGACACCCTTTGAGATAAATACCCAGTCCCCCCTATTTCTTCTGTGTTGTGTTAAATGACCTTTTTATCAGGCTGTTGAGTTGGACTCAGCTCCTGTACTGGGTCCAACAGACCAAACCAATATGGAACCATTCATGCTAAGTGAAACTGAGCTTTGTCCTCATGTGCAGGAGGGCTGAGCTTGAGGCATCCACCATGGCCAGTGAGTTCAAGCAAAGCTGGAGCCCATCAGGCCCCACACCGCACTTCTGGTCTCTGCCCTGGATGCTGCCTGACCATGCTTCCGGCCACAGTTCTTTGAACCTGTTCTGGTCCTGAGGGCTACCTGATTCTAGAATCATGAACAAAAGCCAATTAAGATCTTTAAACTAAACTTGTTATAATGCTGTCTTTTGACAGTTGCTGCCACTGAGGTCGTACGTGTCTTGGGAATGTGTCTTCCATTTTCCCCTTGCTGGGGAGTCTGTTGTGGCTCCCAGGAAAAACCACTGCGGTGGGTCCTCCTCCACTTCCACCTGCTACCCCCACAGCCAAGGCTGAGAGAGCAAACACAGGGACTGACCCTCACCTGCCATCACACGTGGCTCTGCGGTTAATGAAATTGTCACTAGTGATGGGCTGTCCGGACAAATGCTTGCACTTCCTGAGCAAAGAGAAAAGGGGTCGCTGGCCCACATGGAAAGCTGCTCATGCTGGGGCAAGTAGGGTGTTGAGAACTTCTGGAGAGAGGAGCTGCCTGGGCACAGCTCCTGCCCTCAAGGAGCTCACAGCCCAGGAGGGGACAGGCCCCCAGCTGACTCCTCACATCATGCTGAGCAACGGTGGTCCTCAACACAGAGCACACGTCCTCAGGGGGACATGAACAGGCGGCACAAAGACAGGGACCCTGCCCATCAGGGGATCAGCAAATGGCTCCCTGGTGCCAAAGACCACAGCAACAGGGCTCACTCACAAGCCTCTCCAACAGCTGTGGCAGAGAAGAGAGACCAGGATGTTAGAGGAGTCAGGCACTGTGAGAGATTCAGGACGAGGAGCAGGCACACTGGGGACTGATGCTCAGGGGAGAGGCAGTGCCGGGCAGGAAGTCTACAGCCCAGGGCAGGGAGACTGTGGGAAACGTGAGTTATCAGGAGGGCACCTTGTTCCCATGAGAAGGCGCCCCCTGCAGCTGTTTTCGGGAGAGTGGGTGGCTGGTTTGTCCGCATATCTGGAGGGTCTGAGGCCATGTGCGTGCTAGTTGGGGCACGGAGCCTGGAGCTCCGAGGCCTGGGGTGGAGGGGCCCCCTCACTACTGGCCCAGTCTCTGGGCCTCAGGTTTCCGTCTGTAACCTGGGCACTGACACATGCCCCAAGATCTCAGCCCAGGAGATGAGAAGGTGCTCAGCTGAGGTGGCCCCACAGAATGTGTCCCTCAGTGGCAGGGGTGTGTGACCCTGCACCCCATGTGAGCTCCCAGTCTGTGCCCCCGTATGCTGCATGTGCTCTGAAGAGGGAGGGCAGGGCCACCCTGCCGAGAGTCACATAGGCTAATAGATCAGCCGCGAGCCCATCAGCAGAGAACTGCAGTCACCAACACAGAAGCACAGGAAGAGCTGCAAACTGGAGAACGGGGTCTCTGTGAACACAGAGATGCCTGTGAACATGACTGCACCTGCTGCCTCTCTCTCTTTTTCATTCTCTCCTTAACTCATTTGCCACAACATTAGAGAAACAAAGTCCATCTCAACTCTTCCAAAAACCTCAGATCGGCCCAACAGGGTCCTCTACCATCCTGGTGGAGCTTTTGTCAGACAAATTGAATCACTCCTTCATTAACAATGACAGTTCTCACAGGGAGAGTCCCTTGTGGAAGACCAGCTGGAGAGGAGCCCACAAGATCACAAAAACAAGAGCTGGTAAAGCTGGAGAGGAGCCCACAAGATCACAAAAACAAGAGCTGGTAAGGCAGAAAGAAGTAGAAAATGCTCCGGACTGCCCAGCACTGCCTGTCCCCAGCACTGCTCATGTGTCCAGAGCGCTCTGATTCCACCACCTAAGGCAACCAAAGCTGGCAGCCATGCACTGGGACTGCAGGAGGCAGAGGTCCCCCTGGTCCTGCACTGTGTGGTTTTAACTGAGTCTCCTGGTGCAGGTCTCTCTCCTTCCCTGGTTGCTAACACATGCTTGAACTGGCAACCAGGCAGCTGGCTCTGTCTTAAATTCCATAACCCCTGCATCCCAGCACACACAATTGCATAATTATAGTGTCTCTGAGGATTGCTCTTCATGCAGATGAATTCACCCCCAGGAGTGTGGGTAGGTTTTAACTGGGGATTAGCCTGTCAGTGCTTGGCTCTCCCTCAAGAACCACTAAACAGTCTGCCTGGAGGTTCCAGAGCCTCCTCTGTCAGCATACTACCTCCTAGGAGGTAGCAGAGGCCCCTGAAACTGTAAGGCCAAGAGGGGGCCATACAGTCGGCACAGTGGGTGCTGCCAGGCAGGGAACACTTGGTCAGCATTCAGCAATCCATTACTACTGGGATTATTTCTACTCTCCATGGCAACCTCAGGCTTGGAGCTGGGCATGCAGATTCTGCCTCTGTGAGGCTCAGTTTCCTTCTTTCTAAAAAGTGTTAAGAAACATCATTTGGGGCAGGCCTCAGGGCAGCCTTGTTGAGACTCTCATGGGGTTCAGCCACAGCTCAACTGTAGGTGACAGGTGCTGGGCATCAAGTGAGAGGAAGGCTTCATATGCCACTTGTGCATTTTCAGAATGTGTCCATAGGCTTGTCAGGACACCTGGATAAAAACTGTCTTGTTCCCCAGTGTTGGGCAACTGCAGGCAACGTCACCAGCACTGGTGGCACCAGCTGGAGCAGCCACACTGGAGTTTCTCCTTCCTGATGAGAGACCTCTTTCCCCTTTTTAGGGTGGTGAGCCATGAGCACACACAGGCTGCCTCTGTGGTTGGAGGTGGCCAGGCTGGGGTGGGGCAGTGGGGACTCCCTGAGAACAGGAGATGTCCCCAAACCCTAGCTCTGTCACACACTGGCAATGTGAGCCAGGAAATTGCCTTAGCCTCCCTTGGCCCTAGTTTTCTCATCTATAAAATAGGAATAAAACATGTTAGTGTGAGTAAATTAAATAGAAGACTGCATGGAAAGATAATTTTATGGTACAAAGGGCTGGTATATGTGTAAGCTTTCTTTCAGATACATACTTTGGAGTAAAAGTGGTGGCCATAGGTTAAGTCAAGCTTGTCCAACCTGCAGGCCACATGCAGCCCAGGATGGCTTTGAATATGACCCAACACAAATTTGTAAATTTTCTTAAAGCATTATGAGTTTTTTATCTCATCAGTTATTGTTAGTGTTAGTGTATTTTGTGTGCGGCCCAAGACAATCCTTTTTCTTCCAATGTGGCCCAGGGAAGCCAAAAAATTGGACACCCCTGGGTTAAGTCACTTCAGCATTAGTATTGCCCAGTTGCTCCTTAAAGTGGCTGAACCCTTTTGTACTCCAATCAGCAGTGTATGATAATTCAACTTAAATGTCCAGTAACCTTAATTAATAGAATGTGGCAGATTATTCAGTGGAAAATTTTAAGACAGTGAGAAATAATTAATTATATGTCCACACAGATGAATGTCAAAACATTATGGAATGAAAAAGGAAATAACAGGAGGACAGCACCAGTGTCACATCATTTCTTAAGGTTAAAATTCTGGGAAAGAGCACAGTAGGTCACATGATACACACACAGGCCTGGGGAGGATCCCGGCAGCAGGGAGGCTAAGGCTGGTGTGCAGGCTTTTCCTGAAATGCGGCGTTTTGTGTCCTGAGCTCTGTGTGTAGGCACACACACTTATGACAATATTCATACGCCTTTTTCTATGTCTTCAAGATTGCACATTTTTTTAAAAAAATTAATGAAAATATAGTGTTCCGAAAATATATATATATTTTTCTTATCTTTGTACCTTGATCTGTCTCCCTGAATGGGGAGAATGAGGTATAATTTTCCTGCCTCAAGTCTGAAAGAGAGGTGGGCCTGTGTAGAAAATTAAACAGAGCCTGTCCCCTCCTCTTGAGGAGGACAGGGGGTCCTGGCTAATACTCCTGCAGGCAGTCACCTTCATGGGATATCTTCTGCGTGAGCCAAGCCCAGAAAGCATCCAGGGAGCTGGGGCAAGGGAGCTGGCTCTCCTAAATGATTACTCCATGCAGGCCTACAGCCGGGGAACCTAGAAAGACCCAGGACTTGCACTCTCAACTGGGAGGGGAGAAACGGGCCTGTGAGGCTCTCCTGAGAGCAGCTGAATGGGGGCCAAAACTGAGAGGCAGAAGACACCCCAAGTCACCCAGCACACTGCTTTTCTTTCTTTCTTTCACATATGAAGATACTGAGGACAGTGATCCCTGGGCTGCAGGTGGGACCATCAGGAGGATGGGACATGACTCTGTGGAATGCAGACTCCAGCCAGTGGGGCCGGCTCCACCTTCTCTAACCGGCTTCACTACCTGCAGGGGAACGTGTGGGCTTTTCAGCTGTGCTCTCCAGGTCTCCAGGCTATCTGTTCCCAGCCTGCTTTCTAGATCCATCTCCTGGCTGCTTCCTAATGCCCTGCACACCCCTCCTGCTGGTGCCCTGAGGCCGGCAGTGTGTTCCACCTGCTTTCTTCACAGTGTTCTATCAGCCTGTGTATCATCTTTGCTGGACTTCATAAGCTGGCTGTCAGGGCTATCTTGGTCATGCCCTGTTCAATTTCATCTTCCTGATACCCCTGTGGGTTTTGTAATAATAGTCCTTTATTTTTGCAGCCCGTAGATGTAGTGTTTGTTTGTTTCTCTGAGCCTCCTTCTGAGGCAAGTTTCTTCATCTGCACTTTATGGATGAGGGCACAGCACAGCAAGCTAAAGGCCCATCCTGAGGCTGTGCAGTGAGCCAGTCGCTGAGGCTGTTCTCCTGACTCCCGTTCTACACATACTGCTTGTCTCCAA
This sequence comes from Homo sapiens, assembly GCF_000001405.40. Lineage (NCBI taxonomy): Eukaryota > Metazoa > Chordata > Mammalia > Primates > Hominidae > Homo > Homo sapiens. The sequence continues at coordinate 46,908,980 of NC_000008.11, read as the reverse complement.
AATTGTCCCAAGCTTCCATTTTAGTACGTGCCATATGTGCATTTATCTTCCAGTTCTTTTTAAAAGCGTTGTGGGCAGTGTATTAGTCCTTTCTCATACTGCTAATAAAGAGACATATCTGAGACTGGGTAATTTATAAAGAAAATAGGTTTAATGGATTCACAATTTCGCAGGGCTGGGGAGGCCTCAGGAGACTTAAATCATGGCAGAAGGGGTAGCAAACGTGTCCTTCTTCACATGGCGGCAGCAAGAAGGGCGGAGAGAATGGGGGAGAAGCCCCTTGTAAAACCATTAGACCTCACGAGAACTCACTCACTAACATGAAAATAGCATGGAGGTAACCGCTGTTATTATTAAATTATGTCCCTCCTATGACACTTGGGGATTATGGGAACTACAATTCAAGATGAGACTTGGGTGTGGACACAGCCAAACTATATCAGGCAGGAATCATTTTTTTACTCAGTTTTGCATTCCTCCAGCTCTTCTCAGCATTTGGTTTGTAGTTCACATTTACTACTAAATGTTTGTTGGCTTGCTGAATGGAATCTGTGCTCAGTATTTGTGTGTTTATGTGCACGCATATGTATGTGTGCTCATGTATGTATTTGTGTTCACATGTGCATGCATAAGTATGTATATGTGCATATGTATGTATGTGTGTATGTGGGTGTGTGTATATGTGTATGTGTGCACACATCTGTGTGTTTATATATGTGTGTGTGACCATGTGTGTATGTTGTATATGTGTGTGTATCAGTGTTATTAGCTGGAAAGGGGAAATTAGGAATGACAAGGCAGAGTGAATGTCTCCAAGATCCATGGCATGTGTTTGCATATAAACAGATACTGATATTTGGAAGCACTGAGGCTGGTTTTCCTCACTCCCACCCTCTCCTCTCCTGCCTTGATTCTCACATAAAGACAGCCACATTTGCAACACAGGCCTGCCTCCTTCCCTCTGGCTCTTCCTTAACCCATTCTAAGAGGACCAAACTCCTGATAGCATAAAAGAATCTCCATTGTCCATGGTGACAGGGATATTTCTTGAGCAACAACCATTGGTTGTCATGAAGCATGCTTGGAAGAAGAGGATAGGAGAGAGATAAGGAGTGAGACCCACAGGCAGAATGCACGCACACCCTCCTACTTGATAACCTTGTTCTTTATTCAAAGAGCAGCAGATACCCACTGCTTGGCTAGACCCTTTTATCAGCATCAGAGAGGTGGGTCCCAGCTGACAAAGTAGCTTCTAGACAATTCAACAGCATATTTTTAATTCTACAGCTGCTCCTTTGATAAAAAAAGGAAACAGAGAGCCATGGGACAATTTATTGTCTCACCGGTGTTACTTCAGCCTACAGAGTCCTGTGACAAGCGTATGTCAAGATAGGAGTTTGGCAAATAGAAACACCTTTCATCAGAGCCTTTGGGATGGAGAAGCACGGGGCTGAGCTGAGGTTGTGGTGTTTCCCTTCATTTCTTCCTGAGAGCCACCTTTCTGTCCCCAAAGACAGGGACCAGGTCCTGAAGGCAAGGATGGGTATTACTCTGTTTGTACGTCTTATGGGGCACTGTGGTGATGGCTTTATATGCATTATCTCATTAATTTTTGGAACATTATTCATAAAATTGGTATAATTAAACTCTTTCTAAAGCTAAGGAAACAGATTTAGAGTAACAGTGGTTTTATTGGGTGGTCTAGCTAATAAACTGCAGAATGAGAACTCGAACCCAGGTCTGCAGGAATTCAATAATGTGTGCTCCAGACACGCATTGCTGTGGACAATAATGATGGACTTCCCAGTTAAACTAAGAGACAAAGCTGAGCATGCAGCCTGTAGGACATAGGGCTCATGACCAAGAGTTGGGAGAACAGAATCTTGTGTTGGCTCCAAGTAAATATCATATACATCTGTTGACTCATGGGACATGTGGCACCAGGAGTCCCTGCAGAGGATGCATGCCTTCTCTGTTTACAGGGTCCTGGCAGGAACACTTGCTGCAGTAGGAGGAGCAGGCCCTGAGCAAACCCAGATATTTCCAGGTGTCTGCCCAGGGGAGAATTGGTGCAGAGGACCCCAATTGTGCATCCAGACTCCTGACAGCACTGAGGGCGATGTCCAAAGACAGAGATTTAGGTGAGCACGAGAGAACAAGTCAGAAAGTGAGCAAACCTCTTTCTCCCACGTCGATCCTTTTCCATTACAGTCTGGGATTCTTTCAAGACCAGGGCAAGAATGTGGCCTCTCTGTGAAGTTGAACGGTGGCTCCTTGTCTGCACGTGCCCTGATGAGAGCGAGAGGCCCCAGGCTGAGCCTGGGCTATGCAGGAGCATGCTAGATGCCTGGGAGAGGCACAAGGTGCTTTGCCTGGCAAAAGCTGGCTTTCGTTTTTTGCCTTAGACTCTTTTCTGTGAGGTTAGATCTTCAGCACTGCTGAAAAAGATTGATTGCCAGACAGATCCCATTCTCAGGCCATGAGCCGGTGGAGGCTCTGGAGGCTTAGACAAATTGATGATCCAGGAACCCGGGGTGTGGGGCTTGAGATATGTGTGCAAGAGCAGGCCAGGATCTGCAAAGACAAGAGAGACCTAGCATTATTCCCCAGCAGCAAAATGGGCCACACATGTGAGGGGGCAGGAGCTTCATTATCTCCATCAGACAAGGTTCAAAATCCTCTATGAAAATCACCAGTATTTCCCTCACTGTCATCCTGCTTCCCAAAGGCCAACAGTCCAAAAATGCAGTTACTTGGACCTGATCCTGAGTTTTTTCAGGCCTGGGGCTTCCTAAGATCACCGGGTAGGTCCTGCCTCTGGCCAGACCCAGATCCCAGGCTGGAGGGGACAGGAGAATGTAGTTCAAGAAGTACAGAAGCCAGGAGCTATCAGATAAGGTCTCTCTAAGGCCTGAAAACCAAGCCATTTCACCCTCATGGAATAAGAACCAGTGTTAGGATCACAGAATCATGAACATTGAAAGTGGAAGGAACCCAGGCTCAGCTCCCTGTAGATCTAGAGTCAGAAGATTCAATTTCAAGTCTGATTTCTGCCTCTCACCAGTGGGTGACTTTGGCTGCATCACCAGCCTCTCTGAGCCTCTTTGTCTCCACCTACAAAGTGGGGTTGTGGTGCCCCCTTGCAGGCCCACTGTGAGCATAGGGCAAGTGCATGTCCGGGTCAGCCAGAACCCCTGGCATGTGGTGGGTGGCTGATGCACACCAGCTTTTATCACTGCTGTCTGTGAAGACGGACTGACCACACAGTCACATGCTTCATTTGAAGCAGATTTCAGTTGGCTCAGATAGTCAGAAGAAAATAACTCTTCCATCATAAGGCATTATTCTAGATGGGTCTACTTTATGTGCAGCCCTAGGAGCTCACCCCGCTCATGCCAGAATCCCTGGCTTATGCTTGGATCAGCTACAGTGAAGCCTGGGGAACTGGGGGTATTTGAAGGGAGTATGGGGAAGTTACTATGGAAAAGTAACAATATCAATAGATAACGTTCACTAAGCATCTGCTAGATATAAGGTGGTTTTCCACGTGTTTTTCCTACGTGTGGTGACTATTCAGTAGTACAATTATTATTCCCATTTCACAGATGGAGAGTGAGGCCTGGAGTATGGGTCATGAGCAGCAGATCTGGGTTTCAGCCCCAGGCATTCTAGCTGCAGAGCCTGTGCCCTGAGCCCTGCCCTGTACTGCATGTGAGCCCTCCTACCAGGTTTCCTACCCTCGGGCTGATGGGATTCTTAATAACGAGATCTTTCTATAGAAAACAGGGAGCTGAAAGAACAATAGGGTATGCTGAGGCAAGAGCCCTGGTAGCAGGGCCCAGAGGTGTCAGAGGGGTCTGGAGACAGAGAACCAGCGAGGGGGAGGATGCCCCAAAGCAAAGGGATGGAGACTTGGTGGGAACATGTGGGGGACATGGGTTGGCTGGAGAGAGGGTTATGAAGAGAAAAGCATGATTGTATTTTAGCTTTAAGCAGCAGAAGAGCTGCTTACTGGGATGACCATTTTAAAAATTTGTCCGGATAAGTCTTGGACAAACCTCTGGAATCATCAGTTCCTGAAGCCATGAAAGCCCAGCATGAGTAGCTGAGTCAGGTCCTTCAGTCAGTGCATTGCACAATGCCTTGTCAGAGAGGAAGAAAGTTACAGCTCTGGAATCCATCTGCAGTGTCTTCTTAAGGATGCAGATGCATTTTTAAATTAGCTTTTAGACAAATAACCATAAGGGATGAAGCAGTGAGGGTAAACGAACCTTATGAAATTGTCAGTGGCTCTCTGGCAGTGCAGCCCCTAGGACCTCACGGTCTCTGGGAGTGCTGGGATGAGCCATAGCATTTTCCACTCTCTGCCAATGGCCGCCCCAGGCAATGCCAGGAGCTAGAATAGCACTGCAGGAAACACCAGGAGAGTCACTCTTTCACAAGCCAGAGAAAGACTGGAACACCATATTTTGCAGTCTGGAGATTTTTTGAGTAGAATTGCATCTTAGCCTTCCCATACAGAGGAGTATTTACTCTTTCTTTTAAAGTTTTCATAAAGAGAAACCAGACAATCTTCTCTCTGTAGTATCACATCCCTTGTAATTAAATAGCTGTTGTGTTTGTTTGTATTGACTTCCTTTGGCTCTTGTCTATTAAAAACAGAGTGCAGATAAAAGAAGATCATTCTTGGAGCCAAAATTTACTGGTTGCATGACCCACTGAAGTTTTCGTAGGACTTTCTGAACCTCAGTTTTCTCATCTGTAAAATTAGAGCACTGGCTTGTTTTATAGTGTTAGAGGCCCATAAGAAATTTGTAAGCACAAATGAGACAGACTTGTGTACACAAGAATAATTACACAACCTGAGTAGCAGACGGCAGATGCCCAGTGCCAAAGACTCACCCTGACTACAGGCAGTGAGAAGATGCAGACCAAGAATGGGTGCCTGGGTGGAGCTTCGTGGAAGAGGCAAAACTTGTACTGGTTGGAGAGCAGAGTTTGGACAGAGAATGATGCCAGGTTAGCTTTGGCAAAGGAGGTGCATAAGCAGGGTCTCTGAACCTGAGGTCACAAAGTTTAGGTGAATATCTACCTCTTGGTGAGAACCTGGGTGACACAGTGGCCTCTGTATCCTGAAGAGACTTATGTGAGAGCATTCATGAAAATAAATACAGTAACAATTCTTCAGAGAATTGTGCATGTTACATGACATGATATTTGTAAAGGAAATGGCATATGACAGAAACCTAATACACACATGCTTGTCTCCTCTTACCAGATTGTAAGATGAGGCTGCCCTGATTCCTTTCTTTTTCCCTGTTCTTAATGCAAGAGACATTAGCAAACACTGCTCTAAGTTGAGACAAGAGGCAGGGCGATCGATCCCAGCAGGGGCTGTCTCATCTCCCCAGAGCAGGGACTCTGTCCCTGGCCACAGGGCAGCAGTTTGAAAAGCGGGGACCTGACATTTCCAGGTCTTTTTCCAGCATCTGGTCCAGGTATCTCTTGAATACATTTCCACATCACCACTGCAAGTGGCTGTGGAGCTGTGAAGACGCTTTCTGGGTGCCTTCTGAAGCAGCATTTTGGACATGGTTTCTCTGAGCTGGAGAGCCTTCATTTCAGGCCATGCGGAGGTGAAACAGGAAGGTGCTGGGTGGCTTCTGAGACATGTTCCTACAAGGAACTGCCCTGGGTCTAACAGCAGCTCCAAATCTGTGAGTCTATTCCATTCTTGGATTGACTTCACCAGACCCTGAATAAACTGTTTTACCCACCCTCCTCCCTCTTTTCTCTTCCTCCTTTCCTTCCTCTATCACCCTCCTCTACTCACTCTTATCCTCCCCTTTCTTCCTTCTCTACCTTTCTTTCATTTAGCCTCCACTCCACTTAGATGCTCTTCCCCCCAGTGTCTCTCCCTTCCCTTCTACCTCTATCTTCATCTCTTTCTCTAGTTTTCTCTCTACTTCTCTTTCCCTCTTCCCTCTGTCCCCAGTGGAATGATTCAGTTCAACTCAGCAAATACTTAGATAGCACACAGTACATGCCAGTCACTGTGTAAGTGCTATAGAGAAAATAAACAAGATGTGACCTTGGCCCTCAGAGAACTTATCATGGCTTTTCTTCTTTCCTGCCTTTGAATCTCCCTCTGCCTCTCCATGTGTTTCTGTCCCTACCTCTCTTTCCTTCTCTACCTCCCCTCCTTCTCTCCTCTACCCCATTCTCTGTCTTCTCTTTCTTTTCTCTCTCCCTCTCTCCTTCTTTTCTTCTTGTCTCCTTCTATTTTTCTTTCTGCTTCTTTTTTGTCCTTCTCTGTCTTTCTTCTGAAATGATGTCACCAGAGTCCCATAATAAAACTAATCTTATAGTTTACAAGGTTGCATTATGCTAATTGCATGGCTACAAATGAATATAATGCAAGCAAATGAATTTGCTACAAATGAATATAATGCAAGCAAAAAGGTATTTAACTGAATAAATTATAAAATAATGCAGCACAGGGTCTGTTTGATCACTTATTTATAACCAATATAAAATCTGTGGCAGTATAAAGCATTTCTTCTTTAATTATATGTGTGATTTCTATTGTTTTGTACATTGACAATGTTTTCAAATGAAGTGATCTCCCATCACTTCTCCCTTCTTCACATGACCTGGTGGCAGGCAGGGCAGCATATTGTCCCCTCTTCACTGCTGAGGCTCAGGAGGGTCAGAGGCCTGGCAAGTGGCTTGTCCCACCCACACAGCCTTCATTTCTGGCCCATCTGAACATCTAAGGTTCCAGCGCAGAAAAAAATTGAAAATCCTCTTGAAATCACTGTGTGGTCAACAAGAGCCTGGGGCAGAAACTTGTTTCCATCAATCTCTTTTGCTAACTCAAAGAGCCAGGGCTGTACTCACAAGGGGCATTCTTGGCTCTGAAGCCCGGCAGGGGAGGCTGCAGAAAGAAGAGGGACTCAGGTGGGCAGGTGCCTTCTCCTCTCACTGTCTTTCCTTCTCTCCGGCTTTCAGAGCCCTGGAAAGGCCCTGGCCTGTGCTGGCCCCAAGCTTTCTGAGGGTAAAGATGAAAAGGGGCTCGGGCCAAAGGCACCTCTGCAGGGTCAGACCCTTTTCCAGGTGGAGGCAGCATTGAGTTCCAGCCTCCAGTGAATCCTCCTGACAATGTGCTCCTCGACAGGTGCACATTTTAATGAGCCTGCTGGGATTTGTGGCTGACACCAGTGCAGAGAGAATGATTAAAGGCCCTTGTCACAGGCACAGGGAGAAACCATGCCCCTGGACAGAGAGATAGCTGGTTCATCTAGGCCACAATCCTGTCATAGAAATCACTGGCTCCTAGGGGGTGGCAGGTGATTGGCAAATGCTAGAGAGAAAGCAGTGGGGAGCTGCAGAGAGGGGTCATCCAGGCAGTGCTGAGCTCTACAGATGGCCCTGCTGTGCTTGCAGCACCCCTGCTTCCCCATTTAGGGAGTGTCTGCCGGCTACTCTGAATGCTCAGCTTGACCGCCAGATTTTATTGGATAAGCCTGTCTGCCTCCACCACCCGCCATAGTAAGAGTTGAGGTGGATGGAAGATTTTCAGTCTCAGCAATGACATTTGAGACATAAAAATCCCCTACGCTAATGACTCTTGAGGGGCAGAAATTACTGCCAAATATTTTTGCCCAGTATATAGGTTATATGTGTTCAGAGTAGGTGAAAAAAATGATTCCAATCCTTCATATGATACACCTCACAACTTCATGTACATGAACTTTGTACTAATCAGTTAATTTGCAAGTTAAAAGTCAACAGTAAATTAATGAAAAATTGTTATTGCATCAACTTTATATGTAGCAAGCTGTTTCCGCACTGGTGAAATGATGTAACAGGTACACAAAGCAGAACGTTTGAGAGAAACCTGAAGTAGGAGGGGAGGTGGGTGGCCAGTGTGGAGCAGCCGGGCCAGGGTGAAAGAGCCCTGCACTGTGCCAGTCTACAAGCCCACCCTCAATCACTGAACAGACATGAGGCCTCCCTGAACATCTGCTTCCTTGCTGAGAAAATGGGGCAGATGCAGTAAATGACCTCTATAGACTTTTCCAGGTTACGGTAACCACAGTGTCTGCTTCCCTTTTCCTGGCTCCCTGTACTATGAAATCCAACCTGAAGCCACTCCAGGAATCTAGGCTCAGCCAGGTGGCCTTCCCACCACCTTCCTCTGGGTCTCTCCCATCCAGGATCTGCCAGGTGGCCTTCCCACCACCTTCCTCCAGGTCTACCCCATCCACGATCTGCCAGGTGGCCTTCCCACCACCTTCCTCCTGGTCTCCTCCACAGGTTGTGTGCTTAACTATATTCTATCTTCGAGAAACCTGTTAAGAATTTCTAAGCTGCTGATCACCCCTGTCATGATTTCTAAAATTTTTACTGGGTTACATCACTTTAAATATTCTTCTTATTATTTTAAATTAGTCTTAGAATAGAGGGGAGATAAATGCAGGAAATTGGTTTCACAATTTGAAGCGATAAAGGGAGTTCTTTGTATTTTGTTTGTTTGTTTGTTTGTTTTGTTTTTAACTAAGATCTACCTAAAGTTGTTTAAAAGCTTATGGTAAAGAACAAGTACACAGAGAGAATATGTGTAAATATATATATATATATATATATATATAAAAATATATATGAATGAAAAACAATTACCAAGAAGAAAAATATGAAAGAAATTGGGAAGGGATGGAATCTAAACCATATGGATAGGGTTGGCCATCTGTATTGTGGTTAGATATGGCTTCTGGAGTCTGATTTTGTGCCTCCAAATTTTAACTGCAGCATTTAATGAAACCTGGGGAAATTATTTTAACTTTGTGTGATTCACGTTTGTTTCTCTTTTTTTAAACTATACTTTAAGTTCTAGGGTACATGTGCACAACTTGCAGGTTTGTTACATATGTATACATGTGTCATGTTGGTTTGCTGCACCCATTAACTCATCATTTACATTAGGTATTTCTCCTAATGCTATCCTTCCCCCATCCCCCACACCCCACACACTCTGCCGTGTGATGTTCTCCGCCCTGTGTCCAAGTGTTCTCATTGTTCATTTCCCACTTATGGGTGAGAACATGAGGTGTTTGGTTTTCTGTTCTTGCAATAGCTTGCTCAGAATGATGGTTTCCAGCTTCATCCATGTTGCTACAAAGGACATGAACTCATCCTTTTTATGGCTGCATAGTATTCCATGGTGTATATGTCCCACATTTTCTTAATCCAGTCTATCATTGATGGACATTTGAGTTGGTTACAAGTCTTTGCTATTGTGAATAGTGCCACAAATAACATACTTGTGCATGTGTCTCTATAGTAGCATGATTTATAATCGTTTGGGTATTTACCCAGTAATGGGATCACTGGGTCAAATGTATTTCTAGATCTAGATCTTTGAGGAATCACCATGCTGTCTTCCACAATGGTTGAACTAGTTTACACCCCCACCAATAGCATAAAAGTGTTCCTATTTCTCCACTTCTTCTCCAGTGCCTGTTGTTTCCTGACTTTTTAATGATCACCATTCTAATTGGTGTGAGATGGTATCTCACTGTGGATTTGATTTGCATTTCTCTGATGGCCAGTAATAATGAGCATTTTTTCATGTGTCTGTTGGCTGCATAAATGTCTTCTTTTGAAAAGTGTCTGTTCATATCCTTTGCCCACTTTTTGATGGGGTTGTTTGATTTTTTTCTTGTAAATTTGTTTAAGTTCTTTGTAGATTCTGGATATTAGGCCTTTGTCAGATGAGTAGATTGCAAAAATGTTCTCCCATTCTGTAGGTTGCCTGTTCACTCTGATGGTAGTTTCTTTTGCTGTGCAGAAGCTCTTTAGTTTAATTAGATCCCATTTATCAATTTTGGCTTTTGTTGCCATTGCTTTTGGTGTTTTAGTCATGAAGTACTTGCCCATGCCTATGTCCTGAATGGTATTGCCTAGGTTTTCTGCTACGGTTTTTATAGTTTTAGGTCTAACATTTAAGTTTTTAATCCATCTTGAATTAATTTTTGTATAAGGTGTAAGGAAGGGATCCAGGTTCGGCTTTCTACATATGGCTAGCCAGTTTTCCCAACACCATTTATTAAATAGGGAATCATTTCCCCATTTCTTGTTTTTGTCAGGTTTGTCAAAGATCAGATGGTTGTAGATGTGTGGTGTTATTTCTGAGGCCTCTGTTCTGTTCTGTTGGTCTATATCTCTGTTTTGGTACCAGTACCATGCTGTTTTGGTTACTGCAGCCTTGTAGTATAGTTTGAGGTCAGGTAGTGTGATGCCTCCAGCTTTGTTCTTTTTGCTTAGGATTGTCTTGGTAATGTGGGCTCTTCTTTAGTTCCATATGAACTTTAAAATAGTTTTTTCCAATTCTGTGAAGAAAGTCATTGGTAGCTTGATGGGAATGGCATTGAATCTGTAAATTACCTTGGGCAGGATGGCCATTTTCACGATATTGATTCTTCCTATCCATGAGCATGTAATGTTCTTCCATTTGTTTGTGTCCTCGTTTATTTAGTTGAGCAGTGGTTTGTAGTTCTCCTTGAAGAGGTCCTTCACATCCCTTGTAAGTTGGATTCCTAGGTATTTTATTCTCTTTGTAGCAATTGTGAATGGGAGTTCACTCATGTTTTGGCTGTTTGTCTGTTATTGGAGTATAGGAATGCTTGTGATTTTTGCACATTGATTTTGTATCTTGAGACTTTGCTGAAGTTGCTTATCAGCTTAAGGAGATTTTGGGCTTAGATGATAGGGTTTTCTAAATATACAATCATGTCATTTGCAAACAGGGACAATTTGACTTCCTTTTTTCCTAATTGAATACCCTTTATTTCTTTCTCTTGCCTGATTGCCCTGGCCAGAACTTCCAACACTATGTTGAATAGGAGTGGTGAGAGAGGGCATCCCTGTCTTGTGCCCGTTTTCAAAGGGAATGCTTCCAGTTTTTGCCCATTCAGTATGATACTTGCTGTGGGTTTGTCATAAACAGCTCTTATTATTTTGAGATACATTCCATCAATACCTAGTTTATTCCTAGTTTATTGAGAGTTTTTAGCATGAAGTGCTGTTGAATTTTGTCAAAGGCCTTTTCTGCGTCTACTGAGATAATCTTGTGGTTTTTGTGTTTGGTTCTCTTTATGTGATGGATTATGTTTATTGATTTGCATATGTTGAACCAGCCTTGCATCCCAGAGATGAAGCCAACTTGATCTTGGTTGATAAGCTTTTTGATGTGCTGCTGGATTAAGTTTGCCAGTATTTTATTGAGGATTTTTGCATCAATGTTCATCAGGGATATTGGTCTAAAATTCTCTTTTTTTGTTTTGTCTCTGCCAGCCTTTGGTATCAGGATGATGCTGGCCTCATAAAATGAGTTAGGGAGGATTCTCTCTTTTTCTATGGATTGGAATAGTTTCAGAAGGAATGGTACCAACTTCCCTTTGTACATCTGGTAGAATTTGGCTGTGAATCTGTCTGGTCCTGGACTTTTTTTTTTGGTTTGTAGGCTATTAATTATTGCCTCAATTTCAGAGCCTGTTATTGGTCTATTCAGAGATTTAACTTCTTCCTGGTTTAGTCTTGGGAGGGTGTATGTGTCCAGGAATTTATCCATTTCTTCTCAGATTTTCTAGTTTATCTGTATAGAGCTGTTTATAGTATTCTCTGATGGTAGTTTGTATTTCTGTGGGATCGGTGGTGATATCCCCTTTATCATTTTTTATAGCATCTATTTGATTCTTCTCTCTTTTCTTTATTAGTCTTGCTAGCAGTCTATCAATTTTGTTGATCTTTTCAAAAAACCAGCTCCTGGATTCATTGATTTTTTGAAGGGTTTTTGTGTCTCTGTCTCCTTCAGCTGTGCTCTGATCTTATTTATTTCTTGCCTTGTGCTAGCTTTTGAATGTGTTTGCTCTTGCTTCTCTAGTTCTTTTAATTGTGATGCTAGGGTGTTGATTTTAGATCTTTCCTGCTTTCTCTTGTGTTCTTTTAGTGCTATAAATTTCCCTCTACACACTACTTTAAATGTGTCCCAGAGATTCTGGTACAATGTGACTTTGTTCTCATTGGTTTCAAAGAACATCTTTATTTCTGCCTTCATTTCCTTATGTACCAAGTAGTCGTTCAGGAGCAGGTTGTTCATTTTCCATGTAGTTGTGTGTCTTTGTGTGAGTTTCTTAATCCTGAGTTCTAATTTGATTGCACTGTGGTCTGAGGGAGAGTTTGTTGTGATTTCTGTTCTTTTACATTTGCTGAGGACTGCTTTACTTCCAACTATGTGGTCAATTTTGGATAAGTTCGATGTGGTGCTGAGAAGAATGTATATTCTGTTGATTTGGGATGGAGAGTTCTGTAGATGTCTATTAGGTCCACTTGGTGCAGAGCTGAGTTCAAGTCCTAGATATCCTTGTTAAACTTCTGTCTTGTTGATCGTCTTATATTGACAGTGGGGTGTTAACGTCTCCCATCATCATTGTGTGGTAGTCTAAGTCTCTTTGTAGGTCTCTAAGGACTTGCTTTATGAATCTGGGTGCTCCTGTATTGGGTGCATATATATTAGGGATAGTTAGTTCTTCTTGTTGAATTGATCCCTTTACCATTATATAACAGCCTTCTTTGTCTCTTTTGATCTTTGTTGGTTTAAAGTCTGTTTTATCAGAGACTAGGATTGCAACCCCAGCTTTTTTTTGCTTTCCATTTGCTTGGTAGATCTTCCTCCATCCCTTTATTTTGAGCCTACATGTGTCTCTGCATGTGAGATGGGTCTCCTGAATACAGCACATTGATGGGTCTTGACTCTTTATCAAATTTGCCAGTCTGTGTCTTTTAATTGGAGGATTTAGCCCATTTACATTTAAGGTTAATATTTTTATGTGTGAATTTGATCCTGTCATTATGATGTTAGCTGGTTATTTTGCTCATTAGTTGATGCAGTTTCTTCCTAGCCTCAATGGTCTTTATAATTTGGCATGTTTTTGCAGTGGCTGGTACTGTTTGTTCCTTTCCATGTTTAGTGTTTCTTTCAGGAGCTCTTGTAAGGCAGGCCTGGTGGTGACAAAATCTCTCAGCATTTGCTTGTCTGTAAAGGATTTTATTTCTCCTTCACTTATGAAGCTTAGTTTGGCTGGATATGAAATTCTGGGTTGAAAATTCTTTTCTTTAAGAATGTTGAATATTGGCCCCCACTCTCTTCTGGCTTGTTGGGTTTCTGCAGAGAGATCAGCTGTTAGTCTGATGGGCTTCCCTTTGTGGGTAACGCGACCTTTCTCTGGCTGCCCTTAACATTTTTTCCTTCATTTCAACCTTGGCAAATCTGACAATTATGTGCCTTGGAGTTGCTCTTTTCAAGGAGTATCTTTGTGGCATTCTCTGTATTTCCTGAATTTGACTGTTGGCCTGCCTTGCTACATTGGGGAAGTTCTCCTGGATAATATCCTGCAGAGTGTTTTCCAACTTGGTTCCATTCTCCCCATCACTTTCAGGTACACCAGTCAGACATATATTTGGTCTTTTCACATAGTCCCATGTTTCTTGGAGGCTTTGTTCATTCCTTTTTACTCTTTTTTCACTATATTTCTCTTCTCACCTCATTTCATTAATTTGATCTTCAATCACTGATATCCTTTCTTCCACTTGATCGAATCAGCTACTGAAGCTTGTGCATGCATCATGTAGTTCTTGTGCCATGGTTTTCAGCTCCATCAAGTCCTTTAAGGACTTCTCTACACTTGTTATTCTAGTTAGCCATTCATCTAATCTTTTTTCAAGGTTTTTAGCTTCCTTGCAATGGATTCAAACATCCTCCTTTAGCTCGGAAAAGTCTGTTATTACCAACTTTCTGAAGCCTACTTCTGTCAGCTCATCAAAGTCATTCTCCATCCCGCTTTGCTCTATTGCTGGCGAGGGGCTGTGAATCTTTGAAGGAGTAGGGGCACTCTGGTTTTTAGAATTTTCAGCTTTTCTGCTCTGGTTTCTCTCCATCTTTGTGGTTTTATCTACCTTTGGTCTTTGATGATGGTGACCTACAGATGGGGTTTTGGTGTGAATGTCCTTTTTGTTGATGTTGATGCTATTCCTTTCTGTTTGTTAGTTTTCCTTGTAACAGTCAGGTCCCTCAGCTGCAGGTCTGTTGGAGTTTGCTGGAGGTCCACTCCCGACCCTGTTTTCCTGGTTATCGCAAGCAGAGGCTGCAGAACAGCAAATATTGCTGCCTGATCTTTCCTCTGGAAACTTCATCTCAGAGGGGCACCCAGCTGTATGAGGTGTCAGTCGGCCCCTACTGGGAGGTGTCTCCAAGTTAGGCTACACGGGGGTTGGGGACCCACTTGAGGGGGCAGTCTGTCCATTCTCAGAGCTCAAACACCATGCTGGGATAACCACTGCTCTCTTCAGAGCTGTCAGACAGGGACGTTTACATCTGCAGAAGTTTCTGCTGCCTTTTGTTCAGCTATGCCATGCCCCCAGAGGTGGCATCTGCAGAGGCAGGTGGGCCTCATTGAGCTGTGGTGGGCTCCACCCAGTTGGAGCTTCCTGGCCACTTTGTTTACCTACTCAAGCCTCAGCAATGGTGGACACCTGTCCCCCAGCCAGGCTTGCTGCCTTGCAGTTTGATCTTGGACTAGCAGTGAGCAAGGCTCTGTGGGTATCCCGCTGAGCCATGTGTGGGATATAATCTCCTGGTGTGCCTTTTGCTATGACTATTGGAAAAGTGCAGTGTTTAGGTGGCAGTGTCCTGATTTTCCCAGTACAGTCTGCCATGGCTTCCCTTGGCTAGGAAGGAGAAATCCCCTGACCCCTTGTGCTTCCCGAGTGAGACAATGCCTTGCCCTGCTTTGGCTCACCCTCCATGGGCTGCACCCACTTTCTGACAAGTCCCAATGAGATGAACCAGTTACCTCAGTTGGAAATGCAGAAGTCACCTGTCTTCTGTGTTGATCACACTGGAAGCTGCAGACTGGAGCTGTTCCTATTTGGCTATCTTCTGGGTCTTTATTTCTTAATATCCTCACATTTCTTATTAGTAAAATTAGTATAATGATGATATCTCACAGGGTTCTTGTGAGGATTTAATGAACAAATATGTGTCATCTGCTTAGTACAGTGACTGGCACACAGCAAGTACTGCTTAAAAGTCAGCCATTTCTCATAGAATGGAAGCCACTTCTGTTGTATTAGGAGAATAGAAAATGTACACAGTATAGGAAGCCATAGTTTTTGTTTATCTTCTGGACACAGAGGGCGTTCCTCTCTGATAATTTCTACATTCTCGTGAGTTGAGAAGAGTATGGCCGATAAATACGTTGAATATTTCCCTGTGAGAATTCTGTCCTGTGATTTTTTTGAGAAAATTTACTTATCAGGACAATGACCTTACTAGTTTGAAAGAATTCACTGACACTCAGCCAAAAGAAGAACAGGAAACGCTGTACACAGAGGGCAGTTAAGGGTGACATTTCTGGAGATGGGGATGGGCACTCATATTTGAGATGTGGCCCACCCAGTTTGATCAGACATGGCTGCTGATAGCTGCTGCCATGCTATGGGTGTGTTTTCATGGCCCTCTCTTCTGTGAATAGGGGCCATTCCTAAAATAAGCTGCCTGGGCCTGCCTACTAAGGGCACTTTTACATATCACTGGGACCAGAATCCAGGTGATGTGATGTTTCTCCTGTCCTGCCTTGCCCTGACCACAGAGAAGATTGTGACATATTGCTAAACCCAGCGCCAAGGTAGGGTCACTTTCATACCTTGGTATTGCACATAGCAGCCATTGTGATGTATATCTAGGCAAATTGCCCAGGTTAAGTGAGTCTCTTCTCCTTCCTAAGTCCTGCCCACGGGGCAAATTTTGATATATCACTAAAACCAGCATCCAGGTTCTGTGACTCTTCTTCCAGGGTCCTGCCCACAGGAAGGATTGAGACACCTCACTGGACAAGCACCCACTCAGGTGATGTGACCTTCCTACTTGCTCTCTGCCCACAGATGATATTGTGCCATATACCTGAGACCAGATAAGAGGAATAATCATGATTCTTAAACCTGGAGCCAGGTCATATGCACGATGGTGACTCCCATTCCTGGAACTTTCCACCAGTGTTATTGTGACATATACCTTTGTCCAGCTCCTGGGTGATTTAATGATCCTGCCTAGGTGCAACCCACAAATGAGATTTGGACATTTACCTCAGCTGAGCAACTTGGTGATTTGACTCTCCTGTCTTAACAATATCCTCAGGAAGGATTGTAACTTGTCTCTGGACCCGTCATCTAGGTTACCTGACTGTCCTCTCCTGCCTCTCCTCTTCTGCATGGACACTGCACACAAGGAGCATTGTGTCATATGTCTGGACATACCCCAAAGTTATGCAACTTTTCTGCCAGGAACTTGCCTACAAGGAGAATATTGGAAATTTTCTGGCTCAGCATTTATGTTATTTAGCTGTCGTGCCTGTTTCATTATCACAGAGTAAATTATGTCATATACCTCAGCACAGCTCACAGGCATGATAATGACTCTCATATGTGGACCCCACAAATAGGAGTAATTTTGACTCTCATACCTTGCTTTAGAAACATAACTGATTAAATGTCTTTCTGGTAAAAAAAAGGTCAGAGAAAATTATAACAGTCTCAGATATTTTATAAAGCCCTTGGCTTGTACAGAGAATGTTGTGACAGAACCCAACAGAAAGGTGAAATTGTGAGTCCCATATGCACACCCAGCTGACAGTAAGGACTGTCACTGTCCTTACTGTCAACTGTACTATATGAAGCCAACTGTTATTCATGAAAACAGGACATGTGTGGTATTGTAAATCTCATCCCAGGAATTTTCTACCAGTGTGATTGTGATATAAATCTTTGCCAAGCACCTGTGTGATTTGACTCTCCAGACTGGTTAGAGCCAGCATATGTTATTGTGATATCTGCCTGGGCCAACCTCTAGGTGATGTGACTCTCCTGCCTGGGCCCTGCTCTCAGAGAAAATCATGACACATCACTAGATCCAGCACCCAGGTCATGTCACATTTTTCCTGGGCCATGCCCACAGAAATCACTGTGACATATCACTGTGTCCACCTCTTAGGTGACACAACTCTCCTCATTAGAATGGGCCCTGCATACAGCGGGGGATAGTGACATATGGCTGGGCCAGGCACACAGGTGATGGTACTCTTTTGCTAGGGTCATGTCCTAAAGAGGGCACTGTGACAAATCTCTGGACCTATCACCAAGGTGATGTTGCTCTCCTGCTTCGGTATTGCTAACCTGGATAGAGACATATTACTAGGCTAGATACACAGGTGATGGTACTCTTTCAGCAGGGCCATGCCTCAAGGAAGACATTGTGACATATCTTCGGGCCTATCACTTACTTAGGTGATGTGACTCACTGCTCGGTCTGCCCACATGGAGCATTGTGACATAAGGGTAGAACCTGCACCTATTTATTGTAACTCTCTGGCCTGGGTCCTGTCCTAAGGGAGCCTTGTGACATATCTCAGGACCCAGTATCAAGATGATGTGACTCTTCTGCCTGCTTTCACCTCACATGTTAGATTGTTTCATATACATAGAGAAGAACCTAGATGATATGACCATTCTCTTCTGCATGAGTCTTGCCTACTTGGGATATTGAGCCATGTATCTGAGCCCATGTCCTAAGTGATGTGACTCTTTTCTTCTGCCTGAGCCTTTACAATGGGGTGATATGACATATTACTAAGCCCAATACTTGGGTAATATGACTCTTCTTTCTCTCCTGAACCATGCCCATGAAAAGGAATTTTGACATATTGCAGGACCCAGCACCCAGATGATGCTCCTCTTCTGCTTGGGTCCTGCCTAAAGAGAGATTATGGCATATTGTTGGACTCCTACCCTGATGATGCAATTCTCCTGGCTGTGCAAGAGCAACAGAATATATTTTTACATATGTTGGGCCCATTCTGTAGGTGTTTTTGCTCTTATCATTTGTCTGTGTTTCTTTTTTCCTCATTTGGGATTGTGTCATATTGCTGAATCCAGCACCCAGTTAATGTAGAACCTGCCTAAAGAGGGCATTGTGACATATTGCTTGGCACAGCACCTAAGTTGCGCTATCCTCCTGCCAAGTTATTTTCCTATAAATGGGATTATGAAATTTACACTGTTTCAGTTAACAGGCATGATGATCGAACTTAAACTGGGATTCCACCAATAGTAGATATTTTGTCTCTCATCGCTACACTTAGTGCAATAGATAAGTTTATGAGTTGCATATTTGTACAAAGCTCAAGAAGGTTACAACACTAACTCATATTCTGTAAACTCCTTGGTTGGTACACAGAGTTTCATAACAGGGCCCAGCAAAAAGTTAAGATTGTGACTCTTGATTATACATGTAGTTGAGAGCAAAAGTTATCACCATCCCACATTTACAAAGCCCACTGTTGAAGTCCTGAGTCTAACAAGTAAATAAAGAACAAAGATGGAATTGTGACTTTCATATGTGGATCTTGCTACAGGTGAGATGGTAACTCATTTCTGGACCCAGATCACAGGCATAATAATGAGTCTCCAATCTGAACCCAGCCTTAAAGAGAGATATTGACTATCATAACTGGGCTTAGGGCAATATGTAAGATTGTTAGTCCATATGAGCATGTAGGCCTCAGAGATTTTGCAACTCTCATGCATGTTGCATAAAGCCTTCAGATGTTGCCGAGTGTGTCATACAATGACCCAGAACACACATGAGATTGTGACTCTTATATACATACCAAGCTAACAGTTAAAGGTGTCACCCTAAAAGATAAGGAGATTGTGTCATATCACTAGGGCTAGTACCCCTAAGTGTTGAGAATTTTTGGCTTAAAATCTTTCCCAAGAGTACATTGTGAAATATTGCTGGGTAAGAATCATAACAACGTGACTCTTTGCTTGGATCCAGTCAACAGGGGATATTATCATGTATCTCTGGGCCTATCAGCTAGGTGATGTGTTTCTCCTGCCAGTGTCCTGCCCACAGAGGATGCTGTAACATATCGCTAGATATAGTATCTACACAATGTGACTCTCCTCTCCTGCCAGGATCCTGCCCACTAAGGAAATTGTGACATACCACTGAGTGCAAAACCTACATAATATGACTCTTCCCTTTGTGCTGGACTCTGCCAAGAGAGGGGCTTATAACATATTCCTGAGCCTAGCACGTAGGAAATGTGACTATACAGTATTTTTTCAGCACTGTATACAGTGGGTATAATGACATATTATTTGTGACTGCACCCAAGTGATATGACTCTTCTGACTGGGTCCTGCCTACAAAGGAGATTATAATGTATCTTTGGCTCAGCAGATGATGATGACTCTTTTGTCTTGTCTCTGTTGAAAGGTGAAATTGTGACATACACCTGGATGCAGCTCATAATCACAATAATAACTCTCGTAACTAGATCAACCCAGAGGAGATATTTCAACACTCATAGAAAGTCTTACGGCCATGAGTAAAGTCCTGGATCTCCCATCTGTAAGAATTCACCGTGCTACTCAAGCATATCATATAAAGCCTGAGTGGTACAAAGAGTGTCATAACAGGCACCAGCAACCAGATGATATTGTGACTCTTGGATGCACACCCAGCTGACATGATTGTCATTCTGATACATGAACAGAGCCTACAAATGAGGTACTATGTCTCACACACATAAGCAGTCGAAGCTTGAAATTGTTACTCTCATACAAGAATCTGATCCACAGGTGGTTTGGTGATGTTTGAACCATGAATCAGCAGACCTGTAGTGCTTTGACTCCCCAACTGGAACACAATCTTCAAGTGGGATTGGGGCTCTTATACATGGATCTTGCCCATTGTTGAGACTGTGACTCTTGTACTTCCACCCAACTCATAGGCGGTGTGGACACTCATACCTGATGCCAGGACTTGTGCGGGACTGTGAAACTTGTTTCTGAACATTTTCAAATGTGTGATTGAAAAGTATGACTTTGCCCAACATCTGAGTGTTTTGACTCTCATTTCTAGGCCCAGAGCACAGTTGAAAGTGTGACATGTGTGCACCAAGCACCTAAGCATATACACATTCGTTGGCAATGCGACAAAGGGCACTTTTACATATCACTGGGGCCAGCACCCAGCTGATGTAAAATCTTGACCTGAACCCTGCCTATAAAGAGCATTGTGGCTTTCATCTAGGTCCATCACATAAGTGATGTCACTTCCTTTACTGCCTTGGCCATGCAATTATGGTGTATTTTGACACATAACTGGGTACTGCACCCAGATGATGTGACTCCTTTTTGGATGGGGTTCTGCCAGTAGGAAACTTTGTAATATATCACTTGGCTCAACACATAGGTGATGTTTCTTCTGTCTTGCCTAGGTCCTAACCACCGGAGAGATTGTGACGTGTTGCTGAACACAGCACCAAAGTGAGATCTCTCTCCTGCCTTGGACCTGCACATAGGGGCCATTGTGACATATATCCAGGCCAATTGCCTAGGTGAAGTTTCTGTCCTTTCCTGCCAAGCCTTGCCCACAGAGGGGATTTAAATATGTCATGGAAAACAGCATGCAGGTGATGTGACTCTTTCTACAGGGTCCTGGCCACAAGGAGGATTTAAGCACAGCATCCAAATGACATGACTCTCTTGCCTGGGCCCTTTCAACAGGAGGCATTGTGACATATCTCTGGGACCATCATATAGGTGGTATGACTCTCGTCCCTTGCCTGGACACTCCCCACACGGGGTATTATGCCATAGTGCTGGACCTAGCACCCAAGTTTTGTGCCTTTTCTGTTACAGCCTTGCCTACACAGAGAATATTGGAATATTTCTTGCTTAGGATTTAGGTGATGTGGTTGTCCTGTCTGTTTAATAACCAAAAAGCTGACAGCAAGTACTTTCACCATCACATATGGATGAAGGCAACTGTCATACATAAAAACAGGATGGACGAAGGCAACTGTCATACATGAAAATGGGACATGTATGGTATTGTAAATGTAATCCCTAGAATTTTATTTCATCATCACTGTGGTATAAATATTTGCCAAGCACCAGTGTGATTTCACTACTCAGACTGGTTCCAGCTTACCTATGGGATTTTTATATCTACCTGGGCCAAAATTGAAGTAATGTGACTCTTCTGTTGGGGCTCTGCTCTCAGTAATAATTGTGACATCAATGGATCCAAGCACACAGATGATGGTACACTCTTGCCTGTGCCATGACCACAGACATCATTGTGACATATCACTGTGTCCATTACTTAAAAGACATAACTCTCCTCTCTGGAATGGGCCCTACACAAAGTGCAAAATAGCGACCTATTCCTAGGCCAGGCACACAGGTGATGATACTCTTTTGCCAGGGCCATGCCCAAAAGAGGGCATTTTGACATATCACAGGGTCTATCATGTAGGTGATATGGCTCTTCTGCTTGGGACCTGCCTACTTGAATAGTGACACATTGCTAGGCCAGGCACAAATGTGATTGTACTCTTTTACAAGGGCCTTCCTTTAAGAAAGGCTTTGTGACATCTCTGGGCCTATCCCTTAGGTGATGTGACTTCCTGCTTGGCCCTGCCCACATGGAGCATTGTGACATAAGGGTGGAACCTGCACCTAGGTGATGTAACTGTGTTGCCTGGGTCCTTTTCTAAGGGGTGCTTGAGAATATCTCAGGACCCAGGACAAGGTGATGTGGCTCTTCAGCCTGGTTTCTGCCCACATATAACTAAAGAAGCACCTAGGTGTTATGACTCTCTTTTTCTGCCTGAGCCTGGCCTACTGGTGACATTGGACCATATCTCTGAGACCATGACCTAAGTAATGTGACTCTCTTCTTCTGTCCAGGCCTTTACAATGGGAAGATTATGACATATTGTTGAGCCCAGCACTTAGGTAACGTGACTCTCATCTTGTTGCTGAACAATGCCCATGAGCAGGACTTCTGCTGTATTTCAGGGACCAGCACTTTAATGATGTGAGTCTCCTGCCTGTACCAGAGACAGGGAAGGTATTTTTACATATCATTGGCCCATTCTGTAGGCGTTTTGGCTCTTATCAATTTGCTGGGCTTCTTCCATGTGTGGTTGTATCATATTGCTGGCTCCAGCCCCTAGTTAATATGACCCTCTTTCCCAGGCGCTGCTTAGAGAGGGCATTGTGACATATTGCTTGGCACAGCACCTAAGTGATGTTAACCTTCTGCTTAGTTGTTTGCCCACAAATGGGTTTATGACATACACCTTGCTTCAGTTCAAAGGCATGATGATCAAGCTCATATTGGGATTCAGCCAACAGGAATATTTTTCCTCTCACTATTAGGTTTAGGTCAATAGGTAGGGTCCTTCGTTGCATATTTGTACAAAGCTCACAGAAGTTGACAACGCTAACTCATATTATAAAACTTAGTGGATGGCACATAGAGTTTCATAACAGAACCCAGCAAAAAGTGAAGACTGTGACTCTGGACAACACATTCAGCTAGAAGTAAAAGTTGTTACCATCCTACATTTACAAAGCCCATTGTCGAGGTCCTGAGTCTAACAAGTGAATAAATCTCAAAGTTGGAATTATGATTTTCCTAAGTGAATCTGGCCACAGGAAGGATGGTGACTCATTTCTAGATTCAGCTCACAGGCATAATAGTGGTCTCATCCCTGAAGGCAGGTGTTGACTGTCATACCCGGGTTTAGGGCGATATGTAAAATCAAAAGTTTATATAAGCACATAGGCCATAGAAAGGTTTACAACACTCATGCATGTTGCATACAGTTCTCAGATGTTGTAGAGAATGTCATACAATGGCCAGCACACATGTGAGATTGTGACTTTCATATATACAAGTAGCTAACTGTTAATGGTGTCACTCTGAAAGCAGAGAAGATTGTGTCATATCCCTTGGCCTAGTACCCCAGTATTGAGATTTTTGGTTTAAATTCCTTTCCATAAGGGCATTATTGCATATCACTGTGTCAGAATCATGAGATTGTGACTCTTCTGCCTGGGCCCTGCAAACAGAGGATATTTTCACATATCTCTGGGCCTATTGGCTAGGTGATATGTCTCTCCTGCCAGTGTTCTTTCCACAGGGGACACTGTGACACATCACTAGATATAACATCTAGGTAATGTGACTCTCCTCCCTGGGATCCTGCCCACTGAAGAAATTGGGACATACCACTGAGTGAAAAACCTAGGTGACATGACTCTCCTCTTTGTCCTGGCCTCTGCCAAGAGTGGGAATTATTACACATTGCTGAGCCTAGCACCCAGGTGGTGTGATTCTCTTTTTTTTCTTTAAACCTGTCTACACTGGGCAGGATGACATATTACTTGAGTCTATACCCAGGTGATGTGGCTCTCCTGCCTGGCTTCTGCCCACCTGTTAGATTAGGACATATAACTAGGGA
Source organism: Homo sapiens (assembly GCF_000001405.40). Taxonomy (NCBI): domain Eukaryota; kingdom Metazoa; phylum Chordata; class Mammalia; order Primates; family Hominidae; genus Homo; species Homo sapiens. Next base: position 46,885,539 of record NC_000008.11, on the reverse strand, counting down.
AGCACGTAGGTGATATGACTCTCCTTTTCTTCCTGGGCTCTGACTACTGGGGACACTGGGATATATCTCTGAGCACATGACCTAAGTGAAGTGACTCTGTTCTTCTGCCTGGTCTTTATGATGGGGGATTGTGACATATTGCTGAGCCAAGCATTCAGGTTATTTGACTCTCCTTTTCTTCTCAAACCATGTCCACAAATAGAATTTTTGACTTATTGCAGGGTCCAGAACCCAGATGTTACCCTTTTGCCTTGGTCCTGAATATAGAGTAAATTATGTTATATTGCTGGGACCAGCACCTGTTAAAGTGACTCTCCTGCCTGTGCCAGAGCCACAGAAGGTATTTTGACATATCCTGGGCCCATTCTGTAGGTGTTTTGACTCTCATCCCCTGGCTTTTTTTTCCCCACATGTGTCATAGTGTCATACTGCTGAGTCCAGCACCCAGTTAATGGGACTCTAATTCTTATACCCTGCCTAGAGAGGGCATTGTGACTTGTTGTTTGGTCTAGCACCTAAGTGATGTTACCCTCCTGCCTAGTTCTTTGCACAAATGAGACTCTGACATATACCTTACTTCAATTCACAGGCATGATGGTCAAACTTATATTGAGATTCAGCCAATAGGAGATATTTTGCCTTTCATCGCTAGGCTTAGGGCAATAGGTAAGGTCCTGGGATGCATATTTTTACCAAGCTCACAGAAGCTTACAACACTAACTCTTAATGTACAAACTCCTTGCGTGGTAGAGAGAGTTTCATGACAGGGACCAGCAAAAAGTTCAGATTAGGACCCTTGATTTGATTTCACCCAGGTGAAAGCAAATGTTGTCACCATCCCACATGTCCAAAGCCCACTGTTAAGGTCCTGAGTCTAACAAGTGAATATAGTAAAAAGTTGGAATTGTGACCTTCATATGTGGATCTGGCCACAGGTGTGATGGTGACTCATTTCTGGACCCAGCTCACAGGCATAATAATGGGTCTCCTCCCTGAACACAGCCTACAGAAGAGATGTTGACTATTATACCTGGGTTTATGGCAATGTGTAAGATCATAAATCTATATGAGCATGTAGGCCTTAGAGTGGTTTGCAACTCTCATGCATGCTGTATAAAACCTTCATACAATGGCCCAGGAAACACGTGAGATTGTAACTCTCATATACATGCCCAGTTCACTGTTAATGGTGTCACCATCGAAGACTAGGATAGTTGGCATATTACTAGGCCTAGTACCCTGGTGTTGAGACTTTTTGGCTTAAATTTCTTTGCATGGTTGCATTGTGACATATCACTGGGTTAGAATCATAATAATGTGACTCTTCTGCCTGGACCCTGCCAACAGGGGATATTATCACATATCTCTGGGCCTATAAGCTAGGTGATTTGTCTCTCCTGCCTGTGCCCTGCCCCCAGGGGACATTGTGAAATATCATTTGACTTAACATCTAGGTAATGTGACTCTCCTCTCCTGCCTCGGTCCTGCTCAGCAAACAAATTGTGGCCTACCACTGATTGCAAAACCTAGGTGATGTGACTCTCCTTCATATTCTAGACTCTGCCAAGAGATGGGATTAATACAAATTGCAGAGCCTAGCACCTAGGTGGAGTGACTCTCCTCTTTTACTTCTACCCTGTCTGTAGTGGGCTTGGTGACATACTGTTTGATGCTGTACCCAGGTGATGTGCCTCTCCTGCCTTGTCCTTGCTCACAGATGAAATTGTGACATATACCTGGCTTAAGCACACATGCGTAATAATAACTCCCATGCCAGGACCCAGTCAGTAGAGATATTTTGAGTCTCATAGTCAGTCTCATGGCCATGGGTAAAGTCCTGGGTTTTTCACTTATATAAAATTCAGGAAGGATTATAACGCTTAGGTATATCATATAAATTCTTAACGGTATAAAGAGTGTCATAACAGAGATCAGCAACCAGGTGAGAATGTGATTCTTTTATGTACACCAAGCTGATATGATTACCATTCTCACACATGAACAGGGTCTAGGAATTTGGTACTAAATCTCACACATAAAAAGCAGTTGAAGGTTGAAATAATTACTCTCTTGCATGGATCTGATTCACAGGTGGTTTGGTAACATTTGAACCGTGATTCAGCACACCTGTGGTGCTGTGACTCCCTTAATGGAACACAGTCTTCAAGGGTGTTTGGGCATCTTATACATGGAACTTGCCCATTGTTGAGACTGTGACTCCTCTACTTCGACCCAACTCATAGAGAGAGTTGACTCACATACACGAAGCCAGGACTTGTGTGGGATGTGAAACTTATTTCTGAACCTTTCTGAGAGTGTGATTGGGACAGGTAACTTTGCCAGCACATGAATAATTTGACTCTCTTTTCTAGGCCAAGACCACAGATAAAATTGTGCCATATGTGGAACAAGCACCTAAGTAATATATAACACCTTCCTTGGCTCTGTCTTCAAAGGTCACTTTTATATATCACTGGGACTGTCACCCAGGTGATGTGAATTAACTGCCTGAAACCTGCCTACAAAGAGAATTGTGTCTTATATCTAGGTCTATCATGTAAGTGATGTGACTCCTTTCTACTGCCTTGGCCCTGCATTGTGACACATAACTCAGCACTTCACCCAAGTGATGTGATTCTCCTTTTTGCGTTCTGCCAAAAGGAAGCATTGTAACATATCACTTGGCTCAGCACCTAGGTGATGTTTCTTCACCTTTTCCTGGGCCTGGATTATGGGTAGATTGTGACATATTGCTGGGCCCAGCACCAATGTGAGATCACTCTCCAGCTGTGGTACTGCACATAAGGGTCTTTGTGACATATATATAGGCCAATTGCCTAGGTGAAGTGAATCTCCTATCTTTCCAAAGTCCTGGCCACAGAGGGGGTTTTGAGATGTCACTGAAACCAGCATCCAGGTGATGCGACACTTCTGCCGGGGTCCTGGCTGCAAGGTGGATTATGACATCTCACTGGACCCATACCCATATAGGTGATGTGACTTTCTTGCCTTCTCTCTGGCCACAGGTGATATTGTTCCATATACCTAAGACCCTAACAAAAGCCTAATAAGAACTCATATGCCTGGGGCCAGGACATGTGCAGGATGGTGACTCTTATTTTTAAATCTTCCCACAAGTGTAATTGTGACATATACTTTTGCCCAGCTCCTGAGTGATTTAATAATTCTGCCTAGGTATAGCACACAAATCAGATTTTGACAAATACCTGGGCCAAGTACCTTGGTGATCTGACTGTGCTATTTTAACAATGTCCTCTGGGGGGATTGTAATATATTTCTGGATCCATCATCTAGGTTACATGACTCTCCTCTCCTACCTGTACCCTGCTTCCTTTGGTAATTGCAGCATTTCTAAACACTGAATCCAAATGACATGACCCTCTTGCCTGGGCCCTGGCAACAGGATGCATTGTTACATATCTCTGGGCCCATCATTTAGGTAATATGGCTCTCCTTTCCTGCCTGGACACAATCCACAAGGGGCATTATGCCATAGAGCTTGACCTAGCACCCAAGTTTTGTGAATTTTCTGTTAGGGCCCTGACTACGAAGAGAATATTGGAATATTTCTGGCTTTGGATTTACATGATGTGGTTGTCCTGCCTGTTTAATATCCACAGAGTGGATGGTGACATATACCTAGGCACAGCTTACAGGCATGATAATGACTCTCATATGTGGGCCCAGCCAATAGGAGGAATTTTGACTTCTGTAACTAGGTTTAGGAACATGAGTGATGTCCATTATCCCCTTCTGGTAAAAAGGTCACAGAAGATTACAACACTCACACATATTTTATAACACCCTTGGGTTGTGTAGAGAGTGTCATTACAAGGCCTAGCACACAGAGGAAATTGTGCATCTTGTATATGCACCCAGCTGACAATAAGGACTTTTACCATCACAGTTGGATGAAGGTAACAGTCCTACATGAAAACAGGACATGTGTGGTATTGTAAATCTAATGCCTAGGATTTTATTCCACTGTGACTGTGATATGAATCTTTGCCAAGTACCTGCATGATTTTACTTTTCAGAGTGGTTCCAGCATACCTGTGGGATTTTGATATCTACCTGGGCCAACTTTGAAGTGATGTGACTCTTCTGCCTGGGCCCTTCCCTCAGTAAGAATTGTGACATCTCTGGATCCTACACCTAGGTGATGTTACATTCTATCCTGCACCATACCAACAGACATCATTGTGACATATCACTGTGTCCATCACTTAAAAGACATAACTGTCAAGACCAGCTCGGTCAGGGAGACCCTAGCCCAGTGGTGCTAGAGGAATTAAAGACACACACAGAAATATAGAGGTGTGGAGTGGGAAATCAGGAGTCTCACAGCCTTCAGAGCTGAGAGCCTCGAACAGAGATTTACTCACATATTTATTGACAGTGAGCCAGTGATAAGCATTGTTCTTATAGATTATAGATTAACTAAAAGTATTTCTTATGGGAAATAAAGAGATGGGCCAAAATAAAGGGATGAGTCTAGCTAGTTATCTGTAGCAGGAGCATGTCCTTAAGGCATAGATCGCTCATGCTATATTGTTCGTCGTTTAAGAATGACTTTAAGCAGTTTTCCACCCTGGGTGGGCCAGGTGTTCCTTGTCTTCATTCTGGTAAACCCACAACCTTCCAGCGTGGGTGTCATAGCCATCATTAACATGTCAGAGTGCTGCAGATATTTTGTTTATGGCCAGTTTTAAGGCCAGTTTATGGCCAGATTTTGGGGGGCTTGTTCCCAACATGTCCTCCTTCTTTGATTTGCAAAGTGATAAAAGCAAAGGCAGCTTCATCACGGTGTTCTCACAGGAGTTGGGATCTGCATCTGCAGACTATACAAAGACAAACAACTCAGATTAAAAGTACAATCGTTATTGAAATCACAGAGCTTCCAAGTGTTTTTATTCATTTTAATGGGTTACTAGGTGCTAATTTGTCTGCAGCTCCTTTAAGCACTCCAGTTCCTGGCATTAAGGTCAGGTTTGCCTGGGACACATTAAATATTTGTTTTTTAAACTTTGTAATATCCAAAAACAAGTTTGTAGAGTGCCCCTCTAGATGCTTTTTTATTCTTTCCTAAATTTTGATCTTATTAAGAGCTATTAATAGTTTCCACAAATCCTTATGTTTAGCTCCTACAAAGGGCCATATCATTTGAGGTTGAGGTGCCACTATACTGCCATGGTTCCAGATAACAGAAACTCTTGCCATACTTCTTATCATTTCTACCATCTGACCATTTTGTTCAGACCAGCTGAACATAGTGTGGCCATGGCACGCAGACTGAGAGGTGTAATTCAAGCTAAACATCCCCTTAGGGGACCAATCAATAATGATTCCATAGGAATCACTGTGCAGCACCTCTGCCTGTTCTGTAATGTAGTCTTCCTAAACAAGTACGTTCATTATTTCTAACTGGGTCCAATCCTGTTTACAAATAGGTTTTTGAGGGCGGTATGCCTCAATTATAGGAGCAGATTTATTATGGTAAATACTGAGACCAGAAAGCATGTGTAACTGTGTCATGGAGTGATTACATTCAGGCATTATTACCAGCCAAGATTAATAAATATGCCCAGTTAGTATAATTGTTCTCTGTGTCAGCCCTTGTTTAAGGAATACACATGGCAATGGTGATCATTACTATCATAGCTACCATTAAATTACTCATTGTGACTGGCTGTCCTGCTTTTCTCAGTTTTTTTTCCTGCCATCTGTGACAGCTTCTTGATCTGTCCCCAGGTTGGTGGCTGTGTTCAACGGGTGTTGCTCATGACAGTTGGGGTCTTCCTCGGTGTCAGTCTCAACATGGCTGTAACTAGGGGATCCTCAGGATCCTCCTGGAATCTTTTCCTCAACATCTGGCTCATGATAAGGTTTTAGGTGTCTTGTTGGTATCCAAATTGGCTGTTGATTCAGTCCTGGAGAAACACAAGAATAACTCCTACCCCAAGTTATTATTTTACCTATTTTCCAAATTTTTGTTATTGGATTGCATTAGTTACCAGGCAATCAGCCATTTGATTCCCTTTAGTTAAAGGTCCTGGAAAAGGTGTATGAGCCCTAATGTGAGTGATGTAAAAAGGGTGCATTCTATTCCTAACTGCTCTTTGTAATTGGGTAAATAAAGTCATCAGTTGTTTGCCTGTATGAAATGGTAACTGAGCATTTTCAATTAACTGTGTGGAATGAACCACGTATGAAGAATCAGAAATCACATTAATAGGCATATCAAAAGCAGTCAGTACCTCAATTACAGCTACAAGCTCCGCTTTTTGAGCTGAAGTATAGGGTGTCTGGAAAACTTTACCTTTTGATCCAGAATAAGAAGCTTTACAATTACTAGATCCATCTGTGAAACAATGAAAATGCTCAGCAGGCTGCAGGTTGTTTACCACAGGAATTGTAAATGCAAACCGTCCACAGTCTTGCTCAGCTAAGGGGATAGTAAAGAAACAATCTTTTAAATTTATGACAATTAAAGGCCAATTTTTTGGAATTAGGAGAAGGCAATCCTGGCTGTAATGCTCCCATAGGTTGTATAACTGAATTGATGGCTCTTAAGTCAGTTAACATTCTCCATTTACCTGATTTTTTCTTAATTCCCAAAACTGGAGAATTCCGAGGGGAAAATGTTGGAGCTATGTGCCCATTTTTTAATTGTTTAGTAACTAATTCCTCTAAAGCCTCCAGTTTCTGTTTACTCAGTGGCCATTGTTCTATCCAAATTGGTTTATCTGTTAACCATTTTAAAGTATAGTTTCTGGAGGCTTAACAATGGCCGCTATCAAAAATGATATCCTAAACCTTGGCGGGAACTTTGTCTTTCCTCTTGAAGTGGTTCTTTCAAAACTTGCAAATTTTTTCCTAGTCCAATACCAGGGATATACCCCATTTCATGCATCATATGTTGACTTTGAGGGCTATACAATTGTTCTGGAATTAGAACTTGTGCTTCCCATTGCTGTAATAAATCTCTCCCCCATAGATTTATAGGTACAGAAGTTATAATTGGTTGAATAGTTCCAGGTTGTCCATTGGTCCCTTCACAATGCAAAATGTAGCTACTTTGATATACTTCAGGGGCTTTACCAACCCCAACTATGTTAAATTGAGTGGGTTGAATTGGCCATGTGGACAGCCAGTGCTGTAGAGAAATGATTGAAATGTCTGCTCCTGTATCTACCAAAACTTTAAATTTGTTTTCCTGAGTAGTTATTTCATAGGTAGGATGTTTATCAGTAATTTGATTTACCCAATAAGCTGCTTTGCCTTGTTTGTTTGTGCTTCCAAATCCTCCTGTTCATTTAATTTCACTTTTCCCTATTTCCACATATGGCACAATCAGGAGCTGTGCTATACGCTCTCCTGGCTCTGCTTTCCAGGGAACAGAAGTAGATATCACAATTTGAATTTCCCCATTATAATCTGAATCAATGACTCCTGTTTATATTTGTACCCCTTTTAAATTTAAACTAGACCTTCCTAGAAGTAATCCTATTGTCCTCACTGGCAAGGGTCCACAGACTTCTGTTGGGACCTTTTGCAGGGGATCCCCAGGCAGAAGGCTCACAGCTTTTGTACAGCATAAATCTACTGTGGCACTACCAGCTGTGGCAGGGGACAGACATGGTACAGGTGTGAGGGAATGGCCTGAGCCAGAAATGCCCCAGTTTGGAATGGGGTCCAGGATGGGCCCCTCATGGCATTTCCCAAAATTGGGTTCCCATCTTTATCAAACTTAGAGTGACACTGATTAGCCTAATGTTTTCCTTTACTACCTTTTGGAAATATTTCAGGCTCAGCAGTTTTCTTTTTTCCCCTATCTGGCAGCCTGACTAGCTGATTTATTCTACATTCTTTTTTAGTATGAAGAGCTTGTTCAAATTCTTTGAGTAATTTAAAAGGAAAAGGCTTAAATGTAGCTATAAAATTTCCCTGTTGATCTGGGGGGGTGCATTCTAACAAGGAACTGCCAAGCCTCTATATCACCGTCTCATCTAGCTTGCTGGATTCCTGTCTGAATAGAACTGAGAGCGGTCGCTCAAGGTGCTGCTCAAACTGTCCCTGCGGCAACTACTTTTCACCCAGTGTCCTCCAGAAAAGAAATATCTGGAGGGCCAGGCCACTGTTTTTCTTCAAAATAATAATGACAGGGTGCAGAAGTGTAGGGATAAACCTCTTCCTCCTTTGCTGCTTTAGGTTTAGCTGGCAAACAAACCTGCTCTGTTACTTTGTTATACTCTCCTTCCTCCTCATCATCAGTGTGAAAAAGTTCCAAGGTGGAATGAACCAGAGCTCATACTTGTCCCATTGTTACCTTGATGCTTCTGAACTCCCCTTCTTACCACGCAGATCGCTTAAGAGTACTCTGGTGTCCTCCAGCTTTGTTCCACATTCTCCAACCATTTATCAGGTGACCCTTCAACCTGGATTCCAGCCCGTATGATGGATGCCAATTGCCGAGACCAGCTTGTTTGGGGAGACCCTAACCCAGTGACGCTAGAGGAATTAAAGACACACACACAGAAATATAGAGGTGTGGAGTGGGAAATCAGGGGTCTCACAGCCTTCAGAGCTGAGAGCCTTGAACAGAGATTTAACCACGTTATTTATTGACAGCAAGCCAGTGATAAACATTGTTTTTATAGATTATAGATTAACTAAAAGTATTTCTTATGGGAAATAAAGGGATGCACCAAATAAAGGGATGAGTCTGGCTAGTTATCTGTAGCAGGAGCATGTCCTTAAGGCACAGATCGCTCATGCTATTGTTTGTGGTTTAAAAACCACCTTTAAGCAGTTTTCCACCCTGGGTGGGCCAGGCATTCCTTGCCTTCATTCTGGTAAACCCACAACCTTCCAGCATGGGCATCATAGCCATCATTAACATGTCAGAGTGCTGCAGATATTTTGTTTATGGCCAGTTTTGGAGCCAGTTTATGGCCAGATTTTGGGAGGCCTGTTCCCAACACATAACTCTCCTCTCTGGAATGGGCCCTTACAAAGTGCAAAATAGTGACATATTCCTAGGCCAGGCACACAGGTGATGATACTCTCATGCCAGGGCCATGCCCAAAAGAGGGATTTTGATGTATCACAGGGCCTATCATGTAGGTGATATGGTTCTTCTGCTTGGATGTGCCTGCTTGAATAGTTACATATTGCTAGGCCAGGCACAAAGGTACTCTTTTGCCTGGGCCATGCTTTAAGGAAGGCTTTGTGATGTATCTCTGGGCCTATCACCTAGGTGATGTGACTTCCTGCTTGGCCCTGCCCACATGTAGCATTGTGACATAAGGGTAGAAACTGCACCTAGGTGATGTTACTCTCTTGCCTGGGTCCTTTTTTAAGGAGGACTTGTGAATATCTCAGGACCCAGTACTACGTGATGTGGCTCTTCAGCCTGTTTTCCATCCACATATTAAATTGTGACATATACCTAAAGAAGCACCTAGGTGATATGACTGTCTTATTTATTTTTTAAATATGGTGTCTTGCTCTGTCACCAGGCTGGAGTGCAGTGGCTCCATCTTGGCTCACTGCAACTTCCACCTCCCAGGTTCAAGTGATTCTCCTGCCTCAGCCTCCTCAGTAGCTGGGACTATAGGCATGTGCCACAGTGCCCAGCTAATTTTTGTATTTTTAGTAGAGAGGGGTTTCACCATGTTGGCCAGGCTGGTCTCAATCTCTTGACTGATATGACTGTCTTTTTCTCCCTGAGCCTTGCCTACTGGTGACATTGGGCCATATCTTTGAGCCCATGACCTAAGTGATGTGACTCTCTTCTATCTGGGCCTTTACAATGGAAAGATTGTGACATATTGATGAGCCCAGCATTTAGGTAATGTGACTCTCATTTTGTTGCTGAACAATGCCCATGAACAGGACTTTTGCTGTATTTCAGAGCCCAGCACCTGGGTGATGTTACTCTTCTGCCTAGGTCATGCATAAAGAGGTAATTGTAGCAAATTGCTTGGCCCAGCACCCTAATGATGTGACTCTGCTGTTAGTTTCAGAGCCACAGAAGGTATTTTGACATATCTTTGGCCCATTTTGTAGGTGTTTTGTCTCTTATCACTTTGCTGTGTTTCTTCCAGGTGTGTTTGTATCATATTGCTTGCTCCAGCCCCCAGTTAATGTGAACCTATTTGCTAGGCACTGCCAAGAGAAAACATCTTGACATATTGCTTGGTATAGCACCTAAGTGATGTTAACCTTCTCGTTGGTTTTTTTGCCCACAAATGGGATTATGACATACTAACTTATATTATATAAAATCTTTGGTGGTAGAGAGTTTCATAACAGGGCCCAGCAAAATGTTCAGATTGGGACTCTCCGTTACACACCCAGGTGAAATTAAAAGTTGTCACCATACCACATTTACAATGCCCACTCTTGAGGGCCTGAGTCTAACAGAGGAATAGAGTAGAATGTTGGAAATGTGGCTTTTACAGATGGATCTGGCCACAGGTGGAATGGTGACTCATTTCTGGAAGCAGCCCAGTGGCATAATAAGGGGTCTTCTTTCTTAGCCCTGCCTATAAGAGAGATGTTGACTATCAAACCTGGGTTTAGGGCAATATGTAAGACTGTGAGTCCATACAAGCACGTAGGCCTCAGAGAGGTTTCCAACTCTCATGCAGGTTTTATGCAGCCCTCAGATGTTGTAGAGAGTGTCTTACATTGGCCCAGCACACATGTAAGATTGTGACTCTAACATACATGCTGAGCTAAAAGTTAAAGGTGTCACCCTCAAAGATGAGGAGATTGTGTCATATCACTGGGCCTCATACCCAGGTGTTGAGACTTTTTGGCTCAAATTCCTTTCCATGGGTGCATTGTTACATATTGCTAGGTAATAATCATAATAGTGTGACTCTTCTGCCTGGGCCCTGTCAATAGGGGATATTATCACACATCTCTTGGCCTCTAAGCTAGGTGATGTGTTTCTCCAGCCTGTGCCCTGCCCCTAGAAGGCATTTTGAAATATCGCTGAAACTAGTGTCTAGGTAATGTAACTCTTCTCTCCTGCCTGCGTCCTGCTTACTGAAGGAATTGTGACATACGGCTGAATGCAAAACCTAGGTGGTATGTTTCTTCTCTCTAGTAAAGAGTTTATATCTGTGCTGCATTCTGTTTCATTACTTTGGTGTTCTACCTTTATAACAGTACCAAAGTGCTTTGATTACTGAAGGTTTATTTATGTTTGTAAATTGTTAAATGTAATGTTTCCAATATTTTTTTTCTTTTTAAAGATTGTGAGGTTTTTCATGTTCCGTTGAAAAAGAGCATGCTCAAAAGTGTGTTGTTATCTGGGCATAGTGGCTCATGCCTGTAATCTCAGCATTTTGGGAGGCCAAGGAGGGTGCATGGCAAGGTCAGGAGACTGAGACCAACCTGGCCAATATGGTGAAACCTCATCTCTCCTACAATACAAAAACTTAGATTGGCATGGTGGTGCATGCCTGTAGTCCCAGCTACTCAGGAGGCTGAGGCAGGGGAATCACTTGAACCTGGTGTGCTGTTTAATTTTTGCATTTTGAATTTTTCAGCTTTTCTTCTGTTACTGATTTCTATTTCCATTCCTTATGGGTTATAAAAATTGTCTGTAAAATTTCAATTAAAATATTGTTAAGGCTTCTTTTGTGGTGTCACAGGTGGTCCATCTAGGAAAACGTTTTATGAGCTATTGAAAATAATGTGTATTCTGTTGTCTGTATACATTTGTTAGGTGTAATTATTGTACAGTGCATTCAAGTTTCTTGTTCCTGTATTGATATTCTATTGTGCTTTATTTATTACTGAAAGTGGGATATTGATGTATCCTTCCATTATTATATTGCTGTCTATTTTTGCCTCAGTTCTGTCAATGTTTGCTTTATGTGTTTGGGAAAAATGTCATATATTTGTAGGTTCTCAGTAAATGAACCCTCTTACTATAATTGAATATCCTACTTTTTCTTTTGTGAATTTTGACTTAAAGTAAATTACATGAAATAGGACTGTTTTAAATTATTGCCTCTTCTTCTCTCATCTGGTTAACGCTTGCATGGAAAGTATTTCTCATCCTACCATTTTCCATCTATATTTTTTATTAGATATGAAGTGAGTCTCTTGAAAACATGACATAGTTAGATCTTGATATAGGTCATGATATAGTTAGACTGTTATTTTCATTTTGAAGGATACTTTTGCTGGATATAGTATTCTTGCTTAGACTTTCTTTTTCGGTGTTTTAACTATGCCTTTCTACTCCTTTCTTGCCTGAAAGAATTATGTTCATACATTTACTGGTAACCTTGCAGAAGCTTGCACACAAATAACGCATCTCTTTTTTCTTCCTGCTTTCCACATTCTCTACTTCTCTGTGACTTTCAATACATTGCTTACATTGTGTCTTATTAGAAATCTCTTTGTGTTAATCTTAGTTGAAATTTGCTGAGCTCTTGATTTTCTTATATTTTTTTACTAATGTTGAAGTGCATATTATTCTTTTTTGTACTTATACTCCACAATTTTTATTTCTTTTTGTGGTTTTTATTTTATGGTTTGGTTTCATTTTTGTTATTTCATTTTGTTTTCTTTATTTCCATTTTACTCATTGAGCATCACTGAGATGGTAACTTTGGATTTTTAGGGTAATTTTTTTTTAATATGTATAGACTTTAATTCAAAATGTCTCAGGTAATTTTTAAATCTCCTTTTTTTATAATTGATTTCTGGATATTCATATTTATCTTTGATTGAGCCATATTTTCTTTATGTTTTGTATATGTTGTAATCTTAGGTTGCAATTTGTATAATAAAAAGCCACATATCAAAATCTTTATTAAGTGGCTTTTGTCTGTGGGAATATTATGCCAATTTTTTAGGCTAGAGATTCTTACAGTCTCTCAAGCCTGTTCTCTGGATGTTTTCTCTGGATTTGTGTATTTTTTAGTTAAAAAAAAGATTCCAAATGTTTTTTATTTTTCTTTTTCTCTTTCTTTTTTTTTTTTTTTTGAGTTGGAGTTTCACTCTTGTTGCCAAGGCTGGAGTGCAATGGCACAATCTTGGCCCACTGCAACCTCTAACTCCCAAGTTCAAGCAATTCTCCTGCCTCAGCCTCCCAAGTAGCTGGGATTACAGGCACCTGCCTCTACGCATGTAAAGTCATGATAGGATAAAGAATGGCTGTGGTGGGTAACTATGGAACACTTTTAATATACTACTATGTGGTTCTTGGCATTTTGCTCACTTAGGGTCCTGCAAAGGTTTATCTGGTTCTTAGACTTTTCACAAAGGCATTTTTATCAGTATATTTCTGTTAAGTTTATATGTCTATAAAGGAATTAGAGCCTGTGGTATTTTACTGTCACCTTCCTAATATGCTTTGTATAATTATATACTTGTAAAGTGTATTCACCTGAGTCCAGTGAAGGAGAAATTTTGTTGTTCTGTATTTCTTCAGCTGGCTTTTTCAGTTTACTGCAAAGATATTGCTGGAGTATGACATACAAGATTCATTTCAAAAAGCAATTCTGGTAAAATATGGAAGCTGTGACCTTAATAGTTTACATTTAAAGAATGACTACCAAAGTGTGAGTAATTGCAAGGGACAGAAAAGCAGTTATAATGGCCTTCCTCAATATTTGTCAACTACCCATAACAAAACCTGTCAATGTAATAAATATGTCAAAGCTTTTGAGTTGTGCTCAACCTTCCCTGAATGTAAGAAAATTTTTAGCAGAGAGAAATGCTACAAATGTGAAGAATGTGGCTAAGACTGTAGGTTGTTCTCAGATTTTACTATACAGAAGAGAATTCATACTGCAGACTGATGCTACAAATGTGAAGAATGTGGCAGTCTTTACAAATTTCTCAAACATAACTGAACATAAGAGAGTTAATCCTGGACAGAAACCCTACAAATGTGAAGAATGTGGCAAAACTTTACCCTCTCCTCAACCCTTATTAAACACAGGAGACATCATCCTGGAGACAGATCCTACAAATGTGAAGATTGTGACAAAGCCTTTAAGTGCTTCTCAAACATTACTAATCATAAGAGAATTCATACTGCAGAGAAAGCCTACAAATGTGAAGAATGTAACAAAGCCTATAGGTGGTTCTCAGACCTTACTAAACATAAGATAATTCATAGTGGAGAGAAACCCTACAAATGTAATGAATGTGGAAAAGCTTTTACATGGTTCTTGGCCCTTAGTAAACATAAGAGAATTCATACTGGAGAGAAACCTAACATCTGTGAAGAATGTGGCAAAGCCTTTACCCACTCCTCAACCCTTATTAACCAGAAGGGAATTCATATGGAAGAGAGACATTAAAAATGCAAAGAATGTGGCAAAACCTTTAAGTGCTTCTCAGACCTCACTAATCATAAGAGATTTCACAATGGAGAGAAACTCAGCAAATATGAAGAATGTGGCAAAGCATTGAGCTCATTCTCACACCTCATCAGACATCAGAGAATTCATACTGGAAAGAAGCTCCACAAGGGTTTAAAATGTGGAAAAGCCTTTAACAAGTCCTCATATTGTGTTCAACATCAGAGACTTAATACTGAACAAATGCAATATAAAGGTAATGACTGTTGAAGAACATTTAACTTAACATCTTGGGGGGTCTCTAAGAACTTGCTTTATAATCTGGATGCTTTTGTGTTGGGTGCATATATAGACTTTTACTATTATGGAATGCCCTTCTTTGTCTTTTTTAAAAAATCTATGTTGATTTAAAGTCTGTTTTGCCAGAAACTAGGATTGCAACCCCTGTTTTTTTCTGTTTTATATTTGCTTGGTAGGTTTTTTCTTTTTCCCTTTATTTTGAACTTATTTGAGGTGGGTGTCTCGATTACTGCCTACCATTAGATCTTGATTCTTTATTCAGCTTGCCACTCTTTTAACTGGGGCATTCAGCCCATTTACATTTAAGGTTAGTATTCAGATGTGTGGATTTGATTCTGTCACTACAAGTAATCTTAGCTGGCTACTTTGCGCAGTTGTTTACATGGTTGCTTTATAGTGTCTACAGTTGTACTTCACTGTCGTTTTGTAGTGAGTGGTAATAGTCTTTTTCTTATTTAATGCTTTCTTCAGAAGCTCTTGTGAGGCAGGTCTTGTGGTAACAGATCTCTTCAGTGTTTGCTAATCTGAATAGAATTATATTTATTTTTTAGTTGTGAAGCTTACTTTGGTCAGATATGACATTCTGGGTTGAAATTCTTTTTTTAAGAATGTTGAATATTGGCCCCTAATCTCTTTTGACTTGTCGGATTTCAGCTGAAAGGTTTGTTGTTTGTCTGATGGGCTATTTTTAGAGGTGACCTCCCCTTTCTCTCTAGCTGCCTTTAACACATTTTTTTCTTCCATTTTGACCTTGGAGAATCTCATGATTATATATCTTGGGGATGAACTTTTCATGGGGTATCTTACTGGGGTTCTCCACATTTCCTGCACTTGAATGTTGGCCTCTGTATCTAGGTTGGGAAAGTTCTCATGGATGATATCCTGAAATATGTATTTCAAGTTGTTTTCATTCTCCTCATCACTTTCAGGCACTCTCTTTAATCACAGATTTGGTTTCTTTACATAATCCCTTATTTAATAGAGGTTTTGTTCATTCCTGTCTATTCTTTTTTCACTATTCTTGTCTGTCTTATTTCAGAAATCCAGGCTTGAAGCTGTGAGATTCTTTCCTCTGCTTGGCCTATTCTGCTGTTAATACTTGTGATTACATTAAAAAGTTTTTGTATTGTGTTTTTCAGATCTATCAGGTTGGCCACATTTTTCTCCAGACTGGCTGTTTTTTTCTGACAGTTCCTGCAATTTTTTCCCTTCCTTGAATTGGGTTGCAACTTACTTTTGTAGCTCAATGAAGTTTATTTCTATCCATATTCTGAATTCTACTTCTGACATATTAGGTCTTGCTGGAAACATAATTTGGTCATTTGGGTTAAAGAAGTTACTCTGGCTTTTTGGGTTTTAAACATTTTTGCACTGATTTAATCTCATCTTTGTGGGCATATCTTTGAGGTTGCTGACCTTTGAATGGGGTTTTGGTTTTTTTTCATCCTATTCGATGCTCTTGAATATTTGATTGTGGTATAAGGTGGATTCAGCCAACTTGCTTTGTTCCTGGGAGATTTTTTTGTGTGTGGTGGTGGGGAAGCAATGCTCAGCTCACTACTCAGAGGCTGCATACTCTGGGGGACTTGTATTGAGCCCCAACTGTCTTCCATGGCTCCTTGATATTTGGAGTCTGCCACTGTGTAAGACTAAAGTGCCACCACTGCAGCAGAGTGCTAGTGGATATGGGGTTTCTGCCTGTCTTTGGGCATTCACCTCAGTGGCAGGAGCAAAGCAGCTGGGAGGGGAGTGGGGATACATGCTGGAGACTGTGCATTGTTGCACTAAAGGTGGTGTTGGCTTGGGGCAGGATGCTGGCTAGTGAAGATTTTGATGCTTTTTATGCCCTCCCAAGAAGGTGTCTGGAAGGATACCCCATTCTCCATAAAGTGTTAGGAAAAAGGTAGGGGTGGGGCTTTCTGGCTCTCTGCCCACCAAAGCTTCATCTCCATTGGCAGTCACTGAGGGTGGCAGGGGCATACTGCATTCCCATTTGCTGGTGGGGCAAGCAAATCCAAACCCTCCTTTGCAGACATGTGCCAGCAAAGTAATGTGGGGAGTTGCCATGATGCCAGGGCTTCCCCTTCAGTATGGGGAGGAAACATATGGGCTGGTGCAGTCATAGGGACTGCCTTGCTGGAGCACTTCAGGGATCAGGTGCGGCCCACCAGTGCAGATGCTATGGTATGGGCTCCCAGGGTACCTGAGACTGCCCTGTCAGCATCTGTAGCCAGACTGGGTCCCTGGGAGAGGCCAACAGACAAAGGAGTGCTCAGTTGGACCAGGTTCTTCTGATTTGCAAGACCATCCTGCAGAAATTAGGTCCAACAGTTCCCCTAGTGCTGAAGTCTCTTATGGGAGAAAGTTGAGCCTAGAGAAATGGCCATCACAGGCCACACTTAACTACAGATTCTCTTGTGCCAAACCCTCTGGGCACCACATGAGCTGGCTTGCTGCCCCACCTTTTTGCTTGTCTTCTGGGGGTTGCATCTCAGGGAGATGTAGGTCAGCAATCCCTCAGTGCAGTCAGCTCAGGAAGGAAGATCTGTGCTTTTGGCCAATTTAGGCATTCACTGTCTGGTGAGGAGCAATGGGTAGTTTGTGGGACCCATGGAGGATGGACTGGCCTCATCTCCTTGGGTAAACTGCACCTTGTTTGAGGTGTGAATAAGGCACTTAGGGTTTTGGATTTATCATTAGTCTGAGCATAGCAAGGACAGTTCTACTGCAGAGGCAGTGGCAGAAATATTTTCAGTTTCCCCTGGAAGCTCTGTCCAGGGAGTTGCTAAGTTTCTACTGGCTCAATACCTCTGGCCCAGGCCTGGAGAACCTGCCCAGTGAGAATATATGCGAGCAGGCACTCATGTAACAGTCTGGCCACTTTTCTGAAGGGCTGCTATAGTTTGCTAGGTGTCAACTGCAGTCTCTAGTCACCTCAGATTTTCCAGTACCTAAAGTGATCACCAGCAAATGCTGCAAAACAGCAGCAATGGCAGCATGCCCTTTTCCCTGGTAACTCCATCCTAGGGAGGTATAGGCTTGTTTCCAGGTCAAAAGCTCCTGTAGGAAGTAGCTGGAAACCCCTGTTGAAAGGTCTTACCCAGTGAAGAGAACATGATTAGGGATCCACTTAAGAAAGCAGCCTAGCCACATTTTTGTAGGACAGGTGTGCTGTGCAGAAGTACCACTTGCATCCCCAATTTATTTGGATTCTCCAAAGCCAGAAGGCTGGAACAGCTAAGTCACGAAAACAGCAAAAATGGCAGCTCCCTCTTGCTCTAGAAACTATATCCCAAAGAGGTTTCAAAATTCCATTGACCAAAGATGGAAAGGTGGTAACGGGACACCCTGGTTAAGAAGTATTTTTGAGTGAGCAGGAATGAGATTGGGAACCTGCTTTAACAGGCAGTCTGACCATGTCTTTTTAGAGCATGTGTACTGTGCTAGGAGATCCTTTCTGCCCCCAGTCAACTTGGACTCTTCAAAGCCTGAAGAAAGAGGAATAGGAAATTCCTCTTTCCTATGTACAGGTGTGTAACCTCCTGCTTTGCTGGACTTGTAGCTACGTTTTTGGAGAAGCCTGGAAAGCCAGAGTATCTAAGGCTCTTGAGTCTCTGCACAGGCCCGAGTGGCTGCTCTGCTGAGACTCCATGTAGCTCTGTGTGTTCAACTGAAGGCCTTGATGAAGTGGGTTCATGAGGGTATCTCCTCACCTGAGAGTTGCAAAGATCTGTGGGAGAATCATGGGTTCCCAGGGCCCACATGCACTCACTGCTTTACTGGGTGGGGAGGTTCCCTTGGCTCCATGTTGTTCCCAGGTGGCCTGTTGTCCTGCCTTGTTTTACTTCATTCTCCATAACTTAAGTTGTTTTTTAAATTAGTCCCAATGCAAGTAGCTGGATGTTTCATTTGAAGGTGCTGTATTTATGCATACTTTGCATTCCTCTTTATGAGAACTAGGGAGTCTAGCTGCTTCCAGTCAGCAATCTTGATCACTTTCCTCTAAAAGGAATCTACTTTTTTATATTGAAAGAGTTTAATATATTTTCAAACTCAAATATTGGCATAATTTACCTCTTGCATTTGATGCTATGTCTTCATTTCTAGAATTTATGGGAAAGAACATGGTCAATGCTTGTTGCACCAGAGTTATGAGAGGTTCTTCTACATTAGATGGACAGATTTACATACTTTCCTATAGAAGATTTAGAAAACTGAAATCTAAGATACCTGAAGACATTCTAAGTGGAAAGGCCACTTAGTGGTTGGTTTACAACAGTATCATAAGTGACAGGATGATAGGAGAGTGGAAAGTGATCAGCATAATATTCTGCATATAGTAAGAGAAACAATTTAAATTTTATAAGGAAAATAAATAATTTTTTTCTCCTAATATTTTGGCAACTATAAAAACATGCTTACAATGTTACTTTCATAGATACTATGACTATTAAGTGTGTTAATTTTTAAGATAAAATATTTGAGAATTATATTGCTCAACACGGCCAATAAAATGTTTTTAAGTTGCCTATTTAAAAAAATCTGTCAATTTTGATTGCATACCTAGCTATTTTTTTTAACATTGAGGATAAGCTGTAAAATAATTCATACAAATAATATAAACTATAATTTGTATATAAACTATAATTAAGTAAATAATTACTTAAATTATTTATTTAAGAAATCTAATTACATTTTAAATACATTTCTCTCACTTGTTAGTATTTGTGTAGCATATTATTTTTAAGATTTTGCCTCTAAAACAGGTAATAATTTGAACAAGAAAAACCCACAATTTGATGATTGGCATGAAAATAAATTTCAGGAAAATAAAAAGTTTTTAAGATTACCTAATTAAAATAATGTAAGGGATAAAAATGTTAATATTTATTTTCTACACATTATTGGGCAAAAGTAACCCTGAGATAGTAATGTGCACAAAATACTATTAATTGTATTCTTGAGACTGGCACTTAGAGAAACTCCACCACAGGCCCAGGATTCCCTAGACATTTCTTCTAGGAGAACATCCAATGGAAATTAAGCAGAAGGCCATGTCCACAAATATAAATGGATGTTCACTTCCTAGAGACCAATGGGTGGTGGTTGCAGAAAGAGTAGGGACTTCTTGGTGCTCCAGGAAGGCTCTATTCAGCACCACACTAGAAAAGGGGCCTGGAGCTCCACTGCATCCTCCTACCTGCAGGGGCCTCAGAGGGCCCTGGGAGAGTCCAGCCTCGGTGCTCTGTCCTTTCCCTGGCCCTTGAGTCCTGCCTCACCTGCTAGCTTTTTCCACAAACAATTCAGTATGGCAATGCCCAATGCAGCCCCACTAGAGGAAGGCAATCAAGAGTGTCAAGGCCCACACCCAACTTTGCACATTTAGTGACTTATTAACTAGTCAGTAAGTTAGAGCAGAATGTGCTGCTGTGACCCCCTGAGATCACATTTTAGGAGGAAACCTGGGTGGCACCTGCCTGAGGCTGTGCATTGGAGGAAGGATGGACAGGCCACCTGGGCTTCAGTGAGCATGTGCCCCTGGCCACCCCGGGGAGACATGGGCTTGGCAAGAGCAGGCAATAAGGGTGTCATACAGCAGATACGCTGAGCTGTCAGGTGGGCACAAAGGGGTAGGCATGGGGGGTCCCTGAGAGGGAGAACCTTCTCAGGGCCCTGAACCCAGCCCAGAGATGCCCCAGGATCTTGAAGCCCAGACTGTACCTAGAGCTGCATGGTGGGCACGGTGCAGTGGCCTATTAAAAGTGGGGTGAGTAGCCAGTCAATGAGGGGCTCTCATTGCCTATTTTCTGATCAGCAAATTGATCCCCCAAAGCCCCAAGCCAGGAAGGGCAAAAGCACTGGACTGAGGCATCATTTTTTTTTTCCACTGGCTCCCATAAGCCTCAGACCTCTTTGGGCTTGCTTGAGACCTCCTTGGGCTTGTCTTGAGGAAGAAGATCCCTCTTCCTTGCAAGCATAGGCACAGAAGCAACCAGACATGTGTGGAAGGCCAACCAACAGCCACATTTTTAGGCCCACCTGGGCCTCCTCACTCCTCTGGCATGTGAAAGCCAACTGGCATTCCGGAGTCCAGAATTCACATTTAGTTCCAGAACTAAGGAGTTCAGCACCTGGGACAGAGCAGAAGTGGGCCTGTTAATTCCTTGGCATAAGGTCCAAATCAGAGAACTGGCCTGACTGTGCTGCTGCAGCAAGGCAGTGGGTGTCCTGTTCGAAGCAGGTCCCACTCTCTTCCTGCCTTCAATTATTTCACTTGCAGCTTGTCATTTGTACCAGCTCTTTGTCTACCCCCACCAACATCCTGTGGTTTTTGAAATTCCTCTGAAGACTGCATGAGCCAAGCATTAAGGGTCACAGTGTTCTAGCCTACTCGATTTCACCTGTGAGCAGAAACAAGGCAGGAGAGTCTCATCATCTGGATTCTGGGCTCAGGATACATTATAATCTCCTTTGCAGACAGGGCCATGTCAGAAGAGTCACATCACCTCGGTACAGCCTCAAGTAATATGACACCATGTCCACTGCAGACAGGGTTGAAGAAAAAGGGGAGAGTCACAACACCTAGGTGCTGGGCTCAACAATATGTAATAATCCCCTCTTTTGGCAGACTCCAGAATAAAGAGGAGAGTTGCATTTACTAGGTTTTGCACTCAGTGATATGTCACAATTCCTTTTGTGGGCAGGACCTAAGCAGGAGAGGAGAGTCACATTTCGTAGATGCTACATCCAGCGATGTCACAATGTTCCTTGGGGGCAAAGCACAGTAAAAATAGACCAGTCACCTAGCTGACAGGCCAGATATATGTGATAATATCCCTTGTTGGAAGGTCCCAGGCAGAAGAATCACATTATCGTGATTCTGACCTAACGATATGTCACAATGTACACTTGGTATACAATTAAAGGAAGTTTTAACACCTGGGTACTAGGCCCAGTGACATGACACAATCTCCTCATCTTTGAGGGTGACACCTTTAACTGTTAGCTTGGTGTGTATGAAAGTCACAATTTCACTTGTGTGCTAGGCAATTGTATGAAGTCCTCTACAGCATCCGAGGGCTTTATGCAGCATGTATGAGAGTTGCAAGCTACTCTGAGGCCCCAGGCTCATATGGAGTCACAATTTTATATATTGACTTAAGCCTAGGTATGACAGTCAACATCTCTTATTTGGGCTGAGTTCAGGAATGAGACACATTTTATGCCTGTGAGCTGGCTCCAAAAATGAGTCAAGATCACACCTGTGGCCCGATGCACATATGAGAGTCAAAATTCCATCTTTGTACTGTTTTCACCTATTAGACTTACGAGGTATTGCAGCAGTGGGCTTTGTAAATGTGGGATGGTGAGAAATTTTACTTTCACCTGGGTGTGTAATTGAGAGTCACCATCTTAACTTTTTGCTGGGCCTTTTTATGGAACTCTCTGTGCCACCCAAGTAGTTTATATAACATGAATTAATGTTGTAAACTTCTGTAAGCTTTGCACAAATACGCAACCCAGGATTTTAACTACTACCTTAAGCCTAGAGATAAGAGGCAAAATATCTTCTATTGGCCTAATCCCAATATAAGTCAGACCATCAGGCCTGTGAACTGAAGCAAGGTATATATCATAATCCCATTTGTGGGCAAAAAATTAGGAAAAAGAGCAACATCACTTTAGGTGATCTGGCAAGCAACATGTCACCACGCCTTTCTAGGCAGAACCTAGGTAGGAGGGTCACAATAACTGGGTGCTGGACCCAGAAATATGACACAATTTCACATGTGGAAAAACTTAACCAAGGGATGAGAGCCAAAACACCTACAGAATGTGCTGAAGATATGTCAAAAATACTCTCTGTGGCTCTGGTACAGACAGACAGGATGATAGCCTTATCAGGGTGCTGGGCCCAACAGTATGCAATAATTCCCTTTATTCAGGACTCTTTCAGAAGAGTAATATCATCTGGGTGCAAAAGGTCGCAATTTCCCTTTGTGGGCATGGTTCAGAAAACAGAGTAGGGTCACATGACCTAAATGCTGGGCTCAGCAATATGTCACAATCTCACCATTTTAAAGACCAAGGCAGGAGAAGAGAATCATATCACTTAGGACCTGAGATCAAAGATATGTCCCCATGTACCAAGTAGGCAGAGCTCAGGTAGACAAGGAGAGTCATATCACCTAGGTGCTTCCCTAGAAATATGTCACAATTTAATTTGTGGGCAGAAAAAACAGGCAGAAGGGCCACATCACATGGGTTCTGGGTAATGAGATATGTCACAAGGCTCTCTTAGGACAGCACCCAGGCAAGAGAGTTACATCACCTAGGCATAGGTTCTTTGCTTATGTCACAATGCTCCATGTGAGTAGAGCCCAAGGAGGGAGTCACTTCACCTAGGAGATAGGCTCAGAGATTTGTCACATTGTTCTCTATGAAGCATAGCCCTGGCAAAAGAGTACCATCACCTGTGTGCCTGGCCTAGAAATATGTCACTGTCCAGACTGGCAGGGCCCAAGCAGGAGAGCCACATCACCTAGGTGATAGGTCCAGAGATATCTCAAAATGCTCTCCTTGCATGGCTCTGGCAAAAGAGTAACATCAGCTGTGTGCCTGGTCTTGCAATATGTCACAATCTTTCCTTTATTCATGGCCCGTTCCAGAGAGGAGAGTTACATCACCTATGAGATGGACAGAGAGATATGTCACAATAATTTTGGTGGGCATGGAGAAGGCGAGAATGTAACATCACCTGGGTGATAGATCCAGTGATATGTCACAATTCTTACTGAGATAAAAGCTCAGGCAGGAGAGTCACATCACTTTGAGGTTGGCCTAGGTAGATATCACAATTTTATATATGGAGTGGAAACATTCTTCAAAGTCAAATTACACAGGTGCTTGGAAAAGATTTATATCACAATCATACTGTCAGAAAATTCCAAAAATGAGATTTACAATACCACACCGATCTTGTTTTCATGAGTGACAGTTCGCTTCATCCATGTGAGATGATGACAGTCCTTACTGTCAGTTGGGTGTGCGTATAAGACTCAGAATTTTGCCCATGTGCTGAGCCCTACTTTGACTCTGTCTGTATAACCTAAAGACTTTGTAAAATATGTGAGTGCTGTAATCTTTTGTGACCTTTGTACAAGAAGGTGATCCAGAACATCACACATGTCCCTCAACCTAGCTATTAGAGTCAAAATATCCTCTATTTGCTGAGTCCACATGTAAGAGTCATTATCATGCCTGTGAGCTGTGCCTAGGTATATGTTACAATTCCTTCTGTGGTTATGAAGCAGGCAGAACACCACATCACCTAAATGCTGGGCTAGAAATATTCCAATATTCTCTTTGTAGGCAGGGTTCTGTCAGAAATGTCACATAACTTGTGTGCTTGGTCCTGGACTTGCCCCTTGGGGGCCGTGTCCAGGAAGGAGAGAAGAGTCATATCAACTAAATGATGGGCCCCAAAATATGTCACATTGTCTCCTGTGACAGAGCCCAGGCAAGAGAGTCATATCATTTGGATGCAGTGTTTTGAAATGCTACAATTACCAAAGGAAGCAGGGTATAGGCAGGAGAGAAGTCATGTAACCTAGATGATGGGTCCAGAAATATGTCACAATCTCACCTGAGGACATTGCTAAGATAGCACAGTCAAATCACCAAGGTGCTTGGCCCGGGTATTTGTCAGAATCTGATTTGTGGGCTATACCTAGGCAGAATTATTAAATCACTCAGGATTTGGGCAAAGGTATAGGTCACAATTACACTTGTGGAAAGGTTTAAGAAGAGTCACCATCCTGCACATGTCCTGGCTCCAGTCACATGAGTTGTAATTAGGCTTTTGTTATGGTCTCAGGTATATGGAACAATATCACCTGTGGCCAGAGTGAAGGCAAGAAATTCACATCACTTACATGGGTGCGCGTCCGTGAGATGTCACAATCCAACTTGTGGGCAGCACCCTGGCAGAAGTGTCACATCACCTGGATGCTGGTTTCAGTGATCCCCTTTGTGTGGGCAGGATTTTGGCAAAAGAGGAGGCTGCCTTTACCTAGGCAATTGGCCTAAATATATGTCATAATGGCCATTATATGCAGTACCAAGGCTGGAGAGTGACCTTACATTGGTGCTGGGCCCAGCAATATGTCACAATCTCCCTGTGGTCAGGGCACAGGCAAAAATGAAGAAACATCACCTAGGTGCTGAGCTGAGTGATATGTTACAATGCTTCCTGTTGGCAGAACCCAGAAAGGAAAATCACATCACCTGGGTGAAGTACACAGTTATGTGTCACAATGCCCTGTAACTGCAGGGCCAAGGCAGTATAAGGGAGTCACATAACTTATGTGATGGACCTAGATATAAGACACAATTCTCTTTGTAGGCTGGTTTCAGGCAAATAACTCACATCACCTGGGTGATGGTCCCAGTGACATATAAAAGTGCCCTTTGTAGGCAGAACCAAGGATTGTGTTTTATATTGCTTAGCTGCTTGGTCCACATATTGCACAATTTCATCTGTTGTCTGAGCCTAGAAAAGAGAGTGAAATTATTCATGTTCTGACAAAGTTACCTGTCCCATTCACACTCTCAAAAATGCTCAGAAATAAGTTTCACATCCCATACAAGTCCTGGTTTCTTGTATGTGAGTCAACACTTTCTATGAGTTGGGTCAAAAGAGAGGAGACATAGTCTCAACAATGAGCCAGATTCATGTGTAAGAGCCCCAATCCCCCTTGAAGATTGTGTTCTAGTCAGGGAGTCACAGCACCACAGTGTGCTGAATCATGGTTCAAATGTTACCAACCCACCTGTGAATTAGATCCATATATGAGAGTAATTATTTCAACCTTCGACTGCTTTTTATGTGTGAGATTTAGTACCTCATTCCTAGGCCCTGTACATGTGAGAGAATGACAATCTTGTCTGCTAGGTTTGTATACAAGAGTCACATTCTCTTTTCATTGCTGGCCTCTGTTACAACACTCTTTGTACCATTAAGGCTTTATATGATATACCTGAGTGTCATAATCCTTCATGAACTTTATACAGGTGAAAAATCCAGGACTATATTCATGGTCCTTAGACTGGCTGTGAGAGTCAAAGTGTCTCTACTGGCTGGGTCCAGGTATGAGAATTATTATTGTGCATGTGTGCTTAACCCAGGTATATTCACAATCTCACCTATGAGCAGGGACAAGACAGGAGAGTCATATCCACTGCATACTGAGTCAGTGATACAGTATAATCTAATTTGTAGGCTGGGCCAAGTCAGAAGAGTCACACCACCTGGGTACAGCCTCAAATAATATGTCACCAAGCAAACTATAGACAAGGAAGAAGAAATAGAGAAGAGTCACACTATCTAGGTGGTGGGCTCTGCAATATGTACCAACCCCTTCTCTTTGCAGAGTCTAGAATATGAAGGAGAGTCACATCACCTAGGTTTTGCAATCAGCTCTATGTCACAGCTCTATGTCTTTGATGAGCAGGAACCAGGCAGGAGAGAAGAGACACATTACCTAGATGTTAAGTCAAACAATATTTCACAATGTCTTCTGGGAGCAGGACAGAAGCCAGAGAGACAAATCACCTAGCTTATAGGCCCAAGGATATGTGATAATATCCCCTGTTGACAGGGTCCAGGCAGAAGAGTCACATTATTATGATTCAAAACCAGCGATATGTCACAATGCAGTCACCGGAAGGAATTTAAGCCAAAAAGTCTCAACATCTGGGTACTTGGCATAGTAATATGCCATTTTTTTTGTCTTTGAGGGTGACAGTGGGCTTTGGACATGTGGGATGGTCACAACTTTTGCTTTCACCTGGGTGTGTAATCAAGAGTCCCAATCTGAACTTTTTGCTGGTCTCTGTCATGAAACTCTCTGTACCACCCAAGCAGTTTAAACATTATGAGTTAGTGTTGTAAAGTTCTGTGAGTTTGATAAAAATATGCAACTTGGGACCTTACCTATTGCCCTAAGCGTAGAGATGAAAGGCAAAATATCTCCTATTGGCTGAATCCCAGTATAAGTCTGACCATCTATGTCATAGTCCCATTTGTGGGCAAAAAACTAGGCAGGAGGTTAACATCACTTGGGTGCTGTGCCAACCAATATGTCACAATGACTTCTGTAGGCAGGGTATAGGAATTACAGTCACATTAACTGGGTGCTGGACTCACCAATGTGACACCATTCCACATGTGGAAAAAAACCCAGCCAAGTTATGAGAGCCAAAACACCCATATAATGGACCCAGGTTATGTCAAAATACCTTCTTTGGCTCCAGCACAGGCATGAGAGTCAGAGTATCAGGATGCTGGGTCCAGCTATATGCCATAATTCTCTCTATATGCAGGACCCAGGCAAAACAGTAACACTATCTGTGTGCTGGACCCTGCAATAGGTCAAAATTTCTGTTTGTGGGCATGGTTTGAGAAAAAAAGGAATCAAATAACCTGAGTGCTGGGCTCAGCAATATGCCATAATCCCCCAATTGTAAAGATCAGGCAGAAGAAGAGAGTCACTTCACTTAGGTCATGGGCTCAGAGATATATCCCAATGTCCCCAGTAGGCAGGGCCCAGGCAGAAAAGGAGAGTCATCTCACAAAGGTGCTTCCCTAGTTATATGTCACAATCTAAGATGTGGGCAGAAACCAGGCAGAAGAGCCACATTTCTTGGGTATAGCCTCAAGTAATTTGTCACCATACCCTATGTAGAAAGGTTTAAAGAAAAAAAGAGAATCACACCACCTGGGTGCTGGCTCAGCAATATGTAGTAATTCCCTCTCTTGGCAGAGTCCAGGACAGAGAGGAGAATCATGTCACCTAGGTTCTGCACTCAGTGGTATCTCACAATTTCTTCAGTGGCAGGATCTCCTTCAGACAGGAGAGGAGAGCCACATTACATAGATGCTATATTTAGTGATATGTCACAGTGTCCCCTGTGGGCAGGGCACTGGCAGCAGAGATATATCAACTAGCCAATATGCCTGGACATATATGAAAATATCCCCTGTTTGCAGGGCCCAGGCAGAAGAGTCACATTATCATGATTCTGACCCAGTGATATGTAACAATGCGCTTACGGAAAGAAATTTAAACCAAAAAGTCTCAACACCAGGGTACTAGGTGAAGGGATATGACACAATCTCCTCATTGTGAAGGGTGACACCATTAATGGTTAGCTCATTGTGTATATGAGTGTCACAATATCATGTGTGTGCTGGCCATTGTATGACAGTCTCTACAACATCCGAGAACTTGATACAACATGCATGAGAGTTGGAAACCTCTCTGAGGCCTACATGCTTATATGGACTCATGATCTTACATATTGCCCTAATCCCAGGTATGACAGTCAACAGCTCTCCAATAGGCTGGTTTCAGAGATGAGACCATTATTAGCCTGTGAGCTGGGTCAGAAAATGAGCCACCATCCCACCTGTGGGCACATTCACTTATGAAAGTCACAATTCCAACTTTGTGCTGTATTCACTTATTAGACTCAGGACCTCAACAATGGGCATTGTAAGTGTAGGAAGGTAACAACTTTTACTGTCAACTGAGTGTGTAGTCGAGAGTCACAATCTTAACATTTTGCTGGGCTCCGTTATGAAACTCTGTACCACCCAATAAGTTTTTATGATATGAGTTAGTGTTGTAAACTTCAGTGAGCTTTGTATAAATATGCAATGAAGGACCTTACCTATTGACCTAAACCTAGTGGTGAGAGGCATAATATCTCCTATTGGCTGAACCCCAATAGAAGCTTGATCATCATGCCTTTGAACTGAAGCAAGGTATTTGTCATAATCCCATTTGTGGGCAGAAAACTAGGCAGAAGATTAACATCACTTAGGTGCTGTGACAAGCAATATGTCATGATGCCCTCTCTAAGCAGCGCCTAGGAAAGAGGGTCATATTAACTGGGGGCTGAAGCCAGCAATATGATACAACCACATGAGGAAGAAACCCAGTAAAGTGATGAGAGCTAAAACACCTACAAAATGGGACAAATTTATGTCAAAATACCTTCTGTAGCTCAGGCACAAGCAGGAGAGTCACATAATTAGGGTGCTGGGTCAAGCATTATGCCAAAATTCCACCTTCATGCATGACCTAGTCAGAAGAGTAACATCATCCAGGTGCTGGGCCTTAAAATATGGCAAAAGTCCTATTCGTGGCCGTTGTTCAGCAACAAGACAAGAGTCACATTACCTAAGTGCTGGGCTCATCAATATGTCACAATCATCCCATTGTAAAGGCCCAGACAGAAGAAGAGAGTCACATCACTTAGGTCATGGGCTCAGAGATATGGCCCAATGTCACCAGTAGGCAGGGCTCAGGCACAAAAAGAGAGTCCTATCCCCTAGGTGCTTCTTTACATATATGTCACAATTTATTATGTGGGCAGAAACCAGGCTGAGAGCCACATCACCTGGTCCTGGGTACTGAGATATTCACAAGTCCCCCTTAGAAAAGGATTCAGGCAAGAGAGTTACATCACCTAGGTGCAGGTTCTACCCTCATGTCACAATGCTCCATGTGGGCAGAGCCAAGCAGGAAGTCACATCAGCTAGGTGATGGACCCAGAGATATGTCACAAAGCCTTTCTGAAAGCATGGCCCTGGCAAAAGAGTACCATCACTTTTGTGCCTGGCCTAGCAATATGTCACTACCCAAGTGGGCAGGTCCCAAGCAGAAGAGCCATATCACCTACATGATAGGAACTGTGATATGTCAAAATGCCCTCTTTTTGGCCTGGCCCCGGCAAAAGAATATCATCACCTGTGTGCCTGGCCTGGGAATACATCACTATTTTGCCCTGTGTACAGAGCTATTCCATAGAGGAGAGCTACATCTTCTAACTGATGGACACAGTGATATGTCACAGTTATGTCTGTGGGCATGGTGCAGGCTAAAATGTAACATCACCTGGATGCTGGATCCAGTGATGTCACAATTCTTACTGAGAGCATGGTCCAGACAGAGAAGTCACAACACTTCAAGGTTGGCATAGGTAGATATAAAAATCCCATATGTAGAATAGAACCAGTCTGAAGAGTGAAATCACGCAGGTGCTTGGCATTGATTTATATCACAGTCACAATGGAATAAAATTCTAGGTTTTAGATGTACAATACCACACATGTCCTGTTTTCATGTAGGACAGTTGCCTTCATCCATTTGTGATTGTGAAAGTCTTTACTGTCAGGTAGGTGTGCATATGACTGTCACAATTTCCTCTGTGTGTTTGGCCCTGTTACGACACTCCCTATACAACCCAAAGGTGTTACAAAATAATTGTGAGTGTTGCAATCTTCTGTGACCTTCTTACCAGAAGGAGATCCTGGACATCACTCATGTTCCTAAACCTAGTTATAAGAGTCAAAATTTCTCCTATTTGCTGGGTCCACATACAAGACTCATTATCATGCCTGTTTGCGGTGCCTAGATATATTTCACCTTCTCCTCTGTGGTTACTGAACAGGCAGAACAACCACATTACTTAAATTCTAAGCCAGAAATATTCCAAAATTCTCTTTGTAGGCAAGGCCCTAACAGAAAATTCACAAAACTTGGTTGCTAGCTCTAGCTCTATGGCATAATGCCCCTTGTGGAGAGTGTCCAGGCAGGAGAGGAGAGTCATATCACCTAAATGATAGACCTAGAGATATGTCACAATGCCTTCTGTTGAAACGGCCCAGGCAAGAAACTCATGTCATTTGGATGCAGTGCTTAGAAATGCAACACTCTTCACTGGAAGCAGGGTTCAGGCAGGAGAAGAGAGTCACATAACCTAGATGATGGGTCCAGAGATATGTTATGATCCCTTCTGAGGACACTGTTAAGACATGAGAGTCAAATCACCAAGGTTCTTGACTCAGGTATATGTCCAAATATTATCTGTGGGCTATAACTAGGCTGGATTATTAAATCACTTTGGAGCTGGAAAAGGTATATGTGACAATAACACCTGTGGAAAGGTTCAGGGATGAGAGTTACCATCCTGCACATGTCCTGGCTCTAGGTAAAAGAGTCATTATTAGGCCATTGATCTGGTCTCAGGTATATTGCACAACATCACCTGTGGGTGGGGAGAAGAAAGGAAAGTCACATCACCTGAGTGGGTGCTGGTCCAGTGAAATGTCACAAGACTCTGGAAAAAGAGTCATATCACCTGGATGCTGGTTTCAGTGATATATCTAAATCCTCCCCATGGGCAGGGCTTAGGCAGGAGAGGAGACAAACTTTACCTAGGCAATTGGCCTGTATATATGTCACAAGGGTCCCTGTGTGCAGGATCAAGGCAGGAGAGTGACTTCATCTTGGTCCTGGGTTCAGCAATATGCCTCAATCTCTGTGCTGGTCAGGGCCCAGGCTAGAGAGAAGAAACACAATCTAGGTGCTGAGCCAAGTGATATGTTAAAGCTTCCTATTGACAGACTGGCCCCCCGCCAAAAAAAAAAGGGTCACATCACCTGGTTGCTCTACCCAATTTTGTGTCACGATTCACCATAAGTGCAGGGCCAAGGCAGTAGAAGGAAGTCACATCACTTATGTAATGGAGCTAGATAAAAGCCACAATGCTTTTGTAGGCAGGGTTCAGGCCAATATTTCACATCAGCTGGGCGCTGGTCTCAGTGATATGTAAAAGTGCCCTCGATTCCATTGCCAAATGAGGTGTTATACATTGCTTGGTTGCTTGGTGTACATATGTCACAATTTCAACTGTGCTCTGGGCCTAGAAAGAAGAGTCAAAACACTCAGACGCTGGGCAAAGTCATACTTCTCAATCACACACTCAAAAATGTTCAGAAATAAGTTTCACAGTCCAACAAAAGTCCTGGCTTCAGGTATGAGAGATAACACCTCCTATGAGTTGGGTCAAAATACAGGAGTCGCAATCTCAACAATAGGCAAGATCCATGTATAAAAGCCCCAATGCCCCTTGAAGATTGTGTTCCAGTAGGGGAGTAAAAGCAATACAGATTTGCTGAATCATGGTTCAAACGTCACCAAACCACCTGTGGATCAGATTAATGTATGAGAGTAACAACTTCACGCTTCAACTGCTTATGTGTGTGAGATTAAGTACCTCGTTCATAGGCTCTGCTCATATATGAGAATGACTATCATGTCAGTTGGATGTGCATCTAAGAATCACAATAGCACCTGGTTGCTGGTGCCTGTTATGACACTCTTTGTACCACTCAAGCTTTATATGATATGCCTGAGTAGCACACTTTTCTGTGAATTCTTACAGGTGGGAGAGCTAGGACTTTACCCATGGCCATAAGAATGGCTATGTGAGTCAAAATATATCCCCTGGCTGGGTCTAGTTATGTGAGTTATTATTGTGCATATGAGCTGAATCCAGGTATATGTCACAATTTCACTTTTGGACAGAGACAAGACAGAAAAGTCACATCATCTGGGTTGTGAGCCAGGGATACATTATAATCTTCTCTGTAGGCAGGACCCAGTCAGAAGAGTCATATCACCTGGGTACAGTCTCAAATAACAAGTCATCATGCCCATTGAACACAGGGTTGAAAAAATAGTGAATAGTCCCACCCCCTAGGTGCAGGGTCTGTCCTGCAGACCCTGACTCAATGACTGATAAATGAAGATACTGACACACAGATATTCTGCTTTGCCAGTTCTACTGAGCATCTGGGTCACTTACAGACTCCAAGCAGAGTGCTGTAAACATTTGCAGCCCTGACCAGCCAGTGAGACTCACATTTATTCAGGAATGTTTACTTGACAAAGGCTTGAGTCAATACTAAAGGGCAATTGGCATTGTGGACCTCCCAAGTAGTAGAAAGCAATTAAGCACCTATGGTGAAACAAACGTGAGTCTTAGGAAAACAAGTTAGTTAGATAAACTACTCTACATTCCTTGGTACTCACTTTAAGCTATTTACTTAAGGTAAGGATCAGGTTGCCTTCAGCCATAACCCTTACTAAAGCTATGCAAACTTCTCGGCCTTCCAGGAAGGCTTCTGGATATTACTATAACTATCTTTAATATTTTTCACACAAGCCTGATTGAACCCCCATGACTAGGTGCTGGGCTCAGCAATATGTTATAATGCTCTCTCTTGGCAGAGTCCAGGACAAACAGGGGAGTCATATCACCTAGGTTTTGCACTCAGTGTTATGTCACAATTTCTTCAGTGGGCAGGATCCAGGCAGGAGAGGAGAGTCACATTACCTAGATGCTATACCTAGCGATATGTCACAGTGTTACTTGTGGGCAGGGCACTGGCAGGAGAAACACATCATTTAGCTATTAGGCTCAGAGATATGTGATAATATCCCCTATTGACAGGGCCCAGGCAGAAGTGTCACATTATTATGATTCTGACCCAGCAACATGTAAAAATGCACCCATGAAAAGGAATTCCAGCCAAAAAATCTCAACAGCTGGGTACTAGGCCCAGTGATATGACACAATCTCTTCATCTTTAAGGGTGACAACTTTAACTTTTAGCTGAGTGTGTATTTTAGAGTCACAATCTCACTTGTGTGTTGGGCCAAAGTATTACACTCTCTACAACATCCAAGGGCATTATAAAGCCTGCGTGAGAGTTGCAAACCTCTCTGAGGCCTAAAAGCTCATATGGACTCACAGTCGTACATATTGCCTAAACCCAGGTTTGATAGTCAACATCTCACCTACAGGCAGGATTAAGGGAGAAGACCCATTATTGTAACTGTGGGCTGGGTCCAGAAATGAGTCACCATCCCACCTGTGTCCAGATCCACATATAAAAGTCACAATTAAAACTTTGAACTGTATTCCCTTGTTAGACTCAGGACCTCAACAGTGGGCTGCGTAAATGTGGGATGGTGACAACTTTTAATTTCACCTGGGTGTGTAATGAAGAGTTTCAATCTGAATGTTTGGCTGCCCCTGTTGAATCTCTCTACCAAGAAAGAGTTTATGCAATATAAGTTAGTGTTGTAAGCTTCTGTGAGCTTGGTACAAACATGGAACTCAGGACCTTACCTATCGACCTAAGCTTAAAGATGAGAGGCAAAATATTTTCTATTGGCTGAATCCCAGTATAAGTATAATCATCATGAGTTGGAACTGAAACATGGTATATGTCATAATTCCATTTGTGGGCAAAAAACTAGGCAGTAGGGTAACATCACTTAGGTGCTGTGCCAGGCGATATGTCACAATGCCTTCTCTAGGCAAGGCATAGGAAATTGGGTCACATTAACTGGATGCTGGGCCCAGCAATATGACACCATCCCACATGTGGAAAAAACACAGCCAAGTTATGAGAGCCAAAACACCTACATAATGGGCCCAAGATATGTCAAAATATTTTCGGCGGCTCCAGCACAGGCAGGAGAGTTACAACATAAGGGTGCTGGGCCCAGCAATATGTAATATGCCGTAATTTCTGCTTTATGCAGATCCCAGGCAGAAGAGTAACATCATCTGGGTGCTGGGCTCTGCAATAGGTCAAAATTCCTTTTTGGTGGGCATGATTTGGGAAAAAGAGGAGAGTCACATATTCTGAGTGCTTAGCAATGTGTCAAAATCTTCTTATTGTGAAGGCCCAGGCAGAAAAAGAGAGTCACATCACTTAAATCACGGGCACAGAGATGTCCCAATGTCCCCAGTAGGCAGGGCTCAGGCAGAAGAGGAGAGTCATATCACCCAGCTGCTTTCCTAGGAATATGTCACAGTGTAACATGTGGGAAGAAATGAGGCAGAAGAGCCACATCACTTGGGTGCTGGGTCCTGAGATATGTCAAAAGGCTCTCTTAGGACAGCACCCAGACAAGAGAGTTACATCAACTAGGTACAGGTTCTCTGTTTATGTCACAATGCTCCATGTGGGTAGGGCCCAAGGAGGGAGTCACTTGACTTAGGTGATAGGCCCAGAGATATATCATAATGTCCTCTATGAAGCATAGCCCTGGCAAAAGAGTACCCTCACCTGTGTGCCTGGCCTAGAAATATGTCACACTCCAGGTTGGCAGGGCCCAAGCAGGAGAGTCACTTACCCTAGGTCATAGGCCCAGAGATATGTCACAATGACCTATTTTGTCCATGACTCTGGCAAAAAAGTACCCTTACCTGTGTGCCTGGGCTTGCAATATGTCACTATCCTTCCTTTGTGTGGGGCCCATTCCAGAGAAGAGGGTTATATCACCTATATGTGGATACAGAAAGAGGTCACAATAATTTTAGTGGGCATGGCACAGGCAAGAATGTAACGTCAGCTGTGTGCTAGATCCAGTGATATGTCACAATTCTTACTGAGAGAAGGGCCCAGGCAGGAGAGTCACATCACCTTGAGATTGGCCTAGGTAGACATCACAATCCCATATATGTGCTGGAAAAACTCTGTAGGGTCAAATTACACAGTTGCTTGGAAAAAATTTGTATCACAATCGTACTGTCAGAAAATTCCAAAGATGAGATTCACAATACCACACTTGTTCTGTTTTCATGTGTCACAGTTGGCTTCATCCATGTGAAATGATGACAATCCTTACTGTCAGCTGGGTCTGGATACATGACTAACAATTTCACGTGTGTGCTGAGCCCTGCTTTGGCTCTGTCTGTATTACCGAAAGACTTTGTAAAATATGTGTGAGTGTTGTAATCTTTTGTGACCTTTGTACAGGAATGTGATCCAAGACATCATGCATGTATGTAAATCTGGTTATAAAAGTCAAAATATCCTCTATTGGCTGAATCCATATATAAGAGTCATTATCATGCCTGTGAGCTGTGCCTAGGCATATGTTACAATCCCCTCTGTGGTTATGAAGCAGGCAGGACAGCCACATCACCTAAATGCTGGGCCAGAAATATTCCAAAATCCTCTTTTTAGGCAGACCTGTCAGAAACGTCACATAACTTGTGTGCTAGGTCCAGCGCTGTGGCACAATGTCCCTTGTGGGCAGTGTCCAAGCAGGAGAGGAGAGTCTTATCCCCTAAATGATGGGCCCCAAAATATGTCACAATGCCTCCTGTTGACAGGGCCCAGGCAAGACAGTCATATCATTTGGATGCAGTGCTCAGAAATGCTGTAGTTACCAAGGAATCAGGGCACAGGCAGGAGGGGAGAGTCATGTAACCTAGAAAATGGGTCCAGAAATATGTTACAATCCCTCCAGAGGACATTGTTAAGATAACGCGGTCAAATCATCAAGGTGCTTGGCTCTGTTATTTGTCAAATTCTCATTTGTGGGCGATACCTAGGCAGAATAATTAATTCAGGAGCTGGGCAGAGGTATATGTCACAATTACACTTGTGGAAAAGTTGAACGATAAGACTCACCATCCTGTGCATATCGGGGCTCCAGACATACGTCTTGTTATTAGGCTTTTGATACGGTCTCAGTTATATGGCACAACATCACCTGTGGCCAGTGAGAAGGCATGAAAGTCACATGACCTACATGGTTGCGGGTCCAGTGAGATGTCACAATCCACCTAGTACGCAGGACCCTGGCAGAAGAGTCACATCACCTGAATGCTGATTTCAGTGACATATCAAAACCCCCTCTGTGGGCAGGACTTTGGCAAGAGAGGAAACTCACTTCACCTAGGCAATTGGCCTAGATACATGTCACAATGGCGCTTATGTGAAGTACCACGGCTGGAGAGTGACCTCACATTTTTGTTGGGCCCAGCAATAGATCACAATCTCCCTGTTATCAGGGCCCAGGCAAAAGCAAAGAAACATCACCTTGGTACTGAGCCAAGCGATTTATTACAATGCTTCCTTTTGGCAGAACCCAAAAAGGAGAATCACATCGTCTGTGTGCAGTACCTTGTTATGTGTCACAATGCACTGTAAGTGCAGGGCCAAGGCAGTAGAAGGGACTGACATCACTTACATGACGGGCCTAGGTATACGACACAACTCTCTTTGTAGACAGGTTTCAGGAAGATAATTAACATCACCTGGTTGATGGTCCCAGTGATATATAAAAGTGCCCTTTGTAGACAGAGCCAAGGAAGGTGTTATATATTGTTTAGGTGTTTGTTCCACATATTGCACAATTTCATCTGTGGTCTGGGCCTAAAAAAGAGTGTCAGATTATTCATGTGCTGGCAAAGTTACCTGTCCCAATCACACTTTCAGAAATGTTCAGAAATAATTTTCACATCCCACAAAAGTTCTGGTTTCATGTATGTGAGTCAACTCTTTCTATGAGTTGGGTCTGAGTAGAGGAGTCACGATCTCATCAATGGGCAAGATCCATGTATAAGATCCAAAATCCCACTTGAAGATTGTGTTCCAGTAGGGCAGTCACAGCATCACAGGTGTGCTGAATCATGGTTCAAATGTTACCAAACCACGTGTGAATCAGATCCATGTATGAGAGTAATTATTTCAACCTTCGACTGCTTTTTATTTGTGAGATTTAGACCCTATTCCTAGGTCCTGTTCATGTGTGAGAATGGTAATCGTGTCAGCTAGTTGTGCACACAAGAGTCACATTCTTATGTCATTGCTGGTCCCTGTTATGACAGTCTGTACCATTAAGGCTTTATATGCTATACCTGAGTGTTATAATCCTTTGTGAACTTTATACAAGTGAAAAACCCAGGACTTCACCAATGGCCGTGAGACTGACCATAAGAGTCAAAAATCTCTACTGGCTGGGTCCAGGTATGAGAGTTATTGTGCATGTGTGCTTAACCCAGGTATATGTCACAATTTTATGTGTGAGCAGGGACAAGACAGGAGAGTCACATTACCTGGGTATAGACTCAAATAGTAGGTCACCAAGCTGGCTATATACGGGGTAGAAGAAAAAGATGAGAGTCACTCCACCTAGGTGCTGGGCTCTGCAATATGTAATAATCCCCTCTCTTGGCAGAGTCTAGAATATGAAGGACAGTCACATCATTTAGGGTTTGCAATCAGCGGTAAGTCACAATTTCTTTGGTGAGCAGGACCCAGGCAGGAATGTAGAGTCACATTACCTAGATGTTAAGCCAAACAACATGTCACAATGTCCTCTGGGGACAGGGCACAGGCAGGAGACACAAATTACCTAGCTTATAAACCCAGAGATAAGTGATAATATCCATTGTTGGCAGAGACCTATCACCTACATGCTTCCCTAGGTATATGACACAATCTAACATGTGAAGAGAGCTACAACAAATAGGTGCAGGTTCTACCCATATGTCACATTGCTCCATGTGGGCAGGGTTCAAGCAGGGAATCACATCACCTAGGTGATAGTTCCAAAGACTTGTCACAATGTCCTCCTTGAGGCATGGCCCTGACAAAAGAGTACCATCACTTGTGAGCCTAGCCTAGTAATATGTCACTATTCAGGTAATTAGGACCCAAGCAGGAGAGCAACATCACCTAAGTGATAGGCCCAGAGATTTGTCACAATGCCCTCTTTAGGACACGGCCCTAGCAAAAGAGTACTGTTACCCGTGTGCCTGGCCCAGCCATATGTCACTATCTCCCACTGTGTGCAGGGCACATTCTATGAGGAGAGTTATGTCACCTTAGTGTTTGACACAGTGATATGTCACAGTGATTTCTGTGAGCATGGCTCAGGCAAAAATGTAACATGCCCTGGGTGCTGGATCTAGTGATATTTCATGATTCTCACTGAGAGCAGGGCCCAGGCAGGAGAGTCACATCACCTAGAAGTTGGCCCAGGTAGATATCACAATAACATATGCCAGCTCTAACCAGTCTGGAGAGTCAAATCACACAAGTGTTCAGCAACAATTTATATCACAATCACACTGGCAGAAAATTCCCAGGATGAGATGTACAATACCACAAATGTTCTGTTTTTATGAGTAACAGTTGGCTTCATATATGTGAGACAGTAACAGTTCTTACTGTTGGCTGGGTGTGCATATGAGACTCACAATTTCACCTTCCTGCTGGGTTCTGTTATGACACTCTGTGTACAAGCCAATGGCTTTATAAAATATCTGAGGCTGTTATAATGTTCTGTGACTTTTTTTTTTTTTTACCGGAAAGAGATTTAATCACTCGTGTTTCTAAAGCAAGTTATGAGAGTCAAAATTACTCCTATTTGTGGGGTTCACATATAAGAGTCGTTATCATGCCTGTGAGCTGTGCTAAGGTGTGTGTCACAATTTACTCTGTAGTAATGAAACAGGTATGACAGCCATGTCACCTAAATGCTGAGCCAGAATTTTCCAATATTCTCCTTGCAGGCAAGTTCCTGGCAGAAAAGTCACATAACTTTGGGGCTACGTCCAACTGTATGGCAAAATGCTCCTTGTGGGCAATATCCAGACAGAAGAGGAGACTCATATCACCCAGAGATATGTCACAATATCTCCTGTTGAAAGGACCAGGCAAGAGAGTCTTATCATTTGGATGCAGAGCTTGGAAATGCTACAGTCCCCAGTGGAAGCAGGGTCCAGGCAGGAGAGGAGAGTCAGGTAACCTAGAAAATGGGTCCAGAAACATGTTACAATCCTTCCTGAGGATATTGTTAAGACAGGAGAGTCAAATCACCAAGGGTCTCACTTGAGGTAAATGTCCAGACTTCATGTGTGGGCTACCCTAGGCAGGATTATTAAATCACTCAGGAGCTAGGAAAAGATATATGTCACAATAACACTGGTGGAAATTTCCAAGAATGGGGACACTATCTTGCATATGACCTGGCTCCAGGTTTAAGAGTCATGATTAGTCCTCTTATCTGGTCTCAGGTATATGGCACAATATCACCTGTGGGCAGAGAGCAAGCAGGAAGGTCACGTCACCTGGGTGGGTGCTTGTCCAGTGAGATGTCACAATCTTTCTTGTGGGCAGGACCCTGGAAGAAGAGTCACATCAACTGGATGCTGGTTTTTGTGATACATCAAAATTCCCCCTGGACAGGGCTTAGGAAGGTGAGGAGACTCACTTCACTTAAGCAATTGGCCTAGATGTGTGTCACAATGGCTGCTATGTGCAGGACCAAGGTATGAAAGTGACCTCGCCTTGGTACTGGGTTTAGCAATATGTCACAATCTCCCTTGTGGTCAGGGCAAGGCAAGAGAGGAGAAACATCATGTAGGTGCTCAGCCAAGCAACGTGTTACAAAGCTTCCTGTTGGCAGGACCCAAAACAGAGTGTCACATCACCTGGGTGCAGTACCAAGTTATGTGTAACCATGCACCATAAGTACATGGCCGAGGCTGTAGAAGGGAGTCACATCACTTACATGATGAACCTAGATATAAGCCACAGTGCTTTTTATAGGCAGGGAACAGGCAAAGAATTCACATCACTTGGGTGCTGGTCCCAGGTGATACATAAAAGTGCCCTTTGTAGGCAGGCCCAGTCACCTTTGCTTAGGTGTATAGTCCAAGTATGTTACAATTTCATTTGTGGTCATGGCCTAAAAAAGAGTCAAATTATTCAAGGGGATGGGCTAACTTTTACGTCCTAATCACACACTAGAAAATATTCAGAAATAAGTTTCACAGTCCCACACGAGTCCTGGCTTTGTGTATGTGAGTAACACCTCCTATGAGTGCGGTCAAAGAGAAGAGTTACAATCTCATCAATGGGCAAAATCCATGTATAAGATGCCCAATCCCACTGCAAGATTGTGTTCCAGTAGGGGAGTCACAGCCTCACAGGTGTGCTGAATTATGCATCACCAATACACCCATGGGTCAGATCCGTGTATGAGAGGAACAATTTCAATCTTTGAGAACTGTTTTTTTTTGTTTTTGTTTTTTTGTTTTTTTTAGTCAGATTCTCCCTCTGTCACTCAGGCTGGAGTGCAGTGGCACAATCTTGGCTCACTGTAACCCTTGCCTCCTGGGTTCAAGTGATTCTTCTGCCTCAGCCTCCCAAGTAGCTAGGACTACAGGCAAATGCAATGATGCCTAGCCAATTATTGTGTTTTTAGTAGAGATTGGGTTTCACCATATTTGTCATGCTGGCCTTGAACTCCTGACCTCAGATGATCCACCCACCTCAGCCTCCCAAAATGCTGGGATTACAGGCATGAGCCACAGTGCCTAGCCTTCAACTGCTCTTCTGTGTGACATTTAGTACCTTATTTGTATGTGTTCTTGTGAAAATGACAATCGTGTCAGCTAGATGTCCATCCAAGAGTCATGATCTCACCTGGTTGCTGTTCCCTGGTATGACATGCTGTACCACTCAGACTTTATATGGTATGCCTGAGTGTCATAATCATCTGTGAACTTTATACAATTATGAGACCTATTACTTTACTTATTGCCATAAGACTGGCTATGACAGTCAAAATATCTCTCCTTATATCACAATTTCACCCATGGGCAGAAATAAGGCAGAAGAGTCTCATTATCTGGATTCTGAGCTAAGATCCATTATAATCTCCTTTGCAGCCAGGGCCAAGTCAGAAGAGTCACATAACCTGGGTACAGCCTCAAGTAATATGGCACCATGTCCACTGCAGACAGGGTTGAAGAAAAAGGGGAGAGTCACACCACCTAGGTGCTGGGCTCAACAATATGTAATAATCCCTTCTTTTGGCAGACTCCAGAATAAAGAGCAGATTGCATTACCTAGGTTTTGCACTCAGTGGTATGTCACAATTCCTTTAGTGGGCAGGGCCTAGGCAGGAGAGGAGAGTACATTTCCTAGATGCTACGTCCAGCAATGTCACAATGTTCCTTGTGGGCAAAGCACAGGAAAAATAGAAAAATCACCTAGCTGATAGGTTCAGAAGTATGTGATAATATCCCTTTTTGACAGGGCCCAGGCAGAAGAGTCACTTTATTATGATTCTGACCCAACGATATGTCACAATGCACACTTGCGATACAATTAAAGGAAAAGTTTTAACACCTGGGTACTAGGCCCAGTGACATGACACAGTCTCCTCATCTTTGATGGTGACACCTTTAACTGATAGCTTGGTGTTTATATGAGAGTCACAATGTCATGCATATTAGGTAATTGCATGAAACCCTCTACAACATCCGAGGGCTTTATACGGCATGCATCAGAGTTGCAAACCACTCTGAGGCCCACACGTTCATATGGAGTCAAAATTTTATACATTGACTTAAACCTAGGTATGACAGTCAACATCTCTCATTTGGGCCAAGTTCAGGAATGAGACACATTTTATGCCTGTGAGATGGATCCAAAAATGAGTCACAATCGCACCTGTGGCCCGATGCACATATGAGAGTCAAAATTCCATCTTTGTACTGTTTTCACCTATTAGACTCAGTACTGCAACAGTGGGCTTTGTAAATGTGGGATGGTGACAGATTTTACTTTCACCTGGGTGTGTAATTGAGAGTCACAATCTTAACTTTTTGCCGGGCCTTGTTATGAAACTGTCTGTACCACCCAAGTTTATACATTATGAGTAAGTGTTGTAAACTTCTGTGAGCTTTGTACAAATATGCAACCCAGGATTTTACCTATTGTCCTAAGCTTAGGGATGACAGGCAAAATATCTTCTATTGGCTGAATCCCAATATAACTTGGACCATCATGGCTGTGAAATGAAGAAAGGTATATGTCATAATCCCATTTTTGGGCAAAAAATTAGGAAAAGAGTAACAACACTTAGGTGATGTGTCAAGTAATATGTCGCAATGCCCCCTCTAGGCAGAACCTAGAAAGGGGAGTCATATTAACTAGTTGCAGGACCCAGCAATATGACCCAATTCCAAATGTGGAAAAGCTTAGCCAAGGGATGAGAGCCAAAGTACCTACCAAATGGGCCGAAATTATGTCAAAATACTGTCTGTGGCTCTGGCACAGGAAGGACTGTAGCATCATCAGCAGCTGGGCCCACCAGTATGCAATAATTCCCTCTTTTTTCAGGACTCTATCAGAAGAGTAACATCATCTGGGTGCAATAGGTCAAAATTTCCCTTTGTGGGCATGGTTCACAAAAAAGAGTAGAGTCACATGACCTGAATGCTGGGCTCAGCAATATGTCACAATCCCACCATTTTAAAGGCCCAGGCAGAGGAAGAGAGGCATATCACTTAGGTCATGGGATCACAGATATGTCCCCATGTCCCCAGTAGGCAGAACTCAGGCAGATGAGGAGAGTCATATCACCTAGATGCTTCCCTAGAAATATGTCACAATTTAATATGTGGGCAGAAACTGGGCAGAAGAGCCATATCATTTGAGTGCTGGGTGTTGAGATATGTCACAAGGCTCTCTTAGGACAGCACCCAGGCAAGAGAGTTACATCACCTAGG
The DNA here is from genome assembly GCF_000001405.40 of Homo sapiens. Lineage (NCBI taxonomy): Eukaryota > Metazoa > Chordata > Mammalia > Primates > Hominidae > Homo > Homo sapiens. The sequence continues at coordinate 46,842,628 of NC_000008.11, read as the reverse complement.
TGCTGGTTCTCTCTTATGCCACAATGCTCCATGTGGGTAGGTCCCAAGGAGGGAGTCACCTCACCTAGGTGATAGGCCCAGGGTTATGTCACAATGTCCTCTATGAAGCAAAGCCCTGGCAAAAGAGTACCATCACCTGTGTGCCTGGCATAGAAATGTGTCACTCTCCAGGCTGGCAGGGCCCAAGTAGGAGAGCCACATAACCTAGATGATAGGCTGAGAGATATGTCAAAATGTCCTCCTTTGGGCATGGCTTTGGCAAAAGAGTACCCTCACCTGTGTGTCTGGCTTTGCAATATGTTACTATCATTCCTTTGTGCAGGACCCATTCCAGAGAGGAAAGTTACATCACCTATGAGGTGGACACAGAAATATGTTACAATAATTGTGGTAGGCATGGTGCAGGCAAGAATGTAGCATCACCTGAGTGTTAGATCCAGTGATATGTCACAATCCTTACTGAGAGAAGGGCCCAGCCAGGAGAGTCACATCACCTGGAGGTTGGCCTAGGTAGATATCACAGTCCCTTCTATGGGCTGGAACAAGTCTGGAGAGTCAAATTACACAGGTGCTTAGAAAAGATTTATACCGCACAATCATGCTGTCAGAAAATTCCAAAGATGAGATTTACAATACCATACATGTCTTGTTTTCATGTGTGACAGTTCGCTTCATCCATGTGAGATAACGACAGTCCTTACTGTCAGCTGGTTCTGCATAAAAGACTCACAATTTCGCCTGTGTGCTGAGCCCTACTTTTACTCTGTCTGTATAACCCAAAGACTTTGTAAAATATGTGAGAATGTTGTAATCTTTTGTAACCTTTTTACAAGAAGGTGACCTAGGACATCACACATGTCCCTAAACCTAGTTATAAGAGTCATAATATCCTCTGTTGGCTGAGTCCACATATGAGAGTCATTATCATGTCTGTGACCCATGCCTAGGTATATATTACGATTCCCTCTGTGATTATGAAGCAGGCAGAACAGCTACTTCAGGGCTAAATGGTGGGCTAGAAATATTCCAATATTCTCTTTGTAGGCAGGGTCCTGTCAGAAATGTCACATAACTTGTGCTCTTGGTCCAGCTCTGTGGCACAATGTCCTTTGTGGGCAGTGTCCAAGCAGGGAGAGGAGAGTCTTGTCATCCAAATGATGGGCCTCCAAATATGTCACAATGCCTCTTGTAGACAGGGCCCAGGCAACACAGTTATATCATTTGGATGCAGTGCTTAGAAATGCTACAATTACCAAAGGAAGCAGGGTACAGGCAGGAGATGAGAGTCATGTAACCTAGATGATGAGTCCAGAAATATGTTACAGTCCCCTCAGAGGACATTGTTAATATAGCACAGTCAAATCACCAAGGTGCTTTGCCTAAGTATCTGTCAAAATCTGATTTGAGGGATATACCCAGGTAGAATTTTTAAATCATTCAGGAGCTGAGCAAAGGTATATGTCACTAGTACACTTTTGCAAAGGTTTAAGAATAAGACTCACCATCCTGCACATGTCCTGGCTCCAGGCATATGAGTTGTAATTAGGCTTTTGTTAGGGTCTCAGGCATATGGAGCAATACCACCTGCAGCCAGAGAGAAGGCAAGAAAGTTACATCACCTATGTGTGTGCAGGTCCAGTGAGATGTCACAATCCACCTTGTGGGCAGGACCCTGGCAGAAGAATCACATCACCTGGATGCTGGTTTCAGTGACATATCAAACCGCTCTCTGTGGGAAGGACTTAAGCAGGAGAGGGGATTCACTTCTAGGCAATTTGCCTAGATATATGTCACAATGTCTGTTCTGTGCAGTACCAAGCCTGGAGAGTGACCTCACATTTGTGCTGAACCCAGCAATATGTCACAATACCCTGTGGTCAGAGCCCAGTCAAAAGCAAAGAAACATCACGTGCTGAGCCAAGTGATATGTTACAATGCTTCCTGTTGGCAGAACCCAAAAAGGAGAATCACATTACCTGTGTGAAGTGCCCAGTTGTGTGTCACAATGCACTGTAAGTGCAGGGCTAAGGCAGTAGAAGGGAGTGACATCACTTATGTGATAGACCTAGATTTAAGACACAATTCTCTTTGTAGGCAGGTTCTAGGCAGATAACTCACATCACCTGGATGATGGTCCCAGTGATATATAAAAGTACCCTTTGTAGGCTAAGCCAAGGAAGGTATTACATATTGCTTAGCTGCTTGTTCCACATATGGCACAATTTCATCTGTGTTCTGGGCCTAGAAAAGACAGTCAAATTATTCATGTGCTGGGCAAAGTTAACTGTCCCAATCACGCTCTCAGAAAGGCTCAGAAATAAGTTTCATATCCCACACAAATCCTGGTTTCCTGTATGTGAGTCAACACTTTCTGTGGTTTGGGTGGAAGTAGAGGAGTCACAATCTCAACAATGGGCAAGATCCATGTATAACTGCCCCAATCCCACTTGAAAATTGTGTTCCAGTAAAGAACTCACAGCACCACAGGTGTGCTGAATCATGGTTCAAATATTACCAATTCACCTGTGAATCAGATCCATGTATAAGAGTAATTATTTCAACTTTTGACTGCTTTTTATGTGTGAGATTTAGTACCTCATTCCTAGGCCCTGTTCATGTGTGAGCACGACAATCATGTCAGCCAGATGTGCATAGAAGAATCATATTCTCACTTAGTTGCTGGTCTCTGTTATGACACTCTTAACCCTTCATGAACTTTATACAAGTGAAAAACTGAGGACTTTACCCATGGCCACGAGACTGGCTATGAGTGTCAATTATTTCTACTTTCTGGATCTAGGTATGAGAGTTATTATTGTGCATGTGTGCTTAACCCAGGTATATGTCACAATTTCACCTGTGAGCAGGGACAAGCCAACAGAGTCACATCACCTGGGTGCTCAGCCAGTGATACAGTATAATCTCATTTGTAGGCTGGGTCTAGCCAGAAGAGTCACATCTCCTGGGTACAACCTCAAAGTATGTCACCAAGCCCACCATAGACAGGGAAGAAGAAGAGGAAAGTCACTCCACCTAGGTGCTGGGCTCTGCAATATGTAGTAATCCTCTCTCTTGGCAGAGTCTAGAATATGAAGGACAGTGACATCATTTAGGTTTTGCTATCAGTGGTATGTCACAATTTCTTTGGTGAGCAGGACCCAGGCAGGAGAGGAGGGTCATATTACCCTAGATGTTAAGTCAAACGATATTACACAATCTCCTCTGGGGGCAGAGGCAGGAGAGACAAATAACCCCCTTATAGGCCCAGATATATGTGATAATATCCCCTGTTGGCAGGGTCCAGGCAGAAGAGTCACATTATTACAATTCTAACTCGGTGATATGTCACAGTGCACCCATGGGAAGAAATTTAAGCCAAAAAGTCTCAACACCTGAGTACTAGGCCTTCATCTCCTGAATGAGGCAGCGACACCTACAGAATCCTCAGGCAATAACCCTGCCCCCTCATGCTAAAAAATAACCCAACTCTCTACGCTATTAAAATCAATCGTGAATACCACATCGTACTCAACTATTCATCGAACCAACATCAACTCTATTAATAATCCTAATAAGAAAGCCCCTCAAATGTCAATACTTTACCCTCATATTTCAGGATATTCCTCAATAGCCATAGCCATAGTATAACCAAAAACAATCATCATGCCCTCCAAATAAATCAAAAAGACTATTAACCCCACGAAACCCACACCAAAATTCAACAGTATATCACAACCCACAGCACCCCTAATAATTAGCCCTAGGGCTCCATAAATAAGAGAAAGTTTCAAAGAAAAACCTAAAAACCCTATAACCAGAGAATACTTAATAAAAATAAAGCATATGCCATTATTCCCACATGAACTATAAAAATGACTAATGATATGAAAAACCATTTTTGTACTACATTTATAAGAACACTAATGACCAATACCTGCAAAACACATCCACTAATACAAATTATTAGCTACTCATTTAATGATCTTCCCACACCACCTAACATTTCCACATGATGAAACTTCGGCTCTCTTCTTGGTGCCTGCCTAATTCTCCAGATCATCACAGGATTATTTTTGGCCATGCACTATACATCAGACACCTCAGCTGCCTTTTCTTCAGTCGCTCATATTGGCCAAGATGTAAACTAAGGCTGAATGGTCTGCTATTTTCATGCCAACGGGGCTTCAATATTTTTCATCTGCCTCTTCTTACATGTTGTTGAGGCTTATACTACGGTTCATTTCCATTCCTAGAAACCTGAAATATTGGCATTATCCTCCTATTCACGACTATAACAACAGCATTCATGGGCTACGTGCTCCCATGAGGCCAAATATCATTCTGAGGCCCTACAGGAATTACAAATCTACTATCAGTCATCTCATATATTGGAACTGACATTGTACAACGAATCTGAGGCAGATTCTCAGTTGACAAAGCCACCCTCACACGATTTTTCACCTTCCATTTCATCTTACCCTTCATCATTATAGTGCTCGCAACTGTTCTTTTATTCTTGCATGAAACAGAATCTAACAACCCTTCAGGGGTTTCATCAGATCCCGACAAAATCACTTTCCACCCCTACTGTACAACCAAAGATATTCTAGGTTTAATTTTTCTTCTCCTCCTTCTAATAACTCTAATACTATTTTTGCCTGATCTCCTGAGCAAACCTGATAATTACCCTTTAGCCAACCCCCTCAATACCCCACCCCACATTAAGCCAGAGTGGTACTTTTTGTTTGCATATGCAATATTGTGATCTATCCCTACAAATTAGGAAGCGCACTGGCCCTCGTATTCTCCATTCTCATTCTAGCAGTATTCCCATATTTCACAAGTCTAAACAACAAAGCATAATATTGCGGCCATTAAGTTAATGCCTATTATGAACCCTAGTGGCTGACCTGCTTACACTCACCTGAATCGGAGGGCAGCCAGTCCAATAATCTTTTATTGCCATCAGACAGACAGTATCTATCATGTACTTCTCTACCATCCTCACCCTTATACTGCTCACTACCCTAATTGAAAATAAATTACTTAAATGAAAATGCTCTTGCAGTATAATTGAATACTCTGGTCTTGTAAACGAGAAATGGAGAATCCCCTCCCCAGGACAACTCAGGGAAAAAGCATTCCCACTTCATCGTCAACAACCAAAGCTGAAATTCTAATTAAACTACTCCTTGAATTTTTTCACAGCACACACTTTAACTACTATGTCAATATTAATCAACTAGCACTAATACATTAGTGGTTTCATGTACTTTGTGCATTACTGTTAGCACCCATGAATTATATAGTACTATAATTGTTTACTTATACATAGTACATTGATACATGAAGATACATTACAAATCCAGTCCATATACATATAAGCATGTATTGACATTCCCTTAATCAACTGTGGTACATCTACTATTATTGACTGTACAATACAAGTCTAATCCATGCGAATATTGACCCGTACTAGATATCCTTAATATTACATAGTGCATACTTCGTTCATTGGACACAGCACATTTCAGTCAAGAAATCCCTTATCAACATGGATATCCCCTACTACATTCTGATCTCTTAATCCACCAACCTCCTTGAAATCATCATCCTGCTTGGGAGTACTAACCTCCTCGCTCTGGGCCCACAACACTTGGGGGTGACTGTTTTGAAACTATACCTGGCATCTGGTTCTTACTTCAGGACCATGAAACTAAAATCGCCCACACATTCCCCTTAAATAAGATATCTCGATGGACTAACGACTACCACCCTATTAACCAGTCACGGCAGCACTGTCACTCACCATCGCGGTGCTATCACTCACCATCGCGGACGCCCTGGTACCTGCCGAATCAGCTGTAGACGAACTCGGATTTGATTCCTGCCAAATCAATCGTAGAAGCTGAGCTTAAATTGAATATTCTGGGCTGGCATAATAACAATAAGTTGTGAATTAATTAATGCTTGAAGGACATAACAATTAATAGACACGTATGCTCACGTACGTATGCTCATGCACGTATGCTCACTTTCAAGAACTATTTCTGATTAAATTTGCAAACTCCTCCTCTCCCATCTCTGACTTTACCATCAACCAAGGTAAATGTACCCTTGCCAAACCCCAAAAACAAGACACTAAAATGCAACCCAGTCAGAGCCCCAAAATAATATTTTAACCATGAATACCCCAACAGCTACCCCTCGATTGATATAATTTTCCTAAAAATCTTAAGATTCCCCCCAAATCAAGCCTCCATTTTATATAATAAATGCAATAACTAAACTTCCACCCTAAAGTAATATAATACCTTGAGCATATTCCTGTAAAAGCGCTACCCCCTATATTGTACCCTAAATCGATTATATTCTAATTATGAGTAATCCTCTCAACCTCTTCCAATTCAACTGTAAAGACCCTGAATTCCAAGAACTGTAAATGGCTATTTATATTTATTTCTTTCCTTCTCATGTTCTAATTTTAGACTTAAGTATTTATACAGTTAATGTAGCTTAATTATTTCAAAGCAAGACACCACTAAAAATGTCTAGATGGGTCTGCACAACACCATGAACAAATAGGTTTGGCCCTGTCCTTTCTTTTTCTTATTTTTAATTTTTTAATTTTTTTATTATTATACTTTAAGTTTTAGGGTACATGTGCACAATGTGCAGGTTTGTTACCTATGTATACATGTGCCATGTTGGTGTGCTGCACCCATTAACTCGTCATTTAGCATTAGCTATATCTCTTAATGCTATCCCTACTCCGTACCCCCACCCCACAACAGTCCCCAGTGTGTGATATTCCCCTTCCTGTGTCCATGTGTTCTCATTGTTCAATTCCCACCTATAAGTGAGAATATGCAGTGTTTGGTTTTTTGTCCTTGCGATAGTTTCCTGAGAATGATGGTTTCCAGCTTCAGCCATGTCCCTACAAAGGACATGAGCTCATCATTTTAAATGGCTGCATAGTATTCCATGGTGTATATGTGCCACATTTTCTTAATCCAGTCTATCATTGTTGGACATTTGGGTTGGTTCCAAGTCTTTGCTATTGTGAATGGTGCTGCAATAAACATACATGTGCATGTGTCTTTATAGCAGCATGATTTATAATCCTTTGGGTATATACCCAGTAATGGGATGGCTGGGTCAAATGGTATTATCTAGTTCTAGATCCCTGAGGAATCGTCACACTGACTTTCACAATGGTTGAACTAGTTTACAGTCCCACCAACAGTGTAAAAGTGTTCCTATTTCTCCACATCCTTTCCAGCACCTGTTGTTTCCTGACTTTTGAATGATCGCCATTCTAATTGGTGTGAGATGGCATCTCATTGTGGTTTTGATTTGCATTTCTCTGATGGCCAGTGATGGTGAGCATTTTTTATGTGTTTTTTGGCTGCATAAATGTCTTCTTTTGAGAAGTGTCTGTTCATATCCTTTGCCCACTTTTTGATGGGGTTGTTTGTATTTTTATTGTAAATTTGTTTGAGTTCATTGTAGATTCTGGATATTAGCCCTTTGTCAGATGAGTAGGTTGCAAAAATTTTCTCCCATTCTGTAGGTTGCCTGCTCACTCTGATGGTGGTTTCTTGTGCTGTGCAGAAGCTCTTTAGTTTAATTAGATCCCATTTGTCAATTTTGGCTTTTGTTGCCATTGCTTTTGGTGTTTTAGTCATGAAGTCCTTGCCCATGCCTATGTCCTGAATGGTAATGCCTAGGTTTTCTTCTAGGGTTTTTATGGTTTTAGGTCTAACATTTAAGTCTTTAATCCATCTTGAATTAATTTTTGTATAAGGTGCAAGGAAGGGATCCACTTTCAGCTTTCTATGTATGGGTAGCCAGTTCTCCCAGCACCATTTATTAAATAGGGAATCCTTTCCCCATTGCTTGTTTTTCTCAGGTTTGTCAAAGATCAGATAGTTGTAGATATGTGGTGTTATTTCTGAGGTCTCTGTTCTGTTCCATTGGTCTATATCTCTGTTTTGGTACCAGTACCATGCTGTTTTGGTTACTGTAGCCTTGTAGTATCATTTGAAGTCAGGTAGCGTGATGCCTCCAGCTTTGTACTTTTGGCATAGGATTGACTTGGCAATGTGGGCTCTTTTTTGGTTCCATATAAACTTTCAAGTAGTTTTTTCCAATTCTGTGAAGAAAGTCATTGGTAGCTTGATGGGGATGGCATTGAATCTATAAATTACCTTGGGCTGTATGGCCATTTTCATGATATTGATTCTTCCTACCCATGAGCATGGAATGTTCTTCCATTTGTTTGTATCCTCTTGTATTTCATTGAGCAGTGGTTTTTAGTTCTCCTTGAAGATGTCCTTCACATCCCTTGTAAGTTGCATTCCTAGGTATTTTATTCTCTTTGAAGCAATTGTGAATGGGAGTTCACTCACGATTTGGCTCTCTGTTTGTCTGTTATTGGTGTATAAGAATGCTTGTGATTTTTGCACATTGATTTTGTATCCTGAGACTGCTGAAATTGCTTATCAGCTTAAGGAGATTTTGGGCTGAGATGATGGGGTTTTCTAGATATACAATCATGTCATCTGCAAACAGGGACAATTTGACTTCCTCTTTTCCTAAGTGAATGCCCTTTATTTCCTTCTCCTGCCTGATTTCCCTGGCCAGAACTTCCAGCACTATGTTGAATAGGAGTGGTGAGAGAGGGCATCCCTGTCTTCTGCCAGTTTTCAAAGGGAATGCTTCCAGTTTTTGCCCATTCAGTATGATATTGGCTGTGGGTTTGTCACAGATAGCTCTTATTATTTTGTGATACGTCCCATCAATACCTAACTTATTGAGAGTTTTTAGCATGAAGCGTTGTTGAATTTTGTCATAGGCCTTTTCTGCATCTATTGAGATAATCATGGGGTTTTTGTCTTTGGTTCCGTTTATATGCTGGATTATGTTTATTGATTTGTGTGTGTTGAACCAGCCTTGCATCCCAGGGATGAAGCCCACTTGATCATGGTGGATAGGCTTTTTGATGTGTTGCTGGATTTGGTCTGCCAGTATTTTATTGAGGATTTTTGCATCAATGTTCATCAAGGATATTGGTCTAAAATTGTCTTTTTTTATTGTGTCTCTGCCAGGCTTTGGTATCAGGATGATGCTGGCCTCATAAAATGAGTTAGGTAGGATTCCCTCTTTTTCTATTGATTGGAATAGTTTTGGAAAAATGGTGCCAGCTCCTCCTTATACCTCTGGTAGAATTTGGTTGTGAATGCATCTGGTCCTGGACTTTTTTTGGTTGGTAAGCTATTAATTATTGCCTCAATTTCAGAGCCTGTTATTGGTATTTTCAGAGATTCAACTTCTTCCTGGTTTAGTCTTGGGAGAGTGTATGTGTCGAGGAATTTATTCATTTCTTCTAGATTTTCTAGTTTATTTGCATAGAGATGTTTATAGTATTCTCTCATGGTAGTTTGTATTTCTATGCGATCAGTGGTGATATCTCCTTTGTCATTTTTTATTGCATCTATTGGATTCTTCTCTCTTTTCTTCTTTATTAGTCTTGCTAAGTGTCTTTCAATTTTGTTGATCTTTTCAAAAAACCAGCTCCTGGATTCATTGATTTTTTGAAGGGTTTTTTGTGTTTCTAATTCCTTCAGTTCTACTCTGATCTTAGTTATTTCTTGCCTTCTGCTAGCTTTTGAATGTGTTTGCTCTTGCTTCTCTAGTTCTTTTAATTGTGATATTAGGGTGTCAATTTTAGATCTTTCCTGCTTTCTCTTGTGGGCATTTAGTTCTATAAATTTCCCTCTACACACTGCTTTGAATGTGTCCCAGAGATTCTGGTATGTTGTGTCTTTGTTCTCATTGGTTTCAAAGAACATCTTTATTTCTGCCTTCATTTCATTATTTACCCAGTAGTCATTCAGGAGCAGGTTGTTCAATTTCCATTTAGTTGAGCGGTTTTGAGTGAGTTCTTTAATCCTGAGTTCTAGTTTGATTGCACTGTGTTCTGAGAGAGAGTTTGTCATAATTTGTGTTCTTTTAAATTTGCTGAGGAGTGCTTTACTTCCAACTATGTGGTCAATTTTGGAATAGGTGTGGTGTTGTGCTGAAAAGAATGTATATTCTGTTGATTTGGGGTGGAGAGTCCTGTAGATGTCTATTAGGTCCACTTGGTGCAGAGCTGAATTCAATTCCTGGATATCCTTGTTAACTTTCTGTCTCATTGATCTGTCTATTGTTGACAGTGGGGTGTTAAAGTCTCCCATTATTGTTGTGTGGGAGTCTAAGTCACTTTGTATGTCACTAAGGACTTGCTTTATGAATCTGGGTGCTCCTGTGTTGGGTGCATATATATTTAAGATAGTTCTTCTTGTTGAATTGATCCCTTTACCTTTATGTCATGGCCTTCTTTGTCTCTTTTGATCTTTGTTGGTTTAAAGTCTGTTTTGTCTGAGACTAGGATTGAAACCCATGCCTTTTTTTGTTTTCCATTTGCTTGGTAGATCTTCCTCCATCCCTTTATTTTGAGCCTATGTGTGTCTCTGCATGTGAGATGGGTTTCCTGAAAACAGCACACTAATGGGTCTTGACTCTTTATCCAATTTGCCAGTCTGTGTCTTTTAATTGGAGCATGTAACCCATTTACATTTAAGGTTATTATGGTTATGTGTGAATTTGATCCCGTCATTATGATGTTACCTGGTTATTTTGCTCATTAGTTGATGCAGTTTCTTCCTAGCCTCAATGGTCTTTACAATTTGGCATGTTTTTGCAGTGGCTGGTACTGTTTGTTCCTTTCCATGTTTAGTGCTTCCTTCAGGAGCTCTTTTAGGGCAGGCCTGGTGTTGACAAAATCTTTCAGCATTTGCTTTACTGTGAAGTATTTTATTTCTCCTTCACTTATGAAGCTTAGTTTGGCTGGATATGAAATTCTGGGTTGAAAATTCTTTTCTTTAAGAATGTTGAATATTGGCCCTCACTCTCTTCTGGATCATAGAGTTTGTGCCAAAATACCAGGAGTTAGTCTTTTGGGCTTCCCTTTGTGGGTAACCCGACCTTTCTCTCTGGCTGCCCTTAACATTTTTTCCTTCATTTCATCTTTGGTGAATCTGACAATTATGTGTCTTGGAGTTCCTCTTCTCAAGGAGTATCTTTGTGGTGTTCTCTGTATTTCCTGAATTTGAGTGTTGGCCTGCCTTGCTAGATTGGGGAAGTTCTCCTGAATAATATCCTGCAGAGTGTTTTCCAACTTGGTTCCATTCTCCCCGTCACTTTCAGGTACACCAATTAGATGTAGACTTGGTGTTTTCACATAGTCCCATATTTCTTGGAGACTTTGTTCGTTTCTTTTTATTCTTTTTTCTCTAAACTTCTCTTCATGCTTCATTTCATTCATTTGATCTTCCATCACTGATACCTTTCTTCTGGTTGATCGCATCAGTTACTGAGGCTTGTGCATTCATGACGTAGTTCTCGTGCCGTGGTTTTCAGCTACATGAAAATATGGAGCACTTCACGAATTTGCGTGTCATCCTTGCTCAGGGGCCATGCTAATCTTCTCTGTATGTTTCCAGTTTTAGCATATGTGCTGCCGAAGTGAGCATGGTCCTGGCCTTTCTATTAGCTCTTAGTAAGATTACACATGCAAGCATCCCCACCCCAGTGAAAATGCCTTTTAGATCACCCGGAACAAAAGGAGCAAGTATCAAGCATGCACAAATGCAGCTCAAAACACTTTACTCAACCACACCCCCATGGGAAAAAGCACTGATAAATATTTAGTAATAAGTGAGACTTTAATCTATAGTGATATCTAGCATTGGTCAATTTCATGCCAGCCACCGCAGCCATACGATTAACCCAAGCTAATTGAACTTGGTGAAAACAGTGCTTAAGGTCTGCCCTCAATAAAGCTAAACTCCGTCTAAGTTGTAAAAAACTCCAGCTGAAATAAAATATACTATGAATGTGCCTTTAATATCCTGAAGATGCAACAGCTAAGACCCAAACTGGGATTAGATACCCCACTATGCTTACCCCTAAACTCTAATAGTTACATTTAAAAAAAAATTTGCCAGAATACTACCAGCAACAGCTAAAAACTCAAAGGATTTGATGCTGCTTATATCCCTCTAGAGGATCCTGTTCTATAATTAATAAACCCCAATATACCTCACCACCTCTTGCCCAGCCTATATACCACCATCTTCAGCAAACCCTAAAGTGGTTATAGAGTAAGCACAAGTGTACACATAAAAACGTTAGGTCAAGGTGTAGCTCATGAGGTGGCAAGAAGTAGACTACATTTTGTATACCCAGAAAATCTCACAACAACCTTTATGAAATCGAAGGGCTCAAGGAGGATTTAGCAGTAAACCAAGATCAGAGTGCTTGGTTGAATAAAGCCATGAAGCATGCACACCCCTCCCATCACTCTCCTCAAATATTATTCTAGAAATTACTAAAAACTCTCTATGCACATATAGAGGAGATAGGTTGTAACATGGTAAACATACTGGAAAGTGTGCTTGGATAAACCAAAGTACAGCTTAACTTAAAGCATCTGGCTTACATCCAGAAGATTTTGTCACGACCTGATCACTTTGAGCCAACTCTAAACCCAAACTTCACTAAAAATATTATCAAACCATCTTAAACCAACCATTTACCTTAGAAAAAGCTATAGGTGATAGAAATTTTCACCCTGGCATAATAGACATAATACCCTAAGGGAAAGATGAAAGAACTGAATACAGCATTAAAAAGCAAAGACAAACCCTTATACCTTCTGCATAATGTATTAACCAGAAATAACTTTACACAGAGAACCATAACCAAGTCCCCCAAAACCAGACGAGCTACTCAGTAACAGCTAAAACAGCACACCCATCTATGTAGCAAAATAGTGGGAAGATTCATGAGTAGTGGTGACAAGCCTACCAAGCCTGGTAACAGCTGATTGTTTTCAACTTTAAACTTACCCACAGACTTACTTAATCTCCCTGTAACTTTAAGTGTTAGTCTAAAGAGGGACAGCTCTTTAGACATTAGGAAACAACTGTCCTACAGGGAATAAAAAATATCACCACCATAGTTGGCATATATGGCCCAAAAGCAGCCACCAATTAAGAAAGCGTTCAAGCTCAACATCTAATTATCTAAAATTCTAATCATCCTACTGAACTCCTAACATCACATTGGACTAATCTATTACTTAATAGAACCAGTAATGTTAATATAAGTAACATGAAGATATTCTCCATTGCATAAGCTTATATCAGACCCCAATAATCCACTGACAGTTAACAGCCTAATATTAATAAGCAATATAATAAACACCCTATTATTTATACTGTTAATCCAACACAGGTATGCTCTAAGGAAAGATTACAAAAACTAAAAGGAACTCTGCAAGTCTTACCCTGCCTGTTTACCAAAAACATCACCTCTAGCATTACGAGTATTAGAGGCACTGCCTGCCCAGTGACATATGTTCAATGGCCGCAGTATCCTGACAGTGCAAAGGTAGAATAATCACTTGTTCCGCAAATAGGGACTTGTATGAATGGCCACATGAGTGTTCAGCTGTCTCTCACTTTTAATTAATGAAATTGACCTATCTGTGAAGAGGTGGATATAAACAAATAAGATGAGAAGACCCTATGGAGCTTTAATTCATTATTGCAAATAAAAACTCAAAAAAGCTGACAGGCTCTAGCATACTATCCCTGCATTAAAATTTTTAGTTGGGTTGACCTTGGAGCATAATTCAATCTCCGAACAACCCAAACTAAGATGGCACTAGTCTAAGCGAGTTGACACACATTGACCCAGTAATTTGATCAACAGAATAAGTTACCCTAGCGATAACAGCACAATCCTATTCTGGAGTCCATATTGACAATAGGGTTTATGACCTCGATGTTGGATCAGGGCATCCTAATGGTGTAGCCGCTATTAAGGGTTCACTTGTTCAAGGATTCAAGTCCTCCGTGATATGAGTTCAGACCAGAGTAACCCAGGTCGGTTTCTATCTATTTAACATTTCTCCTAGTATGAAAGGGTAAGAGAAATAGGGCCAACTTCATAAAGCACCCTCACTGCATAGATGATGTTATCTCAGTCTAACAACTCACCACACACCCTGCTCAAAAACAGGGTTTGTTAAGATGGCATAGCCCAGCAATTGCATAAAACTTAAGACTTTATAATTAGAAGTTCAACACCTCTTCTTAACAATATGCCTATAATTAAACTTCTACTAATTATTCCCACTCTAATCACTATAACATTCCTTACACTAATTGAACAAAAAATCTTAGGCTATATACAACTACACAAAGGACCTAACACTGTAGGTCCCTAAAGACTACTTCAACCATTCGTTGATGCAATAAAACTTCTCACCAAGGAACTGTTACGGCTCTCAACATCTACTATTACCCTTTATATTATTGCTACAACCCTTACCCTTTCTCCTCTTGTGGACTCCCCTTCCTATATGTGGACTCCCCTTCCTATACCAGATCTTCTAATTCCACACCAAACATAGGAAATATGTTCAACAAAAGAATTACTTTGATAGACTAAACAATGGAGGTTAAAATCCTCTTATTTCTAGAACTATGGGAATTGAACCTACCCCTGAGAACCCAAAATTCTCTGTGCTACTTATTACACCATGTCGTAAAGTAAGTTCAGCTAAATAAGCTATCAGACCCATACCCTGAAAAAATTGGTTATACCCTTCCCTTACTAACTAATCCATTAGCTTAACTTATTATCTCCTTTACTATTGTCACAGGAACTCTTAGCACAATGCTAGGCTCATACTGATTTCTCATCTGAACAGGACTAGGAATAAATATACTAGTTCTTACCCCAATCTTAATTAAAAAATTAATCCCCGCTCTAAAGAAGCATCCACCAAATATTTCCTTACACAAGCAACCACATCTATAATTCTCATGATAGGTATCCTTTCCACTAACCTGTCCTGCAGACAATGAACAATAATAAACACTATTAATAAATTTTCATCATTAATAATAATAACAGCCCTAGTAATAAAACTAGGAATAGCCCCTTTTCACTTCTGAATCCCAGCAAAAACCAAAGGAAGCTCTCTAATATCTGGCATACTTCTCCTCACATGACAAAAACTAGCCTGTATCTTGATTATGTTTCAAATTTTCCATCAATAAACATGAATATTCTCCTATCTATCACAATCTTATTCATTATAGTGGGTGGTTGGGGAGGACTTAATCAAAAACAACTTCATAAATTCCTAGCCTACTCCTCAATTACTCACATAGGTAGAATAATAGCAGTACTAATTTATAACCCAAATATTACCATTCTAAACCTGATTATTTACTTTTAACAACTACTGCATTTCTAATACACAACCTAAGTAAAAGCACTAAGTGATTATACAAGAAGATATGCCAAATCTCCTTGTCTTTGAGGGTGACACTATTAACTGTGAGCTGGGGGTGTGTATGAGAGTCACAATCTCACGTGTTTCCTGGGCCATTGTGTGATACTCTACAACATTTGAAGGCTTTATACAGCATTTATGACAGTTGCAAACCTCTCTGAGGCCTACATGCTTGTATGGATTCACGATCTTACATGTTGCCCTAAGCCCAGGTATAATAGTCAACATCTCTTCTGTAGGCTGAGTTCAAAACTGAGTTCCATTATTATGCCTGTCAGCTGGATCCAGAAATGAGTCACCATCCCACCTGTGGCCAGAGCCACATATGAAGGTCACAATTCCAACTTTGTACTGTATTCACTTTTTAGACTCAGTACCTTAACATTGGTCTTTGGATATGTGGGATGTTGACAACATTTGCTTTCACCTGGATATGTAATCAAGAGTCCCAATCTTAATTTTTGCTGGTCCCTGTCATGAAACCCTCTGTACCACAAAGGGGTTTATGCATCATGAGTTAGTTTTGTAAAGTTCTGTGAGTTTGGTACAAATATGCAACCCAGGACAGGACCTTACTTATTGCCCTAGGCCTAGTGATGAAAGTCAAACTATCTCCTATTGTTTGAATCCCAATATGGGTTTGACAATCATCCCTCTGAACTGAAGTAAGGTATATGTCGTAGTCCCATTTGTGGCCAAAAAATAGGCAGGAGGATAATATCACTTAGGTGCTGTGACAAGCAACATGTCACAATGCCCTCTGTAGCCAGGATATAAGAATTAGGGCCACATTAACTGGGTGCTGGACTCACCAGTATGACACTATTCCACATGTGGAAAAAACCCAGCCAAGTTATAGAGCCAAAAGGCCTATATAATAGGCCCAGGATATGTCAAAATGCCTTCTGTGGTTCTGGGACAGGCATGAGAGTCACTTTATTATGGGGATGGGCCCAGCAATATGCCGCAATTCTCTCTATATGCAGGACCCAGGCAAACAAGTAACATTATCTGGATTCTGGGCCCTGCAATAGATGAAAATTTCTGTTTGTGTGCATGGTTCAAAAAAAAAAAAGAGAGTCAAATACCTGAGTGCTGGGTTCAGCAATATGTCACAATCCCTCCCTTGTAAAGACCAGGCCAGAGAAGAGAGTCACTTCACTTAGGTCATGAACTCAGAGATATATCCCAGTGTCCCCAGTAGGGAGGGCCCAGGCAGAAAAGGAGAGTCACATCACCTAGGTGCTTCCTTAATTATATGTCACAATCTTACATGGGGGCAGAAACCAGACAGAAGAGCCACATCACCTGGGTACAGCCTCAAGTAATGTGTCACCATGACCAATGAAGACAGGTTTGAAGATAAAAAGACAATCACATCACCTGGCTGCTGAGCTCATCAATATGTAAAAATTCCCTCTCTTGGCAGGGTCCAGGACAAACAGCAGAGTCATGTCACCAATGCTTTGTACTCAGTGGTATGTCACAATTTCTTCAGTGGGCAGGATCCAGGCAGGAGAGGAAAGTCACATTATCCAGGTGCTGTATCTAGCAATATGTGACAGTGTCCCCTGTGGGCAAGGCACTGGCAGGAGAGACATATCACCTAGCCAATAGGCCTGGACATATGTGAAAATATCTCTTGTTTTCAAGACCCAGGCAGAAGAGTCACATCATCATGATTCTGACCCAGTGATATGTAACAATGCCCTTATGGAAGGGAATTTAAACCAAAAAGTCTCAAGCCTGTGGTACTAGGCAGAGGGATATGACACAATCTCCTCATCTTTAAGGGTGACACCATTAACAGCTAGGTAGTTGTGTATATTAGAGTCAAAATCTCATGTGTGCTCTGGCAATTGTATGACACTCTCTACAACATCTGAGAACTTTATACAACATGAATGAGAGTTACAAACCTCTCTGAGGCCTACATGTTTATATGGACTCACGATGTTACATATTGCTCTAAACCTAGGTATGATAGTCAACAGCTCTCCCATAGGATGGCCTCAGGAATGAGACTGCTATTACTCCTGTGAACTGGGACCAGAAATGAGTCACCATCCCATCTGTGGCCAGAATCACTTATGAAAGTCACAATTCCAACTTTGTGCTGTATTCACTTGTTAGACTCAGGAACTCAACAATGGGCATTGTAAATGTAGGATGGTAACAACTTTTACCTCATCTGGGTGTGTAGCTGAGAGGCACAATCTTAACTTTTTCCTGGGCACTGTTATGAAACTCTCTGTACCACCTAAGAAGTTTATACATTATGAGTTAGTGTTGTAAACTTCTGCGAGCTTTGCACAAATATGCAATGGAGGACCTTACCTATTGACCTAAACCTAGTGGTGACAGGCAAAATATCTCCTATTGGCTGAATCCCTAAAGAAACTTGATCATCATGCCTTTGAACTGAAGCAAGGTATATGTCATAATCCCATTTGTGGGCAAAAAACTAGGCAGAAGGTTAACATTGCTTAGGTGATTTGCCAAGCAATATGTCACAATGCCCCCTCTAGGCAGCACCTAGGAAAGAGGGTCACATTAATTGGGGGCTGGAGCCAACAATATGATACAACCACACGTGGAAGAAACCCAGCAAAGTGATGAGAGCCAAAACACATACAGAATGGGCCAAAGATATGTCAAAATACCTTCTGTGGCCCTGGCACAGGCAGGAGAGACACATCATTAGGGTGCTAGGCTGAAGAATTGCTATAATTCCCTCTTTATGCAGGACTTAGGCAGAAGAGTTACATCATCTGGGTGCTGGGCCCTGAAATACGGCATAGGTCCTGTTCGTGGGCAATGTTCAGCAACAACATGAGAGTCGTATTACCTAAATGTTGGGCTCATGAATACAATACATCACAATCATCCCATTGTAAAGGCCCAGAGAGAAGAAGAGAGTCACATCACTTAGGTCATGGGCTCAGAGAGATATGGCCCAATGTTACCAGTAGGCAGGGCTCAGGCACAAAAAGAGAGTCATATCACCTGGGTGCTTCTTTAGATATATGTCACAGTTGAATATGTGGGCAGAAACCAGGCTGAAGAAACCAGGCTGGAGACCCACCTGGTCCTGGGTACTGAGACATTCACCAGTCCCCTTTAGAAAAGGACCCAGGCAAGAGAGTTATGTCACCTATGTGCAGGTGCCGCCCTTATGTCACAATGCTCCATGTGGGCAGGGTCAAGCAGAAAGTCATATCACCTGGGTGATAGGACCAGCAAAACATTACAAAGCCTTCCTTAAAGCGTGGCCCAGGCAAAAGAATACCATCACCTTTGTGCCTGACCTAGCAACATGTCACTATTCCAGTGTGTAGGCCCCAAGCAGAAGAGCCATATTACCTACATGACAGGCCCTGTGATATGTCACAATGCCCTCTTTGGGGCATGGTCCTGGCAAAAGAGTATCATCACCTGTCTCCCTGGCCTAGGAATATGTCACTATCCTGCCCTATGTGTAGAGCCAATTTCAGAGAAAAGAGTTATGTCTTCTAAGTGATGGACACAGTGATATGTTAGAATGATGTCTGAGGGCATGGTGCAGGCAAGAATGAACATCACCTGGATGCTGGATCCAGTGATGTCACAATTCTTCCTGAGAGCAGGGCCCAAGCAGAAGAGACACATCACTTCAAGGTTGGACCAGGTAGATATCAAAATCCCATATGTAGGCTGGAAATGGTCTGAAGAATGAAATCACACAAGTGCTTGGCAAAGATTTATATCACAATTGAGAGAATAAAATTGTAGGGATTAGATTTATGATACCACACATGTCCTGTTTTCATGTAGGACAGTTGCCTTCATCCATCTGTGATGGTGAAAGTCCTTACAGTCGACTGGCTGTGCATACAAGACTCACAGTTTCTTCTGTGTGCTAGGCCCTGTTATAACACTCTCTGTAAAACTGAAGGTTGTTATAAAATATGTGTGAGTGTTGTAATCTTCTGTGACCTTTGCACCTTTGCACCTTTGCACCAGAAGGAGATCCTGGACATCACTCATGTCCCTAAACCTAGTTATAAGAGTCAACATTTCTCCTATTGTCTGGGTCCACATATGAGAGTCATTATCATGCCTATTAGCTGTGCCTAGGTATATGTCACCCTCCTCTCTGTGATTATGAAACAGGCAGGACAACCACATGACCTAAATCCTAAGCCAGTAATAGTACAATATTCTCTTTGTAGGCAGGGCCCTAACAGAAAAGTCACAAAATTTGGGTGCTAGACCCAGCTCTATGGCATAATGCTCCCTGTGGAGAGTGTCCAGGCAGGAGAGGAGAGTCATATCACCTAAATGATGGGCCCAGGGATATGCCACATTGCCTCCTGTTGAAAGGGCCCAGGCAAGAGAGTCATGTCAATTGGATGCTGTGTTTAGAAATGCTACACTCTTCACTGGAAGCAGGGTTCAGGCAGGAGAGGAGAGTCACATAACCTAGAGGATGTGTCCAGAGAGATGTTACTACCCCTTCTGAGGACACTGTTAAGACACGAGAGTCGAATCACCAAGTCTCTTCGCCCAGGTATATGTCTAAATTTCTTCTGTGGGCTATAACTAGGTAGGATTATTAAATCACTCAGGAGCTTGGCAAAGGTATATTTGACAATAACACCTGTGGAAAGGTTCAGGGATGAGAGTTACCATCCCGTGTATTTCATGGCTCCAGGTACAAGAGTCGTTATTAGGCCTTTGATCTGGCCTCAGGTATATGCATAATATCATATGTAGGCAAGGAGAAGAAAGGAGTCACATCACCTGAGTGGGTGCTGGTCCAGTGAAATGTCACAATCCTCCTTGTGGGCAGGACTCTGGTGAAGAGTCACATCACTTGGGTGCTGGTTTTAGTGATATATCTAAATCTTCCCCGTGGGCAGGGCTTAGGCAGGAAAGGAGACAAACTTCACCTAGGCAATTGGCCTGGATATATGTCACAATGGCCCCTGTGTGCAGGACCAAGGCAGGAGGGTGACCTTACCTTGGGTACAGCAATATGTCACAATCTCTCTGGTTGTCAGGGCCCAGGCAAGACAGAAGAAACATCAGCTAGGTGCTGAGCCAAGTGATATGTTACAAAGCTTCCTATTGGCAGAACCACCCCCACCTCAAAAAAAAAAAAAAGAATCACATCACCTGTGTACACTATCCATTTATGTGTCACAATGCAACATAAGTGCAGGGCCAAGGCAGTAGAAGGAAGTGACATTACTTATATGATGGAGCTAAAAAAAAGCCACAATGCACTTTATAGGAAGGGATCAGGCCAAGATTTCCCATCAGCTGGGTGCTGGTATCAGTGATAATAAACAATGCCCTTTGTCAGATTGCCAAAGAAGGTGTTATACATTGCTTAGGTGCTCGCTGCATGTATGTCACAATTTCAACAGTGTTCTGGGCCTAAAAAGAAGAGTGAAAACACTCAGATGTTGGGCAAAGTCATACTTCTCAATCACACACTTGAAAATGTTCAGAAATAAGTTTCACAGTCTCACACAAGTCCTGGCTTTGGGTATGGGAGTTAATGCCTCCTAAGAGTTGGGTCGAAGTACAGGAGTCACAGTCTCAGCAAAGGGCAAGATCCACATATAAGAGTCCCAATCCCACTTGAAGATTTTTCCAGTAGAAGAGTCAAAGCCCCACAGGACTGCTGAATCGTGGTTCAAACATCACCAAACCACCTGTGGCCTAGATTCATGTATGACAATAACAGTTTCAAGCTTCTTCAACTGCTTATGTGTGTGAGATTTAGTATCTCATTTGTAGGCTCTGTTCATGTGTGAGAATGACAATTGTGTCAGCTGGGTGTGGTTCCAAGAGTCACAATAGCACCTGGTTGCTGGTGCCTATTATGACACTCTTTTTACCACTCAGGCTTTATATAACATGCCTGAGTAGTATACTTTTCTGTGAATTCTTACAGGTGGGAGATCTGTACTTTACTCACTGCCAAAGGACTGGCTATGAGAGTCAAAATATATCCCCTGGCTGGGTCTAGGTATGAGAGTTATTATTGTGCATATGAGCTGTATCCAGGTATATGTCACAAATTCACCTTTGGACAGAGACAAGGCAGAAGAGTCACATCACGCTGGTGCTGAGCCAGGGATACATTATAATCTCCATTGTAGGCAGAACCAAGTCAGAAGAGTCATATCACCTGGGTACAGTCTCAAATAACATGTCATCATGCTCACTGCATACAGGGTTGAAAAAATAGTGGATAGTCACATTCCCTAGGTGATGGGCTCAGCAATATGTTATAATTCCCTCTCTTGGCAGAGTCTGGGACAAATAGGGGAGTCACATCACCTAGGCTTTGCACTCAGTGTTATATCACAATTTCTTCAGTGGGCAGAATCCATGCTAGAGGGGAGAGTCACATTACCCAGATGCTATATCTAGCAATATGTCACAGTGTCCCCTGTGGGCAGGGCACTGGCAGGAGAGACACATCACCTAGTTGATAGGCCCAGAGACATGTGATAATGTCTCCTGTTGGCTGGATCCAAGCAGAAGAGTCACATTATTATTATTCTAACCCAGCAATATTTCGCAATGCTCCCATGGGAAATACTTTAAACCAAAAAGTCTCAACACCGGGGTAGTAGGCCTAGTGATATGACACAATCTCCTCATCTTTTGGAGTGACACCTTTAACTGTTAGCCTTGTGTGCATATAAGAGTCACCATCTCACTTGTGTTTTGGGTCATCGTATGGCACACTCTACAACATTCAAAGGCTTTATGCAACATGAATGAGACTTGCAAAAATCTCTGAGGCCTACATGCTTGTATTGACACACAATCTTACATATTGCCCTAAACCCAGTTATGATAGACAATCTCTCTCTTATAGGCTGGATTCAGACAAGAGATCCATTATTATGCCTGAGATCTGGGTCCAGAAATGAGTCACTATCTCACCTGTAGCAAGATCCATATATGAAATTCACAATTCCATCTTTGTACTTTATTTGCTTGTTAGACTCAGGACTTCTACAGTGGGCTTTGTAAATGTGGGATGGTGACAACTTTTGCTGTCGCCTGCATGTGTAATCAAGAGTCTCGATCTTAACCTCTTGCTGGGCCCTGTTGTGAAACTCTGTACCATCCAAAGAGTATATAGAATATGAGTTAGTGTTGTAACCTTCTGTGAGCTTTGTACAAATATGTAACTGATAACCTTATTTATTGCCCTAAGCATAATGATGAGAGGCAAATTATCTACTATTGGTAGTACCCAAATTTAAGTTTAATGATCATTCCCATGAACTGAAGCAATGTACATTTCATAATACCGTTTGTAGGAAAGAAACTTGGCAGGAGGATAGCACAACTTAGGTGCTGTGCCAAGCAATATGTCACAATGCCCTCTCTAGGAAGGATCTAGAAATCAGGGCTGCATTACCTGGGTGCTGGACCCAGCAATATGACACAATCCCAAATGTGGAAAAAAAAAAAAACCAGAAAAATGATGAGAGCCAAAACACCTACAGAATAGGTCCAAAATATGTAAAAATACTTTCTGTTCCTCTGGTACAGGCAGGAGAGTTACACCATCAGGGTGGGAAGCCTAGCAATATGCCATAATTATCTTTATGCAGGACCCAGGCAGAAGAGGAACATCATCTGGGTGCTGGGCCCTGCAATACATCAAAATTACTTTTCATGGGCATGGTTCAGGAAAAAAAGTAGAGTCATATTACCTAAGTATTGGGCTTAGCAATATGCCATGTCACCCTGTTGTAAAGGTTCTGGCAGAAGAAAAGTGTCACATCACTTAGGACACAACCTCAGATATCTGGCCCAATGTCCCAAATAGGCAGGAGTCAGGCAGAAGAGAAGACTCGCATCACCTAGGTGATTCCCTAGCTACATGACACAACCTAATATGTGGGGTGAAAGCAGGCAGAAGAGCCACATCACCTTGATGCTGGGTTTTGAAGTATGTCACAAGGCTCCCTTAGGACAGGAACCAGGCAAGAGAGTTACAACAAATAGATGCAGGTTCTACTCTTATGTCACAATGCTCCATGTGGGCAGGGCCCAAGCAGGGAGTCACATCACCTAGGTGATAGACCCAGAGATATGTCACAATGTGCTCCTTGAGGCATGGCCCTACTGAAAGACTACCATCATCTGTGTGCCTAGACTAGCAATATGTCACTATCCAGGTAAGCAGGACCCAAGCCGGACAGCAACATCACCTTGGTGATAAGCTCAGTGATATGTCATAGTACCCTCTTTAGGACATGTCCCTAGCAAAAGAGTAGCATCACCTGTGTGCCTGGCCCAGCAATATGTCATTATCCCCCACAGTGTTCAGGGCCCATTCTAATGAGGAGAGTTATGTCACCTAAGTGGTGGACACAGTGATATGTCACAGTGATATCTGTGGGCATGGCTCAGGCAAAAATGTAACATGATCTGGGTGCTGGATCTAGTGATATGTTATGATTGTTACTGACAGCAGGGCCCAGGCAGGAGAGTCACATCACCTCGAGGTTGGTCCAGGTAGATATCACAATAACATATGCCGGATCTAACCAGTCTGGAGAGTCAAATCACGCAGGTGCTTGGCAAAGATATATATCACAATCACACTGGCAGAAAATTCCCAGGATGAGATGTACAATACCATGCATGTCCTGTTTTCATGAGTGACAGTTGGCTTCATATATGTGAGACAATCACAGTCCTTACTGTCAGCTAGGTGTGCATTTTAGACTCAAAATTTTACCTTTCTGCTGGGTTCTGTTATGACACTCTCTGTACAAACCAAGGGCTTTATAAAATATCTGAGGCTATCAAAATCTTCTTTGCCTTTTTTTTTTTACCAGAAAGAGATTTAATCACTAGTGTTTCTAAAGCAAGTTATGAGAGTAAAAATTACTCCTGTTTGTGGAGTCCACATATGAGAGTCATTATCATGCCTGTGAACTGTTCCTAGGCATATGTCACAATTTACTCTGTAGTAATGAAACAGGCATGACAGCCAAGTCACCTAAATGCTGAGCCAGAAATTTTCCAATATTATCCTTTTAGATATTTTCCTGGCAGAAAAGTTGCATAACTTGGGGTTACACCTAGATGTATGGCACCGTGCCCCTTGTGGGCAGTGTCCAGGCAGAAGAGGAGACTCATATCACCTAAATGATATGCACAGAGATATGTCACGATGTCTTCTGTTAGCCTGAAATGACCAGGCAAGAGAGTCATATCTTTTGGATAAAGTGCTTAGAAATGTTACAATCCCCAGTGGAAGCAGGGTCCAGGCAGGAGAGGAGAGTCAGGCAACTAGATGATGGGTCCAGATACATGTTACAATCCTTCCTGAGGATATTGTTAAGACAGGAGAGTCAAATCACCAAGGCGCTCAGCTGAGGCAAATGTCCAAATCTCATTTGTGGGCTACACCTGGGCCGGATTATTAAATCACTCAGGAGCTGGGTGAAGGTATAGGTCACAAAAACACTGGTGGAAGGTTCCAGGAATTGGAGTCACCATCTTGCATATGACTTGGCTCCAGGTTTAAGAGTCATGATTAGTCCTCTTATCTGGTCTCAGGTATATGGCACAATATCACCTGTGGGCAGAGAGCAAGCAGGAAGATCACATCACCTGGGTGGGTGTTTGTCCAGTAAGATGTCACAATCTTTCTTGTGGGCAGGACCCTGGAAGAAGAGTCACAGCACCTGGATGCTGGTTTTAGTGATTTATCAAAATCCCCCTGTGGGCAGGGCTTAGGAAGTTAAGGAGACTCATTTCACCTGGGCAATTGGCCTAGATGTATGTCACAATGGCCACTATGTCCAAAACCAAGGTATGAAAGGGACCTCACCTTGGAGCTGGGTTTAACAATATGTCACAATCTCCCCTGTGGTCAGGGCAAGGTAGGAGAGGAGAAACATCTCCAAGATGCTGAGTCAAATGATATGTTACAAAACTTCCTGTTGGCAGAACACAAAATGGACAGTCACATCACCTGGGTGCAGTACCCAGTTATGTGTCATAATGAACTATAAGTGCAGGAGCAAGGCAGTAGAAGGGAGTCACATCACTTACATGATGGACCTAGGTATAAGCCACAGTGCCTTTACTAGTCAGGGATCAGGCAAAGAATTCATATCACTTGGGTGCTGGTGCCAGTCACATGTAAAAGTGCCCTTTGTGGGCAGGCCCAGGCATTTTTACTTAGGTGTATGGTCCATGTATGTCACAATGTCATCTGTGGTCATGTCCTAAAAAGGAGAGTCAAATCACTGAAGAGGTGTGCTCACTTTTATGTCCTAATCACACAGAAGTAAATATTCCGAAGTAAGTTCCACAGTCCCACACAAGTCCTGGTTTCGTGAATGTGGGTCAACACCTCCTGTGAGTTGGGTTGAAGCAGAGGAGTCACAATCTCAACAATGGGCTAAATCAATGTATAAGATGCCCAATCCCACTTGAAGATTGTGTTCCAGTGGGGGAGTCACAGCCTCACAGGTGTGCTGAATCATGCTTCACCAAACCACCTGTGGGTCAGATCTGTGTATGAGAGGAACAATTTCAACCTTCATTTGCTCTTTTGTGTGAGATTTACTGCCTTATTTGTAGGTCCTGTTACTGTGAGAGAATGACATTAGGGTCAGCTGGGTGTGCACCCAAGAGTCAATCGCACCTGGTTGCTGTTCCCTGTTATGACACTCTTTGTACCACTCAGGTTTTATATTACATTCCTGAGTGTCATAATCCTCTGTGAACTTTATACAATTAGGAGACCCATTACTTTACTTATGGCCATGAGGCTGGCATCATGAGTCAAAATATCTCTCCTTTCTGGGTCCAGGTATTATGGTTATGTTCATGCATGTGAGCTGAACTCAGGTATGTCACAAATTCACCTGTGGGGAGAAACAAGGCAGGAGAGTCTCATCACCTGGATTCTGAATTCGGGATGTATTATAATCTCCTTCGCAGGCAGGGCCAGGTCAGAAGAGTCACATCACCTTGGTATAGCCTCAAGAAACATGGTGCCATGTCTTCTGTAGACAGGGTTGAAGAAAAAGAGGAGAGTCACACAACCTAGGTACTAGGGTACTAGGCCCAGTGATATGACACAATCTTCTCATCATTGAGGGTGACACTTTTAATTGTTAGCTTGGTGTGCATATAAGTCACAATGTGATATGTGTGCTTGGCCATCGTATGACACCCTCTACAACATCTGAGGGCTTTATACAGCATGCATGAGAGTTGCAAACTACTCTGAGGTCCACATGCTCATATGGACTCACAACCTTATATATTGCCTTAATCCCAGGTATAATAGTCAACATCTCTCATTTATGCTGAGTTCAAGAATGTACCCATTTTTATACCTGTGAGCTGGGTCCAAAAATGAGTCACGATCGCACCTGTAGTCAGATCCACATGTGAGAGTCACGATTCCATCATTGTACTCTTTTCACTTGTTAGACCTAGTACCTCAACAGTGGGCTTTGTAAATATGGGATGGTGACAGCTTTTACTTTCACCTGGGTGTGTAATTGAGAGTGACAATCTTAACTTTGTACTGGGCCTTGTTATGAAGCTCTCTCAGGGAGTTTATACAATATGAGTTAGTGTTATAAACTTCTGTGAACTTTCTATAAATATGCAACCCAGGATTTTACCTATTAACTTAAGCCTAGCAATGAGAGGCAAAATATCCTCCATTGGCTGAATCCCAATATAAGTTTGACCATCATACCTGTGAACTGAAGGAAGGTATATGTCATAATCCCATTTTTGGGCAAAAAACTAGGAAAAAGTAACATCACTTAGGTGATGTGGCAAACATGTCACAATGCCCTCTCTAGGCAGAATCTAGGAAGGAGTGTCACATTCACTGGGTGCTGGACCCAGCAATATGACACAATTTCACATGTGGAAAAACTTAGCCAAGGGAGGAGAACAAAAAACACCTACAGAATAAGCTGAAGATATGTCAAAATACTCTCTGTGGCTGTGCCACAGGCAGGACCATAGCATCATCAGTGTGCTGGGCCTACCAGTATGCAATAATCCCCTCTTTATTCAGGACTCTAGCAGAAGAGTAACATCATCTGGGTGCAATAGGTCAACATTTCCCTTTGTGGGCATGGTTCAGAAAAAAGATTGGAGTCACATTACCTAAATGCTGGGCTCAGCAGTATGTCACAATCCCACCATTTTAAAGGCCCAGGCAGGGGAAGAGAGTCATATCACTTAGGTCACGGGCTCAGAGATATGTCCCAATATCCCCAGTAGGCAGGACTCTGGCAGAAAAGGAGAGTCACATCACCTAGGTGCTTCCTTAGTTATACATCACAATCTAACACATGGGTAGGAACCAGATAGAAGAGCCACATCACCTGGGTGATGGGTCCTGAGCTATGTTGCAAGGCTCACTTAGGACAGAACCAAGGCAAAAGAGTTATATCACCTTTGTGCAGGTTTAACTTTTATGTCACAATACTCTATGTGGGTGAGGCCCAAGCATTGAGTCATATCACCTAGGAGATAGGTCCAGTGATATGTCACAATCCTTACTGAGGGACGGGCCCAGGCAGGAGAATCACATCATCTAGAGGCAGGCCCATGTAGCGATCACAATCCCATATATGGGCTGGAGAGTCAAATCCCATAGATGCTTGGCAAATATTTATATCACAATCACATTGGCAGAATATTCCAGAGATGAGATTTACAATACCACACATGTCCTGATTTCATGAGTGACAGCTTCATATATGTGAGATGTGACAGCACTTACTGTCTGCTGGGTGTGCATATGAGACTCACAATTTCACTTTTCTGCTGGGTTCTGTTATTACACCCTCTGTACAAGCCAAAGGCTTTATAAAATATCTGAGGCTGTTTTAATCTTCTGTGACCTTTTTATCAGAAAGAGATCTAAGATATCACTTGTGTTTCTAAAGCAAGTTACAAGAGTCAAAATTACTCCTATTTGTGGGGTCCACATATGAGAGTCATTATCATGCCTGTGAGCTGTGCCTAGGTATACGTCAAAATTTACTTTGTGGTAATGAAACAGGCATGACAGCCACATAACCTAAGTGCTGAGGCAGAAATGTTCCAATATTCTCCTTGTAGGCAAGTTCCTGGCAGAAAAGTCGCATAACTTCAGGGCTATGCCCAACTGTATGGCACAATGCCCCTTGTAGGAAGTGTCCAGGCAGAAGAGGAGAGTCATATCACCTAAATAATAGGCACAGAGATATGTCACAATGCCTCCTGATGAAAGGGCCAGTCACATATCATTTCTGATTATAGTCATTTTAACTGAAGTGGTTTGGTATCTTACTGTGGCTTTGATTTGCATTTTTCTAATAATTAATGTTGAAAAAAATGTAAAAAATGTATATTCTGTTGATTTGGGGTGGAGAGTTCTGTAGATGTCTATTAGGTCCGCCTGGTGCAGAGCTGAGTTCAATTCCTGGGTATCCTTGTTAACTTTCTGTCTCGTTGATCTGTTTCATGTTGACAGTAGGGTGTTAAAGTCTCCCATTATTATTGTGTGGGAGTCTAAGTCTCTTTGTAGGTCACTCAGGACTTGCTTTATGAATCTGGGTGCTCCTGTATTAGGTGCATATATATTTAGGATAGTTAGCTCTTCTTGTTGAATTGATCCCTTTAGCATTATGTAATGGCCTTCTTTGTCTCTTTTGATCTTTATTGGTTTAAAATCTGTGTTATCAGAGACTAGGATTGCAACCCCAGCTTTTTTTTGCTTTCCATTTGCTTGGTAGATCTTCCTCCATCCTTTTATTTTGAGCCTATATGTGTCTCTGTACGTGAGATGGGTTTCCTGAATACAGCACACTAATGGGTCTTGACTCTTTATCCAATTTGCCAGTCTGTGTCTTTTAATTGGAGCATTTAGTCCATTTACTTTTAAAGTTAATATTGTTATGTGTGAATTTGATCCTGTCATTATGATGTTAGCTGGTTATTTTGCTCATTAGTTGATGCAGTTTCTTCCTAGCCTCAATGGTCTTTGCAATTTGGCATGATTTTGCAGTGGCTGGTACCGGTTGTTCCTTTCCATGTTTAGTGCTTTCTTCAGGAGCTCTTTTAAGGCAGGCCTGGTGGTGACAAAATCTCTCAGCATTTGCTTGTCTGTAAAGTATTTTATTTCTCCTTCACTTATGAAGCTTAGTTTGGCTGGATATGAAATTCCGGGTTGAAAATTCTTTTCTTCAATGTTGAGCATCTTTGCATGTACTTGGCCATTTGTATGTCTTCTTAGGAGAAATGTCATTTAAGGTCTCTTGCCTATTACTAAATTGTGTGTTATTTTTGCTGTTAAATTTGTTATATATTTTGTATGTTTATCCATTGTCATATGTATATTTTGCAAATATATTTGCCCACACTGTAGGTTGTCTTTTCACTCTGTTAATTTATTTTTGCTATGTAAATTTTTTTCAGATTCTGGTAATTTCACTTGTCTCCTTTTGCTTTTGTTGCCTGTGCTTTTGAGGTCTTATTAAAATTTTTTTTCTGTCCTATTTGGTAAAGAATTTATGTTTTATTCAAATAGTTTTATAAATTTGAGTTTTACATTTAAATCTTCTATTTATTTTTAATTAAGTTGTTTTAATATGGTAACAGTGAGGCACTTAGTTGTATTCATTTAAATAATCAATTTTCCTAGCACAATTCATTGAAAAGATTGACTTTTCTTAAATGTGTGTTTCAAATAACTTAAAAATTACTTGGCTCTAGGTTTATAAATTTATTACTGGGATCACTGGATACTTTGGTCCATGTGTCCATTTTCTATGCCAGTATCATGCTCTTTTGCTTGCTATAGCTTTGCAGTATATTTTGAAGTCAGGTAGTTTGATGCTTTCAACTTTGTTCTTTTTCCGCAAGCTTACTTTGGCTATTTGGGGAGTTTTTTTTTTTTTTGTTCCCTATAAATTTTAGGCCTGTTTTTTCCATTTCTGTGAAAAAAATGTCATTAGTATTTTTAAAGAATTTGTATTGAATCTGTAGATTACCTTGAGTAGCATAGCTATTTTAACAATGTTTTTTATAACTCATGAGCAAAAAATATCTCTCAAATTTTTCATGTTTTAGTTTCTTCATCAGTTTTTTTTTTTTGAGATGGAGTCTCGCTCTGTTGCCCAGGCTGGAGTGCAGTGGAGCTATCTCAGCTCACTGCAAGCTCTGCCTCCTCGGTTCAAGCAATTCTCTGTCTCAGCCTCCCATGTAACTGGGACTACAGGAACCTGCCACCACGCCTGGCTAATTTTTTTGTATTTTTAGTAGAGGCGGGGTTTCACCACGTTAGCCAGGATGGTCTCGATCTCCTGACCTCATGATCCATGCCTTGGCCTCCCAAAGTGCTGAGATTATAGGCGTGAGCCACTGTGCCTGGACCTTCATCAGTTTTATAACTTATAGTGTAGACTGTGTTTATCTTTTTAATTAAGTTAACTACTAAACTCCTTTATTTTTTATTCTAGATGCAGAAAAAGTATTTGGAAAAATTTAACATGCCTTTGTGATTAAAACAACTGAACAAATTACGTATAGAAGGTCTGTGTCTCAACACAGTTAAGGCAAAATATGACAAATCAATAGCTGATATCACACTGAACAAGAAAAGAAGAAAGCTTTTTATTTAAGACCTGGAACAAGACAATGATGTCTGCTTTTACTTTTATTTAACAGAGTACTGGAAGTCCCAGCCAGATTATTTATGCAAGAGAAAGAAATAAAAGACATCCAAATAAAAAAGGAGAAATTCCAATTGTCTTTGCAGATCACATAATTGTCTTTATAGTAAAACTTAAATACTACACTAAAAATGGAGAACTAATAAAGAAATTCAGTAAAGTGGCAGAATATGAAATTAACATAAAAAATTAGTAGGAGCACTTTTACATGCCAAGAACAAGCCACCTGAAAAAGAAATTCAAGAAAAAAATTATTTACAACAACTATAAATAATAAATCTTACTTCATTTTAAGTTCATGCTTGTGGTAAGGTTCAGCTTTATTTTTTATCATTTGGATATTCAGTATTCTCCAACCCGTTTGTTAAAGAGACTGTTCTTTTCTCATTTTGAGTGATAGAGACAGGAGATAGCCAAAGGACCTTTTCCCACTTTGAGTGTTAGAGACAAGAGACAGTCAAGGGTCCTGGGCGAAACTCCTCTTTTAAGCCTAAAGCAGCCTGAAGGCTGAAAAATTGGACTCCCGGTTTAGGATGAAGCCAGCCCTTTCCTGACTGTTTCTCTCTGAATAACGCCCACCTGTGCACTGGGAAAAGGAGGTGGAGCCATGGAAATTCACACCTTTTGGCAGGGGAGGAGCCTGGACTATTCAGTTGCTATGTGGTTACCTGGTGTTCATCAATCTGTGAGGTGGTGGCCTGTTAACAGGAGTCTGTCTCACTTTGCTGACAGTTTTTCTTTTCTTTTTCCTTTTTGCCCAATAAACTTTACTCCTCAACCTTCAGTGTGTTCGTTAGCCTATTTGTTCCTGGTTATGTTACAAGATCCTGGTTTTAGCTGAATTAAGGAGAAAGTTCTACAACATTTTGGTGTCTAGATGTGGGGCTTGAGGAAGGGTAAGAGGTAAACTAAAAACTCTTTTTCTCTTCTGTTTGTATGCCTTTTCATCCTTGGACTTCTCCCAAGGGTAGAGGAAACTGTGCACCACCCCACTCTAACAGCCCTAAGCACATGCGGGATAGACAGGTGAATGGCGGCTCCTCACCCCCATCTCCTATGGGCTGGAAAATGGCAGGCATTTGTGGTATCTTCCCCTTCATCGGCCAAGGGACCCAGCCTCATCCAACAGCAATTAAGTTTTTCTCTCTGTTGAAGGAACCCATTTGCATAAGAATGAAAATTTTTTTCCCTGCCCTACACCTAAGCCTTATTTTTTTCCTTTACCCTGTCAGCAGTTTACTTTTAATCAAAAGGCTATTTTTTTTCTTCTTAGAAAATGTTTTGCTGGGCTAGGATCCCAACGATCACTGCTTATATTCTTTGTAGAGTTTTCACTGTGAAAGGGTATTTGTGAGGTTGGTCTGGAGCTGTGGCCAATCTGGTGTGCTTTGTATGCCATTCTCTATGGTTGTTAGGACATTTTGCTGCAGGCCTCCATCTTGTTTTATGTTTTTAGGAGCATGATCTGTAACCACGTGGCAATGTTTTGTTTTGGCCTCTGCCATTTTACAATGGTGGCCCAGGTTTAATCCTGGCTTAGGCAATAAGTCCCTTCTGATTTTATATCAGCATGTAACCTTTGAGATTTTCTGATTTTCTTTCCCTTCACAAACTGCCCTAAATTGTTTTTTCCTCTGAGCACCTGGTAAGTTAACTTTGGTAAAGTTTGAATGCCAGAAATACTGGCTGCTTGGTGCTGCTAGAGTCAGGTAATAAGGAATTTAAAAGACTTTCTTAAAGAGTGCTCAACTTAATTAAAAGTGGATACCCAAATTATAGCTATATTTAAAAGATCTTTATATTTTTCTCTTCTGGGATCTTGTTTTGCTAGGAAAAGGTTTTTTCTCAGCCAACTGATTTTTTTCCTTCATTTTGTCTTGCCACTCTAGTACATGCATGAGAGGCCAGTAATTCAATCAGGAAATTGGCAAATAATAAATCTTATGGTTACTGAGTTTTCTTCTGCCTGTCTGTAGTTATATATGTGTTATGTGTGTGATGTCTATAAAACAGAGCTCTAATAAATTGACTTAAAGAATGGTAAGAACTTGGATCAAATATTTTTTGAAGGGAAGATAAAAACTGTGTACGTGTTAGTTCACATGACTTTTAATCTTTGAGAAATAAAAACAACCTAAAAGATTATCCGCAAAACACAAATGTGATCAATAGATGAGTAGGTGGACTTAATTATGCAGGTCAGATACTAGGTTTGCTAAATGTCTTAAGGTTATAAACTATTTTTTGGTTTTTGAGAACAGCTCAACTTTGCCTCACAATTGGTAAGGCCTGAGGACACATGGAATTAACCACACCCTTAATTATGCTGAAAGGAGTCAAACCCTTGGCTGCACCTAGCACATAATTACAACAATTTACCTGGTTTCACATTAAAGTTAAAATTGCTAGAAGTTACCATTATAACATGTAATTGAAGCCACTGGAAGTAGATTTACATACAAGGTGTGCAATAACAGTAAAATGTGTTTTTAATAAATGATTATAAGAAGGGATGAAAATATAAATTTTTGCCTAGGGTCAAACAATTGTTTTGAATTAGATAAGATAAAGCTAACAGTTCAAACAAGTTGTGGAAGGATTGTTAAAATAAATCTTGCCAAAGAAATTCTGTGTGTGAACATTAATTAAATTCAGAAATCTATTATGTGGGTTTTTTGTATATTGAGCATTGAAATAAAAGCACAAGATCCTCATAAGGCACTAATCTGTTCTTTAGCAAAATTTGTAAATAATTTTAAAAGGTTTTTGCTTTCTACATTTTTAAGTCATCATTTCAGTTAAATAAGTAATTTATGGGAGTCTGGAATTTTATTTCATAATATCAAGTGTTTTAAACCCCTAACATTTAACATCCTTCTGAAAATCAAACTTCAGTTACAAAATTGTCTTTTATAACTACTGGCTGTTAGATGCTAAAGAGGGCCCCTGGAGTACCCACAAGAGAGGTAAATAGGGTTATATGACATGTTTAGTTACATGGAATTGCCAAAATGGTGTTCAATATTCTTTAGGTAATATTTTGGTGAATAATACTAATATAAGTTCCAAAATTGTATGGGATTTCTAAAATTCTAATGTCTGAAGTATAAGCTATCAACCACAATTAGGTTATTATGTTAAGTTATTGTAAACCAACAGAAATAAGCAAAATTATTTGTCAATCATGTTTCTGACTGTAACTACTCTGGACATTTTGTTATACACAGACAATTGTTGCCTTGTTTTGATTTTTTCAAAAAATGGTTTTTAATCAGGTATAAAACTTTGACAGGTGATCTCAAATGCAGGCTTCTGATAACATTGGAGCTTGTGACACTGGAATACAGGAAAAACATACAGGACTCATGAAGAGCTAAAATGTTCATGAATACCAAACAAAACAAGAGTTAACTGAATGCAGTTGACTAATAGAAATCCAAAGTAATCTTTCTGACTTTTGCTTGTAACATTACTGATCCCTGTATTGTTTACCAGAGTGAAGGAAACTTATCTTGAGATAGTGACAGCCTTTAATATGTGAGTAATGTGTACTCCTGTGAACAAAATTTGAAGAATGTATGTCTCTCTCTGCCTGGCTTCTCCAGAATTTGAAAAATAGTTGTGAGTATTCTTAACTTACGGCAATATAGCTATTTGTATCAGTGCAATAATAATCCACTTTCCTTTGCAACAGGACACAATTGGAGAAACTGGTTGTTTTACCAAGGCCTTAACTGAAAGGGTATGTTTCCCTTTGAGGAGTCAAGCTCAACTTGCAGAGCCAATCAAAGCCCCCTGGGAAGACTGGCCTCATACCTCATCTACACAGTCCTTCTCTATGGTTTCTGATCAGTGGTAAGTAAAGAATGACACTCTCTGACAAGCCCAGGAGCTTCAGGTTAATCGTGGGACCATAAGAGGAGAGGATCACACAACTCATAAGTATTTGGTGGTACAAACCCATGGCTAGGCTTGACTTTAGAAAGTCTGAAATTTCTGAAATTTCTTGTGGAACAGAGTTCCATCAAAGCCAATGTCAAAGACCTATGTAGAAATAATTATTCTTGCTGCACTTTATACAAATAATCAGGCCAAGTATAAGACTAAAGTTTATTTCACAAACAACTCAGTCCTATCATGATTTGTTTTTAACAGAAAAGAGGACGGAATAAAGATTATGTTTCAAAACTTATACATTTGTCATTAAATTCTAAACTCATTAGTTGGGCATTTTTGCCTACATTTTAGACCAACCCTGCTTATTTCTGTGAACCAACTAGCAATCCTCAACTGCAGCTCAGAAGAAACAAAAAGAGATGGGTAATGTAAAAATCTGGATTAATATTCTAGTTCTGGGCAATTATCCTGCAAATCCTGTAGAGTGATGGGAATAAATAGGGTGCCCACCCAAATCTTAGCAAGCATAACTATAGCCACTAGTCTTCTGGGTGTGTCACAAGACATTCTTTTCTCTCCCTTGTGGAAAGAGGACTCAATTTCACAGCTTCATCTTAGCATTCAGCTCATGATAAGGAGTCCATGCAATCCCCTGAGACACATTTTTGTCCCAACCTCAGTTCCAAGTTTCAGGTTGAAGCCCTAGGAAAGAATCCTGGATCTGAGAAATCCAGAGGCAGATGACAATGGAGGTTAAAAGGCACGGTGAAGGTGAGCATGACTAATTCCAGCTGATTAAGACAAGCCTCCTATTTCATGAGTGAAGAATATGCTAGTATCCATGTCATAAATGAGGTCTAGTGAACTCCAGAACTACTGACAGCAGGAGAGATAGGGCATATATTAGTAACAGCAGATATATTCACCCCCTATGCCTCCCTGTTAACATGGGTTAAAGCTGCTTGACACCCATGGGTGGCACCCTGTCACAATCACTAGGACTCAGGGATACAAGGAATGAAGGGAGAAAGAGAACATTTTTTTCCTATCCCACAACATGCAGTGGGTATTTGCTAGGAAGAGAAAGGAACCAGGGACATCTGGTCCCCTCTCTCTTTCTAAATGAGTAGCCATTCATCTTCAGTCTATAGCCCTTTTGAAGGCATCCTGAGCCCTTGGGACTCCTTTGAACAAATGCTTCCTTTTTTTGGGTTTTGTTTGTTTGTTTGTTTGTTTGTTGTTTGTTTTTTTCCAGTTGTGCTTTTGGCCTCCCTCTCCCTATGTAAACTGGTAAAAGACCTTGGAATTTTTTACCCATCCTTGCCACCTTCCCCTTGTTTCATTTTAGTACATGTTTTTCAATAACCCAGTTTGATTCTTCTCACCTTCAGGCTACCAAACTTTAAACAGTCACACAACCAGAGCCTCAGACAATGGTCCCTTTCACTGGGGACACTTAGATAGGCATCTTAAGGAGATCTGACTGCCATTTTTCCAAAACAGTACCCCCTTTCAGCAGGAAGCACTTAGAAGTGGTTTTTGTCCTCATCCTTATCCTTATTGTAATAGCAGTTAGATGTACTTCTTTAGAGGGGGAAATAACAGAGTTAGGAAACAGCCAAGGGCCTTGGGTAAAACCCCACCTTCAAGCCTAAAACAGCGTGAAGGCTGAAAAATCATACTGCTGTCCCAGATGAAGCCTGCCTCTTTCCAACTGATTCTCTCTGAATATTGTCCACCTGCACACTGGGGGAAGGTAGTGGATCCATGGAAAGTTCACCCCTTGTGCAGGGAGGAGGTGCCTGGCTTCTTCAGTTCTTCTTTGATGGTCTGCTGTTTACCAGTCTGGGACTTGGGGCCTGTAAACAGGATTCCCACTCACTTTGTTGAGAGGTTTTTTTTTTTTTCCCAATCAACTGTACTCCTCATCCTTCAGAGTGTCCCTGAGCCTAATTTTTCCTAGTCATGTGACAAGAACCCAATTTTGCTGAAGGAGAAAGTTCTGCAACATGAGGATTTGGAACCGTCATTTAGGATAAGCTGAGTATATGCATGTGGGTTTCTTTCTGGATTCTCTTATCTGTTTCAACATTTATTTTTCTGTCTTTATGCCAGCACCACACTGTTTTGATTACTGTAACTTTGTAATATGTTTTGAAATAAAAAAGAATTATGCCTCTGAGTTTATTCTTTTTTTCAGGTTGTTTGGCTACTTTTGCTTTTTTGAGTATTTATAGAAGTTATAGGGCAATATTCGGTGGCTCACTCCTGTGATCCCAGAACATGGGAAGCCAAGGCAGTTGGATTGCTGGAGCCCAGGAGTTTGAGGCCAGCCTGGGAAATATAGAGAAACCCTGTCTCAACAAAAAATACAAAAACTTTCTGGGCATGATGGCATGCAACTGCAGTGCCAGCTACTTGTGAGGCTGAGGTGGGAGGATCAATAGAGCTTGAGAGGTCAAGGCTACAGTGAGCCATGATTATGACACTGCATTCTAGCTTGGGTGACACAGCTAAATATTGACTCAAACATTTTAGAGTATTTTAGTACTTCTGCAATAAGAACCACTGGTTTTGTGAAAGAGATCTGATTGATCTGTAGATCATTTCGAATACTATTAACATCTAAAGAAACTTGCATGTTCTAACTCTTGAAAAATAGTATGCTCAAGAATTTGTCTAGTTTTCATATATATGCAGACATGCTAGTTTTCTTTTGGTTTTTAAATTCCAGTTATATTTTATTGTAGTCCGAAATAATACTTTTTGTGATTACCATCTGATTAAACATGCTAAAACTTGCATTCTATCCTAGCAGTTTGCCTATCTAAGAAAACGTGCCATATGTAATTAGAAATATTATTTATTATGCTATTGTTGGGTGAAGTGTTTTGTAGATTATCCCCAGGTCTTATTTTTCTTTATAACCTTT
The DNA here is from genome assembly GCF_000001405.40 of Homo sapiens. NCBI lineage: Eukaryota > Metazoa > Chordata > Mammalia > Primates > Hominidae > Homo > Homo sapiens. Next base: position 46,804,644 of record NC_000008.11, on the reverse strand, counting down.
TATTTCTCTGTATATTTGTCTTTATCTTTATTTTGTTACTATTTATTTTTTATTTACTTTCATTTTTTCTATTAATTTTCTATTTTAATTTTTCTTATTACATTCTCTTCATTTCAAATTTTCTCCAATTTGTATCTTGTTTGTAACTTTTTATTTAATTTCTTTTTGTTTCTTTTATTTCCATTAATATCCCTTCATATTATTTTATTTTCTTTCTCCATATTTACCTTTATTTTTTATTTTCAGTTTTTTCTCCTCATTCTTAAAAATTTTCTTATTTTGTTGCACTGCAAATTATTTCATTTCTTTTATTTCTCTTAATTTTATAGTATTTATTAAGTTCATCTTCATTTTATTTATTTTCACTGATCTTAATTACATTTCTCTTTATTTTTCTCTATTTTATTTCAGTTTATGTGTCCTTACTATTTTTAATTACTTTAAATTTATTTTTAAATTTTATTTTACTTCTCTTGATTTCATTTTTTCACTTTATTTTTCTATATTTTGTTTTGTAAAAAAGAATAAATGTGCTATTTTAGATTGGCCCAGCCACAGTGGTTAAGACTCCTGTTTGCTGAGGCTCTCTGCCAGCCACTCTACTTCAGGAGTCTCCAATCTAGGATATAGTCAGGACCTCCTAGCAGGATTGCTAAGATCCCTGGGCAGAGCTTTCATTGTTACAGGCCCACGTAGCATTCAGTGTCACAGGCCATTTCTGCTGCTTTCAGAAGCCCCCTGCAAGCCTCAGTGTTGCTATGCCGAGGCCCTGACTGCCTCTTTATTTGTGTCCCAATGGATCCCCCACACATAATGCAGGGCACTGACTCTTCTTCCTTCTTTCACAGGACAGGCTCCACACCCACTCCACTGCACCAGAGCATGCCTAGACCATATGTGTGTCTTTTTGTTGTAAAAAAAAAAAATGTTTTTGTGTGTTTGTTTTTGAGACAGAATCTTGCTATGTCACCCAGGCTGGAGTGCAGTGGCATGAACTCAGCTGACTGCAACCTCTGCCTCCTGGACTTGAGCAATTCTCCTGCCTCAGCCTTCCAAGTAGCTGGGATTGTAGGTGTGTGCCACCAAGCCCGGCTGATTTTTTATTTTATTTTATTTTTAGTAGAGACGGAGTTTCACCATGTTGGCCAGGCTGGTTTCTTTTTTTATTTTATTTTATTTTATTATTGTTATACTTTAAGTTTTAGGGTACATGTGCACAATGTGCAGGTTAGTTACATATGTATACATGTGCCATGCTGGTGTGCTGCACCCATTAACTCATAATTTAGCATTAGGTATATCTCCTAATGCTATCCCTCCCCCACCCCCACCCCACAACAGTCCCCAGAGTGTGATGTTCCCCTTCCTGTGTCCATGTGTTCTCATTGTTCAATTCCCACCTATGAGTGAGAATATGAGGTGTTTGGTTTTTTGTTCTTGCGATAGTTTACTGAGAATGATGATTTCCAATGTCATCCATGTCCCTACAAAGGACATGAACTCATCATTTTTTATGGCTGCATACTATTCCATGGTGTATATGTGCCACATTTTCTTAATCCGGTCGATCATTATTGGACATTTGGGTTGGTTCCAAGTCTTTGCTATTGTGAATGGTGCCGCAATAAACATACGTGTGCATGTGTCTTTATAGCAGCATGATTTATAGACCTTTGGGTATATACCCAGTAATGGGATGGCTGGGTCAAATGGTATTTCTAGTTCTAGATCCCTGAGGAATCACCACACTGACTTCCACAAGGGTTGAACTAGTTTACAGTCCCACCAACAGTGTAAAAGTGTTCCTATTTCTCCACATCCTCTCCAGCACTTGTTGTTTCCTGACTTCTTAATGATTGCCATTCTAACTGGTATGAGATGGTATCTCATTGTGGTTTTGATTTGCATTTCTCTGATGGCCAGTGATGGTGAGCATTTTTTTATGTGTTTTTTGGCTGCATAAATGTCTCCTTTTGAGAAGTGTCTGTTCATATGCTTCACCCACTTTTTGATGGGGTTGTTTGCTTTTTTCTTGTAAATTTGTTTGAGTTCATTGTAGATTCTGGATATTAGCCCTTTGTCAGATGAGTAGGTTGCAAAAATTTTCTCCCATTCTGTAGGTTGCCTGTTCACTCTGATGGTAGTTTCTTTTGCTGTGCAGAAGCTCTTTAGTTTAATTAGATCCCATTTGTCAATTTTGGCTTTTGTTGCCATTGCTTTTGGTGTTTTAGACATGAAGTCCTTTCCCATGCCTATGTCCTGAATGGTAATGCCTAGGTTTTCTTCTAGGGTTTTTATGGTTTTAGGTCTAACATTTAAGTCTTTAATCCATCTTGAATTAACTTTTGTATAAGGTGTAAGGAAGGGATCCAGTTTCAACTTTCTACATATAGCGAGCCAGTTTTCCCAGCACCATTTATTAAATAGGGAATCCTTTCCCCACTGTTTGTTTTTGTCAGGTTTCTCAAAGATCAGATAGTTGTAGATATGTGGCATTATTTCTGAGGGCTCTGTTCTGTTCCATTGATCTATATCTCTGTTTTGGTACCAGTACCATGCTGTTTTGATTACAGTAGCCTTGTAGTATAGTTTGAAGTCAGGTAGCATGATGCCTCCAGCTTTGTTCTTTTGGCTTAGGATTGACTTGGTGATGCGGGCTCTTTGTTGGTTCCATATGAACTTTAAAGTAGTTTTTTCCAATTCTGTGAAGAAAGTCATTGGTAGCTTGATGGGGATGGCATTGAATCTATAAATTACCTTGGACAGTATGGCCATTTTCACGATATTGATTCTTCCTACCCATGAGCATGGAATGCTCTTCCATTTGTTTGTATCCTCTTTTATTTCATTGAGCAGTGGTCTGTGGTTCTCCTTGAAGAGGTCCTTCATGTCCCTTGTAAGTTGGATTCCTAGGTATTTTATTCTCTTTGAAGCAATTGTGAATGTGAGTTCACTCATGATTTGGCTCTCTGTTTGTTATTGGTGTATAAGAATGCTTGTGATTTTTGTACATTGATTTTGTATCCTGACACTTTGCTGAAGTTGCTTATCAGCTTAAGGAGATTTTGGGCTGAGACAATGGGGTTTTCTAGATATACAGTCATGTCTTCTGTAAACAGGGACAATTTGACTTCCTCTTTTCCTAATTGAATACCCTTTATTTCCTTCTCCTGCCTATTGCCCTGGCCAGAAATTCCAAAACTATGTTGAATAGGAGTGGTGAGAGAGGGCATCCCTGTCTTCTGCCAGTTTTCAAAGGGAATGCTTCCAGTTTTTGCCCATTCAGTATGATATTGGCTGTGGGTTTGTCATAGATAGCTCTTACTTTTTTGAGATACGTCCCATCAATAGCTAATTTATTGAGAGTTTTTAGCATGAAGGTTGTTGAATTTTGTCAAAGGCCTTTTCTGCATCTATTGAGATAATCATGTGGTTTTTGTCTTTGGTTCTGTTTATATGCTGGATTACATTTATTGATTTGCATATCTTGAACCAGCCTTGCATCCCAGGGATGAAGCCCACTTGATCATGGTGGATAAGCTTTTTGATGTGATGCTGGATTCTGTTTGCCAGTATTTTATTGAGAATTTTTGCATCAATGTTCATCAAGGATATTGGTCTAAAATTCTCTTTTTTTTTTTGTTGTGTCTCTGCCCGGCTTTGGTATCAGGATGATGCTGGCCTCATAAAATGAGTTAGGTAGGATTCCCTCTTTTTCTATTGATTGGAATAATTTCAGAAGGAATGGTACCTATTCCTCCTTGTACCACTGGTAGAATTCGGCTGTGAATCCACCTGGTCCTGGACTCTTTTTTGTTGGTAAGCTATTGATTATTGCCACAATTTCAGAGCCTGTTTTTGGTCTATTGAGATTCAACTTCTTCCTGGTTTAGTCTTGGGAGGGTGTATGTGTTGAGGAATTTATCCATTTCTTCTAGATTTTCTAATTTATTTGCGTAGAGGTGTTTGTAGTATTCTCTGATGGTAGTTTGTATTTCTGTGGGATTGGTGGTGATATCCCCTTTATCATTTTTTATTGCATCTCTTTGATTCTTCTCTTTTTTCTTCTTTATTAGTCTTGCTAGTGGTCTATCAATTTTGTTGATCCTTTCAAAAAACCAGCTCCTGGATTCATTAATTTTTTGAAGGGTTTTTTGTGTCTCCATTTCCTTCAGTTCTGCTCTGATTTTAGTTATTTCTTGCCTTATGCTAGCTTTTAAATGTGTTTGCTCTTGCTTTCCTAGTTCTTTTAATTGTGATGTTAGGGTGTCAGTTTTGGATCTTTCCTGCTTTCTCTTGTGGGCATTTAGTGCTATAAATTTCCCTCTACACACTGCTTTGAATGCGTCCCAGAGATTCTGGTATGTTGTGTCTTTGTTCTCATTGGTTTCAAAGAACATCTTTATTTCTGCCTTCATTTTGTTATGTACCCAGTAGTCATTCAGGAGCAGGTTGTTCAGTTTCCATGTTATTGAGTTGTTTTGAGTGAGTTTCTTAATCCTGAGTTCTAGTTTGATTGCACTGTGGTCTGAGAGACAGTTTGTTATAATTTCTGTTCCTTTACATTTGCTGAGGAGAGCTTTACTTCCAACTATGTGGTCAGTTTTGGAATAGGTGAGGTGTGGTGCTGAAAAAAATGTGTATTCTGTTGATTTGAGGTGGACAGTTCTGTAGATGTCTGCTAGGTCTGCTTGGTGAAGAGCTTAGTTCAATTCCTGGGTATCCTTGTTAACTTTCTGTCTCGTTGTTCTGTTTAATGTTGACAGTGGGGTGGTAAAGTCTCCGTTTATTATTGTGTGGGAGTCTAAGTCTCTTTGTAGGTCACTCAGGACTTGCTTTATGAGTCTGGGTGCTCCTGTGTTGGGTGCATAGATATTTAGGATAGTTAGCTCTTCTTGTTGAATTGATCCCTTTACCATTACAGTATGGCCTTCTTTGTCTCTTTTGATCTTTGTTGGTTTAAAGTCTGTTTTATCAGAGACTAGGATTGCAACCCCTGCCTTTTTTTATTTTCCATTTGCTTGGTAGATCTTCCTCCATCCTTTTGTTTGGAGCCTATGTGTGTCTCTGCACATGAGATGGGTTTCCTGAATACAGCACACTGATGGGTCTTGACTCTTTATCTAGTTTGCCAGTCTGTGTCTTTTAATTGGAGCATTTAGTCCATTTACTTTTAAAGTTAATATTGTTATGTGCGAATTTGATCCTGTCATTATGATGTTAGCTGGTTATTTTGCTTGTTAGTTGATGCAGTTTCTTCCTAGCCTCAATGGTCTTTACAATTTGGCATGATTTTGCAGTGGCTTGTACCGGTTATTCCTTTCCATGTTTAGTGCTTCCTTCAGGAGCTCTTTTAGGGCAGGCCTGGTGGTGACAAAATCTCTCAGCATTTGCTTGTCTGTAATGTATTTTATTTCTCCTTCACTTATGAAGCTTAGTTTGGCTGGATATGAAATTCTGGGTTGAAAATTCTTTTCTTTAAGAATGTTGAATATTGGCCCCCACTCTCTTCTGGCTTGTAGAGTTTCTGCCGAGAGATCAGCTGTTAGTCTGATGGGCTTCCCTTTTTGGGTAACCTGACCTTTCTCTCTGGCTGCCCTTAACATTTTTTCCTTCATTTCAACTTTGGTGAATCTGACAATTATGTGTCTTGGAGTTGCTCTTCTCAAGGAGTATCTTTGTGTTGTTCTCTGTATTTCCTGAATCTGAATGTTGGTCTGCCTTGCTAGATTGGGGAAGTTCTCCTGGATAATATCCTGCAGAGTGTTTTCCAGCTTGGTTCCATTTTCCCCATCACTTTCAGGTACACCAATGAGACGTAGATTTGGTCTTTTCACATAGTCCCTTATTTCTTGGAGGCTGTGTTCATTTCTTTTGTTCTTTTTTCTCTAAACTTCCCTTCTCGCTTCATTTCATTCATTTCATCTTCCATCACTGATACCCTTTCTTCCAGTTGATTGCATCAGCTCCTGAGGCTTCTGCATTGTTCATGTACTTCTCGAGCCTTGGCTTTCAGCTCCATCAGCTCCTTTAAGCACTTCTCTGTATTGGTTATTCTAGTTATACATTCATCTAAATTTTTTTCAAAGTTTTCAACTTCTTTGCCTTTGTATTTAATTTCCTTTTGTAGCTCGGAGTAGTTTGATCGTCTGAAGCCTTCTTCTCTCAACTTGTCAAAGTCATTCTCTGTCCAGCTTTGTTCCATTGCTGGTGAGGAGCTGTGTTCCTTTGGAGGAGGAGAGGCACTCTGCTTTTTAGAGCTCCCAGTTTTTCTTCTCTGCTTTTTCCCCATCTTTGTGGTTTTATCTACTTTTGGTCTTTGATGATGGTGATGTACAGATGGGTTTTTGGTGTGGATGTTCTTTCTCTTTGTTAGTTTTCCTTCTAACAGACAGGACCCTCAGCTGCAGGTCTGTTGGAGTTTGCTAGAGGTCCACTCCAGACCCTGTTTGCCTGGGTAACAGCAGCGATGGCTGGAAAACAGTGGATTTTCGTGAACCGGGAATGCTGCTGTCTGATCATTCCTCTGGAAGTTTTGTCTCAGACACCGTGTGAGGTGTCAGTCTGCCCCTACTGGTGGGTGCCTCCCAGTTAGGCTGCTCAGGGGTTAGGGGTCAGGGACCCACTTGAGGGGGCAGTCTGCCTGTTCTCAGATCTCCAGCTGCGTGCTGGGAGAACCACTGCTCTCTTCAAAGCTGTCAGACAGGGACATTTAAGTCTGCAGAGGTTACTGCTGTCCTTTTGTTTGTCTGTGCTCTGCCCCCAGAGGTGGAGCCTACAGAGGCAGGCAGGCGTCCTTGAGCTGTGGTGGGCTCCACCCAGTTCCAGCTTCCTGGCTGCTTTGTTTACCTAAGTAAGCCTGGGCAATGGCGGGCGCCCCTCCCCCACCCTGGCTGCCACCTTGCAGTTTGATCTCAGACTGCTGTGCTAGCAATCAGAGAGACTCCGTGGGCATAGGACCCTCCGAGCCAGGTGCCGGATGTAATCTCCTGGTGCACCGTTTTTTAAGCCTGGCTGAAAAGCGCAGTATTGGGGTGGGAGTGACCCGATTTTCCAGGTGCTGTCTGTCACCCCTCTCTTTGACTAGGAAAGGGAACACTGTGACCCCTTGTGCTTCCTGAGTGAGGCAGTGCCTCGCCCTGCTTCGGCTCGCGTACGGTGCGCTGCACCCACTGTCCTGTGCCCACTGTCTGGCACTCCCTAGTGAGATGAACCCAGTACCTTAGATGGAAATGCAGAAATCACTGGTCTTCTGCGTCGCTGACGCTGGGAGCTGTAGACCAGAGCTGTTCCTATTCGGCCATCTTGGCTCCAGCCCTTGGCTAGCCTGGTTTCAAACTCCTCACCTCAAGTGAGCTGCCACTTGTACAGCTGAAAAAATTTTTTTTAATTTTAACTTGACATATAACTTAATTATTATAAAAATTATTATAAAAATGTCAGCTTTATGGGTAGATATACATGCAAATATGTGCAAAAATGCTAATGAGTTAAGAGGAACATTTCTACACTTTGATTAATGATTTCATGGAGTTGCTATTTTACCTTTTCCTGTCACTATCTCCATATGTTCAATGGGAAGATCCTCAGTGAAGATTCCTCAGTATGATAGACAAAATGTGGTGCAACCAATCATTGATAGATGCACAGTGAAGTAACTTCTGGTTTTCATTTGGAGCTCTCACAGCTAGAATGGAAAACTCTTGGTTGTAAACTCACATGATGAGGAGTTATACTATGCTGCCCTCTTCTGCACATTTGTCTACCTTCCCAGTTGTTTGAACTTGCCAAGGAAAAAGGTGGGAAATTGTTTCCATCAGACCTACTCATCTCCCTTTCATAGGTTTTTACGTTGTGCATTGTCCAGATTGCTTAGAAGCTCATGATCACAGAGGTCATATTTGTCAAGTGAAAGCTTTTTTTGCACCAGGATTAAGTGAAGGTTTTTACCACCCAGGGCCCATGGTTTCCCCAGAGCCAGGATGGAGTTGAAAAACCATTACTGAAGCCAGAAAGTGATGACAGAATTTAAGGGCTGCCCACAGGAGAAAGCAAAATGCTTCCTTTTGCTTTCCAAGTGGTCACTGCTTATTCTGGCATTAATCTTGCTTCTGACCACGGTATGCTTCTTCTTCATCATTCTTGGTATTCTGCTGATTGTGCATCTGAGGAAAAGAGCATGATAGTGGTAAAGAGAACAACTGCATCCTTCTATAGCTGGTGCCCTGGTGAGCTTTGAAGCACATTGAGCAGAGCCTGAAATCCTTCCTCACTATGTGGTAAGCTGTGTCAACTTCAACTCCCATGTAAATGGCACCAGATTCAAGGTGTCAAAGAAGAGACTCAGAACCAGTGAATGAGATATGGAGTTTTACTGGGGACTTACATAGAGGGGAGAAAGTCCAGTGTCAGTGGGCTTAGCAAGATAACCATGCCCAGGACAGACCAGGGGCTCAGATGCTCCTCATGATGAAGAACAATCTCCAGGTTGGCCACTACTAGATTTTTTTTTTTATATGGAGTTTCATTCTTGTTGCCCAGTCTGGAGTACAATGGCACAATCTTGGCTCACCACAAACTCCACCTCTTGGGTTCAAGTGATTCTCCTGCCTCAGCCTCCTGAGTAGCTGGGATTACAGGCATGTGCCACCAGGCTCGGCTTATTTGTATTTTTAGTAGAGGTGGGGTTTCTCCATGTTGGTCAGGCTACTCTCAAACTCTCGACCTCAGGTGATCCGCCTACCTTGGCCTCCCAAAGTGGTGGGATTACAGGCGTGAGTCACCACACACAGCCAGGCCACTGCTAGATTTTTTAGCTTGGAACTCTGAACACTCAGAAGCATTTTTTATATAGGGTCAGTCTCCATGCCCAAGTCAAGTTAACACTGTCAGTTGCATCCATCATACAGGCTGGTTCAGGGAGTGGACATTCTTCTTCCTGAAACTCTAGATTCAAAAAATTTTTTACTTTTACTTGAATTGTTGGGTTGACAGCAGTTTATCTATTAGGCCTGATGTGTGTGCACATTGCTGATATGATTGTCTAAGTTTATGAGATGGCTTCTTAGTTGGTAGGGTCTGTTCCTGTTACAAGTGTGTACAGGCTGCTGAGATGCCCTTCTCCAGATTTTCTTGGCCCATGACACTCTGGGGCCCCAGTTCCATTGTTTTCCAAGGCAGGGCATGCTAAACCAGATCCTGAAATTGTGGTTCAGGGTGATCAGGCTGAGGCTGCCCTTTAAAAGGCAGAACTGCCAGGTTTGTATCTTATTTGCCTTGTCATTCTAACATGTCTTTTGGTATGGAGACCAGAAAAGAGTCTGAGTATGTGACAGCCCTCCTGCTAGAGCTGTTACTATTTATACATGACTCTTAAGTGTCAAGGTAGGTTGAAAGATCTGATCTATCTTCCTGGCACAGCCTGAGTAGGCTAGAGCACTGTGACCCTTAATGCTTGGCTCATGCAGTCTTCAGAGGAATTTCAAAAACCATAGGATGTGGGGGGTAGAGAAAGAGCTGGTACAAATGACAAGTTGCAGGCAAAATAATTGGAGGCAGGAAGAGAATGTGACCTGCTTGGAACAGTACACACATTGCCTTGGTGCAGCTGAACAGTCAAGCTAGTTCTCTGATTTGGGACTTGTGCCATGGAATTAACAGGCCCACATCTGCTTTGGCCTAGGTGCTGAACTCTTTGGTTCTAGAACCAAATGTGAATCCTGGACTCTGGAATTCCAGTTGGGTTTCACAGGCCAGTGCCAGTGAAGTGAGGAGGCCCAGGTGGGCCCACAAAAGTGGCTGTAGGTGGGCTTACCACACAAGCCTGGTTACTTCTGTGCCTATACTCACAAGGAAGAGGAATTTTCTTCCTCAAGGCAAGCCCAGGGAGTTTTCAGGCAAGCCCAGGGAAGTCTGATGCTTATGGGAGCCAGTGAAGAAAAAAAGTGATGCCTCAGCCCAGCGCTTTTGGCCCTCCTGGCTTGTGGGTTTGGGGGCTCAATTTGCTCATCAGAAAAATGGGCAATGAAAGCCCCTCAGTGACTGGCTGCTCACCCCACTTTTACCAGGCCATTGCACAGTGCCCACACTGCAGCTCCAGGTATTGCCTGCGCTTCAAAAGGCTGGGAGATCTCTGGGCTGAGTACCGTGCCCTGAGAGGGTTCTCCCCTCATGCCTACCCCTCTGTGCCCACCTGACACCTCAGCATGTCTGCTGCATGCCACCTATATTGCCTGCTCTTGTCAAACCCATGTCTCCCCGGGTAGGCTAGGGGCACATTCTCATTGAAGCCCAGGTGGCCTGTCCATCCTTCCTCCAATGCACAGCCTCAGGCAGGTGCCACCCAGGTTTCCTCCTAGAATGTGATCTCAGGGTGTCACAGCAGCACATTCTGCTCTAACTTATGGACTAGATAATAATTCACTTAATGTGCTAAGATGGGTGTGGGCCTTTACACTTTTGATCTCCTTCCTCTAGTGGGGCTGCATTGGGGGTTGCCATTCTGATTTCTTTGTGGAAAAAGCTAGCTGGTGAGGCAGGACTCAAGGGCCAGGAACAGGACAGAGCACCTAGGCTGGCCTCCCCCGGGCCCTCTGAGGCCCCTGCAGGTGGGAGGACTCAGTGGAGTTCCTGTCCCCTTTTCTAGGATGGTGCCCGTAGCCCCTTCCTGGACATCCAAGAAGGGCCTACTCTTTCTGCAACCTGCACTCACTGGTCTCTAGGAGGTGAGCATTGATATATCTTTGTGGACATGGCCTTCTGTTTCATTTCCATTGGATATTCTCCTGGAAGAAATGCCTAGGGAATCCTGGGCCTGTGCTGGAGGTTCTCTAAGTGGCAAAGTCAGTAAGGGAGTCTCAAAAATATAATTAATAGTGTTTTCTTCACATTATTATCTCAGGGTTACTTTTGCCCAATAATGTGTAAAAGCAAAAATTATGATTTTTATCCTTTATGTTATTTTAATTAGGTCATTATAAAAACCTTTTATTTTCCTGAAATTTATTTCCATGACAATCATTGAATTTTTGTTTCCTTCTCTGTTCATCTTGTTGCCTGTTTTAGAGGCAAAATCTTAAAAAAAAGTGCTACAAAAATAATAACAGATGACAGCAATTTATTTAAAATGCAATTAGGTTTCTTAAATAAGTAAAAAATTTCAGTAAACTTATTTATATTACTTGTCTGATTATTTTACATCTTATCCTACATCTTAAAAAATTTTAGCTAGGCATGCAATTCAAAAATTGACAGATTTTTTAAATAGGCAACTTAAAAACATTTTATTGGATATGTTGGGTAACATAATACTCAAATACTTTATATTAGAAATCAACACACTTGACAATATTCATAGTATCTATGAAAGTGACATTATGAACATGCTTTTATAGTTGCAAAAAATTTAGGTGAAAAAAATTTATTCTGGTCTTCAGTAGTAAAACTTAAAGATTACAAGAATGAGATTAAATTTACTGACTAAATTACCCACAAGAACTGAAACAGATTCATTTACTTGTTCTTTATCTTTCAGTATCTGATAACAAAGAGACTTTACGACATTCAGAATGGGCTTCAGTATAGAAATAAGGCCAAACAGCTCTTGTAAAATAATCATTAAAATATACAGAACAAACCTATCATGTATATGATTTTTAAAAATCACCCAATGCATACTCCAAAAAAATGCCAATCTTACTGGGTTTTACTACTGGCAGAAGCCAGGTTGCCTTAGGACTTGATGCAACATAACCACTCTTTATGTATCACCCAATTGCCCAAAATCCACCCAGAACTGAAGGCTGATCCTGCCAGTTCCTAAGAAGACAGCCTTGACACACACACAATTTTCATTTAGGCTTGTTTCCCACTTCTACCTTCCAGGAATGTCTGCCAGAACTACCCAGGACCCCAGGGCAGAAATAAAATCTCCTTAGGTATAACAAAAGTTGAGTTTTGTTCTTCCATATCACACACCTTTTCTATCCTCAGAGACAATAAGTTGAGGATGTGCTGTGTCAACATCCAGAATCAAGGCTGGCTGTGCTGGCTCACACCTGTAATCCCAGCAATTTGGGAGGCTGAGGTGGGAGGATCGTGAGGTTAGGAGATCCAGACCATCCTGGCTAACATGGTGAAACGCTGTCTCTACTAAAAATACAAAAAATTAGCTGGGCATGGTGACAAGCCCCTGTAGTCCCAGCTACTTGGGAGGATGAGGCAGGAGAATTGCTTGAACCCAGGAAGAGGAGGTTGCAGTGAGCTGAGATCACACCACTGCACTCCAGCCTGGGCAGCAGAGGGAGTGTCCATCTCAAAAAAAACAAAAAAAAGATCTAGAATCAAATCTACTTGAAATGGCTTGATAATTCTGTCTAAGCCAGAATAGAGAGGAGGAAGACTAAAACCATATTTCATTAATCTAAATGAAAATAGTTCAGGGCATTTTAGGCTTTGATGCCTGTGGTGCATACTCTTCACATGTGCCAGCAATTCCAGGTTTGACTGAATAGACTTGCCTTCTACCTACCTCAGTAGATGTTTAAATGTAGAAACATAATCTGAAAATTTTACAAGGTTTGCACTTAGTTTTGGAAAAAGGTCCATCTCCTTGTTTCAATTATGAGAGTTAATTGTGCAGCATAGGTACAATTATGCTCTCTTCATATGCAGAATTAATGCCATTTCTTTATTATAGATATTTTCAATTTTTCACCTGACACCACAGGCTAATTTTAAAAAGAATATTTATTTCTAATTATGTAGCTTCTATTACATAGCCAGTATTGTCTCTGTTTACTTCATGTTTATGCCAAAAAGACCTCATGACTTATTAAATGTTCAACTGTTTACTTGAATAAATTGGCCCATTAAATTTAATAAACTAAATTATGCCGATTTTATAAAGCAAAATGAATAACAACTAAACAAAAATTGGATTAAATAGCATTCTTTAATGGAAACAAAATATAAAATATGCTAGAGAACATACAATACACACAGTGTTAAATTACTCGCATGTGAAACTTATTTTGTGCATACCATTAAATTTTATCAAAGTAACTTTCATAATCTCTGAGGGGATTATACAAAGAATTTTTTGTTTATTTGTTTGAGAAGGAGTTTTACTCTTGTTGCCCAGGCTGGAGTGCAATGGTGCGATCCTGGCTCACAGCAACCTCTGTCACCCAGGTTCAAGTGATTCTCCTGCCTCAGCCTTCCAAGTAACTGGGATTACAGGTGCCCACCACCACACCCAGCTAATTTTTGTATTTTTAGTAGAGATTATATGTCTACAGAGAGCAACAGGCAAACAGACAAACAACAACAACAAAAAAGGAGAATTTGCATAAGATGATTCTAAGCCAGGAGCAATAACATTTTAGATAAATGAGTTTAATACAAAGCAGAGAAAATAGATTTGCTTTCAAAATCTTTGAACTTTCTGGTTTGCTGGCAAGTTATCAACACTTGTAAAATTATCTATTTCATTCTAATATTTTTTTCTTCTCAAAGTAGGTACACAACCATAAACAAATATGATTATTCTTTATAATCATATTTAGGTTACACACCTAAAGTTTATTTTAGAGTGATATATCTGTATATTTAAATGCATATAAATCAAAACTAAAGGTCTGTATGTGTTTAGCAGACCAAAGAAGTCATATGTTTAACAGAAAAAAGTAGGATATTTTGTAAATAGTTGTTCAGAATTCAGAAACAAATAGCTCCATTATACTCATATAATCTTCATTACAACCATCATAATAACCTGGAGTTACAAGAAAAACAAAAATGTAAGTTGTAGGAGCCATATTTACCAAATTATTTTAAGATAAAGATCACTGACAAAGGAATCACTAGGGATGTTACTTCACTGTCACCCAATAGTGTATTGTTACCATCTGTTACCTACAACCTTGGGTAAGATGGGATAAGTTAATATCAGTGGCAAGGTACACATTCAAAGTAAAATAGCCTTAACACAATAACAACAATTTTGGTTTATTAAAACAAGTTTAGTCCACACATTGTCAATAAAAAGGCATTTTGAAATTCACTGTATTTTAATTGCCTTAATTTGCAAATGGTAAAGCAATTTCCTTCTAAAATTCAAATCATTTCTCTTGCCATGCAGAATATTATCCTGATCACTTACCACTCTCCTATCATCCTGTCACTTATGATACTGTTGTAAACCAACCACTAAGTGGCCTTTCCACTTAGAATATCTCCATGTATCTTAGATTTCAGTTTTCTTAATCTTCTGTGGGAAAGTATATAAATCTGTCCATCTAATATAGAAGAACCTCCCATAAATCTGGTGCAGTAACCATTGACCATGTTCTTTCACATAAATTCTAGAAATGAACACATAGCATCAAATGTGTTAAATTATATCAATATTTGCTTTTGAAATATATTAAATTCTTTTAATATAAAAAAGTAGGTTCCTTTTAGAGAGAAGTGATCAAGTTTGCTGACTAGAAGCAGCTAGACTGTGCAGCTCTCCTATAGAGGAATGCAAGGTATGCATAAATACAGCACATTCAACAGAAACACCCAGGTACTTGCTTTGGGACTAATCAAAGAAACAACTTAAGTTTTGGAGAATGGAGTAAAGCAAGGCAGGACAATGGGCCACCTGAGAACAACATGGAGCCAAGGGAACCTCCCCACCCAGTAAAGCAGTGAGTGCAGGTGTGACCCTGGGAACTCACGATTCTCCCACTGATCTTTGCAACTCTCAGGTGAGGAGATACCCTCATGAACCCACTTCACCAAGGCCTTCAGTTGAACACACAGAGCTACATGGAGTCTTAGCAGAGCAGCCACTAAGGCCTGTGCAGAGATTCAAGAGCCTTAGATACTCTGGCTTTCCAGGCTTCCCAGAAAAAGTAGCTGCAACTCCAGCAAAACAGGAGGTTACTCCCCTGTACCCATAGGAAAGAGGCAGGATTCAGGGGACTGAACAGTGATGGTCCATAGGACCCACTTCCACAGTGCCTCACAGGGTAAGGCCTGCTGGCTTAGAATTCCAGCCAATCATTGGCAGCAGCACTGCACCTCCCTGGGATGGAGCTACCAGAAAGAGGAGTGGCCCACCATCTTTGCTGCTTGGGCAACTTAGGCATTCCAGCCTTCAGGCTTTGAAGAGCTCAAGCTGACTAGGGCAGAAAGGATCTCCTAGCACAGTACAGATGTTCTAAAAAGACATGGCCAGACTGTCTGTTAAAGCCTTTCCCCAAACTCGTTTCTCCTCACTAGAAAGTACTTCCCAACCAGGGTGACAAGCTACCACCACTGGTGCTCTTTGGTTGATGGAATTTTGAAACCTCTTTGTGATATAGTTCTTAGAGCAAAGAGCGAGCTGCCATTTTTGCTGTTTATATGACTTAGCTGTTTCAGGCTTCTAGCTTTGGAGAATCCAAAAAAACTGGCAGTGGAAGTGGTACCTCTACACAGCACAGCTGTCCTACAGAAATGTGGCTAGACTGCTTTCTTAAGTGGGTCTCCAATTATGTTCTCCTCACTGGGTAAGACCTTTCAACAAGGGTTTCCAGCTACTTCCTAAAGGGGCTTCTGGGCTGGAAACAGGTCTATACCTCTGTGGGATGGAGCTCCCAGAGAAAAGGGCATGCTGCCATTGCTGCTGTTTTGCAGCATTCACTGGTGATCACTTTAGGTACTGGAAAATCTGAGGTGACTAGAAACTGCAGTGGACACCAACATACTTCAGCAGCCCTTCAGAAAAGTGGCCAGACCCTTACGTGAGTGCCTGCTCGCATATATTCTCACTGGGCAGTTTCTCTAGGCCTGTGCCACTAGCCAATCATTGCCAGAGGTATTGAGCCAGCAGCAACTTAGCAACTCCCTGGACAGAGCCTCTAGGGGCAACTGAAAATATTTCTGCCACTGCCTCTGCAGTAGAACTGTCCTTGCTACTCTCAGACTAATGATAAATCCAAAACCCTAAGTGCCTTTTTCACACCTCAAACAAGCTGCAGTTTACCCAACAGAGGAGGCCAGTCCATCCTCCATGGGTCCCACAAACTATCCATTGCTCCTCCCTAGACAGTGAACCCATAACTTGGCCGAAACTGTGGATCCTCCATCCTGGGCTGACTGCACTGAGGGATTGCAGACCTACATCTCTCTGAGATGCAGTCCCCAGAAAATGAGCAAAGAGGTGGGGCAGCAAGCCAGCTCATGTGGTGCCCAGAGGGTTTGGCATGAGAGCATCTGTAATAAAGTGTTGTCAGTGATGGTCATTTTCCTAGACTCAACTTTCTCCCATAAGAGACTTGAGCCCTAGGGGAACAGTTGGACTTAATTTCTGCAGGATGGTCTTGCAAATCATAAGAACCTGGTCCAACTTAGTACTCCTTGGTCTGTTGGCCTCTCCCAGGGACCCACTCTGGCTACAGACAATTACAGGGCAGTCTCAGGTATACTGGGAGCCCATACCATAGCATCTGCACTGGTGGGCCATGCCTGACTCCTGAGGAGCTCCAGCAAGGCAGTCCCTATGACTGCACCAGCCCACATTTTTCTTCCCCATACTGCAGTTTCCCCTGAGATGAAGGCAAATCCCCATATTACTTTGCTGGCACATGTCTGCAAAGGCAGGTTTGGCTTTGCTTGCCCCACCAGCAAATGGGAATGCAGTATGCCCTAGCCACCCCCAGCAACTGGCATTGTAAATGAAGCTTTGGTGGGCAGATGGGCAGAAAGCCCCACCCCTGACTTTGTGCTAACACTGTGTGGAGAACAGGTATCTTCCCACAACCTCCACAATCACTCCTTCTTGGAGGGGCACAAAGAAGGCATCAGAATCCTTGCTGCCCAGCATTCTGCTCCAAGCCAACACCATCTTTAGTGCAACAGCACATACAGTCTCCAGCAGTTACCCCCTAGTCCACTCCCAGCTGCTTTGCTCCTGCCACTGAGGTGAATGTCCAAAGACAGGCAGAAACTCCATATCCACTAGCACTCTGCTGCCACTGTGGGACCTTAGTCCCACAGAGTGGTGGACTCCAAATATCATGGAGCCAGAGAAGACAGTTGGGGCTCAATGCAAGTCCCCCAGAGTATGCAGCCTCTGAGTTTTGAGCTGAGCATTGCTCCCACCACCACCACCAAAAAACAAAACTCCCAGGAACAAAGCCTGTTGGCTGCAAACACCTTATACCACAATCAAATACTCAAGACCATCAAATAGGACCAAAAATACCAAAATCCCATTCAAAGGTCAGCAACCTCAAAGATGTGCCCACAAAGATGAGACAAAGTCAGTGCAAAGATATTGAAAACACAAAAAGCCAGAGTGACTTATTTCATCCAAATGACCAAATTACATTTCCAGCAAGGCCTAAGATGACAGAAGTAGAATTCAGAATATGGATAGAAATAACTTCATTGAGCTACAAAAGTAAGTTGCAATCCAATTCAAGGAAGGGAAAAAATTTCAGGAACAGACAGAAAAAAACAGCCAATCTGGAGAAAAATGTGGCCAACCTGATACAGCTGAAAAACACAATACAAAAACTGCATAATATAATCACAAGCATTAACAGCAGAATAGGCCATGCAGAGGAAAGAATCTCAGAGCTTCACAACTCGCTTTCTGAAATAAGACTGACAAGAGGAGTGAAAAAAGAATAAAGAGGAACGAACAAAACCTCTAAGAAATATGGGATTATGTAAGAAAGCAAATCTACAATTAAAGAGAATGCCTGAAAGTAATAAGGATAATGAAAACAACTTGAAATACATATTTTGGGATATTGTCCATGAGAATTTCCCTAACTCAGATAGAGAGGCCAACATTTAAATGCAGGAAATGTGGAGAACCCCAGTAAGATAACCCATGAGAAGGTCATCCCCAAGACATATAATCA
This sequence comes from Homo sapiens, assembly GCF_000001405.40. Taxonomy (NCBI): domain Eukaryota; kingdom Metazoa; phylum Chordata; class Mammalia; order Primates; family Hominidae; genus Homo; species Homo sapiens. The sequence continues at coordinate 46,786,741 of NC_000008.11, read as the reverse complement.
TGAGATTCTCCAAGGTCAAAATGAAAGAAAAAATGTTTTAAAGGCAGCTAGGGAGAAAAGCCAGGTAACCTCCAAAAAAAGCCTATCAGACAAACAACAAACCTTTCATCTGAAATCCTACAAGTCAAAAGAGATTAGGGGCCAATATTCAACATCCTTAAAAGAAGAGCTCCAACCTGAAATTTCATATTCAACCAAAGTAAGCTTCAGAAGTAAAAAAATAAATATGATCCAGTTCAGATCAGCAAATGCTGAGGTAATCTGTTGCCACAAGACCTGCCTTACAAGAGCTTCTGAAGAAAGCACTAAAAGAAGAAAAAGACTATTACCAGTCACTACAAAAACACACTAAAGTACGTAAATTTCTGACACTATAAAGCAACAACGTAAACAAATGTCCAAAATAGCCAGCTAAGATCACAGTGACAGAATCAAATCCACATATATGAATACTAACCTTAAATGTAAATGGGCTAAGTGCCCCAATTAAAAAGCAGAGTGGCAAGCTGAGTAAAGAATGAATATCTAATGGTATGCTGTAATTGAGACACCTATCACAAATAAGCTCAAAATAAAGGGAAAAAGGAAAATCCACCAAGCAAATAGAAAACAGAAAAAAGCAGGGGTTGCAATCCTAGTTTCTGGCAAAACAGACTTTAAATCAATATAGGTTTAAAAAAAGACAAAGAAGGGCATTACATAATAGTAAAGTGCTATATATGTGCCCAACACAAAAGCACCCAGATTATAAAGCAAGTTCTTAGAGACCTTCCAAGATGTTAAGTTAAATGTTCTTCAACAGTAATTACCTTTATACTGCTTTTGTTCAGTATTAAGTCTCTGATGTTAAACACAATATAAGGACTTGTTAAAGGCTCTTCTACATTTTTAACACTTTCTGGAGCTTCTCTCTAGTATGAATTCTCTTATCTCTAATGTGATGTGAAAATGAGATCAATGCTTAGCCACATTCTTCACATTTGTAGGGTTTACTCTCCAGTGTGAATTATCTTATGATTAGCAAGGTCTGAGAAGCACTTAAAGGTTTTCCCATATTCTTCACATTTGTAAGGTCTCTCTTCCACATGAATTCTCTTCTGGTTAATAAGGGTTGAGGAGCGGGTAAAACTTTGCCATATTCTGCACAGATGTGGGGTTTCTCTCCAGTATGAATTCTCTTATGTTTACTAAGGGCTGAGAACCACATAAAAGCTTTTCCATATTCATTACATTTGTAGGGTTTCTCTCCAGTATGAATTATCTTATGTTTAGTAAGGTCTGAGAACCACCTATAGGCTTTGTTACATTCTTCACATATGTAGGGTTTCTCTCCAGTATGAATTCTCTTATGATTAATAAGGTCTGAAAAAAACTTAAAGGCTTTACCACATACTTCCCATTTGTTCAGTCTGTCTTCAGTATGATTTCTCTTGTGCTGAATAAGGGTTGAGGAGAAGGTAAAGGTTTTGAAACATTCTTCACATTTGTAGGGCTTCTCTCCACTATGAATTTTCTTATGATCTACTAGTAACGTTTGAGAACTTTTTAAGGCTTTGCCACATTCTTCACATTTGTAGCATCTCTCTGCAGTATGAATTCTCCTCTGTATAGTAAAATCTGAGAACAACCTACAGTTTTTGCCACATTCTTTACATTTGTAGCATTTCTCTCTGCTAAAAATTTTCTTATGTTCAGTAAAGGTTGAGCATAACTCAAAAGCTTTGCCACATGTATTACATTGACAGGTTTAGCTATGGGTAGTTGACAAACATTGATGAAGGCCATTGTAACTGCTTTTCTGCCCCTTGCAATTAGCAACACTTTGGTAGTCTTTCTTTAAATAAACTATTAAGGTCACAGCTTCCATATTTTATCAGAATCACTTTTTGAAATTAATCTTTTATGTTGTGCTCTGGCAATATCTCTGCAGTAAAATGAAAAGAGCCAGCTGAATTAAAAAAAAAGAACAACAAGATTTATTCCTCATTAGACTCAGGTGAATACAATTTACAAATATATAATTATACAAAGCACACTAACAAGGTGACAATAAAATACCACAGGCTCTAATTCCTTTATAAACTTATTAACTTAACAGAAATATACTGACCAAAATGCCTTTGTGAGAAGTCTAAGGACCAGCTAAGCATTTGCAGCACTCCAAGTGAGCAAAATACCAAGAACCACATAGAAGTGTAGCAAGGGTACTTCATATTTACCCACAACAGCCATTCTTCATCCTATGATGACTTTAAATATAGACTCCCAACTCCTGTCTTCCCCCTCCAAAAATAAATAAAATAGTGGCACCTGTGTCCATGCTTCTGGCTTTTTGAGACCTTACCAAAGACTAATTTCTATATTCTATGACAATATTGAAAGAAAAGGTGGTATACTTTGACAGTTTTGGACTGTTACAAGAGAAGAAACACTTCAGTATCACAGACAGACAATGGGTATAGCAACTGACTACAGGATTTCAATAAGAAACATGGGGAATGGCTGGGAGTGGTGGCTCATGCCTGTAATCCCAACAGTTTGGGAGGCTGAGATAGGTGGGTCACCTGAGGTCAGAAGTTCAAGATCAGCCAGGTCAACATGGTGAAACCCCGTCTCTACAAAAAATACAAAAATTAGCCAGGCGTGGTGGCAGGCACCTGTAATCCCAGCTGTGTGGGAGTCTGAGGCAGGAGAACTGCTTGAACCTGGGAGTTGGAGGTTGCAGTGATCCAAGATCACATCATTGCACTCCAGCCTGGGCAACAAGAGTGAAACTCCAAATCAAAAAAGAAAAGAAAAAACATGGGGAAAATTTTTTAACTAAAAGACACACAAGCCCAGAGAAAACATCCATACAACAGGCTTGAAAGACTCCAAGAATCTCTCGCCTAAAAAATTGGTATCATATTTCCCCAGACAAAAGCCAACTTAATAAGGATTTTGACATGTGGCTTTATATTACACAAACTGCAACCTAAGATTACAACATATACAAAATATCAAGATAATATGGCTCAAAGATAAAAATGAATATCCAGAAATCAATTATAAAAAAGAGAGATGTAAAAATTACCTGAGACAATTTGAATTAATGTCTAGATCTATTTCTTAAAAGAAAAAAATAAATTAACCTAAAAAGTCAAAATTACCACCTCAATGATGCTCAATGAATACAATGGAAATCAATAAAATAAAATAAAATAAAAAATGAAAACAACAAAAAGATAAAAAGCACAAAAAGAAATAAATATTGTGGAATAGAAGTACAAAAAATGACTAATATGCACTTCTACATTAGTAAAAAATATAAGAAAATCAAGAAGCTCAGCAAATTTCAACTAAGATTAACACAAAGAGATTTCTAACAAGACACAACATAAGCAATGTTTTGAAAGTCACAGACAAGAAGATAATCTGGAATGCAGGAAGAAAAAAGAGATGTGTTATTTATATGCATGCTTCTGCAAGATTACCAGTAAATTTATGAACATAAATCTTTTGGGCAAGATTGGAGGAGGATGACATAGTTAAAACACTGGAAAAAAAAAGTCTAAGCAAGAATACTATATCCAGCAAAAGTGTCCTTGAAAACAAAAAATAAAAAAACCTAACTATATCATGATCTATATCAAGATCTATCTATGTCATGGGTTCAAGAGACTCACTTCAGAACTAATAAAAAAAATAGACTGAAAATGGCAGGATGAAAAATGCATTCCATGCAGGTGTTAAACAAATAAGAGGAGTACAGGCAACAACTTATGAAGTTGAAAACTGTTATATTTCATATGATTTACTTTAAGTCAAAATTCAAAGAGACAAACTAGGACATTCAATTACAGTAAGAGGATTCATTCACTGAGAACCTATAAATATATGACCATTTTCCCAAACACATAAAGCAAACATTGACAGAATTGAAGCAAAAATAGACAGCAATATAATAAAAAAAGGATATATCAATATCCCACTGTCAGTAATAAATAAAGCAAGACAGACTATCAATAAGGGAATGAAAAACTTTAATGTACTATACAATAATTACACCTAACAAACATATACAGACAAGAGAATACACATTCTTTTCCACAGCCCATAAAACATTTTCCTAGATGGAACACCTGTGACACCACAAAAGAAGACTTACTTAACAATTTTTTTAATTGAAATTTTACAGACAATTATTTATAGTGCAAGTGGAATGAAACTAGAAATCAGTGGCAGAAGAAAAGCTGAAAAATTCAAAAAATATAAAAATTAACACAGTTTTTTTTTTTTTTGAGATGAGTATCACTCTGTTGCTAGACAGATTGTTAAGTCTTCTTTTGTGGTGTCACAGGTGTTCCATCTAGGAAAATGTTTTGTGGGCTGTTGAAAAGAATGTGTATTCAGATTCTCTTGTCTGTATACATTTGTTAGGTGTAATTATTGTATAGTGCATTCAAATTTTTCGTTCCCTTATTGATTGGAGAGCAGTGGGGAAATCTTGGCTCACTGCAACCTCTAACTGCCAGTTTCAAGTGATTCCCCTGCCTCAGTCTCCCGAGTAGCTGGGACTACAGGCACGCACCACCACGGCCAGCTAATTTTTGGTATTTTAGTAGAGACAGGGTTTCACCATGTTTACCAGGTTGGTCTCGATTTCCTGACCTTGCCATGTGCCCTCCTCAGCCTCCCAAAGTGCTGGGATTACAGGCGTGAGCCACCGCGCCCGGCCAAGCATGCTCTTTTTCAAGGTTTGGAAGACATAATATGGCGAAGATGTCCATGTTGCTTAAAGTGACCCACACATTCAACACATCCCTTTTCAATTTTAAATTATACTTTTCCAAAAATAGAAAAAAAAAAACCCCGCAAAATTACCTAAGATCTCAGAGGACCATGAAAAGCCTGACAATCTTTAAAAAGAAGAAAAGTATTGGAAGCATTACTCTTAATAATTTCCAAACACAAAACAAGCCTACAGTAATCAAAGCACTTTGGTGCCAGTATAAAGGTAGAACATGAAAGTAATCAAAATAATGAAACAGAATGCAGCACAGATACAAACTCTTGAACACAGAGGAGAGACATACCACCTAGGTTTTTTATTCAGCCGTATGTCACAATTCCTTGGGTAAGCAGGACCCAGGCAGGAAAAGAGAGTTACATTACCTAGACGCTAGACTCAGCGATATTTCAAAATGTTCTCTGGGAGCAGGGCACAGGCTGGAGAGACACATCACCTAGCTGGCAGGCCCAGAGATATGTGATAATATCCCCTGTTGACAGGGTCCAGGCAGAAGTGTCACATTATTATGATTCTGACCCGGCGATATATAAGATTGCACCCATGGAAAGAAATTTGAGCCAAAATTCTCAACATCTGGGTACTATACCCAGTGATATGACACAATCTCATTATCTTTGAGGGTGACACCTCTAACTTTTAACTGAGTGTGTATATTAGAGTCACAATCTCACGTCTGTGCTAGGCCAATGTATGACATTCTCTTCAACATCCAAGAACTTTATAAAACCTGCATGAGAGTTGCAAAGCTCTCTGAGGCCTACGTGCTGGTATGGACTCACAATCTTACATATTGCCCTAAACCCAGGTTTGATAGTCAAGATCTCTCCTACAGGCAGGGTTAAGGAGAAGACCCATTATTCCTGTGGGCTGGGTCCAGAAATGAGTCACCATCCCACCTGTGTCCAGATCCACATATAAAATTCACAATTTTAACTTTGTGCTGTCTTCCCTTGTTAGACTCAGGACCTCAGCAGTGGTCATTATAAATGTGGGATGGTGACAACTTTTAATTTCACTTGGGTGTGTAACTGAGTGTCCCAATCTGAACTTTTTGCTGGGCCCCGTTATGAATCTCTCTACCACAAAAGAGTTTATAAGCTTTTGTGTTGTAAGCTTCCATGAGCTTGGTATGAACATGCAACCCAGCACCTTAAATATTGCCCTAAGCTTAACAAAAAGAGGCAAAATACTTCCTATTGGCTGAATCCCAACATAAGTTTGATCATCATGCCTGTGAACTGAAGCAAGGTATGTATCATAATTCCATTTGTGGGCAAAAACTAGGCAGGAGGGTAACAACACTTAGATGCTGTGCCAGGCAATGTGTCACAATGCCTTCGCTGGGCTGGGTATAGAAAATTGGGTCACATTATCTGGGTGCTGGACCCAGCAATATGACACCATCCCATATGTGGAAAAAACCCAGCCAACTTATGAGAGCCAAAACACCTACATAATGGGCCCAAGATATGTCAAAATACCTTTGCCGGCTCCAGCACAGGCAGAAGAGTCACATCATAAGGGTGCTGGGCCCAGAAATATGCAATATGCAATAATTTCCTCTTCATGCAGAACCCAGGCAGAAGAATAACATCATCTGGGTGCTGGGCTGTGCAATAGGTCAAAATTCTTTTTTTGTGGGCATGGTTCAGGAAAAAGAAGAGAGTCACATATCCTGAGTGCTGGGCTCAGCAATGTGTCAAAATCCTCCAATGGTGAAGGCCCAGGCAGAAAAAGAGAGTCACATCACTTAGGTTATGGGCTCAGAGATATGTCCCAATGTCCCCAGTAGGCAGGGCTCAGGCAGACATGGAGAGTCATATCACCTAGGTGCTTCCCTAGAAATATGTCACAATGTAGCATGTGGGCAGAAACCAGGCAGAATAGCCACATCACCTGGGTGCTGGGTCCTGAGATATGTCACAAGGCTCTCTTAGGACAGCACTCAGGCAAGAGAGTTACATCACCTAGATGCATGTTCTCTGAGTATTCCACAGGGCTCCATATGGGTAGGGTCCATGAAGGACATCACTTCACTTCAGTGACAGACCCAGAGATATGTCACAATGTCCTCTATGAAGCATAGCCCTGGCAAAAGAGTACCATCACCTGTGTGCCTGGCCTAGAAGTATGTCACTCCCGAGGTTGGCAGGGCCCAAGCAGGAGAGCCACATCACCTAGGTGATAGGCCCAGAGATATGTCACAATGCCTTCCACTGGGCATGGCTCTGGCAAAAGAGTACATTCACCTGTGTAGCTGGCCTTGCAATATGTCACTATCCTTCCTTTGTGCAGGGCCTATTCCAGAGAGGAGAGTTACATCACGTATGAGGTGGACACAGAAATATGTCACAATAATTTTGGTGGGCATGTCCCAGGCAAGAATGTAACATCACCTGGATGCCAGATCCAGTGATATGTCACAATGCTTACTGAGAGAAGGGCCCAGGCAGGAGAGTCACATCACCTCAAGGTTGGCCTATGTAGACATCACAACCTTATATATGGGTTGGAACAAGTCTGGAGAGTCAAATTACACAGGTGCTTGGAAAACATTTATATCACAATCACACTGTCAGAAAATTCCAAAGATGAGATTTACAATACCACACATATCCTGTTTTCATGTGTGACAGTTCGCTTCATCCATGTGAGATGATGACAGTCCTTACTGTCAGCTGGGTGTGCTTGGAAGACTCACAGTTTCACCTGTGTGCTGAGCCCTGCTTTGACTCTGTCTGTACAATTCAAAGACCTTGTAAAATACATGTCAGTGTTGTAATCTTTTGTGACCTTTGTACAAGAAGTTGATCCAGGACATCATGCGTGTCCCTGAATTTAGTTATAAGACTCAAAATATCCTCTATTGGCTGAGTCCACATATAGGAGCCACTATCATTCCTGTGAGCCACGCCTAGGTATACGTTATGATTTCATCTGTAGTTATGAAGTAGACAGAACAGCCACATCACCTAAATGCTGGGCCAGAAATATTTCAATATTCTCTTTGTAGGCAGGGTCCTGTCAGAAATGTCACATAACTTGTGCATTAGGTCCAGCTCTGTGGCACAATGTCCCTTGTCAGCAGTGTCCAGGCAGAAGAGAAGAGTCATATCACCTAAATGATGGGTGCAAACATTTGTCACAATGCCTCCTGTTGCCAGGGCCCAGGCATGAAAGTCATATCATTTGGATCAGCAAACTATCGCAAGGACAAAAAACCAAACACCGCATGTTCTCACTCATAGGTGGGAATTGAACAATGAGAACACATGGGCACAGGAAGGGGAACATCACACACCGGGGCCTGTTGTGGGGTGGGAGGAGGCGGGCGGGATAGCATTAGGAGATATACCTAATGTTAAATGAAGAGTTAATGGGTGCAGCGCACCAACATGGCACATGTACACATATGTAACAAACCTGCACGTTGTGCACATGTACCCTAAAACTTAAAGTATAAATAAAAAAAAACATGCTACAATTACCAAAGGAAGCAGTGTCCCGGCAGGAGAGAAGAGTCACGGAACCTAGATGATGAGTCCAGAAATATGTTACAATCCCCTCTGAGGACATTGTTAAGATAGTGCAGTCAAATCACCAAGGTGCTTGGCCAAGGTATTTGTCACAATCTGATTTGTGGGCTATACCTAGGCAGAATTATTAAATCACTCAGGAGCTGGGCAAAGGTATATGTCACAATTAAACTTGTGGAAAAGTTTAAGAGTCACCCTCCTGCACATGTCCTGGCTCCAGCCATATGAGTTGTTATTAGGCTTTTGTTATGGTCTCAGGTATATGGCACAATATCACCTGTGGTCAGAGAGAAGGCAAGAAAGTCTCATCACCTATGTGGGTGTGGGTCCAGTGAGATGTCACAATTCACCTTGTGGGCAGGACCCTGGCAGAAGTGTCACATCACTTGGATGCTGATTTCAGTGGTATATTAAAACCCCTTCTGTGGGCAGGACTTTGGCAAGAAAGAAGAGTCTTCACCTAGGCAATTGCCCTAGGTATATGTCACAGTGTCTGTTCTGTGCAGTACCAAAGCTGGTGAGTGACCTCACCTTGATGCTGGGCCCAGCATTATGTCACAATCTCCCTGTGGTCAGAGCCCAAGCAAAAGCGAGGAAACATTAATTATGTGCTGAGCCAAGTGATATATTACAATGCTTCTTGTTGGCAGAACCCAAAAAGGAGAATCACATAATCTGAATTGTTTTATTAGACCTATTAAAAGACAGAGATGTCAGGTTGCTATAAAGATAAAAATGTAGCTATTTATTATTTACCAAAAGACAAACCTGAAAAAGAAAAGTGTTAAAAAACAAAGGGATATTTAAAAAATCTGCCAAATACTAACATAATGATTATATAGCAATTTTCCTGTCGTACAAGTCAGTAAAAAATTTTCCTGGTAAAATTTCCAGGAAATAAAAAATGATCATTAATATTGATAAAAGGAACAATCTACTAAGAACACATAACAGCATCAAAACTTTATGAATATGAGGTATGTTCAAACATATAAAGCAGGCTGGGCAAAGTGGCTCTCACTTGTAATCACAGCACTTTGGGAAGCCAAGGAAGAAGTGTTGCCTGAGTCCAGGAGTTGGAGACTAGCCCAGGAAACATAGCAAGACCTCATCTCTACCAAAGAGAATTTTTAAAATTGTATATATTTACACATACATATATAAACACATATATATATAAATATATATATACACATATATACACATATTTATAAATATATTTTTACTGGTAATTGTGAAGAATGCTGCAATGAATGTAGGGATGCAGGTATCTCTTCAATGTACTGATTTCATTTAAAAATATATATATACATATACCCAGAAGTGATCATATAGTAGTTCTGTTTTTAAATTTTTGAGGAATCTCCATATTGTTTTTCCTAACAGTTGTTCTAATTTACATTCCCACCAATAGTGTGCAAAGTTTCTCTTTTCTCCACATACTTGCAACACTTGTATTTTGTCTTTTTGGTGATAGCTATTCTAAGAAGTGTGTGTATATATATATGCCAATCAAAATATTTTAAAGTATTAAAAATACACAAATAATTGCTATGAAAAATGTCATGCTTTTTCAGTCAAAAGGTAACCAAGAGTAAGAGGAATTAAATAACATAAGAATTTTTATAAAATAGACATACAGAGAATTAAGACAAATAGACATATGCAATCAAGAATCTTCATCCCTGATGAACCACAAAAATCCTCAAAAAATATATAAAGCCAAATTCCACAGCACATTAAAGGAATCATATACCATGATTACATAGTATTTATTTCTGGGTTGCAAAGATGGTTTAACATATACAAATCAATTGATGTGATTTAATAAAATGAAAGATAAAAATCATGTGATTATTTAAATAGATGGCTGAAAAAGCATTTGACAGATTCAACACTCATTTATGATTAAAACTCTCAACAAATAACTACAGAAAGAATACACCGATATTCTTTTTGTTATGTTTCTCAACATGATAAAGGCCACACATGACAAGCTTACAGTTAACATTATACTCCACCGTAAAAAGTTGAAAGCTTTCCCTCTAAGATTAGTAACAAAGCAAGGATCTCTACTCTTACCACTTCTATTCAATATAGTACTGGAGGTCCTAGCCAAAGCAATTAGGTAAGAAAAAGAAATAAAAAGCATCCAAATTGAAAAGAAAGCAGTAAAATTGTCCCTCTTTGCTGATGACATGACCTTATACATAGAAAACTGTAAAGATTTCACCAAAAACTCTTGGAACTGATAAATTCCATAAAGTTGTATAATACAAGATCAGCTATAAAATGAACAGCATTTCTGTATACTAACCACAAACTATCCAAAAAAGAAATCAATAAAATTCTACATAATAGCATTTTAAAAATACAAAAAATATTTGGAAATAAATTTGACCAGGGAGTTTCTACATTGTTTTCTACCTTGAAAACTATAAAATATTGATGAAATAAATTGAAAAGAATAAATGGAAAAATATCTTATTTTCATGGATTGGAAGAATTAATATCATTAAAATTCCTATACTACTCAAAGTGACCTACAGATTTAATGAAATTCCTATTACAAATTCCAATGATGTTTTTACAGAAATTTTTTTAAATCTAAAATTTGTATGGCACCACAAAAATCCTGAATAACCAAAGCAATCTTGAGCCAAAACAACAAAACTGAAGGCATCACACCACCTGACTTCAAAATATACCACAAAGGTATAATAATCAAAACAGCACAGTACTGGCATAAAAACAAATATATAGACCAATCGAAGAGAATAGTGGGCCCAAAAAGAAATTCACACATTTACAGTCAAATGACCTTCAACAAAGGCAGCCAGAACACACAATGGGGAATGGACAGGCTCTTCAATAAGTGGTTTTGGCAAAACTGAATATACACATGCAAAATAATGAAATTAGACTGATTTCTTGCACCCTATGTAAAACTCAACTGAAAATAGATTACATACTTAATTGTAAGGCCCAAAACTATAAAACTACTAAAAGAAAACGTAGGGAAAAGCTTCTTTACATTGGTCTGGGAAATTACTTTTTGGATATGACCCCCACAGCTCAGGCAACAAAAGCAAAACTGGGCAAATGAGATTGTATCAAACTAAAAAGTTTCTGGACAGCAAAGAAAATAAAAGTGAAGAGACAGCCTACAAAAAGGGAGAAAATGTTTGCAAATCATACATCTGATAAGGGGTTAATATTCAAAATTATAAGGAACTCAAACAACTTTATATCAAGAAAATGAATAACCCAATTTTAAAATGGGCAACAGATGAGAACAGACATTTCTTAAAAGAAAACATATGAATGGACAACAGGCATATGAAAAAATCCTTAATATCTCTAATCATTAGGGAAATGCAAATAAAAACCACAGTGAACTATCACCTCACACTTCTTAGAATAGCTATTATCAAAAAGACAAAATACAACAAATGTTGCAAGGATGTGGAGAAAATGGAAAACTTTGTACACCATTGGTGGGAATGTAGATTAGCATAACTATTATGGAAAGCAGCATGGATATTCCTCAAAAAAATAAAAACAGAACTACTATATGATCCAGCAATCCCACTTCTGGGTATATAAATTTTAAAAAATGAAATCAGTACGTTGAAGAGATACCTGCATTCCTATGTTCATTGCAGCATTCTTCACAATTACCAAGATATGGAATCAAATTAAAAATCCATTGACAGATAAATGGATGAAGAAAATGCAGCATTTTCTTTATATATATGCATGTGCTGCATTTTCTTTATCCATTTATCTGTCAATGGATGCTTATGTGCGTATACACACACACACACACACACACACACACACACAATGGAACACTGTTCAATCTTTTCAAATAAGGAAATCTGTTCATTTGTAATGACATGGATAAACCTGGAAGATATTATGCTAAGTAAAATAAGCCAGCCACAGACAAACACTACATGATCTCACTTATGTTTGGAGTTCAAAAAGTCAAGCTCTGCAGTGAGCTGAGATCGCACCACTGTACTCCAGCCTGGGTGACAGAGCAAGACTCCGTCTCAAAAAAAAAAAAAAAAAGTCAAGCTTATAGAAGCAGAGAGTAGAATGGTGGTTGCCAGAGGCTGGGGGGAGGGAAGAGGAATGTGGAGATGTTGGTCAAAAGGTAAAAAAGTTTCAGTTAGACAGGATGAATAAGTTCTGAAACATTGAGCTTGTACAGCATGTGGCTACAGTTAATAACGTATTGCATATTAAAAATTGCCAAAAATATAGATCTTAAATTTTCTCATCACACACACACAAAAGTTTGTGAGGTGAGAGATATATGTTAATTATTGATTTCATGATTTTGCAAGGTATGCATATACCAAAACGTCAAGTTGTACACCATAAATATATCCAATCTTTATTTGTCAATTATACTCTATAAAACTGAGGGGAAAGAAACTTTACCGAATAGACATACTTTAAAATATATATAGAATTTTCTGATATTTGAACAATAGGACAAAAAATGAAAGAAACAATTTTAAAGAGAAAAACTTTGGAAAGCTATTAAAAAATAAGAGACAAGGTAAAATTGACAATGACAAAAAAATAGCTATACATACATGGGAGTTGGAAAAATGTTTAAGATGCTGCTATACAAAATTCTACACCAATGAATGTGTGAAAGTATAATTTTTGGTTATTAGAAAGTACTATTGTTCAAAATTAGAGTATTAAAATAGCCCAATGACAATGAAATTATTTATAGCTGTACTCATTAACTACACCTCCTAACTTACACTGACATCTAAAATGCAGTAGCCCAGTCCATTTAATAGATAATTCCAACTAAAACTCTAAGAATGAAGGCAATGAACATTTTCCATTTTTAATAACTATTTCAGAAATCAGAAAATAAGTGCAAGTTAACTCTCCAACACATTTAATGAGGTCAGTCTAAACCTAAAAGAAACTATTCAACCCATTTAGGAAGACTAGCCTAACCCTGATATAAAACCAAAGGAAGGACTCTAGAACAGAAAACTGTAGGCCATACCCACTTGTGACCATAGAAACAAATAATATACATAACAAATCTATGCACATGCTATTATATATGCTATGTAAACAATGTATAACATATGATTATATAATATGTATATGTACATATTACTTACATGTAATATGTTATAAAATATTACACACATACACATATAAAAAGATTAAATAAGGCTTTCCCAGAAATGAAACATTAGAAAGCTTATCATTGTAATGTACCTCGATAACATCTTAAAGGTGAAGGTGGGTCTCAAAGCTCTTTCCCAGCTGTCTTTTGGAGATATTGACAAGCTGATCCTAAAATTTTTGTAAAAAGCCAACTGACCCAAAATAGCCAAAACAATTTTGAAAAAGAACAAACTTGGAGGACTCATGCTTACCAATGTCAAAACTTACTACAAAGCTGCAATAACCAAGACTGTGCAGATCTGGTATAAGGTTAATGATATAGATTGTTGCAATCGAACTGAGAATCAGTAATAAAACTGCATCTTCATGGTTGACTGACTTTTTGCAAGTGTGCTCAAGCAATCAATGGGAGAAAGAATAGTCTTCTTTTTTTAATGGTACTGGGATAGCTACAGATATCCACATGTGAAGGAATGATGGAGGATTCCTTCCTCACACCATACACAAAAATTAACTCCAATGGATTGCAGACCTTTAGGGTGACCTAAAACTATAAAACACAGGGGTAAATCTTTGCAGCTTGGGTTAGGAAAGCCTCCATAGATATGAAACCAAAAGCAAAAATTAGATAAATTTTTCTAAACTTCACCAAAAGTTGAAAACTTTTCTGTCAAATGTCACTATCAAGAAGGTGAAAAGACAACCCATAGAATAGGAGAAAGTATTTGAAAATCACATATCTGATAAGGGACAACTATGGGCAAATATCTAAATAGGCATTTCTCCAAAGAATGACCAATACGCACCTGAAAAGTTATTCAACATCATTAACCCTTGGGGAAAGGTAAACCAAACTCACAATGAGACACCAGTTCACCCACACTAGGGTGGCTATAATAAAAAAGACAGAAAATAACAAGTGTTGGTAAAAATGTAGAGAAATCCACACCTTCATAACTATACTAAAAACCAATAATTGTACACTGACATGTCAATGGCATGCCTAAGAAATGTTTTAGTAGAAGATGTGCACAAGCCAGTGCAGAGTATGATTATCAGTACACAAGGCAAAACCAATTAGGCAGCAATCCAGTGCTACATAATCTTGCAGTGGGGCTATGAGAACTCAGTTCCCCCATCCTATTTGGGATCATGCAGCACTCAGTGGGCATGACTGGGTCCTGGAATGTCTGAACATCAGTCTGCTAAGGACCTCCAGGTCTATCTCAAGAAGCAGCTATTTACAGTGCTGCTATGTGTTGTATGTGTAGGGCTGTGTACAATCAGTGTGATTCAGTCATTCACTTAACTTGTGTGTTAATTTATTGATTCTATTCACTCATATAACATGCTATTAGGACATTTCTTTTATGTGATAGTTGTTGTACTAAGCATTAATTACCCAAAGAAAACAAATCTTAGTCTTTTGCCAGAGAACCACTTGTTATTTTCTATTATAGTGAATAAAGGTAAGGAATCAAGCATTTATCCCGCCTTTAGTAAATAAGCTGTCAAAAGTTTCTCTATATGGAAGTATTCCAGCTAACAAATGAAGAAAACATGTTAGAATTAGAACATCATTATTTCACAGCCTTTATAAACTAACAGATCTAGGCAATAATCATCAATCAATACTAACATCACAAATGAGAAATAAACAAGTTATATGTGTTTCTTAATGGAATTACACAACATTATATATGAACTCTTGCCAAAAATGTTCAAGCTTGATCAGGTTTCTAGATCTAACTACCAATGTAGAGGAAATATAAAAGTCAGAGGCACATAATAAATGACTCCATGGGAAAGACAATGGAAATTCTAAAGAAAAATACCCAGCTCCTCAACAAATACATTTAAAGATTAAAGAAAAGGAAAGGAAATGGAAGAGTAATTTAGAGATGAAAAGAGATTTAAGAGATATATCAACCAATTGCAATATATGGACATTCTTTTAATCCTATATTAACAAATACAAATGAGGTATGAGTTAATCAGAGAACTTTGAACACTGGACATTTGATGACAATAAGGAATTATTGTTAGCATTTAGATGTGATAATGGTATACAGTTATGGTTAAACAATATATGAGTTGCAGTCATTGATCTTAAGAAGCTCACAGAAAGTGGGGGGAATATGCAGGTTGAAAAATGATTAAAATACAATTTGATAAGGCTATGCCAGTGATAAGTGAAAAGTATTATGGGAGCACAGAGACAAGTACCACCTAGGAGGCTGAAGGAATAATTCTTGTATAAGAGAGATATGAATCTTAAAGGATGAGAAGTTTGGCAGGGAAATTAGGCAGGAAGTGAGCCCTAAACCAAGAGAATAATATGAACAGAGACAAAGAGGTATAAAAAATGGGATGTGTTCCAAGGTGTGCAATATTTGAGCATTGTTACAGCACAGAGAAAGTGGTGAGACATGAGGTTAGAGAGACAGGCTTGCATGAGATCTTACCAGATCTTTCTTGATTCTGTGTTAAGGCCAATGTAGTACCTGTTTGATGTTTAAGTTTTTTTCAGAGATAGAGAAATGTAATTTAAGAGTTATATCAGGTTTCTCTTTCTAGAGATGAAGACTTCACTGTACTTTGAGCTTCTAATATAGGTTACAAAAGTTTTATTCAATGTGATGTGGTTTGTCATCATTAAGATCCCTGCTAAAATTCTGCTATCTTTTAAACGCAGGAACAGAACATTCAGGAGAACTGGCCCATGTGCTAATGAGGTCCCCACTGTCCCTTCTAAGCCTTATGCCTGGATCAGCTGAGGACTCTCATTTTATCCTGCCAAAAGGTTCTGCTTCAATATACTCCTGAGAGCTGGAGTTGGGCCTCTGTGGGCTGTAAACAGAAAACAGAAAGCAGCCCACTCTCTATGGCCATGCTTCTTCTTGGTATCTGGTATCACATCTGGCCCACCTTTCTGCCAAATTTCTTTATGCTTTCTAGGACAAATTCATGGCTTTTTCCAGTTTCCTCAGGCGGGGCACTTGTAAACTCCAAAGGAAGTTGAGACCAGCACATGGCCCAGAAATTCTATTTGGCTTACCTTCCCTGGAACCTTCATCTAATAGTGGCAATATTCTCCTTTCCTTACACAGCTAGGTTTGCAGTTTTTACTCAGTTAAAAAAAATAAAGTAAATAATACATTGTTTAGAGATACATAAGTAAGTGGCAAAACCATAAAGAAAACCAAGGACATAATTAACACCAAACACCAGATAGTGGTTTCCTTTGCTAGAGGAAAGAAAAGAGGAGTACACAGGTATGTAACATTACATATACACAATTTTTTAAAGTTATGGGATTCAAGACAAACATCTTTCATAGCTCCATCATTTCTAACTTTTCTCTAGACATCAGTCTTGCAAATTGATGGCAAGTGGTGGTGACCAACATTTGCCTTCCCCTATGCTAACTATCTTGCATCTTGAAAGGAAGAGTGAAGCAAATGTGTGTGTGCATGTGAGGAACTATAGTCCATTTTACTACTATTGCCTAACTCTACCTCTGAATTTCTGGGCAAACCCATAAATTTGAAATAAATTCTCCTTCCCTTGCCCCATGACTTTTGAAACAGAAGGACAATTTTTAAAGTTAAGTGAAACACCTTGTATAAAAAATATTGTAGTTGATTCTGTTCATGAACAAAAATAATTTATACCAAAATAATTTAAGTATATAAAAAAGTAAAGATAAAATGACAATGTTGGGACAGGAAGTATAGGAAGAAATTAAAAGCTAAAGAACAGAGCAGAATAATCCAAACCCAAATGACATCTCAGAAAGGAAGGAAGATGCCTCAGTGGAAGACATTTCCAATAGACATTTCCTTTCCTCTCTTCCCTAAATTTTGTTCATATTAATCTCATTAAAAAAAAATTTACCTGTGTAATTTATTTCTTCAAAGATCATTTACACACATGAAAGGAAACTCCTTCTAAATAAACCAAAGTGCAGAGATAATTTCTAAGCTTTGTTCACGTATTCATGTCATTATTATGCAAAAAGAAATATTTAGGGAAGTATAAAAAACTCCCCTACTGCAATTTCATAAAATACTATTATTTTATAATACACATTAATGGCTTCTTCTAAGTAAGTGTTAATTCTATTAGGTAAATATATCATTCTACTTTTTCAGCCTTTTCTCTCTTCCTCGTTCGGTTATGTTAGGTTATAAAAATGCATTCCAAAATTCCAAATAAATAGGTTTGGATGACTTTCAAAATTTTATTATAATACCTTTTTGGTGCCCGCCAATTTTATATGACTCTAATCCAAAGGTTGTACTATTTCAGAAGATTAAAAATTATATTGCATTGCTCAGACATAACAGACCAGAAAGATTGATTCATTTGGTCCTCTATTTAATCATTCATTCATCCATCACACTTTAATGGTTTTATAGTGGTAAGACGTTGTGATAAGTGCAATGGGGAAAATATTCATGAATTAGACCATGAGGCTGACATCAAAACACCTCATATCTAATAGGAAATCGAAATATGCCTAAATAACAAAACTATGTTAATCACCATAAGATAATTTTTTTAAAAAATGTTCAATCGCCTCTGTGATGGCACAGATCATTTTCTTCTTTCTCTCTGGTCATCCCTTGCACCTGGAATAGTGCTTGGCCCATAGCAGGTGCTCGTGCTTATTGAATGGGGAAGCGGGGAAATGAATGAATGAGAAAAGAGGTGACACATGACCTGGGCTTGGATAATGGAATAATCTGGTCATCAGAAATTACATAAGGCAATTTAAAAAATCAAGATCATTCTCGTGAGTTTTATTTTGACTTAATTCAGTTCTTTTCAACAATAATTACCTCAGCATGGTCTTAAACCTCCCTCTCCACACTTGTCCTGTCACAACAACTTAAGAAAACATCCATGAACATAAAGGCAAAGGCAGTCCCAGGAACTAGGGGAGATTTGTTGAACTATGGTTCATCCATCAAAAGGTGCTGTTCATTTCAAAAGAGTCACCTTTGGTGTGTTATGCACTTAGTTCCATGATGCTAACAATATTTAATATATGCATAAAACTCCAGAAGTTGCCTTCAGAATCTGCATCAGCTCCTCTAAACATCCACAATGGCTACATTGTTATCTTTTAAAAGTGGCTTTGATATTTGAGCTTCCTGATATTTTCTCTAATTAAATGTACAAATAAATCAGTTGAGTAACATTATTGCTGGATATCTTAAAGAGGTACTCCAATTACATTCTCAGAATATTTGCTGTACATAATGGCAAAGTATATAAAAAGTGGAAAGGAGACTTGTTTAGATTTTATTTAATGTAATAAGCATTAATTATAAATAATTATATAAAATTATTTTATATAATTATTTTTAATTTTTTATTATGTATTTTAATATATATTATGTAAACAAAATGACTTGTTTACAATTTTATTTAAATACATATTCAGCTACTCACTACAATATAATAGAATATTTTTTGAAAGATCAATGGGGCTGAAGTACTAAGTGACCATATACTGGAGCTTCTGAGTTACCAACAATTTAATAAAAGCTTGGAATAAAATAAGACCAATGACTTGAAAGTCTGAAATTATCATTTTCAAGAGTCATTTTGTAGCAAACAAGAATATAGAGAAGACTAGAGTTATTTAAATTAATGAAAACATGTAGTTGGTTCTGAAACACAGAAAATAGCCTTGCAAAAGTTCAGAGTGGATACCCATCTCTAATGTAATACCCTGCAGTGACATATTCCATAGAGCAAATCAAAGAATACCTTATTTTTAAATAGTGAAAGATTGATCAGAAAGGGTTCTTATCTATGTTCCTAGATGGCTAACATACTTTATCTCATTTCATCATTGTGATATATTATTGATGGTGTCAATATTATACATAGGGAAGGCATGCCAGTGTATTTTCCTCAATGTTCCGGATAGACTATATTTTTTTGTATACTTTCTATATTAACTACATATATCTTCTATTATTCAATAATAGTCTAAGATACTCTGTCCTCTTTGCAGTTGACCCAGAAAATGAATCAATCTTGTGGGTCACCTCAAATCCTGGTTTTCAATGGGGGAAGAAAAAAGCTTCAGAAGTTCTATTAACCAACAATAGTATAAAGAATATTAAAAAGTGCTTGTTGTATATTAAACAATGTGCCTGTCTCATTTTTCTTTTCACTTTGTTTTTGGGGTTGTCAAGGTTTTCCTCAAAATTACTGTAATAATATAGAAGAGAATGTCACGTCTCCTTACTCTTCCAAAACTTTATAAAAAATTTATTACAAGCTTGTGGATGTAATTGTCTTGATTTAAGGAGAAGAAACTGAGAAAGAAAAATTTCTAAGCAAACAATTTTTCAAATATTTTAGAAACTATTGAAACTTAAGGAAAATGTTCCTTTGAAGAGCAAATCATTTATGTAATAATTTGTAATTATGTAATGATATATGATTAATAATTACTACTCAAGTTTAAATAAAACTGTAACTGTTTTCCTGTGTGATTTATATTATGTTATTAGGCAAAAATAATGTTTAATATAAATATCATTTTATTTAGTGTTATGAGGATTAATTTTAAATAATTATATAAAATTATTTTATTATAAATGATTGGAAATATATCATTTGGATGATATATTTCAGTGGTTCTCAAAAAGGACTTTACTATGGAACCACAATGCATGATATTCACAAAACATGTGTGATGCAATCACAAGATATATATCTAGATGGAGGGCTGCAGAAGAGACAGGAGATTCCAAACATTATCAACAATTCCTAATGAGGTGACCCTCAAAAAACTTACACTTGAGAAAACATAAGAGAATGTAAGTGAATTAAGATGATGCTTTTTTTGCCTTAACTTTCACTCTTATTCTTTTCAAATTTCAAAATCTTCTCATTTTTTACTATTATTAACAAATTTATTGTGATCTTACCCGATGTCTGATTCAGACACAACAATATTTTATTCTAGTTGCTAATGCTGCTCTATTCTGTGCCATTCTTTAGTTCATTCATCCAAACACTATCCATTTGCCACACATTTACTGAGTGTCTGTTAGGTATCAGGCTCTGTAATAGGCACTGGCATTACAGAGATGAACGAGCAATCTTTGAACTCAGTTTCATCTCTTAAAGATGAATATAATGAATGCCTGAGAATGATCAATGTATTGAATTGTTGTTTCATGTTAGAGTTTCATAATTGTTGAGCCATAAAATATTCTTTACCCTAAGAACCCCTGCAATTCTTAAAATGATTGAACAACTTCCATATTTTACTTACTGTGCATTTACTGATTACTATCTATTTGGTAGTGAGGCTATCCTGGTTTTCAGGAAGACCAACCAGAAATTAAGACATGAGCTGCTGATAAAGATGGTAGTAAGCATAGGAGAGAAAAAGTACCATCTTTTCCTTAACCAGCTCAAGGTTCATGGCTGAGATGCCTATAACAAAAAACAGATTAATATAAGCATACCAATTGATTTATTATAAATTGTATGTGACACAGAAGCCTCAGAAATGATCTGAAAAAAAAACAGGAATATCTTTGTATATTTTATGCTAAGTCTGATTTAAAAAATAGATGGTTGTGAAGAAACATGATTGGAGAAAAAGGAAGATAATACAATGGTAATAAACTGGGGGGAAGTCAGCAAGGCCTGATTTTTCAGATTCTTTTCTGTGTCTTCAAGGATAAGGATGGTCCTTTCATCCAGTTAGATGGAGGACTTTTTGGAATGAGGGTCTTTTGGAATTAGGGTCGCATAACCTACTTCAGGGGAAGGTCAGTTTTGTTTTATGGCCCACTTCAGGAAAGAAAAGGAAAAAAAAAGAATTCTAGTTTCTATGGTCTGCTTGAGGAGAGAGGGGGACAGGAGAAGGTCAAAGAGACCTTCCTGCTTCTGTAGTTTTCTTAATTTTTCAGCTTAAGACACTCACTATTCCAAGATGTCATATTTTGGGTTATCATGTTCCGAGTTCTGTCTGCAGTTTACTCATATGTTATATTTTATCCCCGCTGAAACTTACTGAATTTGAGGGAAGAGAGGGGATTCTGTGTATAGCTAAAATAAAAAATACTTAGCTTCCTAACCAAGAAAAATTGTAAATGAACCCTACAGCTCCTCAATGAAATGAGTTGATTTAAGACAAATGCTGAGCCATGAAGTAAAAGCAATGTGAATTTTGTTCAATTTTTAGCAATATGGAATACCAGAGAACCCAAAGTCATATAGCCTCTAATCATTTAAACTATTTTAAAAGAAGGAATATTTTAAAATATGCTTTTAAATTGATGAAAGACACTGTTGAGAAGTTGTGATAAGCCATGTGAAGCTGACAGCAAAGCAGGAACTCCAGCCCGATAAGGTAAGTTTGGAGCCCAGAGGTCCAGAGCACTATAATGGTTCTCAAAGTGTGTTCCCCGGGCCAGTAGCAGCAGTAGCACCTAGGAAATTGTATTTCTAACTACTTCCTAAGTCTCTTCCTAAACCTACTAAATCAATAACTTTGGAAGCTGGGCCCAGTAATTAGTGTTTGAAGAGAACTACAGTAGTTCTGAAAGGATAGCATATATCAGAATTATTTAGAGGGCTTGTTAACTTCCTCAATGTATATTCTGGGAAACAGCAGCATTGTTAGAAATGCAGACTCTCAGGCCCTACCCCAGACCTACCACATCAGAATCTGCAGTTTAACAAGATTCCCAGGTGACTTAGGCACATTAAAATTTGAGAACCACTGGCCTAGAGTAATGTCTTCCAAACTTTTTTGACTCAAAGAAAATGTTCTTTGTGACACAATACACACACACACACACACACACACACACACACACACACACACACACTGTAGTGGAGTCAGGAGTGAGGTGAATAAGATACCCAGGATATGAAATTTAAAGAGGATCTCACTTTCAGAGTCCTGCAAGTGAACTTGCATAAGTGAGTGCCTCTTTTAATTTTGTACTCTAATTGACTCACTTCATCTCATTCTCATCCATTGCTAGCTTTGAAGGCAGAGAAAAAGAGCCATGAGCCAAGGGTTGTGGGTGGCCTCCGAGAGCTAGAATATCCTAATCTGACAGCCAGCAAGGAAATGAGGACTTCAGTAGAATAACCACGTGGAACTGAAATTTACCAACCACCAGAGTGACCTTGGAAGTGGATTCATTCTTAGAACTCCCAGAAAGGAATACAGCCTGCGTGACACTTCTATTTCAGTACTGTGGCACTCTAAGCAGAGGACTCCACTGAACCACACTGTATCCATAAACAAGAAGTCTTTTATGCAGCTGGTGTTTATGGGAATTGGAAATTTTGACCTGTACAGCTGTGAGATAATAAATGAGTGCTGTTTTAAGCCATTACTTTTTTTATTTTTTTAATTTACTTTTATTTTTTATTTCCTTCAGTTTTTGGGGAACAGATGGTACTTGTTTACATTAGTAAGTTCTTTAGTGGTGATTTGTGAGATTTTGGTGCACCCATCACCTGAGAAGTATACACTGAACCCAATTTATACTCTTTTATCCCTCACTCCCCTCCCACCCTTCCCCCGAGTCTCCAAAGTCCATTGTATCATTCTTATGCCTTTGCATTCTCATAACTTAGCTACCGCTTATGAATGAGAACATATGATGTTTGGTTTCCCATTCCTGAGTTAGTTCACTTAGAATAATAGTCTTCAATTCCATCCAGGTTGCTGTGAATGCCATTAATTCATTCCTTTATATGTTAAGCCACAAATTTGTAGTAATTTATTATGGCAGCAACAGAAAACTAATACATATACATACATACCTACTGCATGTATGTATATAATTGGTGTCAAAAAATACTCTTACTAAAAGAACATACTATATGTGATAAACTGTTATTTTTATGTTCTCCTATACTATTTTATTTCATTTTTAATGCTGGTCATGCTGTACTAAATTAACTTTATAAACCATTAATCAGTTGCTTTGATTAAAAAAATTTAGCCTAGATATTTTGTACATTGTGGAGGGTAGAAAGTGGTGGACTATACATTGTGTCTCCTTGGAAGGGCAGGGAGATGGGCCAGATAAAATCCTAATTAAAACCAAGAATTGGATATATATATATATATATATATATATATATATATATATATATATATATGTAAAAGAAAGGAAGCGAAAACCTCTCCTGCAGATGAAAAATAACATGAAGGAAAAGTAGAGTTGTCTAAGTAGGTGTATTCAACAAGTTTTGGAAGGTAAGATGAAGCACAGGCTATATTCCTTCTGCTGTTATTGCTTGCAAGCCAGGCCATGGAAGTGTGAGCATTTAGAGACAGATGTGGCAGCCAGACTCAGGGTTGCAATGTGCAGCAACAGCAGCTTCTGTCCCTTGCATTTCAGCTATGGTACTGTGCTCTTGAATTCACTATTACAGTGGCAGGCTTAACTTTTGTTTCCCTAGTTATTCCAGTTATTTTATGAGCACAAGTACCTGTATTGATTCTCTGCTTGAATGATATTTGCCCCTGCCCTGAATCTGGACCAATAAATAGGAATCCTCTTATGCAGCTGCTATTATATGGAAATTGGCTAAACACTTTGGAAAATAATTTCGCATTACCTAGTAAAGTGGAAAATGTGCATACCATACAACTCACGAATCCTACTCCAAAAAAGTATATCCTAGAGAAAATTTTATGTAAATAATATATCAGGAAGCATGTATAAAAATGTATATAAAAACACTGTTCATCACGATGAGAAATGGACACAACCCAAAAGAGAGAGTTCCCTATGAAAAAATCATTAAGGAACATAAAGACCAAGAAGTTACAGAAACTAAAAGATAAAAAGCAATTCCACAAGCTTTCTGATAGAAAAGCAAGGACACCTTCCAGGCAGAGGAGGTGGTAGCTGGAGAGCAGAATTAATTAATTAGCAGTTAACTTTGCTAATTGAAGAACTGTCCACTAAGTGTTGTGGAGAAAAAGATCTTATCCAAAATGTGGTATTCCTAGGTAATTCATATATCAAGGAAAATAAACCAATTGAAAAATAAAACAAAATTTAAAACTGACAATTGGAAAAGGCAAAAATACAAAAAAAAAACTCTTAATGACCACTCAATTCAGTCTAAATCACTATGCTAACAAGAGTTACAGAATAAAATGTAATTGCTATAGTTTTTGAAAAAACCGCTACATAATGTAAAAATAAGAACAGTTTGAGGATAATGGACTAGGCCAAAAATTTCAAAAAATGACAACACAATGAAGGTAAAAGGCAGGAGTGATAACATAAAAGCATATATTTATTATTTGTCTTGGGGACTGACAGGAAATATAATTTTACTTCAAAAGTTGACACATGGGGAAACACAGATTTATGAATTTATTTGAAAGATACATAGAAAATTTCAAGGAGAATAAAAAGCAGATGCTTTTATCTTCCAACTGGGAAAGGAAGAGAAGGGAAGAAGGTAAAAATGTGAAGAAATCAGAGACTACATATCAAAAGAGAAGGAATAGTAAAACTGGGAATATAAGCAAAGATAGCAGATGCAAAACCAAACACATGTACTATAACAATACATGCAAGTAGGATAAACTTGCTTATAAAAAGTGAAATCACTGAAACTGTATGTTATATATGGAGAGTAATCTAAGACAAAGGAAATCAAACAAATTAAAATAATGTAAAAATCTGGTGGGTCAAAAAAATTTAAGATTAAAAAAGAAGAAGCATAGTACCATAAAATTAATATCAATATTCAAAGCAAATAATTAAATGGGACAAAAAGTATATAATCCACAATGAAAATAACTTATGAATATTTACTTTAAAAATCACATGGCATTGAAATATACAAAGTGAAAACTTCTAAAAGGTAAAGATAAAATTAACTAAAATATAATAGTGGTTTTAAAATATGTGTTCCTAAATCTTTAATAGATTTGGTAGAAAAAAGGGAATATGAAAGAATCAGTGTAATAGAAAGTAAGATAAAGT
Organism: Homo sapiens; assembly: GCF_000001405.40. Classification (NCBI taxonomy): domain Eukaryota; kingdom Metazoa; phylum Chordata; class Mammalia; order Primates; family Hominidae; genus Homo; species Homo sapiens. The sequence goes on along the minus strand of NC_000008.11, from coordinate 46,761,218 downwards.
AACAGATGTCTTTGGACTCAGCTTGTTGGAAAAAGGAAAATGACTGGCTATTTCAGTGCTGGTCAAGGTGGTAAAGGGTCACTTTGAATCAGTATTGGCTCACCATAGCCAATAATACCACTAAAAGAATTAGAACCCAGCCTTATGTCTAACAAAATTCCAAAACATTTCAAATAAATTCACGATCTAAATTTTTTTAAACTTATTTTGAAAAAGAAAAATTTAGAGTTTTGTAATCCTAGGTTACAAAAAGTCTTTTAAAGGCAGAGATAAATACAAATAGTCCCTAATATTCAATTTATTTGGCCTAAATTTTTTCACTTTACCACAGTGTGAAAGTGACATACATTTAGGATGCTCCTCTACTTATGATGGATTATCCCAACATAGGCCCATCGTTAAGTCTAGGAGCATCTATACATAAAGTAAAAAATTGACAGTAAAAGACTGTTCATTGGTTCAGCAAAACATTAAAATATTTTATAATATTCTGTCTTAAGGAAGGAATGAGAGAAAGGACAGTTTAATACATTGTTGATAGGAATGTAAAGTAATATACTTTGGAAAGTCAGCTTGATGATTTACATTTTAAAATCTTAAAATTTTAGTTTCCTTTGTTTCCAGTAGGGTTGGAATTAACAGACACTATCTTTGACTAACTTATGTGAAAAATAAATTTGTTGGAAGGATGTTGGATAGTTCACAGAATCAAAGGGAAAGTACGAAAACAAGTCCAGGAAAAAAGTGGAACTGGACAAATCATCAGATCATCCTCATGGAATAAAAGAATGAATAAACAAAAGAGCCCCTAACATTTTTAATTTCTTACATCACTTCCCTCAAGAACTACTACCAAGATAATCCGATTGACCTAGCTTGATTGGTGAGAGCAGGACAATTTATGTTATAAATCTGCCAATACTACACACAAAGAGGGGATGGTGGCACCCCTGAAGAATTAGAGTGCTTAGTTTTGTTTCCAAACAAGAGAGTGGGTAGATGCTGAATAGTCAAAAAAGGAAAAATACCCATTACAGCAGTTTACTCAGCAATTCTATGTGGAGTACCTTATCCCAAAAAAATAACTGGAAAAAGATGCAAATATAGCCAGGCACAGTGGCATGTGCCAGTAGTCCCAGTGTTACACAAGGGAAGAGGTCAGTGGGTGACAGCCAAATGACCACAACCAAGGAGAATTTAATTAACTAGGATATTTTACCATTTGCAACAAGTAAGAAGGACACCAGTGATAATTCCCCAAAGCAATTCCTCCCTGAACAGAGGTGAAAACAGGATTTTTAATAGGCTGGTTAGCTGAGTCATTGTATGTAGCATTGGCATAGTCCCATGAATAGAACATGGCAAATGAGCTCCTCCCTGGGTGGAGTTTTTAGTATGGTGATGAGGAGAGTTTGCCAAAGTTCATCTTAGACTCAGGCCACTCTGGATCCAGATGTTTTTTTTCCCCCTGGAACTTTTATAAACAACAAGAACTCCAGGTGCAACAGTTATAAGAAGTAGTTTTTCATAGTGGTACCCAGAAAACCAGGGACTCTGGGCTACATCAGCCACTGGGGAGGCTAAGGCAGCAGGATGTTTGGGCCTAAGAGTTCAAGGCCAGCCTGGGCAACATAGCAAGACTCTGTCTCAAAAAATGTAAATATTTGCAAATAAGACATTTATCACAGTGGTTTTTGTTACAGTAAAAACTAAAAATTGTTTAACAATATAGGATTGGCTCAACAAATTACATTATAGGCATCTGAAGAAATAATATGCAACTGCTTACAATAATAATGCAAGTCAACATTTACAGACATGGACTGATTGCGCTTAATATACAGTGAATATAGAAAAGCCCTGGGAGGTGATAGCAGGGAAGGAAAGGGATTGAAAGTGATTGAGGGATTGAAAGGAGGGAGGAAGGAGTAGGTAAGGCTAGAGGAAAGTGGTTACGGTGGGGCATGGCTGAATAAAAGTGGGCTGAGAAAGGTGAATGAGTTTATTCTGAGCTCTGGGTCAGAAGCCGCTGGAAATAACCCAGGGAACATGGAAGGTGGAAGAGTGGCAATTTAGTACTGTGGCACAGACAGGCCCTGGATGTTCCCAACCTCACAACATTCAAATAAATGTCTTCATTTTTTAAATACAGAAGGAGGCATATCCAGAATTTAACAATGATTTTTCTCTGATTGGGACTGTAGAATGTTTTTGGTTGTCTGTACTATTAATATCTCTACAGTGAACCTTAATTAATTCTGTAACTTAAAAAAGAGAAAGATATCCTCTTAGTCTTCAAATATAACAAGAGGAATAAACAAAACAAATCCTAAGACTCTTCATCAGATTGTTGTGTTAATAGGAGTCCCAAATCACAGTGAGGTGAGTATAGAGATTTCACAATTTAGAATTTATCCAAGCTTTATAGGAAAACTTGTATCACTGAGTGTGTTTAATCATTAACATCTATTAAGTTGCAGCACAAAACCAGTTTATTGAAGGTCAAGACGCCTGGCTTCACAAACAGTACAATGATCATCTTATCATTTTTCTTTCTCAGCACTGAGTTGGAGTGTTGAGCATGCCACACATTTATATGCCCACAGCGACAGGGAAAGAGTTTTACGCTGGAAATAAATTGCATATTCCATCTGCCAATGAAGCAGAGACAACATATCCTTATTGGATCAACTGACATGTCTTTATTTTCTCGTTTTGTGCAGTTTGGCCTTGTTTTGTTTTAAATAAAATAATGTAAAGATGAAACTACTTGAGATAACAGACCTGTAACATGACACATTTACATTTCAAAACATTTTTATTCATAAATCTCCCAAGAAAGACCAAACCATCTGTACAGGTTTTAATGTTTGTTCAGAGTACTGACCCTATAGGTTTCAATGTCTCTCTCATGTGTGGCACAGATGAGTGAACCAGGAAGTAGGGATGGAAAAATAAAGCCAGGGGGTGGAGCCAAGATGGCCAAATAGGAACAGCTACAGTATACAGCTCCCAGCATAAGCGACGCAGAAGACGGGTGATTTCTGCATTTCCAACTGAGGTACCAGGTTCATCTCACTGGGGAGTGTCAGGAAGTGGGTGCAGGACAGTGGGTGCAGCATGCATTGAGCATGAGCCAAAGCAGGGTGAGGCATTGCCTCACCCGGGAAGTGCAAGGGGACAGGGAATTCCCTTTCCTAGTCAAAGAAAGGGGTGACAGATGGCACCTGGAAGATTGGGTCGCTCCCATGCTAATACTGCACCTTTCCAACAGTCTTAGCAAATGGCACACCATGAGATTATATCCTGCGCCTGGCTCAGAGGGTCCTACACCCATGGAGCCTCGCTTATTGCTAGCACAGCAGTATGAGATCACATTGCAAGGTGGCAGCGAGGCTGGGGGAGGGGTGCCTGCTATTGCCAAGGCTAGAGTAGGTAAACAAAGTGGCCAGGAAGTTCAAACTTGGTGGAGCCCACCACAGCTCAAGGAGGTCTGCCTGCCTCTGCAGACTCCACATCTGGGGGCAGGGCATTGCCAAATAAAAAGCACCAGAATCCTCTGCAGACATAAATGTCCCTGTCTGACAGCTTTGAAGAGAGTAGTGGTTCTCCCAGCATGCAGCTGGAGATCTGACAATGGACAGACTGCCTCCTCAAGTGGATCCCTGACCCCTGAGTAGCCTAACTGGGAGGCACCCCCCAGTAGGGGCAGACTGACACCTCACACGGCCAGGTACTCCTCTGAGACAAAACTTCCAGAGGAATGATCAGGCAGCAACATATGCTGTTCACCAATATATGCTGTTCTACAGCCTCCGCTGCTGATACCCAGGCAAACAGAGTCTGCAGTGGACCTCCAGCAAACTCCAACAGACCTGCAGCTGAGGGTCCTGACTGTTAGAAGGAAAACTAACAAACAGAAAGGACATCCACACCAAAAACCCATTTGTACGTCACCATCATCAAAGATCAAAGGTAGATAAAACCATAAAGATGGGGAAAAAACAGAACAGAAAAACCGGAAACTCTAAAAATCAGAGTGCCTCTCCTCCTCCAAAGGAACAGAGCTCCTCACCAGCAACTGAGCAAAGCTGGATGGAGAATGACTTTGACGAATTGAGAGAAGAAGTCTTCAGATGATCAAACTACTTCGAGCTAAAGGAGGAAGTTCGATACAATGGCAAAGAAATCAAAAACCTTGAAAAAAATTTAGACGAATGGCTAACTAGAATAACCAATGCAGAGAAGTCCTTAAAGGACCTGATGGAGCTGAAAACCGAGGCACAAGAAATACATGATGAATGCACAAGCCTCAGTAGCCCATTTGATTAACTGGAAGAAAAGGTATCAGTGATGGAAGAGCAAATGAATGTAATGAAGCGAGAAGAGAAGTTTAGAGAAAAAAGAATAAAAAGAAAAGAACAAAGCCTCCAAGAAATATGGGACTATGTGAAAAGACCAAATCTACGTCTCATTGGTGTACCTGAAAGTGACAGGGAGAATGGAACCAAGTTGGAAAACACTCTGCAGGATATTATCCAGGAGAACTTACCCAATCTAGCAAGGCAGGCCAACATTCAAATTCAGGAAATACAGAGAATGCCACAAAGATACTCCTTGAGAAGAGCAACTCCAAGACACATAATCGTCAGATTCATCAAAGTTGAAATGAAGGAAAAAATGTTAAGGGCAGCCAGAGAGAAAGGTTGGGTTACCCACAAAGGGAAGCCCATGAGACTAACAGCTGATCTCTCTGCAGAAACTCTACAAGTCAGAAGAGAGGGGGGCCAATATTCAACATTCTTAAAGAAAAGAATTTTCAACCCAGAATTTCATATCCAGCCAAACTAAGCTTCAAAAGTGAAGGAGAAATAACATCCTTTACAGACAAGCAAAGGCTGAGAGATTTTGTCACCACCAGGTCTGCCCTGTAAGAGCTCCTGAAGGAAGCACTAAACATGGAAAGGAACAACCAGTACCAGCCACTGCAAAAACTTGCCAAATTGTAAAGACAATCAAGGCTAGGAAGAAACTGCACCAACTAATGAGCAAAATAACGAGCTAACATCATAATGACAGGATCAAATTCACACATAATAATATTAACCTTAAATGTAAATGGGCTAAATGCTCCAATTAAAAGACACAGACTGGTAAATTAGAAAAACAGTCAAGACCCACCAGTGTGCTGTATTCAGGAAACCCATCTCACATGTAGAGACACACAGAGGCTCAAAATAAAGCGATGGATGAAGATCTACCAAGCAAATGGAAAACAAAAAAAGGCAGGGGTTGCAGTCCTAGTCTCAGATAAAACACACTTTAAATCAACAAAGATCAAAAGAGACAAAGAAGGCCATTACATAATGCTAAAGGGATCAATTCAACAAGAAGAGCTAACTATCCTAAATATATATGCACCCAATACAGGAGCACCCAGATTCATAAAGCAAGTCCTTAGAGACCTACAAAGAGACTTAGACTCCCACACCATAATAATGGGAGACTTTAACACCCCACTGTCAACATTAGACAGATCAACAAGACAGAAAGTTAACAAGGATATCCAGGAACTGAAATCAGCTCTGCACCAAGCGGACCTAATAGACATCTACAGAATTCTCCATCCCAAATCAACAGAATATACATTCTTTTCAGCACCACACCACACCTGTTACAAAATTAACCACAATAGTTGGAAGAAAAGCACTCCTCAGCAAATGTAAAGGAACAGAAATTATAACAAACTGTCTCTGAGACCACAGTGCAATCAAATGAGAACTCAGGATTAAGAAACTCACTCAGAACTGCTCAACCACATGGAAACTGAACAACCTGCTCCTAAATGACTACTGGGTACATAATGAAATGAAGGCAGAAATAAAGATTATCTTTAAAATCAACGAGAACAAAGACACAACATACCAGAATCTCTGGGACACATTCAAAGCAATGTGTAGAGGGAAATTTATAGCACTAAATCCGCACAAGAGAAAGCAGGAAAGATCTAAAATGGACACCCTAACATCACAATTAAAAGAACTAGAGAAGCAAGAGCAAACACATTCAAAAGCTAACAGAAGGCAAGAAATAACTAAGATCAGAGCAGAACTGGAGGAAATAGAGACACAAAAAACCCTTCAAAAAATCAATGAATCCAGGAGCTGGGTCTTTAAAAAGATCAACAAAATCAATAGACCACTAGCAAGACTAATAAAGAAGAAAGGAGAGAAGAATCAAATAGATGCAATAAAAATGATAAAGGGGATACCACCACCAGTCCCACAGAAATAAAAAATACCATCACAGAATACTATAAACACCTCTATGCAAATAAACTACAAAATGTAGAAGAAATGGATAAACTCCTCGACACATACACCCTCCCAAGACTAAACAAGGAAGAAGTTGAATCTCTCAGTAGACCAATAAGAGGCTCTGAAATTGAGGCAATAATTAATAACTTACCAACCAAAAAAAGTCCAGGATCAGATAGACTCACAGATGAATTCTACCAGATGTACAAGGAAGAGCTGGTACCATTCCTTCTGAAACTATTCCAATCAATAGAAAAAGAGGGAACTAACTCATTTTATGAGGCCAGCATCATCCTGATACCAAAGCCTGGCAGAGACACAACAGAAAAAGGGAATTTTAGACGAATATCCCTGATGAACAGCGATGCAAAAATCCTCAATAAAATACTGGCAAACTGAATCCAGCAGCATATCAAAAAGCTTATCCACCATGATCAAGTGGGCTTCATCCCAGGGATGCAAGGATGGTTCAACATATGAACATCAATAAACGTAATCCAGCATATAAACAGAACCAATGACAAAAACCACATGATTATCTCAATAGATGCAGAAAAGGCCTTTGACAAAATTCAACAACCCTTCATGCTAAAAACTCTCAATAAATTAGGTATTGATGGGACGTATCTCAAAATAATAAAAGCTATCTATGACAAACCCTGCCAATATCATACTGAATGGACAAAAACTAGAAGCATTCCCTTTGAAAACTGGCACAGGACAGGGATGCTCTCTCTTGCCACTCCTATTCAACATAGTGTTGGAAGTTCTGGCCAGGACAAGCAGGCAAGAGAAGGAAATAAAAGGTATTCAATTAGGAAAAGAGGAAGTCAAATTGTCCCTGTTTGCAGATGACATGATTGTATATCTAGAAAACCCCACTTTCTCAGCCCAAAATCTCCTTAAGCTGATAAGCAACTCCAGCAAAGTCTCAGGATACAAAATCAATGTGCAAAAATCACAAGCATTCTTATAAACCAATAACAGACAAACAGAGAGCCAAATCGTGAGTCAACTCCCATTCCCAATTGCTTCAAAGAGAATAAAATATCTAGGAATCCAACTTACAAGGGACATGAAGGACCTCTTCAGGGAGAATTACAAACCACCGTTCAATTAAATACAAGAGGATACAAACAAATGGAAGAACATTCCATGCTCATGGGTAGGAAGAATCAGTATCGTGAAAATGGCCATACTGCCCAAGGTAATTCATAGATTCAATGCCATCCCCATCAAGCTACCAATGCCTTTCTTCACAGAATTGCAAAAAACTACTTGAAAATTCATATGGAACCAAAAAAGAGCCCGCATTGCCAAGTCAATCCTAAGCCGAAAAAACAAAGCTGGAGGCATCACATTACCTGACTTCAAACTATACTACAAGGCTACAGTAACCAAAACAGCATGGTACTGGTACCAAAACAGAGATATAGATCAATGGAACAGAACAGAGCCCTCAGAAATAATGCTGCATATCTACAACTATCTGATCTTTGAGAAACCTGAGAAAAACAAGCAATGGGGAAAGGATTCCCTATTTAATAAACGGTGCTGGGAAAACTGGCTAGTCATATGTAGAAAGCTGAACCTGGATCCCTTCCTTACACATTATACAAAAATTAATTCAAGATGGATTAAAGACTTAAATGTTAGACCTAAAACCATAAAAACCCTAGAAGAAAACCTAGGCAATACCATTCAGGACATAGGCACGGGCAAGGACTTCATGTCTGAAACACCAAAAGCAATGGCAACAAAAGCCAAAATTGACAAATGGGATCTAATTAAACTCAAGAGCTTCTGCACAGCAAAAGAAACTACCATCAGAGTGAACAGGCAACCTACAGAATGGGAGAAAATTTTTGCAACCTACTCATCTGACAAACGGCTAATATCCAGAATCTACAATGAACTCAAATAAATTTACAAGAAAAAAAAACCACCAAAAATTGGGCAAAGTATATGAACAGACACTTCTCAAAAGAAGACATTTATGCAGCCAAAAGACACATGAAAAAGTGCTCATCATCACTGGCTGTCAGAGAAATGCAAATGAAAATGACAATGAGATACCATCTCACACCAGTTAGAATGGCGATCATTAAAAAGTCAGGAAACAACAAGTGCTGGAGAGGATGTGGAGAAATAGGAACACTTTTACACTGTTGGTGGGACTGTAAAGTAGTTCAACCATTGTGGAAGTTGGTGTGGCGATTCCTCAGGGATCTAGAACTAGAAATACCATTTGACCCAGCCATCCCATTACTGGGTATATACCCAAAGGATTATAAATCATGCTGCTATAAAGACACATGCACACATGAGTTTATTGTGGCACTATTCACAATAGCAAAGACTTGGCGCCAACCCAAATGTCGAACAGTGACAGACTGGATTAAGAAAATGTGGCACATACACACCATGGAATACTATGCAGCCATAAAAAATGATGAGGTCATGTCCTTTGTAGGGACATGGAAGAAACTGGAAACCATCATTCTCAGCAAACTATCGTAAGGACAAAAAGCCAAACACCACATGTTCTCACTCATAGGTGGGAAATGAACAATGAGCACACATGGACACAGGAAGGGGAACATCACACACTGGGGCCTGTTGTGGGGTGGGTTGAGCAGGGAGGGATAGCGTTGGGAGATATACCTAATGTTAAATGACGAGTTAATGGGTGCAGCACACCAACATGGCACATGTATACATATGTAACAAACATGCACATTGTGCACATGTACCATATAATAATAGTTTAAAAAATTTATAGCATGATGTGCATAGTTCTTGTAGTTTTATTTGCATTTTTTGTTGCTAATGAGATGGAGCATCTTTTAATATTTTGTTATTCACTCAAGTTTACTCTTCTGCTCTTAAATTTTTTTTCCTCATTTTTATACTGAGGGTTTTTTAAACTCTTCTTTCTATTGATTTGCAGTAGTTCTTTAGGCATCCTGAATACCAACCGTCTGTTGGTTACATAGACTGAAAATAAATTCAGTAGATTATCTTTTCTATAAGATATTTTTGATACAGAATTTATTTTAATATAATTGGATCCATTGATCTTTTCATTCCCAGTCACAGCAGTATTGTTTGTAAAAATTAAAAAAAGAAAGCATTCTATTAATATATCATGAGGAAAATGGAAAAACAAATACATTTAGATATATTCAAACAATGAAATTGCATGTAGCAGCGAATTAGAGCTATACATATAAGCATAGATAAATCTCATAAACAAAACACTAAATGAAAAATACAAGTTGAAGAAGACAAAAAGCAATATAAACATACATAAACTATAAAAAACTTTTAAAAAGATTTAACAGGCCAGGCACAGTGGCTCACATGTATAATCCTAGCACTTTGGGAGGCTGAAGTAGGCAGATCGCTTGAGTCCACGTGTTTGAGACCATCCTGAGTAACATGGCAAAACACTATCTCTACAAAAAAATTCAAAAATTAGCCAGATGTGGTGGCACACGCCTGCAGTCCCAGCTACCTGGAAAGCTGGGGTGTGAGGATCACCTAAGCCCAGGGAGGTCGAGGCTGCAGTGAGCCATGATTGCGTCACTTCACTACAGCCTGAATAACAGACTGAGACGTTGTCTCTAGACAATAAAGTAAAATAAAATAAAATAAATTAAAATAAAGCGATCCAACATAAAGTATAAATAAACATATGAGAAAACAAACTTCAAAGTCAGGCTTATCATACAGTTCTTTGAATGTCTTCATATTTTTGCATGTAGAAATAATAACGTTGTTGAATGCAGCAGCAGTTCTGGTGACACTTTCTCTAGTAAGCTAGATCAGGATTCCTCTGCAGCCATGTTGAAGAAACTTGCAACTGGCACTGATCCTTCACCATCCTTTCCTAAGTGGGTGTCTTTCAAGATGAGAAGATTGAGATCATTGCCAATACTCAGCCACATTATGTCACCTTTACAGTTATAACATGATCAATCACTGATACTGTAAATAGGTTACAATGAACTCCACAATATGATTCTTGGGGCCAAACGTATACTTGGACAATTATTTGATTACTCAACTCTCCAGTAACACAAGCAGAGTAGGTAACGTATAAAGAGGAGATTAAAAATTTCTGGCTGGGGCAAGGCGCTGTGGCTTATGCCTGTAATCCCAGCACTTTGGGAGGTTGAGGTGGGAGGATCACAAGACATCACGAGTTTGAGACCAGTCTGTTCACATGGTGAAACCCTGCCTCTACTAAAAACACAAAAATTGGTAGAGTGTGGTGGCATGCACTTGTAATCCCAGCTACTCGGGAAGCTGAGGCATGAGAATCCTTTGAACCTGAGAGGCTGAGGTTGTAGTGAGCCAAAATTGTTCTAATGCACTCCAGCCTGGGTGACAGAGCAAGACTCTGAAGAAGGAAAGATGTTCGGACAGAAGGAAAGAATGAAGAAGAAAGAGAAAGAAAGAAGAAAGAAAGGGAGAAAAAGAAAGAAAGAGAGAGAAAGAAAGAAAGAGAAAGAAAAGAAAATAAGGAAAGAAAGGAAGGAAGGAAGAAAGAAAGAAAGAAAGAAAAAAAAAATTTCTGGCTGGGCGTGGTGGCTCATGCCTGTAATCTAGAACTTTGGGAGGCTGAGGCAGGTGGATCACTTGAGCTCAGGTGTTTGATACCAGCCTGGCCAACATGGTGAAACCCCATCTTTATTTTTTATTTTATTTAATTATTTATTTATTTATTTATTATTATTATTATACTTTAAGTTTTAGGGTACATGTGCACAATCTGCAGGTTAGATACTTATGTATACATGTGCCATGCTGGTGTGCTGCACCTACTAACTCGTCATCTAGCATTAGGTATATCTCCTAATGCTATCCCCCCCCCTCCCCCCACCCTACAACAGTTCCCAGAGTGTGATGTTCCCCTTCCTGTGTCCATGTGTTCTCATTGTTCAATTCCCACCTATGAGTGAGAACATGTGGTGTTTGGTTTTTTGTTCTTGCTATAGTTTACTGAGAATGATGATTTCCAATTTCATCCACGTCCCTACAAAGGACATGAACTCATCATTTTTTATGGCTGCATAGTATTCTGTGTTGTATATGTGCCACATTTTCTTAGTCCAGTCTATCATTGTTGGACATTTGGGTTGGTTCCAAGTCTTTGCTATTGTGAATAATGCTGCAATAAACATACGTGTGCATGTGTCTTTAAAGCAGCATGACTTATAGTCCTTTGGGTATATACCCAGTAATGGGATGGCTGGGTCAAATGGTATTTCTAGGTCTAGATCCCTGAGGAATCGCCACACTGACTTCCACAATGGTTGAACTAGTTTTCAGTCCCACCAACAGAAGGAAATAAATGGTATTCAATTAGGAAAAGAGGAAGTCAAATTGTCCCTGTTTGCAGACGACATGATTGTATATCTAGAAAACCCCATTGTCTCAGCCCAAAATCTCCTTAAGCTGATAAGCAACTTCAGCAAAGTCTCAGGATACAAAATCAATGTACAAAAATCACAAGCATTCTTATACACCAACAAGAGACAAACAGACACCTAAATCATGAGTGAACTCCCATTCACAATTGCTTCAAATAAAATACCTAGGAATCCAACTTACAAGGGATGTGAAGGACCTCTTCAAGGAGAACTACAAACCACTGCTCAGGGAAATAAAAGAGGATACAAACAAATGGAAGAACATTCCATGCTCATGGGTAGGAAGAATCAACATCGTGAAAATGGCCATACTGCCCAAGGTAATTTACAGACTCAATGCCATCCCCATCAAGCTACCAATGACTTTCTTCACAGAATTGGAAAAAACTACTTTAAAGTTCATATGGAACCAAAAAAGAGCCCGCATCGCCAAGTCAATCCTAAGCCAAAAGAACAAAGCTGGAGGCATCACACTATCTGACTTCAAACTATACTACAAGGCTGCAGTAACCAAAACAGCATGGTACTGGTACCAAAACAGAGATATAGATCAATGGAACAGAACAGAGCCCTCAGAAATAACGCCGCATATCTACAACCATCTGATCTTTGACAAACCTGAGAAAAACAAGCAATGGGGAAAGGATTCCCTATTTAATAAAGGGTGCTGGGAAAACTGGCTAGCCATATGTAGAAAGCTGAACCTGGATCCCTTCCTTACACCTTATACAAAAATCAGTTCAAGATGGATTAAAGACTTAAACGTTAGACCTAAAACCATAAAAACCCTAGAAGAAAACCTAGGCATTACCATTCAGGACATAGGCATGGGCAAGGACTTCATGTCTAAAACACCAAAAGCAATGGCAACAAAAGCCAGAATTGACAAATGGGATCTAATTAAACTCAAGAGCTTCTGCACAGCAAAAGAGACTACCATCAGAGTGAACAGGCAACCTACAAAATGGGAGAAAATTTTCACAACCTACTCATCTGACAAAGGGCTAATATCCAGAATCTACAATGAACTGAAAAAAATTTACAAGAAAAAAACAAACAACCTCATCAAAAAGTGGGTGAAGGACATGGACAGACACTTCTCAAAGGAAGACATTTATGCAGCCAAAAAACACATGAAAAAATGCCCACCATCACTGGCCATCAGAGAAATGCAAATCAAAACCACAATGAGATACCATCTCACACCAGTTAGAATGGCGATCATTAAAAAGTCAGGAAACAACAAGTGCTGGAGAGGATGTGGAGAAATAGAAACCCCATCTTTATTAAAAATACAAAATTAACTTGGTGTAGTGGTGTATGCCTCTAATCCCAACTACTTGGGAGGCTGAAGCCGGAGAATCGCTTGAAACCAGGAGGCAGAGATTACAGGGAGCTGAGATCATGCCATTGCACGCCAGCCTGGACAAAAAGAGCAAAACTTCATATATATATAAATTTTGGTTTGAAGAAGATTAACAAAATTACAGAAGCTCACTTTGGCAAGCTGCGACATCACCACGGTACCAGAACTTTAATGACTCTCAGTGCCAAGGTGCCAACAATGCAATAAATGTTACTGGTCTCTGTATTTCCAATGACCCAAATGCCAACTGCTACTGCTTAAGGCTTGATCAGGATGGTTGCTGTCAAACAAAATGTGTTGATCCTTGAAACAGGAGGCAGCACTTTTGATGTATCCACCCTCACTTGTGAAGATGGTATCCTTGATTTCTAGTTTTCAACTAAGGACATTTCTTTGGGTGGATAAAATTTTCTTAACTCAGCTGGGCACAGTAACTCATGCCTGAAATCTGAGGACATTGGGAGGCCAAGACAGGCAGATCACCCGAGGTCACAGGTTTGAGACAATCCTGGCCAACATGGTAAAACCACATATCTTCTAAAAATACAAAATTTAGCTCAGCATGGTGGCGGGCACCTGTAATCCCAGCAACTCAGGAGGCTGAGGTAGGAGAATCACTTGAACCCGGGAGGCAGAGGTTGCAGTGAGCCTAGATCATGCCACTGCACTCCAGTCTGGGTGACAGAGTGAGACTTCATCTCAAAAAGCAAACAAAACAAAACAAAAAAACTTTCTTAACCAAGCATCAACCATTTGAAGGTCAAAGTTGAGCAAATTAATAAAGACATTAATTAAAACAAGAAGTCTATCTGAGCACTGTCTGGGGGACTAGGAATCAACCAGCCCTGCCTGCCATTTATGTTAAAAATGTTCACCATCAGGAGGCCTAATACCAAGGCCCAGCTCACCCGCTGCTAGCGTCTGAGCACGTCATTCAGGGGCCTGGAGACCACCCCACCCACTACTGCCAGTATCCATGTGCTACTCCCAGGAGCCTGAGGATGGATACTCACAGCCTGCTGCCACCAACACCAGTGAGACTCACATGCACACACCACCTGGGAACCTGGAGACTGGCCCTGCCAACCTATTGCAGTCACTGCTGGCACTAACACATGCAACCTGGGGGTACACAAGTTGGCCCACCATCACTACTGCTGTGGCTGATGACACACATGCTTCCTAGAAGCCCAAGGATGCCCCACCTAACCACAAATTCTATTGCTGCCACAGCTGACACCTGAACAAGCTCCCTGGAGACCCAAGAATTGGCATATCTAGGCTCACTAACATCAGTGCCGGCGTATGTTGCCTAGGGGCCCAAGGAAAGGTATGCCTAGCCCACCACTAACACCAAGTGGGCCTGAAGACTATCCTGCTTTACCTAGCTATTCCCAGAAAAGCCTAACCACAGCATTCACTAACGACTGCAGCCTAAGCCACTGAGAAAATCACAGGCACCACTGATATCGATTGTAGCCAAAGAAATCATTCAAAGATGACACTACTGCACAAACCCAGAATCAAAACTAAAGCACCTATACAACTAACACTTATAGATATATGTACAGAAAAAGCCTATCCCTATAAAACCAATTCAAAAAAATTGGAAGAAGTGACTAATGCACCGGAAGTGCAGATATCAACATAAGGACACAAGAAATATGAGAAATCAAGGAATATGACACTCCAAAGGATCACAATAATTCTTCAGCAATAGATTTCAATAGAAGGGAAAAAATCTATTAAATTTCTGAGAAATAATTCAAAATAATGGCATTAAAAATCTCAGTTAGATACAAGGAAACTCAGACAAAAAATACAAAGAAGTTAGAAAAACATAAAATTAGAAATTAGAAATTCATGATCTGAATCAGAAATTCAATAAAGAGATAAATATCATTAAGAAAGTGCCACACAGAAATCCTGGAAATGAAGAAATCAATAAATGAAATTAAAAATGCAGTCAAGAACGTTAACAATTGACTAAGTGGAGCAGAAGAAATAAATTCTAAACTTAAACACAGGTCTTTTGAAATAACCCAAGCCAAAAAATAAAAATAAAAAAGAGGGTGGAGCCAAGGTGGCCAAATAGGAACAGCTCCAGTCTACAGCTCCCAGCATGAGTGACACAGAAGACGGGTGATTTCTGCATTTCCAACTGAGATACTGGGTTCATCTCACTGGGGAGTGCTGGATAGTGGGTGCAGGACACTGGGTGCAGCGCACTGTGCATGAGCCAAAGCAGGGCGAGGAGTCACTTCACCCAGGAATTGCAAGGGGTCAGGGAATTCCCTTTCCTAGTCAAAGAAAGTGGTGACAGACGGCACCTGGAAAATTGGGTCACTCCCACCCTAATACTGTGCTTTTCCAATGGGCTTAACAAACGGCACACCAGGAGATTATATCCCGCACATGGCTCAGAGGGTCCTACACCCACAAAGCCTCACTCACTGCTAGCACAGCAGTCTGAGATCAAACTGCAAGGTGGCAGTGAAGCTGGGGAAAGGGCGCCTGATATGGTCCAGGCTTGAGTAGGTAAACAAAGTGGCTGGGGAGCTCCAACTGGGTGGAGCCCACCACAGCTCAAGGAGGCCTGCCTGCCTCTGTAGGCTCCATCTCTGGGGGCAGGGCACAGACAAAAAAAAGACAGCAATAACCTCTGCAGACTTAAATGTCTCTGTCTGACAGCTTTGAAGAGAGCAGTGGTTCTCCCAGCATGCAGCTGGAGATCTGAGAACAGGCAGACTGCCTCCTCAAGTGGGTCGCTGACCCCCGAGTAGCCTAACTGGGAGGCACCCCCCAGTAGGGGCAGACTGACACCTCACATGGCCGGGTACTCCTCTGAGACAAAACTTCCAGAGGAACGATCAGGCTGCAGCATTTGTGGTTCACCAATATCCGATGTTCTGCAGCCACCGCTGCTGATACCTAGGCAAACAGGGTCTGGGGTGGACCTCCAGCAAACTCCAACAGACCTGCAGCTGAGGGTCCTGACTATTAGAAGGAAAACTAACAAACAGAAAGGACATCCACACCAAAAACCCATCTGTACGTCACCATCATCAAAGACCAAAGGTAGATAAAACCACAAAGATGGGGAAAAAACAGAGCAGAAAAACCAGAAATTCTAAAAATCAGAGCACCTCTCCTCCTCCAAAGGAACACAGCTCCTCACCAGCAATGAAACAAAGCTGGATGGGGAATGACTTTGACGAGTTGAGAGAAGAAGGCTTCAGAAGATCAAATGACTCCGAGCTAAAGGAGGAAGTTCAAACCAATGGCAAAGAAGTTAAAAACTTTGAAAAAAAATTAGATGAATGGCTAACTAGAATAACCAATGCAGAGAAGTCCTTAAAGGACCTGATGGAGCTGAAAACCACAGCATGAGAACTACATGATGAATGCACAAGCCTCAGTAGCCAATGCAATCAACTGCAAGAAAGGGTATCAGCGATGGAAGATGAAGTGAATAAAATGAAGCATGAAGAGAAGCTTAGAGAAAAAAATAAAATGAAATGAACAAAGCCTCCAAGAAATATGGGACTATGTGAAAAGATCAAATCTACATCTGACTGGTGCACCTGAAAGTGACGGGGAGAATGGAACCAAGTTGGAAAACACTCTGCAGGATATTATCCAGGAGAACTTCCCCAATCTAGCAAGGCAGGCCAACATTCAAATTCAGGAAATACAGAGAATGCCACAAAGATACTCCTTGAGAAGAGCAACTCCAAGACACACAATCGTCAGATACACCAAAGTTGAAATGAAGGAAAATATGTTAAGGGCAGCCAGAGAGAAAGGTCGGGTTACCCACAAATGGAAGCCCATGAGACTAACAGCTGATCTCTCTGCAGAAACTCTACAAGTCAGAAGAGAGGGGGGCCAATATTCAACATTCTTAAAGAAAATAATTTCCAACCCAGAATTTCATATCCAGCCAAACTAAGCTACATAAGTGAAGGAGAAATAAAATCCTTTACAGACAAGCAAATGCTGAGAGATTTTGTCACCACCAGGTCTGCCCTAAAAGAGCTCCTGAAGGAAGCACGAAACATGGAAAGGAACAACCAGTACCAGCCGCTGCAAAGTCATGCCAAAATGTAAAGACCATTGAGGCTAGGAAGAAACTGCATCAACTAATGAGCAAAATAAGCAGCTAACATCATACTGACAGGATCAAATTCACACATAACAATACTAACCTTAAATATAAATGGGCTAAATGCTCCAAATAAAAGACACAGACTGGCAAATTGGATAAAGAGTCAAGACCCATCAGTGTTCTGTATTCAGGAAACCCATCTCATGTGCAGAGACACAAAGAGGATCAAAATAAAGGCATGGAGGAAGATCTACCAAGCAAATGGAAAATGAAAAAAGGCAGGGGTTGCAATCCTAGTCTCTGATGAAACAGACTTTAAACTAACAAAGATCAAAAGAGACAAAGAAGGCCATTACATAATGGTAAAGGGATCAATTCAACAAGAAGAATGAACTATCCTAAATATATATGCACCCAATACAGGAGGACCCAGATTCATAAAGCAAGTCCTTAGTCACCTACAAAGAGACTTAGACTCCCACACAATAATAATGGGAGACTTTAAAACCCCACTGTCAACAGTAGACAGATCAATGAGACAGAAAGTTAACAAGGATATCCAGGAACTGAACTCAGATCTGCACCAAGTGGACCTAATAGACATCTACAGAATTCTCCACCTCAAATCAACAGAATATACATTCTTTTCAGCACCACACCACACCTATTACAAAATTGACCACATTGTTGGAAGTAAAGGACTCCTCAGCAAATGTAAAAGAAGACAAATTATAATAACCTGTCTCTCAAACCACAGTGCAATCAAACTAGAACTCAGGATTAAGAAACTCACTCAAAACTGCTCAACTACATAGAAACTGAACAACCTGTTCCTGAATGACTACTGGGTACATAATGAAATGAAGGCAGAAATAAAGATGTTCTTTGAAACCAATGAGAACAAAGACACAACCTACCAGAATTTCTGGGACACATTCAAAGTAGTGTGTAGAGGGAAATTTATAGCACTAAATGCTCACAAGAGAAAGCAGGAAAGATCTATAGTGGACACCCTAACATCACTATTAAAACAACTAGGGAAGCAAGAGCAAACACATTCAAAAGCTAGCAGAAGGCAAGAAATAACTAAGATCAGAGCAGAACTGAAGGAAATAGAGACAAAAACCCCTTCAAAAATCAATGAATCCAGGAGGTGGGTTTTTTGAAAAGATCAACAAAATTGATAGACCACTAGCAAGACTAATAAAGAAGAAAAGAGAGAACAATCAAATAGAAGCAATAAAAATTTACAAAGGGGATATCACCACCGATCCCACAGAAACAAAAACCACCATCAGAGAATACTATAACCACCTCTATGCACATAAACTAGAAAATCTAGAGGAAATGGATAAATTCCTTGACACATACACCCTGCTAAGACTAAACAAGGAAGAAGTTGAATCTCTCAATAGACCAATAACAGGCTCTGAAATTGAGGAATAATTAATAGCTTACCAACCAAAAAAAGTCCAGGACGAGATGGATTCACAGCCGAATTCTACCAGAGGTAAAAGGAGGAGCTGGTACCATTCCTTCTGAAACTATTCCAATCAATAGAAAAAGAGGGAATCCTCGTTAACTCATTTTATGAGGCCAGCATCATCTTGATACCAAAGCCTGGCAGAGACACAACAAAAAAAGAGAATTTTAGACCAATATCCTTGAACATAGACGCAAAAATCCTCAATAAAATACTGGCAAACTGAATCCAACAACACATCAAAAAGCTTATCCACCATGATCAAGTGGGCTTCGTGCCTGGGATGCAAGGCTGATTCAACATATGAAAATCAATAAATGTAATTCAGCATATAAACAGAATCAAAGACAAAAACCAAATGATTATCTCAATAGATGCAGAGAAGGCCTTTGACAAAATTCAACAATGCTTCATACTAAAAACTCTCAATAAATTAGGTATTGATGGGATGTAACCCAAAATAATACGAGCTAACTATGACAAACCCACAGCCAATATCACACTGAATGGACAAAAACTGGAAGTATTCCCTTTGAAAACTGGCACAAGTCAGGGATGCCCTCTCTCACCACTCCTATTCAACATGGTGTTGGAAGTTCTGGCCAGAGCAAGCAGGCAGGAGAAGGAAATAAAGGGCATTCAATTAGGAAAAGAGGAAGTGAAATTGTCCCGGTTTGCAGATGACATGATTGTATATCTAGAAAACCCCACTGTCTCAGCCCAAAATCTCCTTAAGCTGATAAGCAACTTCAGCAAAGTCTCAGGATACAAAATCAATGTGCAATAATCACAAGCATGCTTATACACCAATAACAGACAAACAGAGAGCCAAATCATGAGTGAACTCCCATTCACAATTGCTTCAAAAAGAATAAAATACCTAGGAATGCAACTTACAAGGGATGTGAATGACTTCTTCAGGGAGAACTACAAACCACTGCTCAATGAAATAAAAGAGGAAACAAACAAATGGAAGAACATTCCATGCTCATGGGTAGGAAGAATCAATATCGTGAAAATGACCATACTGCCCAAGGTAATTTATAGATTCAATGCCATCCCCATCAAGCTACCAATGACTTTCTTCACAGAATTGGAAAAAACTACTTGAAAGTTCATATGGAACCAAAAAAGAGCCCACATCGCCAAGTCATTCCTAAGCCAAAAGAACAAAGCTGGAGGCATCACACTACCTGACTTCAAACTATACTACAAGGCTACAGTAACCAAAACAGCATGGTACTGGTACCAAAACAGAGATATAGATCAATGGAACAGAACAGAGCCCTCAGAAATAATGCTGCATATCTACAACTATCTCATCTTTGACAAACCTGAGAAAAACAAGCAATGGGGAAAGGATTCCCTATTTAATAAGTGGTCCTGGGAAAACTGGCTAGTCATATGTAGAAAGCTGAACTTGGATCCCTTCCTTGCACCTTATACAAAAATTGATTCAAGATAGATTAAAGACTTAAATGTTAGACCTAAAAGTGTAAAAACCCTAGAAGAAAACCTAGGCAATACCATTCAGGACATAGGCAAGGGGAAGGACTTCATGTCTAAAACACCAAAAGCAATGGCAACAAAAGCCAAAATTGACAAATGGGATCTAATTAAACTAAAGAGCTTCTGCACAGCATAAGAGACTACCATCAGAGTGAACAGGTAACCTATAGAATGGGAGAAAATTTTTGCAACCTACTCATCTGACAAAGGGCTAATATCCAGAATCTACAATGAACTCCAACAAATTTATGAGAAAGAAGAAAACAACCATATCAAAAAGTGCGTGAAGGATACGAACAGACACTTCTCAAGGCATTTATGCAGCCAAAAAACACATGAAAAAATGCTCATCATTACTGGCCATCAGACAAATGCAAATCAAAATCACAATGAGATACCATCTCACACCAGTTAGAATGGCAATAATTAAAAAGTCAGGAAACAACAGGTGCTGGAGAGGATGTGGAGAAATAGGAACACTTTTACACTGTTGGTGGGACTGCAAACTAGTTCAACCATTGTGGAAGTTGGTGTGCTGATTCCTCAGGGATCTAGAACTAGAAATACCATTTGACCCAGCCATCCCATTACTGGGGATATACTGAAAGGATTATAAAGCATGCTGCTATAAGGACACATGCACATTTATGTTTATTGCTACACTATTCACAATAGCAAAGATTTGGAATCAACCCAAATGTCCAACAATGATAGACTGGATTAAGAAAATGTGGCACATATACACCATGGAATACTATGCAGCCATAAAAAACGATGAGTTCATGTCCTTTGTAGGGACATGGATGAAACTGGAAACCATCATTCTCAGCAAACTATCACAAGGACAAAAAACCAAACACCGCATGCTCTCACTCCTAGGTGGAAATTGAACAAGGAGAACACATGGACACAGGAAGGGGAACGTCACACACCGGGGACTGTTGTCCAGTGCAGGGAGTGGGGAGAGATAGCATTAGGACCTATACCTAATGCTAAGTGATGAGTTCATGGGTGCTGCACACCAACATGGCACATGTATAGATATGTAACAAACCTGCATGTTGTCCACATGTACCCTAAAACTTAAAGTATAATAATAATAATAAAAACATTCTATGTAAACCCAGATCTTAAAGATTTTTTTCTATCAATGTTTTTAAAATATTTTGTTGTATATTTTACACTTATATCCCTTATTAATTTTGAGTCAATTTTTAAAATAAACTGTGATTTTTAAAAAAATAATAAATATAAAAAAGAATGAAGATTGTCTATGTGACTTGTGGGACACAATAAAGTGACCAAATATTCAAATTTTGAATTTTCCAGAAAAAGAAGAGATGAACAGAGACAGAGAAAAGCTATTTAATGAAATAATAGCTGAAAACTTCCCAAGTCTTACAAGAGAAATAGATATCTACAAGAGAAATAGATGAAGAAAGCTCTAGTATACCCAAAATAGATTCACACAAAAAGGCCTTCTCTGAGGTACATTATAGGCAAACTGTCAAAAGTCTGTAATAAAGATGGAATTCTAAAACAGTGAGAGAAAAGCATATAGTCATTTAGAAGGGAACCCCATCAGATTAACATTGGATTTCTCGGCAGAAGTCTTAAAGGCCAGAAGAAAATGAGAAGATATATTCAAAGTGCTGAAAGAAAAAAAATGACTGAGAGCCAAGAATACTACACCCAGTAAATCTATCCTTCAAAATGGAGAAATAAAGACTTTCCAAGACAAGAAAAATGGAGGAAATTTATTACCACTAAAGCAGTCCTACAAGACATGTTTAACGGAGTCCTACATTTGAAAGTGAATGAATGGTATCTACCATCATGAAAACACACAGAAGTATAAAACTCGCTGGTAGAGAAGACACATGAGAAAGAGATGGGACTAAAATTTTTACCACTGCAGAAAACCAGCAAACTGTTAGGACAAAAAAAAAAGACAGAAAGAATGGAACAAAAAATATATAAAGGCAACCAGAAAACAATGAAAGCTATGACAAAAACAAAACCTCATATGTCAATAATAACTCTGAATGTAAATGGATTATATTACTGACTTAAAAGACATAGACTGGTTAAATAAATTTTTTAAAGTAACCCAACTGAGGCCAGGCATGGTGGCTCGTGTCTGGAATCCCAGTACTTTGGGAGGTCAAGATGGGCAGATCACTTGAGATCAGGCGTTCAAGACCAGCCTGACCAACATAGTGAAATCCTGTCTCTACTAAAAATACAAAAATTAGCCACACTTGGTGGCACATGCCTGTAGTCCCAGCTACTTGGGAGGCTGAGGCAGAAGATTCGCTTGAACCCAGAAGGCAGAGACTGCAGTGAGCTGAGATCATGTCACTGCACTCTAGCCTGGGTTGCTGAGCAAGACTCCATCTCAAAAAAATAAAAATAAAAATAAAACGAACAAACTATATGCTGCTTCCTACAAGAAAATTGCTTCACCTGTAAAGACACACGTAGACTGAAAGTGAAGGGATGGAACAAGATATTCTATGCAAATGGAAACCAAAATCATGCAGGAGTATCTAATGTATATCAGATAAAACAGACTTTTTAGTCAAAAACAGTATGAAGAGACAAATAAGGTCATTATATAATGAAAAATGGGGTTGATCCAGCAAGGAGATATAATAATTCTAAATATATATACACCCAACACCAGAGGAACCAGATATGTAAAGCAAACGGTATGAGATCTAATAGAAAATCATTACAGCCAAATGATTTTTGACAAAGGTGTCAAAAACATATATCGGGGGAAGGATGGTCTCTTCAATAAATGGTGCTAGGTAAATTGGATATTCATAGGCAGAAGAATTAAACTGGATCCCTGTCTCTTCCCATACACAAAATACAAAACTCAACTCAAATGGATTAAGGACTTAAACAAAAGACCCAAGACTATAAAACTTCTAGAAGAAAACAGGGGAAACAGTTCAGGACATTCATCTAGGAAAAATTTTATGGTAAGACCTCAAAATCACAGCCAACTAAAACAAAAATAGACAAATGAGATGATATTAAACTAAAAAGCTTCTGTACAGCAAATGAAACAACCAACAGAGTAAAAAGATATTTTCCAAAGAAGACATACAAAAAGCCAACTGCTAAATGAAAAAATGCTTAACAGCACTAACATAAATCAAGATCACAGTGAGATATTTTCTTACCCCAGTTAGAATAGCTATTATAAAAAACATGCTGTGGAGGATGCAGAGAAAAGGAAACTCTTACACACTGCTGGCAGAGATGTAAATTATTATAGCCATTATGAAAAATACTACAGAGGCTCCTCAAAAAGTTAAAACTAGAATTACCTATGATCCAGCTACTGATAATTTCACTACTGATTATTTATCCAAAGGAAAGAAAATTAATATATCAAAGGGATACCTGCAACTCCATGTTTACTGCAACACTCTTCACAATAACCAAGATACAAACTCAACTTACGTGTCCATCAAGGAATGAATGGATAAAGAAAATGTAGCATATGTACACAATAGAATGCTATTTAGCCACAAAGTAATAAAATCTTGTCATTTGCAGCAACATGGATGGAACTGGAAGTCACCATGTTAAGTGAAGTAAGCCAGGCACAGAAAGACAAAAATATCACATGTTCTCAGTGACATGAAGGAACTAAAAAAAGTTGATCTCATGAAGGTAAAGAGTAGAATAATAGCTACCAGGAGCTTGGAAGGTTTTATGGGGTAAGAGAATAGGGAGAGAAGTTAGTTAATGGATACAAATAAACAGTTAGATAGAAGGAATAAGTTCTAGTGTTCGATAGCACAGTAGGGTGACTATAGTTAATGATAATATATTGTATATTTCAAAATAGCTAGAAGAGAATATTTGAAATGTTCCCAACACAAATAAATGATAAATATTTAAGGTGATGAATATCCTAAATATCCTGATTTGATCATTACACATTGTATGTATGTATCAAAATATCACATATACCCTACAAATACGTGCATATATTATTTATCAGTAAGAAATAAAGTAAAAAATTACATTTTGGGGGAAAATACGTGTGAAACCAGATTGTAGTGATGGTTGCACATTATGAATATAATAAATTCCACTGAATTGTAAACTTAAAAAATGATTACATGAAACTAGGTCACACAGCAGTTAGTGCTGCAGATGCCTGACACACACTGCCTGGGTTCAAATCCCAATTCTGCCATTTATGAGCTGTGTGAGGCTGGGCACAGTGGCTCATGCTGGTAATCTCAGCACTTCGGGAAGCTAAGGAGGGAGGACTGCTTGAAGTCAGGAGTTCAAGATCAGCCTGGGCAACAAAGCAAGACTCTGCCTCTACAAGAAATCTAAAAAATTAGCTGGGCATGGTGGTGTGGGTCTGTAGTCCCAGCTAAGGAGGAGGATCCCTTGAGCCCAGGAGTCAGAGGTTTCAGTGACTTATCTTCATACCACTGTATTCTCAGCCCACATGACAGAGCAAGACTCTATCTCTAAAATAAATTTTTTAAAATATATAAGCTGTGTGACCTTGAGTAAGTTATTTAGCCTCTCTGTGCTTCACATCCTTCAACCATAAGGCAGCACCAATAATCAAAGCGTCAACTTCCTATGCCAGTTATTTTGAGCTAAATATTAATACCACCCCCTAAACTTTGAAAGAGTCGCAGTTCAGAGAACAAATTACATTGTTATTCTACTCACGTTGATCCACCCTTGAAGAGATTGCCAGACCAGAGAGTAGAGAGTATCTTCCACATAATCACAAAATGTAAGGTACTCAAAATTTTTATGAGAAATCTGATGACAGTTCTTTTAAAAAAATGTGGACTTCAGTGTATATACAAGAGTGGCTATTCTGAAAACTTGAAAGTGGGAACACATAAAAATGAAATTCATGTCCTGAAGAATAACACTCCTTTCAAAAGAGGCAACAAGTAAAATAGAAATATTTTATAACAAATGTTTTATAAAGAAGAGAAAAACAACTAAATAAAATACAACCTAATGCTAGTAGTTGTCCTTGGAGTATAAGGTTAGAAGTGCTTGGATTTTTTTTTTCGTTTTTATACCTCTGCAGCTCCCAGTTATTTTGCAGCAGGCAGACACTACTTTTATAATCAAAAAGAGATTTTTAAAAAATGTTCAGACAGACTCACAAAACATCAAAACATAATTGCAGAATACAAGACATACTTAAAGTGATTCGGAAAGGCTGAAAAAAAGACATCAAAAGTATACTAGGAAAATGCAAACTAAAACTGTGATTAGGATATCTGGTAATGTAGAATTTAGACCAGAAAACTTTAAACAAGACAAAAAACGGCTAGTTTTAATGCTAAAGGCTACAATTTACAAAAAGCTATAGTATCTTATGCACCCAAATGACATAAAAACAAACTTCAAAACTCGGAAGCTACAAGAGAAGCAAGAATAGACAAAAACTTAGGTAATATTTTGTTTTCCAAGTAAACATGCCACACTAATAAAAATTAACCATGTATTAACTCATAAAGAAAACGTTAGGCTGGGTGCGGTGGCTCACACCTGTAATCCCAGCAGTTTGGGAGGCTGATGCAGGTGGATCAAGCCTGGCCAACATGGTGAAACCCTGCCTCTACTAAAAATATGACATGCGGCTTATGCCTGTAATCCCAGCTACTCGAGAAACTGCAGCATGAAAGTCACTTGAGCCCAGGAGGCAGAGGTAGCAGTGAGCCGAGATTGCGCCACTGCTCTCCAGCCTGGGGGACAAAGAGAGATGCCATCTCAAAACAAACAAAACTTTATAAGTCTCATCAAAGTAAGGATAATAAAAATGTTATCTAATTACAATATAATAAACCAGAAGATCATAATAAAATTTTAAAACACCCTTCTATCTGGAAATTTTAAAACTTAATATTACATAATTCTTGGGTCAAAGTAGAAACAAACTGAAATTTCAGATTTCTCAAAAATATTTACACAAATACTACATTTCAGAATCTATGGAATATAATTAAAACTGTAATCAGAGGAAAATTAATAACATTAACAATATCAATGAAATCAATTAAATGAAACAAAAACTAACTAATTAGATATCCAACTCAAGAAGTTAGAAACAGAACAAGAAAGCAACTACCTCAAAAAAGCAGAAGGAATAAATTGGTAAAAGGATAACAATATTAGTATAAATAATTTTAAATGATAGAAGGTTATTTGTAAGGATCAAAAAATAGAAAAAGCACTAGCTCAGCTGGGCGCAGTGGCTCACACCTGTAATCCCAGCACATTGGGAGGCTGAGGTGGGTGGATCACCTGAAGTCGGGAGTTCAAGACCAGCCTGACCAACAAGGAGGAACCCCATCTCTACTAAAAATACAAAAATTAGCCAGGCGTGGTGGTGCATACCTGTAATCCCAGCTACTTGGGAGGCTAAGGCAGGAGAATTGCTTGAACCTGGGAGGTGGAGGTTGCGGTGAGCCAAGATCATGCCATTGCACTCCAGCCTGGGCAACAAGAGTGAAACTCCATCTCAAAAAAAAAAAAAAAAAAAAAAAAAAAAGAAAAAGAAAAAAAAGTAAAAAAGAAAAAGCACTAGCTTACCTTTTCAAAAAAAAAAAAAGAAAATGTCTTCTTTTGAGAAGTGTCTGTTCATATCCTTTGCCCACTTTTTGATGGGGTTGTTTGTTTTTTTCTTGTAAATTTGTTTGTGTTCATTGTAGATTCTGGATATTAGCCCTTTGTCAGATGAGTAGGTTGCAAAAATTTTCTCCCATTTTGTAGGTTGCCTGTTCACTCTGATGGTAGTTTCTTTTGCTGTGCAGAAACTCTTTAGTTTAACTAGATCCCATTTGTCAATTTTGGCTTTTGTTGCCATTGCTTTTGGTGTTTTAGACATGAAGTCCTTGCCCATGCCTATGTCCTGAATGGTAATGCCTAGGTTTTCTTCTAGGGTTTTTATGGTTTTAGGTCTAATGTATAAGTCTTTAATCCATCTTGAATTAATTTTTCTATAAGGTGTAAGGAAGGGATACAGTTTCAGCTTTCTACACATGGCTAGCCAGTTTTCCCAGCACCCTTTATTAAATAGGGAATCCTTTCCCCATTGCTTGTTTTTCTCAGGTTTGTCAAAGATCAGATAGTTGTAGATATGCAGCATTATTTCTGAGGGCTCTGTTCTGTTCCATTGATCTATATCTCTGTTTTGGTACCAGTACCATGCTGTTTTGGTTACTGCAGCCTTGTAGTATAGTTTGAAGTCAGGTAACGTGATGCCTCCAGCTTTGTTATTTTGGCTTAGGATTGACTTGGTGATGCAGGCTCTTTTTTGGTTACATATGAACTTTAAAGTAGTTTTTTCCAATTCTGTGAAGAAAGTCATTGGTAGCTTGATGGAGATGGCATTGAATGTATAAATTACCTTGGGCAGTATGGCCATTTTCACAATATTGATTCTTCCTACCCATGAGCATGGAATGTTCTTCCATTTGTTTGTATCCTCTTGTATTTCATTGAGCAGTGATTTGAAGTTCTCCTTGAAGAGGTCCTTCACGTCCCTTGTAAGTTGGATTCCTTGATATTTTATTCTCTTTGAAGCAATTGTGAATGGGAGTTCACTCATGATTTGGCTCTCTGTTTGTCTGTTGTTGGTGTATAAGAATGCTTGTGATTTTTGTATATTGATTTTGTATCCTGAGACTTTGCTGAAGTTGCTTATCAGCTTAAGGAGATTTTGGGCTGAGACAGTGGGGTTTTCTAGATATACAATCATGTCATCTGCAAACAGGGACAATTTGACTTCCTCTTTTCCTAATTGAATACCCTTTATTTCCTTCTCCTGCCTAATTGCCCTGGCCAGAACTTCCAACACTATGTTGGATAGGAGTGGCAAGAGAGGGCATCCCTGTCTTGTGCCAGTTTTCAAAGGGAATGCTTCCAGTTTTTGTCCATTCAGTATGATATTGGCTGTGGGTTTGTCATAGATAGCTCTTATTATTTTGAGATACATCCCATCAATACCTAATTTATTGAGAGTTTTTAGCATGAAGGGTTGTTGAATTTTGTCAAAGGCCTTTTCTGTATCTATTGAGATAAGCATGTGGTTTTTGTCTTTGGTTCTGTTTATATTTATGCAGCCAAAAAACACATGAAAAAATGCTCACCATCACTGGCAATCAGAGAAATGCAAATCAAAACCACAATGAGATACCATCTCACACCAGTTAGAATGGCGATCATTAAAAAGTCAGGAAACAATGGGTGCTGGAGAGGATGTGGAGAAATAGGAACAATTTTACACTGTTGGTGGGATTGTAAACTAGTTCAACCACTGTGGAAGTTGGTGTGGCGATTCCTCAGGGATCTAGAACTAGAAATACCATTTGACCCAGCCATCCCATTACTGGGTATATACCCAAAGGACTATAAATCATGCTGCTATAAAGACACATGCACACGTATGTTTATTGCGGCTCTATTCACAATAGCAGACTTGGAACCAACTCAAATGTCCAACAATGATAGACTGGATTAAGAAAATGTGGCACATATTCACCATGGAATACTACACAACCATAAAAAATGATGAGTTCATGTCCATTGTAGGGACATGGATGAAATTGGAAATCATCATTCTCAGTAAACTACCACAAGAACAAAAAACCAAACACTGTATATTCTTACTCATAAGTGGGAATTGAACAATGAGAACACATGGACACAGGAAGGGGAACATCACACTCTGGGCACTGTTGTGGGGTGGGGGGAGGGGGGAGGGATTGCATTAGGAGATATACCCAATGCTAAATGATGAGTTCATGGGTGCAGCACACCAGCATGGGACATGTATACATATGTAACTAACCTGCACATTGTGCACATGTACCCTAAAACTTAAAGTATAATAAAATAAAATAAAATAAAATAAAATAAAAAAAGAAAAAAGAAGACTCCAAGCACACATACCCAAAATAAAAATTTGCAATGATGAAATAACCATCAAATACAGAATATTAAAAATTATAACAGATTACTTGCATGCATGCCAAAAACTAACAAACACACTAAAAACCTCAATGTAATAAGTAATTTTCCAGGAAAACTTAATGCACAAAAACTAACGCAGCAAAGACTATTTTCAAGGTGTTTAAGTATATCACAGTTTACAAAAGCAATAGGAAAAATAGAAGACCTATCCCTACTCCCTTGAAAGCACCAGGCCTACAAACCATCCCAAAGGAAATATACCAACCTTCAAAGAGTGGATAATATCAATCTATTCTAAATGTTCTAAAGCATAAAGAAGAAAAGAAAAACTCCAAGAGTTTGAAGTGAACATAACATTGACAACAAAATCGAATAAACATTGTTTATTTACACAAACACAGAAGAAAATCTTGGACCACTGGGACTTAGAGCCATGCAAAAACCTTTTATTTTATTTTATTTTATTATTATTATACTTTTAAGATTTAGGGTACATGTGCACAACGTGCAAGTTTGTTACATACGTATACATGTGCCATGTTGGTTTGCTGCACCCACTAACTCGTCATTTAGCATTAGGTATATCTCCTAATGCTATCCCTCCCCCTTCCCCCCACCCCACAACAGTCCCCAGTGTGTGATGTTCCCCTTCCTGAGTCCATGTGTTCTCATTGTTCAATTCCTACCTATGAGTAAGAACATGCGGTGTTTGGTTTCTCTGTCCTTGCAATAGTTTGCTGAGAATGATGGTTTCCAGCTTCATCCATGTCCCTACAAAGGACATGAACTCATCATTTTTATGGCTGCATAGTATTCCATGCTGTATCTGTGCCACATTTTCTTAATCCAGTCTATCATTGTTGGACATTTGGGTTGGTTCCAAGTCTTTGCTATTGTGAATAGTGCCGCAATAAACATACGTGTGCATGTGTCTTTATAGCCGCAAGATTTATAATCCTTTGGGTATATACCCAGTAATGGGATGGCTGGGTCAACTGGTATTTCTAGTTGTAGATCCCTGAGGAATTACCACACCAACTTCCACAATGGTTGAACTAGTTTACAGTCCCACCAACAGTGTAAAAGTGTTCCTATTTCTCCACATCCTCTCCAGCACCTGTTGTTTCCTGACTTTTTAATGATCACCATTCTAACTGGTGTGAGACGGTATCTCATTGTGGTTTTGATTTGCATTTCTCTGATGGCCAGTGATGGTGAGCATTTTTTCATGTGTTTTTTGGCTGCATAAATGTCTTCTTTTGAGAAGTGGCTGTTCATATCCTTTGCCCACTTTTTGATGGGGTTGTTTGTTTTTTTCTTGTAAATTTGTTTGAGTTCATTGTAGATTCTGGATATTAACCCTTTGTCAGATGAGCAGGTTGCAAAAATTTTCTCCCATTCCATAGATTGCCTGTTCACCCTGATGGTGATTTCTTTTGCTGTGCAGAGGCTCTTTAGTTTAAATAGATCCCATTTATCAATTTTGTCTTTTGTTGCCATTGCTTTTGGTGTTTTAGACATGAAGTCCTTGCCCATGCCTATGTCCTGAATGGTAATGCTTAGGTTTTCTTCTAGGGTTTTTATGGTTTTAGGTCTAACATTTAAGTCTTTAATCCACCTTGAATTAATTTTTGTATGAGGTGTAAGGAAGGGATCCAGTTTTAGCTTTCTACATATGGCTATCCAGGTTTCCCAGCACCATTTATTAAATAGGGAATGCTTTCCCCATTGCTTGTTTTTCTCAGGTTTGTCAAAGATGAGGTAGTTGTAGATATGCGGCATTATTTCTGAGGGCTCTGTTTTGTTCCGTTGGTCTATATCTCTGTTTTGGTACCAGCACCATGCTATTTTGGTTACTGTAGCCTTGTAGTATAGTTTGAAGTCAGGTAGTGTAATGCCTCCAGCTTTGTTCTTTTGGCTTAGGATTGACTTGGCGATGCGGGCTCTTTTTTGGTTCCGTATGAACTTTCAAGTAGTTTTTTCAATTCTGTGAAGAAAGTCATTGGTAGCTTGATGGGGATGGCATTGAATCTATAAATTACCTTGGGCAGTATGGCCATTTTCACAATATTCATTCTTCCTTCCCATGAGCATGGAATGTTCTTCCATTTGTTTGTATCCTCTTTTATTTCATTGAGCAGTGGTTTGTAGTTCTCCCTGAAGAGGTCCTTCACATCCCTTTTAAGTCACATTCCTAGGTATTGTATTCTCTTTGAAGCAATTGTGAATGGGAGTTCACTCATGATTTGGCTTTCTGTCTGTTATTGGTTTATAAGAATGCTTGTGATTTTTGTACATTTGCTTGAGATTTTGCTGAAGTTGCTTATCACCTTAAGGAGATTTTGGGGGGAGATGATGGGGTTTTCTAGATATACAATCACGTCATCTGCAAACAGGGACAGTTTCACTTCCTATTTTCCTAATTGAATGCCCTTTATTTCCTTCTCCTGCCTGATTGCCCTGGTCAGAACTTCCAACACTATGTTGAATAGGAGTGGTGAGAGAGGGCATCGCTGTCTTGTGCCAGTTTTCAAAGGGAATGCTTCCAGTTTTTGTCCATTCAGTATGAGATTGGCTGTGGGTTTGTCATAGATAGCTCTCATTAGTTTGAGATATGTCCCATCAATACCTAATTTATTGAGAGTTTTTAGTATGAAGCATTGTTGAATTTTGTCAAAGGCCTTTTCTGCATCTATTGAGATAATCATGTGGTTTTTGTCATTGGTTCTGTTTATATGCTGGATTATGTTTATTGATTTGCATATGTTGAACCAGCCTTGCATCCCAGGGATGAAGCCCACTTGATCATAGTGGGTAAGCTTTTTGATGTGTTGCTGGATTCAGTTTGCCAGTATTTTATTGAGGATTTTTGCATCAATGTTCATCAAGGATATTGGTCTAAAATTCTCTTTTTTTGTTGTGTCTCTGCCAGGCTTTGGTATCAGGATGATGCTGGCCTCTTAAAATGAGTTTGGGAGGATTCCCTCTTTTTCTATTGATTAGAATAGTTTTGGAAGGAATGGTGCCAGCTCCTCCTTGTACCTCTGGTAGCATTTGGCTGTGAATCCATCTGGTTCTGGACTTTTTTTGGTAGGTAATCTATTAAATATTGCCTCAATTTCAGAGCCTGTTATTGGTCTATTGAATGATTCAACTTCTTCCTGGTTTAGTTTTGGGAGGGTGTATGTGTTGAGGAATTTATCCATTTCTTCTATATTTTCTAGTTTATTTGTGTAGAGGTGTTAATAGTATTCTCTGATGGTAGTTTGTATTTCTGTGGGATCGGTGGTGATATCCCCTTTGTAATTTTTTAATGCATCTATTTGATTCTTCTCTCTTTTCTTCTGTATTAGTCTTACTAGCAGTCTATCAATTTTGTTGACCTTTTCAAAAAAACCACCTGGATTCATTGATTTTTTGAAGGGTTTTTGTGTCTTTATTTCCTTTAGTTCTGCTCTGATCTTAGTTATTTCTTGCCTTCTGCTAGCTTTTGAATGTGTTTGCTCTTGCTTCTCTAGTTCTTTTAATTGTGATATTAGGGTGTCCATTTTAGATCCTTCCTGCTTTCTCTTGTGGGCATTTAGTGCTATAAATTTCCCTCTACACACTGCTTTGAATGTGTCCCAGAGATTCTGGTATATTGTGTCTTTGTTCTTGTTGGTTTCAAAGAACATCTTTGTTTCTGCCTTCATTTCGTTATGTACCCAGTAGTCATTCAGGAGCAGGTTGTTCAGTTTCTATGTAGTTGGGTGGTTCTGAGTTAGTTTCTTAATTCTGAGTTCTCGTTTGATTGCACTGTCGTCTGAGAGACAGTTTATTATAATTTCTGTTCTTTTACATTTGCTGAGGAGTGCTTTACTTGCAACTATGTGGTCAATTTTGGAATAGGTGTGGTGTGGTGCTGAAAAGAAGGTGTATTCTGTTGATTTGGGGTGGAGAGTTCTGTAGATGTCTGTTAGGTCTGCTTGGTGCAGAGCTGCGTTCAATTCCTGGATATGCTTGTTAACTTTCTGTCTTGTTGATCTGTCTAATGTTGACAGTGGGGTGTTAAAGTCTCCCATTACTATGGTGTGAGAGTCTAAGTCTCTTTGTAGGTCACTAAGGACTTGCTTTATGAATCTGGGTGCTCCTGTATTGGGTGCATATACATTTAGGATAGTTAGTTCTTTTGTTGAATTGATCCCTTTACCATTATGTAATGGCCTTCTGTCTCTTTTGATCTTTGTTGGTTTAAAGTCTGTTTTATCAGAGACTAGGATTGCAACCCCTGCCTTTTTTCATTTTCCATTTGCTTGGTAGACCTTCCTCCATGCCTTTATTTTGAGCCTATGTGTGTCTCTGCACATGAGATGGGTTTCCTGAATACAGCACACTGATGGGTCTTGACTCTTTATCCAATTTGCCAGTCTGTGTCTTTTAATTGGAGCATTTAGCCCATTAACATTTAAGGTATTTTTATGTGTGAATTTGATCCTGTCATTATGATGTTAGCTGGTTATTTTGCTCATTAGTTGATGCAGTTTCTTCCTAGCCTTGATGGACTTTACAATTTGGCATGTTTTTGCAGTGGCTGGTACCGGTTGTTCCTTTCCATGTTTAGTGCTTCCTTCAGGAACCACCTTGCAGTTTGATCTCAGACTGCTGTGCTAGCTATGAGCGAGGCTCCATGGGCGCAGGACCCTCCGAGCCAGGTGCAGGATATAATCTCCTGGTGTGCCATTTGTGAAGCCCATTGGAAAAGTGCAGTATTAGGGTGGGAGTGACCCGGTTATCCAGGTGCTGTCTGTCACCCCTTTCTTTGACTATGAAAGGGAATTCCCTGACCCCTTGTGCTTCCTGGGTGAGATGATGCCTCACCCTGCTTCAGCTCATGCACGGTGCACTGCACCCACTGTCCTGCACCCACTGTCTGGCACTCCCCAGTGAGATGAACCCGGTACCTCAGTTGGAAATACAGAAATCTCCTATCTTCTGCATCACTTACACTGGGAGCTGTAGACTGGAGCTGTTCCTATTCGGCCATCTTGGGTACCTCCCGCCGTGAAAACCTTAAATAGAATATTAGCAAGCAAAATACAACAGCAGCCTTCTAAAAATATATCATGACCAAGTGGGGCTTATTGAGGAAATTAAAGGGAAAATTAATATTGAAAAACCCATTAATATAAAATTCATCATATTAAAAGGTCAGGGGAAAAATCAGTTGATCTTCCCCACAGATGCTTAAATTTTTTCAACTAAAGTATATAACTTTTCTAATAAAACTTAATAAACTATAAAGTGAAGCATATTTCCTTAACATGAATTTGTGTTTACATATATATTTCAAATGCAGTACATGTATCCTGGTTGGATATGCCTTGAAAAAAAGGAATTTATAAAATCATTCTAGAAATTATGTGGAAATTTAAATATCTATAAAATATTAGATGATGTTAGGAAAATATTGATAATTTTCTTAGTTTTGATAATAGTGTTGTAGTTATTAGGAGAATGTCCTTATTCTTAGGAAATGCATACTGAAGTATTTAGGAACTGAAGTGCAATGATATGTGAAACAGTCTAAATTACCCTACAGAATAAAAGTATATATGACAAATATTATTAATTGTCATATTTGGATGGTGGATATAGAGATGATCATTGCACTATTCTTTCAACTTTTCTGTGTGCTTGATAATTTTCATAATAAAATATCAGAGATTAAATAAAATTTATAAAAATTGTAATGACAAAAACTTTTCAATATAGTTCCACTAACTATTCTAGTTAGACTCCTTTGTTTCTAAAGATCAGAATCCCACTCAAGTTACCTTAAGAAAATAGTTTTTAAAGATACAGGTGAATTGGACCTAAAATTGGAATCTGAAACTCGAAGGACATTCAGGAGGCTCTAGGAACTGCCTGCTCTCACAGTGGCCAGCTAAGGGGCCACCTCATTGCTCTCACTGGGTCTCCACTTTCCTTGGTGCTTCTACTGCCTTCTCACCTCTCCCAATAGATTTCCTTTGCTATCTTCAATTTCAGCTGTCCTCACCTAGCAAAGTTATACATGGGCGCTTTTCCCCTTCAACCTCACTCCTGGAAATCTAGCTCCGACCTGTTGGTAAAAAACACCAAATGATATCTACACAAAGCTATTCATTGCAACATCATTTGCATAAGCATAAAGCTGAAAACAACCCAACTTCCATCAAAAGGGGACTGATTGAGTAGACTATTATACATGCATATGATGGAA
Organism: Homo sapiens; assembly: GCF_000001405.40. Classification (NCBI taxonomy): domain Eukaryota; kingdom Metazoa; phylum Chordata; class Mammalia; order Primates; family Hominidae; genus Homo; species Homo sapiens. The sequence continues at coordinate 46,725,768 of NC_000008.11, read as the reverse complement.
GACTGTGTAACTATAAAAAGTAATGAGAACAATATATACTGATAGGGAAAGATCATTAGGTTATATTGTAAAGGGACAAAAGCCTTGTATAGTATCCTACTTCAGGTATTTTAATTTTTGTGCAAAAAGTGGGTAATAAAACATAAATATACATATTTATTTATATTTTCATAAAGAAATAATGAAACAATAAGTAAAATTAAATTTTAAAAATGCTTCACTATAGTGGAAGGGAGAATAGAGGATGGAGGAGCCAGGGACAGAAGCTTCTCTAGATGTAGATTTGACCAGCATTCCTGGAGTCTGGGCCTGTAACTGGCTGTGAGCATACTGCTGGCCAAGCAGGGCACAAGATTTAGCCTAGACTGAAGGGAGGAGAAGGAGACTCCAACTCTCCATGGGAAGTGTGACAAACAATATATGGCCAGCTTTTCTAAAAGCAGGACAACCGGACATGATGTGCTTCGTAAGAGGGCATACTAAAAAGTATACAATAGCTACAAAGTGATCTTGCCTTAAAAATTATACTTGAATGTCTAATCAAGCCTCTAACTCTCAGTTTCTAGGCAATATAAGGGATAGAAGGAAATGTTTAACTTTTAAAAGGTTAAAGAAGCAATCAGACAAATTCAGAATGTGAAAAATTCTAGAGGATCAAACAATCAGAGGGAACTGTCACAGAACAACTGAATGTAATATGAAGGTGTGGTTTGGATTCTAACTCTAACTACCTGTAAAAAGACATAATTGAGATTACTGGAGAAATTTCAATGTGGACTGGGTAACAGACAATGTTTAAAAATTACTATTAGTTCTGTAAAAACATTTTTTTTAAAAAACTTTATCTGTTCACGGTCCATAACAAAGTATTTAGAGATGAAATAACATGGTATCTGGGATTTGCTTTTAAAATGTAAGAGAAAGGCTGGGTGTGGTGGCTTACGCCTGTAATCCCAGCACCTTGGGAGGCCGAGGTGGGTGGATCACGAGGTCAGGAGATCAAGACCATCCTGGCTAACACGGTGAAACCTCGTCTCTACTAAAAATACAAAAAATTAGCCAGGCATAGTGGTGGGCGCCTGTAGTCCCAGCTACTCTGGAGGCTGAGGCAGGAGAATGGCATGAACTTGGGAGGCAGAGCTTGCAGTGAGCTGAGATCGCACCACTGCACTCCAGCCTGGGTGACAGAGTGAGATTCCATCTCAAAAAAAAAAAAAAAAAAGTAAGAGAAGAAAGTGAAGGTGGTGAGTGAAATAAAATGAGCAAAATGTTGATGAAATTGGTCTTAAAAATATTTTTTTTGCATCCTTCTTCTACCACCATTAACTTTCCAAGCCTCTTGATGTTACTTAAACTCCCTGAAGTGTAAATATAAGTGAGTCAGCTAAGCCATAGGCCACTGGCTGGGGTCTGTGGTTGAGCTATCTTTGGTTTACTGTTGGCTATGGACTGAATGTTTGCATCCCCCAAATTCATATGTTGAAATCTAATTCCTAATGTAATGCTATTAGGAGGTTGGGCCTTTGGTAGGAAATTAGGTCATAGGGGTGGAATCCTGAAGAAAAATGGGATTAGTACCCTTATTAGGGGGTGCAAAGACCACAGTTGTCCTCTTCTACCATGTGAGGACACAGCTAGAAGGTCTATGCACCAGGAAGCAGACCCTCTTTAGACACTGAATCTACAAGTGCCTTAATGTTGAATCTCCAGCCTCCAGAACTGTGAGAGATAAATTTCTGTTGTTTTTTATAAGCTACTCAGTCTATGGTATTTTGTTATAGCAGCCCAAACAGACATTACCCACTCACCCTGAGTCCAAAAAACTGGAAAAAGTAGGTTACAAAGTAAAAAAACTTAATCCCCTGAGCCTGTTTCTTCAGTAGGGGTTGAAGACCAGAGTGATTCCATAGAGTAGAAGAAATGGAGAGGAGCAGACACAATAATCAGCACCTCTAGTGCTATCTTTCTGAGGGTGGGAGGAGCTGATTCTTTAATGGATCAGCTTCACATGCATTTCAAAGCCAACAATAACAACTTTTTGACTTATCAACTTCTCATGAGTCCCACATCTATTTGCCTACCATCTCCTTTGATTGCTCATTGTTACAAGAAATAAATGGGAATCAGGAGTTACTATCATTTCTTTATAATCAAGGCAAGTGGCCAAGTGATTTACCCAAGGCACAGAGCAATTGGTTCTAGGGGAAATAAATAAATTGCATTTTGTATATCAACTAGACTGCATCTTCAGGGAATTGTGCTGCATTGAAAACAATTTTCAAGCTACCTAATAATTATCTGTAAGCATCCTCTCTTCTTTAAAAAAATTTTTAAGACTTTCCTATGGAAAATCTACATTGTCAGCCCAGATGGGTGTTGGAATAGCAGGAAATAAGTTGGAGACTCAGAGAAAAATCTGCTTATGAAGGGCCTTAAGAGGCAGGCTAAGGGATTTAGAATTTGTGGCTTTGCTGAAAGGGATCACCATGAAGGTCAAATTCATAGAAAAGCAGGGTTAATTCAAAACAGAGAGAGTGATGAAGGCTGGGAGACCAGCTAGGAAGTTCGGTAATAAAGGCCTATTCTACAAAGTGGCAGCTGAAATGTAGACGATGCACAACATCTGAAAGATATTCCAAAGGGATAAATCATTTATTTTAATGGCCCTGGAGTTTAGGAATGGAACAGAACAAAAAGTCAAAGATGACTTGAAAGTTTCTGATTTGGAAAGCTAAAATGTATTGATATCCCCAGACAGATATGGAATGATAAGAATGGGAACAACAGAAGGAAGGCAGCCATTTTATAAGTCCCTGATAAGTAGGATTTGAAAGTACTTTTTGGGTAAGGAAGACATCTTGTAGCCAGTCATGGTGGCACTTGCCTGTAGTCCCAGCTAGTCAGAAGCACAAACAGACACTAAGGTGGGAGAATTGCTTGAACCTAGGAGTTGAAGGCTGTAGTGCCTGGGCAACAGAGTGAGGCCCCATCTTAAAAAAATAAAAATAAAAATCTTGAAAACAATACATATATGCATACAAAATTCTCCACTTCCTTTGTGATATGGTTTGGCTGTGTCCCCACCCAAATCTCATCTTGAATTTTAGCTCCTATAATCCCAACATGTTGTAGGAGGGACCCAGTGGGAGGTAATTGAATCACAGGGCAGGTTTCCCCACACTGTTCTCATGTTAGTGAATAAGTCTCATGAGATCTGATGGTGTTACAAAGAGCAGTTCTTCTGCACACATTCTCTTGCCTGATGCCATGTAACAGGTGCCTTTGCTCTTCCTTCACCTTCTGCCATGATTGTGAGGCCTCCCCAGCCATGTGGAACTATGAGTCCATTAAACCTTTTTTTTTTTTAAATAAATTACCCAGTCTTGGGTGTTTCTTCATAGCAGTATGAAAATGGACTAATATACTTTGTAAACACCTATTTGATAGTAGAAAAGGTGGAATTCAGACAATTTTCATTATTTTGGGAACATAATCCTGGGCACAGAAAATTAATCTTAAAGATAATTTATTATTACCACATAGAGCTATATACTGGGTGGGCTGAGAGTTTAGAAAAACTGTAAAGTTATTTAATCATTCTTTCATTTCCTTCATGTCACTGCCTCTAAAAACTTTACTAGTTGTCTAATAATCTTAGCCATGGGAAATTTAATACAATTTCCTTTACTTTAAATTATTCTTACTGCAAAATGTTTTAATTACCCCTACATGATAAAATTTAACTGATGATGGGAATCATTTCCAGGTTTGAAACGTGCATATTTGACAGACAAGTTATTATCATGGCTGATACTATTGCTTGCAGAAAAAACAGCAATCTAAATCCACATGGAAGCCAATACATCATATCCTAGTGTCGGTATCTTCAAACAGTGATAATCCAAGGGAATTGTAGGCTATTTGCCAAGAGAAATCACTCTAAAGTTATATCTAACTCTCTACTTCTGAAAACACACATATCTTGTAATTTAACCATCATCTAAAAGTTAACTCCTTTAAATTGAGGATGGGTCTCTCTAATCCAGTAGCTTTCAATCTTAACCACACATTGGAATCTCATGAAGAACTTTCAAAAGTACACTAATATCTAGCCCTCATCTTCTTCCTCTTTCTAATCTAATTGTTCTGGAATGTGGTTTGAGGATCAAGATTTTTAGAAACTCCCCGAGTGATTCTAATGTGCAGATAAGGTTGAGAATGTCTGCACCATTTTCCTAATGATTCTTTGAAAGTTCAGATTTCCTTTCACTTTTTAAACATTTCCTAAAGTTATAATAAAAGCCTTATTACAATATACCACTGGTATAAAGAGAAATAATGTCAGAGGGAATCAAACAAAAAAACAAAGCAAGGGGGTATGAGGAATCATTTTCCTAGGAAGTAGCAGAGCACTTGAGGGAGAAAATTGTCATTTGGGGAAATTATTTAAAGGCTTTTTATGGCAGGGCATGGTGGCTTATGTCTGTAATCCCAGCACTTTGGGAGGCTGAGGCAGGCACATCACCTGGGGTCAGGAGTTTGAGACCAGCCTGGCCAACATGGCGAAATCCTGTTTCCACTGAAAATACAAAAAAAAATTAACCGGGTGTAGTGGTACGTGTCTGTAGTCTCAACTATTTGGGAGACTGAGGCAGAAGAATTGCTTGAACCTGGGAGGTGGAAGCTGCAGTGAGCCAAGATCCTGCCACAATACCCCAGCTTGGGCAACAGAGCAAGCCTTCATCTCTAAATAAATAAATAAATAATTAAATAAGGCTTTTTAGATGGACAAACCAAGAACAAAAGACTCCTTTGTTTGGGAAATACTGAGTCTCAAGGTTGTTGAAATTTTCCAGCATAAGAGGCAAAAGATGTTTCCTTTTGGCAGAAAAGCTATTTCCTATAGTTTTTGTGGTTGCTTGGTTGGTTGCTTGGCCAACAGGTATGGTATTTTTAAGTGAGAATTTTGGTGATTTCTTCTGGTAGCTGAGACTTAGTTGTTTATTTGTTTGGTTTGTTTGTTTAGAGAAGGACTTTGGGAAAAGAGAAAGAAGATATTGGGAGAAAGTCTTCAAATGGCCCCTAGATTCATGCCAATAGGTCAGATTCTAAGATCTGGAGAGAAACTTCCATAGTAGGGTTTGTTGCTGGAGCTTTGAAACAGCAAATCAAATTTCCTTCTTTTCTATGTTGGAATGCCCCCTTGATTGTACATCTAGGCCTTCAATAAATCTTTGCTGATAATCACTACTACCTATTGTCTAGCCTGTGTTGGTGTGGTCTTAGAGAATGAAGAAAGGGAGCTGTGCTCATGCTTATAGCAAATTGGGTCAGCCTGCAGCAGCAGAGACGAAACATCAAAAGCCAGGAACAGCTATTGGGTGGGAGGTGACAACCAGCTATCCTAAAATGACTTTATTGAAACTTTCTGCAGTTTTACAGGAAGAAAGCTTAAGGTGTTCTGTTTAGAGATGAAAGTAATCAATAACTTCAGAAACTATAAATATTCAAAGAACATGTGCCTTTATCTCATAGCCTAGTTCATAATTCTAAACTTATTACAGCTGAGAACACTGGCACTCCTCATTATCCATGTTGTTTCTCTTCTTCCTGAGAACTCCCCTAAAAAATATCTTCTGCTTGCCTTACTACTACTATGTTGGGCCATGTGATTGGAGTACAATTAATGGAAAGTGAGTAGAGGTATTGTAAAACACTTTCAAAATTGACTCCTAGAACTTCTTGTATAATCTTTCATGTTCTTTCTCTTTGCTCATTAGGCAGCTGAATGCAGAGGTTCCAGTGCAGAAATTTGAAAAGAACTTAGAGGATGATAAAGCCACTAAATGAAGGAGACTGAGTACCTCAATCATTAAAAAAACAGTTGCCCCTCACTATTTAGGCTATGAAAAATATAAAACACTTATTATGTTAAGCCGTGAGATCTGTGGGTTGTTTGTTACAGCAGTGCTAGCAGTTAGCTTTACTTAACCTTACAATATACTAAGTGACTACCCAAACCCAAAAGTCCCATTCTGTACAGTCACTCAAAAGAAAAGAAAAAGTATTTTAAAATTCATATGGAACCAAAAAAGAGCCTCAATAGCCAAGGCAATCCTAAGCAAAAGAACAAAGCTGGAGGCATCACACTACCTAACTTTAAACTATACTATAGGGCTACAGTAACCAAAACAGCATTTTACTGGTACAAGAACAGACACATAGACAAATGGGTCAGAATAGACAGCCCAGAAACAAGGCCACATACCTGCAACCATCTGATCTTTGACAAAGCTGACAAAAACAAACAATGAGCAAAGGACTTCCTATTCAATAAGTGATGTTGGTATAACTGGCTAGCCATAGGCAGAAGATTAAAACTAGACCCCTTTCTTACACCATATACAAAAATCAACTCAAGATGGATTAAAGACTTAAATGTAAAACCCAAAACTATAAAAACCCTGGAAGACAACTTAGACAGTATCATTCTGACATAGGAATGGGCAAAGATTTCATGACAAAGATGCCAAAAGTAATTGTAACAAAAGCAAAAATTGACAAATGGGATCTAATTAAACTGAAGAGCTTCAGCACAGCAAAAGAAACTGTCAATAAACAGACAACCTACAAAATGGGAGAATTTTTTTGCAAACTATGCATCTGACAAAGGTCTAATATCCACTATCTGTAAGAAACTTAAAAATTCAGCAAGCAAAAACAAATGACTCCATTAAAAAGTGGGCAAAGGACATGAACAGACACTTTCCAAAAGAAGACATATATGTGGCCAACAAGCATATGAGAAAAGTTCAACATCACTGATCATTAGAAAAATGCAAATCAAAACCACAATGAGGTGCCATCTCACACCAGTCACAATGGCTATTACTAAAAAGCCAAAAAACAATAGATGCTGTTGAGGCTACACAGAAAAGAAAATGCATAGTTGGTGGGAAGGTAAATTAGTTCAGCCACTGTGAAAAGCAGTTTGGAAAATCCTCAAAGAGCTAACAACAGAACTACCATTTGACCCAGCAATCCCATTACTGGGCACATACCCAAAGGAATATAAATCCTTCTGTCATAAAGATACATGCATGAGTATGTTCATTGCGGTACTATTCACAAGAATAAAGACAAGGAGTCAACCTAAATGCCCATCGGTGATAGATCGGATAAAGAAAATGTGGTATATATACAACATTGAATACTATGCAGGCATAAAAAAGAATGAGATTATGTTCTTTGCAGTAACATAGATAAAACTGGAGACGATTATCCTTAACAAACTAATGCAGGAACAGAAAAACAAATACTGCATGTTCTCATTTATAAGTGAGAGCTAAATGATAAGAACACATGGCCACATAGAGGAGAACAACAAACCCTGGGGCCTACCAGAGGATGGAGGATGGGAGGAGGGAGAAGATCAGAAAAAATAAATATTGGGTACCAGGCTTAACACCTGGATGACAAAATAACCCTCATGACGTGGGTTTGCCTATATACAAACATGCACATGTACCCCTGAACTTAAAATAAAAGTTTAAAAAACTTAATAAATTTTTAATAATTCAAATCACACAAACAATGTTTTCTGACCATAATGGAAATAAAATAGGAAATCAACAAATAAAGAAATGCTGGAAAATTCCCCAAATACTTGAAAACTAAATCACATACTTCTAAGAAACCCACAGGTCAAAGAAGAAATCAATAGGGAAATTGGGAAGTATTTTGAACAGGTGACAATAAAAATACATTTCAAAATTTATGGAATAATGAATTACTTAGGAAAACTTTTAGCACTTCAAATTATGTTATTTCCTTAGTAGATCTATAGCCCATTTCTTCAACTCTGTTTCTCTCTTCCTTGTTATTTTCTTTCTGTCCACGTGAGGAGGGAAACTATGGTTTGATCTTCTTTGTTCTCCTACTAGTTATAATTTGTCCACTAAATTAACATGTATTGAGAAAGTACTGTTGGCCTATAGTGCTGGCTCAGAGTAGGAGCTTGACAAATATCTACTGAATAAATAAATGAGGAAATTTCAATTTGGAGACAGGGAAATGAAAGAAATAAAGAGAACTTGCAGCTCCACTGTCCATTGCTAAATCAAAACATTTTATATTTAGATTCATACTACTCATAAAATTGATCTTCATTTTCCTCTCTTAACAGCCCTTTCAAAAGAGTAATTCATAGAATTACAAATCTAATCTAGTCACATCAAATGCATAAGTCTCCTCTAGCATCTCCAATAAGATCTGTCCAGCTTCCTCTGAACACCTCCAATAAGAGTATTCAACATATGAATCAAATAGTCAATTCAATCTATGAATTTTCTAGACTCATGGTAGCACAATGCTTTGCATTTACCTTTCCAAACTGAACTGTAATTCAGATAAAAATAGAAACATAATCTCTGGCACTGAGTTTGAGTTTTTCTAGCTCAAGTGACCTGTCTCCATAACCTGCAGTCATTTGTAAAAAGGCAGAGCAATCTTCACTCAGTTACTTCAACCTCAGAAGATGGGATGTATCTCCAAAAGTTTCATTTTCTCCCTTTTGAAACTTATTAGAAAACACCTTATTTAGATGCATTGCCTTCAACATTTTTGCGTTTTTATTTTTTACACACTCTTGATATGCAAATTCCATGAACGTACACATCTGAAAGCATATATTAACCCCTTTAGAAGGTAAAGCAATGCCCAATACCATGGAAAAATGATTCTGATCACATTCCGATTTCCCCTTTATTGTTTGATGAAGACTGATTTTTTGAGTCCCCCTTAACATGGTTCCTGTTCATTTCTTTAGACCATTTTAGTGTACTCTTCCTAGACTTCTGCATTTCCACTATATCTTCGTCAGATGTGCATACACTATCCAAGAACTTACATCACAGAAAGGTGGTGTTTGTAGTTTGATTTCCATTACCTTTTTGATGATTCCTTCCATTTGCACTGCATCATTTGTTGCCTGTATCCCAGGATGTCTCTTGCCAGCGTCTGCAAAGAACAATCAACCATTACTGCCACATCCTGTTCTGGGGTTAAACTTAGAGAACAAAGTTTATCATATTTTAAGTATATTTTGGAATCTAATTTTCCAAGATACATTACTTGATTTGGTCACAATAATCAAATTTTGTTCTTAAATCCTTGGCACTATTCAACATTTTGTATACTCAGGTGAAGTTAATTTCATAACTATTTTGTGTTCCATGTCTGGTTAACTAATATTTTAAATGACATTATATCAAACATATAAATTCAGGCCTCTCTCCCAAAGGCAGTGTGTGACTCTTACTAATTTTTATTGGAACATAATAAACCCTGCCATTAATATAGCACTTTAGACTCCTAGGTAAAACCAACACCTTGTATTTAGAATGACAATAATCACTGTCATCTGCAGGCAACAAAAAGAAAAAAATCTCTGGTTTATACCAACTGGTTTGATCAAAGGCAACTGCAAGTGAACAAAATAATTATATTTCCAGGGAAAAATGCACACATAGATAAAAACACACTTGTCTATTTCCTGCCCTCTACATTTGCTTTGGTGCAAACAGTACAGAGAACAATCAGAATAATAATATTGAGAAAAAGCAGTTGCATTGGCAACCATGAGGTCACAATCTTTACTAAAGAATACAGGATGAGAACATGAGGAAATGGGAAATAGAGGTATCCCCAATAGCAGTTTTTTAGCATCATTAAGATTATAACTACTTTCAGTTTACATTCCAACCCCCTCTGCAACTCTTTCTGAGCAAATCAGTAATTTAACTTACCTGATAAGTCAAATTGATAACCAGTCACCTGTCTAGTGTCCATACTCAACTCAAGCCTATGTTATCTTGACAGATTGGATAAAGAAATTTAAACCTCATTAAAGCAAAGGTTGGATGTATTCCAATCCATTACGTTTATATATATAAATACGCTGTGGAAAAAATACTGCTACATCTCAGCTGGAAATGTGTTTTGATACAATGTTTTCAAGAAACAGTACTTTTTAAAGATGTCCTTGAGTAGTCTAATAGTTTTTCTCAATGGGAGCTGCTATTGGCAGTCAGAGGGAACACCTCTTCATTGTTCTGTACATTGCTGGATGTTTAGCATTCCTGGATGCCAACCACTAAGTGCCAGTAGATTGTCCCAGTCATATATTTGGGATATATATGGGAACCAGAAATGCTCCCATATATTTCAGAATGGCCCCCAAGGAAACAGTGCTGCCCTCTCTCCCAATTAAGAAACTTTGGGAAGGCTTCCCCCACAAAGTTGAAGGATTTCATCATTTCCCTATTGCATGGTCAAGTATTCTTTAGAGAAATTCTAAATCAAAGAAAAGAGAGCTAATTCTAGAGGATAATTTCTAATGAGCCATAAAAATGCTCATCCTTGCTTCTACCTCTTTCTAAATGATGCCTAAATGATTTTCTAATCTAAAATTAGAAACTTTAAAGAAAACATACATGCCAAAAACTAAGATAAATAAAATAAGATAAAATAAAATAAAAATACTTATAAAATGTTAAATTCTGTATGACAAAAAATGCAAAATAAGATACAAATATGAAACTAGAAACATAATTGCAGGGGTTAATAACTTAAACATACAAAAAATCCCCACATAGCAATGAGAAAAAACTAATGTCCAGTAAAAAACTGAACTGAGGAATTAGCAAGCAAACAATAAGAAAAATGGCTAATAATGTAGAAAAAACATATTCAACCTCATTAGTAATCAAGTATAAATAATATACATTTAAACAATGAAATATAAATACATTTATATGTTTTATGTATAGTGAAAATACATTTAAATGAAAATACTCAGTATTGGTGAGGATTCACAGAAGTGCGAGAATAGGGACAAAATTGATGTTGCCCTTATGAAGTAAATCTAGCCATAGCTAGCAAAGCCTTAAAATTTTGCAAGTCATTTAATTCATCAGCATCAACTTTGGGAATTTAGACAAGGAATATAATTGTGGTTGCAGGCAAAAATTTGGCTACAACACTGTTCACTGAATCTCTTTTTCTTATTTTGTGGGTACATAGTAGGTGTATGTATTTATGGAGTACATAAGATATTTTGATATAGGCATATGATGGGTAGTAACTAAATCAGGGTAAATGGAACCATCTATCATCTCAAGCATGTATTCTTTCTTTGTGTTACAAATTATCCAATTATCCTCTTAGTTATTTTGAAATGTACAATAAATTATTATTGACTGTAGTCACCCTGCTGTGCTATCAAATACTAGATCCTATTCATTCTGACTATATTTTCATAGCCATGAATCATTTTTTTGTGGTAAAAAAGTAGATACATGTATATTTTCAAGAATAGGAAAATTTAGTGAATAAACTATGGTATATCTAGAAAATAAAATATTATGAATTTAAAATAATGCCTTTGAAAATTATTTAATGACATGGAAAAATGTTCTTAGTATATTATTAATGGGAAAAAGCAAGGCTCCACATCCATGGGTATTGGTCCCAGGATCCCAGTGGATATCAAAATTCAAGAATGCTCAAGTCCCTGATATGAACTAGCATAGTATTTGCATCTAACCTACACACAATCTCTCAGATACATTAAATCTTCTCTAAATTACTTATAATGCCTAATATATTGCAATTGCTATGTAAGTAGTTGTTATAGTATATTGGTTTTTATTTGTATTATTTTCTATTGTACTGTAAACATTTTTTTCCAAATATTTTTGATCTGTGGTTGGTTGAACTAATGAATGCAGAATGGCAGACACAGAGGGCCCACTGTTCGTAAAATATGACACTCTTTTTATAAAACACATATGCATGTGTTTATATAATCAGAGAGAGAGAGGGGCCATATTTGTCTCATAGAGAAAGACTGTCTATTTTACTCTTCTTTGCAAATTCAAAACCTGGCATGGTGCCTGGAACAGAGTATGTGCTAAGAGTGTACCAAATCAATCACATGTATAAATAAATTGGTAATAAAGGACATTCCCTAAAATGCTATTGAAGCTGAGATTAATTATGTTTTTCTTTCTTCTCTTTGTTTACATTTATTTGGGGGGTTTTATACAATGAGCGTAGATTACTTTTCTGACTTCAAAAAAAGTGTAAGTCCTATGGAAAGCTTTAACTTTGTTGGAAAGAAGTTTGTGGATCTTAAAGGGAAGGATTTCAGTCATGATACAGCAAGTTTGCCTCTATTGGTCATGATCAACTCTTTCTTAGACATAATTTGAGCTAATTCAAAAGCCTACTCACTGCTGGGGTAGAAAAGTGAGTCCCGGCCAGGCGTGGTGGCTCACACCTGTAATCCCAGCATTTTGGGAGGCAGAAGCAGGAGGAGAGCTTGAGCCCAGGAGTTCAAGACAAGCCTGGAAAACATAGGGGAACACTGTCTCTATAAAAAATAAAATAATTAACCGGGCATGGTGGTGCATGCCTGTGGTCCAAGCTATTCAGGAAGCTGAGGTAGGAGAATTGCTTGAGCCCTGGATGGAGGTCGAGGCTGCAGTGAGCTGTGATCGCACCATTGCACTCCAGTCTGGATGACAGAGGGAGGTACTGTCTCAAAAAGAAACAAAAATAAGAAGAAGAAAGAAGAAGAAGGATAAGGAGAAGAGGAGGAGGAGGAAGAAGAAGAAGGGGAGGAGGAGGAGGAAGAGGGGGAGGAGGAGTGAGTCCCCCCATAGACTTCAGAAGTAAGGTAAGACAATAGACCTCTGAATCATCCCAACTAACACAGTAAGCGGAGACATAGTAACTGAAGAGAAGAATCCCTGGGGACACCTCAGAGAACAAGATTCTAGTGCCTGTTGTTCAGTAACTCAGATGGTAAAAGCATTATAGACAACGACGTTAGGCTCTGATTTTCTCTTTCACTTTTGAGCTTGCTTTAATTCTTGTTTGAAGCAATGTGTGTATCTTACGTCAACTAACAACAATGTTATAATTTGAGGGACGGTTTAGTTGCTTTAAGACTAAGATTTCTGGCTCCATCACATCCCTTGTGTAGAAGGCAGTGGCCTACTATAACAAATAAGCAAGGGTACCACCTCGTCGCAGCTCACTAAATATATACATGGTTCCTGAGCACTGGAAGAAACTTAAGAAAAAGTTGAAAAGAGGTGATAATATTGCAGAGATTGGCGTAACATGCCTCAACAGGTTCAGTGCCCTGAATTGCAAAAGGTTTCCTTCTACCGAGGATTTTAGCTTTCAGAAATGTGACAGTTTTGGTCAGCGTAGAAAAAATATCAACCCGAATTGCCGTTATCTCTACCATAAGTTACTAAACACGAGGCTCTTCTGGAGATTAACTACTGATCTCTCATAACACCGTTTATAACATAACCAAAATTATCTGGTTTCAGGGAGCTATTGTCCTCTCCTCATTACTTATTCTGTTATTTAATGAACATTTATTGAACGCCTTTATTTTCCAGGAACCACACTAGACTCTGGGAACATAAACATGAGAAAGATACATTCTCCAGCTGGTGAAACACTCATACTATATATTAAGTAAAATTTCTAGAAGGCCATTGGTTTGAACTGAGCTCCTGCACTAGGCCCCAACAGACCAAACCAAAATGAAGTAACCCATGCTAAAGTTCCCCATCACCAAAACTAAGTTTTTTGTCTGACCTTCTGAGAAAGTAAGAGAGAAAAAGAAATAATAGCCAAATCCCCAAACAGGCCAGTTTTAGTGAATATAGTAAGGAAGTCCCCTCTGCTTTAACCCTTACAAGGAAAGTAACCTGCTGTTAACCAATCTGCTTTTTGTATTATGTTGTTTCCTTATTTCTCCTCAAGCTTTTAAAAACAGACTCTTCCAGTTGGGGGCGGTGGCTCACGCCTGTAATCCCAGCACTTTGGGAGGCCCAGGAGGGTGGATCATAAGGTCAGGAGATTGAGACCATCCTGGCTAACATGGCAAACCCCGTCTCTACTAAACAAACACACACACACACACACACACACACACACACACACACACACACACACACAAACACACACAAATTAGCCAGGCATGGTGGCACGTACCTGTGGTCCCAGCTACTCGGGAGGCTGAGATGGGAGAATCACTTCAACCCAGGAGGCGGAGGTTGCAGTGAGCTGAGATCACACCACTGCTCTCCATCCAGCCTGGGTGACAGAGTGAGACTCCGTCTCAGCAGCAGCAACAACAGCAACAACAACACTTGACTCTTCCATCACTCCCAACAGAGCACCACTCTATTTTTTAGATGAGATGCTACCTGACTCATGAATCACAAATAAAAGTCAATTTGACGATTTAACTAAACTTGTTGCAATTTTGTCTCTTAACGTTTACCATGAGATACTATGTTGAATGATCTGTTGTCAACTGGGCATCACCATCATTCCTTTTAAGGTCTTCTCCCACAATCCACTTACCTAGGATGTGGAACTGCCCATAGAAGTCACTCAAGATTTGGAAGACAGAAGAAAAAGAGAAGTTCTATCCTCTAGAGGCAACCTCATCTTGACTGAAGCAAATGAGAGCTTCAGAATGGCTCCCTGGTGAGCTCTTGAGAACTCATCTGTGTCACTGCTACACTCGGAGGGAGTGGGGGACCTCTTAGAGATTCTTAAGAGTTGCAGCAGCTTGCTGGTAAGTTCCTGAGAAGCCCCTGCCCTGTTGTTTCCGGATGAGATCTCCAATGTCTGCTTTCCTTCCCCTGGCTTCCCTGGCCTTCAATATTCCCCAGCTTTACCAACAGTCAAGCAAGTCCCTAATTCCTAATAACAAACCCCTTCTGCCCCCAAAACATGGAGTGTCTCCTGTTTTCCTGACCAACCCTGACTGACTCAAACACATAGCTAGATAATACACATAGCTAGATAATTCTACAATATTGCTGTAGTGTCATGAAAACCAGACTGTATCAGATTTTATGAAAATTGAGTAGCAGGAAAGTATCCCAGCTTTAGAAGATTGAGGGAGGCTTCCTAGAGAAACTGGCATCTAAGGTAAGTCTGAAAGATGAAAATAAAACATCTAGGCACAAAGAAAGATTCAGAAACTAAGATATTTAGAAAAAAAGTTAGGTTTTGGAAGGACTGGGTAACCAAAAATAAAAGCATATTTAAAGGGGAAAACGCACAAGACTAAAAAAGTTACCAAACTTACAATTAGTGTGTTGGCGAAGAATAAAACAACAGGTTTCTTGCATGATTACCATTCCTGTAAAGCTCACTGCACATTTGTAGAAATCACTGTGGCAAAATGCAGTAATGCTGTTGGTGCTTTGTCCACCCCAAACCCTTACCAGATTGGTACACCAAGTTCCCCAGCTGCTGTGAGTGATAGCCACCAATGGCTCACAACTGCACACTTCTCCAAAGAATTGCTATTCACCTGGAAGTTTCTGGAGGACTTTGCCTTCCTCCAAAGGCATTCACAACTGAGGGCTGATACAGAGGCCTGCAAAACCTGACCCCCTCACCTTAAGGTGATGCCAACTTTGTGATGCCATTCAAACTCTCTGTGGGAGCAGGCTGAGGCTGAACTACAGCAGAAACTTCATCTTTGCTTAACTTTTCCCCTGTCCTAGAGTTACACGCCTGTAACCCTAGCACTTTGGGATGCTGAAGCAGGCAGATTGCCTGAGCTCAGGAGTTCAAGACCAACCTGGGCAACATGGCGAAACCCCATCTCTACCATAATACAAAAAAATTAGCTGGACATGGTGGCACATACCTGTAGCCCCAGCTACCTGGGAGGGTAAGGCAGGAGAATCACTTGAACCCAGAAAGTGGGGGTTCCAGTGAGCCAAGATTGTGCCACTGCACTCAGCCTGGGTGACAGAGGAAGAATCTGTCTCCTAAATAAATAAATAAATAAATAAATAAATAAATGTGTAGGCCGTTTTCTTGTTCATCTGTATTTTGTTATAGGAGCCTCAGCCATGAACCTAGGGTGGGTGAGGAAAAGATTATTTTCCTTTCCTACACGTACAGCCCTTATTCTCCACTAAGTAGAGTAATGCCTGACAAGAAGGCACTGAACACAGGATTGTTGAAGGAATGCCTCAATGCAGAAGTGAAATAAAACTGCACAAAATTCCTTCTGGTGTTTAACAATGTTCTAGTTATTATATTAAGAAGAGGAATCAAGGGAGGGCTACTGATTGTGTGAGTTATACAGAGTATGTGTAGATTAATCTATCTAGATTAATGTTAGCACTCAGGACATGGTTTGTTTGACTTGAAAATTCTTAAACATTTTGATATTTTAAAATCGGGATTTTTTTTCACAAAAATCTGGATTTCTGGATTCCCTCACAATAAAAGACCACCAGTGTTGCCACATGGCATCAAAAGCCTGGATCTGAGGAGTGGACTGTGCCTGGACTTTCTTTGCCATTGGCCACAGCTCCCCACCCCTGACCAAGAGGCTTCACATGTCCACCTGCCTGGCCCCTTGCAGCATGTGTAATTTCTGGTTGGGTGATAATGTATGACATTACATATCACATGGTCCATATGTCCACTGCTGTCATCACAAACTTTCCTGCCAGTTCTAGTCCTTTTGCATTGCTACAAAGGAATACCTGACACTGGGTAACTTATAAAGAAAATAGGTTTATTTGGCTGACAGTTCTGCAGGCTGTACGAGCATGGCACCTGAATCAGCTAAGCTTCTGGGGAGACCTCAGGGAGCTTTTGCTCATGGCAGAAGACAAAGGAAAAGCAGGCAGGTCACATGGCCAGAAAAGGAGCAAACAGTGGGGGGTGGGGGAAGAGCCTAGATTCTTTTAAATAACCAGATTTCATGTGAACTAACTGACCAAGAACCCACTCATCAACCAGGGGATGACACTAAGCCATTCATAAGAGATCTGCCCCCATGACCCAAATACATACCACTAGACCCACCTTCAACATTGGAGGTCACACTTTAACATAATTTGGGAGGGGATAAACATCTAAACCATATTACTACCCAAAGAAGAACTCACATTTTCCCCCTTTCTCCACTGGCCCTCCCCAACCCTTGCTTTCTCCTGTATTCCCTATCTCAGCTTGGGAGACCACCTCCCCCACCACTAGCCAAGATGAATCAGAGTCAGGGTGAACCACAGGGCATAGTGTATTTCAATGTCAGGAAGATGGAAGAAAGCTGGCTTTGCAACGCAGTCCAAGGTCTGTGACATTACGTATCACATGGCACAATATGACAAAGATGTGTACAAGGTCATTAGCTGGGGTTTTGGTTTTAATCTATGAACACAAAAAATACTAAACTACAAATTAACAGATGCACAGGATTCAGATGTTAAAAGAGACAGAAAAATTCCCCAAAGTTTGTGGAACAGTCAGTTGAGTATCATCTTGCCCCACCTTGTGGTCATTTGGGAGCATACAACCTAGAGAACTCCTGTGCCAAATACAACAGATAATGTCTTACATTTTCATTGGTGACAGGAATATGTAATAGAATTGCTATAATGTTGCCTTTGGTGTGTTTAGCAAAGCTCCCAAGTTAGCAGTTCATTGAATTTGATCTGGTCAGTAGGTACAGAGCCCCAGAAACCCAGCCACTTTACCCAATAATGAATCATTCTTTTTAACTGTGTTTTCTTCTCACTTCCTGAAATGGACCAACACACATGCTGGGTTCTTCCCTGCCCCTCCACTTTCATACCTGCTGCTCCATAACTTCCTACTTTCCACTAAAACTACTGCCTGTGAGTTCTTTTCTGGTAGGAACTAAAGGCACTTCTTGCACAGAAAGGAGGTCATCATAATGGTGGCTCACCAAGTTCTATGAGTCATCTTTCTACATATGAAAGTTGCCTTGTAATATAGAACTCTTTTCTGTCATATCCATTATAATTGACACATTATTCCACTGGCCACAAGTTGACCATCTTCTTGTTCAGTGTTTGGGCTGCTTGTACATTGTTTCTTCAACCATAAAATGGGGATGGTACCAACAGCGGGTATCTCTCAGACTTCTCATAGAGACTGAGTATGGTCTTACACCAGAGTTAGGTGCACAGTAAGTCATCAGCACACATTAGCTGATATTATGTGTAAACTAAGTGCTCAATACACATTTTGTGTTTTAGCTACATTTGCGTAAACTGAGACAAGTCAGGGCTCAGTAGAGTGGGTGATTATGAGAACGAGTTTATGTAGATTTTTGCTACATTCAAAAAGCAAATAACAGATTTGAGGTTGTTCACATCTTTTCTTACCCTCCATAGTATAAAGGATCTCAGTTACATAAGAACACACATTGTGCAGGTATCTTTAGGCTAGTGGATCAAAGAAGAGGGAGACAAAAGGTTCACAAAAACAATACATATACAACTTCATAGTGGCCTGTACAACAGTCATATGATGTCTACAAGTTAAAACTGCTCACCAAGTACCTATAGCAAATTATAGAACTTCTGTGCTTGGATCATTTTATGAAATAAAGATGTCATCTCTTCAATTTAGTATAAAATAGTTTCCCTACACTACTACCTTTCAGAAAAGACGTAAAATTGCCTCCAGAGAAAAAAATATGTTGTGGCTGCCACCCTGTGGTTTTGTTTTATATTGTTGCCTTCAGATATTAAATAAATATTTCATACAGCCACAACCAATTTCTAAAATATACTGGCAATTTCTAGGTATGACTTTCTTCCTAGTATTATTAAAAATTCACCAAGTTGCAAAGAGGACTATAAATTAATTTATTGGTATCAATTTATTGACTAGGTGGGGCCTGAAATAGGGTAAAAACTCACAGAGAGCAAAATCACATCTAAGTCACAAAAGAGCTAAATTGCATCACTGATGCATACATATACATGCTCATGACAACTTTAAAAAATTAAAATACTATCTTCTGCTTATTTATAGATGTGCTAAATAACTTATGAGCTACCCATAAAACAGACCATATACTCCCATTAACAAGACAGAAAAAAATAAAGAACTATATTTTTTCAATGTACATAATTATATTCTACAGTCTATCCCTTTGAAAGGTAACACAGAGTAGGGGTTAAGCATAAGGGGTTGAAAACCCTGAACCTGGGATCCAATATCCCACTTCTATTATGTGTTAGCTACATGATTTCAGGCATGCAGTGTAATACCTCTATATGTTGCCTTCCTCATCCACAAAACATGGATCAGCTCAAAGGAATAAACCTCACAAGCTGTTGTGAAGACTGGTTATAGCTTTTAGAGCAGTCCTTGGCACTCAGAAGGGTAACCAATTAATGTTAACGCTTACTCTGTATAACCAAAATTATAATGGTATGAGCCAAAGTGGCTTTATTGCTAGAAATCAGCCCTTCCCCTTCAAACTGTTCCGTTTCTCACCTGTGATCAGATACTGATTCCCCTAGTTCTTTCATTCTGCCTCCTTCTGCCAACACACTGATGTTGTGGCTGCTGGTGACCCCGGAAGTGCAATTTCTGCTGGAGTTGGAGGCCCTCAAATGACTGACAGCAGGATTTCAAAATTGCTCCTGAATAGGGTTTTCTATATTTCTTCTGTTTTATCCTTTTTGAATATGTTTTGTTGTTGCTGCAGTTATTCTACTCCTGCTGAATTACATATTGGACAGATGGGGAGCAGATCACTTTTTTCTTAGTTTATGAAGTGCCATCTCCAGCCCTGAAATAGACTTCCACATAAGTACATCACCCAGAGATCCTAAACTCTGGGCTTGGAGTCCTTCCACAATGGAATTCCCCAGTTGTCACCCTCAAAAAGGGGTGAATATATTTCTTGCATAGGAGAGTGAATTCAATATTTTGTTATTAGAGAGCAGATTTGAGGAGTCACTAGTGCTGTTCTCCAAATATTTTATTTTCCTTTCTAATATATGCTCCCTTGAAGTTAGGTGTGGCCAGATGACTTACATGTAATGTGAACAAAAGTGATGTGTCTCTTCAGAGTGGACACTTTAAGTTTCAGTAAATAATTCACCACTTTTTCCATCCCCTGCCTTGCTGATGGTGGAATTATGTCAAGGTTGTGACTCCATCAGCCTGGGTTCCAGAGTACTTAAAATCCCCTCAACAATGGGCAGAGCCCCCCATAGGCCAAGGTGGACATACAGTTTCAGCAAAAAAAAAAAAAAAAAAAAAACCCTTTTGTGGTAATGCACTGAAATTTTGGGATTGTTTCCTCGGTTCACCTAGTCTATGCCATTACAGAAAATGATTAGCCTCACTGCAGTCCCTGGGAGATTCCCTGAACTCCTTGTTCTTGCTCCCAATAAAAGCCCCTTTCCTTTGTCTCCCGATTCACACCAGAGACCCAGGCTACAGTTTCAGGCTGACATTGCAAGACAATATTTAGAAAAGAACTACTCGGAGGGTGGAGCCAAGATAGCCAAATAGGAACAGCTCCAGTCTACATCTCCCAGCATGAGCGACGCAGAAGATGGGTGATTTCTACATTTCCAACTGAGGTACCAAGTTCATCTCACTGGGGAGTGTCAGACAGTGGGTGCAGGACAGTGGGTGCAGTGCACAGTGCATGATCCGAAGCAGGGTGAGGCATGGCCTCACCCGGGAAGTGCAAGGGGTCAAAGAAAGGGGTGACAGACAGCACCTGGAAAATCAGGTCATTCCCACTGCACTTTTCCAATGGGCTCCACAAATGGCACACCAGGAGATTATATCCTGCACCTGGCTTGGAGGGTCCTACACCCATGGAGCCTTGTTCATTGCTAGCACAGCAGTCTGAGATCAAATCGCAAGGTGGCAGCAAGGCTGGGGGAGGGGCGTCTGCCATTGCCGAGGCTTGAGTAGGTAAACAAAGTGGCCTGGAAGCTCGAACTGGGTGGAGCCCACCACAGCTCAAGGAGGTCTGCCTGCCTCTGTAGACTCCACCTCTGGGTGCAGGGCATAGCCAAACAAAAGGCAGCAGAATCCTCTGCAGACTTAAATATCCCTGTCTGGCAGCTTTGAAGAGAGTAGTGGTTCTCCCAGCACACAGCTGGAGATCTGAGAATGGACAGACTGCCTCCTCAAGTGGGTCCCTGACCCCTGAGTAGCCTAACTGGGAGGCACGCCCCAGTAGGGGCGGACTGACACCTCACACAGCCGTGTACTCCTCTGAGACAAAACTTCCAGAGGAACGATCAGGCAGCAACATTTGCTGCTCACCAATATATGCTCTTCTGCAGCCTCCACTGCTGATACCCAGGCAAACAGGGTCTGGAGTGGACCTCCAGCAAACTCCAACAGACCTGCAGCTGAGGGTCCTGACTGTTAGAAGGAAAACTAACAAACAGAAAGGACATCCAAACCAAAACCCCAACTGTACGTCACCATCATCAAAGACCAAAGGTAGATAAAACCACAAAGATGGGGAAAAAACAGAGCAGAAAAACTGGAAACTAAAAATCAGAGCACCTCTCCTCCTCCAAAGGAATGCAGCTCCTCACCAGCAATGGAAAAAAGCTGGATGGAGAATGACTTTGATGAGTTGAGAGAAGAAGGCTTCAGACACTCAAACTACTCCAAGCTAAAGGGGGAAGTTCGAACCCATGGCAAAGAAGTTAAAAACCTTGAAAAAAAATTAGACAAATGGCTAACTAGAATAATCAATGCAGAGAAGTCCTTAAAGGACCTGATGGAGCTGAAAACAAAGGCACGAGAACTACGTGATGAATGCACAAGCCGCAGTAGCTGATTCAATCAACTGGAAGAAAGGGTATCAGTGATGGAAGATCAAATGAATGAAATGAAGTGAGAAGAGAAATTTAGAGAAAAAAGAATAAAAAGAAATGAACAAAGCCTCGAAGAAATATGGGACTATGTGAAAAGACCAAATCTACATCTGATTGGTGTACTGGAAAGTGATGCGGAGAATGGCAACAAATTGGAAAACACTCTGCAGGATATTATCCAGGAGAACTTACCCAATCTAGCAATGCAGGTCAACATTCAAATTCAGAAAATACAGAGAACACCACAAAGATACTCCTTGAGAAGAGCAACTCCAAGACACATAATTGTCAGATTCACCAAAGTTGAAATAACGGAAAAAATGTTAAGTGCAGCCAGAGAGAAAGGTTGGGTTACCCACAAAGGGAAGCTCATCAGACTAACAGCTGATCTCTCGGCAGAAACTCTACAAGCCAGAAGAGAGTGGGGGCCAATATTCAACATTCTTAAAGAAAAGAATTTTCAATCCAGAATTTCATATCCAGCCAAACTAAGCTTCATAAATGAAGGAGAAATAAAATCCTTTACAGACAAGCAAATGCTGAGAGATTTTGTCACACCAGGCCTGCCTTGCAAGAGCTCCTGAAGGAAGCACTAAACATGGAAAGGAACAACTGGTACCAGCCACTGCAAAAACATGCCAAATTGTAAAGACCATCAAGGCTAGGAAGAAACTGCATCAACTAATGAGCAAAATAACCAGCTAACATCATAATGACAGGATCAAATTCACACATAACAATATTAACCTTAAATGTAAATGGGCTAAATCCTCCAATTAAAAGACACAGACTGGCAAATTGGATAAAGAGTCAAGACCCATCAGTGTGCTGTATTCAGGAAACCCATCTCAAGTGCAGAGACACACATAGGCTCAAAATAAAGAGATGGAGGAAGAGCTACCAAGCAAATGGATAACAAAAAAAAGGCAGGGGTTGCAATCCTAGTCTCTGATAAAACAGACTTTAAACTAACAACGATCAAAAGAGACAAAGAAGGACATTACATAATGGTAAAGGGAACAATTCAACAAGAAGAGCTAACTATCCTAAATATATATGCACTCAATACAAGAACACCTAGATTCATAAAGCAAGTCCTGAGAGACCTACAAAGAGACTTAGACAACCACACAATAATAATGGGAGACTTTAACACCCCACTGTCAGCATTAGACAGATCAACAAGACAGAAAGTTAAAAAGGATATCCAGGAATTGAACTCAGCTCTGCACCAAGTGGACCTAATAGAAATCTACAGAACTCTCCACTCCAAATCAACAGAAGATACATTTTTATCAGCACCACACCACACTTATCCCAAAATTGACCACATAGTTGGAAGTAAAGCACTCCTCAGCAAGTGTAAAAGTACAGAAATTATTACAAACTGTCTCTCAGACCACAGTGCAATCAAACTAGAACTCAGGATTAAGAAACTCACTCAAAATTGCTCAACTGCATGGAAACTGAACAACCTGCTCCTGAGTCACTACCGGGTACATAACAAAATGAAAGCAGAAATAAAGATGTTCTTTGAAACCAACAAGAACAAAGACACAATATACCAGAATCTCTGGGACACATTCAAAGCAGTGTGTAGAGGGAAATTTATAGCATTAAATGCCCACAAGAGAAAGCAGGAAAGATTTAAAATGGACACCCTAACATCAAAATTAAAATAACTAGAGAAGCAAGAGCAAACATTCAAAAGCTAGCACAAGGCAAGAAATAACTAAGATCAGAGCAGAAATGAGGGAAATAGAGACATAAAAAGCCCTTCAAAAAATCAATGAATCCAGGAGCTGTTTTTTTGAAAAAGATCAATGAAATTGATAGACTGCTAGCAAGATTAATAAAGAAGAAAAGAGAGAAGAATCAAATAGACTCAATAAAAAATGATAAAGGGGATATCACCACTGATCCCAGAGAAATACAAACTACCATCAGAGAATACTATGAACACCTCTGCACAAATAAACTAGAAAATCTAGAAGAAATGGATACATTCCTCAACTCATACACCCTCCCAAGACTAAACAAGGAAGAAGTTGAATCTCTGAATAGACCACTAACAGGAGCTGAAATTGAGGCAATAATTAACAGCTTACCACCAAAAAAAGTCCAGGACCAGATGGATTCACAGCCAAATTCTACCACAGGTACAAGGAGGAACTGGTACCATTCTTTCTGAAACTATTCCAATCAATAGAAAAAGAGGGAATCCTTCCTAACTCATTTTATGAGGCCAGCATCATCCTGAAACCAAAGCCTGGCAGAGACACAATAAAAAAAAACAATTTTAGACCAATATCCTTGATGAACATTGATGCAAAAATCCTCAATAAAATACTGGCAAACCAAATCCAGCAGCACATCAAAAAGCTTATCCACCATGATCAAGTGGGCTTCATCCCTGGGATGAAAGGCTGGTTCAACATACACAAATCAATAAATGTAATCCAGCATATAAACAGAACCAATGACAAAAACCACATGATTATCTCAATAGATGCAGAAAAGGCCTTTGACAAAATTCAACAACACTTCATGGTAAAAACTCTCAATAAATTATGTATTGATGGGATGTATCTCAAAATAATAAGAGCTATTTTTGACAAACTCACAGTCAATATCAAACTGTATGGGCAAAAACTGGAAGCATTCCCTTTGAAAACTGGCACAAGACAGGGATGATCTCTCTCACCACTCCTATTTAACATAGTGTTGGAAGTTCTGGCCAGGGCAATCAGGCAGGAGAAAGAAATAAAGGGCATTCAATTAGGAAAAGAGGAAGTCAAATTGTCCCTGTTTGCAGATGACATGATTGTATATCTAGAAAACCCCATCATCTCAGCCCAAAATCTCCTTAAGCTGATAAGCAATTTCAGCAAAGTCTCAGGATACAAAATCAATGTGCAAAAATCACAATCATTCTTATACACCAGTAACAGAAAGAGATCCAAATCATGAGTGAATTCCCATTCACAATTGCTTCAAAGAGAATAAAATACATAGGAATCCAACTTACAAGGGACGTGAAGGACCTCTTCAAGGAGAACTACAAACCACTTCTCAATGAAATAAAAGAGGATACAAACAAATGGAAGAACATTCCATGCTCATGGGTAGGAAGAAACAATATCGTGAAAATGGCCATATTGCCCAAGGTAATTTATAGATTCAATGCCATCCCCATCAAGCTACCAATGACTTTCTTCACAGAATTGGAAAAAACTACTTTAAAGTTCATATGGAACCAAAAAAGAGCCCACATTGCCAAGTCAATCCTAACCCAAAAGAACAAAGCTGGAGACAGCATGCTACCTGACTTCAAACTACACTACAAGGCTACAGTAACCAAAACAGCATGGTACTGGTACCAAAACAGAGATATAGACCAATGGAACAGAACAGAGCCCTCAGAAATAATGCCATGTATCTACAACCATCTGGTCTTTGACAAACCTGAGAAAAACAAGAAACAGGGAAAAGATTCCTTATTTAATAAATGGTGCTGGGAAAACTGGCTAGCCATATGTAGGAAGCTGAAACTGGATCCCTTCCTCACACCTTATACAAAAATTAATTCAAGGTGGATTAAAGACTTAAGTGATTTTTTGTGCCCTAAAACTTAAAGTATAATAAAAAAAAGACTTAAATTATAGACCTAAAACTATAAAAACCCTAGAAGAAAACCTAAGCAATACATTCAGGACATAGGCATGGGCAAGGACTTCATGGCTAAAACACTAAAAGCAATGGCAACAAAAGCCAAAATTGACAAATGGGATCTAATTAAACTAAAGAGCTTCTGCACAGCAAAAGAAACTACCATCAGAGTGAACAGGCAACCTATGGAATGGGAGAAAATTTTTGCAATCTACTCATCTGACAAAGTGCTAATGTCCAGAATCTACAATGAACTCCAACAAATTTACAAGAAAAAAATAACAACCCCATCAAAAAGTAGGCGAAGGATATGAACAGACTTTTCTCAGAGGAAGACATTTATGCAGCCAAAAGACACGTGAAAAAATGCTCATCATCACTGGCCATCAGAGAAATGCAAATCAAAACCACAATGAGATATCATCTCACACCTGTTAGAATGGCGATCATTAAAAAGTCAGGAAACAACAGGTGCTGGAGAGGATGTGGAGAAATAGGAACACTTTTACACCGTTGGTGGGGTTGTAAACTAGTTCAACCATTGTGGAAGTCAGTGTGGCGACTCCTCAGGGATCTAGAACTAGAAATACCATTTGACCCAGCCATCCCATTACTGGGGATATACCCAAAGGATTATAAATCATGCTGCTATAAAGACACATGCACACATATGTTTATTGTGGCACTATTCACAATAGCAAAGACTTGGAACCAACCCAAATGTCCAACAATGATAGACTGGATTAAGAAAATGTGGCACATATACACCATGGAATACTCTGCAGCTATTAAAAATGATGAGTTCATGTCCTTTGTAGGGACATGGATGAAGCTGGAAACCATCATTCTCAGCAAACTATCGCAAGGACAAAAAACCAAACACCGCAAGTTTTCACTCATAGGTGGGAATTGAACAATGAGAACACATGGACACAGGAAGGGGAACATCACACATTGGGGACTGTTGTGGGGTGGGGGGAGCAGGGAGGGATAGCATTAGGAGATCTACCTAATGCTAAATGATGAGTTAATGGGTGCAGCACACCAACATGGCACGTGTATACATATGTAACTAACCTGCACGTTGTGCACATGTACCCTAAAACTTAAAGTATAATAATAATAAAAAAATCCTTACCGCTGCTCTAGGACAAGTCTCCAGAAGTGACTTTGGCTCAACATAAAAGAGAAAAAAATGAAATACTATCTTGTAAAATAGAGCTGACATGAATTCCTATAGAAGACTTAGGTCTTGAGTGTGCCTAGGCAGCTGTAGGAATGCAGGCAGAACAAAAATAGTGTAGTCCTTTGATGACTAAGGTGAGGCAAGAACTGGAAGGAAGCCACGTGGGCACAAGACGCAAATGTCATCTAAAGCAGCTCTGCCAGGAGAGTGCTGTGAGTTCTTGTGGACATCAGAGCATTTTTCCTTTTCCTAGCTTACCCTCCACTTTACTGTGATACAGGAAAAAAATTCTAGTTACCTCTTATGAAAAGACTGTATGAACATAAATGACAATAGCAAAGTTTTAGATTTAGGACTTTTATTTTTTTCACACCCAAGTTAGCCTGAATTGACTGTCATTGTTCCCCTATCTATCCATAATCCCCACGCAGCAAGAAGAAATATTTGCTTTCACATTACAGCATAAAGAGCACTTAAGCTTTGGCAGCTGACTTGTAGTGGGTCAGTGTGTGGGCAGAAGGGTCAGTGGCATTGATCCACTTGGGCATCCAGTAATGGCTCAGCCAGTCAGCCTGGCCTGGGTAATGGCATTCAAAGATTTGATGATATTAATATCCTTCTTTGCTTTTAGGAATATTGAAGGGAAATTTCTGGGCTGCATTTGCCATCATTGCATCATCAACCTGTAAGAATAAGCATATAAGAGCAAAACAGTTTTTTAACATGGCATGGAAATACTTACATTTACTCTCGTTTCACAAAACAGAAAACGTTAAGATAAGACATGACTGTAAATTGCATGAGACCCTTTGAATCACCCAACACTTAGAAAATGTTAAAGTATTCATAATATGCATAGCTGCAGTGACTTTTAAAGAACACTCGTGTGCAAATTTTTAATTCTTGGTGGCTCTGTTTTAGTCATTTGTGCCTAACAAGATCTGGCACCCAGCAGGTGCCCAAAAATGTGTTAAATGAAAGTCAGCGATGGTTAGTATTAAGTCTCCTCTGTCTTTCAATTTGAGATGGTACTTTATAATCCTTCATGTTACTTAATTATTATATAATTCTTATAAGAGAGATAATTGTTTACAGAGACGATGAATTACTCTTACAGAGACAAAGCAAACTAAATACAAAATGAATAGTAATGACAGCTGTGCATCCAAATTGTCCTATTCTTGAAATTGTTTTTAAAGTAATTATACCTGATGTTCAATGTATTCCTGTAAAATCTTAAACCAGGAATTCTTAACTGAAGTTATTTGATCACTGAAGGCTCCTTTTGGTCACCAGAGAATCTCTTTGAGTATCCAATTGGAGTCCTCAAATGTCTCTCTCAGGAGATGTTTTTCTATCACATTCTGACATGAAAAAAAAGGAGCACCAGTAAAAGTTACAAATATAATCTGATGGCAATGAACAGTTTTATCTTGAGTTGATTCACCTGCCTTTGGAATTCTCATTTCTGGTGTCAGAGAAAAGTAATAGGAAGAAAATTGATGATCTAGAAATGGGACTCTCAGTTCAAGGCTTAAAGGAGAAAAGAAGAAAATCTAAATTAAAGTAGGTGTTTAGTGCCCAACAGTTTAGCTTCTGATTCAGTTTCCCATCAATTCAACCATATCCTAAGAAATGTTAAGGTCATACAGTCACAAGCCTCTGAATGACTGCTCTACACTAACAAGTGAATACAAAAATATCTTCATTTAAAATAATATATGTATCATGTCATCTAAGGAGTAAAACTAACTGAGACTATTATCTTTACTTTCCTTTTTTAGGAATAGTTAAATGCATATTTCAAAAAGCAGAAAAAGTTACAAATCATGAGTGACCCAATCATTAAGAAAATACCTTGACTGGACCTTTCTACCTCAGTGTTTTCTAGGTGAGACCATCTCTTCTAACAATTGTGATGACAATACAGTTTTTTTTTTAACCACTGGTTAACAATTGACATACAATATGGAATATAAACCAGCTTTCCACTATATTTCATCAAATGCCATATCACTGGTTACCTGAAGCCTAGTGACTCCAGTTAAGACAAGCAGATAGGATAATAACCAGGTTCAGTTCATTCCCCAAACCCATATTTAATTATATCCTAATCTAAGTGTAATTCAGCAGAGATAACTGAAACATTTAATGTCAGTTGTTTATCCTATACAGTAAAAGTCTTCAGTTCCTCAACATAACTTTAGACAACCAGAAATGATACCAAAGAAACCCAGTTCTTTATAATGAAATCAAACCCCTTGCATCTTCACTACTAACAGGCACATGACCTGAGGTCAGGAGTTTGAGACAAGCCTGGCAAACTTGGTGAAACCCTGTCTCTACTAAAAATACAAAAGTTAACCAAGCATGGTGGCAGATGCCTGTAATCCCAGTTACTCGGGAGGCTGAGGCAGGAGAATCCTTTGAACCAGGGAGGCAGAGGTTGCAGTGAGCCAAAATCATGCCCACTGCACTCCAGTCTGGGAGAAAGAGTGAGACTCCAAAAAAAAAAAAGAGTTAAATATATAAATAAGTAAATAAATGAATAAATAAATAAAATAAAATAAAAGCAGAAAGCAAAGAAATAGGAAATACAGACAGATCTTAGAGAAAATTAAATAAGCAAAAATCTGCTGCTTTGGAAAGATTGATAAGATTGATAAACACCTAGCTAGACTAATAACAACACCCAAAATGGAAATTGCTCATAGCAGAAATGAGAGAATATCACTACAGACCACACAGATATCAAAATTATAACAGAATACTATAAACACATTTTGCCAAAGAATTTGAAATTACTCTTTTGCCAATAAACTTGAAAATAAATAAATTTCATTGAAAAAAAACAAGTTACAAAAATGACACAATGGGAAACAGGAAATCTAAATAGTCATATATCTACTGAAGAAATTGTAGTCAAAAACCTTTCTACAAAGAAATCTTCAGGCCCTGCTGGTTTCACTACTGAAGTCTATCAACAAGCAGTGAAAGAAAAATTCACACAAACTGTCTACAAAACAGAAGAGGGGGAATTTTTTCCAATGTATTTCATGAAGCCAGATATAATGTCAATATAAATGCCTTACAGGCTGGGCGTGGTGGCTCACGCCTGTAATCCCAGCACTTTGTGAGATCGTGGTGTGTGGATCACCTGAGGTCAGGAGTTCAAGACCAGCCTGACCAAAATGATGGAATCCTGTCTCTACTACATACAAAAAATTAGCCGGGTGTGGTGACACGTGCCTGTAATCCCAGCTACTTGGGAGACTGAGGGAAGAGAATCCCTTGAACCCAGGAGGCAGAGGTTGCAGTGAGCCGAGATTGCACCATGCACTCCAGCTTGGGTGACAGAGTGAGACTCCATACCCTTCCCCCCAAAAATAGCAAAGACATCACAAAAAGAAAACTATACATTAATTTCTGTCATGTGCATAGCTGCAAAAATTCTTTCTCACTACCATAATTAATTTTAAATGTACAACTAGTGAATGTGCAAATAAATTTTTCTTAACAACTGAAATATTGAAATGATAAATAATATTCCATTTGACTGTTCCCCACATCCCATCCCCTTCCTCTTTACTCTATTTTTATGATTCTAGACATTAAAAATACTTTTATATACACAAATATAGAGGTATTAAATTTCAGAAACACATACATAGCTGGGTGAGGTGGCTCACACCTATAATCCCCACACTTTGGGAGGATGAGGCAGGAGGATTACCTAAGGTCAGGAGTTCAAGACCAGCCTGGACATTGTAGTGAAACCCCATCTCTACTAAAAATACAAAAAAAAAAAAATAGCTGGGCATGGTGGCAGGCACCTGTAACTCCAGCTACTTGGGAGGTCCTGAGCTAGGAGAATCCCTTGAACCTGGGAGGCAGAGCTTGCAGTGAGCCGAGATCATGCCATTGGACTCCAGCCTGGGTGACAAGAGTGAAACTCTGTCTCAAAACAAAACAAAACAAAACAAAACACATAATTCTGCAACTTGCTTTTTTCTACTAAAAATTTATATAAGTTAATTAGTTTGCTTTATTGAGGAATAATTTATATATAATAAAATTCACCAACTTTATGTGCACAATGATTAATTTTAACAAATGTGTATAGTAATGTAATCACCATCATGATCACCATATAGAACATTTCTGACATTCTTAAAGCTTTCTCTCTTAACACTATTCAGTCAATTCACAACCCTCACTCCTCAGCCCTGGCAACCTCTCATCTGTTTTCAGATAGTATAGTTTTACCTTTTCTAGAATTTCATTTAGAAGAAATCATACTGCATGGTTTTTTTAATCATAGCAAAACATTACCAAATACAATTCACTTGTATATAAAAAAGTTAATAGATTAAAATGATTGGCATTTATTCCAGAAATGCAAGGTTAGTTCAGCACTCAAAAATAAATAAATGATAAACTATAAAATATTGATGCAAGAAATTGAAGAGGACACAAAATAATGAAAAGATATTCCATGTTCATGGGTTGACTCAATATTGTTAAAATGTTGGTACCATTGAAAGCAATCTACATATTCTGCTCAATCCAATGACATTCTCAACAGAAATAGAAAAAAAATCTTAAAATTTACATGTACCCCCAAAAGACCCAGAATACTCAAATGCTGAGTATTCTGAGTACACTGAAGGAATCATATTACTTGACTTTAAATTATAATATGGAACTACAGTAACCCAAATGGCATGGTACTGGCATAAAAACAGACACATAGAACAAGGGAACGAAATACAGAACACAGAAATAAATTCGGACATGTAAAGTGAACTCATTTTTGAGTAACATGCCAAGAGCATACAGTGGGGAAAGAAGAGTCTCTTCAATAAATGGTGCTGGGAAAATTGGATATCCACATACAGAGGAATGAAAACAGACTCCTATGTCTCACCATATATAAAAATCAAATAAATTGATCCCTTTACCATTATGTAATGGTCTTCTTTGTCTCTTTTGATCTTTGTTGGTTTAAAGTCTGTTTTATCAAAGACTAGGATTACAACCCCTGCCTTTTTTTGTTTTCCATTTGCTTGGTAGATCTTCCTCCAGCCCTTTACTTTGAGCCTATGTGTGTCTCTGCACATGAGATGGGTTTCCTGAATACAGCACACTGATGGGTCTTGACTTTTTATCCAATTTGCCAGTCTGTGTCTTTTAACTGGAGCATTTAGCCCATTTACATTTAAGGTTAGTATTGTTATGTGTGAATTTGATCCTGTCATTATGATGTTAGCTGGTTATTTTGCTCATTAGTTGATGCAGTTTCTTCCTAGCCTTGATGGTCTTTACAGTTTGGCATGTTTTTGCAGTGGCTGGTACCAGTTGTTCCTTTCCATGTTTAGTGCTTCCTTCAGGAGCTCTTGCAAGGCAGGCCTGGTGGTGACAAAGTCTCTCAGCATTTGCTTGTCTGCAAGGGATTTTATTTCTCCTTCACTTATGAAGCTTAGTTTGGCTGGATATGAAACTCTGGGTTGAAAATTCTTTTCTTTAAGAATGTTGAATATTGGCCCCCACTCTCTTCTGGCTTGTAGAGTTTCTGCCGAGAGATCTGCTGTTAGTCTGCTGAGTTTCCCTTTGTGGGTAACCTCACCTTTCTCTCTGGCTGCCCTTAACATTTTTTTCCTTCATTTCAACTTTGGTGAATCTGACAATTATGTGTCTTGGAGTCGCTCTTCTCAAGGAATATCTCTGTGGCATTCTCTGTATTTCCTGAATTTGAATGTTGGCCCGCATTGCTAGATTGGGGAAGTTCTCCTGTATAATATCCTGCAGAGTGTTTTCCAACTTGGTTCCATTCTCCCTGTCACTTTCAGGTACACCAATCAGATGTAGATTTGGTCTTTTCACATAGTCCCATATTTCTTGGAGGCTTTGTTCATTTCTTTTTATTCTTTTTTCTCTAAATTTCTCTTCTCACTTCATTTCATTCATTTGATCTTCCATCACTGACACCCTTTCTTCCAGTTGATCGAATCAGCTACTGAGGCTTGTGCATTCATCACATAGTTCACGTGCCTTGGTTTTCAGCTCCATCAGGTCCTTTAAGGACTTCCCTGCATTGGTTATTCTAGTTAGCTATTCATCTAATTTTTTCAAGATTTTTAACTTCTTTGCCATGGGTTCGAACTTCCTCCTCTAGCTCAGAGTAGTTCGATCGTCTGAGGCCTTCTTTTCTCAACTCATCAAAGTGATTCTCTGTCCAGCTTTGTTCCATTGCTGGTGAGGAGCTGTGTTCCTTTGGAGGAGGAGAGGTGCTCTGATTTTTAGAGTTTCCAGTTTTTCTGCTCTGTTTTTTCCCCATCTTTGTGGTTTTATCTATCTTTGGTCTTTGATGATGGTGATGTACAGATGGGGTTTTGGTGTGGATGTCCTTTCTCTTTGTTGGTTTTCCTTCTAACAGTCAGGACCCTCAGCTGCAGGTCTGTTGGAGTTTGCTGGAGGTCCACTCCAGACCCTGTTTGCCTGGGTATCAGCAGCGGAGGCTGTAGAACAGCATATATTGGTGAGCAGCAAATGTTGCTGCCTGATCGTTCCTCTGGAAGTTTTGTCTCAGAGGACTACCCGGCTGTGTGAGCTGTCAGTCTGCCCCTAATGGGGGTTGCCTCCCACTTACGCTACTCAGGGGTCAGGGATCCACTTGAGGAGGCAGTCTGTCCGGTCTCAGATCTCCAGCTGCATGCTGGGAGAACCACTACTCTCTTCAAAGCTGTCAGACAGCGACATTTAAGTCTGCAGAGGATTCTGCTGCCTTTTGTTTGGCTATGCCCTGCACCCAGAGGTGGAGTCTACAGAGGCAGGCAGGCCTCCTTGAGCTGTGGTGGGCCCCACCCAGTTCGAGCTTCCTGGCTGCTTTGTTTACCTACTCAAGCCTTGGCAATGGTGGGCGCCCCTCTGTCAGCCTTGCTGCCACCTTGCAGTTTGATCTCAGACTGCTGTGCTAGCAATGAGTGAGGCTTCGTGGGCGTAGGACCCTCCGAGCCAGGCATAGAATATCATCTCCTGGTGTGCCATTTGCTAAGACCATTGGAAAAGCACAGTATTAAGGTGGGAGTGACCTAATTTTCCAGGTGCTGTCTGTCATCCCTTTCTTTGACTAGGAAAGGGAATTCCCTGACCCCTTGCACTTCCTGGGTGAGGCAATGCCTTGCCCTGCTTTGGCTCACACTCGTTGCACTGCACCCACTGTCCTGTACCCACTTTCCAACACTCCCCAGTGAGATGAACCCAGTACCTCAGCTGGAAATGCAGAAATCACCAGTCTTCTGCACTGTTCACACTGGGGGCTGTAGACTGGAGCTGTTTTTATTTGGCCATCTTGGCATTTAGTAAATGGTGCTGGGAAAACTGGCTAGCCATATGTAGAAAGCTGAAACTGGATCCCTTCCTTACACCTTATACAAAAATTAATTCAAGATGGATTAAAGACTTAAACCATAAAACCATAAAAACCCAAAACCATAAAAACCCAAAACCATAAAAACCCTAGAAGAAAACCTAGGCAATACCATTCAGAACATAGGCATGGGCAAGGAATTCATGTCTAAAACACCAAAAGCAATGGCAACAAAAGCCAAAATTGACAAATTTGATCTAATTAAACTAAAGAGCTTCTGCACAGCAAAAGAAACTACCATCAGACTGAACAGGCAACCTACAGAATGGGAGAAAATTTTCACAATCTACTCATCTGACAAAGGGCTAATATCCAGAATCTACAATGAACTCAAACAAATTTACAAGAAAAAAAACAAACAACCCCATCAAAAAGTGTTCGAAGGATATGAACAGACACTTCTCAAAAGAAGACATTTATGCAGCCAAAAAATACATGAAAAAATGCTCACCATCACTGGCCATCAGAGAAATGCAAATCAAAACCACAATGAGATACCATCTCACACCAGTTAGGCGATCATTAAAAAGTCAGGAAACAACAGGTGCTGGAGTGGATGCGGAGAAATAGGAACACTTTTACACTGTTGGTGGGACTGTAAACTAGTTCAACCATTGTGGAAGTCAGTGTGGCGATTCCTCAGGGATCTAGATCTAGAAGTACCATTTGACCCAGCCATCCCATTACTGGGTATATACCCAAAGGACTATAAATCATGCTGCTATAAAGACACACGCACACATATGTTTATTGCGGCACTATTCACAAGAGCAAAGACTTGGAACCAACCCAAATATCCAACAATGATAGACTGAATTAAGAAAATGTGGCACATATACACCATGGAATACCATGCAGCCATAAAAAATGATGAGTTCATGTCCTTTGTAGGAACATGGATGAAGCTGGAAACCATCATTCTCAGCAAACTATTGCAGTTACAAAAAACCAAACACTGCATGTTCTCACTCGTAGGTGGGAATTGAACAATGAGAACACATGGACACAGGAACGGGAACATCACACACTGGGGCTTGTTGTGGGGTGGGGGGAGGGGGAGGGATAGCATTAGGAGATATACCTAATGTTAAATGATGAGTTAATGGATGCAGCACACCAACATGGCACATGTATACATATGCAACAAACCTGCACGTTGTGCACATGTACCCTAAAACTTAAAGTATAATAAAAAAAAGAAGAAAAAAATCAAATAAAAATGGATTAAAGACATAAATCTAAGTCATGAAACTATGAACCTACTAAAAGAACACATTATGGAAACTCTCCAGGACACTGACCTGGACAAATATTTCTTGGACAATGCCCCACAAGCACAAGAAACCAAAGCAAAAATGGACAAATGAGATCGTATCAAATTAAAAAGCTTTTGCACACCAAAGACAGCAGTCAACAAAGTGAGAAGACAACCCACTGAATGTGAGAAAATATTTGCAAACTATCCACCTGATAAGGGATTAATAACCAGAGTATATAAGAAGCTAAAATAGCTCAATAGGAAAAAATCTAATAATCCAATTAAAAACTGGCTAATGATCAGTATAGACATTTCTCAAAAGAAGACATACGAATGGCAAACAAGTATATAAAAAGTCAACATCACTAACCATCAGAGAAATTCCAATCAAACCTACAATGATATGTCATCTCACCTGAGTTAAAGTGGTTTTTACCCAAAAGACAGGCAATAACAAGTGCTGGTGAGAATGTAGAAAAAAGAGAACCATCTTACACTGTTGGAGAGAAGTGAATTCGTAAGAAGAAAACTAAAAATAGAACTACCATATGATCCCACAATCCCACTGCTAGGTATATACCCAAAAGAAATAAATTAGTATATCAAAGAGATATCTACACTCTCATGCTTATTGCAGCACTATTCACAATAGCCAAGATTTGGAAGCAACTGAAGTGTCCATCAACAGACAAATGGACAAAGAAAATGTGGTACATACACACAATGGTGTACTATTCAACCATTAAAAAGAATGAGATCCTGGCCGGGCCCGATGACTCATGCTTGTAATCCCAGCACTTTGGGAGGCCAAAGCAGGTGGATCACCGGAGGTCAGGAGTTTAAGACCAGCCTGACTAATATGGTAAAACCCTGTCTCTACAAGAAATACAAAATTAGCCAGATGTAGTGGCAGGTGCCTATAATCCCAGCTACTCAGGAGGCTCTGGCAGGAGAATCGCTTGAACCCAGGAGGCAGAGGTTGCAATGAGCTGAGATCACGCCATTGCACTCCAGCCTAGGCGACAGAGGGAGACTTTGTCTCAAAAAAATAAAAAAGAATGAGATCCTGTCATTTCCAATAACATGAATGGAACCTAACATTATGTTAAGTGAAATAAGCAAGGCACAGAAAGACAAACTTCACATGTTCTCACTTATTTGTTGAAGCTAAAATTAAAACAACTGAACTCATGGAGATAGAGAGTGGAAGGATGGTTACCGGAGGCTAAGAAGGGTAGTGGGGGTGGTGAGGGAATGGTTAATGGGTACAAGGACATAGTTAGATAGACTGAATAAGGCCCAGTATTTGATAGCACAACAGGGTGACTATAGTCAACAGTGAATTGTACATTGTAGAAGAATGAAGAGTACAATTGAAATGTTTGTAACACAAAGAAATGAAAAATACTTAAGGTAGTGGATACCCCATTTATTCTGATATGATTATTACACATTGGATGTCTATAAGAAAATATCTCATCTCCCCCTAAAATATACAGACCTACTATGTATCCATAAAAATTAAAAATTAGGGGCTGAGCATGGTGGTTCACGCCTGTAATCCCAGAACTTTGGAAGGCTGAGGCTAGGAGGTCACTTGAGCTCAGGAGTTTGAGACCAGCCTGGGCAACATAGTGAAACCTTGCCTGTACTGAAAATAAAAATTAAAAAAATAGCTGGATGTGGTGGTGCATGCTCATAGTCCCAGCTATTCTGAAGGCTGAGGTGGGAGGATCAGTTAATCCCAGGAGTTAGAGGTTGAGGTGAGCTATGATTGTGCCACTGCAGTGCAACCTGGGTAACAAAGTAAAACCTTGTCTCAAAAAAATTAAAAATTAATTAATAAATGTGTTTAACCATATTAATGGTATAAAGGAAAATCACCATATGACTGACTCAATAAATGAAAAATATTATATTTGACAAATTGAATTGAATACCCATTTGTGATTTTTAAAATCTATTAAAGAGAACTTCCTCAATCTGATAAAAACTATATTACAAAAAAATTTAAATCTAACGTCATACTTACTAGTAAATATCTGAGTACTTTCCTCACAATATTGAAAATAAAGCAGAAATGTCAGATCTTGACATTTTTATACATTGTACTGGAGGTTCTTACAGTCAATAGGGCAAATGAAAAGCATAAATATTCAAAAGAGTTTGTTATCTTATATTGGAAAAAAAGGTAGAAAGTATACAAGAATCTACAGAGCATCCAGCAGAACTACTGAGAATATATCAAAATTACAAGATATGAAGTCAATATACAAAAATCAGTTATATTCATTTCTAATTTCTACTCAGAGATGTGGAGACCAGAAAACAAGACATCACTACTAACACTACGGGAATAAAATAATGGACTAAGGTGAGGTCGCAACTTCTTTTTTAACTCATCCTAGTACTGATGTTTCAGGTCAACCAATTGTTCCAGAATCGATGGAGAGACAGGAACTCACAGGAAAAGACAAGATGGGAGTGTCAACATTTCTAGGCAAGAAACATGCAGACATCAGTAAGAAGAGTTCTAAAGTGAGGAGCAAATTGCTAGAACATGCCTTGGCAGAAGAGCAAAAACTTTGAGCCATAAAAAGAAATCATCTGTAGCTGCTTTTTTTGTTTTTTTTATCTGTCCTTATTTGGAAATTTGTAATTCTAACTAGAGAATACAGGGTATATTAATTATATTTTTTAATTTAGTAAGCTTTGATTTAATATGTGTATTTAATTTTTATTTGTAATTTCAACTTTTAGATTCAGGGCGTACATGTGCAGGAATACTGCCATGATACTGAGGTTTGGGGGTGTGAATGATCCCATCACCCAGGTACCAAGCATAATACTCAATAGGTAGATTTTCTGCCCTCAACCCCTCCCTCCCTCACCCTCTAGTAAGCCTCAGTGTCCACTGTTGCCATCTATGGCGTGAGTCTCATACTCATAAGTCTATGAGTACCCAATGTTTACCCCCACTTATGAATGAGAATATGTGGTATTTGGTTTTCTGTTCCTGCATTAATTTACTTAGGATAATGGCCCCCAGCAGCATCTGTGTTGTTGTAAATAACATATTTCATTTTTTATGGCTGCATAGTATTCCACAGTATATATGTACCACATTTTTAAATGTAATCTGCCGTTGATGGACACCTAGGTTGATTCCATGTCTTAGCTATTTAATATAGCACTGAGATAAAAACAAGTGCCGACCAGGTCCATGGTGGCTCATGCCCATAACCCCAACACTTTGGGAGGCTAAGGTGGGTGGATCACTTGAGGTCAGGAGTTTGAGACCAGCCTGACCAACATGGTGAAAACCAGTCTCTACTAAAAATACAAACATTAGCTGGGTATGGTGGTGAATGCCTGTAATAGCAGCTACTCAGCAGGCTGAGACCCAAGAATCACTTGAACCCAGGAGGCGGAGGTTGCAGTAAGCTGAGATTATGCCACTGCACTCCAGGCTGGGTGAGAGAGGAAAAACTCCATCTCAAATTTTTTTTTAAAAAAGCAAACAAGCGTGCATGTAGTTTTTTGTAGAACAAAATATAATCTTTAGCTCCTGGAAGAATTTTTCTCCTCAAACCCAACTAGACATTCAGTGAAAGATTGATAGAACTAACTCTGAAGAAAAAAATCTCTCCCAAGGTACAGAACTGGGAGATGCAACAGCAGCAATGCTGGCAAGAAGCTCCACTGAGACCTTTCTCCTCTACAGAATAAAAAAGCCTTCATCTGTGGGGAAAGAGCCAAGAAGCACTCTCTTAGGGTGCTGGTGAAAGTACATTACTGCTGGAAGTAGGGAACACACAAAAAATGCTTGAAGCCCTAGAAGATGTGCAGAAATTCACAATGGATTCAGAACCATGTCAGAAGAAGAGAAAGAGAAGTTCATACCCCTGGGGCCCAGAGGCAGAGAGCTTGCCTAAGACTGCCAACCAGATAAAAAAGTATTCTCACCTACCCCCCAGCATCAGGCTAACTGCTGTCAAGATACATATTATTTGCAAGAGATATTGCAAGAGACATGCTGTTTCTGAGGCATAGCACAAAAGGAAAACTTAAGGTTGAGGATGAAATCATCATCAGAGAAACATCCTCTGGCAAGCCAACCCCTACCCTCAACACAAGGTATCACCAGAGGCATTCAAAGCCCATAGGAGAGGCCAGGTGTGGTGGCTCATGCCTATGCCTGTAATCTCAGGACTTTGGGAGGACAAGGCAGGTTGATCACCTGAGGATGGAAGTTTGAGACCAGCCTGATCAACATAGAGAAACCCCATCTCTATGAAAAATACAAAATTAGCCAGGGGTGGTGGCACATGCCTGTAATCCCAGCAACTCAGGAGGCTGAGACAGGAGAATCACTTGAATTTGGGAAGCAGAGGTTGTGGTGAGCCAAGATTATGCCATTGCACTCCAGCCTGGGCAACAAGGGTGAAGCTCCACCTCAACAACAACAACAAAGAAAAAAAAAAGGAAAAAAAAAAAACCGGCCCATAGGGTAGTAAGAATCACACTATAGCAACATCAAATCTCAAACCCAGCTTTACTCAGAGAAACACAAACCTCTGTACTAAAGCCCTAGTCAAAGAAAATGCATCTCAGTTTTCAGACATAAAATCTACTTATCTCAGTTTCTTTGGTTCTACATAAGATGTCCAATTTTCAGCCCCAAAATTACAAAGCTTAAAAAGAGGGGAATAAAGATATCCTGGGAGACAAAAGAAGATAAAAATGAAAGCAGTTGTGAAAGCAGTTGTGAAACCAGGCTCACATGTGAAACAGATGTTGCAACAATCTTGTAAGGAACCTAAAATATCTATGATTAATATGTTAAAATCCTAATAGAAAATATGTACAATGTGCAAGAACAGATGACTAATTTCAGCAGAGACATGGAAACTATAAGAAAATCATGTGAAAATGCTAGAAATGAAATAAGTTGACAGATATAAATAATACCTTTTATGAGCTCATCAGTAGACTCAACTGCTTGAAAGTATCAGTGAACTTGAAGGTAAGTCTATAGAATTAGAAAAAAACCACACAGAATAGAAAGAGTGGAGAAAAAGACAGAGGAATTCTATTCTAAGATGGCTGATTGGAGGCAGTGTTAGCATGCCTCTTTCACTTGGAAGAACAGAATAGTGTGTAGAGATTCACACTGTGAATTTTCTTTCCAAGAACCAATGCAGGAACTTAATAGAAAAACTGAAAGAATCCATAGACCCTTTGAAAGAAGCAGCAGGTTGCAGCCTACTCCCTGAGAGAGGCAAAAAACTGTAAGTCCCTAGAGTGTGAGAAGAAGAGAGTCTGCCTCCAGTACACATCCCCACTGGGGAATCCGAAATTCCAGGCCATGGAAGAGGACTTTACCCTACCCAGAACTCGAATGGCTTCAGGGAGCAGTGTGAAATATAAAAGTAGAAGTAGCAGTTCAGCCTGGGCAACATGGTGAAACCATGTCTCTACAAAAAATACAAAAGTTAGCCAGGCAAAGTGGTTCATGACTGTAGTCCCAGCTACTCAGGAGGCTGAGGAAGGTCAATCACCTGAGTCCAGGAGGCAGAGGTTTCAGTGAGCTGAGATTGCACTATGGCACTCCAGCCTGGGTGACAAAGCAAGACCCTGTCTCAGAAAATAAAAGAAAAGAAAAGAGAAGAAAAGAAAAAAAAAAGAAAATAAAAGGAAAGAGAAGAAAAGAAAAAAAAAAGTAGAAGTGGCAGTGGGAAGTGCAATGCAGGCATTCCCAGTCTCCAGGATAAATGAAGGGAAGCCGTTCCTGACTGTATCTAACAGGAGCCATCAGGGAAATCAGCTAAGAAGCTCAGGGAGGGGTCACAGGGTGAAAGAAGCACCCAACAGAATTTTGTGGCATAATCTCCAATAGAGATAAACTCCTCTGATCAGAAAGCAGCAAAAGGGGGTTAGGGGTGAGTATTGAGCTGCAGCTACTAGTGCAGGAAGTAGGCACCTGGTTTTGTGGGCAGATGGGAAGGGGCATGGCCTAAACGCCATGCTTGCTATCTCTGTGGGGAAGCTTATGGCCTGGGGTAGGTCTGAGCTCTGTGCACAGACTACCTGGATCCAAACCCTGCATTATCATCAGAGCACTGTGGGAGTGAGATCAGCCTCGCCAACTGCATGGGAGCTGGGTGAGGCTTACTGACACCCACTACTCCCCACTCCCTTTGCCAACTCTGCAGTGTGGCAGAGACAGTATTACTCCCCTCTGGAACATTGCCCCAGCAGCCTGAGAATCACACTCCAACCATCACAGGGCTGAAGTCCTGCCCTGCCCAAGGAGAGTCAGAGCGTAGACCCACCTAACCCTGCCCCCAACCTGGTGGTACCCCTTCCCCCACCCTAGTATCTTAACACAAAGGACATAAACTTTTGGAAGCTTAATAGCCCTGCCCATCACCTAAGACATCAGAATACTTCCCCTGGACAACTTAGGACAAGCTCAAATCTCACCGCTACTACCACAGCTGGTGCTCTTTTGCAAGTGCCCCCTCCTGGCTGGAGGCCAACCAACACAATCCTTTACAGTCCCTCTAAGTAGACTAACACTGCATCAAGGAAGGAGACAATGGCTACGTGACCTCAGCTATCACCACTGGGTACAACACCCTGGCTAACCAGAGGTCCTGAGTCTATCCATGTGACAAGTTCATTACAACTTTAATCAGAATTCATGAAAGCCAGCACACTAAGCCTATCTACAACCAAGGAATCTCGGAGTCTACATCCCTGCCCTGACACCTCCATCAGAACTGGCACTGGTATCCACTGCCGGGAGACCTGAAGACAGGTCACATCAATGGATTCCTTGCAGACAGTCTCCAGCACAAGCCCAGAGTCTGGCAGCACCACTGGGTTGTTAGACCCAGAGGAGCAATAACAATCATTGTTGTCTGGCTCTCAGGAACT
This sequence comes from Homo sapiens, assembly GCF_000001405.40. Classification (NCBI taxonomy): domain Eukaryota; kingdom Metazoa; phylum Chordata; class Mammalia; order Primates; family Hominidae; genus Homo; species Homo sapiens. The sequence continues at coordinate 46,683,532 of NC_000008.11, read as the reverse complement.
CCCATTCCTAGGAGAAGGGGGAGAGCACCATATTAAGGTACCACCCCATGGGATGAAAAAATCTGAATGGCAGGCCTTGAGTCCCAGATATTTTCACTGGTAAGAACGCTTTTACAGCAGAAACACAATTGCATTGCTGAGTGCAGTATTGAAAGTCTGCATCTCTACTCCAACAGGCAGGCAGCCTCTGTGATCATAAAGGGTCTGGGAGAAGGGGTCCTTGTTTGCCCCTGGTACACCACTGCAGACAAAGCTGGAGCTGCTCCCGTGGGAATACAGCACAGATACACCTATAGACAGCCTTCCTGAAACAATCTGGGGTGATTGCATCCCCACAGGAGGAGCACACCCCAGATTCAGGCTTGCACAAGAGGCAGAGCCACAATTCCTCCCTACTTGGAATATCAACATTCCTAGAGATGAAACATGGTGCCTGTCAGATCTGAATAGCTAGAACACTGGGAAAGGATAGCTTTCTGGAAGGAGAATTGAGGTAGCTCCCATCCTTTACCCTGATAAAACCTCCGCACATCTAATTGAGAGCTCCCCTAGCCACCTTCATCAAGGCTGGGACCTCTGCCCTCCGTTGTGTATTACATCTACCCACCTACTTTAGCTACAACCACTCCCTACCCAGGGATACCTCCCCTACTGGTCTGAAGCCTGAATCATCAACTCAGCAAATAAAATAATGGGGGAAAATTAAGTAAATTCAAAAAGTGTACACCATGGGAGAATAAGAACAGTTTCAAGAGATCCTTGACATTTCAAACCCATAGGAGGTAGTAAACTTGCCCACACACCAAGTACATTATCATCATCTAGGAAAGCCGGTGCACAAAGACTCTCTATAACTAAGGAACTCATATGGAGTCTTTACCCATAAAAGCACCAAGAACAATTTAGGCTATAAAAAACTACAAACATTAAAGTCAGATCCTTAAGAGGGAAAAATAATTTTTTTAAAAAACACAGTCAAATAAAAAATGAATTCAAGAACAATTTGAAGAAATCATCTACCCAAATGAGAAAAAGCCAGAAAAGTCAGTCTGGTAATATGACAAAACAGGGTTCTGTAACACCCCCAGAAGACCACATGAGCTCCCCAGCAATGGATTCAAACCAAGATTAAATCTTTGAAATACCAGACAAAGAATTCATAAGGTTGTTAAGCTACTTGAGGAGATACCAGGGAAAGGTGAAAACAACATAAAGAAATAAAAAAATCCAGAATATGAATGAAAAATTTTCCAGAGAGATAGGTATCATAAAGAAAAACCAATCAGACCTTATGGAAATGAAAGACACACTCAGAGAAATACCAAATGCAGTGAAAATTTCAACAATAGACTAGAACAAATAGAAAAAAGAATTTGAGAGCTCAAAGACAAGGCTTTCAAATTAGCCCAATCAGAAAAGATAAAGAAAAAGAATCAAAGGAAAACAGTCTCAAAGAATATAGGATTATGTAAAATGGCCAAACCTAAGAATAATTGGTGTTACTGAGGGAGAAGAGAAGCCTAAAGTTTGAAAAACTTATTTGAGGGAATAATTGAGAAAAACTTTTCTGGCCCTGCTAGAGATTTAGATATCCAAATACGAGAAGCTCCAAGAACTCCTGGGAAATTCATTGCAAGAAGATTATCACCAAGTCACGTAGTCATCAGGCTATCTAAAGTCAGAATGAAGATAATAGTTTTAAGAACTGAGACCAAAGCATCGGGTAACTTATAATGGAAAGCCTGTTGGACTAACAGCAGATTTATTAGCAGAAACCTTACAAGCCAGAAGAGATTAGGGTCCTATCTTTAGCCTCCTTAAACAAAATAATAGTCAGCCAAGAATTTTGCATCCAGCAAAATTAAGCTTCATAAATGAAGGAGAGATAAATTCTTTTTCAGACAAACAAATGCTGAGGGAATTTGTGACTGCCAAACCAGCACTATAAGAGATGGAAAAGGCTTCTAAATCTTGAAACAGAAGTTTGATATGCATCAGAATAGAACCTTCCTAAAGCATAAATTTCACAGGGCCTATAAAACAATAACACAATGAAAAAAGCAAAGTATCTAGGTAACAACTAATATGATGAATAAAACAGTACCCCACATTTCAATATTAACATTGAATGTAAATGGCCTAAATGCTCCACTCAGTAGATACAGAATGGTAGAATGGATGAAAAACTACCAACCAAATATCTGCTGTCTTCAAGAGACTCACCTAACACATAAGAATTCATAAACTTCAGGTAAAGGGCTGGAAAAACACATTCCACACAAATGGAAACCCAAAGCAAGCAGGAGTAGCTATTCTTATGTCACACAAAACAAATTTTAAAGCAACAAAAGTAAAAAATGACAAAGAAGGACAGTACATAATGATAAAAAGTTAGTCCAACAAGAAGATATTACAATCCTAGATTCATATGCACCCATATTTATATGAACCCTCAACTTATATGCATTGGGCTCTCAGATTTATAAAACAATTACTACTAGACCTAAGAAGTGAGATAGACAAAAGCACAATAATAATAATGGGGGACTTCAATACTCCACTGGCAGCACTAGAAAGATCATCAAGAGAGAAAATCAACAAAGAAACAATGAACTTAAACTATACCCTAGAACAAATGGACTTAACAGATATTTACAGAACATTGTCCCCAACAACAGCAGACTACATATTCTTCTCATCAGCACATGGAACATTCTCCAAGATAGAACATATGATAGGCCACGAAACAAGTCTCAATACATTAAAAAAACTGATATTATATCAAGAATCTTCTCAGACCACAGTGGAATAAAACTGGAAATCAACTCCAAAAGGAACCCTCAAACCTATATGAATATATGAAAATTAAATAATCTACTCCAGAATGATTTTTGTTATTTGAGATGGAGTTTTACTCTTGTTGCTCAGGCTGGAGTGCAATGGCATGATCTTAGCTCACTGCAACTTATGCCTCCTGGGTTCAAGTGATTCTCCTGCCTCTGCCTCCCGAGTAGCTGGGGTTACAGGTGCCTACGACCAAACCCAGCAAATTTTTTTGTATTTTTAGTAGAGATGGGGTTTCACCATGTTGGCCACACTGGTCTTGAAATCCTGACTTCAGGGATCCACCTGCCTTGGCCTCCCAAAGTGCTGGGATTACAACCATGAGCCACTGCACCCGGCCTAGAATGACTTTTGAGTTAGCAATGAAATCAAGATGGGAATTTAAAAATTCTTTGAAATGAATGATAGTAGTGACACAACTTATCAAGACCTCTGGGATACAGCAAAAGCAGTGCTAAGAAGAAGGTTCATAGCATTAAATGCCTACATCAAACAGTCTGAAAGAGCACAAATTGACAAGCTAATGTCACACCTCAAGGAACAAGAGAAACAAGAATAAACCCAGCAGAAGAAAAGAAGTAACAAAAATCAGAGCAGAACTAAATGAAATTGAAACAAAAAAATACAAAAGATAAATGAAACAAAAAAGCTTGTTATTTGAGAAGATAAACAAAAATGATACACTATTAGTGAGACTAACCAAGAAAAGAAGAGAGATCCAAATAAGCTCAGTTAGAAATGAAACTGAAGATATTATAACCAATACCACAGAAATACGAAAGATCATTCAAGGCTCCTATGAACACCTTTATACACACAAACTAGAAAAACTAGAGAAAATGGATAAATTCTTGGATATATGCAACCCTCCCAGATTAAATCAGGAAGAAATAGAAACCCTGAACAGACCAATAATAAGCAGCAAGGTTGAATCAGTAATTTAAAAATTACCAACAAAAAAAGTCAGGATCAGATGGATTCAGAGCTAAATTCTACAAGACATTAAAAAGGAATTTGTACCAATATTACTGAAACTATTCCAAAAGGTAGAGAAAGGGGAATTATCCCTAAATCACTCTAGTAGGCCAGGATAACTCTAATACCAAAACCAGGAAAGGACATAAGAAAAAAAAACCCACGAACCAGTAAACGTGCTGAATATAGATGCAAAAATCTTCAACAAAATACTAGCTAATCAAATCAAACAGCACATCAAAAAGATAATACATCCTGATCAGGTGGGTTTCATCTCAGGGATGCAGGGATAGTTCAACATACAAAAGTCAATAGATGGGATACATCACATAAACAATTAAAAACAAAAACCATATGATCATCCACAATAGATGCAGAAAAAGCATTTGCTAAAATCTAGCGTCCCTTTATGATAAAAAACCTCAAGAAAATGGGCATAGAAGGGACTTACCTCAAAGTAATAAAAGGCATATAAGACAAATTCACAGCCAACATCATACCAAATGGGAAAAAATTGAAAGCATTCCCCCTGAGAAATGGAATAAGACAAGGATGCCCACTTTTACCACTTCTATTCAACATAGTCCTGGAAGTCCTAGCCAGAGCAATCAGACAGAAAAAACAAATAAACGACATCAAAATTGGAAAAAAGGAAGTCAAACTGTCGCTGTTCGCTGACATGGTTATGTACCTAGAACACGCTCAAGACTCATCTAAAAAGCCCCTAGATCTGATAAATGGATTCAGTAAAGTCTCAGGTTACAAAATCAATGTACACAAATCAGTAGCATTGTTATACACCAACAAAAACCAAGCCAAGAATAAAATCAAGAATTCAATCCCCCTTACAATAGCTGCAAAAACAACAACAAAAATACCTAAATATACTTATCCAAGAAGGTGAAAGATCTCTACAAAGAAAACTACAAAAAACACTGCTAAAAGACATCATAGATGACATAAACAAAAGAAAACACATTCCATTCATGGGTGAGAAGAATCAATATTGTGGAAATGACCATACTGCCCAAAGCAATCTACAGATTCAATGCAATTCCCATGAAAATACCATCATCATTCTTCACAGAACTAGAAAAAACAATCTTAAAATTCATATGGAACAAAAAAAGAGCCCACATAGCCAAAGCAATACTAGGCAAAAATAACCAATCTGGAGGCATCACATTACCTGACTTCAAATTATACTACAAGTCTATAGTTATCAAAATAGCAAGGTATTGGTATAAAAATAGGCATGTAGACCAATGGAACAAAATAGGGAATTCAGAAATAAAGCCAAATACTTACAGCCAACTGATCTTTGACAAAGCATACAAAAACATAAATTGGGGAAAAGACATTCTATTCAATAAATAGTGCTGGGAAAACTGACACAAGTAGAAGAATGAAATAGGTTCCCCATCTCTCACCTTATATAAAAATCAACACAAGATGAATCAAAGACTTAAAACCATAAAAATTCCAGATGATAATGTCAGAAAAACTCTTCTGGACATTGGCTTAGGCAAAAAATTCATGACTAAGAGACCCACCCCCAAAGCAAATGCAACAAAAACAAAAATGAATAATGGGACCTAATTAAACTAAAAACCTTCTGCACAGCAAAAGAAATAATCAGCGGAGTAAACAGACAATCCACACAGTGGGAGAAAATATCCACAAACTTTGTATCTGACAAAGGACTAGTATCGAGAATCTATGAGGAATTCAAATCAGCAAGAACAAACAAACAAACAAACAACCCCATCCAAAAGTGGTCAAAGGACATGAATATCATGAATAGACATTTCTCAAAAGAAGATATACAAACAGCCAATAAACATGAAAAAAAGCTCAACATCACTAATCATCAGGGAAATGCAAATTAAAACTGCAAAGAGATACCACCTTACACCTGCAAGAATGGCCATAATTTAAAAGTCAAAAAACAATAGATGTTGGCATGGATGTGGCAAAAAGGGTACCCTTTTACACTGTTGGTGGGAATGTAAATTAATACAACCACTATGGAGAACAGTATGGAGATTTCTTAAAGAATTAAAAGTAGAACTACTATTTGATCCAGCAATTCCACTGCCAGGTATCTACTCAAATGAAAAGAAGTGATTCTATGAAAATGACACATGCACATACATGTTTACAGCAGCACAATTCACAATTGCAAAGATACGGAACCAACCTAAGTGCTTATCAACCAATGAGTGGATAAAGAATATATGGTATGTATACACCATGGAATACTACTCAGCCATCAAATGGAATGAAATAATGTCTTTTGCAGCTATTTAGATGGAGTTGAAGTAATTATTCTAAGTTAAGTAACTAAGGAATGGAAAACCAAATATCATATGTTCTCACTTATAAGTGGGAGCTAAGCTATGAGGATGCAAACGAATTAAAGTGATATAATGAACTTTTGGGAGAGGACATGTGGGGCGGTGAGGGCTAAAAGACTACACATTGTGTACATTGTACACTACTCAGGTGAGGGGTAAGCTAAAATCTCAGGAATCACCACTAAAGAACTTATTCAAGTAACAAAAAAACACCTGTATCCCAAAAACTATTGAAATAAAAAAAATTAAAAAAGAATAGAAAATGATGAGTTCATGTCCTTTGTAGGGACATGGATGAAGCTGGAAACCATCATTCTCAGAAAACTATTGTAAGGACAAAAAACCAAACACCGCATGTTCTCACTTATAGGTGGGAATTGAACAATGAGAACACATGGACACAGGAAGGGGAACATCACACACCAGGGACTGTTGTGGGGTGGAGGGAGGGGGGAGGGATAGCATTAGGTGACATAACTAATGCTAAATGATGAGTTAATGGGTGCAGCACACCAACATGGCACATGTATACATATGTAACTAACCTGCACGTTGTGTACATGTACCCTAAAACTTGAAGTATAATAATAATAAAAAAAAGAATAGAACACAATATCCAAGAGTTCTGTGATATAATCAAACATGCTAAGATAAGCATTGTTAGAATCTCAGAGGGAGAAAAGAGACAGAACAAGGCAGAAGAAATATTTGTAAATAATGATCAATAATTTAGGAAGGATTAATAACAAACACCAAACCACAAATACCAGTTCAGAGAAAATCAAATCAGGATGAATAAAAACAACAATAACAACAAAAGCAACAAGACACTATATTCAAACTGGTAAGACCAGAAGGCAAAGATAAAATGTTAAAGCTAAACGGAGAAAAAAAATATACATTAAATACGGAGGAGCAAAAATCATCATTACACTGTTTCTATTCAGAAATCTCCAAGCTAGAAGAAACTTGAGCAATGTATTTTTATTGTTAAATAATATTTATACATATTTATGGGGTACATGTGGTATTTTGTTACATGCATGGAAGGTGTAATGATCAAGTCAGGGTATTTGGGGTGTCCATCACCTCACGTGTTTCTCACTTCTAGTGTTGGGAACATTTCAAGTCCTCTCTTCTAGCTATTTTGAAATATACAATAAACTGTTATTAACTGTGATCTTCATGCTCTGCTATCCAACATTAGAACGCATTTCTTCCACCTAACTGTATGTTTGCACCCATTAACCAACCTCTCTTCATTCCCCCACCACCCTTCTCAGCCTCTGGTAGCTGTCATTCTACTCTCTACCTCCGCAAGATCAATTTTGATATCGTCCACATATGAGTGAGAACACGCGATATTTGCCTTTCTGCACCTGTTTTATTTCATTTAACATAATGACCTTCAGTTCCATTTATGTTGCTGCAAATGACATAATTCCATTCTTTTTGTAGCCAAGTAGTATTCCATTGTGTATACATACTTTTTAAAAAATCTATTTACCCATTGATGGACGCTTATGTTGATTCCGTATCTTTGCTATTGTGAATAGTGTCGCAATAAACATGAGGGTGCAGATATCTATTCTGTATACTGATTTTCTTTCCTTTGGATATAGACCCAGTAGTGGGATTTCTGTATTACATAATTGATAGTTCTATTTATAGTAGAAAAAAAAAAGAATGGGAGGAAGAGAGGAAGGGAGGGAGAGAGGGAGAAAAGAAGTGAAGGAAGGGACTCAAAGAAGAGTGACTAGGGTCATAACAGAACTTAAGTTAAAACATTATGTGAAAAAAATTAAAGATTTGGAGTTTCAGAAAAAAAGGCATTTTATACAAAAATCAGCTGGGCATGGTGGCATTCGCCTGTAATCCCAGCTACCTGGGAGGCTGAGGCACGAGAAACGCTTGAACCCAGGAGGTGAGGACTGCAGTGAGCTGAGATCATGCCACTGTACTCCAGCCTGAGCAACAGAGCAAGACTCTGTCTCAAAAAAAAAAAAAAAAAAAAAAAAAGAAAAGAAAAAAAAGAAAGAAAGAAAATATGGTGCATCTACATTAGGGAATACTATCTGGTCATAAAAAAGAATAAAATTATGTCATTTGCTGTTCAGAAACTTTTTAGTTTTACACAGTCCAATTTATTTATCTTTGCTTTTATAGCTTGAGCTCTTGGAGTTATATTCAAAAAATTATTACTGTTGGGCATGGTGGCTCATGCCTGTAATCCCAGCACTTTTGGAGGCCGAGGCAGGTGGACCACTTGAGGTCAGGAGTTCAAGACCAGCCTGATCAACATGGCAAAATCCCGTCTCTACTAAAAATACAAAAATTAGCCAGGCATGTTGGTGCATGTAATCCCAGCTACTCGGGAGGCTGAGGCAGGAGAATCACTTGAACCCGGGAGGTGGAGGTTGTGGTGAGCCAAGATTGGGCCACTGCACTCCAGCCTGGGCAACAAGAGTGAAACTTTGTTTTCAAAAAAAAAAAATTGTCAAGACCAATGTCAAGGATATTTTCCCCTATATTCTCTTCTCGGAATTTTATGGTTTCAGGTCTTACTTTTAGGTCTTTTATCTATTTTGAGTTGGCTTTTTGGTATAGTGTACGATAATGGTCCAATATCATTCTTTTGCATATAGAAATTCAGTTTTTCTGGAACCATTTAGTGAAGAGATTATTTTTTTCTCATTATGTCTTGGTGCCCTTTTCAAAAATTAGCTAACCATGAATGTTTGGATTTATTTCTGGGAGTTCTATTGTGTTTCACTGGTCTATGTTTCTGTTTCTATGATGGTACCATACTATATTGATTACTATAGCTTTGTAATATAATTTTAAATCAGGAAGTGTGATGCTCTGTGTTCATTGCAACATTATTTACAATAGCCAAGATATGGAAACTTAAGCTATATTATGATTCTATTCACTCTTTTTTCAATCCCTCCCTTCACTCTTTTATCCCTCTCTCCCTTCCTCCCTCTAGTTCTCTCATCCTTTATTTCCACTATAAATGGAACTACCATACGATCCAGCAATCCCATTACTGGGCATATACCCAAAGGAAAAAAAAATCAGTATATAGAAGAGATCTCTGCATCCCTGTGCTTATTGAAGCAGTATTCACCACAGCAAAAACATGGAATCAACCTAAGTGTCCATCAACAGATACATGCATTAAAAAGTTGTATGTATACACATTTAAATACTATTTGGAGCCAGGCACAGTGGCTCATGCCTGTAATCCCAGCACTTTGGGAGGCTGAGGTGGGTGGATCGCCTGAGGTCAGGAGTTTGAAACCAGCCTGGCCAACATGGCAAGACCCCATCTCTACTAAAAGTACAAAATTATCCAGGCCTGTAATCCCAGCTACTCAGGAGGCTGAGGCAGGAGAATCACTTGAACCTGGGAGGCAGAGGTCACAGTGAGCTGAGGTCACGCCACTGCACTCCAGCCTGAGCAACAGAGCCAGACTCTGTCTAAAAAAAAAAAAGAAAAGCAATGACAACAAGAGGGGAATTAAATGTGAATTTGAAACTGGCTGATTAAAAGTAAAGGTAGGTGGCTAGGAGCAGTGGCTCATGTCTGTAATCCCAGCACTTTGGGAGGCCAAGGCAGGTGGATGATCTGAGGTCAGGAGTTCAGGACCAGCCTGGCCAACATGGTGAAACCCTGTCTGTACTGAAAATACAAAATTAACCGGGCATGGTGACACATGACTATAATCCCAGCTACTCGGGAGGCTGAGGCAGGACCAGCCTGGACAACATGGTGGAACTCCGGGTTCAAGTGATTTTGCTTGAATCCGGGAGGTGGAGGTTGCAGTGAGCTGAGACTGTACCACTGCACTCCAGCCTGGGAAACAAGAGCAAAACTCCATCTAAATAAATAAATAAATAAACAAGTAAATAAAATTTAAACAATTTTTTTTAAAAAAAGTAAAGGTGAGATAAACTATTCACTCCAGAGGAGTAACAATGAGAAGAGGAAGAAAAACATATACAGTAGTTTGCTGATTCAAACTAATAAACAAAAAAATAAAATGCATCTGTGGAAGAACAGAAAACTACAAGAAAAAAGCCGTTATTTACTGACATAAACAAACACTATTTAACATAGCTGCATGTCAAATGTATATATACTGTAAAGAATTATGAAAGTTAAATTTCACCTATTCAAACATACTTCCCTCTTGCTTAATATGTATTCATGTGAATTACCATATTTTTTCTCTAGTACAGAGGCTAATCTTAAAATAAAACTTGGTCCAACCTAGGCTAGAGGCAGTAGCTCACGCCTGTAATCCTAACACTTTGGGAGGCTGAGAAGGGTGGGTCAGCTGAGATCAGGAGTCCGAGACCAGCCTGGTCAACATGGTGAAACCCCATCTCTTACTAAAAATACAAAAATTGGCCAGGCCTGATGGCACGTGCCTGTAATCCCAGCTACTAGGGAGGCTGAGGCAGGAGAATCACTTAAGCCCAGGAGGTGGAGGTTGCAGTGAGCTGAGATTGCACCACTGCACTCCAGCCTGGGTGACAGAGCAAGATTCCATCTAAAAAAAAAAAAAAAACAAAAAAAAAAACCTGGTCCAACTTCGCAGCCATCCAACCATTTGCTAAATAGCTTCACTAAAAAATTATTTGTTGTCAATGCATATGTTCTGAAAATATATCCATCAAAACAGTACTGTTGTTCTCACTGATTGGGAGATTCAGAAGTTTTACTTTGAGTATTTTTGGTGTTAAATAGAAATAGTCTTTTGCACTACTAACAAGGTTGTCAGACTCAAAAAACATGTAACCAATTATCTAAATCACCATTGATATTCTCCAATTAATATAAAAGCTAATTCATGCCCAAACATAACAAACGAGACCTCATCATCTATGCCTACATCAGTTTAACAAGTCAATATTTTGAAGGTATGTAATCTTGTTGAAGTACAAAATGCAGAGTTATATTTGAAAGATATACTTAACTGTATCTCCATCAGCAGGTATTTGTGTGGGCATATACATTGTTCTTTCTGCCATGCCACACTAAAAGAGCTGAAAATAAAAAAAAATGAACATTTTTAAAAATTACTTACAAAGACTATATTCTTGCTATAAAATTTAGATCAATTTGGGGGCATAATATAGGTATTTTTATAAGTTTTAGTTTTTAGTTCACACTATTGATCTGTTTTAAACTGTGCCTGTCTTGCTAGATGGGGTTCTATATAATGAATAATATGTAATATTCAACTTATAATGTAGAGTAATACATTTGTCCATAAGCACACAAAAAGCATCTTAAACTCTCTTTGGAAATCAAGAGGATAAGAGCACTCTTCTTCTTTAAATGACTCTTTGGTCATAAAAAAGGAAAGTAGAAATTTTTGCTTTAAAAATGGTTAAAAAAAAAAAAAGTAAGACACTCATAAGCACTTAACTTTCCAGAGTAGCATTCCAGAGGAGGCTTGGGTATTCGAGTCTACCCATTGAAAGGAAATTGTGAAAGCAGACCTTATACAATCTAAAAGGGTCCTATAGACACTGAACTAAAATAATGATAATTCTCACTTATGAAGCATCTATTATGCACCTAGCATTGTGCTAAGGGTTTATGTGCTTTATTTACCTCCACAAGTCCTCATAGTAGATCTGAGATATACGTATTTTCATTGCCATATGCCAGGTGAAAAAATTCAAACTCAGAATGATTAAGTAACTTACTTTCCCAGGGATTCAGCTGTGCAGCAGACACAGGTCCGAACTGATTCCAAGCTGGTCTCCTTTCCACTGTCCCAAGTTGTGGACCAAATAAATATTCACTGTGTTTGTAACAGTTGGGAACAGGGAGGAGAGGTACAAGACAGCGTGCTGTGCTCATCTCCAAGCAGAACTGCCTGAGAAGGCCATGCTACCCTACTTTTGAACACAGCGCAAAGATACTAAAAATATGAGGCATGTTTCAAAAGGAAATATTATATATTCATAAAACAAATATTTGAAATATTTGAGAAGCAAACAGAATCAAAGAATGGCTCTGTGCCATAATCTCTTCACTTGCTCTATCTTGAGGATTATTGCACTTTAGTATTCAAATGTATATCATTTTCCCTAAAATTAAACAAGGTTTCCTGATATAGACAGAGTTCTGTTTTGTTGTATGGTTTACTCTATTCCAGTATATACAAAGGTTTTTTAATTTATTTATCAGAAACTTAATGGTGGACATTGCAGTAATTTCCACCCTTTAATAGAAATCAGCAATAAGCATTGTTGATTTAAGTCAACAATGTTTGGCTGGGCACAGTGGCTCGTGCCTATAATCCCAGCACTTTGGGATGCCAAGGCAGGAAGATCACTTGAGGCCAGAAGTTTGAGACCAGACTGGCCAACAAAGCAAAATCCCGTCTCTACTAAAAATACAAAACTTAGCCGGGCATAGTGGCACAGGCCTGTAATCCCAGCTACTCAGGAGGCTGAGGCATGTGTATTGCTTGGACCCAGAAGGTGGAGGCTGCAGTGAGCCAAGATCTCACCATGCACTCCAGCCTGGGTGACAGAACAAGACTCTGACTCAAATAAATAAATAAATAAATAAATAAATAAATAAATAAATAAATAACAATGTTTATTTAAATCAACAATAATATTGTTTTTGAAATATTGTAGTAATTAGAAGTAAATTACTACAAATTCATAAGTCTCTATCTCTGTATAATGGCTGAATTTTTGGCAAATCTGCCAAAATTCATTTAGGAACTAGAGACACAACTTGTCTTGTATTTAAAAGCCTAATTAAATGTCTCAGACAAAGAGGGATTTATTTCTTTCACATAAGTCTAGAGCAGAAGTTCTCAAATTACGATCACTGGGCCTTGAGGATTCCTGAGACTCTTTTGGGGGGCCCATGGGTTCAATTTTTTTTTCTAATAACACTAGGGTTTTTTGTTTTTTTGCTTTCATTTTGAGATAGGGTCTCACTCTGTCACCAACGCTGGAGTGCAGAGGCGCAATCACAACTGACTGCAGTCTTGACCTCCCAAGCTCAAGTGATCCTCCCCACCTCAGCCTCCCAAGTAGATGGGATTACAGACATCTGCCATCACACCCTGCTAATTTTTGTATTTTTTGTAGAGACAGGGTTTTGCCATGTTGCCCAGGCTGATCTTGAACTCCTAAACTCAAGCAATTCTCCTGCCTAGCCTCCCAAATTGTTGTGATTACAGGTGTGAGTAGTATGCCCTCGGCACTTGGCCAATACTAGGGTTTAATTTGCCTTTCCACTCTGTTGATATTTACCCTGATGGTTCAAAAACAATGGGGGTTAAAACTACTGCTACCTTTGGCTGGGCACGTCGGCTCATGCCTGTAATCCCAGCACTTTGGGGGGCCGATGCAGGTGGATCGCCTAAGGTCAGGAGTTCGAGACCAGCCTGGCCAACATGGTGAAACCCCGTCTCTACTAAAAATAGAAAAAAATAGCTGGGCATGGTGGCAGGTACCTGTAATCCCAGCTACTCGGGAGGCTGAGGCAGGAGAATCGCTTGAGCCCGGGAGGCGGAGGTTGCAGTGAGCCGAGATGGCGCCACTGCACTCCAGCCTGGGCAACAAGAGCGAGACACTGTCTCAAAAACAAACAAACAAAAATCTACTGCTACCTTCATAAGAAAATGGCACCAAATTGTATTATTAGTTATTGCATTATTCACCTCACACATTCACAACAACAACAAAAAACAGTAAATAGCCATTAAGTATTTATACTGTATAGAAGTATGATGGTTGTCTTGAGGAAAACAAGTTCTGTGATTGATTGTGTTGTGAGAAATAGGAACTCCTTTTTTCATGGAACATTATTAATTTCAAGTACAATTGAAAAACACTGATTACTTAAGCTTGGGGATTTCTAAGACAGTTTCTTGAAAATGAATGAGGCGTGGTTTGTAACATTAAGAAAAATAACAAGGCGGGCCAGGCACGGTGGCTCACGCCTGTAAGCCCAGCACTTTGGGAGGCCAAGGCGGGCGGATCACGAGGTCAAGAGATCAAGACCATCCTGGCTAACACGGTGGAACCCCTCTCTACTGAAAATACAAAACATTAGCCGGGCGTGGTGGCAGGCGCCTGTAGTCCCAGCTACTCGGGAGGCTGAGGCAGGAGAATGGCGAGAACCCAGGAGGCAGAGCTTGCAGTGAGCCAAGATTGTACCACTGCACTCCAGCCTGGGCAACAGAGCGACATTCAGTCTCAAAAAAAAAAAAAAAAAGAAAAAGAACAAGAAAAAGAACGAGGTGGATCCTGTAATCCCAGCACTTTGGGAGGCTGAAGCAGGGGAACTGCTTGAGCCCGGGAGTCTGAAACCAGGCTGGTCCGCATAGTAAAAGCTGGTCTCCACAAAAGAAAAATTTAAAAATTAGCCAGGCATGGTAGTGTGTGTCTGTAGTCGCAGTTACTCAGCAGGCTGAGGCAGAAAGATTGCTGGAGCCCCAGAGTTTGAGGCTGCAGTGAGCTATGATTGCGCCACTGCACTCCAGCCAGGGCAACAGAGTGAGACCCTGTCCAAAAAAAAAAAAAAAAAGAATGAAAAGAAAACTAACCGAAAATGTACTTTTTAAATGATAAAATTTACATTTTTGTAGATTTTGTGATGTGAGGTTTACTCCTAAAATAGTTTTTAGAGAACTTGTATCAATCATCATGATCTTGATAGCTTTCCAACATTTAAAAACTTTTCTAAAAAGTTTTCTAAAAACATTGGTGGTGATATTAACAATGCAAATGTTTGATATTGCATAATGAAATGTGACAACATTAAATAGATTAAGTTTATTTAATTATTAACTGTTAATTATTAACAGTGTGGAAGTTTCCCAACCTCCACACTGTTAATATATTGGTCTGTATAATTCTTTGTTCTGAAGACTGTTTAATGCACTAGAGTGCTTAGCTGCATATCTGGTCTGTATCCACTAGATGTCACTAGCAACCCCCAAGTGTGGCAACTGACATCTCCAGACATTGGCCAAATTGGAGAGCAAAATAACTCTGAGCTAAGAACTACTAAATTAGATAACTCAGTAAACAGATGTTTTTCTTTCTTTCCTTCTTTCTTTTTTTTTTTTATTGAGATGGAGTCTCACTCTGTCGCCCAGGCTGGAGTGCAGTGGCTCAGTCTCAGCTCACTGAAACCTCCACCTCCTGGGTTCAAGCGATTCTCCTGCCTCAGCCTCCGGAGTAGCTGGGACTACAGTCATGCACCACCACACCCGGCTAATTTTTGTGTGTTTAGTAGAGATGGAGTTTCACCATTTTGGCCAGGCTGGTCTTGAACTCCTGACCTCAGCTGATCCACCCACCTGGGCCTCCCAAAGTGCTAAGATTGATTACAAGTGTGAGTCACTGCACCTGGCCAACAGATGTTTTTCGAGTGACCAATGCTTGACATTACAAAGGTATACATGAGTTCAGGATCCATTTGAAGAGTCAGACTAGATTTTTTTTTAAATTGTATTATACGTTGACAAATTATCATTGTATATATTTATGGGTACAAAGTGATGTCATAAATTTTTAGTATAATATGAAATAATTAAATTAATCAAATGAACATACTCATAACCTGAAATATTTGATTTTTTTGCTAAGAACATTTGAAATGTACTGTCTTAGTAATTTTGAAATGGACAGTGCACAATTATTAAGTATATTCACCAACCTGTGCAATAGATCTCAAAAAGTCCAAACATAATTTTGCTATTTAATTGAGGCCCTGTACCCTTCGATTATCATTTCCACACTCCCACCAGGATACACTCTGCTTCTGAGTATTAAACTCAGAAGTAAAACAATTAGTGTTTTACTTTCCACCTTTACATGAGAACATGTGGTATTTGTCTTTCGGAATTTGCCTTATTTCACTTAACAGAACATTCTCTGATGTCATCCATGTTGTGGGAAATGACAGAATCTCTTACTTTTTAAAGGCTGAATAGTATTCCATGGTGTATACATACATTTTCTCTCTCCATTTATACATTTATGGACACTTAAGATGATTCTATAACTTCATTTTGGAAATAGTGCTGCAATAAACATGGGCGTGCAGACTTGTCTTTGCCATATTAATTTAAATGTAACAAAAGTGTGTGAAAATAGTTTCAGATTTCACATTGCAACTAATCTTGTCCAATTTTGGTGGAGTATGAAGGAATAATATTCACAATCATGTTGGAAGATTACTAAGTGATTCCTTTTACCAACTATGAATCTGTATGAAGCCAGATTTTCTTCAGCAACATTAAGCAAAACAACATATTTCAGGAGACTAAATGTAGAAGCAGATGTAAGAATTCAGCTGTCTTTTTTTCTTTGTACTTTTTTATTGTGGTAAAATAGACATAACATAAAATGTGCCATCTTGATTTTTAAGGGAAAGTTCAGTGGCATTCTGTATATATTCACATTCTTGTGCAACCACCACCACCCTCCATGTCCAGAACTTTAAAAAATCTTCCCAAACTAAAACTTTATATCCATAAACAATAACTACCCTTCCTCCCCTATTTCTGGGACTCACAATTGTACTTTCTGTCTCTATGAACTTCACTACTTTAGGTACCTCATACAAATGGAACTATGTAATATTTGTCCCTTTGTGACTGAATTATTTCACTTAGCATAATGCCTTCAAGGTTCCTCTCTGTTGTAACATGTGTCAGAATTTCATTCCTTTTTAGTGCTAAATGATATTCCATTGTACATACATACCATATATTGCTTATCCATTCATTCATCAGTGGACAGTGGACATTTGGGTACTTCCACCTGTTGGCAATTGTGAATAATGCTGCTGTAAATGTAAGAGTGCAAATGTCTTTTCTAGAAGCTGCCTTCTATTCTTTTGGGCATATACCCTGAGGTGGAACTGGTTAATCATATAGCAATTCTATGTTTAATTTTGTTGCTGTTGTTGTAGTTTGAGACTGAATCTCATTCTGTCGCCCAGCCTGGAGTCCAATGGCGTGATCTTGGCTCACTGCAAACTCCACCTCCCAGGTTCAAGCGATTCTCCTGCCTCAGCCTCCCAAATAGCTGGGATTAGAGGCAGCCACCTCCATGCCCGGCTAATTTTTGTATTTTTGGTAGAGGCGGGGTTTTGCCATCTTGGCCAGGCTGGTTTCAAACTTCTGGCCTCAAATGATCCTCCTGCCTCAGCCTCCCTAAATGCTCGGATTACAGGCATGAGCCACCGCACCCAGCCTCTATGTTTAATTTTTGAAGAAAACCCAAACAGAGCAGCTGCACCATTTTACATTCCCACCAGTCACGCACAGGATGCCATCTTCTCCATGCCTTCACCAGCACGTGCTACTGTCCGGTTTTGGATAGCAGCCATCCTAATGTGTGTGTGAACCCAAAAGTATCTGAGACAGGTCTCAATCAATTTAGAAAGTTTATTTTGCCAAGGTTAATGAAGTTCCTGTGACACAGCATCAGGAGGTCCCAATGATATGTGCCCAAAGTGGTCAGGGGTACAGTTTGCCTTTTTTTTTTTTTTTGAGATGGAGTTTTGCCCAGCTGGAGTCCAATGGTGTCTTCTCAGCTCACTGCAACCTCCGCCTCCTGGGTTCAAGCGATTTTCCTCCCTCAGCCTCCTGAGTACCTGGGATTATAGGCACCTGCCACCACGCCCAGCTAATTATTTGTATTTTTAGTAGAGATGGGTTTCACCATGTTGGCCAGGATGGTCTCAAACTGACCTCAGGTGATCCACCTGCCTCAGCCTCCCAATGTGCTGGGATTACAGGTGTGAGCCACTGCACCCTGCCTACAGTTTGTTTTTGTATGTTAGAGAGACATAACATACATCAATCAATATGTGTAAGATTTACATTGGTTTGATCTGGAAGGGTCAGACAACTTGAAGTGGTGAGGGGAGGGGAGGTTCAAGGTCATAAGCAGATTTTTTTTTTTGAGACAGAGTTTTTCTCTTGTTGCCAAGACTGCAGTGCAATGGCACAATCTTGGCTCACTGCTTCCTCTGCCTACCAGGTTCAAGTGATTCTCCTGCCTCAGCATCCCCAGTAGCTGGGATTACAGGTATGTGCCATCACGCCTGGCTAATTTTTTATTTTTAGTAGAGACAGGGTTTCTCCATATTGGTCAGGCTGGTCTTGAACTCCCAACCTCAGGTAATCTGCCCACCTCAGCCTCCCAAAGTGCTGGAATTACAGGTGTGAGCTACCTCGCCTGTCATGGTCATAAGTAGATTTTTAAATATTCTGATTGGCATTCAGTTGAAAGAATTATTATCAATAGAAAGGAAAGTCTGGGTTACAATAAGGGGTTCTGGAGACCAAGGTTTTATCATGCAGATGAAGCCTCCAAGTAGCAGGCTTCAGAGAGAATAGATTGTAAATGTTTCTTATCAGATTTAAGGTCTGTGTTGATGTTAATGCAGATCAGTTTTTCCTAAATTCCAAAAAGGAGGAGGGTGTAATGAGGCATGTCTGACCTGAACTAGTTTTTCAGGTTAACTTTAAAATGCCCTTGGTTGAAAGGAGGGGTCCATTCAGATGGTTGGGAAGGCTTAGAATTTTGTTTTTGGTTTACAGGTGTGAAGTCTTATATCATTGTGGTTTTTTGTTTGTTTGTTTTGAGACAGGGTCTTACTCTGTCACCCAGGCTGGAGTGTGGTGGCCTGATCTCTGCCCCCAGGTTCAAGCGATTCTCCCACCTTAGCCTCCCACATAGCTGGGATTATAGGCATGTGCCACCATACCCAGCTAATTTTTGTATCTTTATTTTTATGTTTTTAGACTGAGTCTCACTCTGTCTGTGAGGCTGGAGTACAGTGGCGCAATCTTGGCTCACTGGAACTGCCACCTCCCAGGTTCAAATGATTCTCCTGCCTCAGCCTCCCAAGTAGCTGGGACTACAGACATGCACCACCACACCAGACTAATTTTTGCATTTTCTTAGTAGAGACGGTGTTTCACCATTTTGGCCAGGCTGGTCTCAAACTCCTGACCTCAGGTGATCCACCCACCTTGGCCTCCCAAAGCACTGGGATTACAGGCGTGAGCCACCATGCCCAGCCAATTTTTTTTATTTTTAGTAGAGGTGGGGTTTCACCATGTTGGCCAGGCTGGTCTCAAACTCCTGATCTCAGGAGATCTGCCCTGAGTGCTAGGATTACAGGTGTGAGCCACTGCACCTGGCCCCTATAAAAGTTTTGAAAAAACTTAAGGAGAAAAATTTCAGT
The DNA here is from genome assembly GCF_000001405.40 of Homo sapiens. Lineage (NCBI taxonomy): Eukaryota > Metazoa > Chordata > Mammalia > Primates > Hominidae > Homo > Homo sapiens. The sequence goes on along the minus strand of NC_000008.11, from coordinate 46,664,092 downwards.
ACCTGGCACTGGTGAAAAATTCTTAGACTTGACAATAAAGACAATACATACAAGAAAAAAACTGGTAAATTAAATATCACCAAGACTTAAAAATTAAAAATATTTGCACATGAAAATTCTGTGTAAAGGGTGAAAAGACAGGCTACAGACTGGGGGAAATATTTTCAAACCACACATTTAACGCTGAACTTGAATCTAGATTACATAAATAACTTTTTGAAAACTAAAAAGTAGCCTGGAATTTGAGATTGCAGTGAGCTAGGATTGTGCCACTGCACTCCAGCCTTGGCAACAGAGAAAGACCGTGTCTCTAAAAAATTACAGAGCTGCTGGGAGAGCTGGCTAACCATATGCAGAAAATCGAAAATGGATGCCTTCCTTACACCATACACAAAAATCCATGCAAGATGGGTTACAGACTTAAATGTAAAACCCAAAGCTATAAAAACCCTAGAAGAAAACCTAGGCAATACCATTCAAGACATGGACATGGGCAAAGATTTCAGAACATAGAGGCCAGAGCAATTGCAACAAAAGTACTAATTGACAAATGGGATCGAATTAAACTAAAGAGCCTCTGCACAGTAAAAGAAATTATTAACATAATAAATAGAAAACCTAGACAATGGAAGAAAATTTTTGAAATCTATACATCTAACAAATGTCTGATATCCAGAATCTATAAGGACCTTAAACAACTGTACAAGAAAAAAACAAGACCATTAAAAAATGGGCAAAGGACATGAGCAGACACCTCTCAAAAGAAGGCACACAAGCACCCAGCAAATATATAGAAAAATGCCCAGCATCACTAATCATCAGAGAAATGCAAATCAAAACCACAATGAGATACCATCTCACACCAGTCAAAATAATGATTATTAAAAAGTCAAAAAACAACAGATGCTGGTGATGTTGTGGAGAAAAAGGAATACTTTTACACTGTTGGTGGGAGTGTAAATTAGTTCAGCCGTTGTGGAAGACAGTGTGATGATTCCTCAAAGATCTAGAGGCAGGAATACCATTTGACCCAGCAATCCCGTTGCTGGGTATATACTCGGAGGAATATAAATGATTCTATTGTAAAGATACATGCACTTGTATGATCACTGCAGCACTATTCACAATAACAGAATTAGCCTAAATGCCCATCAATAATAGATTGGATAAAGAAGATTTGGTATAGATATACCATGGAATACTACGCAGCCATAAAAAGGAACAAGATCATGTCCTTTGCAGGGACATGGATGGAGCTGGAAGCCATCATCTTCAGCAAACTAACACAGTAACAGAAAATCAAATACCATGTGTTCTCACTTACAAGTGTGAGCTGAATGATGAGAACATATGGACACATGGTGGGGAACAACACACACTGGGTCCTGTCAGAGGGTGGGAGGTGGGAGGAGGGAGAGCATCAGGAAGAACAGCTAATGGATGCTGGGCTGAATACCTAGGTAATGGGATGATCTGTGCAGCAAAACGCTGTGGCACACATTTACCTATAAAACAAACCTGCACATCCTGCACATGTACTTAAAATAAAAGTTGGAAATATAAAAAAAAAATTACAGAGCTGGCCATGAATGCAAATAGCTTCAAGAGGGCTCACATGTCCATTTAAAAACCTGCAGCAACACTGCACAGCCAAAAATGAATAATAAAATCACACAGAAAGAATTGCTGGGGAGATTGACATATCTGAGATGTCTGAGGGTGGCTAGGAACAAAGAAGGGCAGAAGCTATCAGTATCAGCCACAAATTGGGTTCCACCAGAACAGTGGCCTCTTCTGCAGAGGACACCAGCGTTGCCATTGAAGTAACTAAAAGCCATTGCCACCGCACAACTCCTGGAGAGAAAGCTGCTACTGTTCCCACCAGAAACCCACTGTCATACCACCCTGGCTGGAGTCATCAACACCCACAACCCTAACCATCTCCATACTAGAGATAAAGATGCCCCCTGTGTGCCCGCACTCCAGTCTCAAGCTCTGTGGCTGCACCATGCATACCCACAACCAAGGCATCAAAACTACAACCACAGCTGGCTAGCCCTACCCCAGCTCATGAAAGCATGGCCATTCTGCATATCTGTGCTCCAGAGTTCAGTTCCACCACTGCTCCATGAGTGCCCACCGTCTCAGACATCAGAACCACCTCTACAGTGAGCTAGCCTGCACTGTGGACCCTGGACTCATTGTCACTCCATGCACGCCTATGTTTTCTTTTTTGGATTCTTTTCTTTTTCTTTTCTTTTCTTTTTTCTTTTTTGGATGCAGAGTCTCACTCTGTCACCTAGGCTAGAGTGCTGTGGTGCAATCTTGACTTTGTACAACCTCCACCTCCCGGTTTCAAGAGATTCATGTGCCTCAGCCTCCCTAGTAGCTGGGATTATAGGCGTTTGTGACCCATGCCTGGCTATTTTTTTTGTATTTTTAGTAGAGATGGGGTTTCACCATATTGGCCAGACTGGTCTCGAACTCCTGACCTCAGGCGATCCGCCTGCCTCAGCCTCCCAAAGTGCTGGGACTACAGGTGTGAGCTACCATGCCTGGCCTTGCCTATGTTCTAGACCCCAGCTCTTCAGATACTCCATAAGTACATGTACAATTGACACTGGAGTTATCTGCTACAGCTGGTGTGTGTCTGCACTACAGTCCCAAGAGAAGCAGTAACTCTGTGCATGCCTGTGTTCCAGATCCTGTTTCCATATCCACTCTGTGAGCACCTACGCTTCACACACTTTTTTTTTGTTTTGACAGACTCTCACTCTGTCACCCAGACTGAAGTCCAGTGGCGTGTTCTTGGCTCACTGCAACCTCTGCTTCCCAGGTTCAAAGCAATTCTCCTTCTTCGGTCTCTCGAGTTGCTGGGATTACACGTGTGCACAACCATGCCCAGTTAATTTTTTTGTATTTTTAGTAGAGACGGGATTTCACCATGTTGGCCAGGTTGGTCTTGAACTCCTGACCTCATGTGATCTGCCTGCCTCAGCCTCCCAAAGTGCTGGGATTACAGGTGTGAGCTGTCACACCCAGCCCACACATTATTACCAATACAGCAACAAGGCCATTTGCACCTTGGGCACTGATGCCACTGCCATTATTACATACAGGTGTAAGTTAACCACAGTCATTTTTAGTCTCTTGTAGTCTACCAGTAGCTTTTTGTCTGACTCTGAAAGCACTTGTCATCAGCTACAGGCTGTGGCACTTCATCTTAAACAAAGAAGCACTATTGGCCAGGTATCATGGCTCATGCTTGTAATCCCAGCACTTTGGGAAGCTGAGGCTGGATGGATAACCTGAGGTCAGGAGTTTGAGACCAGCCTGACCAACATGGCGAAACCCCGTCTCTACTAAAACTACAAAAATTAGCCAGATGTGGTGGCACACACCTGTAATCCCAGCTACTTGGGAGGCTGAGGCAGGAGAATTGCTTGAGCCCAGGAGGCATAGGTTGCAGTGAGCCGAGATCATGCCACTGCACTCCCGCCTGTGTGACAGAGCAAGACACCATCTCAAAAAAAAAAAAAATGCATTGTCTCAGAGCTCAATGGAAAAGGATTATACCAGGTACTTTGGGGTACCAGCTTCTGACAGCATCACTTAAACAAATTTGAGACCCTACCAGTAAACCGAGTCACAAATTCCAGAATTCTAGTTAAGAAGCAGATTGGTTCTGCAGTCTACTAAATTCAAGATAGAGCTGAAGAAGAATTAATTACACAGTAATGAGTGAGCTGATGAGGAATGACTTTTGGACTATTGCTGATGTTCTAATGTTCTAGTTTTTGCATATATAAGAAACCTCCTTTTTCTCTTAAGATATCTATGACATATAAAAATTTAATAGTCTATGATTTTGTAAATAGAAGTGAAACATTTATTTTTCTTATCTTATTTTCCCTGCCTGGCTTCTCCAGAAATTGAAAACTCTTATTTTCATGGCCTTATAATTATCCGCATAGGTTCAATAAAAATCTATACGTGGCCAGATGTGGTGGCTCATACCTGTTTCCCAGCACTTTGGGAGGCTGAGGTGGGTTGATCACGAGGTCAGGAGGTCGAGACCAGCCTGGCCAACATAGTGAAACCCCATCTCTACTAAAAATACAGAAAATTAGCCAGGTGAGGTGGCAGGCGCCTGTAGTCCTAGCTACTCAGGAGGCTGAGGCAGGAGAATCACTTGAATCAGGGAGGTGGAAGTTGCAGCGAGCTGAGATCACGCCACTGCACACCAGCCTGGGCAGCAGTGTGAGACTCCGTCTCAAAAAATATATAAAAATAAAAAAAAAATAAAGAATCTGTACTCATTGTTACCACAGCATAGTTGGAAACTTCAGTTATTCTTAAATTTGACGTTATGGAGCCAATGTTTACTAGCTCAGTTTCTGGGTTATAGGATTCAGAGCTCGGCAGACAAAATAATGCCCATCACCCCCAAAGATGATCACATCTAAATCCCCAGAACCTATGAGTATTTTATCTTACCTGGCAAAAGACAGTTTGCAGATATGATTAAGGTTAAAGATCTTGAGCTGGGGAGATTATGATTAAGGTTAAAGATCTTGACTTGGGTAGCCTACACGGATACCATTGTTAGCAGATCCAGGCAAGCCAATTCTTGGCCCACAGGTGGCTTGCTTGAGCACAGACAGTGGCAGTGGTGGCCCAAGCAGGTGGGCAGGTCCTCGGGTCCCTGGGCAGCATGCTTGACATTGGCAGTAGAGGGGGTGAGCCAACCCTTGAGCTCACTGGCAGCAATCACTGGTGTTAGCTGCAGTGACAATGAGCTGGACAGGCACTCTGTAGGCCCCCAGGTGGCATGTGAGGGTGAGCGCCCACAGTGGGAGTGGTGGCAGGGTAGGCAGGCCTGTCTTCTGTCCCCTGATAGAAGTGCATAGATGCCAGAGGGGGTAGGCGTGGGAAGGCAATCCCCAGGCCCTTGGAAAGTGCACTTGGGCACAGGGGCAATGGCATCAGCTGTTGCAGGCCATTCCTCAGGCCCTGCTATGGTGCCCATGGGTGCAGACTATGGTGTGTGGGGCAGTGTGATCCCCGGGCTCTGGGACTGCATGCTCCAGCACCATCTGCAGGCCAGCCGGGTCAATTGTCAGACCTACTGATGGTGTGCACGTGTGCCCAGGGCAATAGATGGGTAAGCAACCCCTAGGTGGCCCCCAAGATGGTCTTCGGGTGGTGTGCTTGGGTGGCAACAGCTGCAGCTGTGGTAGGCAAATAGAGCCTGTCTTCTGAGCCTGGGATGGTATCTGTGCCTGCTGGTACCCCGGCTGTATGCTGTATGCTTTATGAAGTATGCAGCAGTTCTGTTGCAGGGGGTTGGGGAGCAGCGTTGCTGTCAGTGGCAGCACCCCCAGAAGCCAGCTTGGAGCGCATGCTTCAGCTGCCTGTGTCCCAAAGGCAGCCTCCCTCATTCCCTGAAGTGTAGTACACCGTATCGGCTACAGTATGGGCTACAGTGCTGGGGATCTGGCTGCACAGTTGGGTCCAGCTGGTGTTGCATCACTGCAGCTGTCCAGGAGGACATGAAGGGGATGTCAGTGGGGCTCCAGGGATGTGGAGGCCCCGGAGCTTTTGGGCCCTGGGGCAGGATGCAGTCTGGCAAGTGCTTGCTCTCAAAATGGTGCCCTTGGAGGCTGGGCATGGTGACCCACACCTGTAATCCCAGCACTTTGGGAGGCCAAGGCAGGTGGATCACTTGAGGTCAGGAGTTCAAGACCAGCCTGGCCAACATGGTGAAGCCCTATCTCTACTAAAAAAAAAAAAAATACAAAATTAGCCAACCATGGTGGTGGGTGCCTGTAATCCCAGCTACTCAGGAGCCTGAGGCAGGAGAATTGCTTGGACCAAGGAAGCAGAGATTCCAGTGAGCTGAGATTGTGCCACTGCACTTCAGCCTGGGCAACAGAGCAAGACTCCATCTCAAAAAAGAAAAAAATAAAAACAACTCTTCAGTAGTTTTGGGCTTTCTGGGGGAGTGTTGGGGATTCTGAGAGACAGTCTTACTGGGATTACAGGCACAGGACACCACACCTGGCTAATTTTATTATTTTTAGTAGAGACACGGTCTCATCATGTTGGCCATGCTGGTTTCAAACTCCTGGGCTAAGGCAATCCTCCTGCCTTGGCCTCCCATAGTGCTGAAATTACAGGCATGAGCCACCACACCTGGCCTCTGTTTAGTATTTTTAATTAACATGCAGTTACTATATAACCCAGAAATTACATTCCTAACTATCTATTCAATGTAAATGAAAGCATATGTCCACAAAAAGACATATAAGAATGTTAATAGCACCTTAATCAAAATAGCCTAAAAATAGAAACAACATGTCCAAGAAGAGGGTGATAAACAATCTGTGGTGTATTTATTCAAAGAATACTAGTCAGCAATGGAGAAGCAGTTACTTATACATGAAACAAAGTGGATGAATCTCAAAGTCAAGATACTGAGTAGAAAAAGCCAGACACAAAATTGTCTGTACTTTTTTATTTCATTCATGTGAAACTTAAGAATAGGCAAAGTTATTCCAGGGCAAGAGGAATTTGAACAGTGTTTTTCATTAGGATGAGAAAACCTACTTGAAAGGGGCCTGAGGAAACTTTCTGGATTTAAATGTTGGTAAAACTCATTAAAATCTCTGCATTTTCCTGTGTACATAATGTGTTGATTTTAAAATGATGTTACACAAAGATAAAGAATAATTTGCTTAACATATTACTTCTCAGAAACTCAGCAGCGCTTTTTGTAATCTGTTAATCTGTTTTCTCTTTTCTTTTTTTTTTTTTACATGGAGTTTTACTCTTTTATCCCAGGCTGGAGTGCAACGGCACGATCTCGGCTCACTGCAACCTCCGCCTCCCAGGTTCAAGTGATTCTCCTGCCTTAACCTCCCAAGTAGCTGGGATTACAGGCTTGCGCCACTACGCCCGGCTAATTCTGTATTTTTAATAGAGATGGGGTTTCACCATGTTGGCCAGGCTGGTCTTGAACTCCTGACCTCAGGTGATCTGCCCGCCTCGGCCTCCCAAAGTGCTGGGATTACAGGTGTGAGCCACCACACACAGCCTAAGCCTGCTTCTTTTCTTTCTTTTATTAAAAAGATTATTTATTATAGTTGAAGTTCTGGGATACATACACAGAACCTGCAGGTTTCTTATATAGGTATACAAGTGCCATGGTGGTTTGCTGCACCCATCAACCCGTCATCTACATCAGGTATTTCTCCTAATGCTATCTCTCCTCTAGCCCTTAAACCCCCAAAAGGCCCCAGTGTGTGATGTTTCCCTTCTTGTCTCCATGTGTTCTCCTTGTTCAACTCCCACTTATGAGTGAGAACATGTGGTGTTTGGTTTTCAGTTCCTACCTGGTCCAACCCACAGACACTGACCGAGTGACAGATGAAGAAATGCACTCAGACACAGATATCCAGTGAAACAGCGAGCTAACAGACCAGGCAGCTTACATACACTGAGGAGGGTGCCATAAAGAGTCAGCAGCCATGGCCCTGACATGCTGGCACTGCAGGCATTTATTCAGTATAAATTTAATAACAAAGGCTTTGAGTTAACACACTTGTGGATAATTAACATAGTCGCCCTCCCTGGAGAGCAGTCCTGCAGATGATTAAAGGCCAGGTTCCAAGGCCTAAGTAAACTAACTTACCTAGATCAGTTTCTTTATATCCCCTTGTTATCTAACTTAAGCTTTAAGGCACAGGATAAGAGAATCTGGCTGCCTTCAGCCAAATCCTATTCTGAAGCTTTTGTAAAACCTTCCAGCCTTCCAAGGTTTCATCTTTCTACAATTTTTCCCACCACCCTGACCAATCTCCTACATCTCCCCTCTTTTCTGTTTTTAGCATCAGGTTTTGTTAATTGGAGAGTACAGATATGTGCAGCAAGAGGTCTGTCAGGTGTGGTGGTCACTGCTTGTATTCTGGCTTTTCATCCTAGAATTAGTAAATAACATAAGACAAACATGAGTATTATTAGCAACATTATTTTCCAATCAAGGAGTGACCTGGTACCTTAGTCTGATGTGTGCCATTGCTACGGAACCCCACTGAAGGTATATTAATCCCTTTTAGCCAAGCCGTCACGTTGTTAGAAGCTGGGAAGTGGGTGTTTGTCTAAGTAACAGGGCAGAAGAAAGATGGATTTAAGAGATGAGCCCAATAGAGTGTAGCAGGTACCAGTTGTAGGCAGAGTGAGAGAATAAAAATGGAACAAATTATTTGGAGTGACAGGTATTTCGGCTTGGAGCAGGATTTGCTAAGCCTTCTGCTTCTTCAGCATAATGTCTGGGGCCTGTGTTGTCCAAGGAAGCCACAGCGTCCAGGGCTGTGGGTCCTGTAGGGTCATTTTCTTCATTTCTGGTACCAGGTTGGGTCCTAGCCATGTCATGGTACGGTTCGATGCATCATGCTGGAATTCAAAGAGAACCTGAGGGGGTGTGAACATAAGCATATCCTCTTCAATTCATTTGGCCCACACCATATATTACTGTTTACATCTTTCCAAAAAACTGCGAGTTTTATGTCTTAGAGGTTTTAGCAAAGTGCTTTTCAAAAACTGATTGAAATTTATCATCTAAATTTTAAAAAATTAAGGGTAAATAAGGCTTGTGCCAATAGTGTTGCAGAGTCCTTACTCATAGTCCCCTGTTTTTGTTTACTGAGAATATTTTTAAGGGTGGAGTGGACCCGTTCTACTATGGCCTGTCCTTGAGAGCTATACGGGATGCCTGTGGAATGTTGGATATTCCACGTGTGACAAAATTATTGAAATTGTGGGCTGGCATCAGCCAGACCATTATTAGTTTTAATTTTTGTGGGCTGCTCCATAAATGCAAAAGTTAGAAGAAGATGTTTAATGACATACAGGGTGAACTCTCCAGGAAGAGCTTGAGTGCTGTATTAAATGAGAATTGGTATCAACAGATACATGTACATATTTAGCCTTTCCAAATTCAGGGATGTGTGTAAAATCCATTTGCCATAAATGATTAGGTTCTAGTCCTCTAGGGTTAACACTTGTTGAAGGAGGGGATGTGCCTGTGAGCTGGCAATCTGGGCATTGTAGGATAATTTGTTTAGCTAGTCTTTGGGTAAGTTGAAATTGTTTAGATAATTTTCTCCAGTTTTGGTGGAAAAATTGATGTGATTGGGTAGCTTGGTCAAGCAGTGATGTCATAACCTGTCGGTCTGCTTGATCATTGCCATAAGCCAATGGGCCAGGCAGTGAGCTGTGGCCCTGAATGTGTGTAATAAAAATAGGATGTGTGCAATAAAAATAGGATGTGTGCATTGATCTAGCAATTTGCTGAAGTCGGAGAAAAGTGCACACAGGGTGGGCTCCAGAGTGGACTTAATGAGGGCTGTTTCAAGGTTCTGCAATAAATAGAGTAAGCAGAGTCACTAACAGTATTAACGGGCTGAGGGGAAAAAGTTTCCAAGGCAAAATATTAAGGCTCCAACCTCAGCTCTCTGAGTGCTAGTAAATCCAGAACGAGTGAGGGAATTACGTGGTCTCTACCAAACCGCTGCTTTTCCATGTTTACCAGAGACATTACTAAACAGTATTAAAAGGTAGGCTGGGCACAGTGGCTCACACCTGTGATCCCAGCACTTTGGGAGGCCGGGCGGGCAGATCACGAGGTCAGGAGATTGAGACCATCCTGGCTAACACGGTGAAACCCTGTCTCTACTAAAAATACAAAAAAAAAAAGCCTGGCGTGGTGGTGGGCGCCTGTGGTCCCAGCTACTCAGGAGGCTGAGGCAGGAGAATGGCGTAAACCCGGGAGATGGAGCTTGCAGTAAGCGGAGATCGCGCCACTGCACTCCAGCCTGGGCGACAGAGCGAGACCCCGTCTCAAAAAAAAAAAACTTTAGTTGTGGTGGATTGAACTATTTTTGTAGGCTAAACCACAGAAGTACAAGATAAGAACTTAAGGAGTTTGACAGCAGGGAGGGCATGCTCTGTATGGCCTGTGTAATCAGAGACTGCCATTTGCAGGTCCATAGATAAGGGCATCACTACTTCAAATTGCTTTTTACTTAAAGGAATTATGATGATATCAGGGTCAGATTGCATAATCCATGGCCTGAATAGATGACTTTACTGACTAACTGGATATAGGGAGAGAGTGTTTTAGTCCCAGTATGTGAGCAAAAAACCCATTCTAGAAAGCATAGCTCTGGGACCATCTGTCCTGTTAATCATGTAGGAGCGTGTTTAGTGGGAAAAATAAACAATTGAACTGAATACCACGGATCTATGCGATCTAGTTTCCTATGAGAAATAGTTTGCTCTATCTCTTCAATTTCCCTTTGTGCTGCAGGAGTTAAATGCCTAGGAGAATCTAGGGTAGCTTTGCCTTTTAAGACAGAAAACAGGTTCTGTACCTTATCAGTAGTTATGCCTAAGGTGGGGAAAAGCCAGTTAATATCACCTAGTAATTTCTGATAATCATTTAAGGTGTATAAGTTGCTGGTATTTAACCTTTTGAGGTCTTACTGATCGAGAAGTTAGTATGTACCCAAGATATTTCCAAGGAGAAGACATCTGTACTTTTTCAGGTGCTATGATTAAACTTCTTAACTGTGTATTCTTTACTACAGAGGCATGTAACTTTAAAAGTACTGGCTCTGTTGGGGCTGCTAGTAAAATATCATCCATAAAATGAATAATCTTGCAATTAAGAAATTATTTTCTACTGGGTAGCAAAGCCTGATTTACATGATACTGACACATGGTAGAACTGTTCAGCATTCTTTGAGGAAGCACTTTCTAATGAAATTGGTGAGCTGGCCTTTCATTATTGATAGCTGGTATTGTAAATGCAAATTTTTCTCTGTCCTCTTCTGCTAGGGGAATATTACAAAAGCAGTCTTTTAAGTTAATAACGATTATAGGCCAATCTCAAGGAATCACTGTGGGGGAGGGGAGTCCTTGCTGAAGGGGCCCCGAAACTTGCAAATTAGCATTAATGGTACATAAGTCATACAAAAGTCTCCATTTACCAGACTTTTTGGGAATGATGAAAATGGGTGAATTCCAAGGGCTGTTTGGTGGTTCTATATGGCTGGCTTTTAATTGCTCCTCAACTAACTCTTGGGCTCTTTGTAATTTCCCTACCTTTAAAGGCTACTGTTCTACCCAAATAGGATTTTGAGAGAGCCACAAGAGGGGTAGAGGAGGAAAAACAGTGGCCGTTATTAGAAAGAGGTTTGCTGTTGACATAATTCATCAATTTCTGCCCTCCAGAAGAGGTATTGACTGGTGTTTAAAGTTGTTTTAGTGAGCACTGACCAGTCCGTGGAGTCATACGGGAGTTATTTGCTATAGCTTTAATTAATCCTTTTTGTAAATGGGCTAGCAGCTTTGTTATCTTTAATGCTTTTCCTTATCTCTTTATGTACCTGATTGCCTTGTTGATCTTGCATTACCGGACAGGGTAAGAGCTCCCCTTCTAATGCCACTTGCCAAAGACAGGGTCCCATAGCTGTAGTGTATCCCTTGTCTTTTATTCAGTCTATTGGAGGAGCAGGCTCAGGCACAACCTCCATTTCCTCTTTGTTATTTTGGCCCAGTGATGGCGGGGCTGAGGGATAAGGAGGCAGTAAGGTAGGTGATGGTTCTTCCTCCCTTCCCTGTCTAGGCTCTTCTGTGTAGAGCAGGACCAGAACTGTTCTAAAGCCCATAACGTTAAAGATGTTACTGGGACCCATTGCCCTTGCACATGATGTTGTTTAAGATTTCTCCGCACCTGTTCCCAGAGCTCTACATCTAGCATACCTTCTTCCAGGAACCATGGGTTATGGGATACAACAGTTTGCATTAGGTCCCTTAATTGAGCTTGTGAAACCGAGGCTCCACTAGCTTTAAGCAGCTGTTTCAATACTTTTATATACTGCTTCTATTGTGCTGATAACTGCTGTCCCATGATGAAACCCCAGCCTGAACAATGCCCTCGAACTTGGAAATCCTGAGCGGGCACCAAAGACTGACTTACTGACTGTGCAGTCTATTTACCTTCATTTTTGAGAGTTCTGTGGTGATTTGTTGCAGTGTTCCTCACATGGGGCACCACCTTCTGGGTCTGACCCACAGACCCTGGCTGAACGACGTATGAAGGAATGCACTCAGACACAGGTATCCAGTGAAAGAGCACGCTAGGGGACCAGGCCACTTACAGACCCTGAGGAGGGTGCTGTAAAGAGTCAGCAGCCACAGCCCTCACAAGCTGGCACTGTGGGCATTTATGCAGTATAGATTTAATGACAAAGGCCTTGAGTCATCACACTTGGGGATAGTTAACATGGTTGCCCTCCCTGAAGAGAGCAGTTTTGCCAATGATTAAAGGCCAGGTTCCGAGGCCTAAGTAAACTAACTTATCTAGATCAGTTTCTTAACATCCCCTTGTTATCTAACTTAAGCTTTCAGGCACCGGATAAGAGAATCTGCCTGCTTCAAGCCAAATCCTATTCTGAAGGTTTTGTATAAAAACTTCTGGCCTTCAAAGAAGATTTGCATCTTTCTGCAGTTTTTTCCACCACCCTGACCAATCTCCTACACCGAGGCAGGAGAGGAGAGTTACATTACCTAGAAGCTAGTGTTAGTGATATTTCAAAATGTCATCTGGGGGCAGGGCACAGGCTGGAGAGACATATCACCTAGCTGTTAGGTCCAGAGATATGTGATAGTATCCCGTTGCAGGGCTCAGGCAGAAGAGTCACATTATTATAATTCTAATCCAGCAATATGACACTATCCCACATGTGGAAAAAACCCAGTCAAGTTATGAGAGCCAAAACATGTACATAACCAGCCCAAGATATTTCAAAATACCTTCGGTGGCTCCAGCACAGGCAGAAGAGTCACATCATAAGGGTGCTGGGCCCAGCAATATGAAATGTGCCATAATTTTCTTTTTATGAAGAACCCGGGCAGAAGAGTAATATCATCCGGGTGCTGTGCCCTGCAATGGTCAAAAGAGCTTTTTTTGTGGGAAAGGTTTGGAAAAAAGAGTAGAGTCACATATCCTGAGTGCTGGGCTCAGCAATGTGTCAAAATCCTCCTATGGTGAAGGCCCAGGCAGAAAAACAGTCACATCATTTAGGTCATGGGCTCAGAGATATGTTGCAATGACCCCAGTAGGCAGGGATCAGGCAGATGAAGAGAGTCATATCACCCAGATGCTTCCCTAGGAATATGTCACAATGTAACATGTGGGCAGAAATCAGGCAGAAGAGCCACAACACTTGGGTGCTGGGTCCTGAGATATGTCACAAGGCTCTCTTAGGACAACACCCAGCAAAAAGAGTTACAACACCTAGGTGCTGGCTCCTGAGACATGTCACAATGCCCTCCTTTGGGCATGGCTCTGGCAAAAGAGTACCCTCGACTGTGTGTCTGTACTTGCAAGATGTCACTACCCTTCCTTTGTGCAGGGCCCATTACAGAGAGGAGAGTTACAAAACCTATAAGGTGAACACAGAAATATGTCACGATAATTTTGGTGGGCATGGTGCAGGCAAGAATGTAACATCACCTGGGTGCTAGATCCAGTATTATGTCACATACAATCCTTACTGAGAGAAGGGCCCAGGCAGGAGAGTCACATGGCTACGAGGTTGTCCTAGGTGGATATCACAATCCCATATATGGGCTTGAACAAATCTGGAGAGTCAAATTACACAGATGCTTGGCAAAGATTTGTGTCACTATCACACTGTCAGAAAACTCCATAGGTGAGATTTACAATACCACACATGTCCTGTTTTCAGGTGTGATAGTTGTCTTCATCCATGTGAGATGATGACAGTTCTTACTGTCAGCTAGATGTTCATACAAGGCTCACAATTTCACCCGTGTGGTGAGCCCTGCTTTGACCCTGTATAATCCAAAGACTTTGTAAAATATTTGTGAGTGTTATAATCTTTTGTGACCTTTGTACAAGAAGGTGATGCAGGACATCATGCATGTCTCTAAACCTAGTTATAAGAGTCATAATATCCTCTATTGGCTGAGTCCACATATGAGAGCCATTATCATTCCTGTGAGCCATGCCTAGGTATATGTTACAATTCCCTCTGTAGTTACGAAGCAGGCAGAACAGCCACATCACCTAAATGCTAGACCGGAAATATTCCAATATTCTCTTTGTAGGCATGGTCCTGTCAGAAACATCACATAACTTGTGTGCTAGGTTCAGCTCTGTGACACAATATCCCGTGTGGGCAGTGTCCAGGCAGAGAGGAGAGTCATATCGCCTAAATGATGGGCCCAAAAATATGTCACAATGCTGCCTGTTGACAGGGCCCAGGCAAGAGAGTCATATCATTTGGTGCAGTGTTTAGAAATGTTACATTTACCAAAGGAAGAAGGGTACAGGCGAAAGAGGATAGCCATGTAACCTAGATAATGGGTCCAGCAATATGTTACAACCCCTCCTGAGGACATTGTTGAGATAGCACCATCAAATCATCAAGGTGCTTGGCCCAGATATTTGTCAAAATCTGATTTGTGGGTTATACTTAGGGAGAATTATTAAATCACTCAAGAGCTGGGCAAAGGTTTATGTCGAAATTACACTTGTGCAAAGTTTTAAGAATAAGAGTCACCATCCTGAACATGTCCTGGCTCTAGGCATAAGTTGTTATTAGGCTTTTGTTATGGTCTCAGGTATATGGCACAATATCACCTGTGGCCAGAGACAAGGCCATAAAGTCACATCACCCACGTGGGTGCAGGTCCAGTGAGATGTCACAACCCACCTTGTGGGCAGGACCCTGGCAGAAGAGTTACATTACCTGGATGTTGGTTTCAGTGACATGACAAATTCCTATGTGGGCAGAACTTTGGAAAGAGAGGAGACTCACTTCACCTAGGCAATTGGCCTAGGTATATGTGACAATGTCTCTTCTGCCCAGTACCAAAGCTGGAGACTGACCTCACATTGGTGCTGGACCCAGCAATATGTCACAATCTCCCCGTGGTCAGGGCACAGGCAAAGGCAAACAAACATCACCTAGATGTTGAGCCAAGTGATATGTTTCAGTGCTTTCTTTTGGCAGAACCCAAAAAGAAGAATCACATCACCTGGGTGCAGCGCCCAGTTTTGTGTCACAATGCACTGTAAGTGCAGGGCCAAGGCAACAGAAGGGACTCATATCACTTACATGACAGAACTAGATAGAAGACATAATTTTCTTTTTTTTTTCTTTCTTTCTTTCTTTCTTTCTTTCTTTCTTTCTTTCTTTCTTTCTTTCTTTTTCTTTCTTTCTTTTTTCTTTCATTCCTTCTTTCTCCTTTCTTTCTTTCTTTTTCTCTTTCTTTTCTCTTTCTTTCTTTCTTTCTTTCTTTCTTTCTTTCTTTCTTTCTTTCTTTCTCTTTCTTTCTTTCTTTCTCTTTCTTTCTTTCTGTCAGAAAATTCCATAGGTGAGATTTACAATACCACACATGTCCTGTTTTCAGGTGTGACAGTTGTCTTCATCCGTGTGAGATGATGACAGTTCCTACTGTCAGCTAGGTGTTCATACAAGGCTCACAATTTCACCTGTGTGGTGAGCCCTGCTTTGACCTTGTGTAACCCAAAGACTTTATAAAATATTTGTGAGTGTTATAATCTTTTGTGACCTCTGTACAAGAGTAAGTTCTAGGGTACATATACACAACGTGCGGGTTTGTTACATATGTATACATGTGCCATGTTGGTGTGCTGTACCCGTTAACTCCTTATTTACATTAGGTATATCTCCTAATGCTATCCCTCCTCCCTCCCCCCACCCCATGACAGGCCCCAGTGTGTGATATTCCCCACCCTGTGTCCAAGTGTTCACACTGTTCATTTCCCACCTATGAGTGAGAACATGTGGTGTTTGGTCTTCTGTCATTGCAATAGTTTGCTCAGAATGATGGTTTCCAGCTTTATCCATATCCCTACAAAGGACATGAACTCATCCTTTTTTATGGCTGCATAGTATTCTATGGTGTATATGTGCCACATTTTCTTAATCCAGCCTATCATTGATGGACATTTGGGTTGGTTCCAAGTCTTTGCTATTGTGAATAGTGCCACAATAAACATACGTGTGCATGTGTCTTTATGGCAGCCTGATTCTTAATCCTTTGGGTATATGCCCAGTAATGGGATGGCTGTGTCAAATGGTATTTCTAGTTCTAGATCCTTGAGGAATCACCACATTGTCTTCCACAATGGTTGAATTAGTTTACAGTCCCACCAACAGTGTAAAAGCTTTCCTATTTCTCCACATCCTCTCCAGCACCTGCTGTTTCCTGACTTTTTAATGATCGTCATTCTAACTGGTGTGAGATAGTATCTCACTGTGGTTTTGATTTGCTTTTCTCTGATGGCCAGTGATTAGCATTTTTTCATGTGTCTGTTGGCTGCATAAATGTAAAAGACATAATTTTCTTTTTAGGAAGGTTTTTTGCAGATAATTCCTATCACCTCGGTGATGGGTCCAGTGATATATGAAAGTGCTCTTTGTAGGCAAAGCCATGAAAGTGTTATATATTGCTTAGGTGCTTGTTCCAAACATGGCACAATTAAATCTATGGTCTGGGCCTAGAAAAGAGAGTCAAATTATTCATGTGCTGGGCAAAGTTACCTGTCCCAATCACACTCTGAAAAGTTCAGAAATAAGTTTCACATCCGACATGAGTCCTGGTTTCGTGTATGTGAGTCAACATTTTCTATGAGTTGGGTCGAAGTAGAGGAGTCACAGTCTCCACAATGGGCAAGTTCCATGTATAAGATGCCCAAACACACTTGAAGATTGTGTTCCATTAAGGGAGTCACAGCACCACAGGTGTGCTGAATCACGGTTCAAATGTTACCAAACCACCTGTGAATCAGATCCATGTATGAGAGAAATTATTTCAACCTTCGACTGCCTTTTATGTGTGAGATTTAGTACCTCATTCCAAGGCCCTGTTTATGTATGAAAATGACAATCACGTAAGCTAGGTGTGCATATAAAAGTCACACTCTCACCTCACTGCTGGTCTCTGTTATGACACTCTTTGTAATATTTACATATTTATATGATATACCTGAGTGTTATAATCCTTCGTGAACTTTATACAAGTGAATAACCCAGGACTTTACCCATGGCCTTGAGACAGGCTATGAGCATCAAAATATCTCTACTGGCTGGGTCCAGGTATGAGAGTTATTGTTGCACATGTGTGATTAACCCAGGTATATGTCACAATTTCACCTGTGAGCAGGGACAAGGCAGGAGAGTCACATCACCTGAGATTATACAGTATAATCTCATTTGTAGGCTGGGCCTAGTCAGAAGAGTCATATAACCTGGGTACAGCCTCAAACAGTATGTCACCAAGCCCCCCACAGACAAGAAGAAAAAGAGGAAAGTCACTCTACCTGGGTGCTGGGCTCTGCAGTATGTAATAATCCCCTTTTGGCAGAGTCTAGAAAATGAAAGAGAGTCACATCACCTAGGTTTTGCAGTCAGCGATATGTCACAATTTCTTTGGTGAGCAGGACCCAGGCAGGAGAGGAGAGTCACATGACCTAGATGTTAAGTCATGATATTTCACAATGTCGCAATGTCCTCTGGGGACAGGGCAGAGGCAGAAGAGACAAATTACCTAGCTAATAGGTCCAGAGATATGTGATAAAATCTCTCATTGGCAGTGTCCAGGCAGAAGAGTCACATTATTATGATTCTAACCCAGCGATATGCCACAATGCACCAATGGGAAAAAAATTTGAACCAAAAAGTCTCAACACCTGGGTGCTAGGCCTAATAATAGGCCAAATCTCCTTGTCTTTGAGGTTGACAACATTAACTGTGAGCTGGGTGTATATATGAGTCACAATCTCCCATGTTTCCTGGGCTGCTGTATGACACTCTAAAACATTCAAAAGCTTTATACAGCATACAGAAGAGTTGAAAACCACTCTGAGGCCTTCATGCTCATATGGATTCAAGATCTTACATATTGCCTTAAACCCAGGTATAATAGTCAACGTGTCTTTTGTAGGCTGGGTTCATGGTTGAGACCCATCATTATGCCTATGAGCTAGATCCAGAAATGAGTCACCACCCCACCTGTGGCCAGATCCACATATGAAGATCACAATTCCAACTTTTTACTGTACTCACTTGTTAGACTCAGGACCTTAACAGTGGGCTTTTGACATGTGGGATGGTGACAACATTTGCATTCACCTGGGAGTGTAATTGAGAGTCCCAGTCTGAACTTTTTGCTGGTCCCTGTCATGAAACTCTCTGTACCACCCAAGGAGTTTCTACATTATGAGTTAGTGTTGTAAAGTTCTGTAAGCTTGGTACAAATATGCAACCCAGGACCTTACCTATTGCCCTAAGCCTGGTGATGAAAGACAAAATATCTCCTGTTGGCTGAATCCCAGCATAAGTTTGACCATCATGCTTGTGAACTGTAGTAAGGTATATGTCATAGTCCCACTTGTGGGCAAAAATCTAGGCAGGAGGGTAACATCAGTTAGGTGCTGTGCCAAGCAACATGTCACAATGCCCTCTCTAGGCAGGGTATAAGAATTAGTGTCACGTTAACTAGGTGCTGCACTCAGCAATCGGACTCCATCCTACATGTGGAAAAAACCTAGCCAAGGGATGAGAGCCAAAACACCTACATAATGTGCCCAGGATATGTCAAAATACCTTTTGTGGTGTTGGGACAGGTATGAGATTCACATTATCAGGATGCTGGGCCCAGCAATATGCCATAATTCCTTCTATATGCAGGACCCACACAAAAGGGTAACATTATCTGGGTGCTGGGCCCTGCAATAGGTCAATATTTCTGTTCGTGGGCATGGTTTGAGAAAAAAAAGAGAGTCAAATAACCTGAGTGTTGGGCTTAGCAATATGGCACAATAACCCATTTTAAAGACCAAGCAGAAGAAGAGAGTCACTTCACTTAGGTCATGGGCTCAGTGATACATGCCAGTGTCCCCAGTAGGGAGGGCCAAGGCAGAAAAGGAGAGTCATATCACCTAGGTGCTTCCCTAGTTATATGTCACAATTTAACATGTGGGCAGAAACCAGACAGAAGGGCCACCTTACCTGGGTACAGCCTGAAGTAATGTGTCACCATGACCATTGTAGACAGGTTTGAAGAAGAAAAAGAGAATCACACCAGCTGGGTACTGGGCTCAGCAATACATAATAATTTCCTCTCTTGGCAGAGTTTAGGACAAAGAGAGTCATGTCACCTAGGTTTTCCACTCAGTGGTATTTCATAGTATTTTTAGTGGGCATGATCCAGGCAGGAGAGGAGAGTCACATTATCTAGATGCTATATCTAGCGATATGTCACAGTTTCCCCTGTGAGCAGGACACAGGGAGGAGAGACATATCACATAGCCTGTAGGCCCAGAGATACCTGAAAATATCCCGTTTGCAGGGCCCAGGCAGAAGAGTCTAATTATCGTGATTCTGACCCAGTGATATGTTAATAATGCCCTTATGGAAAGGAATTTAAACCAAAAAGTCTAAACACCGGGGTACTAGTCCGAAGGATATGACACAATCTTCTCATTAAAGGTGACACCATTAACTGTTAGCTAGTTGTGTATATGAGAGTCACAATCTCACATGTGTGCTGGCCATTGTATGATGCTTTCTACAACATCTGAGAACTTTATAAAACATGCATGGGAGCCGCAAACCTCTCTGAGGCCTACATGCTTATATGGACTCATGATCTTACATATTGTCCTAAACCCAGGTATGACGGTCAACAATTCTCTATAGGCTGGATTCAGGGATAAGATCACTATTATGCCTATGAGCTGGGTCCAGAAATGAGTCAGCATCGCACCTGTGGCCAGGTTCACTTATGAAAGTCACAATTCCAATTTTGTGCTGTATTCATTTGTTAGACTCAGGACTTCAACAATGGACTTTGTAAATGTAGGATGGTAACAACTTTTACTATCACTGGAGTGTGTAGTCAAGAGTAACAATCTTAACTTTTTGCTGGGCCCTGTTATGAAACTTTCTGTACCACCCAAGAAGTTTTTATGATATGAGTTATTGTTGTAACTTCTGTGAGCTTTGTACAAATACGGAATGAAGGACCTTATCTATTGACCTAAACCTACTGGTGAGAGGCAAAATATCTCCTATTGTCTGAATCCCAAAATAAGTTTGATCATCATGCCTTTGAACTGAAGCAAGTTATATGTCATAATCCCATTTGTGGCAAAAAAACAAGGCAGAAGGTTAACATTACTTAGGTGCTGTGCCAAGCAATATGTCACCATGCCCTCTCTAGGCAGGGCGTAGGAAAGAGGCTCACCTTAACTGATGGCCTGAGCCAGCAATATGATAAAACCATACGTGGAAGAAACCCAGCAAAATGATGAGAGCAAAAACAGCTACAGAATGGGCCAACAACATGTCAAAATACATTCTGTGGCTCTGGCACAAGCAGGAGAGTCACATCATTAGGATTCTTGGCCGAGAAAGGTGCTATAATTTCCTTTTTATGCATGACCTGGCAGAAGAGTGACATCATCCATGTGCTGGGCCCTGAAATATGGCAAAAGTGCTGTTCATAGGCATTGTTGAGCAACAAGACAAGAGTCACATGACCCAAATTATGGGCTCATCAATATGTCACAATCTTCCCATTGTAAAGGCCCAGACAGAAGAGAATCACATTACTTAGGCTATTGGCTCACAGATATTGTCCAATGTCACCAGTAGGCTGGGCTCAGGCAGAAAAAGAGAATCATATCACCTAGGTGCTTCTTTAGGTATATGTCAAAATTTAATATGTGGGCAGAAACCAGGCTGAAGAGCCACATCATTTGATCGTGGGTCCTGAGATATTCACAAGTCCCCCTTAGAAAATGACCCAGGCAAGAGAGTTACATCACCTAAGTTCAGGTTCCACCCTTATGTCACAATGCTCCATGTGGGCAGGGCCAAGCAGGAAGTCACATCACCTAGGTGATAGGCCCAGAGATATGTCACAAAGCCTTCCTTAAAGCATGGCCCTGGCAAAAGAGTACCATCACCTTTGTGGCTGGCTTAGCCATATGTCACTATTCAAGTGGGCATGTCCCAAGCAGAAGAGCCATATCACCTACATGATAGGCCCTGTGATATGTTAAAATGCCCTCTTCTGTGCATGGCTCTGGCAAAAGAGTATCATCACCTGTGTGCCTGGCCTAGGAATATGTCACTAACCTGCCCTGTGTGCAGGGCCCATTCCAGAGAGGAAAGTTACATCTTCTAATTGATGGACACAGTGATATGTTACAATGATATCTGTGAGCATGGTGCAGGCAGAATGTAATGTCACCTGGGTGCTGGATCTAGTGATGTCACAATTCTTACTGAGAGCAGGGCCCAGGCAGAAGAGTCACATCACTTCGAAGTTGACCCAGGTGGATATCAAAATGCCATACGTAGGCTGGAACCAGTCTGAAGAGTGAAATCACACAGGTGCTTAGCAAAAATTTATATCACAGTCACGATGCAATAAAGTTCTAGGGATTAGATTTACAAAACCACACATGTCCTGTTTTCATGTATGACATTTGCCTTTATCCATCCGTGATTGTGAAAGTCCTTACTGTCAGCTGGGTGTGCATACGATACAATTTCCTCTGTGTGCTAGGCCCTGTTATGACACTCCCTATACAACCCAAGGATGTTATAAAATATGTGTGAGTGTTGTAAGCTTCTGTGATCTTTTTGTCAGAAGGAGATCCTGGACATCACTCATGTCCCTAATCCTAGTTATAAGAGTCAAAATTTCTCCCATTAGTGGGGTCCACATATGAGAGTCATTATCATGCCTGTACCTAGGTATATGTCATGATCCCCTCTGTGGTTATTAAATAGGCATGACAAATATATCACCTAAATCCTAAGCAAGAAATAATCAAATATTCCCTTTGTAGGCAGGGCCCTAACAGAAAAGTCACAAAACTTGGGTGCTAGGCCCAGCTCAATGGCATAATGTCCCCTGTGGGGAGCGTCCAGGCAGGAGATGAGAGTCATATCATCTAAATGATGGGCCTAGATATATGTCACAATGCCTCCTGTTTAAAGGGCTCAGGCAAGAGTGTCATGTGATTTGAATGCAGTGCTTAGAAATGCTACACTCTTCACTGGAAGCAGGGTACAGGCAGGAGAGGAGAGTCACATTACCTAGACAATGGGTCCAGAGAAATGTTATGATCCCTTCTGAGGAGGCTGCTAAGAGAGGAGGGTCAAATCAGCAAGGTTCTTGGCCCAGGTATATGTCAAAATGTCATCTATATGCTGTAACTAGGCAGGATTATTAAATCACTCAGGAGTTGGGCAAAGGTATATGTCACAATAACACCTATGGAAAGGTTCAGGGATGAGAGTCACCATCCTGCACATGTCCTGGCTCCAGGTACAAGAGTTGTTATTAGGTCTTTGATATGGTCTCAGGTACATGGCAAAATATCACCTGTGGGCAGAGAGAAGAAAGGAAAGTCACATCACCTGAGTGGGTGCTGGTCCAGTGAAATGTCACAATCCTCCTTGTGGGCAGGACTCTGGAAGAAGAGTCACATCACCTGGAGGCTTGTTTCGGTGATACATCTAAATCCCCGCTGTAGAAAGGGCTTAGGCAAGAGAGGAGACAAACTTCACCTAGGCAATTGGCATGGCTATATGTCACAATGGCCCCTGCATGCAGGACCAAGGTAAGAGAGTGACCTCACCTTGGTGCTGGGTTCAACAATATGTCACAATCTCTCTCATGGTTAGGGCCCAGGCAAGAGAGAAGAAACATCACCTAGTTGCTGAGACAAGTGATATGTTACAAAGCTTCCTATTGGCAGAATCACTCCCCCACAAAAAAGAATCACATCTCCTGGGTGCAGTACCAAGTTACGTGTCACAGTGCACCATAAGTGCAGGGCCAAGGCAGTAGAAGGAAGTCACATCACTTATGTGATGGACCTAGATAAGACACAATGCTGTTTGTAGGCAGGGTTCAGGTCAAGATTTCACATTAGCTGGGTGCTGGTCCCAGTGATATGTAAAAGTGCACTTTGTCGCATTGCCAAAGAAGGTGTTACACATCACTTAGGTGCTTGGTGCACATATGTCACAATTTCAACTCTGAGCCTAGAAAGGAGAGTCAAAACACTCAGATGCTCGGCAAAGTCATACTTCTCAATCACACACTCAAAAATGTTCAGAAATAAGTTTCACAGTCCCACACAAGACCTGGCTTCAGGTATGAGAGTCAACACCTCCTATGAGTTGGGTCAAAACACAGGAGTCACAATCTCAACAATGGGAAAAATTCATGTATAAGAGCCCCAATCCCACTTGAAGATTGTGTTCCAGTAGGAGAGTCAAAGCCCAACAGGTTGGCTGAATCATGGCTCAAACATCACCAAACCACCTGTGGATCAGATTTATGTATGAGAGTAACAATTTCAAGTGTGAACTGCTTATATGCATGAGATTTAGCACCTCATTCATAGGCTCTGTTCATGTGTGAGAATGACAATCGTATAAGCTGGGTGTGCATCCAAGAGTCACAACAGTACCTGGTTTCTGGTGCATTTTATGACACTCTTCATACCACTCAGGCTTTATATGATATGCCTGAGTAGCATACTTTTCTGTGAATTCTTACAGGTGGGATATCTAGGACTTTACCCATGGTCATAGGACTGCCTGTGAGTTGAAATATCTCCCTGGCTGAGTCTATGTATGAGAGTTATTATTGTGCATATGAGCTGAATCCAGGTGTATGTCACAATTTCACTTTTGCATAGAGAAAAGACAGAAGAGTCACATCATCTGGGTGCTGAGCCAGGAATATATTATAATCTCCTCTGTAGACAGGACCCAGGCAGAAGAGTCGTATCACCTGGGTACAGTCTCAAATAATATGTCATCATGCCCAATGAAAACAGGGTTGAAAAAATAGTGGATAGTCACACCCCGCAGGTGCTGGGCTCAGCAATATGTAAAAATTCCCTCTCTTGGCAGAGTCCAGCACAAAGAGGAGGGTCACATCACCTAAGTTTTGCACTCAGTGGTATGTCACAAATTCTTCAGTGGGCAGGATCAAGGCAGGAGAGGAGAGTCTCGTTACCTAGATACTGTATCTAGTGATATGTCATAGTGTCCCCTGTAGGAGGGCACTGGGAAGAGAGACACATCACTTAGCTAATAGGATCAGAGACATGTGATAATATCCCCTGTTGACAGGGCCCAGGCAGAAGAGTTACAGTATTATGATTCTGACCCAGCGATATGTAACAATGCACCCATGGAAAGGAATTTGAGCCAAAAAGTCTCAACACCTGGGTACTAGGGCCCAGTGATATGACACAATCTCCTGATCTTTGAGGGTGACACCTTTAACTTTTAGTTGAGTGTGTATATTAGAGTCACAATCACACATATGTGCTGGGCCAATGTATGACACTGTCTACAATATCCAAGGGCTTTATAAAACCTGCTTGAGAGTTGCAAACCTCTCTGAGGCTTATGGACTCACAATTTACATATTTCCCTAAATCCAGGTTTGATAGTCAACGTCTCTCCTATAGGCAGGGTTAAGGGAGAAGACCCATTACTAAGCCTGTGGGCTGGGTCCAGAAATGAGTCACCATCCCACCTGTGGCCAGATCCACATATAAAAGTCAAAATTCCAACTTTTTGCTTTATTACTTTGTTAGACTCAGGACCTCAACAGCAGGCTTTGTAAATGTAGGATGGTGACAACTTTTAATTTCACCTGGGGGTGTAATCAAGAATCCCAATCTGAACTTTTTACTGTTTCCTGTTATGAAACTCTCTACCACAAAAGAGTTTATACAATATAAGTTAGTGGTGTAAGCTTCTGTGAGCTTGGTATAAATATGCAACCCAGGACCTCACCTATTGTCCTAAGTCTAGCAATTGAGGGAAAATATCTCCTGTTGGCTTAATCCCAATATAAGTTTGATCATCATGCCTGTGAACTGAAACAAGGTATATGTCATAATCTCATTTGTTGGCAAAAAACTAGGCAGGAGGATAACATCACTTAGGTGCTGTGACAAGCAATATGTCACAATGCCTACTCTAGGCAGGGCTGGGAAATTGGGCCACATTAACTGGGTGCTGGACCCAACAATATGACACCATTCCACATGAGGAAAAAACCCAGACAAGTTATGGGAGCCCCAAAACACCTACCCAATGGGCCCAAGAAATATAAAAATACCTTCAAGGGCTTCAGCATAGGAAAGTCACATCATAAGGGTGCTGGGCCCAGCAATATGAAATATGCCATAATTTTCTCTTTATGAAGAATTCAGGCAGAAGAGTAAAATCATCTGGGTGATGGGCCCTGCAATAGGTCAAAATTCCTTTTTTGTGGGCATGGTTTGGGAAAAAGAGGAGAGCCACATATCCTGAGTGCTGGGCTCAGCTATGTGTCAAAATCCTCCTATTGTGAAGGCCCAGGCAGAAAAACAGAGTCACATCACTTAGGTCATGGGCTCAGAGATATGCCCCAATGTCCCCACCAGGAAGGGCTCTGGCAGATGAAGAGAGTCATATCACCTAGGTGCTTCCCTAGGAATATGTCGCAATGAAACATGTTGGGCAGAAACCAGGCAGAAGAGCCACATCACTCGGGAGCTGGGTCCTGAGATATGTCACAAGGATCTCTTAGGACAACACCCAGGTAAGAGTGTTACATCACCTAGGTGCAGGTTATCTGCTTATGCCACAATTCACCATGTGGGAGGGCCCAAGGAGGGAGTCACTTCACCTAGGTGATAGGCCCAGAAATATGTCACAATGTCCTCTATGAAGCATAGCCCTGACAATGAGTACCATCACTTGTGTGCCTGACCTAGAAATATATCACTCTCTCGGTTTGCTGGGCCCAAGCAGGAGAGCCACATAACTTAGATGATAGGCCCAGAGATACATCACAATGCTCTCCTTTGGGCACGGCTCTGGAAAAAGGGTACCCTCACCTGTGTGCCTGGCCTTGCAATATTTCACTATCATTCCCTTATGCACAGCCCATTTCAGAGAGGAGAGTTACATCACCTATGAGATGAACACAGAAATATGTCATAATAATTTTGGTGGGAATGGCGCCCGTAAAAATGTAACATCACCTGGGCGCTAGATCCAGTGATATGTCACAATCCTTACTGAGTGAAGGGCCCAGGCAGGAGAGTCACATCACCTCGAGCTTGGGCTAGGTAGGTATCACAATCCCATGTATGGGCTGGAATAAGTCTGGAGAGTCAAATTACACAGGTGCTTGGCAAAAATTTATATCACAATCACACTGCCAGAAAATTCCAAAGATGAGATTTACAATACCGCATATGTCCTGTTTTCATGTGTGACAGTTGGCTTCATCCATGTGAGATGATGACAGTCCTTACTGTCAGCTGGGAGTGCGTACAAGACTCACAATTTCACCTGTATGCTGAGCACTGATTTAACTCTGTATAACCCAAAGACTTTGTAAAATATGTGTGAGTGTTGTATTCTTTTGTGGCATTTGCACAAGAAGGTGATCCAGGACATCACACATGTCCCTAAACCTAGTTATAAGAGTCACAATATCCTCTATTGGCTGAGTCCACATATGAAAGCCATTATCATTCCTGTGAGCTGTGCCTAGGTATATATTACAATTCCCTCTGTGGTTATGAAGCAGGCAGAACAGCCACATCACCTAAATGCTGGACCAGAAATATTCCAATATTCTCTTTGTAGGCTGGGTCCTGTCAGAAACATCACATAACTTGTGTGCTAGGTCCAGCTCTGTGGCACAATGTTCTTTGTGGGCAGTGTCTAGGCAGGAGAGGAGAGTCATATTACCTAATGACGGGCCAAAAAATATTTCACAATGCTGCCTGTTGACAGGGCCCAGGCAAGAGAGTCATATCATTTGGATGCAGTGTTTAGAAAGGCTACAATTGCCAAAGGAAGCAGGGTACAGGCAGGAGAGGAGTGTCATGTAACCTAGATGATGGGTCCGGCAATATGTTACAATCCCCCCAGAGGACACTGTTAAGATAGCACCATCAAATCACCAAGGTGCTTGGCCCAGGTACTTGTCAAAATCTCATTTGTGGGCTATACCTAGGCATAATTATTAAATCACTCAGGAGCTGGGCAAATATATATGTCACAATTACACTTGTGAAAAGGTTTAAGAATAAGAGTCACCATCCTGCACGTGTCCTGGCTTCAGGCATATGAGTTGTTATTAGGCTTTTGTTATGGTCTCAGGTATATGACAGAATATCACCTGTGGCCAGAGAGAAGGCAAGAAAGTCACATCACCTATGTGGGTTCAGGTCCAGTGAGATGTCACAATCCACCTTGTGGACAGGACACTGGCAGAAGAGTCACATAATCTGGATCCTGATTTCAGTGACATATCAAAACCTCCTTTATGGGCAGGACTTTGGCAAGAGACTCACTTCACCTATGCAATTGCCCTAGATATATGTCACAATGGTACTAATGGGCAATACCAAAGCTGGAGAGTGACCTCATGTTGTTGCTGGGCCCAGCAATATGTCACAATTTCCCTGTGGCCAGGACGCAGGCAAAAGTGAAAAAACATCACCCAGGTGCTGAGCCAAGTGATATGTTACAATGCTTCCTGTTGGCAGAACCCAAAAGGAGAATCACATCGCCTGGGTGAAGTACCCAGTTATGTGTCACAATGCATTGTAAATGCCTCGCCAATGCAGTAGAAGGGAGTTACATCACTTATGTGATGGACCTAGATATAAGACACAGTTCTCTTTGTAGGTAGGCTTTTCGCAGATAATTCACATCACCTGGGTGAGGTCCCAGTATATATAAAAGTGCCCTTTATAGGCAGAGCCAAGGAAGCCATTATATATTGCTTAGGTGCTTGTTCTATGTATGGCACAATTTTCTCTGTGGTCTGGGCCTAGAAAAGAGAGTGAAATTATTAATGTGCTGGGGAAAGTTACCTGTCCCAATCACACTCCCAGAAAGGTCTGGATATAAGTTTCGCATCCCACACAAGCCCTGGTTTCGTGCATGTGAGTCAACTCTTTCTATGAGTTGGGTCTAAGTAGAGGAGTCACAGTCTCAACAATGCACAAGATCCATGTATAACAGCCCCAATCCCACTTGAAGATTGTGTTCCAGTAGGGGAGTCACAGCACCACAGGTGTGCTGAATCATGGTTCAAATGTTACCAAGCCACCTGTGAACAAGATCCCTGTATGAAAGTAGTTATTTCAACCTTCAATTGCTTTATATGTGTGAGATTCAGTACCTCATTCCAAGGCCCTGTTCATGTGCAAGAATGACAATCGTGTCAGCTAGGTGTGCACATAAGACTCACATTCTCACCTGGTTGCTGGTCTCTGTTATGACACTCTTTGTAACATTACGGCTTTATATGATATACCTGAGTGCTATAATTCTTCGTGAACTTTATGCAAGTGAAAAATCCAGGACTTTACCCATAGCCATGAGACTGGCTATGAGAGTCAAAATACCGCTACTGACTGGATCCAGGTATGAGACTTATTATTGCACATGTGTGATTAACCCACATATATGTCACAATTTCACCTGTGAGCAGGGACAAGGCAGGAGAGTCACATCATCTGGGTGCTTAGCCAGTGATACAGCATAATCTCATATGCAGGCTGGGCCTAGTCAGAAGAGTCACATCACCTGGGTACAGCCTCAAATAGTATGTCACTAAGCCGACCATAGACAGGGAAGAAAAAAAAAGAGGAGAGCCACTCTACCTGAGTGCTAGGCTCTGCAATATGTAATAATCCCCTCTCCTGGAAGAACCTAGAATATGGATGAAAGTCACATCACCTAGATTTTGCAATTAGCGATATGTCACAATTTCTTTGGTGAGCAGGACCCAGGCAGGAGAGGAGAATCACATGACCTAGATGTTAAGTCAAATGATATTTCACAATGTCCTCTGGGGACAGGGCAGAGGCAGAAGAGACAAATCAACTAGCTTATAGGCCCACAGATACGTGATAATATTCCCTGTTGTCAGCGTCCAGGCAGAATAGTTACATTATTTTGATTCTAACCCAGCGATATGTCACAATGTACCCATGGTAAGGAATTTAACCCAAAAAGTCTCAACACCTGGGTGCTAAGCCTAGTAATAGGCCAAATTTCCTTGTCTTTGAGTGTGACACCATTAACTGTGAGCTGGATGTGTATATGAGAGTCACAATCTAACATGTTTCCTGGGCCATTGTATGACACTACAACATTTGAAGGATTTATACTGCATATATGAGAGTTGCAAGCCACTCTGAAGCCTACATGCTTCTTTGGATTCATAATCTTGCATATTGCCTTAAACCCAGTTATAACAGTCAACATGTCTTTTGTAGGCTGGGTTCAGGGATGAGGCTTATTATTATGCCTATGAGCTAGATCCAGAAATGAACCACCATCCCACCTGTGGCCAGATCCACATATGAAGATCACAATTCCAACTTTGCACTGTATTCACTTGTTAGACTCAGGCCCTTAACAGTAGGCTTTGGACACATGGGATGGTGACAACATTTGCTTCACCTGGGGGTGTAATAGAGTCCCAATATGAACTTTTTGCTGGTCCCTGTCATGAAACTCTCTCTACCACCCAAGGGTTTTTTTTTTTCAGTGTTTTAATTTTTATTTCAACTATCAGACAATTTTAAAAACTGAGAAGAGAAGCTTACTGCTTGTGCCCATGATTTTGCTTATAGTGTTTTTCCTTCCTTCTAATTTTCCAGGCTTCCTTCTTTTATCCTTTTCTTTCTGTTTAGAACTTCCTTTAGTCATTATTTTATTGTGGGTCTGCTGGGGACACATTTTCTTAGTTTTCCGTCTGAGAATGTCTTGATTTTTTTCCTTGTTCTGAAGGATCACTTTTACTGGATATTAAATTTTGAGTTAACTGTTCATTTCTTTCAGCACCTGAAAAACTGCCACTTCGTTCCAGTCTCTATGGCTTCCTTTTATTTTATTTTACTTTATTTTATTATTATCATACTTTAAGTTTTAGGGTACATGTGGACAATGTGCAGGTTAGTTACATATGTATACATGTGCCATGCTGGTGTGCTGCACACATTAACTCATCATTTAGCATTAGGTATATCACCTAATGCTATCCCTCCCCTCTTCCCCCACCACACAACAGTCCCCAGAGTGTGATGTTCCCCTTCCTGTGTCCATGTGTTCTCATTGTTCAATTCCCACTTATGAGTGAGAATATGCGGTGTTTAGTTTTTTGTCCTTGCGATAGTTTACAGAGAATGATGATTTCCAATTTCATCCATGTCCCTACAAAGGACATGAACTCATCATTTTTTATGGCTGCATAGTATTCCATGGTGTATATGTGCCACATTTTCTTAATCCAGTCTATCATCGTTGGACATTTGGGTTGGTTTGAAGTCTTTGCTATTGTGAATAGAGCCACAATAAACATACGTGTGCATGTGTCTTTATAGCAGCATAATTTATAGTCCTTTGGGTATATACCCAGTAATGGGATGGCTGGGTCAAATGGTATTTCTAGTTCTAGATCCCTGAGGAATCGCCACACTGACTTCCACAAGGGTTGAACTAGTTTACAGTCCCACCAACAGTGTAAAAGTGTTCTTATTTCTCCACATCCTATCCAGCACCTGTTGTTTCCTGACTCTTTAATGATTGCCATTCTAACTGGTGTGAGATGGTATCTCATTGTGGTTTTGATTTGCATTTCTCTGATGGCCAGTGATGGTGAGCATTTTTTCATGTGTTTTTTGGCTGCATAAATGTCTTCTTTTGAGAAGTGGCTGTTCATGTCCTTCACCCACTTTTTGATGGGGTTGTTTGTTTTTTTCTTGTAAACTTGTTTGAGTTCATTGTAAATTCTGGATATTAGCCCTTTGTCAGATGAGTAGATTGTGAAAATTTTCTCCCATTTTGTAGGTTGCCTGTTCACTCTGATGGTAGTTTCCTTTGCTGTGCAGAAGCTCTTTAGTTTAATTAGATCCCATTTGTCAATTTTGGCTTTTGTTGCCATTGCTTTTGGTGTTTTAGACATGAAGTCCTTGCCCATGCCTATGTCCTGAATGGTATTGCCTAGGTTTTCTTCTAGGGTTTTTATGGTTTTAGGTCTAACGTTTAAGTCTTTAATCCATCTTGAATTAATTTTTGTATAAGGTGTAAGGAAGGGATCCAGTCTTAGCTTTCTACATATGGCTAGCCAGTTTTCCCAGCACCATTTATTAAATAGGGAATCCTTTCCCCATTGCTTGTTTTTCTCAGGTTTGTCAAAGATCAGATAGTTGTAGATAAGCGGCGTTATTTCTGAGGGCTCTGTTCTGTTCCATTGATCTATATCTCTGTTTTGGAACCAGTACCATGCTGTTTTGGTTACTGTAGCATCGTAGTACAGTTTGAAGTCAGGTAGTGTGATGCCTCCAGCTTTGTTCTTTTGGCTTAGGATTGACTTGGTGATGCGGGCTCTTTTTTGGTTCCATATGAACTTTAAAGTAGTTTTTTCCAATTCTGTGAAGAAAGTCATTGGTAGCTTGATGTGGATGGCACTGAATCTATAAATTACCTTGGGCAGTATGGCCATTTTCATGATATTGATTCTTCCTACCCATGAGCATGGAATGTACTTCCATTTGTTTGTATCCTCTTTTATTTCATTGAGCAGTTGTTTGTAGTTCTCCTCGAAGAGGACCATCTAGGAGAACTTCCCCAATCTAGCAAGGCAGGCCAACATTCAGATTCAGGAAATACAGAGAACGCCACACAGATACTCCTCGAGAAGAGCAACTCCAAGACACATAGTTGTCAGATTCACCAAAGTTGAAATGAAGGAAAAAATGTTAAGGGCAGCCAGAGAGAAAGGTCGGGTTACCCACAAAGGGAAGCCCATCAGACTAACAGCTGATCTCTCAGCAGAAACTCTACAAGCCAGAAGAGAGTGGGGGCCAATATTCAACATTCTTAAAGAAAAGAATTTTCAACCCAGAATTTCATATCCAGCCAAACTAAGCTTCATAAGTGAAGGAGAAATAAAATACTTTACAGACAAGCAAATGCTGAGAGATTTTGTCACCACCAGGCCTGCCCTAAAAAAGCTCCTGAAGGAAGCACTAAACATGGAA
Organism: Homo sapiens; assembly: GCF_000001405.40. Classification (NCBI taxonomy): domain Eukaryota; kingdom Metazoa; phylum Chordata; class Mammalia; order Primates; family Hominidae; genus Homo; species Homo sapiens. Next base: position 46,631,856 of record NC_000008.11, on the reverse strand, counting down.
AGGGATAACTGGTACCAGCCACTGCAAAATCATGCCAAATTGTAAAGACCATCGAGGCTAGGAAGAAACTGCATCAACTAACGAGCAAAATAACCAGCTAACATCATAATGACACGATCAAATTCACACATAACAATATTAACTTTAAATGTAAATGCACTAAATGCTCCAATTAAAAGACACAGACTGGCAAATTGGTTATAGAGTCAAGACCCATCAGTGTGCTGTATTCAGGAAACCCATCTCATGTGCAGAGACACACATAGGCTCAAAATAAAAGGATGAAGGAAGATCTACCAAGCAAATGGAAAACAAAAAAAGGCAGGGGTTGCAATCCTAGTCTCTGATAAAACAGACTTTAAACTAGCAAAGATCAAAAGAGACAAAGAAGGCCATTACATAATGCTAAAGGGATCAATTCAACAAGAAGAGCTAACTATCCTAAATATATATGCACCCAATACAGGAGCACCCAGATTCATAAAGCAAGTCCTGAGTGACCTACAAAGAGACTTAGACACCCACACAATAATAATGGGAGACTTTAACACCCTGCTGTCAACATTAGACAGATCAATGAGACAGAATGTTAACAAGGATACCCAGGAATTGAACTCAGCTCTGCACCAAGTGGACCTAGTAGACATCTACGGAACTCTCCACCCCAAATCAACAGAATATACATTTTTTTCAGCACCACAGCACACCTATTCCAAAATTGACCACATAGTTGGAAGGAAAGTACTCCTCAGCAAATGTAAAAGATCAGAAATTATAACAAACTGTCTCTCAGACCACAGTGCAATCAAACTAGAACTCAGGATTAAGAAACTCACTCAAAACTGCTCAACTACATAGAAACTGAACAACCTGCTTCTGAATGACTACTGGGTACATAACGAAATGAAGGCAGAAATAAAGATGTTCTTTGAAACCAACGAGATCAAAGACACAACATACCAGAATCTGTGGGACACATTCAAAGCAGTGTATAGAGGGAAATGTATAGCACTAAATGCCCACAGGAGAAAGCAGGAAAGATCCAAAATTGACACCCTAACATCACAATTAAAAGAACTAGAAAAGCAAGAGCAAACACATTCAAAAGCTAGCAGAAGGCAAGAAATAACTAAAATCAGTGCAGAACTGAAGGAAATGGAGACACAAAAAACCCTTCAAAAAATTAATGAATCCAGGAGCTGGTTTTTTGAAAGGATCAACAAAATTGATAGACCACTAGCAAGACTCATAAAGAAGAAAAGAGAGAAGAATCAAATAGATGCAATAAAAAATGATAAAGGGGATATCACCACCGATCCCACAGAAATACAAACTACCATCAGAGAATACCACAAACACCTCTACGCAAATAAACTACAAAATCTAGAAGAAATGGATAAATTCCTCAACACATACACCCTCCCAAGACTAAACCAGGAAGAAGTTGACTCTCTGAATAGACCAATAACAGGATCTGAAATTGTGGCAATAATCAATAGCTTACCAACCAAAAAGAGTCCAGGACCAGATGGATTCACAGCCGAATTCTACCAGAGGTACAAGGAGGAGCTGGTACCATTCCTTCTGAAACTATTCCAATCAATAGAAAAAGAGGGAATCCTCCCTAACTCATTTTATGAGGCCAGCATCATCCTGATACCAAAGCCGGGCAGAGACACAACCAAAAAAGAGAATTTTAGACCAATATCTTTGATGAGCATTGATGCAAAAATCCTTAATAAAATACTGGCAAACCGAATCCAGCAGCACATCAAAAAGCTTATCCACCATGATCAAGTGGGCTTCATCCCTGGGATGCAAGGCTGGTTGAATATATGCAAATCAATAAATATGATCCAGCATATGAACAGAACCAAAGACAAAAACCACATGATTATCTCAATAGATGCAGAAAAGGCCTTTGACAAAATTCAACAACCTTTCATGCTAAAAACTCTCAATAAATTAGGTATTGATGGGACGTATCTCAAAATAATAAGAGCTATCTATGACAAACCCACAGCCAATATCATACTGAATGAGCAAAAACTGGAAGCATTCCCTTTGAAAACTGGCAGAAGACAGGGATGCCCTCTCTCACAACTCCTATTCAACATAGTGTTGGAAGTTCTGGCCAGGGCAATTAGGCAGGAGAAAGAAATAAAGGGTATTCGATTAGGAAAAGAGGAAGTCAAATTGTCCCTGTTTGCAGATGACATGATTGTATATCTAGAAAACCCCATTGTCTCAGCCCAAAATCTCCTTAAGCTGATAAGCAACTTCAGCAAAGTCTCAGGATATAAAATCAATGTACAAAAATCACAAGCATTCTTATACACCAATAACAGACAAACAGAGAGCCAAATCATGAGTGAACTCCTATTCACAATTGCTTCAAAGAGAATAAAATACCTAGGAATCCAACTTTATTTTATTTTTTAAACCTTTATTTTAGGTTGAGGGGTACACATGCACGTTTGTTAAATAGGTAAATTATGTGTTGCAATGGAGGGGTGGTTGGTGTACAAATTATTTCATCACCCAGGTAATGAGCATAGTAACTGATAGGTAGTTTTTCAATTTTCACCCTCCTCTCACCCTCCACCCTCAAGTAGTTCCCGGTGTCTGTTTTTACTCTCTTTGTATTCATATGTACTCAGTGTTTAACTTCCACTTATAAGTGAGAACATGGGGTAATTGGTTTTCTGTCCCCGTCTGTGTTAGTTTGCTTAGGATAATGGCCTCCAGCTGCATCCATGTTGATCCATGTTGCTACAAAGAACATACTTCATTATTTTTATGGTTGCATAGTATTCCATGGTATATATGTACCACATTAGCTTTATACAGCCCATCATTGATGGACATTCAGGTTGATTCCATGCTTTTGCTATTGTGAATAGTGCTGCAATGAACATAGGTGTGCATATGTTTTTATGGTAGAATGATCTATATTCCTTTGGGTATATACCCAATAAGGAGATTGCTGGGTCAAATGGTAATTCTGATTTAAGTTCTTTGAGAAATCACCAAACTGCTTTCCACAGTGGCTGAACTAATTTAACTTCCCACCAACAATGTATAAGCATTCCCTTTTCTGTGTAGCTGCACAAGCATCTGTAGTTTTTTGGCTTTTTAGTAATAGCCGTTGCTGCTGGGCATGGCGGCTCATGCCTGTTATCTCAGCACTTTGGGAGGTCAAGGTGGGCAGATCACTTGAGGTCAGTAGTTGGAGACCAGCCTGCCAATGTGGCAAAACCCCATCTCTACTAAAAATACAAAAATTAGCCAGGTATGGTGGAACACACCTGTAGTCCCAGCAACTTAGGAGGCTGAGGGATGAGAATTGCTTGAACCTGGGAGGTGGAGGTTGCAGTGAGCCGAGATAGCACCACTGCACTCCGGCCTGGGTGACAGAGACTCTGTCTAAAAATAATGATAATAAAATAATAATAATAATAACCATTGTGATGGGTGTGAGATTGTATCTTATTGTAGTTTGATTTGCATTTCTCTAATGATTAGTAATGTTGAACATTTTTTCATATGCTCATTATCCACTTGAATGTCTTCTGTTGAAAAGTATTCATGTTATTTGCCTATTGATTTGTTTGAGCTCATCATAAATTCTGGATATTAGACCTTTGTTGGATGCATAGTTTGCAGATATTTTCTCCCATTCTGTCGGTTCTCTGTTTACTCTGTTGATAGTTTCTTTTGCTGTGCAGAAGCTCCTTAGTTTAACTAGGTCCCATTTATCAAATCTTGCTTTTGTTGAAATTGCTTTTGGTGTTGGGACCCTTTTGAATGGAAGACGTTCAACGTAGAGATGGGGTCTTGCTATGTTGCCCCAGCTTGTCTCATTGTCTCCTGGATGAGGAGAATCCAGGTGGTGCTATAGTGACCATGGTTTACAGAAAAGTGTAATTTACATAGTTAAATGCATTGGTCAAACCTTATCGTAGACTGGGCATGGTGGCTCACACCTATAATCCCAGCACTTTGGGAGGCTCAGGTGAGTGGATTGCTTGAGCCCATGAGTAATCTGCCCTGGATTCATAAGCCCAGCCTAGGCCACATGGTAAAACCCCATCTCTATAAAAATTAGAAAAAAAAAAAAAGCCAGGCATGGTGGTGTGTGGCTGTAGTCTCAGCTATTCCGGAGGCTGAGGTGAGAGAATTACCTGAGCCAAGGAGGTTGAGGCTGCTGTGAGCCAGGATCACACCACTGCACTGCAGCCTGGGAAATGAGAGTGAGACCTTGTCTCAAAAAAAAAAAAAAAAAGAAAAACCCAAAACAACAACAACAACAACAAGAAAACACAAACTTTATCATAACTCAAATAATAGAAATGATAGAGAAAAGAATGCCCCCAGAATCCAACCATCTTAGCCAGATAACATGTCTTTGTGTGTCTGTGTATGCAGTTTCTACTCTATTCATATCCTTTGCCCAATTTTGTGATATTTTAAATCATGAGTCATTGGTTCTCAACTCTGGCTCATGTGAATCTCTAAGGGAGTTTTTACAAGGCCGGGATGACCATGCTCTACCTTGACCTAGAGAATCAGAATCTCAAGAAACTTCTTAAAATGAATCCCAGGACAACATTCTATTTCTGGAGGCAACATCAGTCACTGTGCAGCAGCTACATTGTGTGAGGTAAATACCCGGGGTTCTTTATCTCACGCCAAGAAAATTTAGTACATGGACACACATGAGGAGTTTAGGAGTGGAGGTTTAATAGGCAAAAGAAAAAGAAATAAAGAGAAAGGAAAATAGCTCTCTCTCTAGTGAGAGATTGGGGACTTCTGAGGAAAAGATTTGCCTGTGGCAGATATGCTGGATTTTATAGACAGGCTTGAGGAGGCGGTGTTTAATTTACACAGGGCTCACAGATTGGCTCAAACAGGTATGACATGGGGGAGCTGGCTGCCCCACCCTAATCTTATTATGCAAATGAACTTTCCCATTGGTGGCACCATCTTGTCTGCTCCTTACTGTACACCTGGCTGACAAAGAGAAGGGAAGATGGAGCCACCATCTTGAACATGATTGGTATAAACTGGCAGCATCATCTGCAGCTTGATTTTACAGGCTGCTCTTTGTTAGAAAGGAAAATAATTTGGGGTTGCCTTTCATTAAAAGGAAAATGTTACCAAGGACTTCCGTACTCTCACTATGTGCCTAAGTAATTTCTTCCTAACTCTTGTATCAACCGCATTTAAACAATTTTTTAAATTGAGGTAAAATTCACCATTTTAAAGTGTACAATTCAGTGATATGTAATGCATCACAACATTGTGTGACTGAGGTATTCTCGTAAGAAATTTTCAGTTACATCTGCTTATATTGTGTAAAACTAGAAAGTTACATTTGCAAGAGATAAAATTAAACACTAAGAAAGTTAATTTTTTCAAACTATTATTTTCTAATGGTTTTTGTTATTTCCATCCCCAGTTCAGTGAGATAGAATTGTAGAAATCTCTCGGAATATTGGGAGTGTTCTGTTCACCTCTTCAGGTCTGAAAGAGTGAGCAAGGCTGCCTAGGGTTCAGCAAGAACTCCTTTCTGGATTAAATGCTATGAATTTGGAGGCCAAATATGAATATAGTCCAATGATAACAAAAGCTGATACATTTTGAAATTTTATTGTGTTCCAACTATCCTGCCAGTTTGCAAATCTTCACATTATTCCTAAATCTCCCAACAAGCCTGCCTAGTTCTTATCTTTTTTCCGCTTGGCAAGTGAAGAAACAGAATCTGAGGGGACTTGCTCAAGGTCATATAGTTTAAAAGTAATGTAGCTGAGGTTTCCATATTTGATCTGTATGATGCCATAGCCCAGATCCTCACTCCCTCAACTCTCTGGACTCCAGTTGGGTGTCCAAGCATTCAGTTCCATTCTAACCATTTACCTAGAGTAAGCATGAACCCCAAAGGTTAACGGCTCAGTCCCACAAGACTGCCCTCATTTCAGAAACGAATCCCAAGTCCCAGGCCTCCCATACTTCTGACTGATTGGTTGCAAACTCGGGTTCACAGGACTCCCTCTTCATGTTTGATAATTTGCTAGAATAGCTCACAGAACACAGAAAGTCACTTTACCTAATATTACCAATTTGTTTTAAAGGATATGACTCAGAAACAGCCAAATGGAAAAGATGCATAGTGTAAGGTATAGGGGTACATGGAGCTTCCATGCCCTCTCTAGGTGCACCACACTCTCAGTCCCTGGCTGTGTTTACCAATCCAGAGGTATTCTGGGACCCATAATTTAGGTGTTTTATGAAGGTTTCATTACATAGGCATGATTGATTAAACAATTGGCCATTGCTGATTAACTCAATCTCCAGCCCCACTCTCCTCCCAGGATGTTGAGGGGTGGAGCAGAAAGTTCCAACTCTCTAATCATTTCATTGGTTTCTAGAAAAAGGACTCCTTATGCTCCAAGAGTTACGTTGTTAGCATAAACTCAGATATGGTTGAAAGGTGCTTACTATGAGTAACAAAAGATGCTCCTATTACCCCTGTCACTCAGGGAATTCCAAGGGTTTTAGAACTCTGTCAGGAGTCAGCATGGTGGCAAGCACCTGTCATTTTAGCTACTCAGGATACTGAGGCAGGAGGATCACTTGGGCCCAGGAGTTTAAGGCTGCAGTGAACTATGATCATGCCACTGGTGAGACCATGTCTCTTAAAAATTATTATTATTATTATTTTAAAGCTCTGTGTGAGAAACCAAAGACAAAGACCAAGTACATATTTCTTACTATCACACTCCCAAAACACAGCATGAGAACTTGTGAGCCTAACATTAAGTAGAGAAGCTGATTCAAACACTAAGAGACAAGACTTCCAGGTGTCTGAACCCAATGCATGGAACCAGGGAGGCCAAAACAGAAAAGAGGCAGGGGCAGAATGCTAGCCAAAAAGTAGAGGTTGTGCTTGAAGTTTTGCTTGTTCACCTGGTAAACTCCTCTTCCTTTGGCAGGAAGAGTTTGCCTGAAGCAAGCTCAATGTGTCCACTGTGGGGAGCCCAGAATAGGTTTCCACCATCACTAGGTGACAGGCATCAAAAATAGGGTCAAGCTAAGAAGAGTGGTGAAATGTATTAGGAAGCCAGTGGTAGCAGTGCCTGTGGGAAAGTGTTTAGAGCATTCTCTGATGTTTTTGTGGGTTCTAGGTTACCCTCCTGGGTGTTCCTAAGCTGCCTGGCCTCTAGTTATTCACTTGGCAAGCATTTATTGGGTGCTTCCTATGTGCCAGGCATTGTGCTTGGCTTTGAAAGGTGTCAAGAGCAGCAGAGACCTGAAAAAGGGTAGAGGAGGAAATGATACCTTTCAGAGAAATGGCTATTCTGTAAGAGGAAAACAGCAATTTACTGATTCACTGTAGCCATTTCTATGTAGTCTGAGCAGGTAAAAGAACCAAGGTGTCTGGAGGGGTGTACCAGAAGGGCATCTGGTAATTGCATGGGCAGTTTTGAATGGCTTCTTGCAAAGTGTGGGCATCCATTGGAATGGAAGGTTGGAGGCTGACTGGCTGAATAGTCCATGAAGATGGGGAATCTCTTTAATGATTATGTAGTTTGCTTCAACCTGGGTGGTTGTTGGGTGGATGGAGGTGCAAGAGATCCCTTAATTTAAATATGGCAGGCAGTGCATCTGAAACGGAGGCCATGACAATTGGAGAGGCATTTAGAATTGGCAGTGGTGCTGCTACCTGGGCTGCTTCTTGTCTTGGTGGTAGGCATCAAAGGTCAAGCTAAAGAGTCATCAAGTGTATTAGTTTCCTAGGACTACTGTAATGAATTACCACAAACCGAGTGGCTTAAAACAACATAAGTTTATTTTCTTGAAGTTCTAGGGACCAGAAGTCTCTCTTCAGGGTGTCAGCAGAACCACATTTCCTAAGAAGCATCTAGGGAAGATACTTTCCTTGCCTTTTCCATCTTCTGGTGGCTCCAGATGTTCCTTGGCTTGTGACTGCATGACTCCAATCTCTACCTTCACATGGCCTTCTCCGTTTCCCTTCTGTGTGTCTCTTTAAGAACACTTGTCCTTGGATTTAAGGTCCAACTGAATAATCCAGGATGATCTCATCCTGAAGTCCTTCACTTAATTACATCTGCAAAAATGCTTTTTTCCAAATAAAGTCACAGTCACAGGTTCTGGGGCATGTGTATATATTTCTGGGGGGCCACCATTCAACTACTATATCAACTCCTCTACATACTATGTTCAGAGATATAAATGGACAGAGGTAGCCTCACAGAGAAGCCCAAATTTCAGACTGTTATTTGCTTGCTCTGATAAATTCCTCTCAGTCTTCTCACCTTTGTTCTGTCACCAGATATTCTGGATCACAGCCAAATGCTGTGGGGAGATGTGTTTTTCTGTCTATGCTGGGGCCTGATGGCTTAGACATGCCTGGTCTGAAGGATTTCCTGAGGTTGAGACTGACCGTGCCATACCCTGTGAGTTCAGCTTCTAAGACGGTTACTTAGCAGTAGACAAAAATAAATCACTTTGAAAAGGTGACCCAAAATGCTCTCAACAAACAGTATCTATGATTGTTATTTTGAGGTCTGCCACAATTGATCTGGACAGTCTGCATATAGCCTACATTAGGTGCCAGTTTTTTAAAGGAAGCATTCAGAACATAGAGGCAGCCTTGATATCTCATCACTTTTGCTCTCAGCTTTCTGCACTGCAGATATAGCAGTGAGTATAATTTGTATCTGCAGTCTTTGAAACCCTTCAGTACCTGCTAGGAAGCACTGGTCCCCATTATGGTGTTAAGAACCTAGCTTTGGAATATTGGGCTGGGTGCTGTCACGATGGCCAAATTAGGGTAAAAGTGAAATGAGTCTTCAGCTGCTTCAAGGATGTACTGATGGCTGGATTCCAGCAAGCCCTTTTCCCCTTTGGTGGGTGTTGTTTAGAGTAGTTATGACTGAGATGCAGTGGATGGGTTGGTCATATCTAACAAGCCTCAGGAATGACTAGATGATTCCCTTCTGAGGATCTTTCACTACAGCAATGCAGAATGTTTTTGTTTCATCCCAGAGAGATGTTCACAACATTTTATTCAATGAGAAAACCAAATAATAGCAGACTATTCAGACTATAGCAGACTATATAGGATATTACGTAATGCAATATCCGGGCCCCATTATAATATTTTCTCCTTTATTTTTCTCCATAGCACTTGTCTTCATTTATACATGTAATTTATGTGTCTCATTAATTTCTCCTGTTCCCCTGCACCATGAATGCAATAAGCTCCATGCCCCAGAACATAATACATGCTCAAAACATGTTGTTAGTTTAATGAAAAAATTAAACCCTTTGCCCTCTGACAATCCTAATCATAACCTCCAAAAGAAGGAAAAAGGGTTAGTCTGGTCTCTAGCCACAAGTGTAACTTTCAGCAGCTAAAAACCATGTTCACCTCTGCTTGTTGTGTTCAAGAACAGCCAAGAGATCAATATGACTGGGATGCAATGAACTAGGGAGAGGGAAGTAAGAGATACAGTTGGAAGACAAGGAAGGTGGATATTTGTTAAGCTTTTGGGCTCACAATTCGACTCTGATTTTGTTGGGGCCTGTTACTCCAGGGCTCCTGATTCCTAGTTCAGAAGCTATAAACAGTATCTATGACTGGACTGGGCATATCTGTGGCTGGACAGGCCATAACCTGGAAATGCTTAGGGGAATTCTGTTAGAGGAAGGCTTTTGTTTATTTAACACACATTATATTCAGGAACCTGGGCTCGATAATCTTACATTCACCATTTTATCTAATGCTATAAAATTATACATTCCTTGCCCATGAAAATGTCCAGTTCATCTGTCTTTTTCAGCCCTATACTTCTCTAGCCTGCAACCAAGCCTCTAATCATCAGCCCCTGTTACACTTTCAACAAATTAGGTCACTTCTGGCTTTACTTATTTCCCTTCCAACTTAAAATATTTAAGCTCTATTAGCCAGTTTAGATTGGGTTATGCTGCGGTTACAAATGACTCCCAAGTCTCAGACACATACACCCAGAAAAGTTTGTTTGCTTACTTCAGCTACATATTGATCATGGGTAGGCTGTGACCCTTCTCAACATAATTCTCATTCTGGGCCCTTGGTTGGTGGAGTTGCTCCTACCTGGAATGCTGGCAGAGGAAAAAGAGATGGTGTTGAGCTACATCATGGTTCTTATAATTTCTGCTTACAAGTGACACCTGTCACTTCTGCTCATGTTTCATTGGCAATAGCAAGTCACCTGGCTATGCTGATATCAATGGGTTAGATATAGTATAATCCTCCCCCAGAGAGGTGCATTGCATATTTTTGAGCAATAATAGAACATACCAAAAGTGTATCCCTGCAGAAGCACACTCACTGCACCTGTGCTCCTGAGCCCTCTTATCCTTCTTCCACACACACTCTTCCAAACACAGAACCTGGATCCATTCCCTCCATGTCTTGACACTGGCTCTCAGACTGCCCTGTGTTGTTGGAGGCTCTGCCCTCCCCGACGTCGCCAGTCCACATTCATGCTTGGGTTTTCCTCCTTTGCTGGACCACCATGATGCCCACCCATCTTTTCCTTTTCCCCTCATTAACTCTGATATTTGCCTGTTATTTTCAAGTTCACCCTCACAACATCTCAAACCCTTCAGTACCTGCAGAAGATGAGCCTCTTGTTTTTTATGAAAAACAGTGGCCTATAAGTATGAATTATTCTAAAACTTGTAAACTCTCCTTCGCATTTCTTTTCTCTTCTCAGCTGTTTTTCTCCACAGCACTTATTTATCATCATCGACATACTTAGCTTATAAATCTTGTATGATGGTAAATATTAGGTGTCAACTTGATTGGACTGAGAACTGCCTAGAGTATTGTTCCTGAGTGTGTTCGTGAGGGTGTTGCCAGAGGAGATTGACTTTTGTGTTGGTGGACTGGGAAGGAAGACCCACCCTCAAGGTGGGTGGGCACCAGTCAATCACATGTCAGAGCAGCTAGAACAAAGCAAGTGGAGGAAGCTGGGATAACTTTGCTAGCTGAGGCTTCTGGCTGTCCTTTTTCCTCCTTCCCATGCAGGATGCTTGCTTCTGTTCCTTCTGCCCTTAGACATCAGACTCCAGGTTCTTCTGCCTTTGGACTCTGGGACTTGCACCAGCAGCTTACCCAGGACTCTCAGGCCCTCAGCCTCAGACTGAAGACTGCACTGTGGACTTCCCTGGTTTTGAGGCTTCTGGACTTGGACTGAGCCACTACTAGCTTGTCTCTTTCCCCAGCTGGCAGACAACCTATTGTGAGACTTTGCCTTGTAATCGTGTGAGCCAATTCTCTCTAGTAAACTCCCTTTTACATATACGTGTATCCTATTGGTTCTGTCCCTCTGGAGAACCCTGACTAATACACCTCGTTTATTTTTTCCCCGCTGCCCTTTCCTTTTCTAGGTTTACCGAGACCACTACCATTCTTTCCCTCTTTTCTGTTCTAAAGTAAAAGTTATTTTTTCTCGCTAAATGCATGGTGTTCTGCCCATTTCCCATGGCTTCTCTCAGTCCTGCTCTGTTTATTCTTCTTGCTCTCTTAAGAAGAAATCCTTGCCCATTCCTTGGCTTTTTCCGCCTGGTCTACTTACTGGTTTCTGTTGTTCTCAGAGACACACTGAGACCTTTCACATCTCACTGTCACTTCTTGGAAGGGCTCTCTCTACCTGTTTTGCATGCTACGGAACCTCTTGGGAAGACACGGGCAGTCCTGAGTCACGGAACTTGAGTTGTTTGGTATTGGTATGTTAATTTATCTTCTTAGACCACTTACCACTTCCTTAACTTCACAAGAGAAGAATAATTATTATTTTCCACGGTTGATGTGAAGAGTGGAAATAACATATACAAAACGCACTGCAGTTAAGAGATAATAAATGACAGCAAATGTCCTTATTAGTGTTATTCTATCAGTCTCAGCTCAGATACCTTCTGCTCTGTGAGCTCTACTCTGAATCGTATCTAGTTCTTCTCTGGGTTCATTGTGCTCTATTCTTAAATACTTTAAAGCAGTAATTATTCTGATTCTAATTAGTGGTCTTTCCCAATAACATTTTAATGTTTTAGATCTCTTCCTCCAACCCCTGCCCCAGCCTAACCAGTGTTTTCTTTTGTGTGTGTGTGTGTGTGTGTGTGTGTGTGTGTGCAGGCTAAATCACTGGTCTTCGTTTATTTGTGGCTAAATAAATGTTTTGTTCAAAGAGTAAAGCGTTCCCAGTTCTATGGGATCTATAGTTCTCCAAAATGAATACATACGTAATCCATGTAAATATTTCACTTTTAAAACAAATTTCTAATTTTTAAATTAAATTTAATTTGTGCACGTATGTATGTGTGTGAGACCAGGGATGGGGGTGGGTCTCACTATGTTGCTCAGGCTGGTCTTGAACTCCTGGCCTCAGGCCACCCTCTTGCCTTGGGCTCCCAAAGTGCTGGAATTATAGGCGTGAAACACTGCACCCAGCCTCAATTTTGTTTTAACAGATCCTAGAGCGAGAAAGCAAGTAGCATTGTGATAGAGTAGCTGAATAGGAAGCAGTTCCTAAAATCTGAAGAAAAGGAGGTGTGGGAAGGGTCAGGTAACAGGAACTGTGGTCTTCTTGAGATGAGCTTTGACGTCAGGGAGCCAGGCGGCTAAATGTCCTGAGACTACTCCATCCCACCTTTTGCATCTCCTTGAAATGTCTTCTTTCACACACTCTCCCTGAAAGAGGAGGGCAAGGGAGCCAGGACAGAAAGTGAGGTGGAGAACAGTAGAGCTCTGGAGGGACAAGCAGGAGATAAGCAGCACAACCAACCACACCAGATAACACATGAAGTAGGAGAACCCATCTTCCACTACATAGGCAAGGTGCTACGGGAAATGGACACCTTGGAAATGGGTTTACACAGATTATGACACAATTCTTTATTGTTCTGAAACTGTGTTTGGATAAATCCCTCAACTTATCTGAGTCTTGTTTTCTCATCTTTAAATGTAGATAGAAGACCTACTTTCCCACATTGCTCTCAGGTTTAAAATACATCAATTAGGATACAGCAAAATCTGTTTGATGCTGAAAACTTTCCAGCAAGAATGAACCTTAGAACAAGTCATCTCTTATCTTTACTCTTGCCTATAACTACCAAAATCTACTCCATCTTCTGTGCTTAGGGATTTTATATCGTTGGCATTTTTTATTTAGTGGGGAATGCATTGTATGGGGATATCAAACCTGCATTCTCTCCAAGCATTGACTGTAGTCTGATCTTAGTAGGTCGTGCACATATAATTTTACTATTTCTCAATTTATTTTGGTGCTGATGTAATTAGTAAAATATGATTTAAGAGTGTTATGATACTTTTTAAAAATTGTGATGTCTTTTGTTCATCAAAGAGATACTTAAAAGCACATAATCATCTGTGGATGTAGGTTGACAAAATCCTTTTTGAGATTGTAAAAGGAATCTTTGTACTTAAAATGTTTAAGGACCACTGATGTGTTTTGGCTTCATGAATCAATTAGATTTAGATTTTCTTTTATTGTTTTAGAGATGGGAGTCTCACTTTGTCACCCTCGCTGGAGTGGAGCTCACCGCAGCCTCAAACTCTTGGGCTCAAGTTATCCTTCTGCCTCAGCCTTCTGAGTTGCTGGGACTAAAGGGTGTGCCACCATTTTTTTGTAGATGTGTGATCTCGCTGTGTTTCCCAGGCTGGTCTTGAACTCCTGGTTTCAAGTGATCCTCTTGCCTTGGCCTCGCAAAATGTTGGGATTATGGGCGTGAGCCACCACTCCTGACTCCGATTTATTAATATATTTTATAAGGACATTTTAGGCCTTACGCATCAGTTTCTGAGGACAAGCTTTTCTCTGCACTCCATAATAAATCAGACGGTAGTGCAACAAAAAACGGTGACGATTTCCCTAAGAACAAACCAAGTGCAGAAGACTCCCTAATTGTCAGAACAGCGGGTAACCTGGGCAGATCTCTGAGGCTGTCCTTTAACACGCGCACTGAGAAACAGAAGGCGATGGAAACAAAAGAATGCCTTCTTGCTGCCTCCCGCCGCCCCTCTTAGTCCCGCCCCGCCCCAGCCGCCCCGCGAGCCCCGCCTCTGCACGCGCTGGTTGATCCTCGCAGGCATGATGAAACTTCCCGCACGCATTACAGCAGCCCAGCCGGTATAAGCGCCAGCAGCCCCGCCGCCGGCATGCTGTCCACAGCCCTGGCCTCCACTGCCCACATCGCCCTGACCTGTTTGCGCCCTGGTGAGCCGACCCCCGCGTCCCGCGCAGCACCCTCCTCGCGTGCTCTGGGGCTGCCCCGGGAGGAAGGAGGCGAGGATGCGCTCTTCAGCTTGGCACCCGGCAGACGCGGCTTGGGGGCGAGGGCGGACGCTGTGGCTCCTGCGGTAGAGAGGGCGGGGCGGACGCCCAGCTATTGTTGCGCACCTGGCAGCAAGAGGGTGCGGAAGGACCTCTCTGTCCTGGTACACTGAGGCATGAAGGGAACCATGGCCGGGAGGCAGAGCTACTCCAGAGAGAAGGCAGCGGCGGCCTGAGCCCCTGTAAATGTTATATATGTACTTTTTTTACTATGTGGCATCGAAGCCTGTGGACATTTTCCCAGTCCAGAGCCTCTGTTTCGGACAGGTGGGAGCGTGCACATGGCTAGGGCACAGTCAGGTGTCTGTGGTCCTGATCTAGGAAGCAGAGACTCCGGCTTTATCACCACCTCGGTGTCTGTGCTTTCCCCTTAAACTGCCTCCCTCCTCACCTGGACTCCCTCACCATGCCTCCTTTCCTCTCACTCCTCTGCCACCCCGGTACCCACCCCTCTCTGTAGACTGCAAGACTCAACAAGTGACGTGCTGAGCAAACCCTGAGAGAAGAGGTCTGTTTAGGGACACAGGAAGCCAAGTACAGAAAAAGCAAAAGAATTAGCATGGCTTTTTCAATGGATGTCTATTTTACAGGACTGGCTGTAGATTATTGTTATAGCTTTAAATAAAAGGATAGTTTTCGTCTCGGCCCATGGCCTACATTATTTCTTTACTGTCCGTTGCCCTGGGCGCTTGACTAATAATTTAACAGCAGTTTTTTTTTTTTTAATTTTAAATCACGATTCATTGCATTGCTGTAAGAGTAATTAGAGGTAAAGTAGGGCTTGAACCTGTCTGTAGTTCGTTACTTACTGAGATCTTAACATAAAAAAAGTAAGGTGAGAGGGTGAAGTTTTAAGTAGCGCTAAGTGGAATAGAAATTAAATGCACTGTAAGTGCGAAGTCCAATTCGGTAGGCGCTAGCCACCTGTAACTGTTGAGCACTTGAAATGGTGGCTAGTCCTAATTGAGATGTGTTGTGTTAAATACATTGGATTTTGTCATTGGAGTAAGAAGAACAGTGCAAAATATCTGCTTGATAATTTTTTATATTGATTACATGTTAAAGTGATACTATTTGGGACATATTGAGTTAAGTATACTTAAAATTAATTTCACCTTTTTTTTAATGGGGCTACTAGTATATTTAAAATTACATACGTGACTCACATATTTATTGGACAGCCCTGCTCCAGAAGTTTAGGAAGAAATAAGAAAAATATTGAAAACAGGTAGCGGCAGTAGGAAGTTTGCCAACCTTTAAGACTGATTACAATAAAAATAGGTGACAGTTTTAATTGGCTTTTTCCTACTAGAAAAAATAAGTATATTTTACATGCCTCTTTGTTCTCCCTCCTTCCCCTCCAATTTAGTGGTTAGCTTGTATTTACTATAGCACGCTAAATATTCACTAAGCAGCATTAAGAAGACTTAGGTAAATGATTCCCTGATGACCACACTTGATTTTCAAAGCAATTTCCTAACCCATTTTTAATTGGTACAGAGTCAAAGACAGATGGCTTATTAGTAGTCATCTCATTTAAATCTCATAGAATTTTCCCACTAAATCTCAAAGTAAGTAATTTGTTATAGGCTATTATAGGCTATTTGGTCAAGTGCATGGAAGGGACAGCATTAGGACATGTGGTAGTTCATTTCCAAATTACTTGAGATGATTTTCATTATAATCATATATTATTTGGTTCTGGTTTTCCAGAAAAGCCAGCTAAACCTTTGTTTTATTTAGATATAAATGAAATATCTTCAAAGGATTGCTCAAACTGACTTATGCAGCTTGAATATATATTTTTTCCTTAGGGTGTTTATCCCAAATTATCTGGCTATTTGCTGCAATTTGCAGTTAAAAAAAAATAGTTATTTTTCAAGTTAGAGATGTTTTAGTAAAAGCAGTCATTTTGAGCTGGCAGCAGCCAAATAAAACAGCCCTTTATTTCACAGTTGAGAGTTTGAAATTGGAAGTTAATTGATGTATGTAAGGATGATTTATTTGCTTCCAGGTTTATAGGAAGGAGCCCAGTTGTTTTTTTTTTTTTTTTAGAAATGTTGTTGCTGTATATGTCCCACCTACTTGGCTTCCTTCCTAAACAATGCAACTTTCAGACAGAAATATTTGAGAACATTTTTGTCAGTCAGAATATTTTGATAGCAAACATTTTGTATCTTCTGTCAACTTAGAATGTTTTATTTGTTATAGCCAGGATATCTGATATCAAATTAAATTGCTTTATTTTCCCTTTAGACTTTCTTCAATCACACCTG
Source organism: Homo sapiens (assembly GCF_000001405.40). Classification (NCBI taxonomy): domain Eukaryota; kingdom Metazoa; phylum Chordata; class Mammalia; order Primates; family Hominidae; genus Homo; species Homo sapiens. The sequence goes on along the minus strand of NC_000008.11, from coordinate 46,615,154 downwards.
AATAAATCACTTAGAGGTAAGCTAGATGTAATATAGTGAAATACTTAAAAGACCTGTGTATCTTAGTATTGCATTTACAGCAGTATGATTTTCTGTTGTACCCATTATATTCTACCTGCAGCTAGTTCAGTAAAGAGAGGGCATTTAACTGTCAAGAGAATCTGAGAGGAGACTCTAGTAATCTGGAAAGTCTCTTGGATCTTTGAGGGATTTGGGGATGGAGAGAGTGGGGCTGGGATCTCTGGCTAGGTTGGAGCCAGCCTGCATTTGTATCTGTATCTTGGAAGCAGACTTAGAATGCAGAGACAGATGTGGCCTGGATGCTGCCAGCTCTAGCCAACCACTGAATCCTAAGGTGGGAGAGATGCAGGCTTTGGCTGGGTGCTAAGCTGCTATAGCTGGTTGAATGTAGAGGTCACTATCTTTTCTGAATACTAGTTAAGTAAATTAAATTATTCTCTACTCCCGTGTGTCTACCAACCTGATGGGAGATCGCTACAGAAAAGATGGTTTAAATTTTAGTCTTTGAAGTGGTTTAAGCACGTTTCTGGAATCAAGATTGAATGCAGACTTGGATTGGATATTGAATATTTTTTATTTGTCTGCTTTTCTCTCCATAGAGAGCTTATAGCTTCATTCCACCACGTGTGGCATTTGGCCCTGTTTGGCAGTGATGACCGCCTTTCTGTTCAGTGTCTGAGTGCTATGTAGATTGCACACAGGGGTCCAGATGCATTCTGTTTTGAGAATGTCAGTGGATACACCAATAGCTGCTTTGGATTTCACCAGAACCGCTGTTTGGAATGCAGCCAATTCAAGTGAAGAAATATCCATATTTGTGGCTCTGTTACAGTGGTGAAATCTACAACCATAAGAAGGTGAGGAAAGAGACACCAGATGTCTAGATGTGATTAAACTTAAGATCTTGTTGATAATGATGATATTATATATTCTGTATCATGCGTTTTACTTTGCAAAGCACACTATGTTCACTATCTCATTTGCTCAAGTATGTAGATAGGGAACTCATGAATGAAATGGTGAGTGAAATGACTTGATCACAAAAAAGTGATAAAAATGGGGATTACAGTTCAGTTTCTTTGACTCTTAATTTTTTTTATTTTTATTATAATGTAAGTTCTTGGGTGCATGTGCAGAACGTGCAGTTTTGTTACATAGGTATACACGTGCCATGGTGGCTTCCTGCACTCATCAACCCGTCATCTACGTCAGGTATTTCTCCTAATGTTATCCCTCCCCTAGCCCACCACCCCCTGACAGGCCCCGGTGGATGATGTTCCCCTCCCTATGTCCATGCATTCTCATTGTTCAACTCCCACTTATGAGTGAGAACATGCAGTGTTTGGTTTTCTGTTCTTGTAATAGTTTGCTAAGAATGATGATTTCCAGCTTCATCCATGTCCCTGCAAAGGACATGAACTCATCCTTTTTTATGGCTGCATAGTGTTCCATGGTGTATATGTGCCACATTTTCTTTATCCAATCTATTATTGATGGACATTTAGGTTGGTTCCAAGTCTTTGATATTGTGAATAGTGCTGCAGTAAACATAAGTGTGCATGTGTCTTTATAGCAGCATGATTTATAATCCTTTGGGTATATACCCAGTAATGGGATTGCTGGGTGAAATGGTATTTCTAGTTTTAGATCCTTGAGGAATCACCACAGTGTCTTCCACAATGGTAGAACTAATTTACATTCCCACTAACAGTGTGAAAGCACCCCTATTTCTCCACATCCTCTCTAGCATCTGTTGTTTCCTGACTTTTTAATAATCACCATTCTAACTGGCATGAGATTGTATCTCATCGTGGTTTTGATTGGCATTTCTCTAATGACCACTAATGATGAGCATTTTTCCATATGTCTGTTGGCTGCATAAATGTCTTCTTTTGAGAAGTGTCTGTTCATATCCTTCGCCCACTTTTTGATGGTGTTGTTTGTTTTTTTCTTGTAAATTTGTTTAAGTTTTTTGTAGATTCTGGATATTAGCCCTTTGTCAGATGGATAGATTGCAAAAATTTTCTCCCATTCTGTAGGTTGGCTGTTCACTCTGATGATAGTTTCTTTTGCAGTGCAGAAGCTCTTTAGTTAAGTTAGATCGCATTTGTCAATTTTGGCTTTTGTTGCCATAGCTTTTGGTGTTTTAGACATGAAGTCTTTGCCGATGCCTATGTCCTGAATGGTATTGCCCAGGTTTTCTTCCAGGATTTTTATGGTCCTAGGTCTTAAGTTTAAGTCTTTGATCCATCTTGAGTTGATTTTTGTATAGGGTATAAGGAAGGGGTCCAGTTTCAGTTTTCTGCATATGGTTAGCCAGTTCTCTGAACAACATTTATTAAATAGGGAATCTTTTCCCCATTGCTTGTTTTTGTCAGGTTTGTCAAAAATCAGATTGTTGTAGATGTGTGGTTTTGTTTCTGAGGACTCTGTTCTGTTCCATTGGTCTATATATCTGTTTTGGTACCAGTACCATGCTGTTTTGGTTACTATAGCCTTGTAGTATACTTTGAAGTCAGGTAGTGTGATGCCTCCAGCTTTGTTCTTCTTACCCAGGATTGTCTTGGCTATGCAGGCACTTTTTTGGTTCCATATGCAGTTTAAAGTAGTTTTTTTCCAATTCTGTGAAGAAAGTCATTGGTAGCTTGATGGGGATGGCATTAAATCTCTAAATTACTTTGGGCAGTATGGCCATTTTCATGATATTGATTGTTCCTAATCATAAGCATGGAATATTTTTCCCTTTGTTTGTGTCCTCTCTTATTTCCTTGAGCAGTGGTTTGTAGTTCTCCTTGAAGAGGTCCTTTACATCCCATGTAAGTTGTATTCCTAGGTATTTCAATCTCTTTGTAGCACTTATGAATGGGAGCTCACTCATGATTTGTGTCTCTGTTTGTCTGTTATTGGTGTATAGGAATGCTTGTAATTTTTGCACATTGATTTTGTATCCTGAGACTTTGCTGAATTTGCTTATCAGCTTAAGGAGATTTTGGGCTGAGAGGATGGGGTTTTCTAAATAGATAATCATGTCACCTGCAAACAGAGACAATTCGACTTCCTCTCTTTCTATTTGAATACCCTTTATTTCTTTCTCTTGCCTGATTGCCCTGGCCAGAACTTCCAATAGTATGTTGAATGGGAGTGGTGACAGAAGGCATGTTGAATAGGAGTGGTGTCTTGTACCAGTTTTCAAAGGAAATGCTTCTAGTTTTTGTCCATTCAGTATGATATTGGCTGTGGGTTTGTCATAAATAGCTCTTATTATTTTGAGATATGTTCCATTGATACCTAGTTTATTGAGAGTTTTTAGCATGAAGGGTGTTGAATTTTGTCGAAGGCCTTTTCTGCATCTATTGAGATAATCATGTGGTTTTTGTCATTGGTTCTGTTTATGTGATGAATTATGTTTATTGATTTGCATATGTTAAATCAGCCTTGCATCCCAGGGATGAAGCTGACTTGATCTTGGTGGATAAGCTTTTTGCTGTGCTGCTGGCTTCAGTTTGCCAGTATTTTGTTGAGGATTTTTGCATTGATGTTCATCAGGGATATTGGCCTGAAATTTTTTGTTTGTTTGTTTTATCTCTGCCAGGTTTTGGTATCAGGATGATGGTGGCCTCATAGAATGAGTTTGGGAGGATTCCCTCTTTTTCTATTGTTTGGAATAGCTTCAGAAGTAATGGTACCAGCTCCTCTTTGTACCTCAGGTAAAATTCAGCTGTGAATCTGTCTGGTGCTGAACTTTTTTTGTTTTGTAGGCTGTTAATTACTGCCTCAATTTCAGCACTTGTTAGTGGTCTATTAAGGGATTCGACTTCTTTCTGGTATATTGTCTTGGGAGGGTGTATGTGTCCAGGAATTTATCTATTTCTTCTAGATTTTAGTTTGTGTGGAGGTGTATTCTGATGATAGTATTTTCTGATGATAGTTTGTATTTCTGTGGGATCAGTGGTTATATCCCCTTTATCATTTTTTATTGCATCTATTTGATTCTTCTCTCTTTTCTTCTTTATTAGTCTGGCTAGTGGTATATCTATTTTGTTGATCTTTTTATAAAACCACCTCCTGGATTCACTGATTTTGTTGAAGGATTTTTTCATGACTCTGTCTCCTTCAGTTCTGCTCTGATCTTAGTTATTTCTTGTCTTCTGCTAGATTTTGAATTTGTTTGCTGTTGTTTCTCTATTTCTTGTAATTTTGATGTTAGGGTGTCAATTTTAGATCTTTCCTGCTTTCTCTTGTGGGCATTTAGTGCTATAATTTTCCCTCTACACCCGGCTTTAAATGTGTCCCAGAGATTCTGGTACATTGTGTCTTTGTTCTCATTGGTTTCAAAGAACATCTTACTGCTGCCTTCATTACATTATTCACCCAGTAGTCATTCAGTAGCAGGTTGTTCAGTTTCCAGTAGTTGTGTGGTTTTGAGTGAGTTTCTTAACCCTGATTTCTAATTTGATTGCACTGTGGTCTGAGAGACTTTTTGTTATGATTTCCATTCTTTTACATTTGCTGAGGAATATTTTACTTTCAATTATGTGGTCAATATTAGAATAAATGTGATGAGGTGCTGAAAAGAATGTATATTCTTTTGATTTGGGGTGGAGAGTTCTATAGATGTCTATTAGGTCTGCCTGGTCCAGTGCTGAGTTCAAGTCCTGAATAATCTTGTTAAGTTTCTGTCTTATAGATCTGTAGAATATTGACAGTGGGGTGTTAAAGTCTCCCACTATTATTGTGTGGGAGTCTAAGTCTCTTTGTAGGTCTTTTAAGAACTTGCTTTATGAATCTGGGTGCTCCTGTATTGGATGCATATATATTTAGGATTGTTAGCTCTTCTTACTGCGTTGATCCCATCACCATTATATAATGCACTTCTTGTCTCTTAATATTGGCCCCCAGTCTCTTCTGGCTTGTAGGGTTTCTGCAGAGAGATCCACTGTTAGTCTAATGGGATTCCTTTTATGGGTAACCCGACCTTTCTCTCTGGCTGCCCTTAACATTTTTTTCCTTCATTTCAACCTTGGTGAATCTGACAATTATGTGTCTTGAGGTTGCTCTTCTTGAGGAGTATCTTTGTGGTATTCTGTCTATTTCCTGAATTTGAATGTTGGCCTGTCTTGCTTGGTTGGGAAGTTCTCCTGGATAATCTCCTGAAGAGTGTTTTCCAACTTGGTTCCATTCTTCTCTTCACTTTCAGGTATACCAATCAAACGTAGATTTGGTCTTTCCCATAGTCCCATATTTCTTGAAGGCTTTGTTTGTTCCCTTTTGTTCTTTTTTCTCTAATCTTGTCTTCTGTCTTTATTTCATTAACTTGATCTTCAATCACGGATATCCTTACTTCTACTTGATCGATTTGGCTATTGGTACTTGTGTATGCTTCACGAAGTTCTTGTGCTGTTTTTCAGCTCCATCAGGTCATTTATGTTCTGCTCTACACTGGTTGTTGTAGTTAGTAATTTGTCTAACCTTTTTTCAAGGTTCTTAGCTTCCTTGCATTGAGTTAGAACATGCTCCTTTAGCTCAGAGGAGTTTGTTATTACCCATCTTCTGAAGCCTCCTTCTGTCAATTTGTCAAACTCATTATCTGTCCGGTTTTATTTCCTTGCTGGCGAGGAGTTGTGATTCTTCGTTGGAGAAGAGGCATTCTGGTTTCTGGAATTTTCAGCTTTTATTGTGCTTGTTTCTCCCCATCTTTGTAGATTTATGTACCTTTGGTCTTTGATGTTGGTGACCTTCGGATGGGGTCTTTGAGTGCATGTGCTATTCCTTTCTGTTTGTTAGTTTTCCTTCTGACAGGCCCCTCTGCTGCTGGTCTGCTGGAGTTTGCTGGAGGTCCAATCCTGACCCTGTTTGCCTGGGTATTACCAGTGGAGGCTGCAGAACAGCAAAGATTGCTGCCTGATCTTTTCTCTGGAAGCTTTATCCCAGAGGGGCACCTGCCAGATGCCAGCAGAGGTCTCCTGTATGAGATGTCTGTCAACCCCTACTGGGAGGTGTCTTTCAGTCAGGATACACACGGGTCAGGGACCAACTTGCAGAAGCAATCTGACCCCTAGCAGAGATCAACTGCTGTGTTGTGAGGTCCACTGCTCTCATCAGAGCTGTCAGACAGGGATGTTTAAATCTGCTGAAGCTTCACCCACAGCCACCCCTTTCCCCAGGTGCTCTGTCCCAGGGAGACGGCAGTTTTAACTATAAGTCCCTGACTGGGGCTGCTGCCTTTTTTTCAGAGATGCCTTGACTGGAGGAGAAATCTGGCAGTCTGGGCACAGCAGCCTTGCTGAGCTGCTGTGGGCTCTGCCCAGTTTGAACTTCTCAGCAGCTTTGTTTACACTCTGAGGGTAAAACCGCCTACTCAAGGCTCAGCAATGGCAGATGTCCCTCCCTGCATCAACCTGGAAGTTCCTGGGTGGATCTCAGACTGCTGCTGTGCTGGTAGCAAGAATTTCAAGCTAGTTTGCTGGGGTCCATGGGAGTGGGACCTGCCAAGCCAGACCACTTGGCTTCCTGGCTTCAGCACCCCTTTCCAGGGGAGTGAACGTTTCTGTCTCACTGGCATTCCAGGCGCCACTGGGGTATGGAAAAAAAGAACTCCTGCAGCTAATTTGGTGTCTGCCCAAATGGCTGACCAGCTTGAAACCCAGGGCGCTTGTGGGGTAGGAACAGGAGGAAACCTCCCGGTTTGCAGGTTGCGAAGACCATGGGACAACTGCAGTGTCTGTGCCAGAGTTCCTCAGGCTCAGTCCCTTACGGCTTCTCTTGGGTAGAGGAGAAAATTCCCTAACCCCTTGCCCTTCCCAGGTGAGGCAACACTCCACCCTGCTTCAGCTCTCCCTCCATGGGCTGCACCCATTGTCCAACCAGTCCCAATGAGATGAACCAGGTATCTCAGTTGGAAATGCAAAAATCACCCACCTTCTGCGTCAACCTCGCTGGGAGCTGCAGACCAGAGCTCTTCCTATTCAGCCATCGTGCCAGCCTCCAACTCTTAGGATTTTTTCTCTTTCTCCCCAGACTTTTTTTTTTTTTTTTTGAGACGGAGTCTCGCTGTCACCCAGGCTGGAGTGCAGTGGCGCGATCTCGGCTCACCGCATGCTCCGCCCCCCAGGGTTCACGCCATTCTCCTGCCTCACCCTCCTGACTAGCTGGGACTACAGGTGCCTGCCACCTCGCCCGGCTAACTTTTTTGTATTTTTAGTAGAGACGGGGGTTTCACCGTGTTAGCCAGGATGGTCTCGATCTCCTGACCTCATGATCCACCCGCCTCGGCCTCCCAAAGTGCTGGGATTACAGGCGTGAGCCACCGCGCCCGGCCTCTCCCCAGATTTTCATTTTGAAAAAAATTCTAACATACAGAAAATAACAGAAGCACCCAGATTGAATACTCATTAATGTTTTGTCATATTTGCTTGATTTTTCTTTCTACCCCACCCCCCTACATGCACACACATCTTTTTTGCTGAATCATTTGAGACTATGGTGCAGATATTATGACACTTACTCCTAAATATATAAGCATTTATCTCCTAAGAATAAGGACATTCTTCTACATAACATCAATACCCTTATTAAACCTAAGAATCCATAATACCACCTCATATTCAGTTTATACTTAAATTTCCCTAAGTGTCCGGAGATTATCTTTTTTTTTTTTTTTTTGACAGTGTCTCACTCATCCAGGCTGGAGTACAGTGGTGCAATCTCGGCTCACTGCAACCTCTGCCTCCCAGGTTCAAGCAATTCTCCTGCCTCAGCCTCCTGAGTAGCTGGGAGTACAGGCACTTGCCACCATGCCCAGCTAATTTTTTGTATTTTAGTAAAGACGGATTTTCACCATGTTGCCCAGGGTGGTCTGGAACTCCTAAGCTCAGTCAATCTGCCCACCTTGTCCTCTCAAATTGCTACCAGGATTATCTTTATAGCTGGTTTTTGTTTGTTTTGAGCCAGATGTCATTCAAGTTTCATGCATTTGGTTGTGATATTTCATGGTATTTTTTGAGACTTCTTGATACATACCTGTCATGCATTGATAGAGATTTATATTCTAACCAAGTTTTGGACATTTTTATCTCAAACAATAGCTTTTGTCATTGTTGCCTGCTCATAGGAACACTCTTAATAATAGTCTCATTTAAAAAGTTAAAATATTCATGAAATTTCATTCACACATTTCTTTATTCCTTATTAAGAGCCTGCCATGCACTAGACATCATTTTTCTAGGTGATTGGAGATGAAATGGTGAAAAGGAAAGGCAAGAATGGAATTTCCTGCTAGTGGAAAATAGAAGGAGAAAGTAAGAAAATTTTTTTTCTTTCTAAGTCAAGTCAGTGTCATATACAAGAGAATGCTAGGTGGTATTATGGCATTATCAGCTTGGCTTTCCCTTAAATGAAATAGGAAGTGCCCTGTTTTACTTGAACAGTGTTGTTTCTTTTGTTAAAAAGTTATAAGAAGTTAAATATTTTGAAAATAATTAATTTCTATTCTAAATTCGTCAAATGTTATATTTGTAAAAGTAGAGAAGTTCGTTCCATTGCTTCTACCAAGCATCTAAGATTGTGTACTTGGGGAAGCTAGAAATCTGTCTAATTAGCAAAATGTATATTTTAGGCTTATATAAAGTATTCTGCAACATAAGCTCAAAAATCCCCCCACCACCTTTTTGATAAAAATAAAGTTTACCACCACAATAAAATACAGCCAGAGGTGTGCTGGGAGTGGAGGGAGACTGAATGAAAGAAAGGAGGAATGGGGTAAAGGCTGGGGCAAAGAGCAGGCCCTCTCCCTGCAGGGGAGTATCAGGGGCCTGCAGCCAAGTCAAATGACAGCATCACTTCAGGAAGCAAGATTAGAGGGCTCCTATCTAAGATGCAGCATTGGAGTTTGGTTTAAGAGAGTAGGACATGATACATCCATTACTCAAAGGACCCTTCTCTTTTTAAAATAAATTACTTGCAAAGATTAGGCCAAAGAGATGGGCAAGGTAGATTTGGGAAGCTGTTGCTTGCTAATATCACCGAATGCTTGATGGTCACTTATGCTTCAGGCAGTTTAGCCCAGAACAGTCAGCAGAAGATTGTTTCCAGACCCCAACTGCTAGTTATAGGATCATTCCTCATACAGCAGAGAGGGGTGACCAGGTAGTGGCTTTATAGTCGCTGCAGACAAAGCCCATTTTTGGACAGTTCAGTGAGGGCTTATAGACAAAAGTTTCACAAATTATGGAGTGAGCTGGATGGAGTGTGAAGTGTATTTACGGGTCATGCAATAAATAATAGGTTTACTTTTTGAAATTCAAAAACATGTTTTAAACTTATCTAGGACTTCCACCTGTTTTAAACCTCTTCTTTCTCTAGTGTCAGCCAGAAATGTACAATATACAAAGAGGAATACATCAAGGACCTTTTTGTCCTCATAGTTTGCCAGTGATGGTGGAGAGTGTCAGAATTGGGGAGTAGCCTAATCAAACCTTCTTACTCTGCATGCAGTGGCAGTCCCTTTGCTGTCCCTTTGGGGCATGCTGACTAATAAAGCACCACCATCATTTTATCTGTCAGTGAGGCGTAGCTTTAATGCTACTGCATTGGTGGAAGCACTGGGTGTTGTCATCCACCTCTGGGGACCAGCAGCTTTGTTTTGGATCATGTATCTTTTATTTTGATGGAGCTATTTATTTTTCAGGGAATGATGCCAAATGATGTTTGTCCCTTTGCTTTACATTTTTATAGCTAGGTCTTCAAAGCTGAACTGGAGAAACTTCTTAGCCAATACTATTTTCTCAAACCAAAAGTTTACAGTTGCAGAAGTCATGTTTTTTAGTGTCATGGCAACCAGGCAACATATTGTCTTAACTTAAATTTAGGGGTTGAGCATCCCTAATCTGAAAATCTGAAATTTGAAATGCTCCAAACTGTGAAACTTTTTGAGCACTGACATGACACTACATGTGTATTTTGATGTCACAGTCAAAATGCAGGTCTACAACACACAGTTTATTTGGCATTCTCTAGGGAAAAAAGACCCTCTCATCCTGCTTCAGCTGCAGTATAACTTTTCTACACATGCTCAGATTTCCCCATGCAAGCACGTCCACAAAGGGTAATAGAATGGCTCATGTGCAAGCAGGACACGCCAATGGCAGGATCCCCACAGATGGGACCTATGTGCATTACCCGTGGTGTATTTTTGCTTATTCTCTGCTCTGTGGTGTTAAGATACTGAAAATGTCAACAAGGCCTGTAGATATCCCTATAAGCAGCAATGATAAGGAAAAGTAGAAACATTTATAACACAGAAAGTTAAGCTGTTGGAGAAATTGGACTGTAGTTTAAACGTATAGATGACATGCTGAAAATGTGTGATAGAGATTTTGAAGGACTAGAGCTACCTGCATTCATAACAGAATAAGAGGTCATGTCAGTTTATAAAATCAAAGATTTCCTTTTTATTTATTTATTTATTTATTTATTTATTTATTTATTTTTATTATTATACTTTAAGTTTTAGGGTACATGTGCACATTGTGCAGGTTAGTTACATATGTATACATGTGCCATGCTGGTGCACTGCACCCACTATCTCGTCATCTAGCATTAGGTATATCTCCCAATGCTATCCCTCCCCCCTCCCCCCACCCCACAACAGTCCCCAGCGGGGGATATTCCCTTTCCTGTGTCCATGTGATCTCATTGTTCAATTCCCACCTATGAGTGAGAATATGCGGTGTTTTGTTTTTTGTTCTTGCAATAGTTTGCTGAGAATGATGATTTCCAATTTCGTCCATGTCCCTACAAAGGACATGAACTCATCATTTTTTATGGCTGCATAGTATTCCATGGTGTATATGTGCCACATTTTCTTAATCCAGTCTATCATTGTTGGACATATGGGTTGGTTCCAAGTCTTTGCTATCGTGAATAATGCCACAATAAACATACGTGTGCATGTGTCTTTATAGCAGCATGATTTATATTCCTTTGGGTATATACCCAGTAATGGGATGGCTGGGTCAAATGGTATTTCCAGTTCTAGATCACTGAGGAATCGCCACACTGACTTCCACAATGGTTGAACTAGTTTACAATCCCACCAACAGTGTAAAAGTGTTTCTATTTCTCCACATCCTCTCCAGCACCTGTTGTTTCCTGACTTTTTAATGATCGCCATTCTAACTGGTGTGAGATGGTATCTCATTGTGGTTTTGATTTGTATTTCTCTGATGGCCAGTGATGATGAGCATCTTTTCATGTGTTTTTTGGCTGCATAAATGTCTTCTTTTGAGAAGTGTCTGTTCATGTCCTTTGCCCACTTTTTGATGGGGTTGTTTTTTTCTTGTAAATTTGTTTGAGTTCATTGTAGATTCTGGATATTAGCCCTTTGTCAGATGAGTAGGTTGTGAAAATTTTCTTCTGAAAGGATCAACAAAATTGATAGACCGCTAGCAAGACTAATAAAGAAAAAAAGAGAGAAGACTCAAATAGACGCAATAAAAAATGATAAAGGGGATATCACCACCGATCCCACAGAAATACAAACTACCATCAGAGAATACTACAAACACCTCTACGCAAATAAACTACAAAATCTAGAAGAAATGGATAAATTCCTCGACACATACACTCTCCCAAGACTAAACCAGGAAGAAGTTGAATCTCTGAATAGACCAATAACAGGATCTGAAATTGTGGCAATAATCAATAGCTTACCAACGAAAAAGAGTCCAGGACCAGATGGATTCACAGCCGAATTCTACCAGAGGTACAAGGAGGAACTGGTACCATTCCTTCTGAAACTATTCCAATCAATAGAAAAAGAGGGAATCCTCCCTAACTCATTTTATGAAGCCAGCATCATTCTGATACCAAAGCCAGGCAGAAACACAACAAAAAAAGAGAATTTTAGACCAATATCCTTGACGAACATTGATGCAAAAATCCTCAATAAAATACTGGCAAAACAAATCCAGCAGCACATCAAAAAGCTTATCCACCATGATCAAGTGGGCTTCATCCCTGGGATGCAAGGCTGGTTCAATATACACAAATCAATAAATGTAATCCAGCATATAAACAGAGCCAAAGACAAAAACCACATGATTATCTCAATAGATGCAGAAAAAGCCTTTGACAAAATTCAGCAACCCTTCATGCTAAAAACTCTCAATAAATTAGGTATTGATGGGACGTATTTCAAAATAATAAGAGCTATCTATGACAAACCCACCGCCAATATCATACTGAATGGGCAAAAACTGGAAGCATTCCCTTTGAAAACTGGCACAAGACAGGGATGCCCTCTCTCACAACTCCTATTCAACATAGTGTTGGAAGTTCTGGCCAGGGCAATTAGGCAGGAGAAGGAAATAAAGGGTATTCAATTAGGAAAAGAGGAAGTCAAATTGTCCCTGTTTGCAGACGACATGATTGTATATCTAGAAAACCCCACTGTCTCAGCCCAAAATCTCCTTAAGCTTATAAGCAACTTCAGCAAAGTCTCAGGATACAAAATCAATGTACAAAAATTGACAAGCATTCTTATACACCAACAACAGACAAACAGAGAGCCAAATCATGAGTGAACTCCCATTCACAATTGCTTCAAAGAGAATAAAATACCTAGGAATCCAACTTACAAGGGATGTGAAGGACCTCTTCAAGGAGAACTACAAACCACTGCTCAAGGAAATGAAAGAGGATACAAACAAATGGAAGAACATTCCATGCTCATGGGTAGGAAGAATGAATATTGTGAAAATGGCCATACTGCCTAAGGTAATTTATAGATTCAATGCCATCCCCATCAAGCTACCAATGCCTTTCTTCACAAAATTGGAAAAAACTACTTTAAAGTTCATATGGAACCAAAAAAGAGCCCGCCTCACCAAGTCAATCCTAAGCCAAAAGAACAAAGCTGGAGGCATCACACTACCTGACTTCAAACTATACTACAAGGCTACAGTAACCAAAACAGCATGGTACTGGTACCAAAACAGAGATATAGATCAATGGAACAGAACAGAGCCCTCAGAAATAACGCCGCATATCTACAACCATCTGATCTTTGACAAACCTGAGAAAAACAAGCAATGGGGAAAGGATTCCCTATTTAATAAATGGTGCTGGGAAAACTGGATAGCCATAAGTAGAAAGCTGAAACTGGATCCCTTCCTTACACCTTATACAAAAATCAATTCAAGATGGATTAAAGACTTAAACATTAGACCTAAAACCATAAAAACCCTAGAAGAAAACCTAGGCATTACCATTCAGGACATAGGCATGGGCAAAGACTTCATGTCTAAAACACCAAAAGCAATGGCAACAAAAGACAAAATTGACAAATGGGATCTAATTAAACTAAAGAGCTTCTGCACAGCAAAAGAAACTACCATCAGAGTGAACAGGCAAAATCAAAGATTTCCAAGACAAAAGCCATTGTTAATGAGGTAGATGACTCTGGAGAAACATTTTAAAAAGCCATGTGGCAGAATGGCTCCTCAACCTCAGAGGACTCGCTTCCTAGTCCCTGAAGTCTTCTGATATTTCTTCTTATCTAAAAAAAAGAAAAAAATACAGTGTATAGTAACATTTTAATAAAAAAACACAGAATTGTAGGTAGAGTTTGATTGCCTGCCATTGTTTGTACAGCTGTTTAACAGCTGATGCGGGTATTCTGGTGAGCTACTATGCTGCTTATTATTTTTTAGTGTATTAATGGTATGTCACATTTTTTACTTATGTGTGAATAAGTGTATGAAAATGATTGCTCATCAGTAGCATATAAATTCAGAGACAGGAATCATGGCCAATGATGTCAAACAGCCATAGGTTTTCCCATGGTAGCTGAGATAGTGACACCTTTGCTTTCTGATGGTTCCATGTACACAAACTTTGTTTCATGCACAAATTTATTTGAAATATTATATAAAATTACCTTTAGGGTATGTGTATAAGATATATGAAACATAAATGAATTTCATGTTTAGACCTGGGTCTTATCCCCCAGATATCTCACATATATGCAAATATTCCAAAATCCAAAAATAAACAAATAAATAAAAACCAAAAACCTTTCTGGTTTCAAACATTTGAGATAAGGGATACTCAATCTGCATATACATAAACATATATGTTTTACATGTATAGTATGTGTATTATATGCATTTCCATTCTTCCACAGGTTACATTTACAGGTTACAGGTTCTGATACGTTCCCATTATATTCTGTTTATCAGACTGCAACTACAATTTTCATGGGTTCAGCTTTATGTTGAACAGAATTTGCAGAATTATGAGTTGAAGCAAATCCTAGTTTGATATTGCTATGATTCTCCTAAATCACCAAAGTGCATGAAATGATTATAGAGCTCAGAAATACTGAAGCAACTTTGCAATAAAAATATTATTAGTGAATGTACAAGGAGTGTAATATTTTGGTTTTGCTAGTGGTTCTTAAGGTACAACAGCATTTTGAATTTGAATATCAGACCAAAATGGATGGTGAGATAATTTTTCATCTTTATGACAAAGGAGGAAATGAGCAAACAATTTGTGTGTTGGATGGTGTGTTTGCAATTTTTTTCTGGATACTGCCAATAAGAAAGTGTTCCTGGGCAGAGATACATAAGGATTCAGACCTTTGTTTAAAGCAATGACAGAAGACGGGGATTTTTGGCTGTATGTTCAGAAGCTAAAGGTAATAATAAATTCTTCTATAGATTTTCATTATTATCTTGGTTGTGTGTTTTCTTTTAAATTATATTTGAAAATCTCTTAGAGAGCAATCCAGAAGCTTACCAGTAACTAATTAAGTTATGAGTCTTTACCTTTTTTAAAAATAACAGAGGAGTTGTACTCTCCTTTTCAGCACTTCAATTCTGTAATCCTTGAAGGATGAGTTTTTAGTGCAATCATTTATTTTTTGCTGTGCTAATAGATGCTCTGCATCTAGCTTGATCCTAAGTGCTGTTTTAAGTTTTCCTGTGCCATACTGTAATGGAAGGGTTGGCTCTGCAATTATTGCACTGCAGTACTTTGCTGAAGTTATAGCACAGCAAATATTAGGATTTCAAAAACAGCTTTATTGGTAATTCACATACCATGTATAATTCACTCACTTGAAGTATACAGTTCAGTGGATTTTAGTATATTTACAGATGTTGGTAACCAACACTCCAATCAATTTTAGAATTGTTTTTCCACCAAATCCTATGCCCTTTACCTTATTTTTTACTGGAAGAGTCAACCAGGGTTTTTTTTTTATTATTATTATTTTTTTTGAGATGGTGTCTTGCTCAGTTGCCCAGCCCAGGCTGCAGTGCAGTGGTGTGATCATAGCTTAGTGCAGACTTGAAATTTTGGGCTCAATCAATCCTCCCACCTCAGCCTGCCTAGTAGCTAGGAGTGCAGGCACTCACCAGAACTCCCTGCCTCCTGTGCCCTTTAGCTTTCAATTCCATCTCTCTCTATCCATCATCTGCACTCCCGAAGTTGTAGCCCTGGCAATCACCAATCTTTCTGCCTCTGGATTCCCTATTCTGTATGTTTCATATAAATGGGATTATATATCATATGGGCTTTTGTGACTGGATTCTTTCACTTGGCATAATGCTTTCAAAATTTGTCTATGCGGTGACATGTATCAGTACTTACTTTATGGCCAAATGATATTCCACTACATGGATACACTGGATTTTGTTTATCCACTTGACAGTTGATGGATATTGAGGACATTGTTTACCCCTTTTGGCTATTACGAATAATGCTGCTATAAACATTCGTGTACAAGTTTTGTGTAGACATTTCCCTTGGATGTATATCTAGTAGTAGAATTGCTGGGACACATGATAACTATGTATAATTGAGGAACTGCCAGACTACTTTTGAAATGGCTACATTATTTTTTATTCCCTCCAGCAGTTTATTAAAATTTCAGTTTCTCTACATCTTCACAAACACTTACTGTGTCACTTTTTAATTCTAGCCTTTCTAATGTATGTGAAGTGGTATCTCATTGTGATTTTGATTTGATTTTCCTGTTTACAATGATGTCCAGCATCTTATCTCATGCTTATTGGCCATTTGTATAACTTCTTTGGAGAAATATTTCTTCAGATCCTTTGCCATTTTTTTTTCCTGCTAGGGATCATTTTATTTTGGAAACATAATAGACTTTATTTTTTTAGAGCCGTTTTAGAAAAAATTGAGAGAAAAGTGCAGAGAGTTCACATATGCTTCCGCTACAGTGCCCCTGCCCAATTTTCCCAACTCTTAACATCTTGCATTACTCTGTTACATTTATTATATTTGATGAACTGATACTTATATATTAACTGAAGTTCATAGTTTACATTAGGGTTCACTCTATGTGTTTTATAGAATTTTGGATTTGACAAATGTATAATGTCATGTACCCACCATTAAAGTATTATGTAGAACAGTTTCATTGCCCTAAAAATCTCCTGTGCTCCACTGATTCATTCCTCTCCCTCTTCCTCCTAAACCCCCAGTCATTACTGATCTTTTTACTTTTCTAATTTTGCTTTTCCCAGAATGTCATATAATAGTTGTAGTCACATAGTATGGAGCCTTTTCAGACTGGCTTGTTTCACCTAGCAGTATACACTTAGGGTTCTTCTGTGTTTTTTCATGGCTTGATAGCTCATTTTTTAAATTGCTGAATGATATTCCATTTGTTGGCATGTACTGCAGTTTGTTTATCCATTCTTGAATTATCAATCCCTAATTGGGTTATTTTGTCTTTTTATTACTGAACTGTAATAGTTCCTTATGTATTCTAGGTACAAATCCCTTGTGTTCATCAGGGTTGCAGAATACAAAATCAATATACAAAAATCAGTGGTATTTGACACACTTTAACTGAGTACTACATACTTGCAATGAGCAATCTGAAAATGAAATTAAGAAAGCAACTTCATGGCCAGGTGCAGTGGCTCATGCCTGTAATCCCAGCACTTTGGGAGGCCGAGGAGGGTGGATCATGAGGTCAGGAGATCTAGACCTTCCTGGCTAACACGGTGAAACCCTGTCTCTACTAAAAATACAAAAAATTAGCCGGGTGTTGTGGCGGGCACCTGTAGTCCCAGCTACTCAGGAGGCTGAGGCAGGAGAATGGCATGAACCTGGGAGGCAGAGCTTGCAGTGAGCCGAGATCCTGCCACTGGACTCCAGCCTGGGCGACAGAGTGAGACTCCATCTCAAAAAAAAAAAAAAAGAAAAAAGAAAAAGAAAAAAGAAAGCAACTTCATTTATCATAGTATCAAAAAGAATAAAATACTTAGAAATCAATTTAAGAAGTATAAAACATGTACTCTGAAAACCATAAAACATTGTTGAAAGAAATGAAAGAAGATCTAAATAAATGGAAAAGTATCCCATGATCATGGACGAAGGCTGAA
This sequence comes from Homo sapiens, assembly GCF_000001405.40. NCBI lineage: Eukaryota > Metazoa > Chordata > Mammalia > Primates > Hominidae > Homo > Homo sapiens. Next base: position 46,597,713 of record NC_000008.11, on the reverse strand, counting down.
CATTGTTAAGATGGCAGTCCTCCCTAAACTGATCTACAGATTTAACTTCATCCCTATCAGAATGCCAGATGAGTTTTTTGTAAAATCGACAAGCTGACTCTCAAATTCATATGGAATTGCAATGGACTAAGAATAGCCAAAATAATCTTTTGAAAATGAGGAACAAAGTAGGAGAACTCATACTTACGGCTTTAAAACTTACTACAAGACAATGGTAATAAGGACAGCATAATACTGGCAGGATAGATGTATAGACCAGTGGGATAGAATTCAGAGTCAGATATGAACTTATACATAAATAATCAACTGATTTTTGACAAGGGTGCCAAGATTATTTAGTGTATATATGTATATGTATATGAATATGTATATCATATATTTGTCAGTTGCCAGGACTGCTGGGCAAGCCTGGCAAAGAGAACACTGAGGAAAAGCAGCCACCTGCTCCCTGTACCTTCTCTGAGCCTGATGATCACTTGATATGGAACTATAATCACATCCAGTTTACCCTCTGAAATTCCTTGATTGTTCTTTTTTATATCCTTGACACTGTCCTTTTCCAGACCAAATGATCTTATCTGAAATACTGCAACAATTTTCCTTTCTCAGTGCTTTTAGAATAACCTGTCATAAACTCATCTGATTATAGTACTGCCTGCTTAAAACTTTTTAATTACTCCCCATTCCCTACCCGGCCTGTGTGGCTCACTTGAGCTCTGCTAGCTGGTGAGGGAATCTGGGTCCTTTTCCTGGTATTTGAATTCAGTGTTACACAGGTTACTGCCTGGGTTGACAATCTCAAATTGTAAATCACGAGTATTCCATGTAGGTAGTCTGTTACGATTTACAATAAAACATTGATGTTTGTATCAAAGATCATGGTGATGTGATGTTGGGTACTGTCTGTGAGAATTAATTGAGGAAATTTAAATTATATGGTTTTATTTACATATATGTATAACAACTAGTTAAGGGATAGATGTCTTCTCATCTGACTTTAAAGTAGCTAAGAATGGATCATTGTGATTGTTAAAGGTCTGGGAACCATGGCTATTTTCTGAAAATACCTCAGGGATGACAAATAAATGACTGCCAGCCTATCATAACATTAGGACTCCAGTTCATCCCTTTGCTTCATAAGTGTGTTTTTTCCTTTTGTGTATATTTGCTTTAGTATAGAAAATAGGTTTTCTTGATTAGAAATCTATCTAAGAAGAAATTGAACACTGGAGATTTTTCTATTGCTTTGAATTACTAAAAGTTAGTGTAATTTGGCAGTATATCCCTGTGTCATTATTTTCTCTTTGGTAAGTAGATAGTTGGGCTTTGGGTGATTAAAATTTTTTTCCCATTTTGCTTATTGAATGGACATGTGTTTGTCTTAAAAAAGGGAAAATAAATAGGAATGTAGAGGATGTTAACTAATCGTGAAAGTTATTGGGAAGGGTTACCTAATTTGAATAAATGTATCATTTTGAATTTGTAGGTCTTGTTACATTGAAGCACTTCAAGACTCCCTTTTTAAAAGTGGAGCCCTTTCTTCCTGGACACTATGAAGTTTTTGATTTAAAGCCAAATGACCAAGTTGCATCCGTGGTAATGGTTAAATATCATCACTGTCGGGATGAACCCCCACACGTGCTCTATTACAATGTGGAGAAACTCTTTCCAGGTAGCAGACACCCACCCACCCACCTATTCCCCATCCTTCTCTAAGGGAAAAAGTTATAAGCTGTACTTTCACATCAATTGAATGATTTTAGTTTCAAGACCTACTTCCTATTTTGTTTGGAGGGAATACATAAAGATTTGGCAGACTCCAGCATTGAGTAAATGCCATCATGATAGATGTTGATGATTGTGTATTTTATTTCAATAACTCATCCAGCCCAAGATTTTCTGGAGCTGTTTGATTTATTTGCCGTGTTTATAGGTTTTGAGACAGAAACTGTGAAGAACAAACTCCGGATCCTTTTTCATGATGCTATAAAGAGGCGTTTTATGATAGACAGGTTGCCTTTTATCAGGTGAAGTCAATTAAGAAACCTAATTATACTTCGTGCATGTTTAATTGAAATGATGTGCAGCCATCCCTTTGGTTTTTACTATAAAATATTTACTATATGATTTAATCTTTCCTTCATTATAGGATGGAAACAATTTTTTATAAGCTGCATTTAATAGTCATAGTAATACTCCAACTTGAGTTACACTATAGCTATATTATTGGTGTAAAAGTGAGCCAGTGAACATTCTTTAGAATTCTGTGTAGTGATTTTTAACCAATTCAAATACTACTATTATCACAGTTTATATACTTTTCTCTTCTTGAAGTTGATTTCAGTTTATAAAACTTGGGGATTTTAAATGGTAAAACTATTATCTTGGTGTTTATCAGGATTGTACATCCTCTGTCCCTGTCTTATGCAAGACACATAACTAGGACACTTCCACTTCCTCTTTTGCATGTAGAGGGCTTGGACTCCAGCTTGTTGCTGCTACCCTGTTGAAGCAGCTCAAAGAGGCCCAAGTACAGTATCCTCTCCAGACATTTGTAATTGGCATGGAAGACAGCCCTGATTTACTGGCTGCTAGAAAGGTAAGGTGTTGTCTCTTTCCCTTGTGTAGTTAGAGTAGGCTTGTTATTAGAATGAAAGTGGAGTCAATAATGGATGACTCTACTTCTGCTACTGTATTGACTGGGGCAGTTGTTTTAAATTAAATGTATTAAAATGGAAGGAAATGGCTGTTGAATATGCCCTGTGTTGTACATTGTCCTCTATGTACTTTTATCTATTATGACCCATACAATTCTCACAAAGACCCTATGATGATAATTATGCTCTTTTGAAAGTAAAGGTGTCTGAGCATGGTGACTACACCTGTAATCCCAGCACTTTAGGAGGCCAAGGGAGGTGGATTACTTGAGGTCAGGAGTTTGAAACCAGCATGAGCAATATAGTGAAACTCCATCTGTACAAAAAAATACAAAAATTAGCCAGGCTTGGTTGTGCATACCTGTAGTCTTGGGTTTGTGGGAGCCTGGATGACAGAGTGAGACCTTGTGAAAAAAAAAGAAAGAAGAAAGAAAGAAAGAAAGAGAGAGAGAGAGAGAGAAAGAAAGAAAGAAAGAAAGAAAGAAAGAAAGAAAGAAAGAAAGAAAAGAAAAGGCGTAAGTCAGGTGCAGTGGCACACACCTATAGTCCCAGATACTTGGGAGGCTGTAGTGGGAGGTCTGAGCTCAGGAGTTCAAGTCCAGCCTGGCAACATAGCAAGACCCCATCTTGAAAAATTCAAAAAAGAGGTTTTTCATGTGTTTATTTGTTTTTTGTTTTTTAAAAAATAACGTAAAGGCTTGGTATCGTGATGAAGACTGCAGGTTTTGGAGCCTGAATTGTGGTTTGAAAGCCTGGCTCTACTCATTTATGTAAAAAAAAAAATAGTGTCTTCTGTGGGGTAGTTTTAAGGTGAAATGGCATAATTCATGTAAAGTAAGTAGGGTAGAACTTAGTATGTAGTAAGTACTTAGTAAGTGTTAGCTGTTATTATTATTTTAAAAAGTGCTGTATTTAGAATACTGTGGGCAGAGGGCAGCTTGTCTGTATTCAGTGAGCAGGAAACCTTGTTCCCACTATGGAGAACTTTTGTAGCATGGATGAGAAAGAGCTAGAGAGCACTCTCAATGCAAGGTGAGCAATGCTTAGAGAATCCAAAATAGCCAAGGAAAGTAGAATAAGGGGAGGAGCCATTCTATGTAGCAATAACATCCTGGATATAAAATTAGGCATTGCCGAAGGACCAAAAAAGACCAAGCTTAGTGTGGGACCATGTTGGACTAGAGAGAGATGAGGTGGGTTAGGTAAAATAGGTGGGGAGGGAGGCGCCAACTGGGAGAATGGTTAAAGTCTTGGCACCAGAGGAGCTGAGGGGAGACTTACTTCCTGGTGGTGGAGTTGAAGCAGGGCCTGGATGGGGTTGTATGTAGTGGCCTGTAAAATCATTTTTCCCTTTTTTCCTTGTTTAATTTTCACCGTTGTTAATTCATAAAGCTTTGTGAACTCTTGTCATGTTTGATTTTCAAGGGAAGTTATTTTCTTTAACAAGTAAATGGGCATTTATATAATAAGGTGGCAAATCATATTGGAAGTGAACATCATGAAGTTCTCTTTAACTCTGAGGAAGGCTTTCAGGCTCTGGATGAAGTCATATTTTCCTTGGAAACTTACAACATTACAACAGCTGATGCTTCAGTAAGTAAGGTATTATGATTATTAAATAAACAGATTTTTTAATACTGAAAAAATGTAAGGTTTAAAAAAAATTTCAGGCGATAATTTAAAATATTTAGCTATTTAAAATAATAGTTATTTAAGGATGAATGCAAATTAAATCCCTATGTTACTGATTATTTAAGACCACTTAAGAATTCTCTGAATCTCTTTTGGAGTAAAGGGAACGATAAATATATAGTTCAACCTCCACATTTTTGGTATCACTGTTGGTGTTTTCCCAGGAAGTAGATACATATTTTCTGCCCTCTACCTCCCATTTCTCTTATAGTTTCTTGGGGTACAGTCTGTAGGAAATAGGTCTATTTGGTAATGCATTTTTGATAAGAAGTACTCATTTTAGATAAATTTTGGTAAATATTGCATCACACAACTTGCCAGTCATTAGCTATCCTTGCTCTGCAAACAATACTAATTTTATCTTATAGATAGTGTATCTACTGAGATTGGAAGTATACTCCAAATCAGACTGATCCAATGTTATTGAGCCTTTATATGCTACTGCCTCTCTCTCCAAGAAACTTGCCTTGGAGGGCAAAAATATCTTAGGTATTACAATGGTTTATGGCCCTCCAAAGCATCACAATAAATAAACGGATAGACAGGATAGTTCTGGTATTGGAATTTCATGGGGCTGGGGTGGGGTTAGGAAAATAAATGTCTAAAAAGTCTCTCTAGCTGTGGTGATGATACAAGCAAGGTTGAAAAGAAACACTGGTTTAGAGAGATGTGGTGCAGAACCAAGGAGTTAGGTTTAATAACTTATATAGTCTCCCCAACTTCATGTGAAGTCTGGTGAATGGGGAGTGACAGGGACAAGATACCTAACAAAATTAACACTAAACCACCAAAATGCTTATTCTTATTTTTGTGTTGTAATACCACCATAAAAGGCATGATTTTTAGGTATTTGAGTCATTGTTTAGCTCAGCAAAGTTTTGAGGTGGACATTCTTGGTCTAAAATATTAGAATTTTAAAACCTATTTATAAAATGACAGAATGGTTCTGGGTTATTTTATTTTACAGTAGTACTTTTGGATTAAGTACATATAAATTGCTTGTAAATATAAGGTCATTATTGTGGAAACTACTTTATATTAATATGAAGTCCAGTATAGTAGTAAAGTTTTCAATTATTTCCAAAAATCACATCAAGGGCATTTTTGGTGGAAGGTTATGTTGGCATTAAAGTTAATTTCTCTCTCTCATTTAAGGTATGTATTTAATTTCCAAGTATATTCGGAAGAACACAGATAGCGTGGTGATCTTTTCTGGAGAGGGATCAGATGAACTTATTCAGGGTTACATATATTTTCACAATGTAAGCACTCTGAAGTGGAAGGATATTCGTGCTATATTAAGAAAAGTATGAATTATTTGACTATTTTATATCATCTTTCAGTATGACAGTAATATTTTTGAGTCTCTTGTGAGGTTACAAAAGGGAATCTGATAGTGTTTGTTTTCTATCTCTTGGGGAAGAAAGAAATTTTAATAGCGTCAGATAATTTTTATTCTTTAAAAGTAGTCACTGCCGGGTATGGTGGCCCATGCTTATACTCACAGCTACTCAGGAGGCTGAGGTGGGAGGATCACCTGAACTCAGGAGGTCGAGGCTGCAGTGAGCTGTGATTGCACCACTGCACTGCTGCCTGGTTGATAGAGCAGACTCCGTCTCTACAAAAAGAAAAAAAAGTTAAAAATAAATAAATAAAACTAGTTAAGCTTAAGAATCACCTTTCTGCTGTTTCTTAGCCCCCTGTGGAATTATGACCATTGTCCAGTGTGTTCATTTTATTCTAATACTAGCAGTTTGGTGGGGAGGAAGGTATGTTTTGTAAAGCATTGCCTTCCTCTGTTCAGTTATTACTCCCTTCCGTAAATTTGTTTTGCTTTTTGTCTTATCCACCTTTAGGATTAGAGAGGGAGAAATAAAAACTGCTTTATGGGCCAAAAGCAAAACTCATGGTGCTTTTGTTTGTGAAATGGGCTCCTTCTGAAAAAGCCAAGGAGGAGAGTGAGAGGCTTCTGAGGGAACTCTATTTGTTTGATGTTCTCCATGCAGATCAAACTACTGCTGCCCACAGGTAACAGAAGCTATTGTAAAACAAAAACAAAAACAAACAAACAAAAAACACCAAAAAAAAAATAAAGCCCAATGCCCTGAAAAAAATAAAAAAAAAATAGCTAATTGGCTATATGTTACATAGAGTTGGCTATATGTTACCAAGTGAGACTTTTATAGAAAAAATGAAGCTGTTTCTTAACTTAGTCCCAAAAGAATTAGGCCACATTTCAAAGTGTTGTTGTGGTACATGTAGAGACGTCTTCTTCCACAGGTTGTTTGAGGTGGAATTTTCACCTTAAAGGGTAACAACATTCTACTCACATCTGAACAACCAAGAGGGAAGAGGGAAAGTTGTTACAGCATTGTTAAGTGTTTTAAAGAGAGGTAAAGATTGTAAACATTATGTGACAAGTATTGAGTGCCCACCATGCCTGTTTGGTGCTGTAGTGACCCTGAGGGGATAGGGTTGTGAACCTGCAAGGGGTTTGATTTCATTATAAAGAACTGGGTTTCTTTGGTATCATTTCTGGTTGTCTAAAGTTATGTTGAGGAACTGAAGACTTTTACTGTATAGGATAAACAGCTAACATTAAATGTTTTATTTCTCTCTGCTGAATCACACTTAGATTTGGATATAATTAAATATGGGTTTGGGGAATGAACTGAATTCGGTTATTATCTTATGCTTGTCTTAACTAGAGTCACTAGGCTTCAGGAAACTGGTTATATGGCATTTGATGAAATATAGCAGAATGCTGGTTTATATTGCATATTGGATGTGAATTATTAACCAGTGGTAAAAAAAATACTGTGTCGTCATCACAATTGTTAGAAGAGATGGTCTCACCTAGAAAACACTGAGTTAGAAAGGTCCAGTCAAGGTATTTACTTAATGATTAGGTCACTCATGATTTGTAACTTTTTCTGCTTTTTGAAATATTCATTTAACTATTCCTAGAAAGGAAAGTAAAAGTAATAGTCTCAGTTAGTTTTACTTCCTAGATGACATGATATATATATTATTTTAAATGAAGATTTTTTTGTATTCATTCATTAGTGTAGGGCAGTCATTAGGAGGCTTGTGACTTTATGACCTTAACATTTCTTAGGATCTGGTTGAATTGATGGGAAACTGAATCAGAACCTAAACTGTTGGGCACTAAACACCCATTTTAATTTAGATTTTCTTATTTTCTCCTTTAAGCCTTGAACTGAGAGTCCCATTTCTAGATCATCAGTTTTCTTCCTATTACTTGTATCTGTCAACAGAAATGAGAATTCCAAAGGTAGTAAATCAACTCAAGATAAAACTGTTATTGGGGGAACCAGCCCCCAATATTTCAACATAGGTTCTTTTCTATTTTCACTAAGTGTCAGCCAGTCTGAGAAATAAAGAGAAAGAGTACAAGAAAGAAATTTTACAACTGGGCCTCTGGGGGTGACATCGCATTTTGATAGGTTCTGTGATTCCCCCGAGCCGCAAAACCAGCAAGTTATTATTAGGGATTTCAAAAGGGGAGACGGGTGGGAACAGGGAGTAAGTCACAAAGATCACATGCTTTATTTATTTATTTATTTATCTGAGACAGAGTCTCACTCTGTTGCCCAGGCTGGAGTGTAGTGGCATGATCTCAGCTCATTGCAAGCTCTGCCTCCTGGGTTGATGCCATTCTCCTGCCTCAGCCTCCCCAGTAGCTGGGACTACAGGCACCCGCCACCTCGCCTGGCTAATTTTTTTGTATTTTCAGTAGAGACAGGGTTTCATCATTTTAGCCAGGATGCTCTCGATCTCCTGACCTCATGATCCACCCACCTCAGCCTCCCAAAGTGCTAGGATTACAGGCATGAGCCACCGTGCCCAGCCAATCACATGCTTTAAAGGGCCATAAACATCACAAAGCAAGGGCAAAAATTAGAATTACTGATGGAGGTCCATGTCCTGCTGGGCACACATTGTCTTGATAAACATTTTAACAGGAAACAGGGTTCAAGAGCAGAGAACCAGTCTGACTAGAATTCACCAGGCTGGAATTTCCCAATCCTAGCAAGCCTGAGGGCACTGCAGGAGACCAGGGCATATTTCATCCCTACTCTCAACCGCATAAGACAGACACTCCCAGAGCAGTCATCTATAGGCCTAACCCTGGAATGCATTCTTTCCCCAGGGTTATTCCTTGCTGGGAAAAGAATTCAGCAATATTTCTCCTATTCCCCTTCTGCAAAAAAAAAAAAAATATGACTCTGTTCTGCCCAGCCCTGCAGGCAGTCAGACCTTATGGTTATCTTTCCTTGTTCCCTGAAAATCGCTGTTATTCTGTTCTTTTTCAGGTTGCCCTGATTTCATATTTTTCAAACACACATGTTTTACAATCAGATTTCATGTAAGACAGGCTTAAGAAATTATAAAAGTATTAATTGGGGAAGTGATAAATGTCCATGAAATCTTCACGATTTATCTTCTTCTGCCACGTCTTCAGTCGGTCCCTCCGTTCAGGGTCCCTGACTTCCCACAACATCTCTCCCTTTCTTTTTATATAAATGTGCCATGGCAATGAAGGCTTGTTAATTCTCTCAATTTTGATGCAGGATTCTTTGACTGGTCCAGCATACTAAATACAAACCAATTAAACAGATAAACATAATTCCAAAATTTACTACAGTGGAGCCCCCAATAGACTTAATCCAAGTCATGGGGTTTAATCCAGAAAGATTTTCTGCCACCTGATCTAACGCCTCAGCTCCAGGCACAATGGATAAATGAGCTTGACAGGCTTCAAAAATTTGATTCTCTAATTTAGTATAATTATAAATTATCTTCCCTACCCAGAAGGTGTCCTTTGGCCATTTCCCGTGAATTATCAGTCTCATTGTAGGAATATGGCATGATACAGAAATCAGAAGTGTTCCAATCGCGCTGCATTTGCATGCGATGTTTGAGACTCACTACCCGATCTCCAAGCCAAATAACAGACTGTCTTAAAACGTTAATGTGATTAGCCAATTTTTGATCAATGCCTTGTTGAGAATTCCTCATTTGGGTGGAATTGGCTTGCCAATCATTAACAAAATGAGCCATTTGAATAGATTGATGTAACACCATTCCAGCAGTGATGGCCATTGCAGTGACTGTAATTAGGCCCATGATCACAGCCATTAAAGTGAAAACAAATCTCTTAGATCTTTTTAGAATTCACTGTAACACTTCATTAATCAAATGTATTGAGGAGGAGGATTCCCAAGGCCTGGGCAAAGTTACTGGAATCCAGATTCCTTCTTGAGCTCGAACCAACATTACACTTTTCCTGGAGTCAAAACGGGAGTTAATACAAGTGTATAAATGACAATTAATTTATTGGATTGATTGTTCGTCCAAATTTTGATATTTCCCACTAACAGCATGTAAGGTGGCTTAACACAACTCTGTATGGGAATAGTCAGATTGGAGGGAAGCAAAGCAGAATGTCTGAATCTATGTTGATACTGAGCGAGGGTCATGGTGGTGGGGACAGCAGACAGAAAAGTTTCACCTTCCTATACTCACAGTCCAGACATGGCAATAGCCAATTTCCAAAGTTCTGGGTTTTCTGGGCTCAGAATGGGGAATATCATATGAGGCCTCAGGGGGTAATGCCTTTATCTTCCCATTTTAAGAGAAAGAATGAACTGAACCTCTTGTGCAAAGTAGAAGGATGATTCTCGTTCTCCGTATAAGAAATAAAATAAGTAGCCTCAGGCATTCCCTTCTGCCAGAGGAGCAATTGTTTTTAAATAGCCCTTTGGTGCCCAGTCTGTTACTAAACCATATGAGTCATTTTTTAATATTACTGCATGTGAGTTAACACAGTCATCCCAAATTAAAGTTTTAGATGGGCCCTCAAAATTTTTAGGGCATGGTTTTCCTGCAGGTTTATATTGAAAGTATGGGGTATCTCCCATTACTTCCCCTTTCATTTGTCTTAAAGGAGAAAGGGAGAGGCCAGAGACCAAATGTCCTGGTTCCTCTGTAGCTGAATTTTCTGGAAGATAAGCAGCCCAGACTTGAATTTCTAGATAGATACAACCAGGTGCATATCCGAGGCACAGAGGGGGGTATTTATAACTCATAGTAACATTAAATGCAGTGCCTTCTTCTCCTGGTTGAGCGGGGCAATGGTCTTCTGTAGCTCCAGGCATCCACACACTATCATTAGTATAGATTTCTGCAGGAGCATCCATCCAGGTGAGAGTTCGAATAAGTGGAGGAAAAGGCACATAAGCCCAGTAAGAATAATTTTGTGTAGCAGGTAAGTCAGTGTGAGAGGAAACTGGTGAGACAGAAGGTGTAAGGAGGAGAATCATTAAATAAAACCTATTGTAAGAGAGATCCAGTGCTGAAGGAGGAAGAGAAGAACAGAGGGATGTTATTTTCAGGCTAATAGAAATGGTGAGATTTTTAGGTTTGTAAGGGGAAAAAGAAAGGTAATTAGGAGAAGTGGGATTAGTTACAGGGGTCTTCATTGCCATTAGGGAGGATTGAACCAGACCCATTTTGATTTGGTGTGCCAGCTTCTGGGGAGTTGGCACAGTTCTCACCATGTCTGAGGGCAGTCTCTGACATGGACATCTTTTCCCTGTGGTTTTCATTGTCAGTATTTACACGAAGTTTAAGTCTTGTAGTGGGCACCCGGACAGGGGATTGATGATCTCCTGGTGAAACACAAGCATATCCTCTTTCCCACGTTAAGCAGAATCGGAGACAATATTTAAAGGTTTGGGGAAATCCTGTAAGGCAGTAATTACAGAAATTAACTCTGCCTTTTGAGTAGAAGTATAAGGGGTAGAAATGAGCTTGTCTGTAGGACCCACATAACCAGCATTTCCGTTACTGTAGCCATCAGTGAACACTGTAACGGCCTCAGGAATGGGCTGATCTTTGCTCAATCAAGGGACCACCCAAGAAGTCATTTTTATAAAATCAAACAGTTTGTTTTTTGGATAATGATTGTCCATAATGCTGATAAAATCAGCCAAGTGAATTTGCCACAGTATGTAACGTTGAAAAGTGGCTTGAATTTTGAGCCAATTTAAAGGAACTACAATTAAATTCGGATCAAATCCAGAAATTTTAAGTATTCTACACCAAGCTTGTCCAATTAGGATGTCAATTTGGTCCAGATAAACAGACAAAGTTTTTGACACAGAATGAGGAAGAAAACATCACTCCATTAAATCATTATGTTGAACTATTAGCCCAGTAGGGGAGTGCAATGAAGCAAAAACCAAAAGCTGAAAAGGCTGAGATGGCTGTACTCTAGATAACTGGGCAGTCTGGATTCTTTCTTCCACAAATTACAGTTCTAGTGAAACCTCAGGGGTCAAAGTCCTGGGACTGTGGAGATTGGAATCTCCCCACAGCATAGAAAACAAGTTAGCGCATAGGTTGGAATGCTGAAAGTAGATCGTAAGTAATTAATGTCACCCAAAAGTTTTTGGAAGTCATTTAAAGTTTTTAAAGAATCTCTCCTAATCTGAACTTTTTGTGGTTGAGTATATTGTTTATCGACCACCATTCCTAAATATTGAACAGGAGCAGTCTGTTGTATTTTATCCTGAGCAATGTATAATCCAGCCTCTGTGACACAGTGGCTCAAAATTTGATAACAGTCAATTAATTCTTTATCAGTGGGGGCAGCAATGAAAATATCATCAATATAATGAAGAATATAGGCATGGGGAAATTGAGCTCGAACTGGTGAAAGCACTTGTCCAACATAAAGCTGGCAGATTGTAGGGCTATTTAGCATTCCCTGAGGAAGCACTTTCCATTGATAGTGAGCTGCAGGCTCCTGATTATTGATAGATGGTACAGTAAAAGCAAATTTTTCACAATCTGATTTATATAAAGCAATATGAAAAAAAATCTTTAAGATCAATAACTATGAAAGGCCAATTTTTAGGTATTAAAGCAGGGGCAGGCATGCTGGATTGGACGGCTCCCGTAGGTTTAATTACAGCGTTAATGGCCCTTAAATCGGTTACCATCCACCACTTGCCTGATTTCTTTTTTACTAGAAACACAGGAGAATTTCAGGGGGAAAGAGAAGGTTCCACATTTCCAAGTTGTAACTGTTTAGAAACCAATTGAGTCAAAGCCTCCAGTTTTTCTTTAGAGAGCAATGGCTGCTCAATCCAAACAGATATGTCAGATTTCCATTGTAAAGGGATAGGATCAGGAGGCATGACAGTGGCCACCATTAAAAAGGATAACCTAAACCAGCCCTGTCTTCTTTTACAGTAACTGGGAGGGGTTCAGTAATCCCTTCATGTTTTGGGCCAAGACTGAGTCTGGGGACAAACCCCATGTTTTCCATCATATGTTGACTGGGAGCAGTATAGGAGTTATGTGGAATATTAATTTCAGCCCCCAATGTGCTAGCAAATCTCTACCCCAAAGATTAATGGGGATTGGTGTGATACAAGGCTGAATTGTACCCTTTTGACCACCTGGGCCAGTGCAAGCCAAGATAAATGTGCTCTGGTAAACTTCATCAGTTTTTCCAACACCTACTAGTCCTATGTTAGTGGGATGTTTAAGCCAGGAAGAAGGCCATAAATTAGAGGAAATAATAGAAACATCAGCCCTAGTATCTACTAGGCCCTCAAACATTTTTCCTTGCATGTGTATGATGCAGGTGGGCCATTGTTTAGAAATTACATTAATCCAATAAGCAGCTTTTTCACCACCGGAGCCCATCCCAGGGCCACGTGTCTCATCTCCTTTGTTTAAAATGATATTAGATAGTAAAAGCAATTGAGCAATTGACTCACTGGCCAGAATGGAAACAAGGAACCTTGGCAGACATGATAAGTTTAATGTTGTCAAAGGAATTAGAATTAATGAGACCAGTATGAATGGTGATTCCTTTAGCAGAGTTGGATGCCCTACCTAACACCAGGCTCACCAAACCTTGAGGTAGAAGGCCAGTGACCCCTGTGGGGACAATTAAAGGCAAAGAATTAGGTAGTAAATTTAGAGGAATAGTACTACAGAGATCGACCGCCCTGCCCCCTATTGTGGAGGTGGGCAAGCATTGTACTGAGGCAGAAGAAGAGGCTGGGACCCATCTGGGTTGGCTGTAGGTAAATTTGTTTGTGCTGGGGGCTGCGTTTTGACTGCCTGAAGTGGAAACACAACGTTGGTCTGAGTCTGAAGCATCCCATTTGATATTGGGGCCTGGGACTGGCCCCACTTCCCGTTTCTCTGGTTCTGTGGCAGGGGGTTTACATCTATATCATACTTAGAGCAGCAAGTACTTGCCCAATGTTTACCTTTGCAACAACATGGGCAAACAGTAGCAGCAGTATTTGGCTGTGTTTGTTGAGCCGGCTTGTCTGCTTTTAAGTTTTTAACAGTGCGATTTTTTTTTATTATGACCAAGTTGACCGCAATTATAGCAGGCTCCAAGAAAAGAATCAGTCGAGCCAGTCTGATTGCTGTCTTTCATGGCCCGTGCCCACAGAATAGTTTTGTGGGTCTCTGATCCAATGCCTTCACAAGCTTTAATATATGCAGGCAACATCTTGTGATCAGGTAAATTTTGTTGTTGGATGGAACACATGGCCATTTTACACTCATGGTTCGCATTCTCAAAAGCTAACATACGAAGGAGAATACCTTGAGTGCACTCATCAGAGGTAGATTTTTCCACAGCATCTTGTAATTTAGCTAAAAAATCAGGGTATAATTCAGTGTGACCTTGTTTAACAGTAGTAAAAGAAACAGGAGCTTGGCCTGGGGCACATAATTTATCCCAAGCTCTCATACACACCTTGGTTACTTGTTACATGGTAAGAGCATCAAAGCCTAATTGGGCATAAGTATCAGACAAACTATCAGAGCCTGTGAGCTGAGCCTGAGTAATTAGAATGCCATTAGTCCGGGCCAGGCATGGCGGCTCATGCCTATAATCCCAGCACTTTGGGAGGCTGAGACGGGCGGATCACCAGGTTGCGAGATGGAGACCATCCTGGCTAACACGGTGTAACCCTGTCTCTACTAAAAATACAAGAAAAATCATCCGGTCATGTTAGCAGGCACCTATAGTCCCAGCTACTCAGGAGGCTGAGGCAGGAGAATGGCGTGAACCCAGGAGATGGAGCTTGCAGTGAGCCGAGATCACACCACTGCACTCCAGCCTGGGCAACGGAGGGAGACTCCGCCTCAGAAAAAAAAAAAAAAAATGCCATTAGTCTGATTTAGCTGAGCCTGCAGACAGGCCTGCTCTGACCACCAGGTACAGAATTGTAAATGCTGAGCTGGGGTTAGAACAGCTTTTGCCAAAAGGTCCCAGTCTAAAGGAAGCAAAATGACCTCAGTACAAAAAGTTTGTAATACCATTTTAACGTAAGGAGAAGTAGGACCATGCTGAGTACAAGCATCCTTAAAGTGTTTTACAAAGGTAACATTGAGAGGTACATAACCCATTTGTACCCCTTGGATGTTAGGAGGTTCTAGCGGGACCGGATAAGCCCATGCATCTAATCCACTTATTTCTTTGTTTTGGCATACTAAGCGTTGCATTGAAGTTTCAAGAGTAGGCATCTGAGATGGAGTTGGCATAGAAGTGACAGGAAAAGCATGTGTAGATAAAGGAAACTGAAGGTGAGGGGGTTGGACTGGAATGAGAGAGTGAGAAAGGGGCATTGGGGGAGCAGAAAGAGCAGAAGTATACTGGTGATTACTGGCATCCATGTGTGAAGAAGGGTACAGAGAAGCAGGCTGAGTGGATGGCAAAGTGACTGGTTGAGGAACCGAAATGACAGGAGGGTGGGGGGCTGCAGTGGATGGGGTAGGGCCTGCAGAATTATAGGTAAATTGCAGTTTGGTCCCCGAGCCATTAGCTGACTCTGGAGGCAAATGCTGCAAAGGTTTGAAAAGGGAAGAATTAGCATATATATGGTCCTGGGCTGACTGAGTCAGGGCTGCGAGAGCTACAGGTACCAGCTCTTTGTGAAAAGAAATAAGATCATCAGGGGATGACATTAAGCAAGAGTCACCAGAGTTAGATATTGAATTCTCAGAATCGTTAGGTGGGGGAGGAGTAGGCGAAGGGAGAGGCTGATCAGATAATGAAGGCCGTGTGGGAAAGGAAGGTTGAGGAAGAGGTGGAGGGTCGTCAGATTCAGAAAACTGTGGTAACTGCAGGGGGTAAAGGGATTGGTATGTCATTAGGACAGCACATACCAAGGCCCAATCACCCCAAACAGTGATGGGAACAAAATTCCCTGTCAAGACCAATTCCCGGAATGTTGCACCACACGATCCCATAGTTCTACATGTAAAGTTCCTTTTTTAGGAAACCAAGGACAGCATTTTTCCACTGCCCTGAATAGAGTGACCATATTTTCCACAGGCATTTGAACCGTTCCCTGTTTTAACAGGTCTACATCTAAGGTTACTTTTTCAGGAACCAAGGACAGTGTTTTCCCACTGCCCTGAATAGAGTGACCATATTTTCCATGGGCACTCGAACCCTTTTCTGTTTTAACTGGAATTTAATACGGAAGAGATAAGTATAATGTTTAGACTCTGCGTGACCCAAAGTTAACCCGGATAAATTCACAGACTACTCACCAATTGTCAGGGAGTCGAACACGCGTTTCTGTGGACCAAACCGATGAATGTTTCTCTGCACCTACCAAAGGGAATCAGGTTCCCACATGCACTTAGGAAAAAGAAAAACCATGCTGGGTGCCAGATATCGGGGGAACCAGCCCCCAATATTTCAACGTAGGTTCTTTTCTATTTTCCCTAAGTGTCAGCCAGTCTGAGAAATAAAGAGAAAGAGTACAAGAAAGAAATTTTACAGCTGGGCCACTGGGGGTGACATCACATTTCAGTAGGTTCTGTGATGCCCCCTCAGCCACAAAACCAGCAAGTTTTTATTAGGAACTTCAAAAGGGGAAGGGGGTATGAACAGGGAGTAAGTAACAAAGATCACATGCTTTATTTATTTATTTATTTATTTATTTTTTGAGATGGAGTCTCACTCTGTTGCCCAGGCTGGAGTGCAATGGCGTGATATCGGCTCACTGCAAGCTCTGCTTCCTGGGTTCACCCCATTCTCCTGCCTCAATCTCCCCAGTAGCTGGGACTACAGGTGCCCGCGACCTTGCCTGGCTAATTTTTTGTATTTTTAGTAGAGATGCAGTTTCTTCATGTTAGCTAGGATGGTCTTGATCTCCCGACCTTGTGATCCACCCACCTCAGCCTCCTAAAGTGCTAGGATTACAGGCGTGAGCCACCGCACCCAGCCAATCACATGCTTTAAAGGGCCATAAAGATCACAAGGGAAGGGCGAAATTAGAATTATTGATGAAGGTCCATGTCCCACTGGGCACACATTGTCTTGATAAACATTTTAACAGGAAACAGGGTTCAAGAGCAGAGAACCAGTCTGACTAGAATTCACCAGGCTGGATTTCCCAATCCCAGCAAGCCTGAGGGCACTGCAGGAGAACAGGGCTTATTTCATCCCTTCTCTCAACCGCATAAGACAGACTCTCCCAGAGTGGTCATCTATAGGCCTAACCCTGGGAATGCATTCTTTCCCCAGGGTTATTCCTTACTGGGAAATAATTCAGTGATATTTCTCCTATTCGCTTTCTGCAAGAAGAAAAATATGACTCTGTTTTGCCCAGCCCCGCAGGCAGTCAGACCTTATGGTTATCTTTCCTCATTCTCTGAAAATCGCTGTTATTCTGTTCTTTTTCAGGGTGCCCTGATTTCATATTGTTCAAACACACATGTTTTACAATCAGATTTCATGTTGTTCAAACACACATGCTTTACAAACAATTTGTACAATTAACACAATCATCACAGGGTCCTGAGGTGACATACATCCTCAGCTTATGAAGATGACAGGATTAAGAGATTAAAGTAAGACAGGCTTAAGAAATTATAAAAGTATTAATTGAGGAAGTGATAAATGTCCATGAAATCTTCACAATTTATGTTCTTCTGCCAGGGCTTCAGCGGGTCCCTCTGTTCGTGGTCCCTGGCTTCCCGCAACAAACTGTCCACTGCCATCAGATTATATTTGTAACTTTTACTGATGCTCCTTTTTTTCATGTTAGAATGAGATAGAAAAACATCTCCTGAGAGAGACATTTGAGGACTCCAATCTGATACTCAAAGAGATTCTCTGGTGACCAAAAGAAGTCTTCAGTGATGGAATAACTTCAGTTAAGAATTCCTGGTTTAAGATTTTACAGAAATATGTTGAACATCAGGTATATTGTCTTTAAAAACATTTTCAGGAATAGGACACTTTGGATGCAGAGCTGTCATTGCTGTTCATTTTGTATTTAGTTTGAATGCTTTGTCCCTTTAAGAGAGATTCATAGTCTCTGGAAACAATTATCTCTTTTATAAGAATTATATAAGAATTAAGTAGCATGAAGGATTATAAAGTACCATCTGGAATTGAAAGAGAGAGGAGACTTACTACTAATCATCACTGACCTTCATTTAACACATTTTTGGGCACCTTCTGGGTGCCAGATCTTGTTAGGCACAAATTACTGAAACAGAGCCACCAAGAATTAAAAATATGCATATGAATGTTTCTTAAAAGTCACTGCAGCTATGCATATTATGAATACTTTAACATTTTCTAAGTGATGGGTGATTCAAAGGGTCTCATACAATTTACAGTCATATCTTATCTTTACGTTTTCTGTTCTGTGAAACTAGAGTAAATACAAGTATTTCCATGCCATTTTAAAGAAACTGTTCTGCTCTTATATTTTTATTCTTACAGGTTGATGATGCAATGATGGCAAATGCAGCCCAGAAATTTCCCTTCAATACTCCTAAAACCAAAGGATACTACTACCATCAAATCCTTGAACACCATTTCCCAGGCCAGGCTGACTGGCTGAGCCATTACTGGGTGCCCAAGTGGATCGATGCCACTGACCCTTCTGCCCACACACTGACCCACTACAAGTCAGCTGCCAAAGCTTAGGTGCTCTTTATGCTGTAATATGAAAGCAAATATTTCTTCTTATTGTATGGGGACTATGGGTAGATAGGGGAACAATGAAAGTCAACTCAGGCTAACTTGAATGTGAAAAAAATAAAAGTCCTAAATCTAAAACATTGCTATAGTCATTTATGTTCATACAGTCTCCTCATAAGAGGTAACTAGAAATTTTTTGCTGTATCACAGTGAAGCAAAGGGTAATCTAGGAGAAGGGAAAATGCTCTGATGTCTACAAGAACTCACAGCACTCTCCTGGCAGAGCTGCTTTAGATGACATTTGCGTCGTGTGCCCACATGGCTTCCTTCCAGTCCTTGCCTCATCTTAGGGAAGTCATCAAAGGACTACACTATTTTTGTTCTGCCTGCATTCCTAACAGCTGCCTAGGCAGACTTGAGACTTGAGTCTTGTATAGGAGTTCATGACAGCTCTATTTAGCAAGATAATAGTTCATTTTTTTCTTTTATGTTGAGCCAAAGTCACTTCTGGAGACTTGTCCTAGAGCAGGGGTCAGGCTTTTCTTTTAATAAAGAGCCAGATAGTAAACATTTTAGGCTTTGTGGACCTCTTTTGGAACTGTTCAGCTCTGCCCTTATAGTGCAAAAGCAGTTACATAGACAATGTGTAAAGAAATGAGCATGGCCATGTTCTATTAAAAGTTACTTATAGAAGCAGATGGCGGGCCACATACGATCCATGGGCCATAGTTTCTTGATCTCTGTTGTAGAGGGACAACCAAGCTAACTAAGCATTTCTGGTAAAAGTCTAAACCTACTTGAAAGAGAGCGTAGTAACACATTCAAAGAACAGGTAGAAGATTTTCATTTGAATGGTAATTTGTTGTTTAGGGTGAACTTAGCTCTTAAAAACTTTTGAAAAGGGAACTGCTGGTGTACAGATAAATAAAATTGGAAGAAGAATGTATTTTTTGCTAGCTGTAGGCCTTTACAATTTAAGAATATCTCTAAGAAACTGAGGAAATGTCATTAGTATTAGATGATTTTGGTTTGCTTGTTTGTTTATTTTGTTTTAGATAGACTTGCTCTGTTACCCAGGCTGGCGTGCAGTGGCACTATCTTTGCTCACTGTAACCTCCACCTTCTGGGTTCAAGCAATTCTTGTACCGCAGACTAGCAAATAGTTGGGATTACAGGCAGGTGCCACTGTGCCTGGCCAATTTTTGTATATTAAGTAGAGATGGTGTTTTGCCATGTTGGTCAGGCTGGTCTCAAACTCCTGGCCCCAAGTGATCCACCCACCTTGTCTTCCCAAAGTGCTGGGATTACAGATGTTACCCACTGCACCCAGCCCTAGTAGATGACTTTTAATGATTATCTTGTGTTTGCAGTTGCTTAAATTGCCTAAACCTAGAATGATTTGATTCTAGGCACATTTATTCCTGGTAGAGCCTCAGACAGCCATGGTAAATGACATCGAAAATACTTGGGAAATTTGGTTGATAATGATTACACAGTGTATACGACAAGATTAAGGTATAACATGAACCCCAAACTGCCAGTTTTCCAGGGAGTGGGGTTTGGCTCTACATTTTTAACTTTAGTGACTGAGATCTGGCATATTTAGTTACCACCCAGAAGTTTCATAGTAAAGATACTTAGTTAAGGCTATTTCATAGCAGCAAACTACAGGTCAAGTATAATGGCAGCAACTTCCTGGATTTCAAGCCACACACAAGATTTACACAGGTTTTTGGCACAAAGAATAAAGATAGCTTTTTCTCTTCTTTTGCAATTTAAATTGTAGAAGTTTCAAAGAAATGGTGGCCCTTGGGTTGTTGTATACATGACTTAATAGCTCACTTACTGGCCAAGGCTGTTTTCCTGGATATTGGTAATTTAGTGCCAAGGAGACACTAATCTACACAGCATCTCTAACAACCAATAGTCCAGTCCTTTTAAGCAAAATTAAAAGATTATTAGGTGATGTCATTCTG
Source organism: Homo sapiens (assembly GCF_000001405.40). NCBI lineage: Eukaryota > Metazoa > Chordata > Mammalia > Primates > Hominidae > Homo > Homo sapiens. The sequence continues at coordinate 46,577,374 of NC_000008.11, read as the reverse complement.
CCATTTCAGTCTGATGTGAGAACTATTGTGAATGACCTGCCCTTTGGAGGTTCATTTCACTTTCTCTTAAAATCTGCTAAAAGGTACCATATAGTTTGACAAAATGATACACTTCTATTTAAAAAAAAAAATGAAAAGTAAAATCCACCAAAATGTACTTTTAAAATTTTAACATTTTCTTGAAGATCTCTTCCTATAAAGGGACAATTGTATATGTGTGAGTAGATTATTTTGGTTAACATAAGGCCAGAAATCTTAAGTCCTTTACAAGGAAAATATAAAAAGGAGTGAATCCTAAGCCTATCATAGCCCAGCCTCCAAATGATTATACTTTGTGGGAAATTAGCTTGAATTAGACTGTGATATGACCATCTTGAGGCCACAGAGTCAGAGCATGCTCCTGAATGCCTCCTGTCTTGGAATTGCCTTAGTTTGGTCTAGAATCAGTGATAAAGGATCCTTGGAGTAGGTCCCTAGGAAGGGAAAGTCTGGCTATGAGGAAGCAGAGTGGAAGCTGCGCAGGGAGGCAGTTACATGTGGTTCTAGACTGTGCAGTGGAAAAAACAATACCAAGCAAGTACTTAGCAGCTTTTCTAAGAACTTTTATTGTCTTAGCTCATTCCAATCTTAGGAAGTGTGGCAGATTTTCTTTTCTAAAAGTAGCCATAGCAGTGTTCCTGGTGCCATGAACTTTTCCAGAGCCTGGCTAGCCCTATGAAGAAGCAGCCTATTTCCTCTCTCCTTGAGCCTGGTCAGAATTTTGCAATTGCCTTCTAGTAGAATACAGTGGAAGTGATGCTATGTGACTTCTGAAATTGGGTCACAAAAGGTGATCTGGCTTCTGCTTTCTCTCTTTTGATGTACATTATAAAAATGCCCAGACTACATGGAGAGGCTGTATGTGAGTTTGGGCTGACTGCCCTAGCAAAGGGCTCAGTCGACAGTCAACAATAGCCACTAACAACTGCCAGCTGTGTCAGGTGCCAGCTGTCAGGAGTGAGCCTCCAGATGACTCCAGCTGCCAATTTTGAGTCTTCTACTGGGAGCCCACGCATGGGAAGGAGAGATGAGCCATCCCTGCTGTGTGCTCTGTCAAAGTTCTTCATTCACAAACAAAAGCTTGTTTGACAACATTAAGTTTTGTAGTTTCTTACACAGGCATAGTAACTGGAACAGGTAAACACTGTTACCACCATTTTACACATATTAAATACGTCGCTCAGTCACTTGGCTAATGAGTAAGTGGTGGAACCTCAAATTATCCAGGTAGGTTGACTGCAGAGCCTTTGAGCTGTTCTTTTCTAAATATTGTCTTGCAATATCAGCCTGAAACTATAGCCTGGGTCTCTGGTGTGAATCAGGAGACTAAGGGAAAAGGCTTTTATTGGGAGCAAGAACAGGGAGTTCAGGGAATCTCCCAGGGACTGCAGTGAGGCTAATCATTTTCTGTAATGGCATAGGCTAGGTGAACTGAGGAAACAATCCCCAAATTTCAGTGCATTACCACAAAAGGGTTTTTTGTTTGGTTGTTTGTTTTTGTTTTTTTGGTTTTTTTTTTTTTGCTCAAACTGTATGTCCACCTTGGCCTAAATGGGGGCTCTGCACATTGTTGAAGGAGTTTTACATACTCTGGAACCCAGGCTGATGGAGGCACAACCTTGACATAATTCCACCATCAGCAAGGCAGGGGATGGAGAAAGTGGTGAATTATTTACTGAAACTAAAACTTCCACTCTGAAGTGACACATCACTTTTGTTCACATTAGATATAAGTCATGTGGCCACACCTAACTTCAAGGGAGCATGTACAAGAAAGGAAAATAAAATATTTGAAGAACAGCACTAGTGACTCCCCAAATCTGCTCTTCAGTAACAAAATATTGAATTCACTCTCCTATGCAAGAAATATATTCACCCCTTTTTGAGGGTTACAACTGGGGAATTCCATTGTGCAAGGACACCAAGCCCAGAGTTTAGGACCTTTGGGTCATGTCCTTATGTGCAAGTCTATTTCAGGGCTGGAGACGGCACTTCATAAACTAAGAAAAAATTAATCTGCTCCCCATCTGTCCAATATATAATTCAGCAGGAATAGAATAACTGCGACAACAAAACATATTTAAAAAGAATAAAACAGAAGAAATATGGGAAACCCTACTCAGGAGCAATTTTGACATCCTGAAGTCAGTCATTTGAGGGCTTCCAACTCCAGCAGAAAATTGCCCTTCAGGGGTCACCAGCAGCCATGACATCAGTGTTTTGGGAGAAGGAGGCAGATTGAAAGAAATGGGGGAATCAGTGTCTGATCACAGGTGAGAAATGGAACAGTTTGAAGGGGAAGGGCTGATTTCTAGCAATAAAGCCAATTTGGCTCATACCACTATAATTTTGGTTATACAGAGTAAGTGTTAACATTAATTGGATACCCTTCCTGAGTGCCAAGGACTGCTCTAAAAGCTATAATCAGTCTTCACAACAGCTTCTGAAGTTTGTTCCTTTGAGCTCATCCATGTTTTGTGGATGAGGAAAGCAGCATACAGTGGTGTTACGTTGCATGCCTGAGATTACATAGCTAACACATAATAGAAGTGGGATATTGGATCCCAGGTTCAGGGTTTTTGGCGCCTTATGCTTAACCCCTACTCTGTGTTACCTTTCAAAGGGATAGACTATAGAATATAATTATGTACATTGAAAAAATACAACTCCTTATTTTTTTTTCTTGTTAATGGGAGTATGTGGTCTATTTTATGGGTAGCTCATAAGTTATTTAACACAACTATAAATTTAAGCATAAGATACTATTTTAATTTTTTAAAGTTGTCATGAGCATGTATATGTATGCATCAGTGGTGCAATTTAGCTCTTCTGTGACTTAGCTGTGATTTTGATCTCTGTGAGTTTTTACCTGATTTCAGGCCCCACTTAGTCAATAACTGATACCAATAAATTAATTCATAGTCCTCTTTGCAACTGGTGAATTTTTAATAATACTAGGAAGAAAGCCATACCTAGAAATTGCCAGTATATTTTAGAAATTGGTTGTGGCTATATAAAACGTTTATTTAATATCTGAGGGCTACAATATAAAACAAAACCACAGAGTGGCAGCCACAACACGTTTTTCTCTGGAGGCAATTTTATGCCTTTTTTGAAAGGTAGTGGTGTGGGGAAAATATTTTATGCTAAATTGAAGAGATGACATCTTTATTTCATAAAATGATCCAAGCACAGAAGTTCTATAATTTGCTATAGGTACTTGGTGAGCAGTTTTAACTTGTAGATATCATATGACTGTTGTACAGGCCACTATGAAGTTGTATATGTATTGTTTTTGTGAACCTTTTGTCTCCCTCTTCTTTGATCCACTAGCCTAAAGATACCTGCACAATGTGTATTCTTACATAAGTGAGATCCGGAAGGTAAGGAAAGATGTGAACAACCTCAAATCTGCTATTTGCTTTTTGAATGTAGCAAAAATCTACATAAACTCATTTTCATAATCACCCACTCTACTGACCCTGACTTGTCACAGTTTATGCAAATGTAGCTAAAAAACAGAATGCATATTTGAGCACTTAGTTTACACATAATATCAGCTAAAGTGTGCTGATGACTTACTGTGCACCTAACACTGGTGTAAGACCATACTCAGTCTCTATGACAATTCTGAGAGGAACCCACTGTTGGTACCATCCCCATTTTATGGTTGAAGAAACAATGTACAAGTAGCCCAAACATTAAACAACAAGATGGTCAATTTGTGGCCAATGAAATCGTCTATTATAATGGATAGCACAGAAAATAGTTCTATATTACAAGGCAATTTTCATATGTAGATAGATGACTCGTAGAACTTGGTGAGCCACCATTACGATGACCTTTTTTTCTGGGCAAGAAGTGCTTTTAGTTCCTACCAGTAAAGAACTCACAGGCAGTAGTTTTAGTGGAAAAGTTGGAAGTAATGGAGCAGCAGGTATGAAAGCGGAGGGGCAGGGAAGAACCCGGCATATGTGTTGGTCCATTTCAGGGAGTGAGAAGAAAACGCAGTTAAAAAGAATGATTCATTACTGGATTAAGTGGCTGGGTTTCTGGGGCTCTGTACCAACTGACCAGATCAAATTCAGTGAACTGCTAGCTTGGGAGATTTGCTCAACACACCAAAGGCAACATTATAGCAATGCTATTACATTATCCTGTGAGCAAGGATAATGTAAGACATTATCTGTTGTATTTAGCACGGGAGTTATCTAGGTTGTATGCTCCCAAATGACCACAAGGTGGGGCAAGATGATACTCAACTGACTGTTCCACAAACTTTGGGGAATTTTTGTGTCAGTTTTAACATCTAAATCCTGTGCATCTGTTAATTTGTAGTTTAGTACTTTTTGTGGTCATAAATTAAAACCAAAACCCCAGCTAATAACCTTGTACACATCTTTGTCGTATTGTGCTATGTGATATGTAATGTCACAGACCTTGGACTGCATTGCAAAGCCAGCCTTCTTCCATCTTCTTGACATTGAAATACACTATGCCCAGTGGTTCACCCTGACTGTGATTCATCTTGGATAGTGGTGGCGGAGGTGGTCTCCCAAGCTGAGATAGGGAATACAGGAGAAAGCAAGGGTTGGGGAGGGCCAGTGTGGAAGGAGGGGGAAATGTGTGTTCCTCTTTGGGCAGTAATATTGTGTCCGGAATTGGTGGGTTCTTGGTCTCACTGACTTCAAGAATGCAGCCGCGGACCCTCGCACTGAGTGTCACAGTTAAAGGCGGCGTGTCCGGAGTTTGTTCCTTCTGATGCTGCAATGTGTTTGGAGTTTCTTCCTTCTGGTGGGTCCATGGTCTCGCTGGCTTCAGGAGTGAAGCTGCAGACCTTCGCAGTGAGTGTTACAGCTCATAAAGGCAGTGTGGACCCAAAGAGTGAGCAGGAGCAGCAGCAAGATTTATTGCAAAGAGCAAAAGAACAAAGCTTTCACATTGTGGAAGGGGACCCGAGTGGGTTGCCACTGCTGACTCTGGCAGCCTGCTTTTATTCTCTTATCTGGCCTCACCCTCATCCTGCTGATTGGTCCATTTTACAGAGAGCCTAGCGGTCTGTTTTGATAGGGTGCTGATTGGTGCGTTTACAATCCTTGAGCTAGACACAAAGGTTCTCCACGTCCCCACTAGATTAGCTAGATACAGAGTGTCCACACAAAGGTTCTCCAAGTCCCCACCAGAGTAGCTAGATAGAGTGTCAATTGGTGCTTTTACAAACCCTGAGCTAGACACAGGGTGCTGATTGGTGCGTTTACAATCCCTGAGCTAGATACAGAGTGCTGATTGGTGTATTTACAATCCCTTAGCTAGACATAAAGATTCTCCAAGTCCCCACCAGAGTCAGGAGCCCAGCTGGCTTCACCCAGTGGATCCTGCACTGGGGCCGCAGGTGGAGCTGCCTGCCAGACCCGTGCCATGCGCCCGCACTCCTCAGCCCTTGGGTGGTGGATGGGACTTGGTGCCGTGGAGCAGGTGGCGGGGCTCATCGGGGAGGCTTGGGCCGGCACAGGAGCCCACAGAGTGGGGGAGGCTCAGGCATGGTGGGCTGCAGGTCCCGACCACAGGTATGCACCACCATGCACGGCTAATTATTTTATTTTTTATAGGGACAGAGGTCCACCATGTTTCCCAGGCTTGTCTTAAACTCTGGGGCTCAAGCTACCCTCCTGCTTTGGCCTCCCAAAATGCTTGGATTAAAGGTGTGAGCCACCATGCCTCACCTGGAATCACATTTCTATGGGAGAAAAACCCCAGCAGGTGAGTAGGCTTTTAAATTAGCTCAAAGTATGGCTAAGAAAGAGTTGATCATGACCAATAGAGGCAAACTTGCTGTACCATGACTGAAATCCTTCCCTTTAAGATCCACATATTTCTTTCCAACCAAATTAAAGGTTTCCGTAGGACTTACGCTTTTTTTGAAGTCACAAAAGTAGTCCATGCTCATTCTATAAAACCCCCAAAATAAATATAAACAAAAAGAAGAAAGAAAAATATAATTAATCTCAGCCTCAATAACCAATAGCATTTTAGGGAATGTCCTTTATTACCAATTTATTTATACATGTGATTGACCTGGTACACTCTGTTCCAGGCACCATGCCAGGTTTTAAGTTTGCAAAGAACAAGACAGATCGTCTTTCTCTACAAGACAAATATATCCCCTCTGTCTCTGATTATATAAACACATGCATATATAAGTTTTACAAAAAGAGTGTCATATTTTACAAACAGTCGGCCCTCTGTGTCTGCTGTTGTGCATTCATGAGTTCAACCAACCACAGATCAAAAATATTTGGAAAAATTTTTTTACAGTACAATAGAAAATAATACAAATATAACCCAATATAGTATAACAACTACTTACATAGCAATTGCAATGTGTTACATATTATAAGTAATTTAGAGGAGATTTAATGTATCTCAGAGATTGTGTGTATGTTAGATGGAAATACTATGCTAGTTTATATCAGGGACTTAAGCATTCTTGAATTTTGATATCCACTGGGATCCTGGGACCAATCTCCATGGATGCGGAGCCTTGCTTTTTCCCACTAATGATATACTAAGAATATTTTTCCATGTCATTAAATAATTTTGAAAGGCATTATTTTAAATTCATAATATTTTATTTTCTAGATATATCATAGTTTATTCATTAAATTTCCCTATTCTTGAAAATATATGTGTAAATCTGCTTTTTTACTATAAAAAATGATTCATGGCTATAAAAATATACTCAGAATGAATAACATCTAGTATTTGATAGCACAACAGGGTGGCTACAGTCAATAATAATTTATTGTACATTTCAAAGTAACTAAGAGTATAATTGGATTGTTTGTAACATAAAGGTCACATGCTTGAGACGATGGACACTTCCATTTACCCTGATTTAGTTATTACGCATCATATGCCTATATCAAAATATCTCATGTACTCCATAAATACATACACCTACTATGTACACAAAATATAAGAAAAAGAGATTCAGTGAACAATATTTTAGTCAAATTTTTGCCTGCAACCACAATTATATTCCTAGTCTAAATGCCCAAAGTTGGGGTTGATGAATTAAATGACTTGCAAAGGCTGGATGCAGTGGCTCACACCTGTAATCTCAGCACTTTGGGAGGCTGAGGTGGGCAGATCACAAGGTCAAGAAGTTGAGACCATCCTGGCCGACATGGTGAAACCCCGTCTCTACTAAAAATACAAAAAAAAAATTAGCTGGGTGTGGTGGTGCAAGCCTGTAGTCCCAACTACTCGGGAGGCTGAGGCAGGAGAATCTCTTGGACCTAGGAGGTGGAGGTTGCAGTGAGCCAAGATCATGCCACTGCACTCCAGCCTAGGTGACAAGAGTGAAACTCTGTCTCAAAAAAAAAAAAAAAAAAAAAAATATATATATATATATATATATATATACACACACACATATGACTTGCAAAATTTTAAGGCTTTGCTAGCTATGGCTAAATTTCCTTCATAAGGGCAACATCAATTTTGTCCCTGTTCTCACACTTCTGTGAATCCTCACCAATACTGAGTACTTTCATTTAAATATATTTTCACCATAGGTAAAACATATGAATATATTTAATTGTTTATATGCATATTATTTATACTTGATTACTAATGAGGTTGAATATGGTTTTTCTATGTTATTAGCCATTTTTCTTATTGTTTGCTTGCTAATTCCTCAGTTCAGTTTTTTATCAGACATTAGTTTTTTTCTCATTGCTATATAGGAATTTTTTGTATGTTTAAGTTATTAAACCCTGCAATTATGTTTCTAGTTTCATATTTGTATTTTATTTTGTATTCTATTTTTGTCATACAAAATTTAACATTTTATAAGTCTTTTTATTTTATTTATCTTATTTTGTGATAAGTATTTTTCCTTTAAATTTCTAATTTTAGATTAGAAAATCATTTAGGCATCATTTAGAAAGAGGTAGAAGCAAGGATGAGCATTTTTATGGCTCATTAGAAATTATCCTATAGAATTAGCTCTCTTTTCTTTGATTTAGAATTTCTCTAAAGAATACTTGACCATGCAATAGGGAAATGACGAAATCCTTTAACTTTTTTGGGGAAGTCTTCCCAAAGGTTCTTAACTGGGAGAGAGGGCAGCACTGTTTCCTGGGGGGCCGTTCTGAAATATATGGGAGCATTTCTTGTTCCCATACATATATGACTGGGACAATCTACTGGCACTTAGTGGGTGGGATCCGGGAATGCTAAACATCCGGCAATGTACAGAACAATGAAGAGTTGTTCCTCCTGACTGTCAGGAGCAGCTCCCATTGAGAAAAACTGTTAGACTACCCAAGGACATCTTTAAAAAGTACTGTTTTTTGAAAGCATTGCATCAAAACACATTTCCAGCTGAGACGTGGTAGTATTTTTTCCACAGTGTATTTATATATGTAAACGTAGTGGATTGGAATACATGAAACCTTTGTTTAATAAGGTTTAAATTGCTTTATCCAATCTGTCAAGATAACAGTCTTGAGATGTGTATGGACACTAGACAGGTGACTGGTTATCAATTTGACTTATCAGGTAAGTTAAATTACTGATTTTCTCAGAAAGAGTTGCAGAGGGGGTTGGAATTAATTAATTGGACTTATAAACTGAGAGTAGTTAAAATCTTGTGATGCTAAAAAATACTACTGGGGATACCTCTATTTCGCATTTCCTCAAGTTCTCATTCTGTACTTTTTAGCACAAATTGTGACCTCATGTTTGCCAATGCAACTGCTTTTGCTCAATATTATTCTTATTATTCTTCTGATTGCTCTGGATGCTGTTTGCACCAATGGAAGTGTAGAAGGGAGGAAATAGACAAGTGTCTTTTTTATCTATGAGTGCATTGTTCCCTGGAAATATAATTATTTTGTTCACTTGAAATTGCCTTTGATCAAACAAGTTGGTATAAACCAGATTTTTTTTTGTTGCCTGCAGATGGCAGTGATTATTGACTTGTCATTCTAAATACAAGGTGTTGATTTTACCCAGGAGCCTCAAATGCTATATTAATGGCAGTGTTTATTGTGTTCTAATAAAAATTAGTAAAAGTCACACACTGCCTTTTTGGGAGAGGACTGAATTTATATGTTTGATACAATGTCATTTAAAATATTAGTTTACCAGACATGGAACACAAAAGATTTATGAAATTAACTTCACCTGAGTATGCAAAATATTGAATAGTGCCAAGGATTTAAGAAAAAAATTTGATTATTGTTACTGAATCAAGTAATGTGTCGTGGAAAATCAGATTCCAAAATATACTTAAAATATAATAAACTTTGTTGTCTAAGTTTTAGCTCCAGAACAGGATGTGGCTGTTCAACTACTGAGTAGTTGATTGTTCTTTGCAGACACTGGCAAGAGATATCCTGGAATACAAACAACAAATGATGCAGTCCAAATGGAAGGAATCATCAAAAAGGTAATGGAAATCCAACTACAAACACCACTTTTCTGTTATGTAAGTTCTTGGATAGTGTATGCACATCTGAGGAAGATATAGCGGAAATGCAGAAGTCTGGGAAGAGTACACTAAAATGGTCAAAAGAAATGAACAGGAACCATGTTAAGGGGGACTCAAAAGATGAGTCTTCATCAAACAATAAAGGGGAAATGGGAATGTGATCAGAATCATTTTTTCCATGGTCATTGGGAATTGCTTTACCTTCTAAAGGGGTTAATATATGCTTTCAGATGTGTATATTCATGGAATTTGCATATCAAGAGTGTGTAGAAGATAAAAATGCGAACATGTTGAAGGTGATGCATCTAAATAAGGTGTTTTCTAATAAGTTTCAAAAGGGAGAAAATGAAAGTTTTGGAGATACATCCCATCTTCTGAGGTTGAAGTAACTGAGTGAAGGTAGGTCTGACTTTTTACAAATGACTGTGGGTTACAGAGGCAGGTCACTTGAGCTAGAGAAACTCAAACCCTGTGCCAGAGATTATGTTTCTATTTTTATCAGAATTACAATTCAGTTTGGAAAGGTAAATGCAAAGCATTGTGCTACCATGAGTCTAGAAAATTCATAGACTGAATTGACTATTCAATTCATATATTGAATAGTTTTATTGGAGGCGTTCAGAGGAAGTTGGACAGATCTTATTGGAGATGCTAGAGCAGACTTACACATTTGATGTGGTTAGATTAGATTTGTGATTCTATGAGTTAGTCTTTTGAAAGGGCTGTTAAGAGAGGAAAATAAAGATCAATCTTATGAGTAGTATGAATCTAAATATAAAATGTTTTGATTTAGCAATAGACAATGGAACTGCAAGTTCTCTTTATTTCTTTCATTTCCCTGTCTCCAAATTGAAATTTCCTCATTTATTTTTTCAGTAGATATTTGTCAAGCTCCTACTCTGAGCCAGCACTATAGGCCAACAGTAGTTTCTCAATACATGTTAATTTAGTGGACAAATTATAACTAGTAGGAGAACAAAGATCAAACCATAGTTTCCTTCCTCATGTGGGCAGAAAGAAAATAATGAGGAAGAGAGAAACAGAGTTGAAGAAATGCACTATAGATCTCCTAAGGAAATAACTATAATTTAAAGTGCTAAAAGTTTCCCTAAATAATTCTTTAACATTATCCCATAAATTTTGAAATGTATTTTTATTGTCACCTGTTCAAAATACTTCCCAATTTCCCTATTGATTTCTTCTTTTACCTGTGGGTTTCTTAGAAGTATGTGATTTAGTTTTCAAGTATTTGGGGAATTTTCCAGCATTTCTTTATTTGTTGATTTCCTATTTTATTTCTATTATGGTCAGAAAGCATTGTTTGTATGAATTATTAAAAGTTTATTAAGTTTTTTAAACTTTCATTTTAAGTTCAGGGGTACATGTGCATGTATGTTATATAGGTAAACCCATGTCATGAGGGTTATTTTGTCATCCAGGCTTTAAACCTAGTATCCAATAGTTATTTTTTCTGATCTTCTCCCTCCTCCCATCCTCCACCCTCTGGTAGGCCAGACACCCCAGTGTCTGTTGTTCCCCTCTATGTGTCCATGTGTTCTCATTTGTTTTTCTGTTCCTGTATTCGTTTGCTGAGGATAATGGCCTCCACTTTTATCCATATTGTTGCAAAGAACATAATCTCATTCTTTTTTATGGCTGCAGAGTATTCAATGTTGTATATATACCACATTTTCTTTATCTAGTCTACCACTGATGGGCATTTAGGTTGATTCCATGTCTTTACTATTGTGAATAGTGCTGCAATGAACATGCATGTCCATGTATCTTTATGATAGAAGGATTTATTTTCCTTTGGGTATGTACCCCGTAATGGGATTACTGGGTCAAATGGTAGGTCTTTTTTAGCTCTTTGAGGATTTGCCAAACTGCTTTTCCCAGTGGCTGAACTAATTTTCCTTCCCACCAACTATGCATTTTAATTTCTCTGTAGCTTCACCAGCAACTGTTGTTTCTTGGCTTTTTAGTAATTGCCATTGTGACTGGTGTGAGATGGCACCTCATTGTGTTTTTGATTTGCATGTCTCTAATGATCAGTGATGCTGAACTTTTTTCTTATGCTTGTTGGCCACATATATGTCTTCTTTTGAAAAGTGTCTGTTCATGTTTTTTGCCCACTTTTTAATGGGGTTATTTGTTTTTGCTTGCTGAATTTTTAAGTTTCTTATAGATAGTGGATATTGAGCCTTTGTCAGATGCATAGTTTGCAAAAAATTTTTCCCATTTTGTAGGTTGTCTGTTTATTGACAGTTTCTTTTGCTGTGCTGAAGCTCTTTAGTTTAATTAGACCCCATTTGTCAATTTTTGCTTTTGTTACAATTACTTTTGGCATCTTTGTCATGAAATCTTTGCCCATTCCTATGTCCAGAATGATACTGTCTAGGTTGTCTTCCAGGGTTTTTATAGTTTTGGGTTTTACATTTAAGTCTTTTATCCATCTTGAGTTGATTTTTGTATATAGTGTAAGAAAGGGGTCCAGTTTTAATCTTCTGCCTATGGCTAGCCAGTTATACCAACATCACTTATTGAATAGGAAGTCCTTTCCTCATTGTTTGTTTTTGTCAGCTTTGTGAAAGACCAGATGGTTGTAGGTGTGTGGCCTTGTTTCTGGGCTATTTGGACCAATTTGTCTATGTGTCTGTTCTTGTACCAGTAAAATGCTGTTTGGTTACTGTAGCCCTATAGTATAAAGTTAGGTAGCGTAATGCCTCCAGCTTTGTTCTTTTGCTTAGGATTGCCTTGGCTATTGAGGCTCTTTTTTGGTTCCAAATGAATTTTAAAATAGTTTTTTCTTTTCTTTTGAATGACTGTACAGAATGGGACTTTTGGATTTGGGTAGTCACTTAGTATATTATAAGGTTAAGTAAAACTAGCTGCTAGTGCTGCTATAACAAAAAACCCACAGATCTCAGGGCTTAACATAATAAGTGTTTTATATTTTTCGTAGCCTAAATAGTGAGGGGAAACTGTTTCTTTAATGATTGAGGTACTCAGTCTCCTTCATTTAGTGGCTTTACCATCCTCTATGTTCTTTTCAAATTTCTGCACTGGAACCTCTTCATTCAGCTGCCTAATGAGCAAAGAGAAAGAACATGAAAGATTATACAAGAAGTTCTAGGATTCAATCTGAAAGTGTTTTACAATAGCTCTGCTCACTTTCCATTAATTGGACTCCAACTTCTTGGCCCAACATTGTAGTAAGGCGAGCAGATTTTTTAGGGGAGTTCTCAGGAAGAAGAGAAACAACATGGATAATGAGGAGTTCTAGTGTTCTCAGCTGTAATAAGTTTAGAATTATGATCTAGGCTATGAGATAAAGGCACAAGTTCCTTGAATATTTATACTTTCTGGAGTTATTGGTTACTTTCATCTCTAAACAGAACACCTTAAGCTTTCTTCCTGTAAAACTGCAGAAAGTTTCAATAAAGTCTTTATAGGATTGCTGATTGTCACCTCCCACCCAATAGCTGTTCCTGGCTTTTGATGTTTTGCCTCTGCTACTGCAGGCTGACTCAATTTGCTATAAACGTCAGCACAGCTCCCTTTCTTCATTCTCTAAGACCACACCAACACAGGCTAGACAACAGGTAGTAGTGATTATTAGCAAAGATTTATTGAAGGCCTAAATGTACAATCAAGGGAGCATTCCAACATGGAAAAGAAAGAAATTCAATTTGCTGTTTGAAAGCTCAGGCAACCAAACCCTACCATGGAAGTTTCTCTCCAGATTTTAGGATTTGACCCATTGGAATGAATGTAGAGGCCATTCAAAGGCCGTTTCCCTATATCTTCTTTCTCTTTTCCCAAAGTCATTCTGTAAACAAAGAAATCAAACAAATAAGCAACAATTTCTCCACTGTAAGAAGAAATCACCAAAATTCGCACTTAAGAATACCATACCTGTTGGCCAAGCAACGAACCAAGCAACAACAAAACCTATAGGAAATGGCTTTTCTGCCAAAAAGAAACATGTTTTACCTCATTATGCTGGAAAATTTCAACCACTTTGAGACTCAGTATTTCCCAAATTAGTCTTTTGTTCTTGGTTTGTCCATCTAAAAACCTTATTTAATTAATTATTTATTTATTTAGAGATGAAGGCTTGCTCTGTTGCCCAGTCTGGGGTAGGGTGGCACAACCTTGGCTCACTGCAGCCTCCACCTCCCAGGTTCAAGCAATTCTTCTGCCTTAGCCTCCTGAGTAGTTGAGACTACAGGTACTTGCCACCACACCAGCTATTTTTTTTTTTTTTTTGTATTTTTAGTGGAGACGAGGTTTCGCCATATTGGCCAGGCTGGTCTCAAACTGCTGACCTCAGGTAATCTGTCCACGTCAGCCTCCCAAAGTGCTGGGATTAAAGGCATGAGCCACCATGCTTCACCATAAAAAGCCTTTAAATAATTTCCCAGAATAACAATTTTCTCCCTCAAGTGCTCTCCTACTTCCTAGAAAAATGATTCCTCATACCCCCTTGCTTTATTTTTTTGTTTGATTACCTCTGACATTATTTCTCTTTATACCAGTGGTGTATTCTAATAAGGCTTTTATTATAACTTTAGGAAATGTTTAAAAAGTGAAAGGAAATCTGAACTTTCAGAGAATCATTAGGAAAATGGTGCAGAGATTCTCAGCCTTGTCTACCCATTAGAATCACTCGGGGAGCTTCTAAAAATCTTGATCCTCAAACCACACTCCAGAACAATTAGAGTAGAAAGAGGAAGAAGATGAGAGCTAGGTATTAGTATACTTCTGAAAGTTCTTCATGAGATTCCAATGTGCAGTTAAGATTGAAAGCTACTGGATTAGGGAGAACCATCCTCAATTTAAAGGCGTTAACTTTTAGATGATGGTTAAATTACAACAAGATATATGTGTTTTCAAAAGTAGAGAGCTAGGTATACCTTTAGGGTGATTTCTCTTGGCAAATAGCCTACAATTCCCTTGGATTATCACTGTTTGAAGATACTGACACTAGGTTATGATATATTGGCTTCCATGTGGATTTAGATTGCTGTTTTTTAGTATCAACCATGATAATAACTTGTCTGTCAAATATGCACTTTCAAACCTGGAAAAGATTTCCATTATCAGTTAAATTTATCATGTAGGGGTAATTAAAACCTTTAACAATAAGTATAACTTAAAGTAAAGGAAATTGTATTAAATTTCCCATGGCTAAGAGTATTAGACAACTAGTAAAGCTTTTAGAAGCAGTGACATGAAGGAAATTCAAGAATGATTAAATAACTCTACAGATATTCTAAACTCTCAGCCCACCCAGTATATAGCTCTATGTGGTATTAATAAATTAACTTTAACATTAATTTTCTGTGTCCAGGATTATCTTCACAAAACAATGAAAATTGTCTGAATTCCACCTTTTTTACAATGAAATATGTACGTACAAAGCATATTAGTCCATTTTCTTACTGCTATGAAGAAATACCCAAGACTGGGTGATTTATAAAGAAAAAGAGGTTTAATGGACTCACAGTTCCACATGGCTGGGGAGGCCTCACAATCATGGTGGAAGGTGAAGGAAGAGCAAAGTCACCTCTTACATGGCGTCAGGCAAGAGAGTGTGTGCATGGGAACTGCTCTTTGTAAAACCATCAGATCTCCTGAGACTTATTCACTAACACAAGAACAGTATGGGAAAACCTGCCCCATGATTCAGTGTAAGACTCCCACTGGGTCCCTCCTACAACATGTGGGGATTATAGGAGCTAAAATTCAAGATGAGATTTGGGTGGGTACACAGCCAAACCATATCACAAAGGAACTGGAGAATTTTGTATGTATATATGCATTGCTTTCAAGATTTTTATTTTTATATTTTTAAGATTGGGCCTCACTCTGTTGCCCAGGCACTACAGTCTCCAACTCTTAGGTTCAAGCAATTCTCCCACCTTAGTGTCTTAGGAGTTTGGGTTCCTGACTAGCTGGGACTGCAGGCAAGTGCCACAATGGCTGGCTACAAGGTGTCTTCCTTACCCTAAAAGTACTTTCAACTCCTACTTATCAGGGACTTATTAAATGGCTGCCTTCCTTCTGTTATTCCCATTCTTATCATTCACATCTGTCTGGGATATCAATACATTTTAGTCTTCCAAATCAGAAACATTTAAGTCATCTTTGACTTTTTATTCTGCTCCACTCCTAAACTCCAGGACCATTAAAATAAATGATTTCTCCCTTTGGAATATCTTTCAGATGCTGTGCATCCTCTACATTTCAGCTCCCACTTTGTAGAATAGGCTTTTATTACCGAACTTCCTAGCTGGTCTCCCGGCCTTCATCACTCTCTGTCTTTTGAATTAACCCTGCTTTTCTATGAATTTGACCTTCATGGTGATCCCTTTCAGCAAAGCCACAAATTCTAAATCCCTTAGTCTGCTTCTTAAGGCCTTTCATAAGCAGATTTTTCTCTGATTCTCCATCTTATTTCCTGCTATTCCAACACTCATCTGGGATGACAGTGTAGATTTTCCACAGGAAAGTCTTAAAAATGTTTTAAAGGGGAGATGATGTTTACAGATAATTATTAGGTTGCTTGAAAATTGTTTTTGATGCAGCACAATTCCCTGAAGATGCAGTCTAGTTGATATACAAAATGCAATTTATTTATTTCCCCTAGAACCAATTGCTCTGTGCATTGGGTAAATCACTTGGCCACTTGCCTTGATTATAAAGAAATGATAGTAACTTCTGATTCTCATTTATTTCTTGAAACAATGAGAAATCAAAGGAGATAGTAGGTAAATAGATGTGGGACTCAAGAGAAGTTGATAAGTCAAAAAGATGTTATTGTTGGTTTTGAAATGCATGTGAAACTGATCGATTAAAGAATCAGCTCTTCCCACCCTCAGGAAGATAGCACTAGAGGTGCTGATTAGTGTGTCTGCTCCCCTCTGTTTCTTCTACTCTATGGAATCGCCCTAGTCTTCAAGCCCTGCTGAAGAAACAGGCCCAGGGGATTAAGTTTTTTTACTTTGTAACCTACATTTCCCAGTTTTTTGGACCCAGGGTGAGTGGGCAATGTCTGTTTGGACTGCTATAACAAAATACCATAGACTGAGTAGCTTATAAACAAAAAAAATTTATTTCTCACCATTCTGGAGGCTGGAGTTTCAAGATCAAGGTGCTGGTAGATTCAGTGTCTAGAGAGGGTCTGTTTCCTGGTTCATAAACCTTCTAGCTGTGTCCTCACATGGTAGAAGGGGGCAACTGTGGTCTCTGCAGCCCCTAATAAGTATACTAATCCCATTTTTCTTCAGGTTTCCACCCCTATGACCTAATTACCTACCAAAGGCCCTACCTCCTAATACCTTTACATTAGGAATTAGATGTCAACATATGAATTTGGGGAGATGCAAACATTCAGTCCATAGCCAACAGTAAACCCAAAGATAGCTCAACCACAGACCCCAGCCAGTGGCTTATGGCTTAGCTGACTCACTTGTATTTACTCTTCAGGGAGTTTAAACTAAGTAACATCAAGATGCTTGGAAAGTTAGGGTGGTAGCAGAAAGATGCAAAAAAAAATATTTTCAAGAGCAGTTTCATCAACATTTTGCTCATTTTATTTCATTCACCACCTGTGCTTTCTTCTCTTACATTTTAAAAGCAAATCCTAGATAACATGTTATTTCATCTCTAAATATTTTGCGATGAACCTTGAACAGATAAAGATTTTTAAAATGTTTTTACAGAACTAATAGTAATTTTTAAACATTGTCTGATAGCCAGTCCACATTAAGATTTCTCCAATTGTCTCAATTATGTCTTTTTAGTTTGAGTTAGAATTCAAACCACACCTTCATGTTATATTCAGTTATTCTCTGACAGCTCTCTCTGGTTGTTTGGTCCTCTAGAATTTCTCACATTCTCACATTCTGATTGCTTCTTTAACCTTTTAAAAGTTAAACATTTCCTTCTATCCCTTATATTGCCTAGAAACTGAGAGTTAGAGGCTTGATTAGACATTCAAGTATAAATTTTTAGGCAAGATCACTTTGCGTAACTACTGTCGTATACTTTTTAGTATGCCCTGTTATGAAGCACATCAAATCTGGTTGTCCTGCTTTTAGAAAATCTGTCCATATATTGTTTGTCACACTTCCCATGGAGAGTTGGAGTCTCTTTCTCCTCCCTTCAGTCTGGGCTTAATCTTGTGCTCTGCTTGGCCAGCAGAATGCTCACAGCCAGTTACAGGCCCAGACTCCAGGAATGCTGGCCAAATTTACATCTAGGGAAGCTTCTGTCCCTGGCTCCTTCAGCCTCTTTTCTCCCTCCCACTATAGTGAAGCATTTTTTAAAATTAATTTTTTACTTATTTCATTATTTCTTTATGAAAATATAAATAAATATGTATATTTACATTTTTATTTTCCTTTTTACACAAAAATTAAAATACTGGAAGTAGGATACTATACAAGCCTTTTTTCCCTTTACAATATAACCTAAAGATCATTCCCTATCAGTATATATTGTTCTCATTACTTTTTATGGATACACAGTCTTCTATCATATGCATGTATAATAGTCTACTCAATTAGTCCCTTTTTGATGGAAGTTGGGTTGTTTTCACCTTTATGCTTATGCAAATGATGTTACAATGAATAGCTTTGTATAGATATCATTTGGTGTTTTTTGCCAACATGTCAGAGCTAGATTTCCGGGAGTGAGGTTGATGGGTGAAAGGGCCCATGTATAACTTTGCTAGGTGAGGACAGCTGAAATTGAAGATAGCAAAGGAAATCTAATGGGAGAAGTGAGAAGGCAGTAGAAGCACTGGGGAAAGTGAAGACCCAGTGAGAGCAATGAATGGTCCCTTAGTGGCCACTGGGAGAACATGCAGGTCCTAGAGCCTCCTGAATGTCCCTTGAGTGTCAGATTCCAATTTTAGGTCCGATTCACCTGTATCTTTAAAAATATTTTCTTAAGTTAACTTGAGTGGGATTTTGATCTTTGGAAACAAAAGAGTCTAACTAGAATAGTTAGTGGAACTATATTGAAAAGCTTTTGTCATTACAATATTTATACATTTTATTTAATCTCTGATATTTTATTATGAAAATTGTCAAACACAGAAAAGTTGCAAGAATTGTGCTATGATCACCTCTATAACCACTATCCAAATATGACAATTAATATTTTTCATATATACTTTTATTCTGTAGGATAATTGAGACTAAATTTCAGGTATCATTATACTTTGGTTCCTAAATACTTCAGTATGCATTTCCTAAGAATAAGGACATTCTCCTAAGTAACTATAACACTATTATCAAAACTAAGAAAATTAGCAATATTTTACTAACATCATCTAATATTTTATAGGTATTTAAATTTCTGCATAATTTCTAGAATGATTTTATAAATTCCTTTTTTTTAAGGCATAACCAACCAGGATACATGTACTGCATTTGAAATATATATGTAAACACAAATTCATGTTAAGGAAATATGCTTCACTTTATAGTTCATTAAGTTTTATTAGAAGAGTTTTATACTTTTGTTGGATAAATTTTAGCATCTTTGTGGAAGATCAAGTGATTTTTTTCACCCCCGACCTCTGAGTATGATGAATTTTATATTAATGGGTTTTCAATATTAATTTTCTCTTTAATTTCCTCAATAAGCCCCACTTGGTCATGATATATTTTTAGAAGGCTGCTCTTGTATTTTGCTTGCTAATATTCTATTTAAGGTTTTTGCATTGCTATAAGTGCCAGTGGTCCATGATTTTCTTCGGTGTGTGTGTAAATAAACAATGTTTATTAGATTTTGTTGTCAATGTTATGCTCACTTCAAACTCTTGGAGTTTCTTTTTCTTCTTTATGCTTTAGAACATTTTAAATAGATTGATATTATCCACTCTTTGAAGTTGGTATATTTCCCTTGGGATGTTTTGTAGGCCTGGTGCTCTCATAGGGGTAGGGATAGGTCTTCTATTTTTGCTATTGCTTCTGTAAAATGTGATATACTTAAACAACTTGATTAATAGTCTTTGCTGGGTTGGTTTCTGTATATTAAGTTTTCCTGGAAAATTACTTACTACATTGAGGTTTTCAATGTGTTTGTTAGTTTTTTTGGCATGCATGCAAGTAATCTGTTATAATTTTTAATATTCTGTATTTGATGGTTACTTTCTCATTGAACTTTTTATTTTCAGTATGTGTGCTTGGAGTCTTTTTTTTTTTCAGTGAGGTGAGCTAGTGCTTTTTCTATTTTTTTGATCCTTACACATAACCTTCTTTCATTTAAAATTATTTACACTAATGTTTTTATGCTTTTACCAAGCATGGATATCTAGTTAATTTTTCTTTCATTTAATTGACTTAATTGATATTTAATGTTACTAATTTTCCTCTGGTTACTTTTAATTATGTTCCATAGATTCTAAAATGTCATATTTGTATACATATTTTTTAGAAATTCTGAAATTTCAGTTTATTTCTACTTTGATCGAAGAATTATGTAATATTAAGTTATAAAATTTCCAGATAGAAGGGTGTTTTAAAATTTTATTATGAACTTCTGGTTTATTACATTGTAATTAGATAATAGTTTTGATTATCCTTACTATGATGAGACTTATAAAGCTTTTCTTTGTTTGTTTTGAGATGGTGTCTTGCTCTGTCCCCCAGGCTGGAGTTCAGTGGCTCAATCTCGGCTCACTACAACCTCCGCCTCCTGGGTTCAAGTGATTCTCGTGCCGCAGCCTCTCGATTAGCTGGGATTACAGGCACATGCCACCATGCCCGCCTAATTCTTTTTGTATTTTTATAGATACAGGGTTTCGCCATGTTGGCCGGGCTGGTCTACAACTGCTGACCTCAGGCAATCCACCTGCCTCGGCCTTCCAAAGTGCTGGGATTACAGGTGTGAGCCACCGCACCTGGCCTAAGGTTTTCTTTATGAGTTAATACATGATTAATTTTTATTAGTGTGCCACGTTTACTTGGAAAACAGAATGATATTACCTAAGTTTTTGTCTATTCTTGCTTGTCTTGTAGCTTCTGAGTTTTGAAGTTTGTTTTTATGTCATTTGGGTGCATAGGATATTATAGCTTTTTGTAAATTGTAGCGTTTAGCATTAACACTAGCCTTTTTTTGTCTTGTTTAATGTTTTCTGGTCTAAATTCTACATTACCAGGTATTAAATTCTACATTACCAGGTATAATGTTTTCTGGTCTAAATTCTACATTACTAGGTATTTGTTTTTGTTTTTATTTTCCTGGTATACCTTTTTTGGTATCCAGTTTTTGTTTATATTTTCCTGGTATACCTTTACTGTCTCTTTATGTTCAGCCTTTCTGAATCACTTTAAGTATGTCTTGTATGCTGCAATTATGTTTTGATTTTTTGTGAGTCTGTCTGAACATTTTTTTAAAAATCTCTTTTTGATTATAAAAGTAATATGTGGCTACCGTAAAATAACTTGGAACTGCAGAGGTATAAAAAAGAAAAAAAACAAGCACTTCTAATCTTCTACTCCGAGGCCAACTACTAGCATTAGGTTGTATTTCATTTAGTTGTTTTGCCCTTCTTTATAAAACATTTGTTATAAAATATTTCTATTTTATTTGTTTCCTCTTTTGAAAGGAGTGTTATTCTTCAGGACATGAATTTCTTTTTTATGTGCTCCAACATTCAAGTTTTCAGAATAACCACTCTTGTATATATACTGAAGTTCACATTTTTTATAAAGAACTGTCATCAGATTTCTCATAAAAATTTTGAGTGCCTTACATTTTGTGATTATGTAGAAGACACTCTCTATGCTCTGATCTGAAAACCACTTCAAGAGTGGATCAACATGAGTTGAACAACCATGTAATTTGTTCTCTGAACTGCAACTCTTTTGAAGTGAAGGGGGTGCTATTAATATTTAGTTCAAAATAACTGGCATAGGAAGTTGATGCTTTGATTATTAATGCTGCTTTATGGTTGAAGGATGTGAAGCACAGAGAGATTAAATAACTTACCTATGGTCATACAGCTTATATATTAGAAAAATTTATTTTAGAGATAGAGTCTTGCTCTGTCATGTGGGCTGAGAATACAGTGGTATGATGATAAGCCACTGAAACCTCTAACTCCTGGGCTCAAGATATCCTCCTCCTTAGCTGGGACTACAGATGCACACCACCATGCCCAGCTAATTTTTTAGATTTCTTGTAGAGGCAGAGTCTTGCTTTGTTGCCCAGGCTGATCTTCAACTCCTGGTCTCAAGCAGTCCTTCCACCTTAGCTTCCCAAAGTGCTGAGATTACAGGCATGAGCCACTGTGCCCAGCCTCACACAGCTCATAAATGCCACAACTGGGATTTGAACCCAGGCAGTGTGGGTCAGGCATCTGCAGCACTAACTGCTATGTGACCTAGTCTCCTGTAATCATTTTTTAAGTTTAATATTCGGTGGCATTTATTATATTCATAATGTGTAACCATCACTACTATCTGGTTTCACACGTATTTTCCCCCAAAATGTAATTTTTTATTTTATTTCTTACTGATAAATAATATATGCACATATTTATGGGATAAATGTGATATTTTGATACATACATACAATGTCTAATGATCAATTCAGGGTATTTAGGATATTCATCACCTTAAACATTTATCATTTCTTTGTGTTGGGAACATTTCAAATATTCTCTTCTAGCTATTTTGAAATATACAATATATTATCATTAACTGTAGTCACCCTACCGTGCTATTGAACACTAGAACTTATTCCTTCTATCTAACTCTTTATTTGTGTCCATTAACTAACTTCTCTCCCTATTCTCCTCCCCCATAAAACCTTCCCAGCTCCTGGTAGCTATTATTCTACTCTTTACCTTAATGAGATCAACTTTTTTTTAGTTCCATCATGTCATTGAGAACATGCGATATTTTTGTCTTTCTGTTCCTGACTTACTTCACTTAACGTGATGACTTCCAGTTCCATCCATGTTGCTGCAAATGACAAGATTTTATTATTTTTTGTGGCTAAATAGCATTCTATTGTGTACATATGCTACATTTTCTTTATCCATTCATTCATTGATGGACATGTAAATTGTGTTCATATCTTGCTTATTGTAAGGAGTGTTGCAGTAAACATGGAGTTGCAGGTATCCCTTTGATAGGTTAATTTTTTTCCTTTGGGTAAATAATCAGTAGTGAAATTATCAGTAGGTGGATCGTAGGTAATTCTATTTTTAACTTTTTGAGGAGCCCCTGTAGTATTTTTCATAATGGCTATAATAAATTACATCTCCGCCAGCAGTGTATAAGAGTTTCCTTTTCTCTGCATCCTCCACAGCATGTTTTTCATAATAGCTGTTCTAGCTGGGGTAAGAAAGTATCCCACTGTGATTTTGATTTATGTTAGTGCTGTTAAGCATTTTTTCATTTAGCAGTTGGCTTTTTGTATGTCCTTTTTGGAAAATATCATTTTACTCTGTTGATTGTTTCCTCTGCTGTACAGAGCTTTTTAGTTTAGTATCATCTCATTTGTCTATTTTTGTTTTAGTTGGCTGTGATTTTGAGGTCTTACCATAAAATTTTTCCTAGACGAATGTCCTGAAGTGTTTCCCCTGTGGTTTCTTCTGGAAGTTTTATAGTCTTGGGTCTTTGTTTAAGTCCTTAATCCATTTGAGTTGATTTTTGTATTTTGTGTATGGGAAGAGACAGGGATCCAGTTTAATTCTTCTGCCTATGAATATCCAGTTTACCCAGCACCGTTTATTTAAGAGACCATCCTTCCTCTGATACATGTTTTTGACACCTTTGTCAAAAATCAGTTGGCTGTGATGATTTTCTGTTAGATCTAATACTGTTTGCTTTATATATCTGGTTCCCCTGGTGTTGGGTATACATATATATTTAGAATTATTATATCGTCTTGCTGAATCAACCCCTTTGTCATTATATAATGACCTTATTTGTCTCTTCATACTGTTTTTGACTAGAAGGTCTGTTTTATCTGATATACATTAGATACTTCTGCATGATTTTGGTTTCCATTTTCATGGAATATCTTGTTCCATCCCTTCACTTTCAGTCTACATGTGTCTTTACAGGTGAAGCAATTTTCTTGTAGGCAGCAGCATATAGTTGGTTCATTTTATATTTATTTTTATTTTTTTGAGATGGAGTCTTGCTCAGCCACCCAGGCCGGATTTCAGTGACATGATCTCAGCTCACTGCAACCTCTGCCTTCTAGGTTCAAGCGAATCTTCTGCCTCATCCTCCCAAGTAGCTGACAGTACAGGCATGTGCCCCCAGGTGTGGCTAATTTTTGTATTTTTAGTAGAGACAGGATTTCACTATGTTGGTCAGGCTGGTCTTGAACTCCTGACCTCAAGTGATCTGCCCATCTTGGCCTCCCAAAGTGCTGGGATTCCAGACATGAGCCACCATGCCTGGCTCCAGTTGGGTTACTTTAAAAAATTTATTTAGCCAGTCTATATCTTTTAATTCAGTAAATTAATCCATTTACATTCAAAGTTATTATTGACATATGAGGTTTTGTTTTCATCATAGTGTTCATTGCTTTCTGGTTGCTTTGTATATTCTTTGTCCCATTCTTTCTGTCTTATTTTTTTGTCCTAACAGTTTGCTGGTTTTCTGCAGTGATAAAAAATTTTAGTCCCATCTCTTTCTCATTTGTGTGTCTGCTCTATCAGTGAGTTTTATACTTCTGTGTGTTGTCATGATGGTAAATATTACTCATTCACTTTCAAAGGTAGGACTCCCTTAAACACGTCTTGTAGGGCTGCTTTAGTGGTAATAAATTTCCTCCATTTTGCTTGTCTCGGAAAGTCTTTATTTCTCCTTCATTTTTGAAGGATGGATTTACCGGGTATAGTATTCTTGGCTCTCAGTCATTTTTTTTCTTTCAACACTTTGAATATATCATCTCATTTTCTTCTGGCCTCTAAGACTTCTGCTGAGAAATCCAATCTTAGTCTGATGGGGTTCCCTTCTAAGTGATTATATGCTTTTCTCTCACTGTTTTAGAATTCCATCTTTATTACTGACTTTTGACAGTTTGGGTGTAACGTACCTCAGAGAAGACCTTTCTGCTTGAATCTATTTGGGGTATAATTGAGCTTTCTGCATCTATATTTCTTGTAGATATCTATTTATCTTGTAAGACTTGGGAAGTTTTCAGCTATTATTTCATTAAATAGATTTTCTCTGTCTCTGCTCAACTCTTCTTCTGGAAAATCCAAAATTGGAAAATTTGGTCACTTTATTGTGTCCCACATGTCACATAGACTATCTTCATTCTTTTTTATTTTTATTTTTTGGTTTGGGTTATTTCAAAAGACCCGTGTTTAAGTTTAGAAATTATTTCTTCTGCTCCACCTAGTCTATTGTTAAAGTTCTTGATTGCATTTTTAATTTCATTTATTGATTTCTTCAGTTCTAGGATTTCTGTGTGGTTCTTTCTTAATGATATTTGTCTCTATTGAATTTCTCATTCAGATCATGAATTTCTAATTTCCAATTTCATGTTTTTCTAACTTCTTTGTATTTTTTATCTATGCTTCCTTGTATCTAACTGAACTTTTTTAATGCCATTATTTTGAACTATTTCTCAGGAATTTAATGGGTTTTTTTCCCTCCCATTGGAATCTATTGCTGAAGAATTATTGTGATCCTTTGGAGATGTCATATTCCTTGCTTTTTCATATTTCTTTTGTCCTTATGTTGATATCTGCACTTCTCGTGCATTAGTCACTTCTTCCAATTTTTTTTGGATTGGTTTTTATAGGGATAGGCTTTTTCCGTACATGTATCTATAAGTGTTAGTTGTATAGGTGCTTTAGATTTGATTCTGAGTATGTGTAGTAGTGTAATCTTTGAATGATTTATTTGGCTACAATCGGCATCAGTGGTGCCTGTGATTTTCTCAGTGGCTTAGGCTGCAGTTGTTAGTGAAGGCTGTGGTTAGTCTTTGCTGGGAATAGCTATGCAAGGCAGGATAGTCTTCAGGCCCGCTTGGTGGTATTGATGGGCTAGGCATACCTTTCCTTGGGCCCCTAGGCAACACATGAAGGCACTGATGTTACTGAGCCCAGATAGGCCAATTCTTGGGTTTCCAGGGAGCTTGTTCAGGTGTCAGCTGTGGCAGCAGTAGAATTTGTGGTTAGGTGGGGCATCCTTGGGCTTCTAGGCAGCATGTGTGTCATCAACCACAGCAGTAGTGATGGTGGGCCAACTTGTGTGCCCCCAGGTTGTGTGTGTTGGTGCCAGAAGTGACTGCAATAGGTTGGTAGGGCCAGTCTCCAGGTTCCCAGGTGGTCTGTGCAGGTGGGTCTCACTGGTGTTGGTGGCAGTAGGCTGTGAGTATCCATCCTCAGGCTCCTGGGAGGAGCACGTGGATACTGGCAGTAGTGGGTGGGGTAGTCTCCAGACCACTGAATGACGTGCTCAGAAGCCAGGAGCGGGTGAGCTGGGCCTTGGTATTAGGCCCCCTGATGGTGTGCATTTTTAACGTAAGTGGAAGGCGGGGCTGGTTGATCCCCAGGCCCCCACACAGTGCTCAGATAGACTTCTTGTTTTCATTATTGTCTTTATTAATTTGCTCTTGACTTTAACATTTGAATGATTGATGCTTGGTTAAGAAAGTTTTTTTGTTTAGTTTTGTTTTGTTTTTGTTTTTTGAGATGGAGTCTCACTCTGTCACCCAGGCTTGAGTGCAGTGGCATGATCTCTGCTTACTGCAACCTCTGCCTCCCAGGTTCAAGTGATTCTCCTACCTCAGCCTCTTGAGTAGATGGGATTACAGGTGCTCGCCACCATGCTCAGCTAAATTTTGTATTTTTAAAAGATATGGGGTTTTACCATGTTGGCCAGGATTGTCTCAAACCTCTGATCTCAAGTGATCTGCGTGTCTTGGCCTCCCAGTGTCCTCGGATTACCGGCATGAGCTACTGTGCCTGACTGAGTTAAGAAAATTTTATCCATCTAAAGAAATGTCCTTAGTTGAAAACTAGAAATCAGGGATACCATCTTCACAAGTGAGGATGGATACATCAAAAGTGCTGCCTCCTGTTTCAAGGATCAACACATTTTGTTTGACAGCAACCATCCTGATCAAGCCTTAAGCAGTAGCAGTGGCATTTGGGTCACAGGAAATACAGAGACCAGTAACATTTATAGCATTGTTGGCACCTTGGCGCTGAGAGTCATTAAAGTTCTGGTACTGTGGTGATGTCACAGGTGGCCAAAGTGAGCTGCTGTAATTTTGTTCATCTTCTTCCATTCAAAATTTATATATATGTTGGTGTCGTCTGACACCTGAACAAGGTCCCTGGAAAACCAAGAATTGGCCTATCTGGGCTCACTAACACCAATGCCTGCATATGTCGCCTAGGGGCCCAAGGAAAGATATGCCTAGCCCACCACTACCACCAAGCAGTCCTGAAGACTATCCTGCCTTGCCTATATATATATATATATATATATATATATATATATATATATATATATATATATATATATGTGTCTGTGTGCGTGTGTGTGTGTGTGTATATATATATATACACACACACACACATATATATACGTATATTTTTTTTTGAGATGGAGTTTTGTACTTTTTGTCCAGGCTGGAATGCAATGGCGTGATCTCAGCTCCCTGCAACCTCTGCCTCCTTGGTTCAAGTGATTCTCCTGCTTCACCCTCCCAAGTAGTTGGGATTAGAGACATGCATCACCACACCAAGCTAATTTTGTATTTTTAATAGAGATGGGGTTTCATCATGTTGGCCAGGCTGGTATCAAACCCCTGATTCAAATGATCTTCCAGCCTCAGCCTCCCAAAGTGCTAGGATTACAGGCATGAGGTGCCATGCCTGGCCAGAAATTAATTAATTAATTCTCTTTCTTTCTTTCTTTCTTTCTTCTTTCTTTCTTTCTTTCTTTCTTTCTTTCTTTCTTTCTTTCTTTCTTTCTTTTCTTTCTTTCTTTCTTTCTTTCTTTCTTTCTTTCTTTCTTTCTTTCTTTCCTTCCTTCCTTCCTTCCTTCTTTCTTTCTTCTTTCTTTCTTTCTTTCTTCTCTCTTTCTTTCTTTCTTCTTTCTCTCTCTCTCTGTCCCTCCCTCCCTCCCCCCCTTCCTCCCTCTCTTCCTTCCTTTCTTCCTTCCATCTTTCCTTTTTCAGAGTCTTGCTCTGTCACACAGGCTGGAGTACACTAGTGCAATTTCGGCTCACTACAACTTCCGCCTCTCAGGTTCAAAGGATTTTCATGCCTCAGCTTCCCAAGTAGTTGGGATTACAGGTGCATGCCACCACACTCTACCAATTTTTGTATTTTTAGTAGAGGCAGGGTTTCATCATGTGACCAGACTGGTCTTCAACTCCTGATCTCTAGTGATCCTCCCACCTCAACCTCCCAAAGTGCTGGGATTACAGGCATGAGCCACAGCACCTGGCCCCAGCCAGAAATTTTTAATCTCCTTTTTATACTCTACCTACACTGCTTGTCTTACTGGAGAGTTGAGTAATCAAATCGTTGTCCAAGTATACATTTGGCCCTAAGAATCATATTGTGGAGTTCATTGTAGCTTGACTATTTGCAGTATCAGTGATCGATCACGTTATATCTGTAAAGGCAGCATAATGTGGCTGAGTATTGGCAATGATCTCAGTCTTCTCAGTCTGAAAGACCCCCTTTTAGGAATGGATGGTGAAGGATAAGTGCCAACTGCAAGTTTCTTCAACGTGGCTGCAGGGGAAGCCTGATCTAGCTCACTAGAGAAAGTGACGCCAGAACTGCTGCTGCATTCAACAACTTTATTATTTCAACATGCAAAAATATGAAGACATTCAAAGAACTGCATGATAAGCCTGACTTTGAAGTTTGTTTTCTCATATGTTTCTTTATACTTTATGTTGAATCATTTTGTTTTAATTTATTTTATTTTACTTTATTTTATTTTTTAGAGACAAGGTCTCAGTCTGTCATTCAGACTGTAGTGAAGTGGCGCAATCATGGCTCATTGCAGCCTCTACCTCCCTGGGCTTAGGTGATCCTCACACCTCAGCTTTCCAGGTAGCTGGGACTGCAGGCATGTGCCACCACACCTGGCTAATTTTTGAATTTTTTGTAGAGATAGTGTTTTACCATGTTACTCAGGATGGTCTCAAACACCTGGACTCAAGCCATCTGCCTACCTCAGCCTCCCAAAGTGCTGGAATTATACATGTGAGCCCTGTGCCTGGCCCGTTAAATCTTTTTAAAAGTTTTTTAAAGTTTATGTACATTTATATTGCTTTTTGTCTTCTTCACCTTGTGTTTTTCATTCAATGTTCTGTTTATTATATTTATCTATGTTTATATGTATAGCTCTAATTCACTGCTACATAAAATTACATTGTTTGAATATATCTAAATGTATTTATTTTTCCATTTTCCTCATGATATATTAATAGAATGTTTCCTTTTTTTAATTTTTACAAACAATACTACTGTGACTGTGAATGAAAAGATCAATGGATTCAATTATATTAAAATAAATACTGTACCAAAAATATCTTATACAAAAGATAATCTACTGAATTTATTTTCAGTATATATAACCAACAGAGTGTTGGTATTCCAGATGCATAAAAAGACTCCTACAAATCAATAGAAAGAAGATTAAAAAAACCCTCAGTATAAAAATGAGGAAAAAATTGTGAGATAATTTAAGAGCAGAAGAGTAAACTTGAGTGAGTAATAAAATATTAAAAGATGCTCCATCTCACTAGAAATAAAAAAAATGCAAATAAAACTACAAGAACAGTGCACATCATGCTATAAAAATTTGAAAAACCTAATGAGCCCAAGTGTTAGCAAAGATGTGGATTGATGAATATCTTTTTTGTTGGCTTGAGGAAGTTTAAATTTGTACAACAGTTTTGGAAAGTAAATTGGCAGTGTTTAGAAAAGTTAAAGATAAGAATCCCCACAACACCGTACCTCCAATGCTGAAAATATATCCTAGAGAAACTCTTATCCAGGTATCCAGGGGGATGTATACAAATGTTCTTCATAGTTATTTTCAGTGAGCATTTTTCTGTTTGTGTAATTCAGAGCATGCTTCTCAGACTAATTTTAACAATAGAATGATATAGCTATCGCCATCTTTAATTTATTAGTGTTAATAGAAAATAATTTTGATTGCCAGTAAAATTACTTAATGATTCTAATTCACATATTTATTTCCTTTTGCATTTGTTACATGCCTACTACATACTAGGTACTATGTTACATGGTGGAGTGAATAAGGCATAGCAACTACTAGCTGTTACTTTTAAGTTTTAAAAAATTACTTAAATATTTCTTTTTTCTTTCTTTCTTTCTTTTTTTCTGATGGAGACTTGCTCTGTCACCAGGCTGGAGTGCAGTGGTGTGATCTCAGCTCACTGCAACCTCCACCTCATGGGTTCAAGCGATTCTCCTGCTTCAGCCTCCCAAGTAGCTGGGACTAAAAGCAAGCGCCACCACGCCCAGCTAGTTTCTGTATTTTTAGTAGAGATGGGGTTTCACCATGTTTGCCAGGATGGTCTCAATTTCTTGACCTTGTGATCTGCCCGCTTCAACCTCCCAAACTGCTGGGATTACAGGTGTGAGCCACTGCACCCAGCAAAATTACTTAAATATTTCTATCTCTGTTCTTATAAACATCTCTATCCCAGAAGACAACTTCCAGCTTTACAGGAAGGGTAATATTCTCTGGATTAACCCACTCTTAATTCCTGTCATCTATATCTTGTCATGACCATGGAGGATGCTGAGTAATCACTTGTTGGTGATGATCACTGATAAAGTTCTTTTCTACCTATCTCCTGGGTTCTCATCTGTAAAGAGACATTGAAGACATTCATTTAGTCACTAGCAGGAAATAAATAAACGGATACAGAATGGCTTGTAAAATTACAAAACACAGAAAAGAATAATTTGTTGTCTTTTCATCTTTCAGAGCTGTTGCATGCTCAGCTTCTGAGATTCAGAAGAAAAATGAGAATAATAAAATATTGAAAAAAAAGAAGAGAAAGCACTTGTGGTGTACTCTTAGTATACTATCCAATGCATTGCTTCTAAAGCATTTTAAAGTGAAAATGAAATGCATTTTTATCAGTTTTTTTTCTGTGGAGGATGTTTGTTCTCTATTTATCAAATGCAGTATTCTATATATTTGAGACAAAGCAATTTTTCTATTCCACATATTCATCAAATTGGAGAACACTTGCCTTTCAGTTGGCAAACTGGATTTTAATCTGATAAGCTTGACTTCACAGTCTGCAGTTTTCATCTCATCAAACCTGCCAATATTATGGAAATATTTCAGCCAAGCAATGAATAATTATCAATCATTTTGTGTGAAGTTTTAGGAAAGGTAACCTAAGATTATAGGCAACATGAAAAAGTCTCTCTCTTGTGACAAAATAATCTCTGTTTGCAGCATACATGTCCCAACTATGCACTTCTGGCTGGATTTTTCCTGCTTTGTGTGGAAGCAATGAAGAGCAGAGATACATTTTGCTTCTCTTTGGTTTTCCTCCAACAAAACTGTTCAGACTCAGGGGATGGTCATCAGCATCCATAGCAAAAATGTATCAGTTTCATAATAACAGTGCATGGCAGAGAGGGTAGATAAACTCTGAATAAACTACACCTTCACCAGTCCTACTCAAACACTTTGGGATAATTTCTGCTACCCACCATGACCTCCTTTGCTTTATTGCTACTGAAGAGTTCTAATCCTTGGGGTCCTGGGGTAAGAATGTGTCTCTTCTATTCCAATATACTATATGTTGTTACCACCCCACAGAAGCAGAAATGGCCCCCAACTACAATTTAGTTTTGATGTCAAGATCAATGATGCTACATACACACAAGGTGTGAAATGTTTCTTATACAAGGAGGCTTTCTGAGGAGAGTGAGGCTTGAGAGAGAGAAAAAAGAATGGCTTGGAGTTTTTATGGTGGTTAGTGGGTGGGATTGGGATTAGATTGGGATTGCACATAGGCAGAGGCTTGTCGATATGGTTTGGCTCTGTCCCCACCCAAATCTCATCTTGGATTGTAGTTCCCACAATCCCCACTTGTTGTGGGAGGGACTTGGTGGGAGGTAACTGAATCACGGGGATGTTTCCTCATGCTATTCTCGTGATAATGAGTAAGCTTTCATGAGATCTTATGGTTTTATAAGGAGCTCCTTTGCTTGGCTCTCATTGTTCTCCTTCCTGCCTCCATGTGAATGAGGCTGTATTCCTTCCCCTTCCACCATGATTGTAAGTATCCTAATGCCTCTCCAGCCATGCTGTGAGTCAATTCAACCTCTTTCTTAATAAATTACCCAGTCTTGGGCATTTCTTTATAGCAGCATGAAAACGGACTAATACACTTGTGTAATTTGAATTTTCTGCTGGACCCAAAGGTCTAAGTACCCAGGGTTTCTTATCAGTTCGCCCACATATGGGGCAGAAGGTGAGGCATAAAAGTTCTCATCAACAAATAGTGTAAGACTTTATTATACCGTGTGTATTCTCTGCTTCTCTCAAGCAAACCTCCCATTCCTTAGATTGGGGCAGGAGGATAGGGAACAAATTGCTGTTTTTACCAAGACATTGACACTTAGAAATGCCATTCACTTGTAATGCACAAAGTACATTACATCATTACTTCTTCAATTTGGGCTTATTCTGTCTGCTTATTTGTAGCATCATGCATTGTATTAAACTTTATCTAAATTTAACATTTATTTGCATATTTTTGCTTGCTTAAACTCCTCAGTACTTAGTGTGTTCAAATACAGTTTAAAATACATATTTATTAACCTAATCTGATTAAGCAGTCTAAACATGTGCTCTCAATTTTAGACTGAGTAATAAGTCTAATTTCAAACAATGATATTCAAAGTTGTCTAAGATGAAAGGCAGAGAAATAAGTATTCTGGGTATTTGTGACCACTGTGAATGGAAAGTGGGTGAGCAGCAAGTAGTCACAGAGATGGGAAAACACCCAGACTCACTTCAGGCAAAGCTCTACCCTGGGGCTGGAGCAGACACTGCAAAGCAGTTTCCCACATAGATTCTTTGTAAATCCACATATTGGAAAGCAGTTTCACAAATACCTTCTTTCTTGTTTCTGTTGCAGGATATTCAGTTTTTCACTATAGGCCTCAATGGGCTCCTAAATGTCCCTTTGAAGATTATACAAAAAGAGTATTTCCAAACTACTGAATCCAAAGAAAGGCCTAAATTTGGGAGATGAATGCACACATCACAAAGCTGTTTCACATTCAGCTTTTTTTTTTCAGTTTTCATAGCGGGATATTGCATTTTTCACTATAGGCCTCAATGGATTCCAAAATGTACCTTCACAGATTCTACAAAAAGAGTCTTTCCAACCACAGAATCAAAAGAAAGGCTTAATTCTGTGAGAGAAATCCCAACATCACAATACAAATTCTCATACAGCTTCTTTCTAGTTGTTTTGCAGTATATTCAGTTTTTCCTTATAGACCTCAATGGGTTACAAAATATCCCTTCACACATTCTACAAAAAGAGTGTTTAAAACCTGCTGAGTCAAAAGAAAGGTTTAATCCTGTGAGATGAATCTACACATTTCAAAGCGGTTTGACAGATAGCTTCTTTCTAGCTTTTGTCACAGGATATTCAGTTTTTCCCTATAGGCCTCAATAGGTTTTGAAATGTCCTGTTGCAGATTCTACCAAAAGAGTGTTTCCAACTGGCTGAATCAAAAGAAAGATTAAGCTCTGTGAGATGAATCCACACATCACAAAGTGGTTTCACAGCTTCTTTCTAGTTTCTATCATGGGATAATTGGGTTTTCACTGTAGACTTCAATGGGCTCTGAAATGACCCTTTGCAGATTCTACAAAAATGTATTTCCAATCTGCTGAATCCAAAGAAAGGTTTAACTCTGTGAGATGAATGCAAACATAGCAATGCGGTTTCACAGAAACAATTTTCTCCAGAATTTTCTCCAGAAAATTTTCTCCAGAATGTCCCTTCACAGATTCTACAAAAAGAGTGTTTACAAAGTGCTGAATCAAAAGAAAGGTTTAACTCTGTGAGATAAATCCAAACATCACAAAGTGTTTTCACAGATGATAGCTTCTTTTTAGTTTCTATGGCGAGATATTCAGTTTTTCCCTGTAGGCCTCGATAGGGTCTGAAATGTCCCCTTGCAGATTCTACAAAAAGGATGTCTCCAACCTGCTGAATAAAAAGAAAGCTTTAGCTCTGTGAGATAAATCCACACATCACAAAGCGGTTTCAAAGATAGCTCCTTTCTTGTTTTTTTATCACAGGGTATTCAGTTTTTCCTGTAGGGCTCAATTGGCTCTGAAATATCCCCTCACAGATTCTACAAAAAGAGTGCTTCCAGCCTGCTGAATCAAAAGAAAGTTTTAATTCTGTGAGATAAATTCTCACATCACTAAGCATTTTCACAGATAGCTTATTTCTAGTTTTTACCTGGGATATTCAGTATTTCCCTACAGGCCTCTATGGACTCCAAAATATTCCTTTGCAGATTCTACAAAAAGAGAGTTTCCAACCTGTTGAATCAAATGAAAGATTTAACTCTGTGGGATGAATTCACACATTGCAAAGCAGTTTCCCAGATAGCTTTTTTCAATTTTTTATTGTGGGATATTTGGTTTTTCCCTATACACCTCAATGGCCTCAAAATGTCCCTTTGCAGATTCTACAAAAAGAGTGTTTCCAAACCACTGAATCACAAAAACATTTAACTCTGTAAGATGAATCCACACATCACAAAGCAGTTTTATAAATAGCTTCTTTTTTGTTTTTATCATGGGATATTTGGTTTTTCTTTGTAGGCCTCAATGGGTTCTGAAAGATCCCTTCATAGATTTTACAAAAAGAGTGTTTCCAACCTGCTGAATCAAAAGAAAGGTTTACCTCTGTGAGTTGAATCCACGCATTGCAGTGTGATTTCACAGATAGACTCTTTCTAGTTTACATTACATAATATTCGGTTTTTCTCTATAGGCATCAATGGACTCTGAAATGTGCCTTTGTAGATTCTATAAAAAAACATTTTCCAATGGGCTGAATCAAAAGAACATTTTGACTCTATGAGATAAATCCACACATCACTAAGAATTTTCACAGATAGCTTATTTCTAGTTTTTACCATGGGATATTCAATATTTCCCTATAGGCCTCAATGGGCTCCCAAATGTCCCTTCACAGATTCTACAAAAAGAGTTTTTCCAACATGCTGAATCAATGGAAAGGTTTAACTTTGTGATATGAGTCCACACATTGCAAAGCAGTTTCACAGATAGATTCTTTCTAGTTTTTATCATGGTATATTCAGTTTGCCTAGTATGCCACAATGGGCTCTGAAATGTCCCATCTCAGATCCTATAAAAAGAGTGTTTCCAACCTGCTGAATCAAAAGAAAGTTTTTTTTTTTTAGATGAATCCAAACTTCAGAAAGCAGTTTCACGGATAGCTTCTTTCTAGTTTTTATCTTGGGATATTCAGTTTTTGCCTGTAGGACTAAATGGCCTCCAAAATTTCCCTTCATAGAGTCTATAAACAGGGTGTTTCCAACATTCTGAATCAGAAGAAAGGATTAACTCTGTGAGATGAATCCACATATCACAAAGGGGTTTCACAGATAGCTTCTTTCTAGTATTTATCATGGGATTTTTTTCCCCTATAGTCCTCAAAGGGCTCCAAAATGTCACTTCACTGATTCTTAAGAGCATGTTTTCAACCTGCTGAATCAAAATAAATGTTTAACTCTGTGAGATGAATCCACACATCACAAAGCAGTTTCATGGATAATTCCTCTGTAGTTTTTATCACAGGATATTTGGTTTTCCTATATAGGCCTCAATGGGTTCCAAAATGTCCCTTCACAGATTCTACAAAAAGAGTGTTCCAACCTGCTTAATTTAAAAAACAGTTTAACTCCATTAGTAGAATCCACACATCACAAAACTATTTCACAGATAGCTTTTTTCTAGTTTTTATCAGGGGATATTTGATTTTTTCCTAAAAGCCTGAATAGGCTTCAAAATGTCTCTTCACAGACTCTACAAAAACAGTGTTTCCAACCTGCTGAATCAAAGGAAAGAATGAACTTTGTGACATGAATCCATACATCACAAAGCAGTTTGACAGATAGCTTCTTTCTAGTTTTTATCATCCGATATTCAGTTTCTTGCTATAGGCCACCATGTGCTCTGAAATGTGCATTCAAAGATTCTACAAAAAATGTGTTTTCAACCTGCTGAATAGCAAGAAAGGTTTAACTCTGAGATGAATCCACACATCACAAAGTGGTTTCACAGATAGCTTCTTTCTAGTTTTTATCATGGGATATTTGGTTTTTTCCTGTAGGCTTCAATAGGCTCCGAAATGTCCCCTCGCAGATTCTACAAAAAGGGTGTCTCCAACCTGCAGAATAAAAGGAAAGGTTTAACTCTGTGAGCTGAATCAACATATCGCAAAGAAGTTTCACAGATAGCTTCTTTCTAGTTTTTATGGTGGGATATTAGGTTTTTCCCTATAGGCCTCAATGAGCTCTGTAATGTCCCTTCACAGATTCTACAAAAATGGTGTTTCCAATGTGCTGAATCAAAAGAAGCGTTTGTCTCTGTGAGATGTATCCACACATCACAAAACGGTTTCACAGATAGATGCTTTCTACTTTATATCGTGAAGTATTCACTTTTTCACTATAGATCTCAATGCACTCTGAAAAGTACCTATGTAGAGGGTGCAAAAAAAGGGTTTCCATCCTGTAGAATCAAAAGAAACATTTAATTTTGTGAGATAAATCTGGCCATCAAAAAGCAGTTTCAGAGGAAGCTTCTTTCTAGTGTTTATCACGGGATATTAGGTTTTTCACTATAGCTTTGAAATGTCTCTTTGAAGATTCTACTCAGTGTTTCCAACCTCCTGAGTCAAAAGAAATGTTTAACCCTTTGAGATGAATCTACACAAAGTGGTTTCACAGATAACTTCTTTCTAGTTTTTATCCAGGGATATTCGGTTTTTCACCATAGGCTTCAATTGGTTCTGAAATGTCCCTTTGTAGATTGTACAAAAAAAGTGTTTCCAACCTGCTGAATCAAAATAAATGCTTAACTTTGTGTGATGAATTCACCTATCACAAAATGGTTTCAGAGGTAGCTTCTTTTTAATTGTTATCATGGGATATTTGTTGTTTTACTATAGGCATCAATGAGCTCCAAAATGTTCCTTTGTAGATTTTACCAAAATAGGGCTTTCAAAAGAAGGAATGCTTAACTTTTTTGAGATGAATCCACCAATCACAAAGCCGTTTCATACGTAGCTTCTTTCTAGTTTTTATCACAGAATATTCGGTTTTTCAACGTAGGCCTCTGTGGGCTTTGAAATTTACATTCTACAAAAAGATTGTTTCCAACCTGCTAAATAAATTAAAAAAAAGGTTTATCTCTGAGATGAACCCACACATTGCAAAGTGGTTTCCAGATAGCGGCTTTCTAGTTTTTATCACAGGATATTTGGGTTTTCAATATAGTCCTCAATGGGCTCTGAAATATCCCTTGTAGAGTGTGCAACAAAAGGGTTTCCAGCTGCAGAATCAAAAGAAATGTTTAAATTTATCAGATAAATCCACCCATCACAAAGCAATTTCAGAAGTAGCTTCTTTCTGGTTTTTATCTCAGGATATTCGGTTTTTAATTATAGGCCTCAGTGGGCTCTGAAATACACCTTTATAGACTCTACAAAAGGAGTGTTTCCCACCTCCTGAATCAAAAGAAAGGTTTAACACTGTGAGGTGAATCCACATAGCACAAAGCATTTCACCGATTGTTTCTTTCTACTTTTGATTGTGGGACATTCAATTTTTCACTATACACCTCAATGGCCTCCAAAATGCCTCTTTGTAGATTCTACAAAAAGAGTGTTTCCAACCTGCTGCATTAAAAGAAATGTTTAACTCTGAGAGATGAATCCACACATCACAAAACAGTTACACACTGAGCTTCTTTCTAGTTTTTATCACAGGATATTGTTTTTTATTATAGGCCTCAATGGGTTCCAAAATGTCCCTTTCTAGATTCTAAAAGGAAGAATGTTTTCAAAGTGCTGAATAAAAAGAAAGGTTTAAATCTGTGAGGTGAACCAACATATTGCAAAGCAGTTTCTCAGATAGCTTCTTTCTAGTTTTAATGTGGGTTATTGTTTTTCATTATCGGTCTCAACAGGCTATAAAATGTCCCTTCATAGATTCTACAAAAAGAATATTTCCAATTGCTCAATCACAAAAAAGTTTAACTAAATGAGATGAATCCATACATCACAAAGTGGTTTCACAACTAGCTTCTTTCTACTTTTTATCATGAGACATTTGATTTTTCACTGTTGGACTAAATGGGCTTTGAAATGTGCCTTTGTAGACGTTACAAAGAGATTGTTTCCAACATGGTGAATCAAAACAAAGGTTTAACTCTGTGAGATGAATACACACATCACAAAGCAGTTTCACAGATAGCTTCTTTCTAGTTTTTATCACATTATACTCCTCAATGGGCTCCAAAATGTCCCTTTGTACATTGTACAAAAAAAATGATTTTCAACCTGCTGAATTGAAAGAAAGGTTTAACTCTTTGAGATGAATCCACCCATTGCAAAGCAGTTTAACAGATAGCTTCTTTCTAGTTTTTATGGTGGGATATTCAGTTTTTCCCCATAGGCCTCAATAGTCTCTGAATTGTCCATTCGCAGATTCTACAAAAACAGTGTTTGCAACCTGCTGAATCATAAGAAAGGTTTACCACTGTGAGATGTATCCACACATCACAAAGCAGTTTCAAAGATAACGTCTTTCAAGTTTTTATCACGGGATATTCAATTTTTCACTGTAGGCCTCAATGGGCTCCAAAATGTCCTTTTGTACATTAAACAAAAAGAGGGTTTCCAACCTGCAGAATCAAAAGAATGATTTAAATCTGTGAGATGATCCCACACATCACAAAGCAGTTTCACAGAAAGCTTCTTTCTAGTTTTTATCGTGGGATATTTGGTTTTTCAGTATAGGCCTCAATAAGATTCAAAATGTCCCTTTGTAGATTCTACAAAAAGAGTGCTTCCAACCTGCTGAATCAAAAGAATGGTTTACCTCAGCCAGATAAATCCACACATCACAAAGCAGTTTCACAGAGAGCTTCTTTCTAGTGTTTTTTTTTTTTCCTGTGGAATGTGGTTTTTCACTGTATTCTTCAATGGTCTCTGAAATGCCCCTTTGCAGATTCTACAAAAATAGTGTTTCCAATTTGCTAAAAAAAAAAGTTTATTTCTGTGAGATGAAACCAGACATCACAAAGTGATTTCACAGATAGATTCTTGCTAGTTTGATTATGGGATATTCGGTTTCTTATTGTTGGCCTCAATGAACTCCAAAATATCTCTTTGTGGATTCCATGAAAAGATTGTTCTTAACCTGCTTACTCAAAAGAAATATTTAACTTTATGAGATGAATCCACACATTGCAAAGCGTTTTCACAGATAACTTCTTTCCAGTGCTTATCATGGGATATTGTGTTTTTAACTAGAGTCCTCAATGAGCTCTGAAATATCCCTTCTTAGATTTTACAAAAAGAGTGTTTCCAATCTGCTGAATAAAAAAACTTGTTTAACACTATGAGATGAATCCACACATCCCAAAGCTTTTTCACAGATAGCTTCTATCTAATTTTTAATGTAAGATATTTCGTTTTTCACTATAGGCCTCAATAGGCTCCAAAATGTTTCTTCATAGATTCTACAAAGAGAGTGTTTCCTATCTGCTGAATCAAAAGAAAGGTTTAAATCTGTGAGACAAATTCACACATCACAAAGTGTTTTCACAGATTGTAGTTTTATCTCACGATATTCAGTTTTCCACTGTTGGCCTCAATGGGCTCCAAAATATCCCTTCATAGATTCTACAAAAAGATTGTTTCCAACCTGCTTAATCAAAATAAAGGTTTAAATGTGTGAGATGAATCCACACATCACAAAGCATTTTCACAGATAACTTCTTTCTAGTGTTTATTGTGGGATATTGGAATTTTAACTATAGGCCTCAATGGGCTCTGAAATATCCCTTCTTAGATTTTACAAAAAGATTGTTTCCAACGTGCTGAATAAAAAAAAAATGCTTAACACTGTCAGATGAATCTACATGTCACACAGCAGTTTCATAAACAGCTTCTTTCTAGTGTTTATCATGGGATATTTTGTTTTTCACTATAAGCCTCAATGGGCTGGTGACATGTCCCTTCATAGATTCTACAAAATACTGTTTCCAATCTGCCAAATCAAAAGAAAATTTAACTCTCTAGGATGTATCCACACACTGTGAAGCAGCTTAACAGTAGCTTCTTTCTGGTACATTCTTTCTAGTTTTTATCGTGGGAAATTTGGTTTTTCACTGTATGCCTCAATGGGCTCTGAAATGTCTTTTCCAAGATTCTACAAAACATATGTTTCCAACCTGCTGAATAAAAAAAAAAGTTTATCTCTGAGATGAATCTGCATATTGGAAAGCAGTTAGCAGACAGATTCTTTCTAGTTTTTATAACGTGGTATTCAGTTTTTCTCTATAGGCCTTAATGGGCTCTAAAATGTCCCTTCATAGTTTATACAAAAAGAATGTTTCCAACTTTCTGAACCAAAAGAAAGTTTTATCTCTGTGAGATGAATCCACACATCACAAAGCAGTTTCACTGATAGCTTCTTCCTAGTTTTTATTGTGTGATATTTGATTTTTCACTATAAGCCTCAACATGCTTATAGCGCTCTGAAATATTCCTTCATAGATTCCACAAAACAAGTGTTTCCAACCTGCTGAATCAAAAGAAAGGCTTAACTCTGTCAGATGAATCAGCACATCACAAAGCAATTTCACACATAGCTTCTTTCTAGGTTTTATCATAGGATATTTGGTTTTATACTACTGGCCTCAATGGGCTCTGAAATGTCCATTCTTCAATTCTACAAAAAGTGTTTCAATCCTGCTGAATTAAAAGAAGGGATTAATTCTGTGAGATAAATCCACACCTCACAAAGTGGTTTCACATATAACCTCTTTCTAGTTTTTATTGAGAGATATTCGTTTTTTCACTATAGGTCTCAAAGGGCTCCAAAATGTCCCTTTGTAGATTCTACAAAAAGAGTGTTTCCAATCTGCTCAATCAAAAGAAAGGTTTACCTCTGTGAGAAGAATCCACACAACACAAAGCATTTCACAGATAGCTTCTTTCTAGTTTTTATCACAAAATATTCAGTTTTTCACTCTAGGCCACAATGGGCTCCAAAATATCCCTTCCTAGATCCTACAAAAAGAGAGTTTCTAACCTGATGAACCAAAGAAAAGGTTTATGTCTGTGACATGAATTCAGACATCTCAAAGCATTTTACAGATAGCTTGTTTCTAGTTTTTATCACATGATTTTTTTTTACTACATGCCTCAATATGATCTGAAATGTCCTTTGTCAATTCTACATAAAAAGTGTTTAAAACATGCAGAATAAAAAGAAAAGTTTAACTAATCACAATGCATTTTCACAGATAGCTTTTTTTCTAGTTTTCATCACAAGATATTTGGTTTTCACTATAGGCCTCAAAGGGCTGTGAAATGTCTTTTTGTAGATTCTACAAAAAGAGTGTTTCCAACCAGGTTGAATCAAAAGAAAGGTTTACCTTTGTGACATGAATCCACACATTGCAAAGAGGTTGCACAAATAGCTTCTTTCCAAATTTTATTGTGAAATATTCAGTTTTTCACGATAGTCCTAATGTGATTTGAAATATCCCTTCATAGATTCTACAAAAAGGGTGTTTCCAACCCTCTGAATCAAAAGAAAGCTATATCTCTGTGAGATGAATCCACACATCACAAAGCAGTTTTACAGATAGCTTTTTTCTAGTTTTCATTGTGAGATGTTCTGTTTTTCCCAATAGGCCTAAATAGGGTCTGAAATGTCCCTTTGTATATTCTACTAAAACAGTGATTAAAATATGCTTAATCAAAAGAAAGGTTTAACTCTGTGAGATGATTCCATGCATTGAAATTCAGTTTCACAGATAGCTTCTTTTTGTTTTCATCACAGGATATTCAGCTTTTAACTATAGGCCTCAATGGGCTACGAAATGTCCCTTCATAGGTTCTACAAAAAGTGAGTTTCCAGCTTGCTGAATAAAAAGAAAAGTGTAACTACTTGAGATGAATGCACACATCCCAAATCAGTTTTACAGATAGCTTCTTTCTAGTTTTCATTATGGTATATTCCATTTTTCACTATAGGCTGCAATAGACACTGAAATGTTTCTTCATATATTCTACAAAAATTGTGTTTCAACCTGTTGAATCAAAAGTAAGGTTTAAGTATGTGAGATGAATCCACACATCCTAAGTTGTTTCCCAGATAACTTCTTTCTAGTTTTCATCATGGGATATTCTGCTTTTCACTATATGCCTCAATGGGCTTCTAAATGTCCCTTCGTATATACTACAAAAAGAGTGTTTCCAACCTGCTGAATCTAAAGAAAGGTTTATCTCTGTGAGAAGAATGTGCACATCACAAAGCGGTTTCACAGATAGCTACTTTCTAGTTTTTAATCTCGGCAAGTTTTGTTTTTCACTACAGGACCCAATTGGCTTTGAAATGTACCTTAGCAGATTATAAAAAAGAATGTTTCCAACGTGCTGAATAAAAAGAAAAGTTTAACTCCTTGAGTTCAATGCACACATCCCAAAGTGGTTTCACAGTTAGCTACTTTCTAGTTTTATCATGTGACATTTTGTTTTTCACTATATGCC
Source organism: Homo sapiens (assembly GCF_000001405.40). Taxonomy (NCBI): domain Eukaryota; kingdom Metazoa; phylum Chordata; class Mammalia; order Primates; family Hominidae; genus Homo; species Homo sapiens. Next base: position 46,534,953 of record NC_000008.11, on the reverse strand, counting down.
TAAAGGGGCTCAGAAATGTCCTTTCATTGATTCTACAAATAATGTTTCCAACTTGCTGAATCAAAAGAAACATTTAACTCTGTGAGATGATGAATACAAACATCCAAAGCGATTTCACAGATAGCTTCTTTTGAGTTCTTATTGGGGGATATTCAGTTTTTCACTATAGACCTCACTGGGCTTTGAAATGTCCCTTTCAAAAAAATGAGTGTTTTCAACCTGCTGAATCAAAAGAAGCATTTAAACCTGTGAACTGGTTCCACACATTGAAAAGAAGTTTCAAAGAATCTTCTTTCTAGTTTTTATCATGGGATATTCAGGTTTTTTTTACTACTGGCTTTAGTGGGCTAAGAAATGTACACTCATAGATTCTACAAAAAGAGTGTTTGCAAACTGCTGTATCAAAAGAAAGTTTTATCTATTCAGGATGAATCCACAGATCACAAAGCAGTTTCACATATAGCTTCTTTCTAGTTTTTATTGTGTGATATTTGGAAATTCACTACAGGCCTCACTGGACTCTGAGATGTCCCTTTGCAGATTCCACAGAAAGAGTGTTTCCAACCTGTTGAATCAAAAGAAAGACTTAACTCTGAGATAAATCCACATATCACAAAGCAGTTACCCAGATTGCATCTTTCTAGTTTTCATCACAGGATATTCAGTTTTTCATTATAGGGAACAATGGGCACTGAAATGTGTTGAGGACCAGCCTCAACACCACCTGTAGGATACTGAAAGTCTGATGGTGACAAAGGAATGAGAAGAGACAAGTTAAGAGTGCATAAAGGTGGGGGCAAGGGGGCCAGTGCAAAGTAGGAGGCTGCAAAGACCTGGAGCTCTGGACTCCACACTATTTATTGAATACAATCACTTAGATCTAATAAGCAGATGTTCAGGGGTGAAAACGTGAAAGGAGGAGCATCATACACATAAACTATAGCAGTGGCAGTTTAAGTGAATCTCCTTTGTGCTTAAGCAGCATTTACTTAACTACTGATTTATTCTTTAACTTACTGAGAGCAGCTGTTGGGAGTAGGCTTAACTAGGAGCCAGCAAGTCTGGCCACATTCCAATGATTCAAAGGATTGTCTTTCTCCTTGAGCACAGTTTTCATAGATAAGCAAGCGGATCAAGCTCTGGGCATGGGAACATGATGGCAATAAGGAGGCTTTCCTGCTCAGAGGCCTCCTGTGACTTTCCACGACTTATTGTCCTATATTTTTATGGCCAATTTATACAGGCAACCCATAAGCATTTTTCCCTACAGAAATGTGTTTCCCTACAGAAAAGTTTTTCCATCCTGCTGAATCAAAGGAGAGTTTGAACTCTGGGAGTTTAATCCACACATTACAAAGCAGTTTCATAGACAACTTCTTCCTAGTTTTTATCACAGGATATTTCGTTTTTCCCTATAGGCCTCAATGGGTTCCAAAATATTCCTTCGCAGATTCTACAAAAAGAGTGTTTCAAACCTGCTGAATGAAAAGAAAAGTTTAACTCTCTGAGTTGAATCCACACATCACAAAGTGGTTTCAAACATAGCTTCTTTCTAGTTTTTATTGTGGGCTATTTGCTTTTTTACAATAGGCCTTAATGGACTCTAAACTGTCCCTTCGTAGACTCTACAAAAAGATTGCTTTCAATCTGCTGAGTCAAAAGAAACGTTTATTTGTGTGAGATGAATACAGAGATCCAAAGCAGTTTCACAGATAGCTTCTTTTTAGTTTTTATCAAGGATATTGAGTTTTTCACTATAGGCCTCAATGGGCTTTGTAATGTTTCTTAGTAGATTCTACAAAACAGTATTTCCAAGCTGCTGAATCAAAAGTAAGGTTTATGTATGTGAGATTAATCCACAAGTGGCCAAGCAATTTCCCAGATTGTGTCTTTCTAGTTTTTATCACAGGATATTTGGGTTTTCACTATAGGCCTCAATCAGCTCTGAAATGTCCCTTTGTAAATTCTACAAAACAGTGTTTCCAACCTGCTGAATCAAAAGTAAGGTTTATTTCTGTGAGGTGAATTCACACTTTGCAAAGCAGTTCCACAAATAGCTTCTTTCTACTTTTTGTTGTGGGTTATTCACTTTTACACACTATGCTTCAATGGGCTCAAAATGTCCTTTTGTAGATTCTACAAAAAGAGTGCTTTAAACCTGCTGAATCAAAAGGATGGTTTAAATCTGTGAGATGAATCCATACATCACAAAGCAGTTTCACAGATAGCTTCTTTCTAATGCTTATTGCAGGATATCCAGTTTTTCACTCTATTCCTTAATGGACTCTGAAATGTCCCTTATTAGAGTCTACAAAAAAAGTGTTTCCAACCTTCTGAATACAAAGAAAGGTTTATTTATGTGAGATGAATCTACACATCACAAAGCAGTTTCACAGATAGATTCTTTCTAGTTTTTCTCATGGAATATTCGGTTTTTCACTGTTGGCCTTGATGGACTCCAAAAAGTCCCTTCATAATTCTACAAAAAGATTGTTTTTCACCTACTCAATGAAGAGAAAACTTTTACTGTGTAAGATGAATCCACATATTGCAAAGTGTTTTCACAGATAGCTTCTTTCTAGTGTTTATTGTGGGATATTTGGATTTAAAATATAGGCCTCATTGGGCTTCAAGTTGTCCCTTCATAGATTCTACATGAAAAGTGTTTCCAACCTGCTGAATCAAAAGAAAGTTTATCTCTGCTAAATGACTCCACACATCACAAAGGTGTGTCACAGATACCTTCTTTCCAGTTTTTATCTCGGGATATTCTGTTTTTCACTGTATGCCTTAATGGGTTCTGAAGTATCCCATCATAAATAACACAAAAACTGTGATTCCAACCTGCTGAATCAAAGGAAAAGTTTATCTCTGTAAGATGAATCCACACATTGAAAAGTGGTTTCACAGATGGCTTCTTTCTAGTTTTTAGCATAGGATATTCTGATTTTCACAATATGCCTCAATGGGCTCCCAAATGTTCTTTCCTACATTCTACAAAGAGTGTTTCCAACCTGTAGAATCAAATGAAACGTTTAGCAGTGTGGGATGAATCCACACATGCCAAAGCAGTTGTACAGATAGCTTCTTTCTAGTTTTTATCATGGGATATCCGTTTTTACACTATATTCCTCAATGGGCTCTGAAAAGTCCCTATGTAGACCCTTTAAAAAGAGGGTTTCCAACCTGCTGATTCAAATTAAAAGTTTAACTCTGTAAGATGAATCCACATATTGCAAAGCGGTTTCACAGATAGCTTCTTTCTAGTTTTTATTGTGGGATAGTTTGATATTCAGTATAGGCCTCAAGGGGCTTTGAAATGTGCCTTTGTAGATTCTACAAAATAGTTTCCAAGCTGCTGAATAAAAAAAAACGGTTTAACTATCTAGGATGAATCCACAAATTGCAAAGTAGTTTCACAGATAGCTTCTTTCTAGTTTTTATCATGGAATATTCTGTTTTTCACCACAGGCCTAGGTCTCCCAAAGGGCTCTGAAATGTTCCTTTGGAGTTTCTACAAAATAGTGTTTCCAACCTGCTGAATCAAAAGAAATGTTTAACCCTGTGATATGAACCCACACATCTCAAAGTGATTGCACACAAAGCATCTTTCTAGTTTTTATTGCAGGGTATTAGGTTTTTCACTCTAGGCCTTAATACTCCACAAAATGTTCCTTTGTCGAATCTACAAAAAAAGTGTTTAAAACCTGCTGAATTAAATAAAGGTTTATCTCTGAGATACACTCACACATCACAAAGTGGTTCCACAGATAGATAGATTCTTTCTAGTTTTTATCATGAGATATTTGGTTTTTCAAAACAGGCCTCAGTGGGCTTTGAAGTGTTTCTTTGTAGACTCTACAAAAAGAGAGTTTTCAACCTGCTGAATCAAAAGAAACGTTCAAGTCTTTGAGATAAATATAGACAACCAAAGTGTTTTCACAGATAGCTTCTTTTTAGTTTTTATTCAGGGATATTCATTTTTTTTTACTATAGGCCTCAATTGACATTAAAATGTCCCTTTGTAGATACTAAAAAATGAGTGTTTTCAACCTGCTGAATCAAAAGAAATGTTTAAATCTGTGAACTGAATCCACACATCATAAAGCGGTTTCACAGAATCTTCTTTCTAGTTTTTATCATGGAATATTCAGTTTTTGACTATAATCCTCAATGGGCTCCAAAATATTTCTTCATAGATTCTACAAAAAAGAGAGTTTTGAACCTGCTGAATCAAAAGAAAGATTTATCACTGCAAGATGAATCCACACATTGCAAAGCAGTTTCTCAAATAGCTTCTTTCTAGTTTTTATCTTGAGGTATTCAGTTTTTCACAACAGGCATCAGTGGGCTCTGAAATATTTATTTGTACACTCTACAAAAAGAGTGTTTTCAATCTGCTTAATCGAAAGGAATGTTTAACTCTGTGACATAAATATAGACAACCAAAGTGTTTTCACAGATAGCTTCTTTTTAGTTTTTCTTGGGCAATATTCAGTTTTTCACTGTAGCCCTCAATTGTCTTTGAGATGTCCCTTTTAGATACTAAAAAATGAGTGTTTTTAACCTGCTGAATCAAAAGAAACATTTAAATCTGTGAACTGGATCCACACATCACAAAGAGTTTCACAGAATCTTTTTTCTAGCTTTTATTGTGGGATATCCAGTTTTTGACTATAGCCCTCAATGGTCTTCAAAATGTTTCTTCATAGATTCTACAAAAAAGAGTGTTTTGAACCTGCTGAATCAAAAGAAAGATTTATCTCTGTTAGGTAAATCCACACATTGCAATGCAGTTCACAGAGATTTTTTTTTTTGGCTTAACTCTGTGAGATGAATCCACACATTGCAAAGCAGTTGCTCAGATTGCATCTTTCTAGTTTTTATTGTGGGATATTTGATTTTTCACTAAAGGCCTCAGTGGGATCTGAAATGTCCCTTTGTATATTCTGTAAAAGTCTTTCCAACCTGCTGAATCAAAAGTGAGGTTTATCACTGTGGGATCAATGCACACATAGAAAAACAGTACCACAGATAGTTTATTTTTAATTTTTATTGTGGGATATTCATTTTTCACTATTTGCCTTGGGCTCAGAATGGTACATTCATACATTCTGCAAAAAGAGTATTTCAAGCTGCTGTATCAAAAGAAAGTTTATCTCTGTGAGATGAATCCATAAATCACAAAATGGTTTCACATATAGCTCCTTTCTAGCTTTTATCATGGGATATTTGGAAATCTGCTATAGGCCTCACTGGGCTCTGAAACGTCGCTTCATAGATTCCACAGAAAGATTGTTTCCAACCTGCTGAATCAAAAGAAAGGCTTAACTCCGTGAGATGAATCCACACATTGCAAAGTCCTTGCCCAAATTGCACCTTTCTAGCTTTTATCATCAGATATTCAATTTTTCATTATAGGCCTCAATGGGCTATGAAATGTTTCTTCAAATATTCTAAAAAAGAGTATTTCCATGTTGCTGAATCAAAAGAAAGGTTTAATTATGTGAGATGAAACACACATCACAAAGCAGTTTCACAGATATTTTTTTCTGTTTTTTTTATCACCAGATATTCAGTTTTTCAACATAGGTATCTATTGGCTTTGAAATATTCTTTGAAGATTCTACAAAAACAGTGCCTCCAAAGAAAGTTTTAACTCTGTGAGATGAATTTGCACATCACTAAATGGTTTCACAGATAGCTTCTTTCTGGTTTTTATCGTGATTTATTCAGTTTTTCAGTATATTCCTCAACAGGCTCTGAAATGTCCCTTTTAGATTCTACAGAAAGAGTGTTTCCAACCTGCTGAAGCTAATACAACGTTTACTCTGTAAGAGAAATCCACACATCACAAAGCAGTTTCTCAGATAGCTTCTTTCTAGCTTTTATCATAGGATATTTCGTTTTACATTACAGGCCTAAATTGTCTCCAAATGGTCCCTTAGTAGATTTTTTTCCAACCTGCTAAATCAAAAAACAGATTTTACTCTGTGTGATGAACCCACACATCATAAAGTGGTTTCACAGATAGCTTATTTCTATTTTTCTATTGTGGGTATTCTGTTTTCTCCCTATAGACCACAATGGGCTCCCAATTGTCCCCCACAGATTCTACAAAATGAGTGTTTCCACTTCACTGAATCAAAAGAGAACTCTGTTAGTTGAATCCACATATCACAAATCAGTTCCAAAGATAGGTTTTTTCTAGTTTTTATCATGGGATATCTGGTTTTTCATTGTAGGCCTCAATGGCTTATGACATGAATCTTTGTTGAGTCTACAAAGAGTGTTTCCAACCTGCTGAATCAAAAGAAAGGTTTCACTCTATGAGATGAATCCACACATCACAAAGCAGTTTCATACATAGCTTCTTTCTATTTTTTTTATCATGGCATGTTAAGTTTTTCACATAGTTACCCAAGGGGCTTTGAAGTGTCACTTCATAGACTCTACAAAAAGAGTGTTACCAACCATCTGAATCAAAAGAAACGTTTAACTCTGTGAGATGAATGCAGACATCCAAAGTGGATTCACAGATAGCTTTATTTTTCTTTTTATTGAGAGAGATTCATTTTTTCACTATAGGCCAGAATGGGTTTTGAAATTTCCCTTTGTTGATACTACAAAAAGAGTGTTTACAACCTGCTGAATCAAAAGAAACATTTAAATCTATGAGGTGAATCCACACATTGCAAAGCAGTTTCACAGACATATATTTCTGGTTTTTATTACGGGATATTCAGGTTTTTCACTATAGACCTCAATGACCAAGAAAGTAGATTCTACAAAAAGAGTGTTTCAAACCTGCTGAATCAAAATAAAGGTTTAACTCGGTGAGATGAATCTACACACCACAATACATATTCACACATAGCTTTTTTCTAGTTTTTATCAGGATATTTGGATATTCACTATAGGCCTCACTGGGCTCTGAATTGTCTCTTTGCAGATACAACAGAAAGAGTGTTTCCAAGTTACTGAATCATAATAAAGGTTTAACTCTGTGATATGAATCCACACATCACCAAGCAATTTACCATATGTGTCTTTCTAGTTTTATCACAGGATATTCAGATTTTTGGTATATGTCTCAATGGGCTCTGAAATGTTCCCTTGTAGATCCTACCCAAAGAGTGTTTCCAATCTGCTGAATCAAAAGAAAGTTATATCTCTTAAAGATGAATCCACACATCGCAAAGCTGTTCCACAGATAGCTACTTTCTGCTTTTTATTGTGGTATATTATCTTTTACACTATAGGCCTCAATGGGCTCAAAAATGTTGCTTTGTAGATTCCACAGAAAGGATGTTTGCAACTTGTTAAATCAAAAGAAGGTTTTAACTCTGTGAGATGAATCCACACATCACCAAAAAATTTCCCAGATTATGCCTTTCAGTTTTTATCATGGGATATTCAGGTTTTCACTATAAGCCTCAATGGGCCTTGTTAGATTCTATGGAAAGAGTGTTTTTAACCTGCTAAATCAAAGGAAAGGTTTAGATCTGTGGGATAATTGCACAAATTGCAATGCAGTTTAAAAGATAGCTTCTTTCTGGTTTTTATTGAGGGATATTCAGTTTTTCTCCATAGGCCTTAAAGGGCTCCAAAAAGCCCTTCATAGATTCTAAATAAAGAATGTTTCCAAACTGCTGAATCTAAACAAAGGTTCAACTCTGTGAGATTAATACAAACATCACAAAGAGTTTTCACAGCTAGATTCTTTCTTTGCAACAAGAAATTCAGATTTTCACTGTATTCCTCAATGGGCTCCTAAATATCTCCTGTAGACTCTAAAAATACAGTGTTTCCAACCTGCTGAATCAACAGAAAGGTTTAACTCTGTGCGATGAATCCACATATCACAAAGCAGTTTTACAGATAGCTTTTTTCTAAATTGTTTCGTGGGATATTTGGTTTTTCACTACAGGCCTCTGTGTCAGTGAAATGTCCCTTCGCACATTCTGCAAAAAGTGTTTCCAACCTGCTGAATCAAAAGAAAGGATCAACTCTGTGAGTTGAATCCACACATCACAGAAAAGTTTCACACATAGATTCTTTCTAGTTTTTTTTGCAAGATATACAGTTTTTCACTATAGATCTCAGTGAGCTCCGAAATGTCCTTTCACAGATTCTAAAATAGAGTGTTACCGACCAGCTGAATAAAAAGAAAAGCTCAACTCTGTGAGCTAAATCCACACATCACAAAGAAGTTTCACAGAGAGCTTCTTCTAGTTTTTATCACAGGATATTTGTTTTTTCACTATAGGCCACAGTGATTTCCAAGATGTCCCCCCACAGATTCTGCAAAAAGAATGTTTCAAATCTGTTAAATCAAAAGAAATGTTTAAATCTTAGAGCTAAACCACACAATCTAAGGCAGTTTCTCAGACAGTATCTTTCTTGTTTTATTGTAGGATATTCACTTTTTACTTTTGGCCTCAGTGGCCCAAAATATCCCTTCACAGATTCTACAAAGTGTTTCCAATGTGCTGAATCGAAATAGAGGTTTAACTCTGTGAAGACAAATCCACACATCACAAAGCCAATTTTCAGATAGCTTCCTTCTACTTTTTAATCACAAAACATTCGGTTTTTAAATATAATACTCAGTGGCCCTTTAGGAGCCTTTGCAGATATTGCAAAAAGAGCATTTTCAAAATGCTCAAAAAGAAAGGTTGAAATCTGTGATTGGATCTGCACATCACATAGCAGTTTCGAAGATAGCTTCTTTCTAGTTTTTCTCATGATATTTGGTTTTTCACTATAGGCCACAGTGGGCTACTAAATGTCCCCTCACAGATTTCACAAACTCAGTGTTTCCAACCTGCTGAATAAAAAAATTTTACCTCTGTGAGCTGAATCCACACATTGCAAACCAATTTCACAGATAGCTTCTTTCTAGTTGTTGTCACAGAATATTCAATTTTTCAATATGGGCCTCAGTGGGCTCAGAAATGTTCCTTCACAGATTCTAAAAGAAGAGTGTTGCCAACCTGCTGAAACAAAAAATGGTTTAACTCCGTGAGCTGAATTCACACATCACAAAGGAATTTCACTTATAGATTCTTCTAGTTTTTATCATGGGATGTCCTGTTTTTACTACAGGAATCGGTGGACTCTGAAATGTCCCTTCACAGATTTTGCAATAAGAGTGTTTTTCACCTGCTGAATCAAAAGACAGGTTTACACCTTTGAGCTAAATCCAGACATCACAAAGCAGTTTCACAGACAGCTTCTATCTTGTTTTTAACATGTGATATTTGTTTTTTTCACTATAGGCCTCAGTGGGCCCTGAAATGTCCTTTCACTGTTTCTACAGTGTGTTTCCAACCTGCTGAATCAAAAGAGATCTTTAAATCTGTGAGGTGAATTCACACATCACAAAGCAGTTTTACAGATATCTTCTTTCTAGATTTTATCACAGGATATTCAGTTTTTCACTCTGAACCTCAGTGGCCCTGAAATGTCCCTTTGCAGATTCTGCAAAAAGAGTGTTTCCAACCTGCTGAATAAAAAAAATGTTTAATTCTGTGAACTGAAACCACACATCACAAAGCGGTTTCACAGATGGCTTTTTTCAATATTTTACAGCATGATATTGGTTTTTCACTCTAAGCCTTTGTGGGACCCAAAATATTACATCATACATTCTACAAAGAGTATTTACAACTGCTATATTAAAAGAAAGTTTTAATTCTGTGAAATGAATTCACACATCACAAAGTCATTTCACAGATAGTTTCTTTCTAGTTTTTTTTTTTTGTAGGATATTTGGCTTCACCTTATATACCTCAATGGGCTATGTAATGTAAATTTGCTGATCCTACAAAAAGACTGTTTGCAAACTTCTGAACCAAAGGAAAGATTTAACTCTGCAAGATGAATCCACACATCTCAAAGTGGTTATACACATGGCTTCTTTCTAGTTTTTGTCACGGAATATTCAGATTTTCACAGTAGGCCTCAGTGGGCTCTAAAAAGTCCCTTCACAAATTCTGCAAAAAGACTGTTTCAAACATGCTGAATCAAAGGGAAGGTTTAACTCTGTGAGCTGAATCCACATATCACAAAGCTGTTTCACAGATAGCTTCCTTCTGGTTTTTATCATGGGATATTTTGTTTTTCACTATGGACTTCAGTGGGCTCCAAAATGTCCCTTTGCAGATTCTACAAAAAGAGTATTTCCAACCTGTTAAATGAAAAGAAAGGTTTAACTCTGCACAATGAATTCACTCATCACAAAGCCGTTTCACATATTGCTTCTGTCTAGTTTTTAGCTCATGATATTCAGTTTTTCTCTATATTCCCCGATGGTCTTCCAAATATCACCTTGCCGATACTACAAAAACAATGTTTCCAAACAGTTGAATCAAAAGAAAAGTTTAACTCTGTGTGATTAATCAGCACATCACAAAAGTGGTTTCACAGATAGCTTCTTTCTAGTTTTTATTACAGGATATTCAGTTTTTCCCCTATAGGCTTCATTTAGCTCCCAAATGTCCCCTTGTAGATTCTGCAAAAAGAGTGTTTCCAAACGGCTGAATCAAAAGAAAGGTTTACCTCTGTGAGACAAATCCATACATTGCAAGGTTGTTCACAAATAGCTACTTTCTAGTTTTTATCACAGGATAGTTGATTTCTTCTGCCGGCCTCTATGGGGTTCAAAATGTCCCCTTGCAGATTCTAAAAAAGAGTGTTTCCAACATGCTGAATCAAAAGAAGGGTTTAACTCTGTGTGATGAATCCACAAATCACAAATAAATTTCTCAGACAGATTCTTTCTAGTCTTTATCTCAGGATATTCATTTTTTCACTATAGGCCTCAGTGGGTTCCAAAATGTGTTTTTGCAGATTCTACCAAAACAGTGTTTCCAACCTGCTGTATGTAAAAAATGGTTTAACTCTGTGATCTGAAAACACACACCACAAAGTGGTTACACAAATAGCTTCTTTACAGTTTTTATCATGAAACATTCTGTTTTTCACTGTAGGCCTCAGTGAACACTTCGTAGATTCTACAAAAACAGTGTTTCCAACCTGCTGAAGGTGAAGAAAGCTTTCACTCTATGAGGTGAATCCACACATCACAAAGAGGTTTCCCTGCTAGCTTCTTTCAAACTTTTATCACAAGATATTTGGCTTTACATGATAGGCCTCCATGGGATTTAATATGTCCCATTGCAGATTCTACAAAAACAGTGCTTCCAACCTGCTGAATGAAGAGAAAAGATTGTCTGTGTGAGCTGAATCCACACATCACAAAGTGGTTTCACAGAGAGCATCTTTTTAGTTTTTATCACAAGATATTTTGTTTTTAACTATAGGCTACTATGAGCTCCAAAATGTCCCTTTGCAGATTTTACAAAAACATTGTTTCCAACTGAAAAATGTTTCACTTCATGAGTTGAATCCACATATCACAAATAGACTTCACAGATAGCTTCTTTCTAGTTTTTAAGGTAGAATATTTGTTTTTTTCACTACAGGACTCAGTGAGGTCTGAAATGTAACTATGCAGATTCCACAAAAATAGTCTTTCCAACCTGATGAATGTAAAAAAAAGGTTTGCCTCTGAGAGCTGAATGCTCACATTACAAAGGGGTTTCACAGATAGCTTCTTTCTAGTTTTTATCATGGGATATTCAGTTTTTCACTATAGGCTTCAGTGAGATCAGAAATGTTCTTTCATAGATTATACAAAAACAGTGTTTCTTACCTGCTGAATGTAAAGAAAAATTTCATTCTATGTGCTGAATCCACACATCACATAGCAGTTTCACAGATAGCATCTTTCTAGTTTTTATCAGGAAATGTTTGGTTTTTTAGAATAGGCCTCTGTGAGCTCCAAAATGTCTCTTCACCTTTTCTGCAAAAACAGCATTTCCAACCTGCTGAATGTGAAGGTAGGTTTCGCTTTATGAGCTGAATAAACACATCAGAAAGAGGTTTCACATATAGTTTCTTTCAAGTTTTTTCATGGGATATTCTGTTATTCACTGTAGGCTTCTATAAGCTCCAAATTGTCCCTTCACAGACTCTATAAAAACAGTGTTTCAAACGTGCTAAATGTTAAAAATATTAACTCTGTGAGCTGAAACATCACAACACAAAGCAGTTTCACAGAAACTTTCTTTCAAGTTTTTATCATGGAATATTTGGTTTTTCACTAGAGACCTCACTGGGCTCTGAAATGTCCCCTCAAGATTTTACAAAAACAGTGCTTAAAACCTGCTGAATGCAAATAAAGGTTTAACTGTGAGAGCTGAATTCACACATCACTAAGGGGTTTCACAGATAGATTCTTTCTAGTTTTTATCTCAGGATATTCTGTTTTTCACTATAGGCATAAGTGAGCTTCAAAATGTTCCTTCACAGATTTAACAAAAACAGTGATTCAACCTGCTGAATGTGAAGAAACATTTCACTCTACGAGCTGAATCCACACATCACAAAGGGGTTTCACAGATAGCTCCTTTTTAGTTTTTATCACAAGTTATACAGTTTTTCACGAGAGGCTTGCATGGGCTCTGAAATGTCCTTTTGCTGAATCTACAAAAACAGTGCCTACAGCCTGCTAAATGTAAAGAGTGGTTTCCCTTTATGAGGTGAATCTGTACATTACAAAGTGCTTTCACAAATAGATTCTTTACAGTTTTTATCACACAATATTCTGTTTTTCACTATAGACCTCCTTGAGCTCTAAAATGTCCCTCACAGAATCCACAAAAACAGAGTTTCCAACATGCTGAATATAAAGAAGTGTTTAACCTGTGAGCTGATTCCACACATCACAAAGCCTTTTCACAAATAGCTTCTTTCTAGTTTTTATTGTAGGATATTCTGTTTTTCACTACAGGCTTCAAAGAGGTTCTAAATGTCCTTTCCTAGATTCTTCCAAAAAAGTTTTTCTAACATGCTGAATGTAAAGAAAGGTTTAACTCTGTGTGTTGAATCCACACATCACAAGTGGTTTCTCACATACCTTCTTTCTAGTTTTTATTGTGAAATATTCCATTTGTCACTACAGTCCTGAGTGAGCTCTGAAATGTTTCTTTGCAGATTCTACAAAAACAGTGTTTCCAACCTCCTGAATGTAAAGAAAGGTTTTACTCTATGATCTGAATCCACACTTCACAAAGGAGGTTGACAGATAAGTGCTTTCTAGTTTTTATTGTGGGATTTTCAGTTTTTCACTATATGCCTCCATGGGCTCCATAATATTCCTATGCAGATCCTACAAAAACAGTGTTTCCAACCTGCTGAATGTAAATAAACTTTTCACTATAGGCACTGAGTCCACATATAATCACAAAGCAGTTTCACTGATAGCTTCTTTCTAGTTTTTATCGCAGGATGTTTGGTTTTTCACTATAAGCCTCAGTGAGCTTGGAAATGTTCCAACACAGATTCTACAAAAAGAGTGCTTAAAACCTGCCGAATGTAAAGATAGGTTTTATTCTTTAAGCTGAATCCACACATCACAAAGCAGTTTCACAGATAGCTTCTTTCTCATTTTTATTGCAGAATATTTAGTTTTTCACTGTAGTCCTCAGTGAGCTTTGAAATGTCCCTTCACAGATTCTACAAAAAGAGTGTTTCCAACCTGCTAAAAGTAAAGAAAAATTTCACTTATAAGCTGAATCCACACATCAGAAACCTGTTTCACTGAGAATTTCTTTATTGTTTTTATCATGGGATATTCAGTTTTTCACTATAGGCCTCCGTGAGCTCTGAAATGCCCTTTCATAGATTCTACCAAAACAGTGTTTCCAATCTACTGAAGGTAAGGAAATGTTTCACTATGTGAGCTGAATCTACACATCAAAAAGCAGTTTCTCTGAGAGCTTCTTTCTAGCTTTTATCATGGGATATTCCGTTTTGTATTATAGGCTTCAGTGAGCTCCAAAATGTCCCTGTACACATTCTCCAAAAACTGCATTGACAACCTGCTGAATATGAAGAAAAATTTCACTCTATGAGCTGAATCCACACAGCACAGAGCGGTTTTGCAGATAGCACTTTTCTAGTTTTTATCACAGGATGTTCAGTTTTTCACCATAGGCCTCTATGGGCTCTGAAATATCCCTTTTCAGATTCCACAAAAACAGTGTTTCCAAACTGCTTAATGTAAATAAATGTTTAACTCTGTGAGGTGAATTCACACATTACAAAGCAGTTTCAAATATAGCTTCTTTCTAGTTTTCAATCACAGAATATTCATTTTTTCACTACAGGCCCCATTGAGCTCCTAAATATCCCTTCACAATTTCTAAAAACAGTGTTTCAATCCTGCTGGATGTAAAGAAAGTTTTCACATGGTGAGCTGAATCCACACATCAGAAAGCAGTTTCACAAATAGTGTTTATTGCAAATTATTTGTTTTTTCACTATAGTTTTCCAGGGTCTCCAAATGTCCCTTTACAAGTTTCAAAAAAAAAAAACACAAATAAACAAATAGTAATTCAAATCTACTGAATTTAAAGAAAGGCTTAACTCTGTGAGCTGAATCCACAATGTGATTTAACAGATAGATTCCATGTAGTTTTTATCATGCAATATACGATTTTTCACTATGGTTCTTAGTGAGATTTGAAATGTTCCACTGCAGGTCCCACAAGAACAGCGTTTCCAACGTGCTGAATGTGAAGAAAGATTTCACTGTATGAGTTGAATCCACACATCACAAAGCATTTTCACAGATAGCTTCTTTCTAGTTTTTATCACGGGATATTCGATTTGTCACAATAGGCCTCCATTAACTACTAAATGTCCTTTCACAGATCCTACAAAAACAGTGTTTTCAAACTGCTGAAAGTAAAGAAAGTTTTAACTCTGTGAGCTGAATCTACATATCACAAGGCAGTTTCACAATAAGATTCTTAGTAGTTTTTATAGTGGGGTATTCTGTTTTTTTTTTTTTTTTCAGGACAGTCGGTTTTTTACTATAGGCCTCAGTGAGCTCCAAAATATCCCTTCACAGATTCTACAAAAACAGTGTTTCCAACCTGTTGTATGTAAAGAAATTTTTATTTTTTTGAGATGGAGTCTTGTTCTGTCACCGAAGCTGGAGTTCAGAAGCACACTCTTGGCTCACTGCAAGCTCTGCCTCCAGGGTTCATGCCATTCTCCTGCCTCAGCCTCCTGAGTAGCTGGGACTACAGGCACCCACCACCACACCTGCCCAAATTTTTGTAATTTTTAGTAGAGATGGGGTTTCACTGTGTTAGGATGGTCTTGATCTCCTGACCTCGTGATCCACCCACCTTGGACCCCAAAGTTCTGAGATTACAGACGTGAGCCACCATGCCTGGTCATAAAGAAATGTTTAACTGTGTGAGCTGTGTGAACTGAATCCACACATCACAAAGAAGTTTCACAGATAGCTTCCTTCTAGTGTTTTATCATGGGATATTAGGTTTTTGACAATATACCTCAGTGAGCTCTGAAATGTCTTTTTGCAAATTCTACAAAAACAGTGTTACTAACCTGCTAAATGTAAAGAATGGTTTAATTCTGGAAGCTGAATCCACACATGGCAAAGTGGTTTTACAAATAGATTTCTTCTAGTTTTTACCCAGGAATATTCAGCTTTTCACTATTGGCCTCAGTGGGTTAAGAAATGTCTCTTTGCAGATGCTACAAAAACAGTGTTTCCAACCTGCTGAATGAAAATAAAGGTTTCCTTCTCTGAGCTCAATCCAAACATCACAAAGCAGTTTCACAGATAGCTTCTTTCTTCTTTTTATGGTGGAACATTTGGTTTTTCACTATACGCCTCAGTGAACTGAAAAATGTCTTTTTTGCAGATTCTACAAAAACAGTGTTTCCAACCTACTGAATGTAAAGAAACATTTCACTATATGAGCTGAATGCACATATCACAAATCAGTCACAGAGAGCTTCTTTCTAGTTTTTATCATGGGATATTTGATTTTTCACTGTAGGCCTCAGTGAGCTCTGAAATGTCTTCACAGATTCTACAAAAACAGTGTCTACAACCTGCTGAATGTGAAGAAAAGTTTCACTTTACAACCTGAATCCACAAATTACAAAGCTGTTTAACATATAGATTCTTTCTAGTTTTTATGGTGGGATATTCAGTTTTTCACAACAGGCTTCAGTGAGCTCTGAAACGTCCCCTCAGATACTATAAAAACAGAGTTTCCAACCTACTGAATGTAAAAAAAGGTTTAAGGATGTAAGCTGAATCCACACATCCCAAAGCGGTCTCACAGAAAGCTTCTTTCTAGTTTTTATCATGGGATGCTCGGTTTTTCACTACAGGCCTCAGTGAGCTCTGAAAAGTCCCTTTGCAGATCCTGCAAAAACAGTGTTTTCTATCTGCTGAATGTAAAGAAAGGTTTTATTTTATGAGCCAAACCCATGCATCACAAAACAGTTTCATGGATAAATTCTTTCTAGTTTTTATCACAAGATATTCAGTTTTTCACTATAATCATCAGTGAGTTCCAAAATGTCTTTTTGCAGATCCTACAAAAACAATATATCCAATTTAATGCTTGTAAAGAAAGATTTAATACTATGGGCTGAATCTACAAATCACAAATGGTTTTACAGATAGCTTCTTTCTAGTTTTTATTGCAGGATATTCAGTTTTTCACTGTAGACCTCAGTAAACTCTGAAACGTCCCTTCACAGAATCTATAAAAACGGTGTCTACAGCCCTCTGAATGTCAAAAAAGTTTCACTTAATGAACTGAATCCTCACTCTACAAAGCAATTTCACGGATAGACTCTTTAAGTTTTTATGATGGGATATTCAGTTTTTCACTATAGGCCCAAGTAAGCTCTGAAATGTCTCTTTGCAGATTTTATGAAAACAAAGTTTCCAACTTGCTGAATGTAAAGAATGGTTTGACTCTGTGAGCTGCATTCATGTCACAAAGCAATTTCACATATAGTTTCTAGTTTTTATCATGGGATATTCAATTTATCACTATAGGCCTCAGTGAGCTCAGATATGTTCCTTCACAGGTTCTACAAAAACAGTGTTTCCAACCTGCTGAATGTAAAGAGTTTCACTCTATAAACTGAATCCACACATCACAAATTGGTTTCACAGATAGTTTTTAACTTGAGATATTTGGTTTTTCAGTATAGTTTTCCATGGGCTCCAATATATTTCTTTGCAGACCATACAAACACAGCATTTCCAACTTTCTGAATTTAAAGGAAGGTCTGACTCTGTGAGCTGAATCCAGACATCACAAAGCTGTTTCAAAGATAGCTTCCATCTACCTTTTATCATGCAATGTTTGGTTTTTCACTATAATCCTTAGGGAGATTTAAAATATTTCATTGCACGTCCAAAAAAAAAGAAAAGAAAAAGTGTTTCCAAACTGCTCTATGTGAGGAAAGTTTTCACTCTATGAGCTGAATCCACATATCACAAAGAAGTTTCACAGATAGATTCTTTCTAGTTTTTATTGCATGATATTCAGTTTTTGGCTATAGGCCTCAGTGAGTTTTGAAATGTTTTTTCACAGAATCTACAAAAACAGTGCCTACAACCTGCTGAATGTAAAGAAATGTTTCCATTTATAAGCTGAATACACACATTACAAAGCCATTTCACACATAGCTCCTTTCTAGTTTTTACCATGGGATATTTGTTTTTTTCCTATAGACCTCACTGAGCTTTGAAAAGTCTTTTTGCAGATTCTACAAAAAGAGTGTTTGCAAATTGCTGAATGTAAAGAAAGGTTTAACTCTATGAGCTGAATCCAGACATCACAAATCACAAGTTCCTTTCTAGTTTTTATCTTGAGAATTTTTTTTACTATAGGCCTCAGTGAGCTCAGAAATGTCACTTCACAAATCCCAGTAAAAAAGTGTTGCCAACCTGCTGAATGTCAACAAGTCTTAACTCTGTGAGCTGAATCCACACAACACAAAGTGGTCTCACTGATAGGTTCTTTTTAGTTTTTATTACAGGATAATCCATTTTACAATATATACCACAGTGATCTCAGAAATGTCCCTTGAAAGAACCAACAAAAACAGTGTTTGCAACCTACTGAGTGTAAAGAAAGGTTCTATTTTATGAGTTAAAATCACACATCACAAAGCAGTTTGACAGTTTCCTTCTAGTTTTTATCACAGAATATGTGGTTTTTCATTATAGAACTCAGTGTGCTCTGAAAAGTTCCTTCACAGATTCTAAGAACAGTGTTTCAATCCTGATAAATGTAAAGAAAGGTTTCACACTGTTATCTGAATTCATACATAACAAAGTGGTTTCACAGATACTTTATATCATGGGATATTGAGTTTTTCACTACAGGCCTCAGAGAGCTTATAGGAGTCCCTTTGCAGAGTCTAAAAAACCTGTGTTTCCCAAGAAATTGGGAAAGGATTCCCTATGTAATAAATGGTGCTGGGAAAACTAGCTAGCCATATTTAGAAAGCTGAAATTGGATCCCTTCCTTACACCTTATACAAAAATTAACTCAAGATGGATTAAAGACTTAAATGTTAGACCTAAAACCATAAAAACCCTAGAAGAAAACCTAGGCAATACCATTCAGGACATAGGCATGGGCAAGGACTTCATGTCTAAAACACCAAAAACAATGGTAACAAAAGCCAAAATTGACAAATGGGATCTAATTAAACTAAAGAGCTTCTGCACAGCAAAAGAAACTACCATCAGAGTGAACAGGCAACCTACAAAATGGGAGAAAATTTTTGCAATCTATTCATCTGACACAGGGCTAATATCCAGAATCTACAATGAACTCAAACAAGTTTACAAGAAAAAAACAAGCAACCCCATCAACAAGTGGGTGAAGGATATGAACAGACACTTCTCAAAAGAAGACATTTATGAGGCCAAAAGACACGTGAAAAAATGCTCATCATCACTGGCCATCAGAGAAATGCAAATCAAAACCACAATGAGATACCATCTCACACCAGTTAGAATGGCGATCATTAAAAAGTCAGGAAACAACAGGTGCTGGAGAGGAGGTGGAGTCATAGGAACACTTTTACACAGTTGGTGGGACTGTAAACAAGCTCAACCCTTGTGGAAGTCAGTGTGGCGGTTCCTCAGGGATCTAGAACTAGAAATACCATTTGGCCCAGCCATCACATTACTGGGTATATACCCAAAGGATTATAAATCATGCTGTTATAAAGACACATGCACATGTAAGTTTATTGTGGCACTATTCACAATAGCAAAGACTTGGAACCAACCCAAATATCCAACAATGATAGAATGGATTAAGAAAATGTGGCACATATGCACCATGGGATACTATGCAGCCATAAAAAATGAGTTCATGTCCTTTGTAGGGACGTGGATGAAGCTGGAAATCATCATTCTCAGCAAACTGTCACAAGGACAAAAAACCAAATACCACAAGTTCTCACTCAGGTGGGAATTGAACAATGAGAACACATGGACACAGGAAGGGGAACATGACACACCGGGGCCTGTTGTGGGGTGAAATGATGAATTAATGGGTGCCGCACACCAACATGGTGCATGTACACATGTGTAACAAATCTTCACATAGTGCACATGTACCCTAAAACCTAAAGTAAAATTAGAAAAAGAAAAACGCCAGTGTT
This sequence comes from Homo sapiens, assembly GCF_000001405.40. Taxonomy (NCBI): domain Eukaryota; kingdom Metazoa; phylum Chordata; class Mammalia; order Primates; family Hominidae; genus Homo; species Homo sapiens. Next base: position 46,515,351 of record NC_000008.11, on the reverse strand, counting down.
TCCAACCTACCGAATGTAAAGAAAGGTTTCAGTCTATGAGCTGAATGCAAACATCACATACCAGTATGACAAATAGCTTTTTTCAAGTTTTTATCATGGGATGTTCTGTTTTTCACTTTAGGCCTCAATGAGCTCAGAACTGTGTTTATGCAGTTTCTACAAAAACAGTTTTCCAAACCTGCTGAATGTAAAGAAACGTTTCTCTATATGAGCTGAATCCACACATCACAAAGTGCTTACACAGATAGCTTCTTTCTAGATTTTATCTCAAGATACATGGTTTTTCACTACAGGACTTAGTGAACTTCAAAGTTACCCCTCACAGATTCTAAAGAAACAGTATTTCTAACCTGCTGAATGTAAAGAAAGATTTAACTATTTGAGCTGAATCCACACATCATGAAGCAGTCTCACAGACAGTCTCTTTCTAGTTTTAATCACAGGACATTTTCGTTTTACTATAATCCTCATTGAACTCCAAAATATTCCTTCACAGATCCTACAAAAACAGTGTTTCCAACCTGCTTAATATAAAGGATGGTTTCACAATGTGAACTGGTTCCACACATCACTAAGTGGTTTCACAGATAGCTTCTTTCTAGTTTTTATTGCAGGATATTCAGTTTTTCACTATAGGCCTCAGTGAGTTCAGAAATGTCTCTTCACAAATTCTACAAAAACAATGTTACCGACCTGATGAATATAAAGAAAGTTTTAACCCTGGGGGCTGAATCCAAACACCACAAAGCTGTTTCACATATAGCATTTTTCTAGTATTTACTGTGGGATAATTTGTTTTTCACTGCAGTCCTCAGTAAGCTTTGAAATGTACCTTCAGAGATCCTAAAAAGAGTGATTCCCACCTGCTGAATATGAAGAAAGGTTTTATTCTATGAGCTGAATCCACACATCACAAAGCAGTATCACAGATAGCTTCTTTCTAGTTTTTATCATGGAATATCCTGTTTTTCAGTTTAGAGCTCAGCGAGCTCAGTAATGTGTCCACAGATTATACAAAAATAGTTTTTCCACCCTGCTGATTATAAAGAAACTTTTCACTATATGCGCTGAATCTGCACATCACAAAGCAGTTTCACAGATAGCTTCTTTCTAGTTTTTAACGTGGGATATTCAGATTTTCACTTCTGGCCTCAGTGAGCTCTAAAATTTCCCCTCACTGTTTCTACAAAACCAGTGTTTCCAACCTGTTGAATGTAAAGAAAGATTTAACTATTTGAGCTGAATCCAGACATCACAAAGTGGTATCAAAGACAGTGATAGTTTCTTTCTAGTTTTTTTTTCATGAGATATTCAGCTTTTCACTATTAGCCTCAGTGAGCTTCAAAGTGTCCCTTTGCAGATTCTACAAAAACAGTCTTTCCAACCTCCTGAATCCAAAGAAAATTTTCACTTTGTCAGCTGAATCAACACATCACAAAGCAGTTTCTCTGATAGATTTTTTCTAGTTTTTATAATGTAATATTTGTTTTTTCACTATAGGCCTCAGTGAGCTCCCAAATGTCCCTTTGTATATCCTACAAAAACAGTGTTTCCAACCTGCTGAATGTAAAAATGGTTTAACTCTGTGAGCTGAATCCACACATCACAAAGTGGTTTCACATATAACTTCTTTCTAGTTTTTATCACAGGGCCTCATTGAGCTCTGAAATTTTCCTTTACAAATCCTACAAATACAGTGTTTCCAACCTACTGTATATAAAGAAAGGTTTCACTTTATGAGCTGATTCCATACACCACAAATCACTTTCACAGATAGCTTCTATCTTCATTTCATCACAAGATATTAGTTTTTTCACTATAGGCCTCAATTAGCTTTGAAATGTCCCTTTGTCAATTCCACAAAAGCAGTGTTTCCAACCTCCTGAATGTAAAGAAAGGTTTAACTCTGTGAGCTGAATCCAATGTCACAAAGCGGTTTCACAGATAGCTTCTTTCTAGTATTTGTCACAGGATATTCACTTTTTACTATAGACCTCTGTTAGCTTTGAAATATCCTTTTGCAGATTCTACAAATACAGTGTTTCCAACCTGGTGAATGCAAAGCAAGGTTTCTCTTTACGAGCTTAATCCAAACATCAAAAAACATTTTCAAAGATAGCTTCTTTCTAGTTTTTATTGCAGGATATTTGGTTTTTCAGTATAAGCCTAAGTGAGCTCTGAAATGTCTTTTTGTAAATTCTACATAAACAGTGTTTCTACCTACTAAGTGTAAATAAAGATTTCACTCTATAAGCTGAATCCAAACATCACAAAGTGGTTCCCATCTTTTCTAGTTTTTATAGTTGGATATTCGGTTTTTCACTTTAGGCTTCAGTGAGCTTCAAAATGTGTTTGTGCAGTTTCTACAAACAGAGTGTTTCCAACAGCTGAATGTAAAGAAAAGTTTCACTCTATTAGCTGAATCCACACATCACAATGTGGTTTCACAGATAGCATTTTTCTAGTTCTTATCACGTGATATTCTTTTTTCTCACTACAAGCCTCAGTGAGCTATGAAATCTCCCCTCGCAGATTCTACAAAAAGAGTGTTTCCAACCTGCTTAATCTAAAGAAAGGTTTAACTCTGTGAGCTGAAGCCACACATCACAGAGCAATTCAAAGGCAGTTTCTTTTTAATTTTTTCATGGGAAATTCATTTTTTTACCATAAGCCTCAGTGAGCTCTGAAATGCCCCTTTACAGATTTTATGAAAACAGTGTTTCCAACTTGTTGAATATAAAGCAAGGTTTCACTTCATGTGATGAATCCACAAATCACAAAGTGGTTTTCTCAATAGCTTTTTTCTAGTTTTTATTGTGGGATATACTGTCTTTCACTACAGGCCTCAGTGAGCTCTGAAATGTCTCTTCATAGATCATATAAAAGCAGTGTTTCAAATTTGCTGAATATAAAGAAAGAATTCATGTTATGAGCTGATTCCACACATCACAAAGCAGTTTCATAGGCAGCGTATTTCAAGTTTTTATCATGGAATATTCTGTTTTTCACTATAGGCCAACGTGGGTTGCAAAATGTGCCTTCACAGATCCTTCAACAGGTTAGAAACACTGTTTTTGTAGAATCTGTGAAGGGACATTTTGGAGCACACTAGACCTATAGGAAAAAAATTGAATATCCCACAATAAAACTAGAAAGAAGAGATCAATGAAACCGGTGTGTGATGTGTGGATTCACCCCACAGAATTAAACCTTTCTTTACATTCAATGGGTTAGAAACACTGTTTTTGTAGAATCTGCAAAGGGACATTTCAGAGCTCACTGAGGCTGATAGTAAAAATCTGACTATCTCGTGAAAAAAACTAGAAAGAAGCTATGTGTGAAACTGGTTTGTGATGTGTGGATTCAGATCATAGAGGGAAACCATCCTTTAAATTGAGCAGGTTGGAAACACTTTTGTTGTAGAACCTGCAAAGGGAAATTTTGGAGCTCACTGAGGCCTACAGTGAAAAAAAAAACATCTCACAATAAAAACTAGAAAGAAGCTATCTGTGAAACCACCTTGTGATGTGTGGATTCAGCTCACAGAGTTAACCTTTCTTTACATCAGCACGTTGGAAACATTGTTTTTGTAGAATATGAGTAGGGACATTTCGGAGCTCACTGAGCACTATAGTGAAAAACTGAATAACACATGATAAAAACTTGAAAGAAGCTGTCTCTGAAACTGCTGTGTGATGTGTAAATTCAGCTCACATAATTAAAGCTTTCTTTATATTCACCAGATTGGAAACACTGTTTTTGTAGAATTGGTGAAGGGACATTTCAGAGTTCACTGAGTCCTATAGTGAAAAACTGAATATCTCAAGATAAAAACTAGAAAGAATTTGCCTGTGAAATCGCTTTGTGATGGGTGGATTCAGCTCACAGAGGTAAATATTTCTTTATACTCAGCACGTTGGAAGTACTTTTTTTTTTAGAATCCACACTGGGACATTTCAGAGCTCATTGAGGTTATAGTGAAAGACCGAATATTCTGCAATAAAAACTAGAAGAAGCTATTTGTGAAACTGCTTTTCGATGTGTGGATTCAGCTCATAAAGTGAAACTTTTTTATGTTCAGCAGGTTGGAAACACTGTTTTTGTTGAATCTGAGAAGGGGCATTTTAAAGCTCACTGTGGCCTATAGTGAAAAACTGAATATCCTGTGATAAAACTACAAAGAAGCTATCTGTGAAATTACTCTGTGATGTGTGGATTCAGCTCATAAAGTCAAAGCTTTGTTTACATTCAGCAGGTTGGAAAGGCTGTTTTTATAGACTCTGTGAAGGGACATTTCAGACCTCATTGAGTCCTATAGTGAAAAATTGAATTTCTCTAGATAAAAAGTAGGAAGAAATTGTCTGTGAAATCACTTTGTGATGTGTGAATTCAGCTCACTGAGAAAACTTTCTCTAAACTTAGCACATTGGAAACACTCTTTTTGTAGAATCTGTGCAGGGACACTTTGCAGCTCACTGAGGCCTGTAGGGAAAAAGCAAATATTCCACAATGAAAGCTAGAAAGAAGTTATCTGTGCAACCGCTTTGTGATGTGTGGATACAGCTTACAGAGTTAAATGTTCTTTACATTCAGCAGTTTGGAAACACTGTTTTCATAGTATCTGCCAAGGGACATTTCTAAGCCCATGGATGCCTATATTAAAAAATAGATATCCTGTGATAAAAACTAGAAAGAAGCTATCTGTGGAACTGCTTAGTGATTTGTGGATTCAGCTGATAGAGGGAGATATTTCTTCATATTCGGCAGGTTGGAAACACTGTTTTTGTAGAATCTGTGAAAGGACATTTCAGACCTCACTGAGGCCTACATTGAACAACTGAATAACCCGTGATATAAACTAGAAAGAAGCTATTTGTGAAACCGCCATGATGTGTAGATTTAGCTCACACAGTGTAACCTTTCTTTACATTTAGCAGTTTGGAAACAGTGTTTTTGTAGAATCTGTGAAAGGGCATTTCAGAGCTCAGTGAAGCCTATAGCAAAAGACCTAATATCCCTTGATAAAATGTAGAAAGATGCTATCTGTGAAATCACTTTGTGATGTGTGGATTCAGCACACAGAGTTAAACCTTTGTTTTCATTCAGCAGGTTGTAAACACTGTTTTTGAAGCATTGGTGAAAAGACATTTCATATCCCATGCAGGCCTATAGTAAAAAAGTGAATATCCTGTGATAAAAGCTAGAAAGAAGCTATTTGTGAAATGGCATTGTGATGCATGGATTCAACTCACAGAGTTAAAACTTCCTTTACAATCAGCATGTGGGAACACTGTTTTTGTAAGCATAAGTGACAGGACATTTGGGAGGTCATTGAGGCCTATATTAAAGAACAAAATATCCCACAATAAAAAGTAGAAATAAGCTACCTGTGTAAGCACTTTGTAATGTGTGGATTCAGCTCATAAAGTGAAACCTTTCTTCACATTGAGCAGGGTGGAAACACTGTTTTTGTAGATTCTGTGAGGGGACATTTCTGAGCTCACTGAGGCCTATAGCAAAAACCCGAATATCCTGTGATTAAAAAACTAGAAACAAATTATATGTGAAACCACTTTGTGATATGTGGATTTAGCTCACAGATATAATCCTTTCTTTACATTCAGCAGGTTGAAATCACTGTTTTTGTAGGATCAGCGAAGGGACATTTCAAAACCCAGGAAAGCCTATTGTGAAAAACTGATTGTCCCATGATAAAAACTAGAAAAGATCTATGAAACTGCTTTCTGATGTGTGGATTCAGCTCATGGAGTGAAATCATTTTTTCCATTCAGCAGATTGGAAACTTTTTATTGTAGAATCTGAAAAGAGACATTTCAGAGCTCACTGACACCTATACAGAAAAATGGAATATTCTGTGACAAAACTAGAAAGAATCTATCTGTGAAACTGCTTTGTGATGTGTGTATTCAGCTCATACAGTGAAACCTTTCTTTACATTCAGCAGGTTGGAAACACTGGTTTTGTAGAATCTGCGAGGGGACATTTCAGAGATCAGTGAGGCCTGTAGTGAAAAATGGAACAACCCATGAAAAAAACTTGAAAGAAGCTATTTGTGCAACTGTTTTTTGATGTGTAGATTCAACTCATAAAGTGAAATCTTTCTCACATTCAGCAGGTTGGAAACACTGTTTTTGTAGTATCTGTGAAGGGACATTTAAGATCTCACTGAGGACTATAGTGAAAAAAACAAATATCCCGCAATAAAAACTAAAAAGAAGCTACCTGTGAAACTGCTTTGTGCTGTGTGGGCTCAGCTCACAGAGTTAAACCTTTATTTACATTCAGCAGGTTGGAAACACTATTTTTGTAGAATCTGAAAGGGGACATTTTGGAGCTCACTGATGCCTATAGTGAAAAACAAAATGTCCCATGATAAAAACTAGAATGAAGCTATCTCTGAAACCACTTTGTGATGTGTGCATTCAGTTCTCAGACTTAAACAATTCTTTACATTCAGTAGGTTGGAAACACTGCTTTTGTAGAATGTGTGAAGGGATGTTATGGAGCTCAATAAGGTCTATAGTGAAAAACTGATCATCTCACAATAAAAACTAGAAAAAAAGCTATCGGTGAAACCATTTTGTGATGTGTACATTCAGCTCACAGAGTTAAATCTTTCTTTACATTCAGTATGTTGGAAACACTGTTTTTGCAGAATCTGTTAAACGACATTTCAGAACTCATTGAGACCTGTAGTAAAAATCTGAATATCCCACAATAATAACTAGAAAGAAGCTATCTGTGAAACTGCTTTTTGATGTATGCATTCAGCTCACAGAATTAGAGATATATTTACATTCAGCAGGTTGAAAACACTATTTTTGTAGAATCTGTGAAGAATCATTTTGGAGCTCACTAAAGTCTACGGTGAAAAACTGAATATCCTGTAATAAAAACCAGAAATAAAGTATCTCTGAAACTGCTTTGTGATGTGTTTATTCAGCTTATGAGTGATTTTTTTTTTCTCATTCACCAAGATGGAACAACTATTTGTATAGAATCTGTGAAAAAATCATTTTGGAACGCATAGAATACTACAGTGAAAAACCAAATATCCTGAGATAAAACTAGAAAGAAGGTATGTGTGAAAGTGCTTTGACATGTGTTGATTCAGATCACAGAGGAAAATATTTCTTTATATTCAGCAGGTGTGAAACACTGTTTTTGTAGAATCTGCAAAGGGACATTTTGGAGCATACTAAGGGGTATAGTGAAAAGCTGAAATCACGTGAAAAGCCAAGAAAGAAGCTATCTGTGACACTGCTTTGTGATGTGTGGATTCAGCTCATAGAGTGAAACCTTTCTTTACATTCAGCAGGTTGGAAACAATGTTTTTGTAGAATCTGAGAAGGCACATTTCAGAGCTCACTGAACACTATAGTGAAAAAATGAATATGCCAGAATAAAAACTAGAAAGAAACTATCTCTGAAACTGCTTTGTGATGTATGGATTCAGCTCACAGAGTTAAACTTTACTTTACATTCAGCAGGTTGCACAGACTGTTTTTGTAGAATCTGTGAAGGGACATTTCAGAGTTCACTGAGTCCTATAGTGAAAAACTGAATATCTCAAGATGAAAACCAGACAGAAGTTGCCTGTTAAATCGCTTTGTGATATGTGGATCCAGCTCATAGATTTAAACCTTTCTTTAAACTCAGCTCATTGGAAACACTGTTTTTGTAGAATCTGCACAGGGACATTTCATAGCTCACTGAGGCCTATAGTGAAAAAAGAAATATTCCATGATAAAAACTAGAAAGAAATTATCTGTGAAACCACTTTGTGATATTTACATTCAGTACACAGAGTTAAATTTTGTTTACATTCAGCCGTTTGGAAACACTGTTTTTGTGGGATCTGCCAAGGGACATTTCTAAGCCCATGGAGGCCTATACTGGAAAAATGAAATCCCCTGATAACAACTAGAAAGAAGCTATCTGTGAAACCATTTAGTGATGTGTGGATTCAGCTCATAGAGTGAAACATTTCTTCACATTCAGCAGGTTGGAAACACTGTTTTAGTAGAATCTGTGAAAGGGCATTTCAGAGCTCACTGTATCCTATAGCAAAAAAAAGGGTATCCCTTGATAAAAAGTAGAAAGATGCTATCTGTGAAACTGCTTCATGATGTGTGGATTCAGCTTACAGAGTTAAAACTTGCTTTTCATTCAGCAGGTTGGAAACACTATTTTTGAAGCATCAGCAAAAGGACATTTAAGATGCCAAGGAGGCCTATAGTGAAAAAGCCAATATCCCATGATAAAAGCTAGAAGAAAGCTATCTGCAAAACTGTTTTGTGATGACTGGATGCAGCTCACAAAGATAAACCTCCCTTTACATTAAGTGTGTTGAAAACACTGTTTTTCTAGGCTAAGCAATGGGACATTTCAGAGGTCATTGAGGCCTATAGTAAAAAAATAATATCCCGAGATAAAAAGTAGAAAGAAGCTACCTGTGTAAGCGCTTTGTGATTTGTGGATTCAGCTCATAGATTAAAACGTTTCTTCACATTGAGCAGGTTGGAAACACAGTTTTTGTAGATTCTGTGAGGGACCATTTGGGACCTCACTGAGGCCTACATTGACAAAAATGAATATCCAGCAATAAAAAAGCAGAAAGAAGCTATCTGTGAAACCACTTTGTGGTATGTGGATTCAGCTCACATATATAAACCTTTCTTTACATTCAGCAGGTTGGAAACACTGTTTTTGTAGGATCTGTGAAGGAACATTTTGGAGCCCATGAAGGCTTATAGTAAAAAAGTGATAAGAACTAGAAATAAACAACTGTCTGTTAAACTGCTTTGTGATGTGTGCATTCAGCTGAAAGAGTGAAACCTTTCTTTACATTCAGCAGGTTGGAATTTCTTTTTTATTATTTGTAGAATCTGAGAAGAGACATTTCACAGCTCACTGATGCCTATTGAGAGAAACCGAATATTCCACGATAAAACTAGAAAGAAGCTACCTGTGAAACTGCTTTGTGATGTGTGTATTCAGCTCATAAAGTGAAACCTTTCTTTACATTCAGCAGGTTGGAAACATTGTTTTTTTTGGAATCTACTGAGGGACACTCAGAGCTCACTGAGGCCTATAGTGAAAAACCAAATATCCTGTGATAAAAAACTAGAAAGAAACTGTATGTGCAGGCACTTTGTGATATGTGGATTTAGCTCACAGATATAATCCTTTCTTTATGTTCAGCAGGCTGGAAATATTGTTTTTGTAGAATCTGTGAAGGGACAATTCAGAGCTCAGCAATGCCAATAGTTAAAAAGCAAATAACTGGTGATAAAAAATAGGACGAAGCTATCTCAGACACCATTTTGTGATGTGCAGATTCACCTAACAGAGTTAAAACTTTCTTTACATTTAGCAGGTTGGAAACACTGTTTTTGTAGGATCGGTGAAGGGACAATTCAGAGCTCACCGATGCCAATAGTAAAAAACCAAATATCTTGTGATAAAAAATAGAATGATGCTATCTCTGACACTGCTTTTTGATGTGTACATTCAGCTCACAGAGGCAAACCATTCTTCACATTCAGTAGGTTGGAAACACTGTTTTTGTAGGATCTGTGAAGAGATGTTTCAGAGCTCACCAAGGTCTATAGTGAAAAATTGATTATCTCACGATAAAAACTGGAAAGAAGCTATCTCTGAAAGTGCTTTGTGTTGTGTGCATTCAGCTAACAGAGTTAAACCTTTATGTACATTAAGCATGTTGGAAGCACTGTTTTAGTAGAATCTGTGAAGGGACATTTCAAAACTCACTGAGGCCTGTAGTGAAAAAATGAATATCACACAAATAAAACTAGAAAGAAGCTATCTGTGAAACCACTTTGTGATATCTGGATTCAACTCACAGAAAGAAATCTTTTTTCACATTCAGAATTTTGGAAACACTGCTTTTTTAGAATCTGTGAAGGAACATTTCAGAGCTCACAGAGGACTATGGTGAAAAACAAAATATTCTGCAATAAAAACTAGAAAGAAGCTATTTGTGAAACTGCTTTGTGATGTGTGGATTCAGCTCACAGAGTTAAACCTTTCTTTACATTTATCAGGTTGAAAACACTGTTTTTGTAGAATCTGCAAAGACACAATTTGAAGTTCACTGACGGATATAGTGAAAAACTGAATATCCTGCAATAATACCTAGAAAGAATCTATATGTCAAACCTCTTTGTGATGTGTTGATACAGCTCAAAGGGTTAAACTTTTCTTTTATTCAGCAGGGTTGAAGCACTGTTTCTGTGGAATATTCAAAGAAACATTTTTGAGCTGAGTGAGACCTATAGTGAAAAACCTAATATCCAACAATACAAGCTACAAAGAAGCTGTCTGTGAAAACGGTTTTTATGTGTGGATGCAGCTTAAACTGTTAAAACTTTCTTCGTATTCATGAGGATGGAAATACCGTTTTTGTAGGATCTGTGAAGGGAAATTTCAGAGCCCATGGAGGCCTAAAGTTAAAAAGTGAATATCCCACCAACAAGCTAGAAAGAAGATATCTGTGAAACCACTTTATGATATGTGGATTCACCTCATTATGTTAAACCTTTTTTTACATTTGACAAGATTAAAACTCTGTTTTTGTAGAATCTGTGAAAAGACATTTTGTAGAATCTTTGAAAATACATTTCAGATATCACAGAATTTTACTGTAGTAAAAAAATGAATAAGCCACATAAAAACTAGAAAGAAGCTATCTTTGAAACCACTTTATGATGTGTGGATTTAGCTTGTAAAGTGAAAACTTTCTTTACATTCAGCATGTCAGACACACTGTTTTTGGAGAATCTGTGAAGGGACATTTTGAAGCTCACTGAGGCCTATACTGAAAAAAGGAATATCCTGTGATTAAAACTAGAAGGAAGCTTTCTAAGAAACAGTTTTGTGAAGTGTGGATTCAGCTCACAGAGTTAAACTTTTCTATACATTCAGCAGGTTGGAAACACTGTTTTGTAGAATCTGCGAAGGGGCAATTCAGAGCACACAGGGACCTGTAGTAAAAAATCGAATATCCTATGATAAAAACTAGAAAGAATCTGTGGTGAAAGTGCTTTGTGTTGTGTGGATTCAGCTCATAGAATGAAATGGTCCTTTACATTAGGCCATTAAAAACATTGTTTTTGTAGTATCTGCGAAGTGTCATTTCAGAGCTCACTGAGGCCTCTACTGAAAAACAAAATGTCCCATGATTATAATGAGAAAGAAGTTATCTGTGAAACTGATTCATGATGTGTGGATTCAGCTCAAAGAGTTAAACCTTTCTTATACTCAGTAGAATTAAACCACTCTTTTTGTAGACTATGCAAAGGGGTATTTCTGATCTCACTTAGGCATATAATGAAAAATAGAATATCCTATGATAAAAACTAGAAAGAAGCTATCTGTGAAACTGCTTTGTGATGTGTGGATTCAGCTCATAAACTGAAACCTTTCTTTACATTCAGAAGGTTGGAAACACTATTTTTGCAGCATCTACCAAGGGCCAATTCAGAGCTCACTGAGACCAATAGTGAAAAACAGAGTATCCTATGATAAAAACTAAAAGGAAGCTATCTTTGAAACTGATTTGATATTTGTGAAATCACCTCATACAGTTAAACTTTTTTATACATTCAGCAGGTTGGAAACACTGTTTTTGTAGGATCTACAAAAGGACACTTTGGAGTCAGTGGAGGCATACAGTGAAAAACCAAATATCCGGCAATAAAAACTAGAAATAATTTATCTGTGAAACTCTTTTGTGGCATGTGGACTCAGATCATAGAGTTAAACCTTTCTTTACATTCAGCAGGATTGAAATTCTGCTTTTGTAGAATCTGTGAAGGGACATTTCAGAGCTCACTGAGCCCTAAAGTGGAAAACAAAATGTCTAGTGATGAAAACTAGAAAGAAGCTATATGTTAAACTGCTTTGAGCTGTGTGGATTCAGCCCTCAGAGTTAAAAATTTCTTTCATTCAGCAGGTTGGAAACACAGTTTTGAAGTATCGGCGAAAGGACAGTTTGAGTCCCATGGAGACCTATAGTGATAAAGCAAATATCCCATGATAAAAGCTAGAAAGAAGCTATCTGTGAAACTTCTTTCTGATGCTTGGATTCAGCTCAGCTCACACAGTTAAACTTTCCTTTACATTCATGATGTTGAAAACACTGTTTGTGAAGGAGAAGCCATGGGGAATTTTGGAGGTTACTGAGGCCTATAGAGACAAACTGAATATTCCACGATAAAACAAGAAGCTACCTGTGAAGTTGCTTTGTGATATGTGTATTTAGCTTATAAAGTAAAACCTTTCATTACATTCAGCAGATTGGAAGAACTGTTTTTGGAGAATCTATGAAGGCACATTCAGATTTCACTGAGGACTATAATAAGAAATTGAATATGCCATGGTAAAAACTAGAAAGAAGCAATCTGTGAAACCAACCACCTTGTGATATGTGGATTCAGCTCACAGAGTTAAAACTTTCTTTACATTCAGCACATTGGAAACACTGTTCTTGTAGAACCTGAGAAGGGACATTTTGGAGCTCACTGAGACCTGTAGTAAAACACCGAATATCCCACCAAAAAAAAACTTGAAAGAAGCTATCTGTGAAACTGCTTTGTGATGTGTGGATTCTGCCCCTAGAGTGAAATCTGTCTTCACATTCAGCAGGTTGGAAACACTGTTTGTTTAGAATTTGAAAGAAGATATTTCAGTGCTCATGGATGCCTATAGTGAAAAACCAAATATCTTGTGATGAAATCTAGAACGAAGCTATCTCTGAAAAACGCTTTTTGATGTGTGCATTCAGCTCACAGCTTTAAACAATTCTTTACCTTCAGTAGGTTGGAAAAGCTGTTTTTCTAGAATCTGTGAAGGGATGTTTCAGAGCTCACTAAGGCCTATAGTGAAAAACTGATTATCTCATAATAAAACTAGAAAGAAGCTATCTGTAAAACTGCTTTTTGATGTGTGCATTCAGCTCACAGAGCTAAACCTTTCTTTACATTCAGCATGTTGGAAACACTGTTTTAGTGGAATCTGTGAGGGGACATTTCAAAACTCACTGATGCCTATAGTGAAAAAACCAATATCCTGCAAATAAAACCAGAAAGACCCTATTTGTGAACCTGATTTTTGATATGTGCATTCAGCTCACAGAAGCCCTCTGTGAAACTGCTTTTTGATGTCTGGATTGAGCTCATAGAGCAAATATTTTCTTTGCATTCAGCATTTTGGAAACACTGCTTTGGAGAATCTGCAAAGGAACGTTTTGGAACTCACTGAAAATTATAGTGAAAAACAGAATAACTTGCAATAAAACTAGAAAGAAGCTATCTGTGAAACCGTTTTTATGATGTATGGATTAGGCTCACAAAGTCAAACCTTTCTTTACTTACAGCAGGTTGTAAGCACTGTTTTTGTAGAATCTGTGAAGGGACATCTTGGAGCTCACTGAGGGCTATAGTGAAAAACTGACTATTTCATGAAAAAACTAGAAAGAAGCTATCTGTGAAACCGTTTTTATGATGTATGGATTAGGCTCACAAAGTCAAACCTTTCTTTACATACAGCAGGTTGTAAGCACTGTTTTTGTAGAATCTGTGAAGGGACATCTTGGAGCTCACTGAGGGCTATAGTGAAAAACTGACTATTTCATGAAAAAACTAGAAAGAAGCTATCTGTGAAATTGCTTTGTGATGTGTGAATTCCACTAATAAAGTGAAAACTTTCCTTACATTCAGCTCGTTGGAACACTGTTTCTGCAGAATCTGTGAAAAAACATTTTAGAGCTTACTGAGACCTAGAATGAAAAACTGAATATCCCACACTAGTAACTAGAAAGAAGGTGTCTGAGAAACCGCTTTTTGATGTGTGCATTCAGCTCACAGAATTAGACATTTCTTTACATCCAGCAGGTTGGAAACACTATTTTTGTAGAATCTGCAAAGAAACATTTCAAAGCTCACTAAAGCCTACTGTGAAAAAACAAACACCTTGGGATAAAAACTAGAAAGAAGCTATCTGTGAAATCGCTTTGTGATGTGTGTATTCAGCTCATAGAGTAAAATTTTTCCTCCCATTCAGCAGGTGGGAAACACTGTTTTTGTAGAATCTGCAAAGGAACATTTCGGAGCTCACTGAGGACAATAGTGAAAAACAAATTATCCTGCAATAAAAACTAGAAAGAAGGTATCTGTGAAATGACTTTGTGATGTGTGGATTCAGTTCACAGAGTTAAATCTTTCTTTACATTCAGCATGTTGGAAACACTGTTCTTGGAGAATCTGTGAAGGGACATTTCAGAGCTCACCGAGACCTATAGTAAAACACAGAATATCCCACGAAAAATCCTTGAAAGAAGCTATCTGTGAAACTTCTTTGTGATGTGCGGGTTCAGCTCATAGACTGAAATCTTTTCTCACATTCAGCAGATTGGAAACACCGTTTTGTAGCATCTGTCTCTGAAGGGACATTTCAGAGCTCACTGAGGACTATAGTGAAAAAAGCAAATATCCCACAATAAAAACTAAAAATAAGCTATCTGTGAAGCTGCTTTGTGATGTTTGGATTCAGCTCACAGAGTTAAGCCTTTCTTTACATTCAGCAGGTTGGAAACACTGTTTTTGTAGAATCTGAAAGAAGACATTTCAGAGCTCACTGATGCCTATAGTGAAAAACCAAATATCCTGTGATGAAAACTAGAATGAAACTATCTCTGAAAAACGCTTTTTGATGTGTGCATTCAGCTCACAGCATTAAACAATTCTTTACATTCAGTAGGTTGGAAAAACTGTTTTTGTAGAATCTGTGAAGGGATGTTTCACAGCTCACTAAGGCCTATAGTGAAAAACTGATTATCTCACAATAAAAACTAGAAGGAAGCTATCTGTAAAACCGCTTTGTGATGTGTACATTCATGTCACAGAACTAAACCTTTCTTTACATTCAGCATATTGGAAACATCGTTTTAGTAGAATCTGTGAATGGACATTTCACAACTCACTGAGGCCTACAGTGGAAAAATGAGTATCCTGAGAATAAAACTAGAAATAAACTGTCTGTGAAACAGATTTTTGATGTGTGTATTCAGATCACAGAATTAGAAATTTCTTTACATTCAGCATGCTGGAGATACTATTTTTGTAGAATATGCAAAAAACATTTCAGAGCTACTAAAGCCTATTGTGAAAAATCACATACCTTGGGATAAAAACTAGAAAGAAACTATCTGTGAAACTGCTTTGTGATGTGTGTATTCAGCTCATAGAGCAAAATTTTTCCTCATATTCAGCATGTGGGAAACACTGTTTTTGTAGAATCTGCAAAGGGACATTTCAGAGCTCACTGAGGACAGTAGTGAAAAACTGAATATCCTGCAATAAAAGCTAGAAAGAAGGTATGTGTGAAACTGCTTTGTGATGTGTGGACTCAGCTCAAAGAGTTAAACCTCCCTCTACATTCAGCAGGTTGGAAAAACTGTTTTGTAGAATCTGTGAAGGGACATTTCAGAGATCATTGAGACCTGTAGTAAAAAACAGAATATCTGCCCCCCACACACACACACAAACTTGAAAGAAGATGTCTGTGAAACTTCTTTGTGATGTGTGGATTCAGCTCATAGGGTGAAATATTTCTTCACATCAAGCAGGTTGGAAACACTGTTTTTGTAGCGTCTCTGAAAGGATATTTCATAGCTCACTGAGGACTACAGTGAAAAAAGCAAATATCCTGCAATAAAAACGAGAAAGAAGCTATCTGTGAAACTGTTTTGTGATGTGTGGATTCAGCTCACAGACTTAAGCCCTTCTTTATATTCAGCAGGTTGGAAACACTGTTTTCTTACAATCTGAGAAGGGACATTTTGGAGCTCATTGAGCACTATAGTGAAAAACTGAATATCCCAGGATAAACACTAGAAAGAAGCTATTTCTGAAATGGCTGTGTGATGTGTGGATTCAGCCCACATAATTAAACCTTTCTTTACATTCAGCAGGATGGAAAGACTGTTTTTGTAGAGTCTGTGAAAGATCATTTTGGAGCTCACTAAATCCTATAGTGAAAAACTGAATATCTCAAGATAAAACCTAGAAAGAAGTTGCCTGTGAAATTGCTTTTGATGTGTGGATTCAGCTCAAAAAATGAAACCTTCCTTTATGTTCAGCAGGTTGGAAACACTGTTTCTGTAGATTCTGCAAAAGGACATGTCAGAGCTCATTGAGAACTATAGTGAAAAACTGAATATCCCACAATAATAACTAGAAAGAATCTACGTGTGAAATTGCTTTTCATGTGTGGATAAACTTCAAGAGTTATATCTTTCTTTTATTCAGCAGGATTGAGGTGCTGTTTTTGTGGAATATTTGAAAAAACATTTATGAGCTCTCAGAGACCTATAGTGAAAAACTTAATACCTCATGATAAAAACTAAAAAGAAGTTATCTGTGAAACTGATTTGTGATGTGTGGATTCAGCTCAAACTGTTAAACATTTCTATACATTCACCAGGTTGAAAACACTGTTTTTGTAGAATCTGAGAAGGAATATTTCAGAGCCCATGGAGGCCTGTATTGAAAAACCAAATATCTTGCAATAGAAACTAGAAAGAAGATATCTGTGAAACCTTTTTGTGATATGTGGATTCACCTCATTGAGTTAAACGTTTCTTTACATTCAACAGGATTAAAACTCTGTTATTGTAGAACCTGGAAAAAGACTCTTCAGAGCTAAATGAGGCCTATATGAAAAATCAAATATGCCACAATAAAAACTACAAAGAAGCTATCTGTGAAACCACTTTATGGTAAATGGATTTAGCTCATAAAGTGAAATCTTTCTTTACATTCAACGTGTTGGAAACACTGTGGAGAATCTGTGAAGGGAAATTTTGAAACTCACTGAGGCCTGTAGTGAAAAACCAAATATCTGGCAATTAAAACTAGAAAGAAGCTATCTGAGAATCAACTTTGTGAAGTGTGGATTCAGCTCACACAGTTAAACCTTTTTTTACATTCTGCAGGTTGGAAACACTGTTTTATAAAATCTGCAATGGGGCAATTAGGAGCTCAAGGAGGCTTCCAGTGAAAAACCGAATATCTCACAATAAAAACTAGAAAGAATCTGTCTGTGAAAGTGCTTTGCGTTGTGTGGATTCAGCTCATAGAGTGAAACTGCTCTTTAAATTCAGCAGGTAAAAAACACTGTTTTTGTAGAATCTGCCAAGTGACATTTCAGAGCTCACTGAGGCCTCTACTGAAAAATCAAATATCCAGCAATTATAACTAGAAAGAAGTTAACTGGGAAACTGCTTTGTGATGTGTGGATTCACCTCAAAGAGTTAAACTTTTCTTATATTCAGCAGGATTGAAACACTGTTTTTGTAGAATATGCGAACTGATGTTTCTGAGCTCACTTCAGCCTATAATGAAAAATAGAATATCACATCATAAAAACTAGAAAGAAGCTACCTGTGAAACTGCTTTGTGATATATGGATTCATCTCATAAACTGAAAGATTTCTTTACATTCAGCAAGCTGGAAACACCATTTTTGTAGAATCTATGGTGGGCCAATTCAGAATTCATGGAGGCCTATAATGAAAAACAAAATATCCCATGATAAAAACCAAAAAGAAGCTATCTGTGAAACTGATTCGTTTTTTGTGAATTCAGCTCACACAGTTAAAGTTTTCTATAAATTCAGCAGGTTGGAAACACTGTGCAGGATCTGTGAAAAGACATTTCACAGTCCATGGAGTCCCGTAGTGAAAAACTGAATATCCCGTGATAAAACCTAGAAAAAATTTATCTGTGAAACCACTTTGTGATATGTGGATTCAGCTCATAAAGGTAAACTTTTCTTTACATTCAACAGGATTGTAATTATGCTTTTGTAGAATCTGCAAAGGGGTATTTCAGAGCTCACTGAGACCTATAGTGAGAAAACGCATATCCCAAAATGAAAACTAGAAAGAAGCTATCTTTAAAACTATTTTGAGATGTGTGGATTCAGCTATCAAAGTTAAACCTTTCTTTCATTCAGCAAGTTTGACCACTGTTTTTTTTAGAATGTGCAAAAACACATTTCTGAGCTAACTGAGGCCTACAATGAAAAACTTAATATCCCATGATAAAAACGAGAAAGAAGCTATCTGTGAAACTTCTATGTCATGTGTGGATTTATTTCACAGAGTTAAAACTTTCTTTACATTCAGCAGGCTGGAAACACTGTTTTTTAAGATCTGCAGATTGACATTTTGGACCCCATGGAGGCCTATCATGATAAACTGAATATCCCATGATAAAAACTAGAAAAAAGGCTATCTGTGGAGCTGCTTTGTGATATGTGGATTTAGCTTGTAAAGTGAAAGCTTTCTTTACATTTGGCAGGTTGGAAACACTATTTTTGCAGAATCTGCAAAGGAACTTTTTAAAGCTCACTGCAGCCTATTGTAAGAAACTGAATATCTTGCAATAAAAACCAGAAGGAAGCTATCTGTGAAACAGCTTTGTGATGCCTAGATTCAGCTCATAGAGTGAAATATTTCTGCACATTCAGCATTTTTGGAACACTGTTTTGTAGAATCTACAAAAGAAAATTTCAGAGCTCACTGAGAACTATAGTGAAAAACAGAATATTTGCAATAAAAACTAGAAGGAAGCTATCTGTGAAACCACTTTATGATGTGTGCATACAGCTTACAGAGTTAAAACTTTCTTTACATTCAGCAAGTTAAAAACACTGTTTTTATGGAATCTGTGAAGGGACATTTCAGAGCTCACTGAGGGCTATAGTAAAAAACTGAATATCCCATGAAAAAACTAGAAAGAAACTATCTGTGAAACGACTTTGTGATGTGGGAATTCAGCTCATAAATTGAAAACTTTCTTTACATTCAGGAGGTTGGAAGCACTGTTTTTGCAGAATCTGTGAAAGAACATTTTGGAACTCACTGAAACCTGTAGTGAAAAACTGAATATCCCATGACAAAAACTTGAAAAAAACCTATTTGTGAAACTGCTTTGTGATGTGTGGATTCAGCTCAGAATGTGAAACCTTTCTTACATTCAACAGGCTGGAAACACTGTTTTAGTAGAATCTGCAAATAGACATATCAGCACTCACAGAGGCCTATAGTGAAAAACAGAATAACCCAAGATAAAAACTAGAAAGAAGCTATCTGTGAAACTACTTTGTGATGTGTGGATTCAGCTCACAGTGTTAAAACTTTCTTTACATCCAGCATGTTGAAAACACTGTTTTTGTAGAACCTGTGAAGAGATATTTCAGTGCTCATTGAGGACTATAGTGAAAACTGGACTATCCTGCAATAAATACTAGAAAGAAGGTATCTTTGAAACTGCTTTGTGATGTGTATATTTAGCTGATAAACTGATAACTTTCTTAATATTCTGCCGGTTGGAAACACTGTTTTTGTACAATCAGTGAAAGGACATTTTAAAACTCACTGAGGCCTAGAGTAAAACACAATATCCCACAATAAAAAATAGAAAAAAGCTATCTGTGAAACTGCTTTGTGATGTGTGGATTCAGTTCCTAAGGTGAGACTATTCTTTACATTCTGCAAGTTGGAAACACTGTTTTAATAGAATCTTCAAAGAAACATTTCAAAGCTCTCTGAGGCGTATAGTGAAAAATTGAACAAACTGTGATAAAAACTAGAAAGAAACTATCTGTGAAACTACTTTGAGATGTGTGGATTCCTCTCATAGAGTGAAACTTTTCTTTACATTCAGCAGGTTGGAACAATGGTATGTTTAGAATTTGCAAGAGGACATTTCAGAGCTCACTGAGACCTACAGTGAAAAACAAAATATCACTTGATAAACACTCGGAAGAAACTACCTGTGAAACTGCTTTGGGATGTGTGGATTCAGCTCCTAAAATGAATCCTTTCTTGCACTGAGTTGGTTAGAAACTTTGTTTTAGTAAAATCTGTGAAGGGACATTTTGGAGATCACTGAGGTCTATTGTGAAAAACCAAAAACATGATAAAAACTGGAATGAAGCTGTCTGTGAAACTGCTTTTTGATGTGTGGATTCAGCTCACAGAATTAAAACTTTCTTTACATTTAGCAGGATGGAAAAACTGATTTTGTAGGATCTGCAAAGGTATATTTTGGAGACCATGGAGGCGTATAGTGGAATACAAAATATCCTGAGATAAAAAAAAAAAACAGAAAGAAGCTATCTTTGTAACTGCTTTGCAATGTTTGCATTCAGCTCATAGAGTGAAATCTTTCTTTACATTCAGCAGGTTGGAAACAATGTTTTTGTAGAATCTGTGAAGGGACATTTCACAGCTCACTGACCCCCACGATGAGAAAAAAAATATCCCACAATAAAAACTAAAAAGAAGTTATCTGTGAAACCGATTTGTAATGTGTGGATTCAACTTATAAAATGAAACCTTTCTTTACATTCAGCAGGTTGAAAACACTGTCTTAGTATAATCTGCAAAAAAACATTTCATAGCTCACTGATGCCTATAGTGAAAAACAAAATATCCCAGAATAAATACTAAAAAGAAGCTATCTGTCAAACTGCTTTGTGATGTTTGAATTCAGGATATAAACTGGTACCTTTCTTTACATTCAGCAGTTTGGAAACACTATTTTAGTAGAATCTGTGAAAAAAGCATTTCATAGCTCACTGAGGCCTATAGTGAAAACTGAACAACCCGCAATAAATACTAGAAAGAAGCTATCTTTGAAACCGATTTGTGATTTGTGGATTCAGCTCATAAAATGAAAACTTTCTTTATATTCAGCAGGCTGGAAACACTGTTTTTGTAGAATATGTGAAAGGATATTTGGGAAGTCACTGTGGCCTATAGTGAAAAACCAAATATCCTGCTATAAAAACTAGAAAGAAGCTATTTGTGAAGCTGCTTTATGATGTGTGGATTCAGCTCATAAAACAAAACCTTTCTTTACATTCAGCATGTTGGAAACCCTGTTTTTGTAGAATCTGTGAAAGGACATTTTGGAATTCACTGAGGCCTATGGTGAAAAACTGAATATCCCATGAGAAAAACTGAAAAGAATCTATATCTGTGAAACTGCTCTGTGATGTGCACATTTAGCTCATAAAGTGAAATCTTTCTTTAAATTCAGCAGGTTGAAAACACCGTTTGTGTAGAATCTGCAAAAGGACATTTCAGAGCTCACTGAGGCTATAATAAAAATCTGAATATCACACAATAAAAACTTTAAAGAAGCTATCTGTGAAACTGCTTTGTGATATGCAGATTCAGCTCTTAATGTGAAACATTTCTTAAATTCAGCAGGTTGGAAACAGTGTTTTAATAGAATCTGCGAAGCGACATTTCAAAGCTCCCTTAAGCCTATAGTGAAAAACCAAATATCCCATGATAAAAACTAGAAAGAAGCTCTCTGTGAAACTACTTTGAGGTGTGTGGATTCAGCTCATAAAGTGAAACATTTTTTACATATCGCAGGTTGGAAAAACTGTTTTTATAGAATCTACAAAGAGATACTTCAGAGCTCACAGAGGCCTATAGTGAAAAACCTAATATCCCATGAAAGAAACTAGAGAGAAGCTATCTGTGAAACTGCTTTGTGGTATATGGATTCAGTTTATAAAGTGAAATTTTTTTACATATAGCAGGTTGGAAAAGCTGTTTTTGTAGAATATGTGAAGGGACTTTTTGGAGCTCACAGAGGCCTCTAGTGAAAAACAAAATATTCTGCAAAAGAAACTTGAAAGAAGATATCTGTGAAACTGCTTTGGGATTTGTGGATTCAGCTTATAGCATGAAATATTTTTACATTTAGCAGGTTGGAAAAAACTGTTTTTGTAGAATCTGTGAAGGGAAATTTTTGAGCTCACAGAGGCCTATAGTTAAAAACTGAATATCCCACGATAAAAACCAGAAAGAAACTATCTGTGAAGCCACTTTGGAATGTGTGGATTTAGCTCATAAGGTGAATCATTTCATTACAGTCAGCAGGTTGAAAACACTGTTTTTGTAGAATCTGTGAAAGAACATTTTGGAGCTCACTGAGACCTATAGTGAAAAACGGAATATCCCATGATAAAAACTTGAAAGAAGCTACCTGTGAAACTGCTTTGTGATGCATGGATTCAACTCCTAAAGTGATACTTTTGTTACATTCAACAGGTTGGAAACACCGTTTCAGTAGAATCTGTGAAGGGACATTTTGGAGCCGAGGCCTATCATGAAAAACAAAATAACCCACAATGAAAACTAGAAAGAAGTTCTCTGTGAAACTGCTTTGTGATGTGTAGATTGGTCTCATAGAGTTAAACCTTTCTGAACATTCATTAGGTTGGAAACCCTGTTTTTGTAGGATCTGCAAAGGGACATTTTGGAGGCTATGGAGGCCTATAGTGAAAACTGAATATCCCACAATAAAATCTAGAAAGAAGCTGTCTGTGAAACTGATTTGTGATATTTAGATTTAGCTCAGAGTGTGAAACTGTTCTTTTTATTCAGCAGGCTGTAAGCACTGTTTTTTAGAATTTGCAAAGGGACATTTTGGAGCACACTAAGGCCAATGGTGTAAAAGAGTATCCCATGACGAAAACTAGAAAAAAGCTCTCTGTGAAATGGCTTTGTGTTGTGTTGATTCAGCTAACAGAATTAAACATTTTTTTTTCATTCTGCAGGATAGAAAAACTGTTTTTGCAGAATCTGCAAAGTGACATTTCAGAGCTCATTGAGGCCTATAAAGAAAAAATAAATAACCTACTGTAAAACCTAGAAAGAAGGTAACTGTCAAACTGCTTTTTGATGTGTGGATTCAACTCCTAACATGAAACCTTCCTTTACATTCAGCAGGTTGGAAACACTGTTTTTGTAGAATCTGTGAGGGGACATTTTGGTTCTCACTATGGCCTATAGGAAAAAACTGAATATCATGCTATAAATAGTAGAAAGAATCTACCTGTGAAGTGTGCATTATCTCTTAAGTGAAATCTTCCTTTACATTCAGCAATTTGGAAACACTGTTTTAGTAGAATATGTGAAGGGACATTGCAAAGCCCCCTTAAGACTACAGTGAAAAACTGAATATTCCATGATAAAAACTGGAAAGAACTTATCTATGAAACTGATTTTAGAGGTTTGGATTCAGCTTATAGAGTGAAACCTTTTTTATATTTAGCAGGTTGGAAAAACTGTTTTTGTAGTATCTGGAAAGGTATATTTCTGAGCTCACAGAGGCCTGTAGTGAAAAACCAAATATCCCACGACTAAAAACTAGAAAGAATCATTCTGTGGATCTGTTTTGTGATGTTAGGATTCAGCTCATAGAGTGAAAACTTTCTTTACATTCAGCAGGTTGGAAACACTGTTTTGGTAGAATCTGCAAAGAGACATTTTGGAGCTCACTGAGGCCTATAGTGAAAAATCAAATATCCTGCAACAATACCTAGAAACAAGCCATCTGTGATATCACTTTCTGACCCATGGATTCAGCTCATAGAGTGAAACCTTTGTTTACATTTAGCTGGTTGGAAACACCATTTTTCTGTAATCTATGAAGGGACATTTCAGAGCTCACTGAGGATTATAGTAAAAAACAAAATATCCCTAGATTAAAACTAGAAAGAAGCTATCTGTGAACCTGCATTGTGATTTTTGGATTCAGCTCATTGAGGAAAACCTATCTTTATGTTCAGTATTTTGGAAACACTGTTTTTGTATAATCTGCAAAGGAACATTTTAAAACTCACTGAGGTCTATAGTGAAAAACAGAATATCCCACTATAAAAACTAGAAAGAAGCTAACTGTGAAACGGGTTTGTAATGTGTGGATTCACCTCAGAGAGTTAAACCTTTCTTTACATTCAGCAGTTTGTAAACATTGTTTTTGTAGAATCTTCAAAGGGACATTTTGGGGTTCACTTAGGCTTATAATGAAAGACAGAATATCCTGCAATAAAAACTGTTGAAAGCCAAAAAAGGCCAAAGGGATCATGACCTTCTCAGCATTCCACTGGAGTCTATATGATCAAACCACAAACTGTTTATCATGAATACAGAATGTGGGCAAACTCGCCTCTCTGCCTGCCCGAGAAAGTTGGCTGAGGGCCATCATTCCCTGGCACTGTGTTCCTTAATTGTATCTATTGGAACATCTAGAGCCTTTTGTTCAAGGAATGCAGTCTTCCAAGCCTGCTATGGACCTAGCAGTTGACCTCTTTTCCCATTCCCTTCTTGCTATCTCTTTTACCAATAAATATGAAGGGCTATGGAAAGCTGACCCTTGTCCACTAGAGGTAAGGTGCCCCCAACCTCTTCTTCCAAATACACTCTTTTGTCTCTTTGTCTTTTATTCCTGTGTTCGTCCATCTTTGTTCTGTCTGATACAGGTCATGGGGTGCTTTAAAAAGTGGCACCCAAGCAGATGGTCTTTGAGGATGTGAACAGAGAAGGTCTGCTGGAGAAGAGGAACTGAAATTAGCAAGACAAACGGGACCCTGGGACAAGTCTGCTGGCAAGGCAAGTAAGGTCAGTGCTTTAAAGAGGTACTGATCATTGTCCAAAATGGTAATGGGAGCAGTGCTTTAAAGAAGTACTGGGAATGGGAAGTTTTCTGAATCAGGATAACATGGGGCAGAGTCTGTCTATTGGAGAAAAACATATGCAGTTGCTTAAAGTTTTGTTGAAACAAACTGGTGCTAAGGTTAGATCTCAGAAGCTAACTATGATGCTGCAAGAAGTTATTACACATAACCCATGGTTTCCACAGGTAGGCACTCTTGATGTGGAAAATTGGGACAGAGCAGAAGAAAAATTAAAATGGGCTCATCAAAAAGACTTAAATTGATTCTTCTGTTTTCTACACTTGGAGTTTAGTTCATACTGTACTTCTGCCATTATCTCTTTCTTATTCTGCTGGACAGAAGGAGTCATGTTCTGAGACAAAAAATGTGAAAGAATTTGTTGTCCCACCCACAGCTCCAATTGAAAATAAAAAACCAGAGAGGGAGGATAAAAATTGGCTTATACCACCCCTTCAACTTGCAGAAACATCTTTACTGCCTCTTTGGTAGCAGAAATAGAGACCCCAACACAAAGAATTTTATGTTCTGCTGCCATAGCTGGAGAGACTTTAGGACCTTGAACTTTTCCTATTTTTGTAAGGCCTGATCCAAATAATCCACAGAAGCTTATTCATGAACAAGCCCCACTAGAGTATAAGTTGTTGAAAGAATTAAAAGTGGGTGTGGTTAATAATTGTGTACAAAGCCCACTCATTTTAGGATTGCTAGAATCTGTGTTTGGTGCTATGCATCTTTTACCCTTTGATGTAAAACATTTGGCTTGAACTTGCTTGTCTGCTAGTGGATATCTGTCATGGAATTTGAATTTGCAAGAAATGTGTGGAGAGCAGGCTAGACAGAATCCTGTTGCTGCGCATGGAGACATTACAGAGAATATGCTGTTAGGTAATGCCTTTATTCAGACCTGGAACAACAAATGGCACCACCAGATGCTGCATATCAGCAGTGTGCACAGACCACTAAATGTTCCTGGGCCACAATTCCTGAAGAGGGAGTCCCAGTTCAACCCTTTCTACATATCATGCAATGGTCACATGAGTCTCATGCACATTTTCTTGCATTATTCCAAGAGACACTGAAGCATCAGATTCCTCATACTAATGGCTAATTCAGGAGTTGACAAATCTAAAAGGAGCCAACAGTCAAACTCTAAAATGGGAAAGTGTTATAATTGTGGAAAAACTGGACATTTTAAAAAGGAATATTACCAGATAGCAGGACAGAAAGGACCTTATAATGAAGTTCCCCCCTGACAAGGGAAAAAAATGCCAACACTTTGTCCTCACTGTAACAAAGGAAATCACTGGGCTAATCAGTGCCTTTCACAACTTCATCAGAATGGCGCCCCCCTGTTGGGAAATGAGACAGGGACCGGGACCCAGACCCCACAAACAGTGAGGGCATTCTCAGTCCAGACCTCAATCCAGTTTCAGGCATGGGTTTCCAGGAGCACATTGATTCCCCCAGGAAAACCAGGAAGTGCAGGATTAGATCTACCCACCAGAGAAAGAATTGCATTAGTTTGGGGAAAAAACCCATCAAAGTTCCACTGGTATTTGGGGACATTTACCAACAGGATACACTGCACCAATTTTAGGCAAAAGCCATCTTAACTTTCAAGGCATCACTGTAGTCCCAGGAGTGATCGACTCTGATTATGAAGGAGAAATTTAAGTAGTTTTAATGTCACAAGACCTTTGGGTTTTTGAACCGGTAGAGTATATCACTCAATTATTGCTTATTCCCTGCAAACTACACTCTTCCCCACGAAAGGAGAAAAAGGAAAATAAAGGGTTTGGGAGCACAACTACACGAGAAATCTATCTATCCCAAACCATAGCCTTTAATAGACCTACCTGTGTAGTACAAATTAAAGGAAATACATTTTATGGGCTTACAGATATGGGAGCTGATGTGTCAGTAATATCTAAAGACAATTGGCCCCCATCCTGGCCCGGGCAATTAACTTCTATGTCTCTAGTGGGAGTAGGATCAGCTCAAAGTGTTCAACAAAGTGTTGAGACTTTACCTTGTCTTGGTGTGGATGGACAGTCATGTACTTTTCAGCCTTATGTTGCAAATATAACTATCAATTTACAGAGTCAAGACTTACAGCATGGGATATGAGACTTACAAATGAAAACTTTGATAACCCAGGACTTAAAATGTTGAAGGACATGGGATATCAGAGTGGAAGAGGTTTGAGGAGGTTCCTACAGGAAAATTCTAACTGATATCAGTAATTGGAAAAACAGATAGAAAAGGGCTAGGACGTCAGGATTTCTGATAGAGGTCTTTGACATTTCTCCTTCACCCTCTGCCTTACCATTAGAATGGCTCATTGAAAAACCTGTATGGGTGGATTAATGGCCCCATCTCGGGAGAAGCTGATGCAGCTTCAGTAGCTAGTAAAAGAACAATTGGACGCAGGACACATAGAGAAGTCATGTAGCTCCTGGAATATGCCAGCGCTTGTTATTCCAAAAAAGTCCAGAAGATGTCGACTGCAGCATGATTTGACAGCTATTAATGCCCAAATTAAACTGATGGGTGTCTTACAGAAAGATTTACCATCTCTACCAGCTCTTCCAAGAGACTAGCCTCTTGTAACAAATTTTAAGGATTATTAACTATACCCTTATCGAAGGATAAGCCTCAATTTGCCTTCTCGGTGTCTTCTATTAATCAAAGAGATCATGTTTATCGTTACCAATGGAGAGTTTTACCCCAAGGCATGCTTAACAGTCCTACGCTATGTCAGCACTTTGTAGGACAGGCATTAAAGAATTCTCAGAAGATGTTTCCTATGGCTTACATCATTCATTTTATGGATGATTTTTTTGGCCACTCCTACAGATCAAATCCTACATCATTTATTCAGAGAAACAAACCAGGCTTTGGCTAAATGGAGTCTCAAAATAGCAACAGAAAAAGTACAAACAACTTCCCCATACCATTACTTAGGAACAATTGTTATTGAAAGAAGTGTAAGGCCTCAGAAAGCAGTTCTCTGTAAAGACAGGTTGCAGACTTTAAATGATTTTCAACAATTATTAGGAGACATTAATTGGCTACGCCCGATGCTAGGTATTGCAACCTATCAATTTACACATCTTTACCAAACTCTGCAATAAGATTCTTCTTTAAATTCCCTGTGGCAATTAACAAAAGAGGCAGAAGCCTAGTTACATCTTGTAGAGCAGATGCTTCATCAGAGAGATGCCACACAGCTACAACTGCAAAAACTTTTGCTTTAGTTTAGTCTTCCTACCCCCATTCTCCAACAGGACTTTTGGGCCAGTTCACAGACAAGTCTGTAACAGTAATAGAATGGCTCGTTCTACCTAATCAAACAGTCAAAACCCTACAAGTTTATCTTTCTTTAATTACACAAATTGTGACTATGGGCTGACATAGGTCAAAAATGCTTATGGGATATTACCCTGGTAAAATTATTGTTCCTTTAGACTCTCAGCAACAAGCTGCAGCTTGGGAAATGTCAATTGCCTGGCAAACTGCTTTTGCAGACTTTGTGGGTGCTACAGGTAACCATTATTCCTCACACAAAATTCTGCACTTTTATAAATTCCATTATTTCATTCTTCCTGTGATTACTCATCACAAGCCTATTCCAGGTGGCTAGACTTATTTTACTGATGGCTCTTCCAAAGGTCATGCCACTGTCTGTGGACCTAATCATACTCAAATTATAATGACATCTCGGGTTTCAGCTCGACTCTCAGAGCTAATTGCCATCATTCAGGTTTTACATCTCACAGCTTTAGATAATATCAACGTTGTCTGTGATTCAGCTTATGTTGTAAATGTAGCCAGTCACATAGAAACTGTGACAGTTAAAAGTACACTAGACCCAGAACTGCCTAATTTATTTTTAAGACTTGAACAAGTTATTCACTCTCGTGCAGCTCCTTTTCATATTTCTCATATTCGTTCTCACACACAACTTCCTGGGCCACTATGTCTAGCTAATGAGAGAGCAGATAAACTGATTTGTTCTCTGTTTCAGTAAGCTCAAACATCTCATGTGCTACTGCACCAAAATACTTCTGCCCTTACTCACATGTTCCATTTACCTGGCAGCCAAGCTAGGGTTATAATACAAGCTCTCCTACTTGCCACCATGTCCCTGGTGCCACACTTGTAGAAGGATGTAATCCATGGGTTTGGCTCCAAATGAAATTTGGCAAAATTATGTTACACACATAACAGCCTTTGGCAAGTCTAGCTATGTTCATGTGACTGTAGACACTTATTCTCATATGCTGCATGCTACATGCCAAGCAAGTGAGACAGCTGGCCATTTATGGTGATACTGTCTGTCATTATTTCCTCATATGGGGATAAGTAAACAATTAAAAACTGACAATGGACTGACTTATACTTGTCATGCTTTTCGAAATTTCTTACAGCTTTGGGCTATAACCCATAAAAGAGAAATTCCTTATAATCCTAGAGGACAAGGAATTATAGAGCAGGAACCTCAAACATTACAACTCATGTTGAAGAGACAAAAAGGAAGTATAGAAGACCATTTACTACCACAATCCAAACTGCATTTAGCCTTATTTACTTTAAATTTTTCAACTCCTGGTATGGATGGTAAAACTCCAGCAGAAAGACATAGGCAAATGTTACAAGAAAAGAGGAAAATTTATAGGAAAGTGTTATGGAAATCCCAAGAAGAAGGACAATGGAAACGTCCAGTGGATTTACTGATGTGGGGACGAGAGTATGCTGACATTTTTACAGGAGATGGACAAGCCGTGTGGCTGCCCTCAGGGTGTGTGCGACCATGGAATGGGAGACTAGAGGAACCCAGGGTGGCCAACCATGGGCCCAGTCCCTCCAGCATGTGCTGTGAGCCAGCTGAGCCTGAGTGCAAAGACAAAGAGAAGAACAAGCAAGGTCATGATGACACCAACCCCCATAACCTAAGGACAACTCAAGAAAACCACGCAGGAAGCTGAGAAACTACTGGAGTTTCAAGGCCAGACAAAAACCCCTGATTCCATGTTCATGGCCATGTTAACCATAATGTCCTGTGCAGTATGTTTTCCCTGTGCAGAGGCAAAAACATATTGGGCATATGTTCCCACTCCCCCAATATTACAACCTGTACTTCAGAATGACACTCCTCCTGAGATTTATCACGATCAGGGAGAGTGGGCTCCAGGATTCCTAACTCCCCCTGAAATAGAACACTTAGACTCTCAGAAAAATGTCATTAATTATACCACTCCACTGGAAGGACTTCCTTTATGTATCACCACAAAGATATCACTGAGCCATAGCTGTCTTACAATTCAAGCTCAAACATGGTTGAGTCACTGTGGAAAAATCAGGTACTTATTAAGTCTTGGTTCTATTAATGTAACAGGTGTACTAACCTACCATTCCCAGCCCAATCACCCTAGTTGCACTAATTTTACAGAATGGATTCCATCCAATAGTTCCTATCACTCTCCGTGGACCCAGTGCCTTGGTCCCCTGGCTAGAAAACAATCTATGTTAACTGGAGACATTATGGATTGAGGACCAAAAAGTCAACTATATGGTAAAGATAAAAGTCAGAAATCATGGCATAAACTTCCCTGCCATTGGTGGCGAGCTTTTAATACTTATTCCACATACAACGCTGGAATGCAATCCCAGTCTGCACCCAGATTGCTTGGCATGGAGTAGGCTTTAGCCTGCCTTTGCCTCAATGGCCTTATTTAGGAAAAACGGGACCAGTCCAAGAAACAATATGAAAGGCAGCACTCCCATTTGTGAATGGCAGCATCTGGATTGGGATACGCCAATAATAGCAGTAGTAGGCAACACAGTCTTAATGTATCACCACTCAATTTACAGTTTGTGTTTTTAACCCTTATGTCTTTTTGGCAGCTAAGAAGGACAAGCTCCAGGTAAACAATACCCAATTGACCTGTAAATCTTGCCAGTTATATCACTGCATTAATCATAGCACATTGGAAACACATAGTGTATCTACTTTGATGATTTTAGGTTGCATCCCTGGCCTCTGGATTCCTGTTAATCCGTCTGAGCCTAGAGCTGCCACAACTGCTTTGCACTTTGTGAAACTTCTAACTTAGCTTACTCATTGTCCATAGAGCCTTAGGCATGATAATTTTTGGTATTGTTTCCTTGGTCATGCTAATAACTTCTGGAGTGATGTCCTTTGTAGCGTTGCATAGTTCTGTTCAAATGGCTCAGTACGAAGAGAATTGGACATGTACAGCCAACCAAGCATAGCCACTTCAGAATAAAATTAATACTGAGCTACAAAATGAAGTGGCAATGTTGAAATCCACAGTTCTGTGGTTAGGGGAACAAGGACAAAGATTGCAGTTGCAGCAACAATTGCGTTGTCATTTTAACCACACTCATATATGTGCAACCAACTTAGAATATAACAAAAGTGACTATCCATGGGGCCTTGTGAAAGCCCATTTGCAGGGAGCTTTCACACCCAACATCACTTTTTGTATTGGTGAATTACAAAACAAAATTATTGACTTAAATAAACAAACTCAAGATTTTCAGCCTTCTTTAAAAGACTGGACTGAATTCCAGCAAGGCCTGGAGAGCCTCAATTATTGGATCTATCTAAAGTCCTATGTTAATATTCCATATATAGTTCTTGGAATAGTTTTATCTCCGTCTTCTGTTCATAGTCTGCAAAATTGGATGAACAGCCAATCAGATGAGAACTGCCCAGCCTGGCCTTACATTTTTTCAGTTAATTCATAAACTGAGAGGGGAAAATGTTGAGAGAAGAAAAGGCTGAAGGGCTTGTGACCAACTCAGCATTTTGCTGGAGGCCATATAATCAAACAGCAAACTGTTTATCATGAATACAGAATGTGGGCAAACTCGATTCTGTGCCTGCCGTAGAAGGATTGCTGAGGGCCATCACTCCCTGGTTCCATGCTCCTTGAAGTTATCTACCAAAATACATAGAGCCTATTGTTCGAGGAATGCAGTCTTACAAGCCTACACCAGACTAGGCAGGTGAGCTACTCTTCCAAACCCTTCTCATTATCTCTTTTAGCAATAAATAAGAATGGCAGTGGAAAGTCGGGGCCCATGTCCACTAGAGGCAATGTGCCCACTGACCCCTTCTTCCAAATATACTCTTTTGTCTCCTTGTCTTTTCTTCCCACATTTGTCCCCCTTCACTCAGTCTGATATAGGGCATGGGGTGCTTAACAAAAAACTAGAAAGAAGCTATCTGTGAAGCTGCTTCATGGTGTGTGGATTCAGCTCACACAGTTAAAACTTTCTTTATGTTCAGCAGGCTGGAAACACTGTTTTTGTCAACTCTGCGAAGAGACATTTTGGAGATCACTGAGGCCTATAGTGAAAAATTGAATATCCTGTGATAAAAACTAGAAAGAAGTGCCCTGTGAAACTGCTTTGTTATGTGTGGATTTAACTCAAAAAGTGAAACCTTTCTTTACATTAAGCAGGTTGGAAACACTGTTTTCATGGAATCTGCAAAAGGATATTTTGGAGCTCACTGGGGCCTAAAGTGAAAAATCAAACATCCTGTGATAAAAATTTGAAAGAATCTCTCTGTAAAACAGATTTGTGATGTGTGGATTGAGCTCCTAAAGTGAAACCTTTCTTACACTCAGTGGCTTGGAAATACTGTTTTAGTAGAATCTGTGATGGGACATTTGAGGCCTATGGTAAAAAACCGAATAATCCATTATAAAAACTATAAAGAAGCTGTCTGAGAAACTGCTTTTAGATGTGTAGATTAAGCTCATAGAGTGAAACCTTTCTTTACATTTAGCAGGTTGGAAACACTGCTTTGTAGAATCTGTGATGAAACATTTTGAATCTCACTGAGGCCTATAGTAAAAACCCAAATATCCCATGATAAAAACCAGACAGAATCTATCTATGAAACCACATTGTGATGTGTGGATTGAGCTAACTGAGCTAAAGTTTGTTTACATTGATCAGGTTGGAAGCACTATTTTATAGGATCTGCAAAGAGATATTTTGGAGCTCACTGAGGCCTTTATTGAAAAACAATATCCCATGATAAAAAATAGAAAGAAGCTATCTGTGAAACTGTTTGTGATGTGGGTATTCAGCTCATAAATTAAAACCTTTCTTTACATTCAGCACCTTGGAAACACTGTTTTTGTAGAATCTGTGACAGGGCATTTCAGAGCTCACTGAAGCCTATAGTGAAAAACCAAATATCCCATGATAAAAACTACAAAGAATCTATCTGTGAAACTCTTTCTGATGTGTGGATTCAGCTCACAGAGTTAAATTTTTTCATTAAATTCAGCAGGGTGGAAAAACTGATTTTGTTGGTTCTGTGATGGGACATTTCAGAGCCCCTGGAGGCCAGTAGTGAAAAACCAAATATCCAGCAATAAAAACTAGAAAGAGGCCATCTCTGAAACTGCTTTGTGATGTGAGGATTCAGCTCATAGAGTGAAACCTTTCTTTACATTTAGTAGGTTGGAGACACTGTTTTTGTAGAATTTGCAAAGGGACATTTCAGAGCTCACTAAGGCCTATAGTGAAAAATGGAACATCCGACAATAAAAACTTGAAAGAATCTATCTGTGAAACTGCTTTGAGGTGTGTGGATTCAGCTCATACAGTGAAACCTTTCTTACAATAAGCAGGTTGGAAACACTTTTTTAGTAGAATCTGCAAAAGGACATTTCAGAGCTTCCTGAGGCCTATAGTTAAAAACCAAACAACCCACGATAAAAACTGGAAAGATGCTATCTCTTAAACTGATCTAAGACGTTGAATTCAGCTCATAAATTGAAACCTTTCTTTACATTCAGCAGGATGGAAACACTGTTTTTGTAGAATCTGCAAAAGGACATTTCAGAGCTCACTTAGGCCTATAGTAAAAACTGCAAAGAAGATGTTAAACTGAGATAAAAACTGCAATAAAAACTGCAAAGAAGCTGTTAAACTGCTTTGAGGTGTTGGATTCAGTTCATGGAGTGAAATCTTTCTTTACATTCGGGAGGTTGGAAAGATTCTTTCTGCAGAATCTGTGAAGGGACATTTTGGAGCTCACTTGGGCCTAAAGTGAAAAAAAGATTATCCCATGATAAAAACTAGACAGCAGCTTTCTGTGAAAGTGCTTTTTGATGTGCTTACTCAGCTAACCGAGTTAAACTTTCTTTACATTCAACAGGTTAGAAACCCTATTTTTGTAGGATCTGCAAAGGGACATTTTGTAGCCCATGGAGACCTATAGTGAAAAACTGAAAAACCCAAAATAAAAAGTCAAAAAAACCTATCTGTGAAACTGCTTTGCCATATTTGGATACAGCTCATAGAATGAAATCTTTTTTTACATTCATCAGGTTGGAAACATTGTTATGGTAAAATCTGTGAAGGGACATTTTGGAGCTCACTGAAGCCTATAGTAAAAAACTGAATATTCTGTGATAAAACAAGAGCTAACCTATCTCTGAAACTGCTCTGTGATGTGTGGATTCATCTCAAAAACAGAAACCTTTCTTTAACATTCAAGAGGTTTGAAACACTGTTTTTGCAGAATCTGTGATGGGACATTTCAGAGCTCACTGAGGCCTATAGGGAAAAACTGAATATCATGTAATAAAAACTAGAAAGACTCTTGTCTGTGAAATGGCTTTGTGATGTGTGAATGCAGCTCACAGAGATAAACCTTTTCTTTGCATTCAACAGCTTGGAAACACTGTTTTTGTGGAATATGCAGTGGGACAGTTTGGAGCCCCTGGACGCCTACAATA
Source organism: Homo sapiens (assembly GCF_000001405.40). NCBI lineage: Eukaryota > Metazoa > Chordata > Mammalia > Primates > Hominidae > Homo > Homo sapiens. The sequence continues at coordinate 46,480,966 of NC_000008.11, read as the reverse complement.
AAAAACCAAATATCCAGCAATAAATACTAGAAAGAAGCTATCTGTGAAATCGTTTAGTGATATGAGAATTCAGCTCATAGAGTAAACCTTTCTTTACATTTAGCAGGTGAAAACAGTGTTTTTGTAGAATCTGCAAAGGAAAATTTCAGAGCTCACTGAGGCCTATAGTGAAAAACAAAATATCCCATGATAAAAACTGGAAAGAAGCTATCTGTGAAACAGCTTTGTGATATGTGGATACAGCTCACAAAGAGAAACCTTTCTTTATATCCAGCAAGTTGAAAACTCTGTTTTTGTAGAATCTGCAAGAGGACATTCCAAAGCTCACTGAGGCCTATAGTGAAAAACCAAATATTCCGTGATAAAAACTACAAAGAAGCTGTCTGTGAAACTGATTTGTGATGTGTGGATTCAGCTCACAGGGTTAAACATTTTCTTTAAATTCAGCTGGGTGGAAACACTGTTTTTGTAGGATCTGTGAAAAAACATTTCAGAGCTCACTGAGGCCTATATTAAAAAACTGAATAAACCTCGATAAAAACTGAAAAGAAGCTATCTCATAAACTGCTTTGAGACGTTGTATTCAGCTCATAGAGTGAAACATTTCTTCACATTCAGCAGGTTGGAAATTGTGTTTTTGTAGGATCTGCAAAGGAACATTTTGGAGCCCATGGAGGCCTATAGTGAAAAACAGAATATCCTGCAATAAAAACTTGAAAGAAGTTATCTGTGAAACCGCTTTGCCATATTTGGATACAGCTCATAGAGTAAAACCATTCTTTTCATTCAGTAGATTGGAAAGACTCTTTTTGTAGAAGTGGCGAAAGGACTTTTCGGAGCTCACTGAGGCCTATAGTGAAAAATTGAATATCCCCTGACAAAAACTAGAAAGAAGCTATCTGTGAAACTACTTTGTGATGTGTGGATTTAACTCATAAAGTGAAACCTTTCTTTACATTCAGCAGGTTGGAAACACTGTTTTAATAGAATCTGCAAAAGGGCATTTCAGAGCTCACTGAGGCCTAAAGTGAAAAATTGAATATACCACAATAAAAACTTGAAAGAAGCTATATGTAAAACTGCTTTGTGACGTGTGGATTGAGCTCCTAATGTGAAACCTTTCGTACATGCAGCAGCTTGGAAACACTGTTTTGGTAGAATCTGCAAAAGGACATTTCAGAGCTCACTGAGGCCTAAAGTGAAAAATCAAATATCCCACGATAAAGACTTGAAGGAAGCTATCTGTGAAACCACTTTTAGATGTGTGGATTAAGCTCATAGACTGAAATTGAAGCTCACTGAGGCCTATAGGGAAAACATGATTATCTCCCAAATACAACTAGACAGACGCTATCTGTGAAACCACATTGTGATGTTTGGATTGAGCTTACCAAGTAAAACTTTCTTTACATTCAGCAGGTTTTAACACTGTTTTTGTAGGATCTGCAAAGGGACATTTTGGAGCCCACAGAGGCCTATAGTGAAAATCTGAATATCCCGCAATAAAAAGTTGAAAGAATCTACTCGTGAAACCGTTTTGTGATGTTTGGATTTAGCTCAAAGAATGAAACCTTTTTTTACATTTAGCATGTTGGAAACACTGTTTTTGTAGAATCTATGCAGGGGCATTCAGAAGCTCACTGAGGCCTATAGTGAAAAACGGAATATCCCATGATAAAAATTAGGGAGAAGCTATCTGTGAAACTATTTGTGATGTGGGGATTCAGCTCATAAAGTCAAACCTTTCTTTACATTGAGCAGCTTGGAAACATTGTTTTTGTAGAATCTGCAAAAGGACATTTCAGAGCTCACTGAGGCTTATAGTAACAAATTAAAATATACCACAATATAAACTAGAAATGAACCATATGTGAAACCTCGTCATAATGTGTGGATTCAGCTCATAAAGTTAACCTTTGTTTTCTTTTTGCATTCAGTAGGTTGGAAACACTGTTTCTGTAGAATCTGCAAAGGGAGATTTCAGAGCTCACTGACTCCTATAGTGAAAAACCAAAAATCCTGTGATAAAAACTAGAAAGAAGCTATCCGTGAAACCGCTTTGTGATGGGTGGATACAGCTCATAAAGTGAAACCTTTCTTAACATCCAGCAAGTTGAAAACTTGCAGATTCTACAAAAGGGTGTTTTTGCAGTTAAATCCACACATCAAAAAGCAACCTCACAGACACTGCTGGAATCTACACTGTTTTTGTAGAATCTGAAAAAGGGACATTTCAGAGGTCACTGAGACCTATAGTGAAAAACAGAATATCCCAGGATAAAAACTAGCAAGAAGCTACCTGTGAAACTGCTTTGTGATGCATGGAATCAGCTCACAGAGTCAAACCTTTCTTTAAATCCAGCAATTTGGAAACACTGATTTTGTAGCATCTGCAAAGAGATATTTCTGAGCTCACTGAGGCCTATAATGAAAAACAGAATATTCTGGCATAAAAATTAGAAAAAAGCCATCTGTGAAACTGCTTTGTAATGTGTGCATTAAGATCAAAGAGTTAAATCTTTCTTTACATTCAGCAAGTTGGAAACACTGTTTTTATACAATCTGCAAAGGGACATTTCAAAGCTCATTGAGGCCTATAGTGAAAAAGAGAATAACCTGTGATAAAATTAGAAAGAAGCTACCTGTGAAATGGGTTTTGGACACGTGGATTCAGCTCACAGACTTAAACTTTGCTTTACATTCTGCAAGTTGTACACACTGTTTTTGTAAGATCTGCCAAAGGACAATTCAGAGCCCATGAAGGCCTATAGTAAAAAACCAAATACTTCATGATAATAACTAGAAAGAAAGTATCTGTGAAACTGCTTTGTACTGTGTGCTTTCAGCACATAAAGTGAAACCTTTATTGCTTTCAGCACATAAAGTGAAACCTTTATTACTTTCAGCAATGCTGAAGCATTGTTTTTGTAAGATCTGCAAAGGGACATTTCAGAGCTCAGTGAGGCCTATAGTGAAAAACTTAATATCCTGTGATTGAAACTAGAAAGAAGCTATCTGTGAAACTGCTTTGTGATGTATAGACTCAGCTCACAGAATTAAACCTTTCTTTGTATTTCATAGGTTAGAAACACTGAATCTGTAGAATCTGTGAAGGAACAGTTTGGAGCCATTGGAGGCCCATAGTAAAAAACTGAATACCCCAAAATAAAAACTAGAAAGAAGCTGTCTGTGAAACTGTTTTGTGATGGGTGGATTCAGCTCTTAGAGTAAAACCTTTATTTACATTCAGCGGGTTGGAAACACTGTTTTTGTAGAATCTGTGAAGGGACATGTCAAATCTCATTGAGGCCTATAAAGAAAAACAAAACATCCTGTGATAAAAACTAGATAGAAGCTGTCTGTGAAACAGCTTTGTAATGTTAGGATTCAGCTCACATACTTAAAACTTTCTTTACATTCAACAGGTTGGAAACATTGTTTTCAGGATCTGCAAAGGAACATTTTGAAGCCAATGGAGGACTATAGTGAAAAACCAAATATCCCGTGATAAAAACTAGAAAGAAGCTATCTGTGAAAGTGCTTTGTGATGTGTGGATTCAACTCATAAAGTGATACCTTTATTTATATTCAGAAGGTTGAAAACAGGGTTTTTGTAGAACCTGAGAAGGGACATTTAAGAGCTCACTGAAGCCTACAGTGAAAAGTCGAATATCCCAAAATAACAAGTAGAAAATAATTGTGAAACCGCTTACTGATGTGTGGATTCAATTCAAAGAGTGATACTTTTCTTTACATTCAGGAGGTTCAAAACACTGTTTTTGTAGAATTTGCAAAGGGAAATTTTGGAGGACACTGAGGCCTATAGTGTAAAACTGAATATCCCATGATAAAAACTAGAAAGAAGCTATCTGTGAAATGGCTTTTTGATGTGTGGTTTCAGCTTATACATTAAACCTTTCTTTACATTCAACAAGATTGAAACACAGTTTTTGTAGAATTTGTGGAGGGATATTTTGGATCTCACAGATTTCTATAGTGAAAAACCGAATATCCCATGATAAAAACTGCAAAGAAGCTATCTGTGAAACCACTTTGTAGTGTGTGGATTCAGCTCATAAGTGAAACCATCCTTTACATTCAGCAAGTTGGAAACACTGTTTTTGTAGTATTTGCCAAGAGACATTTCAGAGTTCACTGAGGCCTATAGTGAGAAACCGATTATCTTGTGATAAAAACTAGAAAGAAGCTATCTGTGAAACCACTTTGTGGTGGGTTGATTCAGCTCACAGAATGAAATCTATCTTTACTTTCAGCTAGTTGGAAACACTGTTTTTGTAAGATCTGTGAAGGGACACTTCAAAGCCCATGGAGACCTATAGAGAAAAACCAAATAACTCATGATAAAAACAAGAAATAAGGTATCTTTGAAAGTGCTTTGTGATGTGTGGGTTTAGCTCATAGAGTGATGCATTTCTTTACATTCAGCAGGTTGGAAACACTGTTTTTGTAGACTCCTTGAAGGGACATTATGGAGGACAATGAAGCCTGTAGTTAAAAACTGAATATTCCACAATAAAAACTAGAAAGAAGTTATGTGTGAAACCACTTTGCGATGTGTGGATTCAGCTCACAGAGTTAAACCATATTTTCGATACAACAGGATTAAAACACTGTTTTTGTAGAATCTGTGAAGGGACATTTCAGAACTTACTGAGTAATATAGTGAAAAATCGAATATCCCCCAATAAAAACTAGAAAGAAGCTATCTGTGAACCAGTTTGTGATGTGTGGATTCAGCTCACATTTAAACGTTTCTTTACATTCAGCAATTGGAAAAACTGTTTTGTAGGATCTACAAAGGGACATTTCAGTGCCCAAAGATGCCTATAGTGAAAAACTGAATATCCCATGATGAAAACTAAAAAGACTCTATGTGTGAAACCACTTTGTGAAATGTGGATTCAGCTCATAGAGTGATACCTTTCTTTACATTCATCAGGTTGTAAACAATGTTTTTGTTCATATCTGCAAAGAAACACTTTGGAGCTCACTGAGGCCTGTAGTGTAAAACTAAATATCCCGTGATAAGAACTAGACAGAAGCGTATGTGAAATCACTTTGTGTTGCATGCATTCTGCTCACACAGTTGAACCTTTTTTTTTTTACATTCAGCAGGTTGGAAATACTGTTTCTGTATTATCTGCAAAGAGACATTTCAGAGCTCACTTCGGCCTGCAGAGAAAAACAGAATATCTCATGATAAAAACTAAGAAGAAGCTTTCTGTGAAACTGCTTTGTGATGTGTGGATTCAGATTGTCAAATGAAACCTTTCTTTACATTCAGCAGATTGGAAACACTGTTTTTGTAGGATCTGGGAAGGAACACTTCTGAGCTCATTGAGGCCTATAGTGAAAAACTGAAAATCTCGGGATAAAAACTAGAAAAAAGCTATCTGTGAAACCACATTGTGATGTGTGTAATCAGATCACATAGTTGAAACTTACTCTACATTCAGCAGGTTGGAAACACTGTTTTTGTAGAATTTGCAAAGGTTCATTTTGGATCTCACTGAAGCCTATAGTAAAAAACTGAATATCCTGTGATGAAAACGTGAAAAAAGCTATCTGTGAAATTGCTTTGTGATGTGTGGATTCAGCTCACAGAGTTAAACCTTTCTTAACATTCGGCAAGTTGGAAACACTTTTTGCAGTATCTGCGGAGAAACATTTCAAAGCCCATGGAGACATACAGTGAAAAAAACAAAATACTCCGAGATAAAAACAAAAAAGAAGCTATCTCTGAAACTACTTTGTGATGTGTGGATTCAGCTCATAGAGTGATAACTTTCTTTGCAATCAGCAGGTTGGAAACACTATTTTTGTAGAATCTGCAAAGGGACTTTTTGGAGGTCACTGAGGCCTATATTGAAAAACAGAATATACCATGATAAAAACTAGAAAGAAGCTATCTGTGAAATCGCTTTTTGATGTGTAGATTCAGCTTACACCGTTAAAGCTTTCTTTACATTCAGCAGGATGGAAACACTGTTTTTGTACTATCTGCCAAGGGACATTTCAAAGCTCACTGAGGCCTACAGTGAAAAACCAAATATCTCACTATAAATAGAAGAAAGATGCTATCTGTAAAACTGCTGTGTGATGGGTGGAATGAACTCAACAGAGTCAAATCTTTCTTTACATTCAGTAGTAGATTGGAAACACTGTTTTTGTAGGTTCTGCAATGGGATATTTTGGAACCCGTGGAGGCCTAAAGAGAAAAACCAAATATCTGTGATTAAAAACTAGAAAAAATCTTTCTGTGAAACAACTTTGTGATGTATGGTTTCAGCTGATTGAGTGAAACTGTTCCTTACATTCAGGAGGTTGGAAACCCTGTTTTTGTACAATCTATGAAGACATATTTTGGAGCTCACAGAGTCCTATACTGAAAAACTGAATATCCCACAATAAAAACTAGAAAGAAGATTCCTGTTAAACTACTATGTGATGTGCGGATTCAGGTCACAGAGTCAAACCTTTCTTTACATTTAGCAGTTTGGAAACAGTTTTTGTAGAATCTGCAAAGGGACATTTCGGATCTGACTGAGGCCTAGAGTGAGAACCTGAATATCCTGCAATGAAAACTTGAAAGAAGCTATCTTTGAAATTGCTTAGTGATGTGTGGATTCAGCTCACAGAGTTAAACCATTGTTTACATTCAGCAGGTTGGAGACACTCTTTTTGTAGAATCTGCAAAAAGACATTTCTGAGATCACTGAGGTGTATAGTGAAAAACATAGTATTTCAGGATAAAAACTAGAAAGAAGCTATCTGTGAAACCACTTTGTGATGTGTGGATTATGTTCAAGAACAGAAACTTTCTTTACATTCATCAGGTTGGAAACAGTGTTTTTGTAGAATCTACAAAGACACATTTCAGAGCTTACCAAGGTCTATAATGAATAACAAAGTATCCTGTGATAACAACCAGAAGGAAGCTATCCGTGAAACTGCTTTGTGATGCGTGGATTCAGTTCACACAGATAAAATTTTCTTTACATTTGACAGTTTGGAAACCCTGTTTTTTGTAGAAACTACAAAGGGTCATTTCAGAGCTCACTGAGGCCAATAGTGAAAAATGAAATATCCCATGATAAAATCTAGAAAGAAGCTATCTGTGAAACAGCTTTGTGTTGTGTGGATTCAGCTCATAGAGTGAAACCTTTCTTTATATTGAGCAGGTTGAATGCACTGTTTTTGTAGGATCTGATAAGGGACATTTCAGAGCCCAGGGAGGCCAGTAGTGAAAAACCTAATATCCTGCAATAAAAACTAGAAAGAAGCTCTCTGTGAAACTGTTTTGTGATGTATGGATTCAGTTCATAGAGTTGAACCATTGTTTACATTCAGCAGGTTGGAAACACTGTTTTTGTAGAATCTGCAAAGAAACATTTCCTAGCTCCCTGAGACTTATAGTAAGAAGGAAAATATCTCACCATAAAAACTGGAAAGAAGCTACTTGTGAAAACGCTTTCTGATGTGTGGATTCAGCTCACAAAGCTAAATCTTTCTTTACACATTTGAGAAGTTGGAAACACTGTTTTTGTAAAATGTGTGAATGGACATTTTGGAGCTCACTGAAGCCTGTAGTGAAAAAGCAAGTATATGGCAATCAAACGAGAAAGAAGCTCTCTGAGAAACTGCTTTGTGATGGGTGGATTCAGCCCTCAGAGTTAAATCTTTGTTTACATTCAGCAATATGGAAACACTGATTTTGTAGAATCTGCGAAAGGACATTTCAGAGCCCATGGTGGCCTATAGTGAAAAACAGAATGTTGTGCTATAAAAACTAGAAAGAAACTTTGTGTGAAACTGCTTTGTGGTGTGTGGATTCAGCTAATAGAGGGAAACTTTTCTTCACATTCAACAGGTTGGAAACACTGATTTTGTAAAATCTGTGAAGGAACATTTTGGAACTCACTGAGGACTGTAATGAAAAACAAAATATCCCATGATAAAAACTAGACAGAAGCTAACTGTGTAAACACTTTGTGATGTGTGGATTCAGTTCATAGAGTGAAAACTTTCTGACATTCATCAGGTTGGAAACACTGTTTTCGTAGAACTTGCAAAGGGACATTTCGAACCCACTGAAGTGTATAGTGAAAAACTAAATATCCTGTGATAAAAACTAGAAAAAGTCTATCAGTGAAACCACTTTGTGATGTGTGTATTAAGCTCATAGAGTGAAACCTTTCTTTACATTCAGCAGGTTGGAGACACTGTTTATGTATAATCTGCAAAGGGACATTTCAAAGCTCACTGAGGCCTATAATGAAAAACCGAATATCCCATGTTAAAAACTAGAAAAATGCTATCTGTGAAAACACTTTGTGATGTGTTAATTTAGCTTACACAATTAAACGTTTCTTTACATTTGGCAGGTTGGAAACAGAATTAAACTTTTTTTGCATTCAGCAGGTTGGAAACACTGTTTTTATAGATTCTGTGAAGGGACATTTTGGAGCTCACTGAGGCCAAGAGTGAAAAATGGATTAACCCAAGATAAAAACTACAAAGAAGCTATGTGTCAAACCACTTATTGATGTATATTGAGCTCATAGAGTTAAACTTTCCTTTACATTCACCAGGTTGGAAATTTTATTTTTGTAGGATTTGTGTGGGGACATTTCAAAGCCAATTGAGGCCTATAGTGAAAAACTGAATATCCCACGATAGAAACCAGAAAGAGGTTTTTTGTGTAACTGCTTTGTGATGTGTAGATTCAGCTCATAGATTAAAACCTTCCTTTACATTTTGCAAAGTTGAAACATTGTTATTGTAGAACTTGTGAAGGGACATTTCAGAGCTCACTGAGGCCTATAGTGAAAAACAGAATATCCCATGATAAAAATTAGAAAGATGCTATCTGTGAAACCACTTTTTGATGTGTTAATTTAGCTTACACAATTAAACATTTCTTTACATTTGGCAGATTGGAAACATTGTTTTTGAAGAATCTGCAAAAGGACATTTTGGTGGTCATGGAGGCCTATAGTTACAATTCAAATATCTCTCAATTAAAACCTGGAAAGAAGCTCTCTGTGAAACTGCTTTGTGAGGTGTGAATTCATCTCATAGAGTAAAATTTTTCTTTACATTCAGCAAGTTGGAAAAAATGTTTTTGTAGAATCTTTGATAGAACATTTGGAGCCTACTGAGGCCTACAGTGAAAACCCAAATATTTTGTGATAAAAACTGAAAAGAAGATGTCTTTGAAACTGATTTGTAATATGTGCATTCAGCTCACAGAGTGAAACCTTTCTTTACATTTAACAGGTTGGAAATACTTTTTTTGTAGAATCCGTGATGGAATATTTCAAAGGGCACTGAAGCCTATAGTGAAAAAATGAATATCCTGCAATAAAAACTATAAAGAAGCTATCTGTGAAACCACTTTTGGGGATGTGGATTCACCTCACAGAGTTAAACCATTGTTTACAATCAGCTGGTTTGAAACATCGTTTCTGTACAATATTAAAAGGAACATTTTGAAGCTCACTGACACCTATAGTCGAAAACTAAATATCCCAAGATAAAAATTAGAAAGAAGCTATCTGCAAAACTGCTTTGTAATGCATGCATTCAGCTCACAATGTTAAGACTTTTGTAACAATTAGCAAGTTGGAAACACTGTTTTCATAGAATCTACAAAGGAACATTTGGAACCCACTGAGCCATGCAGTGAAAAAATGAATGAATATCTGCGATGAAAACTAGAAAGAAGCTACCGGTGAAAATGCTTTGTGATGTGTCGATTCAGCTGATGGAGGTAAACTTTTCTTTTTATTTAGCAAGTTGGAAACATTCTTCTTGTAGAATCTGCAAAAGAACATTTCAAAGAGCACTGACCCTGTAGTGAAAAACTGAAAATCATGTGATAAAAACTAAAATGAAGCTATTTGTAAAACTGCTTTGTGATATGCAAATTCAGCTCACAGAGTTAAACCTTTTTTTTAGTTCAGCAGGTTGGGAACACTACTTTTGTAGAATTGCAAAAGGACATTTTGGGGTGCACTGAGGCCTATAGTAAAAACCCAAATATCCCACAATAAAAACTAGAAGGAAGCTATCTGTAAAACTGCTTTGTGATGTTTGAATTCATCTCAAAGAGTTAAACCTATCTTTTTAAAAAGAAGGTTTGAAACACTATTTTTATCAAATCTGAGAAGAAACATGTTAAAGCTTACTGAGGCATATAATGAGAAAACGAATATCCTAAGATTAAAAACTAGAAAGAAGGTATCTGTGAAACTGCTTTGTGATGTGTAGATTCAGCTCATAGATTTAAACCTTTGTTTTGATTCACCTGGTTGAAAACACTCTTATTGTGGCATCGGCAAAGGGATATTTCAGAGAGCACTGAGGCCTATAGTGAAAACATGAATATCCCGTGATAAAAACTAGGAAGAAGGTATCTGTGAAACTGCTTTGAGATGTGTGGATTCACCTCTCAGAGTTAAACCTTTCTTTAGATTCAGCAGGTTGGAAAATCTCTTTTTGTAGAATCTGTGATGGGAAATTTTAAAGCACACTGAGGCCTACAGTGAAAATTCGAATATCCCATGATAAAAACTACAAAGAAAGTATCTGTGAAACTGCTTTGTGAAGTGTGGATTTACCTCACAGAGTTAAAACTTTCTTTTAATTCAGAAGGTTGGAAATACTCTTTTTGTTGAATCTGTGAAGGGACATTTAAAAGTGTAATGTGGCCTATAGTGAAACACCAAATATTCCATGGTCAAAACAAGAAACAAGCTATTTGTGAAACTGCTTTGTGATGTGTGGATTCTGCTCACAGAGTTACACCTTTCTTTTGAGTCAGGAGGTTGAAAACACTGTTTTCCCAGAATCTACAAAGGGACATTTAAGAGCACCCTGGGGAATATAGTGAAAAACAATATATCCCACAATAAAAGCTAGAAAGGGCCGGGCGCGGTGGCTCACGCTTGTAATCCCAGCACTTTGGGAGGCCGAGGCGGGCGGATCACGAGGTCAGGAGATCGAGACCATCCTGGCTAACACGGTGAAACCCCGTCTCTACTAAAAATACAAAAAAATTAGCCGGGCGTGATGGCGGGCGCCTGTAGTCCCAGCTACTCGGGAGGCTGAGGCAGGAGAATGGCGTGAACCCGGGAGGCGGAGCTTGCAGTGAGCCGAGATTGCGCCACTGCACTTCCACCTGGGCCACAGAGCGAGACTCCGTCTCAAAAAAAAAAAAAAAAAAAAAAAAAAAAAAAAAAAAAAAAAAGCTAGAAAGAAGCTGTCTGTGATAATGCTTCAGATGTGCAGATTCATCTCACAGAGTTAAACCTTTCTTTTAATTAACCAAATGTGAAAACATGCTCTTTGTAGAATCTGTGAAGGGATATTTCAAAGCCCACTGAGGGCTATAGTGAAAAACTGAATATCCTGTGATAAAAACTGAAAGAAGCTGTCTGTGAAACTACGTTGTTATATGTGGATTCAGCTCACAAAGTTAAATCTTTGTTTTTATTCAGCAGGTTGGAAACACTGTTTTTGTAGAATCTGCAAAGGGACATTTAAAAGCAGACATTGGCCTACAGTGAAACATTGAATATTCCATTATAAAAACTAGAAAGAAGCTATCTGTGAAATTGCTTTGTGATATGTTGATTCAGCTCACAGAGTTAAGCCTTTCTTTTGATTCACCAGATCGGAAACACTCTTTTTGTGGAATCTGCGAATGGACATTTTGGAGCACGCTGAGGCCTATAGTGAAAAATCAAATATCCTGTGATAAAAACTACACAGAATCTAAGTATGAAATTACTTTGTGATGTGTGGTTTCAGCTTACAGTGTTAAAACTTACTTTTGATTCAGCAGGTTAGAAACACTCTTTTTGTAGAATCTGCAAAGTGACATTTCAGAGCCCTCAGAGTCCTATAGTGAAACACCAAATATTTGGGGGTAAAAACACTAAACAGGGTATATATGAAACTTATTTGTGGAGTGTGGACTCAGCTCACAGAGTTAAATTTTTGATTTGATTCAGTAGGTTAGAAACACTCATATTGTGGCATCTGCAAAGGGACATTTCTGAGAGCACTGAGGCCTATAGTGAAAAACAGAATATCCCATGATAAAAACTTTGAAGAAGATATCTGTGAAATGGCTTTGTGACGTGTGAATTCAGCTCACAGAGTTAAACCTTTCTTTCAATTCAGCAGGTTGGAAACCCTCTTTATGTAGAATCTGTGAAGGGAAGTTTAAAAGCACACTGAGGCCTACAGCAAAACACTGAATATCCCATGATGGAAACTAGAAAGAAGCTATCTGTGAAATTGCTTTGTGATATGTAGATTTACCTCACAGAATTCACCCTTTCTCTTGATTCAGCAGGTTGGAAACACTCTTTTTGTGAAATCTGTGAAGAGACATTTCAAAGTGATCTGAGGCCAATAGTGAAAAATCAAATATCCCATGATAAAAACTACACAGAATCTATATGTAAAAGGAAGTTGTGATGTGTGGATTCAGTTCACAGAGTTAAACACTTGTACTTAATCAGAAAGTTGGAAACACTCTTTTTGTATAATCTGTGAAGGAACATTTTGAAGTGCACTGAGACCTATAGAGAAAAACTGAATATCCCATGATAAAATCTAGAAAGAAGGTACCTGTGAAGCTGCATTGTGATGTGTGGATCCAGCTTACAAAGTTGTACCTTTGTTTTGACTCGGAAGATTGGAATCACTTTTTTTGTAGAATCTGTGAAGGAACATTTAGGAGCACACAGAGGCTTATAATGAAAAACTGAATATCCCATGATAAAATCTTGGAAGAAAGTATCTGTGAAACTGCTTTGTGATCAGATGATTCAACTCAGAGGGTTAAATCTTTCTTTTGATTCAGCAGGTTGGAAACAATATTTTTGTAGAATTTGTGAAGAAACATTTCATAAGGCACTGATGCCTACAGTAAAAAACAGAATGTCCCACGATAAAAACTAAAAAGAAGCTATCTGTGAAACTGCTTGGTGATGTGTGGATTTGGCTCACAGATTTAAAATTTTCTTTCAATTCAGCAGCTTGGAGACACTCTTTTTGTAGAATCTGTGAAGGGACATTTCAGAGCCCACTGAGGCCTATAGTGAAAAACTGAATATCCTGCAATAAAAATGAGAAAGAAGCTATCTGTAAAGTCTTTTGTGAGGTGTGCATTCAACTCAGAGTTAAGCCTTTCTTTTGATTTGACAGGTCAGACGCTGTTGTTGTAGAATATGCAAAGGGAAATTTTGAAGCCCACTGAGGCCTATATTGAAAAACTGGATATCCTGTGGCAAAAATAAGAAAGAAGTGATTGGTGAAATTGCTTTTTGATGTGTGTACTCAGCTGACAGGGTTAAACCTTTCTTTTGATTCAGCAAGTTGGAAACACTCTTTGTAGAATCTGCAATGGAAAATTTTCAAGCCCACTGAAGTCTATAGTGAAAAACCAAATATACCATGATAAAAACTAGAAAGAAGCTACCTGTGAAACTGCTCTGTGATGTGTAGATTCAGCTCCCAGAGTTAAACCTTTCTTTTGATTCAGTAGGTTGGAAACACTCTTTTTGTAGAATCTGCAAAGGGACATTGCATTGGAGCCTATAATAAAAAACAGAATATTCCATGATAAAATTACAAGGAACCTATCAGTGAAAGTGCTTTGTGATATGCGCATTCAGCTCACAGTGTTACATTTTTCTTTTCATTTTGTATGTTGGAAACACTCTTTTCATAGAATCTACATGAAGATATTTCAGAGCCCACTGAGGCCTATAGTTAAAAAGGGACTATCTCGCAATAAATCTAGAAAGAAGCTATCCACGAAACTACTTTGTGATGTGTGGATTCTGCTCACAGAGTTAAACATTTTTTTTCATTCAGCAGGTTTGAAAAACTCTTCACTTAGATTCTGCAATGTGTCATTTCAGAGACCACTGATGCCAATTGTGAAAATGGAATACACTACAATAAAAACTGGAAAGAATCTTTCTGTGAAACTGCTTCATTGTTTGTGCTCACAGAGTTTTTTCTTTTGACTTAGCAGTTTGGAAACACTGTTTTTGTAGAATCTGCAAACGGATTTTTCAGTGCCCACTGATGCCTATAGTGAAAAATGGAATGTCTTGTGAAAAAAAAGAGTAAGAAGCTATCTCCCAAACTCCTTTGTGAAGTGTGCATTCAACTCACAGAGTTGAACCTTTGCTTTGATTCAGTAGGTTTGAAACATTCTTTTTTTAGAATCTGCATAGGCAAATTTTCGAGCCCACTGAGGCCTATAGTGAAAAACTGAACTTCCCATGACAAAAAAGAGAAAGAAGCTATCTTTGACACTTCTTTGCAAAGTGTGGATTCAGCTCACAGGGTTAAAACGCTTTTCTTTGATTCAGTAGGTTGGAAACACTCTTCTTGTAGAATCTGCAAAGGGACATTATGGAGTCTACTGAGGCCGGTGGTAAAAAACTCCATATCCCACAATACAAACTAGAAAGAAGTTATCTGTGAAACTGCTTTGTGATGTGTGAATTCACTTCACAGAGTTAAACCTTACTTTTGATTCAGCAAGTTGGAAACACTATTTTTGTAATATTTGTAAAGGGACATTTTGCAGCTCACTGAGTCCTATAGTAAAAAATAACGAGAAAACTGGGATGAAAACTGGAAAGTTGATATCTGCAAAAGTGCTTTGTAATGTGTGGATTCAGCTCACGGATTTAAACCTTTCTTTTGATTCAGCAGGTTGGAAACAATCTTTTTTGTAAAATCTTCAAAGTGACGTTTTAAACCCCACTGTGCCAATAGTGAAAAAGCAAATATCCTGTGATAAAAATGAGAAAGAAGCTATCTGTGAAAGTGCTTTATGATGTGTGGGTTCAACTCACAGAGTTAAATCTTTCCTTTGATTCAGCAGGTTGGAAAAAGTATTTTTGTAGAATCTGCAAGGAAACAATTCAGAGCCCACTGGGATCTATGGTGAAAAACTGAATAACCTGTGATAAAAACTGGAAAGAAGGTATCTGTGAAACTGCTTTGTGATGTGTGCTTTCAGCTCACAAAGTTAAATTTTTCTTTACATTCAACTGGTTGGAAACACTCTTATTGTAAAATCTGAAAATGGACATTTTAAAACCCACTGAAGCCTATAATAAAAAATTGTGTATCATTTGATTGAAAACTAGAAAGAATGTATCTGTAAACCCGATTTATGATGTGTAGATTCAGCTCACCAGTTTAAACCAGTCTTTTGATTCAGTAGGTTGGACACACTATTTTTGTAGACTCTGCAATGGGACATTTCAGAGCCCACAGAAGCCAATAAAAAAATGAATATCCTGCGATAAAAACTATAAAGAAGCTATCTGTGAAACTGCTTTGTGATGTGGGGCTTCATCCCACAGAGTTAATCCATTCTTTTGATTCAGCAGGTTGGAAACACGTTTTTTGTAATATCTGTGAAGGGACATTTCTGAGGTACTGAGGACTATTGTGAAAAACTGAATGTCCCTGATAAAAAATACAAAAATGCTATCTGTGAAACTGCTTTCAGAATTGTGGATGAAGCTCACAGATTTAAATGGTTGTTTTGATTAAGCAGGTTGGAAACACTCTTTTTGTAAAATCTACAAAGGGACATTTTACATCCCACTGAGGCCCATAGTGAAAAACCAAATATACCATGATAAAAATTGGAAAGATGCTATCTGTGAAACTGCTTTATGATGTGTGGATTCAGTTCACAGACATAAACCTTTCTTTTGATTCGGCATTTTGGAAACAGTCTTCTTGTAGAATTTGTGAAGGGACATTTCAAACCCCACTGAGGAACACAGTAAATAAGTGAATATCCCACTATAAAAACTAAAAAAGATTATATCTTTGAAACTGCTTTGTGATGTGAGGATTCAGCTCACAGGGTTAAACCTTCATTTCATTCAGCAGGTTGAAAACACTCTTGTTGTACAATCTGCAAATGGACATTTCAGACCTTACTGAGGCCTATAGTGAGAAACTGAATACCCTGCAATTAAAACTAGGAAGAAGGAATTTGTGAAACCGCTTTGTGATCTGTGGATTTACCTCAAAGAGGTAATCCATTCTTTCTATTCAGCAAGTTGAAAACACTTTTTTGTGGAATCTTTGAAGAAATATTTCAGAGACACTGAGGCCTATAGTGAAAAACCAAATATCCCATGATACAAACTAGAATGAAGCTATCTGTGAAACTGCTTTGTGATTTGTGGTTGCTGCACACAGAGTTAAATGTTTCATTTTTTTCAGCAGGTTGGAAACACTCTTTTAGTGGTATCTGCAAAGGGACATTTCGAAGCCCACTGAGACCTGTGGTGAAAAACCAAATATCTCACAATACAAACTAGAAAGAAATTATTGATGAAACAGGTTTGTGACGTGTGGATTCACTTCACAAAGTTAAATCTTTTTATTTATTCAGCAGGTTGAAAACACTTTTTGTGTAGGATTTGCAAAGGGACATTTCACAGCCAACTGCGACCTACAGTAAAAACCAAGTAAATCACGATGAAAACCGGAAAGATGCTATCTTTGAAATTGCTTTGTGATGTGTGGACTTAGATCACAAAGTTAAACGTTTTTTGATTCAGCAGGTTAGAAACAATCTTTTTGTAAAATCTGCAAAGGGATATTTTGTACCCCAAGGGGGCCATAGTGGAAAAGAAAATACCTCATGATAAAAACCGGAAAGAAGCTATCTGTGAAACTGCTTTGTGATGTGTGGATTCAACTCAAAGAGCTAAACCTTTCCTATGATTCAGCAGATTAGAAAAAATATTTTTACATAATCTGTGAAGAAATATTTCAAAGCCCAATGGGAGCTATGGTAAAAAAAACGAATATCCCATGATCAAAACTAGAAAGAAGCTTTCTGAGAAGCTGCTTTTTGACGTGTGCTTTCAACTCACAGAGTTAAACCTTTCTTTAGATTCAGCAGATTGGAAACACTCTTTTTTTAGAATCTGTAAATGGACATTTCAGATCCCAGTGAAGCCTATAGTAAATAACAAGATATCATTTGATAAAAACTAGAAATAATCTATCTGTGAACCTCCTTTATGATGTGTTGATTCAGCTCAACGATTTAAACTTTTCTTTTGATCCCACTGTTGGAAACACTCTTTTTGTGGAATCAGCAATGGGACATTTTGGAGCCCACAGAGGTGTATAATAAAAAATTCAATATCCCGTGATAAAAACTATAAAGCAGCTATCTGTGAAACTGCTTTGTGATGTGTGGATTCAATTCACACAGTTAATCCATTATTTTGATTCAGCAGATTGGAAACACTTTTTTTGTGGAATCTGTGAAAGGACATTTTGGAGATACTGGGGCCTATTTTAAAAAGCCAAATATCCACTGAGAAAAATTACAAAAAATCTATCTGTGAAACTGTTTTCTGATGTGTGCATGAAGCTCAGAGAGTTAAACGTTTATTTTGATTCAGCAGGATGGAAACACTCTTTTTGTAGAATCTGTGAAGGGATATTTAAGAACCCACTGAGGCTGGTGGTGAAAAACTGAATACCTTATGATACAAACTAGAAAGAAATTATCTGTGAAACTGCTTTGTGATGTGTGGTTTCACCTCACAGAGTTTCTCCTTTCTTTTGATTCAGCAGGTTGGAGACCCTTTTTTTGTAGAATCTGCAAAGGGACATTTCGCAACCCACTGAGGCTCATAGTGAAAAACCGAATATACTGCAATAAAAATGGGAAAGATGCTATCTGTGAATCTGCTTTGTGATGCATACATTCAGCTCAAAGATTTAAAACTTTCCTTTGATTCTGTAGTTTGGAAACAGTCTTCTTATAGAATTTGGGAAGGAACATTTCAAAAGCCGTTGAAAACCACAGTAAGAAACCGAATATCCCACAATAAAAAATTAAATGATGCTATCTGGTGAAACTGCTTTGTGATGTGTGGATTCAGCTCACAGATTTAAACCTTTATTTGATTCAGCAGGTTGAAAACACTTTTTCACTATCTGCAAATGGCAAATGGACATTTCAGAGCTTACTGAGGCCTATAATGAGAAACTGAATATTCCATAATAAAAACTAGACAGAAGCTCTCTGTGAAACTGTTTTGTGATGTGTGGATTCATCTTACAGAGTTAAACCTTTCCTTTCATTCAGCAGATTGGAAACACTCTTTCTGTAGAATCTGTGGAAGGACACAGATTCCTTCCTGTGAAACTGATTTGTGATGATGGCATTCAGATCACAGAGTTAAACCATTCTTTTGAGTCAGCAGGTTGGGAACACTCTTTTTGTAGAATCTGTAAAGGGACATTTTAGAACCAACTGATGTCTATAGAGAGAAACTGAATATCCAAAAATAAAAACTAGAAAGAAGCTATCTGTGAAATGGCTTTGTGATGTGTGGATTCCATTCACAGAGTTAACCTTGATTTTGATTCAGCAGATTGGAAACACTCTCTTTGTTGAATCTGCAAACAGACATTTCAGAGCCCACTGAGGCCTATATTGAAAAACGGAATATACTGTGATATAAATTAGAAAGAAGGAGTCTGAGAAAGTGCTTTGTGATATCTGGGTTCAGTTCACAGAGTTAAGCCTTTCTCTTTTTTTTTTTTTAGCAGGTTGGAAACACTCTTTTTGTAGAATCTGCAAAGAAACATTTTGGAGCCCATGGGGGCCTTTAGTGAAAAACTGAATATGCCAAGATAAAACCTATAAAAACTATCTGGGAAACTGCTTTGTGATGTGTGGATTCAGCTCACAGAGTTAAGCCTTTTTTTTTTTTAAATTCTGCAGGTTGGAAGCACTCTTTTTGTAGAAACTGCAAAGGGATAATTCACAATCCACTTAAGCCTGTAGTAAAAAACTGAATATTCTGCAATAAAAAGCAGAAAGAAGCGATCTGTTGAACTGCTTTGTGATGTGTGGATTCATCTCACATTGTTAAACCTTTCTTTTGAGTTCACACGTTGGAAACACTCCTGTTGTAGAAGATGTGCAGAAAAAATTTTCGAGCCAACTGAAACCTATAGGGAAAGGATGAATATCCCATAACAAAAACTAGAAAGAAGCTGTCTGTGAAACAGCTTTGTGATGTGTGGATTCAGCTCACAGAGTTAAACCTTTCTTTTCATTCAGTAGGTTGGAAACACTCTTGTTTTAGAAACTGTGAAGTTACATTTCAAAGCTTACTGAGGCCTATCGTGAAATATCAATTATTTCACAATAAAAATTAGAAAGAAGCTATCTGTGAAACTGCTTTATGATGTATGGATTCAGCTCAAAAAGTTAAATCTTTCTTTTCATTCTGCAGGTTGGAAACACACTTTTTGTAGAATTTGCAAAGAGACATTTTGGAGCCCACTAAGGCATATAGTGAAAAACCAAATATCTCATTATATAAACTAAAAGAAACTATTTGTGAAACTGTGATGTGTTCATTCAGTTCACAGAGTTAAACCTTTCTTTTGATGCAGCAGTTTGGAAGCACTGTTTTTGTAGAATCTGCGAAGGAACGTTTCACAGGCCACTTAAGCCTATACTGAAAAATTGAATATCTGGTAATAAATCTAGAAAGAAGCTATCTGTTAAACAGCTTCATGATGTGTGAATTCTGCCCACAGAATTAAACCTTTATTTTTATTATGCTTGTTGGAAACACTCTTTTTGTAGAATCTGTGAAGAGATATTTTGAAGCCCACTGAGGACTATATTGAAAAATTGAACATCCTATGATAAAAACTTGAAAGAAGCTATGTCTGAAATGGCTTTGTGATGTGCAGATTCAGCTCACAGAGATAAACCTTTGTTTTGATTCTGCAGGTTGAAAACACATGTTTTCTAAAACACACAAAGGTACATTTTAAACCCACTGAGGCTATAGTGAAAAACGGAATGCCCCATGATCAAAATGACATAGATTTTATCAGTGAAACTGCTTTGTGATGTGTGGATTCAGCTCACATAGTTAAGCCTTTCTTTTGATTCAGCAGGTTGTGAACATTCTTTTTGTAGAATCTGCGAAGAGAAATTTCAGAGCAAACTGAGGCCTATAGTAAAAAAATGAAAACCTTGCAATAAAAACTAGAAAGAAGCAATCAGTGAAATGGCTTTTGATGTTTGCCTGCAGTTCACAGAGATAAAGCAGTTTTTGTTTCAACCATTGGAAAATATTTCTGTTGCTGAATCTGTGAAGAAACATTTCAAAGCCCACTGAGGTCTACAGTGAAAAACCAAATATCCTATGATAAAAACCAGAAACAAGCTATCTGTGAAACTGCATTGTGATGTCTGGGTTCAGATCACAGATCAATTCTTTTGATTCACCACATTGGAAACACTCTTTTTGTAGAATCTGCAAAGGGACATTTCACAGCCCACTTAAGCCTGTAGTGAAAAGCCGACTATCCTTCAATAATAACTAGAAAGAAGCTGTTACAATGCTTTGTGATGTGTGCCTTCAGCTCACAGTGTTAAACCTTTCTTTTGGTTTTGCAGGTTGGAAACACTTTTTTTGTAGAATAAGCAGAGGAACATTTTAAGCGAACTGAAGCCTATAGGGAAAAAATCAATATCCCATGCTAAAAACTAGAAAGAAGCTATCTGTGAAACTGCCTTGCGATGTGTGGATACAGCTAACAGAGTTAAACCTTTCTTTTCTTTCAGCAGGTTGGAAACACTCTTGTTTTAGAATCTGTGAAGTTACATTTCAAAACCCACAGAGGCCTGTAGGGAAAAACCAATTATCTTGTGATAAAAACTAGAAAGACGATATCTGTGAAACTGTTTTGCGATGTGTGGATTCACCTCAAAGTGATAAACCTTTCTTTTATTCAACAGGTTGGAAACACTATTTTTGTAGAATTTGTGAAGAGGCATTTCAGAGCCCACTGAGGCCTGTAGTAAAAAATCAAATATCCCATGATATAAACTAAAAAGAAACTATCTGTGAAACTGTTTGTAATGTGTGCATTCAGTTCACAGAGTTAAACCTTTCTTTTGATTCAGCAGGTTGGAAACACTGTTTTTGTAGAATCTGCAAAGGAATATTTCACAGCCCACTTAAGCCTATAGTGAAACACTGAATATCTGGTAATGAATCTAGAAAGAAGCTATCTGTTAAACTGCTCTGTGATGTGTGCATTCGGCTCACAGAATTAAAACTTTATTTTTATTTCACTTGTTGGAAACACACTTTTTGTAAAATCTGTGAAGACACATTTCAAAGCCCACTGAAGGCTACATTGAAAGATTGAATATTTTATGATAAAAACTAGAAAGAAGCTATCTGTGCAATGGCTTTGTGATGTTTGGATTCAACTCACAGGGATAAACTTTTTTTTATTCTCCAGGTTGGAAATAAACTTTTTGTAAAATATGCAAGGGGACATTTTGAATCCCACTGAGGACTATAGAAAAAAACTGAATACCCCATGATAAAAACAAGAAAGAAGGTATTTGTGAAAATGCTTTGTGTTTTGTGAATTAAGCTCACAGAGTTAAACCTTTCTTTTAATTCAGCAAGTTGGAATCACTTTTTTTGTAAAATCCACAAAGGGACATTTCAAAGCCCACTGAAGTCTAGACTCAAAAAGGGAATATTCTGCAATAAAAACTAGAAAGAAATTATTGTGAAATTGCTGTGTGATGTGTGGATTCAGGTTACAGATTTAAATCTTTTGATTCAGCAGATTGGAGACACTTTTTTTGTAGAATCTGCAAAGAATTCATTTGGAGCCCACTGAGAACTTTAGTGAAAAACTGAATGTCCCACAATAAAATCCAGAAAGAAGCTATCTGTAAAACTGCTTTGTGATGTGTGGATTCAGCTTGCAGAGTTAAAAATTTCCTTTGATTCAGCAGGTTAGAAACTCTATTTTTGTGAAATTTATGAAGGGACATTTCAAAATGGACTGAGGCTTATAGTGAAAACCAAATATTCCAAGATAAAAACAGAAAAGAAGCTATCTGTGAATCTGCTTTTTGAGGTGTGGATTCAACTCACAGGGTTAAACCTTTCTTTTGATTCAGCAGGTTGGAAACACTTTTCTTGTAGAATCTGTGAAGAAACATTTCAGAGTCTACTGGGGCCTTTAGTGAAATACCAAATATCCTGTGATAAAAACTAAAAAAGGTCTATCTGTGAAACTGTTTTGTGATGTGTGGATTCAGCTCAGAGAGTTAAACATTTCTTTTGATTCAGCAGGTTGTAAACTTTTTTTTGTAGAATCTGTGAAGGGTCTTTTTGGTGCAAACTGAGGCCTATAGTGAAAAACTGAAAATCCCGAGATAAAAACTATACAGAACTTGTCTGTGTAACTGCTTTGTGATGTTTGCATTCAGATCACAGAGTTAAGTCATTCTTTTGATTCTGCAGGTAAGAAACACTTTCTTTTGTAGAATTTGTGAAGGGACATTTCATAGCCCACATAGGCCTATAGTGAAAAACTGAATATCCCACCATAAAAACTACAAAAAAGCTATCTGTGAAACTGCTTTGTGATGTGTAGATTCAGGTCACAGAGTTAAAACTTTATTTTGACTCAGCAGGTTGGGAACACACTTTTTGTAGGTTCTACGAAGAGACAGTTCAGAGCCCACTGAGACCTATAGTGAAAAGCGGAATATCCCATGGTAAAAACAAGATAGAAGTTATCAGTGAAACTGTTTTGTGATATTTGCATTCAGTTCACAGAGATAAAGAATTCTTTTCATTCAGCAGGTTGGAAACACTCTTGTTGAATCTGCAAAGAAACATTTCAGAGCCTACTGAGGCCTATAGTGAAAAACCGAATATGCCATGATAAAAACTAGAAAGAAGTTATCTCTGAAACTGTATTGTGATATCTGGAGTCAGATAACAAAGTCAAACCGTTCTTTTGAGTCAGCAGTTTGGAATCACTCTTTTTATAGCATCTGTGAAGGGACACATTTTGCAGCCCACTTAAGCTTATAGTGAAAATCAAAACACCCCGCAATGAAACCTAGAAAGAAGCTATCTGTTAATCTGCTTTGTGACATGTGAATTTAGCTCACAGAGTTAAACCTTTCTTTTAATTTTGCAGGTTGGAAACACTCATTTTGTAGAATCTGCATAGGAATGTTTTGGAGTCAACTAAGACCTATAGGGAAAAAATGAATATCCCATGATCAAAACTGGAAGGAAGCTATCTGTGAAACCTCTTTGTGATGTGTGGTTTCAATTCACAGAGTTAAACCTTTCTGTTCATTCAGCAGGATGAAAACACTCTTGTTTTAGAATCTGCAAAGTTACATTTCCAAGCCCACTGAGGCCTATAGTGAAAAACCAAATTTCCGGTGATAAAAACTAGAAGGAAGCTGTCTGTGAAACTGCTTTGTTATGTGTGCATTCACTTCACAGAGTCAAACTGTTTTTGATTCAGCAGGTTAAAAACACTCTTTTTCTGGAACCTGCAAAGGGAAATTTCGCAGCCCAATTTAGCCTATAGTAAAAAACTGAATATCCCACAATAAATCTATAAAAAAGCTATCTGTTAAACTGCTTTGTGATGTCAGGATTCTACTCACAGAGCTCAACCTTTCTTTTGATTTCACTTGTTGGAAACACTCTTTTTGTAGAACCTGTGAAAAGACATTTTGAAGCCCACTGGGGGCTATATTGAAAAATCAAATATCCCAGATAAAAACTAAAAAGAAGTTATCTGTGAAACTGCTTTGCAATGCGTGGATTCAGCTCATAGGGTTAAAACTTTCTTTTGATTCTCCGGGTTGGAAATACACTTTTTGTAGAATATGCAAAAGGACATTTTGAAACCCACTGAGGCCTATAGAGAAAACAGATTACCCATGATAAAAACAAGAAAGAATTTATTTGTGAAACTGCTTTGTGATGTGTGCTCTCAGCTCACATAGTTAAATCTTTTTTTGATTCAGCAGGTTGTAAACATTCTTTTTGTAGAATCTGCGAAAGGACACTTCAGAGCAAACTGAGGCCTATAGAGAAAAACAAAAAAAAATCCCACAATAAAAGCTAGAAAGAAGCTATCTGTGGAACTGCTTTGTGATGCCTGCATTCAGTTTACAAAGTTAAAGCATTCTTTTGATTCAGCAGGTTGGAAACACTCTTGTTGAATCTGCAAAGAAACATTTCAGAGCCAACTGAGGCTTATAATGAAAAAGCAAATATGCTGCGACTAAAAACAAGGAAGTAGCAATCCGTGAAACTGCTTTGTGATGTCTGGAATTAGCTAACAAAGTTAAACATTTCTTTTGATTTAGAAGGTTGGAAATACCCTTTTTATAGAATCTGCAAAGGGACATTTTGCATCCCACTTAAGCCTATAGTGAAAAACCAAATATCTCAAAATGAAAGCTAGAAAGAAGCTATCTGTTAATCTACTTCGTGATGTGTGGATGTGTAGGGAAAAGAAAGATCAGACTGTTACTGTATCTATGTAGAAAGGGAAGACATAAGAAATTCCATTTTGACCTGTACCTTGAATAATTGCTTTGCTGAGATGTTGTTAATTTGTAACTTTTCCTCAGCCACTTTGTCCCAGCCACTTTGCCCCAACTTTGAGCTCATAAAAACATGTGTTGTATGGAATCAAGGTTTAAGGGATCTAGGGCTGTGCAGGACGTGCCTTGTTAACAAAATGTTTACAAGCAGTATGTTTGGTAAAAGTCATCACCGTTCTCTAGTCTCAGTAAACCAGAGGCACAATGCACTGTGAAAAGCCGCAGGGACCTCTGCCTTAGAAAGCTGGGTATTGTCTAAGGTTCTTCCCATGTGATAGTCTGAAATATGGCCTCATGTGATGAGAAAGACCTGACCATCCCCCAGCCTGATACCCATAAAGGGTCTGTGCTGAGGTGGATTAGTAAAAGAGGAAAGCCTCTTGCAGTTGAGATAGAGGAAGGCCACTGTCTCCTGCCTGCCCCTGAGAACTGAATATCTTGGTATAAAACCAAATTGTACATTTGATGTATTCTGAGATAAGAGAAAAACCACCCTATGGCAGGAGGCAAGACATGTTGTCAGCAATGCTGCCTTGTTTTTCTTTACTCCACTGAGATGTTTGGGTAGAGAAAAATATTAATCTGGCCTATGTGCACATCCAGGCATAGTACCTCCCTTGAACTTAATTATGATATAGATTCTTTTGCTCACATGTTTTTTTGCTGACCTTCTCCCTATTATCACCCTGCTCTCCTACCACGTTCCTCTTGCTGAGATAATGAAAATAATAATCAATAAAAACTGAGGGAACTCAGAGACTGGTGCTGGTGTAGGTCCTTGGTATGCTGAGTGCTGGTCTCCTGGGCCCACTGTTATTTCTCTATACTTTGTCTCTGTGTCTTATTTCTTTTCTCAGTCTCTTATCCCACCTGATGAGATATCCCACAGGTGTGGAGGGGCAGTCCACCCCTTCATGGATGTAGCTCACAGAGTTAAACTTTTCTTTCAATTTCACAGGTTGGAAACACTCTTTTTGTAGAATCTGCTTAGGAACATTTTGGAGCCCATTAAGGTCTATAGGGAAAAAAAGGCTATCATACGATCAAAACTAGAAGGAAGCTCTCTGTGAAATGCTTTGTGATGTGTAGATTCAGCGCAAAGAGTTAAAACTTTATTTTCATTCAGCAGATGGAAACATTCTTGATTTAAAATCTGTGAAGTTACATTTCAAAGCCCACAGAGGCC
This sequence comes from Homo sapiens, assembly GCF_000001405.40. Classification (NCBI taxonomy): domain Eukaryota; kingdom Metazoa; phylum Chordata; class Mammalia; order Primates; family Hominidae; genus Homo; species Homo sapiens. The sequence continues at coordinate 46,455,236 of NC_000008.11, read as the reverse complement.
TATACTGAATAACCAAATATCCCACAATAAAAACTAGAAAGAAGCTGTCTGAGAAACTGCTTTGTGATGTGTGCATTCAGTTCACAGATTTAACCTTTGTTTTGATTCAGCAAGTTAAAAATTTCTTTTTGTAGAATCTACAAAGGGAAATTTCGCAGCCCACTCAAGCCTATATGAAAAATCGAATATGTCACAATAAATCTAGAAAAAAGCTAGCTTTTAAATTGCTTTATGATATCTGGATTCAGCTCACATAATTAAAACTTTCTTTTGATTTCGCTTTTTGATAACACTTTTTTTGTAGAGTCTGCGAGGAGACATTTCAAAGCCCACTGAAGGGTATATTGAAAAATCAAATATCCCACGATGTAAACTAAAAAGAAGATGTCTGTGAAACTGTCTTGTGATGTGTGGATTCAGCTCACAGGGTTAAACCTTTCCTTTGATTTTCCTTGTTGGAAACACACTTTATGTAGAATATGCAAAAAGACATTGTGAAAATCCACTGAGACCTAGAGTAAAAAAAGATTACCCATGATAAAAACAAGAATCTATCTGTAAAACTGCTTTGTGATGTGTGCTCTCAGCTCACAGATTTAAACCTTTCTTTTGATTCAGCAGGTTGGAAACACATATTTTGTAGAATTTGTGAAGGGACATTTCAGAGCACACAGAGGCCTGTAGCAAAAAACAGAACATCCTGCAATAAACACTAGAAAGAAACTATCTGTGAAACTACTTTGTGCAATGTAGACTCAACTCACAGGGTTAAATCTTTGTTTAGATTTAGCAGGTTGTAAACCCTCATCTTTTAGAATCTGTGAAGGACTATTTTGGAGGAAACTGAGGCCTATAGTTAAAAACCGAATATCCTGTGATAAAAACTAGATAGAAGTTATCTGTAAAACTGCTTTGTGATGTGTGGGTCAGCTCACAGAATTAAACCTTTCTTTTGATTCAGCATGTTGGAAACACTTTTTTTGTAGAATCTGTGAAGTGATGTTATGGAGCAAACAGAGGCCTGTAGTGAAAACCTGAAAATCACCTGATAAAAAAATAGAAAGAAATTAACTGTTAAACTATTTTGTGATTTTTCCATTCAGTTCACAGAGTTAAACCATTCTTTTTATTCAGCAAGTAGGAAACACTTTTTTTTTGTAGAATTGGTGAAGGGAAATTTCAGTGCCCACTGAGACCTACTGTGAAAAACTGAATATCTTGTGATAAAATCTATAAAGAAGCTATCTATGCAACTGCTTTGTGGTGTTTGCATTCACGTCACACAGTAAAACAATACTTTTGATGCAGGAGGTTGGAAACACTTTCTTTGCAGAATCTGCAAAGGGACATTTTGGAGCCAAGTGAGGGCTGTGGAGAAAAACTGAGTATCCCAAGATAATAACTAGAAAGAAGCTATCTGTGAAACTGTTTTGTAATGTGTGGACTCAGCTCACAAAGTCAACCTTCTTTTTGATTAAGCAGGTTGAAAACACACTTTTGTAGAATCAGCAAAAAGTCATTTCAGAGCCCACTGAGGCCTTTAGTGAAAAACCGAGTATACTGTGATATAAACTAGAAAGAAGGTATCTGTGAAACTATTTTGTGATGTCTGGATTCAGTTCAAAGAGTTAAACCTATCTTTTGATTCAGGAGGTTTGAAACCCTTTTTTTGTAGAACCTGCAAAGAAACGATTTGGAGCCCACCGGGGCCTCTAGTAAAAAACCAAATATCCCGTGAAAAAAACTGCAAAAATCTATCTGTGAAACTACTTTGTGATGTGTGGATTCAGCTCACAGAGTTAAGTCTTTTTGTTTTTTATTCAGAAGATTGGAAACACTGATTTTGTAGAATTGGCAAAAAGACATTTCAAAGCTCACTGAAACCCATACTGAAAACCAAACATCCTGTGATGAAATTAGAAAGAAGCTATCAGTGAAACTTCTCTGTGCTGTTTGGATTCAGCTCACAGATTTAACCTTTCCCTTGATTCAGCAGGTGGAATCAATCTTGTTTAGAATCTGCAAAGGGACATTTCAGAGCCCACTGAGGCCTAGAGTGCAAAACTGAATATCTTGCAATAATAACTAAAAAAAAGCTATCTGTGAAACTGCTTTGTTATGTTTCCATTCAGTTCACAGAGGTAAACTTTTCTTTTGATTCAGCAGATTGGAAACACTTTTTTTGTACCATCTGTGAGGGGACATTTCAAAGCCCAATGAGGCCTATAGTGAAAAATCAATTAACCTGCAATAAAAATACAAAGATATTATCTGTGAAAGTGCTGTGTGACGTGTGCATTCAGCTCACAGAGTTAAACCTTTTTTTGAATCAGCAGGTTGGAAACTCTTTTGTTGTTGAATCTGCCAGGGACATTTGGGAGCCCAACTAGGCCTATAGTGAAAAACAGAATATTGCGTAATAAGAACTACAAAGAAGCTATCTGTGAAATTGCTTTGTGAAGTGTGGATTCAACTCACAGAGTTAAATCTTTCTTTTAATTCAGCAGGTTGTAATCAATCTTTTTGTAGAATATGCAAAGGGACATTTCAGAGGAAACTGTGGCTTACATTGAAAAACCAAAAATCCCATGATAAAAACTGGAAGGAAGCTATCTGTGAAACTGCTTTGTGGTATTTACATTCAGTTCACAGGGTTAAACCTTTCTTTTGATTCAGCAGGTTGTAGACACTTTTTTTTGTAGAATCTGCAAAGGGACATTTCAGAGCCCACTGTGGCCTACAGTGAAAAACTGAATATCTTGCGCTACAAACTAGATAGAAGCTATCTGTAAAACTGCTTTGTGATGTGTGGATTCAGCTGAAAGAGTTAAACCTTTCTTTTGATTCAGCAATTTGGACCACTCCTTTAGTAGATTCTACAAAGGTACATTTTGGAGCAAGCTGAGTCCTATAGTGAAAAACTGAAAATCCTGCGATAAAACTAGAATGAAGCTATCTATGAAACTGATGTGTGACGCTTGCATTCAGTTCACAGAGTTAAACCATTTTTTTGATTCAATAGGTTGAAAACACTCGTTTTTAGAATATGCAAAGAAATATTTTGTAACCCACTGAGGCTTATAGTGAAAAACCGAATATGATGCAATAAAAACTAGAAAGAAGGTATCTGTGAAACTGCTTTGTGAGGTGTGGATTCAACCTAGAGAGTTAAACATTTCTTTTGATTCAGCAGGTTGGAAACCCTCATTTTGTAGAATCTATAAAGGGACATTTCAGAGGGCATAGAGGCCTATAGTGAAAAACTGAATATCCCATGATAAAAACTATATGGAATCTATCTGTGAAACTGCTTTGTGATGTGTGGATTCAGTTTACAGAGTTAAACCTTTCTTTTGGTTTGGCAGGTTGGAAACACTCCTTTTATAGAATATCCAAAGGGACATTTCAGAGCCCACAGTGGCCTTTACTGAAAAACTGAATATCCTGTGATAAAAAAATTACAAAAACCTATCTGTGAAACTGCTTTGTGATGTGTGAATTCTTCTTGCAGTGTTAAACCTTTTTTTTTTTTGATTCAACAGTTGGAAACACTCTTTTTAAAAAAATCTGTGAAGGGACATTTCAGAGCAAACTGAGGCTTGTAGAGAAAAACCAAAAATCTCGCAATAACAACTAGAAAGGAGCTATGACACAGCTTCATGATGTTTGCATTCAGTTCACAGGGTTAAACCTTTCTTTTGATTCAGCAGTTTGGAAATACTCTTTTTGTAGAATATGTGAAGGGACATTTCAGATGGCATTGAGGCCAATAGTGAAGATCTGAATATTTCACGGTAAATACTAGAAAGAACGTGTCTGTGAAACTGTTTTCTGATGTGTGCATTCAGTTCATAAACCTTTCTTTCGATTCAGCAGGTTGTAAATGCTTTCTTGTAGAAATCTGAAAAGAGATTTCGGAGCCTTCTGAGTTCTATAGTGAAAAACTGAATATCCCATGATAAAAACTAGAAAGTAGCTATCTATGAAACTCCTTTCGATGTGTGGGTTCAACTCACACAGTCAAACCTTTCTTTTGATTCAGAAGGTTGGAAACACTTTTTTGTAGTATCAGCAAAGGGACATTTTGAGGCCTACTGAGGCCTATAGTGAAAAACCAAGTATTCCATGAAAAAAAGTCAAAAGAATCTATCTGTAAAAATTTTATGATGTGTGCATTCACGAATTTAAATCTTTCTTTTGATTCAGCAAGTTGGAAATACTCTTTTTGTAGAATCTGCGAAAGGATATTTCGAACCCACTGAGGCCTATAATAAAATATCGAATATCCTGTCATAAAAACTACAAGAGGCTATGTGTGACACTTCTTTGCAATGTGTAGATTCAGCTCACAAAGTTAATCATTTCTTTTGATTCAGCAGGTTGGAAACACAATCTTTGTAGAAGCAGCAAAGGGACATTTTGGAGCCCATTGATTCCTATAGGGAAAAATTGAATATTCCATGATAAAAAATAAAAAGAAGCAATCTGTAAACCGTTTTGTGATGTGTGCATTCAGTTTGTAGAGTTAAACTATTCTTTTGATTCAGCACATTGGAAACTTTACTTCTGTAGAAGTTGTGAAAGGACATTTCAAAGGCCACTGGGGCCTATAGTGAGAAACCAAATATCCTGTGATAAAAACTGGAAATAAGTTATCTGTGAAACTGCTTTGTTATATGTGCATTCATTTCACAGAGATAAACTTTTCTTTTGGTTAAACAAGTTGGAAACACTCTTTGTGTAGAATCTGCAAAGGGACATTTTGTAGCCCATGGAGGCCTACAGCAAAAAACTGAATATCTCACAATAAATCTAGGAAGAAACTGTGTGAAACTGCTTTGTGATGTGTGGATTCAGCTCAGTGTTATACCTCTCTTTTGATTCAGCAGGTCGGAAACACACTTTTTGTAGAGTATGCAAAGGGACATTTCAGAGCTCACTGAGGCCTGTAGTGAAAAACTGAATATCCCATGATAAAAACTATCAAAAAGCTATCTGTGAAACTGCTTTGTGATGGGTGGATTCAGCTCCTAAAGTTAGAAGTTTCTTTTGATTCAGCATGTAGGAAACATATTTTTTGTACAATTGTGCAGGGACATTTTCCAGCCCACTGAGGCCTATAATGAAAAACCAAATATCCCGCAATAAAAATTCCAAAAATCTATCTATGAAACAGCTTTGTGACATGTGCATTCAGCTTACAGAGTTCAACCTTGCTTTTCATTACACGACTTGGAAACATCTTTTTGTAGAATCTGTGAAGAGACATTTCAGAGCCTACTGATGCATATAGTGAAAAGCCTAATATCCCATGACAGAAACTAGAAAGAATCAGCAAGGTGTGGCTGCTCATGCCTGTAATCCAAGCCCTTTGGGAGCCTCAGGTGGGTGGATCAAGAGGTCAGGTGATTGAGACCATCATGGCTAACATGGTGAAACCTTGTCTCTACTAAAAATACAAAAAATTAGCCAGGCATGGTGGCACATGCCTGTAGTCCTAGCTATCTGGGAGACTGAGGCAGGAGTTTGCTTGAACCCAGGAGGTGGAGGTTGCAGTGAGCAGAGATCGTGGCACTGCACTTTAGCCTGAGTGACAGCATGAGACTCTGTCAAAAAAAAAAAAACCTAGACATAATCTATCTGCGAACCTGCTTTTTGATGTGAGCATTCAGCTCACAGAGTTAAACCTTTATATTAATTCAGTAGGTTGGAAACACTCCATTTGTAGAATTTGTGAAGGGTCAGCTCAGAGCCCACTGGAGCCTACAGTGGAAAACCAATTATCCTGCTATGAAAGCTAGAAAGAAGTTATCTGTGAAACTGCTTTGTGATGTCTGCATTCGCCTCACAGAGTTAAACTTTTATTTTTATTTGGCAGGTAGGAAAAACTCTTTTTGTAGTATCTGCTAAAGGACATTTCAGAGCCCACTGAGGCCTATAATGTAAAACATAATATCACGTGATAAAAACTAGAAAGAAGATATCTGTAAAACTGCTTGTGATGTGTGGATTCAGCTAATAAAGGTAAACATTTCTTTTGATTCAGCCAGTTGGAAACACTATTTTTGTAGAATCTGCAAAAGGACATTTCATAGAAAAAGACATTTCGCAAAAGAGGCAGGCAGAGGGTAGAACCTGCCAGGCCTGAGTGGGTGCAGAGTCCTCACAGGGAGGCCTCTTCATTCCCAGAAGTTCCCGAGGCTTCCCTAGGTTAGGGCTAAATACTTAGACTCTGGCCCAGGGTGCCTGTGTCTCTCACAGAACCAACAGGCCGTGACCGGGTCACAGGAGGGCCTGTGTGGGCGGGCAGAAACTCAAGGGTAGGTTGAGGAATGCAGAGGAGAGAAGCAGTGAGGCCTGAGCGAGTGCTGGGTCATCCCAGGGAGGCCTCTCCCTTCCCAGAAGCCTCCAAGGTGCCCCCAGATTGAAACTAGAGCCCCAGCTTCGGCCCAAGGTGACTGTGTCTCTCACAGAGGGCCCACAAGGGTGGAGTTGGGGCCGCAGGTGGGCCTGTGCACGTTGGCAGAAACTCAGAAGGACGTTGAGGCAGGCAGAGGGGAAGCAGAGAGGCCTGAGCGGGTGCTTGGTCCCCACAGGGAGGCCTCTCCCTTCCCGGAAACCCCCGGGGCGTCCCGGCACTACAGACCCAAATACAGGCCAAAAATGTCTGTGTCTTTCACGAGGGGCCCCAACGGGCAACAACGAGGCTGCAGGCGGGCCTGTGCAGGCAGGTAGAAACTCAAGGGGATGTTGAGGCAGGCAGAGGAGAAAAGTGGCGATATATGAGCAGGTGCTCGGTCATCCCAGGGAAGCCTCTCCCTTCCCAGAAGCTCCTGGGCCGCCCCTCAGGTTGAGGCTAGAACCCTGGGCGACTGACCATGGTGCCTGTCTTTTGTGGAGGGCCCCTCCTCGGGCGGCAGCATGGCTACCGACAGACCTTTCTGGGTGGGCAGAAACATAGGGGGACGTTGAGGCAGGCAGAAGGGAGAAGCGGCAAGACCGCAGGGAATACTGGGAGCCTATCAGGTGGCCTCTCCCATTTGAGAAGTCCCCATGGCTATCCCTGGCGGGCTGTAAAGCCCCAAGCTTTGGAGCAGCGTGCCTGTGTCTCTCTTGGAAGGCCCCCACAAGTGAAAACGGCACGCAGAGTCTTGTGGGTGGGCTGCAACGACTCAGGGGGACGTTGACTCAGGCAGAGGGGAGAAGCGGCAATACCTAAGAGAATACTGGGAGCCTCCCAAATAAGCCTCTTTCATTCCAGAAACCCCCAGAGCTGTCACAGGAGTGCTGTAAAGCCCCAGCTTTTGGAGCAGTGTGCCTGTGTCTCTCACGGAAGGCCCACACAAGAGATAACAGGGCCACAGGGTGGTGTGAGTGGGCAGAAGGGACTCAGGGGGACATTGAGGCAGGCAGAGTGGAGAAACGCCAAGAACACAGAAAATGCTGGCATTTCCCAAGGAGGCCTCTACCATCACAGAAACCTCCAGGGATGGCCCGGACCAGCTGTGAAGCCCCAGGCTTTGGAGCAGTTTTCCTGTGTCTCTCCAGGAAGGCCTTCAAAAGCGAAAACCGAGCCGCAGGGTGACGTGGGTGGCCCACAGAAACTCAGGGGGACGTTGATGCAGGCAGAAAGGGAAAGCGGCTAGACTGCAGGGAATGCTGGGAGCCTCCCAAGGAGGCCTCCCCCATCCTGGGAGCCCCTAGGGCTGTTCCAGGCAGGCTATAGAGCCCCTTCCTTTGGAGCAGGGTGCCAGTGTCTCTCACAGAAGACCCCCACAAGGGAACACGGCATCACAGCCTGTCTGGGTGGGCGGCAGGGTGGCTGTGTGGGCCAGAGGGACTTAGGGGGCAGTTGAGGCAGGCAAAGGAAAAAGCGGTGAAACCGAATGGAATGCTGGGAGCCTCCCAAGGAGGCCTCTCCCATCTAAAGGTCCCCAGGCCTGTCCCGGGTAGTAGAGAGGAGAAGCAGCCAGATCGCAGGAAATACTAGCAGCCTATCAATGAGGCCTCTCCCATTTGAGAAGCCCCCAGGGCTTTCCCAGACGGGCTGTGAAGCCCCAGACTTTGGAGCAGGGTGCCTGTGTCTCTTGCCGAAGGCCCACACAAGCGATAACGGGGCTGCAGGGTGGCGTGGGCGGTCGGCATGGATTAGGGGAACTTTCAGGCAGGCAGAGGGGAGAAGCAGCGACACCACAGGGAATGATGGGGGCCTCCCAAGAGGCCTTTCCCATTCCAGAAGCCCCCAGTGCTGTCCCGGGAGAACTGTAAAGACCCAGGATTTGGAGCAGGGTGCCTGTGTCTCTCTCAGAAGGCCCCCACAAGTGAAAATGGGGCCACAGGGTGATGAGGGCGGGCTGCAGGGACTCATGGGGACATTGAGGCAGGCAGAGGGGAGAAGTGACGAGACTGCAGGGAATGCTGGGAGCCTATCAAGGAGGCCTCTTCCATTTGAGAAGCCCCCAGGGCTGTCCCTAGCGGGCTGTAAAACCCCGGGCTTTGGAGCAGCGTGCCTGTGTCTCTTGTGGAAGGCACCCACAAGCGAAAACGGGGCCCCAGGGTGTCGTGGGTGGGTGGCAAGGACTCAGCGGGACGTTGAGTCAGGAAGAAGGGAGGAGCTGTGAGACCGCAGAAAAATCTGGGAGCCTCCTAGTGAGGCCTCTCCAGTACCAGAAGCCCCAGGGCTGTCACAGGCACACTGTAAAGGCCCAGGCTTTGGAGCAGAGTGCCTGTGTCTCTCGTGGAAGTCCCCACAAGAGAAATCGGGGGTGCAGAGATACATGGGGACTTTGAGACAGGCAGAAGGGAGAACCGGCGAGACCACAGGGGATGCTGGGAGCCTATCAGGGAGGACTCTCCCATTTGAGAATCCCCCAAGGCTGTCCGGGGTGGGCTTTAAAGTCCCAGGATTTGGAGCAGTGTCCCTGGGTCTCTCGGTGAAAGCCCCCACAAGCAGAAACGGGCCCAAAGGATGGCATCACCGGGCTGCAGGGACTCAGAGGGACGTTGAGGCAAGAGGGGTGTGGAAGTGGCGAGACCGCAGGGAATGCTGCGAGCCTCCCAAGTAGGCCTCTCTTATCCTAGAAGCCCCCAGGGCAGTCGCATGCGGGCTGTAAAGGCCCAGGCTTTGGAGCAGGGTGCCTGTATCTTGTGCCGAAGGCCACCACAAGGGAAAAGCAGGCTGCCAGGTGGCGCCGTCGGGCCGCAGGGACTCACGGGTACGTCTAGGCAGGCAGAGGGAAAAAGTGACGAGACCGCATGTAATGCTGGGAGCCTACCAATGAGGACTCTTCCATCTGAGGAGCTTCCAGGGCTGTCCCGGGCAGGGTGTAAAGCTTCAGGCTTTGGAGCAGTGTGTCTGTGTCTCTCACAGAAGGCCTCCACAAGAGAAAACGGGGCTTCAGGGTGGCCTGGGCAGGTGGCAAAATCTCAGGGAGACATTGAGGCAGGCATAGGGGAGAAACAGCGACATCGCAGAGAATGCTGGGAGCCTCCCAAGGATACCTCTTCCATCCCAGAAGCCCTCAGGGCTGTCCTGGGCAGGCTGTAAAGCCCCAGACTTTGGAGCAGGCTGCCTGTGTCTCTCACAAAAGGCACCCACAAGCAAAAACGAGGCCGCAGGGTACCGTGGGCGGGTGGCAGAGACTCAGAGAGACATTGCAGCAGGCAGAGAGGGAAAGCGGCCAGATGGCAGGGAATACTGGGAGCCTCCCAAGGACAACTTTCCTATCCCAGAAACAGCCAGGGCTGTCCTGGGTGGGCTGTAAAGACCCTGGCTTTGGAGCAGGGTGCCTGTGTCTTTCACGGAATGCCCCCACAAGCGAACACGGGGCCTCAGTGGGGTCATGTGTGGGCCGCAGATACTCAGGGGGACGTTGAGGCAGGCAGAAAGGAGAAGAAGCGAGATCACAGGGAATGCTGGGAGCCTATCAATAAGGTCTCTCCCATGCAAGAAGTCCCAAGGGCTGTCCCAGGCTGGCTCTAAATCTTCAGGCCTTGGAGCAGCGTGCCTCTGTCTCTCATGGAAGGCAGCCACAAGCGAAAACTTGGCCGCAGGTTGGCATGGGCAGGTCGCAAGTACTCAGGGGGATGTTGAGGCAGAAGGGAGAAGCGGCAAGACCACAGAAAATGCTGGGAGCCTCCCAAGGAGGCCTCTCTCATCTCAGAAGCCCCTAGGGCTGTCCCGGGCGGGCTGTAAAGCCCCAGGCTTTGAAGCAGGGTGCCTGTGTCTCTCACAGAAGGGCCCCACAAACAAAAGCAGGGCCGCAGGCTGGCGTGGGTGGGCCGCAAAGACTCAAAGTATGTTGAGTCAGGCAGAGGGGAGAAGGGGCAAGACCGCAGAAAATGCTGGGAGCCTCCCAAGGAAGCATCTCCCATCCCAGAAGCCTACAGGGCTTCCCAGTGCAGGCTGTAAATCTCCAGGCTTTGCATCAGGGTGCTTGTGTCCCTGTGGGAAGGCCCTCACAAGCGAAAACGTGACCACAGTGTGGCGTGGGCAGGCCACAAGGACTCAGGGGGACGTTGAGGCAGGCAGAGGGGACAAGCAGCTTGAACACAGAGAATGCCACAGGGTGGCATGGACAAGTGGCAGGGACTCAGGGGCCGTGGAGGCAGGTAGAGGGAAGAAGCAGCAATACAGAGAATGATGATGGTAACCTCCCAAGGAGGCCTCTCCCATACCAGAAGCCCCAGGGCTTTCCTGGGCTAGGTGTAAAACCTCAGGCTTTGGAGCAGGGTCCCTGTGTCTCTCGCTGGAGGCCCCCGCAATGAAAAACGGAGTCTCACGGTGGCGTGGGCAGTCCCTGGGACTCAGGGGAATGTTGAGTCAGGCAGAGGGGAGAAGCGGGGAGACAGCAGGAAAGACTGGCAGTTGCACAAGGAGGCCTCTCCCATTCCAGATGACCCCAGGGCTGTCCCAGGCAGTTGGTAAAGCCACAGGCTTTGGAGCCGAGTGCCTGTATCTGTCACGGAAAGCCCCCACAAGCAAAAACGGGGCCGCAGGGTGGCGTGGGTGGGCCGCAGGGACACAGGGGGAAGTTGAGCAGGTAGAGGAAAGAAGCGGCGAGACCGCTGGGAATGCTGCGAGCCTGCCAAAAAGGCCTCTTTCATCACAGCAGCCCTCAGGGCTGTCTTGAGCAGGCTGTAAAGCCCCAGGCTTTGGAGTCAGGTGTCTGTGTCTTTCACGCAAGGCCCCCACAAGCAAAAATGGGGTTGCAGATTGGCGTTGGCAGGCCTCAGGGACACAGGGTGATGTTTAGGCAGGCAGAGGTCAGAAGCGGCAAGATCGCAGCGAATTCTGGGAGCCTCCCCAGGATGCCTCTTCCATTTCAGAAGAACCAAGGGTGATCCTGGGTGGGCTGTAAAGATCCAAGCCTTGGAGCAGAGTGCCTGTGTCTCTCGCCGAATGCCTGCACAAGAGAAAACTAGGCCGCATGGCATGGGCGGGTGGCAGGGACTCTGGGGGATGTTGAGGTAGACAGAGGGGAGAAGGGCCAAAACGGCAGGGAATGCTGGGAGCCTCCCAAGGAGGACTCTCTTATCCCAGAAGCCCCCAGGGCTGTCCTGGGCTGGCTCTAAAGCCCCAGGCTTTAGAGAAGGATGTCTGTGTCTCTCGTGGAACTCCCCCAAAAGGGAAAATGAGGGCTCAGGGTGGCCTGGGTAGGACGCAGGGACTCGGGAACATTGAGGCCAGCAGAAGGGAGAAGCGGGGAGACCCCAGCAAATGCTAGGAGGCTTATAAGGAGGCCTTTACCATCCCAGGAGCCCCATGGCTGACCCGGGCAGGCTGTGAAGCCCCAGGCTTTGAAGCAGAGTGCCTGTGTTCCCCATGGAAGGCATGGTGGCGTGGGCAGGCAACAGGAACTGAGGGAAATGTTGAGACAGGCAGAGGGGAGTAGAGGCACGACTGCAGGGCATGCTGGCGGCCTCCAAAAAAGGCCTCTCCCTTCTCTGAAGTCCACAGGGCTGTCCCAGGTGTGCTGTAAAGCCCCAGGCTTTGAAACAGGGTGCCTGTTTCTCTCACGGAAGGCCCCCACAAGTGAAAATGCGGCCCTGGGTTGTCTTGAGCAGGCTGCAGGAACCCAGGGAAATGTTGAGGCAGGCATAAAAGAGAAGCAGCGAGATGGCAGGGAATGCTGGGAGCCTCTCATTGTGGCCTCTCTTATCCCAGAAGCCCGCAGGGCTGTCTTGGGAGGCTTGTAAAGCTGCAGGCTTTGGAACAGGGTGTCTGTGTCTCTTGCGGAAAGCCCTTAAAAGCGAAAACTGGGTCGTAGGATGGCGTGGGCCAGGCACTGGGACTGAGGGGGACATTCAGGCAGGCAAGGGGCAGAAAGGGCAAGACAGCAGGGAAGGCTGGGAGCCTCCCAAAGACACCTGTCCCATCGCAAAAGCACCCAGGGTTGTCCTGGGCAGGCTGTAAAGCCCCAGGCTTTGGAACAGGGTGCCTGTGCCTCTTGTGAAAGGTCTCCACAAGCCAACAAAATGCCTCACATTTCCTTGGGCAGGGAGCAGACACTCAGGGGGACGTTGAGGCAGGCAGAGGGGAGAAGTGGTGAAACAGCAGGGAATGCTTGGAGCCTCCCCAAAAGGCCTCTCTTATCCCAAAAGCCCCCACAGCTGTCCCGGGTGGGCTGTAAAGCCCCAGGCTTTGGAACAGGTTGCCTGTGTCTATCACGGAAGGCCACCAAAAGGGAAAACTGGGCCGTAGGATGGTGTGGGCGGGACGCAGGGACTCTGGAGGATGTTTAGGCAGGGAGAGGGTAGAAGTAGCAAGACTGCAGGGAATGCTGGGGTCCTTCCAAAGAGGCCTCTCCGTTTTCAGAAGCTCCCAGCGCTGTACCGAGTGGGCTCTAAAGCCCCAGGTTTGGAGCAGGTTGTCTGTGCCTCTCCCAGAAGGCCCCAACAACGGGGGCAGCAGGGTGGCCTGGATGAGTTGCAGAAACTCAGGGGAACATTGAGGCAGGCAAAGGGAAGAAGGGTCAAGACCGCAGGGAATACTGGGAGAGTACCAACGAGGCCTTTTTCATTCCAGAAGCCCCCAGGGCACTACTGGGTAGGCGGTGAAGTCCCAGGCTTTGAAGCAGGTTGTCAGTGTCTCTCGCAGAAGGCCACCAAAAGCTAAATCGGGGCCACTGGGTAAGGAAGGCGGGCCACAGGGACTCAGGGTGGACGTTGAGGCAGTCAGAGGGGAGAAGCGATGAGACCTCAGGGAATGCTGGGCTCCTCCAAAGGAGGCCTCTGTCTAGTTTTTTTTTTTTTTTTTTTTTGATGGAGTCTTGCTGTCTCACACCCAGGCTGGAGTGCAGTGGTGAGATCTCGGCTTACTGAAAGCTCTGCCCAAAGGAGGCATCTTTTATCCCAGAAGACCCCAGGGCTGTCCCGGGCAAGTTGGGAAGCCCCAGGCTTTGGAGCAGAGTGTATGTGTCCATGGTGGAAGGCCTCTGCAAGCAAAAATGGGGCGGCAGGGGGACATGGGCAGGCCGCAAGGACTCACAAGGACATTGAGGCAGGCAGAGGGAAGAAGCGGCGAGATGGTATGGAATGTTGAGAGCCTCTCAAGGATGACTCTCCCATCCCAGAAGCCCCCAGAGGTGTTTTGGGTGGGCTGTAAAGCCTCAGGCTTTGGAGCAGAGTGCCTATGTCTTTCGTGGTAGGCCTTCTCAAGCGAAAACGTGGCCGCAGGGTGGCGTAGGAGGGCCACAGGGACTCAGGGAAACGTTGAGGCCTGCAGAGGGGAGAAGTGGCAAGACCACAGGGAATGCTGGGAGTCTCTCAAGGATGCCTTTCCTATCCCAGAACCCATCAGTGCTGTCCCAGACTAGCTGTGTAGCACCAGGCTTTGGAGCAGGTTCCATGTGTCCCTCGAGGAAGACCCCACAAGTGAACACCGGGCAGTAGGGTGACGTTGGCGGGCCTCAGGGACTCAGGGGGACGTTGAGCCAGGCATAGTAAGGAAGAGACGAGACCACAGGGAATGCTGAAAGCCTCCCACGGACGACTCTTCCATACTAGAAGCCCCCAGCTCTTTCTTGGGCGGGTTGTACAGCCCCAGGCTTTGGAGCAGCATGCCTGTCTCTGTCCCAGGAGGCTTTCACAAGAGAAAATGAGGCCGCAGTGTGGCATAGTCAGGCCGCAGGGACTCAGGGAGACAGTGAGGCAGGCAGAAGGGAGAAACAGCAAGACAGCAGGGAATACTGGGAACCTCTGAAGAAGGCCTCTCCCATCCCAGAAGCACCCAAGCTGTTCCAGGCAGGCTGTAAAGCCCCAGGATTTGGAGCACCATGCTGTGTCTCTCACGGAAGGCCTCCACTGTAGGGAAAAGAGAGATAAGACTGTTACTGTGTCTATGTAGAAAGGGAAGACATAAGAGACTCCATTTTGAAAAAGACTTGTACTTTAAGTAATTGCTTTGCTGAGATGTTGTTAATTGGTAGCTTTGCCTCAGCCACTTTGACCCAACCTGGAGCTCACAAAAACATGTGTTGTATGAAATCAAGGTTTAAGGGATCTAAACAAGGCTGTGCAGGACGTGCCTTGTTAACAAAATATTTACAAGCAGTATACTTGGTAAAAGTCATTGCCATTCTCTAGTCTCAATAAACCAGGGACATAATGCACTGTGGAAAGCCGCAGGGACCTCTGCCCTTGAAAGTGGGGTATTGTCCAAGGTTTCTCCCCATGTGATGTTTTGAAACATGGCCTCATGGGATGAGAAAGACCTGACCGACCCGCGGCCTGACACCCATAAAGGGTCTGTGCTGAGGTAGATTAGTAAAAGAGGAAAGTCTCTTGCAGTGGAGATAGAGGAAGGCCAGTCTCCTGCCTGCCCCTGGGAACTGAATGTATCGGTATAAAACCCGGTTGTACATTTGTTCAATTCTGAGATCAGAGAAAAACCTCCCTGTGGTGGGAGATGAGACACATTTGCAGCAATGCTGCCTTGTTATTCTTTACTCCACTGAGATGTTTAGGTGGAAAGAAACATAAATCTGGCTTATGTGCACGTCTAGTCATAGTACCTTCCCTTGAACTTAACCATGACGTAGATTCTATTGCTGACATGTTTGTTGCTGACCTTCTCCTTATTATCACCCTGCCCTCCTACTACCTTCCTTTTTGCTGAAATAATGAAGATAATAATCAATAAAAACTGAGGGAACTCAGAGACCGGTGCTGGTGCAGGTCCTTGGCATGCTGAGCGCTGGTCCTCTGGGCCCACTGTTGTTTCTCTATACTTTGTCTCTGTGTCTTATTTCTTTTCTCAGTCTCTCTCCCACCCAACTAGAAATACCCACAGGTGTGGAGGGGCAGGCCACCCCTTCACCACTAGCGAAAACAAGGCTGCAGGGTGGCATGGGGCAGCCGCACGAACTCAGAAGGACATTGATACATGCAGACAGGAGAAAAGGTGAGACTGCAGGGAATGCTGGGAGCCTCCCAAGGGGGTCTCTCCCATTTCAGAAGCCCCCAGTGCTGTCTTGGACAGGTTGTAAAGCCCCAGCCTTTGAAGCAGGGTGCCTGTGTCTCTTGCAGAAGGATCCCACAAGAAAAAGGGGTCCACCGAGTGACGGGGACAGACAGCCGGGACTCCCAGGATGTTGAGGCACGCAGAGGGGAGAAGCGGTGAAACTGCAGGGAACTCTATGAGCCTCCCAAGGATGCCTCTTCCATCTCAGAAGCCCCCAGGGCCTTCCCGGGCTGACTATAAAGCCCCAGGCTTTGGAGCAGGGTACCCGTGTCTCTGGTGGCAAGCCCCCACAAGCGAAAAGGAAGCTGCAGGGTGGCATAGGCTGGCAGCAGGGAGTCAGGAGGACGTTTATGCAGGAAGAGAAGAGAAGCAGTGAGACTGCAGGGAATTCTGGGAGTGAAGACTCTCCCATCCCAGAAGCCCCACGCTTTATCTCAGTCATGCTGTAAAGACCCAGGCTTTGGAACAGGGAGGGTGCCTGTGTCTCTCGTGGAAGGCCCCCACAAGCGAAAGCAGGGTGGCGGTTGCAGGCCGCAGGGACTCAGGGGGACCTACAGGCAGGCAGAGGAAGAAGCGGCGAGACAACAGGGAATGCTAGAAGCCTTCCAAGGATGACTCTCCCATCCCAGAAGCCCCCAAGTCTGTTTTGGGCAAGCTGTAAAGCCCCAGGCTTTTAAGCACGGTGACTTGTCTCTCACAGAAGGCCTCCACAAGTGAAAACGAGGCCTCAAAGTAGCATCAGTGGGAAGTAGGGACTCAGGTGGACATTCAGGCAGACAAAAGGGGAAATTGTCAAGACCGCAGGGAATGCTGAGAGCCTCCCAACAAGGCCTCATTCATCCCAGAAGCCCACAGGGCTGTTTCTGGTGGCCTGCAAGGCCTCAGGCTTTGGAGCAGGTTCCTGTGTCTCTTGCCGAAGGTGCCCAATAGAGAAAACGAGGCTGCAGGGTGGTGTAGGCGGGACGCAGGGACTCCGGGGGACGTTGAGGCAGGCAGAAGGGAGAAGCGGCGAGATCTCAGAAAATAATGGGAGCCTCCCAAGGAGGCCTCTTCCATTCCAGAAGATCCCAGGGCTGTCCCGGGCAGGCTGCAAATGCCCATGCTTTGAAGCAGTGTGCCTGTGTCTCTCGTGGAAGGCCCCCACAAGCAAAAATGGAGCCACAGGGTGACATGGTCGGGCCGCAGGGTCTCAGGGAGGTTGACACAGGCAGAGGGGAAAAGCGGGGAGACTGCAGGGAATGACAGGAGCCTCTCAAGGAGGGCTCTCCCATCCCAGAAGCCCCCAGGTCTGTTTCGGGCAAGCTGTAAAGCCCCAGGCTTTGGAACAGGGTTTATGAGTCTTCCACGGAAGGCCCCCACCAGCGAAAACTGGGCCGCAGGGTGTCGTGGGTGGGCCGCAGGAATTCAGGAGGACATTGAGGCAAGCAGAGAAGTGGTGATACCGCAGAGAATGTGGGGGAGCCTCCAAAAAAGGCCTCTCCCATGTCAGATGCTCCCAGAGCTCTCCGGGCTGATGGTAAAGCCCAAGGCTTTGGAGTAGGGTGACTGTGTCTCACGACGAAGGCCCGCACAAGAAAAACAGGGCTGCAGAGACTCAAGGGGATGTTGAGAGAGGCAGAAGAAAGAAGCAGCGAGACTGCAGGGAATACTGGAAGCCTTCCAAGGAGGACTCTCCGAATCCAGAAGCCTGCAAGACTGTCTGGGGCGGGTTGTAAGGTTGTAATGCCCCAGGCTTTTGAGCATGGTGCCTGTGTCTCTTGCAGAAGGCCCCCAAGTGAAAACGGGGCTGCAGGATAGCATGGGCAGGTGGCAAGGACTCAGGGAAACGTTGAGGCAGGCAAAAGGGAGAGAATCAGTGAGACGGCACAGAATATGGGGAACCTGCTAAGGAGGCCTCTCCCATTCCAGAAGATTTCAGGTCTGTCCCTCGCAGGCTGTAAATACCCAGGCTTTGAAGCATGGTGTCTGTGTGTCTCACGGAAGGCCCCCACAAGCAAAAACAGGGCAGCAGGCTGGCGTGGGTGGGCCACACAAACTCAGGGGGATGTTGAGACAGGCAGTGGGGGAACCGACGAGACCTCAGGGAATTCTGGGAGCCTCTCAAAGAGGCCTCTCCCATCCCAGAAACCCCCAGGACTGTTTCGGCGGCCCATAAAGCCTCAGGCTTTGGAGCAGGATGCCTGTGTCTCTCGCGGCAGGCCCCCACAAGCGAAAACAGGGCCGCAGGGTGGCGTGGGCGGGACGTGGGAACTCAGCGGGACATTGAGGCAGGCAGAGAGGAAAAGTGGCAAGACCAAAGGTAGTGCTGGAAGCTCCCCAAAGAGGCCTCTCCCATCCCAGAAGCCCCTAGATCTGCCCCAGGCGAGCTGTAAAGCCCCAGACTTTTGAGTATGGTGTCTTTGTCTCTCATGGAAGGCCCCCAGAAGCAAAACAGGGCCTCAGTGTGGGGTGGGCGGGCTGCAGAAACTCAGGGGGATGTTGAGGCAGGGAAAAGGGAGAAACGGCGAGAGCTCAGTGATGCTGGGAGTCTCCCAATGAGGCCTCTCCAATCCCAGAAGCCACCGAGTCTGTCCCAGACGGCCTTTAAAGACCCAGGCTTTGGAGCAGTGTGCCTGTTTCTCCTGCAAAAGGCTGACACAGCAAAATCGGAGCCACGCGGTGGCGTGGGTGAAATGAAGGGACTCAGGGGGACTTTGAAGCAGGCAGAGGGGTGAAGTGGATAGACCACAGGGACTGCTGCTCACATCCCGAAAAGGCCTCTTACATCTCAGAAGTTCCCAGGGCTGTCCCAGGTGAGCTGTAAAGCCCCAGGCTTCGGAGCAGGGTTTCCTTGTCACTCGCAGAAGGTCTTCACAAGCAAAAAACAAGGCAGCAGCGTGGCGTGGGCTGGAGGCAGGGACTCAAGGGATGTTGAGGCAGGCAGAGGGAAGAAGCAACGAGACCGCAGTGAATGCTGGAAGCCTCCCAAGGAGGCCTCTCCCATTCCAGAAGCACTCAGCACTTTCCCGGTGGGACTGTAAAGCTGCAGATTTTGGAGCAGTGTGCTTGTGTCTCTCGTGGAAGGCCCCCACAAGCGACAACGGGCCCTCAGGGTAGTGTGGGTGAGCCGCAGGGACTCAGGTGGACGTTGAGGCCTGCAGAGGGGAAAAGCGGCAAGACCGCAGGGATTGCTCAGATCCTTCCAAAATATTCTCTTTCATCCCGAAAGCCTCCAAGGCTGCCCTGCTCAGGCTATAAAGCCTCAGGCTCTGCAGCAGGGTGCCTGTGTCTCTCACAGAATGTGCCCACAAGCGACAATGGGGGCGCAGTTTGGCGTGGGCAGGCCGCAGGGACTCTGAAGGCCTTTGAGGCCGGCAGAGGGGAAAAGCGACGATACGGCATGGAACGCTGGGAACCGCCCAAGAGGCCTCTTTCATCCCAGAAGCCCCCAGGTTTTTTCTGAGAGGGCTGAAAAGCCCCAGGCTTTGGAGCAGTGTGCCCGTGTTTCTGGCGGAGGACCCCCACAAGAGAAAACGGGGCCTCAGGGTGGCGTGGGAGGGACGCAGAGACTCAGGGAGACATTGAAGCAGGCAGAGGGAAGAAGCGACAAGACCGCAGGGAATGCTGAGAGCTTCTCAAAAAGGCCTGTCCCATCCCAGAAGCCCCCAGGGTGTCCTGGGCAGGCTGTGCACCACGAGGCTTTGGAGAAGGGTAACTGTGTCCCTTGCGGAAGGCCCCCACAAGTGAAAATGGGGCCGCAGGGTGGCGTGGGCCTGCCACAGGGACTCATGGGGACGTTGAAGCAGGCAAAGGGGAGAGTTGTTGAGACCGCACAGAATGCTGGGAGCCTCCCAAGGAAAACTCTTTCATCTCTGAAGCTCCCAGGGTTGTCCTGGGCAGGCTGTAAATCCCCAGGCTTTGGAAAAGATTGCGTGTGTCTTTCAGAGAAGGCCCCCACAAGTGAAACCGGAGCCGCAGGGAGGCGTGGGAGGGAAGCAGTGACTGACGGGGATATTGAGGCAGGCAGAAGGTAAAATCAGCGAGACTTCAGGGAATGCAGGGAGTCTACCAAAGATGCCTCTCCTTTCCCAGAAGCCCCCATGGCCATCCTGGGCGGGCTGTAAAGCCCTAGGTTTTGTAGCAGCGTGCCTATGTGTCACGCGGAGGGACCCCACAAGCAAAAATGGGGCCGCACGGTGGTGTGGTTGGGTGGCAGAGACTCAGAGGGACATTGAGACAGACTGAAGGGAGAAGCGGCGAGCCCACAGGGAATGCTGGGACCCTCCTAAGGAGGTCTCTTTCATCCCAGAAGCTGCCAGGCCTGTCCCAGGCAGGCTGTAAAGCCCCAGGCTTTGGAGCAGGGTGTCTGTGTCTCTCGTGGAAGGCCTCAACAGGCGAAAATGGGGCCTCAGAGTGGCGTTGGTGGGCCGCAGGAACTCAGGGGGACATTGAGGCAGGCAGAGTAAAGAAGCGGTGAGAACGCGGGGAATGCTGGGAGCCTCCCAAAAAGGACTCTCCCATCCCAGAAGACCCCAGGGCTGTTCCTGGCAGGCTGTAAAGCCCCAGGCTTTGAAGCAGGGTGCATGTGTCTTTCCCGGAAGGCTCCCCAAGTGAAAACGGGGCCGCAAGGTGGCGTGGGCGGGCAACAGGTACTCAGGGCAACACAGAGGCAGGGAGAGGGGAGAAGTGCTTAGACTGCAGGGAATGCTGGGAGCCTCCCAAGGAGGCCTCTCCCCTCCCAGAAGCACGGAGGGCTCTCTGGGGCAGGCTGTAAAGCCCCAGACTTTGGAGCAGGGTGCTTGTGTCTCTCGAGGAGGGCCCCACAATCGAAAACAGGACAGCAGGGTGGAGTGGTCGGGCGGCAGTGATTGAGGGGGACGTTGAGGCAGGCAGAAGGTAGAAGTGGCGAGACAGCAGGGAAAGCTGGGAGCCTTTCATAGGGGCCCCTCCCATCTAAGAATACCCCAGGGCTGTCCCTGTCTGGCTGCAAAGCGCCAGGCTTTGGAGTAGGGTGCCTGTGTTTCTGGTGGAAGGCCCTCACAAGCAAAAACGGGGCCGCAGGGTGGCGTGGACGGGAAGCAGGGGCAAAGCGAGATCCTGAGGCAGGCAGAGGGAAGAAGCGGTGAGACCACTGGGAATTCTGGGAGCCTTCAGAGGAAGACTCTTCCATCCCAGAAGCCCCAAAGCCTTCCCCGGCAGGCTGTAAAGCCCCAGAGTTTGGAGAAGGGTGACAGTGTCTGTCGCAGAAGGCCGCAAGAAGAGAAAAGGGGGCTGCAGGGTGATGTGGGCAGACCGCAGATAGTCAGGGGGACGTGGAGGCAGGCAGAGGGGAGAAGCCACAAGCCGAAATGTGGCCTTGCTTGTGGGGGCCTTCAGCGAGAGACACAAGCACCCTGCTCCAAAGCCTGGGGATTTACAGCTCACCCGGGACAGCCATTGGGGCTTCTTGGATGAGAGAGGCCTCCCAGCATTCCCTGCAGTCTTGCCTCTTCTTCCCTCTGCCTGCGTCAAGGTCCCTCGGAGTCTTGGCAGCATGCCCACGCCACCCTGCGACCCCATTTTTGCTTGTGGCGGCCTTCTTTGAGAGAGTTAGGCACCCTGCTCCAAAGCCTGGGACTTTACAGTCCTTCTTGGACAGACTAGGGGGTTTCTGAAATGGGAGAGTCCTCCTTGAAATGCTCCCAGCATTCCTTGCAGTCTCGCCGCTTCTCCCCTCTGCCTGCCTCAATGTCTCCTGAGTTGTTGCAGCCACCCACGCCACCCTGCTCTCTCGTTTTCTCTTGTGAGGCCCTTACGTGAGAGACACAGGCACCCTGCTCCAATGCCTGGGGATTTACAGCCTACCCTGGAGAGCCATGGAGGCTTCTTGGATGGGATAGGCGTCTTGGGAGGCTCCTAGCATTCCCTGCAGTCTCGCCGATTCTCCCTCTGCTTGCCTCAACGTCCCCCTGACTCCCTATGACCCTCCCATGCCACCCTCCAGTAACGTTTTCATTCTTGGGGTACTTCAGCCAGAGACACAAGCTCCCTGCTCTAAGGCCTGAAGATTTACAGCATGACTGTGACAGCCTTGGGAGCTTCGGGGATGGGAGAGGCTTTGGGAGACTCCCAGCATTGCCTGTGGTCTCGTGGCATCCCCCGTCTGCCTGTCTCAATGTTCCTTTTAGTCCCTGCAGCCTGCCCATGTCATCCTGCTGTGTCGTTTTTGCTTGTGGGTGCCTTCTGCAAGAGACACAAGCAACCTGCTCCAAAGCCTGGGGCTTTATAGCCAGCCCGGACAGCCCTGGGGGCTTCTGGGATAAAAGAGGCCAACTTGGGAGGCTCCCAGCATTCCCTGCCATCCACCGCTTCCCCCATCTTCCTGCCTCAATGTTTCCCAGGGTCTCTGCCGTCAAAACGCGCCACCTGCGGCCCCATATTCACTTGTGGGGTCCTTCCGTGATAGACACAGGCACCCTGATCCAAAGTCTGGGGCTTTACAGCTGGCCAGGGACAGCCCTGGGAGGTTCTGGTGTGGATGCTTCAAGCAACACCTGCGGTCTCACCACTACTCCCCAATGACGGACTTAACATCCCCCTGAGTTCCTGTGTCCCTCCCACGCCAACTTGCGGCCCCATCTCCGCTTGTGGAGGGCTTCTGTGAGAGACACATGCACCCTACTCCAAAGCCTGGGGCTTTACAGCATGCCCAGGGGAGGCTGGGGGCTATTGGGATGGGAGATGTCTTATGGGGGGCTCACAGCATCCCCTGTTGTCTCACTGCTTCTCCCCTCTGCCTGCTTCAACGTCCCCCTATGTCCCTGATGCCCGCCCATGCCACTCTATGGCCCCGTTTTCGCTTGTGTTGGCCTATGGCAAGAGACACAGGAAACCTGTTCCAAAATCTGGGGCTTTACAGCCCGCACCGGACAGCCCTGGGGGCTTCCGGGATGGAAGAGGCCAGCTTGGGAGGTTTCCAGCATTCCCTGCGGTCTCGCCGCTTCTCCCGTCTGCGAGCCTCAATGTCCCTCTGAGTCCCTGCCACCCAACGACGCCACTCTGTGGCGCCGTTTTAGCTTGTGGGTTGTTTTTAGGAAGAGACACAGGCACACTGCTCCAAAGACTGTGGATCTACAGCCCTCCAGGGACAGCCCTGGGGGCTTCTGAAATCGGAGAGGCCTCATGGGAGGCTCCCAAAATTCCCTGCGGTCTCGCCGCTTCTTTCCTTTGCCTTCCTCTACGTCCCCCCACGTCCCTGCGGCTTGCACATGCTACCGTGTGGTTCTGTTTTCACTTGTGGGGGCCTTCAGCGAGAGACACAGTCACCCTGCTCCAAAGCCTGGGGCTTTACAGACCGACAGGGGACAGCCCTGGGGGCTTCTGGGATGGGAGAGGCCTCCTAGGAAGGCTCCTAGCATTCCCTCTCATCTCTCTGCTTCTCCCGTCTCTGACTCAACATCGTCCCGAGTCCCTGCGACCAGTACACACCACCCTGCGGCCCCATTTTCTCTTGTGGGGGCCTTCCGTGAGAGACACAGGCACCCTGCTCAAAACCTGGGGGTTTAACAGCTTTCCGGGTACAGCCCTGTGGGCTTCTCTCATAGGAGAGGCCTCCTTGGGAGTCTCCCAGCTTTTGCTGTGGTCTCACTGCTTCTTCTCTCTGCCTGCCTCAACGTTTCCCTGAGTACCTACCACCCGACCACGCCACCCTGCAGCCTTGTTTTCGCTTGTGGGTGCCTTCCTTGAGAGAGGCACTCTGCTTCAAAGCCTGGGGCTCTACATCCCGCCCTGGACAGGCCTAAGGGCTTCTGTGTATGGAAAAAAAGAGATATCAGACTGTTACTGTGTCTATGTGGAAAGGAAAGATGTAAGAGACTCCATTTTGAAAAAGACCTGTACTTTAAACAATTGCTTTGCTGAGATGTTGTTAATTTGTAGCTTTGCGGCAACCACTTTGACCCAGCCACTTTGACCCAACCTGGAGCTCACAAAAACATGTGTTGTATAAAATAAAGGTTTAAGGGATCTAGGGCTGTGCAGGCTGTGCCTTGCTAACAAAATGCTTACAAGCAGTATACGTGGTAAAAGTCATCACTATTCTCTAGTCTCAATAAGCCAGGGGCATAATGCACTGCAGAAAGCCGCAGGGACCTCTGCCCTTGAAAGCGGGGTATTGTCCAAGGTTTCTCCCCATGTGATAGTCTGAAATATGGCCTTGTGGGATGAGAAAGACCTGACCGTCCCCCAGCCCAGCACCCATAAAGGGTCTGTGCTGAGGTGGATTAGTAAGAGAGGAAAGCCTCTTGCAGTTGAGATAGAGGAAGGCCACTGTCTCCTGCCTGCCCCTGGGAACTGAATGTATCGGTATAAAACCCGATTGTACATTTGTTCAATAATGAGATCAGAGAAAAACCACCCTATGGTGGGAGGTGAGACATGTTTGCAGCAATGCTGCCTTGTTATTCTTTACTCCACTGAGATGTTTGGGTGGAGAGAAATATAAATCTGGCTTATGTGCACGTCCAGTCATAGTACCTTCCTTTGAACTTAATTATGACATAGATTATTTTGCTCACATGTGTTTTGCTGACCTTCTCCTTATTATCACCCTGCCCTCCTACTACATTCCTTTTTACTGAAATAATGAAAATAATAATCAATAAAAGCTGAGGGAACTCAGAGGCCAATGTCGGTGCGGGCCCTTGGTGTGCTGAGTGCTGGTCCCCTGGGCCCACTGTTGTTTCTCTATACTTTGTCTCTGTGTCTTATTTCTTTTCTCAGTCTCTCATCCCACCCAACTAGAAATACCCACAGGTGTGGAGGGGCAGGCCACCCCTTCACTTCTGGGATGAGAGAGATCTTCTTGGGTGTCTCCCAGCATTCCCTGCTGTGTCGCTGCTTCTCCCCTCTGCCTGCCTCAACGTCTCCATGAGTCCCTGCCGCCCAAGCACGCCATCCTGCGGCCCCGTTTTTGCTTGTGGTTGCGTTCCGCAAGAGACACAGGCACTCTGCTCCAAAGCATGGATCTTTAGAAACCGCCGGGAGAGCCCTGGGCCTTCTGGGATGGGAGAGGACTTATAAAAGTCTCCCAGCATTTTCTGCGTGCTCACCGCTTCTCCCTTCTGCCTGCCTCAACGTCTCCCTGAGTCCCTGTGGTCCTCCCATGCCACCCTTTGGCCTTGTTGTCGCTTGTGAAATCATTCCACGAGAGATACAGGCACCCTGTACCAAAGCCTGGAACTTTACAGCCTGATTGGGACAGCACTAGGGGCTTCTGAAATGGGAGAGGACTCCTTGGGAGATTCAGCCTTCCCTGTGATCTCGCTGATTCTCCTCTCTGCGTACCTTGCTTCAATGTCTGGCTGAGTCCCTGCAGCCCGCCCACACCACACTGAAGCCCCGTTTTCACTTCTGGGGACCTTCCGTGAGAGATACAGTCACCCTGCTCCAAAGCCTGGGGCTTTACAGCCCGCCCAGGACACCCCTGGGGGCTTCTGGGATGAGAGAAATTTCTTTGGGAGGCTCCCAGCATTCCCTGTGGTCTCAGCGCTTCCCACCTCTGCCTGCCTCGATTTCCACCTGAGTCCGTGAGGCCCGTCCACACCACCCTGCGGCCCCATATTTGCTTGTAGGGGCCTTCAGCGAGAGACACAGGCAACGTGCTCTGAAGCCTGGGGCTTTACAGCCCGCCCGGGACAGCCCTGGGGGCTTCTGGGATGGGAGAGGCGTCTTTGGGAGGCTCCCAGCACTCCCTGCAATCTCACCGCTTCTTCCCTCTGCCTGCCTCATTTATCCCTGTGTCTCTGCAGCCCGTCCACGCCACCATACTGCCCCGTATTCTCTTGTGGAAGGTTTCCATGAGAGGCACAGTCACCCTGCTCCAAAGCCTGGGCCTTTACAACCCATCTGGGACAGCCCTGGGGGCTTCTGAGATGGCAGAGGCCTCCTTGTGAGGCTCCAAGCATTCCCCGCGGTCTCACCACTTCTCCCTTTTGCCTGCCTCAACTTACCCCTGAGTCCCTGCGGCCCGCCCTGGCCACCCTGCGGCCCCATTTTTGCTTGTGTGGGTTTTCCACTAGAGACAAGAGCACCCTGCGCCAAAGCCTGGGGCTTTATAGCCTGCCCGGGACAGCCTGGGGGCTTCAGCGATGGGAGTGGCTTCCTATGGATACTCCCAGCATTCCCTGCGGACTTGCTGCTTCTCCTCTCTGCCTGCTTCAAAGTCCCCTTGAGTTTCTGCCACTTGCCCCAGCCACCCTGCCTCACGGTTTTTGCTTGTGGGGTCTTTTGCGAAAGACACAGGCACACTGCTCCAAAGCCTGGGGCATTATACCCCACCTGGGAGGGCCCTGGTGGCTATTGGGATGGGAGAGGCATCCTTGGGAGGCTCCCAGCATTCCCTGCGGTCTCAGCTATTCTTCCCTTTGCCTGCCTCAATGTCACCCTAAGTCTCTGCAACCTGCCGCCACCACCTTGTGGCTTTGTTTTCGGTTGTGGGACCCTTCTGCAAGAGACACAGGCACACTGGTTCAAAGCCTGGGGCATTACAGCCCGCCTGGGACAACACGAGGGCTTCTGAAATGGGAGAGGCCTCCTTGGGAGGCTCCCAGCATTACCTGCATTCCCACCGCTTCTCCGCTCTGCTGACCTCAACCTCCCCCTGAGTCTCTGCCACCCTCCCACTCCATCCTGAGTCCCTGTTTTTGTTTGTGGAGGCTTTCCACAAGAGACACAGGTACACTGGTTCAAAGCCTACGGCTTTACAGCCAACCCGGGACAACCCCAGGGGCTTCTGGGATGCAAGAGGTCTTCTTGGGAGGGCCCCAGCACTTCTTGTAGTCTCACCGCTTCTAACCTCTGCCTACCTCAATGTCTCCCTGAGTCCCCGCCGCCACTCACTCCACCCTGCATCCCCATTTTCACTTGCCTTCCGCGAGAGACACAGACACCCTGCTCTGAAGCCTGGGACTTCTAAAATGGGAGAGGCCTCCTTGAGAGGCTCCTAGCATTTCCTGCGGCCTCACTATTTCTCCAATGAGCCTGTTTCTATGTCTCGCTGAGTGCCTGTGGCCCACCCATGCCACCCTGCTGCCCTGTTTTTGCTTCTGGGGGCCTTACATGAGAGTCACAGGCACGCTGATCAAAAGCCTGTGGCTATACAATCCTGCCCGGGACAGCCCTGGGGGCGTCTGGGAAGGGAGAAGCCTCAGCGGTAGGCTCCCAGCATTCCCTGCTGTATCAGCGCCTCCCCCATCTGCCTGCCTATACTTTCCTCTGAGTCCTTGCGGCCCGTCCATGCCACCCTGAGGCCCTGTTTCCGCTTGTAGGGGCCTCCACGAGAGACACAGACACATTACTCCAAAGCGAGGGGTTTTACAGTACTGCCAGGACAGCCCTGGGGACTTCTGGGTTGGGAGATCCGACCTTGGGAGGCTCCCAGCAATTTTTGCGGTCTTGCTGCTTCTCCCCTCTGCCTGCCTCTAAGTCTCCATGAGTCCCTGTGGCCAGCCCACGCCACCCTGTGGCCTCGTTTTTGCTTGTGGGGGCCTCCCGTGAGAGACACAGGCACACTGCTCCTAAACCTGTGGTTTTACAGCCCCCACAGGACAGCCCTGGGGGCTTCTGGGATGGGAGATGCCTTCTTGGGTGTCTCTCAGCATTCCCTGCTGTCTCGCTGCTTCTCCTCTCAGCCTGCCTCAAGATTCCCCTTAATCCCTGCGGCCCTCCCACGCCACACTGCGACCCCGTTTTCGCTTATGGGTGCCTTCCGCGAGAGACACAGGCACCCTGCTCCAAAGCCTGGGGCTTTACAGCCCTCCGAGACAGCTCTGGGTCTTCTGGGATGGGAGAGGCCTGACAGGAGGCTCCAAGCATTCCCTGTGTGTTGCCTCTTCTCCCCTCTGCCTGCCTCAACGTCTGCCTCAGTCGCTACGGCCAGACCACACCACCCTTCGGCCCCGTTTTTGCTTGAGGGGTCCTTCTGCAAGAGACACAGTCACCCTGCACCGAAGCCTGGGGCTTTACAGCCCAACTGGGACAGCCCTGGGCCTTCTGAGATGGGAGAGGCCTCCTTGGAAGGCTTTTAGCCTTCCCTGCAGTCTCGTCGCTTCTCCCCTATGCCTGCCTCAAAGTCTTGTTGACTCCCTGTGCCCCGCCCACGCCACACTACGGCCCCGTTTTCACTTGTAGGGGCCTTCTGTGAGAGACACAGTCACCCTGCTGCAAAGCCTGGGGCTTTACAGGAAGCCCGAGATATCCCTGGGGCCTTCTGGGATGGGAGAGGTTTTTTTGGGAGCCCCCCACATTCCTTGCGGTCTCTCTGCTTCAGACCTCTGCCTACCTCAACGTCCCCCTGTGTCCCTGCTGCCTACCCATGCCACCCTGCGGCCCTGATTTCTCTTGTGGGTGCCTTCCAGGAGAGATACTGAGACCCTGCTCTGAATCCTGGGGCTTTACAACCTGGGACAGTCCTGGGTGCTTCTGGGATGGGAGAGGCCATCTTGGGAGGGTCCCAGCATTTTCTACGGTCTCGCCGCTTCTCCCCTCTGCCTGCCTCAATGTCCACCTGAATCCCTGCGGCCCCCCACGCTGCATGATTGCCCCGTTTTCACTTCTGGGGACCTTACGCGAGAGACACAGGCACCCTGCTCCAAAGCCTGGGGCTTTAGAGCCCGCCTGGAACAGCCCTTGGGGCTTCTGGGATGGGAGAGGCCTCCTTGCGAGGCTCCCAGCATTCCCTGCACTCTCAACAATTCAACCCTCTGCCTGCCTCAACATCCCCCTTAGTCCCTGCGTCCAGCCCACGCCTCCCTGTGGTCTTGTTTTTGATTGTGGCAGCCTTCCGCTAGAGCCACAGGCACCCTGCTCAAAAGCCTGGGGCATTACAGCCTGCCTGGGGCACCCCTGGGGGCTTCTGAGATGGGAGAGGGCTCCTTGGGAAGCTCCCAGGATCCAATGTGGTCTCGCCACTTCTCCCCTTTGCCTGCCTCAACAACTCCCTGAGTCCCTGCCAGCCAACCACACCACCATGCGGCCCCGTTTTCGCTTGTGGGGGCCTTCCACGAGAGAAACGGGCACCCTGCACCAAAACCTGGGGCTTTGGAGCACTCCTGGGATAGCCCTGGGGGCTTCTGGGATAACCCTGGGGGCTTCTGGGATGGGAGTGGCTTTTTATGAATACTCCCAGTATTCCCTGCCGTCTGGCTGCTTCTCCTCTCTGCCTGCTTTGGTGTCTCCCTCGGTTTCTGCTGCCCTCCCCAGCCACCCTGCGGCACAATTTTTGCTTGTGGGGCTCTTTTCTGAAAGACACAAGTACACTGCTCCAAAGCCTGGGGCTTTATATTCCTTCCGGGAAGACCCTGGTGGCTACTGGGATGAAAGAGGCATTTTTGGGAGGCTCCCAGCATTCCCTGAGGTTTCCACACTTCTCTCTTCTGCCTGCCTCAACGTCCCCCTCAGTCCCTGTGGCTCGCTCACCCCACTTTGCGGCCCCGTTTTTGCTTCTGGGAACCTTCTGCAAGAAACACAGGGATCCTGATTCAAAGCTTGGGGATTTACAGCCCGCCTGGGACAGCCGTGGGGGCCTCTGAAGTGGGAGAAGCCTCTTTGGGAGGCTCCAAGCATTCCCTGCATTCTCATCGCTTCTCCCCTCTTCCGGCCTCAAGGTCCTCCTAAGCCTCTGCTGGCTGCTCACTCCATTCTTCGTCCCCGTTGTCACTTGTGGGGTCCTTCCACGAGAGACACAGGCACCATGCTCCAAAGCCTGGGGCTTTACAGCCCGCCTGAGAAAGGCCTGGGGGCTTCTAGGATGAGAGAGACCTTCTTGCAAGGCTCCCAGCACTTTCTGTGGACTTGCTGCTTCTCCCCTTTGCCTGCCTCAATGTCCCTCTGAGTCCCTGCGGCCCAACCTCGTGACCCTGTGGCCCTGTTTTAGCTTGTGGGGGTTTTCCAGGAGAACACATGCACTCTGCTCCAAAGCCTGGAGTTTAACAGCCCTGGGGGCTTCTGGGATGCGAGAATTCTCTTTGGGAGGCTCCCAGCATTTCTTGCTGTCTCCCGTTTCTAACCTCTGCCTGACTATATGTCCCCCTGAGTCTCCACTGCTCTCCCACTCCTCCCTGCATTCCCATTTTCGCTGGTGGGGGCCTTCCACGGGAGACACAGGCACCCTACTCTGAAGCCTTGGACTTCTGAAATGGGAGAGGCCTCCTTGGGAGGCTCCCAGCTCGCCCTGTGGTCTCGCCGATTCTCCAATCAGCCTGCCTCAACATCCCCTTGAGTACCTGCGGACCGCTCACATCAACCTATGGCTCCGTTTTCACTTGTGGGGGCCTTTCGTGAGAGACACAGGCACCCTGCTTTAATTCTAGGGCTTTATAGCCCTCCCAGGAAAGCCCTGAGGTCTTCTGTGATGGGAGAGGTTTCCTTGGGAGTCCCCAGGATTCCCTTTCATCTCACCACTTCTCCTGTCTGCCTGCCTCAATTTCCCCCTGAGTTCCTGTCACGAAACCACGCCACCCTGTGGCCTCATTATTGCTTATGGGGGGCCTTCTGCGAGAGACTCGGGCACCCTGCTAAAAAACCTGAAACTTTATTGCCTGCATGGGACAGCTCTGGGGGCTTCTGGGATGGAAACGACCTCCTTGGGAGACTCTCAGCATTCCCTGCAGCCTCGCCGTTTCTCCCCTCTGCCTGCCTTGCCGTCCCCCTGAGTGCCTGCGGCCAGACAACACCACTCTATGGCCCTGACGCCACTCTGCAGCCCTGTTTTCTCTTGTGGGAGCCTTCCTCGAGAGATGTAGTAAACTTGCTCCAAAGCCTTGGCTTTACAGCCCGACTGGTAGAGCCCTGGGGGCTTCTGAAATGGGAGAGGTCTACTTCGGAGGCTCCCAGAATTCCCTGCGGTCCCGCCACTTCTCCCCTCTGCCTGCCTAAACATCCCTCTGATTCGTTTCCGCTTGCCCATGCCACCTTGCAGCCCCATTGTCACTTGTGGTGATCTTCTGTGAGAGACAGAGGCACTCTGCTCCAAAGGCTTGAGGTTTACCGCCCGCCTGGAAGCGGCTTAGGGTCTTCTGGGATAGGAGATTCCTCCTAGGAAGCTCACAGCATTCACTGCGGTCTTGCCACTCCTTTCCTCCACCTACCTCAACTTCCCTGTGAGTGCCTGCGGCCGGCCTGCGCCACCCTGCGGACACATTTTTGCTTATGGTGGCCTTCTGTGACAGACACAGGCTCCTTGCTCCAAGACCTGGGCTTAACGGCCTGCCCAGGACAGACCTGGGGGCTTCTGGGATGAGAGAGCCCTCCGTGGGATGATCCCAGCAATTTCTGTGGTCTCGCCACTTGTCCCCTCTGCCTGTCTCAACGTCCCCCTGAGTCCCTGCCACCCAGACACCCCACACTGCATCCACGTATTCTTTTGCTAGGGCCTTTTGAAAAAGACACAGGCACCCTTCTCCAAAGCCTGGGGATTTACAGCCCACCCAGGACAGCCCTGGGTGATTCTATCATGGTAGTGGCCTTCTTGAGAGGTGACCAGCATTTCCTGCGGTCTGGCCGCTTCTCCCCTCTACCTGCCTCAAAGTCCCCCAGAGTCCCTGCAGCCCACCAACGCCACACAGTGGCCCTGTTTTCGCTTGTGGGGGCCTTCCGCAAGAGACACTGGAAACATGCTCCAAAGCCTGGGGCATTATAGACCGCCCTTGACAGGCTTGGGGGCTTCTGGGACGACAGAGGCTGTTTTGGGAGGCTTCCAGCATTCCCTGCAGTCTCAATGCTTTTCCCCATTGCCTGTCTCAACTTACCCCTGAGTCCTTGCAGCCCACCCACGCCAACCTGCGGTCCCATATTTGCTTGTGGGGGCCTTCTGAGAGAGACACAAGCGCAGTGCTCCAAAGCCTGGGGCTTTACAGCCCGCTGGTACAGTCCTGGAGGCTTCTGGGATGGGAGAGATTTCTCTGGGAGGCTCCCAGCATTCCCCGTGGTCTCGCTGCTGCTCCTCTCTGCCTGTCTAAACGACCCATGAGTCCCTGAGGCCAGCCCTCAAAACTCTGCAGCCCCGTTTTCGCTTGTGGGGGCCTTATTCGAGAGACTCACACTTCTTGCTCCAAAGCCTGGGGCTTTAACGCCCGCCCGGGGCGGCCCTGGAAGTTTATGGCATGGGAGAGACCTCCTTAAAAGGCTCCCAGCATTTTCTGCGGTTTTGCCGCTTCTCCCATCTACCAGCCTCAAGGGGTCTCAACCCTGGGGGCCTTCCATGAGAGATACAGGCATCCTGCTCCAAAGCTTGGGGCTCCCACCTGCCAGCCCCTGATTCCCTGTCACTCGCCCACGTCATCCTACGGCCCCGTCTTCTCTTGTGAGGGCCTTAAGCGAGAGACACAGGCACGTTGCTTCAAAGCCTGGGACTTTACAGCCTGCCCGGGACAGCCCTGGGAACTTCTGGGATAAGAGAAGCCTCCTTGGGAGGCTCCCAGCATTTCTGGCATTCTCAGCGCTTCTTTCTTCTGCCTGCCTCAACATCCACCTTGGTCCCTGCCCCCTGCCCTCGCCACCCTGTGGCCAAGCTTTTTCATGGGGGGGCCTTCCACGAGAGACATAGGCTCTCTGCTCCAAAGCCTAGGGCTTTACACCCCACCCAGGACTGGGGGCTTCTGATATGGGAGAGGCCTCCTTCTGAGGTTCCCAGCATTCCATGTGGTCTCGCCGCTTCTCACCTCTGCCACCCTCAATGTCCCACTGAGTCCCTGCGGCCCACCTACTCCACCCTGCGGCCCCATTTTCGCTTGTGGGAACCTTGCGCTAGAGACACAGGCAGTTGGCTCAAAAGCCTGGGGCTTTACAACCAGTTCGGGACATCCCTGCGGGCTTCTTGGATGGTAGAGGCCTCCTTGGCAGTATCCCAGCATTCTCCGCGGTCTCGCTGCTTCGCCCTTCTGCAGGCCTGAACATCCCCCTGTGTACCTGCAGCCAGCCCACACCACCCTGCAGCCCCAATTTTGCACGAGGGGGACTTCCGTGACCAACACAGTCACCCTGCTGTAAAGCCTGAAGCTTTACAGCCCACCCCGGATAGCCCTGGGGACTTCTGGGATGGGAGAGGCCACGTTGCGATGAGCATTTCCTGCGGTCTTGCTGTTTCTCCCCTCTGCCTGCCTCAACATCCCCCTGCGTCCCTTTGGCCCGCCCACGCCAGCCTGCGGCCCCGTTTTTGCTTCTGGGGGCATTCCATGAGAGATACAGGCACCCTGCTTCAAAGCCTGGGTAGCATGCAGCCTGCCCAGGAAAGCCCTGAGGGCTTCTGGGATAAGAGAGGCCTCCTTGAAAGTCTCCCAGCATTCTATGCGATCTCGCTGCTTCTCCCCTCTGCCAGCTTCAACATTCCCCTGAGTCCTTGCTGCCCAAGAATGAAAACCTATGGCCCTCATTTTGCTTGTGGGAGCCTTCCACAGGGACACAGGCACCCTTCACCAAAGTCTGGAATTCTATAACCCGCCCAGGACAGCCCTAGAAGCTTCTGTGATAAGAGAGGCCTTCATAGGAGGCTCTCAGCATTCCCTGTAGTCTTGTCACTTCTACCCTCTGCCTCACTCAAGGTCTCCCTGAGTCCCTGCTGACTGCCCATGCCACCCTGCGGCCCCGTTTTAGCTTGTGTGGGACAACGGCGAGAGACACAGGCAATCTGTTCCAAAGCTTCTGGTTTTACAGCCCTCACGGGAGAGCCCTGGGGGCTTCTGTGATGGGACAAACAGTCATGGGAGGCTCCCAGCCTTACCTGTAGTCTCAATGCTTCTTCCCTCTACCTGCCTCAACGTCCCCCTGAGTTTGTGCCACCGAGGCACGCCACACTGTGGCCTCATTTTCGCTTGTGGGGGCCTTCCTCAAGAGACATAGCCAAAATTGCTCCAAAGCCTGAGGATTTACAATCCCCCGGGACAGCCCTGGGGACTTTGGTGATGAAAGAGGACTTTTTGAGTGACAGCCAGCATTCCTTGCGGTCTGGCCGCTTCTTTCCTCTGCCTGCCTCAAGTCCACCTGAGTCCCTGAGCCCCTCCACGCCACACTGCAGTCTCATTTTCGCTTGTGGGGGCCTTCCGCGAGAGATACAGGCACCCTGCTTTAAAGCCTGGGGCTTTACAGCCTGCCTGAGGAAAGCTCTGGTGGCCCTGGGATGGGAGAGTCGTCCTTGGGAGGCTACCATTATTCTCTGCAATCTCGTTGCTTCTCCCCTCTGCCTGTCTCAACTTCCTCCTGAGTCCCTGCCGTCTGTCCATGCCACCCTGCGGCCCCGTTTTTGCGTGTGGGGGTCTTCCGAGAGAGTCACAGCCACCATGATCCAAAGCCGGGGGCTTCACAGCCCACCTGAGACAGCCCTGGGGGCTTCTGGGATGGGAGAGGACGGCTTGAAAAGCTCCCAGCATTCCCTGCGGTCTGGCCGCTTCTCCACTCTACCTGCTTCAACGTCCCTCTGAGTCCCTGCAGCCCTCCCACGCCATTCTGCGGCCCCATTTTCACTTGTGGGGGCCTTCCACGAGAGACACAGGCACCCCGCTCCAAAGTGGGCTTTACAGTCCACTTGGGACAGCCCTGGGGGCTTCTGGGATGGGAGAGGCCTCCATCGGAGGCTCTCAATATTTTCTGCCATCTCGCCCCTTCTCCCCTCTGCCTGCCTTAACTTCCCTCTTTGTCCCTGCCACCAGCACATACCACCCTGTGGCCCCGTTTTCACTTGTGGAGGTTTTCCGCGAGAGACATAGGTTCCCTGATCCAAAGCCTGGGTGCTTTACAGGCCTCGGGGACAGCCCTGGGGGCTTCTGAGATAAGAAAGGCCTCTTTTTGAGGTTCTCAGCATTCCCTGCCATCGCACCGCTTCTCCCCTTTGCTGCCCTCAACTTCCCCCTGAGTTCCTGCGGCCCGACCACACCACGCTGTGGCACCGTTTTCACTTGTGAGAACCTTCCGAAACAGACACAGGCACCCTGCTCCAAAGTCTGGGACTTTACAAATAGCCTGGAACAGCCCTGCGGGCTTCTGGGATGGGAGAGTCATCCTTGGGAGGCTCCCAGCATTCCCTGTGGTCTTGCCTCTTCTCCCCTCTGACTGGCTCAACATCCCCCTGAGTCACTGTAGCCCACCCAAGCCATCCTGAGTCCCTGTTTTCGCTTTTGGTGGCCTTCTGTGAGAGACACAGGCACCCTCCTTGAAAGCCTGGGGGCTTTACAACCCGCCTGGGGCAGCCCTGGAGGCTTCTGGAATGGGAGAGGCCTCCTTGGGAGGCTCCCAACATTCCTTGCGGTCTCGCCACTTCAACCCTCTGCCTGCCTCAGCGTCCACTTGAGGCCCTGTGACCCACCCACTCCACACTGCAGCCTTGTTTTTGCTTGTGGGGGCCTTCCGCAAGAGACACAGGCACCCTGCTCCAAAGTCTGCGGCTTTACAGCCCGCCCCAGACAGCCCTGGGGGCTTCTGCAATGGGTGAGGCCTCCTTAGGAGGCTCCCAGCATTTTCTGTGACCTGGCCAGTTTTTCCTCTGCCTGCCTCAAAGACCTTCTGAGTCCCTGCGGCCCACCCACACCACCCTACTGCTCCGTTTTCGCTTGTGGTGGTCTTCCGAGAGAGACATAGGCACCCTGCTCCAGAGCCTGGGGTTTTACAGCCTTCCCGGTACAGCCTTGGGGGCTTCTCAGATGGGCGACGTCTTTTTGAGAGGCTGCCAGCATTCCCTGCGGTCTCGCCGCTTCTCTCCTCTGACTGCCTCAACGTCCTGCTGAGTCCCTGCAGCCCATCTCTGCCACCATGGGGCTGTGTTTTTGCTTGTATGGGCCTTCCATGAGAGACACAGTAACCCTGCTCCAAAGCCATGGGCAGTCCTGGAAGCTTCTGGGATGGAAAAGCCCTCCTTGGCAGGCTCCCAACATTCAGTGTGGTCTCGCTTGTTCTCCCATATTCATGCCTCAAGGTCCCACAGAGTCCTTGCGGCCTGCCCCCGATACCCTGTGGCCCTGTTTTCGCTTCTGGAAGCCTTCTGTGAGAGACACAAGCACCCTGCATCAAAGGCTGGGGCTTTATAGCCCGTTCGGGACAGCTCTGGGGGCTTCTAAGATGGGAGAGGCCTTTTTGAGAGACATCCAGCATTCCCTGTGGTCTCTCTGCTTCTTTCCTCTGCCTTCCTCAAAGTCCCCATGAGTCCCTGCGGCCCTCCCACGACAACCTGCTGCCTTGTTTTCGCTTGTCGGGGCCTTCTGCGAGAGACACAGGCACCCTGCTTTAAAGCCTGGGGCTTTACAGCTTGTCCGGGAAAGCCCTGGTGGCTTCTGGGATGACTGAGTCATCCTTGGGAGGCTTCCATCAATTCTCTGCTATCTCACCGCTTCTCCCCTCTGCCTGTCTGAACATCCCCCTGAGTCCCTGAGGCCCCGTTTTTCACTTGTGGGGGCCTTCCACAAGAGACACAGCTACCCTGCTCCAAAGCCTGGGGCTTTACAGACCGCTTGGGACAGCCCTGGGGGCTACCTGGATGGGAGAGGCCTCCTTCGTAGGCTCCCAGCATTCTCTGTGGTCTCACCACTTCTCTCCTCTGCCTGCCTCAATGTCCCCCTAAGTCCCTGCTGCCCTCCCACTCCACTCTGCATCTCCACTTTCACTTGCAGTGGACTTCCGCGAGAGACACTGACATCCTGCTCCAAAGCCTCGGGCTTTACAGCTCGCCTGGGATAACCCTGAAAGCTTCTAGGATGGGACAGACTTCCTTGGGAGGCTCCCAGCATTCCTTGTGGTCTCGCTGCTATCCCCCTCTGCCCACCTCAACCTGAACCTGAGTCATTGCGGCCCGCCCAGGCCAATCTTTTGTCCCATTTTTGCCTGTGGGAGTTTTCTGCGAGGGAAACAAGCACCCTGCTCCAAAGCCTGGGGCTTTACAGCCAGCCCGGGACAGCCCTGGGGGCTTTTGTTATAGGAGAGGTTTATTTGGGAGGCTCCCAGCATTCCCTGTGGTCTCACCGCTTCAACCCTCTGTCAGCCTCAACATCTTCTTGAGTCCCTGCCACCCGCCCACTCCATCCTGCGTCCTTGTTTAGGCTTGAAGGGGCCTTCTGCGAGAGACACAGGCACCCTGCTCCAAGGACAGGTTTTAGAGCCCGCCCAGGACAGCCCTGAGGGGTTTTAAGATGGGAGTTCTCTATTGGAGGCTCCTAGCATTCCCTGCAGTCTCGCTGCTTCTCCCCTCTGTCGGCCTCTGCGTCCCCTTGAGTCCCTGCCACCCACCTATGCCACACTGTGGCCTGATTTTCACTTGTGGGGCCCTTCTGTGAGATACACAGGCACCCTGCTCCAAAGTTGGGGTTTTACAGCCTGACTGGGAAAGCCCTGGGTGCTTCTGGGATGGGAGAGGCATCCTTGGAGGTTCCCAGCCTTCTCTGCGATCTCTCAGATTCTCCCCTTCACCTGTCTCAACTTCCCCCTGAGTATCTGTGGCCCACCCAGGCCACCCTGTGGCCCTGTTTTCGCTTGTGGGGGTCTTCCGCGAGAGACACAGGCACCCTGCTCCAAAGGTTAGGGCTTTACATCCCATCCTGGACAGCCCTAGGCGTTCTGGGAGGGGTGGGCTTTCATGGGAGGTTTGCAGCATTCCCTGAGGTCTCGCCGTTTCTCCCCTCTGCCTGCCTCTATGTCCTCTTGAGTCTTTTCGTTCCACCGACGCCACCCTGCGGCCAGTTTTTGCTTGTGGGCACCTTCCCCAAGAGACACAGGCACCCTACTCCAAAGCCTGAGGCTTTACAGTTCCTTTGGGAGAGCCCTGCCGGCTTCTGGGATGAGAGGGCTTCTTTGAAGGCTTGCAGAATTCCCTGCGTTCTCGCTGCTTTTTCCCTCTGCCTGAGTCAACGGCCTCCTGAGTCTCCATGGCCCGACCGTTTTGCTTATGGGGTTTTTCCGTGAGAGACAAAGGCACCCTTCCCCAAAGCCCAAAGCTTTACATCCCTCCCGGGAAAGTGATGCTTCTGGGATGGGAGGGGCGTCTTTGGGAGTCTACAAGCATACCCTGCCGTCTCGCCACTTTTCCCCTTTGCCTGCCTCAACGTACCCCTGAGTCCGTGCCACCCAACCACACCAACTTATGGACCCATTTTTGCTTGTGGGGGTCTTCCCAGGGAGACACTGGCAACCTGCTACAAAGGCTGTGGCTTTACAGCCCGTCCAACAGAGTCCTGGGGGCTTCAAGGATGAGAGAGGCCTATTTCGGAGCTCCCAGCATTCCCTGCAGTCTCGTCACTTCAATTCTCTGCCTGCCTCAATGTCCTCCTGAAGTTGCGTCCGGCCTAGGCCACCCTGCGGCCCTGTTTTGGCTTGTGGGGGCCTTCCGCGAGAGTCACAGGCACCCTGCTCCAAAGTTGAGGTTTTACGGCCTGCCTGGGAAAGCTCTGGTTGCTTCTGGGATGGGAGAGGCCTCCTTGTGAGGCTCCCAGCATTCCCTGTGATCTCGCTGCTTCTCTCTTCTGCCTGTGTTAACGTCCCCCCGAGTTCCTGCTGTCCGCCTTCGACAACCTACGGCCCCGTTTACACTTGTGGAGGCCTTACGTGAGAGACACAGGCATGCTGCTCCAAAGCCTGGGTCTTTAACAGCCTGTCCAGGAAAGCCCTGCAGGCTTCTGGGACAGGAGAGGCAGTTTTGGGAATCTCCCAGCATTCACTGTGGTCTCGGTGCTTCTCTCCTCTGCCTGCCTCAATGTCCCCCTGAGTCCCTGCCGCTTGCCCACGCAACACTGCAGTCCTGAATTCACTTGTTGGAGCTTTCCGCGAGACACAGGCACCCTGCTTTAAAGCCCAGTGCTTTACAGCCTGCCAGGGACAGTTCTGGGGGCTTCAGGGGTGAAAGAATCATCCTTGGGAGGCTCCCAGCATTCCCTGTGGTCTCACCGCTTCTCCTCTCTCCCTGCCTCAACGTTCCCCTGAGTTCCTGTGGGCCACCCATGCCACCCTGGGGCTTCGTTTTCGCTTGTGGGGGCCTTCCACGAGAGACATTGGCACCCTGTTCTAAAGCCTGGGAATTTACAGCTTCCCCTGGACAGCCCTGGGGGCTTCTGAGAAGGAAGAGTCATTCTTGAGATTCCCAGCATTCCCTGCGGTCTCGCCGCTTCTCCCCTCTTCCTGTGTCAACGTCCCTCAGTCCCTCCTGTCCAACCATGCCACTCTGTGGCCCCGTTTCCTCTTGTGGGGGCTTTCCACAAGAGACACAGGCATCCTGCTTCAAAATCTGGGGCATTGCAGTCCGTCCAGGACAGCTCTGGGGGCATCTGAAATGGTAGAGGCCTTTTTGCGAGGCTCCCACCACTGCTGTCTTGTTGCTTCTCCCCTCTTCCTTGTCAACGTCCCACTGAGTCCTTCCTGACCAACCACGCCACTCTGCGGCCCCATTTCCGTTTGTTGGGGCTTTTTGAGAGAGACACAGGCACCCTGCTACAAAGCCCGGTTCTTTACAGCCCACCCAGGACAGCCCTGAAGACTCCTGGGATGGGAGAGGCCTTTTTGGGAGGTTCCCAGCATTCCCTGTGGTCTCGCCGCTTCTCCACTTTCCCTGCCTCAACATCCCCCTGAGTCCCTGCAGCCCAGCCACGCCAACCTGCAGCTTTGTTTTTGCTTGTGAAGACCTTTGTGAGAGACACAGTCACCCTACTCCAAATCCTGGGGCTTTACAGCCTGCCCGGGGCAGATCTGGAAGCTTCTGGGATAGGGAGTCCTCCCTGGGAGGCTCCCAGCATTCCCTGCAGTGCTGCCTTTTCTCCTCTTTGCCTATCTCAAGGTCTCCCTGAGTCCCTGCGGCCAGCCACCGCCAACTTGCAGCCCCGTTTCAGCTTGTGGCGGCCTTCCTTGAGAGACACACGCATCTAGCTTCAAAGCCTGAGGCTTTACAATCCACCTGGGAAGGCCATGGGGACTTCTGTGTTGGGAGAGGCCTCCTTGGGAGGCTCCCAGAATTCCCCGTGGTCTTGCCAAGTCTCTCTTCTGTCTGCCTCATTGTCCTCCTGAGTCCCTGAGGCCCACCTACGCTACTCTCTGGCCCCATTTTTGCTTGTGGGGGCCTTCCACGAGAGATACAGGCACCCTGCTGCAAATATAAGGTTTAACAGCACGACGGGACAGCCCTGGGGGCTTCTGGGATGGGAGAGGCCTCCTTGCGAGGCTTCCAACAATCCCTTCGGTCTCTCAACTGCTAGCCTCTGCCTGCCTAAATGTCCATCTGAGCCCTTGCTGCAACCCATGCCACCCTGTGGTCCGGTTTTTGCTTTGGGGGACCTTCCTCGAGAGAATCAGGCACTCTGCTTCAAATCCTGGGGCTTTATAGCTCACCCGGGACAGCCCTGGGGAATTTTCGGATAGAAGAGTTTTTGGGGGAGGTTCCCAGCATTCGCTGTGGTCTACCTCTTCACCCATCTGCCTGCCTCAACGTCCCCTTGAGTCTCTGCGGCCAGCCCACCCCACCCTGCGGCCCGATTTTCCCTGGTTGGGGCCTTCCGCGAGAGACACAGGAACCCTGCTAAAGAGGCTGCTGCATTACAGCCCACCCGATACAGACCTGGTGACTTCTGGGATGGGAAAGGCGTTTTCGAGAAGCTGCCAGCATTCCCTGCATTCTTCCCGCTTCTTTTCTCTGCCTGCCTCAACGTCACCGAGTCCCTGCGGCCCGCCCACGCCACCCTGCAGTCTCGTTTTCACTTGTGAGGGCCTTTCACGACAGATACAGGCATCCTGCTCCAAAGCCTGGGGCTTGTAGCCTGCCCAGGACAAAGCTCGGGGCTTCTGGGACGAGAGACATATTTGGGAGTCTCCCAGCATTCCCTGCGGTCTTGGCGCTTCTCCTTTCTGCCTGCCTCAATGTCCCCCTGAGTCTCTGCCGCCCGCCCATGCAGCCCTTCAGCCCCGTTTTCACTTGTGGGGACCATCCGCAAGAGACACAGGCACTCTGCTCCAAAGCCTGAAGCTTTACAGTCCCCCACCCTGATATAGCTCTGGGGGGTTGGGATGGGAGAGGCCTCCTTGGGAGGCTCCCATCATTCCCTGCACTTCTCCCCTCTCCCTGCCTCAATGTCCCCCCAAGTCCCTGCGGGCCGCGCATGCCATTCTGCAGCTCCGTTTTTGCTTGTGGGGCCTTCTGCTGGAGACACAGGCAGCCTACTCCAAGGAATGGGGCTTTACAGCCTGCCCGGGACAGACCTGGGGGCTTGTAGGGTGGGAGTGTCCTCCTTGGGAGGCTCCCAGCATTCCCTGTGATCTTGCCACTTCTCCTCTTTCCCTGCCTCAACATCCTCCTGAGTCCCTGCCGCCCTACAACAACAAGCTGTGGCTTCGTTTTCACTTGTGAGGGCCTTCCGACAGAGACACAGGCACCCTTCTCCAAAGCCTGGGACTTTACAGCCCGCCCGGGACAGCCTTCGGTGCTTCTGGGATGGGAGAGCCCCCTTGGGAGGCTCCATGCATTCCCTGCTGTGTTGCAGCTTCTTTCCTCTGCCTGCCTCAACATCCCTGTTAGTACCTGCGGACCGCCCACGCCACGCTGCGGCCCTGGTTACCCTTTTGCAGGTATACGGTGAGAGACACCGGCACCCTGCTCCAAAGCTTGCTTGGGAAAGCCCTGGGGGCTTCTGAGATGGGAGACACCTCCTTGAAAGGCTCCCAGCATTACCTGCGGACTTGCTGCTTCTCTTCTCTGCCTGCCTTAACGTCCCCCTGAGTCTCTTCCGATTAACCACGTTACTCTGTGGCCCTGTTTTCGCTTGTGGGGACAATTGGCAAGAGATAGTGGCACCCTGCTCCAAAGCCTGGGACTTTACAGCACACCCAGAACAGCCCTGGTGGCTTCTGGGATGAGAGAGGCCTCCGACAAGACTCCCAGCATTTTCTGCGATCTCGCCACTTCTCCCCTCCACCTGCCTCAACTTCCCGCTGAGTGCCTACGATCCACCCACGCCACCCTGCGGCCCCACTTTCACTTGTGGGGATCCTCTGCAAGACACTGGCACCCTGCTACAAAGCCTGGTGCTTTATAGCCCGCCTAGGACAACCCTAGGGCTTCTGGGATGGGAGAGACCTCATGGGAGGCTTGCAGCATTTGTTGCGGTTTTGCCGCTTCCCTTCTGCCTACCTCAACATTCCCCTGAGTCTCTGTTGTCCGCCCACACCACCCTTTGGCAGTTTTCTCTTGTCTCG
This sequence comes from Homo sapiens, assembly GCF_000001405.40. Classification (NCBI taxonomy): domain Eukaryota; kingdom Metazoa; phylum Chordata; class Mammalia; order Primates; family Hominidae; genus Homo; species Homo sapiens. The sequence continues at coordinate 46,413,613 of NC_000008.11, read as the reverse complement.
GCCTTCCGCGAAAAACACAGGCACCTTGCTTCAAAGCCTGGGGCTTTATAGCCCTCCCGGGTCAGCCCTGGGGGCTTCTGGGATGGGAGCGGTTTTCTTGGGAGGCTCCCAGCATTATCTGTGGTCTTGCTGCTTCACCCCTCTGCCTGCCTCAACATCCCCCCAGACGCTTTGGCCCGCCCACACCAACCTGCGGCATTGTTTTCATTTGTGGGGGCCTTCCACAAGATACAGATCCTCCCTGCTCCAAAGCCTGGAGCTTCACAGCACGCCCAGGACAGCCCTGGTCTCTTCTGAAATGGGACCTGCCTCCCTGGGAGGCTATCAGCATTCCCTGCCGTCTCGCCGCTTTCTTCTCTGCCTGCCTAAATGATCTCCTGAGTTTCTGCGGCCCATCCACGCCACTCTGCGGCCCCGTTTTCGCTTGTGGTGGCCTTCCAGGAGAGACACAGGCACTGTGTTCCAAAGCCTGGGCCTGTACAGCCCAACCAGGACAGTCCTGGGGGCTTCTGGGATTGGAGAAGCATCCTTGGGAGGCACCCAGCATTTAATGCGGTCTGGCCGCTTCTTTCCTCTTCCCTGCCCAACATCCCACTGAGTCCCTGCTGCCCAACCACGTCACCCTGCAGCCCCGTTTTTGCTTGTGGGGCCTTCCGCGAGAGACACCAGAGCCCTTCTCCAAAGCCGGGAAATTTATAGCCCCCACCCCGGTACAGCCTTGGGGGCTTCTGGGATGGGAGAGGCTTTTTTGGGAGTCTCCCAGAATTCCCTGCAGTCTCACCATTTCTCCCCAGTCTCTGACTCAATGTATCCCTGAGTCCCTGCAGCCCACCCATGCCAACCTGTGGCCCCGTTTTTGCTTGTGGGGTCCTTCCGCAAGAGACACAGGCACCCAGCTCCAAAGCCTGGGGCTCTACAGCCCACCAGGGGCAGCCCTGAAAGCTTCTGGGATGGGAGAGGCCTCCTTGGGAGTCCCCCAGCATTCCCTGTGGTCTCGCTGCTTCTCCTGTCTGCCTGCTTCCATGTCCCCTGAAGTCCCTGCGGCCAACCAACGTCACGCTGTGGACCTGTTTTTGCCTTTGGGGGCCTTCCACGACAGACACAGGCACCTAGCTCCAAAGCTTGAGGCTTTACAACCTGCCCGGGAAGACCCTGGGGCTTCTGGGTTTGGAGAGGCCTCCTTGGGAGGCTCCCAGCATTTCTTGGGGTCTCAGCCCTTCTCTCCTTTGCCTGCATCAACGTCCCACTGAGTCCATGCTGCCCGCCAATGCCTCGCTGCTGCCCCGTTTTCACTTGTGGGAGATTTCTGTGAGAGACACAGGCACCCTGCTCCAAAGCCTGGGGCTTTACAGCCTGCCCGAGACAAACCTGTTGGCTTCTGGAATGGGAGAGGCCTCCTTGAGAGTCTCCCAGCATTCCTTGCAGTCTCGCTGCTTCTCTGCTCTATCTGCCTCAACATCCCCCAAGTCCCTGCGCCTCCCCCCACATTTCTCTGTGCCCCGTTTTCGCTTGTGGGGCCTTCCGTGAGAGGCACAGGACCCTACTCCAAATCCTGGGTCTTTATAGCACTCCCGAGACAGCCCTGGGGCTTCTGGGATGGCAGAGAAGTCCTTGGGAAGCTCCCAGCATTCCCTGTGGTCTCGCTGCTGCTGGCCTCTGCATGTCGCAATGTCCTCCTGAGTTCCTCAGGCTTGCACATGCCACCCTGCGCCCCGTTTTCGCTTATGGGGGCCTTCTGTGAGAGACGCAGGCATACTGCTCCAAAGCCTGTCTTTGCAGCCCATCTGAGACAGCCCTGGGGGCTTCAGGGATGGGAGAGGCCTCTGTGGGGGGTTCCTACCATTTCATGTGGTCTCGCATCTTCTACCCTCTGCCTGCCTTAACGTCCCACTGAGTCTCTGCAGCCCGCCCACCAAACCCTGCCGCCCCGTTTTCGCTGGTGTGGTCCTTCCGTGGGAGACACAGGCTCCCTGCTCCAAAGTCTGGGACTTTACAGCCTGCCCGAGACATCCCTGGGGGGCTTCCGGGATGGGAAAGGTCTTATTGAGGGACGGCCAGCATTCCCTGCGGTCTTGCCAATTATTTCCTCTGCCTGCCTCAGTGACCCCGAGTCCCTGCCGCCTGTCCACGCCACCCTGCAGCCTCGTTTTTGCTTGTCGTGGTCTTCCGCGAGAGACACAGCCACCCTGCTTTAAAGCCTGTGGCTTTACAGACCACCAGGGAAAGCCCTGGGGGCTTGTGAGATGAAAGAGTCATCCTTGGGCGGCTCCCATTACTCCCTGCAATCTCACCACTTCTCCTCTCTGTACTTCTCAACATCTGCCTAAGTCCCTGCCACCTGCCGACTCCACTCTGCGTTTTTGTTTTTGCTTTAGGGGGACTTTCAAGAGAGACATGGGCATCCTGCTCCAAAACCTGGGGCTTTACAGAGCACCTGGGAAAACTTGAGGGATTCTACGATGGAACGTTCCTCCTTGGGAGGATCCCAGCACTCCTTGTGGTCTTGATGCATCTCCCCTCTGCCTGCCTCAACATTCCCCTGAGTCTTTTCGGCCCGCCCACGCCACCCTGCTGCCCAGTTTTCATTTGTGGGGGCTTTATGTGAGAGACACAGGCACCCTGCTCCAAAGCCTGGGGATTTACCACCCACCCGGGAAGATTCTAGGTGCTTCTGGGATACAAGAGGCCTCCTTGGAAGACGCCCAGCATTCCCTGCGGTCTCGACGCTTCTATCCTATTCCTGCCTCAACGTCCCCCTGATTTTTTGCGGTCCACTTATGCCATCCTGTGGCCAAATTTTCGCTTGTGGGGACCTTCTGTGAAAGACACAGGCTCCAAGCTTCCAAGCCTGGGGCTTCACATCCTGCCCAGGACAGCCCTGGTAGCTTCTGGGATGGGAGAGTCATCCTTGAAACGCTCCCAGCATTCCCTGTGGTCTTGCCGCTTCTCTTCTTTACCTGCCTCAATGTCCCCCTGAGTCTCTGCTGCTGGACCATGCCACCATGCGGCCCCGTTTTGGCTTGTGTGGGCCTTCTGGGAGAGACAGAGGCACCCTGCTACAAAGCCTGAAGCTTTCCAGCCTGCCTGGGGCAGCCCTGGAAGCGTCTGAGATGGGAGAGTTCTCCTAGGAGGCTCCTAGCATTCCCTGCGGTCTCGCCGCTTCTTTCCTCCACCTGCCTTAACTTCCTTTGAGTACCTGCAGCCCACCGACGCCACCCTGTGGCCCCGTTTTCACTTGTGAAGGCCTTCCGTGAGAGACAGAGGCACCCTGCTCCAAAGCCTAGGATTTTACAGCCCGCCTGGGACAGCCCTAAATGCTTCCGGGATAGGAGAGGCCTCATTGAGAGGCTTTGATCATTCCCTGAGGTCTCACCACTTCCCCTTTTGTCTGTCACAACATCCTCCTGCGTCCCTGTGCCACACTGCGGCACAGTTTTCACTTTTCTCCGCCTTCCGCAGGAGACACAGTCACCGTGCCCCAAAGGCTGGGGCTTTATAAACCACCCAGGACAGCCCTGGGGGCTTCTAAGATGGGAGAGGATTTTTGGGGAGGATCCCAGCATGTTCTGCTCACTCGCTGCTTCAGCCCTGTGCCTGCCTCAACATCCTCCTGAGTCCCTGCTGCCTGTAGACGCCACCCTGCGGCCCCATTTTTGCTTGTGGGGGCCTTCCCCCAGAGACACAGGCACCCTGCTCCATAGACTGGGGCTTTACAGTTCTCCTGGAACAGCCCTGGGAGCTTCTGGGATGGGAGAGGCCGTCTTGGGAGGCTCCCAGCATTCCCTGCAGTCTTGCCACTTATCCCCTCTGCCTGCCTCAATGGACCACTGAGTACCTGACACCCGGCCACTCAACCCTGCATCTTTCTTTTTGCTTGAGGAGACCTTCCACGGGAGACACAGGCACCCTGCTCCAAATCCTGGGGCTTCACAGCCCTCCTGGGACAGCCCTGGGGGACTTCAAGGATCAAGAGGTTTTTCTGGAGGCTCCCAGCATTCTTTGTGGTCTCACTGCTTCCCCCCCTCTGCATGCCTCAACATCCCCCTGAGTTTCTTTCACCTGCCAACGCCAGCTTGCGGCCCTGTTTTCGTTTGTTGGTGCCTTCTGGGAAAAACGCAGGCACCCTGTTCCAAAGCCTGGGGCTTTGCAACCCACCTGGAACAGCCCTCGGGGCTTAAGGGATTGGAGACGCCTTTTTGGGATGCTCCCTGCTTTCCCTGCAGTCTCCCCACTTCTCCCTTCTGTCTGCCTCAACGTCGCCTTGAATCCCATCGGCCTGCCAACGCCACCCTGCGGGCTGGTGTTTGCTTCTATGGGCCTTCCGCAAGAGACACAGGCACCCTGTTCCAAAGCCTGGGGATATAAGGTCTGCCTGGTTTAGCCCTGGCTGCTTCTGGGATGGGAGAGGCATCCTTGGAAGGCTCCCAGCATCCCCTACGGTCTAGGTGCTTCTCCTCTTTGCCTGCCTCAATGTCCTCCTGAGTCCCTGCGGCCAGCTGACGCCACTCTGCGGCCTTGTTTTCACTTGTGAGGGTCGTCCGTGAGAGACACAAGCTTTCTGCTTCAAAGCCTGGGGCTTTCCAACCCGCCTGGGACAGCTCTGGGGCTTCTGGGAGGGGAGAGGCCTCCCTGGGAAGCTACCAGCATTTCCTGCGGTCTTGCCGCTTGTCCCCTCTGCCTGCTTCAACGTTCCACTGAGTTCCTGCCACCCGCCCACTTCACTCTGCCTCTCCGTTTTAGCTTGAGGGGAGCTTCCGTGGGAGACACAGGCACCCTGCTACTAAGCCTGGAGATTTACACACACCCCCGGGACAGCCCTGAGGGATTCTAGGATGGGAGAAGACTCCTTGGGAGGCCCCCAGCATTCCCTTGGTAAACCTGAAGCTTTACAGCCAGCCAAGGAATGTCCTGGTGGCTTCTGGAATGAAAGAGACCTCCAGGGAGGCTCCCAGCATTCCCTGCGGTCTCCACGCTTCTCCCCTCTGCCAGCCTCAAAGTCCCCCCGAGTCCCTTCTGCCCACCCACGCCACCCAACGGCCCCGTTTTCGCTTGTGGGGGCCCTCTCTGAGAGACACAAGCCCTCTGTTCCAAAGCCTGGGGCTTTACAGTGCACCCAGGACAGCCCTAGGGGCTTCTGGTATAGGAGAGGACTTGGGAGGCTCCCAGCATTCCTTGCAGTCTCACTGCTTCTCCCCTTTGCCTGCCTCAACGTACTTCTGAGTCCCTGTGGTCAGCCCACGCCACCTTTCGGCTCGTTTTTGCTTGTGCGGGCCTTCCGCGAAAGAAGCAGTTTCCCTTCTCTAAATCCTGGGGCTTTGTAGCCCGCCCCCTGACAGCCCTGGGGCTTCTGGGATTGGAGAGGCCTTTTTGGGACGATCCCAGCATTTCCTGTGGTATCACCCCTTGGCTTGTTTCCTCTGCCTATCTCAACGTCCCCCTGAGTCCCTGCCACCCTCTCACTCCACCCTGCCTCCCCATTTTCGCTTGAGGGGGACCTCCGCGAGAGACACAGCCACCCTGCTCCAAATCTTGGGGCTTTGCAGCCCGCCTGGTACAGCCCTGGGGGATTCTAGCATGGGAGAGACCTCTTTGGGAGGCGCTCAGCGTTCCGGTTGTCTCACTGATTCTCTGTTCTGCATGCCTCAATGTTCCCCTGAGTCCCTGAGGCCCGCCCATGCCATTCTGCATCTCTGTTTTCACTAGTGGGGATCTTGTGGGGGCCTTCCCCGAGAGACACAGACACCCTGCTCCAAAGTTTGTGGCTTTACAGCCCGTCTTGGACAGAAGTGGGGGCTCTGGGATGGGAGAGGCCTCCTTGCGAGGCTCCCATTATTTTCTGCTGTCTCACTGGTTCTCCCCTCTGCCTCTCCCCGCCTACACCACCCTTCCACCCCATTTTGGCTTGTGGTGGCCTTCTGCGAGAGACACAGGCACCCGGCTTCAAACCCTGGGGCTTTACAGCCCCCGCGGGATAGCCCTGTGGGCTTCTGAAATGGGAGAGGCTTCCTTGAGAGGCTCCCAGCATTTCCTGCGGTCTCACTGCATCTCCCCTTTGCCTGTCTCAAACTCCCCCTAAGTCCCTGCGGCCCGCCCACGCCATACTGCAGCCTCGTTTTCGCTTGTGAAGGCCTTCCATGAAAGACACAGTCCCCCTGCTTCAAAGTCTGGGTTTTTATAGCCTGCCTGGGACAGCCCTGTTGGCTTCTGGGATGTGAGAGGCCTCCTTGGGAGGCTTCCAGCCTTCCCTGTGGTCCCACCGCTTATTCTTTCTACCTGCCTCAACGTCCCCCTGAGTGCCTGTGGCCCGCTTACCCTGCCTCTCGGCACCGTTTTCGCTTGTTGGGCCATCCACGAGAAACACAGTCACCCTGCTCCAAATGCTGGGGCTTTACAGGCTGCCCGCGACACTCCTGGGGGCTTCTGGGATGAAAAATGCTCCCTTGGGAGTCTCCCAGCATTCTTTGCTGTCTTGCTGCTTCTCAGCTCTTCCTGCCTCCATGTACCCCTGAGTCCCTGCCATGCAACACGCCACCCTGCGGCCCCGTTTTTGCTTGTGGGGGACTTCCGCGATAAACACAGGCACTCCGCTCAAAAGCCGGAAACCACCACCTGCACTGGAAAGCCCTGGGGGTTTCTGGGATGGGAGAGGACTCACTGGGAAGTTCCCAGCATTCCGTGCTGTTTTGCGGATTCTTCGCTCTATCTGCCTCAACGTTCCCGAGTCCCTGCGTCCCACCCAAGCCACCCTGTGCCTTTGTTTTTGCTTCTGGGAGTTTTACTTGAGAGACACAGCCAACTGCTTCAAAGTCTGGGGCTTTACAGACCGACCGGGACAGACCTGGGGTATTCTGGGATGGGAGAGGCATCCTTGGGAGGCTCCTAGCATTCCCTGCGGTCTCACCACTTCTCCAGTCGGCCTGCATCAACAACCCCCTGAGTTTCTGCAGCCTGCACACACCACCCAGTGTCCCTGTTTTTGCTTGTGGGGGCCTTCCACGAGAGACAAATGCACCCTGTTCCAAAGCCTCGGGCTATACAGCCCACCTGGGATAGCCCTGAGAGCTTCAGGGATGGGAGAAGACTTCTTGGGAGGCTCCCAGGATTACCTGTTGTCATGCCGCTTCTCCCCTCTACCTTCCTCACTGTTCCTCTGAGTCGTTGTGGCCCACCAACACAACCCTGCCCCCCCATTTTCACTTCTGGAAGTTTTCGGCTTGAGACACAGGCACTCTGCTCCAAAACGTGGGGCTTTACAGCCTGCCCGGGACAGCTCTGGAAGCTTCTGGGATGAAACAGGCCTCTTGGAAGGCTCCCAGCATTCCCTGAGGTCTCGCCACCTCTCATCTCTGCCTGCCATAACTGTCCCCTGGGTAGGTGCCCCCCATCCAAGCCACCCAGTGACCCCGTTTTTGCTTTAAAGCCTGTGGCCTTATAGCCCACCCAGTATATTCCTAAGGTCTTCTGGGATGAGAGAGGCCTTTTTGGGAGGCTTCTAGCATTCGCTGTGGTCTCACTGCTTTTTCCCTCTGCCTGCCTCAACATCCCCCTGAGTTCGTGTGTCCCATTGATGTCACCCTGTGGCCCCATTTTCGCTTCTGGGGGCTTTCTGCAAGAGACACAGGCATCCTGTTCCAAAGACTTGGACTTTACAGCCCTCCCAGGAGAGCCCTGTGGACATCTGGGATGAAAGAGACCTCCTTGGGAGGCTGCAGCATTCCCTCCAGACTTGCCACTTCTCCCCTCTGCCTGCCTCAACATCTCACTGAGTCTCTGCAGACAGCCCACACCAGCAGCGGCCCCATTTTGCTTGTGGAGTCCCGTGGAGACATAGCCACTCTGCTCCAAAGCCTGGGACTTTACAGCTTGCCCGGAACAGCCCTGGGGGTTTCTGGGATGGGAGGGTTGTCTTTAAGTGGCTCCCGGCATTTCCTGCGGTCTTGCCACTTCTCCCTTCTGCCTGTTTCAACGTGCTCTGAGACCCTGCCTCCCAACCATGCCAACCTGCGGGCCCATTTTCGCTTGTGGTGTCTTTTTGTGAGAGACACAGGCACGCTGCTCCAAAGCCTGGGGCTTTACACCCTGTCTCGGACAGTCCTGGGGGTTTCTGGGATCGAAGAGGCCTTTTTGTAAGGCTAACAGCATTGCCTGCAGTCTCACCACTTCTTCTCTCTGCTTGCCTCAACATCACCCAGTGTCCTAGCTGCCTGCACACACAACCCTGCAGCACCATTTTCACTTGTGGGGGCCTGCCACGAGAGACACCACACTCTGCTCCAAAGTCTGGGGTTAACAGCCCACCTGGCACAGCCCTGGGGACTTCTGTGATGAGAGAGATCACCTTGGGAGGCTCACAGCATTCCCTGTGGTCTCACTGGTTCTCTGCTCTTCCTGCCTCAAGCTCCATCTGAGCCCCTGAAGCCCTTCCATGCCTAGCTGTGGCCCTGTCTTTGCTTGGGGGGAGCTACCATGAGAGACACAGGCACCCAATTTCAATGCTGGGGCTTTACAGCCCACCCTGGTTAGCCCTAATGGCTTCTGGGATGGGAGAGTCCTCCTTGGGACGCTTCCAGCATTCCCTGTGGACTCGCTGCTTTTCTCCTCTGCCTGCCTCAACGTCACAGAGTCCCTGCGGCCCAATCATGCCACACTGCTGCCTTGTTTTTGCTTGTGGAGGTTTTCCGTGAGAAACACAGGCACAGGCACCCTGCTACAAAGCCTGGGGGCTTCTGGGATTGGAGAGGCCTCCTTGGGAGGCTCCCAGCATTTTCTATGGTCTCGCTGCTCCTCTGCTCTGCCTGCCTCAACCTCCTTTTGGGTCCCTGTGGCCCACACATGCCACCCTGCAGCCTTGTTTTCGCTTGTGGTGGCCTTCTGAGAGACACAGCCACCCTGCTCCAAATCCTGGAGCTTTACAGCCCATCCGGGACATACCTGGGGGCTTCTGGGATGGGAGAGGCCGTTGGGTGAGGCTCCCAGCCTTCCCTGTGGTCTCATTACTTCTTTCTTTTGCCTGCTTTAACGTCCCCTTGTGTCCCTGAGGCCCACCCATGCCCCTTTGCTGCCCCGTTTTCTCTTGTTGGAGCCTTCAGCGAGAGACACAGGCACCCTGCTTCAAAGCCTGGGTCTTCTACAGCCCACACAGAACAGCCCTGTGGGCTTCTGGGATGGAAGAGACCTCTTTGGGAGGCTCCCAGCATTCCCTGTAGTCTTGCCCCTTCTCCCTTCTGAGTGCCTCCATGTCTCCCTGAGTTTCTGTGGCCTGTCCACACCATCCTGTGGTCCGGTTTTTGCTTTTGGGGGCCTTTGGCGGGAGACACAGGCACACTGCTGCAAATCCTGTGGCTTTACAACCCACTTGGAACAGCTTTGGGGGCTTCTGAGACCTGTGTTCTCACCGGTTCTCCCCTCTGCCTGCCTCAACATCCTCCTGAGGTCCCTGATGCCCAAACACGCCACTCTGCGGCCCCATTTTCACTTGTTTGGGCCTTCCACAAGAGACACTGGCACTCTGCTCCAAAACCTTGGGCTTTACAGCTTGCCTGGGACAACCCTGGGGAATTCTGGGATGGGAAGGTCATCCTTGAAAGACTCCCAGCATTTTCTGTGGTCTCACTGCTTCTTTCCTCTGCTTGCCTCAACATCACCCTGAGTCCCTGCCACCCAACCACGCCACCCTGCGACCCCGTTTTTGCTTGTGAGTGCCTTTCATGAGAGACGCAGTCACCCCGCTCCAAAGCCTGCAGCCTTATAGCCCTCCCGGGAATGTCCTGAGGGCTTCTGGGATGGAAGATTCATCCCAGCATTCCCTGTGATCTCACCACTTCTCCCCTCTGCCTGCCTCAACGTCCTCTAGAGTTCTTGCGTTGCGCACATGCCACCCTGTGGTGCAGTTTTCACTTGTGGAAGCCTACTGCAAGAGACACAGGCACCTTGCTCAAAAGCCTAGGGCTTTAAAGCCCTCCCGGCACAGCACTGGGGGCTTCTGAGATGGAAGAGGCCTCCTTGGGAGACTCCCAGCATTCCCTGCGGTCTCGACGCTTCTCCCCTCTGCCTGCCTCAACATCTCCCTGAGTCCCTGTGGCCCGCCCACGCCACCCAGCGGCCCCGTTTTTAATTGTGGGAGCCTTCATCGAAAGACACAGGTACATTGCTCCAAACCCTGGGGCTTTACAGCCCGCTTGGGACAGCCATAAAAGCTTTGGGTATGAGAGAGGCCTTCTTGGGGTGCTTCCAGCATTTCCTGCTGTCTTGCCGATTCTTCCCTTCACCTGTCTCACTGTTCTTCTAAATTTCTGAGGCTCATCCACACCACCCTGTGGCCCCATTTTCATTGTGGGGGCCTTCTGTGAAAGACACAGGCACCCTGCTCCAGAGCCTGGAAATGTACAGCCTGCCCAGGGCAGCCCTGGGGCTTCTGGGATGGGAGAGGTCTCCTTTGGAGGCTTCCAGCATTTCCAGCAGTCACACCACTTTTCCCCTTTGCCTGCCTCAACATCACCCTTAGTCCCTGCATTCTGTGTATGGCACCCAGGAGCCCCGTTTTCACTGGTGGTTGCCTTCAGTGAAAGACAGGCACACTGCTCAAAATGCTGAGGCTTTACGGCCCACTTGGGACAGCCCTAAAAGCTTCAGGTATGGGAGAGGCCTCCTTGGAGGGACACCAAGCATTCCCTGCAGTCTCACCGATTCTTCCCTCGGCCTGTCTCACCGTCTTTCTAAATTTCTGCAGCTCATCCATGCCACACTGCAGCCCCATTTTCGCCTGTGAGGGCCTTCTACAAGAAACACAGGAAACCTGCTCCAAAGACTGGGGTTTTAGAGTTTGTCCAGGACAGTCTTGGGGGCTTCTGGGATGAGAGAGACCTCCTCGAGAAGTTTTCAGCATTCCTTGAGGCCTTGTCGCTTCTCCCCTCTGCCTGCCTCAAGTGTCCCCCGAGACACTTTGGCCCACCCTCGCCACCCTGCGGCTCCATTTTTGTTTGTGGGGAATTTCCGTGAGAGACACAGGTAACCTGCTTCAAAGCCTGGGCTTTACAGCCTACCCAGGACAGCCCTGGTGGCTTCTGAGATAAGACAGTCATCCTTAGAGGCTCCCAGCATTCTCTGCGGTCTCGCTGCTTCTCTGCTCTGCCTGCCTCAATGTCCTACTGAGTCTCTGCTGCCCACCCACGCCACACTGTTTTTCCATTTTCACTTTTTGGGGTCTTCTGCAAGAGACACACGCACCCTGCTCCAAAGCCTGGGGCTTACAGCCCTCCCAAAACAGACCTGGGGACTTCTGGGTTGGGAGAGTTTTTCTTGGGAGGTTCCCAGCTGTCTCTGCATTTTTACCACTTCTTCTTTCTGCCTGCCTGAAGGTCACCCTGAGTCCCAGTGGCCCACCCATGCCACTGTGTGGTCCTGTTTTTGCTTGTTGGGGCCTCCTACGAGAGACACAGGCACACTGCCCTAATGCCTTGGGCTCCAAAACAGGATGCCTCTGTCTCTTGCAGAGGGCCCCTGTGGGCAGCGGCGGGGCCACATGTGGGCTTCTATGGGACGGGAGAAACTGAGGGATCCTTGATGCAGGCAGATGGCAGAAGTGGCAAGAAGTGAGAGGGTGCTGGTTTCCTCCAGGGAGGCCTCTTCCTTCCAAGAAAACCCCCAGGTGCCTTCCTAGTAGAGGCTAGAGACTCTGTTCTGGCCCAGGACGGCTGTGTCTCTCAAACAGGGCCCACAAGGGCAACAGCAGGCCCAAAAGCGAGCCTGTGCTAGCCAGCATAAACTCAGGGGGAAGTAGAGGCAGGCAGAGGGAAGAAGCAGCCAGGCCTGAATGGGTGCTGGATCCTCATAGGGAGGCCTCTCCTTTCTCAGAATTCTCCATGGTGCTCCCCCCTCTGGGTGGGGGCTAGAGGCTCAGGCTCTGACCCAGTATGACTGTGTCTCTTATGGAGGCCCCAATTGGCAGCAGCAGGGCCACAGGCAGGCCTGTGCGGGAAGGCAGAAACTCAGGGGGATGTTGACACAGGCAGAGAGGAGAAGCGGCGAGGCCTGAGCAGGTTCTGCATTTTCCCAGGGAGGCCTCTCCCTTCCAGAAAGACCACGGGGAGCCATGCGGGTGGGGTCTAGAGCCCCAGGCTCCAGCCTAGGGTGCGTGTGTTTTTCACAAATAGCACACACAGGCCTGGGTGGGGCTTCAGGTGGGCCTCTGTGGGCAAACAGAACTCGAGGGAGTGTTGAGGCCGTGGAATGGAAGAAGCAGTGTGTCCTGAGCAGGACATCCCAGAAAGGCCTCATCCTTCCCAGAATCCCCTAGGGCATTTTTTGGGTCCGGGCTAGAGCTTTGGCCACCAGCCTAGGGTGCCTGTTTCTCTCCTGGAAGGCCCCCAAGGACAGCGGGGCCACAGGCAGGCCTGTTCGGGCCAGCAAAAATTCAGGGGGATGTTGAGAAAATCAGAGGGGAGAAGTGGTGAGGCTTCAGTGGGTGCTACATAGTCCCAGGGAGACCTGTCCCATCCCAGAAACCCCCATTGGAAACACTAGTTTTGTAGAGTCTGCAAAGGGAAGTGTGGGAGCCCACGGAGGCCTATAGTGAGAAACAGAACAACCCATGATAAAAACTAGAAAAAAGTTATATGTGAAACTGCTTTGTGATGTGTGTATTCAGCTCTCAGAGTTAAAGCTTTCTTTTGATTCATCAAGTTGGAAAAACTCTTTTTTTACAATCTGTGAAGGGATATTTCAAAGCCCACTGAGACCTACAGTAAAAAACCAAATATATTACTATAAAAACTAGAAAGAAGCTATCTGTGAAATTGCTTTGTGATGTTTGCATTCAGCCCACAGAGGTAAACCTTTCCCTTGATTCAGCGGGTTGGAAACACTCGTAGTATCTGTGAAGTAATATTTCAGAGCCCAGCAAGGCATATAGTGAAAAATGGAATTTCCAATGATAAAAACTAGAAAGAAGCAAATTGTGAAACTTCTTTGTAGTGTGTTCATTTAGCTCACAGAGCTAAACCTTTCTTTTGATTTGACAAGTTAGAAGCACTGTTTTTGTGGAATCTGCAAAGGAACATTTCAAAGCTCACAGAGGCCTATAGTCAGGAATGGAATGTCCCACGATAAACACTACAAAGAAGCTGTCTGTGAAACTGCTTTGTGACGTGTGGATTCAGCTCACAGAGTGAAACATTTCTTTTGATTCAGCAGGATGGAAACAGTCTTTTTGTAGAATCTCTGAAGAAAAATTAAGAAGCCCACAGTGGTCCATAGTAAAAAACCAAATATCCCACAATAAAAACAAGAAAGAAGCTATTTGTGATAGTTTTTTGTGATATTTCATTCAGCTCATAGAGTAAAATCTTTCTTTTGGTTTACCATGTTGAAAACACTCCTTTTATAGAATCTGTGAAAAGACATTTTGGAGCCCACTGAGGCCTACAATGAAATAATGAGTATCCCGTGATAAAAACTATAAAGAAGGTATCTGTGAAACTGCTTCATGATGTGACCATTCAGCCTACAGAGTTAAACTTTACTTTTGATTCAGCAGGTTGGAATCACTCTTTTTGTAGAATCTGTGAAGGGACATTTCGGAGCACACTGAGACCTATAATGAAAAAGAGAATATCCCACAATAAAAACTAGAAAGAAGCTATCTGTGAAACTTTTCATGATATATGCATTCAGGTCACAGAGTTAAACATTAATTTTATTCAACAGGTTAGAAACACTCTTTTTGTAGAATCTGAGAAAGGGCATTTCAGGGCTCACTGTGGTCTTGGTATAAAACTGGATATCTCGTGATAAAAACTACAAAGAAACTACCTGTGAAACTGCTTTGTGATGTGTGCATTAAGCTCACAGTGTAAAACCTTTCTTTTCATTTGGCAGGTTGGAAACCATCTTTTTGTAGAATGTGCAAAAGGACATATCGAAGCCACTGCTAACTAGAGTGAAAAAACGAATATTCCAGTATAAAAACTAGAAGGAAGCTATCTGTGAAACTTCTATGTAATGTGTGCATTCAGCTCACAGAGTTAAACTTTTCTTTTGATTGAGTAGGTTTGAAACACTCTTTTTTTAGAATCTGCAATGGGACATTTTAGAGTGCACTGAGGCCTATGGTGAAAAACAGAATAACCGACGATAAAAACTAGAAATAAGCGATCTGTGAAGTTTCTTTGTAATGTGTGGATTCAGCTCTCAGACTTAGACTGTCTTTTGATTCAGCAAGTTGGAAACACTGTTTTGTAGAATTTGCAAAGGGACATTTCAGAGCCCACTGAAGCCTATAGTGAAAAACTAAGTATCCCATATTAAAAACTAGAAAGAAGCTATCTGTGAAACTGCTTTTTAATGTATGCATTCAGCTTACAGAGTTAAAGCTTTCTTTTGATTCAGCAGGTTAGTAACACTATTTTTGCAGAATCTGCAAAAGGACATTTCGGAGCTGACTGAGGCCTATAGTGAAAAATCGAATATCCCGTGATGAAACCTAGAAAGAAGCTAGCGGTGAAACTGCTTTGTGATGTGTGGGTTCATCTTACAAAGGTAAACCTTTCTTTTGATTCAACAGGTTGGAAACGCCCTTTTATTAAGAATCTGTGAAGGAAAATTTCAGAGCCCACTGAGGCCTATATATAAAATCAAAATATCCTGCAATACAAACTAGAAAGAAGCTATCTGTGAAACAACTTTGTGATGTGTGGATTCATCTGACAAAGTTAAACCTTACTTCTGATTCAGCAATGTGGAAACCCTCTATTTGTAGAATATGCAAAGGGACATTTGGGAGCTCACTGAGGCCTATAGTGAAAAACAAAATATCCCAGAATAAAAACTAGAAAGAAGCTATCTGTGAAACTGCGTTGTAATATGTGGATTCAGCTAATTGAGGTAAACAATTATTTTCATTCATCAGTTTGGAAACACTCTTTTTGTAGAATCTGAGAAGGGACATTTTGGAGTGCAGTGAGATGTATAGTGAAAAACTGAATATCCCACGAGAAAAACTAGAAAGAAGCTATTTGTGGAACTGCTTTGTGATGTGTGGATTCAGCTCACAGAGTTAAACCATTTTTTGATTCAGCAGGTTGGAAACATTCTTTTTGTAATATCTGCAAGGGGACATTTTGGAGCACACTGAGGCCTACAGTGAAAAACTGAATATCTGGTGATAAAAACTAGAAAAAAGCTATGTGTGAAACTGCATTTTGACATGTACATGCAGTTCACAAATTTAAACCTGTTTTCTTTCAGCAGATGGAAAACACTCTTTTTGTAGCATCTGTGAAGGGACGTTTCAGAGCACATTGAGGCCCGTAGTGAAAAACCAATTATCCCTCAATAAAACCTAGAAAAAAGCTATCTGGGAAACTGCTTTGTAATATATGGATTCAGTTAACCGAGTTAAACCATTCTTTCGATTCAGCAGTTTAAAAACTTTTTAAATTTTTTTTGTAGAATCTGTGAAGGGACACTTCGGAGCACAGTCTGGCATATAGTGAAAAACCAAATGTCTTGTGATAAAAATTAGAATGATGCTACCTGTGAAACTGATTTGTGATGTGTGGATTCAGCTCACAGAGTTAAAACTTTCTTTTGATTCAGCAGTTTGTAAACACTCATTATGTAGAATCTGTGAAAGGACATTTCAAAGAGCATTGAGGCCTATCCTGATAAACTGAAAATGCTGCAATAAAAACTGGAAAGAACCTCTCTGTGAAGTTGCTTTGTCATGTGTGGATTTCACTCACAGAGTTAAACCTTTTTTTTAGATTTAGCAGTTTAAAAACAGTCTTTCTGTAGAATCTGTGAAGAGACATTTCAGAGTGCTTTGATGTTTGATGTTTACAGTGAAAGTCAGAATATTGAGTGATAAAAACTAGAAAGAAGCTATCTGTGATACCACTTTGTGGGGGGTGGATACATCTCACAGAGTTAAACCTTTCTATTTATTTAACAGGTTGGAAACATCCTTTTTGCACAATCTGCAAAGGGGCATTTTGGAGTGCATTGAGGCCTAAAGTGAAGAAAAGGGTATCCCATGATAAAAACTAGAAAGAAGCTATCTGTGAAACTGCTTTCCAATGTGTGCATTCAGTTCAGTGAGTAAAACCTTAATTTTGCTTCAGCTATTTAGAAACATTCTTTTTGTAGAATCTGTGAAGGGACATTTCAAAGAGCATTGTGGTCTATTGTGAAAAATCGAATATCTAGCAATGAAAACTAGAAAGAAGCTATCTGTGAAACTGCTCTGTGATGTGTGGATTCAGCTCACAGGGTTAATTTTTTTTTTTTTTTTTTTTTTTTACTCAGGAGGTTGGAAATGCTCTTTTTGTAGAATCTGTGAAGTGATATTTCAGAGCACACTGATGCCTATAGTGAAAAGCTGAATATCTGTTGATAGAAACTAGAAAGAAGCTATCTGTGAACCTGCTTTGTGATGTGTATTTTCAGTTCACAGAGCTAAACCTATGTTTTGATTCAGCAGGTTGTACACATTCTCATTGTAGAATCTGCAAAGAGGCATTTTGGAGCCCACTGAGGCCTATAGTAAAAAACTGAATATCCAGTGATAAAAACTAGAAAGAAGACATCTGTTAAACTGCTGTGTGATATGTGGATTCAGCTCCTAGCATTAACCCTTATTATTTATTCAGCAGGTTGGAAACACTCTTTTTGTAGACTTTGCAAAGACACATTTCAGAGCACACTGTGGCCTATAGTGAAAAATCAAATATTTCGTGATAAAAACTAGAAAGAAGCTATCTATGAAAATGTTTTTTGATGTGTACATTCAGTTCTTGGAGTTAAACCTATGTTTTCATTCACCAGGTTGAAAATACTTTCTCTGTACAATCTGCAAAGGGACATTTCAGAGCCCACTGAGGCCTAGAGTGGAAAACTTAATACCCAATGATAAAAAACAGAAAGAAGACATCTGTTAAACTGCTGTGTTATGTGTGGATTCAGCTCTCAGCATTAAACCTTACTATTTATTCACAATGTTGGAAATACTCTTTTTGTAGACTTTACGAAGACACATTCCAGATCGCTTTGAAGCCTACAGTAAAAACCCGATTATCCCTTGATAAAAACTAGAAAGATGCTATCTGTGAAATTGCTTTGTGATGTGTGGATTCAGCTTACAGTTAAAACTTTCTTTTGATTCAGCAGGTTGGAAACACTCTTTTTGTAGAATCTGCCAATGGACATTTTATAGCGCATTGAGGCCTATAGTGAAAAACAGAAAACCCTGCAATAAAAACTAGAGAAAATCTCCCTGTGAAACTGCTAAGTGATACATGAATTCAGCTCACAGAGTTAAACCTTACTTTTGATTCACCTGTTTGGAAACAATCTTTTTGTAGAATCTGCCAAGGGACATTTCAGAGCCAACTGAGGCCTATAGCAAAAAAACAATTATCCTTCTGTAAAACTAGAAAGAAGACACCTGTGAAACTGTTTGTTATCTTGATTCAGCTCACAGAGTTAAATTTTTCTTTTGATTCAGCTGTTTGGAAACACTCTTTTTGTAGAATCTGTGAAGGGACATTTCAGAGTGCTTTGAGGTTAATAGTGAAAAACAAATTATCCCATATGAAAAACTACAAAGAAGCTCTCTGTGAAATTGCTTTGTAATGTATGTAATCAGCTCACAGAGTTAAACCTTACTTTAGATTCAGGAGTTTGAAAACACTGTATTTGTAGAATCTGTGAAGGGACATTTCGGATCGCTTTGAGGCCTATAGTGAAAAATCAAAACTAGAGACAAGCTCTCTGTGAAACTGCTAAATGATATGTGGATTCAGCTCACAGAGTTAAACCTTACTTTTAATTCACCTGTTTGGAAACAATCTTTTTGTGGAATTTGTGAAGGGATATTTTGGATCGCTTTGTGGCCTATAGTGAAAAATCGAATATCCTGTGATATAAACTAGAAAGAAGCTACCTGTGAAACTGCTTTGTGATGTGTAGATTCAGCTCACAGAGTTAAACGTTTATATTGATTCAGAAATTTGGAAACACTCTTTTTGTAGGATCTGTGAAGGGACATTATGAAGTGCTTTGAGTCCTATAGTGAAATATCGAACATCCTATGGTAAAAACTAGAAAGATTTCTGTGAAACTGCTTTGGGATGTGTGGATTCAGCTCATAGAGTTAAATCTTTATTTTAACTCAGCAATTTGGAAACACTTTTTTTGTAGAATCTGTGAAAGGACATTTTGGAGCTCTTTGAGGCCCACAGTAAAAACCCGAATATCCCATGGTAAAAACGACAAAGAAGCAACCTAAAAACTGCTTTGTGAAGTGTGCATTCAGCTCACAGAGTTAAACCTTTCTTTTGATTCAGTGGCTTGGAAACACTTTTTTGTAGAGTCTGTGAAGAGACATTTTGGAGTGCATTGAAGCCTGTAGTGAAAAACTGAATATACTGTGACAAAAATGAGAAGAAAGCTATCTGTGAAACAGCTTTGTAATATGTAGATTCAGGTAACCAAATTAAATAATTCTTTACATTCAGCAGTTTGGAAAGACTGTATTTGTAGAATCTGTCAATAGACATTTCAGACTGCATTAAGGCCTGTCCTGACAAACCGAATATCCCGGGAAAAAAACTAGTGAGAAGCTATCTGTGAAACTGCTTAGTGATATGTGGATTCAGCTCACAGAGTTAAACCTTACTTTTGATTCACCTGTTTGGAAACAGTCTTTTGGTGGAATCTGTGAAGGGACATGTCAGATTGCTTTGTGGCCTACAGAAAAAAATGAATATCCTGAAATAAAAAGTAGAGAGAAGCTATCTGGAAAACTGCTTTGTGATGTGTGTATTCAGCTCAGAGAGTTAAACCATACTTTTCAATCAGCAGTTTGGAAACACTTTGTTTGAACAATCTGCCGAAAGACATTTTAGAGGGCTTTTAGGCCTATAGTGAAAAACTGAATAACCCACGATAAAAACTAGAAAGAAGTTATGGGTGAAACTGTTCATTATGTGTGTATTCAGCTCACAGAGTTAAACCTTTCTTTTGATTCAGCAGTTTGGAAACACTTTTTGTATAAAATCTGCAAAGGGACATTTAGGAGCACTTTGAAGCCTATAGTGAAAAAATGAATATCCCACGATAAAAACAAGAAAGAAGCTGTGAAGGGACATGATGAAGTGCTTTGAGTCCTATAGTGAAATATCGAACATCCTATGGTTTTTACCACAGAAAGGTTTCTGTGAAATTGCTTTGTGATGTGTGGATTCAGCTCATAGAGTTAAATCTTTATTTTAAGTCAGCAATTTGGGAACACTTTTTTTTTGTAGAATCTGTGAAAGGACATTTTGGAGCTCTTTGAGACCCACAGTAAAAACTGTATGTTTTGTGAAGTATGTTTTCAGCTCACAGAGTTAAATCTTACTTTTGACTCAGCAATTTGGAAACCCTCGTTTTGTAGAATCTGCAAGAAGACATTTTGGAGCACATTGAGGCTAGTGAAAAACTGAAAATCCCACAATAAAAACTAGAAACAAGCTATCTGTTAAACTGCTTAGTGATATGTAGATTCAGCTCACAGAGTTAAATCTTACTTTTGATTCAGCTGTTTGGAAACACTCTTTTTGTAGAATCTGTGAGGGGACATTTTGGAGCGCTTTTAGGCCTATAGTAAAATACCAAATATCCCATGTTAAAAACTCAAAAGAAGCTATCTCTGAGGCTGCTTTGTGATGTGTGGATTAAGCACAGAGTTAATCCTTTCTTTTCATTAAGCAGGTTGGAAACACTTTGTTTGTAAAAACTGCCAGTAGACATTTCAGAGTGCTTTGAGGCCTATAGTGTAAAACCAAACATCCCATGATAAAAACTGGAAAGAAGCTATCTGTGAAACTGCTTAGTGATATGTGGATTCAGCTCACAGAGTTAAACCTTACTTTTTATTCATCTGTTTGGAAACAATCTTTTTGTAGTATCTGCAAAGGGACATTTTGGATCGCTTTGAGGCTTATAGTAAAAAAAACAAATATCCCAGGGTAAAAACTAGAAAGAAGCTATCTGGGGAACTACTTTAGAATGTGTGGATTCAGCTCACAGAGTTAAATGTTTCCTATAATTCGGGAGTTTGGAAACACTCTTTTTGTAGTATCAGAGAAGGGCCATTTTGGAGCTCAGTGAGGCCTACAGTGAAAAACAGAATATTCCGTGATTAAAACTAGAAAGAAGCTACCTGTGAAACTGCTTTGTGATGTGTGAATTCAGCTAACAAAGTTAAACTTTTCTTTTGATTCAGAAGGCTGGAAATATTCTTTTTGTAGAATCTGTGAAGGGACATTTCAGAGCACAATGAGGCATATATTGAAAAACCAAATATCCCGTGATAAAACCTAGAATAAAGCTATCTGCAAAACTGCTCTGTGATGTGTGCATTCAGCTCAGAGACTTAAACCTTACTTTTGATTCAGCTGTTTGGAAACATTCTTTTTTTTTGAATCTGCGAAGGGACATTTCACAGCGCTTTGAGGCCTATAGTAAAATACCGAATATCCCTTGATAAAAACTAGAAAGAAGCTGTCTGTGAATCTGCTTTGTGATCATGGATGCAGCTCACAGATGTAAACCTTTCTTTTGATTCAGCAGGTTGGAAACACTCTTTTTGTAAAATCTGCCAATAGACATTTCAAAGCGCATTGAGGCCTATAGTGTAAAACTGAATATCCAGTGATAAAAACAAGAGAGAAGCTATCTGTGAACCTGCTTAGTGATATGTGGATTCAGCTCACATAGTTAAACCTTACTTTTGATTCAGCTGTTTGAAAACACTCTTTTTGTAGAATCTGTGAAGACATTTTGGAGCACTTTGAGGCCAATAGTAAAATACCAAATATCCTGCTATAAAAACAAGAAAGAAGCTGTCTGGGAAACTGCTTTGGGATGTGTGGATTCAGCCCAGAGTTAAATCTTTGTTATGATTCAGCAGTTTGTAAACAATCTTTTTGTAGAATCTGCAATGGACATTCTGGAGCACAGTGAGGCCTGTAGTAAAAAACTGAATATTCTGTGACAAAAACTAGAGATAACCTGTCTGTGAAACTGTTCAGTGATATGCGGATTCAGCTAACAGAGTTAAACCTTAATTTTAGTCACCCTTTTGGAAACACTTTTTTTTTTTTAGAATCTGTGGAGGGACATTTCTGAGTGCTTTGAGGCCTATAGTGAAAAGCAGAATATCCCATGATAAAAATTAGAAATAAGCTATCTGTGAAACTGCTTTGTGAAGTGTGGATTTATTTCACAGAGTTAGCTTTCTATTTATTCAGGAGGTTGGAAACACTATTATTGTATAATCTGCTAAGGGACGTTTTGGAGCACATTGTGACTAATAGTGAAAACAAGAATATCCCATATCAACTAAAAAGAAGCTATCTGTGAAAGTGCTTTGCAATGCGGGTGTTCAGTTCATAGAGTGAAACCTTACTTTTGATTCAGCTGTTGGGAAACCCTCTTTTCCAGGACTTATGAAAGGAAATTTCAGAGGGCTTTTAGGACAACAGTGAAAAACCAAATATCCTGTGATAAAAACCAGTAAGAAGCTATCTGTGAAACTGCTTTGTGATGTGTAAATTCAGCTCACAGAGATAAAGTTTTCTCTTAATTCAGAAGTTTGGAAACACTCTTTTTGTAGAATCTGTGAAGGACAATTCAGAGTGCACTGAGGCCTGTAGTGAAAAACTGAATATCCTGCGATCAAAAGTAGAAAGAATCTATGTGTGAATCTGTTTTGTGATGTGTGGATTCAGCTCAAAAGTTAAAATTTTCTTTTGATTCAGCAGGTTGAAAACCTTCTCCCCTCTGCCTGTCTTAGCGATGCCCATAGTACCTTGAGCCGGCCCATACAGCCATGTGGCCTCGTTTTTGCTTGGGGGGCCTTCCTCGGGAGAGACAGTCAACCTTCTCCAAAGTCTGGGGGTTTACAGCCTGCCCAGGACAGCCCTGGGGGCTTCTGGGATGGGAGAGGCCTCCTTGGGGGGCTCCCAGCATTCCTGGTGGTCTGGCCGCATCTCCCCTCTGCCTGCCTCAAAGTCCCCATGGGTCCCTGTGGCCTAACCACACCATTCTGCTGCCCTGTTTTTGCTTTTGGGGCCTTCTGTGAGACATAGTCATCATGCTCCAATGCCTGGGGAGTTATAGCCCATCCAGGACACACCTTGAAGTTTCTGGGATAAGAGAGGCCTCTTTGGGAGGCTTCAAGTACTCCCTGCGGTCTCACCGCTTCTCCCATCTGCCTGCCTCAATGTCCCCCTGAGTCCCCATGGCCCACCCTCGCAACCCTGCAGCCCCATTTTTGATTGTGAGGGCTTTCAATGAGAGATACAGGCACCCTGCTTTACAGCGTCGGGCTTTCCAATCCACCCTGGACAGACCTGGGGGCTTCTGGGATAGGAGAGGTGTCCTTGGGAGGCTCCCAGCATTCCCTGCAGTCTCTCTGCTTTTCCCTCTACCTGCCTTGACGTCCCCCTGAGTACCTGTGGCCCACCCCCACCACCCTGCAGTTTGTTTTCACTTGTGGGGGCCTTCCGTGAGAGACACAGGCACTCTTCTCCAAAGTCTGGTTCTTTACAGCCCTCCTGGGACAGCCCTGGGGGCTTCTGGGATGGGAAAGACATTGTTGGGAGGCTCCCAGCATTCCCTGCAGTCTCCTACTTCACCCCTCTGCCTGCCTCAACGTTCTCCTGAGTTTCTGCGGCCCGCCAACGCCACTCTATGACGCTGTTTTTGCCTTTGAGGGCTGTTTGCAAAAGATACAGGCACCCTGCTCCAAAGACTGGGGCTTTCCATCCTGCCTGGGACAGTTCTGGGAGCTCCTGGGGTGAGAGAGGCCCCTTTGGTAAGACCCCAGCATTCCCTGTGATCTCGATGATTCTCCCCTCTGCCCGAGTCAATGTCCCCCTGAGTCACTGCAACCCACACACAACAACCTGCAGCCCCGTTTTCACTCGTGGGGGCCTAACGCGAGATACAGGCACCATGTTCCAAAGCCTGAAACTTTACAGCCAGCACGCGACAAACCTGGGGCCTCCTGGAACCTGAGAGGCCACCTTGGCAGGCTCCCAACACTCCCTGCAGTCTCGCCACTTCTTCCCTCTGCCTGCTTCAGTGTCCGCCTGAGTCCCTGCGGCCCCCTCCCCCTACGCCATTCTGTGGCCCGGTTTTCGCTTGTGAGTGACTTCTGTGAGAGACACAGGCAGGCTGCATTAAAGCTGTGGGCTTTACAATATGCCTGGATAGATAAGGGGGCTTTGGGGATGGAAGAAGCATCCTTGGTAGGCTCCCAGCATTTCCTGCAATCTCGGTGCTTCTCCCCTCTACCTGCCTCAAAGTCCCACTGAGTCCCTGACACCCAACCACACCAAACTGCAGCCCCGTTTTCGCTTTTGAGTGCTTTCCGCGAGCACCCTGCTCCAAAGCCTGAGGCTTTACAGCGCATCCAGGACAGCCCTTGGGCTTCTGGGTTAAGAGAGGCATTTTAGGGAGGCTCCCAGCATTCCCTGTGGTCTCGCTGCTTCTGTCCTCTGCATGCCTCAACTTCCCTCTGAGTCCCTGCAGCCCTCTCACGCCAACCTGCCACCACGTTTACACTTGTGGAGGCCTTCTGTGAGAGACACAGGCACCCTGCTTCAAAACCTGGGGCATTACAACCCACAAGACACAGGCCTGGAAGATTCTGGGATGGGAGAGGAGTCCTTCGGAGGCTCCCAGTATTCCCTGCGGTCTCACAGCCTCTCTGCTCTGCCTGCCTCAATGTCTGAGTTCCTGCTGCCCTCCCACGCCACTTTGTGGCCCGTTTTCACTTGAGGGGGTATTTTGCGAGAGACACATGCACCGTGCTCCAAAGCCTAGGGCTTGACAGCCTGCCTTGGACAGCCCTGGCAGCTTCTGGGATGGGAGAAGCCTCCTTGGGAGGCTCGTAGCATTTAATGCGGTCTCGCCACTTCCCCCTTCTGCCTGTCTGAACGTTCCCCTGAGTCCCAGCGGTGCGCTCACGCCACCCAGAATCCCCATTTTCACTTGGGGGTGCCTTGGTGAGAGACACAGTTTCCCTGCTCAAAAGCCTGGGGCTTTACAGCCCGCCTTGGACAACCATGTGGCTTCTGGGATGGAAGAGGCATCCTTGGGAGCCTCTCAGCATTTCCTGCTGTCCCATTGCTTCTCCCCTCTGCCTGCCTCAAGGTCCTTGTGAGTCCCTGAGACCTGCTCACGCCATCCTGTGGCCGAATTTTTGCTTCTAAGAGCCTTCTGAGAAGGACAAAAACACCCTACTCCAAAGCCTTGGGCTTTACAACCTGCGCAGGACAGCCCTTGGGGCTTCTCACATGGGAGAGGCATCCTTGTGAAAATCCCAGCATTACCTGTGGTTTCACCAGTTCTCCCCTCTGCCTGCCTCAATGTCCTTCTGAGTTTCTGGTGCCCCCCAATGCCACTTTGCCCCCCAATTTTCTCTACAGGGGGCCTCCCGCAAGAGGCGCAGTCACACTGCTTCAACACCTGGGGCTTTACAGCCCACCTGGGACAGCCCTGGGGGCTTCTGGGGTAGGAGAGGACTCGTTGGGAGGCTGCCAGCATTCCCTGCAGTCTTGCTGCTTCTCCCCTCTGTCTGCCTCAACATCCCCCTGAGCCCCTGGGTCCCACTCACGCCACCCTGCAGCCCCGTTTTTTCTTGTGGGCGCCTTCTGCGAGAAACACAGGCACTGTACTCTAGAATCTGGGGCTTTACAGCACACCCGGGAACGACCTCTGGGTTTCTGGGATGGGAGACGCCTTTTTTGGAGTTCTCAGCATTCCCTGTGGTATCACCACTTCTCCCTTCTGCCTGCCTCAACATCTCCCTGAATCCCTGCTGCCTGCCCACGCCACTTTGCGGCCCTGTTTTTGCTTGTGGGGGCCTTCCACTAAAGACCAAGACACCCTGCTCCAAAGCCTGGGGATTTACAGCCCGCCCGGGACAGACCTGAGAGCCTCTGGGATGGAAGAGGCCTTCTTGGGAGGCTCCCAGTGTTTCCTGCAGTCTGACCGCTTCTCCCCTCTGCCAGCATTAACGTCCCTCTGAGTCCCTGCAACCCACCCATGCCATCTGGCAGCCCCATTTTTGCTTGTGGGGAACATCTGCAAAAGATACAGACACTCTTCTCCAAAGCATGGGCCTATACATCCTGCCCAGAACAGCTCTGTGGGCTTCTGGGAGGGCAGAGTCCTCTTTGGGAGGCTCCCAGCATTCCCTGCGGTATCGCCGCTTTCCCCTCTGCCAGCCTCAACCTTTCCCTGAGTTCCTGGGGCCCGCCCATGCCAACCTGCTGCCCCGTTTTCACTTGTGGGGGCCTTCCACGAGAGACACAGCCACTCTGCTCCAAAACCTGGGGCTTTACAGCACCCACGGGAGAACCCTATGGGCTTCTGGGATAAAGAGGCCTTTTGGGGGGCTCCCAGCATTTCCTGCAGTCTAGCCACTTCTCCCCTCTGCCTGCCTCAACATCCCCATGAGTCCCTGTGGCCCAACCAAGCCACCCTGCTGCCCGGTTTTTGCTTTGGGGGCCTTCCACGAGAGACACAGGCACCTTGCTCCAAAGCCTGGGGCTTTTCAGTCCATTCAGGAAAGACCTGGGAACTTCTAGGATGGGAGAGGCATTGTTAGGAAGCTTCCAGCATTCCATGCGGTCTCGCCGCTTCTCACCACTGCCTGTCTTGATGTCTTCCTGAATCCCTGCATCTTGCCCATGCCACCCTGGTTCCCCGTTTTCACTTGTGGGGACCTCCCATGAGAGACATAGGCACTCTGCTTCAACACATGGGGCTTTATGCCCGCCTGAGAAAGCTCTGAAAGTTTCTGGGATGGGAGAGGCATCCTTAGGAGGCTCCCAGGCTTCCCTGCAGTCTCTCTGCTTCTGCCCTCTGCCTGCATCAACGTCTCTCTGAGTCCCTGGTGCCCGCCCACACCGCCCTGAGGCTCCTTTTTCGCTTGTTGGGACTTTCCGGAAGAGACACAGGCACCACGCTCCAAAGTCTTGGGCTCTACAGTGCACCCGGGACACACTTAGAGGCTCCTGGGATGGGAGGGGCCTGCTTGAGAGGCCCCTAGCCTTCCCTGCCATCTGGCCACCTCTCCCCTCTGCCTGCCTCAAGGTCCCAATGAGTCCCTGTGGCCCAACCACGCCACCCTGCGGCCCCGTTTTTGCTTGTGGGGGCCTTCTGGGAGAGGCACAGGCACCATCTTGCTCCAACGCCTGAGGCTTTGAAGCCCACCAGAGACAGACCTCAGGGTTTCTGGAGTAGGAAAGGCCACCTTGGGAGGCTCCCAGCATTCCCTGTGGTCTCACCATTTCTCCCCTCTGGCTGCATCAATGTCTCCCTGAGTCCCTGCCACCCGCCCACACTACTCTGTGCCCTGCTTTCGCTTGTGGGGCCCTTCTGGGAGAGACAGTCACCCTAGAGAAAGACTGGGACTTTACAGCCTGCCCGGGTCAGCCCTGGGGGCTTCTGGGATGGGAGAGGCCTCTTTGGGAGGCTCTGAGTATTCCCTGCGATCTCACCGCTTCTCCCCTCTGTCTACCTCAATGTCCCCCTGAGTCTCTGTGACCCGCCCTCGCCACCCTGCAGCCCTGTTTTCACTTGTGTGCAGCTTTAGCGACAGACACAGGCATTCTGCTCCAAACCCTGGGGCTTTGCAACCCGCCGAAGCCAGCCATGGGGGATTCTGGGATGGAAGAGACACACTTGGGAGGCTCCCGGCATTCCCTGTGGTCTTGTCACTTCTCCCCTTTGCCTGCCTCAGTGTCCCCCTGAGTACCTGTGGTCCAACCACACCACCTTGCAGCTCCAGTTTCAATTATGGGGGCCTTCCTCGAGAGACACAAGTAACCTGCTCCAAAGCCTGAGGCATTACAGCCTGCACAGGACAGCCCTGTGGGCTTCAAGGATGGGAAAGGCCTCCTTGGGAAGCTCCCAGCATTCCCTGCGGTCTCGCCACTTCTTCCCTCTGCCTGCCTCAACAACCTGAGTCGCTTCGGCCTGTCCACCACCACCCTGCAGCCCCGTTTTCGCTTGTAGGGGCCTACCTTGGGAGACACAGGCACCCTGCTCCAAAGCTTGATGCTTTACAGCTTGTCCAGGACTGCCCTGGGGCTTCTGGGACATGAGAGGCCTCCTTGGGAGGCTCCCAGCCTTCCCTGTGGTCTGGCCACTTCTCCCCTCTGCCCTCCTCAATGTCCCCATGAGTCCCTGTGGCCCAACCACGCCACCCTGTGGCCCTGTTTTCGCTTTTGGGGACGTCTGCGAGAGACACAGGCATTCCGTTCCAAAACCTGCAGCTTTACAGCCTGCTTGGGACAGCCCTTGGGTCTTCTGCAGTGGGAGAGGCCTTGTTGGGAGACTCCCTGCATTCCTTGCGGTCTCGCGGCTTCTTCCCTCTGCCTGCATAGACATCTCTCTGAGTCCCTGCCGCCCGCCCATGCCATGCTGTGGCCCCGTTTTCGCTTGTGGAGGACTTCCGGAAGAGACACAGGCACCCTACTCGGCCCTCCCATGGCCATTCAGTGTCCCCGTTTTCACTTATGGGGACTTCCATGAGAGACACAGGCACTCTGCTCCAAAGCCTGGAGCTTTACAGCCCACCCGGGACAGCCGTAGGCTTCTCAGATGGGAGGGCCTCCTTTGGAGGCTCCCAGCATTCCCTGTAATATTGCTGCTTCTCCTTTCTGCCTGCAACACCGTCCCCATGAATTTCTGACACACCACCCTGCATCCCCACTTTCGCTTCTAGGGGCCTTCCACTAGTGTCACAGGCACCCTGCTTCAAAGACTTTGGATCAACATCCCACCCAGGACAGCCTTTGGGGCTCCTGGCATGGGAGAGGACTTTTTGGGAGGATCCCAGCATTCCCTGCCATCTCGCCGCTTAACCCCTCTGCCTACCTCAATGTCCCCCTGAGTCCCTGCGGCTGCACTCGCTACCCTGAGGCCCCGTTTTTGCTTGTGGGGGGCATCTGTGAGAGACACAGCAACTTGCTCCAAATCCTGGGGTTTTACAGCCCGCCCGGGGTAGCCCTGGGGGCTTCTGGGAATCAAGACTCCTTTGTGGAAGGCTCCCAGCATTACCTGCAGCCTCGTGACTTCTCCCCTCTGCCTGCCTCAATGTCCCCCTGAGTCTCTGTGGCCCTCCCACGCTATTCTGTGCCTCCGTTTACACTTTTGGGGGCTTTCCTTGAGAGACACAGGCATCCTGATCCAAAGCCTGGGGCTTTACAGCCAGCCCGGGGCAGCCTTGGGGGCTTCTGGGATAGGAGAGGTGTCCTTGGGAAGCTCCCAGCATTCCCTGCGGTCTCACCACTTCTCCCGTCTGCCAGCCTCAATGTCCCCCTGAGTACCTGCGACCGACCCTAGCCACCCTGAAGACATGATTTCGCTTGCGGGGGCCTTCAGTGACAGGCAGAGGCACCTTGCTCCAAACCCTGGAGTTTTACAGCCAGCCAAAGCCAGCCATGGGGATTTCTGAGATGGAAGAGGCACACTTGGGAGGCTACAAGCATTCCCTGTGGTCTCGATGCTTCCCCCTTTTTCCTGCATTAACGTCCCCCTGAGTAACTGCGCCCCAACCACGCCACCTTGCAGCATCTTTTTTGCTTGTGGGGGCCTTCTGGGAGAGACACTGGCACACTGCTGCAAAGCCTGGGGCTTTACAGCCCAGCTGGGACAGCCCTGGTTGCTTCTAGGATGGGAGAGGCCTCTTTGGGAGGCTCCCAGCCTTCCCAGTGGTCTCACTGCTTCTCCCCTCTTCCTGCCTCAAGGTCTCCCTGAGTCCCTGAGACCCGCTCACGCCATCCTGCAGCCCCATTCTTGCTTGTGTGGGCCTTCCGCGAAAGACAGAGGCAGCCTGCTCCAAAGTCTTGGGCTTTACAGCCCGCGTGGGACAGCCCTGGGAGCTTCTGGGATGGGAGAGGCATCCTCGGGAAAATCCCAGCATTCCCAGCCATCTCGCTGCTTCTCCCTTCTGCCTGCCTCAACGTCCTTCTGAGTCCCTCCCACTGCCCATGCCACTTTGCAGCCCCGTTTTCTCTTGAGGGGTATTCCATGAGAGACACAGGCCCACTGCTTCAAAGCCTGCGGCTTTGCAGCCAGCCTTGGACAGGCCTGGCGGCTTCTGGGATGACAGAGGACTCCTTGGAAGGCTCGCAGCATTCAATGCGGTCTCACCACTTCTCCCACCTGCCAGCCTCAACCTCCCCCTGAGTCCTAGCGGCTCGCCCATGCCACCCTGCTTCTCCGTTTTCTTTAGTAGGGAACTTCGCCAAGAGACACAGGCTCCCTGCTCCAAAACCTGGGGCTTTACAGCCTGCCCGGGAAAGCCATAAATGCTTCTGGGATGGGAGAAGCATCCTTTGGAGGATCTCAGCATTCCCTGCTGTCCTGCCTCTTCTCCCCTCTGCCTGCCCCAAGGTCCCCACGAGTCCCTGCGACTCACCCACGCCATTCTGCGGCCCTGTTTTCGCTTCTGGGGGCCTCCTGCAAGAGACACGCACCGTCCTCCAAAGCCTGGGGCTCTACAGACCACGTGGGACAGAACTGGTGGCTTCTAGGATGGGAGAGGCCTGCTTGGGAGTCTTTCAGCATTCCCTGAGGTCTCACCACTTCTCACTACTGCCTGCCTCAATGTCTTCCTGAGTCCCTGCGGCTCACCTATGCCACTCTGGCGCCCCGTTTTCACTTGTGGGGGCCTTCTGTGAGAGACGCAGGCACCCTGCTTCAACGCCTGGTGTTTTACAGCCTGCCCCCGAAAGCCCTGGGAGGTTCTGGGATGGGAGAGGCCTCCTTTGGAGGCTCTTAGCATGTCCTGCGATTTTGCCGCTTCTCCCCTCTGCCTTCATCAACGTCTCCCTGAGTCCCTGTCGCCCACACAGGCCACCCTCCAGCCCCATTTTTGCTTGTGGGGCCTTCCGGGAGAGGCACAGACACCCTGCTCAAAGCCTGACACTTTACAGCCTGCCTGGGACAGACCTGTGGGCTTCACGGATAGGAGGTGCCTCCTCAGAAGGCTCCCAGCATTCCCGGCCGTCACACCACTTCTTCCCTCTG
Source organism: Homo sapiens (assembly GCF_000001405.40). Classification (NCBI taxonomy): domain Eukaryota; kingdom Metazoa; phylum Chordata; class Mammalia; order Primates; family Hominidae; genus Homo; species Homo sapiens. The sequence continues at coordinate 46,383,520 of NC_000008.11, read as the reverse complement.
CCTGCCTCAACTTCCCCCTGAGTCTCTCTGGCCTGCTAATGGCCAACCTGCGGCCCCGTTTTTGCTTGTGGGGAGCTTCTGTGAGAGACACAGTCACCCTGAGTCCCTTCGGCCTAGCCACGCCAACCTGCGGTTCCATTTTCACTTCTGGAGACCTTCCGCGAGAGACACAGGCACCCTTCTCCAAAGCCTGGGGCTTTACAGCCTGCCATAAACAGCGTTGGGGGCTTCTGGGATGGGAGAGGCATCCTTGGGAGGCTCCCAGCATTCCCTGCTGTCCCGCTGCTTCTTCCCTCTGCCTAACTCAAGGTCCCCGTGAGTCTCTGCGACCCTCCCACGCCACCTGTGTCCCTGTTTTCACCTCTGGGGGCCTTCCACAAGACAAAAAGTCACTCTTCTCCAAAGCCATGGCTTTACAGCCTGCCTGGGACAGGCCTGAGGACTTCTAGTATAGAAGTGGCCTCCTTGGGAGGCTCCCAGCATTTCCTGCTGTCTCACTGCTTCTCTCCTCTGCCTGCCTCAACATCCCCTGAGTCCCTGCAACCCACCCACGCCACCCTGAGGCCCCGTTTTTGCTTGTGGGGGCATTCCGCAAGAGACACAGACACCCTACTCCAAAGCCTGGGGCTTTACGGCCGGCCCGGGACAGACCTGGAGGCTTCTGGGTTGGAAGAAGCCTCCTTGGGAGGGTCCCAGCATTCCCTGCGGTCTCACCGCTTCTCCCCTCTGTCTGTCATGAGACATCCCCCTGAGTCCCTACAGCTAAACCACACCACGCAAGGACCCCGCTTTTGCTTTTTGGTGCCTTCCGCAAGAGACACGTACCCTACTCCAAAACCTGGGGCTTTACTGACCAACCGGGACAGACTTGGGGGCTTCTGGGATGGGAGAGGCCTTCTTGGGAGGCTTCCAGCATTCTCCGTGGTCTAGCAGCTTCTCACCACTGCCTGTTTCAATGTCTTCCTGAGTCCCTATGTCTCGCCCACGCCATTCTGGCACCCCGTTTTCACTTCTGGGGGTCTTCGAGAGACACAGGCAATCGGCTTCAACACCTGGGACTTTACAGCCTGCTTGAGAAAGCCCTGGGGGATTCTGGGATGGGAGAGTCATCCATTGGAGGCTCTCAGCATTCCCTGGGGTCTCGATGCTTCTTCCCTCTGCCAGCATCAACTTCTCCCTTAGTCCCTGGCACCCGCCCACGCCACACTGCAACCCCGTTTTCACTTGTGGGGGCCTTCCAGGGGAGACACAGAAATCCTGCTCCAAAGACTGGGGCTTTACAGCCCTCCCCGGACAGACCTGGGGGATTCTGGAATGGGAGAGATCTCCTAGAAAGGCTACCAGCATTCCCTGTGGTCTCACCGATTCTCTTCTCTGCCTGCCTCAATGTCCTCCTGAGTCTCTGTGGCCTGCCCACGGCCACCCTGTGACCCTGTTTTCACTTATGGGACTTCCGCGAGAGACACAGGGCACCCTGCTCCAAAGTCTGCAGCTTTACAGCTTGCTTAGGACACGCTGGAGGCTTCTGGGATGAAAGGGGCCTCTTTGGGAGGCTCCCAGCATTCCCTGCCTTGATGCCACGTCTTCCCTCTGCCTGCCTCAAGTTCCCCCTGAGTACCTTACAACCAAGAACGCCACCCTGCAGCCCCATTTTTGCTTGTGGGGGCATTTCTTGAGAGACACAGGCAGTCTGCTTCAAAGCCTAGGGCTTTACAGACCACCAGGTACAGCCCAGGGGCTTCTGGGATGGGAAAAGCCACCTTGAAATGCTCCCAGCACTCCCAGTGGTCTAGCCACTTCTCCCCTCTGCCTGCCTTAATGTCTCCCTGAGTCCTTGTGGCCCACCCACACAATCTGCGTCCCGATTTTGCTTGCGGGGGCCTTCCACGAGAGACACAGGCACCCTGCTCCAAAGCCTGGGGTTTTACAGCCCTCCCGGTACAGCCCTGGAAACTTTGGGATGGAAGAGTCGTCCTTGGGAGGCTCCCAGCATTGCCTGCGGTATTGCTGCTTCTCTCCTCTGCCTGCCTCAACATCCCCCTGAGTTTTTGCTGCCTGCCCACGCCACCCCGCATTCCCGTTTTTGCTTCTAGGGGTATTCCTCGTGTTCCACAGGCACCCTGCTCCAAAGACTGGGGCTTTACATGCCCCCTGGGACAGCCTTGTGGACTCCTGGGATAGAAGAGGCATCCTTGTGAGGATCCCAGCATTCCCTGCGGTCTCACTGCTTCTCCCCTCTGAGCCTCAGTGTCCCCCTGAGTCCCTGAGGCCTGCACATGCCACTCTGCAAACCCGTTTCGCTTGTGGGGGCTTTCCGTGAGAGACACAGGCACCTTGCTCCAAAGCCTGGGGTTTTACAGCCTACTTGGTGAAGCCCTGGGGGCTTCTGGGATTGGAGAGGGCCTTGTGGGAGGCTACCAGCATTCCCTGAATTCTCACAGTTTCTCCCCTCTGCCTGCCTCAACTTGCCCTGAGACCCTGCGACCCTCCCACACTATTCACTTTTTCACTTGTGGGGGCCTTCCTCAAGAGACACAGGCATCCAAAAGCCTGGGGCTCCAAAGCCTAGGGCTTTACAGCCTTCCTGGGTCAGCCCGGGGGGCTTCTGGGATGAGAGAGGCCTCTTTGGGAGGCTGTGAGTCTTCCCTGCTGTCTTGCTGCTTCTCCCCTCTGCCTGCCTCAACTTCTCCCTGAGTCCCTGTGATCTCCCTCGTCACACTACAACACCATTTTCGCTTGTGGGGGCCTTCAGAGACAGACACAGCCACCCTACTCCAAACCCTGAGGTTTACAACCTTCCCAAGCCAGGCATGGGGGCCCCTGGGATGGAAAAGTCACCTTTGGGAGGCTTCCAGTAGTCCCTGTAGTCTCGATGCTTCTCCTTTTTGCCTACATCAACATCCCCCTGAGTACCTGAGTATCTGCGGCCCAACCACACCACCTTGTGGACCCATTTCTCCTTGCGGGGGCCTTCCGCGAGAGATACAGGCACCCTGCTCCAAAGCCTGAGAATTTACAGCACACACAGAACAGCCCTATGGGTTTCAGGGACGGGAGATGCTTCCTTGGGAATGCTTTGAGCATTCCCTGCGGTCTCACTGCTTCTCCCCTCTGCCTGCATCAATGTCCCCTTGAGTCGCTCTAGCCTGCCCACGGCCACACTGTGGCCTCGTTTTCACTTCGGGTGTGTGGGCTTCCTTGAGAGACACAAGCACCATGCTTTAAAACTTGGGGCTTAACAGCCCGTCTCAGACAGCTCTGGAGGCTTCTGGGATTGGAGAGGCCTCCTTGGGAGGCTCCCAGCCTTCCTTGCGCTGTGGCCACTTCTCCCCTCTGCCTGTCTCGAAGTCCCCATGAGTCCCTGCAGCCCAATCACGCGACCCTGTGGCCCCGTCTTCACTTTTGGGGCCTTCCACGAGAGACAGAGGCACTCTTCTCCAAAGCCTGAGGCTTTACAGTGGTGCTTCTGGTGTGTGAGAGGCCTCCTTGGGATGCTGCCAGCATTCCCTGCTGTCTCATAGCTTCTGCCCTCTGCCTGTCTTATGTCCCCCTGAGTCCCTACAAACCACCCACAACACCCTGCAGCCCCATTTTCACTTGTGGGGGCCTTCTGTGAAAGACACTGGCACCCTGCTTTACAGCCTGATTTGGACAGCCTTGGGGGCTTCTGGGATGGGAGAGGCCTCCTTGGGAGTCTCGCAGCATTCAATGCAGTCTTGTCGCTTTTCCCCTTTGCCTGCCTCAACATCCCCCTGAGTCCCTGCAGCCTGCCCACGCCACCCTGTGGCTTTGTTTCTGCTTGTGGGGCCTTCGGCAAGAGACACATTCTCCCGGCTAAAAAGCCTGCGGCTTTAGAGCCCGCCAGGGACAGCCATAAGGGCTTCTGAAATGGGAGAGGCATCCTTGAAAGGCTCCCTGCATTCCTTTCTGTCCTGCCTCTCCCCTCTGTCTGCCTCAAGGTCCCCCTGAGTCCTTGCGACCCGCCCACACAGCCCTGCAGCCCCCTTTGCACTTGAGGGGGTTTTCTGTGAAAGGCACAGGCACCCTGCTTTACAGGCCATGCAGAACACCCCTGGGGGCTTTACAGCCTGTGCAGGACAGCCCTGGGGGCTTCTGGGATGACAGAGGCACTCTTGGGAAAATTCCAGTATTCCCTGCAGTCTCGCAGCTTCTACTCTCTGCCTGCCTCAACATCCCCCTGAGTCCCTGCAGCCCGCCCATGCCACCCCTGCGGCACTGTTTTTGCTTGTGGGGGCCTTTGGTGAAAGACACAGGCACCCTGCTTCAAAACCTCGGGGTTTACAGCCCGCCCGGATTAGCCCTGGTGGCTTCTGGGATGAGAGAGGCCTCCTTAAGAGGCTTCCAGCATTCCCTGTGGTCTTGCCACTTCTCCAATCTGCCTGCCTTAACGTCCTCCTAAGTCCTTGTGGCCCGCCCACGCCACCCTGTGGCCCCATTTTACTGCCTCCTGCTTCAACGTCCCCCTCAGTGCCTGCCGTCTGCCCACGCCACTTTGCAGCTCTGTTTTTGCTTGTGGAGGCCTTCTGCAGGAGATACAGGCACCCTGCTCCAAAGCCTGAAGCTTTACCGCCCGACCGGGACAAACCTGGGGTCTTCTGGGTTGGGAGTGGCCTCCCCAGTTAGATTCCAGCATTCCCTGTCGTCTCACTGCTTCTTGCCTCTGCTTGCTTCAACGTCCCCCAGAGTCCCCCCTGCGGCCCTCCCACGCCACCCAGTTGCCCAGTTTTCTCTTGTGGGGGCCTTTTGCGAGTGACACAGCCATCCTGCTCTAGAGCCTGGGGCTTTACAGCCCGCCCGGGATGGCCCCGGGGGCTTCTCGGATAGAAGAAGCCTCTTTGAGAGGCTCCCAGGATTTCCTGTGGTCTCACCCCTTCTCACCTCTGCCTGCCTCAACGTCCCCCTGAGTCGGTGTGGCCCGCCCTCGCCACCCTGCCACCCCGTTTTCGCTTGTGGGGGCCTTCTGCGAGAGACACAGACACCCTGCTCCAAAACCTGAGGCTTTACAGTCCGCATGGAACATCCCTGTGGGCTTCTGGGATGGAGAGGCCTCCCTGGGAACCTCCCAACATTCCTTCTCGTCTCGCCGATTCTCCCCTCTGTCTGCCTCAACATCCCCTTGAGTCACTGCGGCCTGCCCACGGCTACCCTGCGGCCCCATTTTCCCTTGTGGGTGCCCTCTGAAAGAGACACATGCACCCTGTTCCAAAGCCTGGGGCTTTACAGCCCGCCTGGGACAGCCCTGGGAGCTTCTGAGATGGGAGAGGCACCCTTGGGAGGCTCCCAGCATTCCCTGTGGTCTCACTGCTTCTCCCCTTTGCCTGGCTCAACATCCCCCTGAGTCCCTGGGGCCCGCCAACGCCACCCCAGCGGCCCTGTTTTCACTTGTGGGGGACTTCTGTGAGAGACACAGGAACACTGCTCCAAACCCTGGGGCTTTACAGCCCGCACGGTACAGCTCTGGGGGGTTCTGGAATGGGAGAGACATCGTTGGCAGGCTCCCAGCATTTCCTGCGGTGTTTCCACTTCTCCCCTCTGCATGCCTCAACGTCCCGCTGAGTTCCTGCCGCAAAACCACTCCATCATGGGGCCCCGTTTTCACTTGTCAGAGCCTTCTGCGAGAGACACAGGCACTCTGCTTTAAATCCTGGAGCTTTACAGCCCGCCTGGGACAGCCCTGGGGGCTTCAGAGATGGGAGAGGCCTTTCTGAAAGGATCCCTGCATTCCCTGCAATCTCACCACTTCTCCCCTCTGCCTGCCTCAACATTTCCCTTAGTCGCTGTGGCCTGCCCATATCTACCTTGCTACCCTGTTTTCACCTGTATGGGCCTTCCGCGAGAGACACAGGAATCCTGCTCCAAAGGCTGGGGCTTTATAACCCTCCCGGGACTCTTCTGGGGGCTTCTAGGATGACAGAGGCATTTTGGGGAGGCTCCCAGCATTCCCTGTGTTCTCGTGACTTCTCTGGTCTGACTGCCTCAATGTTTTCCTGAGTCCCAGCAGCCCGCCCATGCCACCCTGCCTCCCCGTTTTTATTTGTGGATGCCTTCTGCAAGAGACATAAGCACCCTGCTCCAACACTTGGGGCTTTACATCCCATCAGGGACAGCCCTGGGGCGTTCAGTGATGGGAGAGTCCTCCTTGTGAGGCTCCCAGCATTTCCTGTGGTCTTGCCGCTTCTACTCCTCTGCCTGCATCAAGGATCCCCTCAGTCCCTGCCACCCACCCATGCCACCCTGGGCCCCGTGTTTGATTGTGGTGGCCTTCCATAAGACACACAGGCACGCTGCTCCAAAGCTTGGATCTTTACGGCCCGCCTGGAATAAACCTAGGGGCTTCTGGGATGGGAGAGGCCTTCTTGTGAGGCTCCCAGCTTTCCCTGCAGTCTCGCTGCTTCTCCCCTCTGCCAGCCTCAACGTTCCCCTGAGTCCCTGTGGCCAAACCACGCCATGCTACGGCCCCATTTTTGCCTTGGGGGCCTTCTGCAAGTGACACTAGCACCCAGTTCAAAAGCCTGGGGCTTTACTGTCCACCGGGGACAGACGTGGGGCCTTCTGGGATGCTAGAGGCGTTCTTGGGAGGCTCCCAGCATTTCCTGCAGTCTCACCACTTCTCACACTGCCTGTTTCAATGTCTTCCTGAATCCCTGCGGCCAGCCCACCCCACACTGCCACCCGGTTTTCACTTGTGGGTGTCTTCCGCGAGAGACATTGGCACACTGCTTCAACACCTGGGGCTTCACGGCTCACCCAAGAAAACCCTGGGGGATTCTGGGATGGGAGAAGACTCCTTGGGAGGCTCCCAGCATTCCCTGTGGTCTTACCACTTCTCCCCTCTGCCTGCCTTAAGTTCCCCCTGAGTCCCTGCGGCTGGCCCACACCACCCTGTGGCCCCGTTTTTGCCTGTGGGGACCTTCCACGAAAAACAAAGGCACCCTGCTCCCAAGCCAGGGGCTTTATAGCCCTCCTGGGACAGTTCTGGGGGCTTCTCAGATGGGAGACTCCTCCCTGGGAGGCTCCCACCATTCCCCGTTGTCACGCCGCTTCTCCCCTCTGCCTGCCTCAGTGTCGCCCCTGAATCCCTACAGCCCTCCCACTCCTATCTGGAGCCCCGTTTTCACAAGTGTTTGCATTCCACGAGCTACACAGGCATCCTGCTCCAAAGCTCAGGGCTTTACAGCCTGCCCAGGACAGCCCTGGGTGCTTCTGGGATGGAAGAGATCTTTTTGGGAGGCTCCAAGTATTTCCTGTGGTCTCACTGCTTCTCCCTTCTGCCTGCCTCAACATCCCCCTCAGTCCCTGTGACCTGCCCTCGCCACCCTGCAGCCCCATTTTCTCTTCTGGGGTCCTTCAGTGTCAGACACAGGCACCCTCTCCCAAACCCTGGGTCTTTGCAACCAGCCCGGGACCACCCAGGGGGTTTCTGGGATGAAAGAGGCTTTCTTGGGAGGCTCCCAGCATTTCCTGCTGTTTCGCCGCTTCTCCCCTCTACCTGCCTCAACTTCCCCCTGCATCACTGCCGCCTGCTCACAGCCACCCTGTGTCCCTGTTTTCGCCTGTGGTGGCCTTCCGCAAGAGACACAGCCACCCTGCTCCAAAGCCTGTGGCTTTACAACTTGCCCAGTACAGAGTTTGGGGCTTCTGGGATGGGAGAGGCCTCCTTGGGAGGCTCCCAGCTTTCCATGCAGTCTCACCGCTTCTCCCTTCTGCCTGCTTCAGTGAACCACTGAGTCCCTGTGGCCCACCCACGCCACACAGCAGACGCGTTTTCGCTTGTGGGGGCCTTCTGCAGGCAGATGGAAGAAGCGGCAAGGCCTGGTTGTGTGCTGGGTCCTTCCAGGGATGCCCCACTCTTCCCAGAAAACCACAGGGTGCTCCCCGGATCTGAGCCTAAAGCCCGGGCTCCAGCGCAGGGTGACGTTGTCTCTCACGGAGGGCCTACACAGATGGCTGTGGGGATGCAGGGGGGCTTTCACAGTTGGGCAGAAATTCAGGTGGACATTGAGGCAGGTGGAGGGGAGAAGCGGCCAGGCTTGAGAATAAGCTGGATCCTCCTAGGGAGGCTTGTCAGTTTCCAGAAGCCCCCTGAGGCACCCCTCAGGTGGGGGCTAGAGCCCCGAGGTCCTGCCCAGGATGACAGTGTCTCTTATGAATGGCCCGCACAGGCGGGGCGTAGGGGCCGCAGTATGGCCTGTGCGGGCAGGCAGAAACTCAGAGGGATGTTGAGGCAGGCATAGGGGAGAAGCAGCGAGGACTGAGCGGGTGCTGGGTCATCCCAGGGATGACTCTCCATTCCCAGAATCCCTAGTGGTGCTTCCAAGTGCGGGCTAGAGCTCCGGGCTCTGACCCAGGGTGTCTGTCTCTCGTGGAGGGCCCCCATGGGAAGTGGCGTTGCCACATGCGGAACTGTGTGGGCCAGCAAAAACTCAGGGAGATGTTGAGGTAGGCAGAGGGGAGAAGCCGCTAGGGTTGACCAGGTGTTGGGTAGTCCCAGGGAGGCCTCTCGCCTCCCAAAATTCCCTGGAGCACACCCCTGGTGGGGGCTAGAGCCACGGGATCCAGTGCAGGGTGCCTGTGTCTCATGGAGGGCCCCCACAGGTGGCAGTGAAGATGCAGACTGGCCCATGCTGGCTGACAGAAACACAAGGAAACGAGGCAGGCAGAGGGGAGAAACCGCGAGGTCTGAGTGGGTGCTGGATCCACCCAGGGAGGCCTCTCTTTTACAGAAGCTGTAAGGGCATCCCCCAGGTGGGTGCTAGAGCCTTGTGTTCTGGCCCTGGGTGCCTGTGTCTTTTGCGGAGGACCCTCATGGGTGGCAGCTGTGCCAGATGTGGGCCTGTGTGGGCAGGCAGAAACTCAGGGGGACATTGAGGCAGGCAGGGGGAGGGAAGGATTGGTGATTCCTGTGCAGGTATTGGGTCCTCCCAGGGAGGTCTGTCCCTCCCAGAAGCCCGCGGGGTGCCCTTGGGTTGGAGCTAGAGCCTGGGTTCAGACCTCTGCCTGTGGTTTTGGCGAAGGGCACCCACAGGCGGCAGTGGGGCCTCAAGGGGGCCTCTGCAGGAAAGCAGAAACTGAGGGGTTTTGGAGGCAGGCAAAGGGGAGAAGCAGCAAGGCCCGAGTGGGTGCTGGCTGCACCCAGGGAGGCCTCTCCCTTCCCAGAAGCCCCTGAGGCTCCCCTGGTGTGAGAGCTAGAGACCCTGGCTCTGACTCAGGATGGCCGTGTTTCTCATGGAGGTCCCGTATGGGCAGTGGCAGGTTCGAAAGCAGGCCTGTGGTGACCGGCAGAAACTCAGGGGTCTTAGAGGCAGGCAGATGGGAGACACACGAGACCTGAGCAGGTGCCAGGTCCTCACAGGGAGGCCACTCCCTTCTCAGAAGCCTCTGTGGGGCCCCCGGGTGGGGGCTAGAGCTCTGGGCTCTGACTCAGGGTGCTTGTTTCTTTCACAGAGGGCCCCAAATGGCGGCAGCAGGTTCATAGGCAGTCCTCTGTAGGCCAGCAGAAACTCAGGGGGACATTAAGGCAGGCAAAGGAATGAAGTGGCAAGGCTTGAGCGAGTGCTGGGTACCCCCAGGAGGTCTCTCTTTTTACAGAAGCCTCCAGGGCACCCGCGGCTGGGGGCTAGAGGCCCGACTCTGGCCAAAGGTGTCTGTGTCTCTCTTGGAGGCCCCCATGGGTGGAAGCAGGGTCACAGATGGGCCTGTGTGGGGGTCAGAAACTCATGGGGACGTTGAAGCAGGCAGAGGGGTGATGCATCAAAGCCAGAGCAGGTCCTAGAATTTCCCAGGGAGGCTCTCCCTTGCAGGAAGACACCGGTGAGCCCACCGGGTGGAAGCTAGAGCCCCGGGCTTTAGCCCAGGGTGTGTGTGTATTTCACAGAGAGCACACACAGGCCAGGGTGGGGCTTCAGGCTGGACAGTGCAGCCAGGCAGAAACTTAGGGGGATGTTAAGGCCTGCAGAGGGGAGAAGCAGTGAGGCTTGAGCTGGTGTTGGTTCATCCCAGGGAGGCCTCTCATTTCCCAGAAAATGATGGGGTACCTCTCAGGTGTGGGCTAGAACCCTGGGCCTCTCAGGTGTGGGCTAGAACCCTGGGCTTCAGCCAAGGGTGCCTGAGTCTTTCATGGAGGGCCCCCATGGGTGGCGGGAGGGCCAAAGACGGGCCTGTGTCAGCTGACAAAAACTCACAGGGACGTTGAGGCAATCAGAAAACTAGAAAGAAGCTATCTGAGAAACTGCTTTGTGATGCGTACATTCATTTCACAGAGCTAATAATGCATTTTGATTCAGCACTTTGAAAACACTCTCATTGTAAAATCTGCAAAGGGACATATCAAAGCCCACCAAGTCTTCCAGTGGAAAACAGAATATGCAGTGATAAAAACTAGAAAGAAGCTATCTGTGAAACTGATTTGCAGTGTGTGCATTCAGCTCAGAGAGTTAAACCTTTCTTTTGATTCGGAAGTTTGGAAACACTTTTTCTGAGGAATCTGCCAGAAGTCACTTCAGAGCTCATTGAGTCTTCCAGTGAAAAACTGAATATCCCGTGGAAAAAAAAAAAAGAAACTATAATGAAGCTATCTGTGAAACTGCTTTATAGTGTGTGGATTCAGCTCACAGAGTTAAACTTTAGTTTGATTCAGCAGTTTGGAAACAGTTTTTTTGTAGAATCTGTGAAGGGACATTTCGGAGTACTTTGAGGTCTGTAGTGAGAAACAGAATATCCCATGATAAGAACTAGAAATAAGCTACCTGTTAAACTGCTTTGTGATGGGTGGATTCAGCTAAAAGAGTTAAACAACTTTTTTGAGGGTAAACAAGTAGTAAACACTCTTTTTGTAGAATCTGCCAATAAACATTTCAAAATGCAGAGGCCTATAGTAAAAAACTGAATATCCCAGGATAAAAACTTCAAAGAAGCTCTCTTTGAAACTGCTTTGTGATGCATAGATTCAGCTCAAAAAGTTCAAACTTTCTTTTGATTCACCTGTTTGGAAACACATTTTTTGTAGATTCTGCAAAGGGATATTTTTGAGTGCATTAAGGCCTATAGTGAAATACTGAATATCTGGTAATAAAAACTAGAAATAAGCTATCTGTGAAACTGCTTTGTGATATGTGGATTCAGCTCACAAAGTTAAACCTTTATATTGATTCAGTAATTTGGAAACTTTGTCATTGTAGAATCTGCCAGTAAACATTTCGGTGTGCACTGAGGCCTATAGTGAAAAACAGAATATCCCACAATAAAAACTAGAGAGAAGCTATCTGTGAAACTGCTTAGTGGTGTAGGAATTCAGCTCAAAGAGTTAAACCTTACTTTTTATTCAGCAGTTTGGAATCACTCTTTTTGTGGAATCTGCAAAGGGACACTTTGGAGTGCATTGACTGAGAAAGAGAATATCCCACGATAAAAACTGGAAGGAAGTTATCTGTGAAACTTATTTGTGATATGGGGATTTAGCTCACAGAGTTAAAGCTTTCTTTTTATTCAGCAGTATGGAAACACTCTTTTTGTAGAACCTGTGAAGTGACATGTTGAAGCACAGTGAGGGCTATAGTGAGAAACAGAATATCCCATGATAAATACTAGAAAGAAGGTATCTGTGAAACTGCTTTGTGATGTGTGGATTCTGCTCACAGAGTTAAATCTTTCTCTTGATTCAGCAGGTAGGAAACATTCTTTCTGTAGAATCTGTGAAGTGACATTTTGGAGTGCACTTAGGCCTGTAGTGGAAAAACATACACCTGGTGATAAAAATTTAAAAGAAGCTATCTGTGGGCCAGGCATGGCATAATCCCAGCACATTGGGAGGCTGAGGTGGGCAGATCATGAGGTCAGAAGACTGAGACCACCCTGGCTAACATGGTGAAACCCCGTCTGTACTAAACATACAAAAAAAAATTAGCTGGGTGTGGTGGCGGGCCCCTGTAGTCCCAGCTACTCAGGAGGCTGAGGCAGGAGAATGGTGTGAACCCAGGAGGTGGAGCTTGCAGTAAGCCGAGATTGTGCCACTGCACTCCAGCCTGGGTGACAGAGTGAGACCCCTTCTCAGAAAAAAAAAAAATAGCTATCTGTGAAACTGATTTGTGATGTGTACATTCAGTACAGAGAGCTAAACCTACGTTTGGATTCAGCAGATTGAAAACACTCTCTTTGTACAATCTGCAGAGAGACATTTCAGAGCCCACTGAGGCCTAGAGTGAAAAACCTAATACCCAGTGATAAAATCTAGAAAGAAGATATCTGTGAAAATGCTGTGTGTTGTGTGGATTCAGCTCCCAGCATTAAATCTTACTATTTATTCAGCAGGTTGGAGACACTCTTTTTGTAGAATCTGCAAAGGGACATTTCAAAGCACATTGAGGCCTATAGGGATAAGCCAAATATCCTGTGATAAATGCTGGAAAAAAAAAGTTATCTTGGAAACTGCTTTGCAATGTGTGCATTCAATTCAAAGAGTTAAACCTTACTTTTGATTCAGCTTTTTGGAAACACTAATTTTGTAGAATCTACAATGAGACTTTTCAGAGTGCTTTGAGGCTATAGGAAAAATATGAACATCCCATGGTAAAAACTAGAAATAAGCTATTTGTGAAACTGCTTTGTTATGTGTAGATTAAGCTCCCAGAATTAAACCTTTTCTTTGATTCAGCAGTTTGGAAACACCGTTTTTGTAGAATCTGCGAAGAAAGATTTCAGAGCACAGTGAGGCCTATAGTGAAAAACTGAATATCCCACAATAAAAACTAGAAAGAATCGCTTTGTGAAAGTGCTTTGTGATGTATGAATTCAGCTAGAAGAGTTAAACCTTACTTTTGATTCAGCAATTTGGGAACACTCTTTGTGTAGAATCTGTGAAGGGACATTTTGAAGTGCACTGAAGCCTATAGTGAGAAACGGAATAACCAGTGTTAAAAACCAGAAAGTAGCTATCTTTGCAAATGCTTGGGGATGTGGGGATTCAGCTCACAGGGGTAAAACTTTCTTTCAATTCAGCAGTTTAAAAACACGTTTTTTGTTGGATCTGCAAAGGGTCATTTCAGAATACATTGAGACCTATAGTGTAAAACCAAATATCCCATGATATAATCTAGAAAGAAGCTATCTGTGAAGTTGCTTTGTGATATGTGGATTCAGCTCATAGAGTTAAACCTTTCTGTTGTTACAGCAGTTTGGAAAAACTGTTTTTGTAGAATCTGTGAAGGGACATTTCAGAGCGCTTTGAGGCCTATAGTAAAAAACAATATCCCACGATAAAAACTAGAAAGAAGCTATCTGTGAAACTGTTTTGTGATTTGTGGATTGAGCTCACATAGCTAAATCTCTTTTTGGGGGGGCGGGTTCAGCTGTTTGTAAACACTTTTATTGCAGAATCTGTTAAGGGACATTTTGAAGTGTTTTGAGGACTGTAGTAAAAAACAGAATATCACACGATAAAAAACTAGAAAGAAGCTATCTGGGAAACTGCTTTGTGATATGTTGATTCAGCTCAGAGTCTTAAACATTTCTTTCAATTCAGCAGTTTGGAAGTGCTCTTTTTGTAGAAACTATGAAGGGACATTTTGGAGCACAGTGAAGCCTATAGTGAAAAAGTGAATATTCCACGATAAAAATTAGAGAGAAGCTCTCTGTGAAACTGCTTTGTGATATGTGGATTCAGCTAACTGAGTTAACCATTCTTTTGATTCAGCAGTTTGGAGACACATTTTTGTAGAATCTGCTGAGGGAAGTTTTAAAGTGCAGTGAGGCCTATAGTGAAAAACCAAATATCTTGTGATAAAAACTAGAAAGAAGCTATCTGTGAAACTGCTTTGTGATGTGTACATTCATTTCACAGAGCTAAATCTAGATTCAGCAGGTTGAACACACTTTTTTTGTAGAATCAGCAAAGGGACATTTTGGAGCCCACTGAGGCCTACAATGAAAAAACAAATATCCAGTGATAAAAGCAAGAAAGAAGATATCTGTGAAATTGCTGTGAGATATTTGAATTCAGTTCGCAGCATTAAACCTTACTCTTTATTCAGTAGTTTGGAAACACTGCTTTTGGAGAATCTCTGAAGAAACATTTTGGAATACATTGAGGCCTATAGTAAAGAACTGAATATCCCATGGTAAAAATTAGAAAGAAGCTATCTGTGAAACTGCTTTGTGATGAGTAAATTAAGATAACAGAGCTAAATCTTTCTTTCAATTCAGCTGTTTGGAAAAACTCTTTTTGCAGAATCTACAAAGGGACATTTCAGGGTGCTTTGAGGCCTACAGTGAAAAACTGAATATCCTGTGATTTAAACTAGAAAGAAACTGTCTGTGAAACTGCTTTGTGATATGTGAATTCAACTCACACTGTTAAAGCTTTCTTTTGTTACAAAAGTTTGGAAACACTCTTTTTGTAAAATCTGTGAAGGGACATTTTGAAGCGCATTGAAGCCTATAGTGAAAAACCAAATATTGTGTGATAAAAACTGGAAAGAACCTATTTTTGAAACCACTTTTTGATGTGTGAATTCAGCTCATAGAGTTAATGCTTTCTTTTGATTCAGCAGGTTGCAAATGCTCTTTTTGTAGAGTCTGCAAAAGGACATTTCAGTGCACACTGAGGCATGTAGTGAAAAACCCAATTTGTGGTGATAAAAACTAGAAAGAAGCTATCTGTGAACCTGCTTTGTAAGTGTACATTCAGCTCACAAAGCTAAACCTATGTTTTGAATCAGCAGTTTAAAAGAACTCTCTTTGCAAAATCTGCAAAGGGACTATTTCGAGCCCACTGAGGCCTATAGTGAAAAACAGAATATCCAGTGATGAAAGCTAGAAAGAAGATATCTGTGAAACTGCTGTGTGATGTGTGGATTCAGCTCCCAGCCTTAAACCTTACTATTTATTCAGCAGGTTGGAAACACTCTATTAGAAGAATCCTGAAGATACAATTAAAAGTGCATTGAGGCCTGTAGTAAAAAACCGAATATCCCGTGATAAAAACTAGAAAAAAGCGCTCTATAAAATTGCTTTGTGATGTACAAATTCAGCTAATAGAGTTAAAATTTCCTTTTTATTCAGCAGTTTGAAAACATTCTTTCTGTAAAATCTGTGAAGGGGCATTTCAGAGCACAGTGAGACTGTAGTAATATAAACAAGAATATCCCACAATAAAAACCAGAAAGAAGATATTTTTGAAACTGCTTCCTCGTGTGTAGATTAATCTCACAGAGTTAAACGCTTCTTATAATTCAGCAGTTTGGAAACACTCTTTTTGTAGAGCGTGCAAAGAGACATTTTAGAGCATATTGAAGCCAATGGTGAAAAACTAAATATCCCATGATAAAAAAGAGAGAGAAACTGCCTGTGAAACTGTTTAGTTATATGTGGATTCAGCTCACAGAGTTAAACCTTACCTTTGATTCGGCTGTTTGGAAACCCTCCTTTTGTAGAATCTGCGAAGGGACATCATTACAAAGTGGAGTGAGGCCTTTAGTGAAAAACTGAATATCCTGTGATAAAAACTAGAAAGACACTCTCTGAGAAACTGCTTTGTGATATGTGGATTAAGCTAACCGAATTAAACCACTCTTTTGATTCCACATTTTGAAAACACTCTTTTTGTAGAATGTGCAAAAAGACATTTTGAAGTGCAGTGAGGTCTATAGTGAAAAACTGAATATCCCATGATAAAAACTAGAAAAGATCTATCTGTGAAACTGCTTTGTGAAATGTGGATTCAGCTCGCAGAGTTAAACCTTTGTTTCAATTCAGCAATTTGGAAACACTCTTTTTGTAGAATCTGCAAAAAGGCATTTCAAAGTGCAGTGAGATCTATAGTGAAAAAACCGAATATCCTGTGACAAAAACTAGAACGAAGTTATCTGTGAAACTGCTTTGAGATGTGTACATTCAGTTCACAGAGCAAAACCTATGTTGTAATTCAGCAGATTGAAAACACTCTCTTTGTAGAATCTGCAAAGGAACATTTCAGAGTCCACTGAGATCTATAGTGAAAATCTGAACACTCAGCATTAAAAACTAACAAGAAGATATCAGTTAATCTACTGTGTGATGTGTAGATTCAGCTCACAGCATTAAACCTTACTATTTATTCAGCAGATTGGAAACATTCGTCTTGTAGAATCTGTGAAGACACATTTTGAAACCCATTGAGGAGGCCAATAGTGAGAAACTGAATATCCTCCGTGAAATGTCTTTGTGATGTGCAGATTAGGCTAACAGAGTTAAACCTTTCTTTTGATTCAGGAGGTTGGAAACAATTTATTTGTAGAATCTGTGAAGAGACATTTCAAAGCACTTTGAGGACTACAGTGAAAAACCAAATATCTATTTATAAAAACCAGCAAGAAGATATCAGTAAAACTGCTTTGCCAAGTGTGTATTCAGATCAGAGAGTTACACCTTACTTTTGATTCAACTGTTTGTAAACACTCTTTTTGTAGAATATGGGAAGAAACATTTCAAAGCGCTTTGAGGCATGTATTAAAAAACAGAATATCCTGTGGTGAAAACTAGAAAGAAGCTATCAGAGAAATTGCTTTGTGATGTGTGGATTCAGCTTACAGAATTAAACCTTTCTTTTGATTCAGCGGTTTGGAAACACTTTTTTTCGTAGAATCTGCAAAGGGACATTTTGGAGCTCAGTGAACCCTATAGTGAAAAATCAAATATCCCATGATAAAAACTGGAAAGATAAAAACTGGAAAGAAGCTCTCTGTGTAACTGCTTTGTGATGTATGAATTCAGCTAACAGAGTTAAACCAAACTTTTGATTCAGCAGTTTGGGAACATTCTTTTTGTGGAATCTGTGAAGGGACATTTTGGACTGCAGTGAGGCCTATAGTAATAAACCAAATATCCCATGATAAAAACTAGAAAGAAACTATCTGTGAAACTGCTCTGTGATGCTTGGATTCAGCTCACAGAGTTCAAGACGTGTTTTGAGTCAGCATTTTGGAAACACTCTTGTAGAATCTGTGAAGGGACATGTCCAAGCGCTTGAAGCCTGTAGTGAAAAGCAGAATATCCTGTGATAAAAACTAGAAAGAAGCTATCTGTGAAATTGCTTTGTGAGATGTGGTTTCATCTCACAGAGTTAAACTTTTCTATATATTCAACAGGTTGGAAACAGTCTTTTTGTAGAATCTGCAAAGGGACATTTTAGAGCACTTTGTGGCTATATTGAACAATAGAATATCCCCCAATAAAAGCTAGAGAAAGCTATCTGAGAAACTGTATTGTGATGTGTGCATTCAGTTGAGATTGTTAAACCTTAGTTTTGATTCAGCTGTTTGAAACACTCTTTTTGTGGAAGCTGTGAAGGGAGATTTTAAAGTGCTTGGATGCTTATAATGAAAAACCAGGTATCTCAAAATTAAAACCTAGAAAGAAACTATCTGTGAAATTGCTTTGTGAGTTGTACATTCAGTTTATAGAGCTAAACCTGTGTTTTGAATAAGCAGGTTGAAACTACTCTCTTTGGAGAATCTGCAAAGGGATATTTCAGAGTCCCGTGAGGCCTATAGTGAAAAGCAGAATATCCTGCGATAAAAACAAGAAAGAAGCTGTCTGTGAAACTGCTTTGTGATGTGTGAGTTCACCTCAATGAGTTAAAACTTTCTTTTGATTCAGCAGATTGGAAACAGTAGATTGGAAACAGTCTTTTTGTAGAATAAGCGATGGGACAATTCAGAGTGCACTGATAAATATTAAAAAACAATATCTGGTGATAAAAAGTGGAAAGAAAGTATGTGTGAAGCTGTCTTGGGATGTGTACATTCAGTTCACAGAGCTAAACTTATGTTTTGATTCAGCAGGTCTAAAACACTCTTTTTGTAGAATCTGCAAGGGGACATTTCAGGGCCCACTGAGACCTGTAGTAAAAAACAGAATACCCAGCTATAAAAACTAGAAAGAAGATATCTGTGAAACTGTTGTGTGATGTTTGGATTGAACTCACATCGTTAACATTAAGCAGGTTGGAATCAGTTTTTTGTAGGATCTGCGAAGACACCTTTTAAAGCACATTGACATCTCCAGTGACAAAACAAATATCCCACGGTAAAAATCAGAAAGAAGTTGTCTGTGAAACTGCTTTGTTACATGTGGATTGGGCTCACAAAGTTAAACCTGTCTTTTGATTCAGCAGTTTAAAAACTCTCTTTTTCTAGAATCTGCGAAGGGTCATTTCAGAGGGCTTTGAGGCCTATAGTGAAAAATGAAATATCCCTTGATAAAAGTAGAAAGAAGCTATCTGTGAAACTGCTTTGTGATGTGTGCATTCAGCTCAAGGAGTTAAACCTTACTTTTGATTCAGCTGTTGGAAACACTCTTTTTGTAGAATCTGCAAAGGGACAATTTAGAGAGCTTTGAGGCATATAGTAGAAAAACGAAAATCCCGTGGTAAAAACTAGAAAGAAGGTATCTGTGAAAGTGCTCTGTGATGTGTGGATTCACCTCACAGAGTTAAAGCCAAAATTTGATTCATCTGTTTGTAAACACTCTTTTTGTAAAATAAGTGAAAGTACATTTCAGAGCTTAGTGGGGCCTGCAGAAAAAAAAAAGAGCATCCCATGATAAAAACTAGAAAGAAACTCTCTGTGAAACACCTTTGTGATATATGAATTCAGCTCACAGGGTTAAACATTACTTTGACTCAGCAGTTTGGAAACACTCTTTTTGTAGAATCAGTGAAGGGATATTTCAGAGCATATTGAAGCCTATAGTGAAATACTGAATATCCCGTGATATAAAAAAGAAAGAAGCTATCTGGGAAACTGCCTCTTAATGTGTGAGTTCACCTCACAGAGATAAATTTTCCTTTTGAAGCAGCAGTTTGGAAACACTCTTTTTGTAGACTGCCAATAGACATTTCATACTGCATTGAAGCTTATAGTGAAAAGCTGAATATTCCACAATAAAAATTAAAAAGAAGGTATCTGTGAAACTCTTTAGTGATATGTGGATTCAGCTCACAGAGTTAAACCTTACTTTTATTCACCTGTTTGGAAACACTATTTTTGTAGAATCTGCTAAGGGGCATTTCGGAGTGCTTTGAGGCCTATTGTAAAACAACTAATATCCCACAGAAAAACTGGAAAGAAGCTATCTTTGAAACTGCATTTTGATGTGTGTATTCAGCTCACAGAGTTAAAGCTTTTTTCTGATTCAGAAGTTTGGAAACACTCTTTTTGTAGAATCTGCCAATAGACATTTCATAGCGCATTATGGTCTATAGTGAAAAACAGAATATCCCATGATAAAAACCAGAGAGAAGCTTCCTCTGAAACTGCTTAGTGATTTGTGGATTCAATTCATGGAGTTAAACGTTTCTTCTCATTCGGCAGTTGGAAACTCTTTTTTTGTAGAATCTACGAAGGAATATTTTGGAGTGCTGTGAGGCCTATAGTGAAAAACAAAATATTCCATGATAAAAATTAGAAAACTGAAAACTAGAAAGAAACTGCTTTTTGATGTGTGGATACAGCTCACAGCGTTAAACCTTTCATTTGATTAAGCGGGTTGGAAATATTCTTTTTTGTAGATTCTGTCAATAGACATTTCAAAATGCATTGAGTCCTATAATGAAAACCTGAATATCCTGTGATAAATACTTAAAGAAGTTATCTGTGAAACTGCTCTGTGATGATTGGATTCAGCTCATGGGGTTCAACCCTTCTTTTTATTCAGCAGTTTGGAAACATTCAGTTTGGAGAATATGCAAAGGGACATTTTAGAGCACTTTCAGGCCCGTAGTGAAAAGCAGAATGTCCCAAGAAAGAAACTATAAATAAGCTGTCTGTAAAACTCTTTTGTGATAGATATATTCATCTCACAGATTAAAACCTTTCTATTTGATCAGCAGGTTGGAAACACTCTTTTTGTAGAATCTACAAAGGGACATTTTGGAGCTCATTGAGGCCTACAATGAAAAATAGAATATCCTCCAATGAAAACTAGAAAGAAGCTGTTTGTGAAACTGCTTTGTGATGTGTGCTTTCAGTTCAGAGATTTAAACCTTACTCTTGACTCAGCTTCTTTTACTAGAATGAGTGAAGGGACATTTTGAGGGGCGTTGAGGTCTACAGAGAAAAACTGAATATGTCACAAAAAAATAGAAATAAACTGTCTGTAAACCTGCTTTGTGATGTGTACATTCAGTTCATAGAGCTAAATCTATGTTTTGATTCAGCAGGTTCAAAACACTTGCTTTGTAGGATCTGCAAAGAAACATTTCAGAGCCCACTGAGGCCTGTAGTGTAAAAGTGAATATCCCATGTTAAAAACTAAAAGAAGCTATCTCACAGACTTAAAAAAGTGGAAACAGTTTTTTTGTAGAATCTCTGAAGAAACAATTGAGAGGCCACTGAGGCCTATAGTGACAAAATATCCTATGATAAAAAATGAAAAAATTTTGTGTGAAACTGCTTTATCATGTGTGCATTCAGCTCACAGAGTTGAGACTTCCTTTTGATTCAGCATGTTGAAAACTCTTTTTGTAAAACATGTGAAGGGACATTTTGGAGCACACTGAGGCCTACACTGAGAAACAAAATATCCCACAATAAAAACCAGAAAGAAGCTATCTATGAAACTGCTTTGTGATGTGTGCATTCAGCTCAAAGAGTTAAATGTTACTTTGGATTCAGGAGGTTGGAAACACACTTTTTGTAATATCTGTTAAGGGACATTTTGGTGTCCACTAATGCCTATAGTGAAAAACAGAATTTCCTGCTGTAAAAACTAGAAAGAAGCTATCTTTACAACTGTATTTTGATGTGTACATTCAGTTCAGAGACTTAAACCTTACTTTTGATTCAGCTGTTTGCAAACTCTCTTTTTGTAGAATCTGCAAAGCGACATTTCAGGGCACTTTAAGGCATATAGTGAAAAACAGAATATCCTGCCCTAAAAACTTTTGGATCCCACTGAGGCCTATAGTAAAAATCGAATATTCTATGATAAAAACTATAAAGAAGCTATCTGTGAAACTACTTTGTGATGTGTGGATTCAGCTCACAGAGATAAACATTTCTTTTCATACAGCAGGTTGGCAACACTCTTTTTCCAGAATCAGTGAAGAGGCATTTCAGAGTCCACTGAGGCTCATAGTGAAAAACAGAATATTCTGCAATAAAACCTAGAGAAAAGCAGCTATCTGTGAAATGGCTTTCTGATGTGTGCATTTAGCTCACAGGGTTAAACATTTCTGTTGATTCAGAAGGTTGGAATTACTCTTTTTGTAGAATCTGAGAATGGACATTTCAGAGCCTACTGAGGCCTATAGTGAGAAACTGAATATCCCACAATAAAAACTAGAAAGGAGCTATCAGTGACTGCTTTGTGCTATATGCATTCAGTTCACCGAGTTAAACCTTTCTTTTGCTTCTGCATGTTTGAAAAAGTTTTCTCATAAAACCTAGGAAGGGTCATTTCAGAGCCCACTGAGGCCTATAGAAAAAAAAATATACTGCTATAAAATAAAAAGACCCTATCAGTGAAACTGCTTTCTGATGTGTCCATTCAGTTCACAGAGTTAAAACTTTTTTTTGATTCAGCAGCTTGGAAATAATCTTTTTGTAGAATCTGTGAAGGAACATTTTGAAACCCACTGAGACCTGTAGCATAAAACTGGATACCCTGCAATAAAAACTAGAAAGACGCTAATTCTGAAACTGATTTGTAATGTTTGCATGCAGCTCATAGAGTTAAAGCTTTCTTTTCATTGAACAGGTTAGATACACTCTGCTTGTAGAATCTGTGAAGGGATATTTCAGAGCCCTCTAAGGACCACAGTGGAAAACCAAATACTCAATGATAAAAACTAGAAAGAATCTGTGAAACTGCTTTGTGATATGTGCATTCAGTTCACAGAGGCAAACCTTTCTTTTGATTCAGTATGCAGGAAACTCTCTTTTTGCAGATTCTGCAAAGGGATATTTGTTTCACAGCCCACTGAGGCGTATAGTGAAAAAACAAATATCTCACGATAAAAACTAGAAAGAAGCTGTCTGTGAAACCAATTGTGATGTGTGGATTCAGTTCTCAGAGTTAAGCCTTTTTTTCCATGCAGCAGGTTGGAAACACTCTCTTTGGGGAATCTGGAAAAAGACATTTCTGAGCCCACTGAGGCCTACAGTAATATATATATATATATATATACAGTATATATAATATATACACCATAATATATATATATTATGGTGTATATATAATATATACAGTATATATATATATATATATCCTGCAGTAAAAACTAGGAAGAAGCTATCTGTGAAACTGCTTTGAGATGTGTGTATTCATCTCACAAAATTAAACTTTTCTTTTGATTCAGCTGATTGGAGACACTCTATTTGTAGAATCTGTGAAGAGACATTTGGGAACCCACTGAGGCCTACAATAAAAAACTGAATATCCCCAGATAAAAACTAGGAAGAAGCTATCTGTGAAACTACTTTGCTATGTATGGATTCAGCTCACAGAGTTAAACCCTTTTGATTTAGCAGGTTGCAAACACTCATTTTGTAGAATTGGCAAAGAGACATTTCAAAGGCCACTGAGGCTTATA
Source organism: Homo sapiens (assembly GCF_000001405.40). Classification (NCBI taxonomy): domain Eukaryota; kingdom Metazoa; phylum Chordata; class Mammalia; order Primates; family Hominidae; genus Homo; species Homo sapiens. The sequence continues at coordinate 46,360,935 of NC_000008.11, read as the reverse complement.
GTGAAAAACAGAATATCCCATAATAAAAACAAAAAAAAGAAACTATATGTGAAACAGCTTTGTGATGTGTGCGTTCAATTCAAGGAGTTAAACCTTTTTTTTATTGTTATTCAGCAGGATGGAAACACACTGTTTGTACACTCTGTGAAGGGACATTTTGGATCTCACTGATTCTTATAGTGAAAAACAAAAAATCCCACAATAGAATCTAAAAATAAGCTACCTGTGAAAGTGCTTTGTGATGTGTGCATTCAGCCCACAGAGTTAAACCTTTCTTTTGATTCAGGAAGTTGGAAAAACTCTTTTGTAGATTCTGTGAAGAATCATGTGATGTGTGAATTCAGCTCACATGGTTAAAATTTTCTTTTGACTCGGCAGGTTGCAAACACTCTTTATGTAGAATCTGCAAAGGGACACTTCAAAGTCCACTCAGACTTATAGTGAAAAACAGAATATCCCATGATAACAACTAAAAAGAAGGTATCTGTGAAAGTGCTTTGTGATGTGTGGATTCAGCTCACAAAGTTTGGCATTTCTTTTGATTCAGCAGGTTTGAAACCCTCTTTATGTAGAATCTGCAAAAGAACATTTTGGAGGCCACTGAGGAATATAGCTAAAAACCAAAACTCTTTTGATAAAATTAGAAAGAACCTATATGGGAAAATGCTTTGTGATGTGTGCATTCACCTCACACAGTAAAACGTTACTTTTGTTTTAGCAGGTGGGAAACAATCTTTTTTTAGAATCTGTGAAAGTACATTGCAGAGCCCACGAAAGAATGTAGTGAAAAACCCGAATATTCCACAATAAAACTAGGAAGACGCTATCTGTGAAACTGCTTTGTGATGTGTAGATTCAGGTCACACAGTTAAACAGTCCTTTTTATTCAGCAGGTGAAAAACCCTCTTGTTTTAAAACCTAAAATGAAGATTTCAAAGCCCAGTGAGGCCTATAGTGAAAAAACAAATATCCCTCAGTAAAGGGAGGAAGCTATCTTTGAAATTGCTTTGTGATGTGTGGATTCAGCTCACAAAATTAAAACTTTCTTTGATTTACTTTGATTCAGCAGGTTGAAAACACCCTTTTTGTAGAATATGTGAAGGGACATTTTAAAGCCCACTGGAGCCTGCGTGAAAAACTGAGTTGTCACACTACAAAAATTAGAAAGAAGTTATCTGTGAAACTGCTTCGTGATGTGTGGATTCAGCTCATGGAGTTAATCTTTTTTTTAGATTAAGGAGGTCAGAAACACTCTTTTTTTTTACAATCTGCAAATTGACTTTTAGGAAGCACTGAGGCCTGTAGCAAAGAAACAAATATCCCCCAATAAAAAATAAGAAGGAAGCTGTATGTGAAACTGCTTTGTGATGTGGGGATTCAGTTTTCAGAGTTAAACTTTTTCTTTCATGCACTAGGTTGGAAACACTCTTTTTGTAGAATATGCGAAGGGTCATTTCAGAGCCCACTGAGGTGTATTGTGAAAAACTGAATATCCCGTGATAAAAAACTAGAAAGAAGCTGTCTCTGAAAGTACTTTGTGAAGTGTGGATTCAGCTCACAGAGTTAAACCTTTCTATTGATTCAGTAGTTTGGAAACACTCTTTTTGTAGAATCTGCAAATGGAAATTTCAGAGCCCACTGAGTTCTATAGTGAAAAACCGAATATCCCATGACAAAAACTAAAGAGAAACTATCTGTGAAACTGCTTTGCAATGTGTGGATTCAGGACACAGGGCTATAACTTTTTAAATTCAGCAGTTTAGAAACACTATTTTTGTAGAATCTGTGACAGGACAGTTTTGAGACCACTGATGCCTAAAGTGAGAAATAAAACTTTGCAACAAAAATTAGAGAGAACCTATCTGTAAAAATGGTTTGTGATTGTGCATTCAGCTCGCAAAGTTAAATGTTTCTTTAATTCAGCTAAGGAGAAACACACTTTTTAAAGAATTTGCAAAGGGACGTTTCAGAGCCACTTAGGCCTATAGTGAAAAACTGAATTTCTCGCAATAAAACAGAGAAAGAAGTTTTCTGAGAATCTGCTTTGTGATGTGTGAATTCAGTTCACAGAGTTAAACTTTTTTTGATTCAGCAAATTGGAAACACTCTTTTTGTAGAATCTGAGGCCTATAGTGAAAAACAGAATATCCCAAGATAAAAACTAGAGAAGAGATATACATAAAACTGTTTTACGACGTGTGGATTCAGCTCACAGGGTTAAACCTATCTTTTGATGAAGTAAGTTGGAAATGCTTTTTTTTTGTAGAATCTAGGAATGAACATTTTGGAGCACACTGAGGCCTATACAAAAAAAGAAAACTCCCAAGATAAAAAATAGGAAGAAGGTGTCTGTGAAACTGCTTTGTGATGTGTTGATTCAGCTCTAAGAGTTAAACGTTTCTTTTGATTCAGCAGGTTGGAAACACTGTTTTTGCACAATCTGCAAAGAGACATTTTGAAGCCCACTGAGGTCTATAATGAGAAACCAAATATTCTGTGATATAAATCAGTAAGAAGTTGTCTCTGAAACAGTTTTGTTATGTGTGCATTCATTTTACAGAGTTAAAATTTGCTTTTGATTCAGCAGGATGGAAATACTTTTTCTGTAGATTCTGTGAAGGGGTATTTTGGAGCACACCGAGGCCTATATTGATAAACAGAATATACCAGGATAAATACTAGAAATAATCTATCTGTAAAACTGCTTTGTGATGTGTGGATTCAGCTCACAGATTTAAACCATTATACTGATTCAGCAGGTTGGAGACTCACTTTTTGTAGAATCTGTGAGGAAACATTTTGGAGTCCACTAAGACCTGTAGTGAGAAACCCAAAACCTGCAATAAAAACTGGAAAGAAGCTATCTGTGGAAAAGTTTTGTGCTGTGTGCATTCAGTTCCCAGGTTTAGACATTACTTTAGATTCAGCAGGATGTAAAAACTCTTTTTTTGTAATCTGTGGAGCAGGATTTTTGAGCTCACTGAGGCTTATATTAAAAAATGGAATATCCTGCAATAAAAACTAGAAGGAACTTATCTGTGAACCTGCTTTGTAACATGTGGATTTAATTGAGAGTTAAACCTTTCTTTTTGATTCAGCGAGTTGGAAACTCTCTTTTTGTAGATTCTGTGAAGGGACATTTTGGAGCCCACTGAGGCCTATAGTGAAAAACAAAATATTCCGTGATAAAAACTAGAAAATACCTATCTGTGTAACTGCTTTGTAAATATGTGAAAGAACACTTCAAAGCCCTCTGAGGCTTATATTAAAAAATGGAATATCCTGTGATAGAAACTACGAAGAAGCTATCTGTGAAACCACTTTGTGATGTGTGCATACAGCACACAGAGTTAAACCTTCTTTTTTATTCAGCAGGTTTAAAAAACTCTTTTTGTAGAATCTGCCAAGGGACATTTCAAACCCCCTGAGGCCTATAGTGCACAACAAAATATCCCACAATAAAAACTAGAAAAATCTATCTGTCAAACTTCTTTTTGATGTGTGGATTTAGCTCAAAGTGTTAAACCTTTCTTTTAATTCAGCAGTTTGGAAACACTCCTTTTGTAGCATTTGTGAAGAAATATTTTGGTGAAACTGAGGCCAATAGTGAAAAACCAAATGTCCTCTGGCAAAAACTAGAAAAAATCGACCAGTGAAAGTGCTTTGTGATGTGTGGCTTCAGCTCACAGAGTTAAATCTTTCATTTCATTCAGCAGGTTCGAAACACTCTTCTTGTAAAATCTGTGAAGGGAAATTTTAGAGCCTACCGAGGCTTAAAGTGAAAAACAGAATAGCTCATGATGAAAACAAGAAAGAAGGTACTATGAAATTGCTTTGTGATGTGTGGACTAAGCATACCTAGTTAAACCTTTCTTTTGAGTTGCAGGTTGGAGACACTCTTTTTGTAGAATCTGCAAAGAAACATTTCAGAGCCCACTGAGGCCCATAGTGAAAAACAGAACATCCCATGCTAAAAACTAGAATGAAGCTATCTGTGAAACTGCTTTGTGACCTGGGAATTCAGTTTTTTTTCAGTTTTCAATGTTAAGCTTTTATCTTCATGCAGCAAGTTAAAAACACTATTTTTGTAGAATCTGCAAAGGGACATTTCAAAGCCCACTGAGGTTTATGCTGAAAATAGAATATTATTGACCAAAACTAGAAAGAAGCTATCTGTGAATCTGTTTTGTGATGTGTGGACTCATCTCACAGAGTTAAATCTTTATTTTGATTCAGCAGGTTGGAAACACCCCTTTTATAGAATCTGCAATGGGACATTTTGGAGCACATTGAAAACTAATATAAAAAACTGAATATCTCACAATCAAAACTAGAAAGAAGCTGAGAAACAGCTTTGTGATGGGTGGATTCAACTCATAGAGATAAACTTTTCTTTTCATTCATGAGGTTGAAAAACTCTATTTGTAGATTCTGAGAAGAAAATTTCAGAGCCCACTGAGGCCTTTAGTGAAAAAAAAGGATATCCTGTGTTAAAAACTAGAAAGAGACTATCTGTGAAACTGTTTTGTGATGTGAGCATTCAGCTCAGAGAGTTAAACCTTTCTTTTGATTCTGCAGGATGGAAGCTCTCTTTTTGTAGAATCAGCGAAGGGACATTTCATAGCACACTGAGGAATATAGGGAAAAATTGAATATCCCATTATAAAAAAATAGAAAGAAGCAATAAGTGAACCCATTTTATGATGTGTGCATTCAGCTCACAGAGTTAAATCTTTCTTTTGATTCTGAAAACTGAAAACATTCTTTTTGTAGAAAATGCAAATAAATATTTTGGAGCCCAGTGGGGCCCAGAGTGAAAAATCGAATATCCTGTGATAAAAACCAGGAAGAATCTATCTGTGAAACTGTTTCATGATGATTGCATTCAACTCACAGAATTACACCATTTGTTGATTCAGCAGATTGTAAACACTTTTTTTGTAGAATCTTCGAAGGGACATATTGTAGCCCTGTTAGACATTTAGTGAAAAACTGAATATCCTATGATAAAAACTAGAAAAAATGTATCTGTGAAACTGCTTTGTGATGGGTGCCTTTAACTCACTGACTTAATCCTTTCTTTCATTCAGGAGGTTGGAAACACTTTTTATGTGGAATCTGCAAACGGATATTTTGGAGCCCACTGAAACATTTAGTGAAATATAGACTATCTCACAATAAAAGGTAGAAAGTAGCTATCTATGAAACTCTTTTGTGATGTCTGCATTCAACTCAATTAGATAAACCTTATTTTGATTCAGCAGGTTGGAGACACAGGTTTTTTAGAATCTGCAATGGGACATTTCGGAGCCCACTGCGGCCTATTGTGAAAAACTGAATATGTTTCAATAAAAACTAGAAAGAAGCTACCTGTGAAACTGCTTTGTAATGTGTGCATTCAGCTCACAAAGTTAATCTTTGTTTTGATTCAACAGGTTGGAAACAGTCTTTTTGTAGAAGCATTTCATAGGCCACTGAGGCCTATTGTGAAAAAACCAAATATCTCACTATAAAAACTAAGCAGAAGCTATCTGTGAAACTGTTTTGTGATGTTTGCATTCAGCTCACAGAGTTAAAACTTTTTTTTGATCAGCAGGTTGGCAACACTCTTTTTGTAGGTGGTGGGGCATTTCAGAGGCCACTGCAGCCTATAATGAAAAATGGAACATGCTATGATAAAAACTAGTAAGAAGCTACCTGTGAAAGTCCTTCTTGATGTCTGCATTAAGCTTACAGAGTTAAACCTTTCTCCTGATTCAGCAGGTTAGAGACAATGTTTTTGCAGAATCTGCAAAGGGACATTTCAAAGCTCACTGAGGCCTATAGTGAAAAACCGAATATCCTGCAATGAAAACTAGAAAGAAGCTATCTGTGAAATTGCTTCGTGAAGTGTGCATTTAGCTCACAGAGCTAAATCTTTTTTTAATTCAGCAGTTTGGAAACATTCTTTTTGTAGAATCTGCAAAAAAGCATTTTGTTGGCCACAGAGTCCTATACTGAAAAACAGAATATTCCATGACAAAAAACTATATAGAACATATGTGTGAAAATGTTTTGTGATATTTGCATTCAGCTCACAGAGTTAAACCATTCATTTGATTCAGCAGGTTGGAAACACTCTTTTTGTAAAATTTGTGGAGGAACATTTAGGAGCCCACTGATGCCTGTATTGAAAAACCAAATATCCCACTATAAAAGCTAGAAAGAAACTCTCTGTGAAACTGCTTTGATATGTGCACTCAGCTCACAGACTTAAACTTTTCTCTGGATACAACATGTTGGAAACTCTTTTTTATAAAACCTACAAAGGGACATTTCAGAGCTCACTGAGACCTAGAGTGAAGAACTGAATATCCTGTGATCAAGACAAAAAAACTATCATCTGTGAAAGTGTTTGTTGTGTGTGAATAAAGCTCATAGAGTTAAACCCTTTTTTGATTCAGCAGGTTGGAAACACTTTTTTTGCAGAATCTGAGAGGGACACTTTGGAGCACACTGAGGCCAATAGTGAAAAACCAAATATTCCGTGATAAATACTAGAAAGAGGCTATCTGTAAACTTCTTTGTGATGGGTGCATTCAGCTCACAGAGATAAAGTTTTCTTTTGTTTCAGTAGGTTGGAAACACTCTTCTTGTAGAATCTGAAAAGGGACATTTCAGAGCCTACTGAGTCCTATAATGAAAAATTGAATATCCAGCAATAAAAACTAGAAAGAAGCTATCTGTGAAACTGTTTTGTGATGTTTACATACAGCTCAAAGAGTTAAAACCTTTTTTTGATTCAGCAGGTTGGAAACATCCTTTTATTAGAATCTGTGAAGGGGCATTTCATGGGCCACTGAGGCCTATAGGTAAAAACAAATATTTTGCAATAAAAACTAGAAAAAATCTATCTGTGGAACTGGAACTGTGTTGTGATGTTTGCACTGAGCTTGGAGAGTTAAACCCTTGTTTTGATTCAACAGGGTGGAAACACTCTTTTTGAGGAATCTGCAAAGGGGCATTTTGCTGGCCATTGTGGCCTACAGTGCAAAAATGAATATCCCATGATAAAAAGTAAAAGGTAGCTATCATCTGTGAAACTGATTTGTGAAGTGTGCATTAAACTTCCTGAGTTAAACTTTTCTTTTGATTCAGCAGGTTGAAAACACTCTTTTTGTACAATTTGAAAAGGGATATTTTGAAGCCCACTGAGACCACAGTGAAGAAATGAATATCCTACAATAAAAAGTAGAAAGAAGCCATGTGAAACATCTTTGTGATGTGTGGATTAAGCTCCCAGAGTTAAACCTTTCTTTTGATTTGGCAGGTTGAAAACACAGTTTTAGTAGAGTCTGTGAAGGGACATTTAGGAGCCCACTGAAACCAAAAGTGAAAAACAGAATATCTCACAATAAAAACTAAGAAAATGCTATATTTGAAACAACTATTTTGTGATATTTATATTCAGCTCTGAAATTTAAATTTTTGTTTTGACTCAGCACTTTGGAAACACGGTTTTTGTAGGATCTGCAAAAGGACATTTTGTAGGCCATTAATGCCTATAGGTAAAATCAATAGTTAAAATCAAATATCCCACGATGAGAACTAAAATGAAAATATCTGTGAAACTGATTTGTGATGTGTGCACTCAACTCACAGAGATAAACTTTTCTTTCCATTCAGCAGGTTGGAACCACTCTTTTTAAGGCATCTGCAAATGGACATGTCAAAGCCCACTGAGTCCTATATCAGAAAACCAAATACTTTGTGATAAAAACAAGAAATAAGCTATCTGGAAGCTGTTTTGTCATGTTTAAATACAGCTCACAGAATTAAAACTTTCTTATAATTCAGCAGGTTGGAAACAATTTTTGTAGAATCTGTGAAGAGGCATTTCTTAGGCTGCAGAAGCCTATGGTGACCAATCAAATATCACATGATAAAAACCAGAATGAAGCTCTCTGTGAAACTGTTTTGTGATGTTTGCATCCAACTCACAGAGTTCACAGAGTTAAACCTTTCATTTGACTCAGCAGGTTGGAAACACTCTTTTTGTAGAACCTTCAAAGGGATATTTAGGCACCCACTGATTCCTATATTGAAAAAATTGAAAACTCACCATAAAAACTAAAAAAAAAAACCAATTTGTGAAACTGCTTTGTGATGTGTGGATTCAGCTCACAAATTAACCCTTTTTTTCATTCACCAGGTTGGAAACACTATTTTTGTAGACTCTATGAAGGGGCATTTTGGATCACATGAGGCCTAATATGAAAAACTGAACATTTTGTTATCAAAACTAGAAATAGACTGTATGTGAAACTGCTTTGTGATGTATGAATTCAGCTAACAGACTTAAATATTTCTTTTCATTCATCATGTTGGGAAACTCTTTCTGTAGAATCTAAGAAGGGACATATCAGAGCCAACTGAGGCCTATAGTGAAAAATGGAATATCCCACAGTAAAAAGTAGAAGCTATCTGTGAAACAGCTTTGTGATGTGTGCATTCAACTATAGAGTTAAACCTTTCTTTTGGTTCAGCAGATTGGAAACACTCTTCTTGTAGAATCTTCAAAGGGAAATTTTGGAGCCCTCTCAGGCCTCTATTAAAAAATCGAATATCTCGTGTTACAAACTAGAAAGAAGATATATGTGAAATGGTTTTGTGATGTTTTCATTCAGCTCTCAGACTTAAACATTTCTTTTTATGCAGCAGTTTGGAAACACTCTTTTTGTAGAATCTGGGAAGGGGCATTTCAGAGGCCACTGAGGTCTATAGTGAAAAACAAAGTCCTGCAATAAAAACTAGAAAGAAGCGATCTGTGAAACTCTTTTGTGATGTTTGCATTAGGCTCACTGACTAAACCTGTCTTTTGTTTCTGAAGGTTGGAGACAGTTTTTTGTAGAAACTGTGAAGAGACATTTAGGAGCCCACAAAAGCCTATAATGAAGAAAAACCAAATATCCCATAATAAAATGTAGAAAGAAGCTATCTGTGAAACTGCTTTGTGATTTGTGGATTCAGCTTCCTGAGTTAAAGCTTTCTTTTGAATCAGCAGTTGAAAATACTTCTCTTTTAGGATCTGCAAAGGGACATTTTGAAGCCCACTGAGACCTATAGTGAAATAAACGACTATCCCATGATTAAAACTAGTAAGAAGCTATGTATGAAATGGTTTTTTGATGTTTGCATTCAACACACGGAGTTAAAACTTTCTTTTGATGAGCAGGTAGGAAACACTGTTTCTGTAGGATCCACAAAAGGATATTTGAAACATCACTGAGGCCTATAGTGAAAAATGGAATACCCTGAGATAAAAATGAGAAAGAAGCTATCTGTGAAACTCCTTTGTGAAGTATGCAATCAGCTCCAAAATTTAAAACTTTATTTTAATTCAAAGGGTTGGAAACACTCTTTTTGTGGAACAAAAAGTCTATAGTGATAGACTCCTAGCAGGAACAAAAGAGAGAAGAATCAAATAGACACAATAAAAAATGATGAAGGGTATATCACCACTGATCCCACAGAAATACACACTACCATCAGAGAACACTACAAACACCTCTACACACATAAACCGGAAAATCAAGAAGAAATGGATTCATTTCTCGACACATACACCCTCCCAGGACAAAATCAAGAAGAAGTTGAATTCTGAATAGACCAATAACAGGCTCTGAAATTGAGGCAATAATTAATAGCTTACCAACCAAAAAAAGTCCAGGTTCAGATGGATTCACAGCCGAATTCTACCAGAGGTACAAGGAGGAGCTGGTACCATTCCTTCTGAAATTATTCCAATCAATAAAAAAAGAGGGAATCCTCCCTAACTCATTTTATGAGGCCAGCATCATCCTGATACCAAAGCCTGGCAGAGACACACAAAAAAAGAGAATTTTAGACCAATATCCTTAATGAACATCAATGCAAAAATCCTCAATAAAATACTGGCAAACCAAACACGTCAAAAAGCTTATCCACTATGATAAAGTGGACTTCATCCTGAGATGCAAGGCTGGTTCAGCATGCACAAATCAATAAACGTAATCCAGCATATAAACAGAATGAAAGACAAAAACCACATGATTATCTCAATAGATGCAGAAAAGGCCTTTAAAAAATTCAACAACGCTTCATGCTAAAAACTCTTAATAAATTAGGTATTGATGGGATGTAGCTCAAAATAATAAGAGCTGTCTATGACAAGCCCACAGCCAATATCATACTGAATGGGCAAAAACTGGAAGCATTTCCTTTGAAAACTGGCACAAGACAGGGATAACCTCTCTCACCACTTCTATGCAACATAGTGTTGGAAGTTCTGGCCAGGGCTTTCAGGCAGGAGAAGGAAATAAAGGGCATTCAATTAGGAAAAGAGGAAATCAAATTGTCCCTGTTTGCAGATGAGACGATTGTGTATTTAGAAAACCCTAACCTCTCAGCCCAAAATCTCCTTAAGTTGATAGGCAACTTCAGCAAAGTCTCAGGATACAAAATCAATGTGCAGAAATTACAAACATTCTTATACACCAATAACAGACAGAGAGCCAAATCATGAGTGAACTCCCATTCACAATTGCTTCAAAGAGAATAAAATACCTAGGAATCCAACTTACTAGGGATGTGAAGGACCTCTTCAAGGAGAAATCCAAGCCACTGCTCAATGAAATAAAAGAGGATACAAACAAATGGAAGAACATTCCATGCTCATGGGTAGGAAGAATCAATATCGTGAAAATGGCCATACTGCCCAAGGTAATTTATAGATTCAATGCCATCCCCATCAAGCTACCAATGACTTTCTTCACAGAATTGGAAAAAAACTACTTGAAAATTCATATGGAACCAAAAAAGAGCCCACATTGCCAAGTCAATCCTAAGCCAAAAGAACAAAGCTGGAGGCATCACACTACCTGGCATCAAACTATACTACAAGGCTACAGCAACCAAAACAGCATGCTACTGGTACCGAAGCAGAGACATAGACCAAGGGAACAGAACAGAGCCCTCAGAAATAATGTCACATATCTACAACTATCTCATCTTTGACAAACCTGACAAAAACAAGAAATGGGGAAAGGATTCCTTATTTAATAAATGGCGCTGGGAAAACTGGTTAGCAATATTTAGAAAGCTGAAACTGGATCCCTTCTTTACACCTTATACAAAAATTAATTCAAGATGGATTAAAGACTTAAATGTTAGACCTAAAACCATAAAAACCCTAGGAGAAAACCTAGGCAATATCATTCAGGACATGGGCATGGGCAAGGACTTCATGTCTAAAACACCAAAAGCAATGACAACAAGAGCCAAAGTTGATAAATGGGATCTAATTAAACTAAAGAGCTTCTGCACAGCAAAAGAAACCACCATCAGCATGAACAGGCAACCTACAGAATGAGAGAAAATTTTCACATCCTACTCATCTGACAAAGGGCTAATATCCAGAATCTACAATGAACTCAAACAAATTTACAAGAAAAAATCAAAAAACCCCATCAAAAAATAAGTGAAGTATATGAACAGATACTTCTCAAAAGAAGACATTTATGCAGACAAGACACATGAAAAAATGCTCATCATCACTGGTGATCAGAGAAATGCAAATCAAAACCACAATGAGATATCATCTCACACCAGTTAGAATGGCGATCATTAAAAAGTCAGGAAACAACAGATGCTGGAGAGGATGTGAGGAAATAGGAACACTTTTACACTGTTGGTGGGACTGTAAACTAGTTCAAACATTGTGGAAGTCAGTGTGGCAATTCCTCAGGGATCTAGAACTAGAATTACCATTTGACCCAGCCATCCCATTACTGTGTGTATACCCAAAGGATTATAAATCATGCTGCTATAAAGACACACATATGTTCATTGCTGCACTACTCACAATAGCAAAGACTTGGACCCAGCCCAAATGTCCAACAATGATAGACTGGATTAAGAAAATGTGGCACATATACACCATGGAATACTATGCAGCCATAAAAACTGATGAGTTCGTGTCCTTTGTAGGGACATGGATGAAGCTGGAAACCATCATTCTCAGCAAACTATCGCAAGGACAAAAACCAAACACTGCATGTTCTCACTCATAGGTGGGAATTGAACAATGAGAACACATGGACACAGGAAGGGGAACATCACACACTGAGGCCTGTTGTGGGATCGGGGGAGGAGGGAGAGATAGCATTAGGAGATACAACTAATGTTAAATGACAAGTTAATGGGTGCAGCACGCTAACATGACACATGTATACATATGTAAAAACCTGCAAGTTGTGTACATGTACCCTAAAACTTAAAGTATAATAAAAAAGGAGTGTTGCCAACCTGCTGAATCAAAATCACGGTTTAACTCTTTGAGGTCAATCAACACATAACAAAGCAGTTTCACAGATAGTTTCATTCTAGTTTCTATTGCGGGATATTAGGTTTTTCACCACAGGCCTTATAGCCCTCCAAAATGTCACCTCGCAGGTTTACAAAAAGATGGTTTCCAGCCTGCTGAATCAAAAGAAATGTTTACCTTTGTGAGCTGCATCCACACGTCACCAAGTACTTTCACAGATAGCTTCTTTCTAGTTGTTATCACCAGATATTCAGTTTTTCATTATAAACCTCAGTGTCTTTAAATGTCCATTCACAGATTATACAAAAAGTGTGTTTACAACCTGCTGAATAGAAAGAATTAATTAACTGTGGGCTAAATCCACACATTGCAAAGCAGTTTCACAGATCAATCTTTCTAGTTATTACTATGGGATATTCGATTTTTCAGTATTGGCCTCAGTCGGGTCCCACATGTCCCTTCGCAGATTTTACAAGACTATTTCCAATCAACTGAATCAGAATAAAGGTTTAACTCTGTTAGGTGAATCTACTTATCACAAAGCAGTTTCACAGATAGCTTCTTTACAGTTTGTATAGTGGGATATTCGATTTTTCACAACAGGCCTCAGTATGCTCTGAAATGTCCCTTTGCAGATTCTACAAAAATAATGTTTTCAATCTCGGTTTGTTTTGAAGTTTTCTCACTGATTCTACAAAATATTGTGTCCAACCTGCTGAATGAAAAGAAAGGTTTAACTGTGTGATCTGAATCCCCACATCACAAAGGAGTTTCACAGATATCTTCTTTGTAGTGTTTATCATGGTACATACAATACATACATCATGGTAGATATGTGGTACATGCATCATGTACATACATATGTGGTACATACATCGTGGTACATACGTGGTACATATGATACGTTTGTGGTACATACATGGTAAATATGATACATATGTGGTACATATGATACATACACCAATAGCTTTCTAGTGTTTATTGTGGTACATATGATACATACATCATTGTACATATGATACATACATCGATACATATATCGTGGTACATACAATACATACATATGATACATACATACATATGATACATACATACAACACATATATATGATACATTCATCGTGGCACATATGATACGTATATAGCTTCTTTCTAGTGTTTATCATGGTGCACATGGTTTTACACTATGGCATCAGTAGACTCCAAAATGTCCCTTCAAAAATTCTACAAAAAGGTTTCCACCCTGCTGAATTAAAAGAAAAGTTTACCTCTGTGAGCTGAATGCACACATCACAAGCAGTTTCACAGATAGCCTCTTTCTAGTATTTATCATGGAATATTCAGTTTTTCACTATAGGCTCCAGTGAGCTTTAAAATATCTCTTTGTAGAAACTATGAAATGAGTGTTTTCAACCTACTGAATCAAAGGAAAGGTTTAGCTCTGTGAGCTGAATCCACAAACCACAAAACAGTTTCACATATAGCTACTTTCTAGTTTTATCAAGGGATATTCTTTTTTTCACTATAGGCTTCATTGGGCTCTGAAATATTTCTTCACAGATTCTAAAAAAAATGAGTGTTTCCAACTGGTTGAATGGGCACAGTGGGCTCCAAAATGGTTCTTCACAGATTCTACAAAAATAGTGTTTCCAACCTGCTGAACCCTAAGAAAGGTTTCCCTTTGTGAGCTGAATCCACACTTCACAAAGCAGTTTCACAGATAGCTTCTTTCTAGTTTTCATCACTTGATATTTGGTTTTTCACTATGACCTCAGTTGTCTCTGAAATGTCTCCTTGCAGATCCTGCAATAAGAGTATTTCTAAACTGCAGAATCAAAAGAAAGATTTAGCACTTGAGCTGAATGCACTCATCACAAAGCTGTTTCACAGATATATTCCTTCTAATTTTTATTGCAGAATATTTTGTTGATCACAATAGTCATCAGTTTTCCCAGAAATGTCCCTTTGCAGATTCTGCAGAAAGAGTATTTCCAACCTGCTGAATCAAAAGAAAAATTTAACTTTATGAGCTGAATGCACGTCACAAAGCAGTTTCACAGATAGCTTCTTTCCAGTTTATATAACCGGATATTCATTTTTTCATTATAGGCCTCAGTTTGCTCAAAAATGTCCATTCACAGGTTCTACAAATAGAGTATTTCCAACCTTCTGAATCAAAAAAAAGTTTAACTCAGTGAGCTAAATGCATAAATCAAAAAGCACTTTCACATATAGCTTGTTTCTAGTTTTTTTCGCTGGATATTTGGTTTTTGACTACAGGCCTCAGTCTGCTACGAAATGTCCTTTCACTGATTCTACAAAAGGTGTGTTTCCACCAGCTGAATCAACAAGAAAGGTTTAACTCTGTGAGCTGAATGCACAGATCACAAGTAGTTTCACAGATAGCTTCCTTCTAGTTTTTACTGTGGGATATTCGGTTTATTACTATAGTCCTCAATGTGCTCTGAAAAGTCCCTTTGCAGATTCTAAATAAAGAGTATTTCCAACCAGCTGAATCAAAATAATAGTTTACCTCTGTGAGATGAATGTACACTTCACAAAGCAGCTTCACAGATAGCTTCTCTCTAGTTTTTATGGCAGGATATTTTGTTTTTCACTAAAGGCCTCTGTGGGCTTTAAAATGTCTCTTCGCACATGCTACAAAGACAGTGTTTCCAATCTGCTGAATCAAAGGAAACATTTAACTCTGTGAGGTGAATGCACTCTTCACCAAACAGTTTTACAGATGCCATTTTTCTAGTTTTTATCACAAGATATTCAGTTTTTCATAATAGCCCTCATTTGGCTCTGAAATATCCCCTTGCAGATTCCACAAAAAGAGTATTTTCAATCTGCTTAATCAAAAGAAAGGTTTACCTATGTGAGCTGAATCCACATATCACAAAGCAGTTTCACAGACAGATTCATTCAAATTTTTATCTCTGGATATTCAGTTTTTTCTATAGGCTTCAGTTGGCTTTGAAATGTCCCTTCAGAGATTCTAACAAAAAAAGTCTTTCCAACCAGCTGAATCAAAGAAAGGTTTAACTCTCTTAGCTGAATCCACACATCATAATGCATTTCTCTGATAGCTTCTTTCTTGTTTTTATTGAGGTATATTTGGTTTTTCTCTATAAGCATCAGTGGGGTGTAAAATATTCCTTTCCAGATTCTACAAAGAGAGTGTTTCCAACCTTCTGAGTCAAAAGGAAGATTTATCTCCATGAGCTATGTGCACACAGATGAAAGTAGTTTAAAAGATAGCTTCTTTCTACTTTTTATCCTGGGATATTCAGTTTTTCACCATAAACCTTAGTGGGTTTCAAAATGTTCCCTCGCAGATTCTAAAAAAAAAAACTGTTTCAAACTTGATAAATCAAAGGACAGTTTTATCTCTGTGACCTGAATCCACACATCACAAAGCAGTTTCACAGATAGCTTCTTTCTAGTTTTTATCATGGGATATTTGGTTTCTGACTATAGGCCTCAGTGGGCTATGAAATGTCCCTCTGCAGATTCTTCAAAGTTGTGTTACCACCTGTTGAATCAAAAGAAAGGTTTATCTCTGTGAGGTGAATCCACAAAACACAAAACAGTTTAACGGATAGCTTCTTTCTAATTTTTATCACAGTATATTTGATTTTTCACTATAGGCTTCAGTGGGCTTCCAAATATCCATTTGCAGATTCTACAACAAGAGAGTTTCCAACCTGTTGAATCAAAAGAAAGGTTTATCTCTGTGAGCTGAATGCACACATCTCAAAGCAGTTTCAAAGATAGCTTCCTTCTAGGTTTTATTGTGGAAAATTTTGTTTTTCACTATAGGCTTCAGTGGGCTGCTCAATATCCTTTCACAGATTCTAGAAAAACTGTTTCCAACCTGATGAATCAAAATAATTAACTCTTTGAGCTGAATCCACACGTCACAAACCACTTTCACAGATAGCTTTTCTGTTGTTTTTACAGAAGATATTCCAATTTTCATATAGCCTCAGTGAGGTCCAAAATGTCCCTTCATAAGTTCTACAAAAGGAGTGTTTCCAACCTGTTGAATCAAAAGGAAGGTTTGACTCTGTGAGCTGAATCCACATCTCACAAAGTGGTTTCACATAGAGCTTCTTTATAGTTTTTATGACAAGATATTCGGTTTTTCACTACAGACCTCAGTGGGTTCTGAAACTTTCCTTTGCAGATTCTACAAAAAACGTGTTTCCTAACTGTTGAAACAAAAGAAACGTTTAACTCTGTGAGCTGAGTGCACACATCACAAAGAGGTTTCAAAGATAGCTTCTTTCTAGTTTTTATAGTGTGATCCAGTGGAGGCCTTCATGGGCTCCAATATGTCCTTTTGCAGATTCTATAAAAAGAGTGCTTCCAATCAGCTGAATCTAAAGAAAGGTTTAACTCTGTGAGCTGAATGCACACATCACAAACAGTCACAGATAGCTGTTTTAGTATCTATGATAAAAACTAGAAAGTAGCTGTCCATTAAATTTTTTAAAAAAATTATTCTTTGCGATAGTAGCGGCATCCTTAGGAGACTGCCAGAATTCTGTGCAGTCTCACCCCTTTTCCCCTTTGCCTGTCTCAACATCACCCTGTGTCCCTTCCATCATGCCCACACCACCCTGTGGCCTTGTATTCCCTTGTGGGTGCCTTCCGCGAGAAACACAGGCACCCTGCTTTAAAGCCTGGGGCTTTACAGCCTACCCAGTACAGCCCTGGGGACTTCTGGGATGAATAAACTCTCCTTAGAAGTCTCACAGCATTCCTTGCAGTTGTGCTGCTTCTCCTCTCTGCGTGCCTCAAAGTCCTTCTGAGTCACTACTGCCCACCTATGCCACTGTGCAGGCCCATTTTCAATTGTGGGGGCCTTCTGTGAGAGACACAGGCATCCTGTTCCAAAACCTATGGCTTTACAGTTTTCCCTGGAAAGCCTTGGGGTTTTATGGGATGGGGGTCATCCTTGGGAGGCTCAGAGCACTTCCTGTGGTCTCGCTGCCTCTCCTTTACCTGCTGCAAAGTCCCCCTGATTACCTGATGCCAGCCCACACCACCCTGCTTCCCCGTTTGCCCTTGTGGGAGCCTTCTGCAAGAGACACAGGCACCCTGCTCCAAAGCCTGGGTCTTTACAGCCTGCCCTGGACCACTCTGGGGGCTTCTGAGTTTGGAGAGAACTCCTTAGGAGGCTCCCAGCATTTTCTGTGTCTTCGCTGCTTCTCCTCTCTGACTGCCTCAAGGTTCCCCTGAGTCCCTGCGACCCGCCCACCCCATATGTGGCCAGGATTTCATTTGTAGGGGCCTTCTGCCAGAGACTCAAGCACCCTGCTCCAAAGTCTGAAGCATTACTTCACGCCAGGGACAGCCCTGGGGGCTTCTGGGATGGGAGAGACCTCTTTGGGAGGCTCCCAGCATTCCCTACAATCTCACTATTTCTCCACTCTCTCTGCCTCAACATCCACCTGAGTCTTTGCGGCCCTCCCACGCCACACTGTGGCCCCGTTTTCACTCGTGGGGGCCTTCTGCGTGAGACACAGGCACCCTGCTCCAATGCCTGGGGCTTAACAGTCCACCCGGGACAACCTGGGGGCTTTTGGGGTAGGAGAGGCTTCTTTGGGAGGCTCCCAGCATTTTCTGCAGTATCTTCGCTTCTTGCTACCTGCAGTAACGTCCCCCTGAGTCCCTGTGACCCGCCCATGCCACACTGCATTGTCGTTTTTGCTTGTGAGGGCTTTCCGTGAAGATACAGACACCCTGCTCCAAAGCCTGGGGGTTTAAAGCTCGCCTTGGGCAGCCCTGGGGGCTTCTGGGATGGGAGAGGCATCCTTTGGAGGCTCCCAGCATTCCTTGTTGTCTACCTGCTTCTATGCTTTGCCTGCCTCAACATTTCCATGAGTTGCTGCGGCCCGCCCATGCAACCCTGAGGCCCCATTTTTGCTTGTGGGGGCCTTCCACATAAGACACAGGCACCCTGCTCCAATGCTTGGGGTTTAACAGCCCACCAGGGACAGCCCTGGGAGCTTCTGGGATGGGAGTGGCATCCTTGGGAGGCTCCCAGCATTCCCTGCGGTCTCCACAATGCTTCTACACTCTGCCTGCTTTGACATTCCACTGAGTTCCTGCGGCCTGCCCAGGGACAACCTGCGGCCCTGTTGTCACATGTGGGGGCATCCCGCGAAAGACATAGGCACCCTGCTCCAAAGCCTCGGACTTTATGCACCGCCAGGGACAGCCCTGGGGAATTCTGGGATGGGAGCGGCATTAATGCGAGTCTCCCAGCATTCCCTGCGCTCTCACCACTTCTCCCCTTTGCCTGCCTCAATGTCCCCCTGAGTTCCTGCGGTCCGCCCATGCCACACTTTGGCCCAGTTTTTGAATTTTGGGGTCTTCTGAGAGAGACACAGTCACCCTTCTCTGAAGCTTGAAGCTTTACAGCCTGACCAGGACAGCACTGGGGACTTCAGCAATGGGAGAGGGTTTCTTGGGAGGCTCCCAGAATTCCCTGTGGTCTTGCAATTTCTACCATTTGCATACCATAGCATCCACCTGAGTCTCTGCAGCCCTCCCACGCCCACCAGTGGCCCTGTTTTCGCTTGTGTGGGCCTTCAGTAAGAGACACAGGTACCCTGCTCCAAAGCCGGGGATTTACAGCCGGCCCAGGATGGCCCTAGGGCATTCTGAGATGGGAAAAACCTCCTTCCAACTCTCCGAGATTTGCTGCAGTCTAGCCACTTCTTCCCTTTGCCTGCTTCAACGTCCCTCTGAATCCCTGCTGCAAGCCAGCTCTACCCTGTGGCCCCGTTTTCGCTTGCGGGGGCCTTCTGTGGGGGACACAGACACCCTGCTCTAAAGCCCGGAGCTTTACGGCCCACCTGGGAGAGACCTGGGGGCCTCTGTGATAAGAGAGGCCGTTTGTAAATGCTCCCATCATTTCCTGTGGTCTCGCTGCTTCTACTCTCTGCCTGCCTCAATGTCCCCCAGAGTATCTGCGGACTGCCCACGCCACGCTGCTGCCCGGTTTTCAATTATGAATGCCTTCTGCAAGAGACACAGGAATTCTGCTCCTAAAGCTGGGGCTTTACAGCCTGCTTGGGACAGCCCTAGGGCTTTCCGGGATGAAAGGGGCCTCCTTGAGAGGCTCCCAACATTCCCTGCAATCTCGCAGCTTCTCCACTCTGCTTGCCTCAATGTCCCCCTGAGTTCCTGCAGCCCGATCTGGCCTCACTGTGGCCCTGTTTTCGCTTGTGGGGGGCCTTCCGGGAGAGTCACAGGCACCCTGCTCTAAAGTTTGCAGCTTTACAGCCCACCTGAAACAGCCCTGGGGGATTCTGGGATAAGGCAGGCCTCCTTAGGAGTCTCCCTGCATTCTCTGCGGTCTGGTCGCTTCTCCCCTCTGCCTGCCTCAACGTTTCCCTGAGTCCCTGCTGCCCGCCCATGCCACCCTGCTGTGGAGGCCTTCTGCTAGAGACACAGGCACCCTGCACTAAAGCCTGGGGCTTTATAGCCTGCCGGGGACAGCCCTGGGTGCTTGTGAGACAGGACAGGCTTCCTTGGGCGGCTCCCAGCATTCCCTGAGGTCTCAATGATGCTTCTCCTCTCTGCCTGCCTCAATGTCTCCCTGATGCCTGTGGCCCTCCCAGGTCACCCTGTGGCCCTATTTTTGCTTGTGAGGGCTTTCCGCGAGAGAGAAAGGCACCCTGTTCCAAAGCCTGGGGCTTTATAGCTTGCCCAGGACAGCCCTGGGGCCTTCTGGAATGGGAGAGGTATTCTTGGGAGGCGGCCAGAATAATGTGTAGTCTCACCCCTTCTCCTCCTGCGTGCCTCAATGTCCCCGTGTGTCCCTCCGGTTCACCCTCGCCACCCTGCAACCCTGTTTTCCTTTGTGTGTGCCTTCTGCGAGAGACATAGGCACCCTGATCTAAAGCCTGGGGCTTTACAGCCCTCCCCGGACAGCCCTGGGGGCTTCTAAGTGGGAGAAGCCTCTTTGGGAGGCTCCCAGCATTCCCTGCTGTCTCATCGCTTCTCCCTACTGCCTGCCTCAACATTTCTTGGAGTCCCTGCCTCCCACCCACGCCATTCTGCAGCTTTGATTTCGCTTTTGGGGGCCTTTTCAGACAGACACTGAAACCCTGCTGTAAAGCCTGGGGCTTTACAGTCTGCCCAAGACAATTCTGGAGGCTTCTGGGATGGGAGAGGTGTCCTTGGGAGGATCCCAGCATTCCCTGCGGTCTCACCACTTCCTACCTGCCTTAATGGACCCCTGAGTCCCTGCAGCCATATCTGGCCAGGCTGCAGCCCCGTTTTCACTCTGGGGGCCTTCCGTAAGAGACAAACGCAGCCTTCACCAAAGCCTGGAAATTTATAGCCCTCCTGGGCCATCCCAGATAACTCTAGGATGAAAGAGGCTTTCTTGGGAGGCTCCCAGCATTCCCTGAAGTCTCGCCGCTTCTCCCCTCTGCCTGCCTCTAAGTCCCTCCGAGTCCATCCAGCCCACATATGCCACCCTGAGGCCCCATTTTCGCTTGTGGGGGCCTTCCGTGAGAGACACAGGCACCTTCTTGCAAAGCCTGGGGCTTTACAGCCCCCGTGGGACAGCCCTGGAGGCTTCTGAGATGGAGGAGTTCTCCTTAGGAGGCTCTCCACATTCTCTGGGTTCTCGCTGCTTGCCTTCAATGCCTGCCTCAAGGTCTCCCTGAGTCCCTGCCATCTGCCCTTGCCACCTTGCTGCCTCGTTTTCGCTTGTGGGGGCCTTCCGCAAGACACAGGCACTTTACTCCAAAGCCTGGGGCTTTACAGCCTGCCTGAAACAGACACAGTGGCTTCTGAAATTGAAGGGGCCTCCTTGGTAGGCTCCAATCTTACCCTGCGGTCTCGTCGCTTCTCTTTTCTGCCTGCCTCCATGTACACCTGATCCCTGTGGCTGGTCCACGCCACCCTGCAGCCCCGCTTTTGCTTGTGAGGGCCTTCCGCGAGACACACAGGCACCCTTCTCCAAAGTCTGGGGCTTTACAGCTTTCCCGGGAAAGCCATGGGGGCTTCTGGATTCAGATAGGCCTCCTTGGGAGTCTCCCAGCATTGCTGGCACTCTTGCTGCTTCTCACCTCTGCCTGTCTTTACATCCCCCTGAGCCCCTGCAGCCCGCCCACACCTCCCTGCGACACCATTTTCGCTTTTGGGGGCCCTTCGCGAGAGACCCAGGCAATCTGCTCCAAACCCTAGGGCTTTAGAGCCCCGCTGGGACAGCCCTGGGTGCTTCAGGGATGGAAGAACCCTCCTTGGAAGGTTCCCAGCATTCCCTGCGGTCTTGCCGCTTCTCCCCCCTGCTGGCCTCAACGTCCTTCTGAGTCCCTGCACCCGCCCACGCCACCGTACATCCCTGTTTTCACTTGTGCGGGCTTCCACCATAGATACGGGCAGCCCGCACCAAATCCTGGGGCTTTATAGCCAGCCTGGGACAGCCCAGGAAAATTCTGAGATGGGAGAGGCCTCCTTGGGAAGCTCCCAGCTTTCCCTGTGTGGTCTCACCGCTTCTCCCGTCTGCTTGCCTCACTGTTTTCCTGAGTCTCTGCAGTCCAGCCATGCCACCCTGCTGCCACCATTTCACTTGTGGTTGTCTCGCGAGAGACACAGGCATACTTCTGCAAAACCCAGGGCTTTACAGCCTACCCAGGACAGCCCTGGGATCTCCTCTGATGGGAGAGGCCTCCTTGGGAGTCTCCCAGCATTCCCTGTGGCCTGTCTGCTTCTACCCTCTGCCTGCCTCAGTGTCCCACTGAGGCCCTGCGGCAAACCCAAGCCACCCTTTGGGTCCGTTTTCGGAGGTGGGGATCTGCCACTAGAGACAGAGGCACCCTGCTCCAAAGCCTTGGGCTGTACAGCCTGCCCGGGAGAGTGCTGGTGGCTTCTGGTATGGGAGAGGCTTCTTGGGAGGCCCCCAGCATTCCCTGCAGTCTCATCACTTCTTTCCTCTACCTACGTCAAAGTCCACCTGAATCCCTCCATCCCACCCACACCACACTGTGGCCCCGTTTTTCCTTGTGGAGGCCTTCCATGAGAGACACAGGCACCCCGCTCCAAGGCCTGCAGCTTAACAGCCTGACTGGGACAGCTCTGAAGGCTTCTGGGATGGAAGAGGCCTCCTTGGGAGGCTCCCAGCATTACCTGCGATCTCACCACTTCTCCGCTCTGCCTGCCTCAATGACCCCCTTTGTCTCTGCCACCAGCACACGCTACTCCGCGTTTCTGTTTTCACTTGTGGGGGCCTTTCACGAGAGACAAAAGCACCCTGCTCCAGGGCCTGGGGTTTTACAGCCTGCCCGGGACAGGTGGGGACTCCTGGGATGGGAGAAGTCTTCTTGGAAGGCTCCCAGCATTCCCTGCGGTCTCACCGATTCTCACCTCTGCCATCCTGAAAGTCCCTCTGAGCTCCTCTGGCCCACCCCCATGACCTTGCGGTCCCTTTTTCGCTTGTGGAGGCCTTCCGTGAGAGATACATGTGCTCTGCTCCAAAGCCTGGGGCTCTACAGCCTGCTCGGGACATCCCTGATGGTGTCTGGGATGGGAGAGGCCTCCTTGCAATGCTCCCAGCATTCCCTGCTGTCTCGCCCCATTTCTCCCCTCTGCCTGCCTCAACATCCCCCTGAGTTCCTGTGGACCACCCACGCCAACCTGCGGCCCCGTTTTAGCTTGTGGGGGCCTTCTGTGAGAGACACAGTCACTGGGCTTCTAAGCCTGGGCTTAACAGCCTGCCCGGGACAGACCTGGGGGCTTCTGAGTTGGGAGAGGCCTTCTTGTGAGGCTCCCAGCATTCCCTGTGGTCTCACTGCTTCTTTTTTCTGCCTGCCTCAACGTCCTCCTGAGATTCTGTGGCCCACCCATGCAACGCTGTGGCCCCGTTTTCTGTTGTTGGGGCCTTCCCTGAGAGACACAGTCACCCTGCTTCAAAGACTGGGGCTTTACAGCCCACTGTGGGCAACCTTGGGGGCATCTGAGATGGAAGAGGCCTCCTAGGGAGTCTCCCAGCATTCCCTGAGGTCTCGCTGCTTCTCCCTTCTGCCTGCCTCAACCGCTTGCTTAGTCCCTGTGGCCAGCCCACCCCACCTTGCCTCCCCTTTTTCCCTTGTGGGGTCTTTCTGCGAGAGACACAAGCACCCTATACTAAAACCTGGGGCTTTTTTAGCTCAACCGGAGCAGTTCTGGGGGCTCCTGGGTTAAGAGTGGCCTCCTTAGGAGGCTCCCAGCATTTTCTGTGGTCTCTCCCCTTCTCTCCTCTGCCTGCCTCAACGTCCCCCTGAGTCCCTGCAGCCTGCCCACACCACTGTGCGGGTTCATTTTCACTTCTGGGGGCCTTCTGCGAGAGACACAGGCACCCTGCTCCAAAGCCTGTGGTTCTATAGCCTGCCCAGGAGAGCCGTGGGGGCTTCTCAGATGGGAGAGGCCTCCTTGGGAAGCTCCCAGCATTCCCTGTGGTCTGGCCCCTTCCCCACCCTGCCTGCCTCAATGTCCTCCTGTGTCCCTGCAACCCTCCCATGCCACGTTGTGGCTCCGTTTTCGTTTGTGGGGGCCTTCCAGGAGAAACACAGGCACCCTGATCCAATGCCTGTGGCTTCACAGCCAGCCCAACCTAGCCCTGGGAAATTCTGGGATGAGAGAGCTTCCTTTGGAGGCTCCTAGCATTCCTGCGGTCTTGCCCCTTCTCCCCTCTGCCTGCCTTAATATCACCCTGAGTTTCTTTGGCCCTCCCATGCCACTCTGCTTCCCTGTTTTTGCTTATGGGGGCCTTCCACAAGAGACACAGGCACCCTGCTCCAAAGCCTGGGGCTTTACAGTCCACCTGGGACAGCACTGGGTGCTTCTGGGATAGAAGAGGCCTTCATGGGAGACTACCAGCATTCCCTGAGATTTTGCCGCTTCTCCCCTCTGCCTGTTTCAATTTTTCCTGAGTCCCTGCGGCTCACCCATGCCACCCTGCTGCCCCGATTTCCCTTGTGGTGGCCCTCCACAAGAATCACAGGCTCCCTGCTGCAAATTCTGGGGTTTCACTGTCCTCCTAGGACAGCCCTAGGGGTTTACGGGAGGAGAGAGGCCTCCTTTGGAAGTTCTCAGCATTCCTTGTGGTCTCGCCGTTTCTCCCCTCTGCCTGCCTCAATGTCTTTCTGAGTCCCTGTGGCCTACCCATGCCACCCTGCGACCTCGTTTTCTCTTGTGGGGTCCTTGCACAAGAGACACAGGCACACTGCACCAAAGCCTGCAGCCTTATAGCCTGCCCGAGACAGCCCTGAAAGCTTCTGGGATGGGAGAAATCTCCTTGGGTGGCTCCTAACATTCCCTGCCGTCTCGCCGCTTCTCCTCTCTGCCTGACTCATCTCCCCCTGACTCCCTGCAGCCTGCCCAAGCCATCCTGTGATTCCATTTACACTTCTGGGTGCCTTTTGCAAGAGATACAGGCACAATGCTCCAAAGCCTGGGGCT
This sequence comes from Homo sapiens, assembly GCF_000001405.40. Classification (NCBI taxonomy): domain Eukaryota; kingdom Metazoa; phylum Chordata; class Mammalia; order Primates; family Hominidae; genus Homo; species Homo sapiens. Next base: position 46,336,122 of record NC_000008.11, on the reverse strand, counting down.
TTACAGCCCAAGCGAGACAGCCCTGGGGCATCTGGGATGGGAGAGGCCTCCTTCAGAGGCTCCCAGCATTTCCTGCAGTCTCACTGCTTCTCCCCTCTGCTGCCCTCAATGTCCCCCTGGGTCCCTGTGGCCCGTACATGTTACTCTGTGGCCTGGTTATTGTTTGTGGGAGCCTTCTGTGAGAGACACAGGCACCCTGCTCCAACACCTGGGCCTTAGCAGCCCACCTGGTACAGCCCTGGAAGCTTCTTGGATTGGAGAGGCCTCCTTGGCAGGTTCCCAGAATTCCCTGCGGTCTTCCTCCTCCTGCTTGTCTTAACTACCATCTGAGTCCCTGCCACCCGCACACGCCACCCTGTGGCTTCCTATTCGCTTCTGGGGGCCTTCCGTGAGACACAGGCACCCCTTTCCAAAGCCTGGGCTTCATCGCCTGCCCAGGACAGACCGGGGGTCTTCTGGGATGGAAGAGGTTTTCTTGGGAGGCTCCCAGCATTCCCTGAGGTCTCACTGCTCCTGCCCTGTGCCTTCCTCAACTTTCCCCTGCATCCCTCCGGCCAGCCCATGCCACACTGCGACTTTGTTTTTTCTTGTGGGGTTTTCCACCAGAGACACAGGCACCCTGTTCCAAAGCCTGGGGCTTTAAAGCCTGCCTGAGGCAGCACTGGGGGATTCTGGGATGAAAGAGGCCTCCTTGGGAGGCTTCCGGCATTCCCTGCACCGACTCGCCACTTCTTCCCTCTGCTTACCTCAACGTCCTCCTGAGTCCCTGAGGCCCCCCCACGCCACCCTGTGGCCCCTTTTTCACTAGTGTAAGCCTTCCTCGAGAGACCCAGGCACTGTGCTTTAAAGCCTGGTGTTTAACAGCCACCGTGGGCAGCCCTGGGAGCTTCTGGGATGAGAGAGGCATCGTTAGGATGCTCCCAGCATTTGCTTCTCTCTCGCTGCTTTTTTCCTCTGCCTGCCTTAACGTACCCCATGGTAACCGCACCCACTCACGGCAACCTGCGGCCCCATTTTCACTCCTGGGGGCCTTTTGGGAGAGACACAGGCACGCTGCTCCAAGTCTTGGGTTTAACAGTCTGCCCGGGACAGCCTTGTGGGCTTATGAAAAGGGAGATGCCTCTTTGGGAGGCTCATAGCATTCCCTGCCATCTTGCACGTTTTTGCTTATGGTGGCCTTCTGCGAGAGACATAGGCACCCTGCTGAGAAGCCTGGGTCATTACATCCCACCTAAAACAGCCCTGGTGGCTTCTGGGATGCGAGAGGCCTTTCTGGGAGGATCCCAGCAACCCTTTCCATCTCGCCACTTTTCCCCACTGCCTGCTTCAATGTCCCTCTGAGTCCCTGTGGCCCACCCACCTCACCCTGTGACTTCCTTTTCGCTTGTGGGGGCCTTCCACGAGAGACACAGGCATCATGCTCTGAAGCCTGGGGCTTTACAGAATGCCCTGGACAGGTGGGGGCCTCTGGGATGAGAAAGGCTTTCTTGAGAGGCTCCTAGCATTCCCTGCTCTCTCGCCACTTCACCCCTCTGTTTGCCTCAAATTCCCTCTGAGTCCCTCCAGCCTGACCACACCACCCTGGAGCTCCGTTTTCCTTGTGGAGGCCTTCCGCGAGAGACACAGGCATCCTGCTTCAATGGCTTGGGCTTTACAGCCCTCATGGGACAGCCCTGGGGAGTTCTGGGATGGGAGAGGCCTCCTTGGGATGCTCCCAGCATTCCATGCCATCTTACCGCTTCTCCCCTCTGCCTGCCTTAAGGTCCTCCTGGGACTCTGCATCCTGCCCACACCACCTTGCAGCCCCGTTTTTGCTTGTCAGAGCCTTTCGGTAAAGACACAGGCACCCTGCTCCAAAGTCTGGGGCTCTACAGCCCATCCGGGACAGCCCTAGGGGCTTCTGGGATGGGAGAGTTGTCCTTGGGAGGCTCCCAGCATTTCCTATGTCTTGCCACTTCTCCCCTCTGCCTGCCTCAATGTCTCCCTGAGTCCCTGCAGCCCCCCAACGCCACCCTGCACCACTGTTCTCGCTTGTGGGGGCCTTCCACAAGAGATACAGGTACCCTGCTCCAAAGCTTGTGTCTTTACAGCCCATCCAGTACATCCCTGGCTGCTTCTGGGATGGGAGAGGGCTCCTTGGGCAGGCTCGCAGCATTCAGAGTGGTCTCACCGCTTCTCACCTCTGCCTGTCTCATCATCCTTCTGAGCCCCTGCCTCCTGAACACGCCACCCTGTGGCCCCGTTTTCCCTTGTGGGGCTTTTTTGCAAGGGACGCAGGCACCCTGCTCCAAACCTTTGGCTTTACAGCCCTCCCAGGACAGCCCTCGAAGTTTCTGGGATGGGAGATGTCTCGTTGGGAGGCTCTCAGCATTCTCTGCAGTCTTGCCGCTTCTTCCTTCTGCCTGCCTTAACGTCCCCTGTGAGTCCCTGCAGCCTGCCCACTTCACCCTGCCTTCCCGTTTTCACTTGGAGAAGACTTCCGAGACACAGTCACCCTGTTCCAAAGTCTGGGGCTTTACAGCCTGCCCAGGATAGCTCTAGGGGCTTCTGGGATGGTAGAGGCTTCTTTGCAAGTCTCCTGGCATTCCCTGCGGTCTTGCTGCTTCTTCCTTCTGCCTGCCTTGACCTTTCCCTGAGTCTCTGCATCCCGCCCACGCCATCCTGCAGCCCCGTTTTTGCTTTTGGGAGCCTTCTGCTAGAGACACAGGCACCTTGCTGCAAAGCCTGGAGCTTTACAGCCAGCCCAGGACAGCCCTAAGTGCTTCTGGGACAAGAGAGGCCTCCTTGGGAGGCTCTCAGCACTCCCTGCTATCTCATCGCTTCTCTCCTCTGCCTGCCTCAACATCACTCTGAGTCCATGTGGCCCAGGGCCTGTGGTTTCCTTTTCGCTTGTGAGGGCCTTCTGCGAGAGACTCAGGCACCCTGCTCCAAAGCCTGGGCCCTTACAACCCACTAGGGACAGCGTTGTGGGCTGCTGGGATGGAAGAGACCTCTTTGGGAAGCTCCCAGGATTCCCTGCCATCTCACCACGTGTCCGGAATTGGTGGGCTCTTGGTCTCACTGACTTCAAGAATGAAGCCGTGGACCCTCACGGTGAGTGTTACAGTTCTTAAAGGCGGTGTGTTTGGAGTTTGTTCCTTCTGATGTTCGGATGTGTTTGGAGTTTCTTCCTTCTGGTGGGTGTGTGGTCTTGCTGGCTTCAGGAGTGAAGCTGCAGACATTTGCAGTGAGTGTTACGGCTCCTAAGGCAGTGCATCTGGAGTTGTTCATTCCTCTCGGTGGGTTTGTGGTTTCGCTGGCTTTAGGAGTGAAGCTGCAGACCTTCGCAGTGAGTGTTACAGCTCATAAAGGCAGTGTGGACCCAAAGAGTGAGCAGCAGCAAGATTTATTGCAAAGAGCAAAAGAACAAAGCTTCCACAGTGTGGAAGGGGACCCGAGCAGGTTGCCACTGCTGGCTCAGGCAGCCTGCTTTCATTCTCTTATCTGGCCCCACCCACATCCTGCTGATTGGTCCATTTTACACAGAGTCCATTGGTCTGTTTCACAGAGAGCTGATTGGTTCATTTTCACAGGGTGCTGATTGGTGCGTTTACAATCCCTGAGCTAGACACAAAAGTTCTCCACTTCCCCACTAGATTAGCTAGATACAGAGTGTGGACACAAAGGTTCTCCAAGTCCCCACCAGAGTAGCTAGATACAGAGTGTCGATTCGTGCATTCGCAAACCCTGAGCTAGACACAAGGTGCTGATTGGTGTGTTTGCAAACCTTGAGCTAGATACAGAGTGCCAATTGGTGTATTTACAATCCCTTAGCTAGACATAAAGGTTCTCCAAGTCCCCACCAGAGTAGCTAGATACAGAGTGCCAATTGGTGCATTCACAAACACTGAGCTAGACACAGGGTGCTGATTGGTGTATTTACAATCCCTCAGCTAGACATAAAGGTTCTCCAAGTCCCCACTAAACTCAGGAGTCCAGCTGGCTTCACCCAGTTGATCCCACACCAGAGCTGCAGGTGGAGCTGCCTGCCAGTCCTGCACCCTGCACCTGCACTCCTCAGCCCTTGGGTGGTCGATGGGACTGGGCACCATGGAACAGGGGGCGGTGCTCGTCAGGGGTGCCCGGGCCTCACAGGAGCCCACGGAGTGAGGGGGAGGCTCAGGCATGGCAGGCTGCATGTCCCGAGCCCTGCCCCATGGGAAGGCAGCTAAGGCCCAGTGAGAAATTGAGCACAGCAGCTGCTGGCCCAGGTGCTAAGCCCCTCACTGCCCGGGGCTGGTGGGTCAGCTGGCGGCTCTGAGTGCAGGGCCCACTGAGCCCACGCCCACCCAAAACTCGCGCTGGCCGACAAAGGCCTCACACAGCCCTGGTTCCCACCCGCGCCTCTCCCTCCACACTTCCCTGCAAGCTGAGGGAGCTGGCTCTGGCCTTGGCCAGCCCAGAAAGGGGCTCCCACAGTGCAGCAGTGGGCTGAAGAGCTCCTCAAGTGCCACCAAAGTGAGAACCCAGGCAGAGGAGGTGCTGAGAGTGAGCGAGGGCTGTAAAGACTGCCAGCACGCTCTCCCCCTCAGCCACTTCTTGCCTCTGCCTACCTCAACATTTCCCTGAGTCCCTGCAGCCTGCCCACACCACCCTGTGTACCCGTTTTCACTTTTGGGGGCTTTGCACCAGAGACGTAGGCACCCTGCTCCAAAGCCTGGGTTTTGCAGCCTGCACCAGACAACCCTGTGGTTTTCTGGGATGTGACAGGCCTTTATTGGGAGGCTCCCAGCATTCCCTGAGGTCTTGCCCCTTCTCCCCTCTGCCTGCCTCAACATCTCCCTGAATTTCTATGACCCATCCAACCGATCCTGCTGCCCAGTTTTCGCTTGTGTCAGCCTTCCTCGAGAGCCACAGGCACCCTGCCCTAAAGCCTGGGACTTTACAGCCGGCCCAGGACAGCCATGGGGGCTTCTGCAATGGGAGAGGCCTCCTTGGGAGGCTCCCAGCATTTCCTGTGGTCTTGCCACTTCTCCCATTTCCTGTGTCGACATCCCCTGAGTCACGGCGGCCCACCCATGGCCACCAAACACAAGCCTCGTTTTTGCTTGTGTGGGCCTTCCGCGGGAGACACAGGCACCTTATTCCAAAGCCCTGGGATCCGGCCTAGGTTGCTTGTGTCTCTCGCTGAGGGCCCCCTGCTCAGTGGCTAGACCACAGTCTGGCCTGTGCAGTCAGGCAGAAACTCAGGGGGACTTTGAGGCAGGTAATGGGGAGGAGCGGTGAGGCCTCAGTGAGTGTTCGACTTTCCAGTGAGGTCTCTCCCTTTTCAGAAGCCTCAGTGGCAACCCACAGTTTGGGACTAGAGATCCGGGTTTCAGCCCAGGGTGCCTGTGTCTCTTGCAGAGGCCTTCCACGGGTGTCAGTGGTACCGCAACCCGGCTTGCAGGTAGGCAGAAACTCAGGGGTACTTTGAATCAGGCAAAGGGGAGAAGTGGCGAGGCCTGTGCGGCTGGTGTGTTTATTCACGGATGCCTCTCCCTTCCAAGAAGTCCCTGGGGTGACCCTTCGGGTTGGAGCTAGAGCCCTGAACTTCAATTCAGGGTGCCTGGGGCTCTCACAGAGGGCCCCCATGGGTGGCATCTGGGCTGCAGGCAGGCCTGTGCGGTTGGGCAGAAACTCAGCGTGATGCTGAGGCAGGCAGAGTGGAGAAGCGGCAAGGTCTGAGCGGGTGATGTTTCCTCCCAGGGAGGCTTCTCCCTTCCAAGAAGACCCCAGGGCCCCCCCATCATGGGGGCTAGAGCCTTGGGTTCCATCCCCGGATGCCTGTTTCTCTCGAAGCAGGACACCAAGGGCAGCGGCAAGGCTGCAGGTGGGCCTGTGTGGGCAGGCAGAAAATTAAGAGGGCATTGAGGTGGCAGAAGGGAGAAGCTGTGAGGCCTGAGTGGGTGCTGGGTCTTCCCAGGGAGGCCTCTTTCTTCCCGGGAGACCCTGGGGGCACCCCGGGTGCAAGCGCTAGGGCCATAGACTACAGCCCAGGGTGCCTGTGTCTCTAGCGGAGAGACCCCATGGGTGGCAGCAGGGCAGCACACAGGCCTGGGCGGGCTAGCAGAAATTCAGGTGGATGTTGAGGCAGGCAGAGGGGAGAAGCAGCAAGGACTGAGTGGTTGCTGGGTCCTCCCAGGGAGGACTGTCCCTTCCCAGAATCCCGTGGAGCACATCCTGGGTTGGATCTACAGCCTGGGATCTGGCCCAGGGTGACTGTTTGGGGGAGGGCCCCCATGGGCGGTGGTGGGGCCACAGACATGCCTATGCGGGATGGCAGAAACTCAGGGGCCTTTGAGGCAGACAGGGGTGAGAAGTACCAAGGCCTGAGCGGGTGTTGGGTCTTCCTAGGGTTGCCTCTCCCTTCCCAGAAGCTGCCGGGGCGCCATCCACTTGGGGGCTAAAGCCCCGGGCTCTGGCCCAGGGTGAATGAGTCTCTCACACAGGGCCCCCACGGGCCATGGTGGGGCCACAAACGGGGCTGTGTGGGCAGGTAGAAACTCAGGGAAATAATGAGGAAGGCAGAGGGTAGAGGCAGTGAAGCCTGAGTGGGTGCTAGTGTCTCCCAGGGAGGCCTCTCCCTTCCCCAAAGCCCCCAGGCACCCCCAGGGTAAGGGCTAGAGCCCCAGGTTCCTGCTGAGGGTGACTTTGTTTTTCACAGAGGGCCCGCATGGGTTGTGGTGGGGCTGCAGCCATGCCTGTGCGGGCAGGCAGAAACTCTGGAGGATGTTGAGGCAGGCAGAGGGGAGAATTGGCAAGGCCTGTTCAGGTTCTGGGTCCCATCAGGGATGCCTCTCCCTTCCCAGATAGCCAAGGGGTTCCCCCCGGCTGGCAGCTAGAGCCCTGGGGTCTGCCCCAGGGTGTATTTGTTTCTCTCCAAGGGCCTACACAGGTGGTGGCAGGGACGCAGGGGTGGCCTGTGTGGGTGGGCAGAAATTCAATGAGATGTGGAGGCAGGCAGAGGGGAGAAGAAGCCAGGCCTGAGTGGAAACTGGATGCCCCCAGGGAGGCCTGTCGGTTCCCAGAAGCACCTGAGGCGCCCCCCAGGTAGGGGCTAGAGCCCTGAATTCCTACCCAGGGTGATTCTGTCTCTCGCAGAGGGCCCCCACGGGTGACAGTGTGGCCGCAGTGTGGCCTGTATGGGTGGGGAGAAACTCAGGGGTATGTTGAGGCAGGCAGAGGGGAGAAGAGGTGATGCCTGAGCCAGTGCTGGGTCATCCCAGGATGCCTCTCCATTCCCAGAAGCCCCCAGTGTGCCCCAACTGTGGGTTAGAGCTCCGGGCTCTGGACCAGGGTGTCTTTGTCTCTCACGGAGGGCCCCCAAGGGCAGTGGCAGGGCATCACTTGGGACCATGTGGGCCAGCAGAAACTCAGTGAGACATTGAGGCTGGCAGAGGGGAGAAGCACCGAAGCCTGAGCGGGTGCTGGTTCTTCCCAGTGAGGTCTCTCCCTTCCCAGAAGTCCCTGGGCAGCCCCAGGGTGGGGGCTAGAGCCTTGGGCTCTGGCCCAGGGTGTCTGTGTCTGTCGCAGAGGGCCCCATGGGTGGTGGTGGGGCCGTAGACGGGCCCATGCTGGCTGTCAGAAACAGAGGACATTGAGGGAGGCAAAAGGAAGAAACAGCAAAGTCTGAGCAGGTGCTGCATCCACCCAGGGAGGCCTCTCTTTTCCTGGAAGTTTCAGGGGCGTTCCCTGGGTCAGGGCTAGAGCTGTATGCTCTGGACCAGGGTGACTGTGTCTTTTGCAGAGGGCCCCCTTGGGTGGCAGTGGGGCTGCAGGTGGGCCTGTGCAGGCAGGAAGAAATTCAGGAGGACATTGAGGCAGGCAGTGGGAAGAATTCGCAATTCCTGTGTGGGTGCTGGGTCCTCCCAGGGAGGCCTCTTCCTTTCCAGAAGCCCACGGGGCACCCGCCTGGTGGGGGCTAGAGACCAGCTCAGGCCTCTGCCTGTGGCTTTGGCAGAGGGCCTTCACAGGCGGTGGTGGGGCCACAGGCAGGCCTCTGTGGGAAGGAAGCAGCTCCGGGGTCCTTGAGGCAGGCAGAGAAGAGAAGCAGCGAGGCCAGAGGAGGTGCTGGGTCCCCTCAGGGAGGCCTCTCCCTTCCCAGAAGCACCCAAGGTGCCCCGTGGGTGGAGACTAGAGACTCGGGCTTCCACTCAGGGTGGCTTTGTCTCTTGCAGAGGGCCCCCATTGGTGGCTCAGTTCCGAAAGCAGGCCTGTGTTGGCTGGCAGAAACTCAGGGAGATGTAGAGGCAGGCAGAAGGGAGAAATGGCAAGGCCTGAGCGGGTGCTGGGTCCTCGCTAGGAGGCCTCTCCCTTCTGAGAAGCCTCCGTGGTGCCTGCCCAGGTGGAGACTAGAGCCTGGGGCTCTGGCCTAGGGTGCCTGTGTCTCTCACAGAGGGCTCCAATGGGGAGCAGCGGTCTACAGGCAGGCTTGTGCGAACCAGAAGAAACTCAGGCGGATTGTGAGGCAGGCAGAGAAATGAAGCAGCAAGGCCTGAGCCAGTGCTGGCTCCTCCTGGGTAGGCCTATTCCTTTACAGAAGCCTCCAGGGAGCCACCAAGGTGGGGCTAGAGGCCAGGCTCTTGCCCAGGGTGACTGTTTCTCTCGGGGAGGCCCCAAAGTCTAGCAGCGGGTCCACAGGCCGGCCTGTGCAGTTGAGCAGAAGCTCAGGGGGATGTTGTGGCAGGCAAAGGGAAGAAGCCACGAGGCCCGAGTGGGTGCTGGGTCCACACAGGGAGGCCTCACTCACTTTTCCCAGAAGCCCCAGGGGTTTCCCCCGGAGGCTAGAGCTTTATGCTCTGGCTCAGGGTGACTGAGTCTTTCATGGAGGATCTCCATGGGTGGTGGTGGGGCTGCAGGTGGGCCTGTGCTGGCAGGCAGAAACTCTGGGGGACATTGAGGCAGGCAGAGGGGAGAATCGGAGATTCTTGTGTGGGTGCTGGGTCCTCACAGGGAGGCCTCTCCCTTCCCAGAAGCCTGCAGGGCACCCCCTGGGTCAGGGCTAGAGCCGGGGCTCAGGCCTTGGCCTGTGGCTTTGGCAGAAGACCCCCAGGGTTGGCGGTTGGGCCACAGGCAGGCCTTTGTGAGACGGCAGAAACTCAGGTGTCCTTGAGGCAGACAAAGAGGAGAAGCGAGGTCTGAGTGGGTCCTGGGTCCACCCAGGGAGGACTCTTCCATCCCAGAAGCCCTCAACGGGTCCCCAGGTGGGGGCTAGAGACCCAGGGTCTGGCCCAGGATGGCTGTTTCTCTCGTGAAGGACCCCCATGGGCAGCAGCATTTCCAAAAGCAGGCCTGTGTGGTCCAACAGAAACTCAGGGGGACATTAAGCCAGGCAAAGGCATGAAGTGGCAAGGCCTGAGCGTGTGCTGGGTCCTCCTAGGGAGGACTCTCTCTTAAAAGAAGCCCCCAAGGCAACCCCCAGGTGGGGGCTGGAGGCCAGGCTTGGCCCCAAGGCATCTGTGTCTCTCCCAGAGGCCCCAAGCTGTGGCAATGAGGACGCAGCCAGGCTTGTGCGAGTGGGCAAAACTCAGGGGGACATTCAGGCAGGCAGAGAGAAGCGATGTGGCCTGAGCAGGTTCTGCATTTTCCCAGGGAGGCCTCACCCTTCCAGGAAGACCTGGGGAGCTTCCTGTGTTGGGGCTAGAGCCCTGGGCTCCTGCCCAGGGTGTGTGTGCTTTTTGACAAGAGAACATATGGGCTGGGGCAGGTGCTGGGTCTTCCCATGGAGGCCTCTCCCTTCCCAGAAATCCCTGGTGTGCCTTTCAGGTGGGGGGCTAGAACTCCAGGCTGCAACCCATGGTGCATGTGTCTCTCATGGAGGGCACCCATGGGTGGCGCCTGGGTGGCAGGCAGACCTATTCAGGCTGACAGAAACTCAGGGGGTCATTGAGGCACTCAGAGAAGAAAAGTGGTAAGAGTTGAACGGGTGCCACTTCTTCCCAGGGAGGCTTCTCACATCCCAGGAACCAATGTTGGAAACACTCTTTTTTTTTTTTTTTTAGATGGAGTCCCGCTCTGTCGCCCAGGCTGGAGTGCAGTGGTGCAATCTTGGTTCACTGCAAGCTCCACTTCCTGGGTTCAAGCCATTCTTCCACCTCAGTCTCCCAAGTAGCTGGGACAACAAGCACCCACCACCATGCCTGGTTAATTTCTTTTGTATTTTTAGTGGAGACGGAGTTTCACTGTGTTAGCCAGGATGCTCTCAATCTCCTGACGTTGTGATCTGCTTGCCTTGCCCTCCCAAAGTGCTGGGATTACAGGTGTGAGCCACCACTCCCAGCAGGAAACACTCTTTTTGTAGAATCTGTGAAGGAACATGCAAGAGCCCACTGAGGCCCACAGTGAGAAACAAAACAACCAGTGATGAAAACTAAAAAAAAGTTATCTGTGAAAATGCTTTGTGATGTGAGCATTCAGCTCTCAGAGTTAAAGCTTTCTTTTAATTCAGAAGATCTGAAACACTCTTTCTGTAGGATTAGTGAAGGGATATTTCAAATCCCACTGAGGTCTAAAGTGAAAAACCGAATATCCTGGAATAAAACCTAGAAAGAGCTATCTTTGAAATTGCTTTGTGATCTTTGCATTCAGCTCACAGAGGTAAACTTTTCCTTTGATTCAGCAGGTTGGAAACACTATTTTTGTAGAATATACAGAGGAACATTTTGGAGCCCACTGAGGCCTATGGTGAAAATTCAAATATCCCATGATAAAAACTAGAAAGAAGCTAACTGTGAAACTCCTTTGTGTTGTGTTAATTCAGCTCACAGAGTTAAACCTTTATTTTGATTCAACAAGTTGGAAACACTCTTTTTATAGAATCTGCGAAGGGACGTTTCAAAGCCCACTGAGGCCTATAGTGTAAAACAGACTATCCCACAGTAACACAACAAAGAAGTTGTCTGAGAAACTGCTTTGTGATATGTGGATTCCATTCACAGAGGTAAACCTTTCTTTAAAATCAGTAGATTAGAAACATTCTTTTTGTAGAATCTGTGAAGAGACTTTTAGGAGCCCACTTGGGCCCATAGTGATGAATCAAATACCCCAAGATAAAAAGTAGAAAGAAGGTATCTGTGAAACTTTTGTGATGTTTGCATTCAGCCCACAGAAATAAGCCTTTCCTTTGATTCAGCAGGTTGGAAACACTCTTTTTGTAGAATCTGTGAAGGGACATTTCAGAGCCCACTGAGGCATATAGTAAAAAATAAAATATCTCACAATAAAAACTATAAAGCAGCTATCTGTTAAAATATTTGTGATATTCGCATTCAGCTCACAAAGTTCAATTTTTTTTTTTGATTCAACAGGCTGGAAACCCTCTTTTTGTAGAATCTGCAAAGAGAAATTTCAGGGCACACTGGGGCCTTGGTATAAAACCAGACATTCCTTGATAAAAACTACAAAGAATCTGTCTGAGAAACTTCTTTGTGATGTTTGCATTCAGCTCACAGAGTTAAAACTTTGTATTAATTCAGTAGGTTGGTAGAACATTTTTTGTAGAATCTGTGAAAGACATTTTGGCAGCCACTGAGGGCTATAGTAAAAAATCAAATATTCTGCAATAAAAAGGAGAAAGCCATCTGTGAACTGCTTTGTGATGTGAGGATTCAGCTAAAAGACTTTAATGTTTCTATTGATTAAGCAGGTTGGAAACACTCTTTTTTTAGTATGTGCAAAGTGACATTTCAGAGCCTGTGGGGGCCCATAGTGAAAAACTGAATATCCTATGATAAAAACTAGAAAGAAGCTATCTATGAGACTGATTTGTGATGTGTGCATTCAGCACACAGAGTTAAACTTTACTTTTGATTCAGCTGTTTGGAAACACTCTTTTTTTCAGTATCTGCAAAGGGACATTTCAGAGCACTTTGAAGCCTACAGTAAAAAACAGAACATCCTCTGGTAAAAACTAGAAAGAAGCCATCTGAAAAACTGCTTGTGATGTGTTGATTCAGCTCACAGAGTTAAACATTTCTTTTAATTCAGCAGTTTGGAAACATTATTTTTGTAGAATCTCTGAAGAGATGTTTTGGAACGCAGTGAGGTCTATAGTGAAAAACTGAATATCCTGTGGTAAAAACTAGTAAGAAGCTATCTGGACACCTGCTTTGTGATGTATAGATTCAGCTCACAGAGTTAAACTTTTTTTTTTTTATTCAGTAGTTTGAAAACACTCCTTTGTAGATCTGCAAAGGGACACTTCAGAGTGTAATGAGGCCTATGGTGAAAAGTTGAATATCCCGAGATAAACACTAGACAGAAGCTGTCTGTGAAACTGCTTTGCAATGAGTGGATTCAGCTCACAGAGTTAAACCTTTGTTTGGATACAACTGGTTGTAAAAACTCTTGTAGAATCTGTGAAGGGACGTTTTGGAGTGCACTGAGGCCTATAGTGAAGAACAAAATATCCTGCGATAAAAACTAGAGAGGAGCTATTTTTGAAACTGCTTTGTGATACATGGATTCAGCTCAGAGAGCTAAACCATAGTTTTGATTCAGCAGTTTGGAAACATTCTTTTTGTAGAATCATTGAAGGGGAATTTTGGAGCATTTTGAGGCATATAATGACAAACCGAATATGCTATGATGAAAACTAGAAAGAAGCTGTCTGTGACACTGCTTTGTGATGTATAGATTCAGCTTCACAGAGTCAAATCTTTCTTTTGATTAAGCAGGTTAGAAACTTTTTTTGTAGAATCTGCCAATAGACATTTTGAAATGCTGTGAAGCTTATAGTGTAAAAACAGAATGTCCCATGATAAAAACTAGAGAGAAGGTATGAGTGAAACTGCTTACTGATCTGTGGATTCAGCTCACAGAGTTAAACCTTACATTATTTCACCTGTTGAGAAACACTCTTTTTGTAGAATCTGCAAGGGGACATTTTGGAGTGCTTTGAGGCATATAGGAAAAAATTGTATATCCCATGTTAAAAACTAGAAAGAGGCTCTCTGGGAAACTGCTTTGTGATGTGTACATTCAGTTCACAGAGTTAAAACGTAGGTTTTATTAAGATGTTTGGAAACACTCTTTTTGTAAAGTCTGTAAAGGAACATTCCAGAGTACACTGGGGTCTCCATAGTGAAAAAATGAATATCCCACGATTAAAAACTACAAAGAAGCTATCTGTAAAACTGCTTTGTGATGTGTACATTCAGCTTACAGAGATAAGCCTATGTTTTGATTCTGCAGGTTGAAAACACATTCTTTGTAGAATCTGTGAAGGGACATTTCAAAGTGCAGTGAGGCCTGTAGTGAAATACAGACTATCCTGTGATAAAAACTAGAAAGAAGCTTTCTGTGAAACTGCTTTTTGATGTGTGTATTCAGCTCAGAGTTAAAGGTTTCTCTTGATTCAGGAGGTAGGAAACACTCTTTTTGTAGAATCCACAAAGGGACATTTCAGAACTCACTGAGGCCTATAGTGAAAAATCAAATATCTGGCAATAAAAATTAAAAAGATGCTATCTGTTAAACTGGTTTGTAATGTGTACATTCAGTTCACAGAGGTAAATTTATATTTTAATTCACCAGGTTGAAAACACTCACTTTGTATAATCTGCAAAGGGACTATTCAGAGCCCACTGAGGCCTAAACCAAAAAACGATATCCAGCAAAAGCTACTAGAAAGAAGATATCTGTGAAACTGCTTTATAATATGTGGATTCAACTCATAGAGTTTAATCTTTCTTTTGATTCCACCGTTTGGAAACAGAATTTTAGTAGAACTTACAAAGGGGGATTACAAAGTCCTTTGAGGCCTACAGTGAAAAACCGAATATCACGTAGTAAAAACTAGAATGAAGCTATCTGTGAAACTGCTTTGCAATGTGTGCATTCAGTTCAGAGAGTTAAATCTTACTTTTGATTCAGCTGTTTGGAAACACTCTTTTTGTAGAATCTGCGAAGGTACATTTCAGAGCGCTTTGAGACTTATAGTATAAAACTGAATGTCTCCTTGTAAAAACTAGAAAGAAGCTATCTTGGAAACTGCTTTGTGATGTGTGGATTCAGCCCCACAGAGTTAAACCTTTACTTTTTGATTCAGCAGTTTGGAAACCCTCTTTTTGTAGTTTCTACAAGGGGCATTTCAGAGCTCAATGACACCTATAGTGAAAAACTTAATATCGCATGATAAAAACTAGAAAGAAGCTATTTGTGAAACTGCTTTGTGACGTGTGCATTCAGTTCAGAGAATTAAACCTTATTATGATTCAGCTGTTTGGAAACACTCTTTTTGTAGAATATACATAGGGACATTTCAGAGTGCTTTGAGACCTATAGTAAAAAGCCGAATATCATGTGGTAAAAACTAGAAAGAAGCTATCCATGAAACTACTCTAGGATGTGTATATTCAACTCACAGAGTTCAAGATTTCTCTTGATTCAGCAGTTTGGAATCAATCTTTTTGGAGAACCTTCAAAGGGACACTTTGGAATGCTGTGAGATCTAGAGTGAAAAATCAAATATCCTGTGATAAAAACTAGAAAAAAGCTAATTGTGAAACTACTTTGTGATGTGTGCATTCATCTCAGAGAGGTAAACCTCACTTTTGATTCAGCAGTTTGGAAACACATTTTTGGAGAATCTGTGTAGGGACTTTTCAGAAGGCACTGAGGCCTATAGTAAAAAAAACAAATATCCTGCCTTAAAAACTAGAAAGAAGTTATCTGTGAAACTGCTTCATGTTGTTTGGATTCAGCTCACAGAGTTAAACTTTTCTTATGATTCAGCAGTTGGGAACACTCTTTTTGTAGAATCTGTGTAGGGACATTTCAGAGCACAGTGAGGCCTGTAGTGAGAATCTGAATATTCCATGATGAAAACTAGAAACAAGCTATCTGTGAAACTCTTTTTGATGTGTGTATTCCACTCACAGAGTTAAGTCTTTCTTTTGATTCAGGAGTTTGGAAACACTTTTTTTAATATAATCTGTAAAGGGACATTTCAGAGCTCAGTGAGGCCTATAGTAAAAAAAGAATATCCCTCCATAACAACTAGAAAAAAGCTATCTGTGAAATGGCTTGTGATGTGTGGATTCAGGTCACAAAGTTGAAAGTTGTTTTTTTTTTTGATGGAGTCTTGCTCTGTTGCCCAGGTTGGCATGCAGTGGCATGATCTTGGCTTACTGCAAGCTCCTCCTCCTGAGTTCACACCATTCTCCTGCCTCAGCCTCCTGAGCAGCTGGGACTACAGATACCTGCCACCACACCTGGCTACTTTTTTTGTATTTTTTAGTAGAGATGGGGTTTCACCACGTTAGCCAGTATGGTCTCAATCTCGTGACCTCGTGATCCACAGTCATTGGCCTCCCAAAGTGCTGGGATTAGAGGCATGAGCCACCACACTCAGCCCTAAACTTTTTTTTGATTCAGCAAGTTGGAAACCCTCTTTTGTTGAATCTGCAAAGGGACGTTTCAGAGCACTTTGAGACCTATAGTAAAAAAACGAATATCCTATGATACAAACTAGAAAGAAACCTTCTGTGAAATCATTTTGTGATGTATGTATTCAGTACACAGAGTTAAACCTTACTTTAATTCAGTAGCTTCAGAACACTGTTTTTGGAGATTCTGCAAATAGACATTTCAGAGCACATTGAGGCCTATAGTGAAAAACAGAATATCCCATGATAAAAACTAGAAAGGAGCTATCTGTGAAACTGCTTTGTGATTTGTGGATACAGCTCACAGAGTTAAAGCTTTGTTTTGATTCAGGAGTTTAGAAAAACACTTTTTGTAGAATCTGCAAAGGGACATTTTGAAGCACAGTGAGGTCTATAGTTAAAAGCCAAATATCCCCTGATAGAAAATAGAAACAAGCTATCTGAAACCACTTCATGATGTGTGGATTCAGCTCACAGTGTTAAACCTTTCCTTTGAATCACCAGTTTTGCAACAGTGTTTTTATAAAATCTGCAATGGGCCATTTTGGAGCACATTGAGGTTAATAGTGAGAAACGGAATATCCCACAATAAAAACTAAGAAGAAGCTATCTGTGAAACTGCTTTGTGATCTATGGATTCATCTCACAGAGTTGAACCTTTCTATTTATTCAGAAAGTTGGAATCACTCTTTTTGTGGAAACTGTGGAGGAATATTTTGGAGCACAGTGAGGCCTACAGTGAAAAAAAGACTATTTTGTGAAGAAAACTAGAAAGAAACTATCTGTGAAACTGCTTTGCAAAGTTTGCATTCAGTACAGATAGGTAAACTTTACTTTTGATTCAGCTGTTTATAAACACTCTTTTGTAGAATCTGCAAAGGGACATTTCAGAGCACTTTGAGGTCTATAGTTAAAAACTGAATATCTTGTGGTAAAAACTAGAAAAAAGCTATCTGTGAAACTGCTTTGTGCCATGTGCATTCGGTTCAGAGAGTTAAAACTTACTTTTCATTCAGCTGTTTGGAAACACTCATTTTGTAGAATCTGCAAAGGGACATTTCAGAGTGCTTTGAGGCCTATAGTGAAAAACAGAATATCCCATGGTAAAAACTAGAAATAATCTATCTTGGAACCTGCTTTGTGATTTGTGGATTCAGCTCACAGAGTTAAACTTCTTTTGATTCAGCAGTTTGGAAACACTCTTTTGTAGAATCTGTGAAGGGATATTTCAGAGTGCTTTGAGGCCTAAAGTTAAAAATCAAATAACCTCTGATAAAAACTAGAAAATAGCTATCTCTGAAACTTCTTTGTGATGTGCAGATACAGCTCACAGAGTTAAAACTTTGTTTTGATTGAGCAGGTTGGACACACTCTTTCATAGAATCTGCAAAGGGACATTTCTGAGTGTACTTAGACCTTGTGAAAAACCAAATATCCCAGTATAAAAACTAGAAATAGGCTTCTGTGAAACTTCTTTGTGATGTCTGGATTCATCTCACAAAGTTAAACCTTTCTATTTATTCAGCATGTTGGAAAAACACTTTTTGTAGAATCTGTGAAGGAACAAATTGGAGTGTAGTGAGGCCTGTAGTGAAAAAGAGAATATCCTGTGATGAAAACTAGAAAGAAACTCTCTGTAAAACCACTTTTTGATATTTGCATTCAGTACAGATAGGTAAACTTTATTTTTGATTCAGTTTTTTGCAAACACTCTTTTGTAAAATCTGCAAAGGGACATTTCAGAGTGCTTTGAGGCCTATAGTAAAGACACTGAATATCTTGCAGTAAAAACTAGAAAGAAGGCCTCTGGGAAACTGCTTTGTGATGTGTGGATTCAGCTCACAGAGTTAAAACATTCTTTTGATTCACCAGGTTTAAACACCCTTTTTGTAGGATCTTCAAAGAGACATTTCAGAGCCCACTGAAGCCTATATTGAAAAATAGAATATCCCATGATAACAACTAGAAAGAAGCTGTCTGTGAAACTGCTTTGTGATATATGTATTCATCTAACAGAGTTTAACATTTCCGTTGATTCTGCAGGTTGGAAATACTCTTTTATTTAGTATCTACCAAGTGACAGTTCAAAGCCCACTGGACCTACAGTGAAAAACTGAATATCTCATGATAAAAAATAAAAAGAAACTATGTGAAACTGCTTTGTGATTGTGGACCCATACTGCAGATTTAAAACTTTCTTTTGATTCAGCAGGCTGGAAACACTTTTTTTGTAGAATCTTGGAAAGGACATTTCAAAGCCCACTAAGGCGTATATTGAAATACAAAATATCCCACAATAAAAACTAGAAAGAATCTATCTGTGAAACTGCTTGGGATGTTTGCATTCAGCTGACAGAGTTAAACATTTATTTTGATTCAGCAGGTTGGAAACCCACTTTTTGTAGAACTGCTAATAGATATTTCAGAGCCCACTGTGACCCATAGCATAAAACCTAATATCCTATGACAAATTCTAGAAAGAAGCTATCTGTCAAACTGTTTTATTATATGTTCATCCAGTTCACAGACTTAAACCTTTATTTTGATTCAGCAGGTTAAAAACACTCTTTTTATAGAATCTGTGAAGGGACATTTTGGAGCCCACTGAGGCCTATAGTGAAAAACTGAATATCCCATGATAAAAACTAGAAAGAGCCTATTTGTGAAACTGCTTGGTGATGTGTGCATTCAGTTCATGGAGGCAAAACTTTCTTTTGATTCAGCAGCCTGGAAACACTCTTTTTGTAGATTCTGAGAAGGAACAGTTCACAGCCCACTGAGGCCTATAGTAAAAAACCATATATCCCATGAAAAAACTACTAAGAAGCTGTCTGTGAAACTGGTTGTGATGTGTGGATTTGGTTCTCAGAAGTAAGGCTTCCTTTTCATGCAGCAGGTTGAAAACACTCTTTTTGTACAATGTGTGATGAGACAATTGGGAGCCAACTGAGGCCTATAGTGAAAAAAAAAATATCACGTGATGAAAACAATAAATAAGATATCTATGAAACTGCTTTTTGATGTGGGGAATTAGTTCTCAGAGTTAAACTTTTCTTTTCATGCAGCTTAGTTCTCAGAGTTAAACTTTTCTTTTCATGCAGCAGGTTGGCAACACTCTTTTTGTAGAACATGCAATGGGACATTTGAGAGCCCACTGTGGCCTGCAGTGAAAAACTAAGTATCCCACAATGAAAACAAAAAAAGAAGCTACATGTGAAGCTATTTTGTGATGTGTGCATTCAGCTCAAGCACTTAAACCTTTCTCTCGATACAGCAACGTGGAAACACTTTTCTTTTACAATCTGTTTAGAAACATTTTGGAGCCAACTGATTTCTATACTGAAGAACCAAATATCCCACGATAAAATCTAAAAAAAAAAAAAAAAAAAAAAAAAGCTTTGTATGAGCCTACTTTGTAATGTATGGATTCACCAGACAGAGCTAGACATTTCTTTTGATTCAGCAGGTTGCAAACACTCTTTTTGTAGAATCTGCAAAGGGATATTTCTGAGCCCTCTGTGACCTACATTGAAAATCCGAATATCCCATGATAAAAACTAGAAGGAAACCATCTGTGAAGCTGCTTTGTGACAGAATTAATAGTAACTTTTGATTCAGCAGGTTGGAAACACCCTTTCTGTAAAATCTGCTAAAAGACATTTTGGAGCCCACTGAGGCCTTTAGTGATAAACTGATTATCTCACAATAAAAAACTAGAAAGACGCACTCTGTGAAACTGCATTGTGATGTGTGAATTCACCTTATATATTTTAACATTCCTATTGATTAAGGAGGTTGAAAACACTTTTTTTGTAGAATCTGCCAAGGGACATTTCCGAGTCCACTGATGTTTATAGTGAAAAACCAAAAATCCCATGATAAAAACTAGAAAGAAGCTATTTGTGAAACTGCTTCGTGATGTGTCCATTCAGTTAACAAAGTTAAACCTTTCTTTCATTTCAGCTGGTTGGAAATACCCTTTTTGAAGAATCTGCAAAGGGGCATTTCAGAGTCCACTGAGACCCATAGTGAAAAATAAAACATCCAGTGACAAAAACGAGTAAGAAGATATATGTGAAACTGCTTTGTGATGTGTGCATTTAGTTCAAGGAATTAAACCTTTCTTTTGATTCAGGAGGATGAAAACACTCTTTTCATACAATCTGGAAAGGGACATATTGGAGCCCACTGATTACTATAGTGAAAAATGAAAATCCCAAGATGAAAACTAGAAAGAAGATATGAGCAAAAATGCTTTGAGAAGTGTGGATTACCTCAAAGAGCAAAACCTTTCTTTCAATTCAATAGGTTGGAAACACTCTTTTTGTAGAATCTGT
Organism: Homo sapiens; assembly: GCF_000001405.40. Lineage (NCBI taxonomy): Eukaryota > Metazoa > Chordata > Mammalia > Primates > Hominidae > Homo > Homo sapiens. Next base: position 46,316,378 of record NC_000008.11, on the reverse strand, counting down.
GAGGGAGCATTTCCGAACCCTCTGAGGCCTTCACTGAAAAACAGAATATCCCGAGCTAAAAACTAGAAAGACTCTATCTGTGAAACTGCTTTGTGCTGTGTAGATTTAACTCACAGAATTAAAAGTTTCTTTTGATTCAGCAGGTTGTAAGCAGTCTTTTTGTAGAATCTGTGAAAAGACATTTTGGAGGCCACTGATGCCTATAGTGAAAAACTAAATATTCCATGATAAGAACTAGAAATAACCTATCTGTGAAACTGCTTTGTGACATGTGCATTCAGTTCACAGAGGTAAACGTTTCTTGTGATTCAGGAGGCCAGAAACTCTCTTTCTGTAGAATCTGTGATGAGACTTTTAGGAGTTCAAAGAGGTCTCTGTTGAAAAATTGAATATCCTGTGATAAAAACTAGAAAGAAGCTGTCTGTGAAACTCCTTTGTAATGCGGGGAATCATTTCTCAGAGTTAAGTTTTTCTTTTGATTCAGCAGGATGGAAAAACGCTTTTAGTACCATATACAAAGAAACATTTTGGAGCCTATTGATTCCTAAAGTGAAAAACAAAATATCCCATGATGAAAACTGGAAAGAAGCTATCAATGATAATGCTTTGTGATCTGTGGATTCAGCTCACACAGTTAAATCTTTCTTTTGATTCAGCAGGTTAGAAACACTCTTTTTGTAAAATTAGCAAAGGGACATTTTGGAGCCCACTTAGGCCTACAGTCATCAACAAATTATCCTGGAATAAAAACTAGAAGGATGCTATTTGTGAAACTGCTGTGTTATGTGTGGATTCAGATCACATATTTTAACATTTCTATTGATTCCACAGGTTGGAAAGACTCTTTTTGTAGAATCTGCCATGGGACATTTCCAAGCCCACTGAGGCCTATAGTGAGAAACTGAATATCCCACAATAAAAACTAAAAAGAAGCTATCTGTGATACGGCTTTGCAATGTGTGCATTCAGCTCACACAGTTAAATTTTTCTTTTGATTCAGCAGGTTTGCAAGCATTTTTTTTTTGGAAAATCTGCAAAGGGACATTTTGAAGCAAAATGATGCCTATTTTGTAAAACCAAACATCGTGAGAGAAAACAAGAAAAAAGCTATCTGTGAAACTGCTTTGTAACAAGTGATTTAGCTCACATATTTAAAGCTTTCCCTTGATTCAGCACTTTGGAAACACTCTTTCGGTAGAATCTGCTAAGAGTCATTTCAGAGTCCACTGAAGCCTATAGTGAAAAACTGAATATCCTGTGATAAAAACTGGAAAGAAGCTATCTCTGAAGCTGCTTTGTGATGTGTGGATTAAGCTAAGAGAGTTCAACCTTCCTTTGCATTCAGCAGGATGGAAACTCTCTTTTTGTAGAATTTATGAGGCAACATTTCAGAGCCCACTAAGGCCCATAGTGAAAAAATGAATATTCCATGATAAAAACTAGAAATATGCTATCTGTGAAACTGCTCTGTGATTTGTCCATTCAGTTAACAAAGTTAACCTGCTATTTTTTGTTTCAGCTTGTTGGAAACACTCTTTTTGAAGAATCTGTGGAGGGACGTTTCAGAACTCACTGAGGCCCACAGTGAAAAAACAAATATCCTGTGATAAAAACGAGTAAGAATATGTATGTGAAACTGCTTTTTCATGTGTGCATTCAGTTCAAGGAGTTTAGCCTTTCTTTCAATTCAGCAGGATGGAAACACTCTTTTTTGTACAACTGAGAAGGGACATTTTGGGGGCCATTTATTACTATACTGAAAAACTGAATATCCCATGAGGAAAACTAGAAAGAAGTTATGAGCAAAAATGGTTTGCTATGTTTGGATTAGCTCAAAGAGTAAAAGCTTTCTTTTGATTCACTAGTTTGGAAACAATCTTTTTGTAGAATCTGTGCAATGACATTTCAAAACCCACTGATTACTATAGTGAAAAACCAAATATCCCACAATAAAATCTAGAAAAAACCTATGTGCAAAACTGCTTTGTGGTGTATGGATTTGGCACACAGAATTAAAACTATCATTTGGTTCAGCAAGTTGGAAACACTCTTTTTGTAGAACCTGCGAAAAGACATTTTGGAAGCCACTGAGTCATATAGTGGAAAACTGAATATCCCACAATAAAAACTAGAAATAAGCTATCTGTGAAACTGCTTTGTGATGTGTGGGATTCTATTCACAGAGGTAAAACTTCTTTTGATTCTGCAGGCTGGAAACACTCCTTTTGTAGAGTCTGTGATGTGACATTTAGAAGCCCAGTGAGACCTCTGGTGAAAAACTGAATATCCTGTGATAAAAAATAGAAAGAAGCTTTCTTTAAAATTTCTATGTAATGTGGGGAATCAGTTCTCACAGTTAAACCTTTCTTTTGATTCAGCAGGATGGGAAAACTCTTTTTGTACAATCTATGAGAAACGTTTTGGAGCCCCTTGATTCCTATAGTGAAAAACAGAATATCCCATGCTAAAAAGTAGAAAGAAGCTATCCATGAAACTGCTTTGTGATATGTGGATTCAGCTCAAACATTTAAATCTTTTGATTAAGCAAGTCGGAAACACTTTTTTTGTAGAACCAGCAACGGGACATTTCAGAGCCCACTTAGGCCTATAGTGGTAAACCAATTATCCTGTATTAAAAACTAGAAAGATGCTGTCTATGAAACGGCTTTGTGATGTTTGGATTCAGCTCACATATTTTAAGGTTTCTATTGATTCCGCAAGTTGGAAACTCTTTTTGTAGAATATGGCAAGGAATATTTCAGAGCCCACTGAGGCCTATAATGTAAAACAAAATAATGCATGATAAAAACAGAAAGAACTATCTGTGAAACTGCTTTGTGATATGTCGATTCCATTAACAAAGGTAAACGTTTCTATTGATTCAGCAAGTTGGAAACTCTTTTTGCAGAATATGGCAAGGGATATTTCAGAGCCCACTGAGCCCCATAATGCAAAACAAAATAACCCCAGATAAAAACTAGAAAGAAACTATCTGTGAAACTTCTTTGTGATATGTCAATTCCATTAACAAAGCTACACCTTTCTTTTGTTTCAGCTGGTTGGAGACACTCTTTTTGAAGAATTTGTGAAGAGACATTTTGAAGTCCACTGAGACCCATAGTGTAAAATCAAATATCCCATGATAAAAATGAGTAAGAAGATATATGTGAAACTGCTTTGTGTTGTGTGCATTCAGTTCAAGGAGGTAAACTTTTCTTTTGAATCAGCAGGTTGGAAACACTTTTTTTGTACAATCTGGGAAGGGACATTTTGGAGCCCACTTATTAGTGAAAAACCGAATATCTAACAATAAAAACTAGAAGAAAATGATGAGCAATACTGCCTTGTGAGGTGTGGATTACCTTAAAGAGTAAAACCTTCCCTTTGATTCAGTAGGTTGGAAACAATGTTTTTGTAGAAACTGCACAGGGACATGTTGGAGCCCACTGAGGCCTATAGTGAAAAACCAAATATTCAGCAATAAAAACATGAAAGAAGCTACCTGTGAAACTGATTTGTGATGCGTGGATTCAGCTCACAGAATTAAACTTCTTTTGATTCAGCAGGTTGGAAACCCTCTTTTGTAGAAACTGAGAAGAGTCGTTTCGGAGCACATGAAGGCTTACAGTGAAAAATCGAATATCCCATGATAAAAACTAGAAATAATCTATCTGGGAAACTGCTTTGTGATGTGCTTCAGTTCACAGAGGAAAACATTTCTTTTGATTCAGCAGGCTGGAAACTCTTTTTTGTAGAATCTACAATGGGACATATAGCAACCCAATGAGACCTCTCTTGGAGAACAGAATATCCTGTGATAAAAACTAGAAAGAAGCTATATATGAAACTGCTTTGTGATGTGTGGATATGGTTCACAGAGGTAAACCTTCCTTTTCATTCAGCAGTTCAGAAAAACTCCTTTTGTAGAATCTGCAAAGGGACATTTCAGAGTCCACTGAGGTCTATAGTGAATTACCAAATGTCCCGTGATAAAAAAATATAAGGGAGTTATCTGTGAAACTGCTTTGTGATGTGTGGATTCAGTTATCAGAGTTAAGCCTTTTTCTTTCTTTTTTTATTTACTTTTATTATTATTATTATACTTTAAGTTTTATGGTACATGTGCACAATGTGCAGGTTAGTTACATATGTATACATGTGCAATGCTGGTGTGCTGCACCCATTAACTCGTCATTTAGCATTACGTATATCTCCTAATGCTATCCCTCTCCCCTCTCCCCACCCCACAACAGTCCCCAGAGTGTGATGTTCCCCTTCCTGTGTGTATGTGTTCTCATTGTTCAGTTCCCACCTATGAATGAGAACATGTGGTGCTTGTTTTTCTGTCCTTGCGATAGTTTACTGAGAATGATGATTTCCAATTTCATCCATGTCCCTACAAAGGACATGAACTCATCATTTTTTATGGCTGCATTGTACTCCATGGTGTACATGTGCCACATTTTCTTAATCCAGTCTATCATTGTTGGACATTTGGGTTGGTTCCAAGTCTTTGTTATTGTGAATAGTGCCACAGTAAACATAATTGTGCATGTGTCTTTATAGCAGCATGATTTATAGTCCTTTGGGTTTATACCCAGTAATGGGATGGCTGGGTCAAATGGTATTTCCAGTTCTAGATCCCTGAGGAATCGCCACACTAACTTCCACAATGGTTGAACTAGTTTACAGTCCCACCAACAGTGTAAAAGTGTTCCTATTTCTCCACATCCTCTCTAGCACCTGTTGTTTCCTGACTTTTGAATGACCACCATTCTAACTGGTGTGAGATGATATCTCATTGTGGTTTAGATTTGCATTCCTCTGATGGCCAGTGATGATGAGCATTTTTTCATGTGTTTTTTGGCTGCATAAATGTCTTCTTTTGAGAAGTATCTGTTCATATACTTCACCTATTTTTTGATGGGGTTGTTAGTTTTTTTCTTGTAAATTTGTTTGAGTTCATTGTAGATTCTGGATATTGGCCCTCTGTCAGATGAATAGGTTGCAAAAATTTTCTCCCATTTTGTAGGTTGCATGTTCACTCTGATGATAGTTTCTTTTGCTGTGCAGAAGCTCTTTAGTTTAATCAGATCCCATTTGTCAATTTTGGCTTTTGTTGCCATTGCTTTTGGTGTTTTAGACATGAAGTCCTTGCCCATGCCTATGTCCTGAATGGTAATGCCTAGGTTTTAAGTAACTTCAGCAAAGTCTCAGGATACAAAATCAATGTGCAGAAATTACAAACAGTCTTATACACCAATAACAGACAAACAGAGAGCCAAATCATGAGTGAACTCCCATTCACAGTTACTTCAAAGAGAATAAAATACCTAGGAATCCAACTTACAAGGGATGTGAAGGACCTCTTCAAGGAGAACTACAAACCACTGCTCAATGAAATAAAAGAGGATACAAACAAATGGAAGAACATTCCATGCTCATGGGTAGGAAGAATCAATATCATGAAAATGGCCATACTGTCCAAGGTAATTTATAGATTCAGTGCCATCCCCATCAAGCTACCAATGACTTTCTTCAAAGAATTGGAAAAAACTACTTTAAAGTTCATATGGAACCAAAAAAGAGCCCGCATCATCAATTCAATCCTAAGACAAAAGAACAAAGCTGGAGGCATCACGCTACCTGACTTCAAACTATACTACAAGGCTACAGTAACCAAAACAGCACGGTACTTGTACCAAAACAGAGATATAGATCAATGGAACAGAACAGAGCCCTCAGAAATAATGCCGTGTATCTACAACCATCTGATCTTTGACAAACCTGAGAAAAACAAGCAATGGGGAAAGGATTCCCTAGTTAATAAATGGTGCTGGGAAAACTGGCTAGCCATACATAGAAAGCTGAAACTGGATCCCTTCCTTATACCTTATACAAAAATTAATTCAAGATGGATTAAAGACTTAAATGTTAGACCTAAAACCATAAGCCTTTCTTTTCTTGTGGCAGTTGAAAACACTCCTTTTGTGGAATCTACGAAGGAACATGTCAGAGCACACAGAAGCCTATCCTGAAATACTGAATATACTGTGATATAAAGTAGATAAAATCTATCTGTGAAACTGTTTTGTGATGTGTGGATTCAGCTAACTAAGTGCAACCTTCCTTTTGATTCAGCAGTTTGGAAACACTCTTGTTGCATTTTCAGTGAAGGTACATTTCAGAGCTCACTGACGCCTACAGTGAAAAAGAGAATATACCACAGTGAAAACTTGATAGAAGCTATCTGTGAAACTGCTTTTTAATGTGTGCATTCAGCTCACAGAGATAAAACTTTATTTTGATTAAGGAGGTTGGAAAAACTTTTTGTAGACTCTGCAAGGAGACTTTTCAGAGCAAACTGAGGCCTATAGTGAAAAACAGAATATCCCATGATAAAAACTAGAAAGAAGCTACCTGTTAAACTGCTTTGTGATTTGTGAATTCAGCTCACAGAGTTAAATCTTTCTTTTGATTAAGCAGGTTGGAAAAACTCTTTTTGTAGAATCTGTGAGGGAACATTTTGGAGCCCACTTAGACATATAGTAAAAATCAAATATCCCATGATAAAAACTAGAAAGAGGCTATCTGTGAAACTGACTTGGGATGTGTGCATTCAGTTCTCAGAGTTAAATCTTTCCTTTTCTGTAGCAGGTTAGAAACACTCTCATTGTAGGATCTGCAAAGGGACATTTCAAAGCCCACTGAGGCTTATTGTGAAAAACTGAATATCACCAATCAAAACTAGAAAGAATCTATCTGTGAATCTGTTCTGTGATGTGTGGATTTATCTCACAAATTTAAACCTTTTTTTTATTTCACAAGTTAGAAACACCCTTTCTGTAGAATCTCTGAATGGACATTTCAGAGCCCATTGAGGCCTGCACTGAAAAATTGAATATCTTGTAATAAAAAATTAGAAAGAAGCTATCTGTGAAACTGCTTTGTGATCAGTGAATTCAGCTCAAAGATTTAAACCTTTCCTTTGATTCAGTAGGTTGGAAACACTCTTTTTACAGAATATGTGAAGGTACATTTCAGAGCCCAATGTGGCCGAGATTAAAAAACAAAACACACTGAGATAAAAAGGAGTAAAGAGCTGTCTGTGAAACTGCTTTGTGATGTCAGCATTCAGCTCAAAGCGTTAAATATTTCTATTGATTCAGAAGATAAAAACACTCTTTTTGTGCAATCTGTGATGGGACATTTTGGAGCCCACTGATTGCTATAGTGAAAAACTGAGTATCCTACAATAAAAACTAAAAATAAGATATGTATGAAACTCTTTTGTGATGTATGGATTCAGGACACAGAGCTACACCTCTCTTTTGATTCAGCTGGTTAGAAACACTCTTTTTGTAGAATCAGCAGTGGGACATCTTGGAACCACTGAGGCCTATAGTTAAAAGTGAATATCCCTTGATAAAAACTAGAAAGAAGCTATCTGGAAAACTGCTTTGTGATGTGTGGATTCAGCTCAAAAAGTTAAAACTTTATTTTGACTCTGCATGTTGGAAGCACCCTTTTTGTACTATCTGCACGGGGACACTTCAGAGCCAACTGAGGTGTAGAGTGAAAAACCAAATATCCTGTGATAAAAACTTGAAAGAAGCTATCTGTGATACTGGATGTGATGTTTGGACTCAGATCACAGATTTTAACCTTTCTTTTCATTCAGCAGTTTGAAAACACTCTTTTTGTAGGATTAGCAAAGGGATATTTCAAAGCCCACTGAGACCTCTTGTGAAAAATCAAATATACCCTGATGAAAAACAGAAAATGCTTTGTGATGTGTGGATTCATCTAACAAAGTTAAAACTTTCTTTTTATTCAACAGGTTGGAAACACTCTTTCTTTAGAATCTGTGAGGGGATATTTAGAAACCCACTGGAACCTCTAGAGAAGAACTAAATATCTCACAATAAAAACTAGAGGGTGTATCTGAGAAACTGCTTTGTGATGTGTGGATTCAGATCACAAAATTAAACCTTTCTTTTCATTCAACAGTTTGGAAACACTCTTTTTGTAGAATCTGCTAAGAAATATTTTGGAGCCCACTGATCCCTAAAGTGAAAAACCGTATATCCCAAAATAAAAACTAGACAGTAGCTATCAGTGAAACAGCTTTGTGATGTGTAGATTTAGTTCTCAGACTTAAGCCTTTTTTTTTTTGCAGAAATTTGGAAACATCTTTTTATAGAATCTGTGAAGAAATATTTTGGAGCCCACTGAAGCCTATAGTGAAAACTCATATATCCCCATGATAAAAACTAGAGAGAAGCTATCTGAAACTCTTTTGTTACAAATGGATTCAGCTTACAGAGTTTAACTTTTCTTTTGTTTTTTTTTTTTTGTTTCATTAGGTTGTAACACTTTTTTGTACAAATCTACGAGCCCACTAAACCTTATAATGAAAAACTGAATTTCCCATGATAAAAATTAGAAAGAAGCTATCTGTGAAACTGCTTTCTTTTTGACGTGTGGATTTGGCTTACAAAGTTAAACATTTCTTTTGATTCCAAAGAATGGAAACATGCTTTTTGTAGAATCTGCGAAGGGACATTTCAGAACCACTGAGGCCTGTAGTGAAAAACCAAATATCCCATGACAAAAACTAGAAAGAATTTATCTGTGAAACTGCTTTGTGATGTGTGCATTCAGGTCAAAGAGTAAAAACTTTCTTTTGATTCAGCAAGTTGGAGAAACCCTTTTTGTAGAATCTGATGGAATATTCAGAGCGAACCAATGCCTATAGTGAAAACCCGAAAATCCCACAATAAAAACTAAAAAGAAGCTATCTGTGAAGCTGCTTTGTGTTGTGTGGGTTCCTGTCAGAGTTAAACCTTTCTTTTCATTCAGCAGGTTTGAAACACTCTTTTTTTTAGAATCTGTGAGGAAATATTCCAAACCCATTGAGGCCTATGGTGAAAAAATGAAAATTTGGGGTTAAAAATTAGAAAAAAGCTATCTGTGAAAATACTTTGGGATGTGTGCACTCAGCTCACAAAGTTAAACTTTTCTTTTGATTCAGCAGGTGGGAAGCACTGTTTTTTTAGAATCTACAATGGGACATTTCAAAGCCCACGTAGGCCTATAGTGAAAAACCTAAAATCCCACAACAGAAACTGGTAAGAAGATATCCTGAAACTGCTTTGTGATCTGTAAATTCAGCTCACAGCATTAAACTTTTCTTATAATTCAGAAGGTTTGAAACACTTCTTTTGTAGAATCTGTGAAGGGACATTTCAAAGCCCACTAGGGCCTTATAGGCCTGTGAAACTGCATTGTAATGTGTGGATTCAGCTCCTGGAGTGGAACTTTTTTTTGATTCAGCAGGTTCTAAACACTCTTTTTGTAGAAACTATGAGGTGAAAATTTGGAACCCACTAGAACCTACAGTGAAAAACTGAATTTCCCGTGATAAAAATTAGAAAGAAATGATCTGTGAGACGACTTTGTGATGTGTGGATTCATCTCAAAGAGTTAAACCTTTCTTTTGATTCAGCAGGTTGGAAACACTCATCTTGTAGAATCAGCGAAGGGGTGTTTCAAAGCCCACAAAGGCCTACAGTGAAAAGCTGAATATCCTGTGATAAAAACAAGAAAGAAGCTATCTGTGAAACTACTTTGTGATGTGTGGATTTAACTAATAGAGATAAACCATTCTTTTAATTCACGAGGTGGGAAACACTCTTTTTGTAGATCCGCGAAGGGACATTTCAAAACCCAATGAAGCCTATAGTGAGATACCAAGTATCCCACAATGAAAACTAGAAATATAAACTAGAAAAATACTGTCTTTGCAACTATTTTGTGATATGTGGATTCAGTTCAAACAGTTAAATCTTTTGATTAAGCACTTTGGAAACACTCTTTTTGCAGACTATGGCAAGGGATACTTCAGAGCCCACTGAGGCCTAGAGTAAAAAACAGAATATCACGCAATAAAAACAAGAAAAATGCTATTTGTGAAACTGCTTTGTGATGTGTGGATGAAGCTGACAGAGTTAAACCTTTATTTTGATTCAGCAGGTTGAAAATACTATTTTGTAGAACATGGGAAGTCTCTTTTCTGAGCCTAGTGAGGTCTATAGTGGAAAACTGAATATCAGGTGGTAAAAACTAGAATGATCCTATCTGTGAAACTCCTTTGTGGTGTGTGAATTCAGATAAAAGAGTTAAACTTTTCTTTTGATTCAGCACATTGGAAACACTCATTTTGAAGCAACTGCCAAAAAACACTTTGGAGCATACTGCAGCCTATAGTGTAAGACAGAATATCCTATGATATATACTAGAAAAAAAGTTGTCTGTGAAACTGCTTTGTGAAGTGTGGATTCATCTCAAAGAGTTAAACCTTTCTTTTGTTTCAGGAGTTTGGAGACACTCTTCTTGTAGAGTCTGCGAGAAGACATTTTGGAATTCACTGAGGGCTATAGTAAAAGATCAAATATCCTCAAGAAAAACTAGAAACTATCTGTGAAACTGCCTTGTGATGTGTGCTTTCATCCCAGGGAGTTAAACTTTTCTTTTGATTCAGCAGATTGGAAACACTCTTTTTGTTGAATCTGTGAAGGGACATTTCATAGCCCGTGGAGGCCTACAGTGAAAAACCAATTATCCCATGATAACAACTAGAAAGAAGTTATCTGTCAAACTGCTTTGTGATATGTGAATTCACCACAAAGAGTTAAATCTTTCTTTTGTTGCAGCACGTTGGAAACACTTTTTCTGTAGAATCTGCGAAGGGATAATTCAGAGCCAACAGATGTGTAGAGTGAAAAACTGAATATCCTACAATAAAAACTAGAAATAAGCTATCTGTGATACAGCTATTTGATGCGTGGGTTCAGCTCACAGAGTTAAACCTTTCTTTTGATTCAACAGGTTATAAACAGTCTTTTGTAAAACCTGCAAAGGGACATTGTAGAACCCACTGAGGGCTATGTAAAAAAAAAAGAATGTCTCACTATAAAAACTAGAAATAAGCTGTCTGTTATACTGCTTTGTGATGTGTGCATTCAGCTCACAGAATTGAACCTTTATTTTCAGGCAGCATGGTGGAAACTCTGTTTTTGTAGAATCTGCAAAGGGATAGTTTGGAGCCCACTGAGGCCTATAGTGAAAAACTGAACATCCAGTGATAAAAACTAGAAAGAGGCTATCTGTGAAGCTGCTTTGCAATGTGTGCAGTCAACTCACAGAGATAAATTTTTGTTTTGATTCAGCAGGTTGGAAATTCTCTTTTGTAGAATCTGTGAAGAGACATTTTAGAGGTCACTTAGGTCTATAGTGGAAAACAAAATATCTCATGATAAGAACAAGAAAGAAGCTATCTGTGAAACTGCTTTGTGAGGTGTGCATTCAGCTCACAAAGTTAAAGCTTTCTTTTGATTCAACAGGTTGGAAACACTGTTTTTGTAGAATTTGCAAATGGGCATTTCGGAGCCCACTGAGGTCTACAGTGAAAAACAGGATATCCCATGGTAAAAATTAGAAAGAAGCTGTCTGTGAAACTGCTTTGTGATGTGTGCATTCACTCACAGAGTTAAATCTTTCTTTTGATTCAGCAAGTTGGAAACACTCTTTTTGTAGAATCTGTAGAGAAATATTTCAGAGCCCACTGCAGAGTATAGTGAAAAATTGAATATTTTGCAATAAAAACTAGAAAGAAGCTATCTGTGAAACTGATTTGTGATGGGTGGATTCAGCTCACAAAGTTAACTGTTTCTTTTGCTTTAGCAGTTTGGAAACTGTTTTTGTAGAATCTGCACAGGGACATTTTGGAGTCTACAAAGGCCTTACATGAAAAACTAAATATTTTGCGATCAAAACGATGAAGAAGCTATCTGTGAATTGTTTTGTTATGTATGGATTCAGCTCACAGAGTAAAACCTTTCTATTAATTCATCTGGTTGGAAAACTCCTTTTGGAGAATCTGAGAAAAGACATTTTGCAGCCCACTGAGGTCTATAGTGAAAAACTGAAAATCCTGCAGTAAAAACTGTAAAGAAGCTGTCTGTTAAACTGTTTTGTGATGTTTGCATTCAGCTCACAGAGTTTACCTTTCTTTTCAACCAGTAGGTTGGAAACACTCTTTTGATATTATCTGTGAAGGGACATTTGGAGCCTTCTGAGGCCTATAGTGAGAAACAGAATATCCCAAAATAAAAACCAGAAAGAATTTATCTATGAAACTATTTTGTGATGAGTGCACTCAGCTCACAAGCTCACAGAATTGTAACTTTCTTTTGATTCAACAGATTGGAAATGCTCTTTTTGAGGAATCTAGGAACAGATATTTTGGAGCCCACTGACGCCTATAGTGAAAAAGTGAATATCCCATAATAAAAATTAGAAAGAAGCTGTCTGTGAAACTACTTTGTGATGTGTGCATTCAGCTCACAGAGTTAAACTTTTTTTTTTTTTATTCAGCAGGTTGGAAACAGTCTCTTTGTAGAATATGCAAAGGGACATTTCAAAGCCCCCTGAGGTGAATGGAGAAAAACCAAATATCTTGTGATAAAAACTAGAAAGAAGCTATCCATAAAGCTGCTTTCTGATGTGTAGATTTAGTTCACAGAGTTAAATCTTTATTTGATTCAGCAGTTTGGAAACACTCTTTTTGTAGAATCTGCAAAGGGAAGTTTTGGAGCCTTCTGAGGCCTATAATAAAAAAACAAAATATCCCATAATAAAAATTACTAAGATACTATCTGTTAAACTGCTTTCTGATGTGTGGATTAAACTCACAGAGTTAAAACTCTCTTGTGATTCAGCAGGTTGGAAACACTGTTTTTGTAAAACCTGTGAAGGGACATATCGGAGCCCACTGAGGCCCATACTGAGAAACAAAATATCCCACTACAAAAACAAAAAAAGCTAACTGTGAAACCACTTTGTGATGTGTGCATTTAGTTCACAGAGTTAAACCTTTCTTTTGCTTCAGCAGGTTGAAAACACTTTTTTTTGTATAATCTATGAAGGGACATTTCAGAGCCGAATAGGCCCATAGTGAAAAACCGAATATCCTGTTATTAAAAAAACTAGAAATAAACTATTTCTGAAACCACATTGTGATGTGTGCATCCAGCTCACAGAGTTAAACCTTTGTCTTGATTAAGCAGGTTGGAAACACTTTTTTTGTAGAATCTGCGAAGGGACATTTCAAAGCCCACAGACACCTAGTTTGAAAAGCAGAAATTCCCACAAAATAAACTAGAAATAAACTATCTGTGAAAATGCTTTGTGATGTGTGGATTCAGCTCACAAAGTTAACCCTTTCTTTTAATTTAGCAGGTTGGAAACACTTTTGTTGTAGAATCTGTGAATAGACATTTTGGAATCTACTGAGGCATAACCTGAAAAACTGAATATTTCACAATCAAAACTAGAAAAAAAAACTATCTGTGAAGTTGTTTTGTGATGTATGGATTCAGCTCATAGAGGTAAAGATTTCTATTCATGCCTAAGGTTGAAAAACTTTTTTTGGAGAATCAGATAAGGGACATTTTGGAGCCCACTGAGGCCTACTGTGAAAAACCGAATATCCCATGATAAAAACTATGAAGAAGCTATTTGTGAAACTGCTTTGTGACTTGTGGATTCAGTTCACAGAAATCAATCTTTCTTTTGATTCAAAGGGTTGGAAACACTCTTTTTGTAGAATCTGCCAAAGGACATTTCAAAGCCCAATTATGCCTATAGTGAAAAAAAAGAATATCCAGTGATAAAAACTAGAATGAAGCTATCTTTGAAATTACTTTGTGTTGTGTGGATTCAACTCACAGAGTTAAACCTTTCTTTTGATTCATCACGTTGGAAACAATGTTTCTGTAGAATCTGCAAAAAGCCATTCCAGAGCCACTGAGGCCTACAGTTAAAAATTGAATATCCCACCATAGTAACTAGAAAGAAGCTATCTGTGAAACTAATTTCTGATGCCTACATTCATATCACAGAAATGAACCTTTCTTTTGATTCAACAGGTTGAAAACACTCTGTTTGTAGAATCTGTAAGGGGGCATTTCTGAGCCAACTAAGGTCTATAATGTAAAACTAGATATCCCACAATAAAACACTCTTTTTGTATCCAATAAAAACTAGAGAGAAGCTATCTGTGAAACTGCTTTGTGATGTGTGCATTCTACATACAGTGTTAAAACTTTTTTTTTTTTTTATTCAGCAGTCTGGAAATAAATCTTTTGTGAAATTTTTGAAGGGACATTCTGTAGAAACTGCTTTGTGAGGTGTGGATTCAACTCACAGAGTTAAAACTTTCTTTTGATTCAGAACACTCTTTTTGTACAACCTGAAAAAGTCATTTCAGAGAAAAATGATGCCTACAGTGATAAACCAAATATCTTAAAATAAAAACTACAAACAAGCCATCTGTGAAACAGCTTTGTGATGCATGCATTCACTTCAAAACATTAAACATTCCTGTTAATTCACCAGAATGGAAAATCTCTTTTTATAGAATCTGCGAAGGGACATTTCAGAGCCAACTGAGGCCTATAGTGAAAAAGTGAAGATCCTGTGATAAAAACTAGAAAGAAATTATCTGTGAAACTGCATTGTGAAGTGTGGATTAAGCTCACAGAGTTAAACCTTTCTTTTGATTCAATAGGTTGGGAACACTCTTTTTCTGGAATCTGCAAGAAGACATTTTGAAGGAAACTGAGGCCTATAGTGAAAAACTGAATATTCTACAATAAATACTAGAAAGAAGCTATCTGTGAAACTTCTTTGTGATGTGTTGATTCAACTCATAGAGTTAAACCTTTCTTTGGATTCAGCAGGTTGGAATCACTCTTTTTGTAGAATTTGTGAAGGGACATTTTTGAGCCCATTGAGGCCTCTAATGAAAAACGAAATATCCCCAGCTAAAAACTAAAAAGAAGATATCAGTGAAACTGTGCTGTGGTTTGTGGATTCAGCTCACAGAGTTACACCTTTCATTTTATTCAGCAAATTGGAAACACTCTTCTTGTAGAATCTGTGAAGGGAAATTTGAGGCCCACTGGAGCCTACAGTGAAAAACAAAATATGCCTTGATGAAAAATAAACAGGAGCTATAAGTGAAACTGCTTTGTGATGAGTGGATTCAGCTCAACGATTTAAATGACATTTTTGATTCAACAGCTTGAAGACACTCTTTTAATAGGTTCAGTGGAGGGATATTACTGAACACACAGAGACCTATAATGAAAAACTGATTGTTCTGCAATGAAAACTAGAAAGAAGTTATCTGTGAAAGTGCTATATAATGTGTGGATTCAGCTCACACAGTTAAACTTTCTTTTGATTCTGTAGGTTGGAAACACTCATTTTGTAGAATCTGTGAAGGGATACTTTGGAGCAAACTGATGCCTATAGTAAAAAACCGAATATCCCATGTTAAAAACTACAAGAACCTATCTGTGAAACTGCTATGTGATGAGTGTATTGAGTTAACAGAGTTAGACCTTTCCTTTGATTTAGCAGGTTTGGAACACTCTTTTTGTAGAATCTTCCCGAGGATATTTCGGAGCCCACTGAAAACCATAGTGAAAAAACAAATATACAGTGATGAAAACTAGAAAGAAGCTGTCTGTGAAACTGCTTTGTGATGTGCAGATTCAGCTCACAGAGTTAAAACTTTCTTTTTATTCAGCAGTTTGGAGACCCTTTTTTTCTAGGAACTGTGAGGGGACATATCAGAGCTTACTGAGGCCTATAGTGAAAACCCAAATAATCCACAATAAAAACTAAAAGGAAGCTGTCTGTGAAACTGTTTTGTGTTGTGTGGATTAAGCTTAGAGAATTAAACCTTTCTTTTGATTCAGCAGGTTGGAAACACTCTTTTTGTCGAATCTGTGAAGGGACTTTTGGTGGCCAATGAGGCCTATAGGGAAAACAAAATATCCATCAATAAAATCTACAAAGAAGAAATCTGTGAAACTCCTTTGTGATGTGTGGATTCAGCTCACAAAGTTAAACCTTTATTTAGGTTCATTAAGTTGCAAACACTCTTTTTGTAGAATCTGTAAGGGTACATTTCAGATCACACTGAGAACTGTAGTGAAAAACTGAATATTCCTCAGTAAAAACTAGATAGAAGCTATCTGTGAAACTTCATTGTAAGGTGTGCATTCAACTCACAGAGTTCAAACTTTCCTTTGATTCAGCGTGTTGGAAACACTCTTTTTGTAAAGTCTTCAAAAAGATATTTGAAGCAAACTGAGGCCTATAGTAAAAGCTGAATATCTTGCCATAAAAACTAGAAGAAATCTATCTGTGAAACTTCTTTGGGATGTGAGCATTCAGCTCACAGGATTAAACCATTCTTTTGATTCAGCAGGTTGGAAACACTCTTTTTGCAGAATCTGTGAAGGGATATTTCCAAGTCCATGGAGACATATAGTGAAAAACTGAATGTCCCATGATGAAAACTAGAAGGAAGCTCTCTGTGAAACTGCTTTGTGATGTCTGACTTTCCTCAGAGAGTTAAAACTTTCTTTTAATTCAGCAGGTTGGAAACAACCCTTTTTGTAAGATCTTCAAAATGACATTTGAAACCCGATGAGGCCTATAGTGAAAAACTGAACATTTCGTTATTAAAAAAAAAAAAAAAAAAAAAAAACTAGAAAGAACCTAAGGTGAAGGGACATTTCAAAGTACAGAGATACCTATAGTGAAAACCCGAATATTCTGTGATAAAAATTAGAAAGAAGTTACCTGTGAAAGTGCCATGTGATGTGTTGATTCGACTCACAGGGTTAAACCTTTCTTTTGATTCCATATGTTGGAAAAACTCATTTTGTAAAATCTGTGAAGGGATATTTAGGAGCAAACTGAGGCCTATAGTGAAAAACGAAATATCTCATGATAAAAACTACTAAGAAGCTATGTGTGACACAGCTTTGTGATATGTGCATTCACCTCACAGAGCTAAACCTTTCTTTTGATTCACCATTTGGAAACACTCTTTCTGTAGGAAATGCGAGGGGACATATCCGAGGCCACTGAGGCCTATAGTAAAAACTCAAATATTCTGCAATAAAAACTAGAAAGAAGCTATCTGTGAAACTGCTTTGTGATGTGTGGATTCAGCTCACAGAGTTAAACCTTTCTTTTGATTCAGCAAATTTGAAACACTCCTTTTAAAGAATCCACAAAGAGACATTTTGGAGCCCAATGAGGTCTATGGTGAAAAACTGAATTTCTGCCGATTAAAACTAGAAAGAAGCAATCTGTGAAACTGTTTTGCGATGTGTGGATTCAGCTCACAGAGCAAAACTTTTCTTTTGATTCAGCAGGTTGGAAACCCTCTTTTTGTACAATCTGTGAAAAGGCATTTCACAGCCCACTGAGACCTATAGTGAAAAACTGAATATCCCGTGATAAAAACTAGAAAGATGCTATCTGTGAAACTCCTTTGTGATGTCTGGATTTTGCTCACAGAGTTAAAACATTCTTTCATTCAGCAGGTTGAAAACACTCTTTTTGTAGGATATGCAAAAAAAAATTTCAAAGCCCACAGGGGCTGACAGTAAAAAAAAAAAAAAAAGGAAAAGAAAATCCTAACATTTTGTGATTAAAAACTAGAAAGAATCTATCTGTGAAGCTGCTTTGTGATGTGTGGATTCAGCTCGCAGAGTTAAACCTGTCTTTTGATTCAGCTGGTTGGAAACACTCTTTTTGTATAATCTGCAAAGGGACATTTCAGAGTCCACTGAGACTTACAGTGAAAAACAAAATATCCTATGATAAAAACTACACAGAAGATATCTGTGAAACTGATTTTTGATGCGTAGATTCAGCTTATAGAGATAATTTTTTTTGATTCAGCAGGTTAGAAACACTCTTTTCGTAAGATCTGCAAAGAGACATTTCAGAGCACACAGACCTACAGTAAAAAAATATATATATAAAAACTAGAAACAAGCTATCTGTGAAAGTGCTATGTGATGTGCCATTTCAGCTCACAGAGTTAAATTGTTCTTTTGATTCAGTGGGATGGAAACACTCATTTTGTACAATCTGTGAAGGGATATTTCAATGCAACCTGAGGCTTGTAATGAAAAACCCAATATCCAGCTATAAAACTACAAAGAAGCTCTCTGTGAAACTGCTTTGTGATATATGCATTCATTTCAGAGAGTTAAAACATTCTTTCAACTCAGCAAGTTGGAAACCCTCTTTTTGTAGACTCTGCAAGGGAGGGGACATTTAGGAACCGACTGAGGCCTATAGTAAACAAGTGAATATTTCCTGATCAAAACTAGAAAGGAGCTATGGGTGATACTGCTATGTGATGTGTGCATTGAGTTCAGAGTCAAACCTCTTTCTGGCTTTAGCAGGTTGGAAACACTCTTTTTGTAGAATTTGTGAGGGGACATTTGGAGCCCACTGAGGCCTATAGTGAAAAACAGAATGTCCCACAATAAAAACTAGAAAGAAGCTATCTTTGAAACTGCTTTGTGATGTGTGCATTCAGCTCGCAAACTTAAATTTTTCTTTGATTCAACATATAGGAAACACTCTCTTTGAAGAATCTGCGAGGTGACTTTTCTGACCCCACTGAGGCCAATAGTGAAAAACCAAATATCCTGCAATAAGAATTAGAAAGAAGCTATCTGTGAAACTTCCTTGTGATGTGTGGATTCAGCTCACAGAAGGAAACTTTTCCTTTGATTATGCAGGTTGAAAACCCTCTTCTTGTAGAATCTGTGAAGGGATATTTCAGAGCAAACTGAGGCTTAAAGTGAAAAACTGACTATTTCCTGATAAAAACTAGAAAGAAGTTAACTGTTAAACTGCTTTGTGACGTGTGCATTCTGCTCACAGAGTTAAACATTTCATTTCTTTCAGCAGGTTGGAAATACTCTTTTTGTAGAATATGCAAAAGTACATTTGGGAGATCATTGAGGCCTATGGTGAAAAACTGAATATCCTGTAATAAAAACTAGAAAGAAGCTATCTGTATAACTGCCTTGTGGTTTGTTGATTCAGCTCACAGAATTACACCTTTCTTTTGATTCAGCAGGTTGGAAACAGTATTCTTGTAGAATCTGTGAAGGGAATTGAAAAGCCCACATAGGCCTACAGTGAGAAACTAAATATTCCATGACAAAAACTACCCAGAAGCTATCTATGAAGCTGCCTTGTGCTGTCTGGATTCATCTTAAAGAATTAAATTTCTTTTCTGATTCTGCAGGTTGGAAATACTCCTTTAGTAGGATCTGCAAAGGAACATTTTGGATCACACAGAGAAAAACTGAAAATTCTTTGATGAAAACTGGAAAGAAGCTATCTGTTAAACTGCTTTGTGATGTGTGCATTCAGCTAACAGGGTTAAATGTTTATTTTGGTTCTGCAGGTTGAAAACCCTTTTTTGCAGAATCAGCAAAGGAATATTTCGGAGCCCACTGAGGTCTATAGTGAAACATCGAATATCGTGTGATAAAAACTAGAAAGAAGCTCCCTGTGAAACTGCCTTGTGATCTGTGGATTCAGCTCACAGAGTTAAACCTTTCTATTAATTCAGGAGGTGGGAAACACTTTTCTGGCAGATTTGAAGATGGGATATTTTGGATCCAAATGAGACATACAGTGAAAAACCAAATGTCCCTTGATATATACTAGAAAAAATCTATTTGTGAAAGTGCTTTTTGAAGTGTGCATTTGGTTCACAGAGTTACATCTTTCTTTTGATTCAGCAGATTGTAAGCAGTCTTTTTGTAAAATCTGTGAGGGTACATTTCAGAGCACACTGAGGCCAATAGTAAAAATATGAATATCCCACAATAAAAACTAGAATTAAGCTATCTATGAAACTGCTTTCAGCACAAATGTTAAACTATTCTTTTGATTTCACAGAGTGGAAATATTATTTTTTTACAATCTGTGAAGGGACATTTTAGACTGCGCTAAGGCCAAAAGTGAAAAACTGAATATCACAAGATAAAAACTAGAAAGAAGCTATCTGTGAAACTGCTTGGTGATGTTTGGATTCATCTCACAGAGATAAACTTTTCTTTTGATTCAGCAGATTGAAAACACTCTTTTGTAAACTCTGCAAAGGGACGCTTCAGAGCCCGTTGAAGCCTACAGTAAACAATGGAATTTCCCATAATAAAAAACAATTAAGAATCTATCTGTGAAACTGCTTTGTGAGGCATGGATTCAGCTAACAGTGTTAAACCTTCCATTTCATTCAGCAGTTTCAAAACACTCTTTTTGTAGAATATGCAGAGAGAAATTTCATAACCCATTAAGGCCTACAGTGAAAAACAAAATACCCCACAATAAAAACTACAAAGAAACTCTCTGTGAAATTGGTTTGTGGTATGAACATTCAGCTCATGGAGTCAAACCTGTCCTTTGATTCAGCAGGTTGGAAACACTTTTTATGGAGAATCTGCAATGGGACATTTCAGAACCTACAGAGGTGTATGGTGAAAAACAGAATATGCTGTAAAACAAAAAACAAGAAAGAAGCTATCTGTGAAACTGCTTTCAGATGTGTAGATTCAGCTTACAGAATTAAATCTTTCCTTTGATTCAGCACATTGGAAACACTGTATTAGTAGTATCTGCAAACAACAGTTCAAAGCAAACTGAGGCCTATACTGAAAAAAACAAAAATTCCTTGATAAAACCTAGAAAGAAGCTCTCTGTGAAACTGCTTTTTGGTGTTTTCATTCAGTTTACAGAGTTAAACCACTCTTTTTGAAGAATCTGTGATAGGACATTTCAGAGCCCACCGAGGCCTATACAGAAAACCTGAATATCCCACAATAAAAACAGAAAGACGTTATCTGTAAAACTGCTTTTGATATGTGAATTCACCTCACAGAGTTAAACCTTGTTTTTTATTCAGCAGGTTGGAAACACTATTTTTTTAAGAATCTGCAAAAAGAAATTTCAGAGTCCACTGAGACCTAGAGCGAGAAACTGAATATCCCATGATAGAAACCAGAAATAAGCAATCTATGAAACTGCTTTGTGATTAGTGGATTAAGTTCACAGAGTTAAACTTTTCATTCAGCAGGTTGGAAGCCCTTTTTTATATAATATGCAAAGGGACATTTCAGAGCCCACTGTGTTCTATAGCAAAAAATGGAATATCCCACAATAAAAACTATTAAGAAGCTACCTGTCAACCTGTTTTGTGATGTGTGGATTCAGCTCACAGAGCTAAACTTTCTTTTTATTTAGCAGGTTGTACACACTCTTTTTGCACAATCTGCTATAAAAGATTTTGGAGCCCACTTAGGCCTATAGTGAAAAATCGAATATCCTGTGATAAAAACTATTAAGAAGTTATCTGTCAACCTGCTTTGTGATGTATGTGTTCAACTCAGAGAGTTAAACGTTTCTTTAAATTCGGTAGTTTGGAAAGACTTTTTTTTTTTGTAGAATATGAGAAGGGACATTTCAAAGCCCATTTTGGCCTGCAGTGAAAAAAAAAATATCCTTAGATAAAACTACAAAAATGCTAACTGTGAAACTGCTTTGTGATGTGGCGACTCAGCTCACAAAGTTAAACATTTCTTTTGAATCAGCAGGTTGGAAACACTCTTTTTGTAGGACCTTCAATGGGACATTTTGGAGCCCACGGAGGCCTATACTAAAAAATTGAATATTTTGCAAAGAAAGAACAAGAAAAATGCTATCTCTGAAATTGCTTTGTTTTGTGTGGATTCAGCTAACAAAATTAAACCTTTCTTTTGATTCAGCAGGTTGGTAGCACTCTTTTTATACAATCACTGAAGGGACATTTCAGAGCCCACTGAAGTCTAGAGTGAAAAAAATATACCTGCAATAAAAACTATTAAGAAGCTATCTTTGAAATTGCTTTGTGATGCGTGGATTCAGCTCACAGAGTTAAACCTCACTTTTGATTCAGCAGTTTGGAAACACTCCTTTTGTTGAATATGCGAAAAGACATTTCATAGCCCATTGAGGCCTACAGTGAAAAACTAAATATCCCGTGATAAAAACTACAAAGAAGCTATCTGCAAAACTGATTTCTGATGTGAACATTCAGCTCACAGAGATAAACCTTTCATTTGATTCAGCAGGTGGAAACACTTTTTTTGTAGACTCCATGATGGGACATTTCAGAACCCACAGAGGACCATAGTGAAAAACTGAATATTCTGCCAAACAAAAAACTAGAAAGAAGCTATCTGTGAAATTGCTTTGAGATGAGTTGATTCAGCTCACAGATTAAACCTTTCTTTTAATTCAGCAAGTGTGAAACACTCTTTCTGTAGAATCTGCAAATGACAGTTTTGAGTAAACTGAGGCCTATAGTGAAAAACCAAAAATCCCGAGATAAAAACTAGAAAGAAGCTCTCTGTGAAATGGCTTTGTCATGCTTGCATTCAGTTTACAGAGCTTAATCATTCTTTAGATTCAGCAGGTGGAAAACACTCTTTTTGTAGAATCTGTGAAGGGACATTTTAGAGCCTACTGAGGCCTATACTGAAAACCTGAATATTCAACAATAAAAACTAGAAAGAAGCCATCTTTGAAACTGCTTTGTGATGTATGGATTCACCTCACAGAGTTCAATCTTGTCTTTTATTCAGCAGGCTGGAAACACTCTTTTTGTAGAATCTGCAAGAAGAGAATTCAGAGTCCATTAAGCCTATAGTGAAAAACCAAATATCCCATGATAGAAACCAGAAATAAGTGATCTGTGAAACTGCTTTGTGACTTGTGGATTCACCTCACAGGTTAAACCTTGTTTTTTATTCAGCAAGTTGGAAACACTGTTTTTGTAGAATCTGCAAAAAGACAATTCAGAGTCCACTTAGGCCTATAGTGTAAAACTGAATATCCCATGATAGAAACCAGAAATAAGTGATCTGTGAAACTGTTTTGTGATTTGCGGAGTCAGTTCACAGAGTTAAATTTTTATTTTGATTCAGCAAGTTGGAAACACTATTTTCATAGAAACTGCAAAGGGACACTTCAGAGCCCACTGGGTTCTATAGTGAAAAATGAAATATCCCACCATAAAAACTAAAGAGAAGCTATCTGTGAAACTACTTTGTGATGTGTGCTTTCAGCTCACAGAGTTAAACCATTATTTTGATTCAGCAGGCTGGAACTTTTCTTGTTTTTGAATCTGTGAAGGGGCATTTCAGAGGCCCTGAGGCCAATAGTGAAAAACTGAATATTTCATGATAAAAACTCCAAAAACCTATCTGTGAAACTGGATTGTGATATTTGGATTCAGCTCATATATTTAAGCCATTTTTTTTTCATTCAGCAAGTTGAAGACACGCTTTTTGTAGAATCTGTGAAGGGACATTTCAGAGCTCACTGAGACCTATACTGAAAAAGGTATATCCCACAGTAAAACTAGGAAGAAGCTATCTGTGAAATTGCTTTGTGACTTGTGGATTCAACTCACAGAGTTAAAACTTTTTTTTTGGATTCAGCAGGTTGTCAACACTCTTCTTGTAGAATCTGCAAAGGGACATTTTGGAGTAAACTGAGGCCTGTATTAAAAAACTGAAAATATCACGATGAATACTAGATAGAAGCTATCTGAGAAACTGCTTTATGATGTTTGCATTCAGTTCTCTGAGTTAAATTTTCTTTTGATTCAGCAGGTTGGAAACATGCTTTTTGTAGTATCTGCAAAGGGACATTTCAGTGCTCTCTGAGGCCTATAGTGAGAAACAGAATATCTCATGATAAAAACAGAAAGAAGCTCTCTGTTACCTCTTTGTGATGTGTCCATTCAGTTTATAGTTAAACATTTTTTTTATTCAGCAGGTTGGAAATAATCTTTTTGTAGAAATCTGTGAAGGGACACTTCAGAGCCCACTAA
The DNA here is from genome assembly GCF_000001405.40 of Homo sapiens. Taxonomy (NCBI): domain Eukaryota; kingdom Metazoa; phylum Chordata; class Mammalia; order Primates; family Hominidae; genus Homo; species Homo sapiens. Next base: position 46,292,539 of record NC_000008.11, on the reverse strand, counting down.
AGCCTATACTGAAAAACCAAATATGCCACGATATAAACTAAAAAGAAGCTATCCATGAAACTGCTTTGTGATATGGGCATTCAGTTTACAAACTTAAACCTTTCTTTTGATTCAGCAGGTTGGCAACACTCTTTCTGTAGAATCTGTGAAGGGACATTTCAGAGCTTAGTGAAGCCTATAGTGAAAAATTGAATATCCTGTGATAAAAACTACAAACATGCTATCTATGAAACGGCTTTGTGATGTGTGGATTCAGTTCACAGAAGTAAACCTTTCTTTGATTCAGCAGGTTGGAAACACACTTTTTGTAGAAGCTGCAAAGGGACATTTTGGAACCCACTGAGACCTACAGGGAAAAAATGAATATCCCAGGAGAAAAACCAGAAAGACACTATTTGTGAAAGGAATTTGTGATGTGTGCATTCAGTTCACAGAGCTAAACTATTATTTTTATTCAGCAGGTTGGAAGCACTCCTTTTGTGGAATCTGCAAAGAGACATTTCAAAGCCCAATGTGGGCAATATTGAAAAACTGAATATGCCACAATATAAACTAGAAAGAAGCTACCTGGAAAAATGCATTGTGATATGTGGATTCAAAACACAGAGTTCTACTTTTCTTTTGATTCTCTAGGATGAAGACACACTTTCTGTAGAATATGCAAAGGACATTTCCAAACCCACTGAGTCCTATAGTGAAGCACCAAATATTTCTTAATAACAACTAGGAAGAAGCTATCTGTTAAACTGCTTTGTGATGTGTGCTTAGAGCTCACAGAGTTAAACCTTCCTCTTGAGTCAGCAGGTTACAAACACTCTTGTTGTAGAAAAAATGTGAAGAAAAGTTTCATAGCCCACTGAAGCCTATCATGGAAAACCAAGTATCTCACGATAAAAACTAGAAAGAAGCTACCTGTGAAACTACTTTGTGATGTGTTGATTCAGCTCACAGGGTTAAACCCTTCTTTTTATTCAGCAGGCTGGAAACACTCTTTTTGTACAACTGTGAGGGTGCATTTTGATGCCCATGGATGCCCATGATGAAAAACAAAATATCCTGCAATAAAAACTGCAAAGAAGCTATCTGTGATGTGTGCATTCAGCTCACAGAGTTAAACCTTTCTTTTGATTCAGCAGTTTGGAAACATCATTTGTAGAATCTACGAAGACACATTTTGGAGCCCACTGAGGCTTATGGTGAAAAACTGGATATTCTGTGATAAAAACTTGAAAGAAGTTATTTATGAAACTGTTCTGTTATGTGTGGATTCAGCTCATAGAGTTAAACCTTCTTGATTCAGCAGGTTGGAACCCTATTTTTGTCAAATCTGCAAAAAACATTTCCCAGAAAAGGCCATTACTCAGAAGAGGTGGGCAGAGGGGAGAAGCAATGAGGCCAGAGCAAGTGGTGGATTGTCTCAGGGAGGCCTCTCCCTTCCCAGAAGGCCGCAGGTAGCTTTCCAGGTCAAGTCTAGAGACACGGGCTCCAGCCCAGGGTGACTGTATCCCTCCTGGAAGGCCTCCACAAGCAATGACGGGACTGCAGATGTGCCTGTGAGGGGAGGCAGAAACTCAGGGGGATATTGAGGCAGGCAAAAGGGAGAAGCAGCCAGGCCTGAGTTGGTGCTATATCCTCAGAGGGAAGACTCCCCCTTCCCAGAAGCCTCTGGGGAGCCAACAAGATTGGTGCTAGGGTCACAGACTTTGGCCCAGGGTGCCTGAGTCTCTCATAGAGGGCCCCCACAGGCAGTGGTGGGGCCACAGGTGGTCCTGTGCAGCTGGGAAGAAACTCAGGGGGACATTGAAGTGAAGGGATATTTTGGAGCCCACTGAGGCCTGTAGTGAATAACTGAATATCCCACAATAAAAACTAGAGAGAAGTTATCTGTGAAACTGCTTTGTGATGTGTGGATTCAGCTCAAAGAGTTAAACCTTTCTTTTGATTCAGCATGTTGTGAACACTCTTTGTAGAATCTGCAAAGGGACATTTCAGAGCCCACTGAGGCCTGTATTGAAAAACTGGAAATCTTGGATAAAAACTAGAAAAAGCTATCTGTGAAACTGCTTTCAGATGTGTGAATTCAGCTCACAGAGTTGAACCTTTCTTTTGATTCAGAAGGTTGGAAACACAATTTTTGTAGTATCTACAAACATTTCAGAGCCCACTGTGGCCTATGCTGAAAAACCAAATATCTCGTGACAAAAACTAGATAGAATTTACCCGTGAAACTGCCTTGTGATGTGTGGATTCAACTCACAGAATTAAACCTTTCTTTTGATTTAGCAGGTAGGTAACACTTGTTTTTATAAAATCTGCAAAGGTATATTTTGGAGCAAACTGTGGCCTGGAGTAAAATACTGAAAATCCCATGATTAAAACGAAGATGCCTATGAAACTGATGTGTGATGTTCACACTCCATTCACAGAGTTAAGCCTCTCTTTTTAATCAGCAGGTTGAAAACGCTCTTTTTGTAGAATCTGCAAAGGGACATTTCGGAGCCCATTGAGGCCTATAGTAAAAAATGGAATATCTGGCATTATAAGCTAGAAACAAGCTATCTTTGAAACTGCTTTGTGCTGTGTGGATTTAGTTTGCAGAGTTAAACCTTTCTTTTGATTCACCAGGTTGGAAACGCTGCTTTTGTAGAATCTGTGAAGGGACATTTCAGAAGGAACTGAAGCCTCTAGAGAGAAACTGAAAATCCTGCAATTAAAAACTAGAAAGAAGATATCTGTGAAACTGCTTTGTGATGTTTGCATTCAGTTCCCAGCAAAAAACTTTTCTTTTTATTCAGCAGGTTGGAAACACTCTTTTTGTAGAATCTGCGAAGGGAAATTTCAGAGCTCACTGTGGCCTATAGTGAAAAATTTAATATCTCATGATAAAAACTAGAAAGAAACTGTCTGTGAAAATGTTTTGTGATGTATGCATTCAGCTCACAGTTAAACCTTCTTTTGATTCAGCAGGTTGGAAGCACTCCTTTTGTAGAAATCTATGATGGAAGATTTCAGAGCCCACAGAGGCCTATAGTGAAAAACTGAATATCCTGTGATAAAAACTAGAAAGAAGCCATCTGTGAAACTGCTTTGTGATGTGTGGATTCAGCTCACAGTGTTAATGCTTTCTTTTGATTCAGTGATTTGAAAACACACTTTTTGTAGAAGTTGCAAAGGGTCATTTTGGAGCCCACAGGCCTATAGGGAAAAAATGAATATCCTGTGATAAAATATAGAAAAAACTATCTGTGAAACCACTTTGTGATATGTGCATTCAGTTGACAGGTTAAACAATTCTTTTGATTCGGCAGGTTGGAAAAACTCCTTTCGTAAAATTTGTGAAGGGACATTTCCACGCCCACTGGGGGCTAAATTGAAAAACCAAATATCCTGTGATAAAAACTAGAAAGAAGTTATCTGTGAAACTGCATTGTAATTTGTGGATTAAGCTCACAGAGTTAAACCTTTCTTTTGATGCAGCTGGTTGGAGACACTCTTTTTGTAGAATCTGCAAGGAAACATTTTGGAGTGCACTTTGGGCTATATTAAAAAACAGAATATGCCAAAATGTAAATGAGAAAGATGCTATCTGTGAAACTGCTTTGTGATATGTGGGTTCAACTCACCGAGTTATACCTTTCTTTTGATTCTCCAAGTTGGAAACAGACTTTTTGCAGAATATGCAAGGAGAAATTTCAAAGCCCATTGAGGCCTACAGTGAAAAACTGAATATTCCACAATAAAAACAAGAAAGAAGCTATCTGTGAAGCTGCTTTGTGATGTGTGCTTTTAGCTCACAGAGTTAAACTTTACTTTTGATTCAGCAGGTTGGAAACACTCTGGTTGTAAAATTTGCAAAGGGACATTTTGGAGCCCACTGAGTCCTATACTGAAAAATTGCATATCCCTTGATAAAAACTACAAAGAAGCTCTCTGTGAAACTGCTTTGTGATGTGTGGATTCAACTCAGAGTTAAACTTTTTTGATTCAGCAGGTTGGAAACACTCTTTTTATACAACTGTGAGGAGACATTTCAAAGCACACTGAGGCCTATAGTGGAAAACAAAATATCCCATGATAAAACTACAAAGAATCTATCTGTGAAACAGCTTTGTGAAGTGTACATTCAGCTCACAGAGTTAAACCTTTCTTTTGATTCAGCAGGTTGGAAACTTTTCTTGTAGAATCTGCAAAGGGACCTAGTGGAAACCCCTGAGGCCTACAGGGAAAAACTGAATATTCCATGTTAAAAATGATAATGAAGCTAACTGTAAAACCCCTTTATGATGTGTGGATTTAGCTCATGGAGTTAAACCATTATTTTGATTCAACACGTTGGAACCACTCCATTTGTAGAGTATGTGAAAAGACATTTCAGTGCACACTGGGGCTTACAGTGAAAAACCAATCATCCTGTGGTAAAAACAAGAAGTTACCTTTGAAACTGCTTTGTGATGTGCGCATTCACGTCAGAGTTTAACCTTTCTTTTGATTCTGCAGGTTGGAAACACTCTTTTTGTAGAATCTGCAAAAGGACATTTTGGAGCCCACTGAGACCTATAATGAAAAACTGAATATCTCATGATAAAAACTAGAAAGAAAATATCTGTGAAACTGCTATGTGATGTGTAGATTCAGCTCTTAGAGTTAAACCTTTCTTCTGATTCAGCAGGTTGAAAACACTATTTTTGTGGAATCTGTGAAGAGACATTTAGCAGAAAAGGACATTTTACAGAACAGGCAGGCAGAGGGGAGAAGCGACAAGGTCTGAGCGGGTGCTGGGTTATCCCAGGAGGCCTCTCCCTTCCCAGAAGGCCCCAGGGAGCCCCTTGGGTGGTGGCTAGAGCCCCTGTTTTAGGCCCTTCCATCTCTCATGGAGGGTCCCCAGGCAACAGCAGGGCCATAAAGAGGCCTGTGCATGTGGGCAGAAACTCGGGGTATGTTGAAGCAGGCAAAGGGGATAATCAGCATCGCCTGAGCAGGTGTTGGGTCATCACAGTTGGGCTTCTCCCTTCCCAGAATCTCCTGGATTCTGGCCCAGGGTGCCTTTTTCTCTCATGGAGGGCCCCCATGTGTGCGATGGGGCCACTGGTGGGCCATGCAGGAGGGCAGAACCTTAGGAGGACATTAAGGCAGGCAGAGGGAAGAAGCGATGAGGCCAGAGCAGGAGCTGGGTCATCCCAGGGAGGCCTCTCTTTTCCCAAAACTCCTGGGAGGACCGTCTGGGTGGAGACCAGAGCTTCATTCTTTGACACTGGGTTCCTGTATATCTCACAGAGGACTCCTACAGGTGGCCTCTGGCCCACAGGGAAGCGTGCATGGGCTGGCAGAAACTCAGGGGGTAGTTGAGGCAGGCAGAGGGGAGAAGTGGCAAGCCTTGATTGAGTGCTGGGTTGTCCCAGGGAGGGCTCTCTCTTCCCAGAAGCCCTCCAGCGCCCCCTGGGTGGGGCTAGAGACGCAGGCTTTGGCCCAGGGTGCATTGTATGTTGCAGCGGGCCCACATGGGCAACAGTGGGGCAGCAGGCGGATCTCAGTGGGCAGGCAGAAACTCAGGGGGACATTGGGACAGGCAGAGGGGAGAAGGAATGAAGCCTGAGCAGGTGTGCAAACCTCAGAGGGACATTGAGGCAGGCACAGAGAAGTGATGAGGCATGAGCTGATGCCGGGTCATCCTATGGATGTCCCACCCTTTTCAAAAGTCCCGATGTACCCTTCAGGTGGGGGCTAGGGTTCTGGGCTCTGGCACAAGGTTTCTGTGTCTCTCATGGAGGGCCCCAACGGGTGGCAGCGGGGCTGCAGGCTGGCCTGTGAGGGTGGGCAGGGCCCTGGGCTCTGGCCCAGGGTGACTGTGTTTCTCCCAGAGGGCACCCATGGGCAGCAGTGGGGCCACATGTGGGCCAGTGCAGGTGGAAAGAAACTCCAAATGACGTTCAGGCAGGCAGAGAGGAGAAGTGGTGAGGCCTGAGAGGGTGCTGGGTCGTCTCAGGGATGTCTCTCCCTTCCCAGAATCCCACAGGGATTCCCCAGGTGGGGGATAGAGGCCTGGGCTCTGGATCTGGGCTCCTGTGTCTCTCACAGAGAGCCCCTATGGCTGGCAGTGGGCTGCAGGTGGGTCTGTGAGGGCGGACAGAAACTAAGGGGAACTTTGACAAAGAAAGAGGGGAGAAGTGGTGAGGCCTGAGTGGGTGCTGGGTCCTCCCAAGGAGGCCTGTTTCTTCCCAGAAACCCCAGAGGCCTCCACCAGGTGGGGGCTAGGGCCCTAGGCTCCTGTACAGGGTGCCTTTATTTTTCACAGAGGGCCCCCACGGGTGGTGGTTGGGGCCACCAGAAGGCCTGTCAGTTGGGCAGGAACTCAGGGGGACATTGATTCAGGCAGAGGGGAAAAGTGGCATGACCTGAGCAGGTTTTGAGTTCTCCCAGGGATGACTATTTCTTCCCAGAAGCACCCTGGGTGCCCCCAAGATTGGGGTAGAGCCATGGGCTTCAGCCAAGGGTGCCGATGTCTCTCACAGATGGCCTCCATGGGCAGTGGCAGGGATGCATGCTAGCCTTTGTGGGTGGATAGAAACTCAGGGGAACATTGAGACAGGCAGCAAAGAGAAGCAGTGAGTGGAGCCTGAGCAGGGGCTGGGTTGTCCCAGGGAGGCCTCTTCCTTCCCAGAGGCTCCAGAGGTGCCCCACAGTTGGGGGCTAGAGCTCTGGGCTTTGGTCCAGGATGCCTGTGTCTCTTGCAGAGGGCTCCCATGGGTAGTGGCAGGGCTGCACATGGGCTTCTATGGGTGAGCAGAAGATCAATGGGGCATTAAGGCAGGCAGAGGAGAGAAGCAGTGAGGACTAGGTGCATGCTGGGACTTCCCAGGGAGGGCTCTCTCTTCCCAGGAGCCCTCAGGGTGCCCCACCTGTGGAGACTAGAACTCGAGACTCTGGCCCAGGGTGCCTGTGTAGAGACACAGGTGGGACCCCACTCACAGCAGTGGGGCCACAGGTAGACATCTGCAGGTGGGCAGAAACTCAGGGGGACATTGAGGCAGGCAGAGGGGAGAAGTGGTGAGGCCTGAGCAGGTGCTGTGTGGTCCCAGGGATGCCTCTCCCTTTCCAGAAGCCCCTGGGGCAACTCCCAGGTTGGAGCCAGAGCCCCAGCCTTTGGCCCAGGGCACCTGTGTCTCTTGCAGTGGGCCCACACAGGTGGCAGCAGGGCTGCAGGCAGGCCTGTGCTGGAGGACTTTGAGGCAGGCAGAGGTGAGCAGGTGGAGAGTCAACCCAGGGAGACCTCTCCATAGGCAAAAGGCTCCGGGGTACCACCCATGGAGTGGCTAGAGCTCCAGACTGTGGCCCAAGTTGCCTGTGTCTCTCAAGGGGGCCTACACAGGCAATGGCAGGGCCACAGTCTGGCCTGTGCCAGCAGGCAGAAACTCAAGGGAACATTAAGGCAGGCAGAAGGGAGAAGCAGCGAGGCCTGAGCAGGTGTTAGGTTTGATGATACCAGCTCAGTCATGGAGACCCTAACCCAGTGGCGCTAGAAGAATTAAAGACACACACACAGAAATATATAGTGTGGAGTGGGAAATCAGTGGCCTGACAGCTTTTGGAGCTGGAAGCCACAAACAGAGATTTACCCAAATATTTATTGACAACAAGCTAGTAAGAAGGCTTTTTTCTATAGAGTATGGATTAACTAAAAGTATTCCTTAGGAGAAACAAAAGGATGGGCTGAAACAAATGGATGGGCTTTGGCTAGTTTTCTGCAGCAGGAACATGTCCTTAAGGCATAGAACACTCATGCTATTGTATGTGGTTTAGGAATGTGTTTAAGCAGTTTTCTGCCCGCCATGGGTGGGCCAGGTGTTCCTTGCCCTCGTTCCAATAAACCAACAACCTTCAGCGTGGGCATCATGGCCATCATGAACATGTCACAGTGCTGCAGAGGTTTTGTTTATGGCCAGTTTTGGGGCCAGTTTATGGCCAGATTTAGGGACCTGTTCGCAACATGTTCCCCCCTTTTGTTTTTGCAAGATGATAAAAGCAAAGGTGACCTTATCATGGTGAGCTACTTCTCACAGGAATTGGGATCCATATCTGCAGACTATATAAAGACAAAAAACACAGATTAAAAACACAATTATCATTGAAATTACAGAGCTTCCAGTGTTTTTATCCATTTTAATGGGTTACTAGCTGCTAATTTGTCTGCAGCTCCTTCAAGCACTCCAGTTCCTTGCATTAAGGTCAGGTGTGCCTGGGATGCTTTAAATATTTGTTCTTTTAATTTTGCAATATCCAAAGACAAGTTTGTAGAGTGTCTTTCTAGATGCTTTTTTATTCTTTTCCAAATTTTGATCTCATTAAGAGCCATGAATAGTGTCCACAAATCCTTATGTTTAGCTCCTGCAGCAGGCCATATTATTTGAGATTGAGGTGCCACTATACTGCCATGTTTCTAGATAATAGGAACTCTTGCCATATTTGTTACCATTTCTACCATCTAACCATTTTTTTCAGAGAAGCTGAACATATGGCCATGGCATGCAGACTGAGAGGTGCAATTCCAGATGAACATCCCCTTAGGGGACCAATCAATGATTCCATAGGAATCTCTGTTCAACACCTCTGCATGTTCTGCAATGCAATCTTCTTAAACAAGTACATTCATTACTTCTTTCCAGGTGCAATTCTGTTTACAAATAGGTTTCTGAGGGCATTATGCCTTAATTATAGTAGCAAATTTATTATGTTAAATACTGAGATCAGAAAGCCTGTGTAACTGTCAGACACTGATTACATCCAGTCATTATTGCCAGCCAAGATTCATAAATATGCCCAACAAGTATAATTGTTCTCTGTGTCAGCCCTTGTTGAAGGAATACTCATGAAAAGGGTGATCACTGCTATCATAGCTATCATTAAATTACTCACTGTGACTGGTTGTTCCGCTTTCCTCAGATTTTCTTCCACCACCCATGACAGATTTTTGATCTGTCCCCAGGTATGTGGCTGTGTTTGACGGGTGTTGCTCTTGACAGTTGGGGTCCTCCTCAGTGTCAGTCTCGACATGACTGCAATGGGGGACTCCTCAGGATCCTCCCAGAATCTCTTTCTCGGGATCTGGCTCATGATAAGGCTTCAGGTGTCTTGATGGTATCCAAATTGGCTGCTGGTTTTGGCCTGTAGAAACACAAGCATAATCTCTACCCCTAGTTATTGTTTTACCTATATCCCATCTTTTTGTTATCAGATCTCTCCACCAAACCAGTTGTTCTGCTTCCATCTTTGCAGCTGGTTTCTGTAGATGCTATTCAGCTGCTGATAGCATCTGGCCTTTAGGCAGGCTCAAAAAATTTAAAGTCAATAATGCTAGATTCAATTGCATATGGGGTGATCCATAGTCCCTGTTCCCCTCCTTCTGCTTTTGCAATTGTCATTTTAGGGAGAGATTTGTTCTTTCCTCTATGGCTTCTCCTTGAGAATTATATGGGATAAGAGTAATGTGTTTAATATTCCATATGGAGAAAAATGTAGCTAGAGCTTGGCTAGTATGGCCTGGGGAATTATCTGTTTTAATAGAAGCTCGAATGGCCATCACCACAAAACATTGCAAAAGGTGAAGTTTAACACAGGCAGAAGACTCTCCTGATTGGCATGTAGCTGAGACAAAATGATAAAAGGTGTCCTCACATACATGTAGATAAACTAGTCTTCCAAATGAGGGAATATGTGTGACGTCCATTTGTCAAAGACAATTAGGTTCCAATCCTCGAGGATTAACTCCTCCTGTAAAAGATGAGGAATGCACCATTTGGCAAGTTGGGCCTCACTGGATAATAGCTTTAGCTTCTTTCCAGGTAAGGCTGTACCTGCGTTTGAGACCAGAGGCGTTTACATGGGTTGAATTGTGAAAGTGTCTAGCATTATATATTGCAGTAGCAACTAAGCAATCAGTCATTTGATTCCCTTTAGTTAAAGGTCCTGGAAGAGGTGTATGAGCCCAAATGTGAGCCCTAACATGAGTGATGTAAAAAGGGTGAATTCTACTCCTAACTGCTGTTTGCAATTGGGGAAATAAAGTCATCAGTTGTTCATCTGTATGAAATCGTAACTGAGCATTTTCAATTAATTGTGTGGAATGAACCACATATAAAGAATGAGAAATCACATTAATAGGAGTATCAAAAGCAGTCAGTACCTCAATTACAGCTACAAGCTCTGCTTTTTGAGCTGAAGTATAGGGTGTGTGAAAATTTTACCTTTCGTGCCAGAATAAGAAACTTTACCATTACTAGACCCACCTGTGAAGACATTTCTAACACTTTCTATTGGTTTAAATTTAGTTATTTTAGGGAGAATCCAATTAGCTAATTTCAAAAATTGAAACAGTTTAGTTTTAGGAAAATGATAATTGAGAATACCCACAAAATCAGTTGAATGGGTTAACCAAGTAAGTCTATTTATAAAAGTTTGCCATATTTGTGCCTTCATTAGAGGGGCAATTATTTTTCCAGGATCATATCCATGTAATTTAACAATCTGAGTTTTCCCATTTCCTATCATAGAAGCGATTTGATCCAAGTAAGGAGTTAGAGTCCATGAATTAGTATGTGGAAGAAAAAGCCATTCTACTAAGTTCTGCTCTTGGACAACAACATCAGTAGGTGAATGATGAGTTGGAAAAATTAGCAAATCTAGAGTCTTCTCTGAAACTATTCTATTTATTTGAGCTTTATGGACTTGCTTCTCAATTAGCTGTAACTCTGCCTCAGCCTTCTTTTTTAATTGACAAGGTCTAGTTACACTAGGATCTCCTCTAAGGATAGAAAGTAGATTACTCATGGCATAGGTAGGAATGCCTAGAGCAGGTCCTATCTGATTAACATCCCCTAGTAATTTTTGAAAGTCATTTAACTTTTTCAATTGATCACTATATATGTTTACTTTTTGTGGCACAATGGTACTGTCATTTACTAAGGTCCCTAAGTAGGAGTAAGGACTAGTAGTCTGAATTTTGTCAGGAGCTATAATTAAACTGGCATGAGAAATCGAATTTTGTAAGTGATCATAACATTGGATTATTATTTCTGGAGTGGGGGTAGCACAAAGTATATCGTCCATATAATGAATAATGTAACACTGTGAAAAATTTTTACAAGTAGTTTCAATTGCTTGCCCTACATCTTTCTGGCAAATTGTTGGACTGTTTAACATTCCTTGTGGCAACACTTTCCAGTGAAAATTCTTACCGGACTTCAGGTTGTTTACTGCAGGAATTGTAAATGCAAAACTTTCACAGTCTTGCTCAGCTAAGGAGCTAGCAAAGAAACAGTCTTCTAAATCTATGACTATTGAAGGCCAATTTTTCAGAATCATAGCAGGAGAAGGTAATCCCAGCTGTAATGTCTCCATAGGTTGTATAACTGAATTAATGGCTCTTAAGTCAGTTAACGTTCTCCATTTACCTGATTTTTGCTTAATTACGAAAACTGGAGAACTCCAAGGGGAAAATGTGGGAGCTATGTGTCCTTTTTCTAATTGTTCAGTAACTAAGTCCTCTAAAGACTCCAGTTGCTCTTTACTCAGTGGCCATTGTTCTATTCAAAATGGCTTTTCTGTTGTTAACAATTTTAAAGGTATAGGTTCTGGAGGCTTAACAATTGCCACAATCAAAAATGATATCCTAAACCTTGGGGGGAACTTTGTCTTTCCACTTGAAGTGGTTCCTTCAAACCTTGCAAATTTTTCCTAGTCCCATACCAGAGACATATCCCATTTCATGTACCGTATGTTGACTTTGAGGGCTATAAAATTGTTCTGGAATTAGAACTTTTGCTCCCTATTGTTGTAATAAATCTCTTCCCCATAACAGAAGTTATAATTGGTTGAGTAGTCCCAGGTTGTCCATTGGGCCCTTCACAAAGCAAAATATAAATGCGTTGATATACTCAGAGGCTTTACCAACTCCAACTATGTAAAATTGAGTGGGTTGAATTGGCCACACAGACGGCCAGTGCTGTAGCAAAATGATTGAAATGTCTGCTCCTGTATCTACCAAGCCTTTAAATTTCTTTCCTTGAATAGTTATTTCAGAGGTAGGACATTTATCAGTAATTTGATTCACCCAAAAACTGCTTTGCCTTGTTTATTTGTGCTTCCAAATCCGCCTGCTCATTTAATTTCACTTTCCCCCATTTCCACATATGGCACAATCAGTAGTTGTGCTGTATGCTCTCCTGGCTCTGTTTTCCAGGAAACAAAAGTAGATATAACACTTTGAATTTCCCCATTGTAATCTGAATCAATGACTCCTGTATGTACTTGCACTCCTTTTAAATTTAGACTAGATCTACCTAGAACTAATCCTATCATCCCCAGTGGCAAGGGTCCACAGACTCTTCTTGGTATTTTTTGTGGGGTTCCCTAGGCAGAAGGCTTACAGCTTTTGTGCAGCCTAAGTCTACTACAACACTAATGGCTGTGGCAGGGGACAGGCATTTTACAGGGGTGAGAGAATGGCCTGAGCCAGAAATGCCAGGTTTGTAACATAGCCGGGGATGGGCCCCTCATGTCGTTTCCCAAAATCGGGTTCCCACCTTTATCAAACTTAGAGTGACACTGATAAACCCAATGTTTTCCTTTTTTACATTTTGTACATATTCCAGGCTCAGCAGTTCTTTTTTTCCCTCAACAGGTGGCCTGACTCGCTGATTTTTTTCTACATTCTTTTTTAGTATGATCATGCTTCCACAGTTAAAACAAGTTTCCAGGAAATGGAGTGCTTTCTTTTACCCCCCTTTTAGTCTTGCCATGGCTTGCATCAACAGAGTAGCTTTATGTAGATTACCTCTGATAATGTCACAGAGCTTGATATAATCAACTAAACGTGCTTTCCCTCCAATAGGTCACAGAGCAGCCTGGTCCTCGGATTAGCATTGTCAAAAGCTAATAACTGCAACACTATATCCTGAGCAGCCAAATCTGCAATCACCTTTTTAAGAGACTCCTGTAACCAAGCTATAAAATCTGTGAACATTTCTTTTGGTCCTTGTTTCACAGCACTAAAGGAAGGGTATTGTTCTCCACCTGAAGTGATTTTTTCCCAAAGTCTAATGCACACTCCTCTAAGCTATTCTTTGGCATCATCCTGCATGACCACTTGTGCATCTAAACCAACCCAGCCACCGACCCCCAAAAGTTGTTCTGCAGTTATATTAATTTGAGGTTGGGCCTGCGTTTTGCAAGCAGCCTGAATGGAAGCCTCATCTACCCAACATGTTTTAAATTGTAAGAACTAAGCAGGATTCAGACAAGCTCGAGTAAGAGCATCCCAGTAAGTAGGGATCATCCGACTGGAAACAGCAACATTCTTTAACAGTCTCATTACAAAAGCAGAACCTGGCCCATATTGATTAATAGCTTGTTTAAATTCCTTGAGTAATTTAAAAGGAAAAGGCTCAAATGTAGCTCTAATATTTCCATGCTGATCTTGGGGTTGTATCCTAACAGGGTACTGCCAAGCCTCTATATCACCCTCTCATCTAGCTTGCTGAATTTCTGCTTAAATAGAAGTGAGAGCAGTCGCCCAAGGCAGTGCTCAAACAGTCACTGGGGCAACTACTTTTCTCCCAGTGTCCTCCAGAAAAGAAAGATATGGAGGGCCAGACCACTCTTTTTCTTCAAAATAATAAGGGGGTGCAGAAGGGTAAGGACTAACCTCTACCTTCCTTGCTGCTTTAGCTTTAGCTGGCAAACAAACCTGCTCTGTCACCTCTTCTGTTACTTCATTATACTATCCTTCCTCTTCATCATCAGTGTGAAAATGTTCCAAGGTGGAAAGAACCAGAGCCCACACTTATCCCATTGTTACCCTGATGCTTCCGAGCTCCCCTTTTTACCATGGGGATTGCTTAAGAGAACTCAGGTGTTTTCCAGCATAGTTCCACGTTCTCCAACCATCGCTCCAGTGACCCTTTGACCTGGGTTTGAGCCCCACATATGGGCACCACTTGCTGAGAGCAGCTCAGTCGTGGAGACCCTAACCTAGTGGCACTAGTGGAATTAAAAACACACACAGAAATATATAGTGTGGAGTGGGAAATCAGGGGCCTGACAGCATTCAGCGCTGAAAGCCATGAACAGAGATTTACCCAGGTATTTATTGACAGCAAGCCAGTGAGAAACATTGTCTCTATAGATTATAGATTAACTAAAATATTCCTTATGGGAAACAAAGGGATGGGCCGAAACAAAGGGATGGGCTGTGGCTAGTTGTCTGCAGCAGAAACATGTCCTTAAGGCATAGATCGCTCATGCTATTGTTTATGGTTTAGAAATGCCTTTAAGCGGTTTTCCACCCTGGGTGGGCCAGGTGTTCCTTGCCCTCATTCCAGTAAACCAACAACCTTCAGCGTGGGCATCATGGCCATCTCGAGCATGTCACAGCGCTGCAGAGATTTTGTTTATGGCCAGTTTTGGGGCCAGTTTATGGCCAGATTTATGGGTCTGTTCCCAACACTGCGTCCTCCGATGATGACTCTCCCTTCCCAGAAGCCCCTGGGCTCCCACTGTGTCTCTCCTGGAGGGCCTCCATGGACAGTGGTGGGGCTGCAGGCAGGCTTGTGAGGGTGGGCAGAAACTCAGAAGCAGTGAGGCCTGAGCAAAGGTTGTGTCCTCACGGGGAGGCCTCTCCCTTTTCAGAAGCCCTTGCAGTGCCCCCGTGTCATGGCAAGAGCCCAGGACTCCAGCCCAAAGTGCCTGTGTCTTTAGTGAAGGGCCTCCACGGATGAGGACAGGGCATCAGGTGGGCGTGTGCAGGTGGGCAGATATAGAGGGAGACATTGAGGCAGGCAGAGGGGAGAAGTGGCGAGGCTTGAGCAGGTACTGGGTACCCCCAAGTAGGACTCTCCCTTCCCAGAAGCCCCCAGGTGTTCCCCAGTTGGGGGCTAGAGCCCCGTGTTCTGGCCTAGAAAGACTGTGTGTCTCATGGAGTGCCCCCAGGGGTGGCAGTGGGGCCCCAGGCAGGCCTGTGTGGATGGGTAGAAACTCAGGGGAATGTTGAGGCAGGTAGAAAGGAGAAGCTGAGAGGCCTTAGTGGGTGCTGGGTCATCCAACGGAGGTCTCTCCCCTCCTAGAGGGCCCTGGGTTGCCTTCTGGTTTGGGGCTAGAACCCTGCACTCTGGCCCAGGGTGACTGTTTCTCTTGTGCAGGGCTCCCACTGGTGGCAGCAGGGCTGCAGGCTGGCCTCTCCAGGCAGGCAGAAACTCAGGGGGACATTGAGGCAGACAGAGGAGATAAGTGCTGAGGCCTGAGCAGGTGCTGGGTATTCTTAGGGAGGCCTCTCCCTTCCCGGAAGCCTCTTGCATGCCTCCCGGGTGGGGGCTAGAGCCCCAGACTCTGGCCCAGGGTGGCTGTGTCTCTCCTCGACGGCCCCCAAGGGTGACAGCAGGGCTGCAGGCAAGTCTGTGCTGGCAGGCAGAAATTCAGGTGGACATTAAGGCAGGTAGAGGAAAGAAGTGGCAAGGCCTGAGGGGTGCTGCATGTTCCCAGGGCAGCCTCTCCCTTTCTAGAGGCCCCAGAGGAGCCCACAGGGTTGGGGCTCTGGCCCAGAGTGCCTGTTTCTCTCTCAAAGAACAACCATGAGCAGCAATGGGTCACAGGCAGGTTTGCGCTGGTGGGCAGAAACTCAGGGGAATATTGAGGCAGACAGAGAGGAGAAGAGGCGAGGCCTGAGCTGGTGCTGTGCCTTCCCAAAAAGGCCTCTCCTCTCTTAGAAGCCTCTGGAGCACCCCCTGGGTGGGGGCTAGGTCCCCAAGCTCCGGCCCAGAGTGCCTGTGCCTCTCACAGAGGGTCCCATGGGTAGTGGCAGGACAGCAGCTGGGCTTGGGTGGGAGAGCAGGAACTCAGAAGGACGTTGATGCAGGCAGAGGGGAGAAGAGGCAAGGCCTGAAGGGGAGCTGGGTCATCCCAGGGAGTCCTCTCCCTTCCCAGAAGCCTCTGAGATGCCCTGCAGATGGGGGCTAGAGTCCGAGGCTCCAGCCTGGGGTGCCTGTGTCTCTTGCAGAGGACAACCACGTGTGGCAGCAGGTCAAAGGCGGGCCTGTGTGGGCAGGCAGAAACACGGGGGGATGTTGAGTTAGGCAGAGGGGAGAAGACCTGAGACCTTAGTGGGTACTGGCTCCTCCCAAATAGGCCTCTCCCTTTTTAGAAGCCACCAGGGCAACCCGGAATTGGTACTAGGGCCCTGGGCTCTGGCCCAAGGTGCCTGTGTCTCTAGGAGGGCTCCCATGGGTGTCGACAGGGCAGCAGGCAGGCCTGTGCTGATGGGCAGAAACTCAAGGAGACGTTGATGCATGCCAAGGGGAGAAGCGGTGAGGGCTGAGCAGGAGTGGGGTTGTTTGAGGGAGTCCTCTCCCTTCCCAGAAGCCCCTGGGGCACCACCCATGTAGAGACTAAAGCCCCGGAGTTTGGCCAAGGTTGCTTCTATCTCTCACAAAGGGCCCCCACAGGTGGTGGCAGGGTGGCAGGCAGGCCTGTACAAGAAAGCAGAAACTCAGGGAGATGTTGAGGCAGGCAGAGGTGAGAATTGGCAAGACCTGAGCAAGTCCTGCATCCTCCCAGGGAGGCCTCTCTCTTTTCAGAAGCCCCAAAGGCACCCCGTTGTCATGGCTAGAGCCCCAGATTCCAGCCCAGAGTTTCTGTGTCTCTAGCGGAAGTCCCCACAAAACTGCGGGAGGGCCACAGTCTGGCCTATGGAGAGGGACAGAAACTCAGGGAGACGTTGAGGCAGGCCGAGGGGAGAAGTGACAAGACCTGAGCAGATGCTGGGCCATCCCAGGGAGGCCTCTTCCTTCCCAAAAGCCCACAGTGCATCCCCTGGGGGTGGGGGGCTAGAGCCCCGGGCACTGGCCCAGGGTGCCTGTGTCTTTCTCGGAGGGATCCCAGCAGTGGTGGCGGAGCGGCAGGTAGGCCTGTGAGGGTGGGCAGAAACTCAGGGGGACGTTCAGGTGAGCAAAGGGGAGAAGCAGCAAGGCCTGAGCGGGTGCTGAGTCATCCCAGAAACGCCTGTCCCTTCCAAGAAGCCTCTGGGGAACCCCCGGGTTGGGACAGAGTCCCTGCAGCCTGCCCACCCCACCCTGCTGCCCCGTTTTTTTTTTTGTGGGGGCCTTCCATGAGAGACACAGGCACTGTGCTCCAAAGCTTGGGGCTTTACAATTCGTTCAGGACAGCCCTAAGAACTTCTGGGACGGGAGAGGTCTAATTGTGAGGCTCCCAGCATTCCCTACACTATCGCCGCTTCTCCCTCCTGCCTGACTCAACGTTCCCCTGAGTTCCTGCAGCTCGCCCACGCCACCCTGCAGCGCGGATTCCGCTTGTGAGGGCCTTCTGTGAGAGACACAGGCACCCTGCTCCAAGCCGGGGGCTATACAGCCTGCCCAGGACAGCTCTGAGGGCTTCTGGGATGGGAGAGGCCTTCTTGGGTAGCTCCTAGCATTCCCTGCAGTCTCGCTGTTTCTCCTCTCTGTCTGCCTTAAAGTCCACCTGAGTCCCGGTGGTGTACCCAGGCCACCCTGCAGCCTTGTTTTCACTTGTGGTAGACTTCTGTGAGAGACACAGGTACCCTGCTCCAAAGCCTGTGGCGTTACAGCCTCCCCAGGACAGCCCTAGGGGCTTCTAGGATGGGAGAGGCCACCTTGAGAGGCTTTCAGCATTCCCTGTCGTCTCTCCATTTCTTCCATCTGCCTGCCTCAACGTCCCTCTTAGTCCCTGCCATCCCACCACACAAACCTGCGCCCCCATTTTTGCTTGTGTGTGCCTTCGGTGAGAGAAACAGGCACTCTGCTGCAAAGCCTGGGGCTTTACAGCCCACCCAAAACAGACCTGAGACATTCTGGGATTGGAGAGGCCTTCTTGGGAGGCTACCAGCATTCCCTGTAGTCTCTCCACTTTTCCTACTGACTGCCTCAACGTGCCCTTGATTCCCTGCGGCCCGCCCACACCACCCTGAGGCCCCGTTTTTGTTTATGGGGGCCTTCCACTAGAGACAAAGCCACCCTGCAAAAAACCTTGGGCTTTACAGCAAGTCCAGGACAGCCCTGGATGGGATGGGAGGGGCCTCCTTAGACGGCTCCCAGAATTCCCCTCGATCTGGAGGCTTCTTTCTTCTTCCTGCTTGAACATCCTCGTGAGTCCCTGCAGCCTGTCTATGCCACCCTGTGGCCTTGTTTTCACTTGTGGGTGCATTCCACGAGAGACATAGTAGCCCTGCTCCAAAGCCTGGGGCTTTGCAGCTTTCCAGGGACTGCCCTAGGAGCTTCTGGGAGGGCACAGGACTCCTTGGGAGGCCCCCAGCATTCCCTGCAATCTCTCTGCTTCTCCCCACTGCCTGACTCAATGTCCCCCTCAGTCCCTGTGGCCTGCCCACACCACCGGACTGCCTGGTATTCGCTTGTGGGGTGCTTTGGTGAGAGGCACAGGCACCTTGCTCCAAAGCCTGGGGCTTTAAAATCCACCAGGGACAGCCTTGGGGACTTCTGGCATGGGAGAGATCTCCTTGCGAGGCTTCCAGCAATCACTGTGGTCTCATCACTACTCCTTTCTGCCTGCCTCAAAGTACCCCTGAGTCCCTGCAGCTTGTCCACGCCACCTTGCAGCCCTGTTGTTACTTATGGGGCCTTCCACGAGGGACAAAGACACCCTTCCACAAAACCTGGGGCTTTAAAGAAAGTTTGGGACAACGCTGAGGGTTTCTGAGATGGGAGAGGCCTCTTTGGGAGTGTGCCAGCATTCCCAGCGATCTCAACACTTTTTTCCTCTGCCTGCCTCAATGTCCCCCTGAGGCCCTGTGGCCTGCTCACACCATCCTGTGGCACCATTTTTGCTTGTGGGTGCCTTCTGCGAGAGACACAGGCACCATGCTCCAAAGCCTGGGACTTTACAGCCCGCCCAGGACAAACCTGAGAGCTTCTGGGATGGGAGAGGTCTCTTTAGGAGGCTCCCAGCATTCACTCAGCTCTCGCCAATTCGCCCCTCTCCCTGTCTCTATGTCCCTCTGAATCCGTGCAACCTGTCACACACCCTACTGCCCCGATTTCTCTTGTAAGAGCCTTCTGTGAGAGACATAGGCACCCTGCTCCAAAGCCTGGGGCTTCACAGACCACGCAGGACAGCCCTGCGGGCTCCTGGGATGGGAGAGTAGTAGGGAGGCTTCCAGCATACCCTGCTTTCTCGCCACTTCTCTGCTCTGCCTGCCTCAACATCTCCCTGAGTCCCTGAGGCCCCCCCACACCACCTTATGGCCCCATTTTCACTTGTGGTGTCCTTCCACGAGAGACACAGGCACCCTGCTCCAAAGTCGGGTTTTACAGCTTGCTGGGGAAAGCCCTGGACTTCTGGGATGAGAGAGACAGTCGTGGGAGACTACCAGCATTTTTTGTGGACTCTCCACTTCTCCTTTTTGTCCTCTTCTTTCTCCTACTTAGTCCCTGCTGCCCACCCACAGTGGGCCCCTGTTTTAGCATGTGAGGGCCTTCTGAGAGACACTGGCACTCTGCTTCAAAGCCAGGGGCTTTACAGCCCACCTGGGACCAGCATGGGGGCTTCTGGGATGCAGCACGCCTCCTTGGGAGTCTTTCAGAATTCCTTGCCATCTCACCACTCCTGCGTTCTGCAGGACTTAACGTCCCCCTCAGTCCCTGAGGCCCATACATGCTACCATGCAGCCCCGTTTTCACTTGTGGGGCCTTTCGTGAGCAGCACAGGCACCCTGCTACAAAGCCTGGGGCTTTACAGCCTGGCCAAAACATCACTGGGAAGTTCTGGGATGGGACAGGCCCCCTTGTGAGGCTCCCAGCCTTCCCTGCGGTATTGTTGCTTCTCCCCTCTGCCTGTCGGTACATCCCCTTGAGTCTCTGCAGCCCATCCACACCACCAAGCTGACCCATTTTCACTTGTGAAGGTTTTCCGCGAGGGACACAGGCAACCTGCTCCAAATCCTGGGGCTTTACAGCTAGCCCGAGACAGTCCTGGGGGCTACTGGGAGGGGAGAGGCCTTCTTGGGAGGTTCCCCACGTTCCCTGTGGTCTCTCCTCGTCTCCCCTCATTCTGTCTTAACATCCCTCTGAGTTCCTGCAGTGAGCCGATGAAACACTGGGGCCCCTTTTTTGATTCTGAGGGCCTTCTGCCAAAAATACAGGCACTCTGCTCCAAAGCCTGGGACTTTACAGCCCACTTGGGACAGCCTGAGGGCCTTCTGGGATGGGAGAAGCATCTTTGGAAGGCTCCCAGAATTCCCTGTGGTTTTGCTGCTACTCTGCCCACCACTCCCCTCTGCCCATCTCAATGTCCCTCTGAGTCCCTGCAGCCCAGCTGCAAATTTGCGGTCCCATTTTCGCTTGTGAGGGCCTTCTGAGAGAGACACTGGCATCCTGCTTCAAAGCCGGGGCTTTACAACCCACTTGGCACATCACAGGGGGTTCTGGAATGGGAGAGGACTGCTTGTGAGGCTCCCAGCATTCCCTGCTGTTGAGAAAATAAAGACAGATCAGACTGTTACTGTGTCTATGTAGAAAGGGAAGACATAAGAAATTCCATTTTGACCTGTACCTTGAATAATTGCTTTGCTGAGATGCTGTTAATTTGTAACTTTGCCAAAGCCACTTTGCCCCAACTTTGAGCTCACAAAAACATGTGTAGTATGGAATCAAGATTTAAGGGATCTAGGGCTGTGCAGGATGTGCTTTTTTAACACAATGTTTACAAGCAGTATGCTTAGTAAAAGTCATCACCATTCTCTAGTCTCAGCAAATCAGGGGCACAATGCACTGTGAAAAGCCACAGGGACCTCTGCCCTGGAAAGCTGGGTATTGTCGAAGGTTTCTCCTCATGTGATAGTTTGAATATGGCCTCATGGGCTGAGAAAGACTTGACCATCCCACAGCCCGGCACCCATAAAGGGTCTGTGCTGAGGTGGATTAGTAAAAGAGGAAAGCCTTTTGCAGTTGAGATAGAGGAAGGTCACTGTCTCCTTCCTGTCCTGGGAACTGAGTGTCTCGGTATAAAACCTGATTGTACATTTGTTAAATTCTGAGATAGGAGAAAAATCGCCCTATGGCGGGAGGTGAGACATGTTGGCAGCCATGCTGCCTTGTTATTCTTTACTCCACTGAGATGTTTGGGCAGAGAAAAATATAAATCTGGCCTACGTGCACATCCATGTATAGTACCTCCCCTTGAATTTAATCATCATATAGATCCTTTTGCTCACATTTTTTTTGCTGACATTTTCCTTATTATCACCCTGCTCTCCTACCACATTCCTCTTGCTGAGATAATAAAAATAATAATCAACAAAAACTGAGGGAACTCAGATACTGGTGCCAGTGCAGGTCCTTTGTATGCTGAGTGCCAGTCTCCTGGGCCTGCTGTTATTTCTCTATACTTTGTCCCTGTGTCTCATTTCTTTTCTCAGTTTCTCATCCTACCTGATGAGATATTCCATAGGTGTGGAGGGGCAGGCCACCCCTTCATCTGCTTCCCCAAGTGGGTGCCTTTCTCTAGGGTGAAGGTATGCTAAGAATGTGAGCATTGAGGACAGCAGCTGATGACAGATTCCTGAGTATGTCCACAGTCAGCCTTGCGGTAAGCTTGTGTGCTCGGAGGAACCCAGGGTAACAATGGGACAAACTGAAAGTAATTATGCTTCTTATCTCAGTTTCATTAAAATTATCTTAAGAAGAGGGGAAGTTAAAGATTCCCCAGAAAATCTAACTATGCTATTTCAAACAATAGAGCAATTCTCCCCATGGTTTCCAGAACAGTGAACTTTAGATCTAAAAGATTGGGAAAAAATGGCAAAGAATTAAACAAGAAAGTAGGGAAGGTAAAATCATCCCACTTACATTATGGAATGATTGGGCCATTATTAAAGCAACTTTAGAACAGTTTCAAATAGAAGAAGATAGCATTTCAGTTTCTGATGCCCCTGAAAGCTGTGTAATAGATTGTGAAGAAGAGAAAGGAACAGAGTTCAAGAAAGGAATGGAAAGTTCACATTGTAAAAATATAGCAGAGTTTGTAATGGCTCAGTCAAAGCAAAATGTTGACTACAATCAATTACCGGAGGTAATATATCCTGAAACATTAAAATTAAAAGGAAAAAAGTCCAGAACCATGGGGGCCTTTGGGGCTAAAACCACGATGGCCACCTCCTCCTCAGCTGAGTGAGTGCTGGGGGAGGGAACCTGAAACTAGGCTCGCTGTGACTTGGTTCACAGCACCCATTATTGCCCAACCTGCAGTTCACTATGGTGAAGGAGCAATTCAGACTCACCCTGCAGTGTCTTGTATGGGTCAAACAGTGACCACTCCCTAAGGAAAAGTTGGGGGCGCTGCATAAAATAGTTTAAAAACTATTTTAAAAAGGACATGTTTCACTCACTTTCTCTCTTTAGAATTCTCCTGTGTTTGTAATTCAGAAAGAATCAGACAGATGGCACATGCTAACTGACTTAAGAGCCATTAATGTGGTAATTCAACCCATAGGGCCTCTCCAACCTGGGCTGCCCTCCCCAGCCATGATCCCTAAAGATTGGCCTTTAATTATAATTGATCTAAAGGATTGCTTTTTTACCATTCCTCTGGCAAAACAGGATTTTGAAAAATTTGCTTTTATTATACCAGCCATAAATAATAAAGAACCAGACTCCCGATTTCAGTGGAAAGTGTTGCCTCAGGGAATGCTTAATAATCCAACTATTTGTCAGACTTTTGTAGCTCAGGCTCTTCATCCAGTTAGAAACAAGATTTTGGATTGTTATATCATTCATTATGTTGATGACATTTTGTGTGCTGCAGAAACAAGAGACAAATTAATTGACTTACACATTTCTTCAGACAGAGGTTGCAAATGCAGGACTGACAATAGCGTCTGATAAGATTCAGACCTCCACTCCTTTTCATTATTTGGGAATGCAGGTAGAGGAAAGAAAAATAAACCACAAAAAATAGAATTAAGAAAAGACACATTAAGAACATTAAATGACTTTCAAAAATTGCCAGGAGATATTAATTGGATTCAGCCAACTCTAGGCATCCCTACTTATGCCATGTCAAATTTGTTCCCTATCTTGAGAGGGGATCTGGACTTGAATGGTAAAAGAACATTAACTGCAGAGGCAACTAAAGAAATTGAATTCATTGAAGAAAAAATTCGGTCAGCACAAGTAAATAGAATAGATCATTTGGCCCCACCCAACTTTTGATTTTTGCTACTGTACATTCTCCAACAAGCATTATTGTTCAAAATACAGATGTTGTGGAGTGGTCATTCCTTCCTCACAGTACAATTAAGACTTTTACATTGTACTTAGATCAAATGGCTACATTAATTTGGGAGGCAAGACTACGAATAGCAAAATTTTGTGGAAGTAACCCATATAAAATAATAGTTCCTTTAAACAAGAAACAGGTTAGACAAGCCTTTATCAATTCTGCTGCATGGCAGATTGGACTTGCTGATTTTGTGGGAATTATTGATAATCATTACCCAAAACAAAAATCTTCCAGTTTTTAAAATTGACTACTTGGATTTTACCTAAAATTACCAGACATAAACCTTTAGAAATTGCTCTGACGGTATTTACTGATGGTTCCAGCAATGGAAAAGCAGCTTACACTGGGCCAAAAGAATGTGTCATTGAAACTCAATATCACTCAGCTCAAAGAGCAGAGTTGGTTGCTGCAATTTCAGTGTTACAAGATTTTAATCAGCCTATTAACATTGTTTCAGATTCTGCATATGTAGTACAGGATACAAAGGATGTTGAGACAACCCTAATCAAATACAGTGTGGATGATCAGTTGAAGCAGCTGTTTAATTTGTTACAACAAACTGTAAGACAAAGAAATTTCCCATTTCATATTACTCATATTTGAGCACATACTAATTTACCAGGGCCTTTAACTAAGGCAGATGAACAAGCTGACTTGCTAGTGTCATCTGCCTTCATGGAAACACAAGAACTTCATGCCATGACTCATGTAAATGCAACAGGATTAAAAAATAAATTTGATATCACAAGGAAACAGGCAAAAAATTTTGTACAACATTGCACTCAGTGTCAAGTCCTACACCTGCCCACTCAGGAGGCAGGAGTTAATTCCAGAGGTCTATGTCCTAACGTGTTATGGCAAATGGATGTCACACATGTACCTTCATTTGGAAAATTGTCTTTTGTCCATGTGACAGTTGATACTTATTCACATTTCATATGGGCAACCTGCCAGACAGGAGAAAGTACTTCCCATGTTAAAAAACATTTATTATCTTGTTTTGCTGTCATGGGATTTCCAGAAAAAAATAAAACAGATAATGGGTCAGGATACTGTAGTAAAGCATTTCAAAAATTCTTAAATCAGTGGAAAATTACACATACAACAGGAATCCCTTATAATTCCCAAGGACAGGCCATAATTGAAAGAACTAATAGAACACTCAAAGCTCAATTGGTTAAACAAAAAAAGGGAAAATAGAATAAAGAGCATAACACTCCCCGGATGCAACTTAATTTAGCACTCTATACTTTAAATTTTTAAAACATTTATAGAAATCAGACCACTACTTCTGCAAAACAACATTTTTACTGGTAAAAAAACAGCTCACATGAGGGAAAACTGATTTGGTGAAAAGACACCAAAAATATGACATGGAAAATAGGTAAGGTGATAACATGGGGGAGAGGTTTTGCTTACGTTTCACCAGGAGAGAATCAGCTTCCTGTTTGGATACCCACTGTTTGAGGTATGTTTTTGGTACCCGCGTGTTTGGATACTGGCTGTTTGAGGACAGCCGATGACAGATTCCAGAGTACGTCCACAGTCAGCCTTGTGGTAAGCATGTGCGCTCAGAGGAACCCAGGGTAACAATGGGGCAAACTGAAAGTAAATATGCTTCTTATCTCAGTTTCATTAAAACTCTCTTAAGAAGAGGGGGAGTTACAGCTTCCACAGAAAATGTAATTATGCTATTTCAAACAATAGAGCAATTCTGCCCATGGTTTCCAGAACCGTGAGCTTTAGATCTAAAAGACTTGGAAAAATGGTAAAGAATTAAAACAAGAAAGTAGGGAAGGTAAAATCATCCCACTTAACATTATGGAATGATTGGGCCATTATTAAAGCAACTTTAGAACAGTTTCAAATAGAAGAAGACAGCATTTCAGTTTCTGATGCCCCTGAAAGCTGTGTGATAGATTGTGAAGAAGAGGCAGGAAGAGAGTTCAAGAAAGGAATGGAAAGTTCACATTGTAAAAATATAGCAGAGTCCGTAGTGGCTCAGTCAAAGCAAAATGTTGACTACAATCAATTACAGGAGGTAATATATCCTGAAACATTAAAATTAAAAGGAAAAAGTCCATAACTTTTTCCTAGAAATTTAAAGTTCTATAATGAACCCATTGGAGATGAAAAAAAAAAAGTGCCTCTGCAGAGACAGAAAACCAGCAATGGAACATCATGATTCGCCAGGTGAACAAAACGGTGATATCAGAACAGATGAAGTTGCCATCCACCAAGAAAGCGGAGCTGCCAACCTGGGCCCAACTAAAGAAGCTGACACAGTCAGCTGAAAAAAGCCTGAAGAACACAAGGGTAACTCAAACTCCAGAGAATATGCTGCTTGCAGCTTTAATGATTGTATTAACGGTGGTAAGTCTCCCTATGTCTGCCGGAGCAGCTGCAGCTAATTATACTTACTGGGCCTATGTGCCTTTCCTGCCCTTAATTTGGGCAGTCACTTGGATGAATAATTCTATTGAAGTATATGTTGATAATAGTAGATGGGTACCAGGCCCACAGATCATCGTGGCCCTGCCCAACCTGAAAAAGAAGGAATGATGATAAACATTTCCACTGGGTATCATTATCCTCCTATTTGCCTGGGAAAGGCACCAGGATGCTTAATGCCTACAACCCAAGATTGGTTGGTAGGCACTGACCTACTGTTAGTGCCACCAGTAAATTTACTTATCCCATGGTAAGTGGAAAGTCACTCGGATCACAAATAAATAATTTACGGGACTCTTCTTATCAAAGATCATTAAAATTTAGGCCAGAAGGAAAACATTGCCCCAAGGAAAGTCCCAAAGAATCAAAAGACCCAGAAGTCTTAGTTTGGGAAAAATGTGTGGCTGATACTGTGGTGGTATTACAAAACAATAAATTTGGAACTATTATGGACTGGGTCCCTAGAGGCCAATTATATTATGATAGTATAGGCCAGACTCACTCATGTTCACAGGCCCCATCTGTCTGGCCTACTAATCCCGCCTATGATAGTGATTTAACTGAAAGTCTGGACTAGGTTTATATAAGGTTAGAATCACCCTATCCATGGAAATGGGGTGAAAAGAAAATTTCATCACCTCGACCAAAGTTAATTAGTCCTGTTACTGGTCCTGAACATCCAGAATTATGGAAGCTTACTGTGGCCTCGCACCACATTACAATTTTGTCTGAAAATCAAGTTATAGAAACAAGAAATCACAAGCCATATTATACTGTTAACCTAAATTCCAATCTGACAATTCCTTTGCAAAGTTGTGTAAAATCCCCTTATATGCTAGTTGTAGGAAACATAGTTATTAAACCAGATTTCCAAACTATAACCCGTGAAAATTGTAGATTGTTTACTTGCATTGATTCGACTTTTGATTGGCAGCACCGTATTCTACTGGTGAGGACAAGAGAGGGCATGTGGATTCCTGTATCCATGGACCAACCGTGGTAGGCTTCCCCATCCATCCATATTTTAACAGAAGTATTAAAAGGAGTTCTAACTAGATCAAAAAGACTCATTTTTACTTTAATTGCAGTGATTATGGGTCTTACTGCAGTCACAGCTACTGCTGCAGCTGCTGGAATTGCTTTACACTCCTCTGTTCAAAACTGCAGAATATGTAAATAATTGGCAAGAGAATTCCTCAAAATTATGGAATTCTCAGACCCAAATAGATCAAAAATTGGCAAACCAAATTAACGATCTTAGACAAACTGTCATTTGGATGGAGATAGGCTCGTGAGCTTGGAATATCTTTTTCAGTTACAGTGTGACTAGAATATGTCAGATTTTTGTATTACACCTCAAGCCTATAATGAATCTGAACATCACTGGGACATGGTTAGACACCATCTACAAGGAAGAGAAGATAATCTTATTTTAGATATTTCAAAATTAAAATAACAGATTTTTGAGGCATTGAAAACCCAGTTAAATCTGTTGCCAGAAACTGAGGCAATGGTAAAAGCTGCTGATAGCCTCACAAATCTTAACCCTGTCACTTGGGTTAAAACCACTACAAGTTCCACTATAGCAAATTTTTTATTAATCCTTGTATGTCTGTTCTCTCTGTTGTTAGTCTACAGGTGTATGCAGCAGCTCTGGAGAGACAGCGACCAGCGAGAAACGGCCATGATGATGATGGCGGTTTTGTCAAAAAGAAAAGGGGGATATATAGGGAAAAGAAAGAGAGATCAGACTGTTATTGTGTCTATGTAGAAAGGGAAGACATAAGAAATTCCATTTTGACCTGTACCTTGAACAATCGCTTTGCTGAGATGCTGTTAATTTGCAACTTTGCCCCAGTTGCTTTGCCCCAGCCACTTTGCCCCAACTTCAAGCTCACAAAAACGTCTGTTGTATGGAATCAAGGCTTAAGGGATCCAGAGCTGTGCAGGACGTGCCTTGCTAACAAAATGTTTACAAGCAGTATGCTTGGTAAAAGTCATCGCCATTCTCTAGTCTCAAAAAATCAGGGGCACAATGCACTGCGAAAAGCAGCAGGGACCTCTGCCCTGGAAAGCCGGGTATTATCCAAGGTTTCTCCCCATGTGATAGTCTGAAATATGGCCTCATGAGATGAGAAAGACCTGACCATCCCCCAGCCTGGCACCCATAAAGGGTCTATGCTGAGGTGGATTAGTAAAAGAGGAAAGCCTCTTGCAGTTGAGATAGAGGAAGGCCACTGTCTCCTGCCTGCCCCTGAAAACTGAATGTCTTGGTATAAAACCCAACTGTACATTTGTTGAATTCTGAGACAGGAGAAAAACCGCCCTATGGAGGGAGGCGAGTCATGTTTGCAGCAATGCTGCCTTGTTATTCTTTACTCCACTGAGATATTTGGGCAGAGAAAAATATAAATCTGGCCTATGTGCACATCCAGGCATAGTACCTCCCCTTGAACTTAATTACGACATAGATTCTTTTGCTCACATGTTTTTTTTTTGATGACCTTCTCCTTATTATCACCCTGCTCTCCTACCACATTTCTCTTGCTGAGATAATAAAAATAATAATCAATAAAAACTGAGGGAACTCAAAAACCAGTGCCGGTGCAGGTCCTTGGTATGCTAAGTGCCGGTCTCTTGGGCCCACTGTTATTTCTCTATACTTTGTCTCTGTGTCTTATTTCTTTTCTCAGTCTCTCATCCCACCTGACGAGATATCCCACAGGTGTGGAGGGGCAGGCCACCCCTTCATCTGTGGTCTTACTGTTTCTCCCCACTGCCTGCTTCAGCATCCCTCCAAGTCCCTGTGGCGCACCGATGCCACCCTCCAGCCCCGCTTTTACTTGTGGGGGCCTTCCAAGGGAGAAACAGGTACCCTGCTCCAAAGCCTGAGGTTTTACAGCCTCTCAGGACAGCCCTGGTGGCTTCTGAGATGGGAGAGGCCTTTTTGGAAACTCCCAGCTTTCCCTGTGGTCTCGTCACTTATCCGCTCTGCTGGACTCAATGACTTCCTGAATTTCTGAGGCCCGCCCACACTACCCTGCGTCCTCGTTTACGCTTGTGGGGGTTTTCTGCCAGAGATACAGGCACCCTGCTCCAAAGGCTGGGGCTTTAGAGGCCCCGGGAAAAACATGGGGGCTTCTGAGATGGGAGAGGCGTCCTTGGGAGGCTGCTAGCATTCCCTGCAATCTTGCTGCTTCTCCCCTCTGCCTGACTCTATTTCCCCCAGATTCACCACGGCCTGCCCATGCCACCCTGTGGCCCTGTTTCTGCTTGTGGGGGCATTCCACAAGAGACACTGGCACACAGCTCCAAAGCCTGGGGCTTTACAGCCCATCCAGGACAGCCCTAGGAGCTTCTGGGATGGGAGAGGCCTCCTTAGAAGGCTCTCAGCTTTCCCTGCAATCTCACCGCTTCTCCACTCTGCCTGCCCCATCGTCCCTCAGAGTCCCTGCAGCCCGCCCAAGCCAACCTGCAGCCCCATTTTCTCTTGTGGAAGCCTTCTGCGAGAGACACAGCCACGCTGCTTCAAAGCCGGGAGCTTTACAGCTCGCCCAGGACAGCCCTGGGGGCTCCTGGGATGGAAGAGGCCTACTTGGGAAGCTCCCAGCATTGCCTGCGGTCTTGCCACTTCTCTCCCCTCTGCCTGACTCAATGTCTCCCTTAGTCTCTGAAGCCCCTCCATGCCACACTGCGGCCCAGCTTTTGCTTGTGGAGGTTTTCTGCCAGAGACACAGGCACTCTGCTCCAATGCTTGGGGCTTTACAGCCCGACTGGGACAGCCCTGAGGGCTTCTGAGATGGGAAAGGCCTTCTTATGAGACTCCCAGCATTCCCTGCTGTCTCGTTGCTTCTCCCCTCTGCCTGCCTCAACGTCCCACTGAGTGCCTACGGTGTGCCCATGCCACCCTGTGGCCCCTTTTTATCTTGTGGGGGACTTCCCCGATAGGCACAGACACATTACTCCAAAGCCTGGGGCTTTACAACCCACCCAGGACAGGCCTTAGGTCTTCTGGGATAAGAGAGGCCTTCTTGAGAAACTTCCAGGATTCCCTGCGATCTCTCCGCTCTTTCCCTCTGCCTGCCTCAGCATCCCCAACAGTTGCTGCGGCCAGGCCACCCCTCCCTGCGGCCCTTTTTTTGCTTGTGGGTGCATTTTGTAAGAGACACAAACAAACTGCTTCAATGCCTGAAGGTCTATGATTCACCCGGGACAGTCTGGGGGCTTCTGTTATTGGAGAGGCATCCTTGGGAGGCTCCCAGCATTCCATGCGATCTCGCCGCTTATCCCCCTGCCTGCCTCGATGTTCCCATGAGTTTCTGCAGCCGCTCAAGCCACCCTACGGCCCCGTTTTCACTTGTGGGGGTCTTCTGCGAGAAACACAGGCACGATGCTCCAAAGCCTGGGGTTTTACAGAGCGCCCGAGACATCCGTGAGTGTTTCTGGGATGTGAGACACTTCCTTCGGAAGCTCCCAGCATTCCCTGCTGTCTCGCCACTTCTCGGTTCTGCCTGCCTCAACGTCCCCCTGAGTCCCTACAGCCCGCCCACGCCACCCTATCTCCCAGTTGTCTCTCTTGTGGGTGTTCCATGAGAGACACAGGCACCTTGCTCGAAAACCTGTGGCCTTAGAGCCCACCTGGAACAGCCCTAGGAACTTCCGGGATGGAAGAGGCCTCCTTGGGAGGCTCCCAGCTTTCCCTGGGGTCTCCCCGATACTTTCCTCTGCCTGCCTCAATGTCCCCATGAGTCCCTGTCTCCCTTCCATGCCATCTTGTGGCCCTGTTTTTGCATGAGGGAGCCTTTTGCGAGAGACATAGGCACCCTGCTCCAAAGCTTGGGGCTTTACAACCATCTGGGACAGCCTTGAAGGCTTCTGGGTTGGCAGAGGCCTGCCTGGGAGGATCCCAGCATTCCCTGCAGTCTTGCCTCTTCTCCTTTCTGCCTGTCTCAACGTCCCACTGGGTTTCTACGGCCACCTGCGCTACACTGCAGCCTGGTTTTCACTTGTGGGAGCCTTCCGCGAGAGACATAAGCACCCTGCTCCAAAGCCTGGAAATTCTCATCCCGCCCAGGACAGCACATGGGGCTTCCAGAATTGGAGAGGCTTCCATGGCAGGTTCCCAGAATTCCCTGCTGTCTGGCCGCTTCTTCTCTTGCCTGCGTCGACGTCCCCATGTGTCCCTGCGGCCCACCCATGCCAACCTGCCGTCCCGTGTTTGCTTGTGAAGAAATTCCGCGAGAGACACAAGAACTGTGCTGCAAAGCCTGGTGCTTCATAGCCCGCCAGGGACAGCCCTGGGGGCTTCTGGAATGGGAGAGACCTTTGAGGGGGGCTCCCAGCATTCCCTGTGGTCTCGATGCCTCTGCCCTCTGCCTGGATCAAAGTCCCCGTGATCCAACGTCACCTGTGGCCCTCCCACGCCACCCTGCTGGCCCCATTTTCTCTACTGGGGGCCTTGCGCTAGAAATACATGCACCCTGTCTCAAAACCTGAAGCTTTACAGCATACCCGGGGCAGTCCTGGGGGCTCCTGGGATGGAAGAGGCCTCCTTGGGAGGCCCCCAGCATTCCCTGCAGTGTCGTCCCTTCACCCCTCTTCCTGCATCAATGTTCCCCTGAGTCCCTGCGGCCCGCACAGGCCACACAGCGGCCTCGTTTTCTCTTGTGCGTGCCTTCCACGAGAGACACAGGCATCTTGCTCCAAAGCCTGAGGCATTACAGCCGGACTGGGACAGCACTGGGGGCTTCTGGGATGAAAAAGGCCTCCCTGGGAGGCTCCCAGCATTCCCTGTGCTCTCGTCTCTTCTCCTCTGTGCCTGCCTCAATGTCCCTGCCACCCGCCCATGCCACCCTGCGGCTCCGTTTTTGCTTGTGGGTGCCTTCTTGAAGGACACAGTCACCCTGTTCCGAAGCCTGGGACTTTACAGCCTGCCCAGAACACCCCTGGGGACTTCTGTTATGGGAGAGTCGTCCTTGGGAGGCTACCAGCATCCCCTGCAGTCCCGCTGCTTCTCCCCTCTGCCTGCCTCAATGATTCCTTGAGTCCCTTCGGCTGACCCATGCCACCTTGACGTCCCGTTTTTGCATGTGGGGGCCTTCCGTGAGAGACACCGACCACATGCTCCAAACCCTGGGACTTTAGAGCCTGCCTATGACACCCCTGGGATCTTCTGGGATAGGAGAGGCCTCCTTGGGAGGCTCCTAGTGTACCCTGCAGTCTCTCCGCTTCTCCCCTCTGCCTTCCTCAACGTCTCTCTGAGACCCTGCGTCCTGCACACACCACCCTCCGCCCCATTGTCTCTTTTAGAAGTCTTCCTCGAGAAGCACAGGCATTCTACTTCAATGTCTTGGGCTTTACAGCCTGCCACAGATAGCCCTGGGGGCTTCTTAGATGGGAGAGGTCTCCTTGAGAGGCTCCAGCATTTCCTGCGGTCTCACCGCTTCTGCCCTCTGACTGTCTCACCATTCCCCTGATTCACTGCAGCCCGCCCACGCCACCCTGTGGCCCACGCCACCCTGCGGCCCACCCATGCCACTGTGGGGCCCTTTTTTCACTTGTGGTGATATTCTGCGAGAAACATACGCCCGCTGGTCCAAAGCCTGAAGCTTTATAGCCTGCGTTCTCACCGCTTCTCCCTTCTGCCTGCTTCAACATCCCCGTGAGTCCCTGCAGCGCGCTCACAAAAATCTGCAGCCCTGTTTACGCTTGTGGGAGCCTTTTGCGAGAGACACAGGCAGTCTGCTCCAAAGCCTGGGGCTTTATAGCACACGCGGGAAAGTCCTGGGGACTTCCTGGATGGGTGAGGCCTCCTGGGGAGCCTCTCAGCATTCCCTGCAATCTCGCAGCTTCCCACTTCTGCCTGTTTCAACGTCACCCTGAGTTCCTGCCGCCCACCCACGCCACACTGCCGTTCCGCTTTCACTTGTGTGGCCCTTCCGCAAGAGACACAGCACCCTACTCCAAAGCTTGGGGCTTCAGAGCCTGCCCAGGACACCCCTGGAGGTTTCTGGGATGAGAAAGGCCTCCTTGGGAGGCTCCTGGCATTTCCTGTGGTCTCACCACTTCTCCCCTCTGCCTGCATCAATGTCCCCTTGAATCCCTGCAGCCCTCCCACACTACCCTGCAGCACCGTTTTTGCCTGTGAGGGCCTTCCTTGAGAGATGCAGGCACCATGCTCCAAAGCCTGGGGCTTTACAGCTTGCTGGGGACATATGTGGGGGCTTCTGGGATGGGAAAGACTTCCATGGGAGGCTCCCAGCATTCCCTGCTGTCTTGCCACTTCTCCCCTCTGCCTTCCTCAACATTCCTCTGCATCCGTGCGGCTTGCCTAGGCCACCCTTTGGTCACGTTTTTGCTTGTGGGCGCCGTCCACGAGAGACACAGGCACCCTGCTCCAAAGCCTGTTGCATTACAGCCCATCCGGAACAGCCCTGGGGGCTTCTAGAATGTGAGTGGTCTCCTTAGGAGGCTCCCAGCATATCCTGCTGTTTTGCCGTTTCTTCCCTCTGCATGCCTCAACATCTCCCTCAGTACCTGCGGCCCACCCACATCACCGTTCTGTCCCTTTGTCTCTTTTGGGGGTCTCTTGCAAGAAACACAGGCACCCTGCTCCAAAGCCTGGGGCATTACAGACCCATCCAGGGCAGCCGTGGGGGCTTCTGTGATGGGAGAGGCCGCCTTGGGATGCTCCCAGCATTCTCTGCACTCTCGCCACTTCTCCACTCTGCCTTCTAAACATCAACCTTAGTCTTTGCGGCACACCCACCCCACACTGCGGCACTGTTTTCGCTAGTTGGGGCCTTCTGCGAGAGACACAAGCACTCTGCTCCAAAGCCTGGGGCTTTACAGCCCACCAGGGAAAGCCTGGGGGCTTCTGGGATGAGAAAGGCCTCCTTGATAGGCTCCCAGCATTGGCTACAGTCTCGCCGCTTCTCCCCTCTGCCTGTCTCAACGTTCCCCTGAGTCCCTGAGGCCTGCCGAGGCCACCCTGCAGTTCTGTTTTTGCTTGTGGAGGCCTTCCCCATGAGACACAGGCACCTTGCTAAAAAGCTTGGGGGATTACAGCCCTGATGGATTCTGGGATGGGAGAGCCCTCCTTGGGAGGCTCCCAGCATTTCTTTCAGTCTTCGCCGCTTCTCCCTTCTGACAGCCTCAACGTCTCTGAGTACCTGCGGCCTGCCCACGCCACACTGCTGCCCCATTGTCTCTTTTCTGGGACTTCTGAGAGAGACACAGTCACCCTGCTCCAAAGCCTGGGGCTTTACACCTCTCCTGGGACAGCCCAGCAGGCTGCTGCGATGGGAGAGGCCTCCATAGGAGGCTCCCAGCATTCCCTGTGGTCTAGCTGCTCCTCCCCTCTGTCTGCCTCAACGTCACTGTGCCGCCTGCCCACGCCACCATGAGGTCCCGTTTTTCCTTGTGGCAGACATTTAAGAGACACAGACATGCTGCTCTAAAGCCTGGGGCTTCACAGCCCACCAGGGACAGTTCTAGTGGCTTCCAGGATGAAAGAGGCCTTCTTTGGAGGCTCGCGGCATTCCCTGCGGTCTCGCCAATTCTCCCCTCTGCCTGCCTCCATGTAACCTTGAGTCCCTGTGGACCTCCCACGCCACACTGCGGCCATGATTTGCATGTGAGGGTGCTCCACGAGACACAGACACCCTGCTCCATAAGCTGGAATATTACAGCCCATCCGGGACAGCTCTGGGGATTCTGGGATGGGAGAGGTTTGCTTGGGAGGCTCCCAGCATTCCCTGCAGTCTCGCCGCTTTTCTCCACTGACTGCCTCAATGTCCCCCTGAATACCTGCAGCCCGCCCATGCCACCCTGAGGCACTGTTTTTTACTTGTGGGGGCCTATTGCGAGAGATGCAGCACCACCCCCCCCAAAGCCTGGTGCTTTACAGCCCGCTTGGGACAGCCCTGGGGGCTTCTGGGATGAGAGAGGCCTCCTTGGGAGGCTCCCAGGATTTCCCGCGTTCTGGTCGCTTCTCTCCTCTGCCTGTCTCCATGTGCCCCTGAGTCCCTGTGGCCCACCGACGCCACACCGTGGCCCGGGTTTTGCTTGTGGGAGCCTTCCGCGAGAGACACAGGCACCCTGTTCCAAAGCCTGGTGCTTTACAACCCTACCAGGACAGCCTTTGTGGCTTCTGGGATGGGAGAGGCCTTTTAAGGAGTCTCCCTGCATTGGCTGCAGTCTCGCTGCGTCTCCCCTCTGCCTGCCTCAACGTCCCCTGAGTCCCTGCAGCCTGCCCACGCACCCTATGGCTTGTTTTTGTTTGTGGGGGCTTTCCGCGAGAGACACAGGCACCCTGCTCCAAAGCTTTACAGCAGGTCCAGGACAGCCCTGGGGGCCTCTGGAATGGAGAGGCCTCCTTGGGATGCGCCCAATATTCTCTGCCATCTCAATGTTTCTCTCCTCTGCTGCCTCAACAATTTCCTGAGTCCCTGCGATCCTCTCACTCCACTCTGAGGCCCGCCCAAGCCACACTGAGCCCCTACTTTCACTAGTGGGAGCCTTCTGCTAGAGACAGAGGAACCCTGCTTTGAAGCCTGGGGCTTTACAGTCTGCCCGGGACACCTCTGTGGGCTTCTGGGATGGGAGAGGCCTTCGTGGAACGCTCCCAGCATTCCCTGCAGTCTCCCTGCTTCTCCCCTCTGCCATCCTCAATGACTCCTGAGTCCCTCTGGCCCTGCTACGCCACCTTGCGGCCCCATTTTTCATGTGAGGGACTTCCTCGAGAGACACAGGGACTGTGCTCCAAATCCTGGGACTTTCCAGCCCGCCCGGGACAGCCCTGGGGGCTTCTGTGATGGGAGAGGCCTCCTTGGCCAACTCCTGGCATTCCCTGCGGTCTCGAAGCTTCTCTGCTTTGCCTGTCTCAAAGTACCCCTGAGTTTCTGCAGCCCGCCCACACCACACTGCGGCCGCATTTTCACTTGTGAGAGCCTTCTGCGAGAGACACAGCCACCATCCTCCTAAGCCTGGGGCATTACAGCCCACCCAGGACAGTCCAGGAGTATCTGGGATGAAAGAGGCCTCCACAGGAGGCTCCCAGCATTCGCTGTGTACACACTGATTCTTCCCTCTGTCTGCCTCTATGTTTCCATGAGTCCCTGCTGCCCGCCCATGCCACCCTGCTGCCCTGTTTTTACTTGTGGAGGCCTTTTGCAGGAGACCCAGTCACCATGCTCCAAAGCTTATTACTTTAAAGCCCACCCAGGACAGCCCTGGGGGTTTCTGATATGAGGGAGGCCTTTTACTGAGACTCCCAGCATTCCCTGCGGCCTCACCGCATCTGCACTCTTCCAGCTTTAATGTTCCCCCTGAGTCTCTGTGGCCCACCCATGCCACCCTTCGGCCACGTTTTCGCTTGTGGGAGATTTCCGTGAGAGACAGGCACCCTGCTCCAAAGCCTGGGGCTTTACAGCAGGCTCAGGACAGTGCTGGGAGATTCTGGGATGAAAGAGGCATCCTTTGGAGGCTCCTAGCACTCCTGCACTCTAGCTGCTTCTCCCCTCTGCCTGGCTTGGTGTCCCTCTGAGTACCTGTGGCCCGCCCACACCATGCTAGGGACTCGTTTTTTCCAGTGGGGGCCTTCTGCTAGAGACACAGCCACCCTATTTCAAAACCTGAAGCTTTACATCACGCCCGGGATAGTCCTTGGGGTTTCTGAAATGGGAGACGCCTCCTTGGGAGCCTCCCAGCATCCCCTGTGATCTCGATGCTTCTTCCCTCTGCCTGCCTCAAGGACATGCTGAGCCACTAACGCTTGCCCAGGTCACCTTGTGGCTCTGTTTTTGCTTGTGGGGGCCTTCTGTGAGAGACACAGTCACCCTGTTCCTAAACCTGGGGCTTTACAGACTGCTGGGAAAGCCCTGGGGGCTTCTGGGATAAAAGAGGCCTCCTTGTGAGGTTTTCAGCATTTTCTTTGGTCTTGCCGCTTCTCTCCTTTGCCTTCCTCAATGACTCCCTGAGTCCCTGTGGCCCACCCACGGGACCCTGCCGCCCCGTTGTCTCTTTTCGGTGTCTTCCATGAGAGACACAAGCACTCTACTTCACAGCATGAGACATTACAGCGCCTCCAGGGAAGCTTTGGGGGCTTGGATGAGAGAGGCTTCCCTGGAAAGCTCCCAGCATTCACTGTGGTCTTGACACTTATTTTTTCTGCCTTACTGAAAGTCCCCCTGAGACTCTGTGGCCCACCCAAGCAACCCTACTGCCCAGTTTTCGCTAGTGGGTGCCTTCCAGTAGAGACACAGGCACTCTACTTCAAAACCAGAAGCTTTACAGCACTCCTGGGACAGTCCTGGAGGCCTCTGAGATGTGAGAGGCATCCATAGGAGGCTCCAAGCATTCCCTGCTGTCTCCATGCATCTACCGTTTGCCTGCCTCAATGTCACCCTGAGTCCCTGCCACCCGCCCGTGCCTGCCTGTGGCCCCGTTTTCGCTTGAGGGGGCCTTCAGTGAGAAACACAGGCACCCTACTCCAAAGCTTTGGTAATTACAGCCCATCTGGGACAGCCCTGGGGGCTTCTGTGATGGAAGAGTCATCCTTGGGAGGCTCCCAGCATTCCCTGCGGTCTCGCCACTTCTCTATACCTGCCTCAAAGTCTCCCTGAGTCCCCGTAGCCCGACCTCACCACTCTGCCTCCCGCTTGTCTCTTTTGAAGGTCTTCTGAGAGAGACACAGGCACTCTGCTCCAAAGCCTGGGGTATTACAGCCCATCCGGGACAGCCCTGGGGGCTTCTACAATGGGGGGGGGCTTAATTAAGAGGCTCCCAGCATTTCCTGAGGTCTCGCCCCTTCTACTCTCTGCTTGTCTCTACATCTCCCTGAGACCCTACGGCCCACCCATGCCACCCTGCCTCCCTGTTGTCTCTTTTGGGGGTCTTCTGCAAGCTACACAGGCACGCTGCTCCTAAGCCTGGTGCATTACAGTTCGTCCGGGACAGCCCTGGGGGCTTCTGGATGGAAGAGGCCTCCTTCGGAGGCTCCCGGCATTCCCTGCGCTCTCGCCGATTCTCCTCTCTGCCTGACTCAAAGATCCTCTGAGTCCCTGTGGTCCACTCAGGCCAACCTATGGCCCCATTTTCACTTCGGGGGCCTTCTGCGAGAGACACAGGCACCCCGCTCCAAAGCCTGGGACGTTACAGCTGGTCTGGGACAGCCCTGTGGGCTTCTGGGATGGGAGAGGCCTCCTTGGGAGGCATTCCCTGCGGTCTCACCACTTCTCCCCTCGGCCTGACTCAACGTCTCCCTGAGTCCCTGTGGCCCGCCCACGCTACCCTGCCACACAGTTGTCTCTGTTCTGGGTCTTCCACAAGAGGCACCGGCACCCTGATCCAAAGCCTAGGGAATCATAACCCGTCCAGGACAGCCCTGGGAACTTCTGGGATGGGAAAGGCCTCCTTGGGAGGCACCCAGCAGTCCCTGCGGACTCGCTGCTTCTCCCCTCTACCCGCCTCAGTGTCCCCCTGAGTCCCTGTGGCTCGCTCATGCCACCCTGCGGCCTTGTTTTCGCTTGTGGGGGCTTTCCGCGAGACACAGGCAACCTGTTCCAAAACCTGGGGCTTTGCAGCCCGCCTGGGACAGCCCTGGGGGATCCTCGATGGGAGAGTCATTTTTGGGAGTCTCCCAGCATTCCCTGCAGTCTCAACGCTTCTCCTTTCTGCCTGGCTCAACGTCCTTCTGAGTCCCTGCGGCCGGCCCACGCCACCCTACCGCCCCGTTTTCTCTAGTGCGAGCCTTCCGCTACAGACATAGGCACCTTGCTTCATAACCTGAAGCTTTACAGCGTGCCTGAGACATTCTGGGGTGCTTCTGAAATGGAAGAGGCCTGCTTAGGAGGCCTCTAGCATTCCCTGCAGTCTTATCTCTTCTCCCCTCTGCCTGCCTCAATGTCACCCTGAGTTCCTGCCGTCTGCCCACGCCACGCTGCGGCCCCGTTTTCACTTGTGGGGGCTGTCCACGAGAGACACAGGCACCCTGCTCCAAAGCCAGAGGCATTACAGTCTGTCTGGGACAGCCCTGTGGACTTCTGGGTTGGGAGATGCCTCGTTAGGGGGCAGCCAGCATTGTTTGCAGTCTCACGGCTTCTCCCCCGTGCCTGCCTCAATGTCCCCCTGAGTACACATGACCCGCGAACGCCATTGTGCGGTCTGCCCACGCCACCCTGTGGCCCTTTTTTCCCTTGTTGGGGCTTTTTGCGACAGACACATGAACGCTGCTTCAAAGCCTGGGAATTTACAGCCCGCCCAGGACAGTCCTGGTGGCTTCTGGTATAAGAGAGGCCATCTTGGGAGGCTCCCAGCATTCCCTACGTTCTCACCACTTCCCTCCGTGTCTGATTCGACATCCCCCTGAGACTCTGCAGGCCGTCCATGCCACCTTGTGGCCCCGTTTTCTATTGTAGGGGTCTTCCGAGAGAGATGAGTGCACACTGCTTCAAAGCCTGCCAGGGGCACCCTTAGGGGCTTCTGGGTTTTGAGAGGCTTTCTTGGGATGCTCCTAATATTCCCTGCAGTCTCTCCGCTTCTCCCCTCGGCCTGCCTCAACGTCCTCCTGACTGCCTTCTCACACGCCACCCTGCGGCCCTGTTTTTGCATGTGGGGGCCTCCCTTCAGAGACATAGGCACCTTCCTCCAAAGCCTGGAGCTTTTCAGCCCGCCTGAGACACCCTGGGAGCTTCTGGGATGGGATAGAAGTTCACGGGATTCTCTTAGCATTCCCTGCGGTCTCGTTGATTCTTCCCTTTGCCTACCTCAATGTCTCCATGAGCCCCTGCGGCCTGCCAACACCACACTCCGGCCAAGGTTTTGATTGTGGAGGCCTGCGAGAGACACAGACACCCTGCTCCAAAGCCTGTTGCTTTACAGCCCTCCTGGACAGCCCTGGTGTCCTCTAGGATAGGAGAGGCCTTTTAGAAATACACCCAGCATTCCCTGTGTTCTCACTGTGTCTCCTATCTGCCTGTCTCAATGTGTTCCTGAGTCCCTGTGGCCCACCCATGCCACTTTACTGCCCTGTTTTGGCTTGTGGGGGCTTTCCGCAAGAGACACAGGCACCTTGCTTCAAAGCCTGGGGATTTACAGCACGCACGGGACAGCCCAGTGGGCTTCTGGGATGGGAGAGGCCGGCTTCGCATGCTCCCGGCATTCCCTGCTGTCTCAAATCTTCTCTTCTTTGCCTGGCTTACCATTCCCCTGAGTCCCTGCAACCCGCCCATGCCACCCTACCTCCCGTTTTCACTGGTAGGGGCATTCGTGAGAGGGACATGCACCCTGCTCCAAAGCCTGTGGCTTTACAACCTTCCCGGGACACATCTCGGGGCTTCTGAGATAGGAGAGGCCTCCTTGGGATGCTCCCTGCATTTTCTGCGGTCTTGCTGCTTCTCCTGTCTGCCTGCCTCAACATTTCCCTGAGTCCTTGCAACCCTCCCATGCCATCCTGTGGCAACGTTTTTTGCATGTGGGGTCCTTCTGCAAAAGACACGGGCACCCTGCTCCAAAGTCTGTGGCTTTACAGCCCACCACGACCGCCTTGAGGGCATCTGGGATGAGAAAGCCATCCTTGGGAGGCTCCTAGCATTCCCTGCATTCTCACTGCTTCTTTCCTCTCTGCCTGTCTCAACGTCCCTGAGTCTCTGCGGCCCACCCATGCCACATTGCGGCGGCGAATTCACTTGTGGGAGCCTTCCGCAAGAGACACCTGATCCAATGACTGGTGCTTACAGCCTGCCCAGGGGAGCCCAGGGGGCTCCTATAATGGGAGAGGCTTCCATGCGTGTCCCCCAGCATTCCCTGCTGTCTCGCCACTTTTTCCGTCTGCCTGCCTCAAAGTACCCATGTGTCCCTGCGGCATGTCCACACCACTGTGTGGTTCCGTTTTTGCTTGTGGAGGCCTTCTTCGAGATGCAAGGGACCCTGCACCAAACCCTGGTGCTTTAAAGCCAGACGGGGACAGCCCTTAGGGCTTCTGGGATGGAAAAGGCCTTTGGGAGGCTCCCAGCATTCCCTGCAGTCTCACCACGTCTCCCCTCTGTCTGCCTCAAATCCCCCTGAGTTCCTGGGGCTTTCCCATGTCACCCTGTGGCCCTGTTTTCGCTTCTGGGGGCCTTCTGCGAGAGACTCAGGCACCCTGATCCAAAGCCTGAGGCTTTACAGACCTCCCAGGACAGCACTGAAGGCTTCTGAGATGGGAGAGGCCTCCTTGAAAGATTCCCTTTATATTCTGCGGTCTTCAAGCTTCTTTGCTCTGCTTGGCTCAACGGCCAGTCCTTACAGCCCACCCACGCCACTCTACATCCCCATTTTCACTAGTGGGGGCCTTTCGCTAGAGACATAGGCACCATGCTTCAAAACCTGAAGCTTTAGAGCACGTACTGGACAGTTCCGAGGGCTTCTTGGATGGGAGAGGCATCCTTGGGAGTTTCCCAGCATTCCCCCGGTGGGACAGCCCTGGGGGTTTCTGGGATGGCAGAGGCCTTCGAGGGAGGCTATCAGCCTTCTCACCGGTCTCGTCCCCTCTATCCTCTGCCAGTGTCAACATCTCTGGAAGTCCCTGCACCCGCCCATCCCACCCTGCCACCCCGTTTTTGTTTGTGAGGGACTTTCTCCAGAGACACAGGCTCCCTGCTCTGAAGTCTGGGACCTTACAGCATTGGGGGATTCTGGTTCTAAAGTCTTCCTTGGGAGTCTCCCACCATTCCCTGCAATGCTGCCCCTTCTCCCCTATGCCTGTCTCAACGTCCCCCTGAGTCCCTGCAGCCCACCCATGCCACCCTGAGGCCCCGTTTTTGCTTGTGGGAGCATTCCGCGAGAGACACAGACAACCTGCTCCAAAGCCTGGGGCTTTACAGCTTGCCTGGGACAACACTGGGGGCTTCGAATATAAGAGAGGCCTATTTGGGAGGCTACCAGCATTACTTGCAGTCTCAACCCTTCTTCCCTCTGCGTACTGCAGCATCCCCCTGAGTCCCTGCCACCCACCCACCACACCCTGCGTCTCTCAGCATTTCCTGCAGTCTCACTGCTTCTACCCCTGTGTCCCTGCGATGCATCCACACCAACTTGCAGCACCGTTTTTGCTTATGGAGGCATTTTGTGAGAGACTAAGGCACCCATCTCCAAAGACTGGTGCTTTACTGCACGTTTGGGGCAGCCCTGGTGGCTTCTGAGATGGGAGAGGCCTTTTAGGGGGGGCTCCCAGCATTCCCTGTGGTCTCGCTGCACCTACCCTCTGCCTGTCTCAACGCCCCACTGAATCCCTGCAGCCCGCCTATGCCACCTTGCGGCCTGCCATGCCCACCCTGTGGCCATGTATTTGCTTGTGGAAACATTTTGCGAGAGACACAGGCTCCCTGCTCCAAAACCTGGGGATTTACAGCCCGCCCAGGTCAGACTTGGGGGCTTTTGGGATGGGAGAGTCCTCGTTGGATGGCTCCCAGCATTCCCTGCCATCTCAATGCTTCTCCGCTCTGCCTGGCTCAACTTCCCTCTGATTCTTATCAGCCGGCCGATGCCACCCTTCAGCTCCGTTTTTGCTAGTGGGGGCTTTCCGCCACAGACACCAGCAAATTGCTTCAAAACCTGAAGCTTTACAGCACGCCTGGACAGTCCTGAGGGCTTCTGGGACGGGAGGGGCCTCCTTATGACACTCCCAGCATTCCCTGTAGTCTCGATGCTTCTCCCCTTTGCCTGCCCCAACATCTCCCTGAGTCCCTGCAACCAGCCCACACCACCCTGTGGCCCCGTTTTTGCTTCTGGGGGCTCTCTGCGAGAGACTCAGGCACTCTGCTCCAAGCTTGGTGCTTCAGAGCCCGCACGGTACAGACTTGGGGGATTTTGGAAAGGAAGAGGCCTTTTTGAGAGGCTCCCCGCTTTCCTTGCATTCTCGTCACTACTTCCCTTTGCTTGCCTCAACGTTCCCCTGAGTTCCTGCTGCCCGCCCAGGCCACCCTGAGGTTCCGTTTTCCCTAGTGGGGGCCTTCTGTGAGAGACACAGGCACCATGCTCCAAAGCCTGGGGCATTAAAGCCCATCCGAGAAAGCCCTGGGGGCTTCTGGGATGGGAAATGCATCTTTGGGAGGCTCCCAGCATTCCCTGTGGTCTCGTCGCCTCTCATCTCTGCCTACCTCAACGTCCCCGAGTCCCTGCAGCCCACCCACACCACCCTATGGCCCGCCCATGCCACCCTGCGGCCCTCTTTCCGCTTGTGGAGGCCTTTTGCGAAAGACACAGGCACACTGCCCCAAAGCCTGGGGCTTTATAGCCCACCTGGGACAGTCCTAGGGGCTTCTGAAATGGGAGAGATATCCTTGGAAGTCTCCCAGCATTCCCGACGGTCTTGTCGCTTCTTTCTTCTGCCTTCCTCAATGTTCCCGTGAGTCCCTGAGGCCCGCCCACACCACACTGTGACCCCGTTTTCGCTTGTGAGGGCTTTCCGCGAGAGACAAATGCACCCTGCTGCAAAGCCCGGGGCTTTACAGCATGCCCAGGACAGCCCTGGGGGCTTCTGGGATGAGAGAGGCTTCTTTTGGGATGCTCTCAGCATCCCCAGCTGTCTCGACTCTTCTCGTCTCCGCCTAGCTCAATATCCCACTGAGTCCCTTCGGCCAGCCCATGCTCCCCTACTGCCCCGTTTTGGCTAGTGGGGTTTTTCTGCTAAAGACACATGCACCCTGCCTCATAACCTGAAGCTTTACAACACGCTGCGAACAGTGCTGGGGGCTTCTGGGATGGGAGAGGACTCCTTGAAAGGCTCCCAGCATTCCCTGCGGTCTTGTCGTTCTCCCCTCTGCCTGCCTCAAAGTCTGCTGCCCACCCACGCAAACTTGCATCCCCGTGTTCGCTTGTGGGGGCCTTCCGCGACAGACACAGGCACCCTGCTCCACCGCCTGGGGCATTACGTCTCATCCGGGAGAGCCCTGGGGGTTTCTGGGATGGGGGAGGCCTTCTTGGTAGGCTCTCAGCATTCCCTGCAGTCTCGCTGCTTTTCCCCTCAGCCTGCCTCAATGTCTCTCTGAGTCCCTGCAGCCCGCCCGTGCTACTTTGCCGCTTCATTGTCTCTACTGGGGGTCTTCTGCGAGAGACACAGGCACCTTGCTTCAAAACCTGGGGTATTACAGCCCGTTAGGGACAGCCTTGGGGTTTCTGGGATGGGAGAGTCCTCCTATGGAGACTCCCAGCATTCCCTGTGGTCTTGTGGCTTCTCTGTTGTGCCTGCTTCAATGTCCGCCTGAGTCCTTATTGGCCGCCCACGCCACCGTACGGCCCCATTTTCACTGGTAAGGGCATGCCTCGAGAGAAACAGGCACCCTGCTCTGAAGCCAGGGGATTTTTTTTTTTTTTTTTTTTTTTTTTTTTTTTGAGACGGAGTCTTGCTCTGTCACCCAGGCTGGAGTGCAGTGGCACAATCTCAGCTCACTGCAAGCTCCGCCTCCCGAGTTCACGCCATTCTCCTGCCTCAGCCTCCGGAGTTGCTGGGACTACAGGCGCCCTCCACCATGCCTGGCTAATTTTTTGTATTTTTAGTGGAGGCGGGGTTTCACCATGTTAGCCAGGATGGTCTGGATCTCCTGACCTCTTAATCCGCCCGCCTCAGCCTCCCAAAGTGCTGAGCCAAGGGATTACAGGTGTGAGCCACCTCTCCCGGCCAAAGCCAGGGGATTTACAGCCTGCCCAAGGCAACTTTTGAGGCTTCTGGGATGGGAGAGGCCTCTTTGCGAGGCTCCCAGCATTTTCTGCGGTCTTACTGCTTTTCGCCTCTGCCTGTCTCAGCGTCCTCCTGAGTCCCTGCAACCCTCCACTCAACCCTATGGCCCCGTTTTTCCAGGTAGGTTCCTTCTGCAAAAGACATAGGCACCTTGTTCCAAAATCTGTGGCTTTACAGCCCACCCGGGACAGACCTGGGGGCATCTGATATGGGACAGGCATCCTTGGGAGGCTTCCAGCATTCGCTGCGGTCATGCCGCTTCTTCCTACTGCCTGTCTCAATGTCCCTCTGAGTCCCTGCAGCCCAGCCACGCCACACTGCAGCCCCGTTTCTCTCATGGGAGCTTTCCGCGAGAGACAGAGGCACGCTGATCCAAAGCCTG
Organism: Homo sapiens; assembly: GCF_000001405.40. Taxonomy (NCBI): domain Eukaryota; kingdom Metazoa; phylum Chordata; class Mammalia; order Primates; family Hominidae; genus Homo; species Homo sapiens. The sequence continues at coordinate 46,247,678 of NC_000008.11, read as the reverse complement.
GTGCTTATACCCTGCCCAGGGGAGCCCAGGGGTCTTCTGGGATGGGAGAGGCTTCCATGCGAGGCCCCCAGCATTCCCTGCGGTCTGGCTGCTTTTTCTGTCTGCTTGCCTCAACATCCCCATGAGACCCTGCGGCACACCTATGCCACCCTGCGATTCCATTTTTGCTTGTGGAGGCGTTCCGTGAGAGACAACGGACCCTGCACCAAACCCTGGTGCTTTACGCACAGCCCGGGACAGCTCTTAGGTCTTCTGGGATGGGAGAGGCTCCCAGGATTCCCTGCGGTCTCACCGCATCTCCCCTCTTCTTGCCTCAATGCCCCCTGAGTCCGTGTGGCCCGCCAACTCTGTCCTGCAACCCGCCCACCCAACCCTGCAGCCCTGTTTTCCCTTGTGAGGGGCCTTCTTCCAGAGGCTTAGGCACCCTGCTCCAACTCCTGCGGCTTTACAGCCCTCCCGGGACAACCCTGAAGGCTAATGGGATGGCAGAGGCCTCTTTGAAAGGCTCCCAGTATAACCTGCGGTCTCAATGTTTCTTTGCTCTGCATGGCTAAACGTCCCTCTGAGTCCTTGAGGCCTGCTCATACCACCCTACGTCCCCAATTTTGCTAGTGGGAGCCTTCTGCTTGAGACACAGTCACCCTGCTTCAAAACCTGAAGCTTTACAGCACGTCCTGGACAGTTCTGGGGGCTTCTGGAATGGGAGAGGCCTTCTTGGGAGGCTCCCAGGATTTCCTGCGGTCTTGCTGCTTCTTTTCTCTGCCTACCTCAACGTCCCCCTGAGTCCCAGCCACCTGCTCAGGCCACCCTGCAGTCCCGTTTTTGCTTGAGGGGGCATTGCTCGATAGGCACAGGCACACTGCTTTAAAGCCTGGGGCTTTAGAGCCTGCCTGGGACAAACCTGAAGGCTTCTGGGATAAGAGAGGCCTTCTTGGAAGGCTCCCAGCATTCCCAGCTGTCTCGCTGCTTCTCCCCTCTGCCAGCCTTAGTGGTTTCCTGAGTTTTTGCGAGCTGCCCATGCCATCCTGTGGCCCCATTTTTAATTCTGTGTGCCTTCCGCGAGAGACACAGGCACCCTGCTGGAAAGCCTGGGCTATACAGTGTGCATGGAACAGCCCTGGGGGCATCTAGGACGGGAGAGTTCTTATTCAGAAGCTCCTAGCAGTTCCTGTCGTCTCGTCTCTTTTCCTCTCGCCTGCTCAAAGTCCTGAGTCCCTGTGACCAGCCCACTCCATTCTGCCATCCTGTTTTCGCTTGTGGGGGTCTTAAGGGAGAGACAGAAGCACGCTGCTCCAAAACCAGGGGCGTTACAGCCCTACCGGGACAGCTCTGGGGGCTTATGGGATGGCAGAGGCCTTCAAGGGAGGCTACCAGCCTTCCCGCTGGTCTCGTCACTTCTATTCTCTGCCAGCCTCAACATCTACCAAAGTTTCCCTGCCCGCCCAGGCCACCCTGCCGCCCCGTTTTTGCTTGTAGGGGGCTTCCACCAGAGACACAGTGTCCCTGCTCCAAAGCCTGGGGCTTTATAGCCTGCCCAGGACAGCCCTGGGGACTTCTGGAATAAAAGAGTCTTCCTTGGGAGTCCCCCAGCATTCCCTGCAATGTTGCCTAGTCTCCTCTATGCCTGCCTCAATGTCCCCCTGGGTCCCTGCGACTCACCCAGGCCACCGTGTGTCCCCATTTTTGCTTGTGGGGGCCTTCCGCGAGAGACACAGTCACCCTGTTCTGAAGCCTGGAGCTTTACAGCTTGCCTGGGACAGTACTGTGTGCTTAGATGATTGGAGAGACCTTTTTGGGAGGCTACCAGCTTTACTTGCAGTCTCGCCGCTTCTCCCCTCTGCCTTCTGCAACTGCCCTCTGAGTCCCTCTGACCCGCCCATTACACCCTGTGGCCTCATTTTCGCTTGTAGGGGCCTACCGTGAGAGACACAGGCTTCCCGCTTTAATGCTTGGAACTTGACTGCCCGACTGGAACAGCCCTAGAAGCTTCTGGGATTGGAGAGGCCTCTTTGTGAGGTTCCGAGCATTTCCTGCCATCTTGCAGCTTCTGGCTTCTGCCTGCCTCAACGTATCCCTGAGTCCCTGTGGCCCGCCCACGCCAACCTGCTACCCCGTGGTCTCTTTTGGGGGTCTTCCACGAGAGACCCAGGCACCCTGCTTCAATGACTGGGGCATTACAGCCCGTCTGAAACAGATCTGGGGACTTCTGGGATAAGAGAGGCCTCTTTGGGAGGCTCCCAGCATTCCCTCCGGTCTTGCTGCTTCTCCCCTCTGCCTGTTTCAATGTTCCCCTGAGTTTCTGTGGCCCGCCCACGCCACCCTGCGGCACGCCGAGGCTACTCTAAGGCTTTCTTTTCATTTGTGGAGACCTTTTGCAAGAGACATAGGCATCCATCTCCAAAGTCTGGGGCATTACAACCCGCCCGGGACAGCCCTGGGGGCTTCTGGAATGCGAGAAGCCTCCTTGGGAGGCTCCCAACATTCCCTGCTGTCTCGCTACTTCTTTCCTCTTCCTGCCTCAATGTCACCCTAAGTCCCTGCCGCCACCCAAGACAACTTGCGGTCCGCCCATGCCACCCTGTGGCCCTGTTTTCACTTGTGGGGACCTTTTCCGAGAGACACAGGCACCCTGCATTAAAACCAGGGGATTTACAGCTGGACGTAGACAACCCTGGAGGCTTCTGGGATCGGAGAGACCTTTTGGGGAGGCTGCCAGCATTTTCTGCGGTCTCACTGCTTCTCCTCTCTGTCTGCCTCAACGTAACCCTGAGTCCCTGCGGCCTGTCCACGCCAACTTACTGTCCTGGTTTTGCTTGTGGGGGCCTCTTGTGAGAGACACAGGTACCCTGTGCCGAAGCCTGGGGCTTTACAGCTCGCCTGGGACAGCATTATGTGTTTCGAGGATAGGAGAGGCCTTTTTGGGAGGCTACCAGCATTATTTGCGTTCTTGCCACTTCTCCCCTCTGCCTTCCGCAACGACCCCTGAGTCCCTGCTTCCCGCTCACCACACCCTGCGGCCCCATTTTCACTTGTGGGGGCCTACTGTGAGAGACACAGGCATCCTGCTCCAATGTTTGGGACTTTATGGCCCAACCGGGACAGCCATAGGGGCTTTTGGGATGGGAGATTGCCTCTTAGGAGGCTCCCAGCATTTCCTGTGGTGGCGACGCTTCTCCCGTCTGCCTACTTCAACGTTTCCCTGAGTTCCTGCGGCCTGCCATCGCCACCCTGCAGCCCCATTGTCTCCTTTGGGGGTCCTCTGCTAGAGAACCAGGCACCTTGCTCCAAAGCCTGGGGCATTACAGTCTGTCAGGGACCGCGCTGGGGGCTTCTGGGATGGGAGACACCTCCTTGGGACGCTCCCAGCATTCCCTGTGGTCTAGCCACTTGTCCCCTCTGCCTGCCTTCACATTCCCCGGAGTGTCTTTCGCCCACCCACGCCACTGTGAGGCCCTGTTTTCTCTTATGGAGGCCTTTTGCGAGAGACACAGGCACCCTGCTCCAACGCCTGGGCCCGACAAATCCCTGCGGGCTTCCGGCATCAGAGAAGCCTCCTAGGGAGGCTTCCAGCATTCCCTGCGGTCTCATCTCTTCTTCCGTCTGCCTGCCTCAATGTCTCCCTGAGTCCCTGCAGCCCACTCACACCACCCTGCCTCCCCATAGTCTCTTTTGGGGGTCTTCCACAAGAGACACAGGCACCCTGCTCCAAAGCCTGGGGCATTACAGCCCATCTGAGACAAACCTGGGGGCTTCTGGGATGGGATAGGCCTCCTTAGGAGGCTCCTAGCACTCCCTGCAGTCTCGCCCCTTCTCCCCCCTGCCTGCCTCTACGTCCCCTTGAGTCCCTGTGGCCCACCCACGCCACTTTTCAGCCTCGTTTTCACTTGTGGGGGCCTTCCGCGAGCGACACAGACACCCCGCTTAATAGCCTGGGTATTAAAACCCGCCCGGGAAAGCCTTTGGGGCTTCTGGGGTGGGATAAACCTGTTTTGGAGGTTCTTAGCATTTTCTGTGGTATCACCTCTTCTCTCCTCTGCCTGCCTCCATGCGCCCCTGAGTCTCTCTGACCCCGTTTTCTCTTGTGGGGGCCTTTCGCGACAGACACAGGCAGCATGCTCCAAAGTCTGGGGCTTTACTGCCCGCCCGGGACAGCCCTGGGTGCTGCTGAAATGTGAGAGGCATATTTGGGAGCTCTCAGCATTCCCTGCGGTCTTGCTGCTTTTCTCCTCTGCCTGCCTAAACAAAGCGCTGAGCCTTTGCCACCCGCCCACGCCAACCTGCAGCCAAGTTTTTGCTTGTAGGGGCTTTCTGTGAGAGAGACAAGCACCCTCTTCCAAATCCTGGGGCTTTACAGCCTGCCCAGCGCAGCCCTGGGGGCTTCTGGGATGGGAGAGACTCCCTTTGGAGGCTCCCAGAATTTCCTGCAGTCTAGCTGCTTCTCCCATTCGCCTGTTATCAACATCCCCCTGAGTTTCTGCGGCTTGCCCACACCACCATGCGGCCCCATTTTCGCTTGGGGGGGCCTTCCGCGGGAGAAACAGGCACCTGCTCAAAAGCCTGTGGCTTCACATCCCTCCCCAGACTGCCCTGGGGGCTTCTAGGATGGAAGAAGCATTTTTGAAGGCTCCCAGCATTCTCTTCGGTCTCACCCTTTTTCCCCCTTCCTGCCTGAATGTCCCCCTGAGTTTCTGCCTCTCACTCATGCCAAACTGCTGCCCCATTCTCGCTTGTGTGGGTGTTCCTCGATAGACACAGGCAGACTGCTCCAAAGCCTGAGGCTATACAGCACGTATAGCGGCTTCTAGGATGAAATAAATCTTCTTGGGAGTCTTCCAGCATTCCCTGTGGTCATGACACCTCTCCCCTCTGCCTGTCTCAATGTCCCCCTGAGTCCCCGCGGCCCGCCCACGCCACCATGCGGTCCCGTTTTAGATTGTGGGGGAATTCCGCAAGAGACATAGGCAACCTGTTCAAAGTCTGGGTCTGTATAACCACCTGGGACAGCCCTGGGGTCTTCTGGAATGGGAGATGCCTCCTTGGGAGGACCCCAGCATTCCACGTGATCTTGCTGCTTCTTCTTTCTATCTGCCTCAATGTCTCCCTGAGTCCCTGCAGCTCGCCAACGGGTCCTTGTGGCCCTGTTTTCACTTGTGGGGCCTTCAGCGAGAAACACAGGTATCCTGCTCCAAAGTCTGGGACTTTACAGCTGGCCAGACAGCGATGGGGGCTTCTACGATGGGAGAGGCCTTCTTGGGAGGCTCACAGCATTCCCTGCCATCTCGCCGTCTCTTACCTCTGCCTGCCTCGACATACCCATGAGTTTCTGCCATTGGCCCACACCACACTGTGGCCCAGTTTTCGCTTCTTGGGGCTTTCTGCATGAGACATAGGCACCCTGCTCCAAAGCTTGGGGCTTTTCACACACACCCCGGAGAGCCTTCGGGGCTTCTGGGATGGGAGACACCTTTTTGGGAGTCTCCCAGCATTTTCTGTGGTATCGCCCCTTCTCCCCTCTTCCTGCCTCAACATCCCACTGAGTCCCTGCCGCCCGCCCACCCCACCCTGCGGCCCCATTTTTGCTTATGGGGACCTTCTGCAAGAGGCACAGGCAGCCTGCACCAAAGTCTGGGTATTTACAGCCCGCCCGGGACAGCCCTGGATGCTGCTGAAATGGGAGAGGCATCTATGGGAGGCTGCCAGCATTCCCTGGAATCTTGCTACTTCTCTCCTCTGCCTGACTCAATGTCCCGCTGAGTTCCTACTACCCCCCCACGCCACGTTTTCGGTTGCAGGGGCTTTCTGCAAAAGAAACAGGCACTCTGCTCAAAAGCATGGGGCTTTATGGCCCGCCCGGGACAGCCCTCGGGGCTTCAGAAATGGGAGAGGCCTCCGTCAGAGGCTCCCAGCATTTCCTACAGTCTAGCTGCTTCTCCCCTCTGCCAGTCTCAACATCTCCCTGAGTCCCTGTGACTTCTCCACGCCACCATGTGGCCCTGTTTCCGCTTGTGGGGCCTTCAGTGAGAGACACAGCCACACTGCTCCAAAGCCTGGGCCTTTACAGCCCGCTATGTACAGCCTAGAGGGCTTCTGGAATGGGAGAGTCGTCCTTCGGAGCAACTTAGCATTCCCTGGGATCTTGCCATTCTCCACTCTGCCGACCTCAATGTTTCCCTGAGAACCTATGTCCCACCCACCCCACCCTGATGCCCTGTTTTCGCTTGTGGGGGCCTTAAGGGAGAGACACAGACACCCAGCTCCAAAGCCCAGGACTTTTACAGCCCACCCAGGAAAAGTCTGGGTGCTGCTGAAGTGGGAGAGACCTCTTTGGGAATCTCTCAGAATTCCCTGCGGTTTTGACGCTTCTCGCCTCTGCCAGCCTGTATGTCCTCGAGTCCCTGCCGCCTGCCCAGGCCATGCTGCACACCCGTTTTCACTTGTGGGGGCCTTCCATGAGAGACACTGGCACCCTGATCCAAAGTGTGAGGCATTACAGCGCCCAAAAAAGTCCTGTGGGCTTCTGGGATGGCAGAGGACTGCTTGGGAGGCTCCCAGCACTCCCCACGGTCTTGACACATCTCCCCTCTGCCTGCCTCAGCTCCCCACCGAGTCCCCCTCGCCTGCCCACAGCACCCTGCTGCCCCGTTTTTGCTTGTGGTGGTCTTCCACGAGAGAGACAGGCACACTGCTCTAAAGTCTGGGGCTTTACAACCCGCCCGGGACAGACCTGGGGGCTTCTGGGATGGGAGAGGTGTCCTTGGGAGACTCCGAGCATTCCCTGCAATCTCGCCACTTCTCCCCTCTGCCTGCCTCAGTGTCCCTCTGAGTCCCTGCAGCCCGTCCTTGCAACTCTGCGGCCCCATTCTCGCTTGTAAGAACATTCCGGCAAAGATACAGGCACTCTGCTCTAAAGCTTGGGTATTTACAGCCCACCTGGGACACACCTGGGGGCTTCTGGGATGGGAAAGGCCTCCTTGGGAAAATACCAGCATTCCTTGTGGACTCACAGCTTCCCACCTCTGCCTGCCTCGATGCCCCCCTAAGTCCCTGCAGCCCACCCACGCCACCCTGTGGCCGGGTTTTCGCCTGAGGTGGCCTTACACAAGAGACACAGGCACCTTGCTCCAAATCTTGGGGCATTACTGCCCGCCCAGGACAGCGTGGGAACTTCTGGGATGGCAGAGGCCTCCTTAAAAGGCTCTCAGCACTTCCTGCAGTATCGCTGCATCTCCCTTCTGCCTGCCTCAATGTCCCTCTGAGTCACCGTGGCCCGCCTATGCCACACTGCAGCCACGTTTTCGCTTGCAGTTTCCTTAAGGGAGAGACACAGGCACCCTGCTCCAAAGCCTGGGGCTTTACAGCCTGCCCAATACAGCTCTGGGGGCTTCTGGTATGGGAGAGGCTTCTTTGGGAGGCTCCCAGCATTTCCTGCGATCTCGTCCCTTCTTTTCTCTGCCAGACTCAATGTCCCCCTGAGTCACTGCCACCTGCATTGACATACCTGCGTCCCTGTCGTCGCTTGTGGTGGCCTCCTGCGAGAGACACAGGGACCCTGCACCAAACCTTGGGGCTTTACAACCTGCCTGGGACAGACCTGGTGGCTTCTGTGATGGAACAGCCCTCATTGTGAGGCTTGCAGCATTCCCTGTGTTCTTGCCGCTTCTCCCCTCTGCCTGTCTCAACTTCTCCCTGAGTCCCTGTTTTCCTCCCAGGCCACCCTGCCCCGTTTTCCCCTGTGAGGACCTTCTGCCAGAGACACGGGCACCCTGCTCCAAAGCCTGGGACTTTACAGCCCGGCCAGGAAATCCCTATGGGCCTCTGGGATGGGAGAGGCGTCGTTGGGAGTCTTCCAGCATTTGCTGAGGTCTTGCTGCTTCTTCCCTCTGCCTGCCTCAACTTCCCCGAGTCCCAGCCACCTGCCCAGGCCACCCTGCGGTCCTGATTTCGCTTGAAGGGGCCTTCCTCGAGAGATCCTGGCACCTGCTTAAAAGCCTGGGGCTTTAGAGCCCGCCAGGGACAGCCTTGAAAGCTTCTGGGATAAGAGAGCTTTTCTTGGAAGGCTCCCAGCATTCCGAGCGATCTCGCTGCTTCTCCCCTCTGCCAGCCTTAACGGTCCCGTGAGTTTCTGTGAGCCACCCATGCCTTCTTGCAGCCCCGTTTTGGCTTGTGTTTGCCTTCCGCGAGAGACACAGACACGCTGCTTGAAAGCCTGGGACTTTACAGCATGCCTAGGACAGTCCTGGGGGCATCTGGGATGGGAGAGGCCTCTTTCAAAAGCTCCTAGCGTTCCCTGTGGTCTCGCCTCTTTTCCGCTCTGCCTGCCTCAAAGTTCCCCTGAGTCCCTGTCTCCTGCCCACGCCACTCTGCAGCCCTGTTTTCACTTGTGGGGGCCTTAAGGGAGAGAGACAAGCACCCTGCTCCAAAGCCTGTGGCTTTACAGCCGGACTGAAACAGCCCTGGGGGCTTCTGAGATGGCAGAGTCCTTTGAGGGAGGCTACCAGCTTTCCTGCCGGACTTGTTATTTCTATCCTCTACCAGGCTCAAACATTCCCCGAAGTCCCTGCTGCCTGCCCAGACCACCCTGCTGCCCCGTTTTTGCTTGTGGGGGCCTTCCGCGAGAGACATAGGCAACCTGCTCCAAGGTCTGGGGCTTTATAGCCCTCCAGGGAAAGCCCTGGTGACTTCTGGGATGAAAGAGGCCGCCTTTGGAGTCTTCTGGCATTCCCTACAATGTTGCCGCTTCTCCCCTCTGCACGCCTCAATGGCCCCTGAGTCCCTACGGCCTGCCCATGCCACCCTGCAGCCCCGTTTTCGCTTGTGGGGGCCTTCCGCGAGAGACACAGGCACCCTGCTCTGAAGCCTGGAGTTTTACATCTTGTCTGGGACAGCACTGTGGGCTTCGAGGATGAGAGAGTCCTTTTAGGGAGGCTACCGGCATTACTTGTGGTCTCGCTGCTTCTCCCCTCTGCCTCCCACAACGTCCTCCTGAGTCCCTGCGACGCTCCCACCACACCCCTTAATCCCCTTTTTGCTTGTGGGGGCCTTCCGTGAGAGACACAGGCATCCTGCTGCAATGCTTGGGGCTTTACAGCCTGACCGGGGCAGCTCTAGAAGCTTGTGGGATGGGATAGGCCTCCTTGCTAGGCTCCAAGCAGTTCCTGCGTTCATGACGCTTCTCCCATCTGCCTGCCTCAATGACCCCCGAGTCCCTGTTTTTCTCCCAGGCCACCGTGCGGCCCTGTTGTCGCCTGTGGGGCCTTCTGCCAGAGACACAGGCACCGTTCTCCAAAGTCTGGGATTTTACAGCCTGACTGGAACAGCCCTAGGGGTTTCTGTGATGGGAGAGGTCTTCTTTGGGAGGCTCCCAGCATTCCCTGCGGTCTCGGCGCTTCTCCCCTGAGCCTGCCACAACATCCTTCTGAGACCCTGAGGGCGGCCTACCCATCCCTGCGACCCTGTTTTTGCTCTTGGGCAACTTCCGTGAGAGACACAGGCATCCTGTTCCAAAGTTTGGAGCTTAACAGCCCACCCAGGACACCCTGGGGGATTCTGAAATGGGAAACACCTCCTTGGGAGGCTCCCAGCATTCCCTGCCATCTCACTGCTTCTCTCCTCTGCTGGCCCTCTATGTCTCCCTAAGGTCATGCGACCTACCGACGACACTGTGCGGTCCCACTTTCGCTTGTTGGGGGCTTCTGGGAGAGACACAGGCAACCTGCTGGAAAGCCTTGGTCTTTACTGCCCACCAGGGACAGCCCTGGGGACTTCTGGGATGGGAGAGGCCTCCTTGGGGGCGTTCCCAGCATTCCTGCATTCTCACAGCTTCTCCCCTCTGCCTGCATCAAAGTCCCCCTGAGTCCCTGCCACTTGCCCATGCCACACTGTGTCCCCGTTTTCACTTGAGGGGACTTCTGTGAGAGACACAGGCAGTCTGCTCCAACACCGGGACAGACCTGGGGACTTGTGAGATTGGAGAGGTTTACTTGGGTAACTCCCCACATTCCCTGAGGTGTTGCTGCATCTTCCCTCTGCCTGCCTCAATGTCCCCTGAGTCCCTGTGGCCCGCCCAAGTTACCCTGATGCCCCATTCTTGCCTGTAGGGGCCTTCCCCGAGAGACATAGTCACACTGCTCCAAAGCTTGGGGCTTTGCAGCCTGACCAGGACAGCCGTGAGGGATTCTGGGATGGGAAAAGCCTTCTTAGAAGGATGCCAGTATTCCCTGTGATCTTGCCCCTTTTACCCTCTGCCGCCTCTACATACCCCTGAGTCCCTGCCTTCCTCCCAGGCGACTCTGCTGCCCCGGTTTCGCTTGTGGGGGCATTTGGCATGAGACACAGGCACCTGTTTTAATGCCTGGGGTTTTATAGCACTACCAAGACAGCCCCGGGGCTTCTAGGATAAGAGAGGCCTCCATGGGAGGCTTCAAGCATTCCTGGCATCACGCCGCTTCACCCCTCTGCCTGCCTCAACAGCCCCCTGAGGCCCTGTGACTCGCCCATGACAGTCTGTGGCTCCATTTAGGCTTGGGAGGGCCTTGGAAGAGAGAGACACGCACCGTGTTCCAAAGCCTGGGCTTTACAACTTGCCCAGGACAGCCCTGGTGGCTTCTGGGATGGGAGAGTCCTCACTGCGAGGCTCTCATCACTCCCTGAAGTCTTGCCACTTCTCCCCTCTCCTTGCCTCAATGTCCCTCTGAGACCCTGTGGCCCTCCCAAGGCACCCTGTGGCTCCTTTTTCACTTGTGGGGTCCTTCCTCGAGAGACACAGGGACCTTGCTCCAAAACACTGCGCTTACAGCCGGCCCGGGACAGTCCTGGGGGATTCTTGGATAGAAGAGGCCTCCATTAGAGGCTCCCAGCATTCCCTGAAGTCTCGATGCTTCTCCCATCTGCCAGCCTCAATGGTCCCCTCAGACCCAGCAGCCCCCCCTCCCCAGGCAAACCTGCGGCCACGTTTTTGTTTGTGGGGGCCTTCCGCAAGAGACACTGGCACCCTGCTTCAATGCCTGGGATTTTATAGCCCACCTAGTACAGTTCCTGGGAATTTTGGGTGGGGAGAGTCCTCCTCGAAGGCTCCCAGCATTCCCTGCAGTCTTGTCGCTTCTCTCCTCTGCCTCCCTCATGTCCCACTAAGTCCCTGCCACCCTTCCAGGCCACGCTGCGGCCCCATTTTCGCTTGTGAGATTGTTCCGCAAGAGACACAGGCACCCTGCTCCTAAGCCTAAGGCTTTACAGTACGCCCTGGACAGCCCTGGGGTCTTCTGGGATGGAAGAGGTCTTCTTGTGAGTCTCCTAGCATTCCCTGCAGTTTCACGGATTCTCCCTTCTGCCTGCCTCAATGTCCTGCTGAGTCCCTGCTGCACTCACATGCCACTCTGCGGCCCTGTTTCTGCTTGTGGGGGCCTTCGGCGAGAGACACAAGCATCCTGCTCCAAAGCCTGGGGCTTTACAACCCGCTCAGTACAACCCTGGGGGCATCTGGGATGAGTGAGATCTTCTTGGGAGGCTCCCAGCATTTCCTACGATCTCGCCACTTCTAATCTCTGCCTGCTTCAACGTCCCCCTGAGTCTGAGCGGCCTGCCAATGCCTCCCTGCAGCCCCGTTTACATTGTGGAGGTCTCCCAAGAGAGACCCAGGAACCCTACTCCAAAGCCTGGGGCTTTACAACCCGCCCTGGACAGACCTGGGGGCTCCTAAAATGGGAGCGTTTTCTTTGGGAGGCTCCCAGCATTCCTTGAGGTCATGACGCGTTTCCCCTCTGCCTGCCTCAAGGTCTCCCAGAGTCTCGGCGGCACGCCACGCCACCCTGCGGCCCAGTTTTCGCTTGTGGGGGCCTTCTGTGAAAGACACAGTCCGTCTTTTCCAAAGCTATGTGGTTTACTGCCCTCCTGGGACTGCCCTGGGGAATTCTGACATGGGAGAGGTCTCCGGGGATGCTCCCAGCATTTCCTGAGGTCTCTCTGCTTGGCCCCTCTGCCTTCTTCAACGTTTCCCTGAGTCCCTGCATCCTGCCAACCCAACCCAGCAGCTGCATTTTCGCATGTGGGAACCTTCTTTAAGAAACACAGGCATCCTCCTCCAAAGCCTGGATCTTTACAGCCCTCCTGGGAAAGCCCTGAGGGCTTCTGGGATAAGAGATGCCTTCTTAGGAGGCTCCCAGCATTCTCTACCATCTCGCCGCTTCTCTCATCTGCCTGCCTCAACGTCCCCCTGAGTCCCTGATGCCCCACCACGCCACACTGCGGCCCCATTTTTGCTTGCAAGAAACTTTTGTGAGACACACAGGCACCCTGCTCCAAAGCCTGAGGACTGCAGCCCACCAGGGACAGCTCTGGGTGCTTCTGGGATGGGAGAGGCATGTTTACAATTTTCACAGCTTTCCCTGCGGTCTCATCCCTTCTCCCCTCTGCCTCCCTCAACGTCCACTTGAGTACCTGCGGCCTGCCTAGGACACCCTGTGGCCCCGTTATCTCTTGTGGGGTTCTTCCCTCAGTGACACAGGCACCCTGCTCCGAAGCCTGGGGTTTTACACCCTGCCCATTACAGTCCTGGTGGCTTCTGGGATGAGAGAGTTTTTTTGCAGTCTCTCAGCATTTCCAGTGGTTTCACCGCTTCTTTGTTGTGCCTGTCTCAATGCCCTCCTTTGTTGCTGTGTCCCGCCCACACCACCTTGCATTTGTTTTAGCTTGTGGGAGCCTTAAGGAAGAGACACAGGAACCTTGCTCCAAGGTTTGGGGCCTTACTGCCTGCCCAGGAGAGCCCTGAATGCTTCCTGGAGGGAGAGGATTCACTGGGAGACTCCCAGCATTCCATGCAGTCTCGCAGCTTCTCTGCTCTGCCTGCCTCAACGTCCCGCTGAGTTTCTGTGTCCCGCCCATGAACCCGTGTTCGCTTGTGGGCGCCTTAATGGAGAGACACAAGCACCTTGCTCCGAGGCCTGGAACTTTACAGCTTGCCCGGGAAAGCCCTGGGTCTTCTAGGGTGGAAGAGGCCTTTTGGTGAGTCTCCCAGCATTCCCTGCAATCTCGACGATTTTCCCCTCTTCCAGCCCGCACGTCCCTGCCGCACACCCACGCCACCCTGCAGCCCCATTTTTGCTTTTGGTGGGCTTTGGCAAAAGACATAGGCACCCTGCTCTAAAGCCTGGGGCTTTACAGCCTGCCCGGGACAGCCCTGAGGGCTTCTGGGATAGGAGAGGCATCCTTGGGAGGCTCCCAGCATTCCCTGCGGTTGGGCTGCTTCTTCCCTCTGCCTGCCTCAAGGTCCCCCCCGAGTCCCTGCAGCCCGCCCACGCAAATTTGCCTCCCTGTTCTTGCTTGTGGGAACCATCGGCGAGAGACACAGGCATCCTGCTCTAGAGCCCTGGGGTTTACAGCGCACTCAATACAGACTGGGGGCTTCTGGAACGCGAGAGGCCTCCTTGGGAGGCTCCCAGCATTCCCTGCTTTCTTGGTGCTTCTACCCGCTCCTGCCCCAACATCCCCCTGAGTCCCTGCAGCCCGCCCACACCAGCCTGCAGCCCCGTTTTCATTTGTGGAGGCCTTCTGTGAGAGATCCAGGAACCCTGCTCCAAAGCCTGAGGCTTTACAGCCTGCCTGGTACAACGCGGGCGGTTTCTGGGATGGGAGAGGCCTCCTTGGGAGGCTCCCAGCACTTCCTGTGGTCTTGACGCTTTTACTCGCTGCCCGCCTCAACGTCCCGCTGAGTCCCTGCAGCCTACCCACGCCATCCTGGGGCCCCGTTTTCGCTTGTGTGGGCCTTCCTCAAGAGACACCGCACCCTGCTCCAAAGGCGGGGATTTACAGAGCACCCGGGGCCGCCCTAGGGAGTTCTGGGATGGGAGATCCCTCCTAGAAAAGCTCACAGCATTCCCTGCTGTCTCGCTGCTTCTTCCCTCTGCCTGCCTCAATGTCCCTCTGAGTCCTTGTGGTCAGCTGACGGCACCCTGAGGCCCCGTTTTTGCTTGTGTGGGTATTCCATGAGAGACACATGCAACCGACTCTGAAGGATGGGGCTTTGCAGCTTGCCTGGGACAGCTTGGGGTCTTCTGGGATGGGAGAGGTTTTCTTGGCAGTCTCACAGGATTTCCTGTGATCTCGCTGCTTCTCCCCTCTCCCTGCTTGAACGTCCTCCTGAGTACCTCTGTCCCGCCCACGCCACCCTGCGGCCCTGTTTTTGCTCCTGCGTGCCTTTCCTGAGAGACACAGGCACCCTGCTCCAAAGCGTGAAGCTTTACAGCCCTCCTGGGAAGGTTCTGGGGGCTTTTGAGATGGGTGAGGTCGCCTTGGTAGGCTTTGAGCATATTCTGCTGTCTCATGGCTTCTCCCCTCTGCCTGCTGCAAAGTCCCCCTGAGTCCCTTCGGACCTCCACACTACCCTGCAGACACGTTTTTGCTTGTGGGAAGCTTCCGCGAGAAACACAGGCACCCTGCTCCAAAGCCTGGGGCTTTACAACCCGCCCCGGACAGCCATGGGGGTTTCTGGCATAGGAGAGGCCTCTTTGGGAGGCTCCTAGCATTTTCTGCCGTCTGGTCAGTTCTTCCCTCTGCCAGACTCAACATCCCCCTGAGTCTCTGCCACTTTCCCAGGCAACGATGTGTGTCCGTTTTCGCTTCTGCGGGCTTTCCGCCAGAAACACAGGCACCCTGCTTCAAAGCCTGTGGCGTTACAACCCGCCTGGGACAGGCCGGGGGCTTCTGCGATGAGAGAGCCCTCCTTGGGAGGCTTCCAGCATTGCCTACCTTCTGGTCGCTTCTCCCCTCTGCCTGCCTCAACGATTCCCTGAGTTCCTGCAGCTCGCCCACGCCACCCTGCGACCACGTTTAGTATTGTAGGGGACTTTCTCAAGAGACACAGGAACCCTGTTCCAAAGCCTGGAACTTTAAGGCCTGCCTGGGACAGCTCTGGGGCCTGCTTGGGAGACTCCCAGCAATCCCTTCGTACTCGCCGCATCTCGCCTCTGCCTGCCTCAACGTCCCCCTGAGTTTTTGCGGCTTGCCGACGCCACTCTGCGGCCCCGTTTTGGCTGTGAGGGCCTTCCTCAAGAGACACAGTCACCGTGTTCCAAATCCTGGGGCTTTGCAACCCGCCCGGAAGAGCCTGGGGGCTTCTGGGATGGGAGAGGCCTCCTCAAAAGTCTAAAGGCATTCCCTGCGATATTGCTGCATCTCCCTTCAGCCTGCCTCAATGTTATTCTGTGTCCCTGTGGCTTGCCCACGTCACCCAGCGGCCTCATTTTTGCTTGTGGGGATCTTCCATGAGAGACACAGGCAATCTGCTCCAAAGCCTGGGGATTTAGAGCCCGCTGGCGACAGCCCTGGGGCCTTATGGTGTAAGAGAGGCATCCTTGGGAGGTTCCCAGCATCCGCAAGGTCTTATCACTTCACCCCTCTGCCTGCCTTAACGTCCCCCTGTGTCCCAGTGTCTTTCCCACGCCACCCTGCAGTCCCGTTTTCACTTTTGAAGGCCTTAAGGGAGAACCACAGGCACCCTGCTTCAAAGCCTGGGGCTTTATGACCTGCCCGGGACAACCCTGGGGGATTCTGGCATGGGAGAGGACTTTTTGGGAGGCTCCCAGCATTTTCTGCAGTCACGTCGCTTCTTCCGTCTGCCAGCCTCAACGTCCCCCTGAGTCCTTGCCGCTGGCTCAGGCAACCCTGCTTCCCAGTTTTTGCTTCTACGTGCCTTCCGTGAGAGACACAGACACCCTGCTCCAAAGTTTGGAGATTTATAGCCCACCTGGGACAGACCTGGGCGATTCTGGGATAAAAGAGGCCTCTTTGAAAGACTCCCAGCATTCCCTGTGGCCTTGCTGCTTCTCCCCTCTGCCTGACTCAATGTCTCCCTGAGTCCCTGTGGTAGGCTCAGTCCACCCTGTGGCCCCGTTTTGGCTTTTGGGGGCCTTCTGCCAGAGACACAGCCACCCTGCTCCAAAGCCTGAGGCTTTACAGCCCACCCGGGACAAGCCTGGGGGCTTCTGGGATAGAGGTGGCCTTTTGGGAAGCTCCCAACATTTTCTGCCGTCTTTCCACTTCTTCCCTCTGCCTGCCTCCATGGCCCCCTGAGTCCCTGTGGCCTGCCTACGCCACCCTGTGGCCCCATTTTCGCTTGTCGGGGTCTTCTGCGAGAGAAACAGGCACCCTTCTCCAAAGCCTGGGGCTTTACAGCCTGCTTGATACAGCCCTGGGTACTTCTGGAATGGGAGAGGCTTCCTTGGGAGGCTCTCAGCATTCCCTGCAGTCTCACCACTTCTTTTTCCTGCCTGCCTCAATGTCTGCCTGAGTCTCTGCCACTCGCCGACGCCACCCTGCAGCCCTGTTTTCACTCATGGAAGCCTTCCATGAGAGACACGAGCATCCTGTTCCAAAGCCTTGGGTTTTACAGCCCGCCCGAAGCAGCTTTGGGGGATTCTGAGATGAAAGAGGCCAATTTGGGCGGGTACCAGCATTCTTTGAGATCTCAGCGCTTCTGTCCTCTGCCGGCCTCAATGTCTCCCTGAGTTTCTGCAGCCCGCGCACTCCATTGTGTGGCCGTGTTTTCACTTGTGGGAGCCTTTAGGGAGAGACACAGGCACTGTGCTCTAAAGCCTGGGGCTTTACAGCCCACCCGGGACATCCCTGAGGGCTTCTGAAATGGGAGAGGCCCCCTTGGGAGGCTTCCAGCATTCCCTGTGGTATCACGGCTTCTTCCCTCTGCCTGCCTAAATGTCCCACTGAGACTCGGCGCTTGCCAGAGCCACGCTGCGACCCCTTTTTCGCTTCTGAGGGCCTTCTGGAACAGACACAGGCACCCTGCTCTAAGTCTGAGGATTAAGAGCCTGACCGGAATATTTCTGAGGGCTGCTGGGATGAGAGAGGCCATCTTGGGAGGCTCCCAGCGTTCCCTGAAGTCTCGGCTCTTCTCCT
Source organism: Homo sapiens (assembly GCF_000001405.40). Lineage (NCBI taxonomy): Eukaryota > Metazoa > Chordata > Mammalia > Primates > Hominidae > Homo > Homo sapiens. The sequence continues at coordinate 46,230,776 of NC_000008.11, read as the reverse complement.
CTCTGCCAACTTCAATGTTTCCCTGAGTCGCTGCGGCTGGCCCACACCATCATGCGGACCCGTTGTCACTTGTGGTGGCTTTCTGAGAGAGACACAGGCACCCTCCTCCAAAGCCTGGGGCTTTACATTTCGTGGGGACAGCCCTTGGGGCTTCTGGGACGGGAGAGACCTTTTTGGGAGACTCCTAGCATTCCCTGCGGTATAACTACTTCTCCCCTCTGCCTGCCTCAACGTCCCCCTGAGTAACTGCAGTTCACCCACGTCACACTGCGGCCCCATTCTCGCTTGAATTGGCCTTCTGCGGGAGACGCAGGCACTCTGCTCTGAAGCCTGGGGCTTTACACTTCCAGTGAGAAAGCCCTGGGGGCTTCTGAAATAGGAGAAACCTTTTAGGGAGGCTCCCATCATTCCCTGCGGTATCGCCGCTTCTCCCTTCTGCCTGCCTCAACATGTCCCTGAGACCCTACGGGCGCCCATGCCCCCTCTGCAGCCTCATTCTCGAATGTGTTGGCCTTGCACAAGAGACAAAAGCGCTTCTGTCCTCTGCCTCCCTGAACGTTCCCCTTAGTCCCTGTGGCCTGATGACAGCTTCCTGCGGCACCGTGTTTTACATGTGGGGAATTTTCGCGACAGACACAGGCACCCTGCTCCAAAGCCTGGGGCTTTACAACCCTCCTGGGACAGCTCTGGGGGCTTCTGAAATAAGAGAGGCCTGATTGAAAGGCTCCCAGTGTTCGCTGCGGTATCACTGCTTCGTTCCTCTGCCTGCATCAACGTCTCCCTGAGTCCCGGTGGCATGCCCACGCCACACTGCGACAACATTGTCGCTTGTGGAGGCCTTCCGCGAGAAACACAGGCACCCTGCTCTATAGCCTGAGGCTTAACAGCCCTCCCGGGACATCCCTGAGGGATTCCGGAATGAGGGAGGCCTCCTTGGGAGGCTCCCAGCATTCCCTGCGGTCTTGCCTCTTCTACCCTCTGTCTACCTCAATGTTTCCCTGAGTCCCTGCGGCCGGTCCACGCCACCCTGCAGCCTTGTATTCGCTTGTGAGGGCCTTCCGCCAGAGACACAGGCAACTTCTCCAAAGCCTGGGGCTTTTCAGCCCACCCGGGAGAGACCTGGGGGCTTCTGATAAGGGATAGGCCTCCTTCGGAGGCTCCCAGAATTCCCAGTGGTCTCACCGCTTCACCCCTCTGTCTCCCTCAACATCCTCCTGAGTCCCTGCGGCCAGCGCACGCCACCCTGCAGCACCGTTTTCTCTTGTTGGGGCCTTCAATGAGAGACACAGGCACCCTGTTCCAAGGCCTGGGGCTTTACAGCCCGACCAGGACAGCCCTTGAAACTCCTGGGATAAGAAAGTCCTTCTTGGGAGGCTCCTAGCATTTCCTGCAGTCTCGTTGCTTCTCCTTTCTGCCTGCCTCCACATCCCCCTGAGTCCCTGCAGCCCAGCCACGCCATCAGGCGGCCACGTTTTTGGTTGTGGCGGCCTTCCTCAAGAGACACAGTCACCTTGCTCCAAAGCTTGGTGCTTTACAGCCTGCCTGGGAAAGTCCTGGGGGCTTCTGGAATGGGAGAGGCCTTCTAGGGAGGCTCTGACCATTCTCTGCGATCTCGCCGTGGCTCTCCTCTTCCTGCCTTAACGTCATCCTGAGTACCTTCGGCCCGCCAACGCCACCTGCGGCCCGGGTTTCTCTTGTCGGGCCTTCCGCGAGAGAAACAGGCACCCTGCTCCAAAGCCTTGGGCTTTATAGCCTGCCCGGAACAGATATGGGGGCGTCTGGGATGAGAAAGCCCTCCTTGGAAGGCTCCCAGAATTCCTTGTGGGCTCGCTGCTTGTCCCTTCTCCCTGCCTCAGTGTCACCCTGAGTCCCTTTGGCTCGTTCAGGCCACCCAGTGGCCCCATTTTCGCCTGTGGAAACCTGCCACAGACACAGGCAACCTATTCCAAAGCCTGGGACACTACAGCCTATCCGTGACAGACCTGGGGGCTTCTAGGATGGGAGAGGCCTCCTTGGGAGGGTCGCAGCATTCCCTGCAGTCTTGCCAATTCTCCCCTCTACTGGTTTCAACTTCCCCCTGAGTCCCTGTGGCCTGTCGACGCCACACTGCAGCCCCTTTTCCGCTTGTGGGAGCCTTCCGCTAGAGACACAGGCACTCTGCTTCAAAACCTGAAGCATTACAGCACGCCCGGGACAGTCCTGGGGGCTTCTGGGATGAAAGAGGCCTCCTTGGGAGGCTCCCAGCATTCCATGTGGTCCTGCTGCTTCTCTCATCTGCCTGCCTCAAAGTGTCCGTGAGTCCCTGCTGCCCATGCACGCCACCATGCCACCTCGCCACCTCATTCTCTCTTTTGTATGTCTTCTGCGAGAGACACAGGCTCCCTGCTCTAAAGACTGGGACATAAAAGCTTGCCGGGACAGCCCTGGGTGCTTCTGGGATGAGAGATCTCCTTGTGAGGCTTCCAGCATTCTCTGAGGTCTTGCTGCTTCTCATCTCTGCCTGCCACAATTTCCACCTGAGTCCCTGCGGCCCTCCCACGCCACCCTGCAGCCAGCCCACGCCACCCTGCGGCCTTGTTTTTGCTTGTGGGAGTATTTTGCGAGAGACACAAGCACGCTGTTCCAAAGCCTGGGGCTTTATAGCCCACCCAGGATAGTTTGGGGAGCTTCTGGGATGGGATAGGTCTTTTAGGAAGGCTCCCAGCATTCCCTGCGGTCTCGCCGCTTCTTTCCTCTGCCTGCCTCAACGTCTCCCTGAGTCCCTGTGGCCCGCCCAGGCCACACTGCAGCACTGTTTTTGCTTGAGGGGGTCTTCCAAGAGAGACACAGACACTCTGCTCCAAAGTCTTGGGCCTTACAGCCTGTCCAGGACAGTCCTAGGAGCTTCTGGGATGGGAGACACCTCCTTGGAAGGCTCTCAGCATTCCCTACGGTCTCGTTGCTTCTCCTCTATGCTTGCCTCAATGTCTCCCTGGGTTCCTACGATCGGCCCATGCCACCCAGCCGCCCTGTTGTCTCTGTTGGGGATCTTCTGCTAGAGACACAGTCGTCCTGCACCAAAGCATGGGGTATTACAGCCCATCCGAAACAACCATGGAAGCTTCTGGGGTGGGAGAGACATCCCTAGGAGGCTCCCAGCATTCCCTGCGGTCTCACTGCTTCTCACCTCTGCCTGCCACAATGTCCACCATAGTCCCTGCGGCCTGGCCATGCCACCCTGCCTCCCTGTTTTCACTTGTGGGGGCCATTTACGAGAAACACAGGCATCCTGCTTTGAAGCCTCGGGCTTTACATCCCTCCAGGAACAATCCTGGGGTCTTCTGAGATAGAAGATTCATCCTTAGGAGGCTCCCAGCATTCCCTGCCGTCTGGACTCTTCCCCCCTCTGCCTGCCTCAAGGTCACCCTGGGTCTTTGCCGCCCACCCAAGCCACCATCACCATGTGGCCCCATTTTCGCTTGTATGAGGCCTTCAGGGGTCCGTTGAGGCAGGGAGAGGGGAGAATGGATGAGAACGCAGGGAATGTTGGGAGGCTCCCACAGAGGTCTCTCCCATCACAGAAGCTCATAGGGCTGTCCGGGATGGGCTCTAATGCCCCAGGCTTTGGAGCAGGGTTCCTGTGTCTCTCACAGAAGACCCTTAAAATAGACACAGGCACCCCGCTCCGAGCCCTGGGGCTTTACAGCCTGCCCCCAGACACCCCTGGCGGTTTCTGGGTTGGAAGAGGCCTCTTTGGGTCACTCCCAGAATTCTCTGCAGTCTTGCCGCTTCTCCCCGCTGCCTGCCTCAACATAACCTTGAGTCCCTGTGGCCCGCCCACGCCACCCTGTGCCCTGTGCATGCGAACCTGTGGTCCTGTTTTTGCGTGTGGGGGCTATTTGCAAAAGACACGGGCGTCCTTCTTTAAAGCCTGGGGTTTCACAGCCCACCAGGGACAGTCCTGGGGGCTTCTAGGATCGGAGAGGCCTTCATCGGAGGCTCTCAGCATTCCCTGCGTTCTTGCTGCTTTTCCCATCTTCCTGACTTAATGTCACTTTGAGTCCCTGACGCCTGGCCACGGCACCCTGCGACCCCATTTTCCCTTTTGGGGACCTTCTTGGAAAGACACAGGCATCCTGCTCTTAAGCCAGGTGCTTTACAGCCTGCCAGGGACACACGTAGAGGCTTCTGGGATGGGAAAGACCTCCTTGGGATACTCCCAGCATGCTTTGCGGTCTCACCGCTTCTCCCTTCTGTCTGCCTCAACATCCCCTTGAGTCCCTGCAGCCCTCCCACGCTACCCTGCCACCCCGTAGTCTATTTTAGGGGTCTTCCGTGAGAGACACAGGAACTCTGCTCCAAAGTCTGGGGCATTACAGCCCGTCTGGGACAGCCCTACAAGCTTCTGTGATGGGAGAGGCCTTCTTCGGGGCCTTCCAGTATTCCCTGCGTTCTCGTCCCTTCTCCCATCTGCCAGCTTCAACTGCCCCTTGAGTCCTTGTGACCCACCCACGCCACACTGCGACCCAGTTTTTGCTTCTGTGACCATTCCACGAGACACACTGACACCCTGCTACAAAACCTGGGGCTTTACAGCTCGCCTGGGAGAGTCCAGGGGGCTTCTGGGATGAAAGAGGCATCCATGGGAGGCTCCCAGCATTCCATGCTTTCTCGCCGCTTCTTCTCTCTGCCTGCCTCAAAGTCCCCATGCCAGCCCATATCATTTTTGCTTGTGGAGGTCTGTGGGAGTCACAGGCACACTACTCCAAAGTCTGTTGCTTTACAGCCCACCCGGAAAAGTCTGGGGTCTTCTGGGATGAGACAGGCCTTTTTGGGAGTCGCTCAGCATTCCCTGCAGCCTCGCCGCTTCTCCCCTCTTTCGGCCACAATGTACCCCTGATTCCTTGCAGCCTGCCCACGCCACCTTTCGACCCTGTTTTTGCTTGTTGGGGCTCTCTGCGAAAGACAGACTCACACTGCTCCAAAGCCGGAGGCTTTACAGCACTCCCAAAAGAGCCCTGGGGGCTTCTGGGTTGGGAGAGGCCTCCTTGGGAGGCTCCCAGCATTCCCTGTGTTCTCTACGCTTCTCCCCTCTTCCTGGCTTAACGACCCCCTGAGTCCCTGCAGCCCGTCCATCTTGGCCCTGTTTTCACCAGTGGGGGCCTTCCAAGCAAACACCTTGCTTCAAAACCCAAATCTTTACAGCACACCCGGTACAGTCCTGGGGACTTCTGGGAAGGGAGAGGCCTCCTTGAGAGGTTCCTAGCATTTCTTGCCATTTCACCTTTCCCTCCCTCTGGCTGCCTCAATGTCACCTCATGTCCCTGCCACCAGCCCACGCCACCCTGAGGCCCCAAATATGCTTGTGGAGGTCTTGTGTGGGAGACACAGGCACCCTGCCTTAAAGCCTGAACTTTTACAGCCCATCTGGTACAGCCCTAGGGCCTTCTGGGATGGAAGAGGCATCCTTGGGAGGTTCCCAGCATCCCGTGAAGTCTCATCACTTCTCCCCACTGCCTGTCTCATGTTCCCCTGAGTCCCTGCGGCCCTTTCAGGCCACCCTGCAGCACCGTTTTCACTTGTGGTGGCTTCCCGTGAAAGACACAGGCATTTTGCTACAAAGGCTTAAGTTTTACAGCACGCCCAGGACAGCCCTGGGGGCTTCTGGGATGGGAGAGGCCTCTGTGGGAAGCTCCAAGCATTCCCTGCGGTCTCGATGCTTCTCTTTCTGCCTGGCTCAACGTTTCCCTTGGTCCCTGCAGCCCGCCCTGGCTATCCTATGGCCCCTTTGTCCCTATTCGGGGCCTTCTGCTAGAGAGACAGGCACCCTGCTTCAAAACTTGAAGGTTTACAGCACACCCAGGACAGTCCTGGGGACTTCTGGGATGGAAAAAGGTGTTTTTCGGAGGCTCACAGCATTCCCTGTGGTATCGCTGCTTCTCCCCTCTGCCTGGTTCAATGTCACCCTGTGTCCCTGCTGCCCGCCCAAGCTACCCCGCAGCTCTGTTTCACTTTTGGAGGCCGTCAGCAAGAGACACAGACACACTGCTCCAAAGCCTGTGGCATTGCAGCCCGCCCAGGACAGCTCTTGGGGCTTTTGGGATGAAAGGCCTTTCCATGCAGTCTTGCCGCTTCTCCCCTCTGCCTTGGCCAACCTTTTGCTGAAACCTAGTCGCCAGCTCACACCACCCTGCCACCTGATTTTCTCTTTTGGAGTTCTTCCTCAAGAGACACAGAAACCCTGCTCCAAAGCCAGGGGCATTACAGCCGTCTGAGACAGATCCGAGTGGCTCTGGAATAAGAGAGGCATCCTTGAGAGCCTCCCAGCATTCCCTGGGTTCTTGCTGCTTCTCCCCTTTACGTGCCTCAACATCATCTAGGTCAGTCTGTCCCACCCAAGCCACCCAGTGGCCCCAGTTTTGCTTGTGGAGGCCTTGCACAAGAGACACTGAAACCCTACTCCAAAGCCTGGTGCTTTACAGCCCACCCATGACTGCACTGGGGTCTACTGAAATAGGAGAGGCCTTTTAGGGAGGGGCCCAGCATTCCCTCTGGTCTCGTCGCTTCTCCCCTCTGCCTGCCTCAATGATCCCCTGAGTCCTTGTGGCCTGCCCAAACCACCCTGTGGCCCTGTTTCCGCTTGTGGGGGCCTTCCGTGAGAGACACAGACACACAGCTCCAAAGCCTGGGGTACTACAACCAGGCCGGGACAGCCCTGGGTGCTTCTGAAATGGGATAGGCCTCCTTGGGAGGCTCCCAGCATTCCCTGCGGTCTTGCTGCTTCTCACCTCTGCCTTCCTCAACGTCCCCCCTGAGTCCCTGTGGCCCTCGCACGCCACCCTGTGTTTCCGTTTTTGCCTAAGGTGGCCTTGCGTGAGAAACACAAGCTCCGTGCTCCAAAGTCTGGGCCTTTACAGCCCTCCTGGAACAGTCCTGGGGGCTTCTGGGATGGGAGTGGGAGTAGGAGATTCGTCCTTGGGAGTTTCCCAGCATTCCCTGCCGTCTCACCTCTTCCCCCCTCTGCCCGCCTCAATGTCACCGTGGATCCCTGCTGCCCCCCCAGGACACCATGCGGCCCCGTTTTCACTTGTAGGGGACACCGCGAGAGACACAGGCACCGTGCTCTGAAGTCAGGGCCTTTACAGCCTGCCCTGGACACTTCTGGGGTCTTCTGGGATGGGAGAGGCCTCCTTGGGGTGCTCCCAGCCTTCCCTAAGGTCTCACCGCTTCTTTCTCCTACCTACGTCAACCTTTCCCTGAGTTCCTGCGACCCTCCCATGCCACACTGCGGCCCCGTTTTTCCATGTGGGGGCCTTCTGCGAGAGACACAGGGACCCTCCTCCAAAGCCTGGGGCTTTACAACCAGCCAGTGACAGCCCTGGGGGCTTCTGGTATGGGAGAGGTGTTCTTCGGATGCTCCCACCATTCTCTGCCGCACCCTTTTCCAAAGCCTGGGGCTACACAGCACCCCTGGGACATCCAGGGACCTTCTGGGAAGGTAGAGGCGTCCATGGGAGGATCCCAGCATTCCTTGCAGTCTCCAGGATTCTTTCCTCTGCCTGACTCTGTCCCGTGTGTTCCTGCATCCCACTGATGCCACCCTGGGTCCCGTTTTTGCTTGAGGGGGCCTTCAGTGAGACACATAGGCACACTGCTTTATAGCCTGGTGGTCCTGGCACTTTACAGCCCACCCGGGACAGCCCTGGGGGCTTCTGGGATGGGAGAGTTTTTTTTTAGGGAGGCTCACAGTATTCTCTGCGGTCTTGTTGTGTCTCTCCTCTGCCGGTCTCAAGGTCCCCCTGAGTTCCTGTGGCCCACACACTTCACACTACAGCCCAGTTTTCACCTCTGGTGGCTTTCCCCGAAAGACAAAGTCACCCTGCTCCAAAGCATGCAGCTTTACATCCCACCCAGGACAGACCTGGGGGATTCTTGGATGGGAGAGGCTTCCTTGGGAGGCCCCCAGCATTCCTGCAATCTCGCTGCTTCTCCCCTCTGCCGACCTCTACGTCTCCCTGAGTCCTTTTGGCTCGGCCTCGCCACCCTATGGCTCCATTTTCTCTAGTGGGGGCCTTATGCTTAGAGACACAGGCACCGTGCTTCAAAACCTGAAGTTTTACAGCATGCCTGGGACAGTCTTCTAGGCTTCTGGGATGAAAAAGGCCTCCTTGTGAGGCTCCCAGCATTGCCTGCTGTCTTGCTGCTTTTATCCCCTGCCTGCTTCAATGTCTGCCTGAGTCCCTGCTACCTGCCTATGCCATCCTGCCTCCCGTTGTCTTTTTGAGGACTTCCTTGAGAACACAAGCATCCTGCTCCAAAGCCTGGGCATTACAACCTGTCTGGGACAGCCCTAGGGGGTTCTGTGATGGGAGAGACCTCCGTGGGAGGCTCCCAGCATTCCCTGAGGTCTCACAACTCTCCCTTCTGCCTGCCTCAACGTCCCCCATGAGTTCCTAAGCCCTCCCAGGCCACCCTGTGGACCTTTTTTTTTTTTCCTGTGGAGGCCTTTGATGAGAGACACAAGCAACCCAGTCCAAAGCCAGGGGCATTACATCCCACCGGAGACAACCCTGGGGGTTTCTGGGATGAGAAAGGCCTACCAGGGAGGTTCCCAGAATTCCCTGCAATCTCGCCGCATCTCCGCTCTGCCTGCCTCTACATTTCCCTGAGTCCCTGCTGCCTACCCACACCACCCTACGGCCCCATTTTCATTGTGGGCCTATCCCGCCAGTGACACAGGCACCATGCGCCAAAGCCTGAGGCATTACAGCACACCTGGGACAGCCCTGCGGGCTTCTGGAATGGGAGACACCTTCTCGGGAGGTTCCCAGCATTTCCTGCTGTCTCCATGCTTCTCCCCTGTGCCTGGATCAACATTCCCATTAGTCCCTCTGTCATGCCTATGCCACACTTTGGCTGCGTTTTCCCTAGTGGGGGCCTTCCGCTACAGGTTCAGGCAAGCTGCTTCAAAACCTGAAGCTTTACAGCACTCCAGGGACAGTCCTGGGAGCTTCTGTGACGGGAGATGCCTCCTTGGAGGCTCTCAGCATTCCCTACAGTCTAGCTGCTGTTCCCCTCTGCCTGTCTCAATGTCCACCTGAGTGCCTGTGGCCCGTCCACGCCACACTTTGGCCCCGTTTTCTATTATGGGAGCGTTATGCAACAAACACAGGCAGCCTGCTCAAAAGCCTGAGGCTTTACAGCCCGCCCGGGACAGCCCAGGGTTCCTCTGGAATGGGAGAGCCTTCAGGGGAGGCTCCCACCATTCCCTGAGGTCTTGTCGCTTCTTCCCACTGCCTGCCTCAAAGTCCCCCTCGGTCCTTACAGCCCACCTACGCCACCCTGCTTTTCCATTTTTGCTTGTGGAGGCCTTCCGCGAGAGACACAAGCACCATATTAAAAACTCTGGTGCTTTACAGTCTGCCCAGGACAGCCCCGGGGGCTTCTGGTATGGGAGAGGCCTTTTAGCAGTCTTTCAGCATTCCTTGTGGTGTTGCCACATCTCCGTTTTGCCTGCCTTATGGTCCCCCTGAGTCCCGTTGGCCCACCCACTCCACACTGCTACCTCGTTGTCTCTTTTGGGGGTCTTCTGCGAGAGACACAGGCACCCTGCTCCAAAGACTGGGGCATTACAGCCAGCCCGAGACAGCCCTGGGGACTTCTGGAATAGGAGAAGTGTCCTGGCAGGCTCCCAACATTTCTTGCGGTCTCGTCGCTTCTCCCCTCTGCTTGCCTCAACATCCTCCTGAGTCCGTGGGGCTTGCCCACGCCACCCTCCAGACCCGTTTTCGCTTGTGGGGGCCTTTTGTGAAAGAAACAGGAATGCTGCTCCAAAGCCTAGGGTTTTACAGCCCGCCTGGGACAGGCCTGAGGGCTTCTGGGATGAAAGAGGCCTCCTTGGGAGGCTCCCAGCATTTCCTGCAGTCTTGCCGCTTCCCCCTCTGCCTGCCTCAATGCGTCATGCTCTGTCCCTGTTGCCCTCCCACGCCACCCAGCGGACCTGTTTTTGCTAGTGGGGGCCTTCCGCTAGAGACCCAGTCACTCTGCTTCAAAAGATGAATCTTTACAGGACGTCCAGGACAGTCCTGGGGGCTTTTGGGATGGGAGAGGCGTCCTTGGGAGGCTCCCAGCATCCTTTTTGGTATCACCGCTTCCCTCTCTGCCTGCCTCCAGGTCACCCTGAGTCCCTGCCGTCCATTCAGGCCACCCTGTGGCCCTGTTTTCAATAGTGGGGGCCTTACACTAGAGACGCAGGCACCCTGCTTCAAAACCTGAAGCTTCACAGCATGCCCGGGACAGTTCTGGGGGCTTCCGGTATGGGACAGGCGTCCTTGGGAGGCCCTCAGCATTCCCTGGGGTCTCTCTGCTTCTCCCTTCTGCCTGATTGAATATGCCTCTGAGTCACAACTTCTCACCTAGGCCACCCTGCGGCCCTGGGTTCGCTTTGGGGGGCCCACTGCGAGAGAAACAAGCACACTGCTTCAAAGCCTGGGGCACTACAGTCCGTCTGGGACAGACCTGGAGGCTTCTGGGATGGGAGAGGCCTCCTTGGGATGTTTTCCGTATTCCCTGCGTTCTCGTCGCTTCTTCCCTCTGCCTGCCTCAACATCCCCCTGAATTTCTGCAGCCCGCCCACGCCACCCTTCTGCCGTGTTTTTGCATGTGGGGATCTTCCACGAGACACACAGACACTGTACTCCAAAGCCTGGGGCTATACAACTCGCACTGGACAGCCCTGGGGGCTACTGGGATGTGAGAGGCTTCCTTGGGAGGCTCCCAGCATTCCCTGCGGTCTCGCTGCTTCACCCCTCTGCCTGCTTCAACATCATTCTGAGTCCTTGACACCCACACACTCCACCCTGCTCTTCAGTTTTTGTTTGTTGTGGCCCTGAGACCCTGCGGCTTGCCCACACCACCCTACAGCCTCGTTTTCACTTGTAGGGGCTTTCTGTGAGACACAGCCACCCTGCCCCAAAGGGTGTGGCTTTGCAGCATGCCTGGGACAGCCCTGAGGGCTTCTGGAATCGGAGAGGCTTGTAATGTTTCAGGTTTTGAAGCAGGGTGTCTGTGTTTCTAGCTGAAAGCCCCCACTAGCAAAAACGGGGCCACAGTGTGGCATGGGTGGGCCCCAGAGACTCAGTGGGACGTTGAGGCTGGAAGAGGGAGAAGTGGTGGTACCACAGGGAATGCTGAGAGCCCCCCAAAGAGGCCTCTTTCATCCCAGCATCCTCCCCTGCTGTCCCAGGTGGGCTGTATAGTCTCAGGCTTTGGAGAAGAGTGACTATTTATCTTGCGGAAGTCCACCACATGAAAATCAGGGCTGCAAGGTGGCATGGGAGGGCTGAAGGGATGCGGGGGTATGTTGGGGCAGACAGAAGGGAGAAGCAGCGAGAGCGCAAGGAATGCTGAAAGCCTTCCAAAGACGCATCTCCCATCTCACAAGAAAATATGAGGCCGCAGGGTGGCGTGGGCAGGACGTAGGGGCTCACGGAGAAGTTGAGTCAAGCAGAGCGAAGCAGCACCTAGACCACAGGGAATGCTGGGAGCCTCCCCTGGAGACTTCTCCCATCCGAGAAGCCCTTTGATCTATCCGAGGCGTGCTGTAAATCTTCCGGCTTTGGAGCAAGGTGCCTGTGTCTCTCGCGGAAAATTCCTGCAAGCAAAAACGGGACCACAGGGTGGCGTGGGCGGGCCGCAGGGACTCAGGGTAACATTGAGGAGGGCAGAGGGGAGAAGCGGTGAGACTGCAGGGAATGCTGGGAGCCTCCCAATGATGCCACTCCCATTCCAGAAGCCCCCAGGGCTGTCCCAGACTGGCTATATTGCCCCAGAAGACCCCAGGGCTGTTTCAGACAAGCTATAATGCCATAGGCTTTGGAGCAGGGTGCTTGTGTCTCTCGCGAAACTCCCCCAAGAAACTCAGCAGGGCGGCAGAGTGGCATGGGCAGGCCGCAGGGTCTCAGGGAAACATTGAGGCAGGCAGAGGGCAGAAGCAGCGAGACCACAGGGAATGCTGGGAGCTTCCCAAGAAGGCCTCTCCCGTTCCAGAAGCCCCCAGGGCTTTAAATGATGGGCTGTAATGCATGAGGTTTTGGAGCAGGGTGCCTCTGTCTCTCAGAGGCACAATAGAGACAATGGGGCGGTAGTGTAGTGTGGTGGATTGCAGAAACTAAAAAAGTCAAAGAGGAAGGCAGAGCGGGGAAGGGCGAGACCACAGAGAAGCTTGGGAGCCTTCCAAGGAGGCCTCTGCCATCCCTGAAGTTCCCAAGTCTGTCCTGGAAGGACTGTAGTGCCTCAGACTTTGGATCAGGGAGCCTGTGTTTCTCGCGGAAGGCCCCAAAAAGCCAAAACGGGGCCACAGGGTAAACTGGGAGAACTGCAGGAACACAGGAACGCTGAGGCAGGCAGAAGAAAGCAGTGGCGATAACTCAGGAAATGCTGCGAGCCTCCCAGGGAGACCTCTCCCATTCCAGAAGCCCCCAAGGCTGTCCCAGGCCGGCTATAAATCACGAGACTTTGAAGCAAGATGCCTGTGTCTCTCCACAATGCCTCCACAAGCGAAAACGAAGCCGCATGGTGGTATGACCCGGCGGCAAAGACTCAGGGTGATGTTGAGGCAGGCGGCGGGGAGAAGTGGCAAGACCTCGGGGAATGCTGGGAGCCTTTCAAGGAGGCTTCTCCCATCCCAGAAGCCCTCAGGACTGTCCCAGGCGGGCTGTGATGCTCCAGTCTTTGGATCAGGGTGCCTGTGTCTCTCCCGGAAGACCTCTAAAAGAGACACCAGGGGGCACGGTGGCAAGTGTGCACCGCAGGGACTCAGGGGGACTTTGAGACAGGCAGAGGGGAGAAGCCACCAGACCGCAGACAATGCTGGGAGCCTTCAAAGGAGGTATCTCTCATTCCAGAAACCCCCAGGACAATTCTGGAAGTATTGTAATGCTTCAGGTTTTGAAGCAGGGTACCTGTGTCACTAGTGGAAGGCCTCCACTAGCGAAAACGGGGCCACAGAATGGCGTGGGCGGGCAGCAGGGACTCAGGGTGACGTTGAGGCAGACAGAGGGGAAAGCGTTGAGACTGCAGGGAATGCTGGAAGCCTTTCAAGGAGGCCTGTCCCATCCCAGAAGCCCCCAGGATAGTCCCGGGCTGGCTCCCAGCATTCCCTGTGTTCTATCCGCTTCTTTCCTCTGCCTGTCTAAACGTCCCCCTGAGTTCCTGCGGCCCGCCCACGCCAACCTGAGGCCTGTCCACGCCACCCAGCTGTCCTGTTTTTGCTTGTTTGGGCCTTTTTGAAGCAGGAACCCTGCTTCAAAGCCTGGGGCTTTACAGCCTGCCCAGGACAGTCCTGGGGACTTCTAGAATGGGAGAGGCCTCCTTGGGAGGCTCCCAGCATTCCCAGCGATCTCGTCACTTTTCCCCTCTACCTCTCAACATCAACATGAGTTTCTGCCACCCGCTGATGCCACTCTGTGACTCTGTTTTCTTTTGTGGGAGCCTTCCACGAGACACACAAGAACGCTGCTCTGAAGCCTGGGGCTTTACAGCCTGTCCGGGACACACCTGGGAGCTTCTGTGTTGGGAGAGACCTCCTAGAGACTTTCCCAGCATTGCCTACTGTCTCAGGGCTTCAACCCTCTGCCTGTCTCAATGCTCACCTGAGTCCCTGTGGCCCTCTCATGCCACCCTGCATCCCCGGTTTTGCATGTGGGGGCCTTCCCCGAGAGACATAGCCACCTTGTTTTAAAGCCTGGGGCTTTACAGCATTCCCAGGACAGCCCTAAAGGCTTCTGAGATGGGAGAGGCCTCCTCGAGAGGCTCCCAGCAGTCCCTGCAGTCTTGCCACTTCTCCCCTCTGCCTGCCTTAACATCCTCCTGAGTTTCTGCGGCCCTACTACGCCACACTGCGGCCCCGTTTTTGCTTGTGGGAGCTTTACGCTAAAGAGACAGGCACTCGGCTTCGAAACCTGAAGCATTACAGCAAGCCCAGGACAGTCCTGGAAGCTTTTGGGATGGGAGAGGACTCCTTGGGAGGCTCTCAGGATTCTTTTCGTTCACACCGCTTCTTTCCCTTGCTGGCCTCAATGTCCCTCTGAGTCCCTGTGGCCCGCCCAAGCCACACTGCTGCCCGGTTTTCCTAGTTGGGACCTTTCGCTAGAGACACATGCACCCTGCTTCAAAACCTGAAGCATTACAGCATGCTAAGGACAGTCCTGGGGGCTTCTGGGTTGGGAGAGGCCTCCTTTGGAAGTTCCTAGGATTCTCTGCAGTCTCACTGCCTCTTCTCTCTGCCTGCCTCAACCTCCTGATGAGTCCCTACGGCCAGCCCACACCACCCTGCGGCCCTACTTTTGCTTGTGGAGGCCTTCTGCAAGAGACACAGGCACTCTGGTTCAAAGCCTGGTGCTTTGCAGCCCACTAGGGACAGCCCTGGGGGTTTCTGGGATGGGAGAAGCCTTTTAGGGAGGCTCCCAGCATTCGCTGTGGTGTGGCTGCTTCTCCTCTCTGTCTGCCTCAGTCCCCTTGAGTCCCAGCGGCACGCCCAAACCAACCTGAGGCACCGTTTTCGTTAGTGGAGGCCTTCCGCTAGAGACACAGTCACCCTGCTTCAAAACCTGAAGCTTTACAGCACTCCCGGGACAGTCTTTGGGGATTCTGGGATGGGAGAGGCCTTCTTGGGAGGCTCGCAGCATTCCCTGCACTCTCGCCCCTTCTCTCCTCTTCCTGCCTCAATGTCACTCTGAGACCCTGCCAACAGCCCATGCCACCCTGCTGCCCTGTTTTCACTGGTAGGGGCCTTCCACGAGAGATACAGGCACCATGCTCCAAAGCCTGGGGCTTTACAGCCTGCCTGGGATAGTCCTGGGTATTTCTGAGATAGGAGAGGCCTTGTAGGGAGTCTCCCAGAGTACCCAGCAGCCTTGCCGCTTTCCTCTCTGCCTGCCTCCATGTCAAGCTGAGTTCCTGCTTCTGCCTACGCCATGCTGTGGCCTTGTTTTCACTAGTGGGGCCCTTCTGCTAGAGACTCAGTCACACTGCTTCAAAACCTGAAGCTTTACACCTCGCCCAGGACAGAAATAGGGGCTTCTGGGTTGGGAGATGTCTCCTTGGCAGGGTTTCAGCATTTCCTGCGGTCTTGCCGCTTCTCCCCTCTGCCTGCCTCTGAGTCACCCTTAGTCACTTCTGCTTGCCCACTCCACTCTGCGTCGCCGTTTTCGCTTGTAGGGGACTTTCGCTAGAGACTCTGGCACCCTGCTCCAAAGGCTGGGGCATTACAGCCCATACAGGACAGCCCTGGGGGCTTCTGGGATTAGAGAGGCATCCTTGGGACAGTCCCAGCATGCCCTGCAGTCTCGCTGCTTCTCCCCTTTGCCTGTCTCAACATCCCCCTGAGTTCCTGCGGCCTTTTAATGCCATTCTGCTGCCCCATATTTCCATGTTGGGGCCATCCGCGAGAGACGCTGGCACCCTGCTCCAAAGCCTGGAGCATTACAGTCCATCCGGGACAGCCCTGGGGCTTCTCGGATCGGAGACACATCCTTGGGATGCTGTCAGCGTTCCCTGCTGTCTCGCTGCTTCTCCTCTCTCCCTGCGTCAACCTCTCCCTGAGGCCTCGCAGCATTCCCACACAATTCTGCAGCCCCGTTTTTGCATGTGGGGGCCTTCTGCAAGAGACAAAGGTTTCCTGCTCCAAAACCTGGGGCTTTACAACCCACACCAGACACGCCTGGGGCCTTCTGGATAGAGAGGGGCCTCCTTGGTAGGGGGTTCCCAGCATATCCTGCGGTCTCGCTTCTTCTCCCCTCTGCCTGTCTCAACTTGCCCCTGAGTCCCTGCGGCCCGCCTACACACACTGAGGCCCCGTTTTTTCTTGTGGAAATTTTCCACGAGAGACACAGGCACCCTGCTCCAAAGCCTGGAGCTTTACAGCCCACCTGGGACAACCCAGGGGTCTTCTGGGATCGGAGAGGCCTCCTTGGGAGGCTCCCAGCATTTTCTGTGGTCTCACTGCCTCTTTCCTCCCCCTTCCTCAAGACCCCCGTGAGTCCCTACAGCCCGCTCACAACACCTTGCATCCCCGTTTTTGCTTTTGGAGGCCTTCCTGCAAGAGACACAGGCACCCTGGTCCAAAGCCTGGTGCTTTACAGCACACCCGGGACAGCTCTTGAGGCTTCTGGGTTGGAAGAGACTTTTTAGGAAGGCTTCCAGCATTCCCTGCAGTGTCACCAGGTCTGCCCTCTGTCTGCCTCAACATCCCCCTGAGTCCCTGCATCTTGGCCATGACAAGGTACAACCTCATTTTCACTTGTGAGGCCTTAAAGCAAGAGACACAGGCACCATGCTGTAAAGTCCGTGGCTTTACAGCACCACTAGGACACCACTGAGGACTTCTCGAATTGGTAAGGTCTCCTTGAGATGCTTTCAGCATTGTCTGCAGTCTCAACGCTTCTCCCCTCTGCATGGCCTTTTGTCCCTCTGAGTCCCTATGGCCTGCTCACGCCACCCTAAGTCCCCGTTTTCATTAGTTGGGGCTTTCCACTAGAGACACAGGCACCCTGCTTCGAAACCTGAAGGTTTACAGCATGCCCGAGACAGTATTGGGGGCTTCTGGGATGGGAGAGGCCTCCTTGGGAGGGTCCCAGCATTTTCAGCCGTCCCCCTGCTTCTACCCTCTGCCTGCCTCAATGTCACCCTGAGTCCCTTCCACCCACCCACGACACCCTGCGGCCCCGTTTTTGCTTGTGGGGGTCTTCTGCAAGAGAAACAGGCACTCTGCTCCAAAGCCTAAAACTTTAAAGCCCGCCAGGGAGACTTGGGGTCTTCTGGGATGGGAAAGCTTTTACTGGGAGGCTCCAAGCATTCCCTGCGGTCTCGCCACCTATCTCCTCTGCCTGCCTCAACATCACCCTGTGTCCTTGCCGCCCACCCCTGCCACATGGCGGCCCAGTTTTCGCTTGTGGCAGCCTTCTGCGAGAGACACAGGCTCTCTGTTCCAAAGTCTGAGGCTTTACACCTTGCTTGTGACAGCCCAGGGGGTTTCTGGGATGGGAGAGGCGTCCAAGGGAGGCTCCCAGCCTTCCGTGCGGTCTCGCCACTTCTTCCCTCTTCCTGTCTCAACGTCCCCATGAGTCTCTATGGCCGGCTCATGTCATCCTGCAGCTCTGTTTTTGCTTGTGGAGGCCTTCAATTAGTGACACGGACACCCTGCTTTAAAGCCTGTTGCGTTACAGCCCACCAAGGACAGCACTGGGGGCTCCTGGAATAGGAGTGGATTTTAAGGGAGACTCCCAGCATTCCCTGCCATATTGCCACGTCTCCCCTAGGTCTGCCTCAACGTCCCCCAGAGTCCCTGCAGCTTGCTTACACCACACTACTGCCCCATTTAGGCTTTTGCGGGCTTTCCGTGAAAGATATAGGCACCGTGCTCCAAAGCCTGGGGCTTTACAGTACGCCTGGGACAGCACTGAGGGCTTCTGGGATAGGAGAGGCTTCCTTGGGATGCTCCCAGCATTTCCTGCGGTCACGAATCTTCTCCCCTCCGCATGGCTCAACGTCCCTCTGAGCCCCTGCGCTCGCCCACGCCACCCTAGGGCCCCGTTTTTGCTAGTGCAGGTTGTTTTCTAGAGACAGACATGCTGCTTCAAAACTTGAAACTTTACAGCACGCCCAGGACAGCCCTGTGGGCTTCTGGGATGGGAGAAGCGTCATGGAGAGGTTGCCAGCATTTCCTGCCATCTTGCTGCGTCTTCTCCCCACTGCCTGTCTCAACGTCCCCCTGTGTCCTTGCTGCCCCCCCACGCCATACTGAGGCCCTGTTTTTGCTTGTGGGAGTTTTCTGGGAGAGACACAGGCACTCTGCTTCAAAGCCTGGGGCTTTACAGCCCACCCGGGACAGCCCAGGGGGCTTCTGGGATGGGAGAGGCGTCCAGGGGAGGTTCCCAGCATTCCCTGCTGTCTCACCGCTTTTTCCCTCTGCCTGCCTCAATATCCCTGTGAGTCTCTACGGGCTGCTCACACCACCTTGCAGCCCTGTTTTTGCTTGTGGAGGCCTTTCGTGAGAGACACAGGCACCCTGGTCAAAAGCCTGGTGCTTTGCAGCATGCCCAGGACAAACCCTGGTGGTTTCTGGGATGGGAGAAGCCTTTTACAGGGGCTCCCAGCATTCCCTGCAGTGTCTCTGGGTCTCCTCTCTGTCTACCTCAACGTCCTGCTGAGTCCCTGCGGTCTGTGAACACCACCCAGTGGCCCCGTTTTCGATAGTTGGGGCCTTCCACTAGAGGCACAGGCACCCTGCTTCAAAACCTGAAAGTTTACAGTATGCCTGGGACGGTCTTAGGGGATTCTGAGATGGGAGAGGCCTCCTTGAGAAGCTCCCGGCATTCCTTGTGGTCTCGCCCCTTCTCTCTGCCTGCTTCAACATCACCCTGAGTCCTTGCCACCCTCCCACACCACCCTGCGGCCCTGTTTTCACTGGTGGGGGCCTTTTGCGAGAGACACAGGCAACCTGCTCCGAAGACTGGGGCTTCACAGTCCACCCGCGTCAGTCCTGGGGACTTCTGGGATGGGAAAGCAATCTTGGGAGGCCCCAGTGGTATCATTGCTTCACCCACTGCCTGCCTCAACGTCATGCTGAGTTCCTGCACTTGCCTATGCCACTTTGCGGCCCTGTTTTTACTGCTAGAGCCTTCTAATAGAAACACAGAAACACTGCTACAAAGCCTGAAGCTTTACACCTCACACGGGACAGTCCTGGGGGCTTCTGGGTTGGGAGAGGTCTTCTTTGAGGGTCCCAAAATTTCCTGCGGTCTCTCCACTTCTTCACTCTGCCTGCCTCAACGTCACCTAGAGTCCCTGCTGCCCACTCTGCGGCCCCACTCCACTCTGCGTCACCGTTTTCAGTTGTGGGGGTCTTCCATGAGAGACTCTCGCACCTGGCCACAAAGCCTAGGGAATTAGAGCCCGTCTGGGACAGCCTGGGGGCTTCTGGGATCGAAGAGGCATCCTTGGGATGCTCCCGGAATTCCTTGCAGTCTCGCCGCTTCTCCTCTCTGCCTGCCTCAACATCCCCCTGAGTCCCTGCATCCTTCCCACGCCATTGGCGGCCCCATTTTCGCATGTGGGGGCCTTCTCTGAGAGACACAGGCTCCCTGCTCCCAAGCCTGGGCATTACAACCCGCACAGCACAGCCCTGGGGCCTTCTGGGATGCGAGAAACGTCCTTGGGAGGCTCCCAGCATTCCCTGTGGCCTTGCTGCTTCTCCTCTCTGCCTGCCTCAACCTCACCCTGAGTCCCTGCTACCCGCCGACATCATCCTGTGGCCCCATTTTTGCTTGCGGCGGCCTTCCGCTAGAGACGCAGATATCCTCCTAAAAAGCCTGGGGCTTTACAGCCAGCCTGGGACAGCCTTGCGGGTTTCTGGGATGGGAGAGGCCTCCTGAATAGGCTCCCAGCATTCCCTGCTGTCTCGCCGCTTCTTCCCTCTGCCTACCTCAACTTTCCCCTGAGTCAGTGTGGCTCGCCCAGGCCACACTGTGGCCCCGTTTTCACTTTTGGGGGCCTTACGTGAGAGACAAAGGCACCCTGCTCCAAAGTCTGAGGCCTTATATCCCGTCCGGGACAGTCCTGGATTCTTCTGGGATGAAAGAGGCCTACTTGGGAGGCCTCCCAGCATTCTCTGTGGTCTCGCAGCTTCTCCCCTCTGCCTGCCTCAATGTCCGCCTCAGTCCCTGCGGCCTGCCCATGCCACACTGTGGCCCTCCCACACCACCCTGCAGCCCTGTTTTCGCTTGTGGGGATTGTTTGGGAGAGACAGCGGCACCTGCTTCAAAACCTGAAGCTTTACAGCTGGCCCTGGCCAGTCCTAGGGGCTTCTAGGATGGGAGAGGCCTCCTTAAGTGGCTCCCAATATTTCCTACATTCACAGCCCTTCTCCCTTCTGCCTGCCTCAACGTTCCCCTGAGTTCCTGCGGCTCATCCAGACCACCCTGCAGTTCCATTTTCACTTGCGTAGGTCTTCTGTGAGAGGCTTAGGCACACTGCTCCAAAGCCTGGGTCCCTACAACCCATCCGGAACAGACCTGGGGGATTCTGGGATGAAAGAGGCCTCCTTGGGAGGCTCTCAGCATTCCCTGCGGTCTCGCCACTTCTCCCCTCTGCCTGCGTTAATATCTCCCTCAGGCCTGCGGCCAGCCCACGCCACCCAGCCACCCTGTTGTCTCTCTTGCGGGTCTTCTGCGAGAAACACAGGCACCCTGCTCCACAGCCTGGGGCATTACCACCTGTCCGGGACGGCGCTGGGGCCCTCTGGGATCAGAGAGGCGTCCTTAGGAGGCTCCCAGCATTCTCTGCGATTTCACCACTTCTTCTCTCTGCCTGTCTACATCCTCGTGAGCCCTTACGGCCCACCCACGACACCCTACAGCCCAATTTTCTCTAGAGGGGGGCTTTTGCTTGAGACACAGGCACCCTGCTTCAAAACTTGAAGCTTTACAACATGCCCGGAATAGTCCTGTGGGCTTCCAAAATGGGAGCGGCCTCCTTGGGAGGCTCCCAGCATTTTCTGAGGTGTTGCTGCATCTCCCCTCTGTCTGCCTCAAAGTCCCCTTGAGTCCCTGCCACCAGCCCACGCCACCCTGCGGAGCAGGTTTTGATGGTTGGGGCCTTCCGTGAGAGACACAGGCACCCTGTTCCAAAGCCTGGGACTTTACAGCCTGACCAGGACAGCCTTGAGGGCTTCTGGGATAAGAGAGGCCTCGTTGTGGGGCTCCCAGCTTTCCCTGCCGTCTGGTCACTTCTACCCTGTGCCTCAACGTCCCCCTGAGTCCCTGAGGCCTGCCCACGCCACCCTGCTGCCTGCCCACACCACCCTGCCGCCCTGTTTTCACTTATGGGGGCCTTTTGCGAGAGACACAGGGACACTGCTCCAAAGCCTAAGGCTTTATAGTCCGCCCAGGACAGTCCTTGAGGCTTCTGGAACGGGAGAGGCTTTTCTGGGAGGCTCCCAGCATTACCTGAGGTACCTGAGGTCTCGCTGCTTCTCCTCTAGCCTGCCTCGACTTCCCCTTGAGTCCTTGCAGCTCTCCCACGCCACTCTGCATCCCCGTTTTTGCATGAGGGGACTTCCACGAGAGACACAGGCTTTCTGCTCCAAAGCCTGGGGCTTCACAACGCACAAGGGACAGCCCTGGAGGCTTCTGGGGTGGGAGAGGCCTTCTTGAGAGGCTCCCAGCATTCCCAGCTGCCTTGCTGCTTCTCGTCTCTCCTTGCCTCAGTGTCCCCTTCAGTCCCTGCGGCCTGCCCACGCCACCCTGCGGCCCGTTTTTCCCTTCTGGGGGCCATTTTCGAGAGACACAGGTACCCTGCTCCAAAGCCTGGAGCGTTACAGCCTGTCCGGGACAGTCCTGGGGGCTTCTGGGATTGGAGAGGTCTTTTTGGGAGGCTCCCAGCATTCCCTGTGGTCTCACCTCTTACCCCCCTACCTGCCTCAACGTCCCTCTGAGTCCCTGCCGCCCACCCACGCCACCCTGCCGCCTCGTTTTTGCTAGTGGGGGTGTTCTGCTTCAAAACTTGAAGCTTTACAGGACACCGGGGACAGTCCTGGAGGCTTCTTGGTTGGGAGAGGCTTACTTGGGACTATCCCAACATTCCTTGTGGTCTCGCCGCTTCTCCCCTCTGCCTGCTTCAACTTCACCCTGAGTCCCTGCCGCCCACCCACGCCAGGCTGCGGCCCCATTTTTGCATATGGGGGTATTCCGCAAAAGACACAGGCTCCATGGTCCAAAACCTGGGGCTTTACCGAGCGCATGGGACAGCCCTGAGGTTTTCTGGAATGGGAGAGGCCTCCATGGGAGGGATCCCAGCATTCCCTGCGGTCTCACTGCTTCTCCCCTCTGCCTGTCTCAACGTCCCCATGAGTTCCTGTGGCCCGCCCACGCCACACTGCGGCCCCGTTTTTGCTTGTGGGAGTTTTCCGCAAGAGGGGGAGGCTCCCAGCATTCCATGTGGTGTCACGGCTTCTTCCCTCTGCCTGCCTCAATGCCCCTGTGAGTCCCTATGGGCCACCCACGCCACCGTGCAGCCCCATTTTTGCTTGTGGAGAGTTTCTGCGAGAGACACAGGAACGCTGATCCAAAGCCCGGTGATTTACAACCCACCTGGGACAGTTCTGGGGGCTTCTGGGATGAGAGAGGCCTTTTAGGGAGGCTCCCAGCATTCCCTGCCGTGTCTCCAGGTCTCCCGTCTGTCTGCCTCAACATCTCCCTGAGTCCCTGAGGCTTGGCCATGCCACCCTACAGCCGAGTTTTCACTTTTGGGCGCTTAAGGGGAGCGACCCAGGTATTCTGCTTTAAAGCTGGGGCTTTACAGCACTCCTGGGACAGCCCTGACGGCTTCTGGGATGGGTGAGGCCTTCTTGGGATGCTTTCAGCATTCCCTGTGGTCTCGACCCTTCTCCCCTCTGCATGGCTGTATGTCCCCCTGAGTCCCTGTGGGCCACCCAGGCCACCCTATGGCCCCGTTTTCGTTACTGGGAACCTTCCGCTAGAGACACAGGTACCCTGCTTCAAAGCCTGAAGTTTTACAGCACACCGGGGAAAGTCTTGGGGACTTCTGAAATGGGAGAGGCCTCCTTGGGAGACTCCCCCTATTCCCTGAGAACTTGCCACTTCTCCCCTCTGCCTGTCTCAACGTCACCCTGAGTTTCCGCCGCCCGCCCACGCCCCCCTGCCGACCCGTTTTCACCTGTGGGAGTCTTCAGCAAGAGACACAGTCACCCTGCTCCAAAGCCTGGGGCTTTAAAGCCCACCCGGGACAGACTTGGGGAATTCTGTGATGGGAGTGGCCTCTTTGGGAGGCTCCCAGCATTCCCTGCTGTCTTGGCGCTTCTCCCCTTTGCCTGCCTTAATGTCCCCCTGAGTCCGAGCAGCCTGCCCATGCCACACGACTTCCCTGTTTTTGCTTGTGAGAGCCTTCCGCGAGAGACGCAGGCACTGCTCCAAAGCCTGAGGCTTTACAGCTTGCTTGGGACAGCCCAGGGGGCTTCTGGGATGCGAGAGGCCTCCAGCATTCCCTGCGGTCTCGCCGCTTCTTCGCTCTGCCTGCCTCTACGTCCCCATGAGTCTCTAGGGCTTGCCCATGCCACCATGAAGCCCCGTTTTTGCTTGTGGAGGCCTTCCACGAAAGACACAGGCAACTGCTTTAAAGCCTGGTGCATTACAGCCTGCCTGGGACAGCCCTACGAGCTTCTGGGATGGAAGAGGCCTTTTAGGGAGGCTCCCAGCATTCCCTGCGATGTCGCCACCTCTCCCCTCTGTCTGCCTCAATGGCACCCTGACTTCCTGCTGCTTGCTTATGCCACAGTACGGCCTTGTTTTCGCTTGTGGGGGCTTTCCGTGAAAGTCACGGGCACCCTGCTCCAAAGCCTTGGGATTTACAGCAAGCCTGAGAAAGCACTGAGGGCTTCTGGGATGGGAGAGGCCTCCTTGGGATGCTCCCAGCATTTCCTGCGATCTCGACGCTTCTCCCCTCTGCACGGCTGAATGTCCCCATGAGTCCCTGCGGCCTGCCCATGTCACCTTACGGCCCCGTTTTCGCTAGTGGGGGTTGTTTGCTAGAGACAGAGGCACCCAGCTTCAAAACCTGAAACTTTACAGCACGCCTGCATCAGTCACGTGGGCTTCGGGAATGGGAAAGGCCTCCTTCAGAGGTTCCCAGCATTCCCTGCGGTCTCGCAGATTCTTTTTTCTGCCTGCCTCAATGTCACCCTGAGTCCCTGCCACCAGCCCACGCCACCCTGTGGTCCCATTTTTGCTTGTGAAAGTGGAAGCCTTCTGCGAGAGACACAGGCACCCTGCTTTAAAGCCTGGGGCTTTACAACCCACCCAGGACAGCCTTAGTGGCTTCTGGGATGGGAGAGGCCTTGTTGGGGGGATCCCAGCATTCCCTGCTGTCTTGTGGCTTCTCCCCTCTGTCTGCCTCAACGTCTTTCTGCATTTCTGTGGACCGCCCACGCAACCCTGTGTCCTTGTTGTCTCTTTTGGAGGTCTTCTGTGAGAGACACAGGCACCCTCTTCCAAAGCCTGGGGTATTATAGCATGTCCGGGACATCCCTGGGGGCTTCTGGGATGGGATAGGTCTCCTTGGGAGGCTCCCAGCATTCCCTGCAGTCCCACTGCTTCTCCCCTCTGCCTGCCTCAATGTCACACTAAGTCCCTGTGGCCCATGCACGCCACCCTTCAGCCCTCCCACTTCCCCCTGTGGCCCTATTTTTGCTTTTGGGAGCCCTTTATAAGAGACACAGCCATCCTGCTCCAAAACTTGGGGCTTTACAGCCCACCTGGAACAGCCCTGAGAGATTCTGGTTTCAGAAAGTCTTCCTTAGGAGGCTCCCAGCATTCACTGCAGTATCGCCGTTTCCTCCTCTGCCTGCCTCAACATCACCCTGAGTTGGTGCCACCTGCCCACGCCACCCTGCAGGCCCATTTTCGCTAGTGGGGCCTTCGGCCAGAGATGCAAACACCCTTCAGCAAAGCCTGTGGCTTTACACCCCGCCTGGGACTGTCCTGGGGGGTTCTGGGATGGGAGAGGCTTCCATGTATGACTCCCAGCATTCCATGTGGTCTTGCCGCTTTCCCTTCTGCCTGCCTCAACGTCATGCTGAGTTCCTGCATCTGTCCACACCACCCTGTGGCACCAATTTCGCTGGTGGGGGCCTTCCGCTGGAGACACAGGCACACTGTTTGAAAACCTGAAGGTTTACAGCAATGCCCGGGGCAGTCCTGAGGGCTTCTGGGATGGGAGAGACCTCCTTAAGAGGCTCCCAGCATTCCCTGCTTTCTCATTGCTTCTCCTTTTTGCCTGCCTCAATGTTACCCTGAGTCCCTGTGGCTCATCCAGGCCACCCTGAGGCCCCGTTTTCACTTGTGGGGGCCTTCTGTGAGAGACACAGGCACCATGCTCCAAAGCCTGGGGCCCTACAACCCGCTCCGGACAGAACTGGTGGCTTCTGCAATGAAAGAGACCTCCTGGGGAGGCTCCCAGCACTCCCTGGGATCTCGCCACTTTTCCCCTCTTCCTGCCTTAATGTCTCCCTGAGCCCTGCGACCAGCCCACGCCACCCAGCCACCTCGTTGTCTGTTTTAGGGGTCTTCCACGAGAAACACAAGCACCCTGCTCCACAGCCTGAAGCTTTACATCCCGCTTAGGACAGCCTTGGGGCTTCTGAAATGGAAGAGACATCCATGGGACACTCCAGTCATTCCCTGTGGTCTGGCTGCTTCTTCGCTGTGCCTGCCACAACGTTCTCCTGACTACCTGCGGCTCACCCAGGCCATCCTGCCTCCTTGTTTTCTTTGGTGGGGGCCTTCCACGAGTGACACAGGCACTCTGCTTTAAAGACTGGGGCACTAGAGCCCGTCCGGGACAGACCTGGGTGCTTCCGGGATGGGAAAGGCCTCCTTGTGACCCTCCCAGCATTCCCTGCCGTCTCGCCGCTTATTCCCTCTGCCTGTGTCAATGTGTCTTTGAGGCTGTGCTGCCCACCCATGTCACCATGCAGCCCCATTTTCTCTTTGGGGGTCTTCCACGAGAGACACAGGCACCCTGCTCCAAAGCCTGGGGCTTTACAGTCTGCCCAGCACAGCCTTGGGGGCTTCTGGGATGGGATAGGCCTCCAGGGTAGGCTACCAGCATTCCCAGCGGTCTTGACGCTTCTCCCCTCTGCCTGCCTCAACGTTCCCCTGAGTCCTTGTGGGTCCCCGAGGCCCCCTTACAACCCTGGTTTTGCTTGTGGGGGCCTTCCATTAGAGACACAGGCTCCCTGCTCCAAAGCCTAGGGCTTTACAATGGGCACGGGACAACCCCGGGAGCTTCTGGGATGGGAGAGGCTTCCTTGGGAAGCGCCTAGTATTGCCTGCGGTCTTGCCACTTCTCCCCTCTGCCGGTCTCAACATCCCCTTGAGTCCCTGCGGCCCACCCACGCCACACTGAGGCCCCGCTTTCGCTTGTGGGAGCCTTCCTCTACAGATACAGGCACACTGCTTCACAAACTGAAAGATTACAGCACGCCTGGGACACTCCTTCATGTTTCTGTGATGGGAGAGGCGTCCTTGGGAGGCTCCCAGTATTCCCTGTGGTCTCACGTCTTCTCCTCTCTGCCTGCCTCAACGTCCCCCTGAGTCTTTGCGTTGCTCCCACACCACCTGGCTGCCCTTTTTTTTTTTTTTTTTTTGTGGGTGGTCTTCTGCAAGAGACATAGGCACCATGATCCAAAGACTGGGGAATTAGATCCTTCCCGGGACAGCCCTGGGGACTTCTGAAATAAGAGATGCCTCCTTGCCGGGCTCCCAGTATTCTCTGCAGTCTCGCTGCTTCTGACATCTGTCTGCCTCAACATCCCCCTGGATCTTGCGGCCTGCGCACTTCATCCTGTGGCCCACCCACGCCACACTACGGCCCCATTTTCGCTAGTGGAAACCTTCTGCTACAGACAAAGACACCCTGCTTCAAAACCTGAAGCATTACAGCATGCCTGGGACAGTCCTGGGGGTTTCTGAAATGTGAGAGGCCTTTTTGGGAAACTCCAGGCATTCCCTGTGGTCTCTAAACTTCTCCCCTCTGCCTGCCTCAACCTCCCTTTGAGTCTCTGCAGCCCCCCCATGCCACCCTGCTACCCGGTTGTTTCTTTTGGAAGTCTTCCAAGAGAAACATAGGCACACTTTTCCAAAGCCTGGAGCATTATAGCATGTCCAGGACATCCCTGGGGACTTCTGGGATGGGAGAGGACTTTAAGGTAGGCTCCCAGAATTCCCTGCGGTCTCGCTGCGTCTCCCCTCTGCCTGCCTCAATGTATCACTGAGTTTCTGCACCCCTCCTACGGCACCCTATGGCCCCATTTGTGCTTGTGGGGGCTTTCCGAGAGAGACACAGGCACCCAGCTCCAAAGCCTGGGGTTGTACAGCCTGCCCAGAGTAGCCATGGGGGCTTCTGGGATGGAAGAGGCCTCATTGGGAAGCTCGCAGCATTTCCTCTTTTGTCACCGCTTCTCCCCTTTGTCTGCACGAACCATCCCCTGAGTTCCTGCGGCCTGCCAGGCCTTCCTACGGCCCCATTTTTGGTGGTGGGGGCCTTCTGCCAGAGACACTGCCACCTTGCTCCAAAGGCTGATGCATTACAGCCCGCTTAGGTCAGCCCTGGTGGCGTATGGGATGGGAGAGACCACTTTGGGAGGCTCCCAGCATTTTCAACGTCTCCCTGAGTCCCTGAGGCCCGCCTATGCCACCCTGCTGCCCCGTTGTCTCTTTTGGGGGTCTTCCACAAGATACATGCACCGTGCTCCAAATCCTGCGGCATTACAGCCCGTCCAGTACAGCCCTGGGGGTTCCTAGGATAAGAGAGTTATACTTGGGAGGCTACCAGCATTCCCTGTGGTCTCGCAGCTTCCCTCTTCCTGCCTCAAAGTCCCTGTGGCCCTCCCACGCCACCCTGCGGCCCACCCATGCCACTCTGAAGCCATGTTTTCTCTTGAGAGGGCCTTTGGAGAGAGACATAAGCACCCTACTCCAAAGCCTGGGGCTTTACAACCTGCCCAGTACAGTCCTGGGGTATTCAGGGATGGGAGAGTCCTCATTAGCAGGCTCCCAGCATTCTCTGTGGTCGTTTCCCCCCTTGCCTGCCTGAAGGTCACCCTGAGTCCCCGCAACCTACCCACGCCAGCCTGTGGCCCTGTTTTCGCTTGTAGGGGACTTCCAAGAGAGACAGAGTCACCCTGCTCTGAAGCCTCAGGCTTTATAGCCTGCCCGGGACACCCCTGGGGGCTTCTGGGATGGGTAGACCTCCTTGGGAATCTCCCAGCATTCCCTGCGTTCTCAACGATTCTTTTCTCTGCTGCCTCAACATCCCCATGAGTCCCTGCGGCTGGCGCACCCCATGCTGCGGCCCCATTTTTGCATATGGGGGCCTTCCGTGAGAGACACAGGCACCCTGCTCCAAAGCCTTGGGTTTTACAGCACTCCTGGGGCAGCCCTGGGGTCTTCTGGGATGAGAGATGTTTCCAAGGGAGGCTCCCAGCATTCCCTGCAGTCTCGCCACTTCTTCCCTGTGCCTGTGTCAGTGTCCCCCTGAGTCCCTGTGGCCGGCCCACGCCACACTGTGGCCCCGTTTTTGCTTGTGGGAGCCTCTCAGGAGAGACACAGGCACCCTGTTCCAAAGGCTTGGGCTTTACATCACTCCCAGAACAGCCTGGGGACTTCTGGGATGGGAGAGCCATCCTTGGGAGGTCCCAGAATTTCCTGCAGTCTCGACTCTTCTCCCCTTTGCCGGGATCAATGTCCCCCTGAGTCCCTGCAGCATGCCCACGCCACCCTATGGTCCCGTTTTCGCTAGTGGGGCCTTCCGCTACAGACACAGGCACCCTGCTTCAAAATCTGAATCTTTACATCACCACCCCCGGGAAAGTCCTTGGGGCTTCTGGGATGGGAGAGGCCTCCTTGTGAGGCTCCAACATTCCCTGCGGTCTTGCAGTTTCTTCCCTCTAACTGCCTCAATGTCACCTTGAGTACCTGCCGCCCACCCACGCCACCCTGTGGCCTTGTTTTAGCTAGTGGGGGTCCTCCACTAGAGACACAGACATCCTGCTTCGAAGTCTGGGACTTTACAGCCCGCCCGGGACAGCCCTGTGGACTTCTAGGATGGGAGATGCGTCCATGTGAGGCTCCCAGTATTCCCTGCGGTCTCGCTGCTTCTCCCTTCTTCCTGTCTTAATGTCCCCCTGAGTCCCGGCGGCCCACCCACGCCACACTGCGGCTCTGTTTTCTCTTGTGGGAACCTTCCTCGAGAGAGACAGGCACCCTTCTCTATAGGCTAGGGCTTTACAGCCAGCCCAGGACAGCCCAGGGGACTTCCGGGATGGGAGAGGCTTCCATGGGAGGCTCCCAGAATTCCCTGTTTTCTCAATGCTTCTTAATTCTGCCTACCTCAATGCCCCCCTTAGTACCTGTGGCCCTTCCACACCACCCTGTGGCTCCATTTTTGCTTGTGGAGGCCTTCCTCAAGAGACACAGGCATCCTGCTCCAAAGCCTGCTGCTTCACAGCCCGCCTGGGACAGATCTGTTGGCTTCAGCGATGGGAGAGGCCTTTTTTGGAGGCTCCCAGCATTCCCTGTGGTCTCGCCGTGTCCCCTCTCTGCTTGCCTCAGCGTCCCCCTGAGATTCCACGGCCTGCCCATGTTGCCCTGCTTCTTGCAAACGCAACCAACCCTTCGGCCTTGTTTTCGCCTGTAGAGGCCTTTTGCGAGAAACACAGGCACCCTGCTCCAAAGCCTGGGGCTTTACAGCCCACCTGGGACAGACCTTGGGGCTTCTGGGATGGGCAAGGTCTCCTTAAGAGGCCCCCCAGCATTCCCTGCTATCTCGACGATGTTTTTCTCTGACTGGCTCAACGTCACCCTGAGTCCCTGCTGCTGCCCATGCCACTCTACCGCACTGATTTCACGATGGGGAGCTTCCGCTAGAGACCCATGCACCCTTCTTCAAAACCTGAAACTTTACAGCACGCCTGGGACAGTCCTGGGAGCTTCTGAATGGGAGAGCCTTTCTTGGGAGGCTCCCAGCATTCCCTGTGGTCTCACTGCTTCTCCCCTTTTCCTGTCTCAAAGTTACCCTGAGTGCGTGCCGGCCTCACACGCCATCCTGCGGCCCCGTTTTCGCATGTAGGGGCCTTCCGCAAGAGACACAGGATCCCTGCTCCAAAGCCTGGCAAGTTACAGCCCGTCTGAAACAGATCTGGGGGCTTCTGAGATGAAAGAGGTCCCCTTGGGAGGTGCCCAGCATTCCCTGCAGTCTCTCCAATTCTCAACTCTGCCTGTATCAGCCTCTCCCTGAGTCCCTTCATCTGGCCCACGCCACACAGCTGCCCTATTTTCTCTTGTAGGGGTCTTCCGCGAGAGAAACGGGCACCAAGCTCCAAAGCATGGGGCATTACAGCTTGTCCCGGACAGCTTTGGGGGCTTCTGGGGTGAGAGAGGCCTTCTTGGGAGGCTTCCTTGCGGTATCTTCGCTTCTCCCTTCGGCCTTCCTCAACGTGCCCTGAGTCCCTACAGGCCCCCCAATGCCACCCTGTGGCCTTATTTTCGCTTGTTGGAGCCTTTTGCGAGAGACGCAGGTATCCTGCTCTGAAGCCAGGGTCTTTAAAGCCCGCCCGACACACACCTGGGAGCTTCTAGGATGGGAGAGGCCTCTTTGAAACGCTCCCAGAATTTTCTGCAGTCTCACCGCTTCTCTCCTCTGCCAGCCTCAACGTCCCCCTGAGTAACTGCGATCCTCCCTCGCCACCCTGTGGCACCAATTTGTATGTGGGGGCCTTCTGCGAGAGACATAGGCACACTGCTTCGAAGCCTGGGTCTTTACAGCCTGCCCGGGACAGCCCTGGAGGCTTCTGGGATGAAAGAGGCCTCTTTGGGAGGCTCCCAGCCTACCCTGCGGTTCGCTGCTTCTCTCCTGGGCCGGTCTCAATGTCCCTTTGAGTCCCCTCTGCCCACCCAGGCCACACTGTGACCCTTTTCTCGCTTGTGGGAGCCTTTTACTAGAGACACAGGCACTCTGTTGCAAAACCTGAAGCATTACAGTGCGACCAGGACAGTCCTGGGGGCTTCTGGAATGGGAGAGGTCTCCTTGGGAGGCTCCCAGTATTCCCTGGGATATCTCCACTTCTCCCCTCTGCCTGTAGCAATGTTCCACTGAGCCCATGTGGCCCGCCCACGCCTCACTGTGGCCCCGTTTTGGCTTGTGGGAGCCTTCCAAGAGAGACACAGGTACCCTGCTCCAAAGCCTGGAGTTTTACAGCCCACCCTGGACAGGCCACGAAGCTTCTAGTATTGGAGAGTCCTCCAGGGGAGGCTCCCTGCATTCCGTACGGCCTCATTATTTTTTCCCTTTGCCAGCCTCAACGTCCCGGTAAGGTTCTATGACTTACCCATGTTACCCTGCAGCCCTGTTTTTGCTTGTTGAGGCTTTCTGCGAGAGACACAGCCACGCTGCTCCAAAGCCTGGTGCTTTACAGCCTGCCCCAGACAGCCCTGGGGGCTTCTGGGATGGCAGAGACCTTTTAAGGAGGCTCCCTGCAGTGTCACCGGGTCTCCCCTCTCTCTGCCTCAATGTACCCCTGAGTCCCTGCGGCTTGCCCACGCCACTCTACTGCCTTGTTTTCGCTCATGGGGTCTTCACGCGAGAGACATAGGCAACCTGCTCCAAAGCCTAGGGCTTTACTGCATGCTAGGGATAGCCCTGAGGGCTTCTGGGATAGGAGAGGCTTCCTTGTGATGCTCCCAGCATTCCCTGCAGTCTCGACGTTTCTCCCCTCTGCATGGCTCAATGTCCCCCTGAGTCCCTGCAGCCCGCACATGCCACGCTACTGCCCCATTTTTGCTGGGGCGGGGGTGGGGGGGCCTTCCGCTAGAGACACAGGCATCCTGCTGCAAAACCTAGAGTTTTACACACTCCAGGACAGACCAGGGGGCTTCTGAAATGCGAGAGTCCTCCTCCTTGGGAGGCTTCCAGCATTTCCTGTGGTGTCACAGCTTCTCCCCTCTGCCTGCCTCAAGATCACCTTGAGTCCCTGAGGCCCACCAACGTTGTTACCCTGTGGCCCGCCATGTCACCTGGCGGCCCTGTTTTTGCTTGTTTGGGCTTTTATGAAAAACAAAGTCACTCTGCTCCAAAGCCTGGAGCTTTACAATCTGCATAGGAAACACCTGGGGGTCCAGGGATAAGAGAGGCCTTCTTGGGAAGCTCCCAGCACTCCCTGCGGTCTCGTCGCTTCTCCCCTCTGCCAGTCTCAATGTCCCACTGAGTCCCTGCGGCCTGCTTACGCCACACTGCTGGCCCGTTTTCTCTTGTGGGAGCCTTCTGCTAGAGACATTGGCATGCTGTTTCAAGACCACCACGTCCGGGACAGTCCTGGAAGATTCTGGGATGAAAAAGGCCTCTTTGGGAGCTGTAAAGCTCCCAGCCTACACAGCGGTCTCGCCGCTTCTCCTCTCTGCCTGTCTTAACTTCCCCCTGAGTCCCTGTGGCCCTCAAACCCACACTGCGGCCACATTTTTGCTAGTGGGTGCCTTCCGCTAAAGACAAAGTCACCTCACTTCAAAACCTGAAGCATTACAGCTTGACTGGGACAGTCCTGGGGACTTCTCTGATAGGAGTGGCCTCCTTGGGAGGCTCCCAGTATTCCCTGTGGTCTTGCCGCTTCTCCTTTCTGCCTGCCTCAACCTATCCTTGAGTTTCTGTGGCCTATGAATGCCACCTTGCCACCCCGTTCTCTTTTGGGGGTCTTTCATTAGAGACACATGCACCCTGCTCCAAAGGTTGGAGTATTACAGCCCACCTGGGACAGCCTTGAGGGCTGCTGGGACAGAAGAGGCCTCCTTGGGAGGCTCCCAGCATTTCCTGTGGTCTCACCTCTTCTCCCCTCTGCCTGTCTCAATGTCCGCGTTTGTCGCTGCAACCTCCACATGCCACCCTGCAGTCCTGTTTCCACTT
This sequence comes from Homo sapiens, assembly GCF_000001405.40. Taxonomy (NCBI): domain Eukaryota; kingdom Metazoa; phylum Chordata; class Mammalia; order Primates; family Hominidae; genus Homo; species Homo sapiens. The sequence continues at coordinate 46,198,271 of NC_000008.11, read as the reverse complement.
GTTGGGGCCTTTTGCGAGACACATGTGCCCGGTTCCAAAGCCTGGGGCTTTACAGCCCTCCCAGGACAGTGCTGCAGGTTTCTGGGATGGGAGGCTCCCAGCATAAGCTGCAGTCTTGCTGCTTCCCTTTCTGGCTTCCTCAAGGTCATCCTGAGTTTATGCCTTTTGCCCAGGCCACCCTGAGGCCCCGTTTTCGCTAGTGGTGGCCTTCTGCTAAAGACATAGGCACCCTGCTTCAAAACCTGAAGCTTTACAACACGCCCAAGACAGTCCTGGGATCTTCTGGGATGAGAGAAGCCTTTTTGGAAGGCTCCAAGCATTCGCTGCAGTCTCGCCGCCTCTCTTCTCTGCCTACCTCAATGGAACCCTGAGTTCTTGCCACCCGCCCATGCCACCCTGCAATCCCGTTTTTGCTTTCGGGGTACTTCCACGAGAGATACAGGCACCCTGCTCTAAAGACTGCATCTTTACAGCCCTCCCGTGAGAGCATTGTGGGATTTTGGGATGGGAGAGGCCCCCTTCTAAGGCTTCCAACATTTCCTGCCGTCTTGCCTCTTCTCCCCTCTGCCTTCCTCAACGTTCGACTTAGCCCCTGCGGCTCGGCCAGGCCACTCTGCTGTTCGGTTTTCATATGTGGGGGTCTTCCCTCAGAGACACAGTCACCGTGCTCCAAAGCCTGAGGCACTACAGCTCGTCAAAAACAGACCTGGAAGCTTCTGGGATAGGAGAGGCTTGTGAGGCTCCCAGCATTCCCTGCATGTCTCCACTTCTCCCCTCTGCCTGCCTCAACGTCTCCCTGAGTCTCTGCAGCTGGCCACGCCACCCGGCTGCTCGTTGTCTCTTTGGGGTCTTCCGTGAGAGACACAGGCACCCTGCTGCAAAGAGTGGGGCATTACAGCCCGTCAGGGATAGCCCTGGTGGATTCTGAGGGGGAAAAAGCGTCCTTGGGAGGCTCCAGCCTTTCCTGTGATCTCACCGCTGCTTTCCTCTGCCTGCCTTAACATCCCCCTGAGTCCCTGCGGTTCTCCCACGCACCCTGCTGCCCGCCCACTCCACTGTGCTGCCCCGTTTTTGCTGCTCCCCCACAAACCTGCCTCAACATCATCCTGAATCCCTGCCTCCCGCCCACGCATTGCGCCCCGTTTTCGCTTGTGTGGGCCTTCTGCAAGAGACACTGGCACTCTTCTCTGAAGCCTGAGGCTTTACAGGCTGCCTGGGACACACCTTGGGGCTTCTGGGAAGGGAGAGGCCTCCTTTGGACGCTCCCAGCATTTCCTGGGATCTCATCGCCTCTCACCTCTGCCTGCCTCAACGTCCCTTTGAGTCCCTGTGGCTCTCCCACACCACACTGCGGCCCCGTTTTTGTACATCGGGGTCTTCCACGACAGACAAGAAAACCCTGCTACAAAGCCTGGGGCTTTACAGTATGCCCAGGACAGCCCTGGAGGCTTCTGGTATGGGAGACGCCTTCTTGTTAGTCTCCCAGCATTCCCTGTGATCTCGCCGCTTCCTTCCTCTGCAGGTCTCAACCTCCCCCTGAGTCCCGGGGACATGCTTATGCCATACTGCGGCCCCGTTTTCGCTTTTGGGAGCCTTCTGCTAAAGACACAGGAACGCCGCATCAAAACCTGAAGCATTACAGCATGCCCGGAACAGAACTGGGGGCTTCTGGGATGGAAGAGGCATCCTTGGGAGGCTCCCAGCATTCGCTGCAGTGTCGCCGCTTCTCCCCTCTGCCAACCTCAAGGTCACCCTGAGTCCCTGCGGCCTGCCCACACCACACTGCGGTCCCGTTTTTGCTTGTGGAGGCCTTCTGGTAGAGACACAGGCACCTTGCTTCAAAACCTGCAGCAAGACAGCACTCCTGGGACAGTCCTATGGACTTCTGGAATAGAATAGGCGTCCTTGGGAGGCTCCCAGCTTTTCCTGCAGTCTCAGCACTTCTCCCCTTTGCTGGCTTTAACATCCCCCTGAGACCATGCGGCCCGCCCACCCGACCTTGACACCCCGTTGTCTCTTTTGGGGATCTTCCACGAGAGTCACAGGCACCCTGCTCCAAAGACTGGGGCATTATAGCCTGTGTGGAACAGCCCTGGGTGCTTCTGGGATGGGAGAGGACCCCAGGGGAGGCTCCCAGCATTCCCTGGGACCTCCAGCTTTTCCCCTCTGCTTGACTCAACGTCCCTCTGAGTCCTAGTGTCCCTCCCACGCCACACTGAGTCCCTGATTTCCCTTGTGGGAGCCTTCCTCTAGGGACACAGGCACGCTTCTCTAAAGCCTGGGGCTTTACAGCCCACCCGGGACAACCCACAGGGCGTCTGGGATAAGAGAGGCCTCCAGGGGAGGATCCCTGTTTCCCTGTGGTTTGCCGATGCCACCCTACAGCCTCGTTTTTGCTTGTGGGCACTTTCCACGAGAGACACAGGGACCCTGCTTCAAAGCCTAGGGCTTTACAGCATGCTTGGGACAGCCCAGAGGACTTCTGGGCTGGGAGAAGCTTCCTTAGGTTGCTCTCAATATCCCCTGTGGTCTCAACGCCTCTCCCCTCTGCATGATTCAATGTCCCCCTCAGTTCCTGCGGCCCACCCACGTCACCCTGCCTCCTGTTTTTGCTAGTGGGGGCCTTCCGCTAGAGACACAGGCACCCTGCTTTAAAGCCTGGGTCTTTACAGTCTGCCCAGGACAGCCTTGGGGGATTCTGGGATGGGAGAGGCTTCCTTGGGAGGCTCCCAGCATTCCCTGCATTCTTGTCCCTTCTCCCCTCTGCCGGTCTCAACATCTCCCTGAGTCCCTGAGGCCCACCTATGCCACCCTGATGCCCCGTTGTGCCTTTTCGGATTCTTCGGCAAGAGGCACAGGCACCCTCCTCCAAAGCCTGGGACATTACAGCCCTTCCAGGACAGCCCTGAAGGCTTCTGGGTTGGGAGAGATGTCCTTGGGAGGCACCCGGAATTCCCTGTGGTCTCGCTGCTTCTTCGCTCTGCCTGCCTCAACGTCCCCCTGAGTCGCTGCAGCCCAACAATGCACTCTGCAGCCCGTCCGCGCCACACTGCAGCCCTGTTTTCCCTTGTTTGGGACTTTTGGGAAAAACACAGGCATGACGCTTCTAAGCCTGGGGTTTTACAGCCCACTCAGAACAGTCCTGGGGACTTCTGGGATGGGAGAGGCCTCCTTGGGAGGCTCCCAGCATTCCCTGCTGTCTCGCCCCTTCTCTCCTGTGCCTGCCTCGTCAACCTGAGTCCCTGACGGCCGACCACCCCACCCAGCATCCCTGTTTTCACTTGTGGGGACCTTCCAAAAGAAACACAGGCACCCTGCTCGAAAGCCTGGGGCATTACAGCCCATTTGGGATGGACCTGGGGGTTTCTGGGATGACAGAGGCTTCCTTGGGAGGCTCCCTTCATTTCCTGAGGTCTCGCCATTTCTCCCCTCTGCCAGCCTCAACGTCCCCCTGAATCCCCTCCACCCGCTCATGCCAACCTGCTTCCCTATTGTGTCTTTTGGGATTCTTCCCCAAGAGACACATGCACCCTGCTCCAAAGCCTGGGGCATTACAGCCAGTCCGAGACAGCCCTGGGGCCTTCTGAGATGGGATAGGCGTCCTTGGGAGGCTGCCAGCATTCCCTGTGGTCTTGCCGCTTCTCCCCTCTGCCTGCCTCAATGTCGCCCTGAACCCCTGAGTCCCACCCACGCCACTATGAGGATCACCCACGCTACACTGCAGCCCTGTTTTTGCTTGTTTGGGCTTTTTGCGAGAAACACAGGTACCCTGCTCCAAAGCCTGGGGCTTTACAGCCCACCAGAAACAGTCCTGGGGACTTTTGGGATGTGAGAGGCCTCTTTGGGAGGCTCCCAGCATTCCCTGCAATCTAGCCGCTTCCAACGTCTGCCTGCCTCAGTGTCACCCTGAGTCCATGCTGCACACCCACTCCTATATGCGGCACCGTTTTCGCTTGTGGGGCCTTCCGTGAAAGACACAGGCACGCTTCATTGATGCCTGGGGCTTTATAGCCTGCTGGGGATAGGTTTGGGGGCTTCTGGTATGGCAGAGGCATTTTTGGGGCGTTCCCAGCATTCCCTGGGTTCTCACCGCTTCTTCCCTCTGCCTGCCTCAACGTCCTCCTGAGTTCCTGCGGCCCTCCCACGCCATCCTGTGGCCCTGTTTTTGTGTGTGGAGGCTTTCCGCGACCGACATAGACACCCTGCTCCAAAGCCTTGGGCTTCACTGCCGGCCTGGGGCAGCACTGGGGGCTTCTGGGATGGAAGAGGCCTTTTAAGGAGGCTCCCAGCATTCCTGCAGTGTTGCCAAGTCTACCCTCTGTCTGAGTCAATGTTCCCCTGAATCCCTGAAGCTGGCCCATGCTACCCTACAGCCACGTTTTCACTTTCAGGGGCTTTCCGTGTGAGACACAGGCACTCTGCTCCAAAGACTAGTGCTTTTCAGCGTGCCCAGACAGCCCTGAGGGCTTCTGGGATTGGAGAGGTCTCCTTGGAATGTTCCCAACATTCCCTGCTGTGTTGACGCTTTTCCACTCTGCACAGCTCAATGTCTCCCTGAGTTTCTGAGGTTCACCCATGCCACCCTACGGCCCCTATTTCGCTAGTGGGGACCTTCCGCTAGAGGCACAGTCACCCTGCTTCAAAACCTGAAGCTTTACAGCACACCCTGGACAGTCCTGTGTGCTTCTGGGATGGAGAGGCCTCCTTGGGAGGCTCCCAGCATTTTCTTTGATTTCACCGCTTCCCCACTCTACCTGCCTCAAGGTTACCCTGAGTCACTGCCGCTCTCTAACGCGACCCTGCGGCCCTGTTATTCTTGTGGGTGCTTTCTGCGAGAGACACAGGCACCCTGCTCCGAAGCCTGGGGCTGTGTAGCCTGCCGGCGACACAACTGGGGGCCTCTGGGATGGGAAAGGCGTCCTTGGGAGGCTCCCAGCATTCCCTGCGTTCTCACCGTTTCTCCCCTCTGCCTCCCTCAACGTCTCCCTAAGTCTCTGTGGCCCACCCATGTCACCCTGCAGCCCTGTTTTCACTTGTGGGGGATTTTAGCGAGAGACACAGGCACACTGCTGCAAAGCCTGGGTCTTTACATCCCACCCAGGACAGTACCATGTTCTGGGATGGAAGAGGATTCCTTGGCAGGCTCCCAGGATTCCCTGCAGTCTAACCACTTCCTCTTCTGTTTGCCTCAAAGTCACCCTGAGTCCCGGCCACTCTCCCACGCCACCCCGCGGCCCCTTTTTTGCTAATGGGGGCATTCCGTGGGAGACACTGGCACTCTGCTCCAAAGCCTGGGGTTTTCAGCCCTCCCAGGACAGCTCAGGGGGCTTTCGCGACGGGAGAGGCATCCTTAGACTACCAGCATTCCCTGCAGTCTTGCTGCTTATTTGCTCTTCCTGCCTCAACGTCCCAGTGGGTTTCTGTGGCCTGCCCTCGCCACCCTGCGGCCCCGTTTTTGCTTGTCAAGGCCTTCCACGAGAGATACAGGCACTCTGCTCCAAAGCCTGGTGCCTTACAGCCCACCCGGGACAACCCTGGGACTTCTAGGATATGAGATGTCTTTCATGGAAGTTTCCAGCATTCCCTACGGTATCGCCGTGTCTCCCCTCTGTCTGCCTCAATGACCCCATGAATCCCTGTGGCTTGCTCACGCCATGCTTCAGCCTAGTTTTCGCTAGTGGGGGCTTTCTGAGAGAGACACATGAACCCTGCTTCAAAGCCTGAAGCTTTACAGAATGCCCAGGACAGTCCTGGGGGATTCTGGGATAAGAGAGGCATTCTTGGGAGGCTCCCAGCATTTCCTGTGTTCTCGTTCCTTCCCCCTCTGCAGGCTTCAACGTCCCCCTGAGTTTCTAAGGCCCACCCAAGCCACACTGCAGCTCTGTTTTCACTGTTGTGGGCCTTCTACTAGAGACACAGTCACCCTGCTTCAAAACCTGAAGCATTCCAGCACACTTGGGACAGTCCTGGGTGCTTCTGCATTGGGGAGTCCTTGTTGGGAGGCTCCCAACATTCCCTGAGTTCTCGCCACGTCTGTTTGCCTGCCTTAACATCCCCCTAAGCCCCTGTGACCTGCCCACACCGCCCTGTTGCCCGCTCGCGCCACTCTGCGGACCTGTTTTCACTTGTGGTGGCTTTTTGCGAGTGATGCAGGCATCTTGCTTCAAAGCTCGGGGCACTACAGCCCGCCTGGAATAGTCCTGGGGCTTCTGGGATGGGAGATGCGTTATTGGGAGGCTCCCAGCATTCCCTGTGGTCTCACCACTTTCCCCTCTGCCTGCCTCAACCTCACACTGAGCCTTTTCCACCTGCCCACGCCACCCTGCAGCCCTATTTTTGCTAGTGGAGGTCTTCCGCTGGAGATACAGGCACCCTGCTCCAAAGGTTTACAGCATGCCTGGTACGGTCCTGGGGGCTTCTGGGATGGGAGAGGCCTCCTTGAGAGGCTCCCAGCATTCCCTGCGGTGTTGCCGCTTCTCCCCACTACCTGGGTCAACGTCACCCTGAGTCCCTGCCACCTGCACACACCACCGTGCGTCCCCGTTTTTGCTTATGGGGGCTTTTTGCGAGAGACACAGGCACACAGTTCCGAAGCCTGTGGCGATACAGTGCACCCAGGACAGTCCCCGGGGCTTCTGGGATAAGAGAGGCCCCCTTGGGAGGCTGCCTGCATTCCCTTCAGTCACACCACTTCCCCCTCTGCCTGCCTTAACGTCACCATGAGTTCCTGCTACCTGTCCACGCGACCCTGAGGCCCCTCTTTCGCTAGTGCAGTACTTCCGCTAGAGACACAGGCACCCTGATTCAAAACCTGAAATTTTACAGCACTCCTGGGAAAATCCTGGGACTTTTGAGATGGGAGTGGCCTCAATGGGAGGCTCCCTGCATTCCCTGCGGTCTCGCCACTTCTCCCCTCTGCCGGACTCAACTTCACACTGAGTACCTGCCACAAGCCCAGCCCACCCTCTGGCCTTTCCATGCCACTTTTTGGCCATGTTTTCACTTGTTTGGGCCTTTTGCAAGAACCACAGGCAACCCGCTCCAAAACCAGGAATGTTACAGCCTTCCTGGGACAGTCCTGGGGACTTCTGGGATGGGAGAGGCATCCTTGAGAGGCTCCCAGCATTGCCTGCAGTCTTGCTGCTTCTCCCCTCTGCCTGTCTTAACATCCCCCTGAGTACCTGCTGCCCACCTATGCCGCACCACGGCCCCGTTTTGGTTGGTGGAAGCCTTTTTCGAGAGACACAGGCACTCTGCTCAAAAGCCTGAGGCTTTGCACCCCTCTTGGCACAGCCCAGGGGGCCTCTGGAATGGGAGAGGCCTCCAGGGGAGGCTACAAGCATTTCCAGCAGTTTCGCTGTTTCTCTCTTCTTCCTGCCTCAACGTCCCCGTGAGTCCCTATGGCTTTCCCACGCATGCCACACTGCAGCCCCGTTTTTGTTTGTGGAGGCCTTCCATGAGAAACACAGGCAATCTGCTTTAAAGGATGTTGCTTTGCAGTCCTCCAGGGACAGCCCTGGGGGCTTCTGGGATGGGAGATGCCTTTTAGGGAGGCTACCAGGACTCCATGCGGTGTCGTCCTGTCTCCCGTCTGTCTGCCTCAACATCCCTCTGAGTCCCCGCAGCTTGCCCACGCCACTCTACGGCCTCGTTTTTGCTTGTTGGGGCTTTCCGTGGGAGACACAGGCACACTGCTTCAAAACCTGAAGCTTTATGCACGCCTGGGACAGTCCTATGGGCCTCTGGGATGAAAGAGGCCTCCTTGGGAGGCTCCCTGCATTCACGGCCATCTCACCACTTCTGCCCTCTCCCTGACTCAATGTCACCCTGAGTTTCTGTCACCAGCCTACACCACCCTGAGTCCCACCCATGCCACCCTGTGGTGTGCCCAAGCCACGCTGCAGCCCTGTTTTCACTTGTTTAGGCCTTTTGTGAGAACCACAGGCACAGTGCTCCAAAGCCTGGAACTTTACAGCCCGCCCAAGACAGTCCTGGGGACTTCTGAAATGGGAGAGGTCCTTGGTAGGCTCCTAGCATTCCCTGCGATCTCGCTGCTTCTTCCGTCTGCCGGTCTCAACGTCCTTCTGAGTCCCTGCAGCCTGTGCACTCCACAATCCGGCTCCATTTTCGCTAGTGGGGGCTTTCTGCTAAAGACACAGTCACACTACTTCAAAACCTAAGTCATTACAACAGGCCCGAGGCAGTCCTAGGGGCTTCTGGGATGGAAGAGGCCTCCTTGGGTGGACCCCAGAGTTTCCTGCAGTCTTGCGCCTTCTCTCCTCTGCCTGGTTCAACGTCACCCTGAGTCCCTGCCGCCCGCCCACACCACCCTACGGCCTCTTTTTTGCTTGTGGTGGCCTTCTGTGGTGGACACAGGATCCCTGCTCCAAAGCCTCAGGCTTTACAACCTGCACGGGACACCATTGAGGGTTTCCAAAATGAGAGAGGCCTTTTTCGGAGGCTCCCATAATTTTCTGCAATCTTTCCGCTTCTCTCCTTTGCCTGCCTCAACATTCCCCTGTGTCCCTGCAGCCCACCCACGCCACTCTGCGACTTGCCTACACAATTCTGCATCCCTGTTTTTGCGTGTGGGGCCTTTTGCGAAAGACACAGGCACCCTGCTTCAAAACCTGGGGCTTTACAGCCCCCTGGGACAGTTTGGGGGCTTCCGGGATGGGATGGGGCCTCCTTGGAAGGCTCCCAGCATTCCCTGCTGTCTCATCACTTCCCCATCTGCCTGACTCAAAGTCTCCCTGAGTCCTTGCCACTCGCCCACGCCACCCTGCAGCCCCGTGTTCGCTAGTGAGGGGCTTCCACTAGAGACACAGGCACCCTGCTTCAAAACTTGAAGCTTTACAGCATGCTCTGGGAAGTCCTGGGGGCTTCTGAAATTGGGGGGGCATCCTGGGGAAGCTCCCTTTGCCTACCTCAACATCACCCTGAGTAACTGCAGCCCACCTAAGCCACCCTGTGGCCCCGTTTTTGCTTGTGGGGGCCTTCCATGAGAGACAGACACCCTGCTTTGAAGCCTGGGGCTTTACAGCCTGCCCTGGACACACCTGGGTGTCTCTGGGTTGGGAGAGGTCTCACTGGGATGCTTGCAGCATTCCCGGCAGTCTCCCCACTTCTCCTCTCTGTCTGCCTCGATGTCCCCCTGAGTCCCTGTGTCCCTCCAACGCCACCCTGCTTCCCCGTTTTTGCAAGTGGTCGCCTTCAGCGAGAGATATAGGCACCCTATTCCAAGCCTGGGACTTTACAGCCTGCCCACAACAGCCCTGGAGGTTTTTAGGATGGAAGAGGCATCCTTGGGAGGCTCTCAGCATTCCCTGCAGTCTCGCTGCTTCTCCCCTTTGCCTGCCTCAATGTCCCCCTAAATCCCTGTGGCAGAGGGGTGAAGCAGCGAGACTGAATGGAATGCTGGGAGCCTCCCAAGGATGCCTCTCCCTTCCAGAAACCCACAAGTCTGTCCTGGGCATGCTGTACATCTTCAGGTTTTGAAGCAGGGTGCCTGTGTCTCTAGCAGAAGGACCCCTAGCGAAAACGAGGCAGCAAGGTGGTGTGGGCGGTGTCAGGGCTTCATGGTGACGTTGAGGCAGGGAGAGGGGAAAGCGGTGAGACTGCAGGGAATGCTAGGAGCTTTCCAAGGAGGTCTCTCCCATCCCAGAAGTGCCCAGCACTGTGCCGTGGGGGCTGTAAAGACCTAGGCTTTGGAGCAGTGTGCCTGTGTCTCTCGCAAAAGACCTCCACAAGCAAAAATGGGGTCGCAAGGTGGTGTGGGTGGGCCGCAGGGTGGCACGGTCAGGCTGCAGGGACTCAGGGTGATGTAGAGGCAGGCAGTGGGGAGGAGCGGCCAGACCATAGGGAACGCTGGGAACCTCCCAAGGAGGTCTTTCCCATCTGAGAAGCTCCCAGGGCTGTCCTGGGCGGGCTGTAAAGCCCCAGTCTTCGGTGCAGGGTGCCTTCCTCTCTCAAGGAAGACTCCCAAAAAAGACAATAGGGCGGTAGGATGGTGTGGGCGGGCCACAGGGACTCAGGGGGATGTTGAGGTAGGCAGGGGGGAAACCACGAGACTGCAGGGAATGCTAGGAGCCTCCCAAAGGGGCCTATCCCATCCTAGAAGCCCACGGTACTGTCCCGGCTGGAATGTAAAGCACCAGGCTTTGGAACAGGGTGCCTGTGTCTCTTGCAAAAAGCACCCACAAGAGAAAACAGGGCTTCAGTGTGGGGCGGGCGGGTTGTATGTTGCCACTGGCGGGCCGCAGTGACTCAGGGGGATGTTGAGGCTGGCAGAGAGGAGAAGCATTGAGACCAGAGGGAATGCTGGGAGCCTCCCAAGGAGTCCTCTTCCATCCCAGAAGCCTCCAGGGTTGTCACAGGTGGGCTGTAATGCCCCAGGCTTGGAGCAGGCTGCCTCTGGCTGAAGGCACCAACGTGCAATAACGGGGCGGCAGGGTGCTGTTGAAGGGCCACAGGGACTCAGGGGAACTTTGAGGCAGGAAGAGGGGAGAAGCAGTGAGACTGCAGGGAATGCTGAGTGTGTCCCAAGGAGGCATCTCCCATCCCAGAGGCACTTCGGTGTGTTTCAGGTATGCTGTAAAGCTTCGGGTTTTGGAGCAGAGTGCTTGTGTATCCCACAAAGGCCCCCACAAGCAAATACAGGGTCGCAGAATTTTGTGGGTGGGCCACAGGGTGACATGGGCAGACCGCAGGGACTCAGGGGGACATTGAGGCAGGCAAAGGTGAGAAGCAGCGACTTTGCAGGGAATGCTGGGAGCCTCCCTGGAGGCCTCTCTTATCCCATAAGCCCCCAGGGCTGTCCCGTGCAGGTTGTAAAGCCCGAGGCTTTGTAGTAGGGAAACTGTGTTTCTTGAGGAAGGCCCTCATATGCAAAAATGGGGCCATAGGGTGGTGTTGGAGGGCTGCAGGGACTCAGGGGGACATTGAGACAGGCAGAGGTGAGAAACGGGGAGGCAGTGTGACGTGGGTGGGCCACAGGGACTCAGGGTGACGTTGAAACAGGCAGAGGGGAGAAGCAGTGAGACCACAGGGATGCTGGGAGCCTCCCAAGGATGACTGTCCCATCCCAAAGTTCCTGGATCTGTTCTGGGTGGGCGGTAAAGCACCAGGCTTTGGAGCAGAATGCCTGTGTCTCTTGCGGAAGACCTCCACCAGCAAAAAACGGAGCTGCAGCATGGCGTGGGTGGACCACAGGGACTCACGGGGACTTTGAGGCAGGCAGAGGGAAGAAGCTGCTAGCCCGCAGGCTGGGAGCCTCTCCTGAAGGCCTGTCTCATCCCAGAAGCCTCCTGGCTTGTCCCGGACAGACTGTAATGCCCCAGGCTTTGGAGCAGGGTGCCTGTGTCTCTCCTGGAAAACCCAAAAAAAGAAACAACCGGGCTGAAGGGTGGCATGGGAATGCCTCAGGGACTCAGGGAGATATTGAGGCATTCAGAAGGGAGAAATGGCGAGATGGCAGGGAATGCTGGGAACCTCTCAAGGACGACTTTCCCATCCCAGAAGCTTCCTGGTCTGTCCTGGATGGACTGTAATGCCTTAGGCTTTGGAGCAGGGTGCCTGTGTCTCTCACAGAGGGCCCCTACAAGTGAAAACAGGCAGGCAGGGTGGCCTGGGCAAGCCACGGAGACTCAGGTTGATGTTGAGGCAGGCAGAGGGAAGAAGCAGCAAGACCGCACAAAATGCTGGAAGCCTATCAATGAGTCCTTTCCCATACCAGAAGCCCCCAGGACTGTCCCAGGTGTTCTGTAAAGTTTCAAGTTTTAAAGCAGGGTGCCTTGTCTCTAGTGGAAGGCCCCCACTAGTGTAAATGCTAGCATAAACGTGGCGGAAGGGTGGCCTGGGCGGGTGGAAAGGACTCAGGGTGACGTTTAGGCAGGCAGAAAGGGAAGTGCCAAAACCACAGGGAATGATGGGAGCCTCTCAAGAAGGCGTCTCCCTTCCCAGAAGCCCCCAGGACTGTCCCGAGGGCACTGTAAAGCCCCAGGCTTTGGAGAAGGGTGTCTGTGTTTCTCACAAAAGGCCCAAACAAGTGAAAACTGGGTCGCAGGGTAGTGTGGGCAGGCCGCAGGGACTCAGGGGGATGTTGAGGGAGGCAAAGGGGAGAAGCAGCAAGACTGCAAGGAATGCTGGCAGTTTTCCAATGATGCCTCTTCTTTCCCAGAAACCTTCAGGGCTGTCCTGGATAGGCTCAAAGTCCCCAGGCTTTGGACCAGGGTGCCTGTATCTCTCTCGGAAGACCACCAAAGAGACAACAGAGCTGCAACGTGGCATGGGCGAGCCTCAGGGACTCAAGGAAACTTTGAGGCAGGCAGAGGGTAGAAGTGGCGAGACCACAGGGAGTACTGGGAGCCTCCCAAGGAGACCTCTCTCCTCCCAGAAGGCCCCAGGACTGTCCCCGGGCATGCTGGAAAGCTTCAGTTTTTGAAGCAGGCTACTAGTGTTTCTAGCAGAAAGCCCCCACAAGCAAAAATGAGGCCGTAAGGAGGCGTGGGCAGTGGCAGGTTCTCAGAGGGACATTGCGGCAGACAGAGGGAAGACGAGGCGACACCACTGGGAATGCCAAGAACCTCCCTAAAAGGCCTTTCACATCTCAGAAGCCTCCTGGGATGTCCTTGGCAGGTTGTAAAGTCCCAGGCTTTAGAGCAGGTTGTCTGTGTCTGGCAGAAGGCTCCCACAAGTGAAAACGGGGCTGCAGTGTGGCTTGGGCATGCCACAGGGACTCAAAGGGATGTTAACACAGTCAGAGGGGATAAGTGGTGAGACCTGAAGGAATGCTGGGAGCCTCCCAATGACCCCTCTTTCATCACAGAAGCCCTCTGCCTGTCCCAGACGAGTTGTACTGCCACAGGCATGGGAGCAGCATGCCTGTGTCTCTCAAGCAAGGCCCCCACAAGCGAAAACGTGGCAGCATGGTGGCCTGGGAGAGCCGTAGAAACTCAGGGGACGTTGAGGTCGGGAACTGGGAAAAGCGCCGAGACAGCAGGGAATGCTGGAAGCCTCCCAAGGGAACGTTGTGGCAAGCAGAGGGGAAAAGCAGTGAGACCGCAGGGAATGCTGGGAGCATCCCAAGGAGCCCTCTTCCATCCCAGAAGCCACCAGGTATGTCCTAGGCATGGTGTAAACCCCAGGCTTCAAAGTAGAGTGCCTGTGTCTCTCCTGGAAGACTCCCACTAGGAAAACGAGGCAGCATGGTGGCGTGGCAGGCAGCAGGGACTCAGGGTGATGTTGAGGCAGGCAGAGGGGGGAAGCGTTGAAATCAAAGGGAATGCTGGGATCCTACCGAGGCAGCTTCTCCCATCCCAGAAGTCCCCAGGACTGTCCTGGGGAGGCTGTAAAGCCCCAGGCATTGAAGCAGTGTGCCTGTGTTTCTCGAGGAAGGTTCCCACAAGCGAAATGGGGATGCAGGGTGGCCTGGGCGAGCCACAGAGACTCAGAGGAACGTTGAGGGAGGCAGAAGGGAGATGCAGCGAGACCAAAGGATATGACTGAGCCTCCCAAGGAGAACTCTCCTATCGCAGAAGCCCACAGGGCTATCCCGGGCAGGTTGTAAAACCCCAGCTTTTGAAGCAGGGAGACTGGGTCTCTCGAGAAAGGCCCCCAGATGTCAAAACGGGGCCCCAGGGTGGCATAGGAATGCCGTAGGGACTCAGGAGAACGTTGAGACAGGCAGTGGGGAGAAGCAGTGAGACCACAGGGAATGCTGGGAGCCACCCAAGGAGGCTTCTCCCATCCCAGAAGCACCGAGAACTGTCCCAGACATGTTGTAATGCTTCATATTTTCAGGCAGGGCGCCTGTGTCTCTAGCAGAAAGCCCTCACTAGAAAAAAACGGGGCCCCAATGTGGCATGCACGGGCCACAGGGATTCAGGAGGACATTGAGGCTGGCAGAGGGGAGAAGCAATGAGACCGCAGGGAATCTGGGAGCCTTTCAAGTAGGCCTCTCCCATCGAGAAGCCCCCAGGACTGTCCCAGGCATGCTACACTTCAGATTTTGAAGCAGGGTGGCTGTGTCTCTAGTGGAAGGCTCCCACCAGCAAAAACAGCACCACAGTGTGGCATGGGCAGGCTGCAGGGATTCAGGGGGACGTTGAGTCTGGCAGAGGGGAGAAGTGGCAAGACCACAAGGAATTCTCAGAGCCTCCCAAAAAGGCCACTCCCATCCCAGAAGCCTCTCGGACTGTCTCAAGAAGGCAGTAAAGCCCCAGTTTTTGGAGCAGGGTGCCTGTGTCTCTCGCAGAAAGAACCCACAAGCAAAGACTGGGCCAAATGGTGGTGTGGGCGGGTGGCAGTCACTCAGGGTGACGTTGAGGCAGGCAGAGAGGGGAAGTGGCGAGACATCAGGGAAAGCTGGGAGTCTCCCAAGGAGGCCTCTCTTATGCCAGAATTCCTCAGAACTGTCCCAGGCGGGCTGTACACCTCAGGCTTTGGAGCAGGGTGCCTGTGTTTCTCAGGAAAGGCCCAAATAAGCAAAAACTAAGCTGCAGGGTGGTGTGGTCTGGCTGCAGGAGAATGCCATTCCCCTGAGTCCCTACGGCATTCACATGCCAACCTGCAGCCCCGTTTTGACATGCGGGGGCCTTCCACCAGAGGGACATAGAGGCAGGCAGAGGGGAGAAGCAGCGAGACCACAGGGAATGCTGGGAGCCTTCCAAGAATGCCTCCCCCATCCCAGAAGCCCCCAGGTCTGTCCTTGATGAGCTGTAATGCCCCAGGCTTTGGAGTAGGGTGCCTGTGGCTCTCGCGGAAGACCCCCAAAGAGACAACAGGGCAGCAGGGTGGCGTTGGTGGGCCGCAGGGACTCAGGGAGATGTTGAGACCGGCAGAGGGGAGAAGCAGTGAGACTGCAGTGAATGCTGGCAACCTCCCAAGGAGATGTCTCCCATCCCAGAAGCCTCCTGTCTGTCCTGGACGGGATGTAGTGCCCCAGGCTATGGAGCAGGGCGCCTCTGTCTCTGTCTCTCACGAAAGGCACCCACAAGTGAAAACTGGGCCGCAGGGTGGACTGGCGAGCCCCAGGGACTCAAGTAAACATTGAGGCAGGCAGACAGGAGAAGCCGGGAGACCGCAGGGAATGCTGGGAACCTCCCAAAAAGTCTTCTCACATCCCAGAAGCCCCTAAAGCTTTCCTGGGAGGGCTGTAAACTCCTAGGCTTTGGAGCAGAGTGCCTGTGTCTCTCGCGAAAGGTCCTCACCAGCGAAAATGGGGCCGCAGGGTGGTGTGGGAGGGCGGCAGGGACTTAGGGTGACGTTGAGGCAGGCAGAGGGGAGAAATGGCAAGACTGCAGGAAATGCTGGGAGCCTCCTAAAGAGGCCTCTTTCATCCCAGAATCCCCCAGGACTGTCCCAGGCATGCGGTAAAGCTTCAGGCTTTGAAGCAGGGTGCCTGTGTCTCTCGAGGAAAGCCCTCACAAGTGAAAACGAGGCCATAGCGTGGCATGGGCAGGCCTCAGTTACTAACGGGGACGTTGAGGTGGGCAAACGGAATAAGCCACCAGACCACAGAGAATGCTGAGAGCCTCCCAAGAAGACCTCTTCCATCCTAGAAGCCCCCCGGCCTGTCCTGGACGAGCTGTAATGCCCCAGGCTTTGGAGCAGGATGCCTGTGTCTCTCACAGAAGTCACTCAAAACAGACAACGGGTTCACAAGTTTGCGTGGGCGGGTGGCAGGGACTCAGGGAGACGTTGAGATATGCAGCAGCGAGACAGCAGGGAATGGTGGGAGACTCCCCAAAAGGCCTCTCCTATCCCAGAAGCCCCCAGGTCTGTCCCAGACAGGCTGTAGTTCCCCAGAATTTGGAGGTGGGTGCCAGTGTCTCTCACAGATGGTCGCCACAAGCAAAAACGAGGCCATAGGGTGGCGTGAGCAAGCCACAGGGACTCAGAGGGATGTTGAGGCAGATAGAGGGGAGATGGGGTGACACTGCCGGGAATGCTGGGAGCCTCTCTAAAAGGCGTCTTCCATTCTGGAAGCTCCCAGGTCTGTCACGGGCTATCTGAAAAGCACCAGGCTTTGAAGCAGGATGACTGTGTCTTTCGTGGAATGCCTCCACAAGCAAAAACGGGACAGCAGGGTGGGCTGGGCAGGCCATAGAAACTAACTGGAATGTTCAGGCAGGCAGTGGGAAGAAGTGGCGAGACCGCAGATAATGTTGGGAGCCTCCTCTGGAGGCCTCTCCCATCCCAGAAGCCCCCTGGGCTGTTTGGAGTGGGCTGTATAGCACCAGGCTTTGGAGCAGATTGCCTGTGTCTCTCGCAGAAGGCTCCCAGAAGGCAAAATAGGGATGCAGTGTGGTGTGAGTGAGCCACGGGAACTCAAGGGACATCAAGGCAGGAAGAGGGAGAAGCAGTGAGACCGCAGGAAATGCTGGAAGCCTCCTGAGTTGGCTTCTCCCATTTAGAGGCCACGAGGACTGTCCCCAGTGTGCTATAATGCTTCAGGTTTTGAAGCAGGGTGCCTGTATCTCTAGCAGAAGGCCGCCACTAGCGAAAACTTGGCCTCGGTGCGGTGTGGACAGGACATAGGGACTCATGGGGATGTTGAGGCTGGCAGATGGGGGTAGCAGCGAGGCCGCAGGGAATGGTGGGAGACTTCCAAAGAGGCCTCTCCCATCCCCGAAGCCCCGACGACCGTCCTACGCAAGCTATGCCTCAGGTTTTGAAGCCGGGTACCTGTGTCTTTAGCGGAAGACTCCCACTAGCAAAAACAAGGCCACAGTGTGGCTAGTCCGGGCCACAGGGACTCAGGGGGACATTGAGACCGGCAGAGAGGAGAAGCGGCAAGACCACATGGAATGCTGGGAGCCTCCCAAGGAGGCCTTTCCCATCCCAGAACCCTCCCGGACTGTCCCAAGCAGGCTGTAAAGCCCCACGCTTTGGAGACCGGTGACTTTGTCTCTCACAGAAGGTCCGCACATGCAAAAATGGGGACGCAGTGTGGCATGCGAGGGCCGCCGAGACCCACGGGGACTTGAGCCATGCAAAGGGAAGAAGCATCGAGACCGCATGGAATGCTAGGAGCATCCCCAGAAGGCTTCTTTCATTCCAAAAGACGTCAGGGCTGTCCCGGGCATTCCGTAAAGCTCCAGGGTTTGGAGCAGTGCATCTGTGTCCCTCGCGGAAAGCCCCCACAGGCAAAAACGGGGCCTCAGGGTGGCGTGGGCAGGCCACAGGGATTCAGGGGGATGTTGAGATTGGCAGAAGGTTAACGCGGCGACACTGCAGGGAATGCTGGGAGACTCCCAAAAATGCCTCTCCCATCCCAGAAGCCCATAGGGTTGTCCTGGATGGGCTGTAATGCCCCAGGCTTTGGAGCAGATGGCCTGTGACTCTCTTGGAAGGACCCCACAAGCAAAAACAAGGCCACAGGGTGGTCTGGGTGAGCCGAGGGACTCAGGGGAACTTTGACTCAGGCAGAGGGGAGAAGCGGTGAGACCACAGGGAATGCTGGGAGCCTGTGTCTTTCTAGGAAGACCCCCAAAAGGGACAACAGGGTGGCAGGGTCACATGGGCGGGCCACAGGTATTCATGAAGACATTGAGGCAAGCAGAAGGGAAAAGGGGTGAAACCACAGGGAATGCTGGGAGCCTTCCAATAAGGTTTCTCCCATTCCAGAAGCCCCAAGGTCTGTCCAAAACAGGTGGTAGTGTCCCAGGCTTTGAAGAAGATCACCTGTGACTCTCTTGGAGGGTCCCCACAAGAGAAAACAAGGCCACAGGGTGGTCTGTGCGAGCCGAGGGACTCATGGGAACTTTGACGCAGGCAGAGGGGAGAAGCAGTGAGACAGCAGGGAATGCTGGGAGCCTCCCAAGGAGGCCTCTCCCATCCCAGAAGCCCACAGGGCTGTCCCAGGTGGGCTGTAAAGCCCCAAGCTTTGGGGCAGGGTGCTTATGTCTCTTGCAAAAGGCCCCCCCAAAGCAAAAACGGGTATGCAGGGTGGCATGGGAGGGCCACAGGGACCCAGGGGGAGGTTGAGGCAGGCTGATGGGGGAAGCAGCGAGATTGCAGGGGATGCTGGGAGCCTCCCAAGAAGGCCTTTACCATTCCGGAAGTCCCCAGGACTGTCCAGGGTGGGCTGTAAAACCCCAGGCTTTGAAGCAGAGTGGCTGTGTTGTTCACAAATGGCCCAAACAAGCGAAAACAGGGCCGCAGGGTGGAGTGGGCGGGCCGCAGTTTGGCGTGGGCAGGCAGCAAGGACTCAGGGGACATTGAGGGAGGCAGAGGGAAGAAGCTCTGAGACCTCAGGGAATGCTGAAAGCATCCCAAGGAGGTCTCTCCCATCCCAGAAGCTTCCAGTTCTTTTTCGGATGGGCTGTAGTGTCTCAGGCTTTGGAGCTGGGTGACTGTCTCCCGTGGAAGGCCCCCATATGCAAAAACGGGGCTGTAGGGTGGCGTGGACGGGCCACAGGGAATCGGGGGATGTGGAGGCAGGCAGAGGGGAGAAGCAGCGAGACCGCAGGGAATGCTGAAAGCCCCCCTAAGAGGCAACGTCCAACCCAGAAGCCCCCAGGGCTGTTCCGTGCGGGTTGTAAAGCCCCAGGCTTTGGAGCAGGGAGGCTGTATGTGTCGTTGAAGGCCACCACATGCAAAAAAGCATCCACAGGATGGCGTGTGAAGGTTGTAGGGACTCAAGGGGACTTTGAGGCAGGCAGACGGGAGAAGCGGCGAGACCGCAGGGAATGGTGGGAGCCTCCCACGACGGCCTCTCCAGTCCCAGAAGCCCCCGGGGCTATCCTGGACTGGCTGTAAAGTTTCAGGCTTTGGAGCAGGGTGCCTGTGTCTCTCGCAGAAGACCCTGAAAAGCGACAATGGTGCAGCAGGGTGTCGTGGGCAGGAAGCAGGATCTAAGGGAGATGTTGAGGTAGGCAGAGGGGAGAGGCTGTGAGACTGGAGGGAATGCTGGGAGCCTCCCAAGGATGCCTTTCCCATGACAGAAGCCCCCAGGCCTGTCCCTTATGGGCTGTAGTGCCCCAGGCTTTGGAGTAGGGTACCTGTGTATCTTGAGGAAGGTACCCACAAGCAAAAACGGGGCTGCAGGTTGGTCTGCACGAGCCACCGGGAATCAGGAAAACGTTGAGGCAAGCAGAGCGGAGAAGCGGCCAGACCACAGGAAATGCTGGGAGCCTCCCAAGGAGGCCTCTCCCATGCCAGAAGCCCTCAAGGCTGTCCCAGGTGGGCTGTAAAGCCCCAGGATTTGGAGCAGGGTGCCTGTGTCTCTAGCAGAAAGCCCCTGCAAGCGAAAATGGGGCCGCAGTTTGGTGTGGGCCGGCAGCAAGGACTCAGGGTGCTGTTGAGGCAGGTAGAGGAATTAAGCGGGGAGATGGCAGAGAATGCTGGGAGCATCTGAAGGAGGCCTCTTCCATCCCAGAAGCTCTCAGGGCTGTCCCGGGTGTGCTGTAAAGCTCCCAGCTTTGGAGCAGGGTGCCTGTGTCTTTCGCAGAAAGCTGCCACGAGAAAACAAGGCCGTAGGGTGGCGTGGAGAATCCGCAGAAACTCAGGAGGACGTTGAGGCAGACAGAAGGGAGACATGGAGAGACTGCAGGGAATGCTGGGAACCTCACTAAAAGGCTTCTCCCATCCCAGCCCTGGGGGCTACTAGGATGGGAGAAGCATCCTTGGGAGGCTCCCAACATTCCCTGCGATCTCTTGGCTTTTCCCATCTGCCTGCCTCAAGTTTCCCCTGAGTCACTGTGGCCCACCCAGGCCACCCTGCAGCCCTGTTTTTGCTTTTGGAGGCCTTACGTGAGAAAGACTGGCACCCTGATCCAAATCCTGGGGCTTTACAGAATGCCCAGGACAGCCCTGTGGGCTTGGGGTATGGGAGAGGCATCCTTAGGAGGCTCCCAGCATTTCCTGCTGTCTTGCCCCTTCTGCCCCTTCCATGCCTCAATGTCACCCTGAGTACCTGTGGCCCACCTACACCACCCTACAATGCCATTTTTGCTTGTTGTGGCCTTCCGTGAGAGACAGAGGAATGCTGCTCCAATGCCTGGGGCTTTACTACCTGCCTGGGACAGTGCTGGGGGCTTCTGGGATGGGAGAGGCATATTTGGGATGCTCCCAGCATTCCCTGCAGTCTCACCGCTTCTACCCTCTGCCTACCTCAATGTCCCTGTGAGTCTCTGCGACCCCCACCCCCCACGCCATTATGTGGCCCCAATTTCATTTGTGTGGGCTTACTACTTGAGACGCTGGCACCCTGTTCCAAAATTTGGGGCTTTACACCCCTCCTGGGACAGCCCTGCAGGCTCCTGGGATGGAAGAGGTATAATTGGGAGGCTCCCAGCATTCTCTGTTGTCTCACCACTTCTCCCCTGTGCCTGCCTTATCGTCCCCCTGAGTCCCTGCAGCCTGCTCACACCACCCTGTGACCTGATTTTGCTTGTGGAAGTTTTCTGCAAGAGACACAGACACCTTGCTCCAAAGCCTGGGGCTTTACAACCTGCCCAGGACAACCCTGGGTGCTTCTGGAATGGGAGAGGCCTCCTTGGAAGGCTCCCAGCATTCTCTGCGTTTTCGCTGCTTCTCCCCTCTGCTTGCCTCGAGATCCCCCCTGAGTCCCTGTGGCCTGCCCACATCACTATTCGGCCCTGTCTTCACTTGTGGAGGCCTTCCGCTAGAGACAGAGGCATGCTTCTCCGAAGCCTGGAGTTTTACACCCTGCATGAGACAGTTCTTGGGGCTACTGTAATGGGAAAGACCTTCATGTGATGCTCCCAGCATTTGCTGTGGTCTCGCCCTTTCTCCCGTCTGCCAGCTTCAATGTCCCCCTGAGTCCCTGTGGCACACCCACGACATCCTGGGGTCCTGTTTTCGCTTGTGGAGATTTCCGTGAGAGATGCAGGGGCCGTGCTCCAAAGACTGGGGCTATGGAGCCTGTCCGAGACAGCTCTAGGTGCTTCAGGGATGAGAAAGGCCTCCTTGGAAGGCTCCCAGCATTCTCTGTGTTCTCACCGCATCTCCCCTCTGTCTGCCTCAACGTCCTCCTGAGTACCTGCTCAGGAGTACCTCCTAAGTACCGCTCATGCCACGCTGTGGCCTTGTTTCTGCTTGGAGGTCCCTCTGTGAGAGACACAGGCCCCTGCTGCAAAGCCTGGGGCTCTACAGCCTGCCCAAGTGTGGCTTCTGGAATGAAAGAGGCTGCCTTGGGAGGCTCCCAGCATTCCTTGCAGTCTGGCTGCTTCTCACCTCTGCCTGCCTCAACAGTTCCCATGAGTCCCTGTGGCTCACACATGCCACTCCATTTTCACTTGTGGGAGCCTTGTGCGAGAGGCACAGGCACCCTTCTCCAAAGCCTGGGCTTTACAGCTCACCTGGGACAGCTCTGGGGGCTTCTGAGATGGGAGAGACCACTTCAGGAGACTCCCAGCATTCCCTGCGGTCTTGCCGCTTCTCCCCTATGCCTGCCTCAACATCCCTGTAAGTCCCTGTTGCCTGCCCACGCCACACTGAGGCCCCATTTTTGCTTGGTGAGCACTCCATGAGTGATACAAGCACCCTGCTTCAAAATCTGGGATTCTACAGCCCGTCAAGGACAGCTCTTATGGATTCTGGATTGGGATAGCCCTCCTTAGGAATCTCTCAGCATTCCCTTCCGTCTCGCCGCTTGTTTTCTCTGTCTGTCTCAAAGTTCCCCTGAGTCCCTGCGACTCGCCCACATCACCTTGCGGCCCCGATGTCACTTTTGGGGGCCTTGAATGAGAGACACAGGCACCCTGCTCCAAAGTCTAGGGCTTTATAGCCTTCCTGGGACAGCACTCGGGCTTCTGGGATGGGAGATGGCTCTGTGGGAGGCTCCCAGCATTCACTGCTTCTCACCGTTTCTCCCCACTGCCTGCCTCAACGTCCCACTGCGTCCCTGTGGCCCACCCAAGCCACCCTGTGGCCCCGTTTTCGCTTGTGGGGGCCTTCTGGGAGAGACATAGACAGCCTGCTTTAAAGCCTGAAACTTTACATCCCGCCAGGGACAGCCCTGGGGTCCTTTGAAGAAGTGTCCTTGGGAAGCTCCCAGCATTGCCTACAATTTCGCCACTTCTTTCCTCTGACTGTCTCAAAGTGCCCTGAGTCCCTGCTTCCCGTTCACCCCACCCTGCACCTCCGTTTTTGCTTTTGGGGGCTTTTCGTGAGAGACAAGGCAAACTGCACTAAAGCCTGGGGCTTTACAGCCAGGCCTGGAGAGCCTTCAGGCCTTCTTTGAAGGGAAAGGCCATCTTGGGAGGCACCCAGCATACCCTGTGGTCTCACCTTTTCTCTTCTTTGTCTGCCTCAATGTACCCCTGAGTGCCTGCAGCCCGCCCATGCCACACATCTGCCCCGGTTTTGCTTTTGGGGGCCTTCCGCGGGAGACACAGGCACCCTGTTCCAAAGCGTGGGGCTTTACAGCCTGCCAAATATAGCCCTGGGGGCTTCTGGGATCGGAGAGGCCTTTTTGGGAGACTCTAAGCATTCCCTGTGGTCTCCCGGCTTCCACCCACTTCCTGTCTTAATGTCCCCCCGAGTCCCTGCAGTCCACCAATGCATTTCTGCCGTTCTGTTTTTGCTTGTGGGAGTCTTCTGTGAGATACCCAGGGACCCTGATCTGAAGCCTGGGGCTCTACAGCCCACCCAGGACAGCACTGGGTGCTTCGGGGATGGGAGATGACTTTGAGGAAGGCTCCCTGCATTCACCCCAGTCTCGCTGCTTCTACCCTCTGCCTTCCTCATTGACCATTTGAGTCCTTGTGGCCCACCCATGCCACCCTGCAGCTCCGTTATTTTTTGTGGGGGCCTTCTGTGAGAGACACAAGCACTCTGCTCCAACGACTAGGGCTTTACAACCTGACCCTGACAGTCTTGGTGGCTTCTGTCATAAGAGAAGCATTTTGGGATGCATGAAGCATTCCCTGCGGTCTCGCTGCTTCTACTTTCTGCCTGCCTCCATGTCCCCCTGAGTCACTGCAGCCTGCCCATGCCACCATGTGGCCACGTTTTTGGTTGTGGTGGCCTTCCTCAAGAGACACAGGCACCTTGCTCCAAAGCCTGGTGCTTTACAGCCCGCACGGGAAAGCCTTGGAGGCTTCTGGAAAGGGAGAGGCCTTTTAAGGAGGCTCTGACCATTCCCAGCAATCTCTCTGCATCTCTCCTCTGCCTGCCTCAACTTCATCCTAAATATCTGCGGCCCGCCCACGTCGCCCTGAGGCCCCAGTTTCACTTGTGCGGCCTTCTACGAGAGACACAGTCACCCTGCTCCGAAGCCTTGGCCTTTACAGCCTGCCCGGGACAGATTTGGGGTCATCTGGGATGGCAGAGGCCTCTTTGGAAGGCTACCAGCATTTTCTGCAGGCTCGCTGCTTCTCCCTTCTGGCTGCCTCTATGTCACCCTGAGTCCCTTTGGCTTGCCCAGGCCATCATGCAGCCCCGTTTTCGCTTGTGGAAGCCCTCTGCCAGAAGCACAGGTACCCTACTCCAAATCCTGGGGCACTACAGCCCATCCGTAATAGACCTGGGGCCTTCTAGGGTGGGAGAGACCTCCTTGGGAGGCTCCCAGCATTCCCTGCGGTCTCACAGATTCTTCCCTCTGCTGGTCTCAACTTCCCCCTGAGTCCCTGCGGCCTGTCAATGCCACACTGCGGCCCCATTTTCACTTGTGGGAGCCTTCCGCTAGAGACACAGACATCCTGCTTCAAAACCTGAAGCATTATAGCATGCCCTGGACAGTTCTAGGATGAAAAAGGCCTCCTTGGGAGACTCCCAGCATTCCCTGCAGTCCTGCCGCTTCTCTCATCTGCCTGCCTCAACATCCCAGTGAGTCTCTGCTGCCTGTGCCCAGCACCCTGCCACCTCATTCTCTCTTTTGTAAGTCTTCCGTGAGAGACACAGGCTCCCTGCTCCAAAGACTGGTGCATAAAAGCCTGCCTGGGACAGCTGTGGGGGCTTCTGGGCTGGGAGAGGCCTCCTTGTGAGGCTCCCAGCATTCCCTGAGTCTCGCTGCTTCTCATCTCTGCCTGCCACAATTTCCGCCTGAGTCCCTGTGGCCCTCCCACACCACCCTGCACCCCTGTTTTCATTTGTGGGGGTCTTTTGTGAGAGACTCAGGCACCCTGCTCCAAAGCCTGGGGCCTTACAGCCCGCCCAGGATAGTTTGGGGAGCTTCTTCCCTTTGTCCTGCCTTAATGTTACCTTACAACCCTGCAGCCCAACCGCACCATGCCGTGGCCCTGTTTTCACTTGTAAGAGCCTTCCACGGCAGATAGGCACCCTGATCCAAAGCCGTGCGCCCGGTTCAGCCCAGGGTGTTTGTGGGATAAGAGAGGCTTTCTTGAAAGGCTCCAAGCATTCCCTGTGGTCTCCCTGCTTCTCCCCCAGGTCTGCCTCAACATCCCCCTGAGTCCCTGTGGCATGCCCCTGCCAGCCTTCTGCACCACTTTAGCTTGCGGGGGACTTCCGCAAGAGATACAGTCACCCTGCTTTAAAGCCTGGATCTTTACAGCCCAGCCCAGACAGCCCTGGGGGCTTCTGAGATGGGAGACGCCTCTGTAACAGGCTCCCAGCATTCCCTGCAGTCTCATTGCTTCTCCTCTCTTCTTCCTTAATGTCCCCGTGAGTTCCTGCAGCCCTGCCATGCCACTCTGCTTTCCCCTTTTTGCTTGTAAGGGCCTACCAGGAGAGACACATGCACACTGCTCCAAAGCCTGGGGCTGTACAGCCCAACTGGGAAAGCCCTGGGAGCTTCTGGGATGGGAGAGGACTCCTTGGGAGCCTCCCAGCATTCCCTTGGTCTCACTGCTTCTCACCTCTGCCTGCCTCAACATTCCTCTGAGTTTCTGCTTTCCAATCATGCCACACCGTGGCCTCATTTTCACTGGTGGGGACTTTCTGTGAGAGACACAGGCACCCTGCTCCAAAGCCTGGGACTTTACTGCCTGCATGGGACAGCCATGGGGATTTGTGGGATGGGAGAGCCCTCCTTGGGAGGAACCCAGCATTCCCTGCTCTCTCACAGCTTCTCCCCTCTGCCTTCCTCAACATCCCCCGGAGTCTCTTCACCCGTTCATGCCACATTGTGAGCCAGTTGTTGGTTGTGGTGATTTCAGTGAGAGACAGAGGTTCCCTTCTTCAAAGCCTGGGGCTTTGAAAACACTTTTTTTTTTGTAGAATCTGCAAATGGACATTTTGAAGCCCACTGAGTTTTATAGTGAAAAACAGAATATCCCATGGTAAAACTCAAAAGAGTCTATCTGTGAAACTACTTTGTGATATGTGCATTTAGCTCACAGAGTTAATTTTTTTATTATTCAAAAGAATGGAAACACTCTTTTTGTAGAATCTTTGTAGGGATATATCACAGCCCACTGAGGCTTCAGTACAAAATGGGATATCACATGATAAAAAGCACAAAAAACTATCTGTGAAACTGCTTTGTGATGTGTGCATTCAGCTCACAGTACTAAAACTTTCCTTTGATTAAGCAGGTATGAAACACGATTTTTCTATAATCTGTGAAAGGACATTTCAGAGCCCACTGAAGCCTATAGTGAAAAACAGAAGAACCAGCAATAAAAAATGAGAAAGAAGCTATCTGTGAAACTGCTTTGTTATATGTGCATTCAGCTCACAGAGTTAAACCTTGGTTTTGATACAGCAAGTTGGAAGCACCCTTTTTGTAGAACTTGTGAAGGGACATTTTGGAGTAAACTGAGACCTATAGTGGAAAACTGAATATCCCAAGATAAAATCAAGAAAGAAGCTATCTGTGAAACTGCTTTAGGATGTATGGATTCACTTCACAGTGTTAAAACTTTCTTTTTATTTAGCATGTTGTAAACAGTCTTTTTGTTGAATCTGCAAAGGGAACTTTTGGAACCCACTGAAGTCTACAGTGAGAAACAGAATATCCCATGATATTCACAGAAGAAGCTATCTGTGAAACTGCTTTGTAATGTGTGTATTCAGCTCAAAGAAGTAAACCTTTTTTTGATTCAGCAGCTTGGAAACATTCTCTTTGTAGTATTTGTGAAGGGACATTTCTGAGCCTTCTGAAGCATAGAGTGAAAAATGAAATAAAGAAGGTACCTGTGAATCTAATTGTGATGTGCAGATTCAGCTCACTGAGTTAAAACTTTCTTTGGATTAAGAAGGTTGGTAACACTCTTTTTGTAGAATCTGTGAAGAGACATTTCAGAAGCCAACTGAGGCCTATATTGAGAAAGAGAATATTTCACAGTAAGAACTAGAAAGAAGATATGTGTGAGGCTGCTTTGTGATATGGGGATTCAGCTCATAGAATTGAACTTTTCTTTTGATTCAGCATGTTGGATACACTCTTTTTGTAGAATCTGCATAGGAACATTTTGGGGTGCACTGAGGCCTATAGTGAGAAAAAGAACATCCAGCAATTCAAACTAGAAAGAATTAATATGTGAAACTGCTTTGTAATGTGTGCATTCAGATAACAGAATTAAACCTTTCCTTTAATTCAGCAGGTTAAAAACAAACTTTTTGTAAAATCTATGAAGGGAGATTTCAAAGCCCACTGAGGCCAGTAGAGAAAAACCAGATATTCCATGATAAAAACTAGAAAGAAGCTATCTGAGAAACTGCTTTGTGATTTGTGAATTCAGCTCAATGACTTAAACCTTTCTTTTTACACAGCAGATAGGAATCTGCTGTAGAATCTGCAAAGGGACATTTTGGAACCCCGTGAAGCCTATAGTGAAAAACCAAATATCCCCGATAAATACTAGAAAGAAGCTATCAGTGAAACTGATTTGTCATGTGTGTATTCAGCTCACAGAGTTCAACCTTTCTTCTGATTCAACAGGTTGGAAAAATTCTCCTTGTAAAATCCGGGAAGAAATATTTTGGAACCCAGTGAGGCCTATAGTGTAACACCAAGTATCCTGTGACAAAAATTAGAAAGAAACTATGTGTGAAACTGCTTTGTGATGTGTGGATTAAGCTCACAGGGTTAAACCTTTATTTTTATTCAGCAGGTTTGAAACAATCTGTTTTTAGAATCTGTGAAGAAACATTTAAGAGCCCACTGACACCTATAGTGAAAAACCAAATATCTCACAATAAAATAGAAAGAGGCTATCTGTGAAACTGCTTTGTGATGTATGCATTTCGCTCACAGAGTTACACCTTTCTTTTGATTCAGCCTGTGGGAAACCCTCTTTTTGTATAATCTGCAAAGGGACATTTCAGAGCCCACTGAGGCCTGTAGTGAAAAACTGAAAATCTCGTGATAAAACTAGAAAGAAGCTATTTATGAATCTCCTTTGTGAGGTATGGATTCAGCTTATCAAGTTAAACCTTTCCTTTGACACAGCAGGTTTCAACACTCTTTTCTTAGTACCTGGGAAGGGTCTTTTCTGAGCCCACAGAGGCCTGTAGTGAAAAACCTAATATTCCGTGATAAAAACTAGAAAGAAGCTATCTGTGAAACTGCTTTGTGATGTGTGCATTCGTCTCACAGAATTAAATTTTTTTCACTTCAGCAGGTTTTAAAACTCTTTTTGAGGAATCTGCAAAGGGACATTTTGGTGTTCACTGAGTCCTATAATGAGAAACAGAATATCCCATGATAAAAACTAGAAAGAAAATATCTGTGAAACTCCTTTGTGATGTGTCCATTCAGCTGACTGAGTTATATCTTTCCTTTTATTTAGTTGGTTGGAAACACTCTTTCTGTAGACTCTGGGAAGGGACATTTCTTAGACCATGGAGGCCTATAGTAAAACATGGAATATACTGCGATAAAATAGAGGCTATCTGTGCAACTGCTTTCCATGTGTGCATTCAACTTACAGATTTAAAACTTTCTTTTGATTTAGCAACTTGAAAAAACTGTTTTTGTAAAGTCTGCCAAGAAACATTTCTGAACCTACCGAGGCATATAGTAAAAAAATGAATATCGCACAATAAAAACTAGAAAGAAGCTATATATGAAACTACTTTGTGGTATGTGGATTCAGCTCAGAGAGTTAAGCCTTTCTTTTGATTCAGCAGGTTGTAAGCACATTTTATAGAATATGTGAATAAACATTTCAGTGCACACTGAAGCTTATAGTGAAAAACCAAATATCCCACGATAAAAAGTAGAAAGAAGGTATCTGTGAATGTGCTTTCTGATATGTGGATTCAGCTCACAGAGGTAAACTTTTCTTATGATTCATCAGGTTTGAAACAGTTTTTTTGTAAATCTGTAAAGGGTCATTTCAAAGCCTACAGAGGCTATAGTGAAAAACTGAATATCCTGCAATAAAAACTAGAAAAAAACTTTCTGTGAAACATTTTCATGACGTGTGCATTCATCTCACAGAGTTAATCCTTTCTCTTGATTCAAAAAATTGGAAACACTCTTTTACTAGAATCTGTGAAGAGACATTTTGGAGCCCACTGGGACCTATAGGGAAAAAAAAATCTCCTGATGTGAACTGGAAAGAAGCTATCTGTGAAACCCCTTTGTGATATGTAGATTCAGCTAATAGAGTTAAACCTTTCTTATGATTCAGCAACTTAGAAACACTCTTTTGTAGAATTTACGGAGGGACATTTCTGAGCCCACTAAAGCCTATATTGAAAAACAGAATTTCTCATGATAGAAACTTGAAAAAAGCTATCTGTGAAACTGCTTGTGATGTGTGCCATCAGCTCACAGAGTTAAATGTTTCTTTTGATTCAGCAGGTTGGAAACACCTTTCTGTAGGACCTGCAAATTGACATTTCAGAGCCCGCTAGGCCTACAGTGAAAAAACAAATTTTTGTGATAAAAACTAGAAAGAAGCTGTCTGTGAAACTTTTTTTGTGAGGGGTGCATTCGGCTCACAAAGTTAAACCATTCCTTTGATTCTACAGGTTTTAAACACTCTTTTATTAGAATCCATGATTCATTTCAGAGCCCACTGAAGCCTATAGTTAAAAACCAAATATTCTATGATAAAAACTAGAAAGAAGCTATACAAGAAACTTTGGTGTGATGTATGCATTCAGCTGACAGAGTTAAACTTTTCTTTTCACTAAGTAGGTTGGAAAAACTCCTTTTGTGGAATCTGCAAAGGGACATTTTGGAGCCCACTGAGGTCTACAAAGAATAATGGAATATCCCATAATAAAAATGAGAAATAAGCTACCTGTGAAACTCCTTTTTGACATGTACATTCAGTTCACTGTTAAGCCTTTCTTTTATTCAACAGGTTGGAAATACTCTTTTTGTAGAACCTGTGAAGGGACATTACTAAGCCTACTGAGGCCTATAGTGAAAAATTGAATATCCCCCCCCCCCCCCGCCAAAACACACACACAAAACTAGAACAAAGCTATCTGTGAAATTGCTTTGTGGTGCATGGATTTAGCTCTCAGAGTTTAATATTTCTTTTGAAATATTTGATTCAGAATGTTGGAAGAACTCTTTTTGTAGTGTCTGGAAAGGGACATTTCACAGCCCACTGAGGTCTACGGTGTAAAACGTTATACCTGAGGGGGAAAAAAAAACTATAAAGAATCTATCTGTGAAATTGCATTGTAATGTGTGGATTCAGCTCATAGAGTTAAATGTTCCTTTTTATTCAGCAGGTTGGTAACACTCTATTTCTAGGATATTCAAGGAAACGTTTTGGAGACTACTGAGGCCTACAGTGAAAAACTTAATATTTCATGATAAATACTTGAATGAAGATATCTGTGAAAATGCTTTGTGATGTGTGAATTCAGCTACAACAGTGAAACTTTTCTTTTCATTTAGAAGGTTGGAGACACTCTTTATGTAGAACTGTGAAGGGACATTTTGGTGAACACTGAGGATTTTACAGAAAATCCAAATATCCCGCTATTAAAAACTAAAAAGAAGCTTTCTGTGAAACTGCTTTGTGATGTGTGGATGCAGTTCACAGAGTTAAACATCACTTTTTATGCAGCACAATGGAAACTCTTTTATTGTAGAAACTGTGAAGAGACATTTAGGAGCCCACTGAAACCTATGGTAAAAAAACAGACTATCCCCTGATAAAAAATAGAAAGAAGATATCTGTGAAACTGTTTTATGACATTTGCATTCAGCTCACAGAGTAAAACTTTTCTTTTGATTCAGCAGGTTGAAAGCACTCTTGTAGAATCAGCCATGGGTCATTTTGAAGCTCACTGAGGGCTAGAATGAAAAACTAAATATTGCATGATAAAAACTAGAAAGAAACTATCTGAGAAACTTCTTTGTGAGATATGCATTCAGCTCACAAAGTTAAACCTTTCTTTTGATTCAGCAGATTGGAAACATGCTTTTTGTAGAATCTATGAAGGGACATTTCAGAGCCTACTGAGGCCAGTAGTGAAAAAATGAATATTCCGCAATAACAAATAGAAAGCAGCCATCTGTGCATCTAATTTGTGATGTGTGGATTTGGCTCACCGAGTTAAACATTTCTATTGATTTAGAAGGTTGGAATCACTGTTTTTGTAGAATCTGAAAAGGGACATTTCAAAGCAAATAGAACCCAATAGTGACAAAAAGAATATTCTGCAATAAACACTAGAAGGAAGAGATCTGTGAAACTCCCTTGTAATGTTGCATTCAGCTCACAAATGTGAACCATTTTTGTTTCAGCAGGTTGGAAATATTCTTTTTTTTTTAGAATCTGTGAAGAAGTATTTCTCAGCCCACTGAAGCCTACAGTGAGAAACTGAATATACGATGATAAAAAGTAGAAAGAAGCTATGTGTGAAATTTCTTTGTGATGTGTGGATTCAGCTTACAGAGGTAAACCTTTCTTGTGATTCAGCAGGTTGGAAACACTCTTTTTGGAGAATCTGTGAAGGGACATTACTGAGTCCACTAAGGCCTATGGTGAATAAAAGAATATCTTGTGATAAAAACTAGAAAGAAGCTATCTGTGAAGTGGCTTGTGATGTGAGCCTTCAGCTCACAGAGTTAAGTCTTACTTTGGATTCAGATCATTGGAAACACACATTTGTAGAACCTGCAAAGGGACATTTCAGAAACACTAGTCCTAAAGTGAACAACCAAATATTCCATGATTAAAAACTAGAAAGAAGGTATCTGTGAAACTTTTTTGTGACGTATGCATTCGGCTCAAAGAGTTAAAACTTTCTTTGGATTCACCAGTGGAAAGATTCTTTTTGTACAATCTTCAAAGGGACATTTCTGATCCCACTGAGGCCTGTAATGAAAAATTGAATATTCCACAATAATAAATAGAAAGAAGTCATCTGTTCATCTAATTTGTGATGTATGGATTCAGCTCACAGAGATAAACTTTTCTGTTGATTTAGAAGGCTGGAATAATTCTTTTTATAGAATCTGCAAAGGGATATTTCAGAGCAAGCAGAAGTCTATAATGACAAACACAATATTCTGTGATAAACACTAGAAAGAATGTATCTGTGAAATGCTTTGTTATGTAGACATTCAGCTTACAGAATTGAAATTTTCCTTTTATTCACCAGGTTGGAAAAACTCATTTTGTAGAATCTGCAAAGCTACATTTTGGAGCCCAATGTGACCTATCATGGGAAACAGAATATCCCATGATAAAATCTAGAAAGAAGCTATCTGTGAAACTGCTTTGTGATCTGTAAATTCAGTTCAAAATGATAAACATTTCTTTTTATTCAGCAGGTTGGAAACGCTCTTTTTGTAGAATCTGTGAATTAACATTTTGGAGCGCACTGAGGCCTATAGTGAAAAACTGAAAATCCCACACTAAAAACTAGAAAGAAGCTATCTGTGAAACTGCTTTGTGACATGTGCATTTCACTCACAGAGTTAAATTCTTTCTGTGATTCAGCAGGTTGGAAACATTCTTTTTGGAGAATCTAGGTAAAGGCATTTCAGAGCCCACTGAGGACTATAGTTTAAAACTGAATATCCTGCAATAACCACTAGAAAGAAGCTGCCTGAAAAACTGCTTTGTGGTAGGTGGATTCAGCTCCCAGGCTTAAAACTTTCTTTTTATTCAGCAGGTTGGAAACAGTCTATTTTTTAGAATCTACAAAGGGACATTTTGCAGTTCAGTGAAGCCTGCAGTGAGAAACAGAATAAACTGTCACAAAAACTAGAGAGAAGCTATCTGTGTAACGGATTTTTGATGTGTGTATTCAGTTTACAGAGTTAAACCTTTCTTATAATTCAGCAGGTTGCATACACTCTTTTGTAGAATCTGCAAAGCAACATTTCTGATCCCCATAAGGCCAAGAGTGAAAAACAGAATATCCCCCAATATAAACTAGAAAGAAGCTATCTGTGAAATTGCTTTGTGCTCTGTGGATTCAGCTCACAGAATTAAGCTTTACTTTGACACGGCAGGTTGGAAGCACTCTTTTTGTACAATAAGTGAAGGGATATTTCAGAGCAAACTGAGGGCTAAAGTAAAAAACTGAATATCTCCCAATCAAAACTAGAAAGAATCTCTGTGTGAATCTGCTTTGTTTAGTGTGGATTCAGCTCTCAGAGTTAAACTTTTGTTTTGATTCCACAGGTTGAAAACATTCTCTTTGTAGAATCTGAGAAGGAATATTTCAGAGCCCACTAAGACCTATTATGAAAAACTGAATACTCCATGATAAAAACTAGAAAGAAAGTATCCATGAAACTGCTTTTTGATGAGAGGATTCAGGTACCAAATTTAAACCTCTCTTTTCACTCAGAAGGTTTGGAAAACTTTTTTTTGAAGCATTTGCGAAGAGACATTTGGTGCCCACTGAGGCCTATAGTGAAAAACAAAATATTCCCTGCATAAAACTAGAAAGAAGCTATCTGAGAAACTGCTTTGTCATATGTGGATTCAACTCAAAGAGTTAAGCTTCTTTTGATTCAGTAGGTTGGAAACACTCTTATTGTAGCTTATGTGAAGGGACATTTTTGAGCCCACTGCAGCCTGTAGTGAAAAACTGAATATTCCATGATAAATACTAGAAAGAAGCTGTCTGTGTAACTGCATTATGAAGCATGGATTAAGTTCAAAGAGTTAAATCATTCCTTTGATTTAGCAGGTTGGAGGCACTTTTTTTTTAGAATCTGCAAAGGGACATTTTGGAGGCCACTGAAGCCTACAGTGTAAAACTGAATATCCCATGATAAAAACTAGAAAAAAATTATCTGGGAAACTGTTTTGTGATACGTGCATTTCACTCACAGAGTTAAACATTTCTTTTTATTCAGCAGGTTAGAAACCCTTTTTTTTTTTAGAATCTGTGAACGGACATTTCAGAGCCCACTGAGGCCTATTGAGAAAAACTGAATATCCCATGATAAAAACTAGAATGAATCTCTCTGTGAAACTGCTTTGTCATGTGTGCATTCAGATCACAGAGTTAATCCTTTCTTTTGATTCAGCAGGTAGGAAACACTATTTTTGTAGAATCTGCAAAGGGACATTTTGGAGCCCACTGAGGCCAATAGTGAGAAATTGAATATCCTGTGATAAATACTAGAAAGAAAAATCTGTTAAACTGCTTGTGATGTGAGGATTCAGCACACAGAGTTAATACTTTCTTCTGATTTTCCAGGTAGGAATGAATCTTTTTGTAGAATCTGCAAAGGGACATTCCGAAGGCCACTGAAGCCTAAAGTTTGAAACTGAATATCCCACCATAAAAACTAGAAAAAATCTCTCTGAGAAACTGCTTTGTGATATGTGCATTCAGCTCACAGGGTTAAACCTTTCTTTTGATTCAGCTGGTTGGAAAAACTCTTTTTGTAGAATCTGTGAGGGAACATTTTGGAGCCCACTGAGGCTTACAGTGAAAAATTGAATGTTCTGTGACTAAAACTAAAAAGAAGCTATCAGTCAGACTGCTTTTGTTGTGTGGATTCAGATCACAGAATAAAGCCTGTCTTTTGATTCAGCAGGTTGGAAACACTGTATTTGTAGCATCTGAGATGGGACATTTTGTACCTAAATGAGGCCCTTAGTGAAAAACAGAATATCCCACAATAAAAACTAGAAAGAAGCTATCTGTGAAACTTCTTTGTGATGTGTGTATTCATTTCAGAGAGTTAAAGCTTTTTCTTGATTCAGCAGATTGGAAACACTCTTTGCAGTATCAGCAAAGGGACATTTCAGGGCCCACTGGGTTCAAATGTCAAAAACTGAATATCTTGCAATAAAAACTAGAAAGAAGCCATATGTGAAATTGCTTTGTGATGTCTGGATTCTGCTCACTGAGTTAACCTTTTCTTTTGATTCAGCATGTTGAAAACTTTTTTTTGCAGTATCTGTGAAGAGGCATTTCAAAGCCAATTGAGTTCAAAAGTGAAAAACCAAAAATCACGCAATAAAAACTAGAAAGAAATGATCTGTGAAACTGCATTGTGATGTGTGCCTTCCACTCAGAGTAAAACCTATCTTTTGATTAAGGAGGCTGTAGACTCTCTTTTTGTAGAATCTCCAAAGAACCACTTCATAGCCCACTGAGTCCAAAAGTGAAAAAAAGAATATCCCGTGATAAAAACTAGAAAGAAGCTGATTGTGAAACTGCTTTCTGATGTGTGTATTCTGCTCACAGTGTTAAACTTTACTTTTGATTCACCAGGTTTAATACACTCATTTGTAGAATCTACAAAGGATCATTTCAGAGCAAAGTGAGGCCTATGATGCAGAACTGATCATCCCACAATAAAAAGTTGAAAGAACCTATCTGTGAAACTGCTTTGTGATGTGTACATTCAGTTCACAGAGTTTAATCTTTCTTTTGATTAAGCAGGTTTGAAACACTCTTTTTGTAGAATCTCTGAAAGGACATTTTAGAGCCAACAGGATAAAAACTTGAAATAAGCTGTCTGTGAAACTGCTTTGTAATGTGTGGAGTAAAGTCACAGAGTTAAAACCTTCTTTTGATTCAGCAGGTTTGAAATACTCTTTTTTTAGAATCTGCAAATGGATATTTTGGAGATGACTTAGTCCTATAGTGAAAACCTGAAATATCCCATGATAAAAAACTAGAAAAAACTATCTGTGAATCTACTTTGTGGTGTGTAGATTTAGCTCACTGTGTTGAAGATTTCTTTTAATTAAGAAGTTGGAAGAAGGCTTATTGTAGAATCTACTATGGGACATTTTGGTGCCCAGTTAACCATATAGTGAAAAATCGTGTATCTTGAGATAAAAACTGGAAAGAAGTTCTCTGTGAAACTGCTTTGTGATGTGTGCATTCAGTTCACGGAGTTAAATCTGTTTTTTGAATCAGCAGATTGGAAACAGTTTTTTGTCAAATCTGTGAATAGACATTTGGGAGGCTACTGAGGCCTGTAGTAAAAAAACGAATATCCCGAGATAAAAATTAGAAAGAAGTTATCTGTGAAACTGCTTTTTGATGTGTGGATTCAGTTCAGAGTTCAACGTTTCTTTTGTTTCAGCAAGTTGGAAACACCCTTTTTGTAAGTTTGTGAAGAAATATTTCAAAGCCCAATGACACCTTTATTGAAAAACTGAATATCCATGATAAGAACTAGAAAAAAGCTATCTGTGAAACTGCTTTGTAATGTGTGGATTCAGCTCACAGAGTTAAACATTTCTTTTGTTTCAGCAAATTGGAAGCACTCTTTTTGAAAAATCTGTGAAGAAATATTTTGGAGCCCACTGATGCCTATATTGAAGAAAAGAATTTCCATCAACAAAAGCTAGAAAGAAGCTATCTGTGAAACTCCTTTGTGATGTGTACATTCAGATCACAGATATAAACCGTTTTTTGATTCAGCAGGTTGGAAACACTCTTTCTGTAGAATCTATGAGGGGACATTTCTGAGCCCACTGACACATTTACTAAAAAAACTAACATTGTGAGATAAAAACTAGAATGAATCTATAGGTGAAATTTCTTTTTGATGTCTGTATTCACCTCACAGACTTAAACCTTTCTTTTGATTCATTATTTTGGAAACACTCTTTTTGTAGGTCTGTGAAGGGACATTTCAGAGGCCACTAATGCCTATTGTGAAACAGTGAATATCTTGCAATACAAACTAGAAAGAAGTTATCTGTGAAATTATTTTTTGTTGTGTGAATTCAGCTCACAGTTAATCCTTGCTTTTGATTCAGCAGGTTGGAAACGCTTTTTTTGTAGAATCTGCAAATGGATATTTTGGAGCCCACTGAGGCTTATAGTGAAAAACTGTATAGCCTATGACAAAACTTTTGATGAAACCATGTGTGAAACTACTTTGTGATGCCTGGATTCAGCTCACAGACTTAAACCATACCATTGATTCAGAAGGTTTGAAATGCTCTTTTTGTACAATCTGCACAGGAACATTTCAAAGCACACTGAGGCCTATAGTGAAAAAACAAATATCCCACAATAAAAACTAAAAAGAATCTGTTTGTGAAATTGCTTTGTGGTGTGTGAATTCAGCTCACAGAGTTAAACGTTTATTTTGATTTAGCTGGTTGGAGACACTCTTTTGATAAAATCTGTGGCCTATAGTGAAAAACTGAATATCTCACAATAAAAACAAGAAAGATGATATCTGTGAAACTGCTTTATGAATTGTACACTCAGCTCACAGATTTAAAGCTTTCTTTTTTTCCAGCAGGGTGAAAACACTTTTTTTGTTGAATCTGCGAAAAGACATTTCATAGCCGACTGAAGCTGATAGTGAAAAACAGCATATCCCAAGATTAAAAGTCAAAATAAGCTCTCTGTGAAACTACTTTGTGATGGATGGATTAAGCTCACAGGGTTAAACCTTTGTTTTGATTCTGCTGTTTAAAAACACTCTTTTTGTAGAATATGTGAAGAGACATTTTGAAGCCGATTGAGGACTGTAGTGAAAAACTGAATATCCCAAAATAAAAATTAGAAAGAAGCTACATGTAATACTACTTTGTAACGTGTGGATTCATCTCACAAAGTTAAACCTTTCTTTTGATTCAGCAGTTTGGAAACACTCGTTTTGTAGAATCTGCGAAGGGACTTTTGGAGCCCATTGAGGCCTATAGTGAAAAAATTAATAGCCCTAGTTAAAAAACTAGAAAGATGCTATCTCTGAAACCACTTAGTGATGTGTGGATTTATCTCACAGATTTAAACCTTTCTTTTGATTCAGCAGGTTGGAAACACTCTTTTTGTTCAATCTGCAATGGCACATTTCAGTGCCCAATGTTGCCTATAGTGATAAAAAGGCACTCTTTTTGTAGAAACTGTGAAGGAACATTTGGGACCTCACTGAGTTCTTACATGAAAAGCAGAGTATTCCTCAATGAAAACTGGAAAGAATCTATCTGTGAAACTGCTTTGTGATGTGTGGTTTCAGCTCACAGAATTAAAACTTTTTTTTTATTATTCAGCTAGTTGAAGCAATCATTTTGTAGATTTATTTCAGAGCCCACTTACACCTATAGTGAAAAACTGAATATATTGGAGAAAACTAAAGCAAGCTATTGTGAAATTTGTTTGTGATGTGTGGATTCAGTTCACTGTGTTAAAACTTTCTTTTGACTCAGGATGTTGGCAGCACTCTTTTTATATAATCTCCAAAAGGATATTTCAGAGCTCATTGAGGTTATAGTGAAAAAACGAATATCTTATAATAAAAACTAGAAAGAAACTATCTGTTAAACTGCTTTG
This sequence comes from Homo sapiens, assembly GCF_000001405.40. Taxonomy (NCBI): domain Eukaryota; kingdom Metazoa; phylum Chordata; class Mammalia; order Primates; family Hominidae; genus Homo; species Homo sapiens. Next base: position 46,160,699 of record NC_000008.11, on the reverse strand, counting down.
TGATGTGAGGATTCAGCTCACAGAGTTAAATGTTTCCTTCGAAGAAGTAGGTTGGAAACCTTTTTTTGCAGAAAATGTGAAGGGACATTTCCGAGTCCTTTGAAGCCTATACTGAATAACCAAATATCCCATGATAAAAACTAGACAGAATTTATTTGTGAAACCGTTTTGTGATGTGTGCACTCAGCTCACAGAGTTCACAATTTTCTTAAATTCAGAGTTAAACGTTTCTTTTGATTCATCAGTTTGGAAACACTCTTTTTTAGAATCTGTGAAGGGTCATTTCAGAACCCAATGAGGCCTACAGTGAAAATTGAATATCCCTTGATTAAAACGAGAAAGACGCTATCTGTGAAACTGCTTAGAGATGTGTGGATTCAGCTCACAGAGTTAAAATTTGTTTTGATTCAATAGGTTGGAAACACTCTTTTTGTAGAATCAGTGAAGTTACATTTTGGAGCTCACTGAGACCTATAATAAAAAATGGTATAACCCATGATAAAAACTAGAATTAAGCTATCTGTTTTATTACTTTTTGATGCATAAAAACAACTAACAGAGTTAAACTTTTATTTTATTTAGTAAATTGGAACCACTGATTTTGTAGGATCTGTGAAGGGACATTTTGCAGCCTACTGAGTCCTATATTGAAAACTGAACATCCCATGAAAAAAACTAGAAAGAAGCGATTGATGAGATTTCTTTGTGGTGTGTGCATTTAGCTCAGAGTATAACTTTTCTTTTGATTCAACAGGTTGGAAACACTCTTTTTGTAGAAAGTGTGAAGGGACATTTCAAAGCCCACTGAGCCCTAAAATGAAAGATAAAATATCTCAATAAAAACTAGAAAGAAGGTGTCTGTGAAACTGCTTTGTGATGTGTGGATAGAGCTAACAGAGTTAAACCTTTCTTTTCATTCAGCAAGTTGGAAATACTCTTTAAGGAGATACTGTGAAGGGACATTTCAGAAAAAAACAGAGGTTAATATTGAAAAATTGAATATCCCATGAAGAAAAACTATCTTTCAAACAGCATTGTGGTGTGTATATTCAGCTCACAGAGTTAAACCTCTCTTTAAATTCAGCAGATTGGAAATATTTCCATTGTTTCAGCAGGTAGGAAACACTCTTTTTGTAGAAGCTACAAAGGGACATTTCAGAGCCCACTGAGACCTATTATAAAAAATTGACTATCTGACAATAAAAACTAGAAATAAGCTATCATCTGTGAAACTGCTTTGTAACATTTGGATTGAGCTCACAGAATTAAAACTTTCCCTCGATTCAGAAGGCTGGAACTACTCTTTTTGTAGAGTCTGCAATGGAATATTTTGGAACCCACTGAGGCCTATGAAGAAAAACTGAATATCCTTGAACAAAAAATAGTAAGAAGCTTCAGTTAAGCTGATTTGTGATGTGTGTATTCAGCTCACACATTAAACCTTTCTTCTGATTTAGTAGGTTAAAAATACTCTTCTTGTAGCATCTACATGGGGACATTTCAGAGCCCACTGAGTCCAATAGTGAAAAAATGAATATCCCATGATAACTAGAAAGAAGCTATCTGTGAAACTGCTTTGTGATGTGTGCATTCCTCTCACAAAGTTAAATTTTTCTTTTGATTCAGCAGATGGGAAAAACTCTTTTTATGTAATGTGTGAGTGGACATTTCAGACCCCCTGAGATGAGTAATGAAAAACAATATTCTATGATAAAATCGAGAAAGAAGCTATCTGTGAAACCGTTTTGTGATGTGAAGATTTACCTCACAGATTGAAACCTTTTTTTGGATTCAGTGCATTGGAAACACTCTATTTGTAGAGTCTGTGATGGGACATTTCAGAGCCCACTCACACCTATCGTGAAAAACCAAATATTCTGTGATAAAAGCTAGAAAGAAGTTACCTGTGAAACTGCTTTGTGATGTGTGGATTCAGCTCGGAGAGTTAAACTATTCTTTTCATTCAGCAGGTTAGAACACTCTTTTGGTAGAATTTGCAAAACTATATTTCACAGCCTACTGAGTCCTATAGTGAAAAACTGATTATCCCGTGATAAAAACTAGAAAAAAAAATTTATCTTGGAAACTGCTTTGTGATGTGTGCATTTAGCTCACAGAGTTCAAAATTTCTTTCATTTCAGCAGGTGGAAAACATTCTTCTTGTAAAATCTGTGAAAAGACATTTCAGACACCCCTGAGACCAATAGTGAAAAACTGTATATCCTGTGATAGAAACAAGAAAGAAGCTATTTGTGAAAGTGCTTTGAGATGTGTGGATTCAGCTCACAGAGTTAAACCTATCATTTGATACAACAGGTAGGGAACCCTCTTTCTTTTTTTTGTAGAATCTGGTAAAGGGCATTTCAGAGCAAGCTGAGTACTATAGTGAAAAACTGAATATACCATCATAAAACTAGAAAGAAACTATCTGTGAAGCTGATTTGGTATGTGTGTATTAAGCTAACAAAGTTAGAACTTCTTTTTGATTCAGCAAGTTGAAAACAAAGTTTTTGTAGACTCTGCCAATGGACATTTCAGAGTAAACTGAGGCCTATAGTGGAAAACATATTATCCCACTATAAAAATTATAAAGAAACTTTCTGTGAAACCGCTTTGTGATGTGTGCTTTCAACTCAGTGAGTTAAACCTTTCTCCTGATTAAGGAGTTTGGAAACACTCTCTTTGTAGAATCTGCAAAAGGACATTTTGCATCTGACTGAGGCCTATAAGGAGAAACCACATATCCATTTAAAAACAAAAAAACAGAAAGAAGCTAATTTTGAAACTGTTTTGGGATGTGTACATTCACTTGACAGTGTTAAAACTTTCTTTTGATGTACCAGGTTGAAAACACTCTTTTTGTAAAATCAGCAAAGGAAGATTTCAGAGTGCACTGGAGCCTATACAGAAAACCTGAATACCCTGCAATAAAAACTAGAATGAAGCTATCTGTGAAACTGCTTTGTTATGTGTGGATTCAGCTCGTAGAGTTAAATCTTTCTTTTGATTCAGCAGGTTGGAAACCCTCTTCTGACAGTATCTGCAAAGGTACATTTCAGAACTCAATTTGGCCTAATAGTGAAAAACTGAATATTCTGCTATAATTAATAGAAAGAAGCTATCTTGAAACTGCCTTGTGATGTGTAAGTTCTGCTCACAGAAAAACTTTTCTTTAGATTCAGCACATTAGAAACACTCTTTTTGTAGAATCTGTGAATGGACATTTCTGAGCCTACTGAAACCTATAGTGAAAACAGAATATCTTGTGATATAAACTAGAAAGAAGCTATTTGCAAAACTCCCCTGTGATGTGATTGTACAGTTCAAAGAGTTAAATCTTTCTTTTGTTCAGAAGGTTGGAAGAGCTTTTTTTACAGAAACTGCTTTGGAGCCCACTGAGACCTGTAGTAAAAACTGAATATGCCATCATAAAAACTAGAAGGAAGCTCTCTGTGAAACTGCTTCCTGATGTGTGCATTCAGCGAACAGAGTTAAACCTGTCTTTGGATTCAGTAGATTAGAAACACTCTACCGGTAGAATCTGCGAGGGGACATTTTGGAGACGTTTGAAGCCTATAGTGAAAAACAGAATATCCCGTGATATAAACTAGAAGGAAGCTATCTGTGAAACTGCTTTGTGATGTGTGAATTCATTTCACAGAGTTAAAACTTTCTTTTGATTCAGCAGCTTGAAACACTTTATTTGTAGAATCTGCGAATAGACATTTTGGAGAACACTGACACCTTTAGTGAAAAACAGAACATCCCGTGATAATAACTGGAAAGAAACTATCTGTTAAACAGTTTTGTGATATTTGGATTCAGTTCACAGAGTTACATTGTTTTTGATTCAGCAGGTTGAATCACTCTTTTAGTGGAATCTGTGAGTATGCATTTCAGAGCCGACTGAGGCCTTTAGTGAAAAACGGAATATGTCACAATAAAAAGTAGAAAGAATTTATCTGTAAAACTGCTTTATGATGTGTAGATCGTGCACACAAAGCTAAACTTTTTTTTTTTTTTGATTCAGTAGATTGTAAACACTGTTTTTTGTAGAATCTTCCAAGGGACATTTGGAGCCATCTGCGGCCTATAGTAAAAGACAAAATACCCCATGATAAAAACTAGAAAGAAGCTATATGTGAAACTGCTTAGTGATCAGTGGATTCAGGTCACAGAGCTAAACCTTTCTTTTGATTCAGTAGGTTGGAAACCCTCTTAGTATCTTGGAAGGGACATTTCAGAGCCCACTAAGGAGTATAGTGAAAAAACGAATATCCCATGATAAAACTAGAAAGAAGCTATCTGTGAAACTGCTTTGTGAGGTGTAGATTCAACTTACAGAGTTAAACCTTTCTTTTGACTCAGCAACTTGTAAAAACTCTTTTTGTAGAATCTGGGAAGGAATATTTTGGAGCCCACAGAGGCCTACAGTGAAAACAAAATACCCCGCAGTAAAAACTAGAAGGAAGCTGTCTCTAAAACTACTTTGTGGTTTGTGGGTTTACCTAACAGAGTTAAACCTTTCTTTTGATTTAGCAGGTTGTAAACACACCTTTTGTAAAATCTGCAAATTTACATTTTGGAGCAAACTGAGTCCTATAGTGAAAAAACAAAAAATCCCATGATAAAAACTGGAAAGAACCTATCTGTGAAAACTTGTGATGTGTGCATTCAGTTCACAGTGTTAAACTTTTCTTTTGATTCAGCAGGATGGAAACAGTCTCTTTGTGCAATCTGTGAATGGATATTTCTTAGCACAAAGAGGTCTACAGTTAAAAACTGAAAATCTTGTGATAAAAACTAGAAAGAAGCTATCTATGGAACTGCTTTGTCAGGTGCAGGTTCAACTCACAGAGGTAAACCTATCTTTCAATTCAGCAGGTTGTAAACACTCTTTCTGCAGAATCTGCAAAGGGACAATTCAAATCCCTCTGAGTCCTATAGTGAAAAACTGAAAATCCCGTGACAAAAACCAGACCAAAACTGTCTGTTAAACTGCTTTGTAATGTGTGGATTTAGCTCACAGAGGTACAACTTTCTTTGTATTTAGCAGGTTGTAAACACTCTTTTTGTAAAAGCTGCAACAAGATATTTCAAAGTCCACTGAGGGCTATATGGAAAATGGAATATCCCACAATAAAAACTAGAAAGTAGCTATCTGTGAAACTTCTTTTTGATGTGTGCAATCAGCTCACAGACTTAAATATTTCTTCTCATTCAGCAGGTTGTAAACACTCTTGTTTTCGAATTTGCAAAGGGACACTTCACAGGGCACTGAGGCCTGTAGTGAAAACCTGAATATCCTGTGGAAAAAAAAAACTTGAAAGAAGCTATCTGTGAAACTACTTTGTGATGTGTGGATTCAGCTGACAAATTTGTATTTTTTTTTTTTATTTAGCAGAGTGGAACATTATTTTCTTAGAATCTGCAAAAAGACATTTTGAAGCCCACTGAGGGCTATGTTGAAAATCTGAATATTTCAAGATAAACAGTAGAAAGAAGCTATCTGTGAAACTGCTTTGTGATGTGTGGATTCAGCTCACAAAGTTAAACCTTTCTTTTGATTCTCCAGATTGGAAACACACTTTTTGTAGAATATGTGAAGGGACATTTCAGAGCTCCCTGAGGCCTATAGTAAATAAATGGATATCCCATGATAAAAACTTTGAAGAAACTACTGTGAAACTGCTTTGTGATATGTGGATTCAACTCACAGAGTTAACCTTTATTTTGGTTAAGCAGGTTGTAAACATTCTTTTTGAATAATCTGGGAAGGGACATTTCAGAGCCCACTGAGGCCTATAGTGAAAACTGAATACCCTGCGATTAAAACTAGAAGGAAGCTATGTGTGAAGCTGCTTTGTGATGTGTGGGCTCAGCTAACAGAATTAACCCATTCTTTTCATTCAGCAGGTTGTAAACACTCTTTCTTTAGAATTAGCATATTGACATTTCAGAGCAAACAGTCCTACAGTGAAAAACTGAAAAGCTCATAATTAAAATTAGAAAGAAGCTATCTGTGAAACTTTGTGATGTTTGCATTCAGTTCACAGAGTTAAACCTTTCTTTTCATTCAGCATGTTGGAAATACTACTTTTGTAGGATCTGTGAAGGAACATTTCTTAGCCCGCCAAGGCCTATAGATAAAAACAAAAAATCCTATTATAAAAACCAGAAAGAAGCTATCTGTAACACTGCTTTGAGAGGTCTGGGTTCAACTCTCAGAGTTAAACCTGCCTTTTGATTCAGCAGGTTGTAAACACTCTTTTTGTAGAATCTGTAAAGGGACATTTTGCAGCCTACTATGTCCTATATCGAAAACTTGAATATCTTATGATAAAAACTAGATAGAGCCTATCTGTTAAACTGCTTTGTCCTGTATGGATTCAGCTCACAGAGGTAAATCTTTTTTTTTTTTTTATTTAGCAGGTTGGAAACACTCTTTTTGTAGAAGCTGCAAAGAGGCATTTCAAAGTCCACTGAGTACTATGTTGAAAAATAGAATATCCCGTGATAAAAACTAAAAAGAAGCTATCTGTGAAATTGATTAGTGATGTGTGGATTCAGCACACAGAGTTAAACCTTTCTTTTCATTCAGCAGGTTGGAAACAGTCTTATTTTCAAATCTGCGAAGGGACACTTTGAAGGCCACTGAGGCCTATAGTGAAAAACCAAATATCCAATGAAAACAACTAGGAAGAATCTACCTGTGATGTGTGGACTCAGCTCACAAACTTGTACATTTCTTTTGATTAGCAGGCTGAAAACACTTTTTTTTAGAGTCTGTGAATAGACATTTCGAAGCCCACTGAGGGCTATGATGAAAAGCAGAAAGAACCCATCTGAAACTGCTTTGTGATGTATGGATTCAGCTCACAAAGTTAAACTTTCCTTTTGATTTTCTGGTTTAGTAAACACACTTTTTGTGGTATATGCAAAGGGACATTTCAGAGCTTTCTGAGGCCTATAGTGAAAAAGTGAATATCCCATGATAAAAACCTTAAAGAAGCTATATCTGTGAAACTGCTTTGTGATATGTGGATTCAGGTCAAAGAGATAAACCTTTCTTTTGATTCAACAGGTTGGAAAAACTCTTTTTGTAGAATCTGCAAAGGGGCATTTCAGGGGCCAAAGATGACTACAGTGTAAAACTGAATATCCCCTGATGCAAACTACAAAGAAACTACCTGTGAAACTGCTTTGTGATGTGTGCATTCAGTTCACATAGTTAAACCTGTCTTTTGATTCCGCAGGTTGGAAACACTCTTTTTGTAGAGTCTGTGAAATGCCATTTTGCAGCCCACTTCAGGCCTATAGAGAAAAACCAAATATCCCGCAATAAAAACTAGAAAGAAGCTATCTTTGAAACTGCTTTTGATGTGTTGATTCAGCTCACAGAGTTAAACCTTTCTTTTGATTCAACAGGTTGGAAAAACTCTTTTTGTAGAATCTGCAAAGAGACATTTCAGAGCCCATTGAAACCTATAGTGAAAAACCAAATATCCCGCTACAAAAACTAGAAAGAAGTTATCTGTGATTCTGCTTTGTTATGTGCAGATTCAGCTCACAGAGTTAAACCTTTCTTTTGATTCAGCAGGTTGGATACGCTTTTTTTTGTGGATTCTGTTAAGGGATATTTCACAAAAGCGGCAGGCAGAGGAAAGAAGAGGCTAGGCCTTAGTGTGTTCTGGGTCCCCCCAGGGAAGCATCTCCCTTCACAGAAACCCCTGGGACAGCCTCCTGGTGGCAGCTAGAGCCCGGGACTCCAGCCCAGGTTGACTGTGTCTCTCAAAGAAGTTCCCCCAAGGGCAGCGATGGGGCCACAGGTGGGCCTTTGTGGGCCAGCATAAACTCAAAGTGATGTTGAGGCAGGCAGAAGGGAGAAGCAGCACGGCCTGAGCAGGTGCTGTATCATCCCAGGGAGGACTCTTTTTTTCTCAGAAACCCCCGGGAGCCCCTCAGGTGGGGGCTAGAGCTCCTGACTCCAGTCTAGGGTGCCAGTATCTCTCACAATGGGCTTCCACAGGCAGCAATGGGGCCACAGTCAGGCCTGTGGTAGTGGGCAGAAACTCAGGGGGACAGTGAGGCAGGCAGCAGGGAGAAGTGGCAAGACCTGAGCAGGTGCACGGTCCTGTCAGCTAGGCCTCTCCCTCACCGGAAGCCCCCAGGTGTGACCTAGAGCACTGGACTATGGCCCAGGGTGACTGTGTCTCTCATGGATGGCCCTCACGGGTGGCCTCAAAGCCACAGGCAAGCCTGTGCAGGCGGGCAGAAACTCAGGGGGACACAGAGGCCAGCAGATGGAAGAACCAGCAAGTCCTGAGTGGGTGCTGTATCATCCCAGGGAAGCCTCTCTGTTTCCAGAAGCCCCTGGGGTGACCCCCGGGTGGGGGTTGGAATCCCGGAATCTGGCCACAGGTTAGCCTGTGCAGGCAGACAAAAATTCAGGGGAATGTTGAGGCAAGAAGACAGGAGAAGCAGCAAGGACTCAATGGGTGCTGGGTTTCCCCAGGAATCCCTCTCCCTTCCCAGAAGCCCCTGGGTTGCCTTTCAGGTAGGGGCTATAGCCCCAGGTTCCGATCCAGTGTGCATGTGTCTCTCATGAAGGGCCCCAATGGGCAGCGACAGGGCCGCAGGTGGGCCTGTAGAGGTAAGCAGAAACTCAGGGGGAAGTTTTGGCAGGCAAAGAGGAGAAGCAGCAAGGCCTGAGAAGGTGCTGGGTTTTCTCAGGGAGAACTGTCCCTTCCCAGAAGCATGAGGGGCAACCCCCAGGTGAGGGCTACAGCCCCAAACTCCAACCCAGGGTGCCTGTGTCTCTCGCGGAAGGCCTGCGCAAGTGAAGGTGGGGCCACAGGTGAGCCTCTACTAACAGGAAGACACTCAAGGGGATGTTGAGGCAGGAAGAGAGGAGAAGCTGAGAGGCCTAAACGGGTGCTGGGTCTTCCCAGGAAGGCCACTCACTTGCCAGAAGCCCTGGGGTGCCCCCCATGAAGAGGCTAGAGCAATGAGTTCCAGCCCAGGGTGTCTGTGTCTCATGCAGAGGGCCCCAGTGGGCGGCAGCTGAGCCACAGGCAGGCCTGGGAGACCAGGCAGAAACTCAGGGGCCAATTAAGGAAGACAGAGGGGAGAAGTGGAGAGGCCTCAGTGGGTGCTCGGCTTTCCCAGGGAGGCCTTTCTTCCCAGAACCCAGGTGACGGCTAAAGCCCTGGACTCTGGCCCAGGGAGGCCTCTTTCTTCCCAGTACCCAGGTGAAGGCTATAGCCCTGGACTGTGGCCCAGGGTGCCTGTGTCTCTCGTGGAATGCCTCGACTAGTGGCAGTGGGGTCACAGGCAGGCATGTGTAGGCGGGCAAAAACTCAGGGGGAGACTTTGAGGCAGGTAGATGGGAAAGTGAGGAGGCCTGAGTAGGTTCTGAGTCCCGCCAAGGGGGCCTCTCTTTTTTCAGAATTACTTGGGGAGAAATTCAGTGATCTAAAAAGCCACAGGCTTTGGAGCAGGGTGCTTGTGTCTCTCACGGAAGGCCCCCCAAGCAAAAACGGGGTCACAGGGTGGCGTAGGCAGACCACAGGGATTCAGGAAGACGTTAAGGCAGACAGAGGGGAGAAGCGGCGGGAACACAGGGGATGCTGAAATCCTCCCAAGTAAGCTTATTCCATCTCAGAATCCCCCAGGGCAGTCCAGGGAAGGCTGTAAAGCCCCTGGCTTTGGAGCAGGGTGGAAGGGTCTCTCGTGGAAGGTCCCCACAAGTGAAAACAGAGTGGCAGGGTGGTGTGGTCGGGCCATAGGGACTCAGGTGGACAATGAGGCAGGCAAAAGGGAGAAGCAGTGAGACAACAGGGAATGTTGGGAGCCTCCCAAGGATGACTATCCCATCCCAGAATCCCCCAGGTTTGTTTCAGGGGGGCTGTAAAGCCCCAGGCTTTAAATCAGTGTACGTGTGTCTCCAGTGTAAGGCCCCCACAAGCAAAAAAGGCTTGTGTCACAGGGTGTCATGGGGAGGCCACAGGGACTCAGAAGGATGATGAGGCAGGCAGAGGGGAGAAGTAGTGAGACCGCAGGGAATGCTGGGAGCCTCCCAAGGATGTCTCTCACATCCCAGAAGCCCCCAGAGCTGTCCCGGGCGGGCTGTAAAACCCCAGGTTTTAAAGTAGGGCGGATGTGTCTCTTGCAAAAGGCCACTACAAGCAAACTCAGGACAATAGGGCGGCATTAGTAGGATGCAGAACCCAGGGGGATGTTGAGGCAGGCAGAGGGGAGAAGCGGCAAGACACGGGGAATGCTGGGAGTCTCCAAAGGAGGCCTCTCCCATTCCAGAAGCTCCTAGAGCTCTCCCGGGTGGGCTATAAAGCCCCAGTCTTGAGGCAGGGTGCCTGTGTATCTCACATAAGGCCCCCACAAGTGAAAATGGGACAGCATGTTGACATGGGCGGGCCTCAGGGCCTCAGGGGGATGTTGAGGCAGGCAGAGTAGAGAAGGGGAGAGACCGCAGGAAATGCTGGGAGCCTTCCAAGGAGGCCTTTCCCATCTCAGAAGAACCCACGGCAGTACCGCGCAGGCTGTAAAGCTCCAGGATTTGGAGCAGGGTGCCTGTGTCTCTCACGGAAGGCCCACACAAGCAAAAACGAGGACACAAGGTAAAGTGGGCTGTCTGCTGTGGCTCAGGAGCACGTTGTGGCAGGCAGAAGGGAAGAATGACAAGACTGTAAGGAATGCTCGGATCTTCCCAAGGAAGCCCCCACCATCCCAAAAGCCCCCAGGGCTGTCCTGCGTGGGTTGTCAATACCCAGGCTTTGGAGCAGTGTGTCTGTGTCTCCGGCAGAAAGCCCCCACAAGCAAAAATGGGGCCACAGGGTAACGTGGACGGCCAGCAGCAACACAAAGGGATGTTGAGGCAGGCAGAGGGGAGAAGCAGTGAGACCACAGGCAATGCTGGGAGCCTCCCAAAAAGGCCTCTCCCCTTCCAGAAGTCCCCTGGGCTATCCCAGGTGGGCTTCACGAGGCTTCTCCCATCCATGAAGCACCCAGGGCTGTCTGGTCAAGCTGTACATTCGACTTTTGAGCAGGGTGTCTTTGCCTCTCACGGAAGGCCCCGCAGTGTGACATATGCTGGCAATAAGGACACAGGGGGACTTTGAGGCAGGCAGATGAAAGAAGCAGCAAGAAGGCAGGGAATGCTGTAAGCCTCCCAAGGAGGCCTCTCTCATCCCAGGAGCCCCCAGGGTTGTCTCAAGTGGGCTGTAAAGCCCCAGGGTATGGAGCACGGTGACTGTGTCTCTCACGGAAGGCCCCCACAAGCAAAATCGGGGCAGTACGGTGCCATGAATGGTCCACAAGGACTGGGAGACATTGAGGCAGGATGAGCAGAAAAGTGGGGAGATCACAGGAAATGTTGGGAGCCTCACAAGGAGGCCTCTCCCATCCCAGAAGCCCCCAGGGCTGTCCCAGGCATGCTGTAAATTCTCAGGCCTTGGAGCAGGGTGACTGTGTCTTTTGCGGAAGGCTCAAACAGCAAAATGGGGCCGCAGGGCTGCAGGGTGGCATGGGCAGGACATAGGGACTCAGGGGGACATTAAGGCAGGCAGAAGAGAGAAGCGGCAAGACTGCAGGGAATGCTGGGAGCCTTTCAAGGAGGCCTCTTCCATCCCAGAAGGCCACAGGGCTGTCCCGGTCGGGCTGTAAAGCCCCAGGCTTTGATTCAGATTGCGTGTGTCTCTCATGGAAGGTCTCCACAAGCAAAATGGGGGCCACAGGGTGGCGTGGGCTGGCCACAGGGACTCAGGGGGACATTGAGGCAGGCAGAGGGGAGAAGTGGAGAGAATGCAGGAATGCCGGGAGCCTCGCCAAAAATTCTCTTCCATTCCAGAAGTCCTCTGGGCTGTCCTAGGCAGGCTGTAATTCCCCAGACTTTGGAGCAGGGTGCCTATGTCTCTTGTGGAAGGTCCCCACAAGCAAAAACAGAACAGCCGGGTGACGTGGGCAGGTGGCACATACTCAGTGGGACTTTGAGGCAGGCAGAGGGGAGAAGCAGCAAGACCAGATGGAATGCTGGGAGCCTCCCAGTGCGGCTTCTCTCATCCAAGAAGTCCCCAGGGCTGTCCTGGTCGGGCAGTAAATTTCTTGGCTTTCGAGCACGGTGTCTGTGTCTCTTGTGAAAGGCCCCCAATGCTAAAATGGGGCGGCAGGTTGGCGTTTGCTGGCCGCAAAGACTTAGCGGGATGATGAGGCAGGCAGATGGGAGAAGGGGTGAGACTGCAGGGATGGTGTGAGAGTCCCAAGGAGGCCTCTAATCCCAGGAGGATGCAGGGCTGTACCACGTGGGCTGTAAAGCCCCAGGCTATGGAGAACATTTCCTGTCTCTAGCGGAAGGCCCCCACAAGTGAAAACGGGGCTGCAGGGCAGCATGCACTGGCCACAGGCATGCAGTGGGACATTGAGGCAGGCATAGGCAAAAAGCTGGGTAACCGCAGGGAATGCTGGGAGCCTTCCAAGGAGGCCTCTCCCACCACAGAAGCCCCTAGGGCTATCCTAGGCAGGCAGTAAAGTCCCAGGTTTTGGAGCAGGGTGCCTGTGTCCCTCATGGAAAGCCCCCACAAGTGAAAATGGGGCCTCATGGTGGCATGATTGGGCCAGAGGGACTAGGAAGACGTTGAGGCAGGATGAGGGGAGAAGCAGCATGACAGCAGGGAATGCCGGGAGCCTCCCAAGGCTTTTCCATTCCCAGAAGCCCCAGGTCTGTCTTGGGTCTGTTGTAAAGCCCCAGGCTTTGGAGCAGGGATTCTGTCTCTAGCAGAAGGACCCCACAAGTGACAACGGGGCTGCAGTGTTAGGTGGCCGGGCTGCCGGGATTCACAGGGACATTGAGGCAGGAAGAGCAGAGAAGCAGCGAGACCGTAGAAAATGCTGGGAGCCTCCCAAGGAGTCTCGCATTTCAGAAGCCTCCAGGGTTGTCCCAGTCAGGCTGTGACGGCCAAAGCTTTGGAGCATGGTCCATGTGTCTTTTGCAGATAGGACAAGCTGCAAGGCTGAAGTGGGTGATGGATCCCACCAGGAAGGCATCTCCCTTCCCAGAATTACCTGGGGTGCCCCCCGGATTGTCTGGAAAACCCCAGGCTTTGGAGTAGGGTGCCTAAGTCTCTCGTGGAAGGCCCCCACAAGAAAAACAGGGCTTAAGGTAGCGTTGGAGGGCTGCAAAGACTCAAAGGGAAGTTGAGGCAAGCAGACGGGAGAAGCAGCAATGCTGCGTGGAATACTAGAGACTTCCCAAGGAAACCTATCACATTCAAGAATCCCACACGGTTGCACCGAGCCAGCAGTAAATCCCCAGGATTAGGTAAAGTGTGCCTTTGTCTCTCGTGGAAGGCTCACAGAACTGAAAACGGGTGTGCTGGGTGGCATGGGCAGGCCACAGGGACTCAGGGAGACATTGAGGCAGGCAGAGGGGAGAAGTGGCAAGAGCGCAGGGAATGCTGGGAGAATCACAAAAAGACCTCTCTCATCCCTGAAGCCCCATGGCTCTCAGGAGTGGGCTGTAAAGCCCCAGTTTTGGAACACTGTGCTTGTGTTTCTCGCTGAATGTCTCCGCAAGCAAAAACGGAGCCACAGTGTGGAGTGGGCGAGCCGCAAGAACTCAGGAAAACATTGAGGCACACAAAGAGGAGAAGCAGCAAGACCGCAGGGAATGTTGGTAGACTCCCAGGGAGGCCCCTCCCATCCCAGAAGCTCCCAGGGCTGTCCCAGGCAAGGAATAAATCCTCAGGCTTTGGAGCAGGGTGCCTGTGTCTCTCGCGGAAGACCCCCACAAACAAAAATTGAGCCACAGGGTGGAGTGGGCAGGCTTCAGGGACTCAGGGGGACGTTGAGGCAGGCAGAGGGGTGAAGCGGTGAGACAGGAAGGAATGCTGGGAGCCTCCAAAAGATGCCTCTCCTATCCCAGGGAGATAGGGCTGTCACAGGTGGGCTGTAAAGCACCAGGCTTTGGAGCAGGTGCAGGTGTTTCTTGCGATTGTCCCCCACAAGGGAAATGGGCCTGAAGTGTGACATGGGCCAGCAGCAAAGACTCAGGGTGATGTTGAGACAAGCAGAGGGGAGAAGGGACAAGACCACAGGAAATGCTGGGAGCCTCCCAAGGAGACCTCTACCATCCCAGAAGACACCAGGGCACTTCTGGGAGAATTGGAAAGCTCCAGGCTTCAAAGCAGGGTGCCTGTGTCTCTCACAGAATGCCTGCATAAGCGAAAACGGGGCCTCAGGGATGCGTGGGCCCGCCGCAGAAACTCGGGAATGTTGAGGTAGGCAGAGAAGAGAAGCAGCGAGACAATAAGGAATGCTAGCAGCCTCCCAAAAAGGACTCTCCCACTCAAGAAGCCCCTAGGGCTGTCATGGGCGGGTTGTAAATCACCAGGATTTGGACCAGTGTGCCTGTGTCTCTCACAAAATGCCCTGGCAAACAAAAATAGGTCTGCAAGGTGGCGTGGGCGGGCGGCAGTGACTCAGGGGGACGTTCAGTCAGGCAGATGGGAGATGCAGCGATGCTGCAGGAAATTCTGAGAGCCTTTCAGGGAGACCTGAAAGGGCATGTTGAGTCAGAGTGAAGAAGCGGTGATACCTCAGGGAATGCTGGGAGCCTCCCAAGAACTCCTCTCCCATCCCAGAAGCCCACTGGGCTGTCCCAAGCAGGCTGTAAATCCCCAGGCTTTGGAGCGGGGTGACTGAGTCTCCCGCAAAAGGCCCCCAGAAGGGAAAACAGAATCACAGGGTGGCTTGGGCGGGTGGCAACGACAGAGTGGGACGTTGAGGCAAGCCGATGGGAGAAGCGGCGACACCGCAGGTAAAGCTGATAGCCAACCCGAGAGGTCGCTCCCTTCCCAGAAGCCACCATGGTGGTATCCTGGGCGGGCTGTAAAGCCTCAGGCTTTGGAGCAGGGTGCCTGTGTCTCTCGAGGAATCCTCCCACAAGCAAAAACGGGGCCACAGGTTTGCGTGGGTGGGCTAAAGGGACTCAGGCAGACGTTGAGGCAGAAAAAAGAAAAAAACAGCAAGATCGCCGTGAATGCTGGGAGCCTCCCTAAAAGGCCTCTCCCATCCCAGAAGACCCCAGAGCTGTCCTGGGCTGACTGTGAAACCCCAGGCTTTGGAGCAGGTTGCGTAAGTCTTTCACAGAAGGCCCCCACAAGCAAAAACGGGATGGCAGGGTTGCTTGGGAGGGCCGCAGAATCTCAGGGGGACGTTGAGGAGCGCAGAGTGGAGAAGCGGCAAGAACGCAGGGAATGCTTGAGTCTCCCAAGAAGGCCCCTCCTATCCCAGAAGCCCCCAGGTCTTTCCCAGGAGGGCTGTAATGCCCCAGGATGCCTTGAAACAGGGTAACTTTTTCTCTAGTGGAACGCCCCCAAAGCAAAAACGGGGCCGCTTGGTGGTGTGGGCTGATGGAAGATATTCAGGGGGACATTGAGAAAGGCAGAGGGGAGAAATGGCAAAACTTCAGGGAATGCAGGGAGATTTCCAAGGAGGCTTCTACAATCCCAGAAACTCCCAGGGCTGTCCTGGGCAAGCTGTAAAGCCCCAGGCTTTGGAGCAAGATGCCTGTGTCTCTCTTGGAAGGGCCCCACAAGTGAAAATGGGGCCGCAGGGTGGAGTGGGAGGGACGCAGGGGGACGCTGAGACAGGCGGAAAGGAGAATCGGTGACACAGCAAGGAATGCTGGGAGCCTCCCAAGGATGTCTCTGCCATCCTAAAGCGCCCAGGCCTGTTTCGGTCAGGCTGGAAAGCCCCAGGCTTTGGAGCAGCCTGTGTGTGTCTCTCGCAGAAGGCCTCCACAAGCCAAATTGGGGTCGTAGAATGGCGTGGGTGGGCCACAGGGACTTAGGGGGATGTTGAGACAAGCAGAGAACAGAAGCTGCAAGACAACAGGGAATGCTGGGAGCCTCCCAAGGATGCCTCAGCCACCCCAGAAGCCCCCTGGGCTGGCCCAGGAAGGCTGTGAAGCCCTAGGGTTTGGAGCAGTGTGATTGTATATCTCATGGAAGGCCCCACAATGAAAACGGGGCTGCAGGGTGGCGTGGGCGGGCCGCAGGGACCCAGGGGTCTGTTGAGACAGGCAGAAGGGAGAAGTGGCGAGAATGAAGGGAATGCTAGGAGCCTTCCAAGACCTCTCCCATCCCAGAAGCCCCGAGGGCTGTCCCTGGCAAACTGTAAAGCCCCAGGCTTTAAAGCTGGGTGCATTTGTCTCTCGTGGAAGGCCTCCACAAGCGAAGACGGGGCCTCAGGGTGGTGTGGGCAGGCCTAAGGTACTCTGGGGGACCTTCAGGGTGGCAGAGAGGAGAAGTACGGAAACCACAGGGAATGTTGGGAGACTCCCAAGAGGACCTCTCCCATCCCAGAAGCTCCCAGGGCTGTCCTGGGCAGACTGTAAAGCCCCAGGTCTTGGTGGCAGGGTCCCTGTCTCTGTTGCAAAAGACCCCCAAAAGCAAAAACAGGGCCGCAGGGTGGCATCCGTGGGCGACCGAGAAACAGAGATGTTTGAGGCAGGCAAAGGGGAGAAGCGGCGAGACCACAGAGAGTGCTGGAAGCCCTCCATGGAGGCCTCTTCCATCCCAGAATACCCCAGGGCTGTCCTGGGTGGGCTGTAAGGCCCAAGGCTTTGAAGCAGGGTGCCTGTGTCTCTCACAGAAGGCCTCAACAAGAGAAAACAAGGTTGCAGGGTGGAAAGCGTGGGACCCAGCGACCCAGGGGGACGTGAGGTCGACAGAGAGGAAAAGCGGCGGGACTGCAAGGAATGCGGTCCCAAGGAGGACTTTTCCATCCCAGGAGCCCCCATGGCTGACTCAGGCGGGCTGTAAAGACCCAGGCTTTAAGGCAGGGAGTGTTTGTCTCTCGCAGGATACCCCCACAAGTGAAAACAAAGCCACAGGGTGGTTTGGAAATCAATCGGACCTGAGGAAATCAATCAATCGGACCTGAGGAAATCAGGGGGCTGTTGAGTCAGGCAGAGGGGAGACAGCAGGGAATGCTGGACACGGCCCTAGGAGGCCTCTCTCATCTTAGAAGTATCCAGAGCTCTCCCAGGCCGGCTGTGAAGCACCAGGCCTTGGAGCAGGGTGTCTCGCAGAAGGCCCCAATAAGAAAAATGTGGCTGCAGGGTGGCGTGAACGGGTGACAAGGACTCAGTGGGACATTGAGTCAGACAGAGGAAAGAAGCGGCGAGACCGCAGAGAATGCTGAAAGCCTGGCAAGGAGGATTCTCCCATCCCATAAGCCCCCAAAGCTGAACCAGTCAGGCAGTAAATCCCCAGGGTGCCTGTGTCTCTTGCCAAAGGCCCCCACAAGGAAAAACGGGGCTGCATGATGGAGTCGGCGGGTCACAGGGACTCAGGAGAAGGTTGAGGCAGGCAGAGGGGAAAGTGGTGAGATGGCAAGAAATGCTGAGAGCCTCCAAAGGAGGTCTATCCCATCCCAGAAGCACCCAGGGCTCTCTCAGGTGGGATGTAAAAAAACAGGCTCTGGAGGCTTGTGTCTGTTTCACTCCTGGAAGGCCTCCACAAGTGAAAATGGGGCTGCAACATGGTGTGGGGGGCCACAGGGACTCAGGGGCACTTTGAGGCAGAGAGAGGGGAAAAGCGGCAAGACCGCCCCTTTCACCAATGCTCGTCCCATCCGAGAAGCCCCCAGGGCTGTCCAGGGCAGGCTGTAAAGCCCAAGGCCTTAGAGCAGGTGCCTGTGTCTCTCACGGGAGGCCCCCACAAGAAAAACGAAGTCTCAGGGTGGCGTGGACAGGCCACAGGGACTCATGGGGACATTGAGGCAGGCCTAAGGGAGAAGTGGGCAAGACCGCAGGGAAAGATGGGAGCCTCCCAGGAAGACTTCTTTTATCCCAGAAGCCCCAAGGCTGTCCCAGGAGGGCTATAAAGCCCCAGGATTCGGAGAAGGGTGGGTTTGTCTCTCACGGAATTCCCCCAAAAGCAAAAACGGGGCCGTAGGTGGCATGGGCAGGGTGCAGAGACTCAGGGGGATGTTGACACAGGCAGAGAGGAGAAGCTGCAGGGAATGTTGGGAGCCTCTGCCATCACAGAAGCCCCCAGGGCTGTTTCTGTCAAGCTGTAATTCCCCAGTCTATGTAGCACGGTTTCTATGTCTTGTGGAAGACCTCCAAAAGAGACAACGGGGCAACATGGTGGCCTGGGCAAGACACAGGGACTCAGAGGGGCTTTGAGGCAGGCAGAATGGAGAAGTGGCCAGACTGCAGGGAATGGTACGAGCCTCCCAAACAGGCCCCTTCAATCCCAGAAGCATCCAGGCCTGCCCCATGCGGGTTGGAAAGCACCAGGCTTTGGAGCAGGGAGCCTGCATCTCTCGCAGAAGGCCCCCACATGCAAAAATGGGGCCACAGTGTGGTGTGGGAGGTTCGCAGGGACTCAGGTAGACGTTGAGGCAGGCCAAAGGAAGAAGCCACAATACTGCAGGGAATTCTGAGAGCCTCTCAAGGAGGCCTCTCCCACCCCAGAAGCCCCCAGGGCTGCCCCAGATGGGCAGTAATGCCAAAGACTTTGGAGCAGGGTGCCTATGTTTCTTGCGGAAGATCCCTAAAAGAGACAACAGGGCTGTGAGGTGGCATGGGCAGCTGCAGGGTCTCAGGGAGATGTTGAAGCAGGCAGCGGGGAGACGCGGCAAGACCGCATGGAAAGCTGGGAGCCTCCCAAGGAGGACTTCCCCATTCCAAAAGCCCCCTGGTCTGTCCCTGACGAGCTGTAGTGCCCCAGGATTTGGAGCAGGGTTCCTGTGTATCTCATGGAAGGCCCCACAAGCAAAAACGGGGCCTCAGAGTTTTCTGGATGAGCCACTGGGACTCAGGGGAATGTTGAGGCAGGCATAAGGGTGAAGTGGTGAGACCACAGGAAATGCTGGAAGCATCCCAAGGAGGCGTCTTTCATCCCAGATGCCCCTAGGGTATTCCCGATCAGGTTGTGAAGCCCCAGGCTCTGGAGCAGGTTGCCC
Source organism: Homo sapiens (assembly GCF_000001405.40). Classification (NCBI taxonomy): domain Eukaryota; kingdom Metazoa; phylum Chordata; class Mammalia; order Primates; family Hominidae; genus Homo; species Homo sapiens. The sequence continues at coordinate 46,141,709 of NC_000008.11, read as the reverse complement.
GTATCTCCCGCGGAAGGCCTTCACAAGCAAAAACGGGGCCGCAGGGTGGTGAGGGCAGGCCGTAGGGGCTCACGGGGTCATTGAGGCAGGGAGGAAAAAGAAGTGTCGAGACCGCAGGGAATGCTGGCAGCCTCCCTTAGTGGCCTCTCCCATCCAAAAAGCCACCTAGGCTGTCCCGGGCAGACTGTAAAGCCCCAAACTTTGGAGCAAACTGCCTATGTTTCCCATGGAAGGCCCCCACAAGGGAAACTGTGGCCACAGAATGGCATGGTCAGGCCGCAGGAACTCAGGGGTCTTTGAGACAGACATTGGGGAGAAGCGGGGAGACCGCAGGGAATGCTGGGAGCCTCCCAAGGAGGCCTCTCCCATCTCAGAATACCCCAATGCTGTCCCCATACAGGTTGTAAAGCCCCAGGCTTTGGAACAGGGTGCCTGTGTTTCTCACGGAAGGCCCCCAAATGCAAAAATGGGGCTGCAGGGTGGTGTGGGAGGATCGCAGGGATTTAGGGAGACGTTGAAGCAGGCAGAGGGGAGTAGCGTCAAGACCGCAGGGAATGCTGTGACTCTCTTCAGGATGCCTCTCCCATTGCAGAAGAACCCAGGGCTGTCTCAGGCGGGCTGTAATGTCCCAGTCATTGGAGGACAGTGCCTGTGTCTCTAGCGGAAGACCCCCAAAAAACAACAGGGCGGCAGAGTGGCGTGGGCGGGCTGCAGAAACTGAGAAGGACGTTGAGACAGGCAGAGGGGAGAAGTGGCGAGACCGCAGGGAATGCTGGGAGCCTCGAAAGGATGCCTCACCCATCCCAGAAGTCTCCAGGGCTGTCCCAGACCTGCTGCAAATCCCCAGGCATTGGAGCAGGGTGCGTGTGTTTCTCGCAAAAGGCCCAAACAAGCTATAACAGGACCGCAGGATGGCGTGGGCCGGCCACAGGGACTCAGAGGGGTGTAGACGCAGTCAGTCATGAGAAGCATCCAAAACGCAGGGAACGCTTGGAGCCTTTCTAGGAGGCCTCTCTCATCCCAGAAGCCCCCAGGGTGTCCCAGTCAGGCTGTAATGCTGCAGTCTTTGGAGCAGGGTGCCTGTGTCTCTCATAGAAGACCCCAAAAAGAGAAAATGGGGCAGCAGAATGGCTTGGGCGGGACACAGGGACTCAGGGGACCATCGAGGCAGGCAGAGGGGAGAAGTGGCGAGACTGCAGGTAAAACTGGGAGCCTCCCAAGAAGGTCTCTTCCATTCCAGAAGCCCCCAGGGCTGTCTCAGGTGGGCTGTAAAGCACCAGGCTTTGGAGCAGGGTGCTGTGTCTTTCACGGAAGCCCTCCACAAGCAAAAACGGGTCCACAAAGTGGCTAGGATAGGCTGTAGAGACTCACTGGGAAGTTGAGACAGGCAGATAAAATAAGCTGTGAGATTGAAGGGAATGCTGGGGGCCTCCCCTCGAGGCATCTCCTATCCCAGAAGCCACCTGCACTTTCCCAGGCAGGCTGTAAAGCACGAGGCTTTGAAGCAGGGTGCCTGTGTCTCTCACGGATTGCTTTCACAAGCAAAACCGGGGCCGCAGAGTGGAGTGGGTGGGCCGCAGGGTATTGGGGGACGTTGAGACAGGCAGAGAGGAGAAGCGAGGAGACCTCAGGGAATGCTGGCCGCCTCCTAAGGAGGCATCTCCCTTCCCCGAAGTCCCCAGGGCCGTCCCGTGCGCGTTGTAAGCCCCAGGCTTTGGAGCAGGCAGCCTGTGTCTCTCGTGGAAGTCCCACGCATACCAAACCGGGGCCACAGGGTGGAGTGGAAGGGCCGCAAGGACTCAGGGGGACGTTGAGGTGGGCAGAAGGGAGAAGCGGTTAAACCGCAGGGAATGCTGGGAGCCTCCTAAAAATGCCTCTTCCCAGAAGTCCCCAGGGCTGTCTTGTATGGGCTGTAAAGCCCCAGGCTTGGGAGCAAGGTGCCTGTGTCTCTCGGGGAGGACCCCTCAAAAGAAGCAATGGGACCACAGGGTGGTGTGGGCAGACCTCAAGTACTCAGCGGGACTTTGACGCAGGCAGAGTGGAGAGCGACGAGACTGCAGGGAATGCTGGGAGTCTGCCACGGATGTGGCTCCTGTTTTAGAAGCCCCCAGAAATGTCCCGGACGGGCTGTAAACCCCAGGATTTGAAGCAGGGTGCCTGTGTCTCTCGCAAAAGGCCCAAACAAGCGAAAACAGTGCTGCAGGGTGGCATGGGCAGGCCGCAGGGGCTCAGGGGGATGTTAAGGCAGGCAGACAAGAGAAGCTGTGAAACCTCAGGAAATGCTTGAAGCCTCCCAAGGAGGCCTCTCACATTTTAGAAGCCCCCAAGTCTGTCGCTGATGGGCTATAAAGCCCCAAACCTTGGAGCAGGGAGCCTGTTTCTCTCAAGGGAGGCCACAGTGTGGCGTGGGAGGGCGGCAGAAACTGAGGAGGATGTTGAGAAAGGCAGAGGGTAGAAGTGGCAAGAACACAGGGAATGCTGGGAGCCTCCCAAGGAGGCCTCCCACATTTCAGAAGAGCCCAGATCTATCCCGGATGGGCTGTAATGCCCCAGGCTTGGAAGAAGAGTGCCTGTATATGTCGTGGAATACCCCCAAAGGAGACAACGGGGTTGCTGGTTGCCATGGGCATGCAGCAGGGACTCAGACATTGAGGAAGGCAGAAGGTAGAAGCTGCAAGACTGCAGGGAATGCTTGGAGCCTCCCAATTAGGCCTCTTACATCCCAGAAGCCCCCAGGTCTGTCCCGTATGGGCTATTGTGTCCCAGGCTTTGGAGCAGGGTGCCTGGGTCTCTTGTGGAAGGCTTCCACAAGGGAAAACAGGGCCTCAGGGTGGCCTGGGCTAGCCACAGGGACTCAGGGGAACGTTGAGGCAGGCAGAAGGGAGAAGTGGCGATACTGCAGGGAATTCTGGGAGCATGCCAAGGAGCCAGAAGCCTGCAGGACTGTTTTGGGCATGCTATAATGCTTCAGGTTTTGAAGCAGAGTGACTGTCTCTAGCTAAAGGCCCCTACTAGCAAAAACGGGTCTGCAGGTTGGCGTGGGAGGGTGGCAGGGACTCAGGGTAAGGTTGAGGGAGGCAGAAGGGAAAGCGCTGAGACCACATGGAATGCTAGGAGACGCCCAAGGATGCCTCTCTCATCCCACAAACCCCCAGGATTGTCCCGGGTGGGCTGTAAAGCCCCACACTTTGGGGCAGGGTGCCAGTAGCTCTCTCGAAAGGCCCCCAGAAGCAAAAACAGGGCCGACAGGTGGCGTGGGCGGGCCACAGGGACTCAGGTGGTTGTTGAGGCAGGCAGAGGGGAGAAGCGGCGAGATTGCAGGAAATGCTGGTAGCCTCCCAAGGAAGCATTTCCCATCCCAGAAGCCCCCAGGACTGTTTCAGGCGTGGTGTAAAGCTTCAGGTTTTGAAACAAGGTGCCTGTATCTGTAGAGGAATGCTCCCACAGGTGAAAATGGGGCAGCAGGGTGGCGTTGGCAGCCCGCACGGACTCAGCGAGACATTGAGACCAACAGAGGGGAGAAGCAGCAAGACTGCAGGGAATGCTGCGATCCTCCGAAGGACGCCTCTCCAATCCCAGAAGCCTGCAAAGCTCTCCCGGGGGCTGCTTTAAAGCACCAGTCTTTGGAGCAGGGTGCCTGTGTCTCTCACTGAAGACCTTCATATGAACAAACGGGGCCACAAGGTGACATGGGATGGATGCAGGGATTCAGGGGAAGTTGGGGAAGGCAAAGGGAAGATGCGATGAGATGGCAGGGAATGCTGTGAGCCTTGCAAGGAGGCCTTGCTCATCCCAGAAGCCCCCACGTGTTTCCAGGGAGGCTATAAAGCTTTAGGCTACAGAGCAGGGTGCATGTGTCTTTACCAGAAGGCCTCCACAAGCGAAAACTGGGCCGCAGAGTGGCGTGGGCAGGCGGCAGGGACTCAGGGTGACGTTGAGGTTGGCAGAGGGGGGAAGCGGCAAGACCGCAGGGAATGCTAGGAGGCTCCCAAGGAGGCCTCTCCCATTCCAGAAGTCCCCAGGACCTTCCCGGGTGGGCTGTAAAGCCTCGCGCTTTGGAGCAGGGTGCTTGCGTTTCTCACAAAAGGCCCAAACAAGTGAAAACAGAGCAGCAGAATGGAGTAGTCAGGGTGCACAATGGTGTAGGCAGGCCGCAGGGACTAAGGGGGATTTTGAGGCAGGCAAAGGTGAGAAGCAGAGAGACTGCAGGGATTGCTGGGAGCCTCTCAAGGACGCCTCTTTTATCCCAGAAGTCCTCAGGGCTGTCCCAGCCAAGCTGTGATGCCACAAGCTTTGGAGCAGGTTGCCTGTGTCTCTTGCAGAAGACCCCCAGAAGAGACAATGGGTTGGCAGGTTGACATGGTCGGGCCACGGGAACTCAGGGGAACATTGAGGCAGACAGACAGGAAAAGCATGGAGACTGCAGGGAACGCTGGGACCCTCCAAATTTGGCCTCTCCAATCCCAAGTGCACCCAGGTCTGCCCCAGACAAGCTGTAGTGCTCCAGCCTTTGTAGCAGGGAGCCTGTGTCTCTCGTGAAAGGCCACAAAAGCGAAAACAGGGCTGCAGTGTGGCCTGGGCGAGCTGCAGAGACTCAGGGGAATGTGGGGGCAGGCAGAGGGGAGAAGGGGCGAGACTGCAGGGAATACTGGGAGCCTCCCAAGGAGGCCTACCCCATCCCAGAACCCAAGTCTCTCCGAGGCTGGCTGAAAAGCCCCAGGCTTTGTAGCAGTGTGCCTGTGTCTCTCGCAGAAGGCCCCACAAGTGAAAACGGGGCCACAGAGTGGTGTGGGCATGTGGCAGGGACTCGGGGTGACCTTGAGGCAGGCAGAGAAGAGAAGCAGCGAGACACAGGTAATGCTGGGAGCCTCTCAAGGAGGCCTCTTCCATCCCAGAAGCCACGGGGACAGTCCCAGCCGTGTGTAAACCTTCAGGTTTTGAAGCAGTGTGCCTGTGTCTCTAGAGGAAGGCCCCCACTAGTGAAAACAGGGTCGTAGGGTGGTGTGGGAGGGCCTCAAGGACTCAGGGGGACATTGAGCCATGTAGAGGGGAGAAGTGTCGAGACTGCAGGGAATGCTGGGAGCATCCCAAGGAAGTCTCTCCCATCTCAGAAGCTCTCACGGCTGTCCCGGGAGTGCTGTAAAGCCCCAGGCTTTGGAGCAGGATGCCTGTGTCTCTCCAGAAAAGCCACCACAAGCGAAAATGAGGCCGTAGGGTAAAGTGGGCAAGCCACTGTGACCCAGGGGGACGTTGAGGAAGACAGACTGGAGAGGCGGCGACACCGCACGGAATGCTGGGACCCTCCCTTCGCATCCCAGAAGCCCCCTGGCTGTCTCAGACGGGCTGTAAAGCACCAGGCTCTGGAGCAGGGTGCCTGTATCTCTCGCGGAAGGCATCCATAAGGAAAAATGGGGCCTCAAATTGGCGAAAGTGGGCCGTAGGGATTCACGGGGACGTTGAGGCATGCAGAGAGAAGATGCGGTGAGACCACAGAGAATGTTGGGAGCCTCCCCTGGACACCTCTCCCATCCTAGAAGTCCCCTGGGCTGTCCCGGGCGGGCTGTAAAGCCCCAAGATTTGGAGCAGGCTGTCTGTGTCTCTTGCAGAAGGCTCCCACAAGTGAAAAGGGGGCTGCAGTGTGGCCTGGACAAGCCGCAGGGACTCAGGAGGCCATTGTGACAGGCAAAAGGGAGACGTGGCGATACCGCAGGGAATGCTGGGAGCCTCCCAAGGAGGCCTCTCCCATCCCAGAAGCCCCTGGGCTGTCCCGTGCGGGTTATAAAGCCCCAGGCTTTGGAGTAGGGAGCCTGTGTCTCTTGCAGAAAACCCCCACATGCAAAAACGGGGCTACAGGGTGGCGTGTGAGGGCCTCAGGGACTCAGTGGGACATTGAGGCAGGCAGAGGGAAGAAGCAGCGAGACTGCAGGGAATTCTGGGAGCCTCCCAGGAGAACTCTCTAATCCCAGAAGGTCCCAAGGCTGTCCCGGCTGAGCTGTAATGCCCCAGTCTTTGGAGCAGGGTGCCTGTGTCTCTCACGGAAGACCCCCAAAAGAGACAAGGGGGTGGCAGGGTGGCATGGACAAGCCGCAGAGACTCAGGGAGACATTGACGCAGACAGAGGGAGGAAGTGGCGAGACTGCAGGGAATGCTGGGAGCCTCCCAAGGAGACCTCTCCATCCCTGAATCCCCCAGGGGTGTCCTGGGCAGGCTAGAAAGCTCCAGGCTTCAGAGCAGGGTGAGTGTGTCTCTCCTGCAAGGCCCCCACAAAGGAAACGTGGCCGCAGGGTAGCATGGGTGGGTGGCAGTGACTCAGGGTGACATTGAGACAGGCAAGGAGGAAAGCGGCAAGACCGCTGGGAATGCTGAAAGCCTCCCAAGAAGGTCTCTCCTATCCCGCAAGCTTCCAGGACTGTCCTGGGCGGGCTGTAAAGCCCCAGGCTTTGGGTCAGGGTGCCTGTGTCTCACAAAAATCACCCACAAGTGAATACAGGGAAGCAGGGTGGCATAGGCGAGCTGCAGGTTGTTGTGGGTGGGCTGCAGGGACTCAGGGAATTGAAACAGGCAGAAGGAAGAAGCGGTGACATGGCAGGGATTGCTGAGAGCCTCCCAAGGAGGCCTCTCTCATCACAGAAGTCTCCAGGGCTGTCTCGGATGTTCTGTAATATCACAGGCTTTGGAGCAGAGTCCCCGAGTCATTCGCGGAAGACCACCAAAAGACAATGGGGCAGCAGGGTGGTGAGGACAGGCCACAGGGACTCAGGGAGACATTGATGCAGGCAGAGGGGAGAAGCAGTGAGACCGCAGAGAATGCAGGGAATATCCCAAGGAGGCCGCTTCCATTCTAGAAGCCCCCAGGGCTGTCCTAGGCTGGCTATAAAACCCCAGGCTTCAGAGCAGGGTGCCAGCGTCTCTCACGGAAGGCCCCCGCAAGCGAAAATGGGGTGGCGGCGTGGCATGTGCGGCAGTAGAAACTCACGGTGATGTTGAGGCAGGCAGAAGGGGGAAGTGACAAGACAGCAGGGAATGCTGGGAGCCTCCTAAGGAGGCCTCTCCCAACCCAGAAGCCACAACAGCTGTCCTAGGCAGGCTGTAATACCCCAGTACTTGGGGAAGGGTACCTGTGTCTCTCGTGGAATACCCATAAAAGAGACAACAGGGTGGCAAGGTTGTGCGGACCGGCCACAGAGACTCAGGGAGACGTTGAGGTAGGCCGAGGGGAGAAGCAAGACCGCATGAAATGCTGGAAGCCTTTCAAGGAGGCCTCTCCGATCCCAGAAGCACCCAGGTGTATCCCGGACTGGCTTTCATGCCACAGTCTTTGGAGAAGGGTGCCTGTGTCTCTCGCAACAGGCCCCAACAAACGAAAACGGGTCCGCACGGTGGCCTGGAAGGGACGCAGGGACTCAGGGGAACATTAAGGCAGGCGGAGAGGAGAAGTGGCGAAACCGCAGGGAATGCTGGGAGCCTCCCAATGACGACTCTTCCATCCCAGCCACCCCCAGGGCTTTACCGGCAGACTGTAAAGCCTCAGACTTTGGAACAGGGTGCCTGTGTGTCTCGCAGAAGGCTCTCACAAGCAGAAATGGGGCCGCAGGGTAGCATGGGCAGGTGGCAGGGACTCGGGGAAGTTGAAGCAGGAGGTCGAGAGAACTGGTGAGACCACAGGGAATGCTCAGAGCATGCCAAAAAGGCCTCTCCCATCCTAGAAGCCACCAGGACTGTCCCAGGCATTCGGTAAAGCTTCATGTTTTGAAGCAGGGTGCCTGTGCATCTCCCAAAAGTCTCCTACAAATGAAAACGGGGCTGCAGGGTGGCATGGGTGGGCCGCAGGGACTCGGGGACTTTAAGGCAGGCAGACGCAAGAACCAGCAACACCACAGGGAATATTAGGAGCCTCCCAAAAAAAGTCTATCCCATCTCAGAAGACCGCAAGACTGTCCCAATCGGGCTGTAAGTCCCCATGCTTTAAAGCAGTGTGCCTGTATCTCTCGCAGAAGGCCCTCACGAGGGAAATTGGAGCCTCAGGTTGGCATGGGCAAGCAGCAGGGACTCAGTGGGAAGTCGAGGGAGGCAGAAGCGAAGAAACCACTAGGCCGTAGGGAATGCTGGGATTCTCCCAAGGAGGGCTCTCCCGTCCCTGAAGCATCTGGGGCTGTCCCAGAGAGGCTGTAATGCCCAAGGCTTTGGAGCAGGTGCCTGTTTCTCTCTCGGAAGTCCCCTAAAAGAGACAACAGGGCAGCAGGGTGGCTTGGGCTGGTGGCAGAAACTCAGGGACCCATTGAGGCAGGTAGAGGGAAGAAGCGGTGAGACCGCGGGGAATGCAGGAAGCCTCCCAAGGAAGCCTTTCCCACCCAAGAAGCACCCAGGGGTTCCCAGGCAGGCTGGAGAGCCCCAGGCTTCAAAGCAGGGTGCCTGTGTCTCTTGCAGAAGCCTCCCACAAGTGGAAACGGGGCCGCAGCGTAGCGTGGGAGGGAGGCAGGGACTCGGGGACATTGAGGCAAGCAGAAGGGGAAAGTGGCGAGACCACAGGGAATAATGGGAGCCACCCAGGGAATTCTCTCCCATCCCAGAAGTTCTTAGGACTGTCTCGGGCGTTCTGACAAACTTCAGATTTTGAAGCAGGGTGCTTGTGTCTTTAGCAAAAGGCCCCCACTAGCGAAAATGGGGCCTCTGGGTGGTGTGGGCGGGCCTCAGGGACTCAGGGGATGTTGAGGCAGGCAGAGGGGAAAAATAGAAGAGACCGCAGGGAATGCTGGGACCCTCCCAAGTACACCTCTCCCATCCCAGAAGCCCTGAGGGCTGTCTCTAATGGGCTGCAATTCCCCAGGCTTTAGAGCAGGGTGTCTGTGCCTCTTGCAGAAGAACCCCAAAAGACACAATGAGGCGGTAGGGTGGCCTGGGCAGGCCTCAGGGACTCAGGGAGATGCTGAGGTAGACAGAGAAGAGAAGAAGCAGGAAGGTAGGGATTGCTGGGAGCCTCCCAAGGGGGCCTCTTTCATCTCAGAAGCACCCAGGATTCTCCCGGGCGGGCTATGAAGTCCCAGGCTTTGGAACAAAGTGGCTGCGTCTCTTGCGGGAAGCCCCCACGTGCAATAATGGGGCATAGAGTGGCATGAGCAAGCCGCAGGGTCTCAGCAAGAAGTTGAGGCAGGCAGAAGGGAGAGGTGGTGACACAGCAGAGAATGCTGGGAGCCTCTCTATAGGGGCTCTCCCATCCCAGAAGCTCCAGGGCTGTCCCGGGAGGGCTATAAAGCACCAGGCTTTGGAGCAGGGTGCCTGTGTATCTCGCAGAAGACCTCCACAAGCAAAACCGGGGAGGCAAGGTGGCATGGGCAGGCCACAGGGAATCATGGGGACTTTGAGGCAGGCAGAGGGGAGAAGCGACAAGACCACAGAAAATGCAGGGAGACTTCCAAGAAGGCCTCTCCCATCCCAGAAGCCCCCAGGGCTGTCCTGGCCTGGCTGTAATGCCCCAGGCTTTGGAGCAGGGTGCCTGTGGCTTTGGCGGAAGGCCTCCATAAGCAAAAACAGGGCCTCAGGGTGGGGTGGGCGGGCGGCAGGGACTCAATGTGACATTGAGGCAGGTGGAGGGGAGAAGCAGTGAGACTGTAGGGAATGCTAAGAGCCTCCCAAGGAGGCCTCTCCTATCCCAGAAACCCCCAGAGCTGTTCTGGGTGTGATGTAATGCTTCAGGTTTTGAAGAAGGGTGCCTGTGTCTTTAGCGGAAGGGCAATTACTAGCGATAATTGGGCCATAGGGTGGGGTGGGCGGCTCGCAAATACTCAGGGGGACATTGAGCCGGGCAGAGAGGACAAGTGTCGAGACAGCAGGGAATGCTGGGAGCATCCCAAGGAGGCCTCTCCCATCCCAGAAGCCCCCAGGGCTGTCCTGGGCCTTCTGTAAAGCCCAAGGCTTTGGAGCAGGGTGCCTGTGGCACTTGTAGCAAGCCCTCATAAGCGAAAATGGGGCAATAGGGTGGCTTGGGCACGCCACAGAGACTCAGGGGTACATTGAAGAAGGCAGAGAGAAGACACTGCGAGACCGCAGGGAACGCTGGGAGCCTCCTTAAAAGGCCTCTCCCATCCCAGAATCCCCCAGGGTTGTCCTGGGCAGGCTGTAAACACCAGGTTTTGGACCAGGGTGCTTGTGACTCTCACGGAAGACCGCCAAAAGCAAAAAAGGAGCCACAGGGTGGCATGGGCGGGCTGCAGAGATGCATGGGGATGTTGAGGTAGGCAGAGGGAAGAAGTTGCGAGACCACAGGGAATTCTGGGAGATTCCCAAGAGGACACTCCCATCCCAAACTCTTTCTGGGCTATTTCAGGCAACCTGTAAAGCCCCAGGCTTTGAAGCAGGGTGCTTGTGTATCTCCCAAAAGACTCCCACAAATGAAAACGGGGCCACAGAGTGGTGTGGATGGCCGCGAGGACTCAGAGGGACGTTGTTGCAGGCAGAGGGGAGAATTGGCTAGAACGCAGGAAATACTGGTACCCTACCAAAAAGGCCTCTCCCATCCCAGAAGCCCCCAGGGCTATCCCCAGCGTGCTACAAAGCCCCAGGCTTCGAAGCACGGTGACTGTGTCTCTCACGGAAGGCCCCCACAAGTGAAAACGGGGCCGCAGGGTGACGTGGGCGGGTGGCAGGGACTCAGGGTGACTTTGAGGCAGGCAGAGCAGGGGAAGTGGTGAGACTGCAGTGATTGCTGGGAGCCTTCCAAGGAGTCCCCTCCTATACTAGAAGCCCCTAGGACTGTCCCTGGCGGCCTTCAAAGCCCCAGGCTAAGGAGAAGGATGCCTGTGTCTCTCACAAAAGGCTCCCACAAGCGAAAACAAAACCGCCAAGGTCGCGTGGGAGGGCCGCAGGATGGCGTGAACAGGCTGCAGGGACTCTGGAGGACATTGAGGCAGGCAGAGGGGAGAAACATCGAGACAGTAGACAATGTTGGGAGCTTCCCAAGGAGACCTCTCCCATCACAGAAGCCCCTAGATCTATCTCGGATGTGCTGTAAAGTCCCAGGCTTTGGAGCAGGGTGCTGGTGTCTCTCGCCAAAGACCCCTAAAAAAGACATCGGAACGGCAGCATGGCGCGGGCGGGTTGCTGAGAGTCAGGGAGATGTTGAGTGAGGCCGAGGGAAAAGGGAAAAGACTGCAGGGAATGCTGGGTGCCTCCCTAGGAGACCTCTTTCATCACAGAAGCCCCCAGGACTGTCTCAGACGAGCTGTAATGCCTTAGGCTTTAAAACAGGGTGCCAGTGTCTATTGCAGAATACCCCCAAATGAAACAACAGGGCGGCAGGGTGGCGTGAGAGGGCTGAAAGGACTCAAGGAGACATTGAGGCAGACAGAAGGGAGAAGCAGCCAGGCCGCAGGGAATGCAGGGAGCCTCCCAAGGAGGTCTCTCCAATTCCAGAAGCCCCCAGGTCTGTCCCGAACTTGCTGTAATGACCCAGGCTTTGGAGCAGGGTGCCTGTGTCTCCCGCATAAGGCCTCCACAAGGGAAACCAGGTGCGCAGGGTGGCCTGGGCAGGCCGCAGGGACTCAGGGGGACGTTGATCCAGGCAGAGGGGTAAAGCATCAAGAACACAGAGAATGCTGGGAGCATCCCAAGGAGGCCTCTCCCATCCCAGAAGCCCCAGGACTGTCCCGGGCCTGCTCTAAAGCCCACATCTTTCTAGCCGGGTGCCTGTATCTCTCGTGGAAAGCACCCACAAGCAAAAATGGGGCTGAAGGGTGGCGTGGGCGAGCAGCAGAGACTCAGGGGGACGTTGTGGCAGACAGAATGGAGATGTGGCAAGACCACAGGGAATACTGGGAGCATCCCACGGAGGTCTCTCCCACCCCAGAACACTCCCTGCACCCAGGGGTGTCCCGGGCAGGCTGGAAAGCCCCAGGCTTCGGTGCAGGGTGCCTGTGTCTCTCACAGAAGGTCCCCAAAAGAGAAAACGGGGCTGCTCGGTAGCGGGAGTGGGCAGCAGGGACTCAGGTTGAGGTTAAGGTAGGCAGAGGGGGGAAGCAGCGAGATCCCAGGGAATGCTGAGAGCCTTCCAAATAGGCCTCTCCCATCAGAGAAGACCCCAGGACTGACCCAGGCAGGGTTTAAAGCCCCAGGCTTTGGAGCAGGGTGCCTGTGTCTCTAGGAAAATGCCACCACAAGCAAAAACGGTATCAGGGTGGCGTGGGCGGGCCGCAGAGTAGCATAAGCGGGATGCAGGGACACAGGGGAATGTTGTGGCAGGCAGAGGGGAGAAGCGGCGACACCGCAGAAAATGCTGGGAGCCTCCCAAGGAGGCCTATCCCATCACAGAAGCCCCCAGGGCTGTCTCAGACGTGTTGTAATGCTCAAGGCTTTGGAGCGGGGTGCCTGTGTCTCTCTCAGAAGAGCTTCAAAAGAGACAACGGGACAATAAAGTGGCGTGAGCAGGCCAAAGGGACTCAGGGGGATGCTGAGGCAGGCAGAAGGGAGAAGCGGCAAAGCCTCAGAAAATGCAGGGAGCCTCCCAAGGAGGCCTCTTCCATCCCAGAAGCCCTCAGGACTGTCTCGGGCATGAGGTAAAGCTTCAGGTTTTGAAGCAGGTTGTCTTTAGCAGAAGGCCCCCCCTAGCGAAAATGGGACAGTAGGGTGGTGTTGGCGATTTGCAAGGACTTAGCGGGACGTTGAGCCTGGCAGAGGGGAGAGGTGTGAAGACCACAAGAAATTTTGGGAGCATCCCAAGGAGGCCTCTCCCATTCCAGGAGTCACCAGTGCTGTCCTGAGCCTACTGTAAAGCCCAATGCTTTGGAGCAGGTTGCCTGTGTCTCTCACGGCATTCCCCACAAGCAAAAACGGGCTGTAGGGTGACGTGGGCGGGCTGCAGAGACTCAGGGAGATGTTGAGGCAGGCAGACGGGAGACGTGGTGATACCGCAGGGAATGCTGGGAGCCTCCCAATGAGACCTCTCTGATCCCAGAAGCACCCAGGATTGTCCCAGGCGGGCTGTAAACCACCAGGCTTTGGAACAGGGTGCCTGTGTCTCTAGAGGAAGGCCTCCACAAGCAAAATCTGGGCCACAGGGTGGCATGGGCCGGACACAGGAATTCAACAGGACGTTGAGGCAGGTAGAGAGAAGAAGCGAAGAGACCACAGGAAATGCTGGAAGCCACCCAAGAAGACTCTTTTATCCCAGAATGCTCCCCAGGCTTTGAAGCAGGGAGTCTGTGTATCTCGCGAAAGGCCCCCACAAAAGAAAAGGGGGCCGCAGGGTGGCGTGGGCGGGCCGGAGGGACTACGGAGACATTGAGGCATGCAGACAGGAGAATTGGTGAAACCGCAGGGAATGCTGGTAGCCTCTGCAAAAGGCCTCTCCCATTTCAGAAGCCCCCCGGCCTCTCCTGGGCGGGCTGTAAGTCTCCAGGCTTTGCATCCGTGTGCCTGTGTCTCACGCAGAAGGCCCTCACAAGCGAAAACGGGGCCACAGGGTGGCGTAAGCAGGCAGCAGGGACTCAGGGGACATTGAGGCAGGCAGAAGAGGAGAAGCGGCGAGACCGCAGGGAATGCTGGGAGCCGCCCAAAAGGACTCTATGATCCAAAAAGCACCCAGAGCTGTTTGGGTTCGGCTGTAAAGCCCCAACCGTTGGAACAGGGTGCCTGTGTCTCTCGCGGAGGGCCCCCACAGGCAAAACGGGCCCGCAGGGTGGCGTGGGCAGGCCACAGTGACTCAGGGTGACATTGTCGCAGGCAGAAAGGAGAAGTGGCAGGACTGCAGGAAATGCTGGGATCCTCCCAAGGAGGTCTCTGCCATCCCAGATGCACCCAAAACTGTCCCAGGTGGGCTGGAAAGCCCCAGGCTTTGGAGGAGTGTGCCTCTGTCTCTTGCAAAAGGCCCCCAAAAGAGAAAACAAGGCCGCAGGGTGGCGTGGGCTGGCCACAGGGACTCAGGGGGACATTGAGTCAGGCAGAGGGGAGAAGCGGCGACAGAGTGGGGTATGGTGTGAGCCTCCCAAAAAGGCCTCTCCTATCACAGAAGCCCCAGGCCTGTCTCGAACATGTTGTAATGCTCCAGGCTTAAAAGCAGGTTGCCTGTGTCTCTCGCGGAAGACCCCCAAAAGAAACAACATGGTGGCAGGGTGGCAAGGAGCCTTCCAAGGATGCCTCTCCCATCCCAGAAGCCCCCAGGTGTGTCCCGGCCTGGTTGTAACGCCCCAGGCTTTGGAGTAGGATGCCTGTGTCTTTCGCAAAAGGCCCCTACAAACTAAAACAGGCCTGCAGGATGGCCTGGGCGGGCCACAGGGACTCAGGGGAACATTGAGTCAGGCGGAGGGGAGAAGCGATGAAACCGCAGGGAATTCTGGGAGCCTCCCAAAAACTCTCGCATTCCAGAAGCCCCCAGGACTGTCCCTAGCAGGCTGTAAATCCCCAGGCTTTGGAACAGGGTGCCTGTGTCTCTCGAGGAGGACCACCAAAAGAGACAAAGGGGCTGCAGGATTTCATGGGCATGTGGTGTTAAACTGAGGAACGGACAGACCAATACGGAGTATGGAAGGATTTGTTTATTTTAGTATGCACCGTTTCAGAGAATTCACATCCTGAACCTGAGCATTGAAGAAGGACAGAGCAGGGTTTTTATAAGTGGCCTTACAGAAGCAAAATAAAAGCAGTAACAAAATAAAAGCAGTTAATCACAAAAACTGGCTAAATACAGATATTTGTAAAACATAATCATGCTTAAGAAGCCTGGGAAAAGAGTAACAGTAAAAGAACTTGTCTTTTTCTTTTTTTTTTTCCTTGATCTGGAAGGGAGGGGGTGTCTGGAGCCTTGTCTTGCTCTTGAATCCCTGCCTAACTTGACTTCGTCCACGTCTACGTCCACATCCACGTCCTCTCACATTGCTAATCTCTCTTTGTATAAGAGCTATTGCCAACAGATTGGACTGTTTCTTAAGCCTTCAATTTACTTTCCTTTCCTTTCCTGAGTTCTCCTGCTCCTGAAACCAGCTGGAGGGGACGGACAACAACATGGGTTCTGCCCGCGTGTGCTGGCATCTGTCTCTTCTGTTTTTTTCTGATTTCTCTTTTACTTTCTTCTTTCCCTTCTCACACTTACTCTTACTTTCTCCTTTCCTTCTCTTTTGCTTTTCTCGTAGCGCCCATCCTCGGCCCCCTCTTCTTCCAGATACAACAGGGCTGGGGAGAGGGACTTAATCCTTGGCGTGCAAAGCTGCTGTGTTGGTTGCTTTTCCTCTTTCCCGTTTTGTTCCCAGGTCACAGTTAACACACACCTTGGTGGCCACTTTTATAGACTGGGTGGTATCCATGCCTGCAGCTTCTGCTTGATGTCACCCTGGGCTTGCTTTACAAATGAAGTATTTACCATACACTGATGTTCAGCAGCCTCAGAGTTAGATGGGGTGTAAAGCCAGAATGCTTCACAGAGTCTCTCATAAAACTGACTTAGGCTCTCATCAGCTTCTTGAAGCACTTCTGAAATCTTCCTTATATTAATTGTTTTCCTTCTACCAACTCTTAGCCCCTGCAGAAGTGCCTCTCGGTACCTCTGCAAATGCTGAAGCTGAGTTGCATCCTCCGGGTCCCTGTTGGGATCCTGGTCCTCATAATAGATAGGTCCTCGCATATCCCTGAGAGGCATTTGCATAGCTCGAGCACGGCCAGATCTGAGAAGGCCCACTTGACTATCTTGACTTCCTTCCCTGGTCTCTCGAGGCTCTGATCCTCCCCTTCAAGGTGAGACCTGGGGCTTGTTAGCTTCTAAATCTGGTTCCTTGGGGGCTGTTGGCCTCAGTAAAGGGGACAGTAGGCTGGAATATATGGAGTGAGAATTTCTGTTACCTCTGGAGACTCCTGCAAAACTGGCTTCTCTTGCTGTCTCTGGGATTCCCCCTTTTAACTCTGTCTGCCCACAAAGGTGTTCATACTTTCACTTTTGGCTTTTTTTTTTTTTTTGCAATAGGCCGTTAAACAGGGCTGGGTCTATGCTGGTTTTGTCTATATTATATTTCACCATGAGTCAATATAAAGGAATTTGATCTGGGTACACTGGCTGTCCTCCAACCCCTGTCACCACCCTAAATACATGGCCCATTGGCTCATTGTTTCCTGACTATAGTTCCTTTGGTCGGCCGTCCAACACCAAAAGAGGGCAATTCTAATTCACAGAGTTAGAATTAATTGCTTTCCTTCTACCAACTCTCAGCCCCTGCAGAAGTGCCTCTCAGTACCTCTGCAAATGCTGAAGCTGAGTTGCATCCTCTGGGTCCCTGTTGGGATCCTGGTCATCATAATAGATAGGTCCTCACATCTCCCTGAGATGCATTTGCATAGCTTGAGCATGGCCACATCTGAGACGGACCGCTTGACTGGGCCTGGTAACTTAACTTGACTGGGGGGTTAACTTAACTCTATAATCTGCTGCAAAACCTTTCTTAAAGTTCTGTAACATGCACGCCGTTAGAGTAAGTTTTGATATTTTGATGACTTTCCTCCCATTCCTCCCTTTACGACACAGCACATTCACTCTTGCACACTCACTCTTCCTATCATTTTGGCTGACTACACCGTCTCCTATTATGGGAGTTCTCAGATGCTGCTTGGCTTTGGAGAGGTCCTTATTCCCACTACAACTTTGAGCTGTAGGGCAGCTCGTACTACCCATATGCAGATCACCACTATTCTTATTTGGCTGCACAGCTTCTCAGAGCACACAGTCCATGCTAGATCTGTGACTCCCCACTTCGCAGCTGATGAGACTAATTAGGCTCGTCCATTCACACACTTTCACACACTTTGAGTTCCCAAGCTCGTAATTGGGTTGGAAACCACTTTTGCCCTCTCTAGTTTCACAGTTGGGGTGGCAAGCCACTCTTGCCACCTCTAGTTCCCACTTGGGGTGGTGAGCCACTCTCGCCACCTTCAGATTCCTAGCTGACTTAGCGAGCCACTCTAGCATTCTGGGTCGCTGGGGTGTGAGTTTCATCCAAATTGATGAGCCACTCCCATCGCCCCAAGCCCCTCTGGGTCCGTCTATCCAGCACACTCTGGGAGGTAATCAGGCTACCCTTCTCTCCAAGGGGACGGGTCCTGTCTTGGGCCCCCAAACCTTAACGTGGTTTCTGAAGCGTTCTGTTTCTGAAATCGTGCTGTAGCCCCTCTTTAGGTTCCGTTGGGCTGCTGGGTAGGGGCTCTGGGTCACGGGAGAGCTGATCTCCCCTCCGGGCTGACCTTCTCCTGGCAGCACCTGGGGTCACAGGTTTCCCGAGACCCGTGCTCCAGCCTCCAGAGGCAAAGAAGACAGTAAGCCTACCATCTCTGGTCCCTTAGTGGTTGCCAAAAATGCGGTAAACTGAGAACGGAGATACCAATACGGAGTACAGGAAGATTTATTTATTTTTGGTACACACTGGCTCAGAGGATTCACATCCAAAAGCTGAACATTGAACAAAGACAGAGCGGGGTTTTTATAAGCGGCCTTACAGAAGCAAAATAAAAGCAGTAGCAAAATAAAATAAAATAAAATAAAAGCAGTTAATCATACAGTAACAGTTCACGTAATCTATAGCATGACATAATTTTTGACCTAGGTAGTGGCCTTGTAGCTGCATTAAAAGAAAAACAAGAACTGGCTAAATACAGACATTTGTAAAACATAATCATGCCAATCATGCTTAAGAAGCCTGGGAAAAGAGTAGTAGTAAAATAACCTCTCTTTCTCTTTTTTTTCTTCAACCTTGCTCTGCAAGGGAGGGGGTTGTCTGCAGCCCATTCCTTTGGCCTTGGCTATTCAGACAGCATTATCTTCTAACTGTCCTTGAAGTGAGCTGCTAGGCAGAGGAACATTGGTTCTTTTCTTTTTAACCCTTGCCTTGCCACATTCTTGGCCATAGGTTTTACTTTTTTGGAGTGAATAAATACAGTTATTATTATTATTATTATTATTATTATTATTATTATTTTAAATTTCTGCTGGCAGGCCACAGAAACTCAGGGAAACATTGCAGCAGGGAGAGAGGAGAAGTGGCGAGACTGAAAGGAATGCTAGGGACCTGCCAAGGAGTCCTCTCCCAACCCAAAGCCCCCAGGTCTGTCCCTGGTAAGCTGTAAAGCCCCAGGCTTTGGAGCAATGTGCTTGTGTCTCTTGCCACAGGCCCCCACAAGCAAAAACAGGGCCCAAGGCAGAAGTGGACGGGTGGCAGAGACTCAGGTGGATGTTGAGTCAGGCAGAGAGGAGAACTGGTGAGACTGCAGGAAATGCTGGAGGCCTCCAAAAAGGCCTCTCCCATACCAGAAACCCCCACGACTGTCCTGCACAAGCTGTAATGCCCCAGGCTTTGGAGCAGGGTGCCTGTGTCTCTCGTGGAAGATGGCAGAAGAAACAATGGGGCATCTGGATGGCATGAGAGGGCTGCAGGAACTCAGGGAGACATTGAGGCAGGCAGAGGGAATAAGTGGCGAGACCACAGGGAATGCAGGGAGCCTGCCAAAAAGGCCTCTTATCCACGAAGCCCCCAGGGCTGTCCCAGGCAGGTTTAAAGCCCCAGGCTTTGGAGCAGGGTGCCAGCGCCTCTCAAAAAAGAACCTCACAAGCAAAAACGTGGCCGCAGGGTGGCGTGAGTGGCTGGCAGGGACTCAGTTGATGATGAGGCAGGCAGAGGAGAGTTTCTGCGAGACAACAGGGAATGCTGGGAGCATCCTAAAAAGGTGTCCCATCCGTGAAGCCGCAGGACTGCCCCCGGCTGATGTAAAGCTTGAGGTTTTGAAGCAGGATGCCTGTGTCTCCAGCGGAAGGCCCCCAGTAGTGAAAACGAAGCCATAGGGTAGCGTGGGCAGGCAGCAGAGCCTCAGTGGGACATTGAGCCAGGGAGAGGAAAGAAGCATATAGACTGCAGGGAATGCTGAGAGCATTCCAAGGAGGCCTTTCCCATTCCAGAAGTCCCCAGTGCTGTCTGCGGAGTGCTCTAAAGCCCCAGGCTTTGTAGCAGACAGCCTGTGTCTCTCGTGAAAGGCCCCCATGTGGGAAAAAGGGGCTGCAGGGTGGCATGGGGTTGCAGCAGTGACTCAGGAAGACGTTGAATCTGGCAGAAGGAAGAAGCGGTGAGACCACGGGGAATACTGGGAGCCTTCCAAAAAGGCCTCTGTCATCCCAAAACCCCCCAGGGCTTTTCCGGGTCAGATGTAAAGCCCCAGGCTTTAGAGTACGGAGCCTGTGTCTGTTGTGAATGGCCCCCACGAGTGAAAACTGGGAGGCAGGGTGGCGTGGTTGGGCCACAGGGTCTCATGGGGACGTTGAGGCATGCAGAGGGGAGAAGTGGTGAGACCGCAGGGAATGCTGGGAGCTTCCCAAGGAGGCCTCTTTCATCCCAGATGCCACCAGGGCTGTCCCGAGCGGGCTGTAAAGCCACAGGATTTGGAGCAGGGTGCCTGTGTCTCTCAAGGAATGATCCCACAAGCGAAAACGGAGCCGCAAAGTGGCATTGGCGGGCCGCAGGGACTCAGGGAGATGTTAAATCAGGCAGAGGGGAGAAGCGGCGAGATCACTGGGAGTGCTGGGAGCCTCCCAAGGAGGCCTCTCCCATCCCAGAAGCCCCCTGGGCTTACCTGGGTGGGCTTTAAAGTCCCAGTCTTTCGAGGAGGGTGCCAGTGTCTTTCACAGAAGGCCCTCGCAAGCCAAAATGGGGACGCAGGGTGGCATCTGCAGTCCTCAGGGACTCAGTGGCACATTGAGGCAGGCAGAGGGGAAAAGCGGCGAGAATGCAGGGAATGTTGGGAGCCTTCCAAAGAGGCTTCTATCACAGAAGCCCCCAGGGCTGGTCCTGGCGGGCTGTAAAGCCCCAGGATTTGGAGTGGGTTGCCTGTGTCTTTCGTGGAACGCCCTGACAAGTGAAAACGGGACCACAAATTGGCGTGGGCTGGCCGCAGGGACTCATGGAGACATTGTGAAAGGCAGAGGGGATAAGTGGTGAAACAACAGGGAATGCCGGGAGCCTTCCAAGGCAGCCTCTTTCATCCAAGAAGACCCCAGAGTTGTCTGGGGCAAGTTGTAATGTTCCAAGGTTGGGAGCAGCGTGTCTGTGTCTCTCGTGGAAGGCCCCCACAAGCAAAAGAGGACCGCAGGTTGGCTTGGGAGGGCCTCCAGGACTCAGGGGGATATTGAGGCAGGCTGATGGGAGTAGTGGCGAGACTGCAGGGAGTGATGGGAACCTGCAAAGGAGGCCCGTTCCATCCCAGAATCCCATCCCCCTGGGCTGTCCTGGGCATTGGGTAAAGCCCCAGGCTTTGGAGCAGGGTGACTCTGTCTCTTGGGGAAGGCCCCGTCAAGTGAAAACAGGGCTGCACGGTGGCCTGGGCGGGTCGTAGGGACTCAGGGGAACATTGAGGCAGGCCGAGGGGAGAAGCAGCGAGATCATAGGGAATGCTGGCAGCCTCCCAAGGAGGCCTCTCCCATCCCAGGAGTCCCCAGTGCTATTCCAGGCAGGCTGTAAAGCCCCAGGCTTTGGAGCAGGTTGTCAGTGTCTCTCGGGAAAGGCTCCTAGAAGCGAAAAAGGGGTCACAGCATGGCATTGGCGGACCGCAGGTACTCATTGGTATGATCAGGAAGGCAGAGGGGAGAAGGGACAAGACTGCAGGAAATGCTGGGAGCCTCCAAGTTCCCCTTTCCCATAACAAAAGCCCCCAAAGCTGTCCTGGGTGTGATGTAAAGGTTCAGGCTTTGGAGCAGGGTGCAAGTGTCTTTCGTGGAAGGCCCCCACAAGCAAAGGTTTGGCTGTAGAATGGCTTCAGTAGGAAAAAGTAACTCAGGGGGACGTTGAGGCAGGCAGTGGGGAGAAGCGGCAAGACAGTGGGGAATGCTAGGAGCCTATGAAAAAGGTCTGCTTTCATCCCAGAAGCCTCAAGGGCTGTCCCAGGTGGACTGTAAAGCCCCAGGCTTTGGAGTAGGGTTCCTGTGTCTCTCACAGAATACCCTGGAAGCAAAACCAGGGCCGCAGGTTAGCATGGGCAGGCCGCAGTAACTCAGTGGGACATTGCAGCAGGCAGAGGGGAGAAGCAATGAGACCACAGCGATTGTTGGGAGCCTCCAAAAGAGGCCTCTTCCATCTCAGAAGCCCCCAGAGCTATTTTGGGCAGGCTCTAAAGCCCAAGGCTTTGGAGCGGGGTTCCTGTGTCTTTCGCAGAACCCCTTGACAAGTGAAAACGGGTTCGCAGGGGGGCGTGGGCAAACCGCAGAGACTATGCAGATGTTCTGGGAGGTAGGGGGAGAAGTGGCGAGACAACAGGGAATGCCAGGAGCCTCCCAAAGAGGCCTCCCCCATCCCACAAGCCCCCAGGTTTGTCCTGGGCAGGTTGTAAGGTCAGAGGTTTTGGAGCAGGGTGCTTGTGTCTCTCGTGGAAGGACCCCACAAAAGTAAATGGGGCTACACGGGGGCATGGGAGAGCCACAGGTACTCAGGGGAAGGTTGAGGCAGGCCGAGGAGGGAAGCATTGAGACCTCAGGGAATGCTGAAAGCCTCCCAAGGATGACTCTCTCATACCAGAATCCCTCAGGACTGTCCTGGGCGGGCTGTAAACTTCCAGGCTTTGGAGCAGGGTGCCTGTGTCTCTCGCAAAAGGCCCCCACAAGGGAAAGCAGGGCAGCAGGGTGGTATGAGCGGGCTGCAGGGACTCAGAAAGACATTGAGGCAGGCAGAGGGGAGAAGCCGTGAGATTGCAGCGAGTGTCAGCGGCCTCCCAAGGAGGCCTCTCTCATCCCAGAATGCCCCAGGGCCGTCCTGAGAAAGCTGTAAACCCCAGGCTTTGGACCAGGGTGTCTGTGTCTCTCGGGGAAGGCCGCCACAAGTGAAAACGGGGCTGCAGGTTGCGTGAGGGGGTCACAGGGACTCAGGGAAATGTTGAGGTAGACAAAGGGGAGAAGTGGTAAGACCGCAGGGAATGCTGGGAGCCTCCCAAGGATATGTCTTCCATCCAGAAACCCCCAGGGCTGTCCCAGGCAGGCTGTAATACCCCATGCTTTGGACCAGCATGCCTGTGTCTCTCGCAGAAGGCCCACACATGCAAAAACGGGGCCGAATGGTGCCGAGGGCAGGCCACATGGACTCAAGGGAATGTTGAGCCTGGCAGAGGGGAGAAGCAGGGAAACAGCAAGGAATGCTGGGAGCCTCCTAAGGAGGCCTCTCTGATCCCAGAAGCCCCAGGGCTGTTGCGAACAGGCTGTAAACCCTCAGGCCTTGGATCAGGGTGCCTGCGTCTCTTGGGGAAGGCCACCACAAGCGAAGACCTACCGGGTCACAGGGTGACCTGGGTGGGCCCAAGATACTCAGGTGGATAATGAGGCAGGCAGAGGGGTGAAGCAGCAAGACCACAGGGAATACTGTGAGCCTCCCAAAGAGGCCTCACTTTTTCAAAAGTCCCCAGGGTGTCTCTCGCAGGCTGTAAAGCCCCAGGCTTTGGAACAGGGTGATTATATCTTTTGCGGAAGGCCCCCACAAGTGAATAAGCAGTCGCAGGGTGGTGTGGGCGGGCCACAGGGACTCCAGGGAATATTGAGGCAGGCAGAGGGGAGAAGCAGAGAGAACGCAGGCAATGCTGGGAGCCACCCAAGAAAATCTCTCCCATTTTAGAAGCCCTCAGAGCTGTCCCGTGTGGGCTGTAAAGTCCCAGACTTTGGAACAGGGTGCTTGTGGCTTTCGCAGAAGTCCCCAACAAGCAAAAATGGGGCCGCAGGATGGCACGAGGGGGCTTCAGGGGCTCAGGGCTACATTGAGGCAGGCAGATGGGAAAAACAGCAAGACCGCAGACAGTGCTGGCAGCCTCCCAAGGAGCCCTCTTCCATCCATGAAATGCCCAGGGCTCTCCTGAGCAGGCTGTAAAGCCCCAAGCTTTGGAGCAGTTTGCCTGGGTCTCTCGCGGAAGGCCGCCACAAGCAAAAATTGGGCTGCGGGGTGGCATGGGCAGGTCACAGGGACTGAGGGGGACATTGCAGCAGGCAGAGGAGAGAAGCGGCAAGATTGCAGGGAATGCTTGAAGCCTCCCCAAAAGGCATTTCCCATCCCTGAAGCCCTCAGGGCTCTACAGGAGGGTTGTAAAGCCCCAGGCTTTGAAGCAGTGTGCCTGCATCCCTGGTGGAAGGCCCGCCCAAAGGAAAACAGGGATGCAGGGTGGAGTGAGTGCATCATTGGGACTCAGGGAAAATTGAGGCAGGCAGAGGGGAGAATCTTAGAGACCACAGGGAATGCTGGGAGCCTAAGGAGGCATCTCCCATCACAGAAGCCCCCAGGCTGTTCCAGGCAGGCTGTAAAGTCCCAGGCTTTGGAGCAGCATGCCTGTGTTTCTTGCAGAAGGCCGCCACAAGCAAAAACGTGGCCACAGGGTGGCGTGTGCAGGCCCCAGGGACTCAGGAGGAGGTTGAGCCACGCAGAAAAAAAAAAGTGGCAAGACCGCATGGAATGCTAGGAGCCTCCTAAGGACACCTCTCCCATTCCAGATGTCCCTAGGGCTGTTTCAGGTGGGCTGTAAAGCCATAGGCTTTGGAGCGGTGTGTCTGTGTCTCTCACCGAAGGACGCCTTAAGCGAAAACGGGGCCTCAGGGTGGCATCAGCCGGCCACAGGGACTCAGGGGGATGTTGAGGCAGGCAGAGGGGGAAAGCAGCGAGAGAGCAGAGAATGCTAAGAGCCTCCAAAGGAGGCCTCTCCCATCCCCGAAGCCCTCAGGGCTGTCCCGGACTTGGTGTAAAGCCCCAGGCTTTGGAGCAGGGTGACTGTGTCTCTGGCGGAAGGCCCTGACAAGCGAAAACGGGGTAGCAGGGTGGCGTGGGCGGGTCATGGGGACTCAGCGGGACGTTGAGGAAGGCCGAGGGGAGAAGCAGCAAGAAAGCAGGGAGTGCTGGGAGCCTCCCAAGGAGGCCCCTCCCATCCCATAAGTCCCCAAGGCTGTCCCAGGCAGGCTGTAAAGCCCCAGGCTTTGGAGTAGTTTCTTACTGTTTTTAGCGGAAGGGCCCCACAAACGAAAACGGGGACACAGCATGGCGTGGGCGGGCCACAGGGACTCAGGTGGATGTGGAGGCATTCAGAGGGGAGAAGCGGCAAGACTACAGGGAATGCTGGCAGCCCCCGAAGGATGACTCACCCATCCCAGAAGACCCAAGGGCTCTTTCTGGTGGGCTGCAATGCCATAGGCTTCGGAGCAGGGTGCCTTTATCTCTCTTGAAAGGTCCCCAGAATAAAAAGCTGGGCCACAGTTTGGTGTGGGCGGTTGGTACAGATCTAAGGAAATGTTAAGGCAGGCAGAGGGGAGAAGGAGCGAGACCACAGGGAATGCTGGGAACCACCCAAGGAAGCCTCTCCCATCCTAGAAACCCCCAGGGCTGTTCCAAGCTGGTTGAAAAGCCCCAGGCTTTGGAGCAGGGTGCCTGTGTCCCTCGCGGAAACCCCCACAAGTGAAAATGGGGCTGTGGGTTAGCATGGGCAGGCGGCAGAGACTCAAGGGTACATTGAGGCAGGCAGAGGGTAGAAGCTGTGAGACTGCAGGGAATGCTGGGAGCCTCCCAAGGAGGCCTCTCCCGTCCCAGAATTTCCCAGGGCTGTTCTGGGCAGGATGTAAACCCCCAAGCTCTGGAGTAGGGTGCCTATGTATCTCGAGGTAGGCCCCCACAAGCGAAAATGGGTCTACAGGGTGGCATGAGCAGGGCAAAGAGACTCAGGGACGTTAAGGCAGGCAGAGGAGAGAAGTGGTGAGAGTGCAGGGAATGCTAGGAGCCTCCAAAAGACCACTCTACCATCCCAGAAGCCCACAGAACTGTCGCGGGGAGCCTTTAAAGTTTCAGGCTTTGGAGAAGGATGTGTGTGTCTCTCGCGGGAGATCCCACAAACGAAAATTGGGCTACAAGGTGGCATGGGCGGGCCCTTGGCACTCAGGGGGACGTTGTGGCAGGCAGAGGGGAGAAGTGGCGAGGCCACAGGGAAATCTGGGAGCCTCCCAAGGAGGCCTCTCCCATCTCAGAAGCCCCAGAGCTGCCCCGAGCAGGGGTAGGGTGGGCTGTAAAGCTTCAGGCATTGGGGCAAGGTGCCCGTGTCTTTCGCGGAAGTCCCCCACAAGCAAAAATGGAATGGCACGGTGGCATGCTCTGGCCGAAGTGACTCAGGGGGATGTTGAGGCAGGTAGGAGGGAGAAGCGGCAAGACCCCAGGGAAACCTGGGAGCCTGCCCAGGAGGCCTCTCCCATTCCAGAAGCCCCCAGGGCTGTCTTGGGCAGGCCGTAAAGTCCCAGGCATTGGAGCAGGGTGTTTGTGTCTATCGCAGAAGGCCACCAGAAGCGAAAACAGAGCCATAGGGTGGCGTTGGCGGGCCGCATGGACTTAGGGGGACTTTGAGGCAGGCAGACAGAAGAAGCAGGAAGACTGCATGGAATGCTGGGAGCCTCCCTAGCCAGCATCTCCCATACCAGAAGCTCCCACCGCTCCCGGGTAGGCTATAAAGCCCCAGGCTATGGGGCAGGGTGTTTGTGTATTTTTTTGGAAGGCCCCCACAAGCAAAAACGGGGAGGCAGGGTAGCTTGCGCGGGCGGCAGAGACTCAGCGGGTCTTTGAGGTAAGCAGACGGGAGAAGCAGGAGGATTGCAGAGAATGCTAAGAGCCTCCCAAGGAGGCCTCTTTCATCCCAGAAGCCCACAGAGCTATCC
The DNA here is from genome assembly GCF_000001405.40 of Homo sapiens. Taxonomy (NCBI): domain Eukaryota; kingdom Metazoa; phylum Chordata; class Mammalia; order Primates; family Hominidae; genus Homo; species Homo sapiens. Next base: position 46,116,052 of record NC_000008.11, on the reverse strand, counting down.
CCGGTGGGATGTAAAGCCCCAGGCTTTGGAACATGGTGTCTGTATCTCTCATGGAAGGCCCCTACAAGCAAAAACGGGGATGCAGGATGGCATGGGCAGGCGGCAGGGTCAGGGGTACATTGAGGCAGGCAGAGGGTTGAAGCAGCGAGATGGCAGGAATTGTTGGGAGCCTCCCATGAAGGCCTTTCCCATTTTAGAAGCCCGTAGGCTGTCTTGCACGGGATGTAAAGCCCCAGGCTTTAAAGAGGAGGGTGACTGTCTCTCGTGGAAGGCATCCACAAGAGAAAACGGGGACACAGAATGGCGTGGGAGGGCCGCTGGGACTCAGGGGGACTTTAAGGGTGGTAGAGGGAAGAAGCGGTGAGACCACAGAAAATGCTGGGAGCCTCCCAAGGAGGCCTCTCCCACCCCAGAAGCCCCAGGGTTCTCCCGGGAGAGCTGTAAAGCTTCATGCTTTGGATCAGGGTGCCTGTGACTCTCTCAGAAGGCCCCCATAGCACGAACGGGGCCTCAGTGTGGTGTGGGCAGGCAGCAGAGACAAAGGGGTATGTTGAGGTAGGCAGAGGGGAGAAGCGGGTAGATGGTTTGGAGCCTCCCAAAGAGGTCTCTTCCATCTCAGAAGACCCTGGGGCTATACCAGGCAGGTTGTTAAGCCCCAGGCTTTGGAGCAGGCTGCCTGTGCCTCTCTCTGAAGGCCCCCACAAGTGAAAATGGTACCACAGAGTGGGGTGGGCCGTTTGCAGGGACTCAGGGGGATCTTGAGGTAGGAAGAGGGGAGATGTGGCAGAACACAGGGAATGCTGGAAGCATCCCAGTGATGCCTCTCCCATCCCAGAAGTCCCCAGGGCTGTCCTGCGTGAGTTGTAAAGTGCCAGGCTTTGGAGCAGGGTGACTGTGCCTCTTGCAGAAGGCCCTTACACGTGAAAACTGGGCAACAGGATGGTGTGAGCGTGCCGCAAGGACTAAGGGGGACGATGAGGCAGGCATAGGAAAGAAGTGGCAAGATTGCAGGGAATGCTGGGAGCCTCCCCTAAAGGCCACTCGCATCCCAGAAGCCCCGAGGGCTGTCCCTGGTGGGCTGTAAAGTTCTAGGCTTTGGAGCATGGTGTCTGTGTCTCTCGCGGAAGGACCCCAAAAGTGAAAATGGAGTCGCATTGTGGTGTGCGAAGGCCACATGGACTCAGGGACGTTGAGGCAGGCAGAGGGGAGAAGCAGTGAGACCTCAGGGAATGTTAGGGGCCTCCAATAAAACCGCTCCCATCCCAGAAGCTACCAGTGCTGTCCTGGGCCGGTTGTAAAGTCGCAGGCATTGAATCAGGTTGCCTGTGTCTTTAGCAAAAGGCCCGACAAGCTAATAGAAACTTGTGGGGCAGGCCACAGAAACTCGGCGGGACGTTGATGCTTGCAGTGTGCAGATGCTGCAAGACCACTGGGTATGCTGGGAGCCTCCCATGGAGGTCCCTCACAACCCATGAGCCCCCAGCGCTGTCCCTGGCGTGCTGTAAAGCCCCAGGCTTTGGAGCAAGGTGGCTGTATCTCTCATGGAAGCCCCCACGAGCGAATACGTGGCTGCAAGGTGGGGTGGGCGGGCCACAGGAACACAGAAGGAAGTTGAGGCAGTCACAGGGGAGAAGAGGCGAGATGGCAGGAAATGCTGGGAGCCTCCCATGGACTCCTCACCCATCCCAGAAGGCCCCAGGGCTGTCCTGGGCGGGCTGCAAAGCCCTAGGTTATGGAGCAGGGTGCCTGTGTCTCTCGCTGAAAACCCTCACAAGCAAAAACAGTGTGGTGTGGTGTGGACAGTTCCCAGGGATTCAGGGAGACGTTGAGACAGGCAGTGAGGAGAAGCCGTGAGACCACAGGGAATGCTGAAAGCCTCCCAAGGAGGCCTCTTCCATCCCAGGAGCCTCCAGGGCTTTCTCGGGTGGGCTGTAAAGCCCCAGGCTTTGGAGCAGGGTGCCTGTGTCTCTGGCGGAAGGCACCCACAAGCAAAAACGGGGAGGCAGGGTGGTGTAGGAGGGCCGCAGGGACTCACGAGGATGTTGAGGCAGACTGGGGAAGCAGAGAGACCGCAGGGAATACTGGGTGGCTCCCAAGCATGCCTCTACCTTTTCAGAAGCTTCCAGGGCTGTCTCTCACAGGCTGTAAAGCCCCAGGCATTGGAGCAGGTTGCCTGTGTCTCTCGCGGAAGGCCCCCATAAGCAAAAACGGGGCTTCAAGTTGGCGTGGGTGGCCTGCAGGGATTCAGGGGGACATTGAGGCAGGCAGAGGGGAGAAACGGCGAAACCGCAGGAAATGCTGGGAACCTCCCAAAAAGGCCTCTCCCATCACAGAAGTCCCCAGGTCTGTCCTGGGCGGGCTGTAAAGCCGCAGGGTTTGGAGGAGCTTGCCTGTGTCTCTCGCAGAAGACCCCCACAAGCCAAAACAAAGTCGCTGGGTGGCCTAGGCGGGCCGCAGTGACTCAGGTGGATGATGAGGCAGGCAGATGGGAGAAGCATCAAGACTGCAGGGAATGCTGGGAGTCTCCCAAGGATGCATTTCTCATCCCAGAAGCCCCCAGGGCTGTCCCGGGTGGGTTGTCAAGCCCCAGGTTTTGTAGCAGGTTGCCTGTGCCTCTGTCAGAAGAATCCCACAAGTGAAAACGGGACCGCAAGGTGGTGTGGGCGGTCGCCAGAAACTCAGCGTGACATTGAGGTAGGCAGAGGGGATAAGCGTCAAGACCGCTGGGAATTCTGGGGGCCCCTTAAGGAGGCCTCTCCCATCCCAGAAGCCTTCATGGCTTTGAAGCAAGGGGACTGTGTCTCTCGCGAAACGTGCCCACAAGTGAAAACGGGGATGCATGGTGGTGTATATACGGGCCGCTGGGACTCAGGGGGATGAGCGGGTTGTAAATACCCATGCTTTGCAGCAGAGTGCCTGTGTCTTTCTGGGAAGCTCACCACAAGCAAAAACGAGGCCGCAGGGTGGCATGGGCGGGCAGCAGGGAACAAGCAAGGACACTGAGGCAGTCAGAGGGGAGAAGCACCGAGACAGCAGGGAATGCTGGGAGCCTCCCAAGTAGGCCTCTCCCAACCCAGAAGACACCAGGGCTCTACCAGGCGAGTTGTACAGCCCCAGGCTTTGGAGCAGGGTGCCTATGCCTCTCCCAGAAGGCCTCAACATGTGAAAACGGGACCACAGGGGAGAAGCGGAGAGACTGCACGGAATGCTGGGAGCTTCCTAAGGAGACTGCTTCCATCCCAGAGGCCCCCAGGGCCGATATGGTTGGGCTGTAAAGCCCTAGGCTTTGAAGTAGGGTGACTGTGTCTCTCTAGAAAGGCCTCTATAAGCAAAATCCGGACAAGAGGGGGGAGTGGGCGGGCCGCAGGCCCTCAGGCGGACATTGAGGCCGGCAGACGGGAGTAGGGGCGAGACCGCAGGGAATGCTGGGAACATGCCAAGGATGCCTCTTCCATTCCAGAAGAGCCCAGGGCTGTCCCAAGCACGGTGTAAAGCCCCAGGCTTTGGAGTAGGGTACCTGTGTCTCTCGCAGAAGGCCCCCATAAGCGAAAATGGAGGCAATGTTGAAAGCCTCCCAAGAATGCCTCTTCCATCACAGAAGCCCACACGGCTGTCCTGGACAGGCTGTGAAGCCCCAGAATTTGGAGCAGAGTGTCTGTGTTTGTCACAGAAGGCCTCCACAAGCAAAAACTGAATAGCAGTGTGGCCTTGGTGGGCTGCAGGGACTCAAGGGGAAGTTGAGGCAGGCAGAGGGGAGAAGAGGAGACACTGCAGGGAATACTGGGAGCCTCCCAAGGAGGCCTCTCCCATCCCAGAAGCTCCCAGATCTCTCCCAGGTGGGCAGTAAAGCCCCAGTCTTTGGAGCAGGATGCCTGCATCTCTCTTGGAAGGCCTTCACAAGTGAAAACGGGGCGGCAGGGAGGCATGGGCGGGCCGCAGGGGGTCTGGGTGACGTTAAGGCAGGCAGAGAAAAGGAGCAGCGAGGCCGGAGGGAAGGCTGGGAGCCTTTAAAAATGGCCTTCCCCAACCCAGAAGCTTGCAGGGCAGTCCCGGGCATGCTATGAAGCCCCAGGCTTTGGAAGGGAAGGCCTGCGTTTCTCGTGGATGGCCCCACAAGCAAAAGCGGAGTGGCTGGGTGGTGTGGGTGAGCCGCAGGGACTCAGGGGGATGTTGAGGCAGACAAAGGGGAGAAGCAGCGAGATCACAGGGAATGCTGATTGCCTTCCCAGGAGGCCCCTTCCAACCAAGAAGCCCCCAGGGCTGTCCTGAGCAGGCTGTAAAGCCGCAGGCTTTGGAGCATGGTGCCTGTGTCTCTCGCAGAAGGCCCCGAGAAGCAAAAACGGGATGGCAGGGTGGCATGGGTGGGCCACAGGGACACTGGAGGACATTGAGGCAGGCAGAAGGGAGAAGCAGTGAGACTGCAGGGAATGCTGGGAGACTCCCCAAAAGACTTCTCCCCTCCCAGAAGACTCCAGGGCTGTCTCAGGCAGGCTGTAAAGCCCCAGGCTTTGGAGCAGTGTGCCGGGGTCTCTCGTGGAATTCCCCCAGAAGTGAAAGCAAGGTCGCAGGGTGGCGTGGGCAGGCCGCAGAGGCTCAGGGGGACGTTGAGGCAGGCAGAGGAGAAGCGGCACAACAGGAAGAAATGCTGGGAACATCCCAATGATGCCCCTCTTAACCCAAAATCCCCCAGGGATATACCAGGCCGGCTGTAATGCCCCACACATTGGAGCAGAGTGCCTATGTCTCTCGCAAAATGCCCCCAGAAGCAAAAAAACAGGGCTGCAGCATGGCTTGTGAGGGGTGTGGGGACTCAGGGGGACATTGAGGTAGGCAGAGAGGAGAAGTGGCAAGACAGCAGGGAATGCTGGAAGCCTCTTTAGGAGGCCGCTTCCTTCCCAGAAGCGCCCAGGGCTGTTCCGGGAGGGCTGTAAAGCCCCAGGTTTTTGAACAGTTTGCCTGTGTGTCTCCCGGAAGGCCCCTACAGACAAAAACGCAGCCGCATGGTGGTGTGGATGGGCGGCAGAAACTCGGGGGGACATTGAGGCAGGCAGAGGGGAGAAGTGGAAAGATTGCAGGGAATGCTGGGAGCCTCCTAAGGAGCCCACTCCCATACCACAATCTCTCAGGGCTGTCCCGGGTGGGCTGTAAAGCCATAGGCTTTGGAGCAGGGTGCTTGTGTCACTCGCGGAAGGCCCGACAAGTGAAAACAGGGTGGCAAGGGTGGTGTGGATGGGCCTCATGGAGTCAGGGTTATGTTGAGGGAAGCAGAGGGGAGAAGCGGTGAGAGTGTAGGGAATGCTTCGAGCCTCCCAATAAGGCCTTTCCCATCTCAGAAGCCCCCAGGGCTGTCTGGGGTGAGTTGTAAAGCCACAGGCTTTGGAGAAGGGTGCCTTTGTCTCTCCCAGAAAACCCCCACAGGCAAAAATATTGCTGCAGGTTGGCGTGGAAGGGGTGCAGGGACTTATGGGGACATTGAGGCATGCAGATTGGAGAAGCGCAAGACTGAAGGGAATGCTAGGAGCCTCCCAAGGAGGCCTTTCCTATTCCAGAAGCCCTCAGGGCTGTCCCAGGAGGGCTGTAAAGCCCCAGGCTTTGCAGCAGGGTGGCTGTGTCTCTCGCGGAAGGCCCCCGCAAGCGAAAATGGGGTAGCAGGGTGGAGCGGGATGGCCACAGGGACTCAGGGGGACGTTGAGGCAGGCAGTGGGGAGAAGCCGCGAGACTGCAGGGAATGCTGCGTGTCTCCCAAAAAGGCCTCCTTTATCTCTAAAACCCCATGGCTTTCACGGGCGGGCTGTAAAGCCCCAGACTTTGGAGCAGGGTGCCTGTTTCTATCTTGGAAGGCCCCCACAGGGTAATTGAAGCCACAGAATTGTGTGGGGTGGCGGCAGGGACTCACTGGGGCGTCGAGGCAGGGAAAGGGGAGAATTGGGGAGACGTGCCCACAGGGAATACTGGGAGCCTCCTAAGGAGGCCTCTCCCATCCCAGAAGCCACCAAGGTTGTAACAGGAGGACTCTAAAGCCCCAGGCTTCAGGGAAGGGTGCCTGTGTCTCTCGCGGAAGGCCCCCACAAAGGAAAATGGGGCCGTAGGGTGTCTTGGGCGGATCTCAGGGACACAGGGGCACATTAAGGCAGGCAGAGGGGAGACCTGGCAAGACTGCAGAAAATTGGAGCCTCCCAAGGAGGCCTTTCCCATCCCAGAAGCCCCCAGGTCTGTCCCAGGCAGGCTCTAAAGCCACAGGGTTTAGAGCAGGGTGACTCTGTCTCTCGCGGAAGGCTCCCACAAGGGAAAACGGGGCCACAGGGTGGCGTGGGCAGGCCGCAGCCACTCAACACGTTGGGCAGGCAGAGTGGACAAGTGGTGAGACCGCAGGGAATGATAAGGAGGACCCTCCCATCCCAGAAGCCAAAGGGGCTGCCCTGGCAGGCTGTAAAGCCCCAGGCTTTGGAGAAGGTTGCCTGTGTCTCTCACGGTACGCCCCCACAAGCGAAAATGGGGCCACAGGGTAATGGGGGTGGGGCGCAACAATTCACGTGGACATTGAGGCAGGCAGAGTGGAGAAGTGGCGAGACCACGGAGAAAGTTCGGAGCCTTCCAAGAAGGCGTCTCCCATCCCAGATGTCCCCTGGGCCATCCCAGGCGGGCTCTAAAGCCCCAGGTTCTGGAGCATGGTGCCTGTGTCCGTCGCGGATGGATCCCCAAGTGAAAACAAGGCCACAGGTTGTCGTGGGCAGGCGACAGGGGCTAAAAGGGATGTTGAGGCAAGCAGAGTGGAGAAGCGTCAAGATGGAAGGGCATGCTGGGAGCATCCCAAAAATTCCTCTTCCATCCAGAAGGCCCCAGAACTGCCTCGGGTGGGAGTAAAGCCCAAGGCTTTGAAGCAGTGTGTTTGTCTCTGACGGATGGCACCCATAAGGGAAAACGGGGCCACAGGGTGGCATGGGTACACAACAGGTACTGAGGGGGACGTTGAGGCAGGCACAGGGGAGGAGTGACGAGACGCAGTTAATGCTGGGGGCCTCCCAAAGAGGCATCTCCCATCCCAGAATCCTCCAGGGCTGTCCCGGGTGGGCTATAAAGCCCCAGGCTTTAGAGCACGTTGCCTGTGCCCCTGCAAGCAGAAAGGGGGCTGAGGCGTGGTCCGGGCAGGTCCCAGGGACTCAGGTGGATATGGAGGCAGGCTGACGCAAGAAGCAGCGAGACAGCAGGAAACGGTGGGAGCCTCCCAAGGAGGTCTCTTCCATCCCAGAAGCACCCAGTGCCTTCCCAAGCAAGTTGTAAAGCCCCAGGTTTTGGAGCAGCGTGGCTGTGTCTCTCGCACAAGGCCATCAAAAGTGAAAACGAGGCCACAGAGTGGCGTGGGCAGGTCGCAGAGACTTAAGAAGACGTTGAAGCTAGCAGAGGGGGACACAGCAAGACTGCAGGAAATGCTGAAACCCTCCTAATGAGGTCTCTCCCATCCCAGAATCTTCTAGGGCTGTCCCAGAAAAGCTGCAAAGCCCCAGGCTTTGGAGTAGGGTGCCTGTGTCTCTCGAGGAAGGCCCCCACAAGCAAAAACGGGGCCGCATGGTGGAGTGAGCAGATGGCAGACACTCAGGGGGACATTGAGGCAGGCAGAGGGGAGAATCGGCAAGACCCCAGAAAATGCTGTGAGCCTCCCTAAAAGGCCTCTTTCATCCCAGAAACCTCAGGGATGCCCCAGGCGGTCTGTAAAGCCCCAGGCTTTGGAGCAGGGTACTTGTATCTCTTGTGGAAGGTGCCCACAAGTGAAAACAAGGCCACAGGGTGGCATGGTCGGGTGGCAGGGACTCAGGGACACGTTGAGGCAGGCAGAGGGAAGAAGCCGCTAGACTGCAGGGAATGCTGGGAGCCTCCCAAGGAGGCCTCTCCCATACCAGAAGCCCCCAGCTGTGTCCCGGGGGTGCTGTCAAGCCACAGGCTTTTTAGTAGGGTGCCTCTAGCGGAAGGCCCCTACAGGTGAAAACAGGGCCTCAGGGTGGCATCAGCGTGCCACAGGGACTCAGGGGACTGTACTGGTAAGGCTGTAATGCCCCAGGGTTTGGAACAGGGTGCCTGTGTCTCCCGCGAAAGGCCACCACAAGAGAAAATGGAGCAGCAGTGTGGCGTGGGCATGCCGCAGGGACTCGGGGATGATGAGGCAGGCAGAGGTGAGAAGTGGCGAGACCACAGTTAATGCTGGGAGCCTCCCAAGGATATTTTTCCTATCCCAAAAGCCCTTAAGCCTGTCCCAGGAGGGCTGTAAAGCCCCAGGCTTTGGAGCAGGGTATCTGTGTCTCTCACGGAAGGCCCCCACAAGCAAAAATGGGGCTGCAGTGTGGCCAGGAGGGGCCGCAGGTACTCAGGGGGATGTTGAGGCAGGCAGAGGGGAAAAACAGAGAGACTGCATGGAATGCTGGGAGCCTCCTACAAAGGCCTCTCTCATTCCAGAAGCCCTCACTGCTGTCCTAGGCATTCTGTAAAGCACCAGTCTGGTTCAGGGTGCCTGTGTCTCTTGTGGAAGGCCCCCATAAGAGAAAATGAAGCAGCAGGGTGGTGTGAGCAGGCCGCAGGGACTCAGGGCAATGTTGAAGCAGAGAGGGGAAGCAATGAGTCCAGAGAGAATCCTGGGAGGCTCCGAAAGAGGCCTCTCCCATCCCCAAATCTCTCAGTGCTATCTCAGACAGCCCGTAAAGCCCCAGACTTTTGAGCACAGTGCCTGTGTCTCTCGCAGAAGGCACCCACAAGTGAAAATGGAGATGCAGCGTGGAGTGGGTGGGCCAAAAAGACTCGGGGGATGTTGCAGCAGGAAAAGGGGAGAAGCCTCAAGACCTCAGGGAATGCTGAGAGCCTCCCAGAAAGGCCTCTGTTTTCCCAGAAGTTTCCTAGGCTATCCTGGGCAGGCTGTAAAGCCCCAGGCTTTGGAGCAGGGTGCCATTTTCTTTCGTGGAAGGCCCCTAGATGCAAAAACATAACCATGGAGTGGTGTGAGGGGGTGCCAGGGATGCAGGGTGATGTTTAGACAGGCAGAGGGGAGAATCGGACAGACCGCAGGGAATGCTAGGAGCCTCCCAAAAAGGCCTCTCCCATCCCAGAAGCCACCAGGTCTGTCCTGGGAGGGCAGTAAAGCACTCGGCTTTGGATCAGGGTGCCTGTGTCTCTTGCAGAAAGCCCCCACAAGTGAAAACGGGGCCGGAGGGTGGCCTGGGTTGGCTGCTGGGACTCAGAGAGACGTTGAGGCAGGCAGAAGTGAAAAGAAGCAAGGCCGTAGGGAATGCTGGGTGCCTCCCAAGGAGGCCTCTCCCATCCCAGAAGCCTCCAGGGCTCACCTGGGCACAGTTGAAAGATTCAGGCTTTGGAGCATCATGCCTGTGTTTTTCGTGAAAGGGCCCCAGAAGCGAAAATGGGACCTCAGGTTGGCATTGGTGGGCGGCAGGTACTTAGGGATGTGTTGATGCTGGCAGAGGGGAGAAGCGACTGGAGTGAAGGGAATGCTGCGAGCCTCCAAAGAGGCTTCTCCCATTCCAGAAGGCCCCACTGCTTTCCCGAATAGGCTGTAAGTCCCCAGGATCTGGAGCACAGTGCCTGTGTCTCTCGCAAAAGGACCCCACAAGCAAAAACGGGGCTGCAGGGTGACATGGGAGAGCCACAGGTACTCAGTGGGACGTTGAGGCAGGCAGAGGGGAGAAGTAGCGAGACAGCAGGGAATGCTGGGGGCTTTCCAAAGAGGCCTCTCCCATCCCAGAAGCCATCAGGACTGTCCCAAGTGGGAGGTAAAGTTCAAGCTTTGAAGCAGGGTTCCTGTGTCTCTCACGGAATGCCCCCACAAGAGAAAATGGCCCCCAGGGTAACGTAGGCAGGTGGCTGGAACTCAGGGAAACATTGAGGCAGGAAGAGGGTTGAAGCAGCAAGACACAGGGAATGCTAGGAGCCTCTCAAAAAGGCCTATCCCATGCCAGAAGCCCCAACGGCTGTCCTGGGGGGATGTGAAGCCCCAAGCCTTGAAGCAGGGTGCCTGTGTTTCTCGTGGAAAGCCCCCTGAAGCGAAAAGAGGGACACAGGGTGGCGTGGGCGGGCTGCAGGGACTCAGCGTGGCGTTGAGACAGGCAGAGGGTGGAAGCAGCTAGATGGCAGGGAATGCTAGGAGCCTCCAAAAGAGGTCCCTTTCATGGCAGAAGCTCCCAGGGCTGTTTCGGGAAAGCTGCTCACCCCCAGGCTTTATAACAGGGTGCCTGTGCCTCTCGTGGAAGGTCCCCACGAGCGAAAAATGGGGCAGCAGGGTGGCATTGGCGGGCCTCAGGGACTCAGGGGGAAGCTGAGGTAGGCAGAGGGAAGAAGCGGCAAGACAGCAGGGAATGCTGGGAGCCTCCCAATGGAGGCCTCGCCTATCCCAGAATTTCCCAGGGCTATCCCAGGTGAGCTGTAATGCCCCAGGTTTTGGAGCAGGGTGCCTGTGTCTCTCGCGGAAGGCCTTCACAAGCGAAAACGGGGCCACAGGGTGGCCTGGGAAGCCTCAGGGTCTCAGGGAGACGATGAGGGAGGCAGAGTAGAGAAGCGGCGAGATCGCAGGGAATGCTGGGAGCCTCCCAAGGAGGCATCTCTCATTTCATACGCCCCCAGGGCTGTTGGTCGTGCTGCAAAGCCCCAGGCTTTGGAGCAGGGTGACTGTGTCTCTCACAGAAGGCCCCTACATGCAAAAACGGGGCCACAGGATGGCGTGGGCGTGTGGCAGGGACTCAGCTGGACTATGAGGCAGGCAGTGGAGAGAAACGGCAAGACAACAGGAAATGCTGGGAGCCACCCAAGGAGGCCTCTTTCATCCCAGATGCCCCTGGGCTGTCCCGGGTGTGCTGTAAAGCCCCAAGCATTGGAGTAGGTTGTCTATGCCTCTCGCGGAAGGCCCCCACAAGGGAAAACGGGCCGCAGCGTGGTGTGGGCGGGCTGCAGGGACTCGGGGAAACGTTGAGGCTGGCAGAAGTGAGATGCATGGAAGCCCCAGGAAATGCTCAAAGCCTCCCAAGGACGCCTCTCCTATCTCAGAAGCCACCAGGGCTGTCGTGGGCACACTGTAATGCCTCAGGCTTTGGAGGAGCGTGACTGTGTCTCTCACGGAAGGCCAGCTCAAGTGAAAACTGGGACACAGTCTGGCGTGGGCGGATGGCAGGGACTTAGAGGAAGTTTAGACAGGCAGAGGGTAGAAGCGGGGAGACTGCAGGGAATGCTGGAAGCCTTCCAAGGAGGCCACTCCAATCCCAGAAGCACCCAGGGCTGTCCCGGGCGGGTTTAAAGCCCCACTCTTTAGAGCAGGGTGCCTGTGTCTCAGGCGGAAGGCCTTCGCAAGTGAAAGCAGAGCCGCAGGGTAGCGTGGTCAGGTAACAGGGACTCAGGCGTACCTTGAGACAGTCAGCATGTAGAAGTGGCAGGACTATAGGGAATGCTGGGAGCCTCCAAAGAGGCTTCTCCAACCCCTGAAGTGACCAGGGCTGTTATGGGCAGGCTGTAAAGCCCCAGCCTCTGGAGCAGGGTGCCTGTGTCTCCCTTGGAAGGCCCCCACAAGCAAAAACAGGACCGCACGATGGAATGAGAGAGCTGCAGTGACAGGGGGACGTTGAGGCAGGCAGAGGTGAGAAGCAGTGAGAACGAAGGGAATGCTGGGTGCATCCTGAGGAAGCCTCTCCCATCTAGAAGCCACCAGGACTATCGCAGGCGGGCTATGAAACACCAGGCTTTGGAGCAAGATGACTGTGTCTCTCCCAAAAGGCTTACAGAAGCAAAATTGAGGACGTGGGGTGGCGTGGGCGGGCTGCACGGACTCAGAGGGACGTTGAGGCAGGTAGAGAAGAATGGCGAGACAACACAAAATGCTGGGAGCCTCCCAAGGAGGCCTCTCCCATACTGGAAGCCCCCAGGGCTATCCCGAGTGGGCTGAAAAACCCCAGGTTTTGGAGCAGAGTGCCTGTGTCTCTCACAAAAGGCCCCCACAAGCGAAAACAGGGCCGCAGGGTGGCGTGCGTGGGCAGGAGAAACGCAGGAGGACGTTGAGGCAGGCAGATAGGAGAAGCGGCCAGACTGCATGGAATGCTGGGAGCCTCCCTAGCCGGCCTCTCCCGTCCTAGAAGCCCCCACCTTTGTCCCAGGCGGGCTGTAAAGCCCCAGGCTTCGGAGCAGGGTGCCTGTGTCTCTCGCGGAAGGCCCCCATAATCGCAAACGGGGCTGCAGGGTGGCGTGAGGGGGCCGCAGGACCTCGGGGTCGTTAAGGCAGGCACAGGGGAGAAGCGGCGAGATCGCAGGGAATGCTGGCAGCCTCCCAAGGTGGCCTCTGCCATCCAGAAGCCCCCAGGGCTGTCCTGAGTTGGCTGTAAAGCCCCAGATATTGGAGCAGGGTGCCTGTGTGTCTTGTGGAAGGCCCTCACTCAGGAAAGCAGGGCGAATGGGTGGCGTGGGTGGGCCCCAGGGACTCAGTGGGACTTTGAGGCAGTCAGAGTGGAGAAGCAATGAGGCTGCAGGGAATACAGCAAGCAGGATGTAAAGCCCCAGGCTTTGGTAGCAGGGTGCCTGTGTCTCTCTCGGAAGGCCCCCACAAGTGAAAACGTGGCCGTAAGGTGGCACGGGTGGGCCAAAGGGATGCAGAGGGACGTTGATACAGGCAGCGAGAAGAGTCAAGACTTCAGGGAATGCTGGAAGCCTCCCAAGGAGGCCACTTTCATCCCAGAAGCCCCCAGGGCTGCACTGAGTGGGCTGTAAAGCCCCAGCCTTTGGAGCAGGAAGCCTGTGTGTCTCGCGGAAGGCCCCCACAAGCAAAATCGGGGCAGCAGGCTGGTGTGGGAAGACCACAGGGACTCAGGGGGATATTGAGAAATGCAGAGGTTGAAGCGGCAAGACGGCAGGAAATGCTGGGAGCCTCCCAAGGAGGTCTCTTTCATGCCAGAAGCTCCCAGGGCTGTCTCAAGAAAGCTGTTCACCCCCAGGCTTTATAGCAGGATTCCTGTGTCTCTCGCGACAGGACCCACATGCGAAAATGGGGCCGCAGTGTGGCGTTGGCGGACCTCAAGGACTCAGGGGGATGTTGAGACAGGTGGAGAGAAGTGTCAAGACCACAGGGAAAGCTGGGAGCCTCCCAGGGAGGCCTCTTTCATCCCAGAAGCCCGAGTGCTGTTCCAGGAGGGCGGTAAAGCTCCAGGATTTGGAGCAAGGTGGTTGTGTCTCACACGGAAGAACCCCACAAGAGAAAATGGGGCCGCAGAGTGGCGTGGGCGGGCCTCAGGGACTCAGAAGGACATTGAGGCAGGCACATTGGAGAAGAAGTGAGACCTCAGAAAATGGTGGGAGCCTCCAAAAGAGGCCTTTTCCATTTCAGAAGCTCCCAGGGCTGTCCCTGGTGGGCTGGAAAGCCCTAGGCTTTGGAGCAGGGTGACTGTGTCTCTCGCGGAAGACCCCTACATGCGAAAACGGGGCTGCATGTTGGCGTGGGCGTGCCACAGCAACTCAGCGTGACATTGAGGCAGGCAGAGAGGAGAAGCAGCAAGACCACAGGGAATGCTGGGAGCCTCCCAAGGACGCCTCTCCCATCCCAGAAGCCCCCAGGAGTGTTCTGGACAGGCTCTAAAGCTTCAGGCTTTAAAGCAAGGTGCTGCGTCTCTCGCAGAAGTTTCTCAAATGAGAAAACAGGACAGCAGGTTGGCATGGGTGGGCCGCAGGGACTCAGGGGGACGTTGAGGCAGGCAGAGTGGAGAAGTGGTGAGATGGCAGGGAATGCTGCAAACCTCCCAAGGTGGACTCTCTCACACCAGATGCCCCCAGGGGTGTCCCAAGAGGGCTGTAAAGCCCCAGCCTTTAGAGCAGAGTGCGTCTGTCTCTCGTGGAAGGCCCCTGCAAGTGACAATGGGCAGCAGCGTGGCATGGGCAAGCAGCAGGGACTCAGGGGGACATTGAGACAGGCAGATGGTTGAAGAGAATGCTGGGAGCCTCCCAAAAAGGTCTCTTTCAGGCCAGAAGCTCCCAGGGCTGTTTCGGGAAAACTGTTCACCCCCAGGCTTTGAAGCAGGGTGCCTGTGTCTCTCACGGAAGGTCCCCACAAGTAAAAATGGGGCAGCAGTGTGGCATTTGTGGACCTCGGGGACTCATAAGGAAGTTGAGGCAGGCAGAGGGGAGAAGTGACGAGATCAAAGGGAGTGCTAAGAGCATCCCAAGGAAGCCTCCCCCATCCCAGAATCTCCCAGGGATGGCCCAGGCAAGATGTAAAGTTCCAGGTTTTGGATCAAGGTGACTGTGTCTCTCATGGAAGGCCAAAACAAATGAAAAGAAGCTGCAGAGTGTGTGGGAAAGCCGCAGGCACTCAGGGGGATGTTGAGGTAGGCCGAGGGGAGAAGAGGTGATACTGTAGGAAATGCTGGGAGTCTCCCAAGGATGCTTCTTCCATCCCAGAAACCCCCAGGGCTCTCCAGGGCAGGCTGTAAAGCCCCAGGCTTTGAAGCAGAGTGTCTGTGTCTCTCGTGGAAGGCCCCCACAAGCAAAAACAAGGCCGCAGGGTGGCTTGGCTGGGCAACAAGTACTCAGGAGGACCTTGAGACAGGCAGAGGAGGGAAGCAGCGAGACTGCAGGGAATGCTGGGAGCCTCCCAAGGAGGCCTCTCCCATCTCAGAAGCCGCAAGGGCTGTTCCGGGTGGGCTGCCTAGCCCCAGGCTTTGGAGCAGGGTGTCTGTGTCTCCCACAGAAGGCCCCCACATGTGAAAACAGGGACACAGAATGGCGTGGGCAGGTGGCAGGGACTCAGAAGAAGTTGAGGCAGGCAGAGAGGAGAAGCGGCGAGAACGAAGGGAACGCTAAGAGCATACCAAGGAAGCCTCTCCCATCTCAGAAGCCCCCAGGACTATCCCGAGTGGGCTGTAAAACACCAGTCTTTGGAGCAGGGTGCCTGTGTCTCTCCCGGAAGGCCTCCTTCCAGGAGAAAATGTGGCCACAGGGTGGTGTGGGTGGGCTGCAGGACTCAGTGGGACGTTGAGACAGGCATAGAGGAAGAGCAGCGAGACCGAAGAGAATGCTGGGAGCCTCCCAAATAGGCTTCTTCCATACCAGAAGCCCCCAGGGCTGTCCCAGGTGGACTGTAATGCCCCAGGGTGACTGTATCTCTCGCGGAAGGCCCCCACTCTTGAAAATGGCATCAGAAGGTGCCATGGGCTGGCCTCAGGTACTTAGGAGGACGTAGAGGCAGGCAGAGAAGAAAAGCGTGATACCACGAAGAATATTGGGAGCCTCCCAAGGAGGCCTCTTGCATTCCAGAAGCCCCCAGGGCTGTCCTGGGTGGGCTGTGAAGCCACAGGATTTGGAGCAGGGAGCCTGTGATTCTTGTGGAAGGCCCCCACATGCGAAAATGGGGCCGCAGGTTGCTGTGGGCGTGCCACAGCTACTCAGGGGCATGTTGAGGGAGGCAAAGGGGAGAAGTGGCAAGACCGCAGAGAATGCTGGGAGCCTCCCAAGGATGGCTCTCCTGTCCCAGAAGCCCCCAAGGGTGTTCTGGCCAGGCTCTAAAGCTCCAGGCTTTAAGGCAGGGTGCTGTGTCTCTCGTGGAAGTTACCCAAGAGAGAAAACGGTGCTGGTGGGTTGCGTGGGAAGGGCGCAGGGACTCAGAGGGAAGTTGAGGCAGTCAGAGTGGAGAAGTGGCAAGACCACACGGCATGCTCCGAGCCTCCCAAGGATGACTCTCTCATGCCAGAAGCCCCCAGGGCTGTCCCAAGAGGGCTGTAAAGCTCCTTGCTTTTGAGCAGGGTGACTGTGACTCTCGCAGAAGGCCCCCACAAAGGAAAACGTAACTGCAAGGTGGAATGGTCGGGCCGCAGAAACTCAGGAATATGTTCAGACAGGCAGACGGGAGAAGCGGCGAGACCACAGGGAATGCTGGGAGCCTCTCCCATCCCAGAAGCCCACAGGTGTGTCCCCAGCGGGCTTTAAATCCCCAAGCTTTAAATCAGAGTGTCTGGGTCCCTCGCGGAAATCTTCCATTCAGGGGGCACCCCTGGGGATTCTGGGGGGGCTCTCCAAGAGACACAGAGGCACCCTGGTCTTGAGCCTGGGGCTATAGCACCCACTCAGGGAGGGCCCCATGGATTTCTGGGAAGGGAGAGGCCTCCTGGGAAAACTCAGCACCCACTCAGGCCTGGCCACTTCTCCCCTCTGCCTGCCTCAAAGTCCCCCAGAGTTTCTGTCTGCCAACACAGACCCTCCTGGGGCCCTGCCGCCTCCCGAGGGGGCCCTCTGCAAGAAACACAGACACCCTGGGCCGGAGCTCTGGGGTCTAGCTCACACAAGGTGGGAACTTCGGGGGCTTCTGGGAAGGGAGAGGCTTCCCTGGAAGACCCAGCACCTGCTCAGCCCTTGCCGTTTCACCCCTCTGACTGTCTCAATGTCCCCATGAGTTTCTGCCAGCCAGCACATGCCTGCCTGTGGACCCACCAATGTCTGTGGTGGCTCTCTGCGAGAGAGAGTCACCTGGGGCCAGAGCCCAGGGCTCTAGCCCTAACCCGTGGATGCCCTGGGGGCTTCTTGGATGGGACAGGCCTCCCTGGGTTGACCCAGCACCTGCTCAGGCGAAGCTACTTCTCTCCTGTGCCTGCTACAAGTCCCCCTGAGTTTCTGCCTGCCTGCACAGGCTCGCATGCGGCCCTGCCACTGCATGTGGAGTCCTTAGCGACAAACACAGGCACCCTGGGATGGAGCCGGGGGCTGTAACCCTGACCCGGAGGGTGCCTTGGGGCTTCTGGGAAGGGATAGGCCTCCACGGGTTGACCCTGCATCCACTAAAGGCCTTGCTGCTTATCCCTGAGTTTCTGCTCACCCTCACCAGCCTGCCTGTGGCCCCTCCACCGCCTGTGGAGGCTCTCTGTGAGAGAAAGGCACCCTGGGTTCTAGCCCTGAATTGGGAGCCTGAGTTTCTGCCTGCATGAATAGGCTCGACTGCAGCCCCACCACCGCCCATGAAGGCCCTCCGTGAGACACAAGCACCCTGGGCCAAAGTCTGGGGCTCTAACCGCTACCCGGGGACGGGGGTGGGCAGTGTCTTCTTGGATGGGAGAGGCTTCATTGGGAGGACACAGCACCTGCTCAAGTCTCGCTGCTTCTCCACTCTGCCTGCCTCAAAGTCCCCTAAGTTTCTGCTTGACTGCACAGGACCATTTGTGGCCCCACTGCCACTGCACGTGGGGTTTTCCCATGAGAGACACAGACCCCGTGGGCTGGAGACTGAAGCTATATCCCTCACCTGGGGAAAGCCCTTGGGGCCTCGGGGAAGGGAGAGGGCTCTCTGGGATGACCCAGCACCCGCTCAGGCCTCACTGCTTCTCCCCTCTGCCTGCCTCAATGTCCCCCTGAGTTTGTGCCCACCCACACAGGCCTGCATGAGGCCCAGCTGCCATCTGTGAGGGCCCTCGGTGAGAGACACAGGCACCTTGGGCCAGAGCAAGGGGCCCTAGTCCCCATCCAGAGAGCCAACAGAGACATCTGGTAAGGGAGAGGCCTCTCTGAGGAAGCCCAACACCAGCTCAGGCCTCGCTGTTTCTTCCCTCAGCTTGCCTCAACGTCCCCTGAGTTTCTGCCTGCCAACAAAGGCCTGCCTGCCACCCCGCTGCCACCCAAGGGGGCCCTCTGTGAGAGACACATTCACCCCAGGCCAGAGCCTGGGGCTCTAGCTCACACAAAGGGAGACCTTCAGGGAAGGGAAGGACCTTCCTGGGAGGACCCAGCACATGTTCAGGCCTCACCGCTTCTCCCCTCTGCTTGCATCAGTGTCCCCTGAGTTTCTGCCTGCCTGCACATGCCTGCCTGTGGTGCCGCCCAATGCCTGTGGAGGCCCTCCATGAGAGATACAGGCATCCAGGGCTGGAGCCAGAGGCTCTAAACCCAATGCGGGGAATGCCCCAGGGGCTTCTGGGAAGGGAGAGGTCTCCCTGGGAGAACCCTGCACCAGTGAAGGCCTCCCCGCTTATCCCCACTGCCTACCTCAATGTGCTCCTGAGTTTCTGCTCACCCTCACTGGCCGGCCTGAGACCCTGCCACTGCCTGTGGAGGCCTTCCATGAGAAACACAGGGATTCTGGACCAGAATCTGGGGCTGTAGCCCCCAACTGGGGGGCACACCAGGAGCTTCTGTGAAGGGAGAGGTCTCTGTGGAATGACCCAGAACCCACTGAGGCCTCGGCGGTTCTGACCACTGCCTGCCTAAATGTCCACCTGAATTTCTGCATGCTTGCACAAGCACACCTGTGGCCCTGCCGAGGCCCATGGAGCCCTCCGTGAAAGACACAGCCATGCTGGTACGATGCCCAAGGCTTTAGTCTCAACACAGGGGACCCCCTGGGGGATTCTGGGAAAATAGAGGCCTTCCTAGGAGGACCCACAACCTCTCAGGCCTCACCAGTTTTCCCCTCTGCCAGCCTCAATGTCCCTCTTAGTTTCTGACCACCTGCACAGCCCAGTCTGTGGCCCTGCCACCACCCATGGGGGCCTTCTGGGACAGACACAGACACTTTGGGCCAAAGCCCAGGGCTCTAGCTTCCCACCTGGGGGTACCCATGGGGCTTCTGGAAAGTTAGAAGCCTTTCTGGAGGACCCAGCACCAGCTCAGGGCTCACTCCTTCTCCCTTCCAATTAACACTTCTATGAAGTGTCCATTTCTGCGAGATGTTCCTTCGCAGATTCTACAAAAACAGTGTTACCAACCTGCTAAATCGAAAGAAAAGTTTAACTATTTTAGCTGAATCCACACATCACAAAGCAGTTTCACAGATAGCTTCCTTCTAGTTTTTATCGCGGGATATTCGGTTTTTCACTATAGGTCTTAGAGGGCTCTGAAATGTCCATTCACAGATTCTGCAAAAAGAGTTTCCAGCCTGCTGAATCAAAAGGAAAGCTTAACTCTGTGAAATGAATCCACACATCACAAAGCAGTTTCACAGAGAACTTCCTTCTAGTTTTTATAGCAAGATGCTCAGTTTTTCACTGTAGGCCTCAGTGGGCTCCGAAATGTCCATTTGCAGATTCTACAAAAAGAGTGTTTCCAACCTGGTGAATTGAAAGAATGTTTTAACTCTGTGTATTGAATGCAGACATCACAAAACAGTCTCACACACAGCTTCTTTCTAGTTTTTATCACGGGACATTCAGTTTTTCACTGTAGGCGGCAGTGGGCGCTGAAATGTCCCTTCATAGATTCTACAAAAAGAGTGTTTCCAACCTGCTGAATCGAAGAAAGGTTTAACTCTCAGAGCTGAATCCACACATCACAAAGCAGTTTGACAGATAGCTTCTTTCTAGTTTTTTTCACAGGATATTCAGATTTTCACTATAGGCCAGAGTGGAATCCAAAATGTCCTTTTGGAGATTCTACAAAAGAGTGTTTCCAAATTGCTGAATCAAAATAACCAGTTAACTCTGTCAGATGAGTCCACACATCACAACGCAGTTTCACAGATAGCTTCTTTCTAGTTTTTATCATGGGATAGTCAGATTTTTCACTGTAAGTCTCTGTGGGTTCCAAAATATTTCTTCACTAATTCTGCAAAAAGAGTGCTTCCAATCTGCTGAACCAAAATAAAGGTTTATCTCTGTTAGCTGAATCCACACAATACAAAGAAGTTTCACAAATAGCTTCTTTTGTTTTTTATCACAAGATATTCAGTTTTTCACTATAGGCCTCAGTTGGCTATGAAATATCTATTCACAGATCCTACAGAAAGTATTTTTAACCTGCTGAATCAAAAGAATATTTTACATACATTACAAACCTGTTTTACACATTTCTTCATACTAGTTTTTATCGTTGAATATTCAGATTTCCACTATAGGCCTAAGTGGGCTCTGAAATGTTTCTTCACAGATTTTACAAAAAGAGTGTTTCCAATGTCCTGAATCAAAAGAATGGTTTAACTCTGGGAGCTGAAACCACACATCACAAACCAGTTTCACATATAGCTCCTTTCTACTTTTTATCATGTAATATTCAGTTTTATAATACAGGCCTCAGTGGGCTCTGAAATGTCTCTTCCCAGATTCTACAAAGCAGTTTCTTGGATAACTTCTTTCTAGTTTTTATCACGGGATATTCTGTTCCTCACTATAGGCCAGACACAGTGGGCTCTGAAATATCCCTTCGTAGATTCTACAAAAAGTTTGTTTCCAACCCTCTGAATCAAAAGGAAGATTTAACTCTGGGAGCTTAATGCACATATCACAAAGCAGTTTCACAGATAGCTTCTTTCTAGTTTTTATCACGGGATATTCAGTTTTTCACTATAGGCCTCACTGGGCTCCGAAATATTTTGTCTAAGATTGTACAAAGAGTTTCCAACCTGTTGAATCAAAAGAAAGGTCTAAACTCTGTGAGATGAATTCACACATCACAAAGCAGTTTCACACATAGCTTCTTTCTAGTTTTTATCACAGCATAATCAGTTTTATACTACAGTTCTCATTGGGCTCCAAAATGTCTTTTCTCAGATTCTACAAAAAAAGCGTTTCCAACATGGGCTTCTGGGAAGGAAGAGGCCTCCCTGGAAGACCCAGCACCCACTCAGGCCTCTCCACTTTATTCCTGTGCCTCTACCTGCCTCAACCTCCCCCTGAGTTTCTGCCCGCCCCGCACTTGCCCACCTGCGGGCAGCAGTGGGGCCGCAGCCACTGTGGGCCCTCAGCCAGAGACACAGGGACCCTTGTCTGGAGTATGGGGCTCTAGCTTACATTCAGGGGCTGCCCTGCAGGCCTCTGGGAAGGGAAAGGCATCCCTTGGAAGACCCAGCACCCGCTCTGGCCTCACTGCTTCTCCCCACTGCATGTGTCAACATCCCCCTGAGTTTCTGCCCACTAGCACAGGCCCACACAGGCCCTGCCGCTGCTTGTGGGGGTCCCTCCGCCAAAGACACAGGAACAGTTGGCCAGAGTCCAAGGCTCTAGCTCCCACCCGAAGGGAGCTCTGGGATACTGTCAGATGACCCAGCACTTCCTCAGGCCTCACCACTTCTGCCCTCTGTGTGCCTCAATGTCCCCCTGAGTTTCTGCTTGCCCACACAGTCCCGCCTGTGTCCCCACAGCTGCCCTTATGGGCCCTCAGCAAGAGACACAGCCACCCTGGGTGGAAGTCTCAGGCTTTAGCCCTGAACCAGGGGGCACCCTGGGGGCTTCTGTGAAGGTAGAGGCCTCCCTGGGGTGACCCAGCACCTGCTCAGTCCTCGCTGCTTCTCCTCTCTGCCTGCCTCAACCTCCCCCTGAGTTTCTGCCTGCCCACACAGGCCCAACTGCGGCCCCGCCACCACCCGTGGGGGCTCTCCACCAGAGACACAGACACCCTGGGGCAGAGCCCATGGCTCTAGCCCCAACATGGGGTTCACCCTGGGGTCTCCTGGGAAGGGAGAGGCCTCGCTGGGATGACCCAGCACCCACTCAATCCTTGCCACTTCTCCCCTCTGCGTGCCTCAATGTCCCCCTGAGTTTCTGCTCCCCTGCACAGGCCCACCTGTGGCCTCACCACCACTCGTGAGTGCCCTCTGTGAGAGACACAGGCACACTGGGACAGAGCTCATGGCTCTATCCCCTACCCGGGGGTCTCCCCGTGTGCTTCTAAGAAGGGAGAGGCATCCCTGGGACAAACCAGCACCCTCTCAGGCCTCGATGTCTCTCCCTTCTGCTTACCTCAATGTCCCCCTGAGTTTCTGCCCTCCCACACAGGCCCACCGTGGACCTACCACCACCCTTGGGGGCCCTCCACAACAGACACACTCACCTGGGGCCAGATCCCAGAAAACCCCCACCCGGGAGGCACCTAGTAGGTTTCTGAAAAGGGATAGGCCTCTAAAAGGACTGAGCACTGCTCAGCCTCACTGCTTCTCCCCTCTGCATGCCTCAACGCCTCCTGAGTATCTGCCTGCCTGCATTGGCCCATGTGTGGCCCGCCACTGCCTGTGGGGGTCCTCCACAAGAGACACAGGCACCCTGGGCAATAGTCTGTGGCTCTAGTCCCCAACCAGAAGGAGCCCAAGGGGCTTCAGGGAACTGAAAGGCCTCCCTTTGGGGACCCAGCACATGCTCAGGCCTCACCGCTTCTCCCCTCTGCCTACCTCAATGTCCCCCTGAGTTTCTGCCCACCTGCACAGGCCTGCCTGCACAGGCCCACCTGCGGCCTCACCACCACCTGTGACTGCTCTCGACGAGGAACACAGGCACCTTGGGCCAGACCCTGAGGCTCTAGTCCCCACCTGCAGTCACCCCAGGGACTTCTGAAAAGGGAGAGGCCTTCCTGAGATGACCCAGGACCCACTCAGGCCTTGCCACTTCTCCTGTCTGGCTGAGTTTTTGCCAGCTCGCACAGGCCTGCCTCCAGCCCCGCCGCTACCCGTGGTGGTCCTCCAGGAGAGACTCAGGTACTCTGGGCTGGAGCCCATGGCTCTAGACCCTACTTGGAGGGCACCCCAGGGGCTTCTGGGAAGGGAGAGGACTCCCTGGGATGACCCAGCTCCCGTTCAGGCCTTGCCTCTTCTCTTCTCTGCCTATCTCAATGTCCCCCTGCATTTTTGCCTGCCCCCACAGCCCTGCTGCCACCCCTGGGTGCCCTCTGCAAGAAGCACAGGTGCCATGGGCTGGAGCCTGTGGCTGTAGCCTCGACCCAGGAGGCACCCAGGGGACTTCTGGGAAAGGAGAGGCCTCCATGGGACAACCCAGCACCCACTCAGGCCTCACCACTTCTCCTCTCTGCCTGACTCAACATCCCCTGAGATTCTGCACACCTACAAACGCTTGTATGTGGCCCTGCCAGCATCCATGGGGGCCCTCCACGAGAGACACAGGCACCCTGGGCCAGAGTTTGAGGCTCTAGACCCCACCTGTGGGCACCCTGGGGGCTTCTGGGAAGAGAGAGGTCTTTGTGAGATGACGAGATGACCCAGAACTCTCTCAGGCCTTGCTGCTTATCTCATCAGCTTGCCTCAACACCCCCCTGAGATTCTGCCTGCCCACCCTGGCTTGCCTGCGGCCCTGTCACCACCCAAGGGGGCCCTCTGGGAGAGAAACAGGCACTCTGCATGTGGAGCCTGGAGCTCTAGCCCCCACCCAGGAAGTGCCCCAGAGGTTTCTGGGAAGGGAAAGGCCTCTCAGGGACTACCCACCACTTTCTCAGGCCTTGCCACTTCTCCCCTTTGCCTGCCTCTAAGTCTACCTGAGTTTCTGCCCTCCTGCACAGACCCACTTGTGGCCTTGCCACTGCCCGTGGTGGTCATCTGCCAGAGACACAGTCACTCTGGGCCAGTTCCCATGGCCTAGTCTGACCCGTGGGGTGCCCCAGGGTCTTCTGAAAAGGGAGAGGCTTCCCTGGGATGACCCAGCACCTGCTCAGGCCTCGCTGCTTCTCCCCTCTATGTGCCTCAGTGTCCCCCTAATTTTCTCCCTGCATGCAAAGACCACTAGTGGGGGCCCCCTGCAAGAGACACAGGCACCCTGGGCCGGAATCTGTGGCATTACTCCCCTCCTGAAGAGCACCCTGTGGTCTGCTGGGAAGGAAGAAGCCTCCGTGTGAGTACCCAGCACCCGTTCAGGCATCGCTGCTTCTCCTCTCTACCTGCTTCAATTTCCCCCTGAGTTTCCTCTCATCCACACAGGCCTGCCTGCATGACCACCACCACCCTTAGGGGCTTTCCATGAGAGACACAGTCGTCCTGGCCTGAAGCCCAGAGCTCTAGCCCTTACCCAGGGGGCGCTCTGGGGGTTCTGGGAAATGAAGGGTCTCCCTAGGATGACCCAGCACCCACTGAGGCCTCGCTGCTTCTACCCTTTGCCTATCTGAACCTCCCCCTTAGTTTCTGCCTGCCAGCACAGACCGACCTGTGGCCCTTCCGCCACCCGTGTGGGCCCTCCACCAGAGACACAGGCACCATCGGCTGGATCCCGTGGCTCTAGACCCAATACAGGGGGCACCCTTGGGGCTTCTGGGAAGGGAGAGGCCTCCCTGGGATGACCTAGCACCCGCTCAGACCTCACCTCTTCTCTCCTCTGCCTACCTCAATGTCTTCCTGAGTTTCTGCCCTCCAGAAAAGACCTGCCTGCAGCCCCCATGCTGTGTGTGGGTGCCTTCCCCAAGAGTCACAAGCACCCTGGGCTGGAGCCCGTGGCTCTAGCCCTGACACTGGGGGTGCCTTGTGGGCTTCTGGGAAGGGAGACGCCTCCCTGGGACTATCCAGCACCCACTCAGTCCTCACTGCTTCTCCTTTCTGCCTGCCTCAATATTCCCCTGAGTTTCTGCCTGCACGTGCTGGCCCTCCTGCATCCCCACTGCCTGCCCATGGAGCCATCCTAGGGACACACAGGCAACCGGGGCCAGAGCCTGGGGCTCCAGCCACCACCTGGGGGGCACCCTGGGGGCTTCTGGGAAGGGAGAGGCCTCCCTGGAGGACACAGCACTCAAGGCCTTGCTGCCTCTCCCCTCTGCCTGCGTCAACATCCCCATGAGTTTCTCCCACCTGCACAACCCACCTGCAGCTTCACCCTTGCCCATGGAGGACCTCAGAGAGATACAGACATACTTGGCCAGAGCCCATGGCTTTAGCCCCGATCTGGGATGCACCCTGGTGCTTCTGGGAAGAAAGAAGCCTCCCTGGGACAATCCAGTACCCATTCAGGCTAAGCCACTTCTCTTCTCTGCCTGCCTCAACGTTCCCCTGAATTTCTGCCCACCCATACAGGCCCGTCTGCTTTCCCATAGCCACCCCCGGGGGCCATCCATGAGAAATACAGCCACCCTGGGCCTTACTCCATTGTTCTACTCCAACCCGGGGGATGCCCCAGGGGCTTCTCGAAAGGGAGAGACCACCATGGGAAGACCTAGCACCTTCTCAGGCCTCACTGCTTCTCCCCTCTGCATACCTCAGCATCCTCTAGAGTTTCTGTCTGCCCACAGAGGCCTGCCTGAGGCCCTGCTGCCACCCGTGGAGGCCCTCCATGACAGACACAGTCACCCTCGGTTGGAGCCCATGGCACTACCTAGACCCGGTGGGCACTCTGGGGCTTCTGGGAAGGGAGAGGCCTCCCACTGTGTAAATAAAAGAAAGGTTTAACTCTGAACTGAAGGCAAACATCACAAAGCCATTTCACAGATAGCTTCTTTATAGATTTTATCACAAAATTTTAGTTCTTTCACTATAAGCCTAAGTTTGCTCTGAAATGTCCCTTCACAGATTTTACAAAAATAGTGTTTACAACCTGCTGAATTAATAAACATATTTAACCCTGTGAGTTGAATCCACACCTCACAAATCAGTTTCACAGATAGATTTTTTTCTACTTTTTATTGCGGGATGTTCAGTTTCCACTATAGGCCTCCATGGGCACCAAAATGTCCCATTGTAGATTCTACAAAAAGAGTGCTTCCAACCTGCTGAATCAAAAGAAAGATTTAACTCTGTGCTGAATCCACACTTCAGAAACCAGTTTCACCAATAGCTTCTTTCTAGATATTATTGTGGAATATGCTGTTTTTCACTAAAGAAGGCTTCAGTGGGCTCCAAGTGTCCCACAGCAGATTCTACAAAAAGAGCATTTCCAGCCTGCTGAATCAAAAGAAAGGTTTAAATCTGTGAGCTGAATCTACACATCAAAAGCAGTGTGACAGAGAACATCTTTCTAGTTTTTATGCCGGGATATTTTGTTTTTCACTATAGGCCTCAATGGGCTCTGAAAAGTCCCTTTGCAGATTCCATAAAAAGAGTGTTTCCAACCTGCTGAATCAAAAGAGAGGTTTAATTCTGTGAACTGAATGCACATATCGCAAAGGAGCTTCACAGATAGCTTCCTTCTAGTTTTTATCCTGTGATATTTGGATTTTTAATATAGGCCTCTACAAGCTCTGAAATGTCCCTTCGCAGATTCTACAGAACGAGTGTTTCCAACCTTCTGAATCAAAAGAAAGTTTTATCTCTGTGAGCTGAAAACACACATGCTAAAGCAGTTTCACAGATAGCTTCTTTATAGTTATTAAGGTGTGCCTTTGGAGGGACCTCTACAAGAGACACAGGCACACGGGGCTGAAGCCTGGAACTCTAGCCCTGACCAGAGGGGCGCCTTGGGGGCTTTTGGGAAGGGAGAGGCCACCCTGGGATGACTGAGCAGTTGCTCAGGGTTTGCCACTACTCCCCTCTGCCTGTCTCAAAGTCCTGTTGAGTTTCTGCCCACCTGCACCTGCTGGCCTTCAGCCGTGCCGCCACTTGTTGGGGCTGTTTGTGAGAGACACAGACACCCTGGGAAGGAGACTGGGGCTTTAGCTCTCACGCAGGGGGCACCCTGGGGCCTTCTGGCAAAACAGAAGCCTCCCTGGGATGACCCAGCACCCGCTCAGGTCACGCCACTTCTCTCTGCCTGCCTCAACATTTCTCTGCATTTTTGCCCTCCTGCCCAGTCCCACCTGCGGCTGTGCTGCCACCCATGAGGGCTCTGTACGAGTGACACAGGCACCCAGGGCTGGATCCCAGGGCTATAGCCCCAACCCGGGGTCTCACCAAATACTTCTGGGAAGGGAGAGGCCTTCCTGGGAGGACTCAGCACCTGCTCAGACGTTGCCTCTTCTTTCCTCTACTTGCCTCAATGTCCCACTGAGTTTCTGCATGCTCACACAGGCCCACCTGTGGCCCCGCCATCACCTATATGGGCCATCCACAAAAGATAAAGTCACCCTGGGCTGGAGCCTGTGACTCTAGACCCCACCCAAAGCATGCACCGTGGGCTTCTGGGAAGGTGAAGACCTCCCTGGGATGACCCAGCACCTTCTCAGGCCTAGCCACTTCTCGACTGTGCCTCACTCAACATCCCCCTGGGTTTCTGCCATCCTTCACAGGCCTGCCTGTGGCCCCGTGGTCATCCATGGGGGCCCTCTGTTAGAGATACAGGCACCATTGGCCCGAGCCCTGGACTCTAGCCCTGACCCAGGGGCACCATAGGGGTGTCTGAAAAGGAAGATGTTTTCCTGGGAGGACCAAGCACCTGCTTAGTCTTCTTTCCACTTCCTGACTCAAAGTGCCCCTGAGTTTCTGCATGCCCACAGAGACCCGCCTTTTGTCCCACACCTACCAGTGGGGGCCCTCCTTGAGAAACAAAAGAACCCTGGGCCAGAGTCTGGGTCTCTATCCCCAACCCGGAAGACACCCCAGGGCTTCTGGAAAGAGAGAGACCTCCCTGGTAGGACGCAGCATCCAGTCAGGCATTGATACTTCTCCCCTCTGCCTGCCTCTTCTGTGAAATGTCCTTTTCTGCCAGATATCCTTTTGCAGATTCAACAAAGAGTGTTTCCAACCTGCCAAATCAAAATAAAAATTTAATTCTGTTAGCTCAATTCACACATCACAAAGCACTTTCACAGCTTCTTGCTAGTTTTCATCACAGGATAGTTAGGTTTTCACTATAGACGTAAGTGGGCTTTGAAATGTCCCTACGCAGATTTTACAAGAAGAGTATTTCCAACCTGCTGAATGAAAAGAAAGGTTTAACAATGTAAGCTGAATCTACACTTCACACAACAGTTTCACAGGTAGCTTCTCACTAGTTTTTAATTGTGGGATTTTGGTTTTTCACTATAGGCCTCAGTGGGCTTTTCAATGTCCATTCACAAGTTCTACCAAAAAAAGTGTTTCCAATCTACTGAATCAAAAGAAAGGTAAAACTCTGTGAGCTGAAAGCACAGATCATAAAGCAATTTCACAGATAGCTTCTTTCTAGTTTTCATCGTGGGACATTCAGTTTTTCACTACAGGCCTCATGGGGCTCTGAAATGTCTCTTCACATATTCTACAAAAAGTGTTTCCAACCTGCTGAATCAAAAGAAAGGTTTAACTCTGTTTGATGAATCCACACATCACAAAGCAGTTTCACAGACAGACTATTTCTAGTTTTTATCTTGGGATTTTTTTTCCCCCATAGGTCTCAATGGACTCCGAAAAGTCACTTCGCAGATTGTACTCAAAGAGTGTTTCCAACCTACTGAATAAAAACAAAGGTTTAACTGTGTGAGATGAATCCAAACATCACAAAGTGGTTTCACAGATAGCTTCTATCTAGTTTTTATCTGAGGATATTCAGTTTTTCCCTATAGGCCTCTAAGGGCTCCCAAACGTCCCTTCACAGATAGTACAAAAAGAGTCTTTCCAACCTACTGAATCAAAAGAAAGATTTAACTCTGTTTGATGAATCCACACATCACAAAACAGTTTCACAGATAGACTATTTCTAGTTTTTACCTGGGGATATTTGTTTTTTTCCTGTAGGCCTCAATGGGCTCCCAAATATCCCTTCACAGATTCTACATAAAGAGTGTTTCCAACCTACTGAATAAAAACAAAAGTTTAACATTGTGAGATAAATCCAAACATCACAAAGCTTTTTCACAGATAGCTTCTTTCTAGTTTTTATCTGGGGATATTTAGTTTTCCCCTAAAGACCTCTTAGGGCTCCCAAATATACCTTCACAGATACTTCAAAAAGAGTCTTTCCAACCTACTGAATCAAAAGAAAAGTTTAACTCTGTGAGCTGAATCTGCACACCACACAGTAGTTTCACAGATAGCTTCTTTCTACTTTTTATCACTGGGTATTCCATTTTTCACAATCAACCTCAGTGCACTTCAAAATGGCTGTTCACAGAATGTACAAAAAGTGTGTTTTCAACCTCCTAAATCAAAAGAAAGGTTCAAATCTGTGAGCAACATCCACACATTAGAGAGCAGTTTCACAGGTAGCTTCTTTCCAGTTTTTATTGCTGGATATTCAGTTTTTCACTAAAGGCTGTGGTTTTCTTCGAAATGTTTCTTTATAGATTCTTAAAAGAGAGTGTTTTTTACCTGTTGAATCAAATGAAACGTTTAACTGTGTGAACTGAATCCACACATGAAAAATCAGTTTCTCAGATAGCTTGTTTGTAGTTTTTATTGCAGGATATTTGGTTTTTCACTAAAGGCCCCAGGGGCCTTTGAAATGTCCCTTTGTAGATTCTACAAAAAGAGTGTTTTTAGCCTGTTGAAACCAAAACAAGGTTTAAGTCTGTGAGCTGAATCCACACATCAGAAAGCAGTTTCACAGATAACTTCTTTCTAGTTTTTATTGTGGGATATTCAGTTTTTCACTATAGGCACCAGTGGGCTCCAAAATGTCCCTTCTCAGATTCTACAAAAAGAGTGTTTCCAACTTGCTGAAACAAAAGAATGGTTTAACTCTGTGGACTGAATGCAAACACCACATAGCAGTTTCACAGATAGATTCTTCATTGTTTTTATTGTGTGATAATTAGTTTTTCACTATGGGCATCAGTGGCTCCAAAATGTCCCTTCACATATTCTACAAAAATTGTGTTTCCAAACCGGAGAATCAAAAGAAAGATTTAACTCTGTGAGTTGAATCCACACATCACAAAGCAGTTTCACAGATAGTTTCTATCTACTTTTTATCACTGGGTATTTTGTTTTTCACTATAGCCCTCAGTGTGCTCCAAAATGTCTCTTTGCAGAATCTACAAAAGAGTGTTTCCAACCTGCTAAATCAACAGAAAGGTTCAACTCTGTGAGTTTAATCCACTCATCAGAGAGTAGTTTCACAGACAGCTTCTTTCTAGATTTTATTGCAGAATATTCAGTTTTTCAAATTGGTTGTGGTTTTCTTCCAAATGTTTCTTTGCAGATTCTACAAAGAAAGTGCTTCCAACCTGCTGAATCAAAAGAAATGTTTAACTCTGTGAGCCGAATCCACACATAATAAATCAGTTTTCACAGGTAGCTTTTTTGTAGTTTTTTATCACAGGATATTTGGATTTTCAATAAAGGCCTCTGTGGCCTTTGAAATATCCCTTCACAGATTCTACAAAAATAGTGTTTTTAACCTGCTGAAACAAAAATAAAGTTTAAGTCTGTGAGCTGAATCCACAAATCAGAAAGCAGTTTCACAGATAGATTCTTTCTAGTTTTTGTCACAGGATATTCAGTTTTTCATTATAGGTACCAGTGGGCTCCAAAATGTCCCTTCTCAGATTCTACGAAAAGAGTGTTTCCAACTTGTTAAAATAAAAGAATGCTTTAACCCTTTGAACTGAATGCAAACATCACATAGCAGTTTCACAGAGAGACTCTGCATAGTTTTTATCACATGATATTTTGTTTTTCACTGTAGGCATCAGTGGGGTCTGAAATATACTTTCACAGATTCTGGAAAAAGACTGTTCCCAAATGGCTGAATCAAAAGTATAGTTTAGCTCTGTGAACTGAATGCAAAATGAAAAAGCAATTTCACAGATAAAATCTTTCCAATTTTTATTATGGGATTTTCTGATTTTCACTATAGGCCTAACTTTGCTCCAAAATGTCCCTTCATAGGTTCTATAACAAATGTGGTTTCAACATGCTGAATCAAAAGAAAGGTTTAAATCTGTGAGCTGAATCCACACATAAGAAAACAGTTTCACAGAAAGCTTCTATCTAGTTTTTATCACAATATATTTTCTTTTTCACTTTAATGTTCAGTGGGGTCTGAAATGTCCCTTTGCAGATTGTACAAAAATAGGGTTTCCAACTTGCTGAATCAAAAGAAAGATCTAATTCTATTAGTTGAATCCACACATCACAAAGTGTTTCACAGACAGCTTCTTTCTTGTTTTTATAACTGAATGTTTGCTGTTTCACTATAGGTCTCTGTGGCCTCTGAAATATTTTGTCGCAGATGCAGATTTGATAAAAAGAGTGCTTCCAACCTGCGAAATCAAAAGAAATGTTTAACTCTGTGAGCTGAATGCACACATCCAAAGCAGTTTCACAGGTAGCTTCTTTCTAGTTTTTATCACAGGATATTCAGTTTCTCACTATAGGTCTCAATGATCTCTGAAACGTCCCTTCCCATATTCTATAAAAAAGTATTTCCAACTTGCTAAATCAAAAGAAAGGTTTAACTCTATGAGCTGAATCTACAGAATTCAAAGCAGTTTCACAGATAGCTTCCTTCACGTTTTTATCTCAAAGTATTCGTTTTCTCAAAATAGGCTTAAGTGGGCTCTGAAATGTCCCTCACAGATTCAACAACAACAGTGTTTCCAACCTGCTGAATCAATATACAGGTTTAACTCATTGAGCTGAATGCACACATCCCAAAGCAGTTGCACAGATAGATTCTTTGTAGTTTTTATCGTGGATATTTGTTTTTTCACTATAGGCCTTTGTTTGCTCTAAAATGTCACCTTGCAGATTCTACAATAAGAGTGTTTCTAACCTGCTAAGTCAAATAAAAGGTTAAATCTGTGAGCTGAATCCACATATCAAAAAGCAGTTTCACTCATACATTCTTTATATGTTTTATTGTGGGATATTTGATTTCTCTCTATGGGCCTCAGTGGGCTCTGAAGTATTCCTTTACATGTCCTACAAAAAGAGTGTTTCCAACCTGCAGAATCAAAAAAAGGTTTAACTTTGTTGGCTGAATCCACGTATCACAAAGCAGTTTCACAGATAGCATTTTTACAGTTTTTATTATGGGATATTCAATTTTTCACTAAAGGCCTCAGTGAGCTACGATATGTCCTTTTGCAGAGTCTTCACAAAGAGTGTTTCCAAACTGGTGAGTCAAAATAAAGGTATAACTCTCTGAACTGAATCCACACAACACAAAGCAGTTTCACAGAGAGTTACTTTGTAGTTTTTATCATGGGATATTCTGTTTTTCACTATAGGCCTTTTTTAGGTTTTGAAATCTCTCTTGGCAGATTCTACTAAAAGATTGTTTCAAGCCTGCTGAATCAAAAGAAAGGATTAACTCTGCTAACGCAATGCAAACATTGCAAAGTAATTTCAAAGAGAGCTTCTATCTAGATCTTATTGCAGGATATTTGGTTTCTCACTAGAGGCCTCATTTTGCTCCAAAAGGTTTATTCACAAATTCTAGAGAGAGTGTTTCCAAGCTTTTTAATCAAAAGAAAGGTTTGATTCTGTGAACTGAATCCATACATCCAATGCAGTTTCACAGATAGATTGTTTTTAATTTTTATAGCAGGATATTTGTTTTTTCTCTAAGGGCCTCAGAGGGCTCTGAAATATCCTTTCACAGATTCTACAAAAAGAATGTTTCCAACCTGCTGAATCAAAAGAAAGGTTTATCTCTGTGAGTTGAACCCAGTCATCATGGAGTAGTTTCACAGATAGCTTCTCTCTATTTTGATTGCAAGATATTCCCTTTTTCACTAGAAGCCTCAGTGGGATCCAAAATGTTTCTTTGCTGATTCTACAAAAAGAGTATTTCAAACCTGCAGAATCAAAATAATGGTTTAACTCTGTGAACTGAATGCAAACATCACAAAGCAGTTTCACAGGTAGCTTCTTTGTTGTTTTTACCATGGGATATTTGTGTTTTCAGTATAGGTCACATTTTGCTCCAAAATGTCTTTTCACAGATTCTCCAAAAAGAGTGTTTCCAACCTACAGCATCAAAAGAAACTTTTAACTCTGTGAACTGAATACATACATCAAATAGCAGTTTCACAAAAAGCTTCTATCTAATTTTTATCACTGGACATTCAGATTTCACTATAAATCATAGTGGGCTCTGAAACGTCCATTTGTAGATTTTACAAGAAGAGTGTTTCCAACATGCTGCACCAAAATAGATTTTAATCCTGTGAGCTGAATGCACGCATTTCAAACTAGTTTCATTGATAGATTCTTTGTAGTTTTTATTGCAAGATATTCGGTTTTTCACTACAGGCCACAGTTTGCTCTGAAATGTACCTTCACAGATTGTACAAAAAGAATGTTTCCAACCTGCTGAATCAAAAGAAAGGTGCAACTCTATGAACTCTATCTACACACCCTAAATCAGTTTCACAGGTAGCTACTTTCTAGTTTTTATGGTGAGATATTCAGTTTTTTTACTGTAGGCCTCAGTGAGCACTGAAATGTCCCTTCACAGATTCAACAAAAAAAAGTGTTTCCAGTCTGCTGAATCAAAAGAAAAAATTACCTCTGTGAGCTCAATGTCAAATCCCAAAGCAGTTTCACAAATTGATTCTAGTTTTTATTGCGGGATATTCGGAGTTGCACTATAGGCCTCAGTGGGATCGGAAATGTCCCTCGCAGATTATACAAAAAGACTTTTTCCAAACGGCTGAATCAAAAGAAAGTTTAACTCTGTGAGCTTAATACACACATCACAAAGCAGTTTCACAGGTAGGTGCTTTCTAGTTTTTATCACAGGATATTACATTTTTCACTACAGGCCTCACTGGGCTCCAAAACCAATTCACAGATTCTACAAAAGTAGTGTTTTCAACATGCTGAATCAAAAGAAAGGTTAAACTCTGTGAACTGAATCTGCTCATCACAAAGCAGTTTCACAAATAGTTTCTTTCTATTTTTTATTGTGGTATATTTCATTTTTCACTATAGGCCTCGGTGGGCTGTGATATGTCCCTTCACAGATTCTACAAAAAGAGTATTTCCAACCTGTTGAATCTAAAGAAATGTTTAACTCTGTGAGCTGAATCAACATATCATAAAGTTGTTTTACAGATAGCTTCTATCTAGTTTTTATCACTGGGTATTCTGTTTTTCACTGTAATCCTCAGTGGGCTCTGAAATGTTCCTTCACAGATTCTACAAATAAGAGTGTTTTCAAGCTGCTGATTCAGAAGAAAGGTTAAACTTTTTGAACTGAACTCACACATAACAAAGCAATTTCACAGATGGCTTCTTTCTTGTTTTTATCATGGGATATTCAGTTTTTTACTATGGGCCTCACTGGGCTTTGTAATGTCCATTCACAGATTATACATAAAGAGGGTTTTCAACCTGCTGAATCCACAGATAGTTTATCCCTGTTAGCTGAATCCACACATCAAAAATCAGTTTCACAGATAGATTCTTTCTGGTTTTTATCACGGGATATTCTGTTATTTACTATGGGTCTAATTGGGCTCTGAAATGTCTCTTTGCAGATTCTACAAAAACATGTTTTCAACCTGCTGAATCAAAATAAAGATTTAAGTTTTTAACTGAATGCAGACATCACAGAGTAGTATCACAGATAGCTTTTCTTGTTTTTATCACAGGACATTTGGTTTTCCACAATAGGCCTCAGTGAGCTTCGATATGTCCCATCACAGATTCTAAAAAGAGTATTTCCAACCTGCTGAATAAAACAAAGGTTTAAGTCTGTGAGCTGATAGCACACATCATAAAGCAGTTTCACAGGTGGCTTCTTTCTAGTTTTTATTGTGAGATATCCAGTTTTTCAGCATAGGCCTCAAAGGACCTTGAAATATCTCTCTGAATATTCTACAAAAAGAGTGTTTTCAACCTGCTCAATCAAAAGAAAAGTTTAACTCTCTGAGCTGAACCCACACATCACAAAGTAGTTTCACATATAACTTCTTATTAGTTTGTGTGTGTGTGTGTGTGTTTGTGTGTGTATATGTGTGTGTGTGATATTTGATTTTTCACTATAGGCCTCAGTGGGCTTAGAAATGTCCCTTTACACATTCTACAAAAAAAGTGGTTAGAACCTTCTGAAAGAAACAAAAGATTTAACTATGTGTGCTGAACCCACACATCACAAAGCAGTTTCACAGATTGAATTTTCTAGTTTTTATCTTGAGATATTCAGCTTTTCACTACAGGCCTTAGTGTGCTCTGAAATATCCATTTACAGATTCTACAGAAAGAGAGTTTCCTACCTGCTGAATCAAAAGAAAGGTCTCTATCTGTAAGATGAATGCACACATCACAAAGCTTTTTCACAGATAACATCTTTCTTGTTTTTAATGCAAGATATCCGGATTTCACTATAAACCACTGTGGACTCTGAAATGTTCAATCATAGGTTTTACAAGAATAGTGTTTCCAACCTGCTGTCCCAATAGAAAAGTTTAACTGTTTGAGTCTAATGTGCATATTACAAAGTAGTTTCACAGATAGCTTCTTAATAGTTTTTATCTGAAGATATTTCAGTTTTTCACCATAGGCCCCAATGGGCTCCTAAATGTCCCTTCAGAGATTCTACAAAAAGGGTGTTTCCAAACCTGCTGAATCAAAAGAAAGGTTTAACACTGTGAGCAGAATCCACACATCACAAAGCAGTTTCACAGATGGTTTCTTTGTAATTTTAATCATGGGAGATTTTGTTTTTTACTGTATGCTTCAGTGGGCTTCATAACATGCCCTCACAGATTCTACAAAAAAAGTGTTTCCAACCTGTTGAATCAAAAGAATAGTTTAACTCTGTGAGCTGAATGCACACATCCAAAGCAGTTTCACAGGTAGCTTTTTTTTTTAGTTTTTATTGCAGTTATTTGGTTTTTCACTATAGGCCTCAATGGTCTTTGAAATGTTCCTTCACGTATTTTACAACAGAGTGTTTCCAACCTGTGGAATCAATAGCAAGGTTTAACTCTGTAAGCTGAATCCACACACCATGAAGCAGTTTCATAGATAGCTTCTTTCGAGTGTTTATCACAAGATTTTCAGTTTCTCACTGAAGATTTAAGTGGTCTCTGAAGTGTCCCTTTGCAGATTCAACAAGAAGATGGTTTCCAACCTGCTGAATCAGAAAAAAAGTTTTAACTCTGTGAGCTTAATGCGCACATCACAAAGCAGTTTCACAGATAGCTTCTTTGTAGTTTTTATCATGGGATACTTGGTTTTTCACTATAGGCCTCAGTTTGCTCCAAAATGTTACTTTGCAGATTCTACAAAAAGATTGTTCCCAAGCTGATAAATCAAATGAAAGGTTAAATCTGTGAGCTGAATCTACACATCACAAAGCAGTTTTGCTCATAGTTTC
Organism: Homo sapiens; assembly: GCF_000001405.40. Classification (NCBI taxonomy): domain Eukaryota; kingdom Metazoa; phylum Chordata; class Mammalia; order Primates; family Hominidae; genus Homo; species Homo sapiens. The sequence continues at coordinate 46,080,239 of NC_000008.11, read as the reverse complement.
TAGTTTTTATCACAAGATATTCAGTTTTTCTCTATAGGCCTCAGTGGGCTCCAAAATATCTCTGCAGATTCTACAAAAAGATGCTTTTAAACTTCTGAATCAAAGGATAGGTTTAACTTTTTGAACTGAATGCACACTTTACAAAGCAGTTTCACAGGTTGCTTCTTTCTAGTTTTTATCACAGGATATTCAGTTTTTCACTATAGGCCTCTATGGTCTCTGAAATGTTCCTTTGCTTATTCTACAAAAAAAGTGTTTCCAACCTGTTGAATCAAAAGAAAGATTTAACTATGTGACCTGAATCCACACACCACAAAGCAGTTTGAAATGTCCCTTTCCAGATTCTACAAAAAGATTGTTTCCAACCTGTTCAATCAAAAGTAAGGTTTAATTTTGTGAGCTGAATGTGAACATCAAAAAGTAGTTTCACAGAATGCTTCTTTCTAATTTTTATTGGAACATTTTCTGATTTTATGTGAGCTGAATGCACACATCACAAAGCAGTTTCACAGAAGCTTCTTTCTAGTTTTTATCTCAGGATATTAGGTTTTTCACTGTAGGTCTCAGTAATCTCAGAAATGTCCCAGTGTTTCCAAACTGCTGAATCAAAGGAAAGTTTTAACTCTGTGAGCTGAATGCAAACATCACAAAGCAGTATCACAGATAGCTTCTTTCTACATTTGTCATGGGATATGTTGATTTTCACTATAGGCCTTACTGTACTCTGAAATATCCTTGCACAGATTCTACAAAAAGAGTGTTTTCAAACTTCTGAATAAGAGGAATGATTTAAATCTGTGAGCTGAATCCACACATCACAAAGCAGTTTCACACACAGCTCCTTTCTAATTTATATATAGAAATATTTGATTTTTTACTATGGGCATCAACGTGCTCCGAAGTCTCCTTTCACAGATTCTAGAAATAGAGTGTTTTTAAACTGCTGACTCAAAAGTAAGGTTTAACTCTGTTACCTAAGTGCACACATCACAAAACATTTTCACAGATAGCTGCTTTCTAGTTTGTAACTAGGCATATTCGATTTTTCACTATATGTATTATGGCGCTCCAAATGTCAGTTCACAGATTTTATAGAAACAGTTTTTCCAAGTGGCTGAATCAAAAAAAGATTTAACTCTGTGAGCTGAATCCACACATCATAAGGCAGTTTCACAGATAGCTTGTTTTTAGTTTTATCACAGGTTATTCTGTTTTTCACTGAAGGCCTCATTGCACTCTGAAATGTCCCTTTCCAGATTCTATAAAAAGAGTGTTTACAACCTGCTCAATCAAAAGTAAGGTTTAATGTTTTAGTTGAATGCATACATAGCAAAGCAGTTTCACAGAATGCTTATTTCTAGTTTTTATCCCAGGAGTTTCAGTTTTTCACTCTAGGCATCATTGAGCTCTGAAGAGTCCTTTCCCAGATTCTACAAAAAGAGTGTTTTCCACTTGCTGAATCAAAAGGAAGGTTTAACTCTGTGAGGTGAATTCACGCAGCACAAAGCAGTCTCACAAACAACTTCTTTCTAGTTTTTATTGTGGGACATTATATTTTTTAATATAGGACTCAATGCCCTTTGAAACGTCCCTTTGCAAATTCTACAGAAAGTTTTTCCAAACTGCAGAATCAAAAGATAGGTTTAATTCCATAAGCTGAATCCACATATCAAAAACCGGTTTCACAGATAGCTTTTTAATAGATTTTATGACGGGATACTTGATTTTTCACAATATTCCTAACTGTGCTCCAAATTGTCCTTTTGTAGATTCTACAAAAAAAGTTTCCAAACTGCTGAATCAAAAGGAACATTTAACTCTGTGAGCTGAAGCCACACCTCACAAAGCAGTTTCACAGATAGCTTCTTTCTGGTTTTTATCCAGGAATATTCTGTTTTTCACTAAGGCCCCAGTTGGCTCCTAAATGTCCACTCAAGGATTCTACAAAAAAAGTATTTTTAATGCGCCGAACGAAAAGAAAATTATAACTCAGTGAGCTGCATCCACACATCACAAAGCAGTTTTAGAGATAGCTTCTTTATAGTTTTTATCACAGGATATTTTGTTTTTCACTGTAGGCTTCACTGCACTCCGTAGATTTTACAAAAAGTGCATTTCCAAACTGCTGAATCAATAGAAAAATTTAACTCTTAGAGCTGAATCCACACATAAGAAATCAGTTTCACAGATAACTTCTTTCTAGTTTTTTTTTCTAGGAATATTCGGTTTTTCACTCTAGGCCTAAGTGGGCTCCAAAATGTCCCTTCACAGATTCCACAAAAAGAGGGTTTCCAACATGCTGAATCAAAAAAAGATTTAATTCTATTAGCTGAATCCATGCATCACAATGCAGTTTCACAAATAGCTTATTTCTAGTTTGTATTGAGGTATATTCGGTTTTTCATTATAATCTTCAAGGCCTTCGAAAATGTCCCTTCACACATTCTACAAAACTAGTGCTTCCAAGGAGCTGAATCAAATTAAGGTTTAACTCAGTTAGCTGTGCACACACATCACAAAGCAGTTTCAAAGACCACTTCTTTCTTGTTTTTATTGTAGGATATTTGGTTTTTCAATATAGGCATCAGTGAGCTCTGAAATGTCCCTTTGCAGATTCTACAAAAAGAGTGTTTCCAAACTGCTGAATCAAAAGAAAGGTTTAGGCCATGTAGGGTAGCCCATGTCTGTAATCCCAGCACTTTGGGGTGCCAAGGCAGACAGATCATGAGGGCAGGAGTTTGAGACCAGCCTGGCCAACATGGTGAAATCCTGTCTCTACTAAAAATACAAAAAAAAAAATTAGCCAGGCATGGTCGTGGGCACCTGTAATCCCAGCTACTCAGGAGGCATAGGCAGAAGAATCACTTGAAACTGGAATATGGAAGTTGCAGTCTGCTGAGATTTTGCCATGGCACTCCAGCTTGGGAAACAAAAGTGAAACTCCATCTGAAAAAAAAAAAAAGAATAAGAAAGAAAGGTGTAACACTGTGAGCTGAATGCACACATCAGAAAGCAGTTTTACGGATAGTGTCTTTCTAATTTTTATCTTGGCATATTTGGTTTTTCACTATAGGACTAGAGGGCTCTGAAATATCCCTTCACTGATTCTGCAAAAAGAGTGTTTCCAACCTGCTGAATCAAAAGAAAGTTTTAATTCTGTGGACTGAATCCACATATCATAAAGCAGTTTCACAGATAGTTTGTAGAATTTATTGCATGATATTCGATTTTTCACTATAGGCCTCAATGTCCTTTGAAATGTCCCTTTGTAGATTCTAGAAAAATACACTTCCAAACTTCTGAGTCAAAATAAGATTTAACTCTGAGAGCTGAACTCACACATCACAAAGTCATTTCACAGATAGCTTCTTTCTAGTTTTTATCTAGAAATATAACGTTTTTCAGTATAAGCCTCAGAAAATTTTTTCTGAAAAGTTTCTTTGCAGATTCTATGAAAAGAGTGTTTCCCACCTCAGGAATCACAAGAAAGATTTAACTGTGAGCTGAATGCACACATTACATTGTAGATTCACAAAAAGCTTCTTTCTAGTTTTTATGTTGGGATATTCAGTTGTTCACTATGGGACTCAGTGAACCCAAAATGTCCCATCTCAAATTCTACCAAAAGAATGTTTCTAAATGGCTGAATCAAAAGAAAGGTTTAACTCTGTGAGATGAAGCCGTACATCACAAAACATTTTCACAGATAACTTCCTTCTAGATTTTATCATGTCATATTCAGTTTCTCACCACAGGCTTCAAGGGCCTCCAAAGTGTCCCTTCGCACAATCTACCAAAACAGTGTTTTCAAAGAGCTGAATCCAATTAACATTTAATTCTGTGAGCTTAATGCATACATCATGAAACAGTTTCACATATAGCTTCTTTCTTGTTTTCATCTAGGGATATTCAATTTTTCATTACAGGCCTCTGTGGTCTCCAAAATGTTTCTTCACAGATTCTACAAAAAGAATATTTCCAACCTCTGAATCAAAACAAATGTTTAACTTTGTGAGCTGAATCCACACATCACAAAGCAGTTTCACAGGTAGCTTCTTTTTAGGTTTTATCACGTGATATTACATTTTTCACTATAGGCCTTACTGCATTCTGAAATGTTTCTTCACAGATTCCACAAAAAGAGTGTTTCCAAACTTCTAAATCAATACTAAGGTTTCACTATCTGAGTTGAATGCACACATCACAAAGGAGTTTTACGAATAGCTTCTTTTTAGTTTTTATCTAGGGATATTCTGTTTTTCATTATAGGCTTCAGTGGGCTCTGAAATATCACTTTGCAGATTCTACAAAAACTTTGTTTCCAAACTGCTGATTCAAAAGAATGGTTTAACTCTGTGAGCTAAATCCACACATCACAAAGCAGTTTCACAGAGAGCTTATTTCTAGTTTTTATCTAAGGTAGGATTTTCATTATAGGCCTTGGTGGGCTTTGAAATGTCCCTTCGTAAATTCTACAAAAAGGGCATTACCAAACTGCAGAATCAAAAGAAAAATTTAACTCTGTGAGCTGAATCCACACCAAAAACCAGTTTCACAGATAGGATTTGTATAGAGTTTCTGATGTGATATTCTTTTTTTCACAATATTTCTTACCGTCCTACAAAATATCTTTTCACAGATTCTACAAAAAAAGTTTTCCAAACTGCTGAATCAAAAGAAAGGTTTAACTCTGTTAGCGGAATCCACACCTCACCAACAGTTTCACAAATAGTATTGAGGTATTTTCGGTCTTTTACTATGATCCTCAAGGCCCTCCAAAATATCCCTTCACATATTCTACTAAAATCATGTTTCCAAATAGCTGAATCAAATTAAGGTTTAACTCAGTTAGCTGAATGCCCACATCACAAGGCAGTTTCATAGATCAGTTCTTTCTCAGTTTTATCAAAGGATATTTGGCTTTTCTTTATAGGCATCAATGAGCTCTGAAATGACCCTTCACAGATTCTACAAAAAGGTTTTTCCAAACTGCTAAATGAAAAGAAAGGTTTAGGCCATGTGCGGTGGCCCATGCCTGTAACTCCAGCACTTTGGGAGGCTGAGGTGGGTGGAACATGAAGTCAGGCATTCAAGATCAGCCTGGACAACATGGTGAAACCCTGTCTCTACTAAAAATACAAACAATTAGCCAAGTGTGGTGGTGGGCTCTTGTAATCCTAGCTTCTTGGAAGGCAGAGGCAAGAGAGTCACTTGAAACCAGAAGGCAAATGTTGCAGTGAGCTGAGATTGCACCATGGTACTCCAGCATGGGCAACAAGAGTGAAACTCCATCCCCCAAAAAAAGAAAGGAAAGAAAGAAATAAAGAAAGTAAGAAAGAGAAAGAAAGGTTTAACTCTCTGAGCTAAATGCACATATCAGAAAGCAGTTTTACAGGTAGTTTCTTTCTAGTAATTGTGTTGGGATATATGGTTTTTCACTATAGGCCTAGTGGGCTCTGAAATACCTCTTTGCAGATTCTACAAAAAGAGTATTTCCAACCCACTGAATCAAAAGAAAGGTTTAATTCTGTGAGCTGAGTCCACACGTCAGAAAGCAGTATCACAGATAGCTTCTTTGTAGATTTTACCATGTGATAATCGGTTTTTCACTATAAGCCTCAATGCCCTTTGAAATGTCCCTTCGCAGATTCTGCAAATACAGTTTTTCCAAACTGCTGAATGAAAAAAAAAGTTTAACCCTGTTAGCTGAATCCACACATCACATAGTCGTTTCACAAATAATTTCTATCTGTTTTTATCATGAGATATTTTGTTTTTTACTATATGCCTTACTATGTACCACAATGTCCCTTTGCAGATTCTACCAAAAAAGGGTTACCATATTGCTGAATCAAAGGAAAATTTTAACTCTGTGAGCTGAATTCACAACTCACAAAGCAGTTTCACAGATAGCTTCTTTCCAGTTTATATCCAGGAATATTTAGTTTTTCACTAAGGCCTCCGTGGGCTCCAAAATGCCCCTTCAGAGTTTCTACAAAAAAGGGTTTCCAAATTGCTGAATCAAAAGAAAGTTTTAACTCTGTGAGCTGAATTGACAGCTCACAAAGCAGTTTCACAGATAGCTTCTTCCTAGTTTTTATTCAGGAATATTCAGTTTTTGACTAAGGCCTTAGTGGGATCCAAAGAGTCCCTTCTTAATCAAAAGAGAGGTTTATCTCAGTGAGCTGCATCCACACATCAAAAAACAGTTTTAGAGATAGCTTCTCTATAGTATTTGTGGCAGGATATTCAGTTTTTCACAGTAGGTGTCACTGCACTCCAAAATGTCTCTTCATAGATTCTACAAAAAGGGTCTTTCCAAACTGCTGAATCAATAGAAATGTTTAACTCTGAGAGCTGAATCCACATGTCACAAAGCAGTTTCATAGATAGCTTCTTTCTGGGTTTTTTCTGGGGATATTCCATTTTTCACTGTAGGCCTAAGTGGGATCCAAAATGTCCCTCTGCAGATTCTACAAAAAGAGTGTTTCCCACCTGCTGAATAGAAAGAAAGTTTTAACTCTGTTAGCTGAATCCATGCATCACGAAGCTGTTTCAGAAAAAGTTTCTTTCTAGTTTGTATCAAGGCATATTCGTTTTTTCACCATAATCCTCAAGGCCTTTTAAAATGTCTCTTTGCACATTCTACAGAAAGAGTGTTTCCAAATAGCTGAATGAAATTAGGGTTTAACTGGATTACCTGAATGCACAAATCATAAAGCAGTTTCACAGACTGCTTCTTTATAATTTTTTCATGGGATATTTGTTTTTTCACTGAAGGCATTTGTTAGCTCTGAAATGGCCCTTCGCAGGTTCTACAAAAAAGAGTGTTTCCAAACTGCTGAATCAAAAGAAAGATTTAAGTCATGCATGGTGGCTCGTAACTCTAATCCCAGCACTTTGGGAGACCAAGGTGGGTGAATCACGATGTCAGGAGTTTGAGACCAGCCTGGCCAACATGGTGAAATCCTGTCTCTACTAAAAACATGAAAAAATTAGCCAGGCATGGTGGAACTTGCCTGTAATCCCAGATAGTTTGGAGGCTGAGGCAGGAGAATCACTTGAAACTGGAAGGTGAAGTTTACAATGAGCTGAGATGGTGCCATGGCACTCCAGCCTGGGCAAAAAGAGTGAAACATTATTAACAAAAAAAAAAAAAAAAAAAAAGGGAAAAGAAAGGTTTAACTCTGTGAGCTGAATGCACATATCAGAAAGCAGTTTTAGAGATAGTTTCCTTCTAGTTTTTATATTGAAATATTTGGTTTTTCACTGTAGGCCTCACTTCACTCTGAAATGTCCCTTTGAAGATTTGAGAAAAATGGTTTTTCCAAACTGCTTAATCAATAGAAAGATTTAACTCTGTGAGCTGAATCCACACATCACAAAGCAGTTACACAGACAACAGGTATATTCCTTTTAGATTTTCTCACGTGATATTATGTTTTTAACTATATACCTCACTGCACTATGAAATGCCTCTTTGCAAATTCTACAAAAATAGTGTTTCTAAACTTGTGAATTAAAAGTAAGGTTTCAGTCTGTGAGCTAAAAGCACACATCATAAAGGAGTTTTACCAGTAGCTTCTTTCTAGTTTTTATCTTGGGATATTCAGTTTTCAATTATGGGCCTCAGTGGGCTCCAAAATATCACTTTGCAGATTTTACAAAAATAGTATTTCCAAACTGCTAAATGAAAAGAAAGGTTTAACTCTGTGAGCTGAATCCACACTTCATAATGCAGTTTCACAGATAGCTTCTTTCCAGATTTTATGGCAGGATATTCTGTTTTTCACCGTAGGGCTCACTGTGCTCTGAAATGTCCCTTCACACATACTATGAAAAGAGTATTTCCAAACTGCTGAACCAAAAGAAAGGTTTAACTCTGTAAACTGAATCCACACATCACAAAGCAGTTTCACATATTACTTCTTTTTAGTTTTTATCGAGGGATATTTTTTTCTCACTGCAATCCTTGAGGCCTTTTGAAATGTCCCTTAGCAGATTCTTCAAAAAGAGTGTTTCCAAACACTTGAATTGAAAGGAAGGTTTAACTCTGTAAGCTGAATGCACATATCACAAAGCAATATTGCAGATAGTTTCTTTCTGCTTTTATCATGGAATACTCAGTTTTTTACTATAGGCCTCAGTGGGCTTTCAAATGTCCCTTCACAAATTCTACAAAAGCAGTGTTTCCAACCTGATGAATCAAAAGAAAGTTTTAACTCTATAAGCTGAATCCACAGGTCACAAAGCAGTTTCACAGATAGCATTTTTATAGGTTTCATTTGATGATATTATTTCTCAGCATAGTCCTAGTAGGCTGAAATGTCATTTCACATATTCCACAAGGAGAGTGTTTCCAACCTACTCTATCAATAGAAAGATTTAATTCTTAGAGTTGAATCCACACATCACAAGGCAGTTTCACAGAAAGCTTCTTTCAAGTTTTTATCTAGGGATATTAGGTTTTTAACTATAGGCCTCAATGGGCTCCAAAATGTCCCTTTGCAGATTCTACAAAAAGAGTGTTACCAAACTGGAGAATGAAAAGAAAGGTTTAACTCTGTGAATGGAGTCCACACATCAAAAAGCAGTTTCACAGATAGCTTTTTTATAGGTTTTATTGCAGGATATTTGGTTTTTCACTATATGCCTCATTGCCCTCTGAAATGTCCCTTTGTAGATTCTACAAAAAGAGTGTTTCCAAACTGCTGAATTAAAAGAAAGGTTTATCTCTGTAAGCTGAATCCACACATTCCAAACAGTTTCACAGGTAGCTTCTTTCTAATTTTTATTGTGGGATATTAAGTTTTTCACTGTAGGTCTCACTGTGCTCCAAAATGTCCCTTTGCAGATTACACTAGAAGAGTGTTTCCAAACAGTTGAATTAAAAGAAAGGTTTAACTCTGTGAGGTGAATCCACACATTGCAAAGCAGTTTTATAGATAGCTTCTGTCTAGCTTTTGTCACAAGATAATCGATTTCTCACTATAGGCATCAATGCACTCTGAACTGTCCCTTCGCAGATTTCAGAAAAAGAGTTTTTCCAAAGAGCTGAATCAAAAGTAAGGCTTAACACTGTGAGTTAAATGCACAATTCACTATGCAGTTTCACCACTAATTCCTTCCAGTTTTTATCTCAAGTTATTAGGTTTTTAACTGTAGGCCTCAGTAAGCTCCAAAATGTCCATTTGCAGATCTACAAAAATAGTCTTTCCAAACTGTTGAATCAAAAGAAAGGTATAACTCTGTGAGCTGAATGCAAAAATCACAAAGGAGTTTCACAGATAGCTTCTTTCTACTTTTTTTCGTGAAATATTTTGATTTTCACTATAGGCCTTACTGCACCTTGAAATATCCCTTCACAGATTCTACAAAAAGAGTGTTATCAAACTGCTGAATCAAACAAAAGTTTAACTCTGTGAACTGAATCTGCACATCACAAAGCAGTTTCATAAATGGCTCTATCATAGGTTTTATCATGGGATATTCACTTTTTCACTATAGTCCTCAATGTCCTGAGAAATGTTTCTTCACATATTCTACAAAAAAAGTGTTTCCAAACTGCTGAATCAAAGGTAAGATGTATATTTGTGAGCTGAATGCACACATCACAAAGAAGTTTCACAGATAGCTTCTTTCTAATTTTTATCTCAAGATATTCCGTTTTTCACCATAGGCTTCAGAATTCCTTGAAATGTCCCTTTGCAGATTCTACAAAAGTCTTTCCAACCTGCTGAATCAAAAGAAATGTTTAACTCTGTGAGCTGAATTCACACATCAAAAAGCATTTTTACAGACAGCTTCATTCTAGTTTTTCTCGTGGGATATTCAGTTGTTTATGATAGACCTCAATATGCACTGAAGTGTCTCTCTGAGCTAAATGCACACATCAGAAAGCAGTTTTACAGATAGTTTCTTTCTAGTAATTATCTTGGGATATTTGGTTTTTCACTATAGGCTTAGTGGGCTCTGAAATGTCTCTTTACAAATTCTACAAAAAGTGTATTTCCAAACTGATAAATAAAAAGAAAGGTTTAATTCTGTGAGCTGAATGCACACATCACAAAGCAGTTTCACAGATAACTTCTCTCTAGTATTTATCTAGGGATAGGCAGTTTTTCACGATAGGCCTCAGTGGGCTTTGTAATGTCCCTATGCCTCCCTATGCAGATTCTTCAAAAAGAGTGTTTCCAAACTGCTAAATCAAAAGTAAGGTTTAAGTCTGTGAGCTGAATCCACATATCACAAAGCAGTGTCACAGATAGCTTCTTTCTAGTTTTTATCATGGGATATTAAGTTTTGCATTGTTTTTCACTGCACTCTAAAATATCCCTTTGCAGATTTTACCAAAAGAGTGTTTCCAAACAGCTGAATAAAAAGTAAGGTTTAATTCTTCAAGCTGAATGCCCATATCTCAAAGTAATTTCATAGATAGCTTCTTTCTAGTTTTTATCATTGGCTATTTGATTTTTCATTACAGGCAATCAACGCATTTTGAAATGTCCCTTTGCAGATTCTAGAAACAGAGTGTTTTCAAACGGCTGTACCAAAAGTAATGTTTAACTATTTTAGCTGAATGCACACATCACTAAGCAGTTTAACACATAGCTTCTTTCTGGTTTTTATCATGTAGTATTCAGTTATTTACTGTAGGCCTCACTGCACTCTGCAATGTTTCTTTGCATATTCTACCAATAGTCTTTTCAAAGGCTGAATCAAAAGTAAGGTTTAAACCTATGTGCTGAATGAACAAATTGCTAAGCTGTTTCACAGATAGCTTCTTTTTAGTTTTTATCATGAGAAATTCTGTTTTGCACTTTAGGCATCAATGTGCTATCAAATGTCCTCCTGCAGATTCTACAAAAAGTGTGTTTTCAAACTGCTGAGTCAAAAGTAAGGTTTACCTCTGTGAGCTGAACGCACACATTACAAAGCAGTTTCATGGATAGATTCTTTCTAGTTTTTATCTAAATATATTAGGCTTTTCCTTCTAGGCTTAAGTGTGCTCTGAAATGTTCTTTTGCAGATTCTACAAAAAAAAGTTTTTTCAACCTGCTGAATCAAAAGAAAAGTTTAACTCTGTGAGTAGAATCCTCACAACATACAGCAAGTTCACAGATAGCATCTTTCTAGTTTTTATCACAGCATATTCAGTTTTTCACTATAGGCCTTACTGAACTCTGAAGCATTCCTTCACAGGTTCTGCAAAAAAGTGTTTCCAAACTGCTGAATCGAAAATAAAGTTTATCTCTGTGAGCTGCATCCACTCATCACAAATCAGTTTCACACATAGATTCTTTCTAGTTTTTATCATGGGGTGTTTTATTTTTTACTATAAGCATCAATGAACTCCCAAATGTCCCTTTGCCTATGCTTCAAGAAGAGTGTTTCCAAACTGCTGATTCAAAAGTAAGGTTTACCTTTGTGACCTGAATGCACCTATCACAAAGTAGTTTCACAGATAACTTCTTTCTAGTTTTTATCTTGAGATATTCGGTTTTTCACTATAGACCTCAGTGGGCTCTGAAATGTCCATTCCTAGATTCCATAAAAAGAGTTTAACCAAATTGTTTTATCAAAAAAAAAAGATTTAACTCTGAACGGAATCCACCCATCACAAAACACTTTCACAGGTAGCTTCTTTCTAGTTTATGTCATGGGACATTCTGTATTTCACTGTAGGCCTCACTAAGCTCCAAAACGTCCCTTTCCAGATTCCACAAAAAAAAGTGTTTGCAAACAACTGAATCAAAAGTAAGGCTTAATTCTGTGAGATAAATTCACACATCACAAAGCAGTTTCACACACAGCTTCCTTCTAGTTTTTATCGCAGTATATTCAGTTTTTCACTAATGGCCTTAATGCGCTTTGAAATATCCCTTCACAGATTCCACAAAAAGAGTGTTTTCAAACTTCTGGAATTAAAAGAAATGTTTAATTCTGTGAGCTAAATCCACACATTACAAATCAGTTTCACATATAGCTCCTTTCTAGTTTTTATTGCACAAAAGTTTGTTTTTCACTATGGGCCTTACTGCACTCTGAAATATCCCTTCACAGATTCCACAAAAAGAGTTTTTCCAACCTGCTGAATAAAAAAAAAAAAGAGGTTCAACTCAATGAGCTGAATCCACACATCATAAAAAAATTTAACACATAGCTTCTTGCTAGTTTTTATTGCAGGATATTCTGTTTTTTACTATATTCCTCAAAGCCCTCTGAAATGTCTCTTCACAGATTTTGAAAAAAAAGTGTTTCCAAACTGCTGAATCAAAATGAACTTTTATCTCTCTGAGCTAAATGCACACATTAAAAGCAGTTTCAGAAATAGCTTCTTTCTAGAACCTGAAGTGTTTCAATATAGGCTTCATTGGTCTCCGAAATGTCCCTTTGCAGATTCTACAAAAAGAGTGTTTCCAAACTGCTAAATCAAAAGAAACGTCTAATTCTGTGAGATGAATCCAGACATTACAAAGCAGTTCACAGATAGATTCTTTCTAGTTCTTATCTGGGGATATTTGATGTTTTTACCATAGTCCTCAATGGCTCCCAAATGTCCCATAGCAGATTCTACAAAAGAGTGTTTCCAACCTGCTGAATCAAAAGAAAGGTTTAACTCTGTGAGATGAATCCACAGATGACAAAGCAGTTTCATGGATAAATTCTTTGTAATTTTTTCCTGGGATATTTTGTTTTTCACTGTAGGACTCACTGTCGTCTGAAATGTCCCTTCTTAGAGTCTACAAAAAGAGTGTTTGCAAATAGCTGCATCAAAAGTAAGGTTTACATCTGAGATCTGAAAGCACACATTGCAAAGCAGGTTCACAGATAGCTTCTTTCTAGTTTTTATCTAGGGATATTTGAATTTTCACTGTAGGCCTCAGTGGGTTCTGAAATGTCTCTTTGCAGATTCTACAAAAAGAGCATTTCCAACCTGCTGAATCAAAAGAAAGGTTTAACTCTTTGAGCTGAATCAACACATCACAAAGCCATTTCAGAGACTGCTTTGTTCTAATTTTTATTCAGTGATATGCAATTTTTCACTATTGTCCTCAAGGCCCTCCAAAATTCCTTTAGCAAATTGTAGAAAAAGAGTGTTATCAAACTATTGAATCAAAAAAAGGTTTAACTCTGTGAGCTGAATCCACACACCAGAAAGCAGTGTCACGGTAGCTTCTCTCTAGATTTTATCATGGGATATTTGGGTTTTCTCTGTATGCCTCACAGCACTCATAAATGTCACTTCACAATTTGTATAAAAAGAGTTTTTCCAACTTTCTATATCAAAAAAAGTTTCAACTCTGAGAGCTGAATGCACCCATCACACAGCAGCCTCACAGATAGCTTTTTCTAGTGTTTATCACAGGATATTCAGTTTTTCACTGTAAGTCTCACTGTGTTCCAAAATTTCCATTTACAGATTCTCCCAAAGGAGTGTTTCCAAACTGCTGAATAAAAAATATTTAATTCTATGAGCTGAATACACACAACACAGGCAGTTTCAGTAAGAGTGTTTTTTAGATTTTTTACCACATGATATTCAGTTTTTCATTATAAGCCTCACTGCACTCCAAAAAGTCCTTTCAGAGATTCCACAAAAAGAGTTTTCCCAAACTACTGATTCAAAAGTAAGTTTTAATTATTTGAGCAGAATGCACACTTCACAAAACAGATTCACAGATAGCTTCTTTTAGTTTTTATCTAGGGACATTTGGTTTTATACCATAGGCTTCAGTGTGTCCAGAGTGTCCCTTCACAGATTCTACAAAAAGAGTGTTTCCAAGCAGTTGAATTAAATGAAAAACTGAACTCTGTTAGCTGAATCCCCACATCAAAGTTTCACTGATAGTTTCTTTCTAGATTTTATTAGGGGATATTTGGTTTTTCACAATAGGCCTTAAAGTATGTTTCCAAACTGCTGAATCAAAACAAAGGTTTAATCCTGTGAGCTGAATGGAGACAGCACAAAGCATTTCACACATAGCTTCTTTCTAGTTTTTTTCATGGGATTTTTTTTTTACTATAGAACTCAATGCTATTTAAAATGACCCTTCACAGATTCTGCAAAAAGAGTGTTTCCAGACCACTGAATCAAAAGAAAACTTTAACTCTGTGAGCTAAATCCTCACATCACAAAGCAATTTTACAGAGAGCTTCTTTATAGTTTTTATCTAGTAATATTCCGTTTGTTACTATAGGCCTCAGTGGGCTTTGAAATGTCACTTCCCAGATTTTACAAAAAAAGTATTTCAGTCCTGCAACATCAAAAGAAAGGTTTAACTCTGCAAGCTGAATGCACCCATCACAAAGCCGTTTAACAGACAGCTTTTTTTTCTAGTTTGTATGGATGGATATTCTGTTTTTCACTATAGACCTTACCGTGCTCTAAAATATACCATCACAGTCTCTAAAAATAAAAGTGTTTCCAAACTGATGAATATAAAAGAAGGTTTAAGTCTGTAAGCTGGATCCATACATCACAAATCAGTTTCACAGATAGCTTCTTTCTAGTTTTTATCATGGGATATTTTGTTTCTCAGTATATGCTTCAGTGTGCTCTGAAGTGTCCGTTTGCAGATTCTTCTATAACAGTGTTTCCAACCTGCTGAATCAAAAGAAAGGTATAAGTATCAATGCTGAATCCACTCATCACAAAGCCATCTCATAAATACCTTCTTTCTAGTTTTTATAGTGGGGTATTCAGTTTTTCACTGTAGGCCTCAGTGCACTCCAAAATGTCCCTGCACAGATTCTACAAAAAAAAAAAAAAAAGCGTTTTCAAGCTGATTAATCAACAGGAAGGTTAACTCTGTGAGCTGAATTAAGACATCAGAAAGCAGTTTTACAGATAGATTCTTTCTAGTTTTTATTGCAGAATATTCTGTTTTTTATTATAGGCCTTGGTGATCTCCAAAATATCCCTTTGGAGATTCTGCAAAAAGAGTGTTTCCAACATGGTGAATCAAAAGAAAGGTTTAACTCTGTGAACTGAATACACATATCACAAACCAGTTTCCCAGGTCGCTTCTATTTTTTATCATGAGATATTCAGTTTTCACTGTAAACCTCAGTGGGCTCAGAAATGTTCCTTCACAGATTCTACATAAAAGGTGTTTCTAACCTCCTAAAAATCAGAAAGATTTAACTCTGTAAGCTAAACACAAACATTACAAATCAGTTTCACTGATAGCTTCATTTTATTTTTTGTGGGATATTTTGTTTTTCACTAGAGTCCTCAGTGTGCTCCAAAATATCCTTTAGCAGAGTCTACAAAAAAAGAGTTTCAAAGCTGCTGAATCCAAAGGATGGTTTGACTCTTTGAGCTGATTACACACTTCACAAAACAGTTTCAGAGATAGCTTCATTCTAGTTTTTTATCACGTGATATTCACTTTTTCACTATAGGCCTCAGTGGGCTCTGAAAAATCCCTTCACGGAGTCTACAAAAAGAGTGTTTTCAACCTGCTGAATCAAAAGAATGGATTAACTATGTGAGATGAATGCACACATCACAAAGCAGTTTTCCAGATAGCTTCTTTCTTTTTATTTTATCACGGGATCTTTGATTTTTCAGTATAAGACTCAGTGTACTCTGAAATATTTCTTCACAGATTTTACAAAAAGAGTGTTTCCAACCTGCGTACCAAGTTAGGTTTAACTCTGTGAGCTGAATCCCCACCTGAAAGAACAATTTCACAGATAGCTTCTTTCTAGTATTTATCATGGGATATTTTGTTTTTCACTAAAGAAGACCTTACTGTGCTCTGAAATGTCCCTTTGCAGGCTCCACAAAAATAGGGTTTTCAAACTGCTGAATCAAAACAAAGGTTTAACTCTGTGATCTGAATCCACAAATCATAAAGCAACATCACAGATAGCTTCTTTCTGGGTTTTTATCTCAGGATATTCAGTTTTTCACTATAGACCTCAATATCCATTGAAATATAACTTCACAGATACTACAAAAATAGTGTTTCTACACTGCTAAATCAAAAGTAAGGTGTAAATCTGTGAGCTGAATGCACACATCAAAAAGGGGTTTCTCAGACACCTTCTGTCTAGTTTTTCTCATGGGATATTTTGTATTTCAGTATATGCCTCACTGTGCTCTGAAATGTTTCTTCACCGATACTACAAAAAGAGTGTTTCCAAACAGTTGAATCAAAAGAAAGGTTTAACATTGTGAGCTGAATCCACACTTTACAAAGCAGTTTCCCACACAGCTTCTTTTAATGTGTATTGCGGGATATTTTCTTTTCCACTGTAGGCCTCACTACGCTCTGAAATGTGCCTCACAGTTTCTACATAAAGAGAGTTTCTAAACTGCTGAATCAGAAGAAAAGTTTAACTCTGTGAGCTGAATGCAGACATCTCAAAACAGTTGCACAGAAACTTCTGTCTAGTTTTTATCTGGGGATATTCTGTTTTTTACTCTAGGCATTACTGCATTCCAAAATTTCCCTTCACAGATTCCACAAAAAGAGTGTTTACAAGCTGCTGAATCAAAAGAAAGATTTAATTCTGTGAGCTGAATCCACACATTACAAAGCAGTTTGACAGATAGGTTCCTTGTAGTTTTTATCTAGGGATATACTGTTTTTCACTATTAGCCTAAAAGACATCAAAATGTTCCTTAGCATATTCTACAAAGAGAATGTTTCCAAACTGCTGAATCAAAAGAAAAATTTAACCCTGAGCTGAATTCACATATCACAAAGCAATTTCACATAAAGCTTCCTTCCAATTTTTCTTGTGAAATATTCTATTATGTTCTGTAGACCTCACTGCACTATAAAATGGCCCTTTACAGATTCTACAAAAAGAGTGTTTCCAAACTGGCGAATCAAAAGTAAGGTTTAATTCTCAAAGCTGAATCCACACATAACAAAGCAGTTTCATAGATAGCTTCTTTCTAGGTTTTATTGCAGGATATTATGTTTTTCATTATAGAACCCATGTCCTCTGAGATGTTGCTTTGCAGATTCTACATGAGGAGTTTTTCCAGATAGCTGAATGAAAATGAAGATTTAACTTTGTAAGCTGAATGCACACATTGCACAGCAGTTTCACTAATAGCTGCTTTCTAGTTTTTATCTTGGGATATTCAGTTTTTCACTGTACACTTTAGTGGGCTCCTAAATGTCCCTATGCAGATTCTAAAAAAAAGTTTTTCCAATCTTCTGAATCAAAATAAAGGCTTAACTCTGTAAACTGAATCTGCAATCACAAACCAGTTTCACAGTATCTTCTTTCCGGTTTGTATCACAGAATATTCGGCCTTTCTGTAGGCCTCACTGCACTCTGAAATGTCCCTTTGCAGATTCTACCAAAAGACTGTTTAAAATAGCTGAATTAAAATTAAGGTTATTTATGTGGGCCCACATTGCAAAACAGTTTTTTAAAAAGCTTCTTTGTAGTTTTTATTTTGGGATATTCGATTTTTCACTATAGGCATCAATATGTTTTGAAATGTCACCTCATAGATTCTATAAAAAAAGTGTTTCCAAACTGCTTTATCAAAAGTAAGGTTTAAATATATGAACCGAATGCACACATCAAAAAGCATCTTCACAAATAGCTTCTTTCTAGTTTTTATCTCAGGATATTCAGTTTTTCACTATAGGCCCCAATGGGCTCCAAAATGTCCATTCACAGATTCCACAAATAGAGTGTTTCCAAACTGCTGAATCCAAAGAAAGCTTTAAAACTGGGAGCTGAATTAACACATCTCAAAGTAGTTTCACAGATAGCTTCTTTCTTAATTTTGTCACAAGATATTCAGTTTTCCACTATAGGCCTCAATGCTATGGAAGAGTTCCTTTTCAGATTCTACAAAAAGAGTGTTTCCAAAAAGCTGAATCAAAACTAAAGTTTATCACTGTGAGCTGAATGCTCACATCACAAAGTAGTTTCATAGATACCTTCTTTCTAATTTTTATCACAGGATATTCAGTTTTTCATTACAGGCATCAATGGGTTCCAAAATGTAACTTCACAGATACTACAAGAAGAGTGTTTCCAAATTGCTGAATGAAAAGAAAGGCTTAAATCTGTTAGCTGAATGTACACATCACAAAGAGTGTCACAGACAGCTTCTTTGTAGTTTTTATTGAGGGATATTTTCTTTTTCACTATACACCTCACTTCAATCTGAAATCTCCCTTTGCAGATTCTGCTGAATGGAAAGAAAGGTTTAGTTCTGTGAGCTAAATGTACACATCACAAGGCAGTTTTACCGTTTCTTTTTATTGTTATCACAGGATATTCCGTTTTTCACCATAGGCTTTACAGTGCTCCAAAATGTCCCATTGCAGATTCTACAAAAAGCATATTTCAAAACTGATATATCAAAAGAAAGTTTTAACTCTGTGAGCTGAATCCACACATCACAAGCAGTTTCAGACATATCTTCTTTCACCTTTTTATCGTGGGATATTCTGTTTTTCACAGTAGGCTTTACTGCTCTCCGGTATGTCATTTTGCAGATTTTCCAAAAAGAGTGTTTCCAAATGGCTGAATCAAAAGTAAGATTTAATGTCTTGAGCTGAATGAACATATCACAAAGCAGATACACAGGTACTTCCTTTCTTGTTTTTATCACAGGATATTCTGCTTTTTACTATAGGCATCTAGGTGCTCTGAACTGTTCCTTCACAGATTCTACAAAAAGAGTGTTTCCAAACTTCTGAATCAAGAGTTAGGTTTAATTCTGTGAGCTGAATGAACACATTGCAAAGCAGTTTCAAGGATAGCTTCTTTCTAGTTTTTATCTCGGGATATTCTATTTTTGACCACAGGCTTCAATGAGCTCTTAAATGTCCCTTTGCAATTTCTACAAAAAGAGTGCTTCCAAAAGGCAGAATCAAAAGAAAGGTTTGACTCTGTGAGCTAAATATGCACATCACAAAGAAGTTTCACAGATAGCTTCTTTCTAGACCTTATTGTATGATATTCTGTTTTTCACTATTGGCCACAAGGCACTCTGAAATGTCTATTTGCAGATTGTACATAAAGAATGTTTCCAAACTGCTGGAACAGAATAAAAGTTACCTCTGTGAGCAGAATGCACACATCACAAAGCCATTTCACTAGAAAGAAGCAAATCACTTATTTCTACTTTTTATAGCTGTATATTCAGTTTTTCACTATGAGTCTTACTGTGCTGTGAAATGTCTCTACACAGATTCCACAAAAAGTGTTTCCAAACTGCTAAATGAAAAGAAAGGTTTAACTCCATAAGCTGAATGCAAATATCACGAAGAATTTCACAGATAGCTTCTTTCTAGTTTTCATCACATAATATATGGTTTTCACTATAGGCCTCAGTGGGTTCAGAAATGTTCATTCATAGATTCTACAAATAGAAGGTTTCCAACCTGCTGAATGATAAGAAAGATTTAATTCTGTGAGCTGAAATTACACATCACAAAGCTTTTTCAGAGATAGTTTCTTTCTAGTTTTTATTGTGGGATTTTCCATTATCCACAATAGGCCTCACTGCCTTCTGAAATATCCCTTTACAGATACCACAAAAAGTGTTTCCAGCATGCTGAATCAAAAGAAAGGTTTAATTTTGTGTGCTGAATCCATACATCACAAAGCAGTTTCTCAGATAGCGTCTTTCTTGTTTTTTCACAAATATTTGGTTTTCACTATAGTCCTCAGTGGGTTCAGAAATGCCTATTCTTATATTCTACAAAAAGAATGTTTCCAAACTGTGAGCTGAGTCCACACATCACAAAGCAGTTTCACAGATAACTTCTTTCTAGTTTGTATCACAGAATATTGTTTTTCACTGTAAGCCTCTGTGCACCCCCAAATTTCCCTTTGCAGATTCTACAAAAAAAAGTGTTTCCATCCAGCTGAAAAAAATGAAGGCTTAATTCTGTAAGCTGAATTAAAACATAAGAAATCAGTTTAACACACAGCTTCTTTCTAGTTTTTATCATGGGATATTCAGTTTTTCACTATTTGCCTCAAAGCCCTTTGAAATTTCCCTTCTCAGATCCAACAAAAACAGTGCTTCCAAACTGCTGAATCATTTAACACTGTGATCTGAATGCACACATCACAGAGCAGTTTCACAGATAAGTTCTTCTAGTTTTTATCTAGGGATATTCAATTATTTTTCACTGTAGTCTTCAGTAAGCTCCAAAATGATTCTTTGCAGATTCTATGTAAAAAATATTTCCCACCTGCTGAACAAAAGGAAAGGTTTAACCCTGTGGGATGAATCCACACATTACAAAGCAGTTTCACAGATAGCTTCTTTCTAGTTTTTCTTCACAGGATTTACAGATTTTCACTATAGGGTTCAGTGCACACTGAAATGTACCTTCACAGATTTTACTATAAGAGTGTTTTCAACCTGCTGAATCAAAACAAAGGTTAACTCTGTGAGCTGAATCCACACATCACAAAGTTCGACAGATAGCTTCTTTCTAGATTTTATCAGGTGATATTCAGTCTCCCATTGTAGGCCTCAATTAACTCTGAAATGATCCTTTGCATATTCTACTAAAAGAATGTTTCCAAGCTGCTGAATGAAAAATATGGTTTAACTCTGGAAGCTGAATGCTCACATCACAAAGAAGTTTCAGAGATAGATTCTTTCTACCTTTTATTTAGTGATATGATGTTTTTCACAATAGGCCTAGTGGGCTCTGAAATGTCCCTTTGCAGATTCTACCAAAAGACGTTTCCAAGCTGCTGAATCAAAGTAAGGTTTAACTCTGTGAGCTGAATGCACACATGAGAAAGCAGTTTCACTGACAGCTTCTTTTTAGTTTTTATCATGGGTTTTTCAATTTTTCATTGTAGGCCTCTCTGTGCTCTGAAATGTCCCTTCCCAGATTCTACAAAAAGAGTGTTTCCAACCTGCTGAAATAAAAGAAAGGTTTATCTCTGAAAGCTAAATTTACATATTACAAAGCAGCTTCACAGATAGCTTCTTTCTACATTTTATTGCATGATATTTGCTGTTTTGATGTAGGCCTCATTGCACTTTGAATTGTACCTTCACAGATTCTACCAAAATAGTATTTCCAAACTGTTGAATCCAAAGTAAGGTTTAACTCTGTGAGCTGAAAGCACACATCACAAACCACTTTCACACATAGCTTCTTTCTAGTTTTTATGTTGGGATATTCTGTTTTTCCCAACAGGTCTTACTGCTCTCTGAAACATCCCTTCACAGATTCACAAAAAAAGCGTTTTTAAACTGCTAAATCAAAGGAAAGTTTTAACTCTTTGAGCTGAATCCACACATCAAAAATCAGTTTCACAGATAGCTTCTTTCTCAACTTTATCACAGAATATTCAGTTTTTAATTATAAGCCTCACAATTCTCCAAAATGTCCCTTCACAGATCCTACAAAAAGAGTGATTCCAAACTGCTGAATCAAAAGTTTTAACTCTGTGAGCTGAATGCACCCATCAAACTTCACTTTCACAGATAGTTTCTTTCTAGTTTTTATCTAGGTATATTTGTTTTTTTAATGTAGGCCTAGCGGGCTTTGAAATGTCTCTTTACAGATTATACAGAAAAAGTGTTTCTGAACTGCTGAAGCAAATGAAATGTTTTACTCTTTAAGCTGAATCCACACATCACAATGCAGTTTCACAAATACCTTCTTTGTCGATTTTATCACATGATATTTTGTTTTTCACTGTAGGCCTCAATGTACTCTGAAATGTCCCCTTGCAGATTCTACAAAAAGAGTCTTTCCAAAGTGCTGAATTAAAATAAAGGTTCTAATTTGTTAGGTGATTGCAGACTTCACAAAGCAGCTTTACAGATAACTTCTTTTTAGTTTTTATCATGAGATATTGAGTTTTTTGCTACAGGCCTCAATGCACTTTGAAATGCCTTTTTGCAGATTCTACAAAAAGAGTTTCCAAACTGTGGAACTAAAAGAAAGGTTTTAGTCTGAGCTGAATGCAGACTTCACAAGGCAGTTTCACCAATAGCTTCTTTAGAGTTTCTCTTGCAGGATATTCTGCTTTTCACTGTAGGTCTTACTGTGCTCTGAAATGTCCCTTCTCAGAATCTACAAAAAGAGTGTTTCCTAACTGCAGAATCAATAGAAAGTTTTAACTCTGTGAGCTGAATCCACACATCACAAAGCAGTTTCACTGATAGCTTCTTTCTAGCTTTTATCATGTGAATTTCTGTTTTTCAGTATAGGCCTCAAGGCTGTCTGCTGTGTCCCTTTGCAGATTCTACAAAAAGAGTTTCCAAATTGCTGAATCAATATAAAGCTGTAACTCTGTGAGCTGAATGCACACAGCACAAAGCAGTTTCACTCATATCTTTGTAGCTTTTTTTTTTTTTTTTTTTTTTGAGATGGAGTCTCGCTCTGTCACCCAGGCTGGAGTGCAGTGGCGTGATCTCGGCTCACTGCAACCTCCACCTCCCGGGTTCACGCCATTCTCCTGCCTCAGCCTCCCAAGTAGCTGGGACTACAGGCGCCCGCCACTACGCCTGGCTAATTTTTTGTATTTTTAGTAGAGACGGGGTTTCACCGTTTTAGCCGGGATGGTCTCGATCTCCTGACCTCGTGATCCGCCTGCCTCAGCCTCCCAAAGTGCTGGGATTACAGGCGTGAGCCACTGCACCTGGCCATCTTTGTAGCTTTTAAATTGAACTATTCAGTTCTTCACTGTAGGCCTCACTGTGCTACGTAATGTCCTTTTGCAGATTTTACAAAAAAAGTTACTAAACTTCTGAATCAAAATAAATTGTTAATTCGGTGAGCAGAATACACATGGTCACAGAGCAGTTTCAGAGACAGCTTCCTTTTCATTTTTATCAGTAGATATTCGGTTTTTCACTATAGGCTTCAATGCCTTTGAAATGTCCCTGTGCAGATTCTACAAAAAGAGTTTTTCCAAACTGCTGAATCAAAGGTAAGTTTTAACTCTCTGAGATGAATGCACACATCACAAAGCAGTTTTACAGATAGCTTCTTTATAGTTTTATGGGATATTCCATAATTCAATGTTGGCCTCAAAGCACTCCAAAATGCTCCTTTGCAGATTTCACCAAAAAAAGCGTTTTAAAACGAATGAATTAAAAAATAGATTGTACTTTGTGAGCTTAATCACCACATGGAAAGCAGTTTCACATATAGCTTCTTTGTTCTTTTTATCTCACAATGTTCATTTTTTCAGCATAGGACTCACTGTACTCTGAAATGTCCCTTTACAGATTCTACCAAAAGAGTGTTCTCAAACTTCTGAATCAAAAGGAAAGCTTAACACTGAGAGCTGGATCCACACATCAAAAAGCAGTTTCACAGATAGCTTCTTCCTACTTTTTATATAGTGAAATTTGGTTTTTCACTACAGGCCTAGTGGGCTTCAAAATTTCACTATGCAGATTCTGCAAAAAGAGGGTTTCCAAACTGCTGAATCAAAGAAAAATGGTTTAACTCTGTGAAATGAAAACACACATGACAAAGCAGTTTCACAGATAGCTTCTTTCTAGTTTGTATCTGGAGATATTCAGGTTTTTCAATATAAGCCCCAGCTGGCTCTGAAGTGTCCCTTTGCAGATTGTACAAAAATATAGTTTCCAAATTGCTGAACAAAGAAAAAGGTTTAACTCTGTGAGTTGAATGTATGCTTCACAAAGCAGTTTCAAATATAGATTCTTTCTAGTTTTTATCATGGGATATTTAGTTTTTCACTAGATGCCTTTCTACTCTCTGAAATGCCCCTCATCAAATTCTACAAAAAGAGTGTTTTCAAAGTGCTGAATCAAAAGAAAGGTTTAAATCTGTGAGCTGAGTTCACACATCAGAAAGCATTTTCACAGATAGCTTCTTTCTAGTTTTTATCTAGGTGTATTGGGTTTTTCACTATAAGTTTCAACTAAGGTCTATGGTGAAAAAACCCACTATCCCTAGATATGCCTTCTTATGGTCTGAAATGCCCCTTATCAAATTACTTTGAAAGAGTGTTTTCAAACTGCTGAATCAAAAGAAAAGTTTAACTCTGTGAGCTGAATGCACACATCACAAAACATTTTCACAGACAGCTTCTTTCTAGATTTTATCAGGTGATATTTGGTCTTTCACAATAGGCCTCAATGACCTCCAAAATAACTCTTCATAAATTCTACAAAAGGAATATTTCCAAACTGCCAAATCCAAAGTAAAGTTTAACTCTGGGAACTGAATGCACACATCACAAAGCAGGTTCACAAGTAGCTTCTTTCTTGTTTTTATTTAGTGATATTCAGTTTTTCACTACAGGCCTAGTGGAGTCTGCAATGTCACCTTGCAGATTCTACCAAAAATGAATGTTTCCAAACTGCTGAATCAAAAGCAAGTTTTAACTCTGTGACCTGAATGCACACATCACAAAGCAGTTTCACATTTATCTTCTTTTTAGTTTTTCTCACAGGTTTTTCAATTTTTGATTGTGGGCCTCCCTGTGCTTCAAAATGTCCCTTCACAGATTCAACAAAAAGAGTGTTTCCAACTTGCTGAATATAAAGAAAGTTTTAACTCTGAAAGCTGAATCCACACATTGGAAAGCAGTTTCACAGATCACTTCTTTATCAATTATATCACGTGATATTTGATGTTTCACTACAGGCCTCACTGTGCTTCGAAATGTCCCCTCACATATTCTACCAAAAGAGTGTTTCCAAACTGTTGAATCCAAAGTAAGATTTAAATCTGAGCTGAATGCACACATCACAAACCACTTGCACAGATAGCTTCTTTCTAGTTTTTATGTAGGGTTATTCTGTTTTTCACTGTAGGTCTTACTGTGCTCTGAAATGTCCCTTTTCAGATTCTACAAAAAGAGGGTTAACTGCTGATTCAAAAGAAATATTTAACTCTGTGAGCTGAATCCACACATCACAATGCAGTTTCACAGATAGTTTCTTCCTAGGTTTTATCATGGGATATTTGGTTTTTCACCATAGGCCTTATTGCATTTCAAAATGTACCATTGCAGGTTCTACAAAAAAAGTGTTTCCAAACAGCTGAATCAAAAGTAAGGCTTATCTCTGTTACCTGAATACACACATCACAAAGCCATTTCAGAGATAGCTTCTTTCTAATTTTTGTCTAGGGCTATTTAGTGATATTTGGTTTTTAGGCCTCATGGACTCCGAAGTGTCCTTTTGCAGATTCTACAGAAAGAGTGTTTCCAAACTGCTGAATCAAAAAAAGTTTAACTCTGAGAGCTGAAGCCACACAGAAAAAAGCAGTTTCACAGATAGCTGCTTCCTAGTTTTTATTTAGGGACAGTGGGTTTTTTCACCATAGACCTTAGTTGGGTCCGAAATATTCCTTCACAGATTCTACAAAAAGAGTTTATCCACACTGCTGAGTCAAAAGTAAGGTTTAACTCTGTAAGCTGAATGCAAACATCAGAAACCAGTTTCATAGATAACTTTTTTTTCTAGCTTTTAACTAGTGATACTCAGTTTTTTACCATAGGCCTCAGTTGGCTCTGAATTGCCCCTTCACAGATTGTACAAAGAGTGTTTCTAAATTGCTGAAACGAAATAAAGTTTTAGCTCTCTGAGATGATTGTGCACTTCACAAAGCAGTTTTGTTTGTTTGCTTGTTTTTTGAGATGGAGTCTCACTCTTTCCCCCATGCTGGAGTGCAGTGGCACAACCTTGACTCACTGCAAGCTCCATTTCCTGGGTTCATGCCATTCTCCTGCCTCAGTCTCCTGAACAGCTGGGACTAAAGACACCCGCCACCACACCCAGCTAATTTCTTCTTGTAATTTTAGTAGAGATGGCATGTCACCGTGTTAGTCAGGATGGTTTTGATCTCCTGACCTCATGATCCACATGCCTTAGCCTCCAAAAGTGCTGGAATTACAGGAGTGAACCACTGCACCTGGCCAACACAGTTTCAAAGATAATTTCATTCTAGTTTTTATTGTGAGATATTCAGGTTTTCACTATAGGTCATACTGCTCTCTGAAATGTCCCTTTGCAAATTCTACAAGAAGAGTGTCTCCAAAATGCTCAATCAAAAGTAAGGTTTAACTCTGTGAGCTTAATGCACACACCATAAAGCCATTTCACAGTTATGTTCTTTCTAGTTTTTATCACGGGTTTTTAAATTTTTCACTGTAGGCCCCACTGCACTCCAAAATGTCCCTTCACAGATTCAACAAAAATGGTGTCTCCAACGTACTGAATCAAAAGAAAGGTTTAACTCTGCAAGCTGAATCCGCATATCACAAAGCAATTTCATAGAGAGCTTTTTACTAGATTTTTTGCGTGATATTCATTCTCTCACTATAAGCCTCACTACACTTTCAAATCTCCCTTCACAGACTCTACAAAAAAAGAGTTCTGCATTCTGAAATGTACCTTCACAGATTCTACAAAAATATTGTTTCCAAACTGCTGAATCAAAAGTAAAATTTATCTCATTACCTGAATGCACAAATCACAAAGCAGTTTCAGAGATAGCTTCTTTCTAGTTTTTATTTAGTGATATTTGGTTTTTAGGCCTACTGGGCTCCAAAATATCCCTTTGTGGCTTCTCCAGAAAAGGTGTTTACAAACTGCTGAATCAAAACAGAAATTTACCTCTGAGAGCTGAATCCACACATCACAAAGCAGTTTCACATACAGCTACGTTCTAAATTTTATTGTGTGATATTCAGTTTTTCATTATAGGACTCTCTGTGCATTGAAATGTCATTTCACAGATTCTACCAAAAGAGTGTTTTAAAACTACTGAATCAAAAGAAAGGTTTACCTTTGTGAGCTATATGCACACATCACAGACTACTTTCACAGATTGCATCTTTCTAGTTTTTATTTAGGGATATTCAGTTTTTTACTATAGGCCTAGTGGGCTCCAAAATTCCCCTTTGCAGATTCTACAGAAAAAGTGTTTCCATACTGCTCAATCAAAAGAAAGGTTTAATTCTGTAAGCTGAATCCAAACCTCACAAAGCAGCTTCACAGATAGCTTCTTTCTAGATTTTACCATGGAATATTTTGTTTTTCACTATAGTCCTCACTGTGTTCCAAAATGTCCCTTCACAAATTCTACAAAAATAGTGATTCCAAACTGCTGAATCAAAAGGAAGTTTTAACTCTGTGATCAGAATGCACACATCACAGTGTAGTTTTACAGCTAGCTTCTTTCCAGTTTTTATCTGCATATATTCTGTTTGTCACTATAGACCTCAGCTGGCTCTGAAATGTTCCATTGCAGATTGTACAAAAACAGTGTTTCCAGGCTGCTGAATCAAAAGAATGTTTTAACTATGTGGGCTGAATGCACACATCATAAAGAAGTTTCAAAGATAGCTTCTTTCTGGTTTTTATCATGGGATATTCAGTTTTTCAGTATAGGTCTTACTGCGCTCTGAAATGTCCCTTCACAGATTCTACAAAAACAGTGTTCCCAAACTGCTGAATCAAAAAAAGTCTTAACTCTGAGCTGAATGCACACATCACAAAGCATTTTCACAGATAGATAGCTTCTTTCTACATTTTATTGTGGGATATTCATTTTTTCACTGTAGGTCTTACTTCACTCTGAAATGTCCCTTTGTAGATTCTACAGAAAGAGTGTCTCCAAACTGCAGGATTTAATAAAAGTTTTAACTCTGTGAGCTGAATGCTCATATCACAAAGTAGTTTCACAGATAACTTCTGTGTAGGTTTTATCATGTGACATTCTGGTTTTCACTATAAACTTCACTGTGCTCCAAAATGTCCCTTTCCATATTCTACAAAAAGTGTGCTTCTGAACTGCTGAATCAAATGTAAAATTTAACTTTGAGATTAATGCACACATCACAAAGTGTTTTCAGATAGATTCTTTCTAGGTTTTATTTAAAGATATTTGTTTTTTCACTACTGGCCTATTGGGAACCGTGGTGTCTTTTCACAGATTCTACAAAAAGAGTGATTCCAAACTACTGAATCAAAAGAAAGACTTAAATCAGAGAGCTGAATCCACACTTTACAAAGTAGTTTCACAGATAGAATATTTCTAGATTTTATCAGGTAATATTCAGTTTTTCACTATAGGCCCCATTGCAGTTCAAAATGCCCTTTCATAGATTCTTTAAAAAGAGGGTTTTCAAACTTCTGATTCAAAAGTAAAGTTTAACTCTGTGAGCTGAATGCACAAAAAGCAAAGTAGTTTCCCACATAGTTTTTTTTTTTTTTTTTTAGTTTTTATGTCAGGATATTTCTTTTTTCTCTATAGGCCTAATGGGATCCAAAAGATCTCTTCACAGTTTGCACAAAACAATGGTTCCAAACTGCTGAATCAAAAAAAAGTTTTAAGTCAGTGAGTTGAATCCACACATCACAAAGCAGTTTCACAGACAGCTTATTTCTATATTTGATTTGGGGATATTCTGTTTTACAATATAAACCTCTATGTGCTCTGAAATGTCCCTTTGCAGATTATACAAAAAAAGTGTTTCCCACCTTGTGAATCAAAAGAAAGTTTTATCTCTATGAGCTGAACCCACACATCACAGAGCAGTTTCACACACAGTTTCTTTTTTTTTAATGAGATATTTGGATTTTCACTATAGATCTCACTGTGCTCCAAAACATCCCTTTGCAGATTCTACAAAAAAAATTACCAAACTGCTGAATCAAAAGAAAGGTTTAATTTTGTGAGCTGAATGCAAATGTTACAAAGCAGTTTCACAGATAGCTTCTTTCCAGTTTTTATCTAGGGATAGTGAGTTTTTCACTACAGGAATACTGAGATCTGAAATGTCTTTTCACAAATACTACAAAAAAGTGTTTCCCGAATCTGCTAATTCAAAACAAAGGTTTAACTATGAGTTGAATTGACACATTTCAAATCAGTTTCTCTTATGGCTTCTTTATAGATTTTATTGCATGAATTTGTGTTTTTTACTACAGGCCTCATCACGTTCCAAAATGTTTCTTTACGAATTCTACAAAAAGAGTGTTCCAAACTTCTGAATCAAAAGTAAGTTTTAACTCTGTGAGTTGAATGCACACATCACAAGGCATTTTCACATATAGCTTGTTTCTAGTTTTTATCTAGGTATATTCTGTTTTTCACTATAGGCCTAGTGGGCTCTGAAACATCCCTTTTGCAGATTCTACAGAAAGAGTGTTTCCAAACTGCTGAATTGGATAAAAGTTTTAACTTTGTGAGCTAAATGCACACATTCCAAAACAGTTTCACAGATAGCTTATTTCTATTGTTTATTGTGGGATATTCGATTTTTCACTATAGGCTTCACTGTGCTTCAATGTGTATTTTTGCAGATCTACAAAAAGGTATTTCCACATGGTCGAATCAAAGAGAAAGTTTAACTCTGTGAACTGAATCCACACATCACAAAGAATTTTCACAGATACCTTATTTCTTGTTTTTATCACAAGATATTCAGTTTTTCACTACAAGCCTCAATGCCCTTTGAAATGTCCCTTCACAGATTGTACCAAAAGACTTTTCCAAACTGCTGAATCAAATGCAAGGTTTAACTCTCTGAGCTGAATGCACAGATCACAAAGCAGTTTCCCAGTTAGCTTCTTTCTAGTTTTTATCACAAGATATTCGGTTATTCACTGTAGGCCTCATGTGCTTCAAAATGTCCCTTCACAGATTCCACAAAAGAAATTTCCAAACCCCTGAAAAAAAAGAAAGGTTTAGCTCTGTGAGCTGAATGCAGACATCACAAAGCAGTTTCACAGATCACTTCTTTCTAGTTTTTACTGCAGAATACTTGGTTTTTCACAATACCCCTTTCTGTGCTCTGAAATTTCCTGTCGCAGATTACACAAAAAGAGTGTTTCTGAAATGCTGAATCAAAAGAAAGGTTTAATTCTGTGAGCTGAATGCAGACATCACAAAGCAGTTTCACAGACTACTTCTTTCTAGTTTTTATTGTGGAATAGTTTTTTTTCATGATACCCCTTTCTGCATTATGAAAGTTCTCTTCACAGATTATAGGAAAAGAGTGTTTCTGAACTGCTGAATCAAAAGAAAGGTTTAATTCTGTGAGCTGAATCCACACATCGCAAAGAAGTTTCACATACAGTATTTTTCTAGTTTTTATCACAGATATTCGGGTTTTCACTGTAGGCCTCCATGGGCTCTGAAATTTCCCTTTGCAGACTCTACAAAAAGAGTGTTTACAAACTGCCAAATCAAAAGCAAGATTTTACTCTGTGAGCTGAATCCTCACATCATGAGCAGTTTCAAAAATAGTTTCTTTCTAGTTTTTATCTAGGGATACTTTGTTTTACACAATAGGCCTAGTGGGCTGCAAAATGTCCCTTTGAAGATTCTACAAAAGGAGTGCTTCCAAACTGCTGAATCAAAAGTAAGATTTAACTCTGTGAGCTGAGTGCACACATCACAATGTAGTTTCACAGATAGCTTCTTTGTATTCTTTATCACAAGATATTTGATATTTCACTATAGGCCTCACTGCATTCTGAAATGTGTTTTCACAGATTCTGCAAATAGTATTGCCACACTGCTGAATCAAAAGCACAGTTTAACTCTGTGAGCTGAATGCACACATCACAAAGCAGTTTTGCAGATATTTTCCTTCTAGTCTTTATCTGGGATGTTCAGATTCTACTATGGGCCTCATTGTGCTCCAAAATGTCCGTCCGCAGATTCTACAAAGCTTTCTCCTTTTTATCACGGGAAATTTGGTTATTCACCTTAGGCCTCACTGCAGTGCAAAATGTCCCATCACACATTCCACAAAAAGAATATTTTTATTGCAGGATATTCAATTATTCACTGCAGGCCTCATTGCGCATTGAAATATGCCTTTGTGGATTCTACTAAAACAGTGTTTCCAATTTGTTGTATCAAAAGAAAATTTTAACTCTGTGAGCTGAATCCACATATCAAAAGGCAGTTACATAGATAGCATCTTTCTAGTTTTTATCTAGGGGTATTCGGTTTTTCACCATAGGCCTCAATGAGCCCTAAAATGTCCCTTTACAGATTCTACAAAAAGAGTATTTCCAAACTACTGAATAAAAAGAAAGGTTTAACTCTGTGAGCTTAATGGACACAACACAAAGCAGTTTTACAGATAACTTTTTTTAGGTTTATCTAGGGATATTCAGTTTTTCACCATAGGCCTAGTGGCCTCTGAAATGTCTCTTTGCAGATTCTACAAAAACAATGTTTCCGAACTGCTGAGTCAAAAGAAATGTTTAACTCTTTGAGCTGAATGCACACATTACAAAGCAGTTTCAAAGACATGTTCTTTCTAGTTTTTATCATGGGATATTCGAATTTTCACTACAGGCTTTACTGCACTGTGAAATGTTCCTTTGCAGATTCTACAAAAAGAGTGTTTCCAAACTGCTGAATCAAAAGAAACGTTTAACTCTGTGAGCTGAATGAACATATCACAAAGAAGTTTGACAGATAGCCTCTTTCTAGTTTTTATCTGGGACATTTGGTTTTTTACTATAGGTCTCACTATGCTCCAAAGTGTCCCTCCACAGATTCTACACAAAGAGTGTTTCCAAAGGGCTGAATCAAATAAAAGTTTAAATCTGTGGCTGAATGTACACATCACAAAGCAGATTCAATGACAGATTCTTTCTAGTTTTCATTGGGGGAGATTCAGTTTTTCACTATAGGGCTCACTGGGCTCTGAAGTGTCCATTTGCAGATTCTACAAAAAGAGTGTTTCCAAACTGCTAAATCAAAATAAAGGTTTAATTCTCAGAGCCAAATGCACACATCACAAAGCAGTTTCACAGATAGCTCCTTTCAAGTTTTTATTGCAGGATATATGGTTTTTCACTGCAGGTCTCACTGTGCTCTGAAATGTCCCTTCACAGATTCTACGAAGATTGTTTCCAAACTGCTGACTCAAAAGAAAGGTTTAACTCTCTGAGCTGAATCCATACATAACAAAGCAGTTAAAAGGAGAGCTTCTTTCTAGATTTTATTGCATGATATTCTGTTTTTCAGTATAAGCCTCAATGCTGTCCAAATTGTCCTTTTGCAGATTCTTCAAAAAGTGTGTTTCCAAACTGGTCAGTCTAATGTAAAGTTTAACTCTGTGAGCTGAATGCAAACATCACAAAGCAGTTTCACAGATAAATTCTTTCTAGTTTTTATTTAGTGATATTTTGTTTTTCACTATAGGTCTGGTGGGCTTTGAAATGTCCCTTCACAGATTGTAGAAAAAGATTGTTTCCAAACTGCTCAGTCAAAGGTAAAATTTAACCCTGTGTGCTGAATGCACACATTACAAAGCAGATTCACAGATATTTTCTTTCTAGTTTTAGCACAGGGTATTCAGTTTTCATTGTAGGCCTCACGGCACTCCAAAACGTCCCTTCACAAATTCTACAAAAAGAGTGTTTCCAACCTGCTGAATGAAAAGAAAGTGTTAACTCTGTGAGTGGAATCCACATATCACAAAGCAGTTTCAGAGACAGATTTTAGTTTTTATTGTGGGATAATCAGTTTTTCACTACAGACCTCAACGCCCTTTGAAATGTCCCTGTGCAGATTCTACAAAAAGAGTGTTTCCAAACTGCTGAATCAAAGGTAAGTTTTAGCTCTCTGAGCTGAATGCACACGTCACAAAGCAGTTTCACAGAAAGCTTCTTTTTGGTTTTATTGCAGGATATTTTGTTTTCTACTATAGACCTCACTGCAATCCAAAAAATCCCTTCACAAATTCTACAAAAAGAGTGTTTCCAAAGAGCTGAATCAAAAGAAAATTAACCCTGTGAGCTGAGTACACACATCACATAATAGTTTGAAGGATAGATTATTTCTAGTTTTCATTATGGGATATTTGTTTTTTTTTTCTTTTTACTATAGGTCTTACTGCACTCTGAAACATCCCTTTGCAGATTCTTCAACTAGAGTGTTTTCAATGTGCTGAATCAAAAAAAAAAAAAGGTTTAATTCTCTGAGCTGAATGCATACATCACAAAGCAGTTTCACAGATAACTTCTTTCTAGTTTTTATTTAGTGATATTTTGTTTTTCATTATAGGCCTAGTGAGCTCTGAATGGTCCCTTCACTGATTCTACAAAAGGAGTGTCTTCAAACTGCTGAAACAAAAGTAAGGTTTATCTCTGTGACCTGAATGCACACATCACAAAGCAGTTTAAGAGACAGCTTCTTTCCACATTTTATCTAAAATTATTTACTGACATTCGGTTTTTAAGCCTAGTGGGCTCCAAAATGTCCCTCTGCAAGTTCTACAGAAAAAGTGTTGCAAACTGCTGAAGCAAGAAAAAAAAAAAAATTAACTCTGGGAGCTGAATCCAAACATCACAAAACAGTTTCCTAGATAGCTTCTTTCTAGATTTTATCACAGAATATTCAGTTTTTAATTAGAGGCCTCAGTGTTATGTGAAATGTACCTTCACAGAGTCTACCAAGAGCATGTTTCCAAACTGCTGAATTAAAAGGAAGGTTTAATTCTGTGAGCTTAATGAACACATTGCGAAGAAGTTTCACAGGTAGATTTTTTCTAGTTTTTATCTAGGCATATTTGGTTTTTCACTACAGGTTTCAGTTGGCTCTGAAATGTCCTTTTGCATATTGTACAAAGAGCCTTTCTAAACTGCTGAATCAACAGAAAGATTTGACTCTGTGAGCTGAATGTACACTTCACAACACAGTTTCAAAGATAGCTCCTTTCTAGTTTTTTTCGTGGAGTATTCGGGTTTTCACTATCAGCCTTACTGATGTCTGAAATGTCCCTTCACAGTTTCTACAAAAAGAGTGTTTCCAAACTGCTGAATCAATAGAAAGCTTTAACCATTTGGGCTGAATCCAGACATCAGAAAGCAGTTTCACAGATAGCTTCTTTCGAGATTTTATTGCATGATATTCAGTCTTTTACTATAGACCTCAATAACCTCTGAAATGTTCCTTCACAGATTCTACAAAAAGAATGTTGCCAAACTGATGAATCAAATGTAAGTGTTATCTCAGTGAGCTGAATGGACACATCATGAAGCAGTTTCATAGATAGCTTCTTTCTAGTTTTTATCTTGGGATATTTGGTTTTTCACCATAGGTCTTACTGTGCTCTGAAATGTCCCTTTCTCAGATTCTACAAAGAGAGGGTTTCTAAATTCCTGAATCAAAAGAAAGTTTAAACTGTGTGAACTAAATACACTCATCACAGTGTAGTTTCACAGATAGCTTTTTTCTAGTTTTTATCATGGGTTATTCTGTTTTTCACTATAGGCCTCAGTGCATACCAAAATGTCCCTTCACAGAATCTACAAAAAGAGTGTTTTTAACTTGCTGTAAAATAGAAAGGTATATCTCTGTGAGCTGATTTCACACAACACAAAGCAGTTTAATAGATAATTTTTTCTAGTTTTTATCTAGGGATATTTGGTGCTATTCAGTTTTTAGGCAAAGTGGGCTCTGAAATGTCCCTGTGTGGATTCTTCAGAAAGAGGATCTCCAAGCTGCTGAATCAAAAGTAAGGTTTTACTCTGTGACCTGAAAGCACACATTACAAATCATTTTCATGGATAGCTTCTTTCTAGTTTTTATCTAGGAATAATTGTTTTTTTACTATAGGCCTAGTGGGATCCAAAATGTCCCTCACAGATCCTACAAAAAAAAGTGTTTCCATACCGCTGAATCAAAAGACAGATTTAACTCTGTAAGTTGAATCCAGACATCACAATTCAGTTTCATGATAGCATCTTTTTTGATTTTGTCACAAGATATTTGGTTTTTCACTACAGGCCTTACTGTGCTCTGAAATGTATCTTCACAGATTCTACAAAAAGAGTGTTTCCAAACTGCTGAATCACAAGAAAGGTTTTATGCTGTGAGGTGAATGCAGACTTCAAAAAGCAGTTTCAGAAATGAATTCTTTCCAGTTTTTACCATGGGATATTTTGTTTTTCACTATAGGCCTTACAGCTCTCTGAAATGTCCCTTTGAAGATTCTAAAGAAAGAATGTTTTCAAAGTGCTGACTCAAATAAAAGTTTAACTCTGTGAGCTGAATCCACATATCACAAAGCAGTTCCACAGATAGCTTCTTTCTGGTTTTTATTGCATAATATTCTTTTTTACACTACAGGCCTGATTGCCCTCTGAAATGTCCCTTTGTAGATTCTACAAAAAGAGTGTTTCCAAACTGCTGAATCAAAGGTAAGATTTAACTCTGTTAGATGAATGCACAGCTCACAAAGCAATTTCACAGATGACTTCTTTCTAATTTTTATCATGGGATATTTTGTTTTTCACTGTAGGTGTTACAGCACTTCAAAATGTCCCTTTGCAGATTTCTACCAAAAGAGTGTTTCAAAACAACTATACCAAAAGAAATGTTTAACTCTGTGAGATTAATCCACGCATTAAAAAGCAGTTTCATAGATAGCTTCTTTCTAATTTTTATCATGGGAAATTCTGTTTTTCACTATAAGCCTTACTGCACTCCAAAATGTCCATTCGCATATTCTACACAAAGAGTGTTTGCAAATTGCTGAAACAAAAGAAGATTTAACTTTGTGAGCTGAATGCACACATCACAAAGCAGTTTCACAGACAGCTTTTTTCTAGATTTTTTTTTTGTCTCGCTCTTTTGCCAAGGTTGGAGTGGAGTGGTATCTTGGCTCACTGCAGCTCAGAAAAAACAAATGCATTTTAGACTAATAAAGAGACATTAACAACATTTCATCCAACTGATGCAGAAAACATGTTCTTTCATTAGCACAAGAAACATTCTCCAGAATAGACCATACGTTAGGCCACAAAACAAGTCTCAGCAAATTTAAAATAATTGAAATTATACCGAGTATCTTTCCTGACCACAATTAAATAAAACTAGAACTCAACAACAAAGTGAACTTTTGAAATTGTACAAACACATGGAAATTAAACAATATGCTCCTGAATGATCAATGAAGAAAATTTTAAATTTTATTTTCTTTCCTTTTATTATTTTTTAGAAGGGTTTTGTTATGTTGTCTAGGCTGGTCTTGAATTCCTGACCTCAGGTGATCCACCTACCTCGGCCTCCTGAAGTGCTGGGATTATAGGCATGAACCAAAATGCACAGCCTAAAATTTGTTTAATGGATACCAAAGTACAGCTAGATAGGGGGATTAAGTTCTAGTTCTTTAAAGCACTATAGGGTGACTATAATTAACAATTTATTGTACATTTTCAAATAGCTAGAACAGCAGATTTTGAACATCTCAACACCATGAAATGATAAATGTTTGAGGTGATGTGTATACTAATTACCCTGATTTGATCCTTATACATTGTAAATATGTATAAAAATATCACAATGTACCCTATAAATATGGATTAGGTATCAATTAAATATGTATTAGGTATCAATGAAAAATAATAACAGCTAGGGCCAGGTACGGTGGCTCATGCCTGTAATCCCAGCACTTTGTGAGGCCAAGGTGGGTGGTTCACCTAAAGTCAGAAGTTTGAAAACAGCCTTGAACAAGGTGGAACCTCATCTCTACTAAAAATACAAACCTTAGTTGGGAATGATGACAGGCATCTGTAATCCCAGCTACTCGGGAGGCTGAGGCAGTAGAATTGCTTGAACCCAGGAGGTGACAGTCGCAGTGAGCCTAGGTTTGCCATTGCACTCCAGCC
This sequence comes from Homo sapiens, assembly GCF_000001405.40. Lineage (NCBI taxonomy): Eukaryota > Metazoa > Chordata > Mammalia > Primates > Hominidae > Homo > Homo sapiens. Next base: position 46,043,626 of record NC_000008.11, on the reverse strand, counting down.
TAGGCAACAAGAGCAAAACTCTGCTTCAAAATAATAATAATAACGATAATAATAACAGCTGGACATGTTGGCTCATGCCTGTAATCCCAGCACTTTAGGAGGCCAAGGTGGGAGGACTGCTTGAGCTCAGGAGTTCAAGACCTGCCTGGACAACATAGACCCCATCTCCAAAAAAAAACAGAAAAAAAAATTTAATAAATAAGCAAATGTCTGAGATAGCAGCCCAAGGATCTAGCACTGGACTGTTCTCTGCCTCTGGCACTCATTATCTCTAATGCTGTCCTTTCTGGGAAACAGCTATCAGAAGTTCTACAGGGGTATCCCTGATAGCAATAAACATCAAAAACACATGCCAGGGGACCTCAAATGCCCCGACAACAGAGTGTGCTCCCATCCTGCAGAGCAGCAAGTGCTTTATGGGTGTGATTTTTTTTTCTGTAGCTAAGAACAATTGCTCTGAAGACTCAAAGCTAAACTAACTGCTAACATCCTAACACAGCCTGATAGTGTAGCTGCAAACTTTGCTCCTGTTCCATGGGTAAAAATAGCTCTCAGCTTCTCAGAAGCCTTCTGTTGGTGCTGCCTGCCATGGGACAGGAAAGAAACACCTGTGAGCAAGAGCCATGCACTCAATATACCATTGCTGACTCCAAAGTACCTGGAATTTCATCTAGAGAAGTAGCTTTAGAAGTTAGGTGATGAATCCTATTCATTTATTTAAAAAATATATATTCATAATATTATATTTCTAATATTTATATAAATATTTATATAACTTATTTTATTTATATTTATTTAAAATTTTTATATTTATTTTTACATATTTTTATATTTTTATAAAATATATTTTATATTTTGTATATAGTTTATATTTATTTTTACATTTATATCTGTTTATATTTTCTTTATATATTTTGTTTTATTTATATAAATATAAATATATATTTATAATGTAACATGATATATTTATATATCTATATAAATATATATTTATAATATAATATGATATATTTATATATTTACAAAATTCACACAGGTTAAAGCTTTCATAAAGAGAAAACAAAAATAAGGAGTTGAAAAACATATAAGTATAAATTAATAGCCACAAAAGGGGGAAGTTAGAGAGAGACTGTGAAAACATCTTTGTCTTGCAGAAAGATAAAATCTGAGAAGCAGCCCTGCAGGACTTGGCTAAAAGTCAACAGGAGGCTGATCAAATGAAGTGATAGAAGCTGTGTAATTTGTCACATTAAGCATCTGCGACAAACCCACATAGAATCCAAGAAATGTAGGTGATCTGATAAAAGGTCACATGTTTAAAATTTGCCCTAATTTTCCCCAAATCCACCACAAATTTCCCTGCATGAGCCACTTTTGTGACACTATGTGCATTTAAGGAGTTCTTGGTGGCTGGATGTGGTGGCTCACGCCCATAATCTCAGCACTTTGGGAGGCCATCACAGGTGGATCACTTGAGGTCAGGAGTTCACAAGATCAGCCTGGCCAACATGATGAAACCTAGTGTCTGCTAAAAATACAAAAATTAGCCGAGTCTGGTGGCATGTGTCTGTAATTCTAATTACTCAGGAGGCTGAGGCGGGAGATTGCTTGAACCTGGGAGGCAGAGGTTGCAGTGAGCTGAGATCATGTCACTGCACTCCAGCCTGGTTGACAGAGCAAGACTGTCAGACACACACAAAAAAAGAGCCCTTAGGGCTGCATGCGGTGGCTCACCCCTGTATTCCTAGCACTTTGGGAGGCTAAAGTGGAAGGATGGCTTGAGATGGGGAGTTTGAGACCAGCCTGGGCAACATAGTGAGATATCATCTCTGTAAAAAAAGAAAAAATACCCATGTTGAGACATTTTTGTTTTTAAAAAAATTACCTGGGCTTGGTGGTATGCACCTGTATTCCTAGCCACTTGGGAGGCTGAGCCAGGAAGATTGCTTGAGATCCAGGAGTTTGATGCTGCAGTGAGCTATACTTGTGCCACTGTGTTCCAGCCTGGGCAATAGAAAGAGATGCTGTCAGAGAAAAAAAAAAAAAAAAAAAAAAAAAAAGGATGGACACAGCAGCTAATGCCTGTGATCCCAGCACTTTGAGACGCCAAGGCAGGTGAATCACCTGAGGTCAGAGTTTGAGACCAGCCTTACCAACATGGTGAAACCCCAACTCTAATAAAAATATAAACTTATCCAGGAGTGGTGGCGCATGTCTGTAATCTGAGCTACTTGGGAGGCTGAGCCAGAAGAATTGCTTGAACCTGGGAGGTGGAGGTTGCAGTGAGCTGAATGGGCCATTGCACTCCAGCCTGGCAAAAAGAGCGAAATTGTGTCTCAAAAGAAAAAAAAAAAAAGAACTCTACTTTTTCTACTCTTACAATGACAATAATAAAGGCTTTTCTCTCCAGGAGCTTTAAGCAAAATTAATGAGAATTCTTATGACCGTAGGAAGATAGATTTAAAAAACAAACACATAGGCTGGGTGCGGTGGCTCACGCCTGTAATCCCAACACTTTGGGAGGCTAAAACGGGCAGATTGCTTGAGGTCAGGAGTTCAAGACCAGCCCGGCCAACATGGTGAAACCCCATTTGTACTAAAAATACAAAAATTAGCCTGGTGTGGTGGCATGTGCGCCTGTAGTCCCAGCTACTCGGGAGGCAGAGGCAGGAGAATCACTTGAACCCGGGAGGTGGAGGTTGCTGCAGAGAACTGAGATGAGGACAGTGCAATCCAACCTGGGCAACAGAGCCCATCTAATTATTTGTATCTTTTTTTTTTTTTTGGAGACATATTTTCTCTTTTGTCGCCCAGGCTGGAGTGCAATGGCACGATCTCAGCTCACTGCAACCTCTGCCTCCTGGGTTCAAGACATTCTCCCGCCCCCGCCTCCAGGGTAGCTGGGATTACAGGCACCTGCCATCATGCCCGGCTAATTTTTGTATTTTCGTAGAGACGGTGTTTCGCCATGTTGGCCCAGCTGATCTTGAACTATTGAGCTCAGGTGATCCATTCTCCTTAGCCTCCTGAAGTGCTGGAATTACAGGCATGAGTCACTGCGCCTGGAGAGTTCTCTTTTCTTTGTGAAGGGCAAGGCAAACTGAAATGGATTCACCCAAAAGTGGTGCGCATGCCCTGGAAAGCATCATGGTTAGACCCATGTGAGACAGGTTAGTTTTACTGTGTGTGTTCCCCATGTGTTTTGCCCATGTGATGCTACCACGGTAATCTGCTCAGTACAAGAGGAACCACAGGTTCAGACATTTGGTGTGTGTGCTTGGTTGAGGAGCCAATGGGGTAAAGCCACTATCTGTGGGATTATGACCCAACGCCCCTAAGTCAGAATCCCACGGAAGGATATGGCAGGGCTGTGGGGCCTTGGTTGGCCTCGGATAGCCGGTCCTCTGCTGTCCCTGCTGGCGGTCTGCCCTGCCCCATGCGGGGCATGTCCCAACGCGCGGCGGGAACTGAGGTCCGGTGCAGAGAGCCCCCCGTCCTGGGAAATGGGCTGCTGCCAGAAATGCGGTGATCCCCTGACCCATCACATAACAGGTTTGTGGGGAATCTGATGCTAAACTATTTGTAGACACCCTGCTTCTGGATTAGGGTTTTCTATGGAGCAGAGCAACTCCCTCGCTGTGATCTATTGAAAGTCAGACCTCCAAACAGGGGTCTCTCCACTCGTGTGGGGGGGACCTGGTGATGTGGCGTGTCCTGTGTAATTCAGTGCTTGACTTCTACCTTCCTTCCTCCCTCCTGTTGCCCCCGGGGACCTCGTTCCCTGGCCCACTCATGCCCGCCCACCCGCCCCGGATCCCCGGGGCACGCAGTTGGTGTCTCTAGCGAGAGCCTATCGGTGCCCACTGTACATTTGGGAGGTGCCCGTCCCCACCCATGGGCTTTGCAAAGTGCCGCGCCGGGGGTTGCTGAGGTAGAGGTGGCGCCCCTGCTCGTCGTTCTGCCTCTCTGATTCCGCCTCCTCCCCACACCCCACTGGGGCTGGGATCGGATTCCTTGAGCCTGGTGAGAATGGCTGAGGCGTGGGTGTCGGGGGGGTGTACCCCTGCAGTCCCTGTTCGAGTAGTGTTCACTCATGCCCGGTACTGGCCGTTGGGGTCACAGCCCCTCTCCCCCTCCCAGGTGCACGGGGATGGGATATGAGCCACTCACTGCCCTTGTGCCTTTCCTCCTCTCTCCGCCCCGGTCAACCAGTGGACAGTGGGGGAACGGCGGGCAGGTCGGTGGAGTTAGATGGCTGCAAAAGTGGGCCGGCTCGGTGTGAAAAGTTTCCAACTGGGTCTGAACGCTTCCATCCGCGAGCGCCTGGTCAGCCAGATGTCTGCGGTGAGCGTTGGACTTGACCATCAAATTGGGATTTCTAAGGTAGAACAGTTGACATTGGTAGGCAGCACTACCAGCTGCATCCATTAGATGTCGCTATTTCAGTAAGCCGTTTCTTCCTCTCCAATTGTTTCCACAGTACTTTCAGTTGCTTTTCATTTTGTTTCTTTTTTCTTTTACTTTTCTTACTTCTCTTTCTACACACTGAAGTTGCTGTTGTTTTACATTTACTTTTTTCTTTTCTTTTCTTTTCTTTTTTGAGACAGGTTGGAGTGTGAGAATGCAATCTCGGCTCACCACAACCTTGACATTCCTGGGCTCCCTCAGGTGATCTTGCCATCTCAGCCTTCTAAGTGGCTGAGACTGCAGGAATCGCTTGATTCTGGGATGTCGAAGCTGCAGTGAGCTGTGATCACGCCATTGCCCTCCAGCCTGAGTAACAGAGAAAGATCCTGTTTCAGAAAGTAAGAGAGACAGGTTAAAGAAATAACTCCTTGAAATTACAATTAATTGTGATCTAAATTACCTTTTATATTTTTATATTTTTCACTTCCACTAGTTTGTATATTGCTATTGCTGTTGTTTATTATTTCTTTGTATTATTGTGATTATTGTTATTGTTTTTGCTATTTATCTAGTTATTTAGAGATGGAGTCTTGCTCTATCACCCAGACTGCCATTAAATGGCATGACCTTGGCTCCCTGTAGCCTCAAATTCCCGGGTTCAAGTTCGAGACCAACCTGGGCAATGAGGCATAACACTGTGTCTACTAAAATGTGTCACTGATACCCCCAAGGCCGTTGGACATGGCAGGTGCAAGTTCAGAGGCTGAAGCAGGCAGTTCGTTAGAGCCCATGAGTTCGAGACCAGCCTGGGCAACAGGTGCAGTGCATTTGCCTGACCAAGGCCCACCACAGCCTCCACCACCCGAGCCCAAGTGATGCTCCCACCTCAGGCTCCAAAGGAGCTGAAACTACAGGCACCTGCCATCACACCTGGCTAACTTTTTAATTTTTTTTTAAGTAGTGACGTGGCCTCACTGTGTTGCCAGGGCTGGTCTCAAACTGCTGGACTCAAGTGATTCTTCCATCTCAGCCTCCTAAAGTGTTGGGATTATAGGCGTAAGCCATGATGCACTGCCCTCTTTTTTATTTCCTTCATTTTTCTTTTTTCTTTCTCTTTCTTTCTTTCCTTTTCTTTCTTTCTTTTTCTTTCTTCTCTCTTTCTTCCTCCCTTCTTTCTCTCATTTGTCATTCTTTTTCTTTGTTTCTCTGTCTTTCTATTTTCTTTTTCATCTTTCTTCCCTTTACATCTTTGTCTTTTTTTCTTTACATTTATTTTTCTTGATCGTTTTTACTCTATTTTCTCAATCTGTTTCCTGCCATCCCTCCATCTGTCTGTCTTTGTGTGGATTCTGGAAGAGTCTCCTCATTCTGTATCCCCCTGTGTATCACAAGCCTCTGAGACTTTTGCTTTGTTGTTTTTCCTCCTTGTTGCAAAAAATGTATTCACTGTTCGTTTATTTTGGTATATTGTGGACAGTTGAGGGCTGGAAAAAAAAAACAGACTATGAATTTGATTGGTTTCATGAGAGACATGGGAGACCAATGAACGTACAATGAGTACTTTGCTAAATGTGCTTTTTATTCTCCCAACCAGGCTAGTGAAAGTACGGACACATTTGGTAGACTGAAAGATCTCTGTGTAGTCATGACCCAGCAATTGTACTTGACGAGATCGGTGATGACAGATGGGAGGCACAGAAACCTGGGCATGGTGACAACAGATTCAAAATGGCCTGTGTCTCAACCTGATGACCCTATTTTTCTGCTCTGGTCTTTTGTAATGAGTGGAGCCTTCTCGTGCTCCGCTATTTCCTTGCATTTTTCTTTTTATATACATTCATCACTTATTTATTTATTAATTTGTTTCAAATGGAGTCTTTTCCTGCCACCTAGGCTGTGGCCTGGTCTCTGCTGGCTGTAGTATCCACCTCCCCGGTTCCAGCGATTCTCCTGCCTCAGCCTCCAAACTAGCTGGGATTACAAGCGCATGCCACCCTACTCAGCTAACTTTTGTTTTTTTAGTAGAAACAGGGTTTCACCATATTGCCCAGGCTGGCCTTGAACTCCTGACCTTCAGGGATCCACCCGCCCTGGCCTCCCAAAGCACTGGGATAACAGGCATGAGCCACCATGCTGGCCTAAATTGCAATTTTTCAAAATAAGTAAGTTTTTAAAAAATAAATAGGGCATCACCGAGTGGCCACTGTTATTGAAAGTCCAGGTGGCACTGATGGAAGTCTGGCTGACTTCACAGAGCCTGGGGCAACTGGTTTCTCTCTGTCCCTCCTGGAGGCCCCTCCCTCTCTCCCTCACTGCCTAGGGAACCTCCACCCTGGTGGGGCCCCTATTGTTCTTTTATCCTCCTGAGTAAATGTCACCCGGGCTGTGGCGTGGTCTCGGCTGGCTGCAATCTCTGCCTCCCTGGTTAAAGCGATTCTCCTGCCTCAGCCTCCTGAGTAGCTGCAATTACAGGTGCGTGCCACCCTACCCATCTAACTTTAGTTTTTTTAGTAGAGACAGGGTTTTACCATGTTGGCCAGTCTGATCTAGATCTCCAGACTTCGTGATCTGCCAGTCTCAGCCTCCCAAATTGCTTGAATGACAGTTGTGAGCCACTGCACTGGGCCACCATCATTGGTTTTAACTGGAGATTTTAGATTCAAGGCACATCTCATTCTATGCCACAGAATGACTTCTTTATCCTGCCAACTCAGGAAAGCCAGGCCCCTTGTCATACATTTCAAACCAAGAGTCACCTCATGTTTGGAAAACAAATCCGATCTCAAGTTCAGTGGATGGATGTGGCATGAGGACAAGGGACTGTTCCTTCTGATTTGGTCTGCATGGTGGGGCCTAGGGCAGGAGCTCAGTGTGGACTGATTGCTCCCTCTACCTTGGATTCCAACGTCCCCACCCTAGAACACGGGCCTTAGCAGATCCTGGCCCTTAAGGCACTGTCAGAAACCCCAACCCGAACTCAGATGCCATGAATGACTGTGGCTCGCACCTCTCCGGAAACATTTGAAATCTATCCTCTATGCTTGGACACCTAAAACCACAGAAGCACGGAAAACTCTGCCATCACCAACCTCACTGCTTTAGGGATAGAATGCTGAACCTCTCTTGCTGACTCTCTCTTGAATCGAGTTCTTCAAAGACATGTGGTTAGGATGTAGTGCGACTAGATGTATTAAGTCAGGCCAGGTGTGGTGGCTCACGCTGGCAAACCCAACACTTTGGGAGGCCGAGGCAGTAGGATCGCTTGAGCCTGGGAGCTCAAACCAGCTTTGGACAACAGAGCCAAAGCCTGAGGTGCTTGCCTGTGGTCACAGCTACTCAGAAGGCTGAAGTGGGAGAATCACCTAACCCTGGGGTGATTGAGGCTGCAGTGAGCCGTGATGGTAGCACTGCACTCAAGCCTAGGTGGCAGATGGAGTGAGACCCTGTCACAAACAGATGGACAGACAGACAGACAACAGATATATTTATGTCCAACTCAGGGTAGGAAGCAAAAAAAAAAAAAAAAAAACAGAATACAGAATTTAAGACTTTTTTAAAATTCTAAATTTCAATCTATTTATTAATTTTGAGTCCAGATTATGAAACCAGCTAATTTTTGTAATTTTCTAGAGATGAGGTTTCACCATGTTGCCAAGGCTGGTCTCAATTGCCTGGGATCAATGCTGCCCTCAGGCTCCCAAAGTACAGGGATGACAGGTGTGAGCCACTGCTCCTGACAGCATTGTTTTGTTTTTGTTTTTGTTTTTTCCTTTTTTTAATCACTAGTCCTTCCAGGAATTTTATGGCAGGGTGTTTGGCTGGCTTGTTTAAATTTATTCTAAATAGAAATTGAGGATGTCAGCTTCTGGCCTCATGGACTCTGAGCTGACGAGTCTTCTGGTCTGTCTATCATGGGACTATACATGTAAGAAGTAAAAAAATTGTAAAGTTTAAAATAAATAATTTTGTTGTACAGAAATACACAGATGCACCCAAAACACAGAAATGATTCTTTTAAAAGTTGTCTTAGTCCTGTTGGGTGTGTCATTGATTCTTTTAGGTTTGGACCTTGACTGAGAGAATTTTCAGTCGGTCTCTGGATGGAATTTCCAGATGACAAATGGGTGAGGACTTAGGCTGTGTCTTCCAGGGGCCCTGGTCGATTAGTTGTGGGAACCACCTGGGAGGGTGCAGCGACCCACTGTGCTGTGGGGGCCTCCATCCTTCCCCTGCCCTCTCCCCCTCTGGGTGATCCCAATTCATTCCTGGCTGACAGTCTCATTGGCATATGTCAGGCGTCACTAAGAGGCCACTGTTACTCTGAAACCTGAGGCCTCAAGGAGGAAGAAAGCTCATGGCACCTGTGCACAGCCCAGGGCAACTATGTCTTCTGCACCGTGCCCAACCCCCTCCCACACCTCCAAGTTCCTCCTTCCCTTGTTGCCCAGGGAATTGCCACCCTGATGACTGGGTCTGATGGTTCTTTGATCAGTTAAAAAAAATAAATATGTCAAGTGCAGTGGCTCACACCTGTAATCCCAGCACTTTGGGAGGTAGAGGCTGGTGGATCACGAGGTCAGGAGTTCAAGTCCAGCCTGGCCAGTATGGTGAAACACCATCTCTAATAAAAATACAAAAAATTATCTGGGCATGGTGGTGTGCGCCTGTAATCCCAGCTACTCAGGAGGCTGATGCAGGAAAATTGCTTGAACCCAGGAGGTGAAGGTTGCAGTGAGCTGAGATTGTGCCACTGCACTACAGCCTGGAAGACAGAGTGAGACTCCATCTCAAAAAAAAAAAAAAAAAAAAAAATGCCAGGCGCTGTGGCACATGTCTGTAATCCTACCACTTAGGGAGGCTGATGCAGGCAAATCACCTGAGGTTGGGAGTTCGAGACCAGCCTTACCAACATGGAGAAACGCAGTCTCTATTACAAATTCAAAGTTAGCCAGGTGTGGTGGCACTTGCTTGTAATCCCAGCTACTCGGGAGGCCAAGGAAAGAAAATCACTTGAACCATGGATCAGAGGTTGCAATGAGCTGAGACTGCACCATTGCACTCCAGCCTGGGCAACAGGAGTGAAACTCTGTCTCCAAAATAATAATAATAATAATAATAATAATAATAATAATAATAATAATAAAATGAATAAATATATAAGTGAGTTTCCAGGAAAAAAGAAAAAAAAACACAAAGTGACATAAACATATGCCTCTGTCCTTTCAAGGCAGTAGTGGAGGCAGTAATGGCAATGATACCACAAAGTGACTTACCCTTCTCAGCCTCCCAAAGTGCTGAGATTACAGATGTAAGCCACTGTGCCCAGCTATGTGTAATTTTTACGTGTACTTTCTTTTTTTTTAATTTACTGTAATTTTTGTTTGTTTTGAGACAGAGTTTTGAAGTGTTACCCAGGCTGGAGCACACTGCTCGTCGCTTACTGCAACCTACACCACCCAGGTTCAAGCGATTTTCCTTCCTCAACCTCTGAGTAGCTGGGACTATTGGCACATTCCACCACCCTTGGCTAATTTTTGTATTTTTCATAGAGGCAGGGTTTCACTGTGGTTGCTGGGCTGGTCTCGAACTCCTGACCCCAAGTGATCCACCCGTCTCAGCCTACCAAAGTGCTGAAATTATAGGCGTGAGGCACTGTGCCCAGCTATGTGTAATTTCTTAAGTCAGCTCATTTCTTGACTGGGGACCATGGGCATTTGGGCTTCTTTCTCCTGGAACTTACTTGTGCTTCAGGATCTGTTCGGACTTGATCAGGTCCACTGCACTTCCATGTCACACTAGAGTGCTGCCGTGCACACCCACTTATGTGTGTGAGGAGTGGCTCAGCTCACATGGTAACTTCCAGGCCCCACGATTGGGCATTTGGTTTCTACTAACAGCCAGAGGCTAGCTGAGAGAGCTCTGTCGCTCAAAAGAAAGCTGGTAATCTGCAGATAACGGCAAGGCCTTGCTCCAAAATCCTCACAGCCTCCACTGTGATTTGGAATCGCCTATGTCTCAAATGGATGGTCCTGTTTTTCTGCTCTGGTCTTTAGGAAAGAGTAGAGCCTTCCCATGCTCTTCCACCTCCTTGCATTTTATTTGCATTCATTTATTCATTCTTTCATGTATATTTTAGAGATGGGGTGTCCCTGTGTTGCCTAGGCTGGAGTGCAGAGGTAAGATCATAGCTCACTGCGACCTTGAACTGCTGGGCTTAAATTGATTCTCCTCTACATCAGTCTCCCGAGTTGCTGGGTCTATAGTCACGGGCGCGACCCGCAACACAGCACAATGCCAGGCTAATTATTTTCCTTCTTTTTTTTTTATTGTTTTCTTGTTTGTTTTCTGAGACAAGCTCTCCCTATGTCTCCTGGCTGGAGTGTATTTGTTCCCGGACCAAACAGAGGGTGGGCTGCTTATTCTCGTGGCCTGATAACGAGATGCAAATGAACTAAAAAAGGAGGGAGTTTTCATTTCTGTGACCACTTACGGGGAGAAGGCTTGGAAATATCGCCAGACCGACTCAAAATTACAAAAGTTTACAAAGCTTAAAGCTATCTGTCTATGCGTGAGTGCATTCATCTAAAGACAGAAGCGATTGACTTTTCTTTTCTTTTCTTTTTTTTTTAGATGGAGTCTTTTTCTGTTGCCCAGGCTGGAGTGCAGTGGTGAGATCTCGGCTCACTGCAACTTCCACCTTTGGAGTTCAAGTGATTCTAGTGCCTCTTCCTCCCAAAGAACTGGGATTACAGGAGCCCAGCACCAAGCCCAGCTAATTTTTGTATTTTTCTTAAAGACAGGGTTTCACCATGTTGACCAAGCTGGTTTGGAACTGCTGACCTCAGGTGATCTGCCTGCCTCGGCCTCCCAAAGTGCTGGGGTGACAGGCGTGGGCTGCGGCGCCCAGCCTCCTTCTTTCGTTTCTAGAGGTGGGCTCTCTCACTGTCACGGTATAAACTCATCTATATGTGGGATATGGTGCATGCATGCGTACGTGCTTAGGTGCGTGTGTTTCTCCATGTTTTCCCGTCACAGTGCTTCTTCCCCTGCAGAGTTCTGGTCAATTAGTTGCTGGGAGCTTCTGGGAGGGTGCCAGGCTGACCCTTCCATCTGTTGTCATTGGGCGTCTTCTAGCCGTCACTGGTTTTGAAATCTAGGCGGTGCACAGGATGCTCTGGCTGCCTGCCCATGGTCAGGAGCAAGTGTGGCTTCTTTCCGCTCCCCCCACCCCCGCCCCCGCCCCCACCCTCGGAGGTTCGCCCTACCTCCATCCATCCGTTCCCCCACTCCCTCATTGAGCAGAAAACTTCTGGAGATTCCGGCTGGGCCATGTTGGTGATTTTTTTTTTTTCTTCAGTTGGTTCCTTTTCTTTCTTCATGTGTTTGACCCGCGTGGACTCTTCTGCCTGGGTTTTACAGATGGCAGCTCAACTCTAGGCCTTTTCGTTAGTGGGGACTTTTCTGATTCTCCCCAGATGTTGTTAAAGCAGGTGGATTTCAAGCATGTGGGACTAAATGGCATTTCCTAGAAATAACCGAATGAGTGTGGAGGAACAAACATGCACTGCACACCTTTCAAGGCAGCGATGGCAGCACTATGAATTAAGTGTCATTTCTGGAGTCAGCTTATTTCCTGAATTGCCCTTCGTGTCCCCCCACCCACCCCAGGCTAAAAAACATTCCAGTGTATACTACTGTGCCTCTGTCCCTTTCCCCTCCTCTTTCTGTCCCCTCCCCCTAGCCACGGATTCTCTCCTTCAACTCGAGCAACTTCCCTCTTCCTCTCTCCCTCCCTCCCTAGGGAAACTCAACCACCCTGGCTGGGCCGCCATAGTCACTTTTTACCGTTATGTATTATGTTTAATATTTTTCTTTCCCTGGCCCGCATGTTGGTAAAGTGGAAAGTGCACCATAGCCCCTCCCTGGGCCTTACTATCCTTTTAGAGTTTTGTTTTCTTTTTCTTTTTTTTAATCTTTCTATCTTTCTCCTTTCATTTCTTTCTTCCTAATATCTTTCTCCAGTTCTGACTCTGTCTTTGTCTCTCTTTCTCTTTCTTTCTTTCTCCTTCCTTCCTTCTTTTTCCTTCTTTCTTTCTTTTTCTTTCTTTCTTCTGTCTTTCTTTCTTTTTCTTCTTTCTTTTTTTTATTTTCCCTTTCTTTCCCTTTCTTTCTGTTTTTTTAGTATCTCTTTCCATATTTCTCTCTTCCCCCTTCTTTTTCCTTTTTCTCTTTTTTTTGAGATGGAGTCTCACCCTGTCACCCAGGCTGGAGTGCGGTTGCACAATCTTGACTCACAGCAACCTCCGCCTCCTGGGTTCAAGTGATTCTTCTGCCTCGCACCCCCCAGGTTAGCTGGGACTACAGGCACGCACCACCACTCCCAGCTAATTTTTGTATTTTTATTAGAGACACGGTTTTACCATATATGTCAGGCTGGTCTTGAACACCTGACCTGGTGATCCGCTTGCCTTGGTCTCCCACATTGCTGGGATTACAGTCGAGAGCCACCGGGCCTGGCCATTGTTTCTTTTAAAAATAGTTTTCCTTTCAGAACTCAACTTCCTTCTTTGTTTCCTTTATATCTTTTTCTTGCGGGACTCACAGCCTTCATTTGTTCAAGTTTTTGAGGTGGAGTCTCGCTCTGTCACCCGGGCTGCAGTGCATTGGCCTGACCATGGCTCATGGCAGCCTTGACCTCCCGAGTCCAAGAGAAGCTCTTATCTCAGCCTCTTGAGGAGCTGTGACTACATGTCATCGCGTCCTGCCAACTTTTTTTTCTTTTCTTTTTTTCTTTAAGTAGAGACAGAGTCTCGCTATGTTGCCAGAGCTGGGCTCAGGTGATTCTCCTACATAACCCTGCAAAGTGTTGGGATTATACATGTGAGTCACCATGCCCTGCCTTCTTTGTTCTTTTCTCTTCTTTTTTATTTCTGTCTCTTTCTTTCTTCCTTTCTTTCTGTCCTTTTTTCTTTTTCTTTTTTCTTTCCTTGCTCTGTTTTTTCCTCCCTGCTTTCCTTCAATTCTTTCCTTATTCTTTATCTCTTTCATCTTTCTTCCCTTTCTATGTCTCTTTCTCTCTTTCTTTATATTTATTTCTCTAGATTTTTAATATTCTGTCTCTCTTTCCCACTTCCTTACTCCCTCCCTCCCTCGCTGCTCACTTCCCTTCCTACTTCCCTTCCTCGGTCTGTCCCTTTTCTCTATTCCCTTTCTCCCTCCCTTCCTCTGTTGGATTCTGGAAGACTGGAGACTTGTTTGGGTTCTGGAAGACTCTCCTTACTCTGTTTTTCCCTGTGCCCTAACCGACCCACGACCAAGTCCTGTTTCTTCTTTCTCCTTCTGAGATGCATCTTCAAACACCCACACGCCATTGGTTGTCTTTTGATTCTGTCGCAGTCTATGCAGAGACACTTTTGGGGAACGGTTTCTGTGAAGTTGGCGTGGAGGGGCTGCGTTTTCGGCCTCGAGAAGACTTCGACTCACGGTTTGGGTATTGCGGTCACAGGCTGCCACGCCATCCGGATCTGCTTTGCTGATGTTCGCGACGGTTGTCGACGGCTGTCTGGCTCCATCTGGCGGCTGCTTTTATATAGTTCTCTTGGCTTCCGGAGCTCCAGTGGCAGCTGCCAAGGGAAAAAAACCATCCTGCTGTGACTTAGGCATAGCTCCAGAAAGCCTGTGGCCATCAACGGGGCTGTCCCAGTCTCGCCAGAGCTCTAGCACCGCCATCTGGGAGTCAGAGCTTGAGCATGCAGGGCTTTGTGTGGGGAGGCTGTAGCCGTGCCTCCATGCCCAAGGGTAGTGTGGGGCTACCCTGGCTGGTCGACCAGAGTGCCGCAACTCCCAAAGCCCAAGCCGAGACCCATGGCGACCTATTGGGCATGGTGTGGGTGGCCACGGACGCCAATCCCAGCCCAGTTGCAAGCCCATGCTGGTCCTGGCAGTCTAAGGCATCTGGCGAATTATTTTCCAGGTCCCCGCGGGGAGTTGGGGACCATCCTGCACTGTCCTCTGGTTACTGAGGAGCAGTCCCCTGGCCCGGCCCCAGTCCCCCTGCTCTAATCTTTTTTTCCAAGTCCCCATGCGGAGTCGGAGAGCAGCCCCTGAATGTGCATGTGGTTTCAGAGGTGGCATCTGGCCAGGCTTTGGTCCCTCGTGTGATCTGGTCATGCGAGGGGTTGGCTGAAAATGATTCTGAGTCTTGCTCTGGAGACAGAGGCCAGGCCCTGTGTTTCATGGGTGGCCAGGACGGAGTCCCTCATCATCTGCTGCTCCGACTTGTGTCCTGGGGTCGACCAGAGGGCCCTGAGTGTTCCGTGTCTGACTGCCATTATGGCATTTTTGGGAACAGATGTCCAGGTCGCTCATTTATAGGCCAGTGGCGTGGTCGGTGACTTGACAACCTGCCTCCAGGCGAGGTATATCTTTCACTCCGGGGTGGCATTTTGGGCCACCAGGTTGTTGTCAACATGGTGTCCGGCTATTAGAGTGGGTCTTTAGATGGGTGTGAAGCTGTGGTATACTGGTAACCCAGCTAACAGGCACTGCTCCAGCTTGAGCTGACTGTTGGGACCTGTGCGCCTGCTCTGACGCATGCTAGTGTTATAACTGTTGGTGGTGCCCCAGGTCTCTGGAACTTCCACCCTGGTGGGGAAAGTGGAGTGGGCTCCCTTGACCCACGTGCTCCATGCTGCAGCTGCGCGGGATAGCCAAAACAACCCCCTGTTGGCTCTGTGCTGTGCACGTCAGACATTCTCTTCTGTGAATTGTTTGCTGTCCCTATCCCAGAGTGAGGCTGGCTAGGCTGTTATGCTCATCAACTTAGCCAGGACTGACCCCGACTCAACCACTGCCCCGCTATGGGGCTTTTCACAATTGATGTGATGATGTCATGCTCTCCTGGGCGGGTACTAAGCAGCGAGCAGCAAGGGATGGAAATTCATGATGAATGGGTCTGTTCTTCTCTTTCTACTCGTGAGGCTCCTCGTCTCTCCTCCCCACTTGTGGGTGGTGTGTTGGGAGGCATGAGGCATGGAATTTGGCATGACTTCACTGCACTCACACCTGGTGCCTCGTGGCTTTGAGGAAATTTGTGGGGTCCTCTGACAGAGCAGGCACCTCTGTTCTGGCTTCCTGTGGTTGTTGCCTTGGGGGTGGCCATGGCACCTCTCTGTGGCCATGGTGGACTATCCTTAAAAAACACCATGCTGCCCTTTCTGGGATGCATGAGTGTTGGCACCACAGAGGCCTTTGTGGTGATCCAGCAGTGCTCCAGATTGTCCCTCACGTGCCTGAGAATAAAAGATGGTGTGTTGTGCCAACGACAACTGCCCTCTCCTACAGCCGCCACCGCTGTGTTTGTGAGTACGTCCTGAAGAGGTCGCTGGGTGGGCGAGGCGTTTGAGTGAAGCAGGCCAATCCCAGATGGTAAGAAATGCCACCTCATCTGTCGAGTGCACATCTGTGCCATGCTCCACTCTGCAAAGTGTGCACAAGATGCAGGAGCGACTTTGGTAAGCTCATGCCTACCACCTTGGTGTGTAGGTCTTGGGGAGGACTGTGGCCTTGAGAGAAAGGTGGGTAAATGGAGGGACGTTGGCAGTGAGTGCATGAGCACAAGGTAACCACCCTAATAGAAAGCATTCAACATTTGCTGCAGGGTTTGGTTGTAAGGCAGAACACTTTCTTCCCGAGGCATCCATGTGTGGCTCTCAGAAACAATGAGGGGCAACTGGCGGGTGGAGACTGTGAACAAAACATGGTGAGAAAGCCTTCTCTAGTAATATGAAAGGTGAGACAATGCTGAAGTACTGCATACCCCAGTCCAAGTGATCTGAGTATGATAATGATTCCGTTGATGTGCAGAAGCAAAGTGCCCTGCTTTTAACATAAAAATGGGCGGAAGCTGAATGCATGATGGAGTCTCTGGCTTGTACCGAGGGTGTGAGACTCACCCACAGGGGGCAAGTCTCCTTGCCAACCCAAAGTGGCAAGAAGGCTCCCAGGGGAAAGGGACAGTACGTCTGGCTGGAAAGGGGATGTTGAGGCATCCAGGTAAAAAAAGCGGCCAAGCCGAGGGGGACGCTGAAGGCCTCATGCGGAGACCCAGGGCTTCCCTGCAGCCCCTGCATCTGGCCCGGGAGGGTCGTGGAGTCCCTGGCCTGCACCAAGGGTGCTTTCCTCGCACACAGGGGGTGGCACCACAAACTGTCAAAGCCACCAGGGGAAGGGAACAGCACATAAGGCTTGAAAGGGGACGTTGAGTCAGCCAGAGGAAAAAAGCCATGCCAACTGGGATGTTGAAGCCCACTTATTGAGGACCGGGCCGTCCCAGCAGCCCCTGCGCCAGGCCCAGGAGGGTCATGGAGACTCTCGCTTTCACTAAGCCTGCATGTCTCTCACACAGGGGCATCCCAAAGTGGCAAGAAAGCCCCCGAGGAAAGGAGACAGCACATCAGTCTTGACAACGGACAGGGAGGCAGGCAGGGAAATAAAGTGGCCAGGCCGAGCAGGACCCTGAAGACCTCCCACTGATGCCCGGGCCTTCCCAACAGCCTCTGCGTAGGGCCCAGAGGGGTCGTGGAGTCCCTGGCTTGCACCCAGGGTGCGTGTCTCACACACGGGGTGGGGAGGGGCATACCAAAATGGCAAGAAGGTCTCCAAGGGAAAAGGAGAGGACTTCAGGTTTTAAAGGAGACCTTGAGGCAGCCAGGGAAAAAAAGCGGCCAGGCCAAAAGGGACACTGAAAGCCTCCTACGGAGGCCTGGGCCTTCCAGGCAGCACCTGCACCGGGCCCGGAGGGGTCGTGGAGTCCATGGCTTGCACCCAGTGTGCATGTCTCACTAAAGGGAGGCACCCCAAAGCAGCAAGAAGGCCCCTGGGGGATGGAGACAGGACGTCTGGGTTGAAAGGGGACCTTGAGGCAGCCAGGAAAATAAAGCATCCAGGCCAAGTGGGATGCTGAAGTAGTCCCACGGAGCCCGAGCCTTCCCGGCAGCCCCTGTGCTGGGTCAGGGGGGTCGGTGCATCCCTGGTTTGCACCACGAGTGCCTGTCTCTTACACGGAGAGCACCACAAACTGGCAAGAAGGCCCCCAGGGAAAGGGGACATTATGTCAGGCTTGAAAGGAGAGGTTGAGACAGCTAGGTTAAAGGAGTGGCCAGGCCCAGGTGGACACCGAAGGCCCCCAGCAGTGACTTGGGCCTTCCCGGAAGCCCCTGCGCCAGGCCTGGAGTGGTCGTGGAGTCCCTGGCTTGCACCCAGGATGCGTGTCTCACCCACGGGGGTACACTAAAGTGGCAAGAAGTCCTGCAGGGGAAGGGGACAGCATGTCCAGCTTTAAAGGGGACATTGAGGCAGCCAGTGAAATAAAGCTGCCAGGACAAGGGGGATGCAGAATTCATCCCGCAAAGGCCTAGGCCTTCCCAGCAGCCCTTGCCCATGGTCTGGGGTGGTCGTGGAGCCCCTGGCTTGCCACAAGGGTGTGTGTCTCACTCACGTGGCACATAGCAAACTGGCAAGAAGGCCACCAGAGGAAGGGGACAACACATCAGGCTTGAAAGGGGACATTGAGGTAGCCAGGGAAATAAAGCAGCCAGCCCAAGGTGGACGCTGAAGGCCTCCCACAGAGGCCCCGGCCTTTCCTACAGCCTCTGTGCCAGGCCCGTGGCATTGATGGAGTCCCTGGCTTGCACTCAGGGTGCGTGCCTCACACACAGAGTCACCCCAAAGTGGCAAGAAGGCCCCTAAAAGAAGGGGACATGACGTCATGCTTTAAAGGGTACCATGAGGCACCCAGGGAAAAAATGTTCTGAGGCCAAAGGGGACCCTGAAGGCCTCCCACGGAGGCCCAGATCTTCCCGGCAGCCCCTGGGCTGGGCCCGGAGGGTTTGTGCTGTCCCTGGCTTGCAGCAAGGGTATGTGTCTCACACACATGGGGCACCCCAAAGCATCAAGAAAGCCCCTGTGGGAAGAGGACAGCACATCAGGCTTGAAACAGGACGTTGACGCAGCCAGGGAAATAAAGCCACCAGGCCGAGGGGGATGCTGAAGGCATCCCACTGAGGCCAGGGCCTTCCTGGCAACCCCTGAGCCTGGTCTGATAGGGTCGTGGAGTCCCTGGCTTGCACCAGTGGTGCATGTCTTGCACACGAAGGGGACCCCAAACAGGCAAGGCCACCAGGGGAAGGGGACAGTGCATAAGGCTTGAAAGGGGGCATTGAGTCAACCAGAGAAAAAAAGCGGCCAGGCCAAGGGGGACGCTGAAGCCCTCTTACAGAGGCCTGGGCCTTCCTGGCAGCCTCTGAGTGGAGTCTGGGGGGATGGTGGAGTCTCTGCCTTGCACCAAAAGTGCACGTCTTGCACACAGTGGGGCATCCCAAAGCAGAAAGAAGGTTACCAGGGAACAGGGACAGCATGTCAGACTTGAAAGTGGACATCAAGGCAGCCAGGGAAATAAAGTGGGCAGGCAGAGGGGGAGGCTGAAGGCCTCCCACGGACACCCAGACCTTCCTGGTAA
Organism: Homo sapiens; assembly: GCF_000001405.40. NCBI lineage: Eukaryota > Metazoa > Chordata > Mammalia > Primates > Hominidae > Homo > Homo sapiens. Next base: position 46,024,701 of record NC_000008.11, on the reverse strand, counting down.
CCTCTGCTTCAGGCCCGGGGGATTCGTAAAGTCCCTCCCTTGCACCCAGGTTGTTTGTCTCACACACAGGGGCATCCCAAAGCAGCAAGAAGGCCCCCAAGGGAAGGCAACAGAATGTCAGGCTTTAAATGAGACCTTGAAGCTGCCAGGAAAATAAAGTGGCCAGCCTGAGGGGGATGCTGAAGGCCTCCCACGGACTCCCGGGCCTTCCTGGCAGCCTCTGCATCAGCCCGGGTGTTCGTGGTATCCCTGGCCCCCATCCACAGTGCGTGTCTCACACACGGGGGGCACCCCAAAGTGGAAGAAGGCCCCCAAGAGAAGGAGAAAGGACGTCAGGCTTTAAGGGGGACCTTGAAGCAGCCAGGGAAAAAAAGCGTTGAGGCCGAAAGGGATGCTGAAGGCCTGCAACAGAAGAAGTCCGGGCCTTCCCGGCAGCCCCTTTGGTGAGCCTGATGGGGTCGTGGAGTCCCTGGCTTGTACCAAGCGTTCCTGCCTCACAGAGGGGTGGCATCACAAACTGGCAAGAAGGCCCCCGGGGAAAAAGGACAGCACATCAGGCTTGAAAATGGACGTTGAGGCAGCCAGGGAAAAAATGTGGCAAGTTCGAAGGGGACACTGAAGGCATCCCATAGAGGCTCAGGCATTCCTGGCAGACCCTGCACCGCACCCTGAAGGGTCTTGGGAGTCCCTGTCTTGCACCCAGGGTGCGTGGCTCGCACACAGTGGGCACCCCAAAGTGGCAAGAAGGTCCCCAGGGGAAGGGAAGAGCACCTCAGGCTTGAAACAAGACATTGGGGCAGCCAGAGAAATGAAACGGCCAGGCTGAGGGGGACCCTGAAGGCCTCCCACAGTTGCTTAGGCCTTTTCGGCAGCCCCTGCGCCAGGTCTGGAGTGATCATGGAGTCTCTGGCTTGCACCAAGGGTGCGTGTCTCGCACACCGGGGGGCACCACAAACTCTCAAGAAGGCCCCTGGGAAAAGGGGACAGCACATTAGGGTTGAAAGGGGATGTTGAGGCAGCCAAGGAAATAAAGCAGCCAGGCCATGGGAGAACCTGAAGGCCTTACACGGAGGCCCAGGCGTTCCCAGCAGCCCCTATGCTGGGCCCGGGGTGGTCGTGGAGTCCCTGCCTTGCATCCAGGGTGTGTGTCTCGCACACGAAGGGAACCCCAAAGTGGCAAGAAGGCCACGGGAGAAAAGGGACAGCAAGTTAGGCTTGAAAGGGGACTTTGAAGCAGCCACGGAAATGAAGCAGCCAGGCCGAGGGGGAAGCTGAAGGCCTCCCAGAGAAGCCCAGGCCTTCACAACAGCATTTGTGCTGGGCCTGGGGGCTTCGTGGAGTCCCTGGCTTGCACTCAGTGTGGGTGTCTCACACATGGTTAGGGGCCCTAAAGCAGCAAGAAGGCCCCCGGGGTAAGGGGACATCACATCAGGCTTTAAATGGGATATTAAGGCAGCCAGGGTAATAAAGCGGCCAGGCCGATGGGTAAGCTGAAGTCCTCCCAAGGAGGCCTGGGCCTTCACGACAACCCTTGCACCGTGCCTGGGGTGGTCATGAGCCCATGGCTTGCACCAAGAGTGCCTGTGTCACACATGGAGGGCACAAAAACTGGCAAGAAGGCCAGCAGGGAAAGGGGACTGCACTTCAGGCTTGAAAGGGAACATTGAGGCAGCCAGGGAAAAAAGCGACTAGACCAGGTGGGATGCTGAAGTCATCCCACGGAGGCCCGGGCCTTCCCAGCAGCCTCTGTGCTGGACCAAGGGGGATTGTGGAATCCCTGTCTTGAACCCTGTTTGTGTGTCTCACACACGGAAGGCACCACAAAGTGGCAAGAAGTTCCCCAAGAAAAGGGGACAGGACGTCAGGCTTTAAAGGGGACATTGAGACAGCCAGGGAAAAAAGTGTCGAGGCTGAAGGGGATGCTGAAGTGATCCCAAGGAGATCTGGGCCTACCCAGCAGCCCTTGCAAAGGGCCCTGAGGGGTCGTGGAGTCCCTGGTTTGCACCCAGGGTTCATGTCTTGCACACAGGGAGCACCACAAAGCAATAAGAAGGCCCCTGGGGGAAGGTGACAGCACATCAGTCTTGAAAGGGGACATTGAGGCAGCCAGATAAATAAATCGGACAGGCCAAAGGGGATGCTGAAGGCTTTCCATGGAGGCCTGGGCTTTCCCACAGTCCCAACGCCAGGCCCCATGTGGTCATGGAGTCCCTGGCTTGCATCAAGGGTGCCTGTCTGGCAAACGGGAGGCACCTGAAGCTGGCAAGAAGGCCCCCAGACAAAGGGTACAGCATGTCAGACTTTAAAAGGAACGTTGAAGCTGCCAGAGAAATTAAGCAGCCAGGCTGAAGGTGATGCTGAATGCCTCCTACGGAGACCCCGGCCTTCCTGGCAGCCTCTGTGCCAGGCCTTGGGGGGTTCATGGAGTCCCTGCTTGACCCAGGCTGCATGTCTTGCAAAGTGAGGCACCCCAAAGTGGCAAGAAGTCCCCCAAGGGAAGGAGACAGGGCATCAGGCTGTAATGGGGACCTTGAGGCAGCCAGGTAAAAAAGCATATAGGCTGAAGCGGATGCTGAAGGCCTCCCACGGATGCCCAGGCCTTCCCTGCAGCCCCTACACTGGGCCCTGAGGGGTCGTGGAGTCCCTGGCTTGCACCCAGGGTGAGGGTCTTGCACATGGGGAGCAAGTCAAAATTTCAAGAAGGCCCCCAGCGTAAGGGGACACCACCTCAGGCTTGAAATGGGACATTGAGGCAGCCAGGGAAATAAAGCAGCCAGGCCAAGGGGGATGCATAAAGCCTCCCACTGATGCCTGGTTCTTCTCATCAGCCCCTGCATGGGATCCAGGGGGATCGTGGCATCCCTGGCTTGCACCCAGGGTGCGTGGCTCACCCATAGGGGCAGCCCAAAGAGGCAAGAAGGCCCCCAAGGGAAGGTCAGGCTTGAAAGATGATGTTGAGGCAGTTCGGGAAGGGAAAAAATTGGCACAGGCCAGGAGGGGGCCTGGGTCCTACCATGGAGGAAAATGCCTTCCTGGCAGGAACTGTGCAGCGTGCGGGGGTGTCGTAATGCCCCTGGCTTGCCCCAGGATACATGTCTCACCCATGGGGCACTACAAAGTGGCAAGAATGCCCCAAAAGGAAAGCCACAGCATGTCAGGCTTGAAAGGAGAGGTTGAAGTAGTTCTGGAAGGAAAAAAAACTGGTGGCTGAAAAGGGGGCCTGTGTGCTCCCAGGGATGAAAGTACCTTCTCAGCAGCCCTTGCACTGGTCACGGAATGTCGTGGAGTCCGTAGCTTGCACCCAGGGTCTGTGCCTCACCCATAGGGGCACCACAACGCAGCAAAAATGCCCCAGGAGGAAGGCCAAGACATGTCAGGCTTAAAAGGGGAGGTTGAGGCAGCTCTGGAAGGAAAAAATTCAGCACGGCCGAGGAGGGGTACTTGGGCCCTCCAATGGACCAAAGTGCCTTCCCAGCACCTCTGCGCCAGTCCTGGGGGTAAGTGGAGTCCCTAGCTTGCACCCAGGGTGCATGTCTCACCAATGGGGGAACCCCATCGTGGCAAGAATGCTGGAAGAGGAAGACTACGGCACGTCAGGCTGGAAAGCGGAGGTTGAGGCAGCTCTAGAAGTGAAAAAAATGGCACAGCCAAGGAGGGGATCCTGATCCTCCCGTGGATGAAAGTGCCTCCCTGGCAGCCCCTGCACTGGGCCCGGGGGTTTATGGAGGCCCTAGCTTTCACCTTGGGTGCATATCTCAACCACAGGGCACCCCAAAGTGGCAAGAAGGCCTCAAAGGGAAGATCAGGCTTGAAAGGAGACGTGGAGGCAGCTTGGGAAGGGAAAAAATTGGCGCGAGCAGGGATGGGGGCCTGGGTCCTCCCATGGACAGAAGTGCCTTCCCAGAAGCCCCTGTGCGGGGTCCACGGAGGTAGTGGCATCCCAGACTTGCACCAAGGGTGTGTTTCTTGCAAATGGTGTGCACCCCAAATCTGCAAGAAGGCTCCTGGTGTAAGGGGACACTACATCAGGCTTGAAACGGGACGTTGAGACAGCCAGGGAAATAAAGTGGCCAGGCCGAGGGGGAGGCCTGGGCCTTCCTGGCAGCCTCTAGGCAGGGCCCGAAGTGGTCATGGAATCCCTTGCTTGCACCAAGTGTGCCTTTCTCGCATACAATGGACCGCATAAACTGGTATGAAGGACCCCAGGGAAAGGGGACAGCATGCCAGGGCTTATTGTGGGATCTGGCCAGCATCCTGCAATGCAAAGGGGCTCTTTCTTTGTTCCCAGGTGAATTGGCAGGTCGAGAAATAATATACACACACAAGATAGTGAAAGCTGCATCCGGGGGTCACCACCTTCTGGTCCCGTGATGCCACCAAAGCACTGGATATATCAGCATTTATTATTAAGTTTAGTGAGGGCAGAAGTAGGTTAGTGAGGGATTTGGGTCATTTGATTATGAGGTGAGATGGTCACATAGGGATGAAGTAATTCTTTAACATAACATCTGTATGCAGAACTACAGTATACAGAGATAAGAATTTACAATATAGTGTGTGCATCAGTAATTTCTAACGGAGCCTTAAAAAAGAAATACAGTCTTTCCATAACCTATGATTAACAAGATATTAATCAGCAGTAACAGTTGCAGCAAAAGCTGGTAACAAACAATCCATAGAAACAGGACGTGATGCCGAACACCTGGTTAGACCAGAAATTCTCAGAAGGGAGTATGTCTTAACCCTAAAGAGGCCTAGATGAGCCATGGCAAGATGAGGGTGTTTATAGCCCTATCTTATCCATATGAATAGGCGCCCCTCATGCATCCATTTATAGGCTCTCCACAGGGGTTGCATTCCATGCCCAGAGCTATGAACATCTGCTTTTCTGGGATAGGAATCTTGGTGATGTGAAACCTCCCTGACTGCACATCCATTCATAGGCTCTCTGCAGGGGGAAGCACATCACGTGCTGTTGGCTCATTCTGGCAGTACAACCTGTCATTGTCTTTACACAATCCTGCATCCAATTTTGTATTTACAATAATCAGGAGCATTTCATCTTTTGTTCTGTAGCAGTAGTTTCAGGGGGTTTCCCTACAAGGTTTGAAAGGAGATGTTGAGGCAGTCAGGGGAAAAAAGCAGCCTGGCCAAAGGGGACACTGAAAGCCTCCCAGGAGGCCCGGGCCTTTCCAGCAGCCCCGGCACAAGGTCCGGGGTGGGGGTCATGGCATCCCTCACTTGCACCCAGGGTTCATGTCTCACCCACAGGGGGCACCTATAAGTGGCAAGAAGGACCCCAATGGAAGGTCAGGCTTTAAAGGGGATGTTGAGGCAGCTCAAGAAGGGAAAAAATTGGCATGGCCCTGGACAGGGGCTTAGGTCCTTCAATGGATGAAAGTGCCTTCCCACCAGCCCATTCACGGGGTTGGGGTGTGTCATGGCATCCCTGGATTGCAACCAGGGTGCATGTCTCACCCTTGGGGGCAGGCAAAGTGACAAGAAGGACCCCAAGAAAAGAGGACAGCAAGTCAGGCTTCAAAGGAGACATTAGGGCAGCTGGGGTAAGAAAGAATGTAGTGCGGCACAAGAGGGGGGCCTGGGTCCTGCCACGGACTAAAATGCCTTCCTGGCAGCCCCTGAGCAGGGTCTGGGGGGGCCGTGGCATCCCTGGCTTGCAACCAGGGTGGGTGTCTCATCCATGGGAGGCAGACTAAAGTGGCCAAAAGGCCCCCAAAGAAAGGGGACGGCAAGTCAGGCTTGAAAGAGGACATTGAGGCAACATGGGAAGGAAAAAAAGGGGCACAGCTCAGGATGGGGGGCCTGTGTCCTCCCATGGATGAAAATGTCTTCTGGCAGCCCCTGTGTAAATCCAGGGTGGTCTTGGTGTCCCTGGCTTGCACCCAGGGATCATGTCTTGCCACAGGAGGCACCATAAGGCAGCAAGAAGGCCTGCAACGGAAGTTCAGGCTTGAAAGGGGTCGTTGAGTCAGCTTGGGAAGGGAAAAAATCGGCGTGGCCCCATACTGAGACCTGGGTTCTCCCACAGATGTAAATGCCTTCCCGTCAGCCTCTGTGTGGGGTCCACTGGGGTCATGGCATCCCTGAATTGCACTCAGGGTGCATGTCTCACCTACGGTGGACACCCCAAAGTGGCAAGAAGGCCCCCAAGGGAAGGTCAGGCTTGAAAGAGGACATTGAGGCAGTTCTGGAAAAGAAAAATGTGGTGTCACCAAGGAGGGAGGCCTGGGTCCTCCCATGGATGAAAATGCCTTCCAGGCAGGCTCTGCACATGGTGTGGGTAGGTTTTAACACCCTTGGCTTGCCCCCAGGGTATATGTCTCAACCACAGGGAACTGCAAAGCAGCAAGAAGGCCCCAGGAGGAAGGCCACAGCGTGGCAGGCTTGAAAGGGGAGGTTGAGGCAGCTCTGGAAGGAAAAAAATGGCATGGCCTAGGAGGGGGGCCTGTGTCTTCCCACGGATGAAAATGCCTTCCCAGAACCCCATGTGCTGGGCCCGGAAGGTCATGGAGTCCCTAGCTTGCACGCACAGTGCATGTCTTGCCCATTGGGGCACCCCAAAGTGGCAAGAATGCCCCAGGAGGAAGGCCACAATACGTCAGGCTTGAAAGGGGAAGTTGAGGCAGCTCTGGAAGGATAATAAATGGCATAGTCAAGGAGGGGGGCCTGGGTCATCCCGTGGATGAATGTGCATTCCTGGCAGCCACTGCACTGGGCCGGTGGATTTATGGAGTCCTTAGCTTGCACCCAGGGTTCGTGTCTCGCCCACAGGCGCACCCCAAATAAGCTAGAAGGCCCCCGAGTCAATGTCAGGCTTGAAAGCGGACGTTGAGGCAGCTCTTGAAGTGAAAAAATTGGCGCAGCCTAGGACGGGGGCCTGGGCACTACCAGGGAGGAAAGTGCCTTCCCAGCAGCCTCTGCACTGGGTCCATGGGGATTTTGGCATCCCTGGCTTGCACCCAGGGTGTGTTTCTTGACCTCAGGTGACACCTCAAAGCAGCAAAAAGGTCCCTAAGGGAAGGGGACTGCACATCAGGTTTGAAAGGTGATGTTGAGGCAGCTTGAGAAAAGAAGAAAGGGGTATGGCCCAGGAGGAGGTCCTGGGTCCTCTCATGGACGAAAGTGCCATCCCAGCAGCACCTGCACAGGGTGCAGAAGGGTCGTGGCATCACTGCTTGCACCCGGAATGCGTGTCTCACCCATGGGAGGCAGCCCAAAGTGGCAAAAAGTCCCCCAATGGAAGGGGACAGCAAGTCAGGCTGGAAAGTATATGTTCAGGCAGCTTGGGAAAGGAAAAATTGGCGCAGCCCAGTAAGGGGTCCTGGATCCTCCCATGGACGAAAATGCCTTCCCATCATCCACTGTGGGAGTTCTGAGGGGCTCGTGGTGTGCCTGGCTTGCAAGCAGGGTGGGTGTATTACCCACAGGGTGCACCTCAAAGTGGCAAGAATGCCCGATTAGTAAGGCCACAGCACATCAGGCATGAAATGGGAGGTTGAGGCAGCTTTGGAAGGAAAAAAATGGCACAGCCGAGGAGGGGGCCTGGGTCCTCCCAGGGTTGAAAGTGCCTTCCTGGCAGCCCCTACACCAGGCTGGGGGTTCATGGAGTCCCTAGCTTGCACCCAGGGTGTGTGTCTCACCCACAGGGCCACCGCAAAGCAGGAAGAAGCTCCCCAGAGGAAAGTCAGGCTTGAAAGGGGACTTTGAGGCAGCTTGGGAAGGGAAAAAAATGGCGTTTGCCCAGATGGGGGACTGGGTCATCTTATGGATAAATTGCCTTCCCTGCAGTCCTTGTGTGGCACCTGTGGAGGTCGTGGCATCCCTGGCTTGCATCCTGGGTGCATGTCTCACATACGGTGGGCACCCCAAAGTGTGAAGAAGGCCCCTGGGGGGAGGGGACTGCAAGTCAGGCTTGAAACGGGATGTTGAGACAGCCAGGGAAATAAAGTGGCCAGGCTGAGGAGGAAGCTGAAGGACTTTTACGGAGGCCCCCACCTTGCCAGCAGCCCCTGCGCTGGGCCCGTAGCTGTCGTGGAGTCCCTGACTTGCACAAAGGGTGACCTTGCATATGGGAGGCCCCAACAAACTGGTATGAAGGCCCCCGAGGAAAGGGAACAGCACATCAGTGTTGAAAGGGGACATTGAGGGAGCCAGGCCAAAAAAGCAGCCAGGCTGAGGGAAACACAAGGCCTCCCAGGGAGGCCTGGGCTTTCCTGGCAGCTCCTGCACAGGGTCTGTGGGGGGGGTCGTGGCATCCCTGGCTTGCACACAGGGTTCGTGTCTTGCCCACAGGGGGCACCCAAAAGTGGCAAGAGGGCCCCGAATGGATGGTCAGGCTTTAAAGGGGACTTTGGAGCAGTTCAGGAAGGGAAAAAAGGGGCACGGCCCAGGATGCACTCCTGTACGGTGTAGGGGTGTGTCGTGATGCCCCTGGCTGGCACCCAAGGTGTGTGTCTCACCCACGGGGGCACTGCAAAGCAGCAAGAAGGCCCACAAGGGAAGGGGATGGTAAGTCAGGCTTCAAAGGGGACACTGAGGCAGCTAGGGAAGGGAAGAAAGTGGTGCATCCCTAGAGTGGGTCCTGGGTCCTGCTGCAGACTAAAGTGCCTTCCCGGCAGCCCCTGCACAGCATCCGGGGTGGACATGGCATCCCTGGCTTGCAACCAGGATGCATTTCTCGCCCACAGGTGTCACTTCAAAGAGGCAAGGAGCCCCCAAGGGAAGGTCAGGCTTCAAAGAGGATGTTGAGGCAGTTCAGGAAGGGAAAAATGTGGCAAGGCCCAGGAGGGGGCCTGGGTCTTCCCATGGATGAAAAAGCCTTCCAGCCAGGCTCTGTGTCGGGTGCAGGGTGGTGATAACACCCCTGGCTTGCCCCCAGGGTATGTGTCTTACCCACGGGGCACTGCAAAGTGGCAGGAATGCCCCAGAGGGAAGGTCACGGCACTTCAGGCTTGAAAGGGGAGGTTGAGGCAGCTCTGGAAGAAAAAAACCTGTGCTGCCGAGGAGGAGGCCTGTGTCCTCCCACAGATGAAAGTGTCTTCCTGGCAGCCCTTGCACCAGTCATGGGGTGTTGTGGAGTTCCTAGCCTGCATTCTGGGTGCATATCTTGCCCATAGGGGCACCGCAAAGTGGCAAAAATATCCCAAGAGTAAGGTCGCAGCATGTCAGGCTTGAAAGGGGAGGTTGAGGCAGCTCTGTAAGGAAAAAAATCCACATGGCCAAGGAGGGGAGCCTGTGTCCTCCCATGGAAAAAAGTGCCTTCCCAGCAGCCCTGTGCCTGGCTCAGGTGTTCATGAAGTCCCTAGCTTGCACCCAGGGTGCCTTTCTCACCAACAGGACACCCCAAAGTGGCAAGAAGGCCCCAAAAGGAAGGTCAGGTTTGAAAGGGGGCATAGAGGCAGCTCATGAAGGGAAAAATGCAGCATGTCCCAGGAGGGATGCCTGTGTCCTCCCACAGAGGAAAATGCCTTCCCTGCAGCTGTTGTGGGAAGTCAGGGACCCCAAATGGAGGGACCAGCTGAAGCCATGGCAGAAGAACATAAATTGTGAAGATTTCATGGACATATTTTAGTTCCCCAGATTAATACTTTTATATATTTTCTTATGCCTGTCTTTACTGCAGTCTCTGAACATAAATTGTAAAGATTTCATGGACACTTATCACTTCCCCAAACAATATTCTTGTGATTTCCTATGCCTGTCTTTAATCTGTTAATCCTGTCATCTTCATAAGCTGAGGGTGTATGTCAACTCAGGACCTGGTGATGATTATGTTAACTGCACAAATTTTTTAAACAATATGAAATCTGAGCACCTTGAAAAAAGAACAGGATAACAGCAATGCTCAGAGAACAAGGGAGATAGCCATTAGGTCTGGCTGCCTGAGAGTTGGGCAGAACAGAACCATATTTCTCTTCTTTCAAAAGCAAATAGGAGAAATATCACTGAATTCTTTTTCTCAGCAAGGAACAGCCCTGGGAAAGAGAATGCCTTCCATGGGGTAGTCCTTTAAAATAGCCACTCCAGGGTTGCCTGTCTTTTATGATTGTGGATAAGGGATGAAATAAGCCCCAGTCTCCAGTAGCACTCCCAGGCTTATTAGGATGAGGAAATTTCTGCCTAATAAAATTTGGTCAGACCAGTTGTCTGCTCTCAAACCCTATCTCCTGATAAGATGTTATCAATGACAATGCATGCAATTCATTAGCAATTTTAATTTCACCCTGGTCTTGTGATTTCCCCCGCCTCCATTTGCCTTGTGATATTTTATTACCTTGTGAAGCATGTGATCTCTGTGACCCATACCCTATTTGTACACTCTCTCCCCTTTTGAAAATCACTAATGAAATCTTGCTGGTTTTACGGTGTAGGGGGCATCATGGACCCTCCTGACATGTGATGTCTCCCCCGGACACCCACCTTTAAAATTTATCTTTTGTACTTTTTTCCTTTATTTCTCAGACTGGCCGACACTTAGGGAAAATAGAAAAGGACTCGTGTTGAATTATTGGGGGTGGGTTCCCCTGATATGCAGCCCTTGTGTGGAGTCTGGGATGGGGACATGGCATCCCTGGCTTGCACCCAGTGTTTGTGTCTCACCACGGGGGCACCCCAAAGTGGCAAGAAGGCCCACAAGGGAAGGTCAGGCTAGGACAGGGAGAAGACGCAGCTTGGGAAGGGAAGAAACTGGCATCACCCAGTACTGGGGCCTGGCTCCTCACATGGATGAAAATGCTTTCCCGTCAACCCCTGTGCTGGGTCCGGTGAGTGGCTTCCCTGGCTTGCACCCAAGGTGCATGTCTCACCCATGGGGGCACCCCAAAGTGGCAAGAATGTCCCCAAAGGAAGGTCAGGCTTGAAAGAGCCCATTGAGGCAGTTCAGGAAAGGAATAAAGTGGCACAGCCCAGGAGGGGGGCCTGGGTCCTCCCACAGATAAGAATGCCTTCCCGGCAGGCACTGCGTGGGGTATGGGTAGGTTGTAATGCTTCTGGCTTGCCCCCAGGGCACGTGTCTCACCCACAGGGCACTGGAAAGCAGCAAGAATGCCCCAGGAGGAAGGCCATGGCACGTCAGACTTGAAAGGGGAGGTTGAGGCAGCTCTGGAAGGAAAGAAAAATGGCACAGCTGAGGAGGGGGCCTGTTTCCTCCCACAGATGAAAGTGCCTTCCCGGCAGACCCTGCACTGGGCCTGGGAGGTTGTGGAGTCCCTATCTTGCACCCAGGGTGCATGTCTCGCCCATGGGGGCACCCCAAAGTGGCAAGAATGCCCCAGAAGGAAGGCCACAGCATGTCAGACTTGAAAGGGGAGGTTGATGAAGCTCTGGAAGGAAAAAAACTGGCACAACAAAGGAGGAGAGCCTGGATCCTCCCATGGCTGAATGGGCCTTTCCAGTAGCCCTTGTGCTGAGCATGGGGATTAGTGGAGTCCCTAGCTTGCACTCAGGTTGTGTGTCTCACCCACAGGTGCACCCCAAAGTGGCAAGAGGGCCACCAAAGGAAGGTCAGGCTTGAAAGGGGACGTTGAGTTAGCACAGGAAGGGAAAAATAATTGGCAAGGGCCAGGACGGTAGCCTGGATCCTCCCATGGATAAAAATACCTTCCCAGCAGCCCCTGCATGGCATCCGTGGGGGTCTCTGGCTTGCACCCAGGGTGCATGTCTTGCAAACGATGGGCACCCCAAAGCAGCAAGAAGTTTGAAACAGGACATTGAGGCAGCCAGGGAAATAAAGCAGCCAGGCCAAAGGGGAGGCTGAATGCCTCCCAGGGAAGCCTGGGCCTTCCTGACAACCCCTGTGCTGGGCCCAAAGTGATCACGGAGTCCCTGGCTTGCACCAAAGTCATCTTTCACCTATGATGGGCATCATAAATGGGCATGAAGGGCTCCAGGGAAAGGGAACAGCATGTCAGCATTCAAAAGGTATGTTGAGGCATCCAGGGAAAAACGGTGGCCAGGCTGAGGGGATGCCAAAGGCCTCCAAAGGAGGCCTGGGCCTTCCTGGCAGCCACAATCCAGGGAAACTGTGGCATCCCTGGCTTTCACCCAGGGTGAGTGTCTCGCCCATGGGGGTCACCCAAAAGCAGCAAGAGGGCCCCAAATTGAAGGTCAGGCTTTAAAGTGGATGTTGAGGCAGCTCAGGAAAGGAAAAAAGCAGCTCAGCCAAGGATGGGGTCCTTGGTCCTTCAACAGGCAAAAGTGCCTTCCTGGCATCTACTCTGTGTGGCCCGGGTTGGGGGGGGGCTCGTGGCATCCATGACTTGCACCCAGGTTGCATGTCCCATCTTGGGAGGCACCCCAAAGGGGCAAAAAGACCTCCAAGGGAAGGAGATGGCAAGTCAGGCTTGAAAGGGGAGGTTGAGGCAGTGCAGGTTGAGAAAATGTGAAACAGCCCAGCAGGGGGACCTGTGACCTCCCACAGAAGAAAATGCCTTCCTGGCAGCCCCTGCATGGAGTCTGGGGTGTTTGCGGCATCCCTGGCTTGCACCCAGGGTTCGTGTTTCCCCTCGGGGGACACCATAAAGCAGCAAGAAGGCCTGCAAGGGAATGTCAGGCTTGAAAGCGGACATTGAGGCAGCTCAGGAAGGGAAAAAAGCGTCCTAGCCTGGGAAGGGACCTAGGTCCTCCCATGGATGAAAATGCCTTCCCAGTAGTCCCTGCGTGGGGTCTGGGGAAGTCATGGTATCCCTGGCTCACCCCCAGGGTGTGTATCTCAACCACAGGGCACCTCTAAAGGAAGAAGAAGGCCCCCAAGAAAATTCTGGCTTCAAATGGGACATTGAGGCAGCTCGTGAATGGAAAAAAATGGTGCGGCCCAGGTGGGGGCCTGGGTCCTCCCACAGAAGAAAATGCATTCCAGGCAGGCATTGTGCAGCATCTGGGAGTGTCATGGCATTCCTAGCTTGCACTCAAGGTGCAGGTCTCACCCACAGGGGCACTTCAAATGGGAAAGAAGTCCTCCAAGGGAAAGTCAGGCTTGAAAGGGGATGTAGAGGCATGTCAGGAAGGGAAAAAAAGCATCACTCTCAGTGTGGGGGCCTGGGTACTCCCACAAATGTAAATGTCTTACTGGCAGTCCCTGAGCGAGGTCCGGGTGGGTTGTGGCATCCCTGGGTTGCCTCCAGGGTGCGTGTCTCACCCACAGGGCCCACCAAAGCAGCAAGAAGGCCTCCAAGGGAAGGGAATGGCAAGTCAGGCTTGAAAGGGGATGTGGAGGCAGCTCTGGAAGGAAAAACAATGAGGCGGCCCAGGAGGGAGCTCTAGATCCTCCAGCAGGTGAAAATCTCTTCCCAGCACCCCCTGCAGTGGGCACAGGGGGCCGTGAGTCCCTTGCTTGCAACCATGATGCATGTCTCTCCCATGGGGGCACTACAATGCTGCAAGAATATCCCAGGGGGAAGGCCATGGCAAATCAGGCTTGAAAGTGGAGGTTGAGGCAGCTCTGGAAAAAAAAAATGCGGCCATGGAGGGGACCTCGGTCCTCCCACAAAAGAAAATGTCTTCCTGGCAGCGCCTCTGTAGGATCCATGGGGGTCATCGTGGACTCCTTGGCTTGCATGCAGTATGCATGTGTTGCCCACAGGAGGCACCGCAAAGTGGCAAAAAGGCCCCAGAAGGAAGGGTATGGCAGGTCAGGATTGAAAGGTGACGTTGAGGCAGCTCAGGAATGGAAAAAAGTGGCACAGCCTAGGAGGGTGCCTGGGTCCTCCCATGGAAAATAATGACTTCCTGTCAGCCCCTGCACAAGGTGTGGGTGGATAGTGTCATAACTGGCTTGCACCCAGGATGCATGTCTCACCCACGGGGCACCATCAAGTGGCAAAACGTCCCTCAAGTGATGGTCAGGTTTGAAAGAGGATGTTGAGGCAACTCTTGAAGGAAAAAAAGGGTGGCCTGGGTCCTTCCACTGATGAAAATGTGTTCCTGGCAGCCCCTGTGCCATGCCAAGGGGGTCATGGAGTCCCTAGCTTACATCCAGGGTGTGTTTCTCATGCAAGGGGCACCCCAAAGCAGGAAGAAGGCCCCCAAGTGAAGGTCACACTTTAAAGGGGATGTTGAGGCAGCTTGGGAAGGGAAAAAAGCAGCTCAGCCAAGGAGGGGGGCCTTGGTCACCCAGGAAAGAAAATGCCTTCCCATCAGTCTCTGCACAGGGTCTAGGGAGTCTTTTCAACCTGCTGAATAAAAAGAAAGGTTTAACTCTGTGAGATGAATCCACACATCACAAAGCAGTTTAACAGATAGCTTCTTTCTAGTTTCTATATAGGGATATTCCATTTTCCCCTAAAATCTCAAGGGACCTTTAAATGTTCCAACACAGATTCTACAAAAAGAGTGTTTCCAACATGTTGAAGGAAAAGGAATACTTATCTTGGTGAGATTAATCCACACATCACAAATCAGTTACAGGAACAGCTTATTTCCAGTTTTCATCTTGGGATATTTGGTTTTTCACCATAGGCATAAATGGGCTCCCAAATGTCCCTTAGAGGATTCTACAGAATAGTATTCTTTTATTTTTTTTAAAGAAAAGATATTTGATTTTTCACCATAGGGCTCAATGGGCTGTTAAATATCTATTCGCAGATTCTACAGAAAGAGTGTTTCCAACCTGCTAAACTAAAAGAAAGGATTAACTCTGTGAGATGAATCCACACATTACAATGCAGTTTCACAGATAGCTTCTTTCTAGTTTTTATCTGAGAATATTCAGTTTTTCACTATAGGCCTCAATGGCCTCCAAATGTTCCTTTGTAGATTCTACAAAACGAGTGTTTCCAACCTTCTGAATCAAAAGAAAAGTTTAACTTTGTGAGTTGAATCCAAACATCACAAAGTAGTTTCACAGAGTTTCTTTCTAATTTTTATCTGGGGATATTCAGTTTTTCACCATAGGGCTCAATGGGCTCCCAAATGTACCTTCACAGATTCTACAGAAAGAGTGTTGCCAACCTTCAGAATCATAAGAAAATTTTACCTTTGTGAGATGAATCCACACATCACACGACAGTTTCACTGATAACATCTTTCTAGTTTTTACCTGGGGATATTCAGTTTTTCACAATCAGCCTCAAAAGGCTCTCAAATGTTTCTTTGCAGATTCTTCAAAAAGAGTGTTTCCAATCTGCTTAATCAAAGGAAATATTTAAAGCTGTGAGCTGAATCCAGACATTACAAAGCAGTTTCTTAGATAACTTCTTTCTAGTTTTTACCTAAGAATATTCAGTTTTTCACCAGAGGCCTCAATGGGCTCCCAAATGTCCCTTCACAGATTCTACAAAAAGATTGTTTCTAATGTGTTGAATCAAACGAAATTTTTAACTGTGAGATGAATCCACATGTCACAAAGCAGTTTCTCAGATAGTTTCTTCTAATTTTTATCAAGGGATATTCAATTTTTCACCATAGGCCTCAATGGAATCTTAAATATCTCTTCAGACATGCTACAAAAGGAGTGTTTCCAATTGGCTGAATCAAAAGAAATGTTTAACTGTGTAAGATGCATTCACACATCAAAAAGCAGTTTAACAGATAGCTTCTTTATAATTTTTGTCTGGGGATATTCATTTTTTCATGATAGACCTTAACGGGCTCCCAAATGTACCTTGGCATATATACAAAAGGAGTGTTTCTAACCTGCTGAATCAAAAATAAGGTTTAACTCTATGAGATGCATCCAGGCATCACAAAGTAGTGTCACAGAGAGCCTTCTTTCCAGTTTTTATCTGGGGATATTCTGTTTTTCACCATAGCACTCAATGTGCTCCAAAATATTCCCTTTGCAGATTCTACAAAAAGAGTGTTTTCAACCTACTACATCAAAAGAAAGTGTTATCTCTGTGAGATGAATCTAGCCATCAAAAAGCAGTTTCACAGGTAGCTTCTTTCCAGTTTTATTCTGAGGATATTCAGTTTTTCACCATAGGCATTTATGGGCTCCCAAATGTCCCTTCGCAGATTCTACAAAAAGACTGTTTCCAACTTGCTGAATCAAAAGAAAGGTTTACCTCTGTGAGATGAGTCCACACAACCCAAAGCAGTTTCACAGATGGCTTCTTTCTAGTTTTAATCTGGGGATATTCCTTTTTTTTTTTTTTTTTTTGCTATAGGTTTCAATGGACTATGAAATGTCCCTTCACAGATTCTCCAAAAAGTGTTGCCAACGTTCTGAAAGAAAAGAAAGGTTAAAGTTTTTGACACGAATAAACTCATCAAAAGGCCGTTTCACAGTTAGCCTCTTTCTAGTTTTTAACTGGAAATATTCAGTTTTTTGACATAGGTCTCAATGGGCTCCCAACTCTACCTTTGCAGATTTTACAAAGTGTTTCCAACTTGCAGAATCAAAAAAATAATAATAATAACGTTTAACTTTGAGATGTGAATCCACACATCACAAAGCAGTTTCACAAAGAGCTTCTTTCTAGTTTTTATCTGAGGATATTCATTTTTTCACCATAGGCCTCCTTGGGCTCCCGTAAGTCTCTTCCTAGATTCTACAAAAAGTGTTTCCAACCTGTTGAATCAAAAGAAAAGTTTAACCATGTGAGACAAATTCACACATTGCAAAGCAGTTTCACAGATAACTTCTTTTGAATTTTTATCTGGGGATATTCAGTTTTTTGCCATAGGCCTGAAGGGGCTCCCAAATATCCCTCGGCAGATTCTTCAAAAAGAGTGTTTCCAACCTGCTGAATCAAAAGAAATTTTTAAATCTGTGAGATGAATTCACTCTTCACAAGCAGTTTCATAGATAGCATGTTTTTAGTTTTTATTAGAAGATATTTGATT
This sequence comes from Homo sapiens, assembly GCF_000001405.40. Classification (NCBI taxonomy): domain Eukaryota; kingdom Metazoa; phylum Chordata; class Mammalia; order Primates; family Hominidae; genus Homo; species Homo sapiens. The sequence continues at coordinate 46,007,898 of NC_000008.11, read as the reverse complement.
TTTCACCATACTCCACAATAGGCTTTTAAATGCCTCTTCACAGATTCTACGGAAAAAGTGTTTCCAAGTAGATGAATCAAATGAAAGGTTTATTTCTGTGAGATGAATCCACACAACCCAAAGCAGTTTCATAGTTTATTTCTAGTTTTTATCTGGGGTTATTCTTTTTTTAACATAGGCCTCAAAGGGCTCTCAAATGTCCCTTTGAATATTCTACAAAAAAAGTGTTAGCAAACATGCTGAATGGTGTAACTCTGTGAGATGAATCCACATATCACAAAGAAGTTTCACAGATAGCTTCTTTCTAGTTTGTATCTGAGGATATTCGGTTTTTCACCATAGGCCTCAATGGGCTTTCAAATATGCCTTCACAGATTCTACAAAAAGACTGTCTTCGACCTGCTGAATTAAAAGAAAGGTTGCACTTTGTAAGATGACTTAACTCATCCCAAAATAGTTTCACAGATAGTTTCTTTTTCGTTTTATCTGGGGATATTCTGTTTTTCACCATAGTCCTTGAAGGGCTCCCAAATGTACTTTCACAAGTTCTACAAAAAGAGTGTTTATAACTTGCAGAGTTATAACAAAGATTTAACTTTGTGAGATGAATCCGCATATCACAAAGCAGTTTCACAGATAGTTTCTTGTTTTTTTTTTCCTGAGGTTATTCAATTTTTCACCATAGTCCTCCATGTGCTCCCAAATGTCTCTTTTCAGGTTTTACAAAAAGAGTGTTTCCAACCAGCTGAACCAAAATAAATGTGTAACTCTGTGAGATGAATCCACATGTCACAAAGCTTTTTCACAGTAATCACAAAGCAGTTTCATGGAAAATTTCTTTCTAGTTTATATCTGGGGATATTCGGTTTTTCACCGTAGGCCTCAATGGGCTCCAAAATCTCCATTCCCAGATCCTCCAAAAGGAAGCTTTCCAACTTGCTGAATCAAAAGAAAGGTTTAACTGTGTGAGATGAATCCACACAACACAAAGCAGTTTCACAGATAGCTTCTTTCTAGTTTTTATCTGGGAATATTTGGTTTTTCACCATAGCACTCAAGGGACTCCCAAATATTCCTTTCAAGACTCTAAAGCAAGAGTGTTTCCAACCTGATGAATCAAAAGAAAGTTTTATCTCTGTTAGATGAATGCACACATAACAAAGCAGTTACATGAATATCTTCTCTCTAGTTTTTATCTGGGAATAATCAGTTTGCCAACATGGGCCTCAATAGACTCCCAATTGTTCCTTTGCAGATTCTACAAAGAGAATGTTTCCAACCTGCTGAATGAAAAGAAAAGTTTCACTCTGTGAGATGGATCTACACGTCACAAAGGAGTTTCACAGATAGCTTCTTTCTTGTTTTTATCTTGGGATTCTCCGTTTTTCACCATATGCCTCAATGGTCTCCCAAATGTCTCTTTGTAGATTTTACAAAATGGTGTTTTCAACCTGCTGATTCGAAAGAAAGATTTACCTCTGTGAGATGAATCCAAACATCACAAAGCAGTTTCCCAGATACCTTCTTTCTAGCTTTTATCTTGAGATATTTTGTTTTTAACTATAAGCCTCAATGGGGTTTCAAACGTTCCTTCACAGGTTCTACAAAAAGCTTATTTCCAACCTGCTGATTAAAAGAAACGTTTAACTTTGTGAGGTGAATCACACATTCAAAGCAGTTTCACAGGTAAGTTATTTCTTGTTTTTATCAGGACATTCTCTTTTTTCCTATAGGCCTCATTGGGCTACCAAATGTTCCTTTTCAGGTTCTACAAAAAGAGATTTTCCAATCTGCTGAATGAAAATAAATGTTTACCACCATGAGAAGAATCCACACATCATGAAGCAGTTTCAAAGAGATTTTTTCCAGTTTTTATCTAGGGATATTCAGTTTTGCACCATTCACCTCAATGAGCTCCCCAATGTCCAGTCACAGATTCTGCAAAAAAAAGTTTCCAACATTCTAAATTAAAAGAAAAGTTCACATTTCTGAGATGAAGCATACATCACAAAGCCATTTCACAGATTGCTGCTTTCTAGTTTTTATCTTGGTATATTCAATTTTTTACCTTTAGTCTCAATGAGCTCACAAATTTCCCTTGGCAGATTCTACAAAAAGAGATTTTCCTGCATGCTGAAGCAAAAGAAAGGTTTAACTCTGTGAGATGTATCCACACATTACAAAGCAGTTTCACAGATAGCTTTTTAATAGTTTTTTTCTGTTACTATTCTGTTTTTCACCATAGGCCTCACTGGGCTTCAAAATGTCCCTTTTCAGATTCTACAATAAAAGGGTTTCCAACCTGGTGAATCCAGAGAAAGCCTTAACTATGTGAGATGAATTCACACATTACAAAGCAGATTCCCAGATAACTTCTTTCTAGTTTTTATCTGGTGATATTCTGTTTTCCCCCATTGGCCTTAATTGACTATTAAATTTCCCTTTTCAGTTCTAAAAGTGAGTGTTTCCAACCTACTGAACAGAAAGGAAATTTTAACTCTGTGAGATGAATAGACACATCACAAAGCAATTTCACAGATAACTTCTTTCTTGTTGTTATCTGGAGATACTCGGTTTTCACCATAGGCCTCAATGGGCTCCCAAATATATCTTCACAGATTCTACAAAAAGAGTGATTCAACCAGATAAATCAAAAGAAATGTTAAAAATCTTTGAGATGAATCCACATATCACAAAGAAGTTTCACTGATAATTTCTTATGAATTTTTATCTTGGGATATTCGTTTTTTCAATATAGGCCTCAATTGGTTCCCAAATGTCCATTCACATATTCTTCAAAAAGAGTGTTTCTAACCTGCTGAATCAGATGAAAGGGTTAAATCTGTAAGCTGAATCCACACAGCACAAAGCGGTTTCACAGATAACTTTTTTCTACTTTTTCTCTGGAGATATTCGGTTTTTCACCATGGGCCTCAATGTGATCAAAAACGTCCTTTTGCAGATTCTACAAAACAGTGTTTCTAACCTGGTAAGTCAAAAGGAAGTTATATCTCTGTGAGATGAATACACATATTATAATTTCACAGATAGCTTCCTTCTAGTTTTTCTCTGGAAAAATTCGTTTTTTCACAATAGGTCATAATAGGTTCCCAAATGTTTCTTAACAGTTTCTACAAAAAAAGTGATTCCAACCTACTGAATCAAAAGAAAGAATTAACCCTGCTGAATCAAAAGGAAAGTTTAACTCTGTGAGGTGAATCCTCACCACACAATGCCGTTTTACAGATAACTTCTTTCTAGTTTTTATTTGGAGATATTAAATTTTTCACCATAGGCTTAAATGGGCTCAAAAATGTACCTTCCCAGATTCTACAAAGAGTGTTTCCAACCTTCTGAAAAAAAAAGAAAGGCTTAATTCTTTAAGATGAATACACACATCACAAATGAGTTTCACAGATAGTTTCTTTCTAGTTTTTATTGGTGGGTATTCAGATATTCAACACAGGCCTCAATGGGCTCCCAAATATTCACTTTCAGATTCTACATAAAGAGTGTTTCCAACCTGCTGAATCAAAAGGAAGTTTTACTTTTGTGATAAGAATTGACACATTACAAAGCCGTTTCACTGACAGCTTCTTTCTACTTTTTATCTGGGGATATTTTGTTTTTCACCATAAGCTTCAATAGGCTCCCAATTGTCCCTTTGCAGTTTCAACAAAAATGGTGTTTCCAACCTACTGAATTAGAACAAAGTGATAACAGTGTGAGATGAACCCACACATCTCAAAGCAGTTTTACTAATAGATTCTTTCTAGTTTGTATTTGGGAATATGCAGTTATTCACCTTAGGCCTCAGGGTTCCCAAATATCCCTTCAAAAATTGTACAGAAAAAGAGTTCACAACCTGCTGAATCAAAAGAAAGGTTTAACTCCATTAGATGAATACACACCAAAAATCATTTCACTGAAGCTTCATTCTAGTTTTTATCTAGGGATATTCAGTTTTTCACTATAGGCCACAAAGTCCTCCCAAACATCCCTCTGAAGATTCTACAAAAATAGTGTTTCCAACCTAATGAATAAAAAGAAAGGTTTCACTCTGTGATATGAATCCACACATCACAAAACAGTTTCACAGATGGCTTCTTTACCGTTTTTATCTGGGGATATTCCGTTTTTCATCATAAACTTCAATGGGCTCCCATATGTCCCTTCACAAATTCTACAAAAAGGGTGTTTAGAACCTGCTGAATCCAAAGAAAGGTTTTTCCCTGTGAGATGAATCCACACATTACAAAGAAGTTTCACAGATAGCTTATTTCTAGTTTCTAACTGGGGATTTTTTTTTACTATAGACCTCAATGGTCTCCCAAAAGTTCCATCACAGATTCTACAAACAGGTTTTTCAACCTGCTGAATCAAAGGAAACTTTTAACTCTGTGAGATGAATCTGTTCATCACAAAGCAGTTTCACAAATAGCATGTTTTTTGTCTGTATATGGAGACATTCTCTTTTTCACCATAGGTTTCTGTGACCTCCAAATTGTCCTTTCACAGATTTTATAAAAAGAGTGTTTCCAATCTTCTTAATCAAAAGAAATATCTAAGTTTGTGAGATGAATCCACACATCACAAAGCAGTTTCACAGATAGAGTCTTTCTAGTATTTATCTAGGGATATTCAGATTTTGACAAGTGCCTCAGTGGGCTCCAAAATGCCCCTTCACAGATTCTGCAAAAGAAGTCTTTCCAGACTGCTGTATCATAACAAAGTTTTAACTCTGTGGGATGAATCCAAACATCAAAAAGCAGTTTCAGAAATTGCTTATTTCTAGTTTTTATCTGGGGATATTGGCTTTTTCGCCATAGACCTCAAAGGGCTTTCAAATGTCCGTTTGCCAATTTTACAAATGAGTGTTTCCAAGCTGTTGAATCAAAAGAAGGGGTTAACTCTGTAAGATAATCCCACATCAAAAAGCAGTTTCACAAATACCTTCTTTCTAGTTTCTATCTTGGGATATTCAATTTTTCACCATTGGACCCAGTGATTTCCAAAATGTCTCTTCATAGATCTTACAAAAAAAGTGTTTCCAAACTTGTTTTTATCTGGGCATATTGGGTTTTGCAATATAGATTTTAAAGGGCTCTTAAATGTTTCCTCACATATTCTACAAAAAGAGTGTTTCCAGTGTGCTGAGTCAAAGGAAAAGTTTAACTTGGTGAGGTGAATTCACACATCACAAAGCAATTTCACAGAGAGTTTTTTGTAGTTTGTATCTGTACATATTCGGTTTTTGACAATAGATGTCTATGTGCATTAAATGTCCCTTTGCATATTCCACAAAAGGAGTGCCTCAAACCTAGGGAATCAAAGGAAAGGTTTACCTCTGTGAGATTAGTCCACATATTATAAAGCAGTTTCACAGATAGCTTCTTTCTAGTTTTTATCTTGGCATATTCAGTTTTTTAATATAATCTTCAATGAGCTCCAAAATGTCCCTTTTCAGATACTACAAAAGAATGCTTTCAAACTGCTAAATCAAAGAAAGTTTAAATCTGTGAGATGAATCCACACATCACAAAGCAGTTTCACAAAGAGATTCTTTCTAGTTGTTATCTTACCATAGGTCTCAATTGGCTCCCAAATGTTTCTTTACAGATTCTACAAAAAGACTGTTTCCAACATGCCGATTTTTAATAAGAGCTATTTATGACAAACCCACAGGTAATATCATACTGAATAGGCATAAACTGGAAGCATTCTCTTTGAAAACTGGCACAAGACAGGGATGCCCTCTCTCACCACTCGTATTCTACATATAGTTGGAAGTTCTGGTCAGGGCAATCAGGCAGAAGAAAGAAATAAAGGGTATTCAATTAGGAAAAGAGGAAGTCAAATTGTCCCTGTTTGCAGATGACATGATTGTATATTTAGAAAACCCCATTATTTCAACCCAAAATCTCCTTAAGCTGATGGGAAACTTCAGCAAAGCCTCAGTATACAAAATCAGTGTGCAAAAATCACAAGCATTCCAATAACAGACAGAGAGCCAAATCATGAGTGAACTCCCATTCACAATTGCTTCAAAGAGAATAAAATACCTAGGAATGCAACTTACAAGGGATCTGAAGGACCTCTTCAAGGAGAACTACAAGCCACTGCTCAATGAAATAAAAAGTGACACAAACAAATTGAGGAACATTCCATGCTCATGGATAGGAAGAATCAATATCATGAAAATGGCCATACTGCCCAAAGTAATTTATAGATTGAATGCCATCCCCATCAAGTTATCAAAGACTTTCTTCACAGAATTGGAAAAAAAAAAAACTGGTTTAAAGTCCATATGGAACCAAAAAAGAGCCTGCATTGCCAAGTCAATCTAAGCCAAAAGAACAAAGCTGGAGGCATCACACTACTTGACTTCAAACTGCACTACAAGGCTACAGTAATCAAAACAGCATGGTACTGGTACCAAAATAGAGATATAGACCAATGGAACAGAACAGAGACCTCAGAAATAATACCACGCATCTACCAGCATCTGATCTTTGACAAACCTGAGAAAAACAAGAAATGGGGAAAGGATTTCGTATTTAATAAATGGTGCTGGGAAATCTGGCTAGCCATATGTAGAAAGCTGAAACTGGATCCCTTTCTTACACCTTATACAAAAATTAATTCAAGATGGATTAAATACCTACATTTCAGACCTACAACCATAAAAACCCTAGAAGAAAACCTAGGCAATAGCATTCAGGACACAGGCATGTGCAAGGACTTCATGACTGAAACACCAAAAGCAATGGCAACAAAAGCCAAAATTAAGAAATTGGATCTAATTAAACTAAAGAGCTTCTGCACAGCAAAAGAAACTACCATCAGAGTGAACAGGCAACCTACAGAACGGGAGAAAATTTTTGCAATTTACCCATCTGACAATGGGCTAATATCCAGAATCTGCAAAGAACTTAAACAAATTTACAAGAAAAAAATCAAACAACCTCATCAAAAAGTGGGCAAAAGATATGAACAGACACTTCTCCAAAGAAGACATTTATGCAGCCAACAGACACATGAAAAAATGCTCATCGTCATTGGTCATCAGAGAAATGCAAATCAAAACCCCAGTGAGATACCATCTCACACCACTTAGAATGGTAATCATTAAAATGTAAGGAAACAACAGGTGCTGGAGAGGATGTGGAGAAATAGGAACACTTTTACACTGTTGGTTCAATCATTGTCAAAGACAGTGTAGTGATTCCTCAAGAGTCTAGAACTAGAAATACCATTTGACCCTGCCATCCCATTACTGGGTATATACCCAAAGGATTATAAATCATGCTGCTATAAAGATGCATGCACACATATGTTTATTGCAGCCCTATTCACAATAGCAAAGACTTGGAACCAACACAAATGTCCATCAATGATAGACTGGATTAAGAGAATATGGCACATATACACCATGGAATAATATACAGCCATTAAAAAGGATGAGTTCATGCCCTTTGTGGGGATGTGGATGAAGCTGGAACTCATCATTCTGAGCAAACTATCACAAGGACAGAAAACAAAACACTGCATGTTGTCACTCATAGGTGGGAATTGAACAATGAGAAAACTTGGACAGAGGGTGGGGAACACCACAGACCAGGGCCTGTCATGGGAGGGGGTAGGGGGGAAGGATAGCATTAGGAGATATACCTAATGTAAATAACGAGTTAATGGGTGCAGCACACCAAGATGGCATATGTATACATATGTAACAAACCTGCACTTTGTGCATATGTACCCTAGAACTTAAAGTATAATAATAAAAAAATAAGTAAAACAAATTTTTAACTCCATGAGATGAATCCACACATCACAAAACAGTTTAACAGATAAATTATTTCTAGTTTTTAACAGTGGATATTCAGTTTTTCACTATGGGCCTCAGTGAACTCCCAAATGTCCATTCACACATTCTACCAAAAGAGAGTTTCCAACACACTGTATCAAAAGAAACTTTTAACTCTGTGAAGTGAATCTGTACATCAGAAATCACTTTCACTGATTGCTTCTTTCTAGATTTTATCTGGAATATTGAGTTTTTCACAATAGGCCTGAATTGGATCCCAAGAGTGCTTTCAACTTGTTGAATCAATTCCATTACAGATTCTACAAAAAGAGTCTTTCCAACCTGCTGATTCAAAGTAAAGTTTTAATTCTGTGAGACTAATCCACACATCACAAAGCAGTTTCACAGATTGCTTCTTTCTAGTTTCTATATGTGGACATTCTTTCTTTTACCATAGGCCGCTACAAAATAGTATTTCAAACCTAGTGCATTAAAAGAAAGGTTTAACTCTGTTAGTCAAGTCCACACATCACAAAGCAGTTTCACAGATTGCTTTTTTCTAGTTTTTATCTGAATATATTCAGTTTTTCACCATTGGCCTCAAAGGGCTCTTACAGGTCCCTTCACAGATCGTACAAAAAGATTATTTCCAAACTGCTGAATCAAAAGAAAGGTTTACCTCTCTGAGATGAATCGACACATTGCAAAGCAGTTCCATAGATGGTTTCTTTCTATATTTTATCTGGGGCTATTTTGTTTTTAAACAAAAACCTCAGTGGGCTCCCAAACATCCCTTCCCAGATTCTACAAAAACAGTGTTTTCAACCTCCTGAATGAAAAGAAAGGTTTAACCCTGTGAGATAAATCCATCGATCACAAAGCACTTTAACAAATAGCTTATTTCTATTTTCCGTCTGGGGGTATTCCTTTTTTTAACATAGGCCTCAGTAACCTCCCAAATATCCCTTCACAGATTCTACAAAAAATGTGATTCCAACCAGCTGAATCAAAAGAAAGGTTTAACTTTGTGAGATGAATCCACACATCACAGAGGAGTTTCCCAGACAGCTTCTTTCTAGTTTTAATCTGGGTATATTCTGTTTTTCACCATAAGCCTCAATGGGCTGCCCTATTTCCCTTTGCAAATTCTACAAAAAGAGTGTTTTAAAACTGCTGAATCAACAGAAAGGTTTAACTCTGTGACATGAATCCACACATCACAAAACAGATTCATAAGTATCTTCTTTCTCATTTTTCTCTGAAGATATCCAGTTTTTCACCATAGGCCTCAATGAACTTTCAGATGCCCCTTCACAGATTCTACAAAAAGAATGTTTCCAACCTGCTGAATCAAAAGAAAGTTTTATCTGTGTGAGATGAATTTACATGTCACAAAGGAGTTTCACAGATAGGTTCTTTCTACTTTTTATTTGGTGATTTTGCTTTTCTACCTAGGCCTCAATGGGCTCCCAATTGTTTTTTTGCATATTCTACAAAAAGTGTATTTTCAATCTGTTGAATCGAATGCAAGGATTAACTATGTGAGATGAATCCTCACACCACAAATCAGTTTCACAGATAGCTTCTTTGAAGTTTTTATCTGAAGATATCCTGTTTTTCATGATAGGCCTCAATGGGCTCCAAATATTACTTTGTAGATTATACAAAAAGAGCACTTCCACCTGCTGACTCAAAGGAAAGGTTTATCTCTGTGAAATGAATCCACATATCACAAAGCAGTGTCACAAATAGCTTCTTTTTAGTTTTTATCTGGGGATATCCAGTTTATCACACTAGGCCTCATTGGGCTCCCAAATTTCTTTTTGAAGTTTCCACAAGAGAGTATTCTCAACCTGATGAATCAAAAGAAAAGTTTGACTCTGTGAGATGAATCCACATATCACAATGCAGTTTCACAGAGATCTTTTTTCTAGTGTTTATCTGGGGATATATTGTTTTTCACCATAGGCCTAAATAGGCTTTGAAATGTATTTTCGCAGATTTTACAAAAAGAGTGTTTCCAATATGCTGAATGAAAAGAAAGATTTACCTCTGTGAGATAAATCCACACATCACAAAGCAGTTTCCCAGATAGCTTCTTTCTAGTGTTTATCTGGGTATATTCTGTTTTTCACCATAGACCTCAATGGTCTCCCAAACATTCCTTTGCAGATTCTACAAAAAGAGTGCTTCCAAACTGCTGAATAAAATGAAAGGTTTAACACTGTGAGGTGAATCCATACATGACAAAGCAGTTTCATAGACAGCTTATTCCTAGTATTTATCTGGGGATGTTCAGTTTTTCACCATATGTCTCTATTGCCTCCCAAAGGTTTCTTCACAGATTCTACAAAAAAAAGTGTTTCTAACCTGCTGAATCAAAAGAAATTTTTACACTGTGACATAAATCCACGCATTACAGTGCAGTTTCACAGATGCCTTTTTTTTTAGTGTTTATCTAAGGATATTTGGTTTTTCACAATAGTCTTCAGAGGGCTTCCAAATGTCCTTTCACAGGTTTTACAAAAATAGTGTTTCAAACTGCTGAATCAAAAGAAATATTTAACTCTCTGAAATAAAGCCACACATTATAAAACAGGTTCAAAGATAACTTCATTCTAGTTTTTTCTGAGGATATTCTGTTTTCATCCTAGGCCACAATGGCTCCCAAATTTTCCTTCTCAGATTCTACAAAAAGAATGTTACCAACCCGCTGTCTCAAATGAAAGGTGTAACTCTGTGAGATGAATACACACATCAAAAAGCAGTTTAACAGATAACTTCTTTCTAGTTTTTATCTGGGTATATTTTCTTTTTCACTATAGGCCTCAATGGGCTACCAAAGATCCCTTCACAAATACTACAAAAACAGTGTTTCCAACATGTTGAATCAAAAGAAAAGTTTAACTCAATGATATGAATCCACAAAACCCAAAGCGGCTTCACAGATTGTTCTTTCTAGTTTTTATCTTAAGATATTCTGTTTTTCACCATAGGGCTCAATAGGCCCCCAAATGTCCCTTCACAGATTCTACGAACATACTGTTTCCAACCTGCTGAATCAAAAGAAAGGCTTAACTCTGAAAGATAAATCCATACATCCCAAATCAGTTTTACAAATAGCTACTTTCTTGTGTTACTTTGCTAATATTCAATGTTTTACATAGGCCTCAATGGGCTCACAAATGTCCTTTCCTAGATCTTACAAAAGAAATATTTCCAACTTCCTGAATCGAATGAAATGTTTAACTCTGTGAGGTGAATGTACACATCACATGGCAGTTTCACAGATAGCTTATTTATAGTTTTTATCCGGGGATTTTTGTTTTTTCACCAAATGCCTCAATGGGATCCCAAATGTCCCTTTGCAGATTCTACAAAAAGGTGTTTCCAACCAGCTGAAAAAAAGAAATGTTTAACTCTGTAAGATGAATCCACACATCACAAAGCAAATTCACAGATAGTGTATTTCTAGATTTCATCTGGGGCCTCAAAGCACTCCAAATATCCATTTGCAGATACTACAGAAAGAGTGGTTCCAAACTGCTGAATCAAAAGAAAGGTTCAACTCTGTGAGATAAAAGTACACATCACAAGGTGTATCTCAGAATGCTTCTGTTTAGTTTTTATATGAAGATATTTCCTTTTCCACCATAGGCCTCAAAGCACTCCAAATATCCAACTGCTGATTCTACAAAAAGATTGTTTCAAAACTGCTCAATCAAAAGAATGGATAAACTCTGTGGGTTGAATGCACACATCACAAAGAAGGTTCTGAGAATGCTTCTGTCGAGTTTTTGTGGTAAGATAATTTTTTGGGTACCATAGGTGTCAAAGCGCCATACAAATCCAATTGCAGATTCTACAAAAAGAGTGTTTCAAAACTGCTAAATCAATAGAAAGGTTCAACTCTGTGAGATGAATGCACATATCACAAAGAAGTTTCTCAGAGTGTTTCTGTCTGGTTTTTATGTGAAGATATTTCTTTTTCAACTATAGGCCTCAAAGAGCTCAAAATATCCACTTGCAGATTCCACAAAAAGATTGTTTTCAAACTGCTCCATCAAAAGAAAGGTTCAACTCTGTGAGTTGAATGCACACATCACAAAGATGCTTCTGAGAAAGCTTCCATCTAGTTTTTATGTGAAGATATTTCCTTTTCCACCATAGGCCTCAAAGGGCTCAAAATATCCACTTGCAGATTCTACAAAAAGATTGTTTCCAAACTGCTCAATCAAATGAAAGGTTCAATTCTGTGAGTTGAATGCACACATCACAAAGATGCCTCTGAGAAAGCTTCCGTCTGGTTTTTATGTGAAGATATTTCCTTTTCCACCATAGGCCTCAAAGCGCTACAAATATCCACTTGCAGATTCTACAAAAAGAGTGTTTCAAAGCTGCTCAATCAAAAGAAATGTTCGACTGTGTGAGATGAATGCACACATTACAAATAAGTTTTTCAGAATGCTTCTCAATAGTTTTTATGTGAAGATATTTTGTCTTCAGGTATTGGCCTCAAAACGCTGGAAATATGCATTTGCAGATACTACAAAAAGAGTGTTTTCAAACAGCTCAACCAAAGAAAATTTCAACTCTGTGAGTTGAATGCACATATCACAAAGTTGTTTGTGATTATGCTTCTGTTTAGTTTTTATGTGAAGATATTCCCTTTTCAGCTATTGGCCTCAAAGCACTCCAAATATTCATTTGCAGATCCTACAAATAGAGTGTTTAAAAACTACTCTATCAAAAGAAAGGTTCATCTCTGTGAGTTGAATGCACAAATCACATAGAAGTTTCTGAGACGGCTTCTGTCTAGTTTTCATGTGAACATATTTCCTTTTCCACCATAGGCTTCAAAGCGCTCCAAATGTCTACTTGCAGGTTCTACAAAAAGAGTGTTTCAAAACTGCTCAATCAAAAGAAAGGTTCAAGTCTGTGAGATAATTGCACACTTCACAAAGAAGTTTCTCAGAATGCTTCTGTGTAGTTTTTATGTGAAGATATTTCCTTTTCAGCTGTAGGCCTCTAAGTGCTCCAAATATGCATTTGTAGATAATACAAAAAGAGTGTTTCCAAACTGCTCAATCAAAAGAAAGGTTCAACTCTGTGAGTTGAATACACACAGCACAAAGAAGTTTCTGAGAATGTTTCTGTCTAGTTTTTATGGGAAGATATTTCCTTTTCCACCTTAGGCCTCAAAGTGCTAAAAATATGCACTTACAGATTCTACAAAAAGAGTTTTTCAAAACTGCTCTATCAAAAGGAATATTCAACTCTGTTTGTTGAATGGACAAAGCACAAAGAAGTTTCTCAGAATGCATCTGTCTAGTTTTTATGTGAAGATATTTCCTTTCCCACCATAGGCCTCAAAGTCCTCCAAATATCCACTTGCAGATTCTACAAAAATACTGTTTTAAAGCTGCTCTATCAAAAGAAAACTTCAACTCTGTGTGTTGAATGCACACATCATAAAGTAGTTTCTGAGAATGCTTCTGTCTAGGTTTTATTTGAAGATATTTCCTTTTCTACCTGATGTCTCAAAGTGCTCCAAATATCAACTTGCAGACTCTACAAAAAGAGTGTTTCAAAACTGCTCTTTCAAAAGAAAAGTCCAACTCTGTGAGTTAAATGCACACATAGCAAAAAAGTTTCAGTGAATTGCTTCGGTCTAGTTTTTGTGGGAAGATATTTCTTTTTCCACCATAGGCCTCAAAGCACTCCAAATATCCATTTGCAGATTCTACAAAAAGAGTGTTTCAAAACTGCTCTCTCAAAAGAAATTTTCAACACTGTGAGTTGAATGTAAACATCACAAGGAAGTTTCTGAAAATGCTTCTGTCTAGTTTTTATGTGAAGATATTTCCTTTCCCACCATAGGCCTCAAAGCGCTCCAAATATTCACTTGCAGATTCCACAAAAAAAGTGTTTCAAGACTGCTCTATCAAAAGAAACGTTCAATTCTGTGAGTTGAATTCACACGCCACAAAGAAGTTTCTGAGAATGCTTCTGTCTAGTTTTTCTGTGAAGATATTTCCTTTTCCACCATAGGCCTCAAAGTGCTCCGCATATCCACTTGAAGAATCTATGGAAAGAGTGTTTCAAAACTGCTCAATAAAAGAACGGTTCAACTCTGTGAGATGAATGCTCACATCACAAATAATTTTCTCAGAATGCTTCTTTCTAGTTTTTATGTGAAGATATTTCCTGTTCCACCAAAGACCTCAAAGCGCTCCAAATATCCACTTGCAGATTTTAAAAAAGAGTGTCTCAAAACTGCTCTATCAAAAGAAACTTTCAACTCTGTGAGTTGAATGCACAAATCACACATAAGTTTCTGAGAATGCTTCTGTCTATATTTTATGTGAAGATATTACCTTTTCCTCTATAGACATTAAAGCCCTCTGAATATCTGCTTGCAGATTCTACAAAAAGTTTCTCAAAACTGCTCTATCAAAAGAAAGGTTCAACTGTTTTGAGTTGAGTGCACTCATCACAAAGAAGTTTCTGAGAAAACTTCTGTCGAGTTTTTATGTGAAGATAGTTCCTTTTCCACCTTAGGTCTCAAAGTGCTCCAAATATGTACTTGTAGATTCTACAAAAACAGTGTATTGAAACTGCTCTATCAAAAGAAAGGTTCGACTCTGTGAGTTGAATGCACACATCAAAAAGGACTTTCTGAGAATGCTTCTGTCTAGTTTTTATGTGAGAATATTTCCTTTTCCACCATAGGCCTCAAAGTGCTCCAAATATCCACTTGCAGATTCTACGAAAAAAGTGTTTCAAAACTGCTCAACCAAAAGAAAGTTTTATCTCTGTGAGATGAATGCAGACTTCACAAAGAAGTTTCTCAGAATGCTTCTGTGTAGTTTTTATGTGAAGATATTTCCTTTTCAGCTGTAGACCTCAAAGCACTCGAAATATGCATTTGTAGATACTACAAAAAGAGTGTTTCCAAACTGCTCAATCAAAAGAAAGCTTCAACTCTGTGAGGTGAATACAAACATCACAAAGAAGTTTCTGAGAATGCTTCTGTCCAGTTTTTATTGGAAGATATTTCCTTTTCCACCTTAGGCCTCAAAGCGCTAAAAATATCCACTTACAGATCCTACAAAAAGAGTGTTTCAAAACTGCTCTATCAAAAGAAATGTTCATCTCTGTTTGTTGAATGGACATATCACAAAGAAGTTTATGACAATGCTTCTGTCTAGTTTTTATATGAAGATATTTCCTTTTCCACCATAGGTCTCAAAGCGCTCCAAATATCCACTTGCAGATCCTACGAAAAGAGTGTTTCAAAGTTACCCTATCAAAAGAAAACTTCAACTGTGTGAGTTGAATGCACACATCATAAAGAAGTTTCTGAGAATGCTTCTGTCTAGCTTTTATTTGAAGATATTTACAATTCCACCATAGGCAACAAAGCGCTCTAAATATCCACTTGCAGATTCTAGAAAAAGAGTGTTTCAAAACTGCTCAATCAAAAGAAATGTTCAATTCTGTGAGTTGAATCCACACATCACAAAGAAATTTCTGAGAATGTTTCTGTCCAGTTTTTATGTGAAAATATTTCCTTTTCCACCATAGGCCTCAAGGTGCTCCAAATATCTCCTTGCATACTCTACAAAAAGAGTGTTTCAAAACTGCTCAGTCAAAAGAAAGGATCAACTCTGTGAGTTGAATGCACACATTACAAAGAAGTTTCTGATAATTCTTCTGTTTAGTTTTTATGTGAAGATATTTCTTTTTCAGCTATAGGCTTCAAAGTGCTCCAAATATCCCTTTGCAGATACTACAAAAATATTGTTTCCAAAATGCTCAACCAAAAGAAAGGTTCAATTCTGTCAGTTGAATGCACACATCACAAAGAAGTTTCTCAGAATGCTTCTGTCTAGTTTTTATTTGAAGATATTTCCTTTTCCACCATAGGCCTCAAAGCACTCCAAATATCACGTTACAGATTCTACAAAAAGAGTGTTTCAAAACCGCTCTTTCAAAAGAAAAGTCCAACTCTGTGAGTTAAATGAACACATAACAAAAAAGTTTCACTGAATGCTTCCGTCTAGTTTTCGTGGGAAGATATTTCCTTTTCCACCATAGGCCTCAAAGCACTCCAAATATCACATTACGGATTCTACAAAAAGAGTGTTTCAGAACTGCTCTTTCAAAAGACGAGTCCAACTCTGTGAGTTAAATGAACACATAACAAAAAAAATTTCAGTGAATGATTCCATCTAGTTTTCATGGGAAGATATTTCCTTTTCCACCATAGGCCTCAAGGCACTCAAAATATCCATTTGTAGAAACTACAAAAAGAGTGTTTTAAAACTGCTCTCTTAAAAGAGATATTGAACACTGTGAGTTCAATGCACACATCACAAGGAAGTTTCTGAGAATGCTTCTGTCTAGTTTTTATGTGAAGATATTACCTTTTCTACCATAGGCTTCAAAGCGCTCCAAATATTCACTTGCAGATTCTACAAAAAGAGTGCTTCAAGACTGCTCTATCAAAAAAAGGTTCAACTCTGTGAGTTGAATACACACACCACAAAGAAGTTTCTGAAAATGCTTCTGTCTAGTTTTTATGTGAAGATATTTCCTTTTCCAACATAGGCCTCACAAAGCTCCAAATATCCATTTGCAGAATCTGCAAAAAGAGTGTTTCAAAACTGCTCAATAAAAGAAAGGTTCAACTCTCTGAGATGAATGCTCACATCACAAAGAATATTCTCAGAATGCTTCTTTCTAGTTTTTATTTGAAGATATTTCCTTTTCCACCAAAGACCTCAAAGCACTCCAAATATCCATTGCAGATTTTAAAACGGAGTGTCGCAAAACTGCTCTACCAAAAAAAAAAACAAAAACGTTCAACCCTGTGAGATGAATGCACACATCACACAGAAGTTTCTGAGAATGCTTCTGTCTATTTTTTATGTGAAGATATTACTTTTCCACCACAGGTATCAAAGCGCTCTGAATATCTGCTTGCAGATTCTACAAAAAGTTTCTCAAAACTGCTCTATCAAAAGAAAGGATCAACTGTTTGAGTTGAAGGCACTCATCACAAAGAAGTTTCTGAGAAAATTTCTGTCTAGTTTTTATGTGAAGATAGTTCCTTTTCCACCTTAGGTCTCAAAGCACTCCATATACGCACTTGCAGATTCTACAAAAACAGTGCATTGAAACTGCTTTCAAAAGAAAGGTTTGACTCTGTGAGATTAATGCACACATCAAAAAGAAGTTTCTGAGAATGCTTCTGTCTAGTATTTATGTGAAGATGCTTCCTTTTCCACCATAGACCTCAAAGCACTCCAAATATCCAAATGCAGTTTCTACGAAGAAAGTGTTCATAACTGCTTAATCAAAAGAAAGTTTCAACTCTGTGAGACGAAGGCAAACACCACAAAGAAGTTTCTCAGAATGCTTCTGTCTAGTTTTGATGTGAAGATATTTCCTTTTCGACCATAAGCCTCAAATCCCTACAAAGATCCACTTGCGGATTACAAAAAACAGTGTTTCAAAACTGCTCAATCAAAAGAAAGGGTCAACTCTGTGAGTTGAATGCACATATCACCAAGTAGTTTCTGAGCACGCTTCTGTCCAGTTTTTATGTGAAGATATTTCCTTTTAAATGGTAGGCCTCAAAGCGCTCCAAGTATCCACTTGCAGATTCTACAAAAAGACTGTTTCAAACTTGCTTTATCAAAAGAAGGGTTCAAATCTGTGAGATGAATGCACACATCACAATGAAGTTTCTCAGAATGCTTCTGTCCAGTTTTTATGGGAAGATATTTCTTTTTTAGCTATATGCCTCAAAGCTCTCCAAATATCCATTTGCAGATACTACAAAAAGAGTGTTTGCAAACTTCTCAATCAGAAGAAAGGTTCCACTCTATTAGTTGAATGCACACATCACAAAGAAGTTTTTGATAATGCTTCTGTCGAATTTTTATGAGAAGACATTTCCTTTTCCACCACAGGCCTCAAAGTGCTACAAATATCCAGTTGCAGACCCTACAAGAGGAGTGTTTCAAATCTGTTCAGTCAAAAGAAAGGTTCAACTCTGAGTTGAATGTACACGTCATGAAGAAGTTTATGAGAATGCTTCTGTCTAATTTTTTTGGGAACATATTTCATTTTCCACCATAGGCCCCAAAGTGCTCCATATATCCCCTTGCAGATTCTACAAAAATATTGTTTCCATACTGCACAATCAAAAGTTAGGTTCAACTCTGTGAGTTGAATGCACCCATCACAAAGAAGTTTCTGAGAATGCTCCTGTCTAGTGTTTATGTGAATATATTTTTTTTACACCATAGACCATGAAGTACTCCAAATATCCACTTGCAGATTCTACAAAAAGTGTATTTCAAAACTTCTCAATCAAAAAAAAATTTCAACTCGGTGAGATGAATGCACAGATCACAAATAAGTTTCTGAGAATGCTTTGGTCTAGTTTTTATGGGTATATATATAATTTTCAGCTAAAGGCCTCAAAGCACTGCAAATATCCACTTGCAGATAATACAAAAAGACTGTTTTCAAACTCCTCAATCAAAAGAAAGTTTCATTTCTGTAAGATGAATGTACACATCATGGAGAAGTTTCTCAGAATGCTTCTGTGTGATTTTTATGTGAAGATGTTTCTTTTTCAGCAATAGGCCTCAAAGCGCTCCAAATATCCATTTGCAGATACTACTAAAAGAGTGTTTCCAATCTGCTCAATCAAAAGAGAACTTCAACTCTGTGAGTTGAATGCCCAATCACAAAAAAGTTTTTCAGAATACTTCTGTCTAGTTTTTATGTGAAGATATTTCCTTTTCCTACATGGGCCACAAAGCCCTCCAAATATCCTCTTTCAGATACTACAAAAAGAGTGTTTCAAAACTGCTCTATCAAGAGAAAGGTTCAACTCTGTGAGTTGAATGCACACATCACAAAGAAGTTTCTGAGAATGTTTAGTCTAGTTTTTATGTGAGGGTATTTCCTTTTCTACCACAGGGCTCAAAGCGCTCCAAATATCCACTTGCAGATTCTACAAAAAGTTTGTTTCAAACCTGCTCTACAAAAAGAAAGGTTCAACTCTGTGAGTTGAATGCACAAATCATAAAGAAGTTTCAAAGAATGCTTCTGTCTAGTTTTTATATGAAGATACATTCTTTTCCACCATAGACCTGTGGTGGAACAAACAAAAAGTTTGTTTCAAAACTGCTCTATCAAAAGAAAGGTTCAACTCTGTGAGCTGAATGCACACATCATAAGGAAGTTTCTGAGAATGCTTCTGTATAGTTTTAATGGGAAGATATTTCTTTTTCCAACATAGGCCTCAAAGTGCTCCAAATATCCACTTGCAGATTCTACAAAAAGAGAGTTTCAAAACTCCTCAATCAAAGCAAAGGTTTAACTCTGTGAGATGAATGCACACATCACATAGAAGTTTCTCAATTTCTGCTTCCAGATTCTACAAAAGGAGAGTATCGAAACTGCTCAATCAAAACAAAGGTTTAACTATGTGAGATGAATCTACACATCATAATGAATTTTTTCAGATGGCTTCTGTCTAGATTTTATGTGAAGTTATTTACTTTTCTACCAAAGGCCGAAAAGTGCTCCAAATATCCAGTTGCAGATTCTACAAAAAGAGTGTTTCAAAACTGCTCAATCAAAAGAAAGATTCAACTCAGTATGATGAACGCACACTTCTCAAAGAAGTTTCCCAGAATTCTTCTGTTAAGTTTTTATGAGAAGATATTGCTTTTTCTACCATTGGCCTGAAGGCGCATGAAATGTCCACTTGCAGATTCTCCAAAAAGAGTATTTCAAAACTGGTCCATCAAAAGAAACATTCAACTCTGGGAGATCCTTGCTCACATCACAAAGAAGTTTCTGAGAATGCTTCAATCTAGTTTTTATGTGAAGATATTTCCTTTTCCACCATTGGCCTCAAAGTGCTCCAAGTGTCTACTTGCAGATTCTACAAAAAGAGAGTTTCAGAACTGCTCAATCAGAAGAAACTTTTAACACTGGGAGATGAATGCACACATCACAGAGAAGTTTCACTGTTTCTTTCGAGATTTTATGTGAAGATATATCCTTTTCTACATAGGCTGCAAAGCACATCATATGTCCACTTGCAGATTCTACAAAAAGAGTGTTTCCAAACTGCTCAATCAAAAGAAAAGTTCAACTCTGTGAGATGAATGTACACATCACAAAGAAGTTTGTCAGAATTCTTCTGTCTGACTTTTATGTGAAAATACTTCCTTTCCCACCACAGGCCTCAAAGTGCTCCAAATGTCCACTTGCAGATTCTAAAAAAAGAGACTTACAAAACTGTCCTATCAAAAGGAAGGTTTGACTCTGAGATGAAGCATACATCACAAAGAAGTTTCTCAGGCTGCTTCTGTCTAGATTTTATGTGAAGATATTTCCTTTTCTACAATAGGCCACAAAGCACTCCAAATGTACACTTTAAGATTCTACAAAAAGAGTGTTTCCATACTGTGCAATCAAAAAAAAGTTTCAAATCTGTGAGATGAATGCACGCATCACAAAGATGTTTCTCAGAATTCTTCTGTCTACTTTTTATGTGAAGATATTTCCTTTTCCACCACAGGCCCCAAATCCCTCCAAATATCCACTTGCAGATTCAACAAAAAGAGTGTTTCAAAACTGCACAATCAAAAGAAAGGTTTAACTCTGTGGGGTGAATACACATATCACAAAGAAGTTTCTCAGATTGCTTCTGTCTAGATTTTATGTGAAGATATTTCCTTTTCTACCATTGGCCAAAAAGCGATCCAAATGTCCACTTGCAGATTCTACAAAAAGAGTGTTTCCAAACTGCTCAATCAAAAGAAAAGTTCAACTCTGTCAGATGAATGCACACATCACAAAGAAATTTCTCATAATTCTTCTAATTTTTATGTGAAGATATTACCTTTCCCACCAGAGGCCTCAAAGCACTCCAAGTGTTCACTTGCAGATTCCAAAGAAAGAGAGTTTCAAAACTGCTCTATCAAAAGGAAGGTTTGACTCTGTGAGATGAATGCACACATCACAAAGAAGTTTCTCAGATTGTTTCTGTCTAGATTTTATGTGAAGACATTTCCTTTTCTACAATAGGCCACAAACTGCTCCAAAAAGTACACTTTTAGATTCTTCAAAAAGAGTGTTTCCATACTGCTAAATTGAAAGAAAGTTTCAACTCTGTGAGATGAATGCATGCATCACAAAGAAGTTTCTCAGAATTCTTCTGTCTAGTTTTTATGTGAAGATATTTCCTTTTCCACCATAGGCCTCAAAGCGCTCCAAATATCCACTTACAGATTCTACAAAAAGAGAGTCTCAAAACTGCTCAATCAAAAGAAAGGTTTAACTCTGTGAGATGAATGCAACATCACAAAGATATTTCTCAGATTGCTTCTGTCTAGATTTTCTGTGAATATATTTCCTTTTCTACCATAGGCCACAAAGTGCTCCAAATGTCCACTTGCATATTCTACAAAAAGAGTGTTTCCAAACTGCTCAATCAAAGTAAGGTTCAATTCTGTGAGATGAATGCACACATCACAGAGAAGTTTCTCAGTTTGCTTCTGTCTAGATTTTATGTGACAATATTTCCTTTTCCACCATTGGCCACAAAGTGCTCCATATGTACACTTGCATATTCTACAAAAAGAGTTTTTCCAAACTGCTCAATCCAAAGAAAGCTTCAACTCTGTGAGATGAATGCACACATCTCCAAAGAAGTTTGTCAGAATTCTTCTATCTAGTTTTTATGTGAAGATATATCCTTTTCCACCATAGGCCTCAAAGCGATCCAAATGTCCACTTGCAGATTCTACAAAAAGAGTGTTTCAAAACTCCTCAATCAAAATAAAGGTTGAACTCTGTAAGATGAATGCACACATGAAAAGAAGTTTCTCAGAATGCTTCTATCTAAGGGGGAGGAGCCAAGATGGCCACATAGGAAGAGCTCCAGTCTACAGCTCCCAGCGTGAGTGAAGCAGAAGACGGGTGATTTCTGCATTTCTATCTGAGGTACCAGGTTCATCTCACTAGGGACTGCCAGACAATGGGCGCAGGTCAGTGGTTGCAGCACACCGTGTGCGAGCTGAAGCAGGGCGAGGCATTGCTTCACTCAGGAAGTGCAACGGGTCAGGTAGTTCCTTTCCTAGTGAAAGTAAGGGGTGAGAGACGGCACCTGGAAAATCCGACGGGTTTAAAAAACGGCACACCAAGAGATTATATCCCGCACATGACTCTGAGGGCCCTATGCCCACGAAGTCTCACTGATTGCTAGCACAGCAGTCTGGGTTCAAACTGCAAGGTGGCAGTAAGGCTGGGGGTGGGGTGCCCGCCATTGCCCAGGCTTGCTTAGGTAAACAAAGCAGCTGGGAAGCTCGAACTGGTTGGAGCCCACCACAGCTCAAGGAGGCCTGTCTGCCTCTGTAGGCTCCACCTCTGGTGGCAGGGCATAGACAAACAAAAAGACAGCAGTAACCTCTGCAGACTTAAATGTCCCTGTCTGACAGATTTGAAGAGAGCAGTGGTTCTCCCAGCCTGCACCTGGAGATATGAGAATGTGGAGACTGCCTCCTCAAGTGGGTCCCTGACCCCTGAACTCTGAGCAGCCTAACTGGGAGGCACCCCCAAGTAGGGGCAGACTGACACTTCACACGGCCAGGTACTCCTCTGAGACAAAACCTCCAGAGGAATGATCAGACTGCAGCATTCATTGTTCACAAAAAACTGCTGTTCTGCAAGCACCATTGCTGATATCCAGGCAAACAGGGTCTGGAGTGGACCTCTAGCAAACTCCAACAGACCTGCAGCTGAGGTTCCTGTCCGTTAGAAGGAAAACAAACAAACAGAAAGGACATCCACACCAAAAACCCATCCGTACATCACCATCATCAAAGATCAAAAGTAGATAAAACCACAAAGATGGGGAAAAAACAGAGCTGAAATACTGGAAACTCTGAAAAGAAGAGCACCTCTCCTCCTCCAAAGGAACACAGTTCCTCAACAGCAATGGAACAAAGCTGGATGGAGAATGACTTTGATGAGTTGAGAGAAGAAGGCTTCAGACGATCAAACTACGAGCTACAGGAGGAAATTAAAACCAAAGGCAAAGAAATTAAAAACTTTGAAAAAAAATTAGACGAATGTATAACTAGACTAACCAATGCAAAGAAGTGCTTAAAGCAGCTGTTGGAGCTGAAAGCCAAGGCTCAAGAACTACGTGAAGAATGCAGAAGCCTCAGGAAACAAAGCAACCAACTAGAAGAAAGCATATCAGTGATGGAAGATGAA
This sequence comes from Homo sapiens, assembly GCF_000001405.40. NCBI lineage: Eukaryota > Metazoa > Chordata > Mammalia > Primates > Hominidae > Homo > Homo sapiens. The sequence goes on along the minus strand of NC_000008.11, from coordinate 45,984,773 downwards.
ATGAATGAAATGAAGAGAGAAGGGAAGTTTAGAGAAAAAAGAATAAAAAGAAACGAACAAAGCCTCCAAGAAATATGGGACTATGTGAAAAGACAAAATCTACTTCTGATTGGTGTACCTGAAAGTAACGGGGAGAATGGAACCAAGCTGGAAAGCACTGCAGGATATTATCCAGGAGAACTTCCCCAACCTAGCAAGGCAGGTCAACATTCAGATTCAGGAAATACAGAGAATGCCACAAAGATACTCTTTGAGATGAGCAACTCCAAGACACATAATTGTCGGATTCACCAAAGTTGAAATGAAGGAAAAAATGTTAAGGGCAGCCAGAGAGAAAGGTTGGGTTACCCACAAAGGGAAGCCCATCAGACTAACAGTGGATCTCTCGGCAGAAACTCTACAAGGCAGAAGAGAGTGGGGGCCAATATTCAACATTCTTAAAGAAAAGAATTTTCAACCCAGAATTTCATATCCAGCCAAACTAAGCTTCATAAGTGAAGGAGAAATAAAATCCTTTACAGACAAGCAAATGCTGAGAGATTTTGTCACCACCAGGCCTGCCCTAAAAGAGCTCCTGAAGGAAGCACTAAACATGGAAAGAAACAATCAGTACCAGCTGCTGCAAAATCATGCCAAAATGTAAAGACCATAGAGACTAGGAAGAAACTGCATCAACTAATGAGCAAAATAACCAGCTAACATCATAATGACAGGATCAAATTCTCTCATAACAATATTAACTTTTAATGTAAATGTACTAAATGCTTCAAATAAAAGACAGAGACTGGCAAATTGGATAAAGAGTGAAGACCCATCAGTGTGCTGTTTTCAGGAAACCCATCTCACATGCAGAGACACACATAGGCTTAAAATAAAAGGATGGAGGAAGATCTACCAAGCAAATGGAAAACAAAAAAGGCAGGGGTTGCAATCCTAGTCTCTGATAAAACAGACTTTAAACCAACAAAGATCAAAAGAGACAAAGAAGGCCATTACATAATGGTAAAGGGATCAATTCAACAAGAAGAGCTAACTATCCTAAATATACATGCACCCAAAACAGGAGCACCCAGATTCATAAAGCAAGTCCTGAGTGACCTACAAAGAGACTTAGACTCTCACACATTAATAATGGGAGATTTTAACAGCCCACTGTCAACATTAGACAGATCAACGTGACAGAAAGTTAACAAGGATGCCCAGGAATTGAACTCAGCTCTGTACCAAGTGGACCTAACAGACATCTACAGAACTCTCCACCCCAAATCAACAGAGTATACATTTTTTTCAGCACCACAGCACACCTATTCCAAAACTGACCATGTAGTTGGAAGTAAAGCTCTCCTCAGCAAATGTAAAAGAACAGAAATTATAACAAACTATCTCTCAGACCATATTGCAATCAAACTAGAACTCAGGATTAAGAAACTCAATCAAAACCACTCAACTACATGGAAACTGAATAACCTGCTCCTGAATGACTACTGGGTACATAACGAAATGAAGGCAGAAATAAAGATGTTCTTTGAAACCAATGAGAACAAAGACACAACATACCAGACTCTGGGACACATTCAAAGCAGTGTGTAGAGGGAAATTTATAGCACTAAATGCCCACAAGAGGAAGCAGGAAAGATCAAAAATTGACACCCTAACAGCACAATTAAAAGAACTAGAAAAGCAAGAGCAAACACATTCAAAAGCTAGCAGAAGGCAAGAAACAACTAAAATCAGAGCAGAACTGAAGGAAATAGAGACACAAAAAACACTTCAAAAAAAATGAATCTAGGAACTGGTTTTTTTAAAGGATCAACTACATTGATAGACTGCTAGCAAGACTAATAAAAAAAGAGAGAAGAATCAAATAGATGCAATAAAAAATGTTAAAGGGGATGTCACCACCAATCCCACAGAAATACAAACTACCATCAGAGATTACCAAAAATACCTCTAAGCAAAAAAACTAGAAAATCTAGAAGAAATGGATAAATTCCTCGACACATACACTCTCCCAAGACTAAACCAGGAAGAAGTTGAATCTCTGAATAGACCAATAACAGGAGCTGAAACTGTGGCAATAATCAGTAGTTTACCAACCAAAAAGAGTCCAGGAGCAGATGGATTCGCAGCCGAATTCTACCAGAGGTTCAAGGAGGAACTGGTACCATTCCTTCTGAAACTATTCCAATCAATAAAAAAGAGGGAATCCTCCCTAACTCATTTTATGAGGTCAGCATCATCCTGATAACAAAGCCGGGCACAGACACAACCAAAAAAGAGAATTTTAGACCAATATCCTTGATGAACATTGATGCAAACATCCTCAATAAAATACTGGCAAACGGAATCCAGCAGCACATCAAAAAGCGTATTCACCATGATCAAGTGGGCTTCATCCCTGGGATGCAAGTCTGGTTCAATATACGCAAATCAATAAATGTAATCCAGCATATAAACAGAACCAAAGACAAAAACCACAGGATTATCTCAATAGATGCAGAAAAGGCCTTTGAAAAAATTCCACAACCCTTCATGCTAAAAACTCTCAATAAATTAGGTATTGATGGGATGTATCTCAAAATAGTAAGAGTTATCTATGACAAACCCACAACCAATATCATACTGAATGGGCAAAAACTGGAAGCATTCCCTTTGAAAACTGGCACAAGACAGGGATTCTCTCTCTCACCACTCCTATTCAACATAGTGTTGGAAGTTCTAGCCAGGACAATTAGGCAGGAGAAGGAAATAAAGGGTATTCAATTAGGAAAATAGGAAGTCAAATTGTCCCTCTTTGCAGACGACATGATTGTATATCTAGAAAACCCCATCGCCTCAGCCCAAAATCTCCTTAAGCTGATAAGCAACTTCAGCAAAGTCTCAGGATAAAAAATCAATGTGCAAATATCACAAGCATTCTTTTACACCAATAACAGACAGAGAGCCAAATCATGAGTGAACTCCCATTCACAATTGTTTCAAAGAGAATAAAATACCTAGGAATCCACCTTACAAGGGACGTGAAGGACCTCTTCAAGGAGAACTACAAACCACTGCTCAATGAAATAAAAGAGGACACAAAGAAATGGAAGAATATTCCATGCTCATAGGTAGGAATAATCAATATTGCGAAAATGGCCATACTGCCCAAGGTAATTTATAAATTCAATGCCAACCCCATCAAGCTACCAATGACTTTCCTCACAGAATTGGAAACAACTACTTTAAAGTTCATATGGAACCAAAAAAGAACCCGCATCGCCAAGTCAGTACTAAGCCAAAAGAACAAAGCTGGGGGCATCACACTATCTGACTTTAAACTATACTACAAGGCTACAGTAACCAAAACAGCATGGTACTTGTACCAAAACAGAGATATAGATCAATGGAACAGAACAGAGCCCTCAGAAATAATGTCGCATATCTACAACTGTCTGATCTTTGACAAACCTGAGAAAAACAAGCAATGAGGAAAGGATTCCCTATTTAATAAATGGTGCTGGGAAAACTGGCTAGCCATATGTGAAAAGCTGAAACTGGATCCCTTTCTTACACCTTATACAAAAATCAATTCAAGATGGATTAAAGCCTTAAACATTAGACCTAAAACAATGAAAACCATAGAAGAAAACCTAGGTATTACCATTCAGTACATAGGCTTGGGTAAGGACTTCATGTCTAAAACACCAAAAGCAATGGCAACAAAAGACAAAATTGACAAATGGGATCTAATTAAACTAAAGAACTTCTGCACAGCAAAAGAAACTACCATCAGAGTGAACAGGCAACCTACAAAATGGGAGAAAATTTTTGCAACCTATTCATCTGACAAAGGGCTAATATCCAGAATCTATAATGAATTCAAACAAATTTACAAGAAAAAAACAAACAACCCCATCTAAAAGTAGGCAAAGGACATGAACAGACACTTCTCAAAATAAGACATTTATGCAGCCAAAAAACACATGGAAAAAATGCTCACAATCACTGGTCATCAGAGAATTGCAAATCAAAACCACAATGAGATATCATCTCGCACCGGTTAGAATGGCAATTATTAAAATGTCAGGAAACAACAGGTGCTGGAGATGATGTGGAGAAATAGGAACACTATTACACTGTTGGTGGGACTGTAAACTAGTTCAACCACTGTGGAAGTCAGTGTGGCGATTCCTCAGGGATCTAGAACTAGAAATAACTTTTGACCCAGCCATCCCATTACTGGGTACATACCCAAATGTCTATAAATCATGCTGCTATAAAGACACATGCACACGTATGTTTATTGTGGCACTATTCACAATAGCAAAGACTTGGAACCAACCCAAATGTCCAACAATGATAGACTGGATTAAGAAAATGTGACACACATACACCATGGAATACTACGCAGCCATAAAAAATGATGAGTTCATGTCCTTTTTAGGGACATGGATGAAATTGGAAATCATCATCCTCAGTTATCTATCACAAGAACAAAAAACCAAACACCACATATTCTCACTCATAGGTGGGAATTCAACAATGAGAACACCTGGACACAGGAAGGGGAACATCACACCCTGGGGACTGTTGTGGGGCGGGGGGAGGGGGGAGGGATAGCATTAGGAGATATACCTAATGCTAGATGACGAGTTAGTGCATGCAGTGCACCAGCATGGCACATGTATACATATGTAAGTAATCTGCATATTGTGCACATGTACCCTAAAACTTAAAGTATAAAAATAAAAAAATAAAAAAATAAAACGAGGCAAAATAAAAAAAAAAGAATGTTTCTGTCTAGATTTTATGTGAAGATATTTCCTTTTCTACGAATAGGCTGAAAAACGCTCCAGAAGTCCACTTGCAGATTCTACAAAAAGAGTGTTTCCAAACTGCTCAATCAAAAGAAAGGTTCAACTCTGTGAGATGAACGCACACATCACAAAGAAGTTTGTCAGAATTCTTCTAATTTTTATGTGAAGATATTACCTTTCCCACCAAAGGCCTCAAAGCGCTCCAAATGTGCACTTGCAGATTCTACAAAAAGAGAGTTTCAAAACTGCTGTATCAAAAGAAAGCTTTAACTGTGTGAGATGAATGCACACATCACAAAGAAGTTTATCAGATTGCTTCTGTCTAGATTTTATGTGAAATTTCCTTTTCTACAATAGGCAGCAAAGCGCTCCAAATGTCCACTTTTAGATTCTACAAAAAGAGTGTTTCCATACTGCTCAATCAAAAGAAAGGTTCAACTCTGTGAGATGAACCCAGGCACCACAAAGTATTTTCTCAGAATTCTTCTTTCTAGTTTTTATGTGAAGATATTTACTTTTCTACCATACACCTTAAAGGGCTCCAAATATCCACTTTCAAATTCTACAAAAACAGTGTTTACAAACTGCTCAATCAAAAGAAAGGTTCAGTTCTGTGAGATGAACGCACACATTACAAAGACGTTTCTAAGAATTCTTCTGTCTAGTTTTTATGTGAAGATATTTCCTTTTCCACCATAGGGCTCCAGGTGCTTCAAGTGTCCACTTTCAGATTCTACAAAGAGTATTTCAAAACTGGTCCTTCAAAAAACAGGTTCAACTCAGTAAGATGAACGCACACATCACAAAGAAGTTTTTCAGAATGCTTCTATCAAGTTTTTATATGAAGGTATTTCCTTTTGAAAATAGGCCGCAAAGGGCTCCCAATGTCCATTTTCAGATTCTAAAAAAGGGAGTTTCAAAACTACTCTAATGAAAGAAAGGTTTAACTCTGTCAGATGAATGCACACATCACAAAGTAGTTTCTCAGATTGCTTCTGTCTAGATTTTATGGGAAGATATCTCCTTTTGTACCACAGGTCACAAAGCGCCCCAAATGTCCACTTGCCAATTCTACAAAAGGAGTGTTTCCAAACTGCTCAGTCAAAAGAAAGGTTCAACTCTTTGGGATGAACACACACATCACAATGTAGTTTCTCAGAATTCTTCTGTCTAGTTTTTATGTGAAGATATTTCCTTTTCCACCATGGGCCTCAAAGTGCTCCAAATGTCCACTTGAAAATTCTACAAAAAGAGAGTTTCAAAACTCCTCAATCAAAAGAAAGTTTTAACTCTGCGAGATGAATGCACAAATCACAAAGAAGTTTTTCAGATTTCTTCTGTCTAAATTTTATGTGAAGATATTTCTTTTTCCACCGTAGGCTTCAAAGCACTCCAAAAGTCAACATGCAGATTCTTCAAAAACAGTGTTTCCAAACGGCTGAATCAAAAGAATAGTTCAACTCTCTGAGATGAACGCACACATCACCAAGAAGTTTCCCAGAATTATTCTATCAAGTTTTTATGTGAAGATATTTCCTTTTCCACCATTGGCCCCAAAGTACTCCAAATCTCCACTTGCATATTTTACAAAAGAGAGTTTCAAAACTGTTCAATCAAAAGAGAGTTTTAACTCTGTGAGATGAATGCACACATCACAAATAAGTTTCTCAGATTGCGTCTGTCTAGATTTTATTTGAAGATATTTTCTTTTCTACAATAGGCCCCAAAGCACTCCAAATGTCCACTTTTAGATTCTACAAAAAGAGTGTTTCCAAACTGCTCAATCAAAAGAAAGGTTCAACTCTGTGAGTTGAACACACACATCACAAAGAAGTTTCCCAGAATTCTTCTGTCTAGTTTTTATGTGAAGCTATTTCATTTTCGACCATAGGCTTCAAAGCACTCCAAATGTCCACTTGTAGATTCTACAAAAAGAGAGTTTGAAAACTGCCCAATCAAAAGAAATGTTTAACTCTGTGAGATGAATGCATACATCACAAAGAAGTTTCTCAGATTGCTTCTGTCTAGATTTTATGTAAAGATGTTCCATTTTCTACCATGGGCCACAAAGCCCTCCAAATGTTCACTTGCAGATTCTAAAAAAGAGTGTGTCCTAATTGCTCAAACAAAAGAAAGGTTCAACTCTGTGAGATGAACGCAAACATTGCAAAGAAGTTTTTCAGAATTCTTCAGTCTCGTTTTTATGTGATGATATTTTCTTTTCCATCACAGGCCTCAAGACGCTCCAAATGTCCACTTGCAGATTCAACAAAAAGAGAGTTTCAAAACTGCTCAATCAAAAGAAAGGTTTACCTCTGTAAGATGAATGCAGACATCACACAGAAGTTTCTCACATTGCTTCTGTCTAGAATTTATGTGAAGATATTTCCTTTTCCAACATAGGTTGCAAAGGGCTCCAAATGTTCACTTGCAGATTCTACAAAAAGAATGTTTCCAAATTTCTCATTCAAAAGAAAGGTTCAACTCAGTGAGATAAATGCACACATCACAAAGAAGTTTCTCAGAATTCTTCTGTCTAGTTTTTATTTGAAGATATTTCTTTTTCCACCATAGCCCTCAAGGTGCTCAAAATGTGCACTTGCAGATTCTACAAGAAAAGTTTTTCAAAACTGGTCTTTCAAAAGAAAGTTTCAACTCTGGGAGATGAATGGACACATCACAAAGAATTTTCACAGAATGCTTCTGTCAAGTTTTTATATGAAGATATTTACTTTCCACAATAGGTCTCAAAGCCCTCCAAATGTCCACTTGCAGATTCTACAAAAAGAGAGATTCAAAACTTCTCAATCAAAAGAAAGAGTTACATCTGTGAGAAGAATGCCCACATTACAAGGGGTTTCTCAGATTCCTTACGTCTAGATTTTATGTGATGATATTTCCTTTTCTACCTTAGGCTGCAAAGCTCTCCAAAGGTCTGCTAGCAGATTCAACAAATAGAGTGTTTCCAAATGGCTCAATCAATAGAAAGGTTCAACTCTGTGAGACAAATGCACACATCACAAAGGACTTCCTAAGAATTTTTCTGCCTAGTTTTTATGTGAAGATATATCCTTTTCCACCATATGCCTCAAAGCGCTCCAAATGTACACTTGCAGATTCTACAAAAAGTGAGTTTCAAAACTGCACACTCAAAAGAAAGGTTTAACTCTGTGAGATGAATGAACACATCACAAAGAAGTTTCTCAGATTGCTTCGGTGTAGATTTTATGTGAAGATATTTCCTTTTCCACCATAGGCCGCAAAGCCTTCCAAATGTCCACCTGCAGATTCTACACAAAGAGTGTTTCCAAACTGCTCAATTTAAAGAAAGGTTGTATTCTCTGAGATATACGCACACACCATGAAGAAGTTTCTCAGAATTCTTCTGTCTTGTTTTTATGTGAAGAAATTTCCTTTTCCACCACAGGCCAAAAAGGGCTCCAAATGTACACTTACAGGTTCTACAAAAACAGAGTTTCAAAACTGCTCAATCAAAAGAAAGGTTTAACTATGTGAGATGAGAGCACACATCACAAATAAGTTTCTCAGATTGCTTCTGTCTAGATTTTATGTGAAGATATTTCCTTTTCTACCACAGGCTGCAAAGCGCTCCAAATGTCCACTTACAGATTCTACACAAAGAGTGTTTCCATACTGCTCAATCAAAAGAAAGATTCAACTCTGTGAGATAAACGCACACATAACAAAGAGGTTTCTCGGAACTCTTCTGTCAAGTTTTTATGTGAAGATATTTCCCTTTCCACAGTAGGCCCCAAAGCACTCCAAATGTCCACTTGCAGACTCTACAAAAGAGAGTTTCAAATCTGCTCAATCAAAGAAAATTTCCACCATAGTTTTTCCACCATAGGCTTCAAAGCGCTCCAAATGTCCACATGCAGATTCTACAAAAAGTGTTTCAAAACTGCTCAAAGTAAAGGTTTAACTCTGTGAGATAAATGCACACATCACAAAGAAGTTTCTCTCATTGTTTCTGTCTAGATTTTATGTGAAGATGTTTCCTTTTCTACCATAGGCCGCAAAGCACTCCAAATGTCCACTTGCAGATTCTATAAAAAGTTTCTTTCCAAACTGCAAAATCAAAAGAAAGCTCCAACTCTGTGACATGAATGCACATATAATGAGGAAGTTTCTCAGAATTCTTCTCTCTAGTTTTTATGTGACAATATTTCCTTTTCCAACATATTCCTCAAAGCGTTCCAAATGTCCACTTGCAGATTCTACAAAAAGAGATTTTCAAAACTGCTCCATCAAAAGACAAGTTTAACTCTGTGAGAGGAATGCACATATTACAAAGAAGTTTCTCAGATTTCCTCTGTCTAGAATTTATGTGGAGATATTTCCTTTTCTACCATAGGCCATAAGGCGCTCTAAATGTCCACTTGCAGATTCTACAAAAAGAGTGTTTCCAAACTTCTCAATCAAAACAAAGGTTCAAATCTGTGAGATGACCACACAGATCACAAAGAAGTTTCTCAGAATACTTCTGTATAGTTTTTATGTGAAGATATTTCCTTTTCCACCATAGGCCTCAAAGCACTCCAAATATACACTTGCATATTCTACAAAAAGATTATTTCAAAACTGGTCCTTTAAAAGAAAGGTTCAACTCAGGGAGATGAATGCACACATCACAAATCAGTTTTTCAGAATGCTTCTATCTAGTTTTTATGTGAAGACGTTTCCTTTTCCAACATCGGCCTCAGAGAGCATCAAATGTCCACTTACAGATGCTACAAAAAGAGAGTTTCAAAACTGCTCAATCAAAAGAAAGTTTAAACATTGTGAGATGAATGCACACATGACAAAGAAGTTTCTCAGATTGCTTCTGTCTAGATTTTATGTGAATATAATTCCTTTTCTACCATGGGCCCCAAATCGCTCTGAATATCTGCAAGTGGACATTTGGAACGCTTTGAGGAATATGTTGGAAAAGGAACATATCTACTTGCAGATTCTACAAAAAGAGTGTTTCTAAACTGCTCAATCAAAAGAAATGTTCAACTCTGTGAGATGAATGCACACATCACAAAGTAGTTTCTCAGAATTCTTCTATTTATTTTTTATGTGAAGATATTTCCTTTTCAAACCTCGGCCTCAAAGCACTCCAAATATCCACTTGCATATTCCACAAAAAGAGTGTTTAAAAACTGCTCTATCAAGAGAAAGGTTCAGCACTGTGAGTTGAATGCACTCATCACAAAGAAGTTTCTGAGAATGTTTCTGTCTAATTTTTATGTGAGGATATTTCCTTTTCCACCATAGTCCTCAAAGGGCTCCAAATATCCACTTGCAGATTCTACAAAAAGAGTGTTTCAAAACTGCTCTATCAAAAGAAAGGTTCAAATCTGTGAGGTGAATGCACTCATCACAAAGAAGTTTCTGAGAATGCTTCTGTCTAGTTTTTATGTGAAGATATTTCTTTTTCTACCATAATCCTCAAGGCATTCCAAATAACAACTTGCAGATTCTAGAAAAAGAGTGTTTCAAAACTGCTCTATCAAAAGAAAGGTTCATCTTTGCAAGTTGAAAGCACACATCACAAAGAAGTTTCTGAGATTGCTTCTGTCTAGTTTTTATGTGAAGATATTTCCTTTTCCACCATAGGCCTCAAAGCGTTCCAAATATTGACTTTCAGATTCTACAAAAAGAGTGTTTCAAAACTGCTCTATCCCAAGAAAGGTTCAACTCTGTGAGTTGAATGCACACATCCAAAGAAGTTTCTGAGAATGCTTCTGTCTAGTTTTTATGTGTGGGTATTTCCTTTTCCACCGTCGGCCTCAAAGCGCTGCAAATATCCACTTGCAGATGCTACAAAAAGATTGTTTCAAAACTGCTCAAACAAGGAAAGGTTCAACTCTGTGTGTTGAATGCACACAACACAAAGAAGTTTTTAAGAATGCTTCTCTCTAGTTTTTATGTGAAGGTACTTCCTTTTCCACCATAGGAATCAAAGTGCTCCAAATATCCACTTGCAGATCCTACATAAAGAGTGTTTCAAAACTGCTCTATCAAAAGAAAGGTTCAACTCTCTGAGTTGAATGTATACATCACAAAGAAGTTTCTGAGAATGCTGCTGTCTAGTTTTTAAGTGAAAATATTTATTTTTCCAACATAGGCCTCAAAGCCTGCTAAATATCCACTTGCAGTGTGTAGAAAAAGAGTGTTTCAAAATGCTCCATCAAAGGAAAGTTTCAACTCTGTGAGTTAAATGCACACAACACAAAGAAGTTTCCGAGAATGCTTCTGTATAGTTTTTATGTGAGGATATTTCCTTTTCCACCATAGGCCTCAAAACACTCCAAATATCCACTTGCAGATTCAAAAAAAAGATTGCTTCAAAACTGCCCTAACAAAAGAAAGGTTCAACTCGGTGAGATGAATGCACACATCACAAAGAAGTTTCTGAGAATGCTTCCATCTAGTTTTTATATGAAGTTATTTCCTTTTCCACCATAGGCCTCAAAGCGCTCCAAATTTTCACTTGCAGATTCTACAAAAAGAGTGTTTCAAAACTTCTCAATCAAAGTACAGATGCAACTCTGTGAGTAGAATGCACACAACACAAAGTTCCTGAGAATTCTCCTGTCTAGTTTTTACGTAAAGATATTTCCTTTTCCACCATAGGCCTCAAAGCGCTCCAAATATTCACTTGCAGATTCTAGAAAAAGAGTGTTTCAAAAATGTTCTACAGATAGAAAGATTCAACTCTGTGAGTTGAATGCAAACAACACAAAGTATTTTCTGAGAATGCTTCTTACTAGTTTTTATGTGAAGATATTTCCTTTTCCACCATAGGCCTCAAAGCCCTCCAAATATCCACTTGCAGATTCTACAAAAAGAATATACCAAAACTGCTCATTCAAAGGAAATGTTCAATGCTGAGTTAAATGCACACAAAGAATTTTCTGAGAATGGTTCTGTCTAGTTTTTATTTGAATATATTTCCTTTTCCACTATTGGCCTCAAAGCGCTGCAAATATCCTCTTACAGATTATAGAAAAAGAGATTTTCAAAACTGCTCTATCAAAAGAAATGTTAAACTCTGTGACTTGAATGCACACATCCCAAAAAAGTTTCTGAGAATGCTTCTTTCTAGTTTTCATGTGAAGATATTTCCTTTTCCAACATAGGCCTCAAAGCCCTCCAAATATCCACTTGCAGATTCCACAAAAAGAGTGTATCAAAACTGCTCCATCAAAGGGAAGTTTCAATTCTGAGTTAAATGCACACAACAGAAAAATTTTCTGAGAATATTTCTGTCTAGTTTATATGTGAACATATTTCCTTTTCCACCATAGGTCTCAAAGCACTTCAAATATCCACTTGCAGGTTCTAAAAAAAAGAAGGATTCAAAACTGCTCTATCAAAGGAAAGGTTCAAATCTATGAATTGAATGCACACATCAAAAAGAAGTTTCTGACAATGCTTCTGTCTAGTTTTTATGGGAAGATATTTCCATTTCCACCTTAAGAATCATAGCGCTCCAAATATCCACTTGCAGATTCTAGAAAAAGATTGTTTCAAAACTGCCCTATCAAAAGAAATGTTTAACCCTGTGGTTTGAATGCACACATCATAAAGAAGTTTCTGAGAATGCTTCTGTCAAGTTTTTATGTGATGACATTTCCTTTTCCACAATAGTCCTCAAAGCGCTCCAAATGTTCACTTGCAGATTCTAGAAAAGGAGGGTTTCAAAACTGCTCTATCAAAAGAAAGGCTCAACCCTGTGAGTTGAAGGCACACATCACGAAAAATTTTCTGAAAATTTTTCTGTCTAGTTTTTATGTGAGGATATTTCCACTTCCACCATAGTCCTCAAAGCGCTCCAAATATCCACTTGCAGATTCTAGAAAAAGAGTGTTTCAAAACTGCTCAAAGGAAAGGTTCCACTATGTGAGTTGAATGCACACAACACAAAGAAGTTTCTGATAATGCTTCTGTCAATTTTTTATGTGTGGATATTTCCTTTTCCACTATAGTCCACAAAGCGCTCCAAATATCCACTTGCAGATTCTTCAAAAATAATGTTTCTAAACTCCTCTTTCCAAAGAAACGTTCACGTCTGTGAGTTGAATGCACTCATCACAAAGAAGTTTCTGAGAATGCTTCTGTCTTGTTTTTATGTGAAGATATTTTCTTTTTCAACATAGGCCTCAAAGCGCTTTAAATATCCAATTGCCAATTCTAGAAAAAGAGTGTTACAAAATTGCTCTTACAAAAGAAATATTCACCTCTGTGAGTTGAATGCATGCTTCCCAAAAATAGTCTGAGAATTCTTCTGTCTAGTTTTTATGTGAAGATATTTCCTTTTCACCACAGTCCTCAAAGCACTGCAAATATCCACTTGCAGATTCCACAAAAAGGGCGTTTCAAAACTGCTCTGTCAAACGAATATTCAGCTCTGTGAGTTGAATGGAAACATCAGAAATTAGTTTCTGAGAATGCTTCTGTGTTGTTTTTCTATGAAGATATTTCCTTTTCTACCATAGGCCCAAAATCGCTCTAAATATCCATTTGCAAATTCCACAAAAGAGTGTTTCAAAACTGCTCTATCAAAAGGAAGGTTCAACTCTGTGTTGAGTGCAGACATCACAAAGGAGTTTCTGAGAATGCTTCTGTATACTTTTTATGTGAAGATATTACCGTTTCCAAGGAAGGAATCAAAGTGCTCCAAATATACACTTGCAGATTTACAAACAGAGGGGTTCAAAACTGCTATACCAAAAGAAAGGTTAAACTCTGTGAGTTGAATGCACACATCACAAAGTAGTTTCTGAGAATGATTCTGTCTAGTTTTTATATGAAGATATTTCCTTTTCAACCATAGGCTTCAAAGCGCTCTAAATATCCACATGGAAATTCTACAAATAGAGTGTTTCAAAACTGCTCAATCAAAAGGAAGGTTCAACTCTGTGAGTTGAATGCCCACATCCCAAAGAAGTTTCTGAGAATTCTTCTGTCTGGTTTTCCTTTGGAGAAATTCCCGTTTCTAACGAAGGCCTCAAAGAGGTCCAAATATCCACTTGCATTTTCTACAAAAAGAGTGTTTCAAAACTGCTTTATCAAAAGGAATGTTCAACTTTGTGAGTTGAATGCAAACATCACAAAATAGTTTCTGAGAATGTTTCGGTCTACTTTTTTTATGAAAATACTTCTTATTCTCCCAAAGGACTCAAAGTGCTCTAAATATCCACTTGGAAATTCTACAAAAAGAGTGTTTAAAAACTGCTCTATCAAAAGGAAGGCTCAACTCTGTGAGTTGAATGCACACATCAGAAAAAGTTTCTGAGATTTCTCCTGTCTAGTTTTTAAGTGAAGAAATTCCCATTTCCAACGAAGGCCTCAAAGAGGTCCAAATATCCACTTGCAGATTCTACAAACAGACTGTTGCATAACTGCTCTATAAAAAGGAATGTTTAACACAGTGAGTTGAATGCAAACATCACAAAGAAGTTTCTGAGAATACTTCCGTGTAGTTTTTCTATGATGATATATCCTTTTATACCATAGGCCTCAAAGCGCTCCAATTATCCAATTGCAAAATCTACAAAAGAAGTTTTTCAAAACTGCTCTATCAAAAGGAAGTTTCAAATCTGTGATTTGAGTGCAGACATCACAAAGAAGTTTCTGAAAATACTTCTCTCTACTTTTTATGTGAAGGTACTCCCATTTCCAAAGAAGGCCTTAAAGCACTCCAAATATCCACTTGCAGACTTTACAAAGTGTTTCAAAACTGCTCTATCAAAAGGAAGGTTCAACTCCGAGAGTTGAATGCACTCATCACAAAGAAGTTTATGAGAATGTTTCTTTCTAGTTTTTATGTGAAGGTATTTCCTTTTCCAACTTAGGCTTCAAAGGGAACAAAATATCCACTTGCAGATTCCACAAAAAGAGTGTTTCAAAACTCCTCTATCAAAAGGTTGGTTCAGCCTTGCGTGTTGAATACAAACATCACAAAATAGTTTCTGAGAATGCTTCTGGCCATTTTTTTATGAAAATACTTCGTATTCTACCAAAGGACTCCAAGCGCTCTAAATATCCACCTGCAAATTCCACAAAAAGAATGTTGCAATACTGCTTTATCAAAAGAAAGGTTAAATGCCGTGTGTTGAACGCACACATCACAAAGTAGTTTCTGAGAATGATTCTGTCTAGTTTTTATATGAAGTTATTTTTTTTTTCTAACTCAGGCTTCAAAGCGCTGTTAATATCCACTCGGAAATGCTACAAAAAGAGTGTTTCAATACTGCTCTATCGAAAGGAAGTTTCATATCTGTGAGTTGAATGCACACATCACAAAGAAGTTTCTGAGAATTCTTCTGTATAGTTTTTATATGAAGAAATCCCATTTCCAACGAAGTCCTCAAAAAGGTCCAAATATCCACTTGCAGATTCTACAAAAAGAGTGTTACAAAACTGCCCTATCGAAAGGAATCTTCAACTCTTTGAGTTGAATGCAAACATCACAAAGTAGTTTCTGAGAATGCTTCTGTGTAGTTTTTCTATGAAGATATTTCCTTTTCTACCATAGGCCTCAAAGTGCTCTAACTATGCACTTGGAAATTCTACAAAAATAGTGGTTCAAAACTGCTCTATCAAAAGGAAGTTTCAGCACTGTGAGTTGAGTGCAAACATCACAAAGTAGTTTCTCAGAATACTTCTGTCTACTTTTTACGTGAAGATATTCTCATTTACAAAGAAGACCTCAAATTGCTCCAAATATCCACTTGCAGCCATTACAAAGAGAGTGTTTCAAAAAATGCTCTATCAAAAGGAAGGTTCAACTCTGTGAGTTGAATGCTAACATCACAAATTACTTTCTGAGAATGTTTCTGTGTAGTTATTCTATGAAGATATTTCCTTTTCTACAATAGGCATCAAAGCCCTCTAAATATTCACTTGCAAATTCTACAAAAAGAGTGTTTCAAAACTGCTCTATCAAAAGGAAGGTTCAAATCTGTGAGTTGAATGCACACATCACAAAGTAGTTTCTGAAAATGATAATGTCTAATTTTTATATGAAGATATTTCCTTTTCTACCATAGGACTCAAACCACTCTGAATATCCACTTGGAAATTCTACAGAAAGAGTGTTTCAGAACTGCTCTATCGAAAGTCAGGTTCAACTCTGTGAATTGAATGCACACATCACAAAGAAGTTTCTGAGAATTCTTCTGTCTAGTTTTTATACGTAGAAATTCCCGTTTCCAACGAAGGCCTCAGAGAGGTCAAAATATCCACTTGCAGATTCTACAAAGAAAGTGTTACAAAACTGCTCTATCAAAAGGAATGTTCAACTCTGTGAGTTGAATGCAAACATCAAAGTAGTTTCTGAGAATGCTTCTGTGTAGTTTTTGAATGAATATATTATCTTTTCCAACATAGGCTCCAAAACGCTCTAAATATTCACTTTCAAATCCTACAAAAATAGTGTTTCAAAACTGCTCTATCAAAAGGAAGTTTCAAATCTCTGAGTGGAGTGCAGAGATCACAAAGAAGTTTCTGAGAATACTTCTGTCTACTTTTTATGTGAAGATATTACCTTTTCCAAAGAAGGCCTCAAAGTGCGTCAAATATTCACTTGCAGACTTTACAAACAGAGTGCTTCAAAACTATTCTATCGAAAGAAATGTTAAACTCTGTGAGTTGAACCCACACATCACAAAGGAGTTTCTGAGAATGATTCTGTCTGGTTTTTTTGTTTGTTTGTTTTTTATTTTTTTTTTTATTATACTTTAAGTTTTAGGGTACATGTGCACATTGTGCAGGTTAGTTACATATGTATACATGTGCCATGCTGGTGCGCTGCACCCACTAACTCGTCATCTAGCATTAGGTATATCTCCCAATGTTATCCCTCCCCCCTCCCCCCACCCCACCACAGTCCCCAGAGTGTGATATTCCCCTTCCTGTGTCCATGTGATCTCATTGTTCAATTCCCAACTATGAGTGAGAATATGCGGTGTTTGGTTTTTTGTTCTTGTGATAGATTACTGAGAATGATGATTTCCAGTTTCATCCATGTCCCTACAGAGGACATGAACTCATCCTTTTTTATGGCTGCATAGTATTCCACGGTGTATACGAGCCACATTTTCTTAATCCAGTCTATCATTGTTGGACATTTGGGTTGGTTCCAAGTCTTTGCTATTGTGAATAATGCCGCAATAGCAGCATGATTTATAGTCATTTGGGTATATACCCAGTAATGGGATGGCTGGGTCAAATGGTACTTCCAGTTCTAGATCCCTGAGGAGTCACCACACTGACTTCCACAGTGGTTGAACTAGTTTACAGTCCCACCAACAGTGTAAAAGTGTTCCTATTTCTCCACATCCTCTCCAGCACCTGTTGTTTCCTGACTTTTTAATGATCATCATTCTAACTGGTGTGAGATGGTATCTCATTGTAGTTTTGATTTGCATTTCTCTGATGGCCAGTGATGATGAGCATTTTTTCATGTGTTTTTTGGCTGCATAAATGTCTTCTTTTGAGAACTGTCTGTTCATGTCCTTCACCCACTTTTTGATGGGGTTGTTTGTTTTTTTCCTGTAAATTTGTTTGAGTTCATTGTAGATTCTGGATATTAGCCCTTTGTCACATGAGTAGGTTGTGAAAATTTTCTCCCATTTTGTAGGTTGCCTGTTCACTCTGATGGTAGTTTCTTTTGCTGTGCAGAAGTTCTTTAGTTTAATTAGATCCCATTTGTCAATTTTGGCTTTTGTTGCCATTGCTTTAGGTGTTTTAGACATGAAGTCCTTGCCCATGCCTATGTACTGAATGGTAATGCCTAGGTTTTCTTCTAGGATTTTTATAGTTTTAGGTCTAACATTTAAGTCTTGAATCCATGTTGAATTGATTTTTGTATAAGGTGTAAGGAAGGGA
Source organism: Homo sapiens (assembly GCF_000001405.40). Classification (NCBI taxonomy): domain Eukaryota; kingdom Metazoa; phylum Chordata; class Mammalia; order Primates; family Hominidae; genus Homo; species Homo sapiens. Next base: position 45,967,068 of record NC_000008.11, on the reverse strand, counting down.
TCCAGTTTCAGCTTTCTACATATGGCTAGCCAGTTTTCCCAGCACCATTTATTAAATAGGGAATCCTTTCCCCATTGCTTGTTTTTCTCAGGTTTGTCAAAGATCAGATAGTTGTACATATGTGGCGTTATTTCTGAGGGCTCTGTTCTGTTCCATTGATCTATATCTCTGTTTTGGTACCAGTACCATGCTGTTTTGGTTACTGTAGCCTTGTAGTATAGTTTGAAGTCAGGTAGTGCTATGCCTCCAGCTTTGTTCTTTTGGCTTAGGATTGACTTGGCGATGCGGGCTCTTTTTTGGTTCCATATTAACTTTAAAGTAGTTTTTTCCAGTTCTGTGAAGAAAGTCATTGGTAGCTTGATGGGGATGGCATTGAATCTGTAAATTACCTTGGACAGTATGGCCATTTTCACGATATTGATTCTTCCTACCCATGAGCATGGAATGTTCTTTCATTTGTTTGTATCCTCTTTTATTTCGTTGAGCAGTGGTTTGTAGTTCTCCTTGAAGAGGTCCTTCACATCCCTTGTAAGTTGGATTCCTAGGTATTTTATTCTCTTTGAAGCAATTGTGAATGGGAGTTCACTCATGATTTGGCTCTCTGTTTGTCTATTGTTGGTGTATAAGAATGCTTGTGATTTTTGTACATTGATTTTGTATCCTGACACTTTGCTGAAGTTGCTTATCAGCTTCAGGAGATTTTGGGCTGAGACAATGGGGTTTTCTAGATATACAATCGTGTCGTCTGCAAACAGGGACAATTTGACTTCCTCTTTTCCTAATTGAATACCCTTTATTTCCTTCTCCTGCAGAATTGCCCTGGCCAGAACTTCCAACACTATGTTGAATAGGAGTGGTGAGAGAGGGCATCCCTGTCTTGTGCCAGTTTTCAAAGGGAATGCTTCCTGTTTTTGCCCATTCAGTATGATATTGGCTGTGGGTTTGTCATAGATAGCTCTTATTATTTTGAAATACGTCCCATCAATACCTAATTTATTGAGACTTTTTAGCATGAAGTGTTGTTGAATTTTGCCAAAGGCTTTTTCTGCATCTATTGAGATAATCCTGTGGTTTTTGTCTTTGGCTCTGTTTATATGATGGATTACATTTATTGATTTGTGTATATTGAACCAGCCTTTCTGTCTAGTTTTTATATGAAAATATTTCCTTTTCTACCATAGACTTCAAAGCGCTCTAAATATCCACTTGGAAATTCTACAAAAAGAGTGTTTAAAAACTGCTCTATTGAAAGGAAGGTTCATCCTTGTGAGTTGAATGCACACTTCACAAAGAAGTTTCTGAGAATTCTTTGGTCTAGTTTTTATATGAAGAAATCCCGTTTCCAACGAAGGACTCAAAGAGGTCCAAATATCCACTTGCAGATTCTGCAAAAAGAGTGTTACAAAACTGCTCTATGAAAAAGGAATGTTCAACTCCGTGAGTTGAATGCAAACATCCCAAAGTAGTTTCTGAGAATGCTTCTGTGTAATTTTTCTATGAAGATATTTCCTTTTCCACCATAGGCATAAAAGCGCTCTAAATATCCACTTGAAAATTCTACAAAAAGAGTGTTTCACATCTGCTCTATCAAAAGATATGTATAACTCCTTGAGTTGAATACAAACATCCCAAAATAGTTTCTGAGAATGTTTCTGTGTAATTTTTCTATGAAGATATTCCATTTTCTAACATAGGCCTCAAAGCGCTCTAATTATCCTCTTGCAAATTCTACACAAAGAGTGTTTCAAATCCTCTCTATCAAAAGGACCGTTCAACTCTGTGGGTTGAGTGCAGACATCACAAGAAGTTTCTGAGAATACCTCTGTCTACTTTTTAGGTGAAGATATTACCGTTTCCAAAGAAGGCCTCAAAGCCAACCAAATATCCACTTGCAGACTTACAAACAGAGTGTTTCAAATCTGCTCTATCAAAAGGAATCTTCAACTCTGTGAGTTGAATGCACTCATCTCCAAGAAGTATACGAGAATGTTTCTTTCTAATTTTTATGTGAAGATAATTCCTTTTCCAACAAAGGCCTCAAAGGGAATAAAGTATCCACTTGCAGATTCTACAAAAATAGTGTTTCAAGACTGCTCTTTCAAAAGAAAATTTCACCTCTGTGAGTTGAATGCACACATCCCAAAGAAGGTTCTGAGAATGCTTCTGTCTGGTATTTATGTGAAGATAAACCGGTTTCCAATGAAGGCCTCAACGCGGTCTAAATATCCACTTGCAGATTCAACAACAACAACAAAAAAGTGATTCAAAACTTCTCTATGAAAGGAACGTTCAACTCTGTGAGTTGAATGCAAACCTCACAAATTAGTTTCTGAGAACGATTCTGTGTAGTTTTTCTATGAAGGTATTTCCTTTTCTACCATAGGCCTCAAAGCGCTCTAAATATCCAGCTGGGAATTCGATAAAAAGCGTGTTTCAAAACTGCTCTATCGAAACGAAGGTTCAACTCTGTGAGTTGAATGCACACATCACAAAGAAGTTTCTGAGAATGCTTCTGTCTTGTTTTTATTTGAAGACATTTCCTTTTGTACCATAGGCCTCTAACTGCTCTAAATATCCACTTGGAAATTCTACAAGAAGAGTGTTTCAAAACTGCTCTATTGAAAGGAAGGTTCAACTCTGTGAATTGAATGCACACATCACAAAGAAGTTTCTGAGAATTCTTCTGTCTAGTTTTTATATGAAGAAATTCCCGTTTCCAATGAAGGCCTCAGAGATGTCCCAATATCCACTTGCAGATTCTACAAAAAGTGTTTCACAACTGCTCTATCAAAAGGAATGTTCAACTCTGTGAGTTAAATGCCAATATCACAAAGTAGTTTCTGAGAATCCTTCTGTGTAGTTTTTCTAAGAAGATATTTCCTTTCCTACCTTACACCTCAAAACGATCTAAATATCCACTTGAAAATTCTACAAAGAGTGTTTCAAAACTGCGCCATCAAAAGAAAAGTTAAAATCTGTGAGTTGAATGCAAACATCACAAAGCAGTTTCTCAGAATGCTTCTGTGTGGTTTTTGGGTGAAGGTAATTCCTTTTCTACCATAGGCCCCAAAACGCTCTAAATATCCACTTGCAAATTCTACAAAAAGAGTGTTTCAGAAGGTTGAACACTGTGCGTTGAGTGCAGACATCACAAGGTAGTTTCTGAAAATTCTTCTGTCTAGTTTTTAATTGAAGCAATTCCCGTTTCCAACGAAGGCCTCAAAGAGTTCCAAATATCCACTTGCATATTCTACAAAAACAGTGTTTCAAAACTGCTCTATCAAAAGACGCATTCAACTCTGTGAGTCGAATGCAAATTTCACAAAGTAGTTTCTGAGAATGCTTCTGTGTAGTTGTTTTTCTATGAAGATATTACCTTTGCTACCATAGGCCTCAAAGCGCTCTGATTGTCCACTTGCAAATTCAACAGAAAGAGTGTTTCAAAAGTGCTCTATCAAAAGGAAGTTGCAATTCTGTTAGATGAGTGCAGACATCACAAAGTAGTTTCTGAGAATACTTCTGTCTACTTTTTATGTGAGGATATTCCCGTTTCCAAAGAAGGCCTCAAAACGCTCCAAATATCCACATGGAGATTCTACAAAAGAGTGATTGAAAACTGCTCTATCAAAAGGAAGGTTCAACTCCTTGATTTGAATGCACTCATCACAAAGAAGTTTATGAGAATGTTTCTTTCTAGTTTTTATGTGAAGATAATTCCTTTCCCAACATAGGCATCAAAGGCAATCAAACATCCACTTGCAAATTCTACAAAAAAGTGCTTCAAACTGCTCTATAAAGAGGAATGTTCAACTCTATGAGTTGAATGCAAACATCACAAAATACTTTGTGAGAATGCTTCTGTGTAGTTTTCTATGAAGATATTTCCTTTTCTACCATAGGCTTCAAAGCGCACCAAACATCCACTTGGAAATTCTACAAGAGTGTTTCAAAACTGCTCTATGAAAAGGAAGGTTCACATCTGTGAGTTTAATGCACACATTACAAAAAGTTTCTGAGATTTCTTCTGCCTAGTTTTTAAGTGAAGAAATTCCCGTTTCCAAAGAATGCCTCAAGGAGGTCCAAATATCCACTTACTGATTCAACAAAAAGGGTGTTTCAAAACTGCTTTATCAGGAGGAATGTTCAATTCTGTGAGTTGAATGCAAACATCACAAAGCAGTTTCTGAGAATGCTTCCATATTGTTTTTCTATGACGATATTTCCTTTTCTACAATAGACTTCAAAAAGCTCTAAATATCCACTTGGAAATTCTACAAAAAGTGTGTTTCAAAACTGCTCCATCAAAAGAAAGGTTAAACTCTGTGTGTTGAACGCACACATCACAAAGTAGTTTAGGAGAATGCTTCTGTCTAGTTTTTATGTGAAGATATATCCTTTTGTAAAATAGGCCTCAAAACCCTCTAAATACACACTTGCAAATTCTACAAAAAGAGTGTTTCAAAACTGTTCCTTCAAAAGAAAGTTAAAATCTGTGAGTTTAATGCACACATCACAAACAAGTTTCTGAGAATCATTGTGTCTACTATTTATATGAAGATATTTCCTTTTCTACCATAGGCCTCAAACCCCTTAAATATCCACTTGGAAATTCTACAAAAAGACTGTTTCAAAACTGCTCTATTGAAAGGAAGGTTCAACTCTGTGAGTGGAATGCACACATCACAAAGAAGTTTCTGAGAATTCTTCTGTCTAGTTTTTATATGAAGAAATCCCGTTTCCGAAGAAGGCCTCAAAGAGGCCCAAATATCCACTTGCAGATCCTACAAAAAGAGTGTTACAAAACGGGTCTATCAAAAGGAATGTTCAACTCTGTGAATTGAATGCAAACATCACAAAGCAGTTTCTGAGAATGCTTCAGTGTAGCTTTTCTATGACGGTATTTCCTTCTCTACCATAGGGTTCAAAGTGCTCTAAATATCCAGTTAGAAATTTCCTTTTCCAACATAAGCCTCAAAGGCAGGCACATATCCACTTGCAGATTCTACAAAAAGAGTGTTTCAAACTGCTCTATCAACAGAAAAGTTCAATTCTGTATGCTGAATGCACACATCACAAAGAAGTTTCTGGGAATCCTTCTGTCTGGTTTTTATGTGAAGATATACCCGTTTCCAATGAAGGCCTCAAAGCGGTCCAAATGTCCACTTGCAGATTCCACAAAAAGGGTGTTTCAAAACAGCTCTATCAAATGATTGTTCAACTCCGTGAGTTGAATGCAAACATCACAAATGTAGTTTCTGAGAATGCTTCTGTCTAGTTTTTTGGGAAGATATTTCCGTTTCTACTATAGGCCCCAAAGATCTCTAAATATACACTTGCAAATTCTACAAAAAGAGCGTTTCAAAACTGCTCTATCAAAAGGAAGGTTAAACTCTGTGAGTTCAATGCACACATCTCAAAGTAGTTTCTGAGAAAGTTTCTGTCTAGTTTTTATATGAAGATATTTGCTTTTCTACCATAGGCCTCAAAGCTCTCTAAATTCAAACTTGCAAATTCTACAAAAAGAGTGTTTCATAACTGCTCTATCAAAAGAAATGTTCAAATCTGTGAGTTGAACGCACACATCACAAAGTTGTTTCTGAGAATGGTTCTGTCTAGTTTTTAAATGAAGTTTTTTCCTTTTCTACCATAAGCATCAAAGCACTATAAATATCCACTTGGAAGTACTTCAAAAAGAGTGTTTCAATACTGCTCTATCGAAAATAATATTCAACTCTGTGAGTTGAATACAGTCATCACAAAGAAATTTCTGAGAATTCTACTGTCTAGTATTTGCATGAAGAAATCCCGTTTCCAATGAAGGCCTCAAAGAGGTCCAAATATCCACTTGCAGATACTACAAAAAGAGTGTTTGAAAACTGCTCTATCAAGAGGAATGTTCAATTCTGTGAGTTGAATGCAAACATCACAAAGTAGTTTATGAGAATGCTTCTGTCTAGTTTTTATGTGAAGATATTTTCTTTTCTACCATAGGCCTCAAAGCACTCTAAATGTACACTTGCAAATTCTGAAAAAAGAGTGTTTCAAAACTGCTCCTTCAAAACAAAGGTTAAAATATGTGAGTTGAATGCACACATCACAATCTAGTTTTTAAGAATCATTGTGTCTAGTTTTTATATGAGGACTCAAAGCACACTAAATATCCACTTGGAAGTTCTACAAAAAGAGGATTTCAAAACTGCTCTATTGAAAGGAAGGTTAAATTCTGTGAGTTGAATGCACATATCACAAAGAAGTTTCTGATAATTTTTCTGTCTAGTTTTTACATGAAGAAATCCCGTTTCCAACGAAGGCCTCAAAGAGGTCCAAATATCCACTTACATATTCTACAAAAAGAGTGTAACAAAACTGCTCTATCAAAAGGAATGTCCAACAATGTGAGTTGAATGCAAGCATCACAAAGTAGTTTCTGAGAATGCTTCTGTGTAGTTTTTCTATAAAGATGTGTCCTTCTCTACTATCGGCTTCAAAGCGCTGAAAATATCCCTTTGGAAACTCTACAACAAGAGTGTTTCAAAACGGCTCTATCAAAAAGGAAGGTTCAAATCTGTGAGTTGAGTGCAGACATCACAAGGAAGTTTCTGAGAATACTTCTGTCTACTTTTTATGTGAAGATATTCCCGTTTCCAAAGAAGGCCTAAAAAACCTCCAAATTTCCAATTTCAGACATTTTAAAGAGTGTTTCAAAACTGTTCTGTCAAAAGGAAGGTTCAACTCTGTGAGTTGAATGCACTCATCACAAATAAGTTTATAAGAATGTTTCTTTCTAGTTTTTATGTGAAGATAATTCGTTTTCCAACATGGGCCCCAAAGGGAATGAATTATCCACTTGAAGATTCTACAAAAAGAGTGTTTAAAAACTGCTCTGTCAAAAGAAAAGTTCACTTCTGTGCGTTGAATGCACACATAGCAAAGAAGTTTCTGAGAATTCTTCTCTCTGGTTTTTATGTGAAGATAATCCTGTTTCCTACAAAGGCCTCAAAGTTGTCCAAATATCCACTTGCTGATTCCACAAAAAGAGTTTTTCAAAACTGCTCTATCAAAAGGAATGTTCATCTCCGTGAGTTGAATGCAAACATCACAAAGAAGTTTCTGAGAATGCTTCCTTCAAGTTTTTATATGAAGGTATTTTCTTTTCTACATTGGGCCTCAAAGCACTCCAAATATCCACTTGAGGATTCTACAAAAAGAGTGTTTCAAAACTGCTCTATCAAAAGAAAGATTCAACTCTGTGAGTTCAACGCACACATGACAAAGAAATTTCTGAGAATGCTTCTGTCTGGTTTTTCTATGAAGATAATTCCTTTACTAACATAGGCCACAAAGCGCTCCAATTATCCACTGGCAAATACTTCAAAAAGAGTGTTTCATAACTGCTCTATCAAATGAAAGGTTCAACTCTGTGAGTTGAATGAGCACATCACAAAATAGTTTCTGATAATGATTCTGACTACTTTTTATATGAAGATATTTCCTTTTCTACCATAAGCCTCCAAGTGCTCTAAATATCCACCTGGAAATTCTAGAAAAAGTCTGTTTCAAATCTGCTCCATCAAAAGAAAGTTTCAAGTCTGTGAGTTGAATGGACACATCACAAAGTTTTTGAGAAATCTTCTGTCTAGTTGTTATATGAAGAAATCCCTTTTCCAAAGAAGGACTCAAAGACGTCCAAATATCCACTTGCAGAGTCTACAAAAACAGTGTTTCAAAACACATCTATCAAGAGGAATGTTCAACACTGTGAGTTGAATGCAAACATCGCAAAGTAGTTTTTGAGAATGCTTCTGTGTAGTTTGTTATGAAGATATTTCCTTTTTTACCACAGGCTTCAAAGCGCTCTAAATATCCACTTGGAAATTCTACAAAAAAAGTTTTGCAAAAGTGCTCCATCAAAAGAAAGATTAAATTCTGTGAGTTCAACGCACACATCATAATGTAGTTTCTGAGAATGCTTCTGTCTAGTTTTTATGTGAAGATATTTCCTTTTCTACCATAGGCCTCCAAGCACTCTAAATACACACTTGCAAATTCTACAAAAAGAGTGTTTCGTAACTGCTCTATCAAAAGAAAAGCTAAACTCTGTGAATTGAATGTACACATCACAAATCGTTTCTGAGAAAACTTCTGTCTAGTTTTTATATGAAGACATTTCCTTTTCTAACATAGCCTCCAAGTGCTCTAAATATCCACTTGGAAATTCTACAAAAAGAGTGTTTCCAAACTGCTCTATCGAAAGGAAGGTTCACCTCTGTGAATTGAATGCACTCATCACAAAGAAGTTTCTGTGTATTCTTCTGTCTAGTTTTCATATGAAGAAATTACTGTTTCCAAGGAAGGCTTCAGAGAGGTCCAAATATCCACTTACAGATTCTACAAAAAGAGTGTTACAAATCCACTCTATCAAAAGGAATGTTCAACTCTGTGAGTTGAATGCAAACATCATAAAGTAGCTTCTGAGAATGCTTCTGTGTAGTTTTTCTATGAAGATATTTCCTTTTCTATCATAGGCTTCAAAGCGCTCTAAATATCCACTTGAAAATTCTACTAAATGAGTGTTTCAAAACTGCGCCATCAAAAGAAAGGATAAACTCTGTGAGTGCAACACACACATCACAAAGTAGTTTCTGAGAATGATTTTGTCTAGTTTTTATGTGAAGATATTTCCTTTTCTACCATGGGCCCAGAATCCCTCTATATACACACTTGCTAATTCTAAAAAAAAAAAAAAGAGTGTTTCATAACTGCTCTATCAAAAGAAAGGTTAAACTATGAAAGTTGAATGCACACATCACAATGTAGTTTCTGACAATGGTTCTGTCTAGTTTTTATATGAAGATATTTCCTTTTGTACCTTACGGCTCCAAGCGCTCCGAATATCCAGTTGGAAATTTTACAAAAAGAGTGTTTGAAAACTGCTCTATCAAAATGAAAGTTCAACCCTGTGAGTTGAATGCACACAACACAAAGACGTTTCTGAGAATTCTTCTGTCCAGTATTTAAATGAAGAAATCCCGTTTCAAACGAAGATCTCAAAGAGGTCCAAATAACCAGTTGCAGATCCTACAAAAAGAGTGTTTCAGAACTGCTCTATCATGAGGAGTTTTCAACTCTCTGAGTTTAATGAGTACATCACAAAGTAGTTTCTGAGAATGCTTCTGTCTAGTTTTTAAGTGAAGATATTTCCATTTCTGCCACATGCTGCAAAGCGCACTAAATATCCAGTTGGAAATTCCACAAAAAGATTGTTTCAAAACTGCACTATCGAAAGGAAGATTCAACTTTTTGAATTGAATGCACACATCACAAAGAAGTTTCTGAGAATTCTTCTGTCTACTTTTTATATGGAGAAATACCCGTTTCCAATGAAGACATCAGAGAGGTCAAAATATCCACTTGCAGATTCTACAAAAAGAGTGTTACAAAACTACTCTATCAAAAGGAATGTTCAACTCTGTGAGTTGAATACAAACATCACAAAGTTGTCTCTGAGAATCCTTCTGTGTAGTTTTTCTATGAAGATATTACCTTTTCTACCATAGGCTTCAAAGCGTTCCAAATATCCATTTGGAAATACTACAAAAAGAGTCTTTCAAAACTGCTCCATCAAAAGAAGGGATAAACTCTGTGAGTTCAAAGCACACATCACAAAGTAGTTTCTGAGAATGCTTCTGTCAACTTTTCATGTGAAGATATTTAATTTTTTTATCATAGGCCTCACGTCCTCTAAATACACACTTGCAAATTCTACAAAAAGAGTGTTTCACGACTGCTCCATCAAAAGAAAAGTTAAAGTCGAGTTCAATGCACACATCACAAACTAGCTTCTGAGAATGATTCTGTCCAGTTTTTATACGAAGATATTTCCTTTTCTACCATAGCCTTCAAAGCGCACTAAATATCTACATGGAAATTCTACAAAAAGAGTGTTTCAAAACTACTCTATCGAAAGGAACCTTCAACTCTGTGAGTTGAATGCACACATCACAAAAAAGTTTCTGAGAATACTTCTGTCTAGTTTTTATATGAAGAAATCCCGTTTCCAACGAAGGCCTCAAAGAGGTCCAAGTATCTACTTGCAGATTCTACAAAAAGAGTGTTTCAAAACTGCTCTATCAAGAGGAATGTTCAACTCTGTTAATTGAATGCAAAACTCACAAAGTAGTTTCTGAGAATTCTTCTGTCTAGTTTTTATGTGAAGATATTTCCTTTCCTACCATAGGCCTCAAAACACTCTAAATATACACTTGCAAATTCTACAAAAAGAGTGTTTCAAAACTTCCCCATCAAAAGAAATGTTAAACTGGGTGAGTTGAACGCACACATCACAAACTAGTTTCTGAGCATGATTCTGTCTAGACTTTATGTGAAGATATTTCCTTTTCTACCATAGGCCTCCAAGCGCTCTAAAAATCCAATTGGAAATTCTACAAAAAGAGTGTTTCAAAACTTGTGTATCAAAAGGAACGTTCAACTCTGTGAGTTGAATGCTCACATCACAAAGAAGTTTCTGAGAATTCTTCTGTCTCATATTTAAATGAAGAAATCCGGTTTCCAACGAAGGTCTCAAAGAGTTCCAAATATCCACTTGCAGATACTACAAAAAGAGTGTTTCAAAACGGCTCTATCAAGGGGAATGTTCAACTCTCTTAGTTGAATGCAAACACCACAACGCAGTTTCTGAGGGTGCTTCTGTCTAGTTTTTATGTGAAGAAATTTCCTTTTCTACTATAGGCCTCAAAGCGCTCTAAATATACACTTGCAAATTCTACAAAAAGAGTGTTTCAAAACTGCACCATGAAAAGAAATGTTAAACTCTGAGAGTTGAACTCACACATCACAAAGTACTTTCTGAGAATGATTCTGTCAAGTTTTTATATGAAGATATTTCCTTTTAGACCAAAGGCCTCAAAGTGCACAAGATATCCACTTGGAAATTCTACAAAAAGATTGTTTCAAAACTGCTCTATCGAAAGGATGGTTAAACTCTGTGAGTTGAATGCACACATCACAAAGAATTTTCTGAAAATTCTTCTGTCAAGTATTTAAATGAGGAGATCTCGCTTCCAATGAAGGCCTGAAAGAGGTCCAAGTATCCACTTGCGGATTCTACAAAAAGAGTGTTTCAACACTGCTCTATCAAGAGCAATGTTCAACTCTGTGAGTTGAATGCAATCATTACAAAGTAGTTTCTGAGAATGCTTCTGTCTACTTTTTACGTGAAGATATTTCCTTTTCTACCATATGCCTCAAAGTGCTCTAAATATACACTTGCAAATTCTACAAAAAGTGTGTCTTAAAACTGCTCCATCAAAAGAAAGGTTAAACTCTGTGAGTTGAAAGCACACATCACAAAGTAGTTTCTGAATATGGTTCTGTCTAGTTTTCATATGAAGATATTTCCTTTTGTACCATAGGCCTCAAAGCCCTCTAAATACTCACTTTCAAATTCCACAAAAAAGATTGTTTCAAAACTGCTCTATCAAAAGAAGTGTTAAACTCTGTGAATTGAATGCAAATATCACAAAGCAGTTTCTGAGAATGATTCTGTCTAGTGGTTATATGAAGATATTTCCTTTTCTACAATAGGCCGCAAATAGCTCTAAATATCCACTTGGAAATTCTACAAAAAGAGTGTTTCAAAACTGGTTATCGAAAGGAAGGTTCAACATTGTGAACTGAATGCGCACATCACAAAGAAGTTTCTGAGAATCCTTCTGTCTAGTTTTCATAGGAAGAAATCCCGTTTCCAATGAAGGTCTCAAAGAGTTTCAAATATCCACTTGCAGATTCTATGAAAAGGGTGTTACAAAATTGCTCTATCAAAAAGAATGTTCAATTCTGTGAGTTGAATGCAAACATCACAAAGTAGTTTCTGAGAATGCTTCTGTGTACTTTTTCTATGAAGATATTTCCTTCTATACCATAGGCTTCAAAGCGCTCTAAATATCCAGTTGGAAATTCTACAAAAACAGTGTTTCAGAACTGCTCCATCAAAAGGAAGGTTCAATTCTGAGTTGAGTGTACACATCACAAAAAATTTCTGAGATTTCTTCTCTCTAGTTTTTAAGTGAAGAATTTTTCGTTTCCAACGAAGGCCTCATAGAGGTCCAAATATCCACTTGCAGATCCTACAAAAAGAGTGTTTCAAAACTGCTCTATCAAAAGGAATGTTCAACTCTTTGAGTTGAATGCAAACATCACAAAGCAGTTTCTGAGAATGCTTCTGTGTAGTTTTTCTATGAATATATTTCCTTTTCTACCATAGGCCACAAAACACTCTAAATATCTACTTGCAAATTCTACAAAAAGACTATTTCAAAACTGCTCTATCAGAGGGAAGGTTTATCTCTGTGAGTTGAGTGCAGACATTACAAAGAAGTTTCAGAGAATACTTATGTCTACTTTATATGTGAAGATATTCCCGTTTCCAATAAAGACCTCAAAGACCTCCAATTATCCACTTGCAAACTTTACATACAGAGCATTTCAAAACTGCTGTCAAAAGAAAGATTCAACTCTGTGAGTTGAATTCACTCATCACAAAGAAGTTTATGAGAACGATTCATTCTAGTTTTTATGTGAAGTTAACTCCTTTCCCAACATGGGCCTCAAAGGGAATAAAATATCCACTTGAAGATCCTACAAAAAGAGTGTTTGTAAACTGCTATATCAAAAGAAATATTCACCTCTGTGAGTTGAATACACATATCACAAAGAAGTTTCTGAGAATGCTTCTCTCTGGATTTTATGTGAAGATAATCCCGTTTCCAACGAAGGCCTCAAATCGGTCGAAATATCCACTTGCAGATTCCACAAAAAGAGTGTTTCAAAACTTCTCTATACAAAGGAATGTTCAACTCTGTTAGCTGAATGGAAACATCACAAAATAGTTTCTTAGAATGCTTCTGTCTACTTTTTTTATTAAAATACTTCCTATTCGACACAAAGCTCTCTAAATATTCATTTGCAAATTCTACAAAAAGAGTGTTTCAAAACTGCTCTATCCAAAGGAAGTTTCAACTCTGTGAGTTGAATGCAGACCTCACAAAGAAGTTTCTGAGAATACTTCTGTCTACTTTCTATGTGAAGTTATACCCGTTTCAAAAGTAGGCCTCAAAGCACTCCAAAGATCCACTTGCAGATTCTACAAAAAGATTGTTTCAAAAATGCTCTATCAAAAGGAAGGTTCAACTCTGTTAGTTGAAGGCACACATCAAAAATAAGTTTCTGAGAATGATTCTTTCTTGTTTTTATATGAAGATATTTCCTTTTCCAACATAAGCCTCAAAGGGAGGCACATATCCACTTGGAGATTCTACAAAAAGAGTGTTTCAAAACTGCTCTATCAACAGAAAAGTTTAACTCTGTAAGTTGAATGCACACATCACAAAGCAGTTTCTGGGAATCCTTCTGTCTCATTTTTATTTGAAGATATACCCATTTCCAATGAAGTCCTCAAAGCGGTCCAAATGTCCACTTGCAGATTACACAAAAAGGGTGTTTCAAAACTGCTCTATCAAATGATTGTTCAACCCGGTGAGTTGAATGCAAACATCACAAAGTGGTTTCTGAGAATGCTTCTGTCTAGTTTTTTGGGATGATATTTCCTTTTCTACCATAGACCCAAAGATCTCTAAATATGCACTTGCAAATTCTACAAAAAGTGTGTTTCAAAACTTCTCTATCAAAAGAAAGGTTAAACTCTGTGAGTTGAATGCAAACATCACAAAGTAGTTTAGGAGAATGCTTCTGTCTAGTTTTTATGTGAAGATATTTCCTTTTGTACCATAGGCCTCAAAGCCTTCTAAATCCACACTTGCAAACTTTGGAAAAGAGTGTTTCAAAACTGCTCCATCAAAAGAAAGGTTAAAATCTGTGAGTTGAACACACACATCACAAACTAGTTTCTGAGAATCATTGTGTCTAGTTTTTATATGAAGATATTTCCTTTTCTACCATAGGCCTCAAACCCCTTAAATATCCACTTAGAATTTCTACAAAAAGAGTGTTTCAAAACTGCTCTATTGAAAGGAAGTTTCAACTCTGTGATTTGAATGCACACATCACAAAGAAATTTCTAAGAATTCTTCTGTCTAGTTTTTATATGAAGGAATCCCATTTCCTACGAAGGCCTCAAAGAGGCCAAAATGTCCAATTGCAGATTCTACAAAAAGAGTGTTACAAAACTGGTCTATCAAAAGGAAAGTTCAACTCTGTGAGTTGAATGCAAACATCAAAAAGTAGTTTCTGAGAATGCTTCTGTGTAGCTTTTCTATGAAGATATTTCCTTCTCTACCATAGGCTTCAAAGTGCTCTAAATATCCAGTTGGGAATTCTACAAAAAGAGTGTTTTAAAACTGCTCTATCAAAAGGAAGGTTCAACTCTGTGAGCTGAATGCACACATCACAAATAGTTTCTGAGTTTCTTCTGTCTAGTTTTTTTTTTTTTTTTTTTTTTTTTTTGAGACGGATTCTCGCTCTGTCACCCAGGCCGGACTGCGGACTACAGTGGCGCAATCTCGGCTCACTGCAAGCTCCGCTTCCCGGGTTCACGCCATTCTCCTGCCTCAGCCTCCCGAGTAGCTGGGACTACAGGCGCCCGCCACCGCGCCTGACTAATTTTTTGTATTTTTAGTAGAGACGGGGTTTCACCTTGTTAGCCAGGATGGTCTCGATCTCCTGACCTCATGATCCACCCGCCTCGGCCTCCCAAAGTGCTGGGATTACAGGCTTGAGCCACCGCGCCCGGCCCTGTCTAGTTTTTAAGTGAAGAATTTCCCGTATCCAACGAAGACCTCGTAGAGGTCCAAATATTCACTTGCAGATCCTACAAAAAGAATGTTTCAAAACTGCTCTATCAAAAGGAATATTCAACTCTGTGAGTTGAATGCAAACATCACAAAGCAGTTTCTGAGCATGCTTCTGTGTAGTTTTTCTATGAATATATTTCCTTTTCTACCATAGGCCCCAAAACGCTCTATATCTCCACTTGCAAACTCTACAAAAAGAGTGTTTCAAAACTGCTCTATCAAAGGGAAGGTTGATCTCTGTGAGTTGAGTGCAGACATCACAAAGAAGTTTCAGAGAATACTTATGTCTACTTTTTATGGGAAGATATTCCCCTTTCCAAAGAAGGCCTGAAAGCACTACAAATGTCCACTTGCAAACGTTACAAACAGAGCGTTTCAAAACTGCTGTGTCAAAAGAAAGGTTCAAGTCTGTGAGTTGAATTCACTTATCTATCTCAAAGAAGTTTATGAGAATGTATCATTCTAATTTTTATGTGAAGATAACTCCTTTTCCAACATGGGCCTCAAAGGGAATAAAATATCCACTTGAAGATTCTACAAAAAGAGTGTTAGAAAACTGCTATATCAAAAGAAATATTCACCTCTGTGAGTTGAATGCACACATCGCAAAGAAGTTTCTGAGAATGCTTCTCTCTGGTTTTTATGTGAAGATAATCCCGTTTCCAACCAAGGACTCAAAGCGGTCTAAATGTCCACTTGCAGATTCCACAAAAAGAGTGTTTCAAAACTTCTCTATCAAAAGGAATGTTCAACTCTGTTAGTTGAATGGAAACATCACAAAGTAGTTTCTTAGAATGCTTCTGTCTACTTTTTTATGAAAATACTTCCTATTCTACCATAGGACATGCAGCACTCTAAATATCCACTTGGAAATTCTACAAAATGAGTGTACAAAACTGCTCTATCCAAAGGCAGGTTCAGCTCAGTGAGTTGAATGCAGACATCACAAAGAAGTTTCTGAGAATACTTCTGTCTACTTTCTCTGTGAAAATATACCCGTTTCAAAAGTAGGCCTCAAAGCCCTCCAAAAATCCACTTGCAGATTCTACAAAAAGTGTGTTTCAAAAATGCTCTATCAAAAGGAAGGTTCAACTCTGTGAGTTGAAGTCACACATCAAAAAGTAGTTTCTGAGAATGATTCCTTCTACTTTCTATGTGAAGATATTTCCTTTTCCAAAATAAGCCTCAAAGGGAGGCACATATCCACTAGCAAATTCTACAGAAAGAGTGTTTCAAAACTGCCCTATCAAAAGAAAAGTTAAAATCTGTAAGTTGAATGCACACATCACTAAGAAGTTTCTGGGAATCCTTCTGTCTGATTTTTATGTGAAGATATGCCCGTTTTCAACGAAGGCCTCACAGCGGTCCAAATGTCCGCTTGCAGAATCTACAAAAAGGGTGATTCAAAACTGCTCTATCAAATGATTGTTCAGCTCTGTGAGTTGAATGCAAACATCACAAATTAGCTTCTGAGAATGCTTCACTCTACTTTTTATGTGAAGATATTTCACTTTCTGCCACAGGCTACAAAGCGCCCTAAATATACACTTGCAAATCATACAAGAAGAGTGTTTCAAAACTTCTCCATTCAAAAGAAAGGTTAAACTCTGTGAATTCAATGCACACATCACAAACTGGTTTCTGAGAATGCTCCTGTGTTGTTTTTCTATGAAGATAGTTCCTTTTCTAACATAGGCTTCAAAGGGCACTAAATATCCACTTGGAAATTCTACAAAAAAAGTGTTTCAAAACTGTTCTATTGAAAAGAAGGTTAAACTCTGTGATTTGAACGCACACATCACAGAGTAGTTTCTGAGAATTATTCTGTCTAGTGTTTATATGTAGATAATTTCTTTTCTACCAAAGTCCTCAAACCACTCTAAATATCCACTTGGAAATTCCTCAAAAAGAGTGTTTCAAAACTGCTCTATTGGAAGGAAGATTCAACTCTGTGAATTGAATGCATAGAACACAAAGATGTTTCTGAGAATTCTGTCTAGCTTTCATAAGAAGAAAGCCCGTTTCCAATGAAGGCCTCAAAGAGCTTCAAATATCCACTTGCAGATTCCACAAAAAGAGTGTTTCAAAACTGCTCCATCAAGAGGAATGTTCAACTCTGTGAGTTGAATGCAAACATCACACAGTAGTTTCTGAGAATGCTTCTGTTTAGTTTTTATGTGAAGATATTTCCTTTTCTACCATAGGCTTCAACGTGCTCCAAATATCCACTTCAAAATTCTACAAAAAGAGGGTTTCAAAATTTCTCCATGAAAAGAAAGGTTAAACTCTGTGAGTTGAATGCACACATCACAAAGTAGCTTCTGAGAATGATTCTGTCTGGTTTTTATATGAAGATATTTCGTTTTTAACCATAGACCTCAAAGCGCTCTAAATATCCACTTGGAAATTATGTAAAAAGAGTTTCAAAACTGCTCTATCGAAAGGAAGGTTCAACTCTGTGTACTGAATGCACACACCACAAAGAGGTTTCTGTGAATTCTTCTATCTCGTTTTTAAATGAAGAAATCCCGTTTCCAAGGAAGGCCTCAAATAGGTCAAAATATCCACTTGCATATCCTATAAAAAGAGTGTTTCAAAAGTGCTCTACCAAAAGGAATGTTCAACTCTGTGAGTTGAATGCAAACATCAACAAGTAGTTTCTGAGAATGCCTCTGTGTAGTTTTAATATGAAGATATTTCCTTTTCTAGCATAGGCCCCAAAACGCTCTATATATCCACTCGCAAATTCTACAAAAAGAGTGTTTCAAAACTGCACTATCAAAGGGAAGGTTCAACCCTGGTAGTTGAGTGAAGACATCACAAAGGAGTTTCTGAGAATACTTCTGTTTACTTTTATGTGAAGATATTCCCCTTTACAAAGAAGGCATTAAAGCATTCCAAATATCCACTTGCAGACTTTACAGAGTGTTTCAAAACTGCTTTAACAAAAGAAAGGTTAAACTCAGTGAGTTTAAAGCACACATCACAAACTAGTTTCTGAGAAAGGTTCTGTCTAATTTCTATGTGAAGACATTCCCTTTTTTACCATAGGCTTCAAGGCGCCCTAAATATTCACTTGAAAATACTTCAAAAATAGTGTTTCAAAACTGCTGTATTGAAAGGAAGTTTCAACTCTGTGAGTTGAATGCACACATCACACAGAAGTTTCTGGGAATTCTTCTGTCTACTTTTTATAGGAAGAAATCCCGTTTCCAAAGAAGGCCTCTAAGAAGTCCTAATAACCACTTGCAGATTCTACAAAAAGAGTGTTACAAAACTGCTCTATCAAAAGGAATGTTCAACTCTGTGAGTTGAATGCAAACAACACAAAGTAGTATCTCAGAATGCTTCTGTGCAGTTTTTCTATGAAGATATTTCCTTTTCTACCACAGGCTTCAGAGCGCACTAAATATCCACTTGGAAATTCTACAAAAAGAGTGTTTCAAAACTGCTCTATCGAAAGAAAGATTCAACTCTGTGAGTTGAATGTCCATGTCACAGAAAGTTTCAGAGATTTCTTCTGTCTGTTTTTCAAGTGAAGAAATTCCCGTTTCCAACGAAGGCCTCAAAGAGTTCCAAATATCCACTTGCAGATTCTACAAAGGAGAGTTTCAAAACTGCTCCATCAAGAGGAATGTCCAACTCTGTCAGTTGAATGCAAACATCACACAGTAGTTTCTGAGAATGCTTCTGCCTCGTTGGTATGTGAAGATATTTCATTTTCTACCATAGGCCTCAAAGCGCTCTGAATATACACTTGCAAATTCTACAAAAGTGGTGTTTCAAAACTGCTCTATCAAAAGAAATGTTAAACTATGTGAGTTGAATGCACACATCACAAAGTAGTTTCTGAGAATGATTCTGTCTAGTTTTTATATGAAGATATTTCCTTTTCTACCATAGGTCTCAAACAGCTCTAAATATCCACTTGGAAATTCTACAAAAAGAGTGATTCAAAACTGCTCTATTGAAAGAAAAGTTCAACTCTGTGAATTGAATGCACACATCATAAACAAGTTTCTGAGAATTCTTCTGTCTAGTTTTTATATGAAGAAAGTCCCGTTTCCAACGAAGGCCTCAAAGAGGTCCAAATATCCACTTGTAGAGTCTACAAAAAGAGTGTTACAAAACTACTCTATCGAAAGTAATGTACAACTCTGTGAGTTTAATGCAAACATCACAAAGTAGTTTCTGAGAATGCCTCTGTGTATTTTTAATATGAAGATATTTCCTTTTCTACCATAGGCCAAAAAACGCTCTTAATATCCACTCGCAAACTCTACAAAATGAGTGTTTCAAAACTGTTCTATCAAAAGGAAGGTTAAACTCTGTTAGTTGAGTGCAGACAACACAAAGAAGTTTCTGAGAATACTTCTGTTTACTTTTTATGTGAAGATATTCCTGATTCCAAAGAAGGCTTTAAAGTGCTCCAAATATACACTTGCAGACTTTACAAACATAGTGTTTCAAAACTGCTCTACCAAAAGAAAGGTTAAATTCAGTGAATTGAAAGCACAAATCACAATCTAGTTTCTGAGAAAGATTCTGTATAATTTTTATATGAAGATATTTCCTTTTCTACCATAGGCTTCAAGGCGATCTAAATATCCACTTGGAAATTCTGCAAAAAGAGTTTTTCAAAACTGCTCTATCGAAAGGAAGTTTCAACTCTGTGAGTTGAATGCACACATCAAAAAGAAGTTTCTGAGAGTCTTTCTGTCTAGTTTTTATATGAAGAAATCCAGTTTCCAACGAAGGTCTCAAAGAGGTCTAAATATCCACTTGCAGATTCTAGAAAAAAAATGTTTCAAAACTGCTACACCAAGGGGAATGTTCAACACAGTGCGTTGAATGCAAACATCCCAATGTATTTTCTGAGAATGTTTCTAATTTTTATGTGAAGATATTTCGTTTTCTAAAATAGGCGTCTAAGTGCTGTCAATATACAATTGCAAATTCTACAAAAGCGGTGTTTCAAAACTGCTCTATCAAAAGAAATGTTAAACTCTGTGAGTTGAACGCAGAGATCACAAAGTAGTTTCTGAGAATGATTCTGTCTAGTTGTTATATGAAGATATATCCTTTTCTACCATAGGCCTTAAAACACTCTAAATATCCAGTTGAAAATACAACAAAAAGAGTGTTTCAAAACTGCTCTATCGAAAGGAAGGTTCAACTCTGTGAATTGAACATACACATCACGAAGAAGTTTCTGAGAATTTTTCTGTCTATTTTTAAGTGAAGAAATTCCCGTTTCCAACGAAGGCCACAAAGAGGTCAAAATATCCACTTGCAGATACTACAAAAAGAGTGTTTCAAAACTGCCCCATCCAAAGAAAGGTTAAACTCTTTGAGTTGAACGCACACATCATGAAGTAGTTTCTGAGAATGATTCTGTGTAGTTTCCATATGAAGATATTTCCTTTTCTAGGTTAGGCCTTAAACCACTCTAAATATTCACTTGGAAATTCTACAAAAAGAGTGTTTCAAAACTACTCTATTGAAAGCAAAATTCAACTCTGTGAAATAAATGCACACATCACAAAGAAGTTTCTGAGAAATCTTCTTTCTAATTTACAAATGAAGAAATCCTGTTTCCAACGAAGGCCACAAAGAGGTCAAATATCCACCAGCAGAGCCTACAAAAAGACTGTTTCAAAACTGCTCTCTCAAGAGGAATGTTCAACTCTGTGAGTTGAATGCAAGCATCACAATGTGGTCTCTGAGAATGCTTCTGTCTAGTTTTTATGTGAAGAGATATCCTTTTCTACCACAGGTCTTAAAGAGCAATAAATATACACTTGCAAATTCTACAAAAGAAGTGTTTCAAATCAGACCCATCAAAAGAAAGTTAAGCTCTGTGAGTTGCACGCACACATCACAAAATTGTTTCTGAGAATGATTATCTCTATTTTTTATATGAAGACATTTCATTTTCTAACAAAGGCCTCAAAGCAAACTAAATATCCACTTGGAAATTCTAGAAAAAGAGTGTTTAAAAACTTCTATATAGAAAGGAATGTTCAACTCTTTGAGTAAAATGCACACATCACAAAGAAGTTTCGGAGAATTCTTCTGTTTATCTTTCATATGAAGGAATACCGTTTCCAATGAAGGCATCAAAGACGTCCAAATATCCACTTGCAGATTCTACAAAAACAGTTTTTCAAAACTACTGTATCAAAAGAATGGTTCAACTCTCTTAGTTGAGTACACACATCACAAACGTGATTCTCAGAATGCTTCTGTCTAGTTTCTATGGGTAATTTCCTTTTTCAGCATAGGCCTGAAAGCGCTCCAATTGCCCGCTTCCAGACACTATAAAAAGAGGGTTTCAAACCTACTCTATGAAGGGGAATGTTCAACTCTGAGAGCTGGATGCAAACATCACAAAGAAGTTTCTGAGAATGCTGCTGTCTACCTTTGATATGTAATCCCGTTTCCAACGAAATCCTCAAATCTATCCATATATCCACTTGCAGATTCCAAAAGAAGAGTGTCTCAAAACTGCTCTATCAATAGAAAGGTTCAGCACAGTTCGTTCAGTAGATACAGCATAAACAAGTTTCTGAGATTGCTTCTATCTCGCATTCATGGGAAGATATTTTCTTTTTCCAGATAGGCTACAAAGCCCGCCAAATATCCACTTCGAGATACTACAAATGGAGTGCTTCACAACTGCTTTATGTGAGGGAATGTTCAATTCTGTGACTTGAATGCAGACACCACAAAGAAGTTTCTGAATGCTGCTGTCTACTTTTTATATGTAATCCCGTTTACAACGAAATCCTCAAAGCCATCCAAATATCCACATGCAGAATCTTCAAAAAGAGTGTTCCAGAAGTACTGCATGAAAAGAAAGGTTCAAGTCCGTTAGTTGAGGACACACATCACAAAAAAGTTTCTGAGAATGCTTCTGTCTTGTTTTTATGGGAAGATATTTCCTTTTTCACCACAGGTAAGAAAGCGCTCCAAATGTCCACTTCCAGATGCTACAAAAAGAGTGTTTCCAACCTGCTCTATGAATGGGAATGTTCCACTCTGTGACTTGAATGCAAACATCGTAAGGAAGTTTCTGAGAATCCTGCTGTCTACTTTTTATATGTAAACCCGTTTCCAACGAAATCCTGAAAGCTATCCAAATATCCACATGCAGAATCTTCAAAAAAGAGTGTTCCAGAAGTACTGCATGAAAAGAAAGCTTCAAGACTGTTAGTTGAGGACACACATCACAAATAAGTTTCTGAGACTGCTTCTATCTTGTTTTTATGGGAAGATATTTGCTTTTTCACCACAGGCAAGAAGGCGCTCCAAATGTCCACTTCCAGATGCTACAAAAAGAGTGTTTCCAACCTGCTCTATGAACGGGAATGTTCCAGTCTGTGACTTGAATGCAAACATCGTAAGGAAGTTTCTGAGAATGCTACTGTCTACTTTTTATATGTAATCCCGTTTCCAACGAAATTCTCAAAGCGATACAAATATCCACTTGCAGATTCCAAAAAAAGAGTGTTTCAAACTGCTCTGTCAGTACAAAGGTTCAACACTGTTAGTTGATTGGATGCATCATAAACAAGTTCCTGAGATAGATTCTATGTCGTTTTTATGGGAAGATATTTCCTTTTTCACCATAGGCCTGAAAGCGCTCCAAATGTCCACTTCCAGATACTACAAAAAGAGTGTTTCCAACCTGCTCTATGAAACGGAAGGTTCAACTCTGTGACTTGATTGCAAACATCACGAAGGTATTTCTGAGAATGTTTCTGTCTAGATTTTCTTTGAAGACATTACCGTTTCCAACGAAATCCTCAAAGCTAGCCAAATATCCACCTGCAGATTCTACAAAAAGAGTGTTTCAACAGTGCTCTGTCCAAACCAAGGTTCAATTCTGACAGTTGAGTGCACACATCACAAACGTGATTCTGCGAATGCTTCCGTCTTGTTTTTGTCGGAAGATATTTCCTTTTTCAGCATAGGCCCCAAGGAGCTCAAAATGTCCACTTCCAGATAGTACGAGAAGATTGTTTCAAACCTGCTCTGTGAAAGGGAATGTTCAACTCTGTGACTTGAATGTAAACATCCCTAAGATGTTTCTTAGAATGCTTCTGGCTAGATTTGATTTGAAGATATTCCCGTTTCCAACGAAATCCTCAAAGCTTTCCAAATATCCACTTCCAGATTCTATAAAAAGAATGTTTCAAAACAGTTCTGTCAACAGAAAGGTCCAACTCTGTTAGTGGAGAACACACATCACAATCAAGGTTCTGAGAATGCTTCTGTCTAAATTTTCTATGAAGACATTCCCGTTTCCAACGAAATCCTCACAGCTATCCAAGTATCCACTTGCAGATTCTACAAAAAGTGTGGTTCAAAACTGCTGTATCAAAAGAATGGATCAACACTGTTAGTTGAGTACCCACATCACAAACGTGATTCTCAGAATGCTTCTGTCTAGTTTCTATAGGTAGATATTTCCTTTTTCAGCATAGGCCTGAAAGCGCTCCAAATGCCCGCTTCCAGACACTATAAAAAGAGGGTTTCAAACCTACTCTATGAAGGGGAATGTTCAACTCTGAGAGCTGGATGCAAACATCACAAAGAAGTTTCTGAGAATGCTGCTGTCTACATTTGATATATAAGCCCGTTGCCAACGAAATCCTCAAATCTATCCAAATATCCACTTGCAGATTCCAAAAGAAGAGTGTCTCAAAACTGCTCTATCAATAGAAATGTTCAGCACAGTTAGTTGAGTAGATACAGCATAAACATGTTTCTGAGATTACTTCTATCTTGCATTCATGGGAAGATATTTCCTTTTTCCAGATAGGCTACAAAGCCCTCCAAATGTCCACTTCGAGATACTACAAATAGAGTGCTGCACAACTGCTCTATGTGAGGGGATGTTCAATTCTATGACTTGAATGCAGACACCACAAAGAAGTTTCTGAGAATGCTGCTGTCTAATTTTTATATGTAAGCCCGTTTCCAACGAAATCCTCAAAGCTATCCAAATATCCGCATGCAGAATCTTCAAAAAGAGTGTTCCAGAAGTACTGCATGAAACGAAAGGTTCAAGTCCGTTAGTGGAGGACACACATCACAAATAAGTTTCTCATAATGCTTCTGTCTTGTTTTCATTGGAAGATATTTCCTTTTTCATCATAGTTCAGAAAGCGCTCCAAATGACCACTTCCAGATACTACAAAAGGAGTGTTTCCAACCTGCTCCATGGATGGGAATGTTCCACTCTGTGACTTGAATGGAAATATGGCAAAGTATTTTCTGAGTATGCTGCTGTGTACGTTTTATATTGCATCCCGTTTCCAACGAAATCCTCAAAGCGATCCAAATATCCACTTGCAGATTCCAAAAAAAAGAGTGTTTCACACTGCTCTGTCAGTACAAAGGTTCAACACTGTTAGTTGATTGGATGCATCAGAAACAAGTTCCTGAGATAGATTCTATGTCGTTTTCATGGGAAGATATTTCCTTTTTCACCATAGGCCTGAAAGCGCTCCAAATGTCCACTTCCAGATACTACAAAAAGAGTGTTTCCAACCTGCTCTATGAAACGGAAGGTTCAACTCTGTGACTTGATTGCAAACATCACGAAGGTGTTTCTGAGAATGTTTCTGTCTAGATTTTCTTTGAAGACATTACCGTTTCCAACGAAATCCTCAAAGCTAGCCAAATATCCACCTGCAGATTCTACAAAAAGAGTGTTTCAAAAGTGCTCTGTCCAAACCAAGGTTCAATTCTGACAGTTGAGTGCACACATCACAAACGTGATTCTGCGAATGCTTCTGTCTAGTTTTTGTCGGAAGATATTTCCTTTTTCCGCATAGGCCCCAAGGAGCTCAAAATGTCCACTTCCAGATAGTACGAGAAGATTGTTTCAAACCTGCTCTGTGAAAGGGAATGTTCAACTCTGTGACTTGAATGTAAACATCCCTAAGATGTTTCTTTGAATGCTTCTGGCTAGATTTTATTTGAAGATATTCCCGTTTCCAACGAAATCCTCAAAGCTTTCCAAATATCCACTTCCAGATTCTATAAAAAGAATGTTTCAAAACAGTTCTGTCAAAAGAAAGGTTCAACTCTGTTGGTGGAGAACACACATCACAATCAAGGTTCTGAGAATGCTTCTGTCTAAATTTTCTATGAAGACATTCCCGTTTCCAACGAAATCCTCACAGCTATCCAAATATCCACTTGCAGATTCTACAAAAAGTGTGGTTCAAAACTGCTGTATCAAAAGAATGGATCAACAGTGTTAGTTGAGTACCCACATCACAAACGTGATTCTCAGAATGCTTCTGTCTAGTTTCTATAGGTAGATATTTCCTTTTTCAGCATAGGCCTGAAAGCGCTCCAAATGCCCGCTTCCAGACACTATAAAAAGAGGGTTTCAAACCTACTCTACGAAAGGGAATGTTCAACTCTGAGAGCTGGATGCAAACATCACAAAGAAGTTTCTGAGAATGCTGCTGTCTACTTTTGATATATAATCCCGTTTCCAAGGAAATCCACAAATCTATCCAAATATCCACTTGCAGATTCCAACAGGAGAGTGTCTCAAAACTGCTCTATCAATAGAAATGTTCAGCACAGTTAGTTGAGTAGATACAGCATAAACATGTTTCTGAGATTACTTCTATCTCGCATTCATGGGAAGATATTTCCTTTTTCCAGATAGGCTACAAAGCCCTCCAAATGTCCACTTCGAGATACTACAAAGAGAGTGCTGCACAACTGCTCTATGTGAGGGGATGTTCAATTCTGTGACTTGAATGCGGACACCACAAAGAAGTTTCTGAGAATGCTGCTGTCTAATTTTTATATGTAAGCCCGTTTCCAACGAAATCCTCAAAGCTATCCAAATATCCGCATGCAGAATCTTCAAAAAGAGTGTTCCAGAAGTACTGCATGAAACGAAAGGTTCAAGTCCGTTAGTTGAGGACACACATCACAAATAAGTTTCTCAGAATGCTTCTGTCTTGTTTTCATTGGAAGATATTTCCTTTTTCACCATAGTTCAGAAAGCGCTCCAAATGTCCACTTCCAGATACTACAAAAGGAGTGTTTCCAACCTGCTTTATGAATGGGAATGTTCCACTCTGTGACTTGAATGGAAATATGGCAAAGTATTTTCTGAGTATGCTGCTGTGTACGTTTTATACTGCATCCCGTTTCCAACGAAATCCTCAAAGCGATCCAAATATCCACTTGCAGATTCCAAAAAAAAGAGTGTTTCACACTGCTCTGTCAGTACAAAGGTTCAACACTGTTAGTTGATTGGATGCATCATAAACAAGTTCCTGAGATAGCTTCTATGTCGTTTTTATGGGAAGATATTTCCTTTTTCACCGTAGGCCTGAAAGCGCTCCAAATGTCCACTTCCAGATACTACAAAAAGAGTGTTTCCAACCTGCTCTATGAAACGGAAGGTTCAACTCTGTGACTTGATTGGAAACATCACGAAAGTGTTTCTGAGAATGATTCTGTCTAGATTTTCTTTGAAGACATTACCGTTTCCAACGAAATCCTCAAAGCTAGCCAAATATCCACCTGCAGATTCTACAAAAAGAGTGTTTCAAAAGTGCTCTGTCCAAACCAAGGTTCAATTCTGACAGTTGAGTGCACACATCACAAACGTGATTCTGCGAATGCTTCTGTCTGGTTTTTGTCGGAAGATATTTCCTTTTTCAGCATAGGCCCCAAGGAGCTCAAAATGTCCACTTCCAGATAGTACGAGAAGATTGTTTCAAACCTGCTCTGTGAAAGGGAATGTTCAACTCTGTGACTTGAATGTAAACATCCCTAAGATGTTTCTTTGAATGCTTCTGGCTAGATTGTATTTGAAGATATTCCCGTTTCCAACGAAATACTCAAAGCTTTCCAAATATCCACTTCCAGATTCTATAAAAAGAATGTTTCAAAACAGTTCTGTCAAAAGAAATGTTCAACTCTGTTGGTGGAGAACACACATCACAATCAAGATTCTGAGAATGCTTCTGTCTAAATTTTCTATGAAGACATTCCCGTTTCCAAGGAAATCCTCACAGCTATCCAAATATCCACTTGCAGATTCTACAAAAAGTGTGGTTCAAAACTGCTGTATCAAAAGAATGGATCAACACTGTTAGTTGAGTACCCACATCACAAACGTGATTCTCAGAATGCTTCTGTCTACTTTCTATAGGTAGATATTTCCTTTTTCAGCATAGGCCTCAAAGCGCTCCAAATGCCTGCTTCCAGACACTATAAAAAGAGGGTTTCAAACCTACTCTACGAAAGGGAATGTTCAACTCTGAGAGCTGGATGCAAACATCACAAAGAAGTTTCTGAGAATGCTGCTGTCTACTTTTTATATATAATCCCGTTTCCAAGGAAATCCTCAAATCTATCCAAATATCCACTTGCAGATTCCAAAAGAAGAGTGTCTCAAAACTGCTCTATCAATAGAAATGTTCAGCACAGTTAGTTGAGTAGATACAGCATAAACATGTTTCTGAGATTACTTCTATCTCGCATTCATGGGAAGATATTTCCTTTTTCCAGATAGGCAACAAAGCCCTCCAAATGTCCACTTCGAGATACCACAAATAGAGTGATGCACAACTGCTCTATGTGAGGGGATGTTCAATTCTGTGACTTGAATGCAGACACCACAAAGAAGTTTCTGAGAATGCTGCTGTCTAATTTTTTATGTAAGCCCGTTTCCCACGAAATCCTCAAAGCTATCCATATATCCACATGCAGAATCTTCAAAAAGAGTGTTCCAGAAGTACTGTATGAAAGGAAAGGTTCAAGTCCGTTAGTTGAGGACACACATCACAAATAAGTTTCTCAGAATGCTTCTGTCTTGTTTTCATTGGAAGATATTTCCTTTTTCACCATAGTTCAGAAAGCGCTCCAAATGTCCACTTCCAGATACTACAAAAAGAGTGTTTCCAACCTGCTCTATGAATGGGAATGTTCCACTCTGTGACTTGAATGGAAATATGGCAAAGTATTTTCTGAGTATGCTGCTGTGTACGTTTTATATTGCATCCCGTTTCCAACGAAATCCTCAAAGCGATCCAAATATCCACTTGCAGATTCCAAAAAAAAGAGTGTTTCACACTGCCCTGTCAGTAGAAAGGTTCAACACTGTTAGTTGATTGGATGCATCATAAACAAGTTCCTGAGATAGCTTCTATGTCGTTTTTATGGGAAGATATTTCCTTTTTCACCATAGGCCTGAAAGCGCTCCAGATGTCCACTTCCAGATACTACAAAAAGAGTGTTTCCAACCTGCTCTATGAAACGGAAGGTTCAACTCTTTGACTTGATTGCAAACATCACGAAGGTGTTTCTGAGAATGTTTCTGTCTAGATTTTCTTTGAAGACATTACCGTTTCCAACGAAATCCTCAAAGCTAGCCAAATATCCACCTGCAGATTCTACAAAAAGAGTGTTTCAAAAGTGCTCTGTCCAAACCAAGGTTCAATTCTGACAGTTGAGTGCACACATCACAAACGTGATTCTGCGAATGCTTCTGTCTAGTTTTTGTCGGAAGATATTTCCTTTTTCAGCATAGGCCCCAAGGAGCTCAAAATGTCCACTTCCAGATAGTACGAGAAGATTGTTTCAAACCTGCTCTGTGAAAGGGAATGTTCAACTCTGTGACTTGAATGTAAACATCCCTAAGATGTTTCTTAGAATGCTTCTGGCTAGATTTGATTTGAAGATATTCCCGTTTCCAACGAAATCCTCAAAGCTTTCCAAATATCCACTTCCAGATTCTATAAAAAGAATGTTTCACAACAGTTCTGTCAAAAGAAAGGTTCAACCCTGTTAGTGGAGAACACACATCACAATCAAGGTTCTGAGAATGCTTCTGTCTAAATTTTCTATGAAGACATTCCCGTTTCCAAGGAAATCCTCACAGCTATCCAAATATCCACTTGCAGATTCTACAAAAAGTGTGGTTCAAAACTGCTGTATCAAAAGAATGGATCAACACTGTTAGTTGAGTACCCACATCACAAACGTGATTCTCAGAATGCTTCTGTCTAGTTTCTATAGGTAGATATTTCCTTTTTCAGCATAGGCCTGAAAGCGCTCCAAATGCCCGCTTCCAGACACTATAAAAAGAGGGTTTCAAACCTACTCTACGAAAGGGAATGTTCAACTCTGAGAGCTGGATGCAAACATCACAAAGAAGTTTCTGAGAATGCTGCTGTCTACTTTTTATATATAATCCCGTTTCCAACTAAATCCTCAAATCTATCCAAATATCCACTTGCAGATTCCAAAAGAAGAGTGTCTCAAAACTGCTCTATCAATAGAAATGTTCAGCACAGTTAGTTGAGTAGATACAGCATAAACATGTTTCTGAGATTACTTCTATCTCGCATTCATGGGAAGATATTTCCTTTTTCCAGATAGGCTACAAAGCCCTCCAAATGTCCACTTCGAGATACTACAAATAGAGTGCTGCACAACTGCTCTATGTGAGGGGATGTTCAATTCTGTGACTTGAATGCAGACACCACAAAGAAGTTTCTGAGAATGCTGCTGTCTAATTTTTATATGTAAGCCCGTTTCCAACGAAATCCTCAAAGCTATCCAAATATCCGCATGCAGAATCTTCAAAAAGAGTGTTCCAGAAGTACTGCATGAAACGAAAGGTTCAAGTCCGTTAGTTGAGGACACACATCACAAATAAGTTTCTCAGAATGCTTCTGTCTTGTTTTCATTGGAAGATATTTCCTTTTTCACCATAGTTCAGAAAGCGCTCCAAATGTCCACTTCCAGATACTACAAAAAGAGTGTTTCCAACCTGCTCTATGAATGGGAATGTTCCACTCTGTGACTTGAATGGAAATATGGCAAAGTATTTTCTGAGTATGCTGCTGTGTACCTTTTATATTGCATCCCGTTTCCAACGAAATCCTCAAAGCGATCCAAATATCCACATGCAGATTCCAAAAAAAAGAGTGTTTCACACTGCCCTGTCAGTAGAAAGGTTCAAAACTGTTAGTTGATTGGATGCATCATAAACAACTTCCTGAGATAGCTTCTATGTCGTTTTTATGGGAAGATATTTCCTTTTTCACCGTAGGCTTGAAAGCGCTCCAAATGTCCACTTCCAGATACTACAAAAAGAGTGTTTCCAACCTGCTCTATGAAACGGAAGGTTCAACTCTGTGACTTGATTGCAAACATCACGAAGGTGTTTCTGAGAATGTTTCTGTCTAGATTTTCTTTGAAGACATTACCGTTTCCAACGAAATCCTCAAAGCTAGCCAAATATCCACCTGCAGATTCTACAAAAAGAGTGTTTCAAAAGTGCTCTGTCCAAACCAAGGTTCAATTCTGACAGTTGAGTGCACACATCACAAACGTGATTCTGCGAATGCTTCTGTCTAGTTTTTGTCGGAAGATATTTCCTTTTTCAGCATAGGCCCCAAGGAGCTCAAAATGTCCACTTCCAGATAGTACGAGAAGATTGTTTCAAACCTGCTCTGTGAAAGGGAATGTTCAACTCTGTGACTTGAATGTAAACATCCCTAAGATGTTTCTTAGAATGCTTCTGGCTAGATTTGATTTGAAGATATTCCCGTTTCCAACGAAATCCTCAAAGCTTTCCAAATATCCACTTCCAGATTCTATAAAAAGAATCTTTCAGAACAGTTCTGTCAAAAGAAAGGTTCAACTCTGTTAATGGAGAACACACATGTCAATCAAGGTTCTGAGAATGCTTCTGTCTAAATTTTCTATGAAGACATTCCCGTTTCCAAGGAAATCCTCACAGCTATCCAAATATCCACTTGCAGATTCTACAAAAAGTGTGGTTCAAAACTGCTGTATCAAAAGAATGGATCATCACTGTTAGTTGAGTACCCACATCACAAACGTGATTCTCAGAATGTTTCTGTCTAGTTTCTATAGGTAGATATTTCCTTTTTCAGCATAGGCCTGAAAGCGCTCCAAATGCCCGCTTCCAGACACTATAAAAAGAGGGTTTCAAACCTACTCTACGAAAGGGAATGTTCAACTCTGAGAGCTGGATGCAAACATCACAAAGAAGTTTCTGAGAATGCGGCTGTCTACTTTTTATATATAATCCCGTTGCCAACAAAATCCTCAAATCTTTCAAAATATCCACTTGCAGATTCCAAAAGAAGAGTGTCTCAAAACTGCTCTATCAATAGAAATGTTCAGCACAGTTAGTGGAGTAGTTACAGCATAAACATGTTTCTGAGATTACTTCTATCTCGCATTCATGGGAAGATATTTCCTTATTCCAGATAGGCTACAAAGCCCTCCAAATGTCCACATCGAGATACTACAAATAGAGTGCTGCACAACTGCTCTATGTGAGGTGATGTTCAATTCTGTGACTTGAATGCAGACACCACAAAGAAGTTTTTGAGAATGCTGCTGTCTAATTTTTATATGTAAGCCCGTTTCCAACGAAATCCTCAAAGCTATCCAAATATCCGCATGCAGAATCTTCAAAAAGAGTGTTCCAGAAGTACTGCATGAAACGAAAGGTTCAAGTCCGTTAGTTGAGGACACACGTCACAAATAAGTTTCTCAGAATGCTTCTGTCTTGTTTTCATTGGAAGATATTTCCTTTTTCACCATAGTTCAGAAAGCGCTCCAAATGTCCACTTCCAGATACTACAAAAAGAGTGTGTCAAACCTGCTCTATGAATGGGAATATTCCACTCTGTGACTTGAATGGAAATATGGCAAAGTATTTTCTGACTATGCTGCTGTGTACGTTTTATATTGCATCCCGTTTACAATGAAATCCTCAAAGCGATCCAAATATCCACTTGCAGATCCCAAAAAAAAGAGTGTTTCACACTGCTCTCTCAGTACAAAGATTCAACACTGTTAGTTGATTGGATGCATCATAAACAAGTTCCTGAGATAGCTTCTATGTCGTTTTTATGGGAAGATATTTCCTTTTTCACCATAGGCCTGAAAGCGCTCCAAATGTCCACTTCCAGATACTACAAAAAGAGTGTTTCCCACCTGCTCTATGAAACGGAAGGTTCAACTCTGTGACTTGATTGCAAACATCACGAAGGTGTTTCTGAGAATGTTTCTGTCTAGATTTTCTTTGAAGACATTACCGTTTCCAACGAAATCCTCAAAGCTTGCCAAATATCCACCTGCAGATTCTACAAAAAAAGTGTTTCAAAAGTGCTCTGTCCAAACAAAGGTTCAATTCTGACAGTTGAGTGAACACATCACAAACGTGATTCTGCGAATGCTTCTGTCTAGTTTTTGTCGGAAGATATTTCCTTTTTCAGCATAGGCCCCAAGGAGCTCAAAATGTCCACTTCCAGATAGTACGAGAAGATTGTTTCAAACCTGCTCTGTGAAAGGGAATGTTCAACTCTGTGACTTGAATGTAAACATCCCTAAGATGTTTCTTAGAATGCTTCTGGCTAGACTTGATTTGAAGATATTCCCGTTTCCAACGAAATCCTCAAAGCTTTCCAAATATCCACTTCCAGATTCTATAAAAAGAATGTTTCAGAACAGTTCTTTCAAAAGAAAGGTTCAACTCTGTTAGTGGAGAACACACATCACAATCAAGGTTCTGAGAATGCTTCTGTCTAAATTTTCTATGAAGACATTCCCGTTTCCAAGGAAATCCTCACAGCTATCCAAATATCCACTTGCAGATTCTACGAAAAGTGTGGTTCAAAACTGCTGTATCAAAAGAATGGATCAACACTGTTAGTTGAGTACCCACATCACAAACGTGATTCTCAGAAAGCTTCTGTCTAGTTTCTATAGGTAGATATTTCCTTTTTCAGCATAGCCCTGAAAGCGCTCCAAGTGCCCGCTTCCAGACACTATAAAAAGAGGGTTTCAAACCTACTCTACGAAAGGGAATGTTCAACTCTGAGAGCTGGATGCAAACATCACAAAGAAGTTTCTGAGAATGCTGCTGTCTACTTTTGATATATAATCCCGTTGCCAACGAAATCCTCAAATCTATCCAAATATCCACTTGCAGATTCCAAAAGAAGAGTGTCTCAAAACTGCTCTATCAATAGAGATGTTCAGCACAGTTAGTTGAGTAGATACAGCATAAACATGTTTCTGAGATTACTTCTATCTCGCATTCATGGGAAGATATTTCCTTATTCCAGATAGGCTACAAAGCCCTCCAAATGTCCAC
Organism: Homo sapiens; assembly: GCF_000001405.40. Lineage (NCBI taxonomy): Eukaryota > Metazoa > Chordata > Mammalia > Primates > Hominidae > Homo > Homo sapiens. The sequence continues at coordinate 45,934,044 of NC_000008.11, read as the reverse complement.
TTCGAGATACTACAAATAGAGTGCTGCACAACTGCTCTATGTGAGGTGATGTTCAATTCTGTGACTTGAATGCAGACACCACAAAGAAGTTTCTGAGAATGCTGCTGTCTAATTTTTACATGTAAGCCCGTTTCCAACGAAATCGTCAAAGCTATCCAAATATCCGCATGCACAATCTTCAAAAACAGTGTTCCAGAAGTACTGCATGAAACGAAAGGTTCAAGTCCTTTAGTTGAGGACACACATCACAAATAAGTTTCTCAGAATGCTTCTGTCTTGTTTTCATTGGAAGATATTTCCTTTTTCACCATAGTTCAGAAAGCGCTCCAAATGTCCACTTCCAGATACTCCAAAAAGACTGTTTCCAACCTGCTCTATGAATGGGAATGTTCCACTCTGTGACTTGAATGGAAATATGGCAAAGTATTTTCTGAGTATGCTGCTGTGTACGTTTTATATTGCATCCCGTTTCCAACGAAATCCTCAAAGCGATCCAAATATCCACTTGCAGATTCCAAAAAAAGAGTGTTTCAAACTGCTCTGTCACTACAAAGGTTCAACACTGTTAGTTGATTAGATGCATCATAAACAAGTTCCTGAGATAGCTTCAATGTCGTTTTTATGGGAAGATATTTCCTTTTTCACCATAAGCCTGAAAGCGCTCCAAATGTCCACTTCCAGATACTACAAAAAGAGTGTTTCCAACCTGCTCTATGTAACGGAAGGTTCAACTCTGTGACTTGATTGCAAACATCACGAAGGTGTTTCTGAGAATGCTTCTGTCTAGATTTTCTTTGAAGACATTACCGTTTCCAACGAAATCCTCAAAGCTAGCCAAATATCCACCTGCAGATTCTACAAAAAGAGTGTTTCAAAAGTGCTCTGTCCAAACCAAGGTTCAATTCTGACAGTTGAGTGCACACATCACAATCGTGATTCTGCGAATGCTTCTGTCTAGTTTTTGTCGGAAGATATTTCCTTTTTCAGCATAGGCCCCAAGGAGCTCAAAATGTCCACTTCCAGATAGTACGAGAAGATTGTTTCAAACCTGCTCTGTGAAAGGGAATGTTCAACTCTGTGACTTGAATGTAAACCTCCCTAAGATGTTTCTTAGAATGCGTCTGGCTAGATTTTATTTGAAGATATTCCCGTTTCCAACGAAATCCTCAAAGCTTTCCAAATATCCAATTCCAGATTCTATAAAAAGAATGTTTCAGAACAGTTCTGTCAAAAGAAAGGTTCAACTCTGTTAGTGGAGAACACACATCACAATCAAGGTTCTGAGAATGCTTCTGTCTAAATTTTCTATGAAGACATTCCCGTTTCCAACGAAATCCTCACAGCTATCCAAATATCCACTTGCAGATTCTACAAAAAGTGTGGTTCAAAACTGCTGTATCAAAAGAATGGATCAACACTGTTAGTTGAGTACCCACATCACAAACGTGATTCTCAGAATGCTTCTGTCTAGTTTCTGTAGGTAGATATTTCCTTTTTCAGCATAGGCCTGAAAGCGCTCCAAATGCCCGCTTCCAGACACTATAAAAAGAGGGTTTCAAACCTACTCTATGAAACGGAATGTTCAACTCTGAGAGCTGGATGCAAACATCACAAAGAAGTTTCTGAGAATGCTGCTGTCTACTTTTGATATATAATCCCGTTGCCAACGAAGTCCTCAAATCTATCCAAATATCCACTTGCAGATTCCAAAAGAAGAGTGTCTCAAAACTGCTCTATCAATAGAGATGTTCAGCACAGTTAGGTGAGTAGATACAGCATAAACATGTTTCTGAGATTACTTCTATCTCGCATTCATCGGAAGATATTTCCTTTTTCCAGATAGGCTACAAAGCCCTCCAAATGTCCACTTCGAGATACTACAAATAGAGTGCTGCACAACTGCTCTATGTGAGGGGATGTTCAATTCTGTGACTTGAACGCAGACACCACAAAGAAGTTTCTGAGAATGCTGCTGTCTAATTTTTACATGTAAGCCCGTTTCCAACGAAATCCTCAAAACTATCCAAATATCCGCATGCAGAAACTTCAAAAAGAGTGTTCCAGAAGTACTGCATGAAACGAAAGGTTCAAGTCCGTTAGTTCAGGACACACATCACAAATAAGTTTCTCAGAATGCTTCTGTCTTGTTTTCATTGGAAGATATTTACTTTTTCAGCATAGTTCAGAAAGCGCTCCAAATGTCCACTTCCAGATACTCCAAAAAGAGTGTTTCAAACCTGCTCTATGAATGGGAATGTTCCACTCTGTGACTTGAATGGAAATATGGCAAAGTATTTTCTGAGTATGCTGCTGTGTACGTTTTATATTGCATCCCGTTTCGAAAGAAATCCTCAAAGCGATCCAAATATCCACATGCAGATTCCAAAAAAAGAGTGTTTCAAACTGCTCTGTCAGTACAAAGTTTCAACACTGTTAGTTGATTAGATGCATCATAAACAAGTTCCTGAGATAGCTTCTATGTCGTTTTTATTGGAAGATATTTCCTTTTTCACCAGAGGCCTGAAAGCGCTCCAAATGTCCACTTCCAGATACTACAAAAAGAGTGTTTCCAACCTGCTCTATGAAACGGAAGGTTCAACTCTGTGACTTGATTGCAAACATCACGAAGGTGTTTCTGAGAATGTTTCTGTCTAGATTTTCTTTGAAGACATTACCGTTTCCAACGAAATCCTCAAAGCTAGCCAACTATCCACCTGCAGATTCTACAAAAAGAGTGTTTCAAAAGTGCTCTGTCCAAACCAAGGTTCAATTCTGACAGTTGAGTGCACACATCACAATCGTGATTCTGCGAATGCTTCTGTCTAGTTTTTGTCGGAAGATATTTCCTTTTTCAGCATAGGCCCCAAGGAGCTCAAAATGTCCACTTCCAGATAGTACGAGAAGATTGTTTCAAACCTGCTCTGTGAAAGGGAATGTTCAACTCTGTGACTTGAATGTAAACCTCCCTAAGATGTTTCTTAGAATGCGTCTGGCTAGATTTTATTTGAAGATATTCCCGTTTCCAACGAAATCCTCAAAGCTTTCCAAATATCCAATTCCAGATTCTATAAAAAGAATGTTTCAGAACAGTTCTGTCAAAAGAAAGGTTCAACTCTGTTAGTGGAGAACACACATCACAATCAAGGTTCTGAGAATGCTTCTGTCTAAATTTTCTATGAAGACATTCCCGTTTCCAACGAAATCCTCACAGCTATCCAAATATCCACTTGCAGATTCTACAAAAAGTGTGGTTCAAAACTGCTGTATCAAAAGAATGGATCAACACTGTTAGTTGAGTACCCACATCACAAACGTGAGTCTCAGAATGCTTCTGTCTAGTTTCTGTAGGTAGATATTTCCTTTTTCAGCATAGGCCTGAAAGCGCTCCAAATGCCCGCTTCCAGACACTATAAAAAGAGGGTTTCAAACCTACTCTATGAAAGGGAATGTTCAACTCTGAGAGCTGGATGCAAACATCACAAAGGAGTTTCTGAGAATCCTGCTGTCTACTTTTGATATTTAATCCCGTTGCCAACGAAATCCTCAAATCTATCCAAATATCCACTTGCAGATTCCAAAAGAAGAGTGTCTCAAAACTACTCTATCAATAGAAATGTTCAGCACAGTTAGTTGAGTAGATACAGCATAAACATGTTTCTGAGATTACTTCTATCTCGCATTCATGGGAAGATATTTCCTTTTTCCAGATAGGCTACAAAGCCCTCCAAATGTCCACTTCGAGATACTACAAATAGAGTTCTGCACAACTGCTCTATGTGAGGGGATGTTCAATTCTGTGACTTGAACGCAGACACGACAAAGAAGTTTCTGAGAATGCTGCTGTCTAATTTTTACATGTAAGCCCGTTTCCAACGAAATCCTCAAAGCTATCCAAATATCCGCATGCAGAATCTTCAAAAAGAGTGTTCCAGAAGTACTGCATGAAACGAAAGGTTGAAGTCCGTTTGTTGAGGACACACATCACAAATAAGTTTCTCAGAATGCTTCTGTCTTGTTTTCATTGGAAGATATTTCCTTTTTCACCATAGTTCAGAAAGCGCTCCAAATGTCCACTTCCAGATACTCCAAAAAGACTGTTTCAAACCTGCTCTATGAATGGGAATGATCCACTCTGTGACTTGAATGGAAATATGGCAAAGTATTTTCTGAGTATGCTGCTGTGTACGATTTATATTGCATCCCGTTTCCAACGAAATCCTCAAAGCGATCCAAATATCCACTTGCAGATTCCAAAAAAAGAGTGTTTCAAACTGCTCTGTCAGTACAAAGGTTCAACACTGTTAGTTGATTAGATGCATCATAAACAAGTTCCTGAGATACCTTCTATGTCGTTTTTATGGGAAGATATTTCCTTTTTCACCAGAGGCCTGAAAGCGCTCTAAATGTCCACTTCCAGATACTACAAAAAGAGTTTTTCCAACCTGCTCTATGAAACGGAAGGTTCAACTCTGTGACTTGATTGCAAACATCACGAAGGTGTTCCTGAGAATGTTTCTGTCTAGATTTTCTTTGAAGACATTACTGTTTCCAACGAAATCCTCAAAGCTAGCCAAATATCCACCTGCAGATTCTACAAAAAGAGTGTTTCAAAAGTGCTCTGTCCAAACCAAGGTTCAATTCTGACAGTTGAGTGCACACATCACAAACGTGATTCTGCGAATGCTTCTGTCTAGTTTTTGTCGGAAGATATTTCCTTTTTCAGCATAGGCCACAAGGAGCTCAAAATGTCCACTTCCAGATAGTACGAGAAGATTGTTTCAAGCCTGCTCTGTGAAAGGGAATGTTCAACTCTGTGACTTGAATGTAAACCTCCCTAAGATGTTCCTTAGAATGCGTCTGGCTAGATTTTGTTTGAAGATATTCCCGTTTCCAACGAAATCCTCAAAGCTTTCCAAATATCCACTTCCAGATTCTATAAAAAGAATGTTTCAGAACAGTTCTGTCAAAAGAAAGATTCACCTCTGTTAGTGGAGAACACACATCACAATCAAGGTTCTGAGAATGCTTCTGTCTAAATTTTCTATGAAGACATTCCCGTTTCCAACGAAATCCTCACAGCTATCCAAATATCCACTTGCAGATTCTACAAAAAGTGTGGTTCAAAAATGCTGTATCAAAAGAATGGATCAACACTGTTAGTTGAGTACCCACATCACAAACGTGATTCTCAGAATGCTTCTGTCTAATTTCTGTTGGTAGATATTTCCTTTTTCAGCATAGGCCTGAAAGCGCTCCAAATGCCCGCTTCCAGACACTATAAAAAGAGGGTTTCAAACCTACTCTATGAAACGGAATGTTCAACTCTGAGAGCTGGATGCAAACATCACAAAGAAGTTTCTGAGAATGCTGCTGTCTACTTTTGATATATAATCCCGTTGCCAGCGAAATCCTCAAATCTATCCAAATATCCACTTGCAGATTCCAAAAGAAGAGTGTCTCAAAACTGCTCTATCAATAGAGATGTTCAGCACAGTTAGTTGAGTAGATACAGCATAAACATGTTTCTGAGATTACTTCTATCTCGCATTCATGGGAAGATATTTCCTTTTTCCAGATAGGCTACAAAGCCCTCCAAATGTCCACTTCGAGATACTACAAATAGAGTGCTGCACAACTGCTCTATGTGAGGGGATGTTCAATTCTGTGACTTGAACGCAGACACCACAAAGGAGTTTCTGAGAATGCTGCTGTCTAATTTTTACATGTAAGCCCGTTTCCAACGAAATCCTCAAAGCTATCCAAATATCCGCATGCACAATCTTCAAAAAGAGTGTTCCAGAAGTACTGCATGAAACGAAAGGTTCAAGTCCGTTAGTTGAGGACACACATCACAAATAAGTTTCTCAGAATGCTTCTGTCTTGTTTTCATTGGAAGATATTTCCTTTTTCACCATAGTTCACAAAGCGCTCCAAATGTCCACTTCCAGATACTCCAAAAAGAGTCTTTCAAACCTGCTCTATGAATGGGAATGTTCCACTCTGTGACTTGAATGGAAAGATGGCAAAGTATTTTCTGAGTATGCTGCTGTGTACGTTTTATATTGCATCCCGTTTCCAAAGAAATCCTCAAAGCGATCCAAATATCCACATGCAGATTCCAAAAAAAGAGTGTTTCAAACTGCTCTGTCAGTACAAAGTTTCAACACTGTTAGTTGATTAGATGCATCATAAACAGGTTCCTGAGATAGCTTCTATGTCGTTTTTATTGGAAGATATTTCCTTTTTCACCAGAGGCCTGAAAGCGCTCCAAATGTCCACTTCCAGATACTACAAAAAGAGTGTTTCCAACCTGCTCTATGAAACGGAAGGTTCAACTCTGTGACTTGATTGCAAACATCACGAAGGTGTTTCTGAGAATGTTTCTGTCTAGATTTTCTTTGAAGACATTACCGTTTCCAACGAAATCCTCAAAGCTAGCCAACTATCCACCTGCAGATTCTACAAAAAGAGTGTTTCAAAAGTGCTCTGTCCAAACCAAGGTTCAATTCTGACAGTTGAGTGCACACATCACAAACGTGATTCTGCGAATGCTTCTGTCTAGTTTTTGTCGGAAGATATTTCCTTTTTCAGCATAGGCCCCAAGGAGCTCAAAATGTCCACTTCCAGATAGTACGAGAAGATTGTTTCAAACCTGCTCTGTGAAAGGGAATGTTCAACTCTGTGACTTGAATGTAAACCTCCCTAAGATGTTTCTTAGAATGCGTCTGGCTAGATTTTATTTGAAGATATTCCCGTTTCCAACGAAATCCTCAAAGCTT